>NC_000011.10:88002896-92802896 GCF_000001405.40 Homo sapiens | reverse complement strand
ATCTTATTCTGCAGTGATTAATTAACTTTCCTACTAACATACTCAAGCAGATTCTATGTCCTAAGGGCAGTCTAATTAATTCATTTTTCACTCTGAATGATGTAGTTTTTCTAAACGGAAGCCACCTGACTACAAGTATTGATGATTCTTTACAATCTTTTGGCACTTTGTTTATGTTCTGCCTTTGAATGTGACGACATCAAAATATTAGCTTTAACCCACCCCCCAAATAGTTTTTAGGAAGAACCTTCCCACACTGTCAACCCTCTCCTCTTTCAGTTAAAGGTCGCCTGCCCCCCAGGAAACCACTCTGACATGAAATCCTTAGCCTCTCAGGGCAACAGTGACATTTTCTGTGCCTTCCTAATGACTGACTTTGTCTATCTTGGCTTTCCTCTTGAATTGCTACTTGCTATTCTGAAAGACAGAAAAGAAATCCAAAAAATTTTGGTTGTCAGAAGAAATACCCCTTGATTTGTAGTGATAATTTAGGATTTCTCAGGGAAGGATCAAACCATTCCATCTAATGTGTGTACATGTGTGCACAGGTGTTGCCATGGCCAGGGGAAGTGTGCATGTGAAGCTTACTGTGATCAAGCTATTTGTTTTGCTCAGCATTGCAAAAGGTAGAAAAAAGGAACATGCTTAAAAACAGAACCTCTCCACCAAAAAGTTGTTATTTTCATTCCTTCAACTGAGATATTTGGCTGGACTCCTTTTTAAATAGGAAGAGGTGACACAAAGACTAGTTACCAATATGGTTAACACATTTACAGCAAACCTGTGAACTCCAAACTAAGGCTGAGTTAGCAACAGCCAACAAGCAAAAAACGCAGTCTGCTCAGAGATCCTTTACTCAGCTCCAGAGAGGCTTCATTACACTGGACTCCTTATCCCATCTTCCTTCTCTCTTACTCTTCTCCCCGCCATCTTCCATCTTTCTTTATAAAGCAGTGCACATAATGAAAACTGGGGGTATTTACTCACCTGTAATATGGTAGCTCACTTGGCGATTAACGTCGGATGTGTCTCTGTCCCAGGTGCTGAGGACGGCTACCACCTCGCCCGGTGGGTCGCTCTCCTTCACATTCCCTCGGTACACTTCCTGCGCGAAGACTGGTGCATTGTCATTTATATCTGTCACTCTGACAGAGACCAAGGCCGTGGAGGAAAGAGAGAATGCCTCTCCAAGGTCAGAGGCCACCACAGAGAAGGTGAATGTGGGGTCTGTCTCGTGATCTAGGTCCTTCAAGGTACTGATCCAGCCCGTGTTGCTGTCAATATTGAATGCTTCCATTACCTTTTCGGGCTGGGAATCCGAGTGGAGGGAGTAAGTGACTTGTCCATTGGCTCCCCAGTCCATATCAATAGCTCTCACTTGTGTGAGTTTGGTGCCAACAGGCATCCCTTCCATTATAATGGTGTCATAGCTTGAAGTTTCAAAGACTGGCTTGTTGTCATTCAAATCCAATACCTTGATATCTACATCCACAGTAAACACAATGTCTACTTTGTCCAGGGGTATAGTGGCTGCTACTTTAAAGTGGAAAGCTGGGCTGGTTTCACGGTCAAGGCGTTTGTCAAGCTTAATAGTGCCTGTTTCCTGTTCTATGACGAATATGCCCCCTTTGTTATTTTCTGGCCGTTCCCCATTAACTGTGCTGAACCAGACATTCTGACTGGGCAAAATCCTCAGGGTGTCCACTGTACTCCCAATGGCTGTATCTTCTGCAATGGTAAAGGAATACTGAGACTGGGTGAATGATGGCAAGAACGTTTCAGGGGGCAAGACGTGGATATAGACAGGAATGAGGGAGTGCTTTACTGGGATGCCCCCATCTACTGCTTTGACAAAGAACGAAAGCACTGTATTTTTCAGCTGGTTAAAATTACCCTTTGTGACCATCCAGCCATTGTCAGGATCGATTTCCAGGAGGTCGGCCACTGAAACAGAGGCCTCGCTATAGAGGGAATAAGTAATCCTTGAATTTGCTCCATCATCGGGATCTATGGCTTGAACTTGAGTGACCAAGTGGCCCCTTCCAACATCTGCCCTGACACTGGCTCTATATTCCACTGTCATGAACTGGGGAGCATTGTCATTTTCATCCACAACAATCACTCTCACAGTGCAGAAAGTTGTTCTCCCTCCACCATCAAGGGCCCTCACAAAAATACTAACATCCCCTTCTAGAGGGTTTTCCCGGTCTAGCCTTTCTGTGGTGATGACCTGCCCATTGCTGTCTATGAGGAATCGATCCTTGGCAAAGTCATTGATGATGGCATAGCTGATCTGCCCATAAGTCCCTGGATCACCATCTGTGGCTCGAACATGAATTACCTTTGTTCCTGCAGCCACGTTCTCTCTCACCTCAGCTACGTATGTGCTTTGTGAAAAGGCAGGGCTGTACAAGTTAGCCCCAAGTACCCTAATATGCACCTGTGCAGTGCTGGTGAACAACCCATCAGAGACAGACACATTGAGACTGTACAGAGGCTCCATCCGCTGCTTCCGATGGTTGGACAATGTGATAACTCCACTCTTGCTGTCCATCAGAAAGCTCGTCCGGTCATTCCCAGATAAAATGCTATATTCCAACCGGTCAAAATCAGAGCTGTCTGCATCAGAGGCTTGTACACAGGTTACAAAATGGCCCCGGGGGGCTAATTCACTCACATATGACTCATAAATGAGCTGATTAAAAACTGGAGGGTTGTCATTTACATCAGAGATGTAGATATGAACGAGAACCTCACTGCTCAGTGATGGGAAGCCACTATCTATTGATCTGACTTTCAAAGTGCAGTGTTGTACTAACTCATGGTCCAGCATTCGTGCTGTCAGGATTAAGCCACTTGAGCTATCTATGTGAAAATAATCTGTGCTATTGTAGGTATCCTGGACAATCTGATAATGTACCATTTTATTGTTTTCTGAGTCTGCATCAATAGAGACAACTTGTAAAACAGGTGTCCCAATAAGAGATGCTTCTGATAGTGTTGTATTGTATGTAGGCTGATCGAAAATAGGGGGGTTGTCATTTACATCATTAACTAGCAAGTCAACAGTGACTTCAGCCCTAGCACCAGTAAGGGCGTCGCTGGCTCTTATTGTCAGCTTGTAAGCAGATGTAACTTCATAATCCAAAGGGCTAACAACTTTCAGGACCCCAGTGTCAAAGTCAATGTTAAACTGTTTAAAAGGGTCCCCATCGATAATGATATATATGATGCCTTGGCCTTCTGGACTGGTGGCATTGATGCTTAGGATGGGTGTGTTCATTCTGATGTCTTCATTGACAGATGCTGTATAAAAGGGCTTATCAAACACAGGCATTGCTTTGTTGACAATAGTGATGGGAAGCTCCACAGATGTAGACAAAGAAGGTTTTCCGCCATCCTTGGCTAGGATGGTGACTCCATACTCAATGTTGGACAAGTCAGAGTTGAATGCTTCCTTTAAAATAACATTCCCTGAATTAGGGTTAATTTCAAAGTGGCCATAGTCATCCTGCAGGACATAGGTCACTTCTCCATTTGGACCTTTATCTTTGTCAATGGCTGTCACCTGATAAATCAGAGTCCCGGGTTCCGCATCCACTTGAACAGCAGCATAGTATGGGAGGCCCACAAAGACTGGAGAATTGTCATTTATGTCTTCAATGTTAACCCTGACCACCACTCTGGCCACACGCAGATGGTCCAGCTCACGGCTGGCTTCTACCACCAGCTCATATAACTCTTGTTCTTCACGGTCAAAGGGGACTCCAGTCGTCTGAATGACCCCTGAGGTAGATTTTATCTTGAACTTATTTCCTGGGTTTAAGATGCTGTATTTTAAGGGCTCATTAAGGCGATTTCCAACTGCATTGACAATAGCAACTTTGGTTATGTTAGTGTTGTTCTCTGAGATTGAGGTGGAATAGAAGCTTTGTGTAAAGTGGAGGCCGCTGTCCATGGCTTCTTTAACCATGATGGTGACCATGGAGGTACTGTAGAACTTTCCATCAGACACCTTAACTATCAGCATGTAGTGATCCTTGGAGAGGTTGTTGTTTTTTATGGTAAGTACTCCACTGTTTGAGTCAATTAAAAAATGATCCAAACTGCCTTCCATTAGGCTGTATGTCAGTTCAGGGGGTACCTCAGAGTCAGGATCTGTGGCACTAACTTTCAGAACCTCCACTCCAACATAGGTAGGTAGAAGTAAGATAGTCTCAAACACAGCCTGAGTAAAAACAGGTGGGTTATCATTCACATCTGTCACCTCAATGTTGACTTCAACGGGACTCTCTGCAGTCAGTTGGGGGCTACCACTGTCTCTCACATGCACATGAAAATGGAAATGGGCAATGGTTTCATGGTCCAGGTTGGCAATTGTTCTGATTGCACCTGTACTGGAGTCCACCGTGAAAAACTTTTTTGCTGTTGACTCCACAATCTGATACACAAGCAGAGCATTCCGGTTGCTGTCAGCATCTGTGGCTCGAATCACCAGTGGGCTGTTATCCAAGCTCCTGACAATGCTATTAATTGGGGCAGCCTCACTTAGGCTGCCTGAGTATTGAGAAAAGAGAAAAACTGGGGCATTATCATTTTCATCAACAATCTGAATATTGACTGTAGCATTGGAAGCCATTCCTGCCATATTGGTGGCCTGAATGATGAGTTGATAAGAGGATGTGCGCTCATAATCCAGGGCCTTCTGAGTGGTGATGACTCCAGAATATGGATTTATGGTAAAGATCCCATTAATGTCTCCATCTTTGACTTCATAAATGAGGGTAGATTGACTGATGGCAGAGATTAGAATGACTGATGTTCCAATGTCAACATTTTCATTTACTTCTGCTTGGTAGTCTTTGTGAATGAACTTGGGGTGAGAATTGTCAGACATGGTGACGGAAATGCGCACAATTGCAGTAGCAGACATTGGCGGGGATCCCTGATCTGTGACTTTGATGGATAGGACAAACTGACCCATCGTCGTCATGTCTGGTTCTTTGCAAATGGTGATGATGCCTAGGACCGGTTCGATCTTAAACATGTTCCCAGTGTTCCCTAAAATACAGAAATCAATGGTGAAATGAGTTACATGTGGGTCACTGAAATCTTTTTGATTAACTCTTTATCTATAGGTACCTTACTGCAATGTGGCAAGTAGAAAGCAATTATAGTACTCATCTGTGTCATTCTGAAATAAAATGAGAGGCTTCTCTTTCAGGGGTACTGAAAAGGAACCAAAATGAGTTTCCCAGTATTATAGTAAATTTCAGATCAGTAACTTCTAGATCCAGGTTAAAAACACAATGACAATGACACAGTCTTATGTGCATTCAAGTTGGGAAATAAGAGAGCCCGAAGGAGAGATCTTTCTGCTAAGAATGTATAGGACTTCCTTATTTCCAGCCTTGTGAGAAGACAGATAGATTGGGAAGCCCACATATGAATGCCACTGGTTTAGGTAGCAGTGTCATATTTTCTGTTCTAGGTTTAAAGAAAGAGGGTTGTGGGAATAGTTTCAGAGCATTATAAAGTAGTCAGTTGTTTTCTGATTATCCCAAAAGCAAACTTCGCTACATGGAATTGGTATTATTTCACCCTATCAAAAATGACTTTATCCAAAACACTACTTTGGTGAAGGGGTTTGTTCAGTCAGGTGTGGAGAATTCTTGGCAAGTCATTATTTGCCTTGTAAGTGTGATGAATTTTCCTGACTTCTCTTCTATTCTCCACTCATGCTCTACCCCTCTCTCATGCTTCTGAACACACACATGCACACATCTAGACATAAAAGTAAACATAAAAAGTTATAGGGCAGTTGCTCAATCTGTAACCATTCTATTCACCAAGCATTTGAGGTGTTTCTAGTGTACCAAGAAACTGTTGGGAATCTGAACCAGCACTGCAACCAAGAACCTGAGACATAATCCTTGTGAAACTGAAACCTGGGCACCCCACTTTGATAGAGCTGGCAGGGGAAGGGCTCTGGCCATGACACTGTAGTAGTTTACAGCTCTGCTTCAGAAACATGTTGTGGTTCGAAATCTGGGATTGTTGAGAATGAGAGAAATAACAGAGGAATAAAAAATGGGGAAGACACAATGTGGAGTATGTAAAGAAGGTAGGTGGTGACAGAGCTGAAAGGCAGTGGGTAGTGTGAAGTTGCATCCCTCACCAAGTTGCTTTTTGCTTCTCTTATCAGGCTTTCTCATACTTCTCAAAGAACACATATACTTCTGTGTTGAGATCCTTTCCAATCAAAAGTTAAAGATCTTGGTTATTCAACTCTATCTGGACTTTTCTTTCTGAGTATTGTAGTATGATAGGTATATAATTTAAATGTTAAAATCATTAAAATAGGGACCAGGATTTTCAGGGCAGTTATGAGATGTGTCTACATACCTCTTCCTACATGCTAATTATATAAAGTTTTCCATGTCTGAACACAAAATGGTCATGTTCATGTAACATCTATTTCAAGAAGATACTTGCTTATTTTAAAAGACAAAGTATATCTAATAAAGAGGTCATTTTGATTCCAGCCCCCCCAAATGTGAATATTAAACAATGTTGTCTTTGATGTCGGCATGATTTATTACTTTGCCACCTAAACATGGCCATTTTGTGATGACAATAATAAAAAGTTCAATGATCTTATGAGTAAACGTTCAAGCTTGCAATGAATAGTGTCATAGAATTGAGTGTGAATCCAACAGGTGATCCACAGAACTTTATAAGGGGAAATCACTTCACCTAAGCAATGGTCACCTTCCAGTGATGGCACCAACATGCAACCCTGACTGATGAATGCTACTGGAGCCAGGGATCTCGGTGTTCACTGATTATGGTGCCCGACTGCAGAGTTTCTAGGTAAGTCCTCCCTCACTCCACACCCGGCAGATTTCTTCATGCCCAGAAAGATAGATTATGGTGGGGATGGCAGGGAGCCAGCTTTTGACCTCAAATATAATTTTTTGTTTTTTTTTGAGATGGAGTCTCGCTCTGTCATCCAGGCTGGAGTGCAGTGGTGCAATCTTGGCTCACTGCAACCTCTGTCTCCTGGGTTCAGGTGATTCTCCTGCCTCAGCCTCCAGAGTAGCTGGGACTGCAGGCAGGCACCACTACACCTGGCTAATTTTCATGTTTGTAGAGACGGGGTTTTGCCACGTTGGTCAGGCTGGTCTCAGACTTCTGACCTCAAGTGATCCACCTGCCTTGGCCTCCAAAAATGCTGGGATTACAGGCACGAGCCACTGTGCCTGGCCTCAAGTAGAAATTCATAATCCTGCTATCCCATGGCCGCTGATCTGCTTGTGACACGCTTCCAGAATGGTGTGCTGATACATCAGGTCCAAAGTGGGCCCTTCTCCTCTTTCCCTCTTTGACACACTGACCCATTCTCTTGGAATCCACTTCCTGCTTATTCTTTCCTGCTACACTTGAATCCTGAAAAATTGGCCTCTGTTTGTTTTTTGGAATCTATGGCCTCTTGTAGATTTTTGGCAATTGAATAAAAGCTGTGCTTTTCTTATCATTCCTTATCTAGTACACAACACAGCATCTGCTACAAAGAAGTTGCTTAATATTTGTTGAATGATTGAGAGGAGAGGTAAATCTAAAAAAAATATTTTAAACTCTCTATTCATATGCATCTTGGGATCCATATGCCCTCACCCGAACTCAACTCAGTCCCAGTCTCTCTTGTACAATCCTGCCTCAGACTCACCATTGACACCAAACACAAAACTCAAACTAGATATAAGACCTGAAGCTCTGCACTCAAATTCTGCCTCAGTCCTTCAGGCCAAAATAAAAAGCTTCCGTAGTTACTTTAGAGGACAGGCAGGAGACAGGAAATTTATAGCCCACCAATAAACAGAGTGAAATCTTGCTTATCTGATGTGTGTGAGAAAAGTTAAATAAAACATAATACTTTACACAGCCATTTGTCATTTGCTTCAAAGTGCTGAAGCATCTGGGATCTGCCTGTCTCCCACCCTCAACTGGGAAGAAACTTGCTCCTCTAGGACCAGTGCGGACCAGTGTGGGTTTGTCTGTCTGTCTGTGAAGAGCCCTGCTGGTCATTTGAGATTTATTGTGAACATTGTAATCCTCAATAGTTTCTTACATACAATCAAAGGTCATTTTTTTTGCGATATCAATTGTTCCCATGGTTTTCTGGAAGTTTGGGTTTTCTTTATGAAAGATGTTTTAAGGAAATAACTGTTCTGTCTTGTTTTAGTCAGTTAAAGAAACGACTGGGCACCATGCTGTAGTCTGTAGAGGTCAAAAGATAAGCAGAGCAGTCTTTTCGGTTGGATGGTAAGTTAAATTACTCCTTAAGAAACTCCAAACTGGTTGAAACATTATCTGGCTATCTAAAAGGAGTATAAGTAGCAGGCTTAATGACAAATATAAAAAGCAGGTAGAGACACACAGCTAATGTTTAGAACATGGTAAGAAAAGTAGAAATAAAACCCTATATCTAAATAATTACAGTGACATGAAACAATGTATATGCATGAATGAATACGGGGAAAAGAAAAAAACACAACATTGGAAAAAACCATAGAAAGAATAAAAAGAGTTGTTGGGTTAGGTGACATTTTCTGGGATGTGATTTAAATATTCATTTTTTGGAAAAGTTTCCTTATATTATTTGTGGAACCCAAAGAACAAAGATTATATAATTAAGTAATAAAAATGTCCTGTGAAAAATAAAAGATGTAAAATAGCATTTCTAAAAAAACACTGGTCAGGCTTTAGATTGAAAGGAAATTCCATGGAAACCTAGAAAAAAAATAGGTAAATTCTCTCCGGAAACTTTGCTATTATGAACTCATGTCTTTTCTTTTTCTTTTTTTAAGTAGAGCTTAGCACAGACCCATGTAAAATGTGGGTGCCTAATACAAGAAATAGTTCTAAGTTATCATTCAATGAAAGAACTTTTTTTTTTTAGAAGGTTGTTGGCTTTTCTTTTTCTAAAATTTCTAGTCCAAAACTGTCATTCTAGCATTCATATTTTAATTCAACTCCTCTCAAAAATGCTCTACATTTAAATGAAAGGAGAGAAGTCTTTCCATCCCTGGCATGAAAGGATATTGCATTTGGCATTATTCACGACAGACATAAGTTGCAGAACATTTTGAAAATAGGTGGCTTGAATATTCAAAAAAGATGGAATGGGGAGGAGAACATAGAGCAGATAAAGGATATTTGTCATTTTTAGGTTATTTCTTGCTTAGCCATTCATCTCTCAGTCATAAAAGCTTTCTAGCTATCAGTCTTCAAACCATCAGTAAACTATGATCTTACCTTATAGATGTTAAAATTAATTTTAAAACATCTCAAATTTAACAAAACAAGAGCCTGTATTTATTTGTCAGGTTCAGCAAGCAGTTCAGACTCCATATCTACCATCTACTCTGCTACTCAGGTTGCCTCCAATGATGTGAATTTGTGCTAACTATGAGGGTGAAGGAATTTCTGAAGCCCACAGACCACCTATTCACAAGTAAACAAAGACTTGTTAAGATTCAATTCACAGAACACCCTGGCAGGCCTCAGATGATCGGCGGGCGGCTTTTGTTATTTTAGTCTGAGGCCCTGGCTTGTTGGTCCACAGGTAAAAGCCACTAAATTTATTACGTATTTATTTTCTCTTCTCTATCCAAGAAAAATCCAAGATCAAACACAACAAAGGAAATTTTCCTTGCTATTAATGATGGAAAACCTATTACTGAAACATCAAGAACGTTATCCACCATCATCTCCCAAATAGGACAGCGGCTTGGCCAAAAAAGTTCATTTAGAGATGTTCCACTGTTAATGATCTGAATTTTACATGGTGATAAATACTACTGAGGGTCGAATGCCTTGCATTATGCTGAAATCTGTGCAGTGCAACAGCTCTCACCTGCTTCTATGGTATATATGAGTTCTGCATTTTCTCCTTTGTCTTTGTCCAGAGCCGTCACTTGCAGAACAGCTGATCCCAGAGCAGCAGATTCAAACACAGACGCTTCATACAGTGGGTTGGTAAAATAAGGACTGTGATCATTAGCATCCTCCACATTCACAATGACTCGGGCCAAGTTTCTTCGATAAGGAAACTCCTGATCTCTGACCTTTAGGCAAAATACAAGAAGTGGTGGGACTCAAATTTTAAATTGCAAAGAACTCACATGGCTATGTTTGGGGTGAAAACAAAATGAAATAATGCACGCAAAGTGCTTGACCCAGTTCCAGGCTTCTAGTAGGTGCTCAGTAAATGGTAGTATCATGAAGTGAGGAAACATTGTGAGCAAATCGTGAGCAGGGTTTACAACACCTTTACTGCTCAGCCTAATGTCTGGCCTGTGGTCTGTGCTCAGTCTGTGTGTGTAGAACTGATGCCTTGATATCACAAACACAGCACTGTGCTCTGGCTCTCCCCATATAGTGGCCTCCCCCTTATTTGTGTACACAGCTGATAACAGAATAGTGGGTAGAGGCTCCTCTGCAGGAGCAATTAAAGACTGGAATTAATGAACACAATGTAGGCATTTTCACTCATCCATTCAACTAACATTTATTGTCACCTATCTGTTCAAGTCCCTGGCTTTGCACTGGTGGTTCAGCAGTGAATTGGATACAGTTCCTGCCCTCAAGAAGCTTAGAGTCAAGTGGGAATACAAACAATAGATAGGTATAATGCTCAGGGCTAAGTATTCTCACGGGATGCACTAAAGATGCTCGCAGAATAGTGAGAAGAAACTAACCTAGCATTTAGCTTGCTGAAAAAGGTAACAAGAACAAGTAGGAGTGGTAAAATGGTGGTGGTAGTAGTGTGTGGCATTTTCAGGCAAAAAAGCCAATATATACAAAAGCCTAGAGCTGAGAGAACCCTGACCATCGGGAATATGAATCAAATCTTAATTTCTTACTTAGAGAAATGTTAAATAAAATGTCACACTTTACACAACCATTTGTCATTTTCTTCAAAGTGCTGAAGCACCTCCTTTCTGATTTCACCAAAAAACCTTGCTTGGCAGTTTTAAAGTTTCCTTTAGTTTGCATATGGCAGAAGTTTGAAAATAATCATTTCTTTAACCACAAGGTTTTGCTATCATTTGATGTAGCACTAATCAAATATGTGCACTTGGCTTTTTCAATTTTAAACTCCATACCTGCAGAGAGATGTGAAGAAATTAGAAAATATACCAAGAAGAGCCATCAAAGAGAAAGGGGTTTTCAGAAATAGTACCTAGGAGGAATAAGCAAAATGACTAAAAGGCTTAGCTAGGAAAAAGGCAGTGTAAAGCACTTGTTTGCTGTAAATATTCAATTATGTAAGTGATAAATGGTAGAGGGTGACCAAACTGATTTCTGAGTTTGTTAAAGAAAGAATGAACAGAAATGACTTAAAGAATCATGAGAATGGAGTTAGTCACTAGCACAAGGTTTCTGCCCTTGGAGAAAACACATGCAGAATTAGCTCAGTGAATATGCTGAATTTCCCTGTCTGCAGACTGGTCTGCCATACCCAAGGACCAAGCTGAACTCTATTTGGGGATTGTTGAAATCTAGGTCAGTTCCAATTTAGTGTAAGCTCCTAGGGTGCAGGAACTTTGTCTTTTTTGTATCTTCAGTGCCTAGAAGAAAGTTTGGTGCACAGTAAGTGGTTGAGAAATATTTGTTAAATGAATGAATGAAGGGCCATAGTGATGACTGGAAGACCTCTATAAGTAACCCCATCTGTTTCCTGGAGTCTTAGCTGGAAACCATAGCTAAGTGCATGACACTCAAGCTTCCTCTTGTTGGGGAAGGTTTCTAGTCTTATGAAAGGAAAGTAGCACTTAGTGGAACATTACTTTCAGCTGCTTAGGAATTTGTACTGTCTTAGTGTAGTATTTTAAAGCCAATCAGTGCAGAAGATTAAGTCTGTCCTTCTACCTGGTCTTAAAGGAACACAGTGGGGGCTCTGACAGGAAGTGGCTGTGCAATGCCGCAGAGATTCTTGGGTGGTTGAAGAGATAGACTTCAGGCCATAAATTAATCAACGATGTTTCTCATTCATCTCTACTTCCCAATTATGTGAACTAGCTAAACACTACTTTAAAAGTAAAGCAATATCTCCTACATAATTTGGAGGCCCCATGAACACAAACTCAGATTTATACTCTCTGTAGGCTTGAGCATGTATTGAGATCTCTTTTGTGTGCCAGTATTTACTACTAGGTCCAGTGCCAGTACAATAAATAATAAATTGGTTTTGTAAATCCTTCCAAGGACTGAGCATTGCATAGGCTGAGTAAATGATTACCCTTGTGATTAACTTCTTAAGGAATGTCTTTTCAATTTTTCTATGAAATCTTCTGGGTGCAAACCAACCCCAGAGCCTGGGAACATGACCTGTTCCTTCCCTCTCAAGTCAGTCTGTTTGGAGCATTTACTGAGCAGCCATTGCTGCAGAACTTATCTAATATTTTCGTTTGGCAAAAATGTAGAGTTGCTATCTAACAACAGTAATTCTTCATTGAAATAAAAAGGCAAAAATGAATGCAATCTCTCTGTGAAAAGACTAAATTTACAACTACTTATAAAATTTAGGGGCCCTATACTTCTGAAGGCTAATGTGTGTGGCCTGAACAGTCAGTGGTTCTGTAGGAGTGCTAATTAGGATTTTGGTCCTACCATTATGTTGAGAATGTGCTTGTCCTGGGCCTCATGGTCCAGCCTCTCGGCAGTATAGAGCACGCCAGTGCTAGGGTCAATCCGGAATTTTCTCATGCTGATGGAGTCGATGCTGCTATGAACAGTGTAGCTCAGCTTGTGCTTCTCATCTCTATCTGTGGCTTCAATCTGCAGGATCTCCGTGTCTGGAAGCACATCCTCGGAAATTGTCACATCGTAATTCGGCTGAGAGAATTCTGGGCCATTATCATTATTATCCAGCACTTTGATAAATACCTGTAGTTAAAAGAAGAAAAGAATGATGACTAATGCCAATTTGCTCACTGCTAATAAAAGTATGCCCTCCCTCTTTTTCTCCCCGCTTCCCCGTCCTTGGATCCTAGCTTCTAGTAGCTCTTGCAACACAGAGGAAACTCACTAATAAAAACATTCTGTAATTAGAGGTTGACAATAAACCAGTAGTTTATATTAGCAGGAACATAAACTATGAGCTGACCAATATTCTCACTATTAATTGAACAGCTGAGACAACCACTTGAAGGTGATAATTCTGTGGAATTCTTTGATGCACAATGTATATGATCACAAGATGACCTTAGTTTGTTAAGTTGCCATTATCTTAAGTTCTTATTATGTGTTTCTCTTGGTGGACCTCTGTGGAGGCAGTGACAGAATGGGAAAAGGAGTACAGAAGAGGCAAAGGAGCCAATGAGGTGGACTCAGAGCAGTCACAGCTTCTCAGTGGCAGTGTCCATGCCCTGTGGTTGTCCTGATAGTAGGGGTCCAGCAAAGAACGTGGCGCTAATGATAGCTAAGGTACGAAGTTTCCCAATAAGTTTTCTAATTGTTTTCTTTCATAAAGCATTTTGTTACGTAAATTTTCAGACAAATATAAAATAGTGTAATGAACACTCAAGTATGTATCACTCAGCTTTAATAATAATCAATTGCTAATCTGGTTTCATCAAACTCCCACTCATCCCTGCCTATTCCCACGTTATTTTAAAGCAAATCCCACCCATCATGTAATTTCGGTATGCATCTTTAAAAGACAGAACTCTTAGAATAAACACAAACACACACAATACCATTGCTGCACCTAAACAGAGAAAAGAGTAGTTCCTTAATATCATCAAACAGCCCATTTGGTGTTCATACTTCTCTAATTGTTTTTTAAGTATGTTTTGTTTGTTTATCACATATACACACATATATATATTCATAATCTTTTAACCAAGATATGCAAATAAGGTCCAAACATTGCATTTGGTTAATACATCCATAAATGGGTTAATTATATTTTAATTTATAGGTTCTCCTTCAAACTCTTCTCTTACTATTTCCCTGCAATTTTTATGGTGTTATTGTTGTTATTGAAGAAACTGAGCCATTTTCTGTTTAGTTTCCACAGTCTGAATTTTGCTCATAGCATCGCTGTGGTTTTGTTTTACATGTCCCTCTGTACCCTGTATTTCTTATAAATTGTTTGATTTAAAAGGCTTGCTAAGGTTCAATTTCCTTTTTTCTGTTTCTTTTTCTTTGACAAAAATCCTTCATGAGTGATTTAGTGTACTTCCATCTGGAGATACATAATATCTGGTTCTCTCTCTTGTTCTGTGATATTAGCAGACACTGGCAATCATTATACAGATAATTCATTAAAAATTTCAGATTGATAATGTTCTAATTCTATTATTTTCTTCCTCATTTATTAGCTGGAATAGTTCTCTAAAAAGAAACTTCTCAACTATTTGGTTACTGTGAAGTACATTTCATATAGGAAAGTTAGGATAAATAATTCTTTCCCTTTATTCTTTTGAAATAGTGAGTTGGTTCCTTAGCTCCTCCCAAAGTGACCAATGAGGTACTCTTTTTTAACCATTATTATGAACTCATGAATTTAATCACATCTGATTTGTTTCTCTCTATTGTAGTTATTATATTAATGATGATAAATAGCCCTACCTTGGCCTGTAGGAGCCTCTTCCAGTTAGTTCTTGACATCTTTTGACATAACTCTAGTATTCTTTGATAGCTTCCTTGCTTTCTGATAATTGCTACCAGTAATTTTTTCCAGTGTTATCTTGTGCATTTTCCCATTATCCATTTCTCCAGAATGGCTTGTTTTCTTTTTAGTTAGAATTTAGAGACCATGATCCGCTGCTAGGAATACTTATTGCTACTGGATTGGCTATTATGCTTCGGTTTCATTCAATGGACAGAGTCAGGAAAGGTCTGTGGTTTTTTAAAAGTAAATATTGCACGAGTTCATATTGCTACTTCCTATTCAAAATTAGAGCATCAAGGTTTTTACTTAATCTCATTATTTTTACATTGGTATCTCCTTTTTCTCATGCTGAAATTTCTCATGCTTAATGACATCATCAAAATTATTCATTGCTTTATTTGAACCACATGCACAAAAATCTCAGAATAATTCCAACATTCTTATTATATTATAACTATGATCATTAAAAATAATTTTAATATTATTTTGTAGTTCTTTTTATTTTATAATTATGTATTTATATCATTATAATAATAAAATAAATTATAATTTATTCCTAGTTGGATAAATAATTGCAATTATTATAGCATAATTGCAATTTAAAATACTATCTACTTTCTATCAGGTGCTATACAGGTTTAAGAAGAACAAGCAAGAATAACCAGGAATTTATCCAACTAGGAATATAAAGTCAAACCAGCATGTTTAAAGTCACTTAGAATAGTTCTTCTCTGTGTAGATGTGCCACCAACTAGATATGCATCTAACATCATTTGTTTCCACTTGTGTTCAAATTTTAGACTTGCTTTTTAAATATTTAATTTAATATTATATATAAAGGTACCAAAGTCAAATTTACAAAAGAGATATATTCAAAGCAGTTCAGCTTCTATACCTTCCCCCTACACTCTATTCCCTTCTCCTACAGATAACTTTAAAAATATGTATGGTTTACTCATCAAACATTCTGTTAATATAAACATACTATATACACTCTTCCCTGCCATGCTGTTTCATTTAACATTACAGTTACAGTTAACATAACATTAACATCAGTTCTCAACTGGGGAGGGTTTTGTCTTCCGGGGGACATTTAGTAGTGTCTGGAGGCATTTTTGGTTGTAACACTTGGAGGAGGGCTGTTACTGACATCCAGTAGTACAGGCCAGGGATGCCGCTAAACATCCTACAATGCACAGGACAGCCCCCGCAAGAAAGAATCATCTGACCCAAAATGTCAGTAGTGTTGCTGTGGAGAAACCCTGCATTATATCCTGAAGATAATGCCACAGAAGTACAGAGATACTCTTCCAGTGAGTAGATGAATCAGTTAATTCAACTAGTTTTCTATTGGTGTTCATTTAAGATGTCTCCAATTTTTGTTCTTAGAAACAGTGTGCAAGGAAGAGCCTTGTGCCCATTTTTAAAATATTTTTTGCTAGCATATATTTGGTTCTAGAATTGGGATGGTTGGATCAAAGTACAGGTGCTTATATAGTTTTATTATTATATATGTTTCCATATTTCCCCTACTCAAAGGTTTTATCATTTTGCATTCCCATAATAATATATAAGAATGTTTGTTTCTCACAACCTTGCCAACATAATATGTAGTAAGACTTCTAGATTTTTTGCCAATCTGATAGATGAGAAACGGCATTTCGGTATAGTTTTCATTTACCTTTCTCTTATTTTTGAGTGAGGTTGGAGAAACTTTTCATATATTTAAGATCCATTTGCATTTCTTTTTTTGTTAAATTATTTGTATCTCATCTCATTCTTCTATAGGTTAGATGGCCTCTCATTCTTTATTTTTGGAAGTTTGGTGATATAAATTGCAAATACGCTTTCAATTTTGTCATGTATTTTTATTTTGCTTATGGTGTTTTTTTTTGCCATGCAAAAGTGAATACATCAATCTTTTTCCTTATTGTTTCTGGATGTTAATTCACAGTTTAGAATATTTTTTGAGCTTTCAGGTTATAAATGAACACATTCATTTTAAAACATGCATTTGTATGTTTTCTTTTCTTTCATTTACATCGCTAATCGAGTTGCAATTTTTCCTGGCATACTGCGATTATTTTCCATATGGCTCTCCATTTATCTCAATGCCACTCTTTAAAAGACCATCACTTCCCACTGATTTGAGAAGCCACCTTTATTGTACTCTATATTTACACATGCAGTTAGCATATTTCTGGATTTTCTATTCTGTTCCATTGGTTTATCTGACTTCTCATGTATCAGTACCAACATGTTTTAATTATAGAGGCTTTATAGTACATTTTAATGTTTGGAAAGGCTAGGCTCTCTTTTTCTTCTTTCTCATGGTTTTCCTTGCTATTCTCACTTGTTCTTCTAAATAAACCTGTATAGCACCTGATAGAAACTGGATAGTATTTTTAATTGCAATTATGCTATAATGACAGGTTAATAAAGGAAAACTGACTTCTTTCTAATGTAGTCTTCCTATCCAAGAATATGGTTTGTCTTTTTTCATTTGTTCAATCTACTGTTTTACTTTTCTGGGAACATTTAGTTTTCCTTAAATAGGTTTTGAACACTTTTTAAAGTTTATATATGTACTACCCTAAATAGAGTCTTCTCTTCCAATATATATTTCACTGTTTTTTTTGGTTATATATATGTAGGCTATTGATTTTTGTATATTAAATTTTTAACCTGTTATTTTCCTATCACTTATAGAAGTTTTTCCTTTCAGTCTTTTGAGTTTTTCAGATATATAATTATATTACATGCAAACAGAGATAGTTTTACCTTTTTCTTTATGACACAAACTGGTTTATCTTGTCTAATTGCATTGGCTATTACAGCATGACAGTAAATAGTACTGAATATAGTGATGTCCCTGTCTGATTCCTGACTAATAGAAAAAAAATCCTCTAGTTATTCTCCATTAAATATTATCCTAGTGTTTGGCTGTATTCCAGAACATTATTTACTTTTAAAAATAAATGCAACCAGATTATGGCTATTTGCATAAATGGCTGCACTATCACTCACTTTGGTACAAATATGCCTTTTTTGAGGGAGAGACAAATGGTGGTGCTACCACCTCTATGCCGGGATAACTTGCCATTCAGAGTCAGCTGGACATGGGACAAGCTTTGCCCTATAGTACTTTGTGGTAGAAAAAGGGTTAAAAAGTGTGCCAGTAAAGTTTTGGGTATTGTTCTTATCTCCACTGTATTTGCAGAACCATACTAGATTCTTTGAATGCCAATTCTTTCATTCAGAAAGTTCAAGTTAACTTAGTCAAGATGCTAAAATATTTGTGTTCAGTTATATTAATGGGAGGAAAAAGCCTTTCCGGCCAGCAAGCCTGCCCTGACCTTCATGAAGTTTCAAAGTTGATGTGCTCTTGAAAAGCTTGCCTCTTTTTGCTTGCTTTGTCTTACGCCTAATCTACAGTCAGAACAAGTGTTTCTCAGTAAAAGACTTCCTTCTCCTCATTTACTTTTTATTTCCCACAGTCGGGGCCATTTGTGAGCTCCCGAACTAACAAACAAAGCAAAGTAACTCTCAAAGATGTTGTGTTCAAAATGGTAATTGAAATGCCTAAAGAAGTACAATGAAATCAAAGCAGGAGGAAACCCGAATATAGGAAATCTCTTCAGAGCTGGTTTCAATGCTGCCCACCACAAACACTTCGGGTTTTGCAGGCTCTTCTAAGCTAAGTCTGGGTAGATGCCAAGCTCTGCTTCACAAAGGCTCATGGTATAAAGTGTCCATGGGGCGAGCAGTAGGGTGAAGGCACTGTCTTTTATTAGAACCAATTAAGTCCTGAATTACTGAAATTCTCTTCTGCCTCTGCTGGCATTTCAAAACCGTATTTAAAACATTCTATAGTTGTGATTTCAAGGGTGAAGCCCCTTGTATTCTCCTCAAGCTTGTAAGTTTTCTTTTTGAATGTATAAGTAGAAAAATCACATCAGCTTGTACTTGTTTTACAGTTTATAAATCTGTATCACATTCATTTCCTAGACTTTATTATTTCTGGTTTACCAGTGGGGAAAATGAGAATTAGAGAAGTTAAAAGATATGCCTAAAGTCCTATGTCAAGGCCAGACTCAACCCCAGGTATTACAGAGCTAATTCTGTATTCACCCCATCCTATCATTTCCGTGTGCATTAAGTTACACACACATTAAAAGTAAATGCATGTTAACATTTATACATACAATGTGTACAGATATTATGTACTTTGCTATAGAGAAATCCTAATTTACAAAATAGATAACTGATTCCATTCTCTTTTCATGAACATTCATTATGAGGTTATTTTAAATATAAAGATCCCTGGTCCCTTTAAAATTAGAATCTATTTTCAAAAATTGATCTCCTCATAAGTTGTTAAGCCCAGATCTATACATACAGTAAAATTTCATTTTTATTATTTTATGAGACAGGGTTTTCCTTTGTCTCCTAGGCTGGAGCGCAGTGGCACAATCATGGCTCACTGCAGTTTCAGACTCACACCTCAGCCTCCCAAGTAGCTGGGACAATTGGACTGCACCACCAGGCCCGGCTAATTTTTTGTTTTGTAGAGATGAGTCCTCGCTATGTTACCCAGGCTGGTCTCAAACTCCTAGCCTCAAGTGATCCTTCCACCTTGGCCTCCCAAAGTGTTGGGATTACAGGCATAAGCTGCCACACCTTGCTGTGTCTTTTTTTTTTTTTTTTTAATTAAAAAAGAAAGTCTTACATTTTAAGATTTGGCTTGCTGCCTTATTTTATCTATATACATTTGTAGTTGTTCCAGCATTTTCCTAATCTAAATACACAAGGGAAGTATAGGCCACTGCCTTTTTTTTTTTTTTTTTTTTTTTGAGATGGAGTCTTGCTCTGTCACCCAGGCTGGAGTGCAATGGCGTGGTCTTGGCTTACTGCAACCTCTGCCTCCCAGATTCAAGTGATTCTCTCACCTCAGCCTCCCAAGTAGCTGGCACTACAGGCGCATTCCACCACACCCAGCTAATTTTTGTATTTTTAGTAGAGAAGGGGTTTCACTATGTTGGCCAGGCTGGTCTCGAACTCCTGACCTCGTGATCTCCCCACCTTGGCCTCCCTAAGTGTTGGGATTACAGGCGTGAGCCATTGCACCCGGCAAGCCACTGCCTTTTTCACTGCCAAGAGGCAGATGACACAAAAGGAGACGAAAGAAAAACCCTGATGAGGGAGATGCCCTGTGGGAGTCTGTTGTTCTAGTGAATCATAGAGCAGCTTTGGCAAAAGTGATTTGTTTCTTCTCCACTTTTAAGTAGGTTCAGGATGAAGGGAGGCCATAAAACAAAGTCCACATCTTCAAGGTAAAAACCTACTTTTAAAGGAAGCAGGCCAATTAGAAACTCCAAACACAGCAGTTAGAGATGAGAGAGGAAGAATGAACTCCTCAAAGCATTGAAGGTCAAGACTAACCTTAGGAATTCAGGTCACAGCCCTCCCAGCCCCAATACATGAAGGTCGTTTTGCAGAAAGACTGGCCAATTTCATTAATTGCCTTTGTGAGGCTTTAGAATTTTGGAGATTATCTGAAAGAGCTTTTTAATCTCAAGTTTGGCTGTGGAGCATAGAGATACAAGCTGATTTTCCTATCTTTTAAATTTTATTTTAATTAATTAATTACTTTTTGAGACAGGGTCTTTGGAGTATAGTGGTGTGATCATGGCTCACTGCAGCCTCGACCTCCCAGGCTCAGGGGATCATCCTGCCATCCAAGTAGCTGGGACTATAGGTGTGTGCCACCATACCTGTCTGGTTTTTTTTATTTTTTGTAAATACTGGGCTGGTCTGGAACACCTGGGCTCAAGCAATCCTCTTGCCTTGACCTCCCAAAGTGTTGGGATTATAAGCATGACCCCTGTACCCAGCCTTTTAATTTTTTTAGAGACAGGGTCTCAGGGCATGATCATAGCTTATTATAACCTTGAACCTTTGGGCTCAAGTGATCCTTCTGCCTCAGCCACTTGAGTAGCTGAAACTATAGATGCACGTGACCACCACATCTGGCTAATTAAAAAATTATTATTATTATTATTATTGCAGAAATAAGTTCTCGCTGTGTTATTCAGGCTAGTGTTGAATTCCTGGCCTCAAGTGATCCTCCCGTCTCAGCCTCCCAAAATGTTGGGATTCATATGTGAGCCACCATGCCTGGCCTTCCTATCCTTATAAGTCTAAAGGATTACTTGAATAAGAAAAACATTAAAACCACAAAATCACATGAGTCCCTGAATCAAATCAATGTAACTTTTAGATTATAATTTGGACATGGCTGTCTCTGCTGTCTTTCATAAATAACAATAATAGCCATACACATATTTTATAGCTAATTTTAAGTTGAGAAACAAACATTAATAAAGTCTGTATGTGTCTAGCATATCACAGATTCCAAGAATCTTCTTGTAATAGCGTATTTCATCTTAAAATTTATGAGGCATGTAAAGTTTTATTCTCTTTATGCTGAAGAAACTGAGTCTCAAAGTGACTGAACTGCCTTCTGTAGTTACACAGACAGCAGTTGGTTAAGTGCTGACTTGAACTTGGGTTGCCTAATTCTGAGTTGGTGCTCCTTTCATTATACCAGATGATTTCAATAATGAGTTAAATTGTGTATTTCATATATATAAATGTGTAGGAAATGTTCCTGGACTCGTATATGATTTTGAGAAGAAGCAGGTTTATATCTCTTTACCTATGTATACCTAAGCAGGCCACCTAAGCAGTCTGTGCCTCAATTTCTCACTGGAAATGAGTGTAATGATAACACCTGATTTAAGTATCCCAGAGTTATAGGGAAAATAAGCTTAAGAATGAGCCTTATGGCCGGGCGCGGTGGCTCGGTGGGAGGCCAAGGCGGGTGGATCACTTGAGATCAGGAGTTTGAGACCAGCCTGGCCAACATGGGGATAATCCCATCTCTACTAAAAATACAAAACTAGCCGGGCGTGGTGGCATGCACCTGTAGTCCCAGCTACTCTGGAGCCTGAGGCAGGAGGGCAGGAGAATTGCTTGAACCTGGGAGGTGGAGGTTGCAGTGAGACGAGATTGTGCCACTGTACTCCAGCCTGGGCGACAGAGTGAGACTCTGTCTCAAAAAAAAAAAAAAAAAGAATAAAGAAAAGAAAAAAAAGAACCTTATTACTTAAATAATTATTATATAAATACCAGGTATCATATATTACTATGTATTTTCATCCATTAACTCTTTGAAAGAGCCATGTTCTAGTTTCATTTAAACTTGCTCTGATGATGCAGTAACTCAGATTGATTTGGCAGATGTATGGGGAAAGGTGCTAAAATTCATAATTTCTCATTTTTGGTAATGTGTGTCTCTGGGGCCCAAAAGCTCAGTGGGTTGAAGTTAGAGCTATGAGAAGGCTGAAGTATTTTGCTCTCTTCTTTGAATGGCTGACTATAAGACAATCTGACAGCCACAGGTGGCATCATGTTCCCTAAGCCACCATCTTAAGAGTGTCTCCTTCATAACTAGTAGGGCCAGGTGAGTTTCTTTTCCTGCATTAGAACAGATATCAAAATTTTCATCTTGCTTTTAAGAGACAGCATTGTGTAGTGGTTAAGAGAACAGGATCTGGAACCTGGATATAAACCCTGATCTACTCTAGTTATTTAACCTTGCTTTGCCTCTCTTTCCTTATCTGTAAAACGGGCATGACAGTAGTACGTTATTTTTCTATTTGTATCATAAAAAGTTACTATAGGCTGGGTGCAGTGCCTCACGCCTATCTATAATCCTAGCACTTTGGGAGGCCAAGGCAGGCAGGTCACTAAAGCCCAAGAGTTCAAGACCAGCTTGGGCAACGTGGTAAAAACCCACCTCTACAAAAAATACAAAAATTATCTGGGTGTGGTGGTACATGCCTATAGTGTCAGCTACTTGGGAGGCTTGAGGTGGGAGGATTGTTTGAGCCCAGGAAGTCCAGGCTACCGTGAGTCGTGATTGTGCCACTGCACTCCAGCCAGGGTGACAGAGTGAGACCCTGTCCTGGAAAAAAAAAAAAAAGAAAAAAAAAAGTTACCATAAACTTAGAAGCTTAAAACACTGATTATCTCATAGTTGTGTAGGTGAGGACTCAAGGCCGAAATCAAGGGTTGGCATGGATGTGTTTCTTTCTGGAAGCTCTGGGGATGACTGCCCCAAAATCATTCAGGTTGTTTGACCGAATATAGTTCCTTGTGGTTGTAGAACGGAGGCCCCTGGTTTCCCTGCTGGCTGTCAGCTGGGAGTCTCTCTCAGCTCCTTAAGGCTGCGTTAATTCCTTGTCATGTTGCTGCTTTCATATTCAAATTAGAAATGATGTCTCAAGTCCTTCTCACATTTTGAATCTCTTACTTACCCTTTTGCTGCCTCTCTTCTTCTGCTTAAGGGCTCATGTGATTCGACTGGGCCTAACTGGATACTCCAGGATCCTCTCTGTGTCTTAAGATTTATACCCTAATCACATCTGCGAAGTCCCATTTGCCATGTAACATAACATATTCACAAATCCAAAGATTAGAACATGAACATCTTCTTGGGGAAGTGAAGGAGAGCTCTGTTGCCTACCACAAATAGCACCTGCTTCACTGAGTAACTGTAAGAGTTAAATGATTTTATTTTTGAGGATAAATATATGTAAACACTTGGGTTTTTTTTAATCTATTTCATGTGTTTCAGTCTGTTATACTCATCCCATTATTCTTTTTGATGTTCATATTATCCCATCTTTGATCAGTGGAAATCCATTTAAGTCTCCTCTTGTCATGCTTTACCATGATTCCAGTAGGCTTTTCTGGCAGGAAAAGATGCCCTAGGCTCCTGCCCCAAACCTGCAATTATCCATTTCTATGAGGAATCCTGACTCCTTTCCAAGGTAAACGGTATGTAAATACCACAGTCTGGGCACTATGGGTAGAATTCCTCTTAAAATGGCTTCGTAGTGCTACTTTATGTTTGGAGGGACGATAACCCCATCCTCCTAGGCATTTCATTATTCCTGCTCCTTATGGGTCTCTGTTTCTACCTGGATACTCTCTATTCCTCCCTTGCTCATAACAGCCAATGCTCCTTGTGATTCCTCAACTCTTTTCCAAGCAGATACAGTACCGATTCCTTCAACCTTTTCATCCCCCTGTGCCAGAAACCCTTCAGACATCCTCACTCATCTCTGAGCTTCTAAGACATTAACATGAGGAACACTTCTGTAATGTTTAAGACTGGTAGTACCCCTTTCTCCCACAGAATCTTCCTATTTTTTAAAAAAAATTCTCAAAGAGAGTGAATCTCCTGTTTGCTGTCCAAGGCTTTGGTGGACAGTCTTTCTTAACCCAGAACAATAGTGCTTTGAAACACCATGGCAGCCCGGTGACAGAGCTGGGGAGCCTTCAGAGGACAATGATCCCCCCAGGTGTGTGCATATGTTTCCCAGGGAGTGTCGGGGGCTGCATGCTGAAATTTTTAACTAGAGTTACTGGCTGAAAAAAAAGTGTTAAGGAGTTAGTTTATCTTAACCATTTTTAGATCACATACCCATTTGAACATCTGATGAAAATTATGGACTTTCTCTCTAGAAAAACATATACACATGCCAAAATTTATTAACAAGTTCATGGGCTTCAAGGACCTCTTAGGAACTCAAACTGTTTTGGAAGGTTTAAGTTGTTTGTACAATTAGGTCCTGATTTGCACGGGTTTGTTAGAGACAGCAGGATTTGAAGTGGGGCAGGGGTCTGGATAAGAAGGCATCAGGGTGCTGGTTTAAAATCACTCCAGTGAACATTAGTCATTCTTTAGTCCAGGGAAATGCTAATTCTGGTGTCAGTTAATGGACTATCTGCTATCATTCCACAACATTAGTAGTGTAGAGAATGGGTAAGCTTTTAAAACTTGGGATAATTCTTGGGACATGGCAAGCACTAAAAAATGCCAGTTGGTTTTAGGCAAAGAGAAGACTATCAAAGAGCCACTAAAGGCGGCCATCCTGGGATGGCACATGAGGAACTGGGAAAAACCCACTAAGATACCTTTGGCCTGGTGTGGCCACAGAGCCCTTGACAAATTCTACCTCATGTGCACCGAGGGTGCCTTAAGGCACTGTCTTGCACTTTCCACCCCAGGATAAGTCAGAAAGTATCCAGAATAGTCCTCACTAAAGGATGGGGATGCAGCCACTGGATCTTCCACTTCATCAGAGACAGGGCTCTGATGTCTCTGATGAAGTGGAAGATCCAACATAGACTCATTTCTCACAGCAACATGTGAGGCAAACCCCATGTTTGCCTCAGAGAAGCTAACAGATGATAGGAATAATAATAATAGCAGCAGTAGCTAATATTAACTGAATTCTTACTACAGTTAGACCTCATGCTGATACTCTGCATTCATAAACTCATGTAATCCTCATAGCAACTGCCATGTTGTAGGTATTGGCACCTCCAAACAAGAAGACTAGGGTGCGGAGAAGTTAGGTGGCTTGCTTGAGGTGACTCATCTGTTTCGTGACAGAGTTGAGATTGGGATGCAAAATTACCTGCTACAAAGCCCATGTTGCCAAATACTAACATTGTATTATAAAAAGTATAATAATATCCCTTACAAAATAAAGAACTAGTTTATGCAGAGGCCCTTGTCCATCTTGCTAGGAGGTTTTTGTCAGTGTTGGGATGCTTTGTTCTTGCGTTTAGTTCATTGGAATCTTTACAACTTAAAACCCACAGGACCTTCTTATGTTTTGTGCTCACCCTAAGGAATCTCAGGAAAGAAAAGGATGTGTGTCATTAGATATTGTAGCTCTGAGGCACATGAATCCTGTGAGAGTTGGGAGAATAGGACAAAACTGAAGGTGAGGGAAGGGTTTTCATGTAGATACAGAATCACTGAGGATCTGATTTATTTGACATTTGTGAAGCCAAGTTCAACATGTTGTTTATGGATGACTTGAACCCCATGTCATATCATGTTTTATGATTCCAAATGAACAAAGCAGAGAAAAGTTCCCAAAGGAAAACTAAACAGGTGTTTTGGGGCTACAGGACATTTATTTAGTTATATGGTGAAGGTTATCTGTTTGATGGTAGAATCATTAAGTTGCCCAGCGTCATGCATGGGAACATGCTTTCATGGTTTCCAAAAGAAATTCAGAATGCCTTTTATTTCCCAAAATGTCCTTTTGTAAAAGTGTTCTTGACACGGAGGGTGCTGACTAATTCAGAGAAGCATTCCTGCCACCACTGCTGGGAAAGCCGTGGTAAGTGTGAGAGAGGCCTGGATTGGCAGGGGCTGGTGAGGTGGTCAGGCCCTAAGATAGCTCAGCAGACAGAGTAATGACTTCCTGATGGCAATACCAATGACATACAAGTATGTACTTTGGAAACTCTTAGTTCCCACTTCATAAAAAGGTCATGACTCTGGAGACACAGAGTGACTTGAATACTTTAGACAAGAAAATCTCTTGGCACCCTTCATTAACTTCCTTATCTTGGCCCTACCAAAAGGTGCCTCAAAGTTCACCTAATTCTCTAACTAATTCTAAACAGCCCTGGAGATAAGCCTAACTGTATACTAGCCACAAATAAAATAAACAAAAACAGGACTCAAAGAGTGTGTACATTCAAAGTCTTGTAATACATGTTTCCATATTAACTTGAAAAAAATGAATGCATGTCAGTCACCTGGATTTAAAACTGTGAATCACTGTGACCTTAGTACTTAGCATCTAGAACTGCTCCTAGCCTATGGTGTGAACTCTAAAGATATTTGTGGAACAAACGCTGTTAAATGATTTCTCATCTGGTTCTAATAAAATTCTAAAGTAAAAGTATCATTGATAATTTTTGTTGTTGTTTTTAACATGAATCAGTTTTGTGCTTTGGAGATCCAGCATATCTGCTGCATAGACTCTGCTGAATATGTATCTACTATTCATTCACTTGTTCTAAAAATATTCAATTTTTAAAATATCCATAATTGTATTCTGGGCACACTGAATACCATTTAATTCAACTGGTATGAAACTCTGGAGAAAAGTCTGGAAATGAATACGGTTTCATGCTTTATTTGTATTTTACTCAAATATGTCATGTTTTTAAGTGGCACTAAGAAGTCAAGGTTGAATATGCTAAGACAAGGCTAATTTTTAAAACTTAAATTCACATTTATAATGAATTAACACTTAAGACAGCAATACAGCAGGTGGGTTGTTTTGTATTAGTCTTTGGGGGTGCGCTTTTGGACTGTGTGGTTCTCGTAACACCTCAGCCATGGGTTCTTTCCATGTGTCTATATTTCAGCCTTGAAAATACCCGGAAACAGTATGATTTTCGATAGGGTGACCATATAATTTATCATCCCAAATGGGGCAATTTTGAGAGTTAATGGGGTCCTCGACCCTGGCTGCATGTCAGAATCACATAGGATTTCTGTGGCTGTATTTACTGAATTTCATATTTTAGAAAACTAATTTTGGTTTATTTTTACATTCCACATTCTTTGCATTTCATTTTGCTGATCAATGAACAATATATTACTTTTATATAACAATTATTAATAGTCAGTTAAGGGAAGGAGAATAATTATGCCAATTCCACAGACATAAATGGGACTCTTTAAGGCAAACAGAGTCATATGATCATCCTAGTTACTGGGAAAGGACACAGGTTGGAGGATCAGAAATTGTCTCACACTGGCTCCCGTATTATATGCAAGTCACTTCCCCTTTCTAAGGTTTCAGTTTATTCAAATGAAAAGTAAAGGAGTTGTACTAAAGTGAACCCTATTGTTTTCTTCAAATTCTACCATTCTATGATTATAAACAGATTCAAAGAAAAGAGTTGCATTATATTTTTCAAATAGTCTCAAACTAAGAGGCAGCTGGCTAGGCAAACACATGAAATATTCATCCTCTCTCCTTTATAAAACAACATAGTTGCAAATGCTTACATCATATTTAAGATGAATCAAGACTTGCTTGCTTCAGGGTTGGCAAAAATTTCACCTTCACCACCTGAAGCACTGTGTTCAGAAACACTCTAAGGACATATCTGGGCTCAGCAGAAAAATGGGCCTTGATGAATTAGTGATGCCTTCTGGGGTTAGGGGAATCTCAGAGCGCAGTAGGGACTAAGAGAGGGGTTACAGCATATGCATGTGTGCCAGCTCTCTGCCATAACTGGCTTAGGTCTCTGGTGCTAAAAAATAAGAAAAAAAAATCTTCTCATATTTAGTACAGGTCTGCCCCATATTGTTATCTAACATTGTGCTAGTCTCAGAAAGATGTACTAAGCCACATGAGAAGCCCAAAGATTTTCTTTTCCTCCTGCTCTCAATGCCCTTTCACATGCGCTTAGGTTGCAAAGTATAAGGAGCGGTCCTCGACCCTGGCTGCATGTCAGAATCACACAGGATTTCTGTGGCTGGGGTCCAGCCACGGGTGCTTTTAACCTCTCCCCACAACCAGGGGGTTCTACTATACAGACAGCAAGGACAAAGAGGCTAGAATGGCAGAAGAGAGTCAGGACACCTAGATCCCAGTCCTTTTTCTTTACTAAGGCTGTGTGACCTTGGATACATCACTTAGCTTATCTAAGTCTATAAATGAATTTGGACTCTTAGGTATTCTTTAGCTATAACTTTCTGTGACTAAAAAAAATGAGGAGGTAAAGAATAACATGGTGTGTTAACTCAAGCAATATAGATGTCCTCCTCTTTGTAAATTCAAGGAAAGTTGACTTTATTGTCAAACAGATAAATCTACAGTAGATGATCAGGAAAGAAACACGCATTATTTTTCCATGCATGATCAATCACAACTTCTTGAAAGCGGCAGCTAAGTCCTATGATATCATCTATAGAATCCCTTTTCTCACTTGTTCTTGAAAATGATTTTTTTAAACACTAGAAAACCGTCGACATAATTTACTACTTCCATTACATTTTTTTTTCATTGCTTGCACCCCTGACTTTGGCAGCTCTTTCAGCATTCCTGCTATTCAGTAATTTAACATCTCACCTGAGTAACAGCAACATTTGTCCCATCGGTGACTTCCACACTCATATTATAGATGGACCTCTGCTCTGCATCCAAAGGTTTTGCGATGACAATTGTCCCAACACCCTTCTCTGCATCAAAAGCGCTGTCAAAATTCCCCCCTGATGATTTCACAGAAACATGAAATTAGCAAATCTGATAACTTGTTACATGCATTATATCATATATCTTTAAAGGGAGCTCTTATACAGAAATTTTTTTTGACAGGCATCCCTATGGCTCAATTTTGTACATCTTAAATGGGACCTCTTTATTTCTAACTTGATTCATAGTTCAAAACACAGCCTCTACAATGCATAACAAATGTCACAAAAAAGGAATGTAGTGCAAAGAAAAACCTCAGCAGTAATGTTAGAGTAGTGAAGCATAAACTGACTCCATTAAATATTTAGAAACCTAAAGGCCCTTCAACTTCTTGTGGCTTCTGCATTAGAAATTTGTAGATCTTTTTGTTTTTTCCAAAGTAGATTAAATTCCAAGTAAATAAATAGTCCAATTATTATTAATAGAATGAGTAGACATTTAAAATCTATTCCAGGATTGATGGTAAACATTTGGCTGCTAGAATTCAGATTCCCTTAATTAAACGTCAGAAATAAAATTATGAATTCTAAACAGTAAAAAAAAGCAAAAAAATTTCATATTAAAAATTCTATATCTGCAAGCTGGGATATTTATAGAAATACTTATTTTGCCATCTTGGTAGTGTAAATTATTTTTCTCCTAAAAAGGCAGAAAGCCTAGGGAAAGTCACAAAATAAAATTGGGAAAGAAGTAGAAGAAAACATCAGCTTATATAACACCAAATTACAAAACAATTTACATGGAAGTTTAGAAAACTTTACTTTCCTCTCAACCCCCTGGCCACATATAACTCACAGTCTGTGAGTGATTTGCTTAAGACAACACTGCCATTGTTGAAATCACTGCTGATGTTTCTACCTCTGGGAACCAAAGTGTGGTTTATGATCTTCCCAAAATGAAAGATTTTTTTGAGGGGGAGAAAAATAATGGTATGTATGTGGGAACAATTTTAATTAAGCATGAGTGTATGTTCACAAGCTCTATTTCTTTTGGCCTGAAATTTCATGGTGTTGATTTTGTTCTCAGACAGTAATTTTATTTAACTACAGCATATAGGGCAATGTATTTATTGAATTTCATATTTTAGAAAACTAACTTTGGTTTATTTTTACATTCCACATCTTTGCATTTCATTTTGCTGATCAATGAACAATATATTACTTTTATATAACAGTTACGAATAGTCAGTTAAGGGAAGGAGAATTTTACCTGAATTACTAGAATCTGATGTACAATGACATGGAATAAATAATATGGTTTACTTAAAAAAAACCTGGTCATATATATATTTCAAATACTTATTGCTTGCAGCTGTCATATACACTTAAGATTATTTAATTGCAAGAGAGAATATAATTGCCCTTGACATTTAATTAAAGTTACGGAGATACGAGAGTATCAGAGAATTGCTTGGAGATTATATACTTTTTAAAAAATTTCATCTAAAAAGAGACTCATCTTCCAATTAATATCTTTAATTGATTTGATGAGGAGCACTAAATATTAACTCCAAAAAAATTGTTTGAAGATAGGATAAGGAGAGAGGGGGGAGTCTAGGCTGAAAAGGGAAGCAAGCCTTAGGTCACCATTTCTTATTCAAAGGGAATGTTTCATGTTGATAACAACATGAAATAAAATGGAAGGCTGATTTGAGTGTCTTGAAAAACCATCTTCATGAGCAAAAGAGAAAAAAAACATGATCATTTGCTATTAAGCGGTACATTCTGAGAAAAAATTTGCCATGGAAACTTTCAAAGAAAGGACATAAAATTGCCTCATAAGTCCTGTATGGAAGGAAAGATGAGAATGTAACTTCTCAGGTTGTTTCTAGTGGGTATTAAATCCCATTTTAAATCACATTTAGAATGTTTTCTTTACCAAAATGTTAACTTTCTTAAATCTTTGGGTCATGATATTATTTGGAGGTGGGGGAAGGAGTCATCCTCTAATGTTGATCATTTTAAAATGTGAAAATGTGTGAGTCAAGTCAAAATAAAGATTATGCAAATTATAAAACTTTAGTTTGCTCCAGTTTAAAGATGATTAAAAATAAAATTTAGAGAACCAGCAAGCATAGATTCCAGTTTGAGTTACTGTTTAAATGGGGCAGTCCAATTTGCTCTCTCTCACTGAATTTGACTCACATTTTCCCCAGGGCCCTGTATAAAAATACATAATCATCGCACGTGCTTAGTGGTATAACATTTACATATGGCATATAGAGTGTGTGCTTTTTCTTAGTCGTTTTTCATATCAAATACCATTTTTGGCTAATTTTATGTTTTTTTTTTTTTTACAGTTCTCTCTCTTCCTGTGTGTGTTCATATATGTATTTGTATGTGTATGTGTATGTGTATATCTCCCTCAAATTCTTTAGAACAGAAACCTCTAAAGGGACAGGGGAGACAGACCAAGAGCAGAGCCAAGAGCATTTGAAGGAGAGCCTACAAACTATGTCTCTCAGCTTACCAATATAGCTAGCAGCCTCGGACACTCATTTCCAGGACATTTGCTCCTAGTTAAACTAAGATTTAATGTAAAACAAAATCTTCCATGAGTTTTAAAATGAATTTCTGACAAGGGACACAGAATCCAGACCAGCAGTTTACCATCAACCCTCACACAATTTAATAACCTACCACTTAAGCATCCCATTTCATAAACGACTCCATATCTCTCCCCCAGGTCTCATTTTTCAGGCTCCCTTTTAGCCTGAAAGTGATTTCAGTTTCATAGGAAACCACGTCCAAATCGTCCAGGGTGAGAATATCAAATGCAAGGAGTCCATTTTCACTAGCAGCATTCCGCTTAAACAAGGTGTGCTTCCTCAGAGCCAGTAACAGAACATGCAAAGCCAGAGTGTGTTCAGTGCAGCAGCGTTAGGCTCAACAAAAGGTGGGGAGGAGGGAGGACACCGCAGAGCTGGTCTGAGTTTCAACAAAATGGGAAATTAGAAAAGCCACAGCCTGAGCGTTGCTGCAGGGGTGTGCGGCAGAGATGGTTAAAAGCGAGGTTGTGAACAGCCCACATAACAGATAATTCACATCAGGGATGTGTCTCTTTGACCATTTTCGGTCAAGACAGGTGTAATAGAGTAAACAAAGAGCAGATGAGGCACAATGGATTTCTATTGGATTCTAAAGTTAAACATCCCAAGTAGGAATGTCCCAAAAGGCTTTAAAGATGGGACATAAATGGAAATATTTTGAGCCAGCAGCTACTGCTTAAATATGCTGGGCATTGGAGCACTGGGCCGTGATTCAGTCTAGTTTTTCTTTAAAGAAGGGTACGAAGCACCTCTGTCCCTCCGTAAAGACACCCAATGGTGAGAATCACACAGCTTCCCCTTTAGAGAGCTTCCAGGTCCCTCCCCTAGCATATGATTCTTTTCCACTCCACATATAATTGTAAAAATACCAACCCACATCTAGTTGTCACCAAGGGGAAGGTGTTATGTGAGCAGCTTCCAGAACACGGAGCTGCCGAACCTCAATGAATTCAGGGAGTTGTGCACAAGCTGTTGATTCAGGTTCCGCATGTACACCGAACTTAAGAAAAAATGCTAAACACCAGTTACAATTTGATCTTGAAAATGCTAAACACCAATTATCATTTTCCCCTAATTTTCTGCCTTGAAATGAAAGCAAGCACAGTACCTGGCTGAAAAGGATATTTACTTGGAAGACAGGGGACACCAGGTGGAGGTCAGGAAAAAGTGGCTGGAAAGAAAATCTCTTCTAGAATCGAGTTTAGGATTCATTTTCTTAAAACTATTAATAGTATATGAAGTGTTTCTAGGCTTCTTCTTATTTTCCTGAAGTTTCTACAGATGTGCTCCTATGGACCAGACTGTTGCTATGGAAAAATGAGAGGCTTATTTGGGATCAAATTAGGGAAAAGGGGCAGAATAGGGGAAATGAAGTGTTTGATGTCAGTTGAATGACTTGGAGCAAGGGTCACCCTGATGAAGGAGCAGCTGTAATAGAAATGACGTATGAATATGGTTTCTCTCCATATCACTGGGTAAGAGTCTTTCGCTAGAGAAATACAGCCACCTGATTAGGGAAGACCCAGAGGTGTCCAAGCTCTAGTTGAAGAACAAGGCTGCTGCTAGTCCTACCAGAGACTTCAATGGGCCTACTTCATTCATCTCTAAATAAGCGATGGCTCCACTGGGGACAAGGTTCAAGAAAGACAGGCAAAAGCTTATGACACAGCAGCAGCCTGGAGCCCAAAGTTTGAAGGAACCTATGACAAATGAAGGGTCAAAGCAGCCTTCCTGCAACACAGAAAGACATTTCAACTGGAGTTGGAACTACGTTCTATCACTCACCAACAGAGAAACATTTTCAAAGAGCAGCCTTACAGTAGGCGAGATAAAGAAAGATATTTTAGGTGCTTACTATTTACAAAGAAAACTATTTTTCTCCCCTAAGTCAGGTGAAAAGCTAAAAAATGGGTGACAGCACCCCCCATCCATCTGCAGGTAAAGAGGAACTGTCTGAGGTGTGTAATAAAGGTGGCCTTCTCTATTGAAATATTTGCCAACAGAATAAAGATACAGGGACTGAACTGTGAACCAGATTGCATGCACATTAGAGAGTCTGTAAATCAAGGAGCTGTGGAGTTGAAATCATAGTCCCCTGAGAAGTGTGAAGATATGTGATAAAGCCACAAAGGATTATGGGTTATTTGTGTTCCCTTCACTTTCTTTCCCTTTTAACACAGAGAAGGAACATGCTGTGCGTTGGGCTGTTTAAACACAGAACAGCTGAACTTTATTATGTTTCCTTTTAATTACAGCTTTCTTAACTCAGTTACAAGTAGGGCTTCTGTTTCTGGAAGCTGAAAAGTCTCACTGCATAATATTGTAAGCAGTGGTCTCCTTGGAGGCACAAGAAAGTGTGTGACAGATCCTCGATGCAAGGGTCCAGGCTTGGAACAAAATCTTGCTTGCTACCCAGCTTTTGTGAATTCATATCATGGTGGGAGACAAAGAAATGCAGTTAAGCAAGAATTGGCTAGATTTGGAAATGCAGAAATGGGGCGACTTTACTCTCAGGGGAAAAGCATGCTGAAACACTATTTCTGCTCACTTAATGAGAATTTATTAGTTATAGCATTAGTAAGCTGTAAGTGTCATGCCAAGATGATGTCTTCTCTGTAACTCAGTGTCTCTTTAGGTGTCTGCAAGCACTGGGTCTATTAATGGAGCCAAATTCTCACTCCCTTGGAAGAGTCATAGAGTATTTACCTAGGCAAGGCCCATACTTATATCTGAGACCTCATTTCAGATCCATGCTGATATTACATACCTAGTGCCTATTCCAGGCATTCACTGCTATGTTTCTTAAGCATTGAGGCGCATTGTTCCCTCTTTCCTCTGTATGTTAGCTTGGCCAAAAAAGATGCTTACGTAAGGAGGAAGGGAACAGAGAGATGAGAGTTTCCATGGCTGAAGATAAATAAGCAGGAAATCTTGAGAGCGAGACTAAAACATCTGAATATGATAAAGGAAACAATAGGTATTTAAAGAAGGGGAAAGATGTTGTCAGCAGATTGAGAAAAAATGACTCTGATGGATTAGAAAGATTTTCAAAAGGAGGATTTGGTGGAACGTGGACCATATCAATACTGAAGTAACCAGCACCTGGGAAAAGGATTTTACTTCTGCGCTGAAATAAAGATTTGGTGTTTCAAGATGTTGTTGGCTGGATGTGGGGATGGAAATAAAATCATGTTCTGTTTGGGCATCTGGCCCAGTAAGTTCAATTTGGAAAAGAAGCTTGGCTAGATGTTACCTGATTTACAGTGAAATCTCTGTGATGGAAGCATCCAGACCAGAGGGACAACCCTGTAGGTCCTCATTCAGAGACCTACAAGTGCACTGAAACTGAAGGCAGTCTCTAGGAAAAGTATAGCATTTAGAAATACACCAATGAAGAAACATGAAAACTGATGCCATGTTCTTGATGATGGATCCTGGGTCTATATTTAAGGTAGCTTAAAGGGACTCCTTCCAGGGAGAGCTCTCATCTGTAAACTGCCTCTCTCTTCTTGGACCAATGATGTTTCTATTTTGTCAAAGGTGCATAGTGTGTAGGTTGCCGTGGCCAGTAGCACAGTGGAAGGTCACACTGACTCTGAGTAGGTTCCAGGAGGCATCAGTAGGGTTAGCATAGTGGCTGCCTGGGGTATCTCCATCATTCACCATAGTTTATTCCACTCATCCTGGGTTGGTAGCAACAGAGGTTTTGGCAGGAGGAAGGAATGAGGACACATGGGCCTTAACCATAGGGGTTAAGAGTGGAGACAGGATAAGCACAAATGAAAACATACAGCAGCACTCATCATGCTGACATGAGAAACTTGCAAATCAGGTTACATGCAGTACTGCTAGGTATGCTTACCTACAGACAGTCACACACACACATGCAGGAATGATGAAGAGTTGCAAGCCTGACCTGGATAACTAGGGTCAGGCAGCTGGTGAGACTGACCATTACAGAAAGGCATGCCAGTAGGATTTCAAAAGCAGAGTACAAGTGAGGGCATCCCAGGGCACATGGGTGGTAGGTGGGATGTACTACGGGTCAGCAGGTTGAGTGCATGGATCATGCCAGGGAGAGATGTGACACTGTCAGGCTGTAGAGGTGCTTGGACACTGGAGTGTTCAAGGAGGAGGGAGAAAAATCAGTGGCTGATGAGAAAGGGCAACTCATCTAATCTCAGGACAGCACACTAGACATTCTGTTGCCTATTCGGTTTCTGCTGCATTCTCCTTTAGGCTTTTTTTTTTTTTTTTTGAGACAGAGTCTTGCTCTGTTGCCCAGGCTGCTGGAGTACAGTGATGCAATCTTGGCTCACTGCAACCTCCACCTCCCGGGTTCAAGCAATTCTCCTGCCTCAGCCTCCCCAGTAGCTGGGATTACAGGCGCCCGCCATCATGCCCAGCTAATTTTTGTATTTTTAGTAGAGATGGGGTTTCGCCATGTTGGACACGTTGGTCTCGAACTTCTGACCTCAAGTGATCCACCCACCTCAGCCTCCCCAAGTGTTGAGATTACAGGCGTGAGCCACTGTGCCCGGCTAAAAATCACTATTGCACATGTCTCTGGACACCTGGCACTAAGGGCACGTGTAAGAACTGAATTGCACTTTCTGTGACTCTGGGGGTGGAAGTGAAGAAATCATTAAAGGTGACTGTACAGAAAACCAGACCATGACTACGTGCAACCCTTTGTGGTGCCAAGAAAGAAGAAACTGCATCAGATAATATCTTAATGAGCTGAAAATTACTAAGAAGATAAAGAAATGGAGACCCCTTTCATGGATCAGAAGAAGTTTCATTTCAAATATGTTGAGTAGCAATGAAGAAAGAAGTGAAAGCTTGCTGTGAGGATGCCCATGTACACGATGGCATGATTAATACCAAGTAAGTAAAACAAAAATGTTCCACCATCATTTCATCAAATGAAACACGTAGAAAACAGCTCTTTGCTTTTTTGGAAGTTCAGAGGACTCTCTATAGAGGTTTGACTGCGGGCCATGGGGCGTTCTTTTTCTGTGCCTTGTTAAAACCGCTGTGGAACTTTCTAAATGCTTTTCCCAAGTACAGCCATTCCTGGGGGGGAGAGGCAGGTTCCTGCCCATCCTATCCAGGCAGTGCCATGGGGAAGGAAATGATTCCCCCAGACCGACTCTCTCCTGGATCCCCTGCCTCCCACAGAGAAGCGTGGGAAGTCAGCTTTAGCTCAACCCAGTGTCGGATTGGGCGACACACACTCTCCCCTCTGTTTTAGCAACAGCCTGTTTTGTTTCCTGGTCCTCGGCACTCATTTCCTCTCCAGCGCCTCTCCCTGCTGGTTTGTCAAGGGCCATAGGGCTGTTTTGCCCTTTCCTTTTGCAGCCTGGCGTGCTTGCTTGCTTTCTTTCAAGGAATTTAAAGGTTGGCTCCCAGGGTCTATCCTGCATGCTTCCATCTGCTTCCTCTATTCGGCTTGCGGGGGAGGCTGACTGGCTATATATCTAGGTTCCATTTCCTGCCCTTCCTCTTATGGACGACAGCCAGGGGACTCTCCTGATGGGGCTTTTGGTGCATGAATGGTACTACCGCTGCAAAACAGAGGGGCTGAAATACATTTTAATTTCTTTTTCCATTGGAAAAGGCCCAGTTAAATAAACCAACCTACAAAAAGATAAAAACAAAACAACAAAAAGCCCACATACCTCAAAAGCAAAGAAATAAAAGTCAAAACAACCCCCCCCTCAAAAAAAATCCAAACCCTATCAAACCTCAAACAAAGAAGTCATTGGATACGAGTAATGCAATAGTTGTTAGAGGCATATATGAAATCTGTGGGCTGCACTTCAGCCTGTCACAGGCAGTTATGAAAGATGTAATTCAATTTGCTTTAAAAAAAAACCGTAAAAGGCAGATTGGATAGCTGTATTTTAGCAAATGTGTTTGCACTAAGGGTACCTTCTGTTGAACAGTTCTGCCCACAAGCTGTCTGTAGAATATAGAACATCTCTCGAGCATGCTTGCCACCTTGAAGCAGGGCAGTCGGGAGCAGAAAAAAAAAAGAACAGAATGCAGAAAAAAGGTGAAGAAAAAGAGAGAAATGAAGGACAGCAAGTCTAGTACCATCAATACATTTAGAAATGAGATTAGCCAAGTGTGACAATAGAATTTAAATGACACACAGAAAGACATTAAGATTGCAGTAAATAACGTACTATGGAAAATCCAGCCAGAGAGCACTTTCGGTTCAGCTTAGCTACAGAGTTGGAACGAAAGCACAGGTCGATTATTCACTTTACTGGCTCTTTTGCATTCCAGCACTATACATCTTTTAATCTTGGCACTAATTGTTAGTTTTTTGCTTTCTTTCTTTTTTTTTTTTTTCCTAGTTGCTTCAGTCAATTATTACATTGCATGATACTGCTCTGTAAGACTCGAACTTACCAACTATGTCAAACCACAGAGGGGTGTTAGCTGGCTGCACAGACACCACCCCTACAATTTCAGTCACTCTATCACTTTCCATGACTGTGAAGTTATAAAACGGCTCATCGAAGGTCAATGGTATAGGTGAAGGGGGTGGTTTCTTAATCCATTCAATGTGGAGGCGGGCCGTGGAGGATTTCTGTGGGCGCCCATTGTCCACTGCCTTTATCTACTCACACAGGGAGAGAAGAGAAAGATGTCTCAGACCTCTGATTGTTGTAGAGTTTGGATCTGTCACTCATGTTGCTGGGCCAAGAGTCCATCTTCAACACAGTGTCAGCAAGGGGAAGAAAGGAGCAGAGGTCTGGGGAGTAAAGACTTGGGAATGGAGGGGAACAACCCAGTCATGTGCAGACCTTGCACCATGTTTGCCAGAGGCTCTCTGGACCACAGTCAACTTTACAGATATTGAGACCTTGAAAGACAAATGCTGCACTTACAGTTTGTGGTGATTTGTGGGCCTGAATAATAGTTATATGAATAGAAATAGCTAATTTGATTCCTGAGAGCATGATCCTAAGCCTCACCTCTGGTGGTGATATGTGAAAGGGAAGAAAGTGCATTGTGAAACCTTATATATGTGTGAATGATACGTGCAGAAGTGTGTGTGTGCATGTGTATGTGTGTGGTTGTGTTTTGCAGTGTGTGGTTGTGTTTCGCAGCTCCTCCCTTCTGCTATATGTGATTGATAGCAGCACAGGATCCCAGGAGCAAGATAGAGTGGGCTGGGAAAGGGAGCAGCCTGGAGCTAGCTGCCTTGAGGCCCTTCAGTTTTGCCACCTGCAAAAAGGTAACAGAGAACTCTCTCGATAGCACAGTCCCTGGAGGCAGCGTGGAAGGGAAGACAGGGCTAATGACTCTCCTCTGTGGTCACAATTAGCTGATATAAGGGCTGAGGAAGCAAGTCTCCCTCCCCAGCTGGGCAGGGTGAAGAGTCCAGGTGAACCCTGGACTCAAATGGGAGGGTCAAAAGCTTCAAGAAGCAAAAGCCAAAGCAAAACAAAAATAAAAATAAATTTTTAAAAGGACTTTCAAGTATTACATTTAAAAAATAACATTTATAGGAACATAACTGATAGCTATAGCCCTTCGAAACAGTGACAATGCATAGCACCCTCATGCTATGTGTTCATGGATGATTGCTTTGCCCTAGAAACTCCCTGCGGGGTGAGAAAACTTGAGGATACATGTCTTAAGCCAGGTTCCCCCAGGAGCTAAGACAGGCATTTGAGTACAAATGGTTTTTTTTGGTGGGGAAGTGCTCTCAGGAGAAAGAGAATAGAGATCAGGGTGGGCAGGGTAGGAGTTAAACCAGGATGTGGTCCTGGCTGACCAGAGGGATCCCATGGGGAGCTCTGAACCATTAATTGCACCAGAATTGAATCCACTTTGAGGCAAGGGGATTGGACTTTTGCATCTGGGTGTCAGTCAGCCAGTGGCTGTGGGCTGCTAGACTGGAGGCTGGGAATGTAGACTCTCTTTCACCAAGAATCATCCAAGGATGATTCTCTGGAGAACAGGGCAGCTGTGAGCCATTGACAGCCAATACTTGCAGTCTGAGAATGGGATTGGGGCAGGACACCAACAGTATCCACTTGAATCTATCCAGTCCTCAGATTCCCAAACTGCAAGTCTCACATAGCTGCAATGGCACACAGCACATCAGAGCTTCTAACAGTAGATACAGAGCTGGTGTTTTACTATATTTTTTTTCTCTGCCCACTGTTCTGGACACATAACCGAGCACAGCAAGGAGCCCACGTCTAGACCACAGGAGAGAAAGGATAAATCAAGGGACTCAGGCCATCGTTTAAAATAATAAAGGACAGACCTAGCAGAGAAGGATAAAGACAAAGAAAAGAGTGGTGGATGGTGCCTTTTTTTTTTTTGAGACAGAGTCTTGCTCTGTCACCCGGGCTGGAGTGCAGTGGCGTGGTCTTGGCTCACTGCAACCTCTGCCTCCCGGGTTCAAGCGTTTCTCCTGCTTCAGCCTCCTGAGCAGCTGGGATTACAGGCACACACCACCATGCCCAGCTAATTTTTTATATTTTTGGTAGAGACGGGGTTTTACCATGTTGGCCAGGCTGGTCTCAAACTCCTGACCTCAAGTGATCCGCCTGCCTCGGCCTCCCAAAGTGCTGGGATTACAGGCATGAACCACCGTGACTTTGTTGGGACCCTGGACCATGCTCATTGCTCGTAAGGATACCAGCTGCCTTTCTGGAATAGGTACTACCTGGCTAAAGTGGTTGGGATCAGGGGAGCACACTGGCACTGTAGATACAGGAGCTTTAAGTTTCTACATGACATGGTGCCCGTGCTTGTTTTTACTTTTCTAATTTAATAAAAAATTCAGTCACTTTATACTTGAGTTTTTTCAGTTTTTATGGAATAAACATCATTGTGATTTGTGTCTCACAATTTACACAGCTATATCCATGCTCTATCACATTGTTGATAATTTCAAAAGTTGTTTTCTATGGGAAGTCTCGGGGACATGTTGAGAGATATGTTCAGTGGTGGGTAGGATGTGTTGCCCTGCTGTTCCCCTACCGCTAGTTTGCATCTATGTTCAGCACTTTGAGGATGATTTAGGGCTGCAGAAAGAGTGGTTGAGTATGTGGTGAAACAGGCTGTGGCCTGGGAATGGGGGAAAATGCTGACAGGACACAACCAAAGGAAATTGTCTCGTCATTTAAGAATATCAATGAAACAGGCAAGAGTTCTCACCTGCACTTGCCTCCCAGAAAGAACCCTTCCACAGCTGTGTGGCTTCACTTTTTACTCTAAAGATTTATTGCTCAAAGGAGTATACTTGAATAAGAACATAACCACTTCCCCCCATCTGCTGTGCTGCTGGAGTTTGGAAGATCTTACCGTTAGGATGTCATAACTGCCTGCTGTAAACTGCTTTCTAGAAGAAACCATCCCAGTTTTAGGGTCAATAAAGAACTTTCCGTCATCATTCCCATCCACAATACTGTAGGAGATTTCTGCGTTGGGGCCCTCATCTCTATCAAATGCAAAAGCCCTGTAAATCGGTTCTCCTCTCTTCTTTCGGTCACGTTCTGGCAGCTTGATCTGGTAGACCTTCTCTGGGAACTGGGGCTTGTTGTCATTTTCATCTAGAACCTGAACCACCACCCAAATGGTTGACTGTTTTGGAGAGGGACCACCATCTGTCACAGTCACCTGAAAAAGAGAGTATGATGTGATCAGAAAGGAGAAAATTATTCTTGCTATTACATGTTAACCTATGGGTGTTTCTTCTAATGCACGGACAATGCTATCCTATCCAAATTCTTTTAGTATTCATTTTCTTCTCTTTTTTCATCTTTCTATAGATTGAATTGTGTCCCCCTTAAAATTCATATATTGATGCTCTAACTGCCCATATGTGGTTATTAAGGTTAAATGAGATCATAAGGATTGAGTCCTGATCTGACAGAACTCATGTCCCTATAAAAGACAAAGAAACACTAGAGATCCCAATCTCTCTCTGCCATGTGAACACACAAAAGAAGGTAGCTGTCTGCAAGCCAGGAAGAGAGCCCACACCACAAAATGAGCCCTGCTGGAATGTTGACCTTGGACTTTCCAGTCTTCATGCTATAGTCTGAATGTAACCCTTCAAAATTCATATGTTAAAACCTAATTTCCAATGCAATAGTATTAGGAGGTGGGGCCTTTAGGTGGTGATTAGATCATGAGGATCAAACCCTCATGAATGGGATTAGTGCCCTTCGAAAGAGGCTGTGAAGGCTTGCTTTTCCCTTCCACCATATGAGGACATGACCAGAAGGCACCATCTAGGAGGAACAAGCTATCACTAGACACTGAATCTGCTAGTGCCTTGATTTTAGACTTCCCAGCTTCCAGAATTGTGAACAATAAATTTCTGTTATTTAAGCCATCCAGCCTATGGTATTTTATTACAGCAACCAGAGCAGACTAAGACACATCTCCATGTTAAGATTTGATTTTTACATTGTCATTGAACAAAAGGAAAACTATGATATATGTTCCACTGTTTGATGTCTGATTTTAAGTACATTACAATGTCTTTAACAATTGCAAAATATTTTTCTATTTCTCTCTGGAAAATGGGAGGGGGATGTACACCTCTCTCCATGTCACTATGATGCTGTTCTCATGTGTGCCTGTGAAAATTGAGATAGAAAAGAGTAATGAAGAGCACATACATAATTTTCACAGAATATATAGACTTTGCATCCTAGTGTAAATAATTTTCTTATTAGTCATAGTGATAATCAGTATGATATTAACACCTAACATGTCGATAGTGTGGCACAGTTTATAACGCACTCTTTCATGCATTATCTCATTCACTTTCCAAAATATCCTCTTCAGTAAGTGAAGCAGGTTTATTTATTCCCATTTCACAATTGAGAAAACAGAGGCTCAAAACAGATCATTGTTAATAAGTGGTAAAGCTAGGTATTAAACTTTTGGAAATTGTTAATGTTCTGTTTAACAAAAAAAGGAAGAACCCATATTTAATCTTTAAATCATTAGCTTGAATGAAACAGATTATTACTTCCATATATGTACTTGGAGGCTGGAAGGAACATAAAGATGCGCTCAACATCAATAGGAGAAAAACAACAGTGAATCAAAGCAGCTGGTCAGCTATTTTTTCACCTAATAAAACAACCTGACAGGTATAACTGAAACAAAGGCCAAAAATGTGGGAAAACACATTAAAGCCTTTTTGCAAAATGGAATTGCAATCTAGTTTAGTTTCTCTTACAAGCTGCCTAGGAGGATAGCTTTAATAGACTTAAGATAAATTTTCACACAAGTTCTCGCTTTCTTTGAAAAATCAATCAAGTTTCCTTCCAAGGTTATTTTCCCAATTGCTTTGTTGTGTTTCACAAAAGAACCACATTGGGACCAAAATGTGCCAAGGTTGGATTTTGACTCTTGAGCTAATTCCTTGACATGCCAGTTCTGAAGAGGCACATTCTGCTGCTGCTGGTGAACGCAAATGTTACACTCCCAGGTGACCTGTGTTGACCAAACATATTGATTTCTTGGCTGCTCAACTACTCTGCCTCTCTTTTCTGCTTGAGAAGCCTGTCCAAATTCAGACAACTCTCAATGTCTTCATCGTGCACAAAATCACCTCCTTGTCAATTAATGCCCTGCAATGGGCTCTGAGACAGTGTTCTGGAGCTGCTTCAGGGACAGGTGGCTGCCAGGGAAAGGAGCCCCTCTTGGCAACAGTTCGCTGCTCACTAGAGGATGCTGCTGCTATAAAATGTTTTTCTTTGAAACGGACCTGGATTTACAAACCCAAATCCTTGAGGTGTCTACCTACAGGCGGGAAGTGTGGTAGCTGCACAGCCCTTGAAGAATCTCTCAGGAGTGCTACGCATAGCGGGTCACTCGTCATCATGTTACTGCAAGCACCCAGCTCCCTCAGGCCATAAGGGCATCCTTCAGGTCCTCTTTTCTTTGGAGAGCTGTCCCTATCCTTTCTGTGGAGCTTGCCTACTCACCCTTTAAGTCCAGCTGAAATGTCACTTCCTTAAGGCTACCTTCTCTGACCCCACAGACCAAGTGCCAGCTTTCCCGCCCCCTCATTCTGTACTGTTAAATCACCCTATGCTTTTCTTTTGTAGCACTTACCATTGTGGAAATTAATTAAATACATGATTCTCCACTTAAGTGGATAAACTGCATAAGGGCAAAGACAGACTGTGCTTGTTTTCTCACTGCTCTCACCCCTGTGTCAAGCCACAGAACACGCTCCATTCATGCTTATTTAATAAATGAGGCTCTAATGCAGGTCCTACTTGAACAGTCTCTTTAGCCAAATCAGTCTCACCTTGCAAAACCTTCTGAGATGGTTCAAGGGCCTTAACAACATAGCTCCAATCTGCTTTTCCTGCCTTTTTGCCAATTACTCCTCCATCTCCTTACCCATGGTTTCATCTACTACCTACATGCTGCTAATTCTCCAATGTGTATCTCTTGTGCCTAAGCCTATTTCCTGATCACCAAACCAACATGATCAACTATTTACTAGTAATCTACTTTCTGGATCCTAGCACCCCAAAAGTCACAAACTGAAATCAATACCCTCAAACCTCCTCCTTTTCCTATGTCCATTGTCTTAATAAATGGCACCCCTATCTACTCACACACTGGTGCACACTAGAATCCTAGGCATCCCTCTGTCTAACTATCTATATCCAATTGAACTTGGGGACCAACAGGTATCTCACACACACCCCTCACCCCATGCCAACTCTTCTGTCACACTGCCCTATTACAGACCCCCCTTGCATCTTGCTTGGATGGCCACAGTAGCCTCCTGGCCTCCCTGCCTTCAGCCTTTGCCTTTGTTGTAGAGTGATATTTCTTCTTCAAAAATCTGATCATGTCGCTGATTTGCGTAATACTCTTCAGGGGCTCCTTGAGGACAAAGATCTGGCTGGATTCTCTCTGCATCTGGCTTTGTTGATCAGCCTGTACTGTCTGCCTCTTTCTCATCTCTATGCTCAGTTACATGGTGAGCTTGGGAGGTCCTGAGCATGCCATGCTCTTATAGCTCCATTCCTTTGCACAGCCATTTGTCTTCATGGAATGCCCTCTCCTGGGAATATACCTGACTCATTCTAGAAGCCTCAATCCAAACATTCCTGTAAAGCCATTCCCTGCCTCCTGCAGACCTATGTAGGTGCCCTTAGTATGTTTCTATGCCACTATGTGTATAGTTCTAGGACACTAATTATCATCCTGCATTTTAAGTGTCTATTTGCTTGTTGATCTCCATTCAATCCTTCTAGACTGTGAGCAATTTGAGGTCAAGAGAACTGTCTCTTATTCATTGTTATGTTCTGGCACCTGGTACAGCTCTAAGTGACAAATATTCTATGAAATCAAGAATTCACTTACCTACAACTCTTCCCTATGATAATAAGTGAAAAGAACATTCAGACACTGAGGGTCTCTGTATGAAAATTAACATATAATCTCCCAAGTGCTTCTAGTGTTATGATTCTACTCATGGGGGGTCAGCTAGAGGTGGACAGTTTTAACCATGCACTCTGAGGTTCATACCCAGTTTACATAACTGAGAACACTACCAATCTAAAGATTATGAAGATAATGCAGAATGATTTTTAGCCACTCCTCAAACTGTGCTCACTTTTGTGGACATTCATCCAGTCTCCTGAAATGATTTATTCCCATGTCTGTCTCCTTCAGTGCACTGTGAGCTACTCAAAAGCAGGAACCTTGTCTTTTTCATCCTTTTCTGAAACCTAGTGTCCTCTGGATAAATGTTTGCTGAACTGAACTACACTGCTAACCTCAAAGTCTGAATTTTCATTATTATTTCTCTGGACCCATTCATCTGCCCTGCCACATTTGTGCCTGGAATATTAATCAACAATGATTAATGGAATCATCAATGGCATCATCAATCATTCCATCAGATTCTCAGACTTCAGACTTCATAATACGTTAGGCCTGAAACCTCCCTTCGAATTAGCCCATATGAAAGGAGTAGCAGCAGTGAAGATCAAAGCAAAACTAGCTGAGATAAATCCCCATCATCTCCTCTTCTGCATCATTTCTTATTAAGGATGCAAGAAACGCACCATTGTTTAGAAGTGACCCGTGTGTACTCTCGCTCTGCTACAGCCTCACAAAAGAACAGAGAACCATCCTCACCTAGATTTTCTGCTCTTATTGCCAATCAATAATCAGTGGTGCTGGCAATTAATCCAAAGCCTGAAAGATTAATTTCTTTAGATGATAACAGCTATCACCTAATAAAAGGAGCCACAAATAGGCCGGGTGCAGTGGCTCATGCCTGTAATCCTGGCACTTTGGGAGGCCGAGGTGGGCGGATCACCTGAGGTCGGGAGTTCGAGACCAGCCTGACCAACATGGAGAAACCCTGTCTCTACTAAAAGTGCAAAATTAGCTGGGCATGGTGGCACATGCTTGTAATTCCAGCTACTCAGGAGGCTGAGGCAGGAGAATTGCTTGAACCCGGGAGGCGGAGGTTGCAGTGAGCTGAGATCGCGCCACTGCACTCCAGCCTGGGCAACAAGAGCAAACCTCTGTCTAAAAAAAAAAAAAAAAAAAAAAAAAATGGAGCCACAAATAGTTCATTGGTCTGTGAATGCCAGGCAGAGCCAGGAGGCAGGACAATTACAAAACAGGACAATTACAACAAGAAACATGTCTTTAAGTCTATTCCTGGAAGAAACAAGAGCTTCGTAGGACCAAAAATGGTCAGACACTGAGAATTTTGAAGTTATGGAAGCTGGTGGGAGGGCACACTTCTCACTCACTGAAATTGCCTGATGAATTTATTTTTGTTGTCTCCTTTCCCCAAGTAGAAGATAAGTATATAAACTGCCTAAAAGCGGAGATCTTGGATCTTGTCTACTGCCTTGTTCCCAGTGATTACAAGAGTGTCTAAGAATATATTCAATATTTTTAAGCCGAAGAGTTAAACTCTGGCATTTTCCTTATCCATTAATTCACCACAAATGATTATTTCCAGGCTATTGTATTTATAATGGAAAATCATTCTTCAGATATTACATATCCCCCTCCCCTGTTTTATACAGTGGTCTGCTCCTATCTTTGGATTTACTTTCCACAACTTCAGTTACCTGTGGTTCAGCACAATAAGCTATTTTGTGAGACAGAGATCAATCACATAACTTTTATGACAGTATATTGTTATAACTCTTCTACATCATCATTGTCATTGAACTCTTACTGTGCCTAATTTATAAATTAAGCTTTGTCATAGGTATGTATGTACAAGAAAAACGATAGCATATATAGGGTTTGGTATTATCTGCAGAGTTTCAGGCATCCACTGGGGATCTTGGAACATATCCCCTATGGAAAAGGGGCAACTACTTTATTGGTCCTTGACACTTTATCGTTACCTAATATGTTATATATTTCACTTACGTGGTTATCACATATCTGCTTTTACTAGAACCTGAGCTCCACAGAGAATGAATTTTCATCTATTTTGTTCAGACATATTCCTAGCATCTACAACAGTGCCTAGAATGTAGTAAGAATTCCATAAATATTTGTTGAATGAATAAATGAAATATTTATCCAGTACCTTTTAGGTAACAAACTCTTTTTTAGGCAAACTGGGAGATCAACCAAATAACCAACCGACGAACACAGATTCTGACCAAATTCACAATCCCCCATGACCTAAATCCTCTGTAATATCTGGGACCTGCAATCACATGGCCTCAATTTTGGTATATTTGGTAAGAGGAACTCAGTGCCCTGTTTAGCAGCCCATTTGTGGTTTGATAGATTCAATTTTCAGAAAGCTCTACCTAATTTTTTTAGTTGACAAATAAAAATTGCAAATACTTATGATATACAACATGACGTTTTGATATATGTATACACCTCGGAATGGCTAAAACAGGTTAATTAACGTATATATTACCTCATGTAACTTTTTTTGTGGTGAGAAGACTTAAAATCTACTCTCTGGCAGGGTGTAGTGGTTCATGCCTGTAATCCCAGCACTTTGGGAGGTGAAGGCAGGTGGATCACCAGAGGTCAGGAGTTCGATACCAGGCTGGCCAACATGGTGAGACCCTGTCTCTACTAAAAATACAAAAAATTAGCTGGGCATGGTGGTGCGTGCCTGTAATCCCAGATACTCGGGAGGCTGAGGCAGAAGAATCACTTGAACCCAGGAGGCAGTGGTTGCAGTGAGCCAAGATCACACCACTGCACTCCAGCCTGGGCAACAGAGTGAGATTCTACCTCAAAAACAAACAAACAAACAAACAAAAACTACTCTCTTAGCAATTTTAAAGTATACAATATATTGTTATTACCATTAGTATAATCACCATGATGTAAAACAGACCTCTTCAACTTGCCTCCTGCCTAACTGAAATTTCGTATCCTTTGATCAACATCTCCCCATTACCAATCCCTCCTGTCTCCTCTATCACCTCTAGTAACCACTATTCTATTCTCTGCTCTTATAAATTTGACTTTTTTACATTCCACATATTTGTGAGATCATGTGGCATTTATCTTTCTATTTGAGTTAACATAATGTTCTTCAAGTATATCCACGTTTCCATGTTGTCACAAATGACAGGATTTCCTTCTTTATTATTATTATTATTTTTTAGATCAAGTCTCGCTCTGTTGCCAGGCTGGAATGCGGTGGCGCAATCTCCACTCACTGCAACCTCCCCCTCTCAGATTCAAATGATTCTCCTGCCTCAGCTTCCGGAGTAGCTGGGATTACAAGTGCACACCACCACGCCCAGCTAATTTTTTTTTTTTTTTTTTGTATTTTTAGTAGAGACGGGTTTTCACCATGTTGGCCAGGATGGTCTCTATCTCCTTTTTTTTTTTTTTTTTTGAGGCAGAGTCTTCCTCTGTCGCCCAGGCTGGAGTGCAATGGTGCTATCTTGGCTCACTGCAAACTCCACCTCCCAGGTTCACGCCATTCTCCTGCCTCAGCCTCCCGAGTAGCTGGGACTACAGGCACCCGCCACCATGCCTGGCTAATTTTTTTTTGTATTTTTAGTACAGACGGGGTTTCACTGTGTTAGCCAGGATGGTCTCGATCTCCTGACCTCGTGATCCGCCCGCCTCGGCCTCCCAAACTGCTGGTATTACAGGCGTGAGCCATCGCGCCCGGCCGATTTCCTTCTTTTTAAAGGCTGAATAGTATTCCATTGTGTATATATACAAACATAGTCTTCATGCATCTGTTGATGGACAGTTACGTTGTTTCCATATCTCAAGTGTTGTGAATAGTGCTGCAATGAGCATGGAAATGCATACTTCTTTTCTTGTTTTTATATAGGAAAATATTGTCTTTATTTTTTAAATATATTTTTTAGTATTATATTTCCATATGTTATTGGGGTACAGGTGGTATTTGGCTACATGATTAAGTTCTTTAGTGGTGACTTGTGGGATGTTGGTGCACCCCTCACCTGAGCAGTATACATTGCACCATATTTGTAGTATTTTATCCCTCCTCCACCTTCCCCCAAGTCCTCCAAATACATTGTATGCCTTTGCATCTTCATAGCTTAGCTCCCACATATCAGTGAGAATATACAATGTTTGGTTTTCCATTCCTGAGTTACTTTACTTAGAATAATAGTCTTCAATCTCATCCAGGTTGCTGCAAATGCATTCATTTTCATGGCTGAGTAGTATTCCACCATATATATATACACACACACACACACACACACACACCACAGTTTCTTTATCCAAGACTTCTTTTCAATATACTGATTTTATTTCCTTTGCATGTAGACCCAGAGGTTGGATTGCTGGTTCATATGGTAGTTCCATTTTTAGTTTTTGAGGAACCTCCATACTATTTTCCATTATGGCTGTCCTAATTTACACTGGGAAAACAGTGTACAAGGGATTCCTTTTTTCCATATCCTCCCAACACTTTACACAAAGCTTTTCTTAACATTAAACCGAAATCTAACTGCCTGTACTTACTATCCTAGAGTGCTTGGAGCTTCCTATAGACTAGTTTTACTTGTTGTAGCTATACAGAAAAAGTCAAATTCCTCTTCCACGTTGCCCCAGCAACCTATTGTTGTGTAACAGAAAATTATGTGACTTAAAATAACTGGAATCTTTTTATTGTTTTTCATGGTTCTGGGGGTTGAATGGGGGCGGTTCTTATTTGGAGCCTCTCATGCAATTGATGTCATAGGTAGCTGGGGTTGTAGTCATCTGACATATCTGCTGGTTGATGATGGCTATTAGCTGGGACCTCAGCTGGGTTCTAAGAGCAACTGGCCTGAAGGAAAGTGGCAGCCATCAGTTTCTTAAGGCCTTGGCTCAAAAACTGGCACAGCATCACTTGTACCACATTCTACTGACCAAGAGTCTCAGAGTCCAGATTTAGGAGGTGGGGACATAAACCCCACCTCTAGATGGGAGGAGGGTCAAATAATTTGGGAGGCTATGTTTTAAAACTGCCATCCTTATAAAAATACTTAAATATATTTGAGAAATCTCAACCCAGGTTGAAAAACTAATTTGTATAATTATCTCTCAGATGATTTATTATATATAATGAGTCCTTATTTATTATATTGTTTACATCTTTCAAGATGTTTTCCCATATACCAGCTTCCTTCTTAAAATACGATGGCCAGGATAGAGCGATCGCATATTAAACTTACTCAGAACTGTGCAAAGCCCCTCTGTTATCCTAGAGACAATCTCACACCTATTTCTTCAGTCGATGACTATGCTTATTTTGGGTAGCAGCCATGTCACACAGCACTGTGATATCAATGAATTAAAGCATTTAGGTCTTTTCCTAGAAAAAGCAATATATAATATAATCACACCTGTAAGTGTGTGGTTTCCTTTTGCAGGTATAAGTGCAAGATTTTATATTTGTCTCTACTAAATTTCATGTTACTAGAAACTTTGGCTCCCTACCCTAGGCTGTTGGGATAATCATAATGATAACAGGTAACATGCATTAAAAGCTTGCTATGCATCAAGTACTCACTGTGAGATGCAGAGCCCTGCACGATCTCCTTTGTTACAACAATCTCACAAGATAGATACTGTTTTTACACCAATTTAACCAATAAGGAAACTGAATTATGAACTGGTTAAAGGTCACACTATTCTTAAGTGGCAGAGCCTTGTATAGTCAAAGGTCACACTATTCTCAAGTGGCAGAGCCTTGTTTTAAACCTGGCAGTTTTGGTTCTAAGCCAGGGATCAGCAAACTATAGCCCAAGGGCAAAATCTGTTTGCTTGTTTTGGTAAATAAAGTTTTATTGGAATGCAGCCATGCTGCAATAACATATTATCTATGGCTGCTTTCCTGCTACAAAGGCATGGTTGAGTAGTTGAGGCTGAGACTGTATGGCCCACAAAGTCTGTTAAGTGCCCTTAACAGAATAAGTTTGCTGACTCCTGGTCTAAAACATTATGTGCTGCTGCCTCTTTGGTTATACTGATAGCACTTATTGCACGCCTGCTTTGCTCAGTCCTCTGCTTGATCATTTACCTACGATTGTCACTTTTTCACAGGAATCCTGTAGGCATTGCCATTTCTATTCTGCAGCTGGAGACGGTGAGGCTTAGACGTTAAGAATATTCTCAAGGCCATTCAGCCGGAAAGTGACAGAACACGGGTTTGCGCCCAAGTCTGTTTGGCGTGGCAGCACGTGCTCTTTTCCCTACCCTGCGCAGCCCATGTAGAAGCATCTGTTAACCATCTGTTCAAAATTCCCTTCCCACGTGTGCCTTTGGATCAACATTGAGCACTTCGATGTGCTTCTAGAATCAAGCCTCCTTTTCCTCCTTTGATAATAGGGACCATCTTTGACTGGCTCCAGTCTTTTGGCACCTTTCTGTCCTCAATGCTTAAAAACTGCCACTGGGTTGTGGGGTATGGCTGCAACTTCTTTCAGCACTCAAGACTTGAGAACCTTATTTTGTGCAATTAGATCCTCTCTTACTATCTTGTTACATGGTTACATCATCAGCTCCCTCTCACAAAATTTGTTCTACCTTTCTTTGCACAAAAATTATTCTCCCTGATCATGGAGACGAGAGGGAGGGCCTGGGTGGTCTTGGTTTCTCTCTACGTCTTATTTATCAGGCACTCCGTGTTAACCACATGTAGGCACTCTTCCAAATGCTTAACAAATATTAACTCATGGATCCTTTTATCAGTCTTGGAGTAAGATGCGATTATTATCCCCACACGACAGATTAGAAACAGGGCACAGAAGGGTGAAGCATAGTAGGATCCAATCTGCTTTGGGGTCTGTGCTCCTAACCATCACATTATGCTGCCTTTCATCTAAATGCTTGCCCCACCCCATGGGCATGGCCACCTTTTCTTTCCTCTGAACACAGTTCAAACATGTCCTTTCCCTGGCCTCAGCACCACAGTTTCAGCATGTCCTGTGCAGGGATGGCAATTATACAGCATGTGGGCTTTGGCTGCTCTATCCTGCCAGCTGCACCTGGAGGCCACAGGAAACGTGAACAATTCACTGTTCATTCCAAAGGTGGAACGTGGTCTCAGACTCTTCCGAGATGGAGCTTTCCAGACAGCTGTCACTACCAATCAATCTGCCACTGTCTAGGCGTACTTCTTGTTCTAGGTGAAACAACCCAAATAGCACGTATTTTTACATTCATACTGGGGTTGCCTTTAGTAAATAAAATGTATAAGAGGCCATTGGCTTGAACTGAATGCCTGCACCAGGATCAACAAACCAAACCAAACCAAAATGGAGTCACGCATGCTAACGTTCCATGCTACCAAGCCAGTATTAAGTTGTTTATCTGACCTTCAGAGAAATCAGGAGAGAGAGAGAGAGAGAGAGAGAGAACAGCCAAATCCCCAGACAGGTCAGGTTTAACTGTAACAATAAGAAAGTCCCTTTGCTTTAACCTTTGTAACTTCGAAATGACTGATCTGCTTTCTGTTGTTTCTGCTTTCCTCAGCCATTTTCTGTCTATAAAGCCAAGCTCCTCTGCTCAGCTCATCAGAACATTCATTCTATTTTATGGAATAATATGTTGCCAGATTCTAGAATCACAAATAAAAGCCAACTAAAATCTTTAAACTAAATTTGTTGTAATTTTGTCAGTCAACACTGCATACCTTCCCCCTATCCTGACCATCCCCCGACTTCTTCCATAGTACTCTGCACCTTCCTTCACTCTGATTCTCCTGATTGCTGCGAGCTATTTTAGCACTTGATACTCTTCTAAGGTAGAAGACAGAGCTCAAAAGAGTTTTATTTCTCCCTCCCCCTCTCATTATCAAAAGTCTCAGGGCCAAGCTGACAGGTTCTGGGCTGGGAAGAAATCTAAAGATGAAGTCTTTTAAACTAAGGCAGAATATCCAACCACACGCAGCAAGAAGGCTTCCAATGTGCTGCCACATTGACCCTCTCAGCTCTCAGGTGAACGAATGTGAACTCATCTACATAGGCTGGTCATCTCTGGCTGGGATTAGCTTTTCCCTTTACCTAAAGATATTATACAAATATTATCATTTTCTGTATGTATCCTAATGGGTAAAATGTTAGGACGCCCTGTGATAAATTACTAATAATATGTTACCCTTCTCTTGGATCTGATTGATTTAAAACAATATGCCTAGAGAGGTCACTGGACCCTAGGAGCACAGTCTCTATGGGTAGGAATTTAATGTTGTGGCTGTTGAAAATTAATTGTAGTAAAGATGCTTATCTATTTTCACTATTTATTGACAAGACCCTGTAAATCACCAGTTATGTGTGCTTGGCTGTCTCTACTTACTGGTCACCACATAGGTAGAGAAATGTACGAAGGTACCCATCGTTGAGTATTTTCCTACCTCCGTCATAGTCTCATATGTCCCAAAGAACCCCAGGATAAAGGGAAACTGCCTTTCCTTACTTCTGTTATACTCAGGAAAGCATAGAGTCACTAGATGTTAAGAGAACTCAAGAGTAAATGAGAGCTTAGGTATCATTCTCGTTCAATCCATTTGTTTTACAGATGAGGAAACTGAGGTCCAGACAGATGTACTTCTTAGCCTAATATCATCTTATTAGAAATAACCTCAATCTTTCTAAGAGATTAGTTCCAAGCTGGCTTTTGAGCCTCAAACAAGGCTTGCATTCATAAATTGTCATCTATGTGTGTGTGTATGTGTGTGTGTGTATCTGTGTGTGTGTGTGCCTATTTGTGTATGTGTGTTAACTCGATATTGCAGAAGTTTTAATTTAGGTGTTTTCCAGAATGCTGAGCTCTTAAAAATAATAAAAAAGAGAAGAACTGCATTTAAAGTAGATGTAATGTTTACGCTCCACTTTTTATCTTCAAAATGTTTCACAAACCTTAAATACTTAAACCTTTCAAGATAGTAAAAAGGTTGAAAGAAACTTTATCTCCTCTTTACAGGTGGAGAAATAGAGAAATGACCTTCTCAAAGAATACTCAGGAGCTGTTATAAAGGTTGAGGCTGGAATTCAGACCTTTTTGTCTATGGTCTCAGACTACTGCATTCCTGGGAAGACAAGTGCTTCCTGCCATTTCTGGAAAGAAAAGTATACACAAACAGTAAATTAAAGGGTAGATCTCAAAGGAACAGCAACTCTTGAAGATAAACTTTCTGAAAGGTGAAGTCATTGAACTAAACTTAACTTGCGCTATCACCCACGGAGAAAAAGCAAAAGAAGGCAGTATTAAACTGTCTGCCCTTAATGTCATTACATGTGGTTTCTCTTATTTGACCTATGATTTGGTATTAAGAAATAAACCAGAGATGGATAGGTGTTCCAGTCACTCCCCACTCTGCTTTCCTCATTCTGTGATGCTTCAACACATGTCTCTGCTATTTCCAATCTCAGTAAATCAATTATTTCAGGAGATGTATACTTACTATGTTGAATAAACTTGTGGAATGGTTTATAAGGGAAAGTTTTCATCAGAAATAATATCAGAAATAAGGAAAAGAAAGAATGAGGGTTCAAAGGAAAGAAAGGAAGGAAGGAGAAGAAAGGAGAAAGGAAGAGAATTAAGGAAGAAAGAAAAAGAGAAAAACAGAATTAAAGAGTCATATGGTTTGGCTTTATCCCCACCCAAATCTCACCTTGAATTGTAATAATCCCCACATGTCAAGGGTGGGGCCAGGTGGAGGTAACTGAATCATGGGGGTGGTTTTCCCCATACTGTTCTCCTGGTAGTGAGTAAGTCTTATGGGATCTGATGGTTTTATAAATGGAAGTTCCCCTGCACAAGCCTCTAGCCTGCTGCCATGGAAGACACGGATTTACTCCTCATTCACCTTCCACCATGATTGTGAGACTGCCCCAGCCATATGGAACTGTGAGTCAATTAAACCTCTTTCCTTTATAAATTACCCAGCCTTGAGTATGTCTTCATTAGCAGCATGAAAACAGACTAATACAATAAATTGATGCCAGGTAGTGGGATGCTGCTGTAAGGATACCAAAAAATGTGGAAGTGACTTTGGAACTCAGTAACAGGCAAAGGTTGGAACAGTTTGGAGGGCTCAGAAGAAGAGAGAACAATGTGGGAAAGTTTGGAACTTCCTAAAGACTTGCTGAATGGGTTTGACCAAAATGCTGATGGCGATATGGACAATAAAGTCCAGGCTGAGGTTGTCTCAGATGGAGATGAGGGACTTTTTGGAAACTGGAGTAGAAGTCACTCTTGCTATGCAAAGAGACTGGTGGCATTTTGTCCCTGCCCTAGATGTCTGTGGAACTTTAAACTTGAAAGAGGTGATTTAGGGCATCTGGAAGAAGAAATTTCTAAGCAGCAAAACATTCCAGAGGAAGCAGAGCATAAATGTTTGGAAATTTTGCAGCCTAACAATGCGATAGAAAAGAAAAACCCAGTTTTTGGGAAGAAATTCAAGCCAGCTGCAGAAATTTGCACAAGTAATGAGGACCCAAATGTTAATCACCAAGACAATGGGAAAACGCCTCTAAGGGCATGTCAGAGGCCTTCAAGGCAGCCCCTTCCATCACAGGCTTCCTGGAGGCCTAGGAGGAAAAAATGGTTTTGTGGGCTGGGCCCAGGGTCCCCCTGCTCTGTGCAGCCTCAGGACATGGTGCCCTGCATCCCAACCGCTTCAGTGCCAGCCATGGCTAAAAGGGGCCAACATACAGCTCAGGCCATTGCTTCAGAGGGTGCAAGCCTTAAGCTTTGGCAGCTTATATGTGGTGTTGGGCCTGTGGGTGCACAGAAGTCAAGAACTGAGGTTTGGAATCTTCTGCCTAGATTTCAGAGGATGTATGGAAATGCCTGGATGTCCAGGCAGAAGTTTGCTGCAGGGGCAGGGCTCTCATGGAGAACCTCTGCTAGGGCAGTTCAGAAGGAAAATGTGGGGTTGGAGCCCCCACACAGACTACCCACTGGGGCACTGCCTAGTGGAACTGTGAGAAGAGGGCCACTGTCCTCCAAACCCCAGAATGGTAGATCCACCAACAGCTTGCACTGTGCACCTGGAAAAGCTGCAGACACAATGTCAGTCCATGAAAGCAGTCAGGAGGGAGGCTGTACCCTGCAAAGCCACAGGAGTGGAGCTACTCAAGGCCATGGGAGCCCACCTCTTGTATCAGCATGACCTGGATGTGGGACATGGAGTCAAAGAAGATCATTTTGGAACTTTAAGATTTAATGACTACCCTATTGGATTTTGGACTTGCATGGGGCCTGTAGCCCCTATGTTTTGGCCAATTTCTCCCATTTGGAATGGGTATATTTACCTAATACCTGTACCCCCATTGTATCTGGGAAGTAGCTAACTTGCTTTTGATTTTACAGGCTCATAGGTGAAGGGACTTGCCTTGTCTCAGATGAGACTTTGGACTGTGGACTTTTGAGTTAATTCTGAAATGAATTAAGACTTTGGGGGACTTTCAGAAATGCATGACTGGTTTTGAAATGTGAGGACATGAGATTTGGGAGGGCCCAGAAGTGGAATGATATGATTTGGCCATATCCCCACCCAAATCTCACCTTGAATTGTAATAATCCCCACATATCAACGGTGGGACCAGGTGGCGATAAATGAATCATGGGCGCGGTTTCTCATATATTGTTCTCCCAGTAGTGAATAAGTTTCATGGGATCTGATGGTTTTATAAATGAGAGTTCCCCTGCACAAGCCTCTAGCCTGCTGCCATGTAAGACATGGCTTTGCTCCTCATTTGCCTTCCACCATGATTGTGAGACCTCTCCCCAGCCATGTGGAACTTGACTTAATTAAACCTCTTTCCTTTATAAATTACTGAGCTTCAGTTACGCCTTTATTAGCAGCATGAGAACAGACTAATACAGAGTTTTCTCTGAACTGCCTTTAATAACTTACATTTTGCCTAAAAAGTTGTGCTTTTAGGAAAGAATACAATTTGAAAATGCTCAAACTGAAAATGCTCTGATCCATGGAACCAAGGGAACCTAGGCCTTGGGGCCAGTGAATCACGTTACTCATTTTGGTGAGCTTTCTCTTTGTCCAAAGACATTGCATTATTGGGAAGCACCAGGAGAAAGTCAGCTCATAATCCACCCTTTCCAGGTACCCATGATCTGTCTTCTGCAGGGCACTGATTCCTACAGGTGTGTGAGCCACTCCAGGGCCTACCACAGGACTACACATAGTTGGTTCTCAACAAATATTTGTTGGTTGAATGCATGCATGCATGGACCTTGCATTTCAGGACAATGAAGGTATCTTTTCTTCCCTGTGTTTAAACCCAACAACTGCTAAATGGCAGCTTTTTCAGAAAGATCCTTGACCAATTCACTTTGGCAGCAGCTGCTGATATTACAGCTTTGTCCAAATCTTTTCTTTGCACTTTAGGAAATAAAGTATTTCCCATCCTGACATCTCTTAAAGCTTTTTTTTTTTTTTTTTCCCTGCAGAGAGGTATGCATCAGCTACTAATCTCATCACATTTCCATTTCCTTCCAGGCTCATCTGCTCATCATTTTCTATTCATAAAACTTGCTTGATTCTAATCTTCCCTATCAGCAGGAACTAAACACCTCCTCAAAGTTTCTTTAGTACAATGGTGACTACCACCCATGTGCTCACTCCCCCTTTCAAACAGATGAGTCCAATCTATGTGCTCACATGTGGGCCGTTAAGAAACTTCTGCCATGAACCAAGATGTGACATCATATTAGCCGCAGATCTAAATCCCTCTGCACTAGTTCACAACTCCCCTGACATCAAGGCCTTAGTCGATATACTATTCCACATTCCCCTCTCCATGAAACAGAATCCACCAGATATAAATTACAACAGAAAGTATATATTGGTAGCTTCCCTTCTATTTCATAGTGCTGGACTTCATGCTTTAAGTTACTTTTGTCTTGGCAGATTCTCATGCTTTAGCTCCACTGATGATGTTATTTGGATTTAAGCACTAACTCTTCCACCAAGCACCAGATTTTTGGCTTTTCTTTCCACAGTAAAGGCTTAATGCAAAAATAAGGACACGGCTCTAATTACTAGCTGAGCAAACACTGCTTTCTCCTCTCAGCAATTCAACAGGGATTTCTGGGCGATTTAGCAGGTAATTTAACACCTTGCCTACCTAAATATATGAATTTTAAATAGATCAATTTACAGAAATTAGGCTTATGTGTATGTATAAAATAGACTAAGGTAGAGATCATGAACTGGTGGCCCAGAAATATGCTTTCTTTTTTTTGGCCCATACAGTGTATTGTAAAAATTTCTGCCAATATTTAAAATGAGAGAGATTTCATATAAAAATTCAAATTCCCAGATTCTCCTAAAAATTAAAAAAAACTGGCCCACCAGTCTCTACTGTGTCCCTAATACTACAGCAATGTCAGTTATCATTCATCATCACGGTTGTGCAGAAGATTTTCTTAGAATAGAAAAGTACTTCTCACTACTCATGTTCCTATAAAAAAATGGTTATAAAATATAAATGGGGAACACTGCATGTTTAGACAAATGAAGAGAGTATATTTCTTATTGTAAATGAAAAACATTTAATATGTAAATGGTCTGCTACATATATCACCCATTTATTATGTTTGATGGGTTCTGTGGGCATTTGAGTTTGTAACCCTTGGTTTGAGGTCTTGATAACAATCTCTCTGCAATGACAGTATGTACACTTTAATGCGTGGTAAAGATAAAACTGTAACTCTTGGAAGAGAACATTCAGAGCAGCAGAGGTGCACATTCATCATTCCTTCTCTAGGTATTATGATTTCAGATAGTATAGTTTTAGAAGAATCAAAAGAAATTAGAATAAGAAATTAAATCATCTTTATCCATATCATAGTTTAGAACAGAAATATGAGTCATCTTAGACAATTCCTTGTTCCTCCCAACATCTCATCAGTCATTGACTAGGGACATAGCTGGCTGTGAATTATATACTGGCAGTCTCTCAGTCGCTTTCTATTGCTTACAACATAATACCTGAACCTGGGCATTTTATAAAGAAAGGAAACTCGCTTCTTACAGTTATAGAGGCTGAGAAGTCCAAGGTTGAGGGATGCATCTGGTAGGAGCCTTCTTCCTGGTGGGACTCTGGAGAGTTGTGAGGTGGTGCAGGGCATCATCACATAGGAAGGGGGCTGTATGTACTAACTTGCTAGCTCAGGTCTCTCTTCCTCTTACAAAGCCCCCAGTTCCCCTGTTATGATAACCCATTAATCTATTAACCCAATAAATCCATTCATAGCAGAGCCCTCATGATCCAATCATTTCTTCAAGGCCTCGTCATCCAATACTGCCACATTGGGGATTAAACTTCAACATGAGTTTTGAAGGAAGCAAATATTCAAACCATAGCAAGCTGTCCTCCTTAGGACACATGCGGCCCTCTGCCTGGATGCACAGCTTGGCAACAGTGAATGTGGGCTGGATTCAGTGCCCTGGGGCCCATTTGGCCAGGTGTCCCTGCATAGGGCACAAGCTATACAATATAACAATGTCCCTAAAGTGCTACTTCTTAAATGTCAGTTATATTTCTTGGTCCCTTCTCTACCCTTGGTGTCAAGCTCTCATTATCTCCTGCCTAAACCATTGCATCTCTCTTCAACTTTGTCTCCCTGACTCCAATATTGCCTCACCCAATGCCATTCTCTAGAAGACTGAAATTCCAAGCATGTCAATCTCCTGCTGAAAGGTCTTTACTGGCTCCTTATTGCTTACAGCAGATTTCATAAATGGTGTCATGGAGAACACCAAGGCCACAAGGTGCTCCCCTTAAAAGAGGGGCCAGGATCCTAGAAGTTTGAAGAATATTATAAACCCCTCTTGGAGCTTTACAATGTACATGATTGGAGTAAAGACCAAGGGAGTCTAAGCAAAAGAAACTGCTTAACCATTTAAACCAGTGTTTCCGAAACATATTTGATGGCAGAATTCTGAGGGCTGTAGGTCTGATATTTCAAGGAACATACTTTAAGAAGTGCTTAATTACTGGATTAAGTGCATACTCTTCAGTATTAACATACAAGATCCTGTAGTATTGACACCATCTATCCACTGTGCTATTCTTAGCCTCCAGTGTCTAACACCGCTACACCTACAGTTTTAATCACACAATCAGATCACTTAATTCAACATAAATTTACAGTGCCTCCAATGTGCAGTGTTTTAGACACTGGGTGTCTTAGTCTGATTTGTGTTGCTATAACAGAATATCTGAGACTGGGAAATGGATAAACAATAGAAGTTTATTTGGCTCACAGTTCTGGAGCCTGGGAAGTCCAACATCAAGGTGCCATCATGTGGCCAGGATCTTCTTGCTGCATCATTCCATGGTGGAAGGTGGAAGGACAAAAGCAAGAGAGGAAGAAGGCATAGCTTATCCTTTTTATCCAGAACCCACTCCTGAGATAAGAGCTTCAATCCATCCACGAAGGCACAGCCCTCTAACCTAATCACCTCTTGTAGGTTCTACCTCCGACATGGTTGCATTGGGGATTGTTTCCAACACATAAACTTTGGCGGACACATCCAAACCACAGCACTAGGTAAACAGTGGTAAAGCAATATGGGCTTCTTTCCTTCAGGGAATTCACAGTCCATTTGTTCTTCCAACATGGAGAATATACTTCCAAGGCCCTTGCTGCTTTGATTGGGGTTCCCACTGCATGGTATCCCCCTTACTCCCTACTCCTGTAGTTCTTATAAAATCCTCTAAGGCCTGCTGTACTGTTTGTCCCTTTATGATGCCTTCTCAGAGACCACATTCAGATAGAATGACTCCTTTGTATGTTTCACTTGACTTTGTTCAGATGCTAACACGTCCCCAATTCCATATCTAATTGTTGCATATCTGTCTTCTTTCACACCCCTGCATTCAGTTAGCTTGTAAGCTCTCTGAGGGATAAGACAATGCCATATCATCCATTGTACTGGCAGCATCCAGCACATGTCCTGACACATAACGGATGCCGAGCTAATATCAGTTCCTTTTGGTTTTCATAAGAGGCATCAGGAACAAGGCCTTGCATTGGTGAAGAAATTATTCTGTTTTGTTTTCCTACTTCTAATAGCATGCTATTTTAATTTTGAGTTGGATCTTTGATTGTTAATAAATTAGGTAGATATCCTGTTGGTTGGAAACAAACATTATTCATTATCCTATTAACAGAGCTATTAAAAACCCTGTGTACTCTTGTACTCAACACACAACAGGTAGTATTTTTTCTTTACACATAATAAAATTCAAGTCCCTGGGGAAATGGGTCTCAGGATACAGCTACTAAAACAGAAAGATGGTTCATCTTGGATAAAGTATTTTAATTACTTCCACAAGACGAAAGGGAGTACATGTAAATTTTAAATAAAGATCAACTCCGTAGACTTAAATAGGTTCAAACAGATAAATTCAAGGTGACTACTGTCATTAATAACTAATATTTAGGAAGTATTTTTCATGTATGTATATTCAGCACATTTATTATACATAGATTTATAGTCACCAGTTCTTGCTTTCCAGGAGAATGTGAGACACACATGTTTAGTCCCAGGTCTAAATGAAGTTCCTCTTCTGTGTTCCTTCAGAATTTATGCTCATTTCCATCAAATCACTTATGCACCTGTATTATAACCACTTTGTCTGTCTCTTCCAAAAGTATGTATATGGCCAGGTGTGGTAGTTCATGCCTATGTGGTAGTTCAACACCAGCAATTTGTGAGGTGGTGGTGGGAGGATTGCCTGAACCCAGGAGTTCAAGATCAGCTCGGGGAACATGGTGAGACTTTGTCTCCACGAAAATTAAAAAATTAACCGGATGTGGTGGTGTGCACCTTTGGTCCCAGTTACTGGGGAGGCTAAGGTGGAAGGATTGCTTGAGCACAAAAAGTGCAGGCTGCAGTGAGCTATGATATGTGCCACTGCACTCCAGCCTGGGTGACAGAGTGAGACTCTGTCTCAAAAAAATATATATATATCTTTCTGAGTTCTCTGAGGGCAGACGTTGTGTCTTTCATTTTTCTATTCCTGGTGCCTAGGGCAGGATAAGTAAAGGAAATGTATGGAAGAGGTAAATTGCCAAAGACAGAAAAACTCAGACATGAAAAATATTGGCAGAGAAATAACTCAATGTATCCAGAAAATGAAACCAATCACAAATATAAAATATAAAACTGACCAATCAAATGAAAAGTCTGGAAATGTTACTACTGTAGTAAAGAGTGTTTAAATAAAATCACATGAGTGTTCTAATATCTCTTTCATTATAAATTCTTGAAAATTTGAAATGCTTTTTAAGTACTTACATGATTTTAAAAATCCTCTTTCCCTGAGATAAGGGGAAAAAGCAATTATCTTTTGACCATGAAATCACATGGATTCAGAAATCCAATAATTTAAGAGAATGAATAATACTCTCCTAAAAGAATTTTTTTTAAAGCCTAAAACTTCCACTCCACTCCCAGTTAACATTCATCTGCTTAAGTTCCATTTAAAGACTCCAATGATTCTTCACTTTTACTTTTCAACAGGGGAGGCAGACAGCTAAGGAAGAATGTTCTAGTCATTCCGCCTCAGGCAGCCCCTATCATGAAGTCTAAGTAATGTGAAAACAGTGGCTGGTGAACTTTCTGCGGATGTCAAAAGCCAAACAGATTAAATGTGTTAAATAATGAAAGATAAAGGAGAGTCACACTGCCTCTGGAGTCAATTAAAAATGTGTAACTCAGTTGTGTATCTGTAAATTCTAGAAATAGTCTTTTTGCCCAGCCAAAAACATTGAAAAGGCATTTCAAAAGAAAGACTTCCAATAAGTACTCAGTTGTTTTGCTGAGTGAAAGTAGAATACAAGTAGTTTTTACAGATGATGATTTACAATCTTGGACATTACTCTCAGAGTGTTATTATCATGATCAAAGTTAACTCCCTACTAGAAGCTAAATTAATTCAGGCCGGAGTCATACTCGTGCTTAATGGATATATTCTCACTGCTCATTTAGTGAAGCAGGGCATGACATTGCCCAGATAGTTGTACTTTCTCCCAGAACGTTCTCAGAAGATCAGGCCCACAAGTACCTATGTGTGAAAGGTCCTGAGATTTCTGGTGGACAGAACTGGAGAAAAGTGAGCAATGAATAATGAATGTCTCTTCATAAGAGCTTTATTTAGTGGGGAGCCAAAGCTGTTTCTATTTTATGGCAAAAGCATTTTGGGAGAAATATTCCCAAACCATGTTTCAGAGTATGTGACAGGCAGCAGAGATTGCCAAGCATGTAGAGAGTTTAACACCACAGTGCACACTCACGGAAGGTTATTTGCTCCAACTGTCCTGAAAAATCTCATTCTATGCTTAAACATGTAACTTTGTGAATAAGCATCTTTCTTTTCCTTCTGGCTTTGTGAAAAGAGTATGTCAGGGATTCTAATATCCAGCCAAACTAGGAAGAAATAATTCACCAAAATATGTAGAGAATGTTCTGCGAAGTCTTGTCATATAACAGTAAGAGGAATCAGTTTATGAAACTTCCAAACTGATTAGAATTTTGCTACATTAAAAATTCCATCAGAAAGCTTACAATAAAAATGATACTTGAATAGGCTTTAAGGCAATAGGAATGTCTATTGATCATAAAGAGTTATCTGTTTGCATGCTTCAGTGGATAGGACCATTACCATAACATGCAGGCTCACAGTCTTCCCTGGAAATCTCCAGAAATTACAAAAAACAAAAAGATTGCATGAGGTATCAGGTCATTGCATCACCAGCAGCTGAAGGCTACTTGGCAAAGATGTATGGCTGTTGTCCAAGTTCTGGTCCCTTTGGTTTTGAAATCAGATAATCAGAGTCCTAAGACATATCACTGCAATCCAGGAAAGGCTTAGGGTGAGATCCATCTGTCCTTTTATGTAGCTTTGCCTTAGACAGACTTAGGATCCCTAGGTTGGCCCAAGTCTCAGTGCTCTATCTTGGTGCTTTTGAGTTTGTGGGTCAGCTGCCAGGGTAATTTATTATTGAAAGCTATAGTGTGACAGGGACTCATCATGTTCTGAGTCTTCAGTAGCAACAATAATATTGAGGCCCCTTCATTCATACTACTTCCAAGCACTTTAATATCTGTGAACACATTTGATTTTCCCAACGACTTGACTAGGAAAGTTGGTGAAGAAATATTAACCCCACTTGATAATGGATGAAGAATCCAGCAAGATCCAATGCTTTGCCCAGAGTCACTCAGCTTATAGGTGACAGCATAGCCATACAAGACTCAGCATGTTGTGAAATCCAGGTGGATAACACAAAAAAATGTACATACTTTTCCAGGAAAAATTAACTAAACATATTTGTTGCATAAATGGGGAAGTAGCATGTCTTCATCAAAGAATCGTATTGTTTATATCAGAGTACTTTGAATTCACTATTCCTGATCTGTACTATGTATTATGTGTTCAGTAATTACTCCTTGAGGACCTGCAATGTAAAAGCACTGTGGGAGAGAGATGATGATGAACAAAAACATGGTCCTTGCGCCACAGGAGCTTCCCATCTGGAGGAGATGACAGCCATGATTACAAATCACAAAGGGATGCGGAAGCGAGACAAAGCTCTGTATGTAGGCTGTGTGCAAAAGTAGTCAGGCTAAAAATTCCCAGTGGGATCATCAATGTTTTGGTACCATTTTAAATGTTACTCTAGTATCTTGGGGAACCTGGTGTTTTAAATAAATGCCCTTTACTTTTGGGGAATTAAATGTCCCTGCAGTAAAAATCTATATTATTGAGTTCTCTTCTCATAAGGTGATTACGGAATTCTTCCTCATAAAATGGGATGTTTAAAATCTATCTGGAGTGATGATGTATTTGTATTATTTCAGAGGGCTTCCTAGAGGATTCCTCAATGTCCTGCTTAACCTTAAGACCTTTAATTCTCATGAAATGCTATAGAAGAAAAGATCACAGGTTTTACACAACCTTTTGAAATGTAAGAAGTAAAGGTTTATAGGAAAGTTTATTTGCCCCAATTCTCCCTACCACTCTGATGCCCTGTCTCAATGAGAACAATGAAAAATCGGTAGCTGTATTTGTTTCTGGTATCTTTTTTGAAGCAATCAGGGGGCAGATTCTGTGAGGCCTGATTCCAAGGATGGCAGGGAGGAGGAATGAGGTTTCTTGATAACACTGTTACACAATTGAACAATTCTTGACACTGTATGGCTCCTGGGATCCATTATGTGAGTAATACATTTTCTGAACTAAAACAAAGTTCGTTCTTCCCAAATTACAGTAATTAATTCCACTGAATTAAAAAAAAATCTAACTGAAATACATGGAAAATTCTGACTGCTTATTTTTAGTAATTCTATGTAAAAATTAAACAAGGTTGATTCTTATCTAATGACTATGTCATCAATTTTTATAATCCTCATGACTTTATTGTGTGTTTCTTTATGAATAAACATTCCTCTCTCTCTCTCTCACACACACAGACACACACACACACACGTACACAGTGATGTATATATACACACACCATTTGACTGTGGTTTAGGAAGATGCTTTGGGTGAGGTTTTTAATCTGTCTTTGAATTGCTGTAAATAGGGATTAGGATCCAATTACTTCATCTGACACCACCACTTTATAATAGAAGAAAATTCTCTTTGCTATTCCTTAGATTTTAAGTACCATGGCTACCCACAGAGTCCCTGATCATAAGGAAAGGACCTCAGATGAATGGAAATCAGAGACAAAAATCAAGGGCTGGTATATCCTCCGTCACACAGTGTAATCAGCAGACTAGGCAGATTACTTGAAATTTCAATTTCTTTCCCCTCTGCTGAGAGTACACTTCATCTTCTGCTTTTCCAAACATTTTGAATTGTGACTGAGGATTCTGTGAGATATTACTGTTTCAGTCTTCTGAAAGTTGCAATTAAATACATTCTAAATAGATGTCACCTTGCCACCTTTTTGGAAAGGTATAAGAGAAAAAAAATTAGCCATCACAGGAAAATAATTCATAGTTAAGGCTCTTTCTTCTCCCTTAACCACGTTCCGTTGTGTCTTCATGGCAACAAATGTCTGTAATCAGACTCTGGTTCCAGCTTTCTAAAGACATCAGTGAGATGGGCAGGAGTGGGAGGATCATATCTCTTTTTACAGACATAAAAGGAAAAAAATAAAAGACCACCCTAGAAGTGACTGAATTTGTACCTGAGAGATCTTTTAAATAAATGAATCAAATTCTCACTTTATTGCCCAGATACTAGGAATCTTTCCTTTTCAAAAGAGTATAGGTGTTGCTATATTTATGACTTTCTTCCTAAAAATGAAATTTCTACAGTATCAGTAGCTAAATGAAGCCTGAGAACTTTCTGGAGAAATTGAAAGGACAATGCTAATGGCCTGGGGTTCACAGAGAAGGTATAGATCCCTTACAACTAATTTATTTTCCTAGCAGTCTTGTGTGGGTCTGATCAGACACCTCAAGGGTCAATTGCCATTACTTCTTTTTCGTTACTTAACAATTCTGTCCCCAAATGCCATTCTTCTACTCAATTTCACTCTTTTGCAGTGTAATTGGGTCCTACTGAATCAATGGGAATCATCTTCATGATTACCTGAACATGGTTCGTGGTCTGAGGTGAGGAATTATGGCTTGCTCTGAACAGGTGCACATTTGGGCTTGGTGAGCATCTTGGAAGGCTGGGGTCAGGAATGTCATTATCCTTATCATTTCCCAAAACTGGTAGGCTGTGGCTTACCTGAACTTGAACCCTCTGCTGGCGACTCTCAAATGGCAGCTCCAGATATAAAATGTCTGGGTCAGCACAACAGTTTGGTTGCCAAGAATGAGACTTCTCTATGATCTGAAAGAGTAACTCAGCTCCCAACTAGGAACTGTGCAGAAGCTCAAGAAGGATCAGACAGTGCCTTCAAAGAGCCATCTTCACAACAGTAGAGAGTAAGAGAAAAACATTGCTTCTGGATCAGACAGGTTTGCCATAAGAATGCTGGTTTTTCCACTGCTTCTGAGCTGTACAACCTTGAGCAAATATAAATTATGTCTCAATATCCATATTTGTTACATGGGAATAGCAATATCTACCTCACAGAGATGTTACTAGAATTAAATGAAATAACATGTTAATTATTCAACAAACATATATAGAGAACCCATTACTTTCAGATACTAGGTTAAGCACTAGAGGTTAAGCACTGGATATACAAACATAAATAACCCTCCACCTATGTCTTCTAAAGGCTGAATCTAGTATGTAATAGTCCAACACAGTGTTTTACGTTTAGCCAATATAGGTTTTAAACGCAGGTTTATGGTTTTACTAAATCATTGTAAATTAATTTTTCTTTAAAATTGTTAACATGTTCATGCAAATAGAGCACTAACTGCTGTCATTAATTTCTATCTATCTATCTATCTATCTATCTATCTATCTATCTATCTATGCTCATCCATCCATCCTTCTAGTCATTCACTTGTGAATAGTTTGTGTCCATCAGCTTAACACATTTACAGCTGGAATGAACAAATAATTTAGTATTCAGTAGACCTCTGGAATGACTAAAGATTTGAGAGCAAAAGCTATATAAGTAATGATTTTTATGACACTAGCCTCATGGAATGGTCTTAATGCAAATGACATTGTCCAAAGACAGTGAGAGCCTCTTCCAGGAAAGACCCTTATGTGAACTGCCATGATTATTCTCTGAAAACTCCAATTCAGAATTGCAATCATGAAAATGGCTATGATTAGCCCCCTAGTGACCTGAGAGTGTTAATGCTACTTCCCAAAGTGTCAAGCAAACAATCAAGAAGAGCATTGGTGCTGGAAAAATCAGGCTTGTCATTCAGCACAGGTGGTTTCAGATATGCATGCCCTAAGTCAGACATGACATGCTCAAACTTTACCGGGAGTTCCTGCAGGGAGGTGTTCTAGAATCCTCTTTGCCTGTTTATTATCACATTTAATTAGCCACCAAGTTCTATTAATTCTACCACCTAGAACTATCTAAAATCTATCCTCTCTTCTCCATCCCCTACCTTAGTTCAGATCCCCATTCATTCTTATCTAGACCTGGTCTATAGCCTCCTGACTGGTCTCCTTTTATCCGATCTTCCTCTATCCACAAGCCATGCTCCTTTTTGCAGGCTCAGGGATCATTTTGTAAAGCAAATATGATAATTTGTTTACCAATATTTTCAGTATGCTCTCCCAACAAACATACACGCTGTGCCTACTCTTCCTGTCTGTCTGGTTTTGTTACACACACCTTGTTCCTTCTCTCTGGAATATATACATTGTTCCTTTTTCTCCCTGACTACCTGGCAAATGTCTACTTTTCTTTTTCTTCATTTTTGAGTACTTATAGTGTTCCAAGCAAATAAGAGCATTGCTTTTTTAAAACAAATTAATTGACTTTATTTTCTAGTGCATTATTATTATGATAACCAACCGACATTATCTCATTTAACTTCCAGAGTAAATGTTACTTAGACTTTAGCGTTCAGTTAACATGCCATTATACTGCGATTTTAAAAAATCCTACTGCCCTGGACAAGGTCAGCCTCTGCTTCTTCTAGTGCTTAACAGCCTTTGGAACAGACATCTATGTAATCCCTTCTCTACACATCTTGTGCTTGTTTGCTGGACTTGGAACAAAAAGAACTTGCTGTATCCTTAGTGTCTAAGCCAGTGCTGGATACACATTAGGTTCTCAAACATGTGGTATCGCACTGACACAGGTGACATAAACTGAACCACAGCTTGCTTCTCTCTCCCTTCCAGAGACAATCCTTTTTCCAGAAGAAGCAGGTAGACCTCCATACTCAGGGTTTGGTTATTAAGAATTCTTACCACAATTAAACCAGTAATGTACTCCTCTGAATTAAAACATCAGATACTCAGAGAGGACTTTGGAGGCTGGAAAACTTCCTATAACTTCCAAAGGTGCCAATTTATCATAACAGAGTTATTGGGGAACCAGAGCTTCCTGGCATATTAGGTAGTAGCACATATTAAACAGATGCTTTGCAGCAAAGGAAAGTGTACTTAAAAGCACTGCTCTGTTAATTGAATATCAGACTAAAGCTCCTAATTAATATTAGAAAACCTTTCAAAAATGGAAATAAAGAATATCAAGAAGTATTTATATACCCCTAAACAATCATCTCTATTGTGAGGATTCCCAAATCTGTACCTACAGCTTCAGTTTCCTGCACAAGATTTCATCCCATATATCTAAGGTCTCAATAGGAAGTTTCACTTTTTTGCCCCCCTTGCATCTAAAACATAACGTGCCAAACTCAACTCATATCTTCTCTCTCAAGTCACATCGGCCTTTCAACCTAGGGACCACCATGCTTTCATTTACTTAAGCTTATAGAGCTGTGGGCTCTACCCTCTCTGTCTCATACTGATGATGCTTCTCAGAAGACTGCTGTCCAACTCTGCATGTATGCTTCGATTGCTCTACCCTAGACCTGGACCCTATAATTTGATAACTAAGTCACAATCTCATATCTGGTATTCAAGCCTCAAGTCTTTTCCTCATCTAGGACATTGTACACATGGTGCTAAAACAATCAATCATTTTGTAGACAAGAGACCACCAAGACACCAAATTCTATCACAGTCTTGCCTCATATTACCTATTCAAATTGATTTCCTAAACTTTCATGTACAAGGCTTCAGCTAGTAACATCAGAATGTGCCCAGTTCACTTGAGTCTTCCCCCAAACCTTCCAGAATGTAGACTTGTTTTACTCATGTATTAAGTGGTTACTGAGCCTGTTTCTTCCAGAGTGGCTCCCAGTTGGATCCACACTGTCTAACAAGGCATACGTAGCCTTCTGACATCCAGCCTTGTGCCTCAGTCTTTGCTACCCTTGTGTAACCACTGCCCCTGTCTCCCCTACTCCACATCTTCCCTCCTCTCTAGGCTCCAGTCAGCTACCTGCCCCTCAGCAAGCCTGCTGTTCTTACTTCTGGAACATCCTGTGCGGTGAAGTTTTTTCCTGGGTCTAACTTCCAGTGTTTTTTAACATCAAACTCAGTGGTTATCCCACAGGGAAGTGGTCCTTTATCACCTTTCCACCGTCCAAGTGAAGCACACCTGCTCTGTGATGTCTCCCAAAGCACTTATCAAACTGTCCCTTGGAAGACAGGTGGAGGGTCATTTGTTTTTGTATCCCCAGTGCTTAACCTCTAGTGCTTAACCTAGTATCTGGAAAGTAATGGGTTCTCTATAAATGTTTATTGAATAATTAACATGTTATTTCTTTTAATTCTAGTAAAATCTCTGTGAGGTAGATATTGCTATTCCCATGTAACAAATATGGACATTGAGACATAATTTAAATTTGCCCAAGGTTGTATAGCTCAGAAACAATGGAGAAACCAGGATTCTCATGGCAAACCCATCTGATCTAGAAGCAATGTTTTTCTCTGATTCTCTACTGTCAGATGATGGCTTGCTGTGAAGAGGTTTATCATTAATTTTTTCAAATATTAAACCATAAATGCATTGAGGGTATAAGCAATATCTTATTCATTTTTGTGTCCTTAGCCACAGAGCAGGCACTCAAAATATGCTTACAGGATTAATGAGTAGGTGAGTGAGTGAGTAGTGGATGAAAAAAATGCCTGTTCAAACCTCATCCCACTTCCAGGAGCATTGATTGTTATATCGCTTCTATAAGCTTTTCCTCTATGTCTCAAATTTTATTTTGATCTTTCTATAAATAGATTCTAATAGCATTCAGTCACTCTCTGTATTATAATTAAATTGTACATTGTCTTTACTCATCTTTGCTTCCTCACCCCTTAAACATTTCTGACAATGCTAACAGTACCTAGCGTAAGAAACAATTAGTAAATTGATGTGAGTAAATTAGTAAATTTAATGAATAAAAAAATATCCCCCAAGGGCAAAAATAAAACCAGTGGAAAAAGTAAAACAGAAGTTAGAATACAGAGTAAATCTGAAGAAGGTGACAGGAGACTATAGGCAATTGGAATTCATGATCTATAACTGAACATGAAACTCTGAACAATTAAAGTCATTCATTCAACAAACATTGATTAAGCAATTTTTATGTGTTGTCATTATGTTAGGTACTAGCATTATGACACAATATAATTTACTGAGGAGACTAAAGCACCTCCCTTAAATTATTAAAAAAGAAAAACCAAGCAAACAAACAAACTTTTGTGTTAGAGATATAAAGAGAGGATACAGACGAAGGCATAGCTAACTGTGCCCTTGGGGGGTCTTCTTACTGCCTTAAGGGCTTTTTTTTTTCCCAAGAGAATGAACCTAAGGCCTCACAGAAATCCTTCAGCCACCAGAGAGTAAGACACTATCATTATCCTAGACTTTAGATGATATGAAAGCCATTTGCTATGCATAGGTCACCAAGAAAAAGTAAGGGTGGAACCTGGATCAGCTGAATGATGCTGCCACTCCTTGTTTAAGTGCATGTTTTGTAAAGTCTGTATCTCTGTGGTATTCTGGGGGAGGTGAACATCTATAAGATGGAATTGAAAGATGGGTGGTGTTGATCTAGGTCCATATTTCTCAACAAGGGCAGTATTGAACATTTGGGGTCATATAATTTTGTTGTGGGGGCTGTCCTGTAGGATGGCTGGCACCATCCTTTTCCCTACTGACTAGGTACCTGCTCTCTGCTATTGTGACAACCAAAAACTGTCTCCAGGCATTTCTAAATGTCCCCTGGAGGTAAAACTGGCACCAATAATGAACAAATGATCTATTCAAGGCTTCAAAAATATTTACAGGTTTGAGAGTAACTGGAAAGCAAAACATCAATGAACTTCCTTACATACATCTACATATTCAATAGCAAAATGCTGAGCTTTAGGAGGAGGATAAAGGGTGTTGGACTGAAGGACATTCTAATAGCACCACAAATATTGTGAAACATTTTGCTTCAATAAATGCAAGTTGGTGGGTGAAGGGGTGGGTGATAGGGAAGACAACACAAAACCGAATTTGACTTAGCCCCCGATTTCATAATGAAGGGTCAGCTATCATGGAAAGAACCTGCTCTGCTCATTTTAAAGAAATTGCTTTAGTTCTTAGGCATAAGAAGACCTATGATAAAGGCAGGGGGATGAAAAAAAAATTTTAAAAACTACATGATTAAAAATAGTCTTTTTTGAGATTTGAATGGAATAGTCTCAAGACATAAATGGGCATTTTTCAGAAATTACAAGAAATAATGATTGATTGTGGAACTAAGCAGAATTTTGACACATGTTAAAAATACATTAATAAACAGGTTTGAAAACTTCTAGGAATCCCACATGGAGACTGGGGTTGGATGAGCAAAATTTTCTTCTAGCGCAAATTCAAAAGCAGGCAAACATACATTTTATAAGGAGTATCATTAACTTCACAGTAACTTAAATTCTGTATAAACCACTAGACTTGGAGTCAAGATAAAAAGGACTATGGTCCTGTTCCTTTCCTTGCTACATCAGCCTTGGATTGGATCCCTGTACAGCTCACGTCCTCACCTTCCAAATAGCCAAATAATGTCAAACCTCATGGAGCTGTAAATGTGATAATGTACATAAAACTAATTGCAAACTCTAAAGCTCAGAGTTTATATATCAAAATTTTGATATATTAATTTTTCTTTTTGAGACACGATCTCACTCTGTCTCTCAGACTGAAGTACAGTGGTGTGATCATGGCTCACTGCAGCCTTGAACTCCTGGGCTCAAGCGATCCTCCCTCATCAGCCTTCTGAGTAGCTAGGACTACAGGCATGAGCCACCATGACTGGCCAATTATTAAAGGTTTTTGTAGAGATGGGGGTCTCAGTATGTTGCCAAGGCTGGTCTCTAGGCCTCAAGTGATTCTCCCACCTCGGCCTCCCAAAATGCTGGGATTACACACATGATCTACCTGGCCCAAATACATTAATTTTAATCAATTTTTATATATGTTATGTATGTTTTATGTAGCAAAATTATGAAAACAGGAAAGTAAAATATTTTTAAAAAATCACTCATGATCCCATTACCCAGAGATAACCACTAGACTCTCATAGATTCTGAGCATAGAATTTACTAAGTAAATTTTAGAGTAGTCTTGTAGTCTCAAGAGTATTCAGATTAAATGAATGTTTAAAAATGTTTTTTTTAAATTAAATTTCAACGTAATTTTTTAAAGCAGTATGACCCCCTGATCCTTCCATTCACTAACTACCATTATCATGTTAGTGTTTTCTTTTTTAAAATTTCAGTCTGGGGGCCAGGTGCAGTGGCTCACGCCTATAATCCCAGCACTTTGGGAGGCCGAGGTGGGTGGATCACGAGGTCAGGAGATCGAGACCATCCTGGCCAACATGGTGAAACCCAGTCTCTACTAAAATACAAAAAATTAGCCAGGCACGGGGGCACGCTCCTGTAATCCCAGCTACTTGGGAGGCTGAGGCAGGAGAATTGCTTGAACCCGGGAGGCAGAGGGTGCAGTGAGCCGAGATCACGCCACTGCACTCCAGCCTGGGTGACAGAGCGAGACTCCATCTCAAAAAAAAAAAAAAAAAATTCAGTCTGGGGTCCATTTGCAGTTCATAAGTGTGATGACTGGGTTTTCCCACACGTGAGAGATGTGTCTCCCTCAAATCTTATTACCCATCTGATGTGAAAAAATAATAAAATTTCAGGCTGTTTTCCTGCATGTAGCCACACCAATAATAACAATGACATTTATCGAGTGCTCTGCGTTTGTCAGTCAGTTTGTTTGCAAGCACACAACTGAGAAAGCAGCGCTGGCACCTTGTCCTCTACCAGGATGATCAAGTGCACCAGTAGCAGAGTCGGGAAAAAACAACTTTATATCTGGAAAGAAACACATAGAACAAATCACCCTACCTTCAGGATAAGCAAAGACTTGGGCCCCTTTCTGTGAATTGTGATTCTCAACAGAAACAATGTAACCCCTGTGTAGTGAGTTGAATGATGAAACCAAATATATCAAATCCTAATCTCTAGAACCTGTAAATGTCAGCTAATTTGAAAAAGGGGTCTTTGCAAATGCGATTAAGTTAAGGATCTTGAGATGAGGAGATCATCCTGGATTAACCTGGTGGGCCATAGATGACATCACTAATGTCCTTGTAAAGGAGACACAGGCAGATGAGGTTACACTCGGAAGAGGAAGAAACAGAGATTAGAGGGATGTGGCCACAAGTCAGGGATGCTGCCAGCTACTTGAAGCTCCAAGAAGCAAGGAAGGATTCTTCCCCAGAACCTCCAGAGGGTGCCTGGCCCTGCTGACACCTTCATTTCAGGTGAGTGAAATTGACATTGATCTTCCTGAAATTGACGTTGAACTTCCAGCCTCTAAAACTCTGAGAGAATAAATTCTTGTTGTTTTAAGCCAACAAGCTTGTGGTAATTTGTTTTATAGCAGCCCCAGAAAACAAATATGCCGATTTTTAAAAAAACAAACAAAAAACCCCACCAAAACCTGGACTGTGTCTTTTATTCCAGCAGTCCAGTTCTGCTGAAGTCTAAACTTCTTTGTAAACACTGCAAGCAAAAACATTTTTGTCTCTTAGTGCTATTGACTGCTTTTTTAACACAGCTATTTACATATTGTTTAGATACATCTTAATCACAGGGCATACATAGTTTCCTCCCGTCTTTCATTTATCTTTTTTAAACAAAGGCACACTGCCTGTGGGGTAGCCCTGCTCCACAAGGACTAGTTAAACAAACAAACAAACAAAAAACAGAAAACAAATTCTAACTATTTAGAACTCCTCTTAATAATATGGACAACTCGTTTTCTGGTATTAGTTAAGGTAAAACATTGATGATTTCAGAAATAGCCTCCGAGAATCCTTAGATTTCTAATGAAGATGGTATTTGGGATGAGAAGCTCTAGACCACCAGAGCTATGTAAAACCACTCCCTGGGAGGTGTCAGAGACCCAGTTGTTCAGTACACTTGTGCAGAGGCACAGGAGTGCCACCACTGGCCAGCATGCTCTCTCAAAGCCCGGAGAACCCTGAGAAGAACAGCCAGCAACAAAGAAGTGTAAGAATAAAAATAAAAAGCAGCCAAGGAAAAGGATCTGGGGAGGCCAGCCTCAGTGGCGGCATGGCAAATGGCAACGGGGGTTGCAAGCTGCAGGCTGAGAGAAGACTGGAGCCTGCAGGTAAGCCGTGAGAGAGAAGCACATGGAAAGTGGAGCCTGTCACTTTAAAGACAAAGACCACTCTAAGGCATGTGAGGAAAACATAAAGGACCCTGCACAAGATGAACACTGGAGACATTAATGGATGCCAGTCACTGCTCCTTAGGCAGTGCGTGCTGCCCATGGTCTATGTCGGTTCTGCAAACCTACCACGCCACCCACACCTGACTGATGATGATGCTCAGCACTGGTCCTCCTGTCTGTTTCACCAGGCCAGACTGCATTTTCTATTATATAATTTTTAATTACAAATCAATTAAAAATAAAAGGTTATCTACCAGGTCTTCCTCTCAGACACTCTCATTTCATACCATGTTTTTTTTTAAGCATTATTAAAATTCTAGCTAAATAATTATTTATGTCACTTTTACTTAATGTCTGTCTTCCCTGACAGGCTGTATCTCCCATGAAGTCGGTGGCAATGTCTGTCTCAATCACCATGTATACTCAGTCTCCTAACTAGTGACTCTTGGCACTTGATATATTTCTAAAAATAAGTCTTTGATTATCCAGCTTGTTCTCTGAGGGCACCAGGTATCAGAAAGAAGCCAAATTGCTAAAAATCAATATGCTGAAATAAACAATATATAAAACGACCAGTTTGCCAGAAGCCAACTTGCCAAAAATCAATGTGCTAAATTTACCAAAACATTGTTTTCTTGTAGCTGTTTATGAAGTTAATCGAAATTCATAGTAGATTGAGTGGTTTTAAAAGCTTTTGAATATTTTAGGGAAGCTTTAGATGACAATTTTTTCATTTTGTCATAAGAGCAGTATTTTAGTAAATGTTCATTTTATTGAGATTTAAGAATCCTAGGGAGATGTGGACTTCTATTGAATAGATTTAACTGTAAGGTAAATGTGATAGTGTCCTGTTCTCTTATTTCCTTTCCATTGCTTATTTCCTTTCCATTGTTTTGGACAGTTTTTGCTTTTCATGTTGAATCTGTCAGCCCACTGCTACTGAGTTGACAAATCTCACTTAATACATGTCCCAGATACTAGATAATAACAAATTAGCTGACATAGGATGATTTTGGCCATTTCAGATTTCTTTAGCTGTTTTTAAGGTCACTTTCTATTATTTTTTAGTTTAACCATTCTTTAACAACCAGAGTGACTTAGCCACAATTTGGTGCTTCTGGCAACATGTTAAATTTTATCATGTCACGTGTGAAGGGGTCATTTCAAGCATCTGAGTATCTTTCCATCTTCTGAATGTCATTTAAAATATTTTGAATTTTAGGCATTTTATCATTCTTTTACTAACCATTCAAAGAGTATATCAGCTTAAAATTTGTATTTCTAAAACATCGTAACCACAATTTCACCAGTTCCCATTGTTATGGTTGTTCTGTGTCTTTTCTCAGCAAATTCATATTTTTGATGAATATATAGGATACTTGAAATTGCAACTGTTGACTATAAATATGCTTTTCTGAATATTAAACATATAATAAAACAATTAAACCACTTATATCCATAGTTTTTAAGAAGTTGATTATTCCTTGAAATGCTTCTATAAATATAGAAAAGGAAAACTCTGCAGTAGAACTTTCTAGAAATTGTCATAGCTATTAAACAATTCCATCTTATAGTTGATCTTTTATTAAAGTTTTTTAATTTTGTATGTTTTATTGGTATATAATTGATGTACATGTTTTCAGGGGACATGTCCTAATTTAATATACTTATATTATTTGTGAAGACCAAATCAGTGTCATTGAGATATCCATCACCTTAAATAATTATTTTTTCCTTAGTAAATTTGATGAAGTGACTTAGAAAGCAGCATTATTTGAGTAACTGATTAAACATGCTTTTAAATGATAAATTTTTAAAAACTAAAAAAAAATAAACTGTCTACTTGTAGAGGGATAATGGAGACATGGAAAGTCTCTCCAGTATGGCACCCTGACAAGGCTTTTGCAATTATTCCACTCTTGGCTCAATAGAAAAGGAGTCTCTATATAAAGAGGATTATAGCAGAGAAAGGGATGTCTAATTCAAAGGAAAATAGAAACACTCTTTATCAGCTGATGTTAGTATGCTTCTAAGAAGCTTGCCTAGGACTTTTATAAATCTCAACTGTATCTGAGGCAACAGCTTATAGAAAGCAAATGGTCATTTAAGGTGTCTTTTAAGATGCTAGACTTCTACATCCATAGAATTGGTTAAAAAAAAAACTTCCTAAGTAACAAGATCTTTTTTTCTTTTTTTTCTTCTATTAGGTAATTGAAAGTGGGTATTTAATTGACACCATCATGCTGGGAGCTGTGTTTATAGAAAGCGGATGCCTAGGGATAGGAAAAGTCAAGCTGAACACTACACTTTGATGAGGTAGTTGGGAGATGGATTTTTCTGTCTGAGACCCAAGCTTGAACCTGAAGATTTTCACAGTTGAACTGTCACAATTTTTAATGGCTGTGGGCAAAGGTCTTAGGTTCTGATGTGATTCATGTCAGATGTCAGTGGAGCTGGGAGTGTTTTCCCTGGCTGGCCCTCAGCATTCAGTCCCCCATATTTAAGAAGAGGCCCATTTCTTGGGAACAACTGGCAATGGGATAATGATCTCACAGTTTTAACAAGGTTGTGAGACTATATTGGGTGATTTCTCACTACCTGCTCCTGATTTTCCTTTTGGTAGGTAGCTTACCAGATACGTTGAATTTTATAAATTTCTTCTCTAACATTAGTCAATTGGATTTAGGGTTTTTTTTTCCATTCTTGTCTTGTGTGTTTCTCATTGTATTCAGGTGAATATTTTGGTTTGCTCCTCAACTTTTCTTATTGCTGTGAGAGAAGTTATAGCTGGCAAATGGCCAGAATTAAAATAGATATTATAATATAGTTGCTTCTTAATTACTCAATGTGAAGTAACCACGCCACTGTAATTTTATTCCCATCTTGTGGTCTCCTGCTCCTCTGGCTTTGGACCCATTTAATGGTGTGTACTTTAGGAAATCAAAACAATCTTTATGTTAGGTAAATCTATGGCAACAGTTTGAAGCAAAATTTAAACAGTTTTAGCAAGAGCTGCTGTTATCCCTGCCCACTTCTAGTGGGGGTAATTAATTCAACATTTAATACACATGAATACTGTGAGTGTGTACTTAACATACCCAAATCATCTTCATAATGAGACTTAGTTTACTTAAACGGAAGGGATAAACTGGATAGCACAAAACCAGATTTAGCTACATTGCTGTAGTGTTGAAGTGACTTGGATGGAGGTCTAGAAAGCAGCCTTATTTTAGTAATTGATTGACTATGAAATTGACTCTAAAAATATCCATCAAATCTTGCAGCTCCTCCTATCAATAGGTGAATTTTATTTCCCTATCCTCTGAATCTGGGATGGCTTAGTAACTTGCTTTGACCAGTAAAATACAGTCTAAGTGACATGGTGCAAGTCCAGATCCTGAACCTCAAGAGGTTTTATAGTTGCTGCTCTTGCTGTACTTGGAAACCTGAAAGTACTATGTGGCCAACCTAAAGGATGAGGGGCCACATGGAGGACAACCAAGTGCCTCAGAAGATAGCCTGCCAACTGCCAGACATGTGAGTGGGTCTATCCTAGATCACCAGTTAGCCCTCTCACCAGTTCACCACAGTTTCTTGAAAAATCCCAGCAGAGATCAGCTGAGCCAGCTCAGACAAGAACAACACAACCCACCAACAACCCACCCACAACACTGTGAGCTAAATAAAATGGTGTTGTTTTAAGCCACTATGTTTTGTTAAACAGCAATAGCAAGTAATACAGCTGGTTTTGTATTTTATACCTTTGACTCTCCAAGAGCAGCCTCTATCACAATGGAACTCAATAAATACCTGATGATTGGTGATATGGTTTGGCTGCATCCCCACCCAAATCTCATCTTGAATTCCCACGTGTTGTGGGAGGGACCTGGTGGGAGGTACTTGAATCATGTGGGCTGGTCTTTCCCGTGCTGTTCTCGTGATAGTGAGTAAGTCTCATGGGATCTGATGGTTTTAAAAAGGGGAGTTTCCCTGCACAAGCTCCCTTCTCTTGTCTGCCACCACATAAGATGTGCCTTTCACCTTCTGCCATGATAGATAGGCCTCCCCAGCCACGTGAAACTGTAAGTCCAATAAACCTCTTTCTTTTGTAAATTGCCCAGTCTTGAGTATGTTTTTATTAACAGTGTGAAAACAGACTAATACAGTAAATTGGTACCGAGAGTGAAGCCCTGCTGAAAAGATACCTGAAAATGTGGAAGTGAATTTGGAACTGGCTAACAGGCAGAGGTTGGAACAATTTGGAGGTCTCAGAAGAAGACAGGAAAATATGGGAAAGTTTGGAACTTCCTAGAGACTTGTTTAATGGCTTTGACAAAAATGCTAATAATAATATGGACAATGAAATCCAGGCTGAAGTGGTCTGAGATGGAGATGAGGAACTTGTTGGCAACTGGAGCAAAGGTGACTCTTGTTATGTTTTAGCAAAGAGTCTGGTGGAATTTTGCCCCTGCCCTAAAGATATGTGGAACTTTGAACTTGAGAGAGATGATTTAGGGTATCTGGTGGAAGAAATTACTAAGCAGCAAAACGTTCAAGAGGTGACTTGGATGCTGTTAAAGGCATTCAGTTTTATAAGGGAAACAGCATAAAAGTTTGGAAAATTTGCAGCTTGACAATGCAATAGAAAAGAAAATCCCATTTTCTGAGGAGAAATTCAAGCCGTCTGCAGAAATTTGCACAAGCAACAAGGAGCTGAATGTTAATCCCCAAGGTAATGGGGAAAATATCACCAGGGCATGTCAGAGGTCTTCAAGGCAGTCCCTCCCCCATCACAGGCCCAGAGAACTAGGAGGAAAAGATGTTTTCGTAGGCCAGGCCCAGGGTCCCCATGCTGTGTGCAGCCTAGGGACTTGGTGTCTTGCATCCTAGCCACCCTAGCCATGGCTGAAAGGGGCCAACATAGAGCTCAGGCCATGGCTTCAGAGGGTGCAAGCCCCAAGCCTTAGCAGCTTCCATGTGGTATTGAGCCTGTGAGTGCACAGAAGTAAATTATTGAGGTTTGGGAACATCCACCTAGATTTCAGAAGATATAGAGAAATGCCTGGGTGTCCAGGCAGAAGTTTGCTGCAGGGGTGGGGCTCTCATGGAGAACCTCTGCTAGGGCAGTGTGAAAGGGAAATGTGAGGTCAGAGCCACCACACAGTCCCTACTGGGGTACCACCTAGTGGAGCTGTGAGAAGAGGGCCACTGTTCTCCAGGCCCCAGAATGGTAGATCCACTGACAGCTTGCACTGTGTGTCTGGAAAAGCTGCAGATACTCAATGCCAGCCCATAAAAGCAGCTTGGAGGGAGGCTGTACCCTGCAAAGCCACAGAGGCAGAGCTGCCCAGGGCCATGGGAGCCCACCCCTTGTATCAGCATGACCTGGATATGAGACATGGAGTCAAAGGAGATCATTTTGGAGCTTTAAGATTTGACTGTTCCACTGGATTCTGGACTTGCAGGGGGCCTGTAACCCCTTTGTTTTGGCCAATTTCTCCCATTTGGAATGGCTGTATTTACCCAATGGGTATACTGCCATTATATCTAGAAAGTAACTAATTTGTTTTTGATTTTACAGGCTCATAGGTGGAAGGGACTTGCTTTGTTTCAGATGAGACCTTGGACTGTGGACTTTTGAGTTAATGCTGAAATGAGTTGACTTTGGGGGACTGTTGAGAAGTCATAATTGGTTTTGAAATGTGAGATTTGGGAGGGGCCAGGGGAGAATGATATGGTTTGGCCCTGTCCCCACCCAAATCTCATATTGAATTCCCACGTGTTGTGTGAGGGATCCAGTGGGAGGTACTTAAATCATGGAGGTGGGTTTTTCCTGTGCTGTTCTCATAATAGTGAATAAGTTTCATGGGATCTGATTGTTTTAAAAAGAGGAGTTTCCCTGCACAAGCTCACTTCTCTTGTCTGCTGGCACATAAGATATGCCTTTCATCTTCTGCCATGATTGTGAGGTCTCTCCTGCCACATGGAACTGTGAGTCCAGTAAATCTCTTTCTTTTGTAAATTGCCCAGTCTCAGTTATGTCTTTATCAGCAGCATGAAAATGGACTTAATACAATTGGCATGAGCATCAAGGATACAACATTTGTATCTCATAAGATGCACCCACAGCCACAGACAAGATTTGACTTTTAGAAAAATTCCTTAGGCAGTTGAGGTTTGCGCCTTTAATATTGCAATTGCAATTTGTTTCAACTGAGGATTTATTAGGATCATTATTGTTTATGTAAGTGTATGTAAATTAATCCATTATTTCATTCCTTCACCAGGACAGAGCTGTTTAAAAAAATTAGCTTTACTGAGATACAATTTATATACCATAAAGTTCACCTGTTTAATGTGTACAATTAAATTGTTTTTATATATTTACAGAGTTGGGCACTCACACCATGATAATCAAATTTTAGAATATTTTCAATATCCTCAGAGGACACAGATTTTCACTTCATTTTTTCTATTACTAATAGCTAATAAGGCCCTTTAACCTTTCATTTAATTTTATAATAACCTATTTCTTGCATTATCCTGATTTGCCATATTGCAACACAGGCAGTGTACATTGTTGCTAAACAAACATGCTATTGGACACATGGTATTGGGGGACAATACACACTGGGCACCTGTTGTAGGGATTGGGGGAGGGAGAACATCAAGAAGAATATCTGATGGCTGCTGGGCTTAATACCTGGGTGATGGGATGATGTGTGCAATAAACCACCATGGCACATGTTTACCTATGTAACATCCTGCACATGTACCACTGAACTTAAATAAAAGTTGAAAAACAAAAGAAATGAATGCTATAACATTTGGAATCCTGGACTATCACACAAAAATCCTAAAGGGATAAAAAACACTGAGTTCAAATATCATTTACATTAAGGGACCTTATTTACCATATTTTGAATTTGAAGCACAGGTATAGTTTAATAATAAGTCATTTTTAAAAATGAAAACAAGCAAATTTAGATGGCTACACTTCAAATTGCTATTAGAAAAGATGAAGAAGAGTTAAATTACAGAAACTGCAGCATGAAATCTGGAAATAAGGATGAGGAGAAAGATAAATGAAAACAGTTGAGGGTACGTGGCACATTTCTAAAAGTGTTAGAAAACACTTTTCACCACACTTTCGTCCAATGTGGAATACTGTCAAAAGTCCTTCACCAAATGCTAAACAGTTCACTATGTTAAGACATGTTTTTCAATGAAAGCACATCTCCAACTGTATGGCAAAAATGGCAGGAAAACAGATTCATTTTATAGAAACGAACTATGTAGCTCTCTTTATGTGTATCCATCTATTCCCTGAGAAAAGGTTAACCTAATTATATTTTTAAAGCATTTTAAATTATAGACTAAAGCAATGGTATTAGCAATGACTTATTGTTTCATTTTTACTGTATCAAGCTTTAGGTAAAAGAAGAGAATCAATCCCAGAGATTCAAAGATATTAAAGTGCTCGTGAAGATCAATTGGTAATTATTCCACAGCAGTGCTTAAAGCCTCAGGGTTAGGCACTATGTTAAGGAGAAAATATAGATGAAAATCAACCTCTTACTCTACTTTAAAAAGATCCTTCAGGATATCTCTGGAAAGCAGATGTATTTCAAATTCTAGATCCCTATATCCTATGAGTTCCGGTCATAAATGACGTTAATCAAGCCCCTGCCCCTGTGGTATAGAAAAAAATCCAGGAAGTTTAATGTGACAAACATTTCTTGATCCCTTTAAACGTGCTACAGGAGACATAAAGGTAAAGAACACGCCACTTCTGCTGGAGCAACCAGACAGCATTACTCCTTGCTTTTTCCCAAACACCAGGTTTCCCCAAACAGGGGAAGGGCAACGGAACAGTCTTACTTGAATATTTTCCAGTGTGCAAGCATCCATTTATTAATTATTAATACCATATCTACTTACAAAGAAAGTTTGTGGAGATTTACAGAAAATTATACACACACACACACACACACACACACACACACACACACACACACACACACAGAGTTGGTTCTCCTGTATCCATGGGTTCTGTGTCCTGGATTCAACCAAACTTGGATAAAAAATATTTGGAGAAGAAAAAAACATCTGTACTGAACATGTATGTACAGACTGTTTTTTCTTGTCTTTGTTTCCTAAGTAATATAGTATAAAAACTATTTACATGGTATTTACACTGTATTAGGTATTATCAGTAATCTACAGATGACTTAAAGAATACAGGTTTCATAGTTCATAGTTTATATGCAAATACTACATCATTTTATGTAAGGGACTTGAGTATACATTGATTTTGGTATCTGAGGGGGTTCTTGGAACCAATCCTCCACGGATATTGAGAGACGACTATACATATAAAATTAAAAGAAAGATAAAAAGACAAGAACTGGTAGATAATAATGTGAGAAAATCTAGGGTAAGGGAACCTCCTACAGTTTAACACAACAGTTTCCTTCTATAAGTTGGCTGAACTCCTCATCTAATAGAGGAGGAAATGCTAACTGGCCCAGCTCTAAACTCTGAGATGCCTGCTGCATGGGTCTGTCCTAGGAAACAGTGACTAAAATAGATAGCCATGTGCTGAGCAGTACCTTTATAAAATATTCAGAGATAGGTGTATATGGCTGTGTACTATAGCTTCAATAAATATCAGGAACCTAATACTGTAAAAATATTTCCATGGAAAGCTGGAGAAACCTAATCCAGGTACATGGTGTTCTGGTGATGGGACTTGATACAAGGACATAGCTCAAAGCATAGAGAAGAACCAAAGGCTAACATTTCTTACCCGTTTCTTTAGAGGTATCAACTGTTAGGAGATGCAGAGCAGGTCATTAAAATTTAAGATTATTAGGATTAAAAACTCAAGATCATTAGACTTAGAGTGCATTCATTCTGTAATGAGACTGTAAGCATCAGGACTGGATACAGCAAAACTAATGTTCACTTGTAGAAATTCATTCATATATATTTACTGATCACTTTCTATGTACCAAACACTAATCTAGAAGCCAGAGATTTGGAGGAGAACAATGTATGCTTGGTTTCAGTCATTACTGAGCTTACTGTAGAGGATGGAGAGGGTAGAGAAATAAAGAATAAATATTTTTAAATAATAATTTCAGATGCTATATACTAGGAAGACACTAGTAAGAAAGAGTAATAACAAGATTGATGCCATTTTTCATTTTGACTGCTGACAGCCTTCTGTCCCATCACAATCCTGTCCCTGTCTGCTCCACATGTGGGCACATTAAGAAACCCCAGGTACTTCCTCCTTTGGTGCTAGCTGGAAGGTCAAACCACGTGGACCCCAGCTTGAGCGCAGGAACCCTCACCTAGTCCTACCCCCACCCACCATATAACCCCAAGCTCATCTCCATTTCCTACTTTCAGAAGCCATTTGTGGACCAGTTTGGAAGCCCACCCTGTTCTCCCCAGAAAGCTCATATGCAAGTAATAAACCTTTACATATACTTTTGGTGTGTGTGTGGCATCATGGTCTTGACTTTCCAACCAAAGTTTAGTTGAAGGGTCTATCTTGCCACTAGGGAGTGACCACATCATGAAAACTGGTCAATGTCTCAGGATTATAGGCACAATAAGAAGAGAAGCCAGGTCTCTTGGGGCTGAGCTTCTGAAAGTTCGGCATCACTTCTACTATAAGCTACTGGTCACAGCAAGTCACCAAGCCAGCCCAGACCCAAGGGGGCATGGAAATAGCCTCCAGCTCTTGAAAGAAAGAGTTGCAAGAATTTGTGGCCATTTTTTGCAATCCACCATGACTATTTAGCTGAATCTAGCTTGCTACCATCCAGTTTACTCATTTCACGATGAGTAAAAATATCATAATAAAGATCATGGCTGGTGATTTTTATTCTGATGAAGGTCTTCTCTTCTTTTTTAAGAAGTGAGGGTTGTGGTCCCAATGAGCCAAATCTTACTCATCTTTGTCCCCATCACATTGACCACAGAACCTGCATATCTTAGGCTCTGAAAGATAGCTGTAGAAGTGAACTAAAATCAATTTTAAGTTAAGAACAATGTAATAGCTAAAGCACAGGAATTAAAGGAAAAAAATCTTGCATAAAACATTTTGAAAAAAATCTTCCATATATGTTCATACATTATCTCACAACACATTCACATTTTTCAGCCATTTGAACACAGTGGTATCAAACTGAGGTCTCTTGTCAGGTGGATGACAAAGCCATTCTGGATAATTCTGACAGTTTAATAACATAATTAACCACCTGATCTGTAGGAGGGTGAGTCATGATGAGCTTCCTGACAGAGCTGTGAGAGGATACAACTGCTCATCTTTGGAAGTACAATGCACACACCCACAATTGTATATATGCCCTTTAGCTGAAGCGCTGAATTAGGACCCCCATTGGAAAGCAAACATGTCTATTTAACAAGGGATATTGCTACTTTTCCTAGTCCTCAAAATGCCCTTCTGCATTTGCATCTATTGAGCAAAATAGTTATTGAATATGTTGAAACTGTGCTAGGTACTGGGGACAAAGAAACATGGAGGATTTTTTGACGTGAAGAAGGAAACTAACAGTTGATACAGTTGATATATTACTGTACGCAAGACATTCTGTTAGTCTCTCCACACATGCTTTCTACACAACACATAAAACAACCCGATAAGGTGGTTGTTATTATCTTCATTTTACAATTGAGGATACTGAGACTATCACAGAGTAAGAATTTGCTCTAGATCATTCAGCAAATATATGGCAGAATCTTGATTCAAACCTTGGTCTGCCTGAACCTACACCCAGCCTCTTTCCACCAATATGGCTTAACATCATCCTGCAACAATGGGTTTCTTCCAGCTATGCAAATGTTCTATCAGTTGTTATTCACTGTAACAACATTAAATCTCTACTACAATCATAAAGGGAAACCTCCCTCCTTTTCCCAAATGAATCTCTCTTTAGATTCCATTTCTACATCATAGCAATTAGGCTGGGATGATGTATTCATCAAAGTGACCCTGGTGAGTGAATTGCCTAATCCTTCATGTCAACCCCAAGTACACATGCAAGTAAAAAGAAAATTAAAATATATGGACCCTAAGTCCAACTCACCTGTGCCAGAAACACTGCAGTTGCCATAGTGATTACTTCAACAGGCAGAGTTAAGAACCTTATGGAAATGAGTAAAACTAAGATATATGCAAATTTTCTGTAAAAGTAAAAAGATAATTTTTGTATATTTTTTTCCAGAAAACTCTTATGGAAGCCTTTTTTTTTTCTGCACTGGAAACTCAAAGCACAAGTCAAGAGTAGATCAGTCCTCAGCTCATATACTGATGGCGAATGAGAAAGAGCTAATTAGGCAGTCAGTTGCTAGCAGGATGACCACCTCACTTCATTTAAAGGGAAGAAACACAAATGAAGCCAACCAAACTTATGATGTCTATACATGCCTGCTACTGAACACCAGCTTCTGACATCCATGAGGAAGAACTATCCTTGTTCCTTCCTTCACTCCTTCCTATTCAATCACTGAGTTTTGCCCATTTATCCAGGTATCTTTTATCTTACTGCTACCACTACCTGCAGTTGGATAGCAATCCCCTCACACCTCGATCTGCCTCCTCTTAACCAGCTGGTCTGATCCCAGACTCCTTCTAACTCCAAAGTCCTCTTTTCCCAGATAAACTGTCTTTGTATATGACGTTGATCATGCCACCATCCTGCTCAAAAACCTTTTATGGTTCTGTATTTCATCAAGTATCTAGTCGAAACTACTTCAATTTCCCTCCTCTACTGCTCTCCAATTCCTACTTCCACTGGCAGGTAGGCTACTCCTGTCATAGTCTCCCAAGGGTGCCATATGCATCCCTCTTTATATCTTCTGCTTGAATCATCAGTGTTCTCTTCTTTTACGTTGATCTTCTTCTTATCCAAGGCCCAGGTCAAGTCTCCCCTCTTCTGTGAAGTCCTCCCTGATAAGTGCAGCCATTAACTTTATAGCACATACAAGTTGTTTCTCAAAGTTGGGTATAAAATTTTATCATGTGCTGTCCTACAGTTCATAAGTACTTCACCTGTGTTATTCTGGTATCCTCAACTGTGTTAGGGTAACTTTGGGTATAATTATGTTTTATATGCTGGAAGTACGTGTGTGTGTATGTGTGTGTGCATGCACATACATGAGTGTGTTTATGGTTAATTATCAATTGTGGACTGTCAATTAAATCTCACACCAAATATCTGTGTATTCTCATGAGTGATAATTTATATCAATTTAACATTAATTAATTAATTTTTTATTTTTATTTATTTTTTTATTTTTTTGAGACAGAGTCTTGCACTGTCACCCAGGCTGCAGTGCAGTGGTGCGATCTTGGTTCACTGCAAGCTCTGCCTCCCGGGTTCACACCATTCTCCTGCCTCAGCCTCCTGAGTAGCTGGGACTACAGGCTCCTGCCACCACACCCAGCTATTTTTTTTTTTTTTTTTTAGTGGAGACGGGCTTTCACCGTGTTAGCCAGGATGGTCTCGATCTCCTGACCTCATGATCCGCCTACCTCGGCCTCCCAAAGTGCTGGGATTACAGGTGTGAGCCAACGCACCCGGCCAATTTAATTTTAATATTCCCAGAACATTTATTACATTTATGATAACTTTTAGTCTTTTTTTTTTTGGAGGAGGCTAGTTGTCCTCATAAGTCCCAAATCCATGTAACAAAAAACAACCCATACCCCATAAACTACTGGAATGTTTTAAAAAGTTAAAGATTCTGTCAGGTAACCCCAACAGTCTTTTCTTTTTAATGAAGCAATAAAATAACCGAGACCAGGGTTTTCAGAACAATTTGGTATTTCCCTTCATGGATCATTCACTCATTCATTCATTCATTCATTCAACTAAATAGTTCCAGGGTGCTTATTAGATGCTAGAAACTGTGTTAGTGCTAAAGATACCATTGATTTTATTGGTATTAAAACTACCTGTAGATAGTTTCTAAAAAGCCAAGAGAAAAATGCAACTTCATAGGAGAAAATACGTGGAAACTGCTAGGTATTCCACAATCTAGTAATAGCTGAATTAGGTTGAGGGACAAACTGTATTGTTCTGATGAAGAACTTGTTCCAGGACCTTTTGATTTCTTTCCTAATTTCTGCCATGGATCAAAGTTTGATTGAGGTTGGTCAGAACTGTTTAATCATCATAGTTTTCAAATTTTTTTTTTCCTTTTTTGTGCTTTGGGGGAATATGATGTGGATGGCTTCCAGGGTAGAGATTAGAAACAACAGTGTACTGAGCCTCATCAGTGTTTTAGTGTGGGAAGTACAGTTTTTCTGCTTTTTAATGAATTCTTGTACAACCTAATGGCTTTGCTCCAAAAATGTGCTACTGGAGTGGAGGATTATCTTACATGGGTCATTGCACTTCCAAGCTTTAAGCCTCAGAATGAGCATTAAATTAAAATTCCCTGCACCTAGTAGGCAGAACATTGTGACACTCAAAAGATGTGAAAGTGCTAAGTGAATTCGGAGCAATATTATCACCACTGCATATTTATTGAGTTCAACAGGGTGCTAAGTACTGTACAGACAGATAATACAAACAGTCTATAAAAAAAATAAAGAAAAAGAAACCACAGCAGTAGTCTTATAAGAACTCTCTCATTCATCTGCCCTAGGAATAGACGCTGTAACTAGACTTGTTAGAGAGTCTCCTCTTTTCAAAAGTATCCTCAAGGTTCTTTATGCTTTTATTTGATTTGAAGGTAGTCAGTTTTCTACAGTTACCATTTATGAATGTGACCAAGTCTCCCAATTTCAAAATTACCATAAGAATGCTGCAGGCATTAAACTGAAGAGAACTTCATCCCTTTGCAACAGAAAATTATGAACTGAGTTTTCTGGGAAATCTTAAAGAAATCAGTTGTAAAATATGATATACATACTATTATGTTTTTGATTCAACTGGGAAAATACGCATTTTCAAATTTAATAATATTGGTCTTTTTAACTAGCCTTCAATTTTCTGAAAAATGCAAATTTGAAAGCCAAAAGAATTTAAATAGTTTAGTTTTAAAGACTGAAAACTATTGAAAGTTAAAGCATGAAGTGAATTTCCTATTTTTAAACAAATCTAGATACAAATAGAGAAAAAATTAAAGTACAGGGTACCCAAGATGTAAGAACCAATATGCATGTGGATGAGCACAAAGAATAACTTTGCATATCCAGAAACTAATTGAGTTTCAGAATCCTGGCTTACTTTATTTAAATGCCAGCCCATCAGGGTTAAGAAAAAAAATTGAGCACTTTAGAGAAAATGGGTTATAAACTGTCATTGTTGAGTTTAGTGTTCTGACAACTTTGAAAGTAACTACAATGTAATTTCCCAAGTTGGTAGCTAAAATAATAGAACATCTGGATGCCATTGAAATGCATGACAATCAAGGAGAGAACAGAAAAGCAGTGAGAACAATGCTTTTCCCTTTGCTTATCATTCTTTGCAGTTTTGAACTCTTACTCCAAACCTCAGTTGTGGTAGTCAAGGGCAACTTCCTTCTCAAAGTTTCACGTATGATTTCTAAGATCCCTGGGTCCATCTCTGGGTCTACTTATAGCTTCCAGAAGCTGTATTTTTCACCAACTTGCCTTCTTAATCTCTTATGTCAGACTTTAAGCCTGAACACCTGTGTGAGGTGGTAAGCAGTGTGCAGTGTCTTTTATGTATTGGTCAGAGTGCTGATTTCAAGCTTGCAAGCTGGGGCTGGGCTTTGGAAATGTACACATCTCCAGATAACACCATTTATTAAGCAACTTCAGCCTCATGCATTCTGTCCTTCCAGGAGCAAGTAACCCTACTGTGGAAAACATAATTAAGTTAAACTGTAGGTGGTTCAGAAATATTTGTGTTACCAACTGGCAACCTTATAGATGGTGTTTTCTGCTACAGTTTCGGAACTGCCCTTGTCATTTGTTAGGCATTTATAGTTACACATTTATGCCTTTGGAAATATCTGGGCAAAAGCCTAGATAGCTAAAGCTCCTCTCAGGTAAGAACTAATTGTAAAGTTGAGGTGAGATTAGTTTTCTATTTCCTCTGTCTAAACACAATGAAAAGAGAAGGTAAGAATATATTTTTTTTCATTTTAATTCAGCTAATATTTACTTAGAGTCTAATAAGTACAAAGTCAGTACCAGGAAGAAAACAAAAACAGTCATTAAGGACCTTGTAATCTATGGTTTCACAACAGACTCATATTCATGAATTATATATTTCTTTACATTTTTACTCTCAAAAAGGGATGTTTTATAGAAGCATATTATTTTTCATGCCCTCCCTCCGTGAAAACCACATTTCAAGGTTGTCTGAAAGTGGGGTTTCTCTGAGTGCAGAGATGACTTATTCTTGGCATGCACGTAAGAGTCTTTCCAGAGTCCCTTTTTCTTAATAGCTCCAAGTTGGAACTGATGGGGGATGTGTGGCGGGAGACAGGGGCTGCTCTTCTTTCTCCTTATTCTACCTGCATCATCTGAAGGGATTTTGCTTTTAAACATGAGAAGGCATATGTGCCCTCTCAGAGACATGTCAAGCCTCAGCTACAGTTTGGTTTGGATCCTTTCCCTCTTTTTACACTACAATTTGTCACCAGTAGAGAATGCAGACAGCTATGCCAAATGCGAATGTCGCTTGCATGCCCACATTTGGCAAATGTTTATCCAGATCTTTAGTTTGGGATTTAAATAATCCATCATCAAGCAGATGATTTCTAAGGTACTATTTAGCTCTGAAATTTTATGATTCTGTGGGATTTATTTGTACTTTTGTGAAAAGGTGCTTACAATATATCATTTTGTCTTCAATGACAAAATGTTGTAAGGTAGAATATCAAACTATACTGGAAGAAAGGAGAGTAGCTGATATTTGTGGGTAACCTGTTTAGATGTCTAAAGTTACATATTTAGGTTACATGTTTAGGTTCTTGATATAATTTTTCAAAGGACATGAATTAATATGCAGTACTCTTTTCCAAATGTTTCAAAGATATTTACATAAACATTTCTTACACTGTATAATTTTTCCTTCAGTAGGTAAATGCTATAAGGTAGAGTATTACAGATCCAGCCAAGGGATAGATTTTTGTTCATATTTGCGTGCAAGCTGATCAAGTATTGGAAATAATCTGCCAAATTACATTAGATGATGTCCAGAGTCTTTCCTTTAGCTGATCCACAGGCAGAAGTGAAGGCTAGTAAATGGCTTGAAACTGGGCACCAAACCAACACTACAGAAGTATCACTAGGGCCTCCTGGGGGGCTGGGCTATATTCATGCAATATTCTAGAAAAAGTGATAGATGGTTCCTACTTAAGGTCATTGGCAACTCTACCCTAGATTGCTATTTAATGAGATCCCATGCAATGGAAAAAAGTAACATATTGAATGTAAATATATTAATATAGAAAAATGTCCATAACAAATAAGCAAGGATATGAAACTATATAAAGTATTTATTAGATTTCTTCACAAATTTTATGTAGGATTATATGAAATATATGTGTATACATATATACATAAATGTAAAAGAAAGTTCTGAAAGATTATTTACCAAAATTTAAAACACAATCATCAATTTATGGAAAAACTATGAATATTATTAAATGTTTTTATTCATTTATCTTTGTCTTCTCTGTTTTTGTTAAATTTTCTTACAATGAACATGTATCATATATGATCATAGTTACATGATTCTCATATTTCTATAATCGGAAATAATTGTATTTTTAAAAATCCTACCATAGGCACTATGTAATTTCTAAAAGAGGAGTTTTGGAATAGGCTTTTTCTCCCTTTCACCTAGGTGTGTACTTGCTTTACACCATGAGAAACTGAGTTCACTCTTCCTTACATGTTGATGCCCTTGTGGCATGACAGGAACTTTTAAATGAATTGCTTCTGGAAGCATCATTTTTGAAGACGGGTAAATGGTTTTGTGCATGTATCAAAGCACACATCATGGGTCTGTCACGGCCTTGCGCAGAGATATTTGTAATTCTTCATTCAGAGATGAAGCAAGCATGCCCTGGCTACTGCTGATAGAGACAGAACAACACCTTCTGTTGTAAAAAATGCTAAATAAAAAATCCCATTCTGTTCTGGCTGATACCAAACAAGCGCATCTCTAATTCCTGCATACCTCAAGAGTCTGTCTGCTGCGGTTATGTCTCCCTGCCAACAAGGCTGTAATATTGCTTTAAATTTGACTGCAGCCTTTCTGACTTTCTCACCTAATGAGAAGAGGTTCTTAGGCCTTGGAGGGCAAAGATGGGACATGCAAAGTTGAGACTTTGCCAAAGTTATTTGCAGTGACAAGAAGAATGCCATATACCATGAAGAGAAAATCTCAGTCATTTGGTATCCTATGGGATCAAAATTTGCTTTCATAGCCTTCAATTCAAAAACAAAGCAAGAACAAATTAAGCCTCTCTCAATATGGGGAAAGTCAGAACACTGGATCGCTCAGTCTACTTTGTAGTACTGGTTGCTTAGTTTAAAGTGCTTTGTCTTTGTGAAGCTTCTTAAGAGGGCTACTAATGAGTACTTATGCATTTTTTAAAATATTGACATTTTTCTATTTTATTTGAAAGTAGTCACCTAAAAGTAGATTTTATTTCAATTACATAACAGCAAGGTATACGTTAGCCTGGAGCTTAGCCCTACATCTAATTTCAAGACTTATCAGCATCTTTAAAACTCTAGAGTGGCATGCCAGGAATTATAATGGGTACATCATGAAAAATCTAAGATCTTTCTTCTGAATTATGTATTTATGATCTCCCAAGGATGATCGGAGGTAATGTGATTTAGGAACTGCTTTTAGGCTCCAAACAGGAGCTGGGGTTGGCAAGCCACCTCAGTACAGACTGGGATGCGGTGGGAGAAAGCCCTTCCCTGTTCTGCATATCAGCTGGCACCCCAAGGGCTCCTCAAACTTCCCACCTAGGTGCCTCCTCTGTGTGCTTAGTGTATATTTTGTGGATCTCTGGACAGTACATATCACTATATCCTGCAAAGCATGGATTACCTGGGTTGTGGATTACCTGGAGCCCTAAACTTCCACTCAGCCAACATTCATCAAGTGCCTATTACATCCCTGGCATTGTTTTAGGTGCTGGGGTACAAAGCGGAGTAATCTGACCCTTCCTCCTACGGGTGACCTTCACTAAAGGTAGGGCCAGGAAGACAGAGGATTAGAAATCTCAGTGGAGCTCATCTTGCAGCTTGCTAATGAAGCTAAGAATAGCCTAAAGGAGAGGCGGAGTTTGAAACTACCCAGGGCAATGATTTTCAAATGATGATATCTGCTGCTGAATATTAACCATGCTGTGGGCTACCTCCATCGAACATCTCCTAAACAGTCACATCCAGTTTCGTATTTCTACACGATTGAGGTTTTGACATTTGAATGAAACATAAAAAAATTCCCATTAGATGTCTAAATGTTAAACACATTGACTGCATTAACAAATAAACACAATTTAAGACCTTAAAGGGGTTATGATTCCGGGAGAAAGCTTAGGGGTTAGTGATAAGGCTGGACAGGCCTGAACATGGCTGGCCGGGGGAAATTAGTTATTTGTCCCATCCTAGTCGTAAGACTAATTTATGGAGCTCCTGGATGCTTGGAAATGCTACTGCTCTATTATTGGAGCTTGGGTGCCTCGGTCTACCTATTGGATACTGGTTTAGAAAGCCAGAGGGAAAGACTGTGGATCCAATAGTAGAGATCTAATGACCTTCATCATAGCCATGCCAGACCCACGGTTGACTCATTAGCCTGTCTTAGGAGAATAAGCTATTGCAACTTACATGTTTACAGCTTATTTAAGTGGATGGTGGCCAGCGGAAGCTGATAAATCTCTAAGCTTTTGGGATTTTCTTCAGAAAAGGGCCAAAAAAATTAATATATTTTTGAGTGCATACCATGTGCCAGGAACTTCTGTAGGCTCATTCATAGATGCTATCTTATTAAAGTATCATAAGTATATTCAACAACTATGAACCAAGCTATAAATACAATGCATAATACAAGGCCTTAAGTGTTCTGAATTTTGTCACAAGATGACTGCTTCAGGAATCACAGGGAAAATTTTAAAGCTTCTAATTATAATAGCTAACATATTAAACACTTAACATGTGCAATGCATGTGCAGTGTAAATATCCTCACCAAATCTTATAAAGGTATTATTATTGTCCCAATTTTATAGGTAAAGAGACGGAGGTTTAGATTAAGTAATTTGGCTGTAGGTCACACAGCTAGTGAGTTACTATGTCTGTCTCCATATCTTGTGCATTAACCATCTCTATCTACATTTATAATATATTAGTTTGATATAAATGTAAAGGGATGATCACAATTAGGACAGTGTCTTATAAGAGATTTTTTTCACTGTTTGATTGAATAATTGTGTAACATCCTTACAGTTCTACACTCCCAAAAATTAAACAACCAAACTTATTATAGGTTTTCCCCATTTTGAAGGCTGGTATTGTTCCAAGATTCTAAACTATTTTCCTTGGCTCTGACGTGCAGGGCTCTCCTGACTTATTTTCATGACAATGTTCTACATCCTTACGCTGACAACTCTCTTGGTATTTCAGTAAACCAGTATTGCCACAAAATAGATGAGGTTGGTAGCTCCCAATTTGCCACAAAAGCAAGGCACTTGAAAGGTCTTGAAACAACAGCTCATTTGAACAAAGCTGTCTGCTGCAGGCAGGAAGCATGCCAAAGTAGTTTTTCCTGATTATTAATAGAAGCACTTGAGTTGAATTCCATATTTTAAACTTGCTGTCATTACATTTTAAATTTTCCCACAGACAGATATGAAGTCCTCAACTGGGTCAAACACATCTGACATTAGGCATGAGCTTCAGTGGTTTCTGAAGGCCTCGATAAAATTAGACTGGACAGATCATTCTGTAGCTCAGAGAGTGTGTGTCATAAAATAAACTAGGAAAGCAACACAAAGGAAAGAAGGAAAAGGAGCTATGGAAGTAAAGGGCAGAGAGTCAATTTACCATCATTGCACTACGGGGAAGAAGCCAGTCTGGGCTCCTAGGATGGGGGATTCACAGTCAGGAGTTCTCATGATTGTTCAGAGCCATGCAGGAAACTCCTAACCTCTTCTCCAAGAAGGTAGAAGCCAGTTGTGCAATACCAACCCTTCAGGGTAATAGGCTCCCTCCCACCAACCCCCAGAACTCAGCCAGAGGTTGAGGCTATTACAGCTGCTTGGCTCAGAAGACTAAAAGGAAGCAGCAACATAGCACCACGTTCCCATCCACAAGTGAAAACAAAGCAGAGTCTCAGCTCCCTAAGGCCTGTGTGCACAGCTCAACAAGCTGTGACCTGCCCAAAGCAATTATCTGCCTGTGCACCATGGGTGAGCAGAGCAGTCAAAACTGGCTCATTTCCATTGCCAGGCGGAGCCACTGGGTGGAAGGACCTCCCTAGATCCAAGTGAACTGGTTTCATCTACCGCTGCTCTACTAATTAGTGTTCAGGTTTAAGGAGAAACAAAATAAACACAACCTTTCACAAACAGGTAAATTAGAGGTGGCTATTTATGGAATCAAAGACTTATTCCAGACAACTCTCCCAATATATATAAGTGTTTGCCTGCAGCTTATTAATGAGTAGGTCAACCAGGAGCACAGAAAAGCAAAGTTAAAAAGTGAAGAGCTACTGCCAGATGACATGCTCACACAACTTGAGGTACCCCAAAGATCCACAGCACCCTTCCGTTCCTTGGCTCAGATAGAAATGCCTGTGCGGACAATGTTCAGCTGAGATCCCAACCAAGTCTTCATATGTGGTAATTTCCAATGTCAACAGAGTCTCTTAAGACTCAGCCATAGGCTCATTTCTTATTTATTTTTATATGCACATTTTAAAAGATGGGTACATTTTTAAAGACATGAGGTGAAGGGAAGATAAGAAACTAATTACATCCCACAAAATATGTGAATTACTTACTTCATTCTGAGAGGATTACAAATTATGAGGCAAGTAAGAAGTCTTCCTTTCTATCAACTGTTGCAAAACAGGGGTTCGTTGGCTGACAGTGTTTTAAAAAAAATGATGGAGTTGTCAACATGTAATATAGAGAGATGTGGAATGTAAATGTGATTTTTTTTTTGGGAAACAAATTAAGACTTCCTGCTGATACTGGGCCTACCTGCTTCCACACCTGCTGCTGGCAGTGCCTTTTTAGGAGAAGGGGCAGGTAGAATCCACTGTTCCTCCCCGTCCACATCCCCACCGCTCCCACACATGCTGCTTCTCTGAATTACTGACCTACCCAGACCCATGGCATCTTGTAATCTCTGTTTTGAATGTACTAGCTCTGAGAATTAATATTTGCTCTGAAAGGTTTGTTTTTCTGCATCAGATTCAATATTTACTCTTCAGATAATAGGGAAATTTAAGTGGTACATCTGCAATTTATACTGGTGGGAAGATCTCAGAAAGGATTATTCTTAAGGGCCCATACTAACCTGGACAGTTCTGTAAAATTAGGAATAGTAAACCTCACTCCCATCTCATAAGCATGCCACCATTACTACCACCACCACCATTAACACCATCTCCACCATCACAGTCGTCACTACCACCCTCATCTCCATCATCACCACTGCCACCACTATAGTCACAACTGTCATCTCCTCCACCACCACCACCACCATCACCATCACTGCCACTACCATCACCATCACAACCACCACACCACAATCACCACCATCACACCACCACCATCAAACCACCACCATCACCACCACCATCACACCACCACCACCACCATCACACCACCACCATCACTACCACCATCACACCACCACCATCACCACCACCATCACACCACCACCAACACCAACACCATCACACCACCACCATCACCACCACCATCACACCATCACAGCACCATCACCCACCACCATCACACCATCACACCACCACCACCACCACCACGATCACACCACCATCACACCACCACGATCACTACACCATCACACCACCATCACACCACCAACCACCATCACACACCACCATCACACCACCACCACCACATCACACCACCACATCACACCACCACCATCACCACCACCACCACCATCACACCACCACCATCACACCATCACACCACCACCAACACCACTATCACACCACCACCATCACCACCACCATCACACCACTATCACACCACCACCACCATCACACCACCATCACACCACCACCATCACCACCACCACCACTACCACCATCACCACCACCACCATCACCACCACCACCACCAACACCATCACCAACACCATCACACTACCATCATCACCACCACCATCACACCACCACCATCACCACCATCATCACACCACCACCATCACCACTCCTTGTTTAGCTAGACTTGGAATGTCAATGGCCATCCCTAACTAGCCTACTAAAACCTTTTGGGGGGATTATTTAAGAATGACATGAATTTTAAAAAATCTGCTTAGGAGGGGTTTGTTCCTGGGCAAGAAGCATTCTTGTGGGTAAAACACTGGGATTTCTGAGAAAGGTACGCTGGCAACACTCACTGAGAAGAATGGAGGAAGGAGGCACTCAGGAAGCTAGAAACTTGAAGGCAGGGAAGGAGTTAGGAACCCATGTATGCCACAAGAGGGCCTTCTGTGGAGAGTTTTAACTTGGAGGATAATTCTCCCTTGGAATATGGAGCATGAAGCACGGGAACCCTCAAATTTAGACAGAGGTTTTTCTACTGTATTGTAGTTGCTGCAGTCCCTAATAAAGTCTGATGCATTTGTGTAGCCTTGTGAGGTGGTGGTGTGAGGAGGGGCAGGGACAGGCCAGTTGATGAAATCTGGCTGCTTACTGGTCTGCTAGGGCTGCATAACCGAGGAACATAGACTAAAGTGCCTGAAATGACAGAAATTTGTTTTTTCACAGTTCTGGAGGCTAGGAATCTGAGAAGGTAATGACAGGGCTTGGTTTCTTACAACACCTCTCTCCTTGGCTTGTACAGACAGCTGTCTTTTCCCTCTCTCTTCAAATGGCCTTCCCTCTGTACATATCTGTGTCCAAATTTCCTCTTCTTATAAGGACATTAGTCAGCCATATTGGATTAGGGCTCTTCCCAGTGACCTCATTTTCATTTAATGACCTCTTTAAAGACTCTTCTTTCCAAATCCAGTCACATTCTGAGTTACTGGAGGTTAGGATTTTAACACATGGATTTTGGTGGTGGGAGGTGGTGCACAATTCAGCCCATAATACGTGCTTTGCAGTTACTCCTCTGCTGAGTCCAAGCTGGTACCCACCATGTGGACACAGCATCCTCTCAGATGGGCTTGGTCTTGGAGCTCAGGGCACAGCCCAGCAGCAGAGTGAGCCTTGTCCAGAGCTGGGTGGATGGGGCAGGCCAGAGTATCGGGCTCTGAGGATTAGCTGAGGGGGTGGTGGATGGACAACCAGAGTATGAGAGAAAACCTGCTCTTCAGATGCATAGAGACTGATCCTTGAGGCTGGGTTAACTTGACACCTGGGTCAATCCATTATTACAAAATGAGAGCGAGAAAAGATGATTCAATTTGCCACATTTCAATAAGCTGATGGATATTGGTAGCCATATTTGTTCCATAAAGAGAGAAAGACCTATCCTGGGTACTGCCATGAAGTAGTTGTATGACCTTGGATCACTCTCCTCTTTTCTAGGTCTCAGTTTCTGTATCTATATAACGTGAGAGCACAGTTAGGAATATACGAATTAATAACAGTTTCTTGATGCCAAGACAGCAGCTAATGAAAGTAGCTCCCTACTTGATCTGCAGTTTAGTACTCTAGGAGACCTTACTGTGAAAGTCAAAGGAAAAAATGTCCAGTGGGAAAACCACACTAATTCTAAGAAGAAAACCTTAGTACTTGGCCCAATGCCAGGCCTTGAACAGTCATTCGATAAAGCTTTTATGAAAGGAAGTAAAAACAGAAAGAGTGCATATCTATTAACTATCGAGGTTGATACAATAAGAATAAGAATGTGAACAAATGAGAGAATGGAAGGAATGAGTGGAAAGAGGTCAGCAGCTGTGTCACAGGGCATTAATTGTGTGTGGTGCCTCCTGGGAGCTCTGGAGCACAGAAGGTGTCATCAACTCTCCTTCTGACGCTGATGCCTGCTCCATGCTGCTATTTTTATGCACAGACATGCCATTTTTTGAGGGCCCATGGATACTTCCTGTAGAGTTCTCTGAAGGTGGCAGAAAGAGATGCCTAAGAAGAGAAACTTCCATTTTTCTTGAAGTTAAATTATGAAACTGTGGACTGTTTAATGGGTTGAAATGAGCCTGCAGTTCTTCTCTACCAGAAATTATCATCATTTTAAAAGCAGATGCTTAGCAGATGCTTTACCAAAGGAAGAAGCTGTTAAGGGTGTGCTCTCAGCAAAGAAATCAATTTGCATCCTAAGGCAAGAGAAAATGTTATAAAAACTTAATAAAGAACAATATTTTTTTCCCTCAGAAAATAAAACTATAAAAAGGGATGAGAACTTCAGACAGGAAGAAAAATTATTCACATGAGTTGTATGTTACAGAGGACAATGGATGAGTTTGTTAAAAAAGACAGATACTAAATAATATACATTCCTATGGATCTAGTCTATTCCTCTGTAATCTGTTATTCATACTGACTTCACTATTACATTTAACCACATTCTCTGGGCTGTTCCAAATTCTATGCATACATATGACATAATTGCTCATCCACTGTCTTTACACTGGTTACTGGGCCTTGTCATCTTCTTTTTAATTTTTTTTTGATTTGCAAATAAAAAACACTCTCTGTGTTCTCTTTGGGAGACTTTTATCAGAACCATCCAGCCCTGAACACAGAAGCATTTCAAGATCAAAAGGGAGGCAAATAATACTCTTCAGCAAGCAAGATAAAGATTCACACATAATTAAGCCAGGACTATAGGATTATTTAAGTAGATGTATCTTTCAAGAATAATCGAAGTGCTATAAGCTTTTCAAACTGCTGGAGCCAGTCCAGGAAAAGAAAGGGAACTGGCAGTGTGTTTGTGGAGGACAAGGGGAGGAGGAAGTAGATGGAAAAGAGGGAAAGGGCAAGCAATAGGTTACCAGCATCTCTGTGTGCCAGGCCTTCCATGCAGTTTATCTGTGAGGCAAGTTTATTAACCCCATTTTCCAGATGAAGAAAAGGAGGATCAAAGTTAATTTAACGTGGCAACGCTCATGCAGACGAAAAGAAGCCGAGCATGCCTTCTTCCTGTCTCTACATCCATGCTCTGTCTTGCATGTTAATTCTCTCCCCTTCAAGGTCTCATTGAGGAGTGAAATAACGTCTCTTAATGTAAGCATTCATTCACACACTTATTAAGCGTCCCTTGTTTCCTGAGTGCCAAACAGATGCTTGTATACAGAGATGACTAAGACATTCCATGCTGACCATGGCTACCATTCATGGAACATGTACTGTCTAACAGACAGCGTCCTGAGCATGCTTCACCTGTCATTTAATCTACTCTTTATACCAACCCTATGGTAGGAATTGTTATCCCCACTTCACAGATGAGAGAAAGGGGATCCAGAGAGGTTCAATAGCCCATCTAAGCTCTGTGAACAGTACCAAAATACAATCACAGGCACACCTGAATTTAACATCTGAGCTTTCCCACACTACCTTAATTCACTGTCTTGATAAATCAAGTTGCATGCCCACAGGGAGCTTAAACATCTCATAGGTAAAAAACAAGGAAAGAAAACCAAAAACACCCACCCAAAACAACAAAAAAACACAATCCATACAAGTGATTATATAATAAGACAGAGTTAGTGCATTTATTTCCTGTTTCACAGCTGCCTTCTCTGATAATGAAGTAATCAGAGCTAAAGTCACAACCAAAAAACTAAAACGTTAATTCACTGTTTCATTTACGTGTCCATTATCAACTCTTGGCATCTGTATGCTGGAATTAGTCTTCTATCTCCACTATAATCATAACTGGGTATCAAGGAAGGTATACGACTTTGAACAAATGAGCTAAAAATTCTACATTTTTGCATTTTATGGTAGGAAGAGAAGATCAGGCCAATATTTTCACATAACAGACTTCCAAACCAGGCAAGAGTTAACACTTAGAATTCACTGAAGAAGTATAAGCTGTACTTGTGAATTTGCCTACAGTTCTTTGCTGCTTTTGTTGCTTTAGCAAGTCTTTGGATTCTGATAATGACAACCCTCCTTTTATAGTAACAGATTTTAGGCAAATGCTCTACAGACTGAAAAACCCTTGCAGCCCATACACCATCAAGCTAAATATCTTAAACCAATGTATAGATGGAGTGTCAGCAGTATACAACTAAAGTGCTTTCTACCATGGGGATAGCAAACTACCAAGAAATCATTAATGTCCTCCTGGTTATCTATTCAGCAGTGTACCTGCCAGGTCAGCTTCTAAATGGGTCCTTTCAAGAAGAGTCAATTTTATTTTATTGGGAAGGACAGATATGAAATAGAGCCAGAAGGTTAATATGAGTTTAAGAGGAGCATAAGGTTATCTCGGCAATTAAACACTCTCCAGGAGGTTAATTACCCACACCTAGGCCTTACAAGTCACAAAATATATCAGCAGTTTCAAAATTTTGTGTATAACAGACAACTCTATTCTACATTCTCAATGATACCATTTCACTTATTTTCTGCAGGACTAAGTTAAAGTAATGTTCCTTCTATGGTCTATTTAGGGAAAAAAAAGAAATGTTCAAACTCCTGCAGCAATGTCATATAGAAGAAAAAATGTGGCCAAAATTGTACAATTTTAGGGAGTGAGAGTGAGACAGTGTGCATAAGAGAGAGAAAAAGAGAGAGAGGACAAAGGGAGAGAGAGATTGATATTGAACTGGTTTCTGAAAGCCTTAGCAGATTTATTAAATGAAATGGTGTGTGTGGCGAGCTTGGAAGCTGGATAGGGCAACGAGGTTGCTGGAGGGCAAGTTGGTATGATTCTGATTACCTGTGGTTTAAAAATCTTCACTCCAAAGATCACAGAAAAGCCAGTGTGCTGTTGCTAGCTGAAATCATGATAGGATTTGTGTTAGACCTACTTGATCCACTGCCCTTACCCTCATTCAAACCACCCTCATCTCTCACCTGGATCTCTATAGAAGCTTTCCACATTTCCCTGCTGCCACTGGTCACCCTCAGCCCCCACCCCAAGCCGGTCTCTGACCAGCAGGGCAGCCCGCCATCACTTATGATGGCAGTCACATCATGTCACCCCTGCTTAAAGGCTTTCCACTGCACTCAGGAAAAATTCAAAATCCTTACCATAGTCCCCTCTGTTTGCCTTTCCAATCTGCTTTCCTATAACCTCCGCTCCCATCCCCACTCTGCCTTTACACTCTTCATCACAGTGGTCTTGATTCTATTTCTTGAACAGAGTCTTGGCATCATGTCATCAAATGCCATGTCAAACAAGTCTACTAGTCTACTGAATGTTGCCTGTCACCCCCCGCTTTCAGGCACTATCATGGAACTTTCTTTTAGTGGCTTCAGAGAGCTTCTTTCTGAAGTTACAGCATTTATTCATTTCCATGTGCTTCCCCATCCTTCCTGCTCACTTTGTGTCCCCAGGACTTAGGGCAGTCCCTGGTACACCAGGTGAGTCCAGGGCTTGCTACCTGGGGCTCCTTCTGCATTTCAGTGGTCTGGAGCTTCTACCTTTCCTGGAGTGGGGAGGTGCTGTTAAATCTTTAGAAAGCTTCTGATATTATGTCATCATGTGATAATACTTAAAACCACAACAATCAACAATGATAACCACACTTTACTAAGCACCTACTTAGCACCACTGGACTGGATGTTTTACATGTATTTTATAGTTTAATCTCCCAACAACCCTATAAAGTTGTTAATTGCTATGCTGTCCTACTTCCCTCTGCAGATGATACCAGATACAAGTTGAATATCCCTAATGTGAAAACCCAAATTCCAAAATGCTCAAAAATCTGAAACTTCTTGAGTGCCAACATGATGCTCGAAGGAAATGTTGAATGGAACATTTTGAATTTTGAATTTTTGAATTAGGGATGCTCAACTAAGAATACCGAAAATATTCCAAAATACTAAACATTTCGAATCCCAAGCATTTAAAAAATTTTTTTATAACAATGCATAATAGATGTACATAGTTTCAAGGTACATGTGATAATTTAATACATTCATGTACTTGTAAAGGTCAAATCAGTGTACTTAGGTTATCTATCATCTTAAACATTTGTTACTTCTTTATGCTAGAACCATTCTAATTCTTCTCTTCTAGCTATTTTGAAATATGCAATACATTATTATAAACTCTAGTCACCCTAATGATCTATTTAATACTGAGTCTTATGTCTTGTATCACACCATATGTTTGTACTAATTTATTAACTTCTCTTCATACTTCCCACCCCTTCCCAAGCATTTTGGATAAGTGGAGACTCAACTTGTACTAATCAATGATATTCCAGACCCCAATCTGTGTTAGTCCAAGGTACTAAAACATTACTCAGTATTTATGTAAGTCTGTAGAGGATGTGAATCCATTCAGGGTTCTTTGGGGAGTGAATTCAAATGCTTGGAAAATACTCTTCCTCTTTGCTCTGCTATAGATCCGTCCTGTGACAGTCACACTGCACCACAAACCTCCTGATGACAGAGACGACCTTGCAAGGGACTGGGCCATAAGTGATCTCAGCCAGACTCCTCAGATAATGAGACACCCTTCCTGCTTCCTTCTGGGAAGTAATGGGTTCAACTATCTAAGAACACAGCCTTTCCAGGTGTCCTGGACTGTCTTCTGGAAAGGAAAGAAGCCCATGAATATAATATAAGGTCTTATTTTTCTGGCAAATGTATTTAAGTTCTGGACCAGGTAGGTACTGCATCCTGTTAAAAGGATTTTGAAAAAAGAATTACTATAATTATTTTTTTTGGCAGCCTGGAGCCTTTTATCTTTATGAGATGATAGTAATGTTTTAAAAGGATTATCATAGTATTGTATGATGATGATAATAATAATAATAATCCTTTATTATATCCAATGCTTTAAGAGTTTTAAAAATACGTTGATACAAAACAGAAGGTTTGATCCTAAGAGTGATCTTTTGAGGTATAAAGGATTGTAATTGTTTGCCAAATTTCATAGTAGGGGAAACTAAGGTTCAAGGCAATTAAATAGCTTCAAGCTATTCACAGCAGGGCAGCTTCAAGACCCAGGTAGCCTGATTCCTAGTCCGGTGTTCTTTAAATAAATCATGACTGGTGAGCTAATTTAAAGGAGTAGACCAGAAGAGATTCTATCATCAGATTTGAAAGGTGTGTTTGTGTGCATGTGCACGTGTGTGTGTGTGTATGTGTGTTTGTGTATGTGTTAGGAGGGGTAGTGGATTCCAGAAAGTGATTCTTAGGAACTAAAAGATTATTTTAGAAGCGTAGACACATTATAAAACCTTAACAGAGCCTTGAGTTCTAAGCATCGTCATCTGTTTCATATCACACAGTCACAATTAAATCACGGTGTCATACAAACTACCCAGGCTTCAAGCTTCCCAATAAAGACACTCGATGCTTAAAGAAAGAATGTGCTGCAAAGCTCTTTCATATTTATTTTCTCATCTCATAGCTTTTTATTCTCTCTCCAGAAATAACACTTTTAGAGTTGATTTTGCTGTAGTTTCTGTCTTAATGAATTAAAGGAGTCCATTTTATGGTTTCAGCAATAGTCATCTCTGGCAGTGACTCAACCAGCAGCTTTCTTTTTCTCAACTCTCTCCCCACGAAAAGAAAAGAGGAAAGCAAAGCTTCCTCATAAATGGTACACTGACGCTCTTTCTCTTTTTACGTCTGTGGCCCCCGTGGCTCACAGGGCTCTGCTCCTGAACTTTCTTTTCTGATTATTGACACGAGGGCCTGAAGTCAAGGCAGAGACGGTGATACACCATTGCCTTCAGCAAAAGGCAAAGGCTGCCCTACCACCCTGGCTCAGCACACAGGAGCATGTTGGGAAGAACACACTAGAAATCCCTAAATTCAGAACATAGCAGCCCAAGAGAAATATCTTCACTTTGATATCCACTGTTCAAATATATTGAAGGTGTAGTTTATGTTGAAGGTTAAAGAAGTTTAGTGAAAGTCAGTTTTAATGAATTTCAGTTCCCTCTATGCGCTTACCTCCAGAAAATGTTCTGCCTGCTGTTCTCGATCCAATTTCCTTGAAGTTGTTGTAATCAGACCTGTGTAGAAATGAGAATATTTGACTTTTAAATATCTGGGGCAAACAGCTTACTGAGTGTGGGGAAACAAGTCCAGTTAAAGGAAAAGCAAAAGTGGTATGGAACTGTAACTTTCCAATCCCCCATGACAATCAGAATGGTCTCAAGAATTATTCTTAAAAGAAAGTAAAATTTACAAAGAAAACCTGAAAAATTGTTTCAGCCTGTCTACCACAGTTGGGGTACATCCCACTTTGGGGATGTAAAAAATCACTAAAAAAACTTCTGTTTTTAAGATAATGAAGAATTCCAATGATTCATTTGCATATGACTGAAATTCTACAGTAGAAACCTCATTAAAGATTTTAGAGTTCCTGAACAATTAATAGGTTGTTTATGCTGATTAGATTCAGACTATGAAACAGTACTTTCTTACTTAACTTTTATATGCACATATAATTTTTGTTATACTTGACAAAGAATGTTGTAATCGCTACTTGTACACATAATTATTTCATATTTAATAACTTACACACAAAAGATTTCATACTGTAATTTTATCATTTTGTTTTATGTGTTTGAATCTTTATACAAAACAAGTTCCACATGAAAAATATCTACCTTTTCTTCCAATGGTGTTTCTCATAAGTGAATCACCCCTTTGAGTATAAAGACAAAGAAAAGAAAATGAGAAGACAAAACCTTCAAGGCCTCTCAGCTTATTGCACCAATTTGTCTTTTGCAGGTTTTATTATTCCTTTTGTCAAATGGCAATTAGGAGGTCAAATTTATGTTCCATTTCTTGATTCCACAATGTCCCTAAAGAGAATATGGTGTGGGCTGTTTTCCTGGTATATGCTGATGGACAATGGAGGAACAGAGAAAAATCATATGAAAAGCGTGATCCCAGTGCTGGTGAGGTAGGTGCAATGTGGAAAGGTATTTCCAGGGGCTGTGAAAGAGCCCTTGACCTCAAGCTTCTGTCTTATACAGAAGTGGTGGGTGGGAGCACACAGATTTTAGAGAAAGCCAAGAAGATACCACAGGAAATTAAATGGCTCCCCACGGCCTTCAGAATAATATCCCACTCAGAGTAACATGGCTGTTTACAAGCTAGCCCCTCCTCTCCACCTCCACACTGCCCACAGGAGGAAAACCTGTGTTTCCAGTGTATAAATGATCTAACTTTCCATGAATTCATTCTGGAATGTGCCCCACAGAGTTTTTTCTTTATCTTTTTCATTGTAAACTGACAAGTTGTAGGTATATATATATATACACATGGTATATATATATATAGTAAAAAATGAGCTTATGATTCAAGCATACCATGTGAAATAATTAAATCAAGTGAATTAACATATCCATCACCTACAATACTTATCATTTTTTTGTGGTGAGGACATTTGAAATTTATTAGCAATTTTGAAATGTACAATACACTATTATTAACTATATTCACCCAAGCTGTACGTTACTACACTGAGCTAGATTTTTTAAGTTTAGCTCAGATGTTAGCCTTTGCTGACCCTGTTTAACAGGGTTAGGTGGCCATCTGCTCTGCCCTCATATAACCAGTGCTCTCCATTATTGATCTCTGCCTTATACTAGAATCCTTTGTTCACATGTCAGTATTTCCTCGCTAGACAAATTGACAGAGTTACTTCATGGGATGGGCCTGTCTTTTGATTCGGAAACTCTGATGCCTACCTAGTTCCTCACCTAGAACAAAGAATAGGAACTCATTAATGCTTAGTTAATGAAAAGTTGCTCTGGAAGAGATCTGCTGTATTCTATTCTTCAGTTTTGCTACAGACTTGGAATGTGTTTGTTTAGGAGGGTATTGTTTTGTGTGTGGAGGGTGTATTTGTGGGTGGGAAAGGCTTGTGTGACATGTGTACTCATAAAGTTTGCAGAGTTCCTCTGTGTGAATGAGCAATACTAGGCACTCTTGGATGTAAAGAGCTACTGTCTGAGATTAAGGAGGAAAGACTGCCACCAAGAAGGTCAAGGAGGATGAGTAACTTTCCTTCCTTAGCTGACCATCGGAATCACCAGGGAAACGTAAAAAACATGGATTTTTGTCTCCCTGCTCCATCCCTCATTTACTGTATCAGAATCTCTTGGGGTGAGGCCTGTGACGGTCCTCTGATTCTAAGAGTAAAGTACTATCCAATTCCACTATCTTTCACTGAATCTCACTGTGACTTTTTATTGACCTTACTTCTTCTGACCAGACAGGCCCAAGAATGAAATACACTGAGCTGCTCTAGCATCTAGATCAGAGCATTGGGCTCAGTGGGTGTGGGTGTGGGGTGGGGTGATGGAGATAGCCTGTGAGTGCCTGCTGTGGGGAAGTGAGGAGAGGAATAAAGGGCAGCACATCGCTCTGAGTCACATTGACAGAGGGTCTGTGTGGTCACCCCAGTGGATGTCTAACACACATATCTGACACCTTCATTTTTGGGCCATTCTATTGGACAAGGTCATATGTCACAGAGGCTCTTTCAAAGTGGGGAGTAACTTTCTTCTCACAAGGCAGGGGAAGCTTTCATGGAGCCTCCCCTCTCCTGTGTGTGGGCTCCTCTATTAGAGTCCACAATAGGAATGAGACATGCTTGTTATATTGAGGCTATAAATGAGTCAAAGGGCTGTTGGCCTTCACCCTGCTGCTCTTCCGGCCACAAAAGACCAGGACCCCTTTGCCCTCTGTTCCCCTGGGGACTCTCTATCATCACAGGTGCTCCTTGCCCAGGGTCACATGGCCACAGCCCATTGTGGTGTGGCTGTGCACAGGGAAGAGGTCAGCTTCCTCTCCTGATGATTCTCAGGGCGATTCTTTAGGACATTCACTTGTTTTCACAATGCCTACATGTAACTGGGAGAGCTGCAGGGTCCCCTTCACCTTCATACCTTCACCTGGATGTGTTTCTCACATATTGATCAGCCAACAGAGAGAGACAGGCTTCCTGAAAAGTCTGAAACAACATACACAACAGTGAACTTGGAGCTGTGAGGAAGACAAGCAGTTTCTGTTCCTGGAGTAAAAAGACACAGGAAAGCCTCTGCAGGTTACAGTTCTCTTGGCTTCTACCACCTTTATTTTCATAGATATGAAATAAAAGGCAAGAAATAAAATGTAACTTAAAAGTGGAAATCGGTAGGAAATCAGATGAGGTGGTATGGGGATAGGGAGTGTCTGCTAATGGGTACAAGGTTTCTTTTTGAAGGGATGAAAATGTTCTAAAATTACAGACTATGGTGATGGTTGCATAATTCTGTAAATATTCTGAAAACAATTAAATTGTATCCTTTGAATAGGTGAAGTTTATTGCATGTAAATTATATGCTAATAAAGCTGTTAGAAAAATCACTAGAAAATCATAAACCCTGACTTTAAGGTTTTAATAAGTCTTTTATGTTTGGAAAAGGTAGGCTCTTAAAAATATTTACATGAATGAATGAATGAATGAATAGGTTAGTTAGTTTAGGCCTCAGGCATGAAGAAGGGTTGAAATGAATAGAGCTGATTGGGCTTGTCCATGGGAATCTGGAACATGGAAACATTGAAATTTTACGGTTACAGCAACAACTGGTAGTTATTTGCAGTTGAAAATAAATAAATACATCTTGTTATCAAAATCTTGATAAAATAAATCTTTTTATCAAGCCAGGGTCAGCTAAACCACTAAGGTGTAAAAGCTTTCCTCCTGCTCAAAGTACCTACTTACGATGAGCTACGGCACCTCAGCAGCACTGCCATTTTTTACAGTCAGAAAAGAATGCAGTGAGCCATCCTTCCTGGCCCAGAGGAATTAGTTAAAATGACCAGTGCTACCTCTTCATTTATAATAACTTTGTTGTAGCTGAATGCATTTGGAACAAATAGAGAATAAGACAACAAGACAATAGAGAACAAGAAAAAATACAGAGAATAGAGAACAAGACAAAACAGAGCAACCTCCCTCCTCAACCACTCTGACTCATCACTGGGGAAGGCAACCCCATTCTGTAATCTATACGAGAGAGGTGTGTGCATTACACATGTAACTGTAGACCCACTGGGCACAGTAAATTGGGGACTGACATGATGAAACTGAATTTCAAAGATAAATCATAGGCAAGCTTTTGAATGTGGTTTGGAGATATAAACAAACACATCATTTGATATAATTACATATGCAAACCTCCAATTTAGGAGGGGAAGTATGCCAGTCCTAAGTGAATGATACTCAATAAGGAGGTGGGGGAGACATATGGCTGGAACTGTGCAATTACTTTTAAAATGGCTGCTTTTGATTTTTTGTTATGGAGATGGAAGAATCTAATGACCTCTCTCTGAGAAACAGCCTGAGCATGAAAATGTGGCTGCCTGTTCCAAACAGAATTCAAAATGTTCTAAGTAGTTATGGTCAGAGAAGTGATACTTGTAAGGATGACTTCTTTTCCCTGATTTTTCTGCCTGTGGGTGTCCTGGGTCGCAGCTGTGTAATCTGCTGCCATGACATTCACATTTTCTTTAAGTGCTACTTGAAGAAATGCAGGTCTTAGCTGTTTCAGCATAATTCTCCAAGACTGTTGGAAGCTGGGTTTGGTATTTTAAAAATACAACTAGAATTATCAGCTTTGTGAGCGACAATTAATTCTTTCCTCTGTGTTCTTCACATCCCATCCCCTATGCTTCTCACTTCTTCATGTCTGTACCCAGCTATCTGGTAAACCCTTCACCATCCTTTCAGACAGTTGAGTTGTTACTTTCTATGTGAAGCCCTCTCGGACCTTTCCTTACCTGGCATGTTGCATGTAATTAATTCATTTATCATCTGAATCTCCATCTAGACTACAGCTGCAAAAGGCAAAGGCTTTGGGTCTTTAAACACAACTAAGCCCACAACTTAGATCAATGCCTCCTCAATTTTTTGAATAAAATACTACTTTTGCAGCACACAACATTTTGCTCTAATTATTTTCCAAACAGTCAGTCTTCCCTAATAGGGCACAAGCAAAAGGGTGGTGAATAAATCTTATTCATGTTGTATTCCTGGTGTTTAACACAGAAACTGGCACATTGTAGGTACCAAGCAAAATTTATCTGAATGAAGGTGATGTGGATGTAGTCTTCCAGAACTCTCAATGTTATTTTATTATACAGAGTGGCCATAATGGTTCCAATGCATGGGTGTTAAAGCTGTCTGAATGCTCTCCTCCATCCTTTGAATAACTTTAATGTTTTCCTGTTTTTTGGAGGTCATCAGAGCAATTCCTGATAGCCTTTTAAAAATTTTTTTCAGCAGCTGATTAAATATTTTTAATCTTTAATCTTATGCACAAAGGATTTGTGGCCATTCCATTGTTCTCTCCCATCCTGATTTCTACCTAATTTAGGGAGAAAAATAGGATAATAATAATATAGTTGTATCCAATATTTATTGAGTACTGAATATGTGCCAGGCACCATATTAAACAGTTCATATACATAATCTCATTTTATCTCACAATAGTTCAGATATCATATAGTCTAAGAATATACATTACATGGTTGCTTTTTTAAAAAACAGACCTAATACATGTCTTTACCACAACTTTAATTTTTCCTCTAACTCTGAAATTTCAGAGAAATAGGAATTATTTTGACTCCATTTGTAGGAGGAAACAGTTAAATAAACTTGCCCGAGGTTAATTTGTGATTTATGACTATACCACAATTCAAACCCAGCAACTCTTGGCCAGGTGTGGTGTCTTATGCCTATAATCCCAATGCTTTGAGAGGCCAAGGCAGGAGGATTGCTTGAGGCCAGGAGTATGAGACCAGCCTGGGTAACATGGTAAGACCCTATCTCTTTAATAATAATAATTAGACAGGCACCTATAGTTCCAGCTACTTGGGAGGCTGAAGTGGGAGGATGGCTTGAGCCCAGGAGTTTGAGGTTACACTGAGCTATGATTACGTCACTGCACTACAGCCTGGGTGAGAGAGAGAGGACTCTTTCTTTAAAAAAAAAGAAACCTCGTAAACCAAAAATAAAACTAACTCTGGAGCTTCTTCAGTGTTTCCTTTTTATCTCCCTAGCAGAAGATGTGGAGCATTGGCAAAGTCATCTGTCTAGGGGCCAGGAGACCTGGGTACCAGAATCGGCTCTGTCAATAACTGGTCATAAGATCACAGGAAATCATATTCCTTCTCTAGGCCTCAGTTTCTTCATCTAGGAAAGTCGTAATGCATCTTTTCAGTGTGAAGAATGTACAGTAATATAAGGAATATTACAAGAAGATCATTAGTCTTCTTCCTTCCCTGCTTTATTCCCTGAGCACACTTTCTTCTCAATGGTTCTGTGCCCGGCAGTGCAGGACCTGGGTGGGTCACCCAATCGGGAACAATACATGCTGTGTTATAGTTTTTATTTATCCACAGAATTGACATGAAATTAAACATCCTATGCATATTTCTCAAAAGGAGGAAAGTAAAAATATCAGTTAAGTACGTGCTTTTAAATAGGGAAAATACACACACTGGTTATTCCCACATTTATGATGTCTTCTATAAGATTCTGACTTCTAGAACCCCTATTTCCACCTCTTTCCCTTCAGCCCATTAAGAAGCATTAAAATATTCCCTGCAGTATTTACATATGGACATCAGGCTGTGCACTTAATTTGGAGAGAAATGAAATGCATGCATAGTAAATTCAACTTTCAGGAGTAGAGGAAAAATTAAAGTTGGAGAGAAGAGTTGTATCACATTTCCTTAAAAAATAAACAACTAAGTAATATGTATTTTCAGACTGGATGATATTTATTTGAAAAGAAAAAATACCAGAAAGAAAAAAATATATATACAAGAGCTACAACATCAGTTATAAGGGGGTTAAAAAAAGGATTCTGGAAACTACCCCCACGAGATATGCTTCTTAAGTAAGGGTTGTTTCATCAGGTTTGTAAAGACTTGGAATTGCTCAATTGAGCACATGGTGCTGCTATTAAATTTTCTTAAGAAAAGTTGAAGGGGAAATCACCCATGGAGCTTAAGCCTGCAAGTTGGACTTCTCTTCATAAATAGAGATTTCTGAGATGCTAATAGAAGCTTTAAAACTGTAAAAGTGAGGGTACATTTTAAACCAAAGTATGAAGATGCTGTGGGTCAAACATGGTTTATGGCTGTTGGTTTTCTGTAACAGATACATTTCATTTCTTTCTTTGCAAGCCAATGGATGGCATTTCTGAATTCTGCCTTAGCAGCAGGGAAATCCCAGGCAGTATTTTTCTGCCAGAAATATTTTCCCTTTGGATTCAGGATTCTGTAGCCGCTACAGGTAGCAAAGGGAACAAGCCATCCTGCAGAGGAAAACTGTAGAGGCTGGCACAGACCTGGCAACTTCCCTTCAGGCCTAGTTGACAGATGGAGTTGCCCACAGCCTGGACGGAGAGTTCTAAGGTTCAGGCAAGCCCTGCTTCCTAACTCTACTGCTACACTAGATTGATTAGAAGCATTTGGGTCAAGTCCACTTGTCATCAGAGTGAAGGGTAAGGTGGGGCCAACAAGGGAGGGAGTAGTGAAGATGATCTTGTATGATAGACAATACTTCCAAAGTCCTCCTCCTCTGTATAATCCTCTCCTGTACCCAGTGGTCTTGCCATCCTCATGCACACATGCATGCATGCATGTGCACACATTCATACAGTTAGAACCAGAGATGCTGTGTACATGCCTAATTTTACCAGAATACCTGGATACTTCCCACTCCCATCTGTTCTTCCATCAATTCCTCTCCTCATCACCAGTCTTCATGGTTCTTCCTCCCAACTGCACAGAGCCCTCCGGTTCTGCCTTCCGATTCTGCCTAGATGAGGATGCACTTATGCACCTGAAGAAGTCTCTAGGCTATTAAGTTAAACCTTGAATGCCATATTGGATTTCTTCAGAGAAATTAAGCCACAGATGGCGAACCAATACTAAGGATGTCGTATGAAATGATGCCATCTTTAGGTGCTATTTACATACCACTGATGTGCATGCTTAGATGTGCAATATGGCGCACTTCTCCCCCTTTCCCTTTCTGCCAAGATTTTTTTCATAATTCTGAATATTGGATAATCAAAATAAAGAAGCCTAAGTGACTGGCAATCTAAATTCCACTATATAGATGAATCCTAGAGATTATCTAGTCCAGGAAGCATTGTAGTATACTGGCTAGCAGTACTCAGGCTCTGGCATCAGACTGCCTGATTTCCCATCCCAGTTCTACCTCTAGGCAGCTGCATGTCCTTGGGCAGGTTACTTAGCTTCCTCATCTATAAAATGAAGCTTACTAAATTAAATAATTAAAAATGCTTAGCATGGTTCCTGGCACATACTACATGCCCAAATAATACTATTCTTATTATCAGCTCTAAGAACAGTGTGTGGAGTATCATATGTGTTCAATGGTTTAACTTTGCTTCCTTCCCACCTAAATATTTGGGCAGCAAAAGTTCTAAAACATTTAATACTCACTCTGTCATCTGACAGATAAGGAAATTGAGGCTTACAGTATAAGTAACCTGTTCAAAGACTTACTGATTTAAAAAATCCCTTTATCCATGCATGGTTACATTTTTTTGAGAGGATAATATATAATACTCTTGCTACTTGAAGCATAGCATGCATTAGCATCATGAGTGCTACTTGGGAGCTGGTTAGAAATGCAGACTTGTAGGCTCCCCCCAGACCTAGATAATGTATGCACAGGAATTTTAAGATGACTGGCTCTAGACCATGGTTGGTTTTCAAACTTGGCTGTGCCCTGGAATCACCTGGGGAGTTTTAAAAAATACTCACGTCAGGGTCCCACACCCAGAGATTATGAATTATTTGGTATGTGGTGGAGCCTAGGCATAGGTATTTTTAAAGAATTCTCCTAGGTGATTCTAATGTTCAGCTAGGGGTGAGAATGACTGTATATCTAGTTGTTATCTTCTGGATGATGGGGTTATAGTAATTACTTTTATTGGCTTATCTAAATATCTAGTTTTTCTAACATGAACAACACTCAACTTTATGAAATAAAATAATTTACAGGACAATAAAATAGAGGCACCAGGAACAGCCTCCCGTATGTCATCATCTGAATTCCACAACGTTCTGATCCGAATCCTTCCAGCAAAGGACTAAACTATGTGGTTACCATGTTTGTTTTGACTTTACTTATTAATTAATTAATTAATATTTAAAGACAGGGTCTCGCTCTGTCATCCAGGCTGAGTGCAGTGGCATGATCATAGCTCTACAGGCTGAAATTCCTGGGCTCAGGCAATACTCCTCACTCAGCCTCCCAAGTAGCTGAGACTACCGGTGCACCATCATCCCCAGCTAGTTAAAAAAATTTTTTTTTTTTTTTGGTAGAGATGTGGTCTCTAATTCCTGGTCTCAAATTCCTGGCCTCAAGGTGAGCCTCTGGCCTCAGCCTCCCAAAGTGCTGGGATTCTACGTGTGAGTCACCTTGCCCAGCCTGTTTTGACTTTAGATCTGAGGCATGCTAGGCATGCCTAGCAAGGAAGACAGGAAGCCCTGCCTTCCCATACTATACTGGCTTCCATCAGCTACAATTTCACTTCTGCATTCAGGCATACTTTCTTTTACCGCCTATAGCGTTACACACTGCCTAGCCCCATCTGGCCACCAAGATCTCCCTAGCAGAGGTGGAACACCACCTCCATACAGATGCTTTCTCTTCCCCACAAAAACACATTTGGACACAAGGCAAAAGATAAAAAGATACAACAATAAGTCTCTATATTTTCCTTCATCAAACTAACAATCCAGTGAGAGAGGTAGACACATATAAGAATCACTACAGTACAAGGCAAGATCTAACACACACCCTAGACAACTTTGAGTGTCCCTAAGAAGGAAAGATTAATGCTGAATTGTACAATCAGAAAACATAAAGGAATGAGCTGTGTTTGTACTGGGCCTTTAATGTTTAATAAGAATCTGACAGAGAAGTTGTGAAAAGTCAAAATGTCCAATCTCCATTTAAGATTAACGAGACAGAAGCTTAACAAAAACGGTAAACTTGGGTCTAAGTCCTGGCTCTGCTATTTTTTAGCTGTATGGACAAGGAAACTTACATAACTTCTCTGATCGCAGTCTTGTCATCTCTGAAATGGGGACAATACTAGGTTCCTCAGAGGCTCGGTTAGAAACAATAAAGCTGAGGTGCTTGGCACAGTGGCTTGTACTCAGATGCTGTTTAAAAAGCAGGCACAGTATCTACAAAAAGCAGTGTATTATATTTTATTTTTATTAAAAACCCTAATAGCCCTGGGGTGCTATTTCTAGCCTATATTAAAAAGGAAAACCTTATTGTATCTGGATTGTTCAACCCCCAAAATGTCTGAAAATTTAATAACCAGGAAACTAAAAGTTGAAGTTTCTTTTTGTTCAGATGAACACTCTAAAGTTCTGTAATTCCTGACACACTTGAGGTGTGAAAACAGCCACTGCACTCCCCTTAGAAATCATGTCACTGTAAATGATTTGTTTCTACATGTTTTCATCTGACAGATAAAATCAGGAGGATGGATAAAGTGCAAATTACTCAGAGAATGTGCAAAGTCTTGAAAATGCATGTGTGCTTTGTAGGCATGCAATCCTTTAAGATCATCTTTGCTCTATAATTTATACAAGACCCCTTAGGTAGGAGTGATGTTTTGAAACTCAATTTTAAAAACCTGGAAAAAATATCACTCGTATGGAAAGCTTTGAATGCTGTCAGAAGACTGATAATGCTTTTTTTTAAAAAAACCCACATATTTTCCAGTTAATTTTCACTTAATTCAAACTTGCCCTTTTGTCTTAAATTTATATTTACATTGTAAAACCCCATTAGTTTTCATTTCACCTGTCTGAGAATATATAACAGTTCCAAAGCTGGTTGGAGTTTACCTTTGCACTACCTAGGTAAATTAACAGGATGAAGAGGTCTCAGGGGAATATTTATTGTACTCAAGATAAACCATTTGCAGAGCACTTCAATTTTAACAACCACCATTTTGATGTTGTAATTGCAAACAGCCTATGTAACTATTCATTAGAATCTGTCCAAGCAGGTCTTTTGTTTGGCAACACTATGCTAATATTAGCATTAACCTTATGTGTTTATTTGAGAGCAGTAAATATGTGTTTCCTGAAATATTCTAGAAATCCACATTTTCAGCTGCTACAACGTGCTCCTCAGAGTCTGAATCAGTGGCATTTCACTGTCTTTCTGTTCTCAGGGAGGAAGTACCATCTCTCATAAGAATGATACAATTTGTGCTTAATCATTTACCAATACAACTTTGGGCAAGTCTTTAAAAATGTGCACCTCAGTTTCTTCCTCTGTAACACAGCAATTATTTTATGGAGGAGCAAATAATCTCTTCATCACTAGGGGTAACATATGATATTTTTCCCATATAAACTTAAGTGGAAACAAAGGAGAGATTAGTATTATTTATAACTGCTTTATAACTCCTTGGAAGAAATGCTGAATAAGTCAGGGAAGAAGCCTTGTATTTTCCCTCTGCTCTTTAGCAGGGGACTTCATAAACAATTCCTTTATACCATTTTGTATTCTGTTTACATGTTTTTTTCTGTCAATAGACTGTGACTTCTCCAGGGCAACCATATTTTTATTCACTTAATGTTCATTAAAGGAATACCTTTTAAGAGCCCAGGCTACTCATTGTATCTTTTGTGCTTAGCACAGGGCCTGGCATATGAAGGGCATCAATAAATATTGGTCTATTGACTAAATAAACTATAATAATAATAATAAATAATTAAATATATAATATATAGTAAACACAATCAAATAAATATATAATAATGAAATGTGTATGTACGCGTGTGCACACACACACATGCTTCCATCCAAAGCAGGTAATGGTCTATACATATGGGAATATTCATTTAGCATTTATATTATGGCTTGTAAAGACTTTTTGGGAAAAGTTTCCAAATTCAGAACGAATTATGTGCTGCGATGATTATTGCTATGGGTTTTTAACATAAAATGTTACAGGTTCATAAAAAGCCATGTTTTTTGGTGTCATGTCAGAGTCTGCAGTCTGTTTGGTTAATTGAGGTTAATGGAGGGAAATGGCAGATTGCCAGTGCTAATGAGTTTATCTTGATTCTTTTTGATATGTATTTTATTCCTCTTTTGTTTTTACTTTTTGTTTAACTAAATTATGTTATTTAAACAAGAATCTGTCATGTGTAAGTAGGGATTGATAACCTATCAGAGAGGGCTCAGCCCATGTTTCATTTCTCAAAAAACATTTTAAAAAAGGAAAAGAGAGGTTACAAAAAATAGTCAGTCTCTGATTTCTGTAGGTCCACCAAGCACCCCACGATACATATCAAGATGGAGGATAAGACAAAGCGCCCTGTAGGATCACACTCCCTGGCTGGAGTTTGATGAGTTAATCCTTCCAAAACTCTACTAAGAATCTAGCAAGAAATGTGCTAAAGGCATATATCATCCATGTCTTATAGAAAAGATGAGCTAGGTGGCATTTTAGTTTCTTGTTCAGAAAAGAAAAAGAAATGTAAATCAAATGAGAGAATCATTGAAAGAGTCAGGAAGAATCAGATAGCTGCAAATACCGGCTCTATGGGATAGGGGCTAGTATGGGGGTGTGGGGAGAGGCAGGAAGCACCAAAGACTGCCATAAGCATCTATATCTAGCTTGTTTATTCCATAGTTATCCACAGGATAAATATAACTACATATCATTTGTTGAGTGTTACATCACTAAGTAGCTAGATCTGTTCGACTCCTAAATTTGTGCCCTGAACTGGTATACTGTAATTACAGTATTTGCTTGGCTTTACTGGTTCCCTTGGTAGAAGTGGAAGAAGGTTGTTCAGATTTTCCTCCTGTTTCAGAAACAAGAACAGTGGTGGCAGACCTGAAATGTGCACACCCCATGGCAAATTTAAAATTAAGAGCTGCAACTGGCAGTGGGTCTGCTGGGCACTCATGTCCAGGGTCCCGGGACTTTCTTTCCTTTCACCATTACTTTTCATCCCAAGATTGATCTCCATTCCACCCATGCAGTTCAGCAATGGTCCCAGGAGAATAGGTGCAAAATGTTTCTTCTACATTTTCAGCCATTTAGCAGTCTTTCTTTGGGACTAAGGGTTTGTAATGGGTAGGTACACAAGAGGTACCCATTTAAAAACCAACTAGTCAAATGAACATGCCACCCAGATTAAAAGACATTTTCATCTTCTTTGTTCGCACTCTGAAAAATTCAGTATCTTCTGAACAAATGGCTGTGCATTGAGCCTGAGAGTGGATTTTTAAACCATTCACAGCTCTGTGTCAGTCCTTCATTCTTAGGGAAAACCAGCTCAATGCTACTGTGGTTGTAATTAGTGGATAATTAGTACTTGTACATGTCGATGCTACATGTCATGGAACTCGTGCCGGGTTTAGCATCCACTCAACAAGATTATTTAATTTTGCTGTGATTTTAATTCTTTTGAATCACATTAATGCCTTGGCACTAGAAAATCTGGGACTAGCTAGTTCAACTAAGGTTTGAAATTATATTAATGTATTTCATGTTTTCCAGGAAAAAGAAAGTTGTTGGAAGGTTTCTGTATTAACGAACTGAAGCTGCATTCCATAGTCTCATAGGCCATTTTGGGCTTAGGTTTTAAAATATCATATGTACTACAATGCCAGCCCTACCACTGGCTAGGCACTGGGGTGGTTGGCTTTCAACGGATGCTGAGAATAAGGGGAAATGGGAATTGAATAAATAGAGACATGTGGTTAGAGGATCGGGTGAAATTATGCAAAAAGTTAACATGGGGGACAGAGGGGTGAAGCCTTAACAACAGCTGGGGGTGCAAGAAAAGGCTTCCCAGGAAGGGATCTCTTGGGTTGGGATGAGTAGAAGTTTTCCAGTTAGAAAAGGAGTACTTTTACCATACTCTGATGGGAAAGGAAAATCATACAGGGAAGAAGAACCCTGGTCCCAACCCCAAGTTACCTCAGGAGACCTTAGGGGAAACCCTAGAATTTTGTTTTACATATTGTTGGAAATGGAAGAAAAGAAATATCCTTTCCTTTAGGGGCATGCAATCAGTCAGCTCTCTTAACTTTCAGTGTGGAAGTGTCTTCATACATTATGAAACAGCATTGTGGGCAACAATGGGAAAATTCCCCACTCCATTCCTGTCATCCTCAGAATAAAGGGACCAAGACCACATTAGAAAGCAAGTAAATAACCCTCACAATAAAACAGGCAGGAAATGCTGGAGAGTGCCAGTCAGATACCACTTTTTTTTTTTTTTAGAGTCTTGCTGTGTCACCCAGGCTGGAGTACAATGGCATGATCTCAGCTCACTGCAACCTCCGCCTCCTGGGTTCAAGCAATTCTCCTGCCTTGGCCTCCCAAGTAGCTGGGATGAGAGGCATGCACCACCATGCCTGGCTAATTTTTGTATTTTTAGTAGAGACTGGGTTTTGCCATGTTGGCCAGGCTGGTCTCAAACTCCTGACCTCAGGTGATCTGCCCACCTCGGCTTCCCAAAGTGCTAGGATTACAGGACTGAGCCACCGCACCTGGCCCAGATACCATTTAAATAGCACTTCCTCCCCATTCCCTTGTCCTCCTCTCAGAACACATTTGTTGGGTGACCAACCATCCCCGTTTGCCCAAGACTGTTCTGGTTTTAGCATGAAAAGTTTCAGTACTACTTCCCAAGAAATCCCTCAATATCAAGGAAACTAAGATGGTTGATCACCCTAGTTTCAGTTCGCAACTGAATGCCAAGTATTTGTGATTAACTTCCCAAATGGTAGATTGTCAAGGCTGAACCAACATGAGTGAGAGCGATTATTACGTTGGCTCTGCATCCAATGTTTTGCAGGTGAGGAAAGTAAGGCCCAGCTAGGAGCAGTGACTTAGATTCATTCAAACAATGCTTAGCTCCAATTAGGTAATGCGCCTGCTCAAAAACACTCAGAACTGCTTTATGATTTTTTTTCTTTCTCACATAATCACATGCTTCTAAAAACTCACAGCTTTTCCCTGACATAGTTAACAACCAATTAAATTGTCTGAGTATTCCCTATGTGGCAGGCAGTATGCTGAGTACTTTACATGCAAAATTTCACTGAATCCTCATAACAATTCTAAATTACTATAAGTTGCTAAATACTATTCTTACCCCCATTTTGTAGTTGAGGAGATTGAATCTTAGCAAGACCGTGTAACTTGCCTAAGGTTTTGCAATGAGTAGGTGAGAAGAGATTTGAAACTCAAGTTGTCTGACTCCAGAATCCTTATTCTTAACCACAAAGACACAGGACTCCTTTTTAAATTTTATCTTTCACTATTTCTGTAGAATTACTCCACCATGTAACCACAATATGTGAAAGTGCACAGGGATGGTTTCCCCATTTTCACACTTTATTTCTATTCTGTCTCATTCTTTCATTCACTGGAAAGGCATCTTCAGATAAGAAGCTAAGCTTGCTTTGCATTGTCCAGTGAGTTTGGGCCCCCCTCCTCCTCCCTCCCACACTGATACTGCTTCAGAAAAGTGCAAATTTGATGTGCTGGCAGTGTTTTCTGTCTTAAGCCGTTGAGCTCTTATAGGAGCAATCCAATTAAATGTCATGTGGTGTCCCATTAGCTGAAGGAGACCCTAAAGGGATTCAAATGCCATGCTTCTCTTAAGAGCTCTGCAGCACCTTCACCATTTAGATTTCTGCTACTTCCTTCTGAGGGCTTCTGCTCTTAGGTTATGGGCTTTTCCAGCTCTCCCACTTGCTAACCTCTTTCTTCTGAAAGCAAAGTCTTTACACCTCAAATACATTCTACTAAATTCACCAAAGCATTGCAAATTTATTACCAGGTTCCAGCTGCCCTGAAATTCTTCGTGTTCCTTGACCACATAAAGCTCATTTCTGCCATAAGCCTTTGCCCTTGACCTTCCCTTGGCAACACCCTTCTCCTGTCCTCCTCTCTTACCCAGATGTCTGCATGGCTAATTCTTTCTTTTTCAAACAGATCCCAGTTCAAATGTCACCTCCCAAGAGAATCCTTCCCTTCTCTGCTTACATCACCTAAAGTCTCCCCTGCTTTGTGTTACTTTCATCCATCCCTATCTGTCTGAAGTCATCCTGTGGGCATATTTGTTCACTTATCTATTGTCTAGCTCCTTCTCTAGAATGTAAGGTACAAAAAGGCATTTCATCTCGATCTTTTGTATGCATTGTCATATACATGGCAGCTAGGAGTGCTGTGGCACATACTAGGCCCTCACTAAATGACTCTTGAATGAAAGAATGAATGTCTATATAAAAAATACTTCCAAACATTGCTGAAGCCCTCCTGTCCTTGCATTTAAATATTCTGCATGCTTTTTGTCCTATTTGAATTTTCATATTGAATGTTTTTAGTACCATTTTTGACTCTACCACTAAAAGTTTCTAGATGTTTCCCATCAGGGAACTAGCAAGAAGGACAGTGAATGGGAGTCAGAAGGATCCAGGCTCAGTACCAAGCCTCCCTGCTGCCCAGTTAAATGACCTTGGGCAAGTGATTTTAAACTCTGTGAGCTTAAGCTTTTTTACCCAAACAATGAAAAAGTTTGTATCTACCTCATGGGAAGAAGAGTGAATATGAATTGAGATGAGATGTGTTGCAAGCACTTGCAATGCAACAAGTACTCAATGTGGTCCTTGCCCTTCCCTTATATAGTTATTAAGTACATTTAATTTTTTAGGAAAAAAAACCGTAAAATTCATATGGAACCAACAAAGATCCCCAAAAGCTAAAGCAATCCTAAGCAAAAAGAACAAAGCTGGAAGCATCATATTGTCTAACTTCAAATTATATTACAAGGTTATAGTAAACCAAACCACATGGTACTGGTATAAAAATAGGCACATAGATCAATGGACCAGAATAGAGAACCCAGAAATAAAGTCACACATTTATTGCCAACTTATCTTTGACAAAGTTGACAAGAACATACATTGAGAAAGGATAGCTTCTTCAGAAAATAAATGGTGTTGGGAAAATTGGATTGCCATATGCAGAATGAAACTGGACCACTGTTTCTCACTCTATATTAAAATCAACTCAAGATGGAGTAAAGACTTAAATGGAAGATCTGAAATTATAAAAATACTAGAAGAAAACCTAAAGAAAACTCTTCTGGGTATTGGTTGAGGCAAAGATATTATGGCCAAGATCTCAAAAGCATAGATGAAAAAAAAAAACCAAAAATAGAAAAATGAGACTTAATCACACTAAAAAATTTCTGCACAGCAAAATAAGTAATAAATGGAGTGAATGGACAACTTGTTGAATGGGAAAAATTGCTTGCAAACTATTTATCAAACAAGGGACAAATATTCAGAATATACAAGAAACAACAACAGCAACAAAAAAATCCCATTAAAACTTGAGTAAAGGACATGAATAGACATTTTTCAAAAGAAAATATACAAATGGCTAACAGGTATTTGAAAAAACGTTCAACTTTTTTTTTTTTTTTTTTTTTTTTTTTGAGATGGAGTCTCGCTCTGTCGCCCAGGCTGGAGTGTAGTGGCACAATCTCGGCTCACTGCAAACTCCGCCTCCCGGGTTCATGCCATTCTCCTGCCTCAGCCTCCCAAGTAGCTGGGACTACAGGTGCTTGCCACCACGCCTGGCTAATTTTTTGTATTTTTAGTAGAGATGGGGTTTCACCATGTTAGCCTGGATGGTCTTGATCTCTTGACCTCATGATCCGCCCACCTCGGACTCCCAAAGTTCTGGGATTACAGGCGTGAGCCACCGTGCCTGGCCTCAACATTATTAATCACCAAAGAAGTGCAATTTAAACCACAGTAAGATATTATCTTACCTCAGTTAGAATGGCTATTATTAAAAAAACAAAAAATACTAGGTGTTGATGAGGACGTGGAGAAAAGGGAACTCATAAATGCTACTGGAGGGAATGTATATTAGTTTAGCCATTATAGAAAACAGTATGGGGAATTCTCAAATACCTAAAAATAGAACTACTATTTGATCTAGCAATCCCACTACTGGTTATCTTCCAATAAATAAATAAATAAATAAATAAACCAAAAAAAAAATACTTGTACTCATATGTTTATTGTAGCACTACTCACAATAACAAAGCTATAGGATCAACCTAAGGAATCAACAGACGAATGTATGAAGAAAATGTATATATACACAATGGAATACTATTCAGCCATAAAAGGAATGAAATCATGTCTCTTGCAGCGACATGGATGGAACTGGAGGTCATTACCTTAAGTGAAACAAGCCAGCCAAAGAATGTCAAATATCACATGTTTGCACGATTAAATGAGTGCTAAAAAATGTGTACACATGGATGTAGAGAGTGAAATGATAAAAAATGAAGACTCAGAAGGGTGATGAGAAAGCTAGGATAATGAAAAATTAGTTAATGGATACAATGTATGTTATTTGGGTGATGGATAGACCCTAAAAGCCATGATTTGACCACTATGCAATCTATGCATGTAATAAAATTGCACATGTACCACATAAATTTGTGCAAATTTAAAAAAGTTAAAAAAGTATATTTAACTTCTATAATTTCACATAATTACCCAGATGTAAATTACTAAGCAATTAAATTATTAATTGAACATGGAGAGCTTGGAATATATTTAAGAAAGCCTTAGAGCTCTGTTTTATTTAAAAAACTCGGAGTCTTAAGGGGCCAACTATTAAAAAAAGTCATTATTAGAAGTTTGGTCTCATAGCAATGCCTCAAGATCAGCATTCTTGCTATCAGTTGAAAGTTTCTCCCAAAAGGCACGTGTGGGAAACTTAATCCCCAGTGCAACAGCACTGGGAGGCCTAATGGGAAGTGTTTAGATCATGAGGGCTCCACCTCCATGCATGGATTGATGCTAATTAATGAGGCTGGAGAATAGGGTCTGGAGGTAAAGAGCCTAAGGCCGATTCACACTGAGTTCCTAGAACTGAATCAAAAGGAAAACTCCACCTCTCCACACCCAAATAACAAAAGGCTAAGAGGCTACTCCCTTTGCACTGCCTCCCAGATGAAAAATGAGAAGTACCTCTGACTGGTCCCCTCTTGCAACCAGTCTTCATGTGCAAAGGGTGTAACTTTGTAATTCCACCTCAGCCTCTGATTGATCCCCTCCCAAAACCAATCAAACATGTACATAGGGTGTAACTCTAATTTCACTTCAGCCTCTGATTGTTTCCCTCTTGCAACCAGACATTTGCACAGGGTGATTTGTAGTTACACATTTGTAGTTACAAATTGTAATTAACTTTGAAGTCACAAAGCGAACTTTGTAACTTCACTTCAGCCTCTGATTGGTCACCTCCCACAGTCAATCAGTCTGGTTGGGACCACTCCTTCATTTACATAGGGTGTAACCAAGTAACCAATGAGGAGCCTCTAGAAAGCATTTAAACCCCATAAAATTCTGTAACCAGCACTCTTGAGCCACTTGCTGGAGCCCACTCCCACTGTGTGGAGTGTACTTTCATTTCAATAAATGTGTGCTTTTGTTGCTTCATTCTGTCATTGCATCGTTTGTGTGTTTTGTCCAATTATTTGTTCAAAACACCAATAACCTGGACGATCAGCAGTCAAGACCTTCCATCAGTAACATTACAAAAGGTCTTGAGGCTGTGAGTTCTTGCTCTCTTACCCTTCTGCTTTCTTCCATGGGATGAGACAGCAAAGAAGGCCCTCATCAGATGCAAACCTCTTGACCTTGGACTTTCCATCCTCCAAAGCTGCAAGAAATAAAGCTCTTTTCTTTATAAATTACCTATTCTCAGGTATTCTGTTATAGGAGCACAAAAGATAATCCTGCTGGCAGAAAATTCCAGGGAGATGGATGTAACTGCTGCCATCAGACAAAAGAGGTCAGTGTGAAGGTTAAAATATCTAATCTCATTTGTATCAATGGACTGGATTCAAATCTCAGAGTTCATTTTAGCCTCTTGCAAATGAGACTATCAGAGCAACTCTCTGCTCCTCCGGGCAAGGATCTCTTACTTACATATCCCTTTTACCCAGGTGTATTCTTCCTGTATAAATGGGGCAGTTCTGTATCTCTTTTCTTCTATCATGTCACTGTTTTTGGTAAAGGACTTTGTGGCTTTTGGTAAGAGAGGCTGCACCAAAAGAAAATGGAAAAAGCTCTAGAGCGCAGAGAACAAGGCTAAACATCTAAGTTTCTGCCTTAGATAATTTATGATCTTATGCAAGTCACACAAGCACTCTGTGACCCAGTATCTCGCCTGTAACAGGGATAATAATAACCTAGTTTAACCACGTAGCTCATCCATTTACCATCATCCATGACATTTCAACAACTGTGTCTTTAGTAGCCTAAAGTCCCAACTCAACCTGATATTCAGAGCACATTATGACCAGATCCCAGCCTTTCTTTCCAGTTCTAACTCTCCTTTGCACTGTGCCTGTACTTAGTACTTTAATAAGTGCCAGTTGAGAGAATGGATATAAATGAGAGAGTCCAAATAAGACAACTTTAAATAATCTGTTTCAAATAGAAAGTATTTTCAGCTAAAATGAAACAGCAATTAAAGTCTCTCCTCTTTCAGGCCTAAATATATAGCTATGAATAAGAAATAATACACAATAATAAGTTCTCCAGCCATCCCGTAATTGAACAATCTCACTTTGACTAAGATCCACTTCTTCTCAATCTTACTTATTTCAGAGTCCAGTTTAAATTTCATCTCATTCTTTGATTCACTCAACAAAAATGTATTGAAATGGAACGGTTTCAGGCCGGGCACCAGGTAATTTTACCTCTTTCAGGAGGTTTCCAGGTGTGGCCCTTTGGATATAAGACCTGCCATTTCTTACCTCTGAGTGACAATCATGAGGGGCTTAGCTGTATTTTAAGATAACCAGAACCAGGCAGACTGGATTTCAGTCCAAACTTTACTATTTTGATTTCTGTGTGACACTGAGCAGACTCTATTTCCTTATTTGTTAGGTGAGGAATAAGACCAACTGTATGTGCTTATTAGAAATATAAATTATGATCATACATATAAAGCATCTAGCATGAAGCCTGAAGCATTATAGGTGACAAGCACATGCGAATAACTGCCTTATCCTGTCCTCTGCTGGGCCCAAACTAAACCAGTTTCCATTTGGAATAGTTTTCATTTTGGTTAAATGTATTATATTACAGTAGACGTAACAACAATTATTGTAAGCCAGAACAGATATTTGCTGCTCGCTGCTTTAAAAGCATCCGTACTTTCTTTTTTCTTATCTCTGTGGCCTCCATCTCTATGCTCATTGCCACCCTCTCCTATTATTAGATGTTGGCAGGGATCTCACAGAAGGTTGCTCCTGTCAACAGTCTCAGGATGAAAACAAAAGACCAGAACATCCAGGCAGCAGCATCCTCTTTATAGTTTTCTCACTTGCTAAAGTGAGAGACTGGAGTGATCACCCAAAATTACCCAATCAACCTAAAAGGGGAGATGATTTTTTTCTCCTGCAAAACCTTTAAACAAGAAATAATACAAGAGAAATGAATCTTGTGTTTCACTTTTCTCCGAATGGTTCTTAGCGGAGAATATGATCAAGTTAAATTTAAGTTCAATTTGACCCAAGTTCTTGTAAGATAAACGCACCTCAAATGGAGGGTGATGGGAACCTCATTACTTAGAATTGGACAAATAACCTAAGACAGTATGATTATAACCTGGCAGCAGCAATGGTTTGCTTAGCAAACTGCCTGAACCTCTACTGGGAACATTTAACACCGCTTGTATTTTGAAATCACAGGCTACATCTACAGGCAATAAAGACTGTTATCTCTCCAATTCATTGCAGTTGCACAAACACCCAGTTAATTCAGCTATAACACATCTGCCCAGAGAAATATTTACTTTTGGAGCCTCTTGGGTATGCTTTAAATTTCTCCTAATTGCTGCCCATTGAGTTTTAAGTTTAAGTGTTGTTAAGATGAACTTTAGGTCCTTCTCCTATACTGTGAAGTTCACCACTATATAGTTGCAAAGAACAGATTCTCAAATGACCAAGCTATACATTTAGGAACTGTTTTCTTTTTCCAATTGCACAGATGAGATGCTCTCTAAAACTAAGAAGACAAGTTTTTCTCACTGTTAGTTTGGCTTCTTGGTAGAGCAAACAGACGATAAATGTTTCTCAAGGACCACAAAGAGAATAATACTCATGCTTCCTGCTTGAGAATTAGATTTCTCAACTACTGAAGCTGTAGGAAATGAATCCTCAGGGCACCTTTTTAAATCATGAGGGTAACAAGCATTCTCATCCTACTAAAATGATAAGAAAACTGAGACAGAGGAAGATCAATTTCAGAGGAGGAACAAGGAATAAAACCTAGCAGTTCTAATTCTCAGAGGAGGGCCTAATTATGAAGACATCCTAATGAACAGAACTCATTTATCGTGCTCCTTCCAAAATCCTCATTATGTGCATTTTTTTCTAGATCATTTTATGCCTTGAAGAAGTAAGATAAAGAGGCTGAGCTAGTGGCTTATGCCTGTAATCCTAGCACTTTGGGAGGCCGAAGTGGGAAGATCGCTTGAGCATGGGAGCTTGAGGCCAGGCTGAGCAACATAGCGAGACCCCGTCTCCACACACACACAAAATACAAAAATTAGCTGGGCATGGTGGAGCATGCCTGTAGTCCTAGTTACTTGGGAGGCTGAGGTGGGAGAATCACTTGAGCCCTGGAGTTCAAGGCTGCAGGGAGCTCTGGTCACGCCACTGCACTCCAGCTTGGGCAACAGAGTGAGACTCTGCATTAAAAAAAATTAATTAAATTAATATTAAAATAAGGAGTAAGGTAAAGTAACATAATTCAGAACCAATAAGCAGGGTTAGAGTGAGTAGGGGGAAAAGAGGGAGTAGTTAACTTACTGACTCCAGGGTCTCAATGTTTCTCAGAGCACTAAAATCCATGCTTTCCTGTGCATCATAGTATACACCCATAAATCTCTTTCTTTCTCCTTGTCCTAAAGCTCAGGAGCTCCTTAGAGGAACCAATATCACAGTGGTCCATCCTCCACATCTCCAAACTCCTTCTTTCTCCATCACACCCAGTATTTGTCTTAACAAGTGTCTCTTTATTATTATTATTATTATTATTATTATTATTATTATTTTGAGATGGAGTCTCACTCTGTCAACCAGGCTGAAGTGCAATGGCATGATCTCAGCTCACTGCAACCCCCACCTCCAGGGTTGAAGCAATTCTCCTGCCTCAGCTTCCAGAGTAGCTGGGATTACAGGCACGTGCCACCACACCCGGCTAATTTTTGTATTTTTAGTAGAAACATGGTTTCACCATGTTGGCCAGGCTGGTCTCGAACTCCTGACCTCAAGTGATCCAACCACTTTGGCCTTCCAAAATGCTAGGATTATAGGCATGAACCACCATACCTGGCCCAAAACAAGTGTTTCTATTGATAAGTACATAGAAACTTATCAATCTTATCCTCCTGGAAGTCTAGGAGGATTCCTCACTCACCTGGTTTCCTACCAATGTTCAGATTTGGGACCATCTCCATTCCAGACTCCTGAAAATTTTTTTAAATTGCAGGATTGGAGTCCAGACTAGTTTGAAAAGTAATGCATAGAGATCATGTCATAGCTAAGAAAACAGTGCACCATAAAAAACTAACATAGCATAGCACCATTGAGGCATCTTCTGAACACCAAAATACCAACTTAATTGTAAACTTTTGGAGGCAACCATCTTTGCATCTGAGTGCCTATCAGTTAACCCCCACTAGGAAGTCTCCCCAACCCCTTATTGTCACCCAGGATGGCTTATACAGTCTTCTTTGCACTCGTATACTGCCATATCAAAACACCTGTTATTGCTGATGTACTTGCCTGAACTCTACCATGAGTTATCTAAAACAGCTATATTCTCACTATCTAATACAATGTAGCCCATGATAAATATGCAATAGAGTTTCGTTGGATGAATACATATAGTGGATGTTCACTAGTGTTTATTGAATTGAACATAATTGGATACTTAAGTTAAAGTATAAATAAAAATGACACTTAGAAAAATGTTTGTAGTTTATGACTTCTTTGCGGAGCCCCAAATATGAGCTGGTCTTATAAAATTGAGGAAATAACCTAATTTCAATTTAATTCCCTTTTTAAAATCAATATGAAAAATTAGCTTGACCTTCTGAACCCAAGGTCTATAGTAAAGTAGCCTAAATTAAAAGCTAAATCAAACTGATGAGTGGTTTTTAGTAATAATCCAAAACAGAATAAGAATTATTAACTGTTAGAGTTGGAAAATTTTAGAGTTGATCTCAGAATCAATACATGAATCCTTTCTGCAATATCACTACCAGATGGTCAACCAACCTCTACCTGAATTCTCCTTACAGCTTTATGACAGGTTACCCTTTACTTCGGAATCCAAAAGAGGAATCATAAATTCCTCCTCACAGTGACTGAAAGATGGATTCCTATAATATTAACTGAGTTCCGCCTTCCAGCAAAACAAAAGAAAATCTACTCCTGTTCTGCTTGGCACCTCTTGGAATATGTGATGACAAACACTGACCTCTCCTTTGTCTTCCAAAGATAATTGTTATGTCCCAGTTCCTCTCTCAGATTCAAATATTTCAGTTCATGTTCCATCATGGTCACCTGCCTCTAAATATGCTCCTTAATCTGTGTATCTGTGTATCACCCAAAGAGGCAAAGGGGTGGGGACCACTATGCTGACTGATATATTTTTTTGGCAATTCTAATTGGCACAAAGACCTGCCCTCATTCTGCTACTTTGTTTGTCACCAGGGCCTAAACAACAATATGGTTTCCAGAGACTTTCCATTCTAAGAGACAACCATTTAAAACAAAGGGAAGGGTCTTCAGCAATATTTACTTCAACATTTTCAATGTCTGGAAACACTGCAAAGTCCATTTCTGCTATAAAGATATTTCTTCTAGATTTTCCTGCCCATCTGACAATGGGCAGGCTGCAGAGCATGTGGATGGATGCCTGACTCTAAAAGGGTCTTTCAAATGTGATCATGATGTGAGAATACCAAGTCCTGTGAAATGTGATTTGATGAGTAGGTCTGGGGATGAGAAGGTACCTACTGAATATTTTTTTCTGTTTGGTTAGCAGTTAAACATGGTAGAAATCACATTCATTCGTTATTTAAAAAATATTTATTTATTTATTTATTTGAGACAGAGTTTTGCTTTTGTTGCCCAGGCTGTAGTGCAGTGGCATGATCTTGGCTCAATGCAACCTCCGCCTCCCAGGTTCAAGCGATTCTCCTGCCTCAGCCTCCTGAATAGCTGGGATTACAGGCACCCACCACCACGCCCAGGTAAATATTATTATTATTTTTTGTATTTTTAGTAGAGACTGGGTTTCACCATATTGTCCAGGCTGGTCTCGAACTCCTGACTTCAGATGATCCACCTGCCTTGGCCTCCCAAAGTGCTGGGATTACAGGCGTAAGCCACTGCACCCAGCCACATTCATTCATTCATTCATTCCAGAAGTTATTTAATAAGCCACTACTATTATCTAAGCACCTTACTCAAATGTAAAGGGATATAATGAAGAGCAAAACAGATCCGATGCATGCCTTCATGGAATGTACAGTCTAGCAGGAAAGACACATGTTAAACAAATAAGTGCACAAATATGGGATTGGAAACAATAAATGCTTTGAAGGAAAACTAGTGAATGCAATAAAAAGGATGAGAGGACCAAACTTAGATTTCAGTGTACAGGGAAGGCCCATTTGATCAAGAGACCTTAAAGGTGAGTCCTGGGAGAAGGACACAATTTAGTCAAGCTGAGGACGGGGGCAAATGTTCTAGGCAGTAACCAGCATGTTTCCATTATTAAATAATTTCTGGAATGAATTAATGAATGAATTATGGTGACAAATTGGTGAGTAAAGAAAAAACTTGATGAACTAGTGAAACGGAAAGAAGGCTAGTGTGGCTTCAAAGTGTGAGTCAACACACCTGTAATTCCAGCACTTTGAGAGACTGAGTGGGTGGTTCACTTGAGGCCAGGAGTTCCAGACCAGCCTGACCAACATGACGAAACCCCGTTCCTACTAAAAATACGAAAATTAGCTGGGCATGGTGGTGCATGCATGTAATCCCAGCTGCTCAGGAGGCTGAGGCACAAGAATCACTTGAACCCAGGAAGCGGAGGTTGTAGTGAGCAGAGATTGCACCACCGCACTCCAGCCTGGATGACAGAGCGAGACTCTGTCTTAAAAAAAAAACAAAAAACAAAAAACAAAAACCGTGAGCCAAGGAGTGATGGTGTCAGATGAGGCTGGAGGGCATGCAGGGGCTTTGAATGTCAGGCTTGGGATTTTTTAAAAATTTAGTTTTATAGCAATGGAAAGCTACTTAAGGGTTTTTGAGGAAAGGAGTGACATGACTGATTGTCAGCCTGGGATTCAGAGGCTTCCTGAGCCTTCCCCTAGCCTGTGAATAAGCTCCAGCTAGACACAGAGTGTTTTTATGTCCAGACAATATGTTCACCCTAACCTGTCTCACTTCCCTGCCACAGGTGTGACCCATTTATAAAATGCTTTTTCTCTTTTGAAACTCAAGCCATTTCTTTTGCAGATGTTATCACAAGGTAAATAATCTAGCTTCCACTCTGCTACAGAAAATTTCAGGCAATGGAATTCAGGAAACTTGTGTCATGAAAAAGTCTGGCCCCAATTCCCAGGCACTTGCGAGCTGGCTCAAAAGGATACCTGATATGTCAACACAACTCATCCCCCCAAACAAGGCAGTTCGACACATTAACAAAGTGCTTCCTCCCAGAGGTAATTTGAGTATCCTCTAAAAGGATGCTATTTGCAGCATTTCATTAATAAAGAAACATGTAACGCAGTTGCAGATCCCTATCTGGAAAAGGCTGCACAGTGATTTTGTATAATTGGATAGGGATAGGCTCTAGTTTTGTGCTGATGGGCATGGAGGATCTGAAATTTGTGAGTGTGAAGTCTGCTTTTAAGGAATGCTCCAGAATGGAAAACAGTTATTTCAACAAAAAGCAATAAAACCTCCCTATCACAAACATACTGGCTTAAGAGAAACAAGAGGCTGCCTGTGCTTCAAAAGTATGTTTATAAAGCAAATGCCAAGTCACCAGGAACAGCAGCCATCTCCGGGCAGCAGCAAAAAGAAAAAATTAGAGCATTAATAAAAATATTAACAGCACTTTTATGTTATCTTCTAGCCAGAAAACACCACTGTGGTACCCATACAAGAATAATTTTTGTGCCATTTGACAGCTTAGAAAACTGACACAAAGGGGTTAAATGGCTTCTCTGAAGTCATGTGGCCAACTGGTGGCAAAATTAGGTCTTGGACTTCCGATTAATTTTCCTTCTGCAGTCCATGCTGCCTATTTTGAATAATAGTAGTAACAGCTGTCTAGCGATTAATTTCCATGCTCTCATATAATCTTCACAATCACACTGCAAGGTTGGTATGATTATTCCCATTTTATGGATTAGGAGCAGCAGTTCAGACAGTACATGATTGGTCCCAGGGCCTGTGGCTAGAAGTGATTGGGCTGGAATTGGAAACTAGGATTGCCTGTCCTGAAAGCACATGTTCTTAACCACTGTTAATTACCACCCCACCTCTGGATATACTGGCCAACCCCTCTTACCCTAACCCAGAATGCAAAAACTGGCTTTTTGTTCATATGGGGTCAGAACAAAGACAGGCAAAGTGCTGAGGAACTGGTATTGTCTTTAAAGCATAAATTCTGGGTAGGACAGACCAGATCTGGGATCAAGAGGCATAAGAGGGATGTTGTCAATATCTGCATATTCATGAAGGCATAAACGCAATGCACACAGGCTTGCCTATGAAATAATAAAAGGGAGCTGTTGAGTATTGAGGACTCCCCTATGTGCTTGCAGAGGCACCAGTTATTTCATTCAATTTGCACTATAGCTGTGTAGTATGCATTTTGCAGTCATCACTCTACATGCATTAAGGGACTTTGTGAGATCACAAAGCTAGAAAACTTTGGAGCCGGGATCTGTCTGAAGCCAAGCCCAAGCCTTCAAGGGTGAAAGAATTAATTCTCCAGGTAAAAAGAACATATTACTTGAGGTTGCAAGAGTTAACTTAGATGCTTTATCCTAGAGCATGGAACAGGGTGAAACCACAAGTAAGATGAAAAAAGATCTAGAAAAGTCAAAGTTGATGGTACTTTCGAAGGTGTCTTGGAAAACCAGGGATGCTTCACAGGACCCCCTGTAATCTTGTAAATTAAAATAACTGAAAACAGCTATGTCTACCCACAGGTATCCTTTGGTGCTATTGTCTAAGTGCCCTGAGTAGCTCATGACTTCCACATTTTACCCAATCCCTAAGAAAGAGATTCCTTCCCTTGTTGGGGAACTTAAATGCTGCTCGATACAACCGATCCTGAAAGTTTACACCAATGCTGAAGTGGCACCACAGAATATTAAAGCTTAGAAGGTGCTCAGAAGTTATCTGATCCAATCCTCACATTTTACATATAAGAGATCGAAGTAGCTGAGGCCTAGTGTAAAAACAGATCCATTTGCTAAGTAATTTAAATTATGTCATCCATGGTGCTAGGAATTTGACATACATTTATTCTAAATCTCATGAAGGTCCTGCAGGAAGGTATTATTTTTTCATTTTACAAATAATGAAAAGTGAGGTTCAGGAAAGTTAAATAACTTGATCAAGGTCACGCAGCTTGCAGGTGATGGAGTCTAGATACAAGCCCATATTTGTGAGTCCAACACCCAGTCTTATTTCTCCATCCCCATGGCAATCTCTCTTTCTACTAAGATGTGACACAGTGTTAGGCCCATGTGAATTGGAACCATCTGGATTATTGGAGAAATAGAGATTTCCATGCCCACTCTGATATCCTATCCTGAATCTCCTATGGGTAAAGACCATGTCTTATTCTTCTTTGTGTCTTCTATTTTATGTGCAGAATACATAGAAGGTATTGAAGATGTGTATTTGCAAAAAGGCTACCTTACTGCTGTAACAGAATTGAGCCCTATTAATTGATGTCATATTTGGCCAACCACTATCCTGATAATTCTCTACTGTATTTCATTTGTATTCATTTGGCAACTTCTGATAAGAACTCTGGATAAGTTCTTGCAACTTTGGTATCTTGCCTTCCAGTCATAAAGACACGCTCTGCTCCCAAACCAGAGGAGACAAAAATAAAGGTAAAATATGAGCTCAACAAGCAATGCAGCTTTCATGCTGCTCTGATGATCTTTCCTAATGGAGAGCCCAAGGCAGGCTCACATCCTGTTACCCTTCCCTGAGACAGGCTCACCTCTATTTGCACAAGGAAAGCACACACATCATTATGCTGCTATTGAAAAGGCCTTGGTGGCAAAAGATGCACATGATCCACTTTTATATGAGAGTCTGACATTTGGGCAGTAGAAAAAAAGAAATCAGTTCAGGCCAATGACATTTCTATGGGAAAAGCCCCAGCTCCACAAAGGAGTGAGTGAAAGTGGCAGTTAACCCCGTGGATGCCTCATTGTTCCTCATTCATGACTGGGAACACTAGGACCTCCTCGAGGAGGGCTCAGAGAAAGGGGGCTGCCACCTGTTGCTAGGGATGACATCAGTGACCCAGCAAGAGCCAACATTCTTTGGGCGGCTTGTGTGTGTGTGTCGTTAATCAGCACTGGCTCCTCTGCAGGCAGCCCCATTCAATAAGATCTTGACTGTCAGCACTCTGGCTTCAAACTTCCAAAGGGATCTGCCAGAATGCATGGCCTTTATCCTAAAGGAAATTGGCCCATGTTCAAAATTACCTTGGACGGGAGGGGTGATGATGGTGTGGTGATGTTCTCTTGGTTTTTTGTTTCCGTTGTGTTTTGTTTATGAGCCTGCTGGGGTTAAGTAAGAGGGGAAAGGGTACAAGAAGGTGTGGAGAAGGGCAAGAAGCACCTACCTCATCCCACTTGCCAGGCACAGGAAAGAACTCCACACGACACATCTTTTGAACAAAACGGATGCTGCCACGTCTCACTAGCTTATAAAAATGTTTTAAATGGTGGACAGTTCCTTTAAGAATTAAATGCACATGTGTAGCTAAATCAGATCTAATACCAAGTTGGCATCACAGATATGAAAGTTACAAGTAGAACCTTAGGCATCACTCCTTCATCTTACAGGTGAGTAAACTGAGGCCCAGAAATTATCTGTCTTTGTCTGGTCTGTGCTGGCAAGAGATACCTAGCTCTCGGTGTAGCTGGTTTCCGCTTCTTCCTGGAAACAAAGCTGGACTAGACTTCCCATCTCCTCACGACTAGACCCCATTGGCTGGGGTTACTCACATGATTATGCCTTGCAGCATAGGCACAACCATGTGAATGACTCCAACCAATGGAGTGTGAGGAGATGGGATGTGTGCTCAGGCTGGTCCAGGATAAGCTCCCATGCCCTTGCTTCATGCTCTTTCCCCTTCTACTGTCTTGCGGCAATATGGCTGGACTATAGCTCAGCTCTCCTACCTTCCCTTTCACCCACCACAGTGCTATGCCATGTTGCTATCTCTCACTTTAGCAGAACAATTCACACCAGAAACCTACCCCTTAAGAATGTGTCTTAAATGTCCTTCAATGCTGGGCACAGTGGCTCATGCCTGTAATCTCAGCACTTTGGGAGGCCGAGGCAGGCGGATCACGAGGTCAGGAGATCGAGACCATCCTGGCTAACATGGTGAAACCCCGTCTCTACTAAAGATACAAAAAAAAAAAAAAAATAGCTGGGCGTGGTGGCGGTTGTCTGTAGTCCCAGCTACTCGGGAGGCTGAGGCAGGAGAATGGCGTGAACCCGGGAGGCAGAGCTTGCAGTGAGCAGAGATCAGGCCACTGCACTCCAGCCTAGGCAACAGAGCGAGATTCCGTCTCAAAAAAAAAAAAAAAATCCTTCAAATTGATTCATAATTATGGATTAGAAATTAAAATAATATTAACCTATCAAGTATTAGCTGCTCCTCAGCCAAATTAACACCTTTATCAATTAAATCATCAAATGGATATGTTTTATCTTGACTCCTCTCAAGCTTGATGTTCCTAGTTTACTACTTTTACTACTTTTATAACTGAACCCTTTTTTTGAGCCACTTTTTAGCAGCAAGCTGCCAACAGGTAATGTCACAAAATTTGTATCAAGTGAGATGGTTAAGGTGTTTATGAACAGAGTGCTAAATAGAGAAAAATATAAGCTTAGAGTGCAGTTTTTTATTTTTGCCTTTATTTAAAAAAATTTTTTAGAGATGTGGTCTTGCTATGTTGTCCAGGCTGGTCTTAAACTTCTGGCCTCAAGTGATCCTCCTGCTTCAGTCTCCCAAAGCACTGAGATTACAGGCATGAGCCACTATGTCTGGCCTATTGCAAGCAAGTTCTAAGTAGAAGAGAAGGAAGACCAAATTAGAGGAACCGGTATCTTTCCACCACAGGAAATGTCACTGTCATTGTAACACCATGGCTACATGATAATATGAACATAAAAGTTCTTGAAGTATCATGAAGAAGAGAGGAGGGGAGGACTCTAACAATTTAGACAGGAGAACATGGGCAAATAGACCATTTTCCTCCCAGAGTTTGGAGCTGAGACCACTAAAATGAAAAAGAAGAGTTCACATGTGACTGATCTGTGGTCATTCCCATAATTTTTAGGGTTTCAGTGATCAGCCACTGAGATGACACCAATTTCTTTACAATTCAATTCAGGGAAGTTACAAAAACTCTAGAAGAACTACCTCTAGGAGACTTCTGAAAAATATAATTCTTGCTATTACTAGTCTTTCCTATTTTGAATATTTTGTTTCTTCTCTCTTTTATTAATTAGAAAGAGAAACCTTGCTGTCAACAGAACCAGATGAACATGACTACAGTTGGTGCTTGTTAAATTTTCAAAAATCTGTTATTTTTACTGGAGTCATTTTTCTGTACTTGACAACATCATGTTGTGAGAGGCATCTGGTCAACCGTTCGTCTCTGGCAAGTGCACAGCAGAGACGAACTGAGGTCAGATAACTCGGGGCAGTAGCATTCAAACCAAATGCCAACGTGCATTTGTGGGAGGTTCTGAAGGAATCTTTATTTTTGAGGCAAACAGAGATTCTTCTAACCTCTTCCATCTTACAATATTAAAATGATTTTGACTGTAGAACAGAATTGGATAAAAATGACCTAACAAGCTCTTGGAGGAACGTGAGTGCAGATCAGCACTGCAACTGTCATGGATGACAAATGAGACAAATGTGGCCCCTTGCTGAGGATTTTTAGGGTGGATATTTCAGACCAAACATATGACCAAATTACAAGTGTTCCTTCTTTATTAAATGTAATCCGCAAACAAAATCCAAAACAAATAACCCATCCACCCTTGTTGGGAGTGGGGATGGGAAGAAGCACTAAATAGAAAGTGAGGAATTCATAAAAGCATCCACTTCAAATTGCAAAGAAGTAAACAATCAATGTAAAATTTGACTATATTGCATAAGAAAGATGTTTTTCTAAAGGATCAGGAGTTAATTTAATGTTTAAAATTCTGGGATGAAAGCATGTATCAAATTTATTACCTAGTTCATGATCTCTTTCATAAGCTACACTGGTAATTATTTTTCTTTAAAGAGTCATAAATGATCTCTTTAAAAAGTGTGCATGTGTGTGTTGGTAGGAGTGACACATTTGCCAACCACAGATATTGTGTTAGATGTTTTATCTCTGGTAACTCATTTTATAGAATAACAAAAGGCAAACTTAAAGGAGATTTGAGAGCCTAGTTAAGAAACAGCACATCAATAATCAATCTCACACCAAAATGTGAGATTGTAGTCATCTCTGTCCTTCATTTAATCCACAGATATTGAGGACCATCTCCTGAGTATCAGATGACATAAGAAGAACTAAGATCAATGAGACCATCACTGCCTTCAAGCAGCTCATACCCTAGTGGAAGAAGCCTAAATGGTAAAATAGCTCATTACAATACAATAGATTAGTAATGCTAAACTAGTCACTTTATGTACTTTCAATTACTGGAGCACAGAGTAGTAAGCCAATCACTTTGAAGGGGCAACAAAGGAAAGAATCCAGTTGGATTTCTGAGGGTGAGTAGGAGTTTGCCAAGTAAGAAAAGGACATGCCATGCTGAACATGTATTTTGTGTAAAAGAGTGATGATGAGAATGAGCATATACACCTGGAAAACACAAGACCACTCACGGTTTTGTGTGTGTGTGTTTGGGGGAGGGTGGGTCGTGTCAAGATTGAAGACAGAAAAGGTAGAGAAAGGCAAATTATGAAGGTTCTTTTATGATATTCTAAGGAGCAGGGTTTTAGCCTTTGGTAGAAGAGAACCAGTGGTGATTTTTAGAATCTCAAAAGATGCTAAAAGTTACATAAGCTCATCTCTATTTTCAAACAATAACTGGCAGTCACATGAAAGCTGGACTGGGAAGATAAAAAATGAATGGAATTGGCTGGTGTGGGTCTTCTTTAAGCCAAAGTGGTGGCAATGAGTAAGAGGAAATGAGCAGATTCATGAAGAGGGAATTTGGATCTATCAGATATGACGACAAGTGTGATGTGGGAAGATAGAGACAGCATTTAAGGGCGATAACTTTTTTTAATGTGCTTTTCAGTTTGACCAACTGAGCAGGTGTATGTGCTACTTCTTGACAAGGAGGAGTAAGTTTACATTGGTAGAACTTTGGGACATGCCAGATGTAAGATTTTACACATAAAATCCAGACAGAGTCGCTGCTCAAGAGGCAGTTGCTATTTAAGTCTCAAGCTCAGGAGAGGGATGGTTATATTTTTCAGTCCATCAGCAACTATACTCTCCCTAAACTGCAGGTCTGATTCTGCTTAGTAATCTCCGTTAGCTTCTCCATTGCCTGTGGTATCAGGTGCAAACTCATCTTGGTCTTCAATGCACACTGTGACCTAGTCTCAATCTCTTCTCCCACCCTTAACTCCTTCAACCTGAATGCTCAAGACAGAAAAACCACTCAACCTTCCTGCAATACAACTCATCATACTTGCTCTTATTTCCAAAGCTTGGAATTCCCTTTCTACCCAGACTCACTCCAGGTGCTGAAATCTGAACTGTCTCAGGTTTCAACTAGCTTGGCCTTAAAGTGTTCCCCCAAACTCTCTTAGTTCTAAAAAATTTCCGCTTCCTCTGGGCTTCCGGAACACGTGCTTCCCACCCCTGGTGCATGGTCTTATGTCTTCCAGCCTACCCCATCACAGTCTTCCTAAGCCAGTCTCCAGCAATGAACTGGAGTCTGTGAGGAACCGGGCCATTCCCACAGGACATCCTAACTAAAGGAGTGCTGAGTGGAATGGCTCCTTGGGCTTACAGCATACAACATTCTTTGCTGTGCTCATGGGAGCACAGAGACTTCTTATCACATTGCCAGCTAAAAGCTTCAGGGCTGATCAGTCAGTTCCCAGTGGGGAATAAAGAATTCAAGATGATGTGATGAAACATGACAAATGACTTAGTGAGCTGACAAAATTGCAAAGATTAGACCTTCCTTTTTCTCTGGTGTTCATCCGGCTTCTCTACGTATCATGACCCTTCCTGCATAGCCCAAAGTGTCAAGACTTCCATGAACAGAACACAAGAAGAGGGAAAATGTGTTTTCTTTGGCAATTTAATTGTGAGGTTTTGATGTTTATGTACTCATTAGATGTTTTTAGTGATTTTTGCTACTTGCATGAAAACACAGGCATCTGTGACTCTGACTATGGCTAAATCCAGGCTGTAACCTCAGTTGTCAGCAGTTTAATATCTTCCAGGAAAACAACATGGCTCAACCTCTGAGCCATTTTAACACAGTTACTCCATGAAAGGAAGCAGAGTAATGAGAAGTGGACCTCAAAGAAGAGGCATCCTCTTCTTTGTTAATTCTCTCATCACTCAAGAATTAGAAATGCAGAAACAAGTAGGAAAATGCTCCCCAGGCCCAAATGCCACCTCTAGTTTCTTCTATGCTTCCATGGCTGACATCTTACTTGTGCCTGCTCCTGATAATGGCTCCTGGCATAATATGCCCTGTTCTTATTTCACATTAGCTGACACAGTACTAGTAACTTGGATTTTGAGTGCCAATAGGAATGGATATGTCCTTAGACTCTGGTAATAAAACACAACTCCTTCTGTATCTATACTGGTCTGGTCTGGTATGTTAATCTCATTCTGATAATTGTAATAACAGTCGTAATAATATTAATATAGAGGTAGAAAAAAATAGAGTTCTTCTGCTTGGCTACCAAGAGAGTCACTTTTCCACATAATAATCACCCACATTCACAGATGTGTAAGGCATGCATCTTACATCTGCTTGAAGCTCTTCTGGCTCTCCAACAAAACACAAAGATTCTTTGTATTTCTCCATCTTATAATTCCTTTCTCACAATCTCCACCTGAACTATATAAATAACCAGGGCTTATATTAGGAAAAAATTAGATGCTGATTTATTGATAATTTGTTAAATGCCTCTCCTCTTCAGTTCTTTCTGAAACATTCCTCTTTGCAATTTCTAAAGAGAAATGAGTTTTTTCCCCCACATGAATTTCTTGATGCTTCCAAACAGATCGGTAGAAACGGGACCATTTATTTATTTGAATGGGCATGTGTCAACATATTCTTAAAAAAAGAAGACACCAGTGCATTATAGCAGAATGCAAAAAAAAAAGCACTCCACACCACACACATTAATGCCCATCCGTTACACCTCAGATTCCACATGTGAAACTGTCTTTATGGATGCTAGGGCGTCCTCAGAGGCAGGATGTGGATCTTGGAATTGAATTTATTTCAAGGGTTCACCACATATGGTAATGGAATCTCCTCTCAGAGCTGTGGGGCAGTTCTAGATATATCATGGATGACTGCCAGGGTTCAAAAGACCACACACCTTTCTGTCGGCTTCATGTGACCATCTTTAATCAAGGTTATCCCCTGAATATTTCTGTGTATCCTTGCCTCAGATGTAATTGTGTGTTTGATGTGCACTTGGACAGTCAGTGTCTGAACAGCTGACCACATGGGCCTTCCCTGGAAAGCCACCCTTCTTCTGCTGGCTCACCCCTGCCTTGCCTCCCAGCTCTACTGGCTACTGTTGGGTTTTTGAGCCATTTCCAACACTACCAAATACATTTATTTTGCTTACTCCTGTGACTATTGTTACTTCATAATCAAATACTCACCTAGTGAACTGCCCAGATTAAAATACTTATGTGTAGATGTAGAGGTAGAATAATATTTTTTCAATGATTAACTTTCACTAGGTCTGCTGATACAACTCTTATTGCCATTGGACCTAAATGCTGATAAATCACCACCTTGAAGACAGCTGTTGCTGTTTAAGACATAATCTAGAATAAGACATATTTTATGTGCTTATGATTGTAGAGAAGATTCTAAGTGACAGCTATATGATGAAAGCCCTTCAGCCCATGAAGTCAGTAATGGCTGACTCTGTGGTTTACCTTTGTCTCAAAGCCATAAAATCCAGAACAAGAAAAGGCCATGTCCACAGTTTAAGACCACGATTGAAATCACAGCATGAGAGACCCAGAGTTCTTGTTTCCTGTTTTCTTTTTGACATCATACTAGCTCTTATACTAATTTCAACCATTCTCAAAAGTCTTGACCATGGAACACCACTCCATCATGCTTAAGACAAGATTCCACTGGCAAGAGCAGGATGCAATCTGGACCTAGGATGACTGTTTGGTTATTGCTCTTGGACATCTCAGCAGACACACCTCTGCTCTAAGCCTTAAAAGACCTTTTTATCTCATTGCCCAGCCCCTGCTGATCCCTGGCACCCCTACCCCAGCCTTCATCACTTTCTAGGACATTATAAAAGACACTGAGACTCTCTTGGTGTCATCCTTCTGTTGGGACGCTAGTGTCAATGTAGGAAAAGCATCTATTTCATGCATTTAAAGGCACCTTTATAAACTCCCCACCCCCACCTTGTCCCAGCAGCACAAATGGTCATGTGTTTCGTATCAGCATTTTACTCTCAGGTTAGATGTTCAGTTTGCCAATAATAATAATAAATAATAAACAAATGTTGCTAGAAATTCAATGAGTTATTTGGATTGTTATTATGTAGAACTCTTGCTAGTTCACTAGCTTAAGAAAAAAAAAAGAATACTAAGTGGTGTGTATCATTGCTGCACTAAGTCTGCCGTGGTTTTACTCTCGAGTTTCTCCTCTATGCTGCCTGGAATGTACAGCCATATTCTCAACATTTGGCTAAGCGAAAACCACAAGAAAGGGCTCTAAATCTTGGCTGATGCTTCAGCCATTTTTTCCTAGTACCTTTTCAACTTCCCTCAGAGAGTTACTGTGTAAAAACAACACATTCACAGGGTTGGTGTCCACAATTGCAGGAGTTCCAGTCTGAGTTTCCTGAGATGCTCTTGGCAACCCACCTCCACCTCTCCCACTTGGCTACTTCCTGCAATGTGTCTTCATCACTGACAATCAGCACTCATAACTCACGATACAGAAACAAGGCCATCTTCTACCATCAGCTTCTCACCCTTTTTCTTTTATGCTCTAGAGGGTCTGAACCTAGGTAGCATCCCTCCTGAGATATTATTTCACAAGAAACCAATGTTTTTACCTGAAACACCTACTTTTCCTCTCAGAGACTTCCTGAATTTTTCATCTGCAAAATAGGGATAATTATGAAGAAGTGTGAGAAAAGGTGTAAGATAATATTTGTGAGCATGCATAGAAGGAAAAAGTGGAAGTAGAATCCTTATTTGAAGTTTAGGTCCATGAACTGATAACAAAGCAGTAAAAAAGTAATTTTCCCATCAGCTTTCTAGGCTAACGACTGCACCTTCATTTGGTTGTAGAAACTCAATGTACAACAAAATCATATTACAATGGGGACCTGTATTATTTTATTCCCTGAGTTCTATTCTTCAGTAGGAATGAATAACAGAAATAACAAGAACTTGGGAATCAATCCCTACTTGGATTTACATCTAAGCCCCACTCATGTGAGCTGCGGCAAGCTGGTTAGCCTCTGTGAATTTTAGTATTTTCAACTGTTAGAAAGAGGTAGGAAGAGCTAGCCCACCTTCCCTCTGGCAAGGTTACATAAAAATGCCTACCACATTTTCTTTTCTTTTCTCTTTTCCATAACCTACACAGCTTGACATGTAGTACAAGAATTTAGTGTCCCCTATCCCCAAACAGGAGCCTGCAGTTAGATAGTGAGGATTTGATGAACTGAAAAGGGGCCAGGAAAATGATGGCAATGTTGATGTTGATATTGATGATGATGATGATGATGATGATGATGATAATGACGATGATGACAATAGGCGAGTCATTGAGGACAACCATTTTTTACACCCTTTATCCATAAGGCACTGACAGCTCATTGAACAGGGCTTATGCTGAGCTGATGGGGCATGCTGAACCAGCTGTCTTTCTAAAGGAGAGTTTATCCATTCAGAAAATGTGATGGGCCCTCAAGGAGCTACAAGCATCTCTACTTTTAGAGAAGAACTTGAGAAAACACGTGGCATAGCAAATATCTGAAAGACTAAAACTGCTCAGGCCTTGTTTACTTAAGTCAGTACGGAGTCAGCAGCCTCTAGGGAGGCAGCAAGGCAAAAGGGCAAGATCGCTGGGGCTGGATTCTGAAAAACTGGATGAACTCAGAGCAAGGTAGAGGTCATTCAGTCCAGCCTCCTCCCCTGTGTCTCTGATAGATACCAAGCAAGCCCTGTCTTGCCTACTGTTTCTGATTGAGACCCTGCCTCACCCCACTCACCATGCTGTGAATGATGCTGAGTCTGAACCTGTGCTGTGCAATATGGTAGCTAACATCTTCACATGAACACATGAAATGCGGCCAGTGTAACTGAGAAGACGACTTGTAAATTTCACTTAATTTTAAATAGTTCAAACTTAAATTTAAAAACTTATATTTAATTCCACTTTTGGACACTTCTCAAATATATTTGGAACAACTTGTTTAAGTGAGCTTATTTTTCCAACTGTAAATTTCATGAAATCTAAATACAGATGAAGTATTTCTGAGGAAAACATAACATTCATATTGAAATGTGCTGTTAGCGTAAAATGCACATTGGATTTTGACGACTTAGTATAAAAATGTAAAATATCTTATTCATGCTTAATATTCATTAAATATCAAAATTATAATGTTTCCTGTATACTGAGCTAAATAAAATATGTTGTTAAATTATTTTAGCCTTTTTTTCACTTTTTTAATGTGGCAAGTAGAAAATTTAAAATTACATATATGGCTCCTATTGCTTTTCCATTGAACAGCGCTGGTCTATATAATGCAGAATTGGACGTGAAATTTCAGATATTGTCAGACCACTAAAAATGTGCTAGGAGTATCCTATCCTTTGTAATGGATTAGTTGGGTCTAACATGTCCCAGGCTTTAGAGCCATGAACTGAATTTCAATCCAGTTTCTACTAATTTAGATTTCATCAACCCGTTCTTAGCATCTGAGGTCTTCCTGAATCTGGATGAAATATTTGAAAGTATTCACTGTCCCTTTTATCTTTATGTCCTCTGAAAATTTGATAAATATTCCTAGTTGTTCAAATGACAAAATGCTGTGTAACTCATCTGGGAGGGCTTCAAAGATTTGTGAATTCCACAGCACACTCCAACATCCCATCATTTGTAAAAGTAAAGATGTCTCCTTTCACAGTGCCCATCGAAGGCACTCATCTGTACTTTACATGTTAATTTCACAGCCCTCACATAAACTTGGCTACCTCAGAGTCCGGGGCTGTGCCCACTACTTCCTGTCTACATGCCCACAATGCAGAGAATAATCAAATGCTGTTGACTGAACTTCTGCCAGCAAAATTATTGCCCAGGAAGCATGAAATGACTACATTTACCCTTTCATGATTATCTTTGTTCAGCAAAATTTACTCACTTTAGTTTACTGGGCAGATGGCTGGATGTACTACTGGAGATATATTTTGGGGATGACCAACCACTTGGAGTAATAGGGGATCAGCCCAATCCCATTCTGGGGTTGGGGTTGGGGTCTTTGGTAATACCACTGGAAAACGGGCATGCTTTATACAAAGAGATCTGAAAAATGCTTACCAATGTGACTTTCCTGTGGAAATATAAACCCCTGCTTCAACCAACACTCTTCCTGTAGAACAGGGTCTTCTCTAGCTTACTCCCTGGTACTGGTACATTTTCTTTTGTGCCACAGCTGTTTCTCCCCACCCCACCTTACCCCTGCACCCCCTCCCCTAACACACATACTCCAGTCTGTAAGCCAGGTGTTTAGGGGGTGGGAAGATGTGGTAAAATAAGCAGAGGAGAAAGTGGTAAAGAAATAAATGGTAAAAGACATTTTATGAAGAGTTCCAAGGGTCGAGTCTGCATCAATCTGCTTTAGTTCTTCCATCAATAAAATGAAATCCAAGCTGATAAAGTCCTCTACCCAGATATGCTATATTAACTGGCTAATTAATGAAAGTAACTCACTCTTAAAAATCCAAAGAATGCCATTAATGCTAAGTATTTTTTACACAGAAACCATTTAAAGTAATTAACAAAACTACAGTTGCTGTGAATTAGAAAGTAAATTTAAACTTAACAACCCATTACTGGGATGGCAAAAAAAAGCAGAACTAATGGTGGTCTAAGCCATTGTAGTGGAAAGTTTATGTTGGTGTCTGGTGGTTTGGTTGTGCCATTACATCAAGAAGATGTCTACATGCAATGAGCAGGTGGCTTGAATTATAAAAACTTCCTACATATTTGTTTTTGAGAATGAAGTGGAAAGTAAAGTAGTAAAAGCATCTATACATTGGAGGCTGATGGACCTTGCCCAGGGCAAGGATTCACTTGTGAGCCCCTAGGTCACTAGATCAGCACTATGGTAGATTTTAATGGAACAAAGGAAATTAATCAAGTGCTGACTGGCTGTATTCTAGCTGTGACAAAGGGAAAGTCAACAACCAACCCCCATCTTTATACCACTGAACACTGTATAATTTTGTTTCTATATCCAAGATGACTTGGTAATCAAAGTTCCTAGTAGGAACGTATGTCAAAAAGAGCAGAGCCGATAGTTTGAATCAAATTTGGAGCCAGGCAACCTAGTTCTAGGGGCTCATAACCCCAAAACTCTGTGGGCCTCTGGCAGCGAGATGGGCAAATATTTCAAGTATCTCACAGCCCCATCCCTCTTGTTTCCCTGTGAAATGTGGCAATGGACAAAATGGGATGGATTTAATGCATCCAGTAGCTTAAGTTTCAGTTACAGTAATTCATTGCATATTTATGAAATGAGGACTAAATGAAGACGTAATTCTGGACAATGCAAGGTTACAAAGCTAATCAGACATAGATCTGCTCTCAAGAAGCTTCTAAGCAAGCTTCAGAAATAGACCAAAAAATAAATGCTTGCACCCAGCATAAATGTTTGGTCCATTGACGGCAATAAAGGAACGTTGAATAGCTGAATACAGGCAGAGAGGGTTGGGTAAGAGCCATATTCAAGGCAAACACACTGGGAAGTTGGAGTCAGAAGAGGGCACTTCTAGCTGGGAGGGCCAGGGAAGGTTTGTGGCGTACCTCAAGGGGAACCAAGCACAAAGAGTCAGGAGTAAGTAGATGGGATGATGAGAAAAGAAATATACAGAGAAACAACAACAGTCACAATGAACAATGATTATTGCTTATTTTACTGAGAGTTTTATGTAATGATTACCTTCTGTCCTGCCAACAAAACCAATTTATAGATGAAGAAACAAATGTAGAGGAATTAAGTGATTTGTCCATGGTCCCAAAGTGATAGGTCCAGTATTCCTGAATTCATTCAATCAGTCATTAATTCATTCAATATTTATTGTCCTCACAATGCCAAAAATTGTTCTAGGTGCTGGAAATACAGAGTGTATCAAAACTGACCCTGTTGCTGTCCTCCAAGATATTGTGTTCTCCTGAGAAGAGACAAGTAACCCATCTCATTCATTCATTCATTCATTCATTCATTTACCTATCCTAGATAGTGATACAGGCCAGAAGGAGAATGCCACATGATAACTAATACATGTTGGGTGAATAGTGTTGAGTGGGAGAGTGACTACTTTAGTAAGAGGGATATGGAAGGCCTGACTGAGGAGGTGTTATATGAACTGAGACCTGAATTATCAGAAAGCAATAACCTTTCAGAAACCTGGAAGAGGTCATTATAGGCCCATGGGGCTACAAATGCCTTGAGGTAGGAACTTACAGGAGGGAATGAAAGCAGGCCATGGAAGCTGCTACAAGAAGAGAGGAAAAGGAGATGACTTGGTGAGGTCATGTAGGATATTATGGAACTTGAATCTTATTTTTTTCAGGAGGAAGTTGTTGTTGGGTGATAAATAAGGAACTGATATGATCTGACTTGTTCTTTCAAAAAGATTACTTTAGCTGCTATGTGGAACTGGAGCAAAGGAAACAGGAATAAAAGCAGACGGACCTGTTGTGCTTTGCAGTAATCTGGGTGAGAAGATGATAGTTGTGCCAGGGTTTCAGCAGTAAATATAGTAGTGGTGGTTGGGTTAGGGACAGGCCAATAGGACTTACTGACACCTTGGAAGTGAAGAGTAAGAAAAAGAGAGAGATAAATAATGGGTGAGTTACATTTTTTATTTCTATTTTGTTTTATCTTTCATTGTTGTGCTTTGGTTTTTGGCCTGCATAGCTAGGCAGACGGTAGCACCATTTATGGAGATGGAAAAGCAGCAAGAAGCAGCAGGTTTTGGTAATACAGGTAAGAGGACCCGGTAGAGAGAAATCAAGAATTCTGTTATATTCCTCTTAAGCTGGACAAATCTGTTAGCCATCTGAATGTGTGTGTTCAGAAGAAAATTGGACATATAGGCAAGAGGTCCATTTTGGTGAATCATCCATGTATAGATGCTCCAGATGCTAGTCTCTCTGATTTCCAAACTGTACCCATTCTGGCTGGAACTTACAGAACTGAAAAGAATTAATGGGAAACCAGATTGAAAGGTGGGTTGGGATTCTGAGGGAAATGTGTAATGAACTAGTTTCTCATCAGTTTATCTCCTGAATGCTGCAGCGGGGTACAATATAGCTAAAGTCCTTTGACTGAGTGGATTTTTGCCACTATTTGCAAAGAAAGATAGTTAAGCTAATTTGAAAATATGCTACAGAAAAAGAAATAAACAATACCTTATAATGGGGTAATTTAAAAATTTGAAAGCAAAATTTAAAACTAAAGATGGAAAAGCTTAGAAATATTTTGGTATTGCTATGGGATTTATGGAGAGCTGTGAGAAGTGGCAGGTAATGTGTGTAGAAATGGCTTTTCTAGAACCACGAGAGACCCTGCTTTAGTGACAGCACAAATAATCTATTCTAGTGAAAAATAGGAAAGGATAGTGAATATATTTAAAATTCACTGAAGAATTAATGCTAATTAGGCTCCAGCAGCCAAGAAGAGACAATGTAATTTATTAGGATCACAGTAGGAAGAATAACAAGGAACTGGACTTTCCAACTGCAACATATGGAAACAATTAATGTAATGATTTAAGCTCTATTGTGAAACAAACCCCATTGTCTCTTAATACTGCTAGAGCAACCAATTGCTTTAGTAAAGGGAGTTCTGGGTGTCCCCAGAATATTTATATTTTAGTAAATTTTTGGAAAGCAGATATGATTTGGTAGCCTTTACTGAACACTGCAGTATACAGAGCATCTTGGTAGGAAGGTAACCTGCATGGATGATTCAGGCCCCATCTCAAGGAGCTTATCTATCAGCTTCGAGCAATATTCTGAAACCAGGCACAGCCATAATTGCTAATACCACAAGGCAGCAGATGTGGGCCACTGGCATGACAGAAAGTGCCACCAGGACACAGAAGTAGGTTCCACGAATTCTGGCTCGGGCATTCAAATAGGTCTTATGGAGGAGGAACATTTTAATTGGATACCGAAGGACATGCACACGTGTGCACACGCATGCGAGCACACACACATACACTTTTGTCAAGCAGAGAAGGGGATTTAATTTTATTTATTTATTTTTTAGACAGAGTTTTGCTCTGTTGCCTAAGCTGGAGTGCAATGGCACAATCTCAGCTCACTGCAACCTCTGCCTCCTGGGTTCAAGAGAGTCTCCTGCCTCAGGCTATCAAGTAGCTGAGGTTACAGGCATGTGCCACCATGCCCAGCTAATTTGTGTATAGTAGAGACGGGGTTTCACCATGTTGGCCAGTCTGGTCTCGAACTCCTGACCTCAGGTGATCTACCCGCCTCGGCTTCCCAAACTGCTGGGATTACAGGCGTGAGCCACTGTGCCTGTCTGAGAAGGGGATTTTAAACAGAGTGTGAGCCCAAATGCAGGACAGAAGCAAAGGGAAATGAGGAAGAAGCCAGGGCTGGAAGAGGTGGTAGCACCTTCAGGAAGCATCTTCCCAGCTTCTATATTTAAAGGGGAAATTATTACAGGGATACACACATACACATACCAAAGAACAGCTATCGTTTCCCAGCCCCGGTGTCTTTAGACTCCTTTCCTCCCATTCGCCGGTTTCTGAGGAGCAGTTAAAGCAAAGGGAAATATCCATGGGAAGAAGATGGTCTCTGGGGAACTGAGAATGAGTAGGAGAAGCCTCATGTTCTTCATCCTAGGCAAGCTACTGATTTCTGTGTTTTCATCAAAGCCTTGTTTGTAGCTCTGAGGAACACAGGACCAGTTTTATTGGAAAATGTGGGCCAGATTTTTCCGTAAATTTATCTCTTCAAAGTGTCTTTGTAAATTCTTAAAAGCAAGTCAGTTTTATGGCCTTAAAAGAACAGTGAAATTAAATATTTTAAAATTATGTTATTTGAATATCTAACCTTCTTAACTAGCCAGACCAATGTATGTGTATGGCCTGTGGTTTCAATGAGAATGGAGGTCTTTTCCAGATGGATTTGTGTGGCCAGGGGTAGCGCCTTGTGCCCAGCGGATAAAAGTGGGGTGTTGGCTGCCAAGGCCTGGGAGCAGAGGCTTTGGAGTCAGCCCTGGTTACATCCCACGACTGCAGAGGGGGGTTGTTACTAAACCCTGTGTTTCAATATGTATATAAAAGACATAAAACAATACCTCCTTCCTGGGGTTGCTGAGATGATTGCAAGTGAATCTATGTGTTCCACACTGTCAGCTCTCTGTGGGGCTAGGTATATAAAAGTGAATCCTTTACCTTCAAAGTGTTTACACCCAGAGGAAAAGATGGACAATGGAAATGAATAGTTTATGCAAGTGATCAAATTGATTTTCATTTCTTTAAGGAAAAGCATCCCCTAGATGCTTAGATGTTTGATGTTGTTAGACACAACGTCAAACACTTAGAAGTTCAAGAGCTGGGGAATAAAATTTTGACAACTATAGCTTTGGCATGGTCTAACAGAGACAAATGGTGACCTGGTGGATTCGCATTCCCTACACAATCTGGGGGAAGAAAATAGACTGGAGGAAAAACTGGAAATCTGGAAGTGTGCAGGGGACTGACCATTTTGGCAGAGGTGTCTGCTCTCATCATGAATACAATTTCAAAGAATTTATTGTGCACCCTTGACTCAGACTGACTGAGAAAGAATGCAGTAGGGACAGGTGGATTTATTTTAAGACAAAAAAAAGTGTCTCAACTCCTATTAGAAGACACAGATGTCCCCATGGAGACTCTAATCTGAAGGAACACATAGTTCCAGAAGGGATTAGAGGAGCAACAAGCCTTTTCTACTCCACACTTGGGAATGATTCACACACCAGGAAAGCATGTTCCATACTGTGCCTATTCCTGAAGCTGAGTGCATTGACCAAGCCCAAACGGGCCCTCATGGGAAGTAGCCTGCAGCATCAAAGGTGCTTGTTTCCCTGACTCCCTTCAGCCCAGCCATCTTCACAATTCCACGTTACCTGCACACATTCCTGTCTTCTTCCACTAAACCACAAACTGCCTGAGCAAGGTCTAGGTACACTCAGGCATTTCTCCTCCCAACATCTAGCACAGCAGACTCTTTTGTGAACAGTAGCCATTTGACAATTGGCTGTAAAGTAAAGAAGATGCTGGAACTATAGGAGATGAGCAGGGCTACCAGCCTTACTTTGTTAAGTATATCCACAAACCAAAGGAGGCCAACCCCTTTCCACAACTGAAACCAACATCATGAACTGAGTTGGTTTATACTGAAAACTTCATCCGAAGGAATGCTTACTCCAGAGAGCAAGCTGCATTACTGATGAGGTTAAGGTACCTAGCATACCTAGCTAACTAGCTATCCATTACTGAATGATTGTTATTAATATGTTCCTCCTGCTAAACTAAGTGCTATTCATGAAATATCATTTAATCCTCACAATATCCCTTTAAGGTAAGTATTTTCATATTAACCCCCTTTCATAAATGAGGAAGGTGAGACTGAGAGGAGCTAAGTAATGATCTCCAGAACTAGCAAGGGGTGATCTTGGGCTCAGTCTTAGGGATGACGGTGTCTGGCACCAGCTCATGACAACCAACTGTGCTTTCATCTTCCTCAATTCCATGTTCAATGACTTCACTTTGGTAGCTTGAAATTGGCTGCAATGGGAGTATTTACACCACAAAAATCAGCAAGCATTACCAATCAGGGCTTTTTTGTTGTTAAAGAGCCAATTCTTATCAGCATGTCCACTGCCTAGGGCTGTCTGATTCCAAAGACTCTGTGCTAAGGAACCACTACTCCCTGTGTACTTGAAAAATAATAGCACATGAACTCAGCAATAGCTGAATGTTGAAATAAGAAGGACAGTGCGTATTAATGAGTGCAAACAGAAGGATAGGTATGTAGCGAGGCTGTGAATATTAAGATTTGTCAAGAATCCCCAGCATACAGGGGACAAATACAATATCTGGAAGACTCATGTCATCAGGAAGTTAAGATCTTGTAAAGCAGAAGGAAGAATAGTTCATCAATCTCCACCAGAGGCTAGAACAAATAACCCTCAAGAGCAGCCAGTGTCCCCTCTCTGGTTCCTGGAAGGAAGAACAGACACCAGCATTCTGGTAGGATGCAAGGTATACATCCAATCATAATGGCAAAAAAAAAATGGCATTTCAATCAGCTCCTATAGACCTATTCATCAGTTCTCTAATGTTTTATAACTCTTAGGTGGACAGGTGAAACTTTTCTTCACCGTATACAAAGGTTAGCACCCAGCACTCTCTTTGGGTATGACTTCAATTATTTCCTACAGAAATAAAGTGAAAAGGAGAAAGAAAATGGAGAGAAAGAGAAAGAAGGTGCATATATATATATATATATATATATATATATATATATATATATGAACATACAAAGTGGGTGTTTAACAAATGCTCGCTTAAAGAATAAGAAAAGATAATGAAGAAAGGAGGATTCACTTATGATTTCACTTTGATCTCTCACCATCTAATATCTAGATCGCTGACATAAGAACGTACCTAAGGCAGACCCATCTGGCTTTAAATTAGGATGGAAGGCCCAGTTTCATTTTTCTGACATCCCTGCATTCCATGGCGATGTGTGTAGCCCACAGTGATGAGGGTCTGGCTAACAAAGCGCTGAGGCACAATCAAAACTCCTGCTATGCAACTTTGGGGAGAATCTTTCCAAATCATGAGTGATGGACATCCAGAGCAGGGACCCACTGGCAACATGATAAGGAACAAGTCCTCAACAGCAGCTAAAAGGAAAAGGGAGTGAAGGAAGAAAATAACCAATTTCAGGAGAGGTCTAGAGCTCTGCCTTCACCTTGGCAATAGCTTTTTCCCTCACTCAGGCCAGAATTACAAGGGATAGCTGGGATATAGTTGCAGATAAAGTACAAGCAATTCTTTAAATCATAAAACCCTAAGACAAGCATCAAATGCTGATTTGTATGGTGCTCTCTAGAGTCCTGCTTGCTATAAAACGCTATCCTAAGGTATCTATAGTTGTAAACTTCCATTTTAAGATTCATAACTCTACACAAGTTTAATGGAAATCAATAGATCCAGGAATCCTATATTCTTTATAATTAGGAGAAATGCCAGTCTTCATCACAATCCAGGGTGAGATCTGTTTCTTCACGTGCCCCGACACTTTTCCACACACTGAATATGAGAGACAAATATCACCATTTATGCCTCACTGGGCAGGTGCATTTTGAAGCTAAATTATAAAGATAAATGGAGCAGGTGGGACTCAGAACAGGGCTGTAGAAACAAGAGATGAAAACAGAAGGGAGAGCAGAAGGAGAGGGGAGTCAGTGTTCAGTTCTGGAGGAAGTAATCCAGAGATACTTTGCAGTATTCCGGTGTGATCCATACTCGTTTCTGGACAGCTTCCGACTGCAGTGTCTTCACAGGCCTTATTTAAATGTGGATCTTCATGCCTGGCACCAGTCCAAGGCAATGAGCATGGCCGTCACAATGGTTTGTTGAATCCTGGTTCTGGGACACAATTTTATAGATGGTCCATGTCTTGGGCTCAGATCCTCCAGGAAGCAAACTGAGGTGGAGATGAGCATGTAGCTTAAAGTGTCAACAGCTGTGGGGCTGTAAAGGGAGTAGGATTGGGCAGAGGCAGAAAACGAATGACAGAAGGCATTAGTGGATCCAGGAGGAGCTCTGGAGCTGGGAAGGTACTGCAGTGTTGTTCTGCTCTGAGGGAGGCAGGCCAGGCATTTGGACCTATCCCTGGAGAGGGCAAAGGGGCTCTCTTCACCTGAACGCTATTCCTAGAATCAGCTGAGAGTCATCAACTGCCAAAACTTCCAGAAGCAGGAGGAATTGGTGACTTAGTCCTGGAGGGGCCTGCACAGCACACCCCCAAAGGTAAGAGTGGTCAAAGGTGCCACTTATATGCAAAACTATTAAAGCACTTCCTCTGATTTTCAGTGGGGTCAATGACTATAGTTTTTCTTCAAGTAATCATCTTCATATACATTCTTTGCAGAAAGCCTCATTCCTCCAAACTAAAACATGGCAATGCAATTCATCTGCTCTCTTCATCCCAGAAAGAACTCTGCCATCTTCCCTACCCTACCTACCACTACTGTCATAGGAATAGAGCATGAGAGACCAAATCTCCAGAAGGAAGAGAAGAAGACCTTATGCCTCCAATGTCTTCATTCCTTGACCACTTTCCTCATGGTCAGGTGAATTCCTACTGAAATCCTCTTTCCGGCTCTTCTATCCCTAACAGATGAAATCAACCTACTGAAATCCAGGTCTACTAGTGAAATAAAACTAGGCATATTTTTTCACTGGATGAACATACAGCATGAAGACAGGCACATATTCTGCTTGATAATTTCCTGTTCTGTACTTTTAACATTTATTTTAAAACCCTGCTTATCCTGGAGCAATCTATTTCTCCAACCAAACATGAAGCAAATGTCTACTGTTTCCTGCGTTCCTTGTTTAGAGGGCCAGAGGTATTAAGATCCAGAAACATGATTGAGGAAATTCCATTTAATTGATAGTTTATTGGTTGCAAAACTATAAGCTCATTGGAAGTAGGAAATGTATCTTACTGGACTTGACATCTCCCAGAGCCCCTGGTAGAAGCTGCTGTTCATGTTGAGCCCTCAATGCTATTGGGCTGAAAAATGTTATAAGAATTATCATCTGTTTCCTAGATGAAGAAGAGTTCAGAATATCCTTGAAATATTTAACTTCTGCAGAAAAGTGCATGCTGTATCAGTTTAAAATACTATGTAATATTGATGTAGAGTTTTTCCAGTTATGACTAGACTCTTCATCCTAGCTTTCAAAGACTCAATCCAGTGTCCACAATTCACCTTGTTCATCTTATTTTGAGCAATTATGTCATTTGGAGTCCATTCCTCAAATGTTCTGTTGTCCATAACATCCTCCTGTATATGAATCCTACCTAAACTATATGTTCTTTTAAAATAAAGATCAAACTTTTATTTATTCATCTTTATATATCTTTTTCTAAGTTGCTCAACTGAGTTTGTGGAAAGTTTTTGAGAGAGATTAAAGCAAACCATTCATGCTACAAAAGAGCAAAACGAAAGATAATTAAAGTATTAAGATCAAAGAAAAGGGGATATTGCAAAAAATGCCAAATGGAAGGCTCAACATTATTGATTCAGTTTCAATCTTGGGTCTGAGCATCCTAAAAGCCAATGGGTAAAAGAAAATAGGAATTGTCCTAGTTCTTATCAGAAAGAAGCAAGCAGAACAGGTCTAAAAAAGCTATGCCTAGTATGATTCTCACAAGGGATTCTGTAATGAGGGATGCAATTAGCATTTCACAGAAAATACATTTAGAAATTGTGTATGCTGTTTCCTACAAGTCCTTCCAAAAATGGTGATGGCCATGTCCTTTTATCACTAATGTACTGCAAACTAACAGCTGCTAGATAAATGTTATCAGTGTTGACAACTCTGGGTGCACATCTGTGTTTAAGCAAAATGTTCCTTTTTTGGGAATACTCTTCTCCAGTACCTTCATGATTTGAACCTTATCTATTCTTCCAGGCTCAGCCCAAAACTCAAACCTGACCTCCATGAAGACTTCCTTCCTCATGTTGATTTTCTTACTCTGCATTAATGTGAGAGTTCTGCATACGGAACTTAGTGTTTTTGTTTAAACATTGTTTTAGAGTTGCTCAGTAAGTATGCCTTTCCCTTCAACTAGCTGGTATGAAACATTAAAGATGGCTGCAATTTCTTTTGTACTTCTCTCATGGAGAAGAAGAGTCTAATTATCCTCCCATTGAATCTGGGCTGGCCTTGGTGACTTGCTTGACCAATAGAATATGGTAGAAGTAATGTCATGGCAATTCAGGCTTATCTTCTCAGACAACTAGCACATTCTCTCTGGACTTCTTAGAACCCTGATGTGCCATGTTGTAGAAATTCTAAGCCATGAGAAAAAGCCACATGCAGGTACTTTTGTTAACAGTCGCAACTGAGCCTAGCCTTCCATCCATCTATTTTATGAACTAGGCCTATGCTGAAGCTGTCCTGGGCTCTCTAGACAGTCCATCAACCAGCTGACCACCACCAAGTGACCTCCATCAATGCCATCCGGAACTAAAGAATTCTCATCCAATTCCTGCCTGAATTCCTATAGAATCTTGAAATCGAATGAAATGTTGATTGTTGTAAGACATTAAATCTTGGGATTATTTGTTATGTAACAATTGATAGCAAATCAGTCATAAGCATCCAGAGGCTATTTGTTGAAGCGATTGGATAAATGAAGTAGAATACATGATGTAAATCTAAATCATGTATTTTACTTCATTTACCCATTCACTTCAACACAGAGCTGTGGAATACCCACCATGTACAAGGCAATGTTGTAGGAGCTGGAGATAAAATGAAATGAATGAGACAAATATCTCTGTCACACTAGTAGGGGAGACAAAGAATGAACATGAAAACAAATAATGTTATTAAATACTTTTGTAATATCCAAATTGCCAGGGACAGCGCTAACTATAGAAAGTAGTGACTAATGAAGGCTGCATTTCTATGCACACACAACACAGCTAAATGTGTCATTCCCAACTTTACCTAAAAAAAAGCAAACAAAGAAACTTAACTGAATCCAAGCATTTAGTAGACTAAGTTACTAACAAGACAAGTCAGATAAGCCAGAGAGGTTTATAAACAACACATTTCTAGTACAAATGGGTATAATGAAAAGATGTTTACCTGTTTTTTTTTTTTTTCTGAAAAGCAGTGTCTTCTTTGCCTTTGGAGTCCTAAAACTTTTATTAGGAAAAAAGGGGGCAAACCCCCAGCTTTTCAGAAATGTAGGTTATTCCCTAACCAGCGTAGAATGTATTGCTCCATAAAATGTCAACATCAAAACAGTATAGAAAAAATAATTACAGACAGTATTAGTGTTGTAAGCTGATAAGGACCAGATGGTCTTTTGTATTTATGGTTTTCCTTGTGCATACAAATGCTTTGGGGATCTAATTAGCCTTCTACAAAACTCAAACTGGGTAATTACTATCATTATCCCCTTTTCAAATAAATCTGAAGTCTAAACTGCAATTATGTTTTTTATCTTACATTTGGTATTCGCACATTTTAAGAATTGTTCTTTGCCATCTACTCAGAAAACTTCTTAACATGGACTGAAGTATATAAAATGCAGGAAGATTATCAAAAAAACACTTTTTGGAAAAAATGGCTCACTCTGTTAGAGGAAAGTGCTGACAGCCATGGAAGCAAGCACTTCCTCAACAAGTCCCGCCTCTGTCATATTTTCACTCCAATCAAGAAGAAAGTCCCTCTTCCCCAAGACTTTATATTTCCAGTTATGCTTTGCACAGCAAAAGAGAAGAATCACTACATGGAGACATAACCAGTCACGCATGTTAGAGAAAGGATTCTCTGTGAGATGCGATGTGGCAGCCGCTTCAATTAACTTCTGACTCTGCCCCCAAAGTGCAATACCTGGGCCAGCAATGAGCTATGAAAAGGCAGCAGTGCGCATAACAAGCCTGGTATGTCATCTTTATGGGTTTTTTGGCCTCAGGACAGTCAAGTCACGTGGTAACATCTCTGTATTGCAAAGCAAAGGGGACGTAATCACATGTGTCCGTGAACTCATAATAGAAAATTCATAAAAGTCTATCTCCAGTGAGAAGTATGTGAAAAGGGGTGTTAGGAAGTGAACATTTTATTTTAGGCACAAGGCCAAGGATCAGAGTTATCGGGGGGGCGGGGTGGTATGTGTGTCTTCCTCGATAGAACAAAACACAGTGACAGGTATCAGAAACTACTTCTTCCTCAGCATCACCCAGTGAGGAAGTCAGGAATATTCAGGATGTTGGCTTGACATCTCAAAATTTAGCATTATGATTACTGATCCAGGGGTCAAAATCCAAAAATAATTGATAGAGGGAACCCTCAGACCTGCAACTCATGAACATAATTGATAGAGAGAAAACCCATGACCTGCAACTGAGCAGGGTACTTGGCACTAGGGAGGCACTTTTACTAAAAAGAGATGCTATATGTCAATGCAGGCTTCAGAGGCACCCCCACCCCTGGCCTGCCTGACAAAAGGATGGCTCTGGGGCTGCCACCTTGGCCCCCGGCCCTGGAGACTGCCCTGGGCTGCCCTCGCAGGCAGCAGCAGAGGCACCCAGGCATTGACAAGGATGGCTGCAAGGTCAGCACTTTATTCTCCCTGATATGATGACAGTAACCTTTGCAATGCACTGAAAAGAATCTAGAAGGCATGTAGCCATTCTTTTATCCATTCAACAAATATTTACTAGGCATCTACTTAGTGTGATAAATCACATGAGGCAATTTGTGCAAGTTCAGATGTCAACAAAACATTGGCCTTGGAAATATTGTCAGGTTCCAATCATAAAAGTCCCCTACCCAATACCGTATGAGAACAAAAGTGCTTAGGTGGCTTGGTGTGTTTGCACACAAGCAGTGGTAAAGTTTTTGCATCTTAGGCTTCTGTGAGAGCCTGGGGTGTTTATGGGCAGTGATCACAATTGGGGAATTCATAATGCCAGGGACTGTCTTCATCTATCTCTGAGTGTATATATCTCCTTGTAACAGCACCTTAATATTTGTACAGTCATTTTTATAGTTTACAGTGTATCTTTACCCTCATCATCCTCCTTGTTGGAAGCATAACAAGTGATCTTATCCCAATTTCACAGATGGACAAGATGGATGGGAGACATTAAGGGACTTGCCCAAAGCTATGCAGCAGTAAGAATCCTAAGCAGGACTCACATGCAGGTTTTCTCACTACATGAAAAACCTACAAACTTTCTGGACACTGCACTGGCTGATGAGGGTTTTTCCTGAAGCCTCTGAGCAGAAGTTGGGTGTCAGGGCAGCTCACTGCAGGGCTGTCTGGGCAGCTTGTTTAGGTGACTTAGGCTGCTTGGCATCTTAAATGCCCCTTTGCTTCTGACGGTGCAGGTCCAAAGCCCAGGGGAAATTTGAATTAGGGCAAGACCACAGTATCTGCATTAATTTGCAACCTGATGTAATAGAAAGAACAAAGATTTTCAGTTAGTAGGTTCAGGTTCAAGGCTCAGCTTGGTCCACATGAGCTCCATGAAGTAATTTAATCTCTTTGGGATTTGGCTTCGTTATAAGAAATCATGTCTGTGTTGTGTAGCAATTTAAAGCAAAAGATAAGCATCCTGAGGCTGAAATAATGTATTCTGCTTCATTTATTCATTCATATTACCTCACAGGGTCACTAGGATAATTGAATGAGATGGCATGGACAAAGCCCAGGTACAGTGCATGGCAGAGTAAGGGTTAGCTCTGTTCCATTTTCTGTCAGATTTTCTGTGGGTTTTGTTTTACTCTGCAAAGGAGAGAAGGATATGCTTAAGAGTTCCCATCATGGGAATGCCCCAGGACTCTAGGCATCTAGAGAAAGCCTTTTTGCTGGCTAAATGTCAGCAAGGCAGCTGGAGGGAAGTGTCAGTCATGACATAGTCTGCTGTCTCCCAGTAAGTAAAGGGTAAGAAGCCCTGTCTCAATGCTCTCTAGAAATGCTCAGCCAATCCTCAAATGGGCAGTAATGCATCACTATCTGCCTTGTTTAATGATGGAAATTAAAGGCAAAAACAATAGCAACCATGTCTGCATTTTCATAAGCATTTCTTGCTGATTTAAATATAGTCTGTGAATTCTCTGGTCAGGATGAAATCCAAAATACCTTCCATATCCACTTAGCAGAATGGGCTTCCTGCCAGTCAAATGGTTGTGTGGGGCCCAGAAAATAATTGAGATGACAGTCCAGTTTTGCACTGGAGGTTAAAATATCAAATTGTATCAGTTCTATGTCTGATGTTGATTCATCCTGCCAGCTTACTGGGTTCTGAGGATGACAACTAAAGCAGTGAACTGGCCATGTTCCCACATGAGGGCATCTCTGAGTCATGGCACTGGAGAACCCAAAGGCAATCACAGCACAGGGTGAAGATGGGAAAAGAGGATGAGGCTTAAAGCCCAGGCAGATCTGGCAGAAACTTTTCCTCTACCAGCATCCATGGCTGGCTTGGATCAGTTCCTCAGGTTCTGAAAGGCAGAACACAAAGGAAGATCCACAGCCCCCCTTTTCAGATACATGCATTTCATGACCTGCCACAGCTGTTCCCATTTGGAAGAATGGACATGTGGTCCAGGTTGGATCAATGGCTTTCATGAAAATTCAGACTTCCTCAAACGGCTTCTACAAGTGTGCATTGTGCCTCCCTTCAACCTCATGTTGCAGAGATCTCAACATTCCAGTAGCATTTGGTATTGGTATATACTTTTTCAGCTATTAAGAACCATTGTTTTTGTTTGCTTGAGTTTTACAGTTATAGCAATAAACTTTGTTTCTAAACTTAACATAAATGATAAAGTGACAAAATGATTATAGCATGTTTGCAGGGGGTACCCCCAAAAGACATATCTATTCTAGCCCTTGGAATACGTGAATGTGATGCTATTTGGAAAAAGGATCTTTGTAGATATAATTAGGTTAAAGACTTCAAGATGAGATCATCCTAGATTACCTGGGTAGACCCTAAATCCAATGACAGATATCCTTATAAGAGAAAGGCAGAGGGGGATATGGAACATGGAGTGGAAAGCAATGTGAAGACAGAGGCCGAGATTGGAGTGACGCAGCCTCAAGCCAAGGAATACCTGGAGCCACTGGAAGCTGGAGGAAGCAGGGAAGAATGCTTCCCTAGAGCCTTCAGAGAGGGCATGGCCTTGCGGAAACCTTGATTTCAGACTTCTGGCATCCAGGACTGTGAGAGAATAAATGCCTGATGTTTTAAGCCATGAAGTTTCTGGTAACTTGTCATATTGGCCCTAGGAAACTAAAAAGCTATTAGAGTACATTTATAATTATGCAGATATTTAGCATATATGTTAAATAAATATATAAATACATATTATGTATCTGGGGAGAGAGAGATATATTGAGAGAGAATGCATAGTATATGGTGAACATTTTTTGTGTGTGGTAGGGGACAGGGTCTCTCTCTGTCATCCATGCTGGAGTGCAGTGGTACAATCTTGGCTCACTGCAGCCTTGATCCCTGGGCTTAAGGGATCCTCCCACCTCAGCCTCCCGAGTAGCTGGGACTACAGGTGCATGCTATCATGCCTGGCTAATTCTGTATGTTTTGTTGAGACAGGGTTTCACCATGTTGCCCTGGCTGGTCTCAAACTCCTGAACTCAAACAATCCACCTTCCAAAGTGCTGGGATTGCAGGTGTGAGCCACCATGCCCAGACCAGAACACTGTTTTTCTATCACGTAGTATCTAAATTCCTTCATCATCCTGGGTTGAATGATGGACAGGAAGCCACATTCACATTCACCAACTGTGCCTTATGTTGGGGAAAGAAACAGTGACACAACATTGGGGCCCATAAAATGGGAATTGAGAAAGAAAACAATACAGGGCTACCTTTTACTCAAAATGATTCATTAAATACTCTATACAGTTGGCCTACCTGAAAGAGTTCATACTAACTGCATTCATAAAATAAGTATTAAAAGGTGAAAGTGCAGTGTGCTCAATATTTAAAGGACTATCTGGCATGAAACTTACAGCAATGATTCATATAAACTATTTTATGACTCTGTGTCCTTACTTTTATGTGTATGCATTTACACTAAAACTTTCTCATGTTTCTAACCTGTTCTATTAATAACAATAAAATAATAGTCATAATGGCAGTAATTAATAATTACTGAGCACTTAGGACTCAGGCACCAGGCTAAGCTGTTTATGTGCATTATTTCATTTAACAAATCCATAGAGTTCCTCTGAGGAATGTACTATCATATCTGTTTTTAGATTTAAAAGCAAACATCATGTTCAGCAGGATGAAGCACCTCACCCTGGCTGGTGGTTCTCACAGTTGGCAGGAGTGAGAGGCTCCTGTCCCACAGCTGCTTGGCCCAAAAGCTCCTGACTCCAAGCAGTATACAGCAGGCTTGAGGGCAGGGAGAACCTAAAATCTGTCCTGAGATTCTCTTGTGTCTTCAGAATCAGTTAGAGGACCCTGATGTAGCCTCTCTAAACTCCCTGTTCCAATATATTTAAAGAAAAAAAGGGCAAAAAAAATCAGAATACTAAAATGAAGACTGCCAGGAACTGAAAGGTATTAAAATGATAAGTAGGGTCTGGCCAAGGACAGTAGGGGAAATCGATGTTCTGAGGAGGAACGATATGGAGGTGGCATGTATAAGCCATTAGGGAAACTGGCCTGGCATTGTCCATGGACGTCGCCGACATCAAACTCATGAACCAATGTAGCTCCGGCCCTTTCCTGTAAGGTGATTATATAAATTATATTTCCACTGCAGAAAACACACTTGTAAAGTGGCTAGGTGTGACTACAACCCAGATAGCCCATAATGCTAAGTGGTGATTCTCAAAAACAGAGTCTACCTATAAATAAACACTGCCACTGACTAGTAAAGGATGAAAATCACAATACAATGAATAGAACCAGCAGGCCCCTCAAATACATCCTCCTCACTGGCTGAGTAGACTCACACAACTCAGGCATTTCTGTTGCAGAATCATTTCTATGCTCAGGTATCTTTTCAAGCACCATGCTCAGACATTAAATGGTTCCCAGCAAAGTGGGCAGGCCAGGTAAGTTAGGGACCTCAGAGAGAGATGGGGCATGGGGGAGGAGAGAAAGAGAGATTGAGAGAGAGAGAAAGAGAGAAGTGATCTTGATTTTTTTCACAACCACATTGCAGTGCTGTTTGTAAAGAACTACAGGACTCTGTGATGCTCCCTGAACTATGGAGAGAGGCACCCAGCTCTTGAGTATGCATGGTTCTCATAGTATAATTTATTAGACTTAGAAAAATTAGTTGCTCCCCAACATAAAAAAGATGGCAGACAGCATTAAAGGTAGTTTCTGGGGACGTTTGCTCTAGAGTGGCAGATACTAATGATGAAGCCCTGGAGATCCTAGAAGGTGTTACACTCATTAATCTCCCATCCATCATGCAGGTACTGATTCAGATGGAAAGGGCTAGATGGTTGATTCCTGACCAAGAGAAGATTTGGTCTGGAAGTCAGCCTGGCTTAATTCATTTGTGTCTGTGCCTCTAGCTGTTAGCATTAATATACTCATAATATTATAACAACTAATTAATGCATTAACCTAGAGAAATGTGGGTAAATGGGAGAATAAAATGGGCTGATTATGCTTGTAGGCATGGAATCTGAATTTTCTTAGTCAGACATGGCTTATATGAGATTAGTAGGGGCTCCAAGAAGTTAATAATCAATCAGTGAATAAGCACTCTTATAGTCTGAAACATGACTAATATCACTACCAGACCAATCGTCATTGGGTTCCTTTAAAAACACTGACAGTTCACAAGAAGGGATTAACAGGTATTGGAAATCAAGTATGCTCAGCACAATTGGCCAAGTTTCACATACTCCTTCACGTGCACAACCCAGGATAGCAAAATTTACATCGGAATGTCTTCATGACTTCTGAAAATTATTGGTGCTGACATTTCCTATGAGACGTGCTTCAAGTGTCCAATTCAATTGTAAAATTCAGTGGGTCCAGATGTGTAGCAAAAAGTAGGGGAACCACATTTCAGAACTCGTATTCATTTAGATTTAAATACAACTCCAAGCAATGCTTTCCCCATTTATGAAATCTGGGCTCCAAAAGTCCAAATTCACAATACAGCTTATTTTAATTCACTTACAGGTAAATAAAGAATAAGAGAGATGCTATAAAAATCGACAATCACAGTGGAATACACTGGAGATCTTAGCTAAGGCAAACTCATGTGGAAACAAGAGTAAAGAATGCCCAAGACACAAAGGTCCTAAAAGGCCTCTGACTGCTTTACTGCATTTGGTTCAAGATCACGTTCAATAGATTATGAAAAGACGTATGAGTTCAGGGTTAGATACATACTTGCATATACATGCCTGTCTGCTCTCCACATTACTTAATGTAGCTTAAATTTAATATGCAAATGGTCACCCTATCACCCAGTCCAATGAGTACCTCTCAACCTTTCTGAAAGGCATCTGACAGAGTTCTATTTATTGAAGGTAAAGTCAATAAAATGCATATAGTGACATTCAGACTTCCACATGACTGTGATCCATCCCAGAGTATGCACCAAACATAACATGAAGTACATGGACCTCCCAAACCTCAAGAGTATCTGTCACCTGAAGGAGGGATATGCAGTATATTAAGGTAAAAAACGCAATATCCAAACAGCATGCGGCTTTTGCTGAGATTCTAATTTATTTCCAGGAACTCCATATGCCTGACAGGCTGGTTCATTTATTTTGAAAACCAAAGCCTCATGTATAATAAGGGATGTCATTATTTAGAATATGATAGAGTCAGAATCATTTACATAGTATATAGGATACATATTCAAAAGCTCAGCAAGGAAAGACAAACCCCATTATTCATAGTTACCTTGCTCTTATTTCCTTGGGAGATCTTCATAACCACACAGAGGCACACAGTCATGAAGTTACTATAGTTCTTAACGTATGTTCCTGTCAGCCTGTAGGTTAGCTGACTACTTAGTGGAAATGAAAGGTGCATTGCTATTTGCCAAGCCCTTCTCTGAGAAAGGCATTTGTGACTTCAGTGCCATTAATGACAGAGAGATTCTGCAGTTATTGCCATTCTTTGGAATGATTCATTGCAAAAGTGAGAGAATTTAATCTTTTCAACAAGCTGGAGGCAGTTTACATTGTCTTTATTTTGTTACTGAAACAAATGGTGCAAAAATGAAAATTCATCCTTCCTGACCCCCTCTTAGCCATTCTCTCTTTTGAGCCATCCTCTCTTCTAAGATAACAGGACAATAGGGCTAGACACCTGTAAATCACATCTGGGGCTCTGAGAAGAAAGAGTATGCAAGAAGTCTCATGCTTCTTCTCTAACCAATACTCAATGGGGCAGTGGGTTTCCAGTCATTCCTTCTCTCACTTACACTAATTCTCAACAGGCTATCAGCTTTGTGAGAGAGGAAATGTCTTTTCCCTTTTGTGTATCTTTGTATTTCCCTTGTCATTTTGATCCTGACTGACTCTCCCAGCCTAATGCCTGGCACTGAACATTTGTTCATTAAAGGTCTGCTGTTGTTGAATGACCGATCCTTTGAATGCTGACAGAAACGGGCAAGTTGGAGGAGGATGAAGGAACCACTCACAGCTGCATCTGCAGTGATGGCCAGAGGTCCAAGTAGAGAGGCTATGTAAGACCAGCACTGATGTCATGGGTGATATTGACATTTGTAGCCAAGATAACTTAATTTTGCTTTGGATGTGTCATTAAGTTATTTGAAAAATGACACAGCTGAGGCTAATGATGAAAAGAACACAGCTGGATTGTCATGGTTCCTTTGACAGAAACAGGCTTCCTGAGCAATATAGTCTACACTACTCGCCTAAACAAAAGAGAGAGTTCTGAAGCCTGAAGCCCAGTGAAAGCAGAGTCTTCAGTAAATTCCAAACTGTGCTACTCAATAGAAAGCCCAATAGCTGTCATGAATCTTGCTGACTTTACTTTTTTATCACAGATTGATTTCTTCTTTATTGTTGGATCTTTGTTTCTCACTGCCTAAAAATGTTTTTTTAAGAGCTACTAAAACTCACTGCCCAACAATTAAGATGATCTAATTTGTCTAAATTCTACCACATGTGTCCCTGACCCAGTAAGTCCTTTAAGAAGATGTAACTGAAAGGAATGTAATTTCTGAAGAACTCTGACTGGAATATGGATTAAGGATAAGGTAATGACAAGTCTCTGATTTATAGAAAGAAGAGTCCCTAGTATAACTTAGCCTTAGCTTTTCTTTTTTCCTGCCCAATCACATATCACGGCCAAAGTCAAAGGAAATCTCTGAATCTTTTAAGAATAGAAGACCTGCAGGGTGCAGTGGCTCACATCTGTAATCCCAGCATTTTGGGAGGCAGAGTGGGTGCATCACTTGAGGTCAGGAGTTTGAGACCAGCCTGGCCAACATGGTAAAACTCCATCTCTACTAAAAATACAAAAATAGCCAGGCGTGGTTGCACCCACCTGTAGTCCCAGTTACTCGGGAGGCTGAGGTGGGAGGACTGCTTGAGCCTGGGTGGCAGAGGTTGCAGTGAGCCAAGATGGCACCACTGCATTCGAGTCTGGGCGACAGAGTGAGACCCTGTCTCAAAAAAACAAAAACAAAACAAAACAAAACAAAACAAAAAAGAAGACCTTGTAGGAACTGCTTACATCTATTTCTAATACTTTGTTACTGAACACCCAATGACCCAATATAGTTTTCATAAGGAAATTATGGCTACTTCTTATTGAAATATTTATTTTGAGTTGCAAGACAGAACACTTTTCTCCTATGCTTTAATCTTCCCTTAACAAAAAGATTGTAAGTATTTAAGTCACTCCAGTTACATTGAAAGAGAATAATCAGTTTCTGTTCAGTGCTAGCTGAGTTAAATAGCAGCTCTGTTTCCAGAAAGATAATAATGTCAAAAATTAGACAGAAAACAGCAGGCATTCTGGGGAATTTAACTGTTGAACAAATGGCTGGAAGGTGCTTCAAAGTCAATTTAAATAATTTTAAAAAAATCACACCCTGAGTTGAAGCCTAAGAACTCTTCTTCTCCATATAATTAAAACATAATGCGTAAGAACTCATCAGACAGTGATTCCTGATATTTTAATAACAAAGTAGAAGGCCTTCATGATATGGCTTATTATCAAATATATTTCATTGTACTAGAGATTAAATCAATTCCAGTGGAAAACTAACTATAGCATGTAGAAGAAGCCTGGTTCAACAAACTCTTCTATGAAATGGGTTTCTCCATATCAGTAACACAAAAATGTCCTGCTGAAAATTTTGTCTTAAATATTCTGTAGGAGAGTAGGTCAGAGTGATAAAAAGAAAAAAAAAATCTGAATCTAAGCATCATAGTATGCTCAAGAATGCACAGACCTCATGATGATAGAGGAACAGGGGAGCAGCACAAGGACTGCCCCAGAGCTGCTTATGTAAGTGTGTCCAGGCTGCCATCACCAAAGACCACAGACTGGATAGTCTAAACAATAGGCATATCGTTTCTCACCATCTTGGAGCTAGAAGTCCGATATCAAGGTATCAGCATGGCCAGTTTCTAATAAGGGCTCTCTTTATGGTTGGTATGTCTTCACAAGGCCTTTCCGCTGTGGGTGCTCAGAGGGAAAGAGGGATGGTGGAAAGAGAGAACGCTGTGTGGTCTCCTCCTATAAGGACACACTAATCCTACTGGATCAGGGGTCCATTTTTATGACCTCACTAAACCTTAATTACTTCCTTAGAGGCTCCTTCTCCAAATACAGCCACACTGGGGGCTCGGCTTCAGCATATGAATTTTTGGGGAACACAAATGTTCAGTCCATAACACTACTTATCTCATTCTTGTACAGTGCTCATTGATTCCTGAGCAATGCTCATATGTTCCTGTGCTGTGTGGAGAGCCAGGTCCTCAAAGTGTGCATAACTGGCCCCAGCTGAGGAACTCCTGCAGAGGATCTCAGTACCTCTGCTTGCTGAAGTCTGCAAGAAGCCCTGCGCTCTACTCTTTGGAATAGATGAGCAGTAATCATGATTCAAAGATAAGAAAATAAGATTTATTAGAAGCAGTCAAGAACAAGAATTGTCCAGCTGAGTGAAGATGGAGAGGACTTAACAATCTTCAGTATAGGAGGAGATACTATGAACAAAATCCTGTCTGGCTGTTCCTTATTCTAGTCAGGAGAAAATAGGATGAAGCTACAACACTGGGAAACTCCTTGACAATACAAATTTTTCTACTGACCATGAGGATTCAGAGATAGGGAAATAGAAAACAAAAGGGGGATTTGGGTTCCCAAAAGCTATAAAGAATAGGCTGGGATCCAAAATGGCCAGAAGAAATCCTGGTAGGTCAGAACCTCAACACAGAGTCTATCATGTTAGTTCCTGTCTGTTGTGTTTGGGATGCTACCCATTTAATAACTCACTGCAAAAATCTCTGCATTTCTGAATCTCTGTGTAGGGCTGCTGTAGTCTAGAAGATCGCTGCTTATAACATAACCTTCTAGTCAGCAGTGGACAGAGGTGTCTCACTTCCTTGTCATAAGGACTGAAAAGTTATGTGCATACCATGATCAGCACATACTCATGTATCAGTCTGTGCTTGGAACTGTTCATTTAATATCTGTATCCACAGCACTTAGCACAGTTCTCAGTACATAGAGACAACAGATACATTAATCTTTCTATCCTCAAGTAAAAATAATGACAGGCAGGCAGAAGATGAACCTAACTGAACCCTGACATGCTCAATTTTACTTTTTCTGTTAACTTCACTTATTGAAAATCACTTTTAAAACAACATCATTGTAAAGGGGGTTGACAATGATCAGATTCATATTTATGAAGTGATACATTTCTCCTTCTATCCTTTGCCTCCAATTGACCCATAAGTGGCAGGATGAGCAAGAGCCTGGTAGACACGGTTTGTTGATCAATGTACTGTTTAAAAAGAGGTGTTGACTGTTTGTCATCCATATGCTAAAAAATTTGCTTTTTTATCCCAATCCCCGTGTCAGTCCTCTGAATTTGAGGACACAGAGAATGAAGGACACACTGTGGAACTAGTCAACAGTCTACTAGATTATGCTGACCCCCACTTATTGACATTTGTAAAGTTCACATCATCGTCCTAATTTTTAGGATGTTGGCAAACAAAATAATGTTCTTAAAGTCACTCTCTGACAACACATTTGGCTGATGCTGGCCTGGAAGACATAACCATCACATTTTCTGTTATCTGGGGACATCCATCAGATAAAAAAAAAAGACTGAGCCCAAGTGAAACTAGGACTCCCTTATATCAAGGCTGTGAAAGCTGTCTTTTCTATTTAAAAAATTACTGACTCACAAGAGATTCAAAGTTCCTCAGTTGAAGTCCTCTTGTAAGTGAAAAGTTCCTTTTGTTTGCAAAGCCATTTATGCATAAATAAACAGAGTTGGTGACAGTCAACCCACACCTATGTCATAGAGCATTAGAGAATAAAAGAAAAATCAAGAACCAGGAACATACCACTTATCAAATAAACACAGTAAATTATAACACCATGATTGTAGTTAATTATTATCCACAAAGGTAGCAGGTACAAAATAAGGAGAACTGTGATGAGAACAAGGATCAGGGGCAATGTTCCATAGCACATGAGCCACTTTGTTAGGGGCAGTGACTGTAACTCACACTCTAAGATGTGTTTCTCCAAAGACTGAGGAGTGAAGAGAGGCACTTCCCTTCTGACCTAAGGCTGCAACAGGAATTAACCTCTGATGATACATCTCAGGTGACATCTGGACAAGCAAATTTACTAGCCAGAAGGTGGAATTCCATCAATGCCTCTCTGCCTCCTGCCATTGAACCTGCAGCACACGGAACTTCCCTTAGGAACTGGTCAGGGGCTGAGTTCCACTGTGGGAATGTGTGTACTGCCTTGCCTTGTTTACCTTCTTAACTCCTCTCCTTTCATATGCCTCTGAACAGGACCTGGCCCCAAGGAGGCCTCACCTTCTGCCTGCAGAAGAGAAGTGACTGCCTAATCTTCAGGAGCAGTCAGGTCGAGTTCAACAAATGCTTTTTGAAGCCGATTTTCAGGTGGTGATTATCCAGTTGTTGCCTTGCTCATCCCCTCACTGCATACAGCTCCTTTTCCAGTAACCCGTCTGCCTCTCGGCCATTTTGCCTCTCATTAGTGCCTTTCATGAAAGCATCCTGGGAAACAAGGGGATGTGAAATTTAAATGACTGCTGGTTTGACAGCAGGAAAGATAAAAAATACTGAGTGACTCTAGATTTTTATATTTTCCTGCAGATTTAAATTATCCATACTGTGCCTAGTCCTCATTAGCATGGATAGGCAAGGTCTTGCTAGAATGGCTGTATTTAGTATGTGGCAGGTTGTGCAGCAAACTATCCCACAAGTCTTCACAGATGTTCTGTGTTGATGATCTTTTAGAAGGAGTGGCTGAAGCAAAGAAAAATACTACAAATATAATCCTTAAAACAGTAACTGTAAACACAGACTTCCAAATGTTACCTATCACCCTGGCTACATCAAGAACCACTTATTTAAGCTGACATATTTCCTCCAAGAAACTACAAATGCTCTTTATACATTGTACAGCTATCCAGTGAAGGGCCAGAAAAGCTGGCAGCTTTACAGAGGGAGACATAGAGGCAAAGGGAAGCTCAGTGGCTTCCATAATATCGAAGAACACAGAAGCTCTCCATTTTCCCAAGTCACTGGCTCACTGGACAAGGCGCTCAGTGCTCTGAGCTCCACTTTCTGCTTGTCTCTGGTTTACTGAGGAAAAAAAGAATTATAGGTTTTAATTTCCTCATATTTTATTGTAGCAATTAATCCTCTGTATTAGTTCATTTTGGCATTGCTATAAAGAAATACCTGACACTGGGTAATTTATAAAGAAAACGGGTTTAATTGACTCACAGTTCTGCATGGCTGGGGAGACCTCAGGAAACTTGTGATCATGGCAGAAGGCGAAGGGGAAGAAAGGCACGTCTTACATGGTAGCAGGAGAGACAGAAAGCAAAGGGGGAAGAGCCCTTTATAAAACCATCAGATGTCATGAGAACTCACTCACTATCATGAGAAAGGCATGGGAAAAACCACCCCCATGATCCAAACACCTCCCACCAGCTCCCTCCCTCAACACCTGGGGATTACAGTTCTAGATGAGATCTGGGTGGGAACACACAGCCAAACCATATCACCCTCCATTCTGAAAGATCCAAAAGACAAATCAGAGACTCAGTGAGAAGACTGTCATGGTGACCCTTTTTGACAGAGAAGAATCAAACCATGCTGACAATGCCTATAATTCACCAATAACCTGAATGGGTCAGGGGAGAATACACAAGTCTGAGGAACTCACTGTAAAGTTCAAATTTATAGCAGTAAAACTAGAGCTAGATCACTTTTAAACAAAATAGCCACCCTCTCAGTGTGAGAGAAGATTCCAGCTGACCTAGTTTGGTGCTGAAGACCTGAAGGAGGGAAATAAATATCAAAATTCTTGACTTAATACCAATACCAATATGGTTGCTGGCAATTCACATTTTAAACATGTTAGCCCTTAAGCTCACTGCTTTATATGTTGTATTTGTAAATAATAATTTCCAAAAAAGCTGTGAGCTAGATGGTTCATGCTTTCATTTATCTAACTCTATTGATCACCTACCATGAATGCTGCTACTAGCTGAGAATATGGCATGAAGAAGCCATACTTTCTAAATTCATGGAGTTAAGCATTCAATAGGGGTGGGTGAGAACATAAATTACTGCTATATACCTGGGAGAACCTGCCAGAAGGCTGTCACAAGGGGTGATGAGGATCTGAAGCTGAGACACAGAGGAGAAAACACATCCAAGAAATATTTAGGAGGAAAATTGGAAGGGTTTGATAATTCTTTGATGTTGGAAGTGAGAAAAATTAGAGGAGGATGGCTTCAGGTTTTTAGCTTGGTTGACAGTGGGATCTCCGTTGGGGGAAAACATACTGTGGAAGGTTTAGTGAGAAGACAACAAGTTTGGTTTTGGACAAGCTGAGCCTAAGGAGCTGACAGGGCATCCAGACACACATATACTCAGCACACAGAGATATCTATGAATCTGAAGCTTAGGTAAGACACAGTCAAAGTTGTAAGTACCTGTGGGTGCCATCAACAGATATGTGGTAGTTAAGCTACAGGAATGGATGAAATTGCTTGGTCTGTAGGGAAATAAAATTAGAGGGCCGAGCATGGTATCCTGGGGAAAACCAACAGTTACAGAGTAGGATGAGGAATTGGAATCATCAAAGAGACCAAAGGGCTGATTAAGAGAGCACAGTGTCACAGGCATCAAGGGGCAAGGAATTCCAAAGTGGGAGTGGCCAGCCACATCTAGTGTTCTACAGTGAACACACATGCCATTTCATTCAGCAGGTAGGGAGGGCCATGCGATCCTGGCAAAAGCATTTTCACCCACACAAGAGAGGTAGAAGCCAGATGGAGAAGGACTGATGAGTGATTAAGATGAGAGGAATTAAGAAATGAGTACCAATTACTGTCCAATATCTGAGCGCACACCAGAATCACCCAGAGAGCTTGCTAAAAAAAACAAAGATTTGGGTCACACCCTGAATCTTCTGAATCAACCCCTCTGAATGGAGACCTACAAATATGTATTTTAATAGGCTCCTCTGGTGAATTCTGATGTACATGTTGTTTGGGAACAGTAGACTATTATTTCAAGACACTTGGCACAAAATGGAATGAGAGACATGGGGCAGGAGTCTGATTTAGATGATGGTGGGAAGCAAGCATAGTAGGAGAGACAGGCATATTTATAGGTTGGTGCTGAAGAAGGGGAAGGAGGTTGGACACATTGGCTCACACCTATAATCCCAGAACTTTGGGAGGCTGAGGCAGGAGGATTGCTTGAGACCAAGAGTTTGAGACCAGCCTGGGCAACATAGTGAGAATCAATCTCTACAAAGAATTTAAAAATTATCTGGATGTGGTGGCACGTGCCTATAGTCCTAGCTACTTGGAAGGCTGAGGCGAGGCAGGAGGATTGCTTGAGCCCAGGAGTTTGAGGCCATACTCCAGCCTAGCAGCCTGGGTGAACAGTGTGAGACCTAGTCTCTTAAAAAGAAAAAAAAAAAAAAAAAAAGGTAGGGGAAGGAGAGGTAATAGTGCCAACAGAGAAGAGGCAGATGATCCCAGGCAGAGATATCCACTGCTTAGCACATAGAAAGAGCTTGATAAAATGTCAGTCACCTCTTCTTCTTTCAGTTTCCCTTTAGTAAAATGATATTTCTAGCTTAGTTATGAGTAACTGAATTTTCCCACTGCTACTATATCTTGATTTATTTCCAGTTGCACTGATTAATAAAGAATGATCAACTTGCAGGGAAAGATCTCAGTGTATACTATGAGTTAGTTGGCCCTGCTAGAGAGTGCTGCAGTTTTAGTTGGTATCTCATATAAGAAAGGTTGTACTTCCTTCTTTCTCTTGTCACTGTTTTAATCATGAATGACTGAAAAGCTGGGCTGCTTAAGAGCAGAAGATAAGTTCTACCACATTATGAAAAGAAAGCTTAATGCACTACTCCCTTCAAAAAGTCTGTGATAGGGTCATTTCAAGGAAGAAGTCCTGCAGTGTGTGTGTGTGAGTGTGTGTGTGTGCATGAGTGCACGTGTGCCTGTGCACACACGTGCATGCACCCTTCTTCTTTCAGAAGATCCAGCTGCCAAGTCATCACCTTAAATAATAGCTCCCCACACATGACATCATAATAGTCTCCACAGCAACTGTGAATGATATTACAAACCTGTCTGGGGCTAAATGGGAAGGATAAGCAAAAAGACAAGAGTGGACAATCTCCTAAGCAACAAATGCGCTTTTTCCATGGAAACACCGCCTTTTGGAAAAGAAAAGGAAACACAGATAATAGACATAGGTACACAATAGTTCCTAAATATAGCATTTCACTAAGCACTCTGTCAATTGCAATTTAAAGACCATTCAACCTATGAGAATAATAGCTGGAAGAAAAGCTTCCCCTAGTTTAATGTTTCAAGAGAGGAGGGCAGAGCATTTTTCTTGAAGTCAGTCATCACATATTATCATAGCTGCTCACAAAAAAGGGCAAATGTGAATGGAGTAAGATATTAGTAAGCTTTCAGGTTTGCTCCACTTTAGGAAAACACGAAGAACAGAAGCTAAACTTAATAAACCAGATAAATTATAAGGAGGTAATTAACATTATAAAAAGGCCTTATGAAGAGAGTCAAGTAAGATTCCTTTGAAATAGCAAGCTCCCCTAGTGAACATAAGACAAAATTTACATTCTAAAAGTTACTTAAACAATGATTTCAGGAACTATTTGCTAAATATACCAAAGGGTCAGTGCACATGTGCATTACTCAGTAGTAAAGGCCCTGTCGCTCATGGCCCATTATGGTCAGACATCATGCTATGTCTTAGGCATCCGGTATCTGAACTATCCCATAAAACAACCCAGTGAGGAAGACTATACTGACCTGTGTGTCAAATGAGGAAATGGTGGCTGGGCGAGTCAACATTTCTGAGGTCGCACAGTAGGTGTCAAGCTCTGACTCAGACCTGTCTCCTGGCTTCAAAGCCCCACGCTCCAGTCATGGGCTCTGTCACCTCTGCACAGCCTTGCTCACTCACAAAGATGTTCATATTGTACCTTTTCCTGTAATCCCTTCATGATTAATGTCAACTCATCCTTTTAATGCCATCACCCTATTTATCAATGGCATGCACTCTGCTTTCTACACGGTAATCACTGACTGTTAGAGGAAGTGGGCCTTTCAAGGGAACCTGCCCAAGTGTCTCATGTTATTGCTAAGGAACGTCTAAAGAGAGTAAATTCCTTTTACAAAGGTGAGACTAGAATCACTGTCTTTCCCTGGCTCTCAAACCACAGCTTCTCCTCAGCTCACATCTTTTATGACTTCATCCTTTTATTTATTATTAATAAATTATTTTCCTAAGGGGACATCTCTATCCCTCTCCCTTCCCCTCTCTCTACCCCATCCAACTATAAATTCCAAAAGATTTAGGAGCCATATTATATGATAAAAGTTTAAATCCCAGGAAACACTTTCACAAAAGACTGCCTTCCACTCTATGAACTGTTAAATAAGGAGAACTTCAGAGGAGGCAGCTGCCTTTATCCATCCTTCCCCAGCCCGTCATAAAGTCATACATCCTTAGATTGTATTTATCTTCCCTGATGCGATAGAACCTTCACCTATGAATCAAGCTATTGACCTTATTTGCTCATAGAGAGACACTGAAATCACTGCTCTGTGTCTTTCTTACTAACCTTTATATAAAGAGGTCTCCCTCTTATTAATCAGCGACGAACATTCATTAATATTAACATGAGTTACACACATATCAAAGAAGACCCCAAGTATTAGACAACATTTAATTTTCTCTGAAGGCCTTTAAAAAGTAAGACATTCATAGATTACTCATAACTAATAAATGGGGATTTGTAGGCTGATTAAAATTCACAGAATGAGGAAGTCTATGCCTATTTCAACAATGTTACAGCTCCATTAATAGAATTCACTCATTTTTTCTTAAGGATATCACTGGGTAAATTCAGTGTCATTATATCAAATGGCTCTTACTGGGTTGGAGAGTATTAATGATGGGGGCTCCCTCCATAGCAGAACAAGCACCATGCATAGTTCATGAGAAGTGGAATAAGCAAGCTTAATAGCTGGCAGATCCAATGGAGCGGAGGATATCTGCCCTGACAGCCCTGTGACAGCCATCTCACTTACTCTAGGCTTTCCTTAACTCTTTGTTGGTTTAGGGAGAAAATCTAAACCTCTCCACAATTATTCAAGTTTCTCATGAAAACCCTCTCCATTTCTCCATCAAGACAAAATTCTAAGATTACTCCCCCAGTTCATTCTGGATACACTTGAGTGTCTTCTGGAACACAATAAGTGCCCCCCGAAAAGACCCATGCAACTATCAGGAAGAGATGCCACTGGGCTCTTTTATAAATGAACTCACTAAGAAAAGCATCAAGGTTATTTTTTGAAGGGAAAAAAAAAAAAAGAGATACGCTACGCCAATTTCAAATTCCCTTTTTCTTGATCTAAAAAAATAGTCTTTCTGCTTAGCTAAAAAATTGGTACATTAAATTATTTTTTGGATCTCTCTCACCTAAAAAGTCCCAGGTGGTTATCTCTAAATCCCCTGATTAAATCAGGGAATTAAATCAGGCTAGCAAAGTAAATCTCAACTTTTGAAACTATTATCTCAATTATCTTTCTTTAAAATTAACTTTCAACAATAATAATTTAGACAAATATAATTCCAGTGCCTTTCTTAAACTGAGGAGAAAAACAACCTTAGATAAATTCACTCAGGCTTTGGGGCTGCTCCAGGGGCTGCAATAAAGGGAGTTTTCCAGAGTAATACTTGGTCACGTTCCAAACCTGAGGCATCCTCCAGCTAATCCTCCATTAGGATGTCATTTGTTTGGTTCACTTCAAAGTTCTGGCTACTCTCTTGCATTTTTCTGAAAACAAGGAGTTATCTGTGGAAATAATTTTGTCAGGCAATTTGGCAAGTCACTTACAATACTCATTAATTTCAGTACTTTAATTAAACCCAGGAAGTCACCCTGTCCAATGTGATTCTCCTCTCTGGGTCACAATTCATCTTTGCCTTCAATAGGACCCAGTGTTTCAAAGTGACAAATGAGAGAAATCTCAGGCCTGGGGTTAGCTAAGTGTGTCTTAGCACTTGGCCAATATTGACTATCCTGTTCAAAAAAAAAAAAAAGTTGAAGGACAGATACTTGGTTTCCTGATTTGGGGGCTGACAATCTGCCCACCCTACCTCACCCCATAAAACATCAAATAGCCATAGCCAATGACAACTTTGGGGAAATAAAGAGTCATCAGTGTGGCATCTGTGTGTATGTAGCTGCTAAATTTGACAGTAACATCTTTGCTCTCTGGGCCATCGGTGTGAGCTTTGTTGGGTGCTCCAGCTGACAGTATGATTGTGGAGAGCTTCTAGAGGCTGGTGTTGCAGGCCTCAGGTGTCATTCTTGATGATAACAACCACTGTCTTGGGCAGGGGGAGTTGAAACATGGATTAATGTCATCCAAACAGAATGCCTTCCAGGCTATAGGATCTGACAGCCAGTGTATAAGATGGACAGCCCATGGTTTCTTCAGAGCCCCACTCCTCCAGGCACTGTCAGAAGACTAAACCAATAAAGCAAGAGGAACCCAGAGAGAGAGTTGTTGCATAGGCATAACATAAAAGTCACAAAAGCAAGCAGTTATTGGGCCATAATACTATAATAAATTTAACAAAAATGTGGCATGGGCAGCATAGCATGAAACCAATTTCATCCTCTTGCCCCAGCATCCATCAAATCTCCTTTTCTCGTGTTCTCTGTCTCAGGGAATGGCCCTACACCCACCATGATGGGTTAAATTGTGTCTTATTTGGAGACATGGTCTCTACAGAGGTTATCAAATTAAAATGAGGTCATTAGGGTAGGCTCTAATCCAATATTACTGGTGTTCTAATAAAAGGGGAAAATCTGGATACAGAGACAGAAATGCATAGAGGAAGGTGATGTGAAGAGACATACGATAACAATAGAAATCTTCAAGCCAAGAAGAGCAGCTTTGAACAGATCGTCTCTCAGAGTCCTCAGAAGAAGGCCACCCTGCCAAAACATTGATTTCAGAATTCTGGCCTCCAGAACTGTAAGACAACAAATTTCTGCTGTTTAAGTCACTCAGTTTGTGGTGCTTTTTGTAGCAGCCCCAGCAAACTAAAACACCCCCAAGCCAGACTCTGACATTTCCTCTCTCTCTAAATCCACAGCCCAGCAGTCTATGGTCCCACTGATTGTATCTAATTGCTATTTTTGGAGTTATTTCTCTCTACCACCTTATTAGACTTTAATTCAGGCCACCATTGCCTTCCACATGGATCACTAGCAAAGGCCCTTGAATTTCGCCACCTGCCAATTCTCACATTTGCCAAGGTTGTCTTTCTGTATTGCAAGTCCATTTTCAAACATTCAGTGCACCCCTCCTAGCATCAGAGTAGAGAAAAGTGTCCTTAGTCTAAACATGCCAGGCCCTTTAGGATCTGACCCAGACAAGTTCTAAGTTTTTTTCCTGCTAATTTCTCCACTGTCAAATCCATGGTTCCAACTTTAACCGGCTTCCTAAGTCCGTCAGACATCACCCATCTCTGTGTTCATGTACCTACCTCTGCAAAGGAATGTTTTTCTTCTTGCTCTTCATCCGGCAAAATACTACACAACCACAGGCAGGTGTCATCACTTTCAAGGGCTTCTCTGAGAAGCTTTCCCTGACTCCAGTAGGGCTTAGTTACTTTCTTGAACTGCTCCCATAGTAGTGTGCATGATTCCAAAACTGTCTTTGCATTGTAATAGCTTTTTGCCTCTGAGTTCCCTGGGAGCAGAGGTCATATTTTGTTTGTCTATGTATCCATTTGTATTTGTATCTAGCATAATGCTGGCCACAAAAAAATAGTTTCATAAATATCTGTTATACGGGGTAAGCGATTTTAATTTTTTTTTTCTTTGAGGCAGAGTCTCGCTTTGTCATCCAGGTTGGAGTGCAGTGGTGCGATCTCAGCTCACCGCAAGCTCTGCCTCCCGGGTTCACGCCATTCTCCTGCCTCAGCCTCCCGAGTAGCTGGGACTACAGGCACCCGCCTCAATGCCCAGCTAATTTTTTGTATTTTTAGTAGAGACGGGGTTTCACCATGTTAGCCAGGATGGTCTCGATCTCCTGACCTCGTGATCCACCCGCCTTGGCCTCCCAAAGTGCTGGGATTACAGGTATGAGACACCATGCCCAGCCACTGTTTAAATATTTTAAAGCAGGCAATACAAATTCTGTTACACCCTAAATGTTATAATTAAAAAACCCACACCATTTAGTATTCTTTCTAAGGCAGCAAATAAAAATATGAACTATCTTGCTTTCATATAACATCAACATGCATATTTCCATTCTCTTTTCAGTATATATAACAAAAACTCGAGTTGACATATCCTCCGCTAATCTAACTGATTTAAGACCAGTTCCTCAAGTCAATTCAATGCAATTCTAACTTAATAGCATATAGATAGTATGAGTACTGCTATGTGTTGAACATTAAGATATTAGAGGAGGCAAGAGAGGAGAGTGAGAAAAGCAAGTGGTGTGAGGAAGACTGAAAATGCTAAAATGAGTAAGACATGGCCCTTGTCTTCAGTAAGCTCACAGGTCACTGGGGGAAGCATACCTTCTTCATCTACAACATTTAGTCAGATTTGACTAATGTAGCAACATGTAGCAACATGTAGCAACATGGGACTATGGCAGGTCAGCATGATAGAAAGTGTTTGCATTTGGTTTATTTTCTAAGCTTTTAAGACAACATCAGAGATGAACGCCAAGGATTTCAAGAGCAGAGGGTAAAAGACATTCAGAGACATCACTGGAGTCAGCCTTGTTATGGGAAGTGCCTTGAATCCAAGCTTGCTGGGATGCTTCTCTGGGGGATCTCGTGGTCAGGGGCTGATATATTGTCATGGAACCACCCAGGAGTAGGGTCATAATTCTTTAAGAGGAAGCTTGTTCACACAGCATAGGTAGACATGAGGCTCCTTTGGCAGCCAAGTGTCTTATAGGGAGTCTCAGGGAAGAAGAGCATCATTTCAGGCAGAAGATTTAAATTCTTTTTAATTAACTTTTGGGGCTTTACGAAGAAAGTACTAGAGCACAAATGAGAACTCTCTGTGACCGTGCAATTGAAAAGCCCTCTTTCCTAATCTTTTAGCTGGTTTTCCACTACTTCTTCCTAAAATGTCATGAAAACAGGTCATGCATGACTTCTGATGTGTGACGCTTCAGCTAGACAGTTGATATATAAATATACATAGCAATCTTGTTTCTTATCATAAGGGAAAACCTCAGATGCTCCCCAGAAGTCAAGGCTGAGGAAGCAGCAATGATGGATTCACAATCAAATCTTACTCAACAATGATCTCACCCTCTGTCTCTCTATTTGCTTGTACAAACACAGTATTGTATGCACTTTACTGCCTCCAAAGAATTACTTAGCAAGGTATTATTGGGATTATTGTTTATAATCAATAAATACTATTTAGTACAAAAATAATTTTATTACTAAGAGAATTAACTGCATTAATCTTGGGAAGTCTTTCATAATTATGTTCCACCATTTTTTTTTTTGAGATGGAGTCTTGCTCTTGCCTATGCTGGAGTCCAGTGGCATGATATGGGCTCACTGCAACCTTCATTTCCTAGATTCAAGCGATTCTTCTGCCTCAGTCTCCCGACTAGCTGGGATTACAGGCGCACCACCATGCCTGGATAATTTTTGTATTTTTAGTAGAGACGGGGTTTCACCATGTTGGCTAGGCCAGTTCACCACATTTTTTAAGGTGCTGGGGGAAAATTACCTAGGGGCTAATGGATAAGAATTTGCATCTACAATGGACTACCTACTTAACAAGCCCCTAAATCAGTGGATCTAAACATGTCAATGCATTCGAATTACGTGGGTTGTTAAAATGTAGATTCCTGAGCCACTATCTACAGCCACTGTGCCAAAATCTGATTTTTAAACACGCATCCTAGGGGTTTCTGATAAAGGGCTCCGCTGATCGTGGCGTGAAAAACAACACTGTGAATATTCATTGATTGAGGTTGGCTTTTATTACAAGCATATACAATTTTAATGCCATTCTTAATATACGAATTCAAGCAATTCAAATAACAGGCCTTAGGAATCACAACATTCAAAGAACAGAACGGATTACAAGAACAAGACTTTACAATAAAATAACAAGTAGAAGAACAATCCTGATCATTAATGCTAAAAGAAACAAGATGGCCATGAGCTGCATGTGCTGTGGAACCTAGTGATGTTGCAGCAGCATTTGGCATTGGAAGAAGTGAGCCAGATCACACAGTGAAGTTTATGCCAAGCATCTTTGTGGGGCACTTGATTTTCTCCAACTCCTCCAAAAAATTGATCTAGTTGAATAAGCTTTAACATCTCAAGGAGGAGGAGCTGGGGATGAAATACAAGCCTTAAGGATAAGCAAAAAGTGCTAGCGATTTTGTCCATCTGGAAATAGTTGTTTTGCAAAGACCTTCTTAAAACTCTTTTTTCCTTCTCCCCACCTTCTGCATAATATAAATAATTCTCCTACTCCTTCAATTTATCTGTTTGGATACTCTTGATTCATTGATCAACCCAGAGCATATGTAACTATTTCCCCTTGGCTGACTGGGAAGGAGACACGTGATCACGATAAAGGCAGAGTTACATTTTGGAATCAAAATTTAAGGAGGGAGTTTTCAAGATCAGCCTTGATTTGGGATGGTGATTGTATGGATTGCATGTTTGTGTCCCTCCCAACCCCAAAATTTGTATGTTGAAACTCTAATCTTTAATACCATGATAGTTTAAAATGAGGCCTCTGGGAGGTAATTAGAGTGGAGCCTGCATGATGGGATTAGTGCTGATATAAGAAGAGACATGAGAGAGCTTGCTTCTTCTCTCTCTGCTCTGTCATGTGAGGACATAACAAAAAGACAGCTCTCTGCAATCCAGGAAAAGTGCCCCTTCCAGACACCAGATCTGCTGGCTCCTTGACTTTAGAATTCCCAGACTCTTCCAGCCTTAAATGGTGAGAAATAAATGTTGCTTAAGTCACCCACATCAGAGTATTCCGTTACAGCAGTCTGAATTAAGATAATCATAAAAGAAATAACTTTAAAAAAATCAAATAAAAGAGTCTTTGATAGGAATAAGCCCAGTAGTCTTAATCATCAATTAAAAATATAATTTTTTTTAATAATGGAAGAATAAGTGTGAATGAGAATGTACTTAATAAATTAAAACAAGTTTCCCTAATTAGCTTAGAAGACGGTTTGACTGAAATTTGGTTAAAAAAAATCAAGATTATTGCTACAGTTAGCTACTGGGGAGAAAGGTAAAATGTTTTCAAGCACAGGGCTTAAATCAGCACAAGATTTATACTATTGATATTTCTACATGAAAGTACATGTGCCATGGAACAACTATGCAAAAGATCAACCATAAAATAGAAGACTTGAACAATGCTCTAAGCCAACTAGACCAAAGACAAAAATACATAACACTATATTCAGTGGCAACAGAGCACGTATTTTTCTCAAGTGCACATGGAACATTCTTCAGGATAGACCATCTATTAGGCCATAGAACAATCCTTAATAAATTTAAAAAGATTGGAATTATACAGAGTGTGTTCCCTTGTAACAGTGGAATAAAATTAGAAATTAATAGCAAAAGTACATTTTTAAAAATCTCATATATGTGAAAATTAAACAACACACTCCTAAATAATCAATGGGTCAATGTAGGTAGAAATACTAAGAGAAATTAGAAATACTTTGAAATAAATGAAAATAAAAGCATAACATAGATGTACCCCACAACTTATGAGATGCAGTAAAGCAATGCTTAGAGGAAAACTGATAGCTATAAATGACTTTTTTAATAGCTATAAATTTATAAAATGTATTATAAAAACCAAATCAATAACCTAAACTTCCAGTGAAAAAGGAAGAGCAAATTAAACCTAAAGCAAGTAGAAGAAAGGTGGTGGTGGAAATCAATGAAATAGAAAAAAAGAAGTCAACAAAACTAAAAGTGTTTTTTTTAAAAAGCTCAACAAATTTGACAAAATTGAGCTAGAGTGATCAAGAAAAAGAAGAGAGGGGACTCAAATTGCTAAAATCAGAAATGAGAAACGACTATTAACTTTACAAAAATAAAAGAGATCATAGGGACATATTATGAATAACTATATTACAACAAATTGGATAACTTAGAAAAAATGAAAAAAATCCTAGAAGGAAAATACCAAACTTGACTCAGGGAGAAACAGTAAATCTGAATAGGCATATTGGAAGTACAGAGAATGAATTAATAATTAAAAGCAAAACAAAAAATCTTCCCACAGATAAAAGACCAATTCCAGGTGGCTTCGCTGGTGAATTGGAACAAATTTACAAATGAATTAATACCAATTCTTCACAAACTCTTCCAAAATATAGGGGAGAAGAGAACATTTCTCAATTCATTCTATAAGGACAGTTTTATCCTGATACCAAAATCATCACAAGAAAGGAAAACCAAAGATCAATATCTCTTATGAATATATATGCAAAAGTTATATCTCTTATGAATATATATGCAAAAGTTATCAACAAATACTAGCAAACTGAATCCAGCAAAGAATAAAAAAGGTTATACAACATGGTTAATTGGGCTTTCTCCCACAAATACAAAGTTGGCTTAACATCTACAAATCAATTAATATGATGCATGATTTCAATAGAATAAAAGACAAAACCGCATGACCATCCTGATAGACTCAGAAAAAGTTTGATGAAATCTAACAACCCTTTCAGGATTAAAACATGAAACAAATCAGAATAGAAGAGAACTTTCTCAACTTGAAAAAGGGCATCCATAAAAAACGCACAGCTAAATTATACTTAGTGGTAAAATACTTAATCCATTGTTCCTGAGATCAAGAATAAGAAAAGGGTGTATGCTCTTGCTGCTTTGACTCAGATTTCTATTGGAAGTTCTATCTAGGGCAATTAAATAAGAAAAAGAAAAAAAAAATCAAGTTGGAAAGGAAAAACTAGCACTATTTCCATGTGTAGATAACATGATTTTGTATATAGAAGACCCTTAGGAATACACAAAGAAATGTTGGAGCTAATAAATGGGTTCAGCAAGGTTGCAGGGTATGAGCTCAAAGTATAAAAAATAAATGTATTTATATGCATTAGCAATGAAACATCCAAAAATAAAATTTAAAGAGCCATTCCAGAGGGGGTTCCAAGATGGCCGAATAGGAACAGCTCCAGTCTACAGCTCCAAGCGTGAGTCACGCAAAAGACGGGTGATTTCTGCATTTCCAGCTGAGGTACTGGGTTCATCTCACTGGGGCTTGTCGGACAGTGGGTGCAGCCCACAGAGTGTGAGCCGAAGCAGGGCGGGGCATTGCCTCACCCTGGAAGTGCAAGGGGTCAGGGAATTCCCTTTCCTAGCCAAGGAAAGCCATGACAGATGGTATCTGGAAAATCGGGACACTCCCACCCCTAATACTGCACTTTTCCAACGGTCTTAGCAAATGGCACACCAGGAGATTGTATCCCGCGCCTGGCTCAGAGGGTTCTACACCCATGGCGCCTCGCTCACCGCTAGCACAGCAGTCTGAGATCAAACTGCAAGGCAGCAAGGCTGGGGGAGGGGCATCCACCATTGCTGAGGCTTGAGTAGGTAAACAAAGTGGCTGGGAAGCTCGAACTGGGTGGAGCCCACCGCAGCTCATGGAGGCCTGCCTGCTTCTGCAGACTCCACCTCTGGGGGCAGGGCATAGCTGAACAAAAGGCAGCAGAAACTTCTGCAGACTTAAACGTCCTTGTCTGATAGCTTTGAAGAGAGTAGTGGTTCTCCCAGCATGGAGTTTGAGATCTGAGAACGGACAGACTGCCTCCTCAAGTGGGCCCTGATGCCCGAGTAGCCTAACTGGGAGACACCCCCCAGTAGGGGCTGACTGACACCTCATAGAGCCGGGTGCCCCTCTGAGATGAAGCATCCAGAGGAAGGATTGGGCAGCAACATTTGCCTTTCTGCAATATTTGCTGTTCTGCAGGCTCCGCTGGTGACACCCGGGCAAACAAGGTCTGGAGTGGTCCTCCAGCAAACTCCAACAGACCTGCAGCTGAAGGTCCTGACAGTTAGAAGGAAAACTAACAAACAGAAAGGACATCCACACCAAAACCCCATCTGTACGTCACCATCATCAAAGACCAAAGGTAGATAAAACCATAAAGATGGGGAGAAACCAGAGCAGAAAACCTGATAATTCTAAAAATCAGAGTGCCTCTTCTCCTCCAAAGAAACACAGCTCCTCCAGCAACGGAACAAAGTGGGACAGAGAATGACTTTGACGAGTTGAGAGAAGAAGGCTTCAGACGATTGGTAATAACAAACTTCTCCAAGCTAAAGGGGGAAGTTCGAACCCATCTCAAAGAAGCTAAAAACCTTGAAGAAAGATTAGACGAATGGCTAACTAGAATAAACAGCGTACAGAAGACCTTAAATGACCAGATGGAGCTGAAAACCATGGCATGAGAACTACGTGATGAATGCATGAGCTTCAGTAGCTAATTTGATCAAGTGGAAGAAAGGGTATCAGTGATGGAAGATCAAATGAATGAAATGAAACGAGAAGAGAAGTTTAGAGAAAAAAGAGTAAAAAGAAATGAACAAAGCCTCCAAGAAATATAAGACTATGTGAAAAGACCAAATATACGTCTGACTGGTGTACCTGAAAGTGACAAGGAAAATGGAACCAAGTTGGAAAACACTCTACAGGATATTATCCAGGAGAACTTCCCCAACCTAGCAAGGCAGGCCAACATTCAAATTCAGGAAATACAGAGAATGCCACAAAGATACTCCTCAAGAAGAGCAACCCCAAGATACATAATTGTCAGATTCACCAAAGTTGAAATGAAGGAAAAAATGTTAAGGGCAGCCAGAGAGAAAGGTGGGGGTTACCGACAAACGGAAGCCCATCAGACTAACAGCAGATCTCTCGGCAGAAACTCTACAAGCCAGTAGAGAGTGAGGCCCAATATTCAACATTCTTAAAGAAAAGAATTTTCAACCCAGAATTTCATATCCAGCCAAAATAAGCTCACAAGTGAAGGAGAAATAAAATCCTTTACAGAAAAACAAATGCTGAGAGATTTTGTCACCACCAGGCCTGCCTTACAAGAGCTCCTGAAGGAAGCACTAAACATGGAAAGGAACAACCGGTACCAGCTACTGCAAAAACATGCCAAATTGTAAAGACCATCGATTCTAGGAAGAAACTGCATCAACTAACGAGCAAAATAACCAGCTAACATCATAATGATGGATCAAATTCACACATAACAATATTAACCTTAAATGTAAATGGGCTAAATGCTCCAATTAAAGGACACAGACTGGCAAATTGGATAAAGAGTCAAGACCCATCAGTGTCCCGTATTCAGGAGACCCATCTCACTGCAGAGACACACACAGGCTCAAAATAAAGGGACGGAGGAAGATGTACCAAGCAAATGGAAAACAAAAAAAAAGCAGGGGTTCCAATCCCAGTCTCTGATAAAACAAACTTTAAACCAACAAAGATCAAAAGAGACAAAGAAGGCCATTACATAATGGTAAAGGGATCAATTCAACAAGAAGAGCTAACTATCCTAAATATATATGCACCCAATACAGGAGCACCCAGATTCATAAAGCAAGTCTTTAGAGACCTACAAAGAGACTTAGACTCTCACACAATAACAATGGGAGATTTTAACACCCCACTGTCAACATTAGACAGATCAATGAGACAGAAAGTTAACAAGGATACCCAGGAATTGAACTCAGCTCTGCACCAAGTGGACCTAATAGACATCTACAGAACTCTCCACCCCAAATCAACAGAATATACATTCTTCTCAGCACCACATCACACTTATTCCAAAATTGACCACGTAGTTGGAAGTAAAGCACTCCTCAGCAAATGTAAAAGAAAAGAAATTATAACAAACTGTCTCTCAGACCACAGTGCAATCAAACTAGAACTCATGATTAAGAAACTCACTCAAAACCACTCAACTACATGGAAACTGAACAACCTGCTCCTGAATGACTACTGGGTACATAATGAAATGAAGGCAGAAATAAAGATGTTCTTTGAAACCAATGAGAACAAAGACACAACATACCAGAATCTCTGGCACACATTTAAAGCAGTGCATAGAGGGAAATTTATAGCACTAAATGCCCACAAGAGAAAGCAGGAAAGATCTAAAATTGACAACCTAACATCATAACTAAAAGAACTAGGTCAGGCGCGGTGGCTTACGCCTGTAATCCCAGCACTTCGGGAGGCTGAGGTGGGTGGATCACCTGAGGTCAGGTGTTCCAGACCAGCCTGGCCAACATGGTGAAACCCTGTCTCCACTAAAAATACAAAAATTAGCCAGGCGTGGTGGTGGGTGCCTGTAACCCCAGCTACTTGGGAGGCTGAGGCGGGAGAATTGCTTGAACCCAGGAGGCGGAGGTTGCAGTGAGCGAAGATCGTGCCACTGCACTCCAGCCTGGGCAACAAGACCGAAACTCTGTCTCAAAAAAATTAAGTAAATAAAAATAATAAGAAGAAAAGAAATTAACAAGTTGATTCTAAAATTCACATGAAAATGCAAGGAACAAAATAGCCCAAACAATCTTAAAAAAGAATAAAGTTGATTGAGTCATTCATTTTGATTTCAAAACTTACAGTAAAGCTACAATAATCCAAACAATTTTGTACTAGCACTAGAATAGACACATAGTCCAATGAGACAGACTTTAGAAATAAATGCTTACATTTATAGTCACATGATTTCAACAAAGGTGCTAAGACAATTCAGCAGGAATGGAATATATTGTACAGACATAACATATAGTGCTAGGACAACTGGATAGCCATAAAAAAATGAATGAAGTTGGATCTCTACTCATATTATACAAAATAATTGATTCAAAATGAATCATAGATCTAAATGTAAGAACGATGTAACTTTTAGAAGAAAATATAAGATTAAATCTTTGTGACCTTGAGTTAGAAGCAAAGACTTCTTAGGTATGACACAAAAAACACACGTGAGAAAAGAAAGAAGATAAATTGGATTTCATCACAATTGTAAAACTTTTTTTCTTCAAATAAGATCATCAAGAAAGTGAAAAGACAATGCATTGATCAGGAGAAATAATTTGGAAATCATAAATCATACGAAGAATTTCTATCCAGAATACCAAATGAGCGGCTATATCTTAATAATAAAATGACAAACAACCTAATCAAAAAGTGGGCAAAGGATGTGAATAGCACATGAAAAGATACACAACACCATTAGCCATGTGAGAAATCAAAATCAAAACCAAAATAAGAACACATTGAACATAGTAGGATGGCTAGAATCAAAATAAACAGATAATGACAAGTGTTGATAAAAATGTTGGGAAATGGAACCCTCGTACATTGCTCAGGAAATGCAAGAAGGTCCAGCACCTTTGCAAAATAGTCTGGCAGTTACTTAGAATGTTAATATAGTATAACTATATGACCTAGCAATTCCATACCTATGTATATTCCTAAGACAAATGAAAATATGTATTCACACAAAAACTTGTACATGAATGTTCATAGCAGTATTATTTATCATAGCCAAAAAAACATGGAAACAGTCCCAATATCCATTAACTGATGAATTAATAAATAAAACATGGTATATCTATACCATGGAATATTATTCTACAATATGAAAGAATGAAATACCGATACACTCTGCAATATTAATGACCCTTGAAAACATGCTAAGTAAAAGAAGCTGGTCATATAAGATTATATATTACATGATTCCATTTATATGAAATGTCCACAGTAGGCAAATGTACAGAGACAGAAAATAGACATATGGTTGCTGAAGTCTGGGGGGATTAAAGGAAAATGGGAAGTGACTGATAATGGGTAAAATGTTTGCTTTTGGGGCTATAACATGTCCTAAAATTGTGGTGACAGATGCACAATTCTGTGAATAAACTAAAAATCACTGAACTGTACACTTTAAAAGGCAAGCAAATGAACAACACACATCCTCTATCACTTATTTTACTCCCAAAACACCAATGATCAGCTTCCCAGTACAGTTGCCTGATACCGTGATGAGGAGAGCTCTTAGGGATTCAGCTTCCTCATTTTCCTAGGCCAGCTCCAAAACAGAGGCTAGAAGATGGGGTTTGGAGGGTAATCCCAGAGGAATAAAGAGAGAAGAGAGTTGGTGGGTTATTAAATATGCATACATATATGCTCATGTGATTTTAAAAATAAATACTTAAAAACAGCGATTAAAACAAGTGTCAGAACCAGTTTTCGTTCTAATCACTTTTAAATTAATCTGAATTTGGTTTAGAGGCTAATTGTGTTATTTTTAAACTTAGTTTTTTTTAAAAAAAATATTTAATTACTTTTGAACTCAATAGTCTCATTCTCAAAAATGACATTTTAAAATGAACTCTATTTTTCTTAAGTCCTAAATAGAAGGTAGAGTGATTTGTATTTCTACAAATGAGGAGAAGCAAGAGGCTGGAAGTCACACCTGTGAATGGCCTCATCTGGTGAGTTCCAAAGTCTTCTCGACCAAAGGAGGGAAAGAGGCATTATTCTAAACAATATTAGGATGGACAGAATGAAAAAGCTGCACATATGGAGCCCATTGAATACTTGAACATGATCTATAGGAAACTCTGATCTTAGAATCCAAGAAGGTTTTAAAGAACTTAAATGATTCCAAATTTAGGATACATTTTCAGTGAGGTAGAAAAAGAAGGGTTACTCTACGATCCCGTCCTACCTATTATGCTGCATTACTCAGTCTTTTCCTCCCAACACTGGCATAGCACACATGCATACTGAATTAGCTATCACCATTTCCCACACATCTTCCCACCCTTGTGCCTTTGCTCACCCCATTCCCTGTGCCTGAAGTATCCTTTCAGGGTTCTACCTCCACATGTCAAAACTGCATCCATCCTTCCAGACCTGTCCTGAATGCCACTATCTTTCAGGAAGCTTCTCCTGATTCCTCCATCCACTGCCATCGTTCCCACCTGCAAACTTCACACAGCACTTCCTTGAAACGTATTTTATTTAATTATATGTTGCAGTACAGTATAAACTGTCCCCACACTAGAATTTAAGTGAGCAAGAGGTTTGGCTCCAGCAGAGAGAACACCATCATTTTTCTCCAGCACAATTTGTGTTACTTCTATTCAATCAATCTTTATCAATTCAATTCCCCACATTTTAAAAAATGGTCTTCTGATTGAATTGCATAGAAATCCTGGCTTTATTCAGATAAAGAAGTCCCAGTTCTTATTTCTTCCAATTTTTCTTACTCTGCTGTATCTATGTTCCCCAATGAACCAGCATTCTAAGTCCTGCTGAATTCTCCAACATTCTCTTATTCTTCTAATTGAGAAAAAAATCTACCAGCAAAACTGATAAAATGATTTCTTCTCATTCTCATTATTGGGCATGGGCCCTGAGTCAGTTTGCAAAGTGGGAGATTTTCGCAGGGGTGAGGTGGAGAGAAAAGTGACCAATTGTCATTTCTGTAGTTATTCTGGGACAAAGAGACAAAATGTGTAGTATAAAACTGAAATGGCTTTGTATGGAAAAACACTATTACAAGTAAAAAAAGGAAAGAAAAACACAGAGATGCTATCACTCTGGGTTAACTCTAAATATAGGGAGACAATAAAATAGTTATTAAATGTTCCCAATGTGCCTAGTACTACATTAATTAAGCACTGTTTATGTATTATCTTATTGTCTCCTTTAATCCTAATGGGGTTGCTATTAGGTAGGTCCTACTGTTCTCCCCTCATTTGGAAGGTCAAGAAACTGAAGCACAAAAAGGTTAAGAAACTTACTAAAGGGGTATGCGGTGAAAACAAATGTGCTTGTCAAGTTTTCTTCCACAGTATCAACTAACTTCTCCATTCTTCTTTCTTATAAGTTGTATAGATGTTTGGCCTTTTTGGCCTTTTTAGAATATTTTCTGAATAACCTCCATTGAGATCATTGCAATTTGATTTCCTCTCTCCCCCTATAATTCCTATACCACTGGAGTATATCAAGAAATAGAAGGGTGGGCCAGGGTACAGTGGTTCATGCCTGCAATCCCAGCACTTTGGGAGTTTAAAGCAGACGGATCTCTTGAGGCCAGGAGTTCAAGACCAGCCTGGCTAACATGGCAAAACCCTGTCTCTACTAAAAATACAAAAGTTAGCTGGGCCCGTAGTTCCACCAACTTGGGATGCTGAGGCACAAGAATCGCTTGAACCCGGGAGGTGGAGGTTGCAGTGGGCCAAGGTCACACCACTGTATTCTAGCCTGGGAGACAAAGCAAAACCCTGTTTCAAAAAATGCTGGGCATAGTGGCTCATGCCTGCAATCCCAACAATTTGGAAGGAGGAGTCAGAGGAAGGAGGAGCTTGAGCTCAGTAGTTTGAGATCAGCTTGGGTGACATCACGAGACCCTGTCTCTGTAAGAAAAAAAGAAATTAGCCAGGCAAGATGGTGCAGTCCCAGGTACTCAGGAGGCTGAGGATGGAGGATCACTTGAGCCCAGGAGGTCAAGGCTGCAGTGAGCTATGATTGTCACTGCACTCCAGCCTGGGTGACAGAGTGAGACTCTGTCTCTTAAATAAATAAATAAATAGAGAGAAGATAGTCACTTAATAATCTTCTTGTATGGCTGTTTACTCATTTTTCCCTGAACTAGGGAAAAATGTTTTTGAAGATCAGAGACAATAAAACGGCCAGCAGAATAGGACAAATGAAAGATTCAAGGTCAAAGAAAGAAACTGGGTTTAATTCATCCTTAATCTTGGGCTTAGGGATATTCTCCTATAAACACTAAATGGGTTCAGACAAAAGCATCTCACAGGGAGGAGGCAGAGGCTTCAGCCTGCTGCAGTCTTTATGCACTCAATCATCCCTTCCACAAATGTCTAAGTGCCTACTGTGTGCCAGGCACTGTAAGTGAGCAGGATGAACATGGTCTTTATTCTGTGAAGCTTGTAGGAGTGAGGGGAAGAAAACACTAAAGAAATATTTAAACTATATCATTTCAATTATGATAAGTGCAAAAAAGAAACGGTGGATGCTTTGGGATCATATAAAAAGGAACCCAAGCTGATCTGAGATGCCAGAGAAAGCTCCCCTGAGGACAAGAGGCTTAAACTGAGATTTTGAAGGTAAAAGGAGGGATCTCTGAAGCCTGTAACTTCGAAGGAGAAAATGAAAAAAGACACTTGAAAGTCTAAAAAAGGAAGTTGGGCCTAAATATTGGTCTAAACTATACAACTGGTTCAACTTAAAGACAGTTTTTAAGGAGTACAGCTTAATACTTTAAAAATGAGTATTACAACATAAATAAACATTATCAAAGAATTTTCAGATAAAACACAAACCTGTTTGAAGGCCTGTGTAGAATTTATTAGAATTACTTGACAAAGTCCTGGTTGTGTCTAAAAAATTTAAAAAGAAATAAATGTCCTTAAGAAAAATTTGCATATGACTGAAAGCTATACATCGGCTAGATGCTCAATAAAAATTTTCTGCAAGGGTAACTGAAACACCCCTTCTCATGTGAATTTTATTGCTAATTTAGTTTAATCATTTAATTCAGTTAGCAAATCCCTTTTACAAGTGCACTAGTAAATGTCACCTTAATCAAAATTAAATTACCTTAAATTTTCACATAATATCGACTTACTTAAGTTTGTATTATGAAGAAAAAAAACTCAAAAGGAATCTGCTTAAAAATGCTTTGTGCAGTATCAATGTACAAAAATGAGAAGCCTGAATGGGAATTTATTTCTAGAATTATTGACGAAGTTTCAAACTTAATAAATAAATCTTAATTTTACTTACTAACAAAAAATAGTTTTAGTCTGCCTATTTCAAGTAGTTTTATGTAAATTATCCAATGTCTGAACTCCACAAAATGCTAATATATGATACAGCTTCCAAGCCTATTTGTAGACTATAACTGAAACTACATCAATAAGAAATGATATGCTTAAATCATAGACACACACACACACTTTCATATTATATCCTTCTAGTTTACTCTCTTATTCACAAGATGAAAATTATTTTATTTGCAGGTTGATAGTTGTTGGTTTTCACTTTCATATTTGATCTTTAGGTTATTTTTAATAGCAAAACTTGCTTTGATACCAAAATACATTATTTTGCTGAGCACTTAATTCAGCTTAGACAATACCTGAGCTACAATGAGCTTTTGGTATACTTGTTTTTCATAAATTCAAAAACTGAATCCAAATTCAAATTCCACCAGGGATTTGTATAGTACACATTTAAAACATAGGCTAACATGCAAACTAATGTGCATTACATCAAATATACACAGACTGTCAAAGACACCAGAAAATTAGATATAGCCACTTGCAAATTCTAAACAGGTTTTAACCCACATTCATACTAAATACTAGTCAGAGACTCCCCTCCTCCATTTTGAGCCTCTGTAAGCACTTTGCTGTTATCAAGGAATGACTTAAAAGTTTGCTTCTGCTACAGAAGTGGCACAGAGACACAATGGAGCAAAAGTGTCCAAGTTCACTAGAGTTCTGACAACTGAACCACCCACAGTTAATTATTCAGAAATCATGAATAAATATCAGTAAAAAAGAAATCACCTCTTTGCTTTGTAAATGCTCAAGAGTATAATAATCAAAATTTATGTAAAGAGCGTTTGAAACAGCTGCATTCATAAACAGCAGCATTCATAAACCATGGCCACAGAAATGCAAAATTCGGGAGTATCTCTGAGAAAGACTCCTGTTTATCCAAAGGTTCTCTCTTTCTTGCTCTGTGCCATGATACTGTAGCCTCCAGAAGCCTGGGCATGGCACCAGTATGCTTCCTAAGTCTTCCCAGCAGGCCCCTGCAAAGGGAGGTTCTCAATGTTTCCTGGTGACTCCTTGAAGTTCCTTCCAACCTTCCAGACAGAGATGCTGTTCCCTAGGCATTGATGGCTGCAGTGGAATATTGCTGTGTTGCATGTGAGGAGTATTATTATTATTATTATTATTATTGCTGAATTCAGGACTATATTTTCATGGAGAATATTATCTCACTATTTATTAGGTTTTTATCAGTTCTCTGATTCTCATAGGCATAATTACCCAGGAATACTAATATACAATCAGGTAGCCCATTCTAAAAGCTATATCTTGTTTCATTGTGCGGTTGAGAAAGAGTGCCTGAAGAAATTCTGGAGCATGATGCAAGAAGAAGAAACAAGCAGAAAATATATAACCTGCAAACTCACATATTTCACACCCAAGCAGGTTTTTCCATTTAGTTTTATATTAAAAACTGAGTAATTGCAATATGAAAGCATGAACACAAGGTTGAAAAGTAACAACTAACAGCATAACATTCCATAAGGAGTTGAAAACGAAAAGTAAATTACCTGAGCATTGACAAGTATCAATATCCTCGTAACATAAAACCCATCAGAACTCATGTGTGTAATATTGCCTCAAACAACTCACTAGAAATGGAAATAAAATGCATTAAATTAATGTTTGAAGATTCTAAGGTTAGAGAATTGATACTTGTTCACAACAAAAAGGCAGTGATGACTCAGCTCTTTCAGATACATGTGAAACTTGTTACACTTATCCGTGTATCATAATCTTATGGTTCCTGCAGGGATCCTAGCTTTTAATTTCCTGAACATACTTAAACCCTCAACCACAGTGTTAGATGTCATGGTATTTGTAGTATTTCATTTTAAGATTAAAAAAAAAAGTTCAAGAAATGGAAGGTACTCTATTTACTTGATCACAAATCTAAGGAAATTTAGGTAGATATGATAGATGCCAGCTCAAAGTCTTATCGGGACAAAGGAAATTGGAAAGGGTTATAGAAAGGGGAAAGTGGTAATATTAAAGGTATATAGAAAACTGGCCTCAAAATAAATCAGCAAGAAAAGTAAAGTGTTGCCTTTTCCGTTTTAAAGGTAAATGAGAAATTGGTAGTAATTTTATGACTAAATAATGTGACTCATGTGGAAAGAACAGATTATAATATCATATAGCACATAAAATATGGGGACAATTTTAATTACATGGTATTCACAAGGATGCTCAGCATTTGAATTGTTTATCCTACTACAAAATACACGTTTAAAGTATAGTTCTACTTGGTTAATTTGTTTTACAACTGAACAGCAAAACAACAATTATCCCTTCATATATTTAAGAAACTGCCAAACATTTGCTTTAAAGCTAGTTTAAAGCAGTGAGGGAAGGCAGATAAAGTCCCCTCAGAAGGCAAAATTTTCTGTTATTAACCAAATGCTATATTAAAATTTGTCTAAAAGTTCATTTAAAAAAATCAATGTAATTGTTGTCATGTTTCTTTAATCAGATGGATTACAGATGAAGTCCACTAACTGCATGACTTTGGGCAAGTCATTTCCCCCCACCCCCCTTCCTTAGTCTCCTCTTTCAGCAGCCAGGCTACTTTACCTATCAGGGTGATGCATGAAGAGATGAGAGGCTACAAGGGAAATCATATCATAAGGTAGATTCCAGTGAATATTTTCACTGATCACCAATGAAAATTTCAAACCATCATAGAAGACTTAAATCTACCAAAATATGAGTTGGTTTTCCAACTGGAATCTTTCAATCAAGGGTACAAACATTAGGATAGGCTATTTAGGTGAACACTAAGGACATCCACGAGTTGTGATGGTTAGTGATATCTATTCATGGCTAATGGCGAGGTGGTGTGGAACAGAGAAGATGAAGATGCAGGGAGGCACTAAAGCTCCTCTGAAATCTATCCAAATGTCAGAGTCATGGTAATGACCATTGCCCCTCAGCCACCTTCACTGTCTTGGGCAGGGGACCCATAGTGGGTCAGATGATACAAAATGGAAGTGAGGTGTGGGCACTTCCTACCCTCATCTGCTCCAAAGCCTATACAAAGTAGTTAAGAAACAGGCTTGTGATTTTGACAGAACCAGCTTTAAGTGCTAGTTCCACAGTTTACTGATTTTGTGCCTTGAACAAGTCAGTTGGCCATTTTGTCTCAGCTTCCTGAATTCTAAGATGTGATTTAATTATAGCGACCTCAGAAAATAGTGGTGAGGACTAAATGAAACCACACACATAAAAAAGTTAGCAGAATGACTGACACTGAGACAGCACTCAACAAATGAGAGTGCTTTTATCATTGCTATTACCATCTTCAGCAAGTGAAGACATTTGCTAATCGGTGAGCTGGAAAGACGAGGTGGGAGAGCAGAAGCAGCCCCAAAGCAGCCCACCTCTCCAGCATGCCTGAGCTGCAGGCAAAGCCCAGGTACTGTCTAAAGGGTGCCAGCTCCCTAACCTGGGGAAGTCTCCATTCTCCTAGAAGGTCATGCATGCTGCACTCTCCTTCAGGCAGAAGGAGGGATGCTTGCAAACCAACAACCTGGAAGGGATGGTGTGGCTTCATGCCAAATGACAACAGAATTTTCTCCCTAGTAATTCTTTAGAAGTAAAACCCCATAAGGAAACTCCTGTGACAGAAGCATTAGGCACAAACACTGCCGTAACAGAAAATGCATATCTAGTTTGATGGAGAAAACACTGGCATAGTTTCCTGACTTAACAGAAATAGTATAATATAAATCAGGAGGGAGTCAAAGACTAGGGCTCACTCACCAATTGTTGACACTCTGTCTAATGATGGAAAAACACAGAAGCTTTATAATACCCTAACTTGCCCAGCTTGCAAATGAGGAGAGAACATGAGTTTTTGGTTAAAGGATGACATTCTGTGCTCACTGAATTTGCTGTCTGCCACATTCAAGCACATTTTCTGACTGGTCACCCATTCTGAAATCAGATGCTTGCAAGCAATCTGGCAAAGGGGCCCTCGCCAGGAGTATTACACATCCGTCACTGAACCAGGGGCAGAAGACTGGGAACATTTTTGGCAGCAGACCAGTCTCTGCCAATAAATAGGGATTGACTTGGGGAAGAATTACTCTCCCCAAATCTCATTTGTAAAAAAAAAAAAAAAAAAAAAAAACATAGCTATTTTATTGCATTATCTTGAGGTTTAATTTTGTGATATCTGTAAGAGTACACAAAGTAATCTGTAAGTGATTTTAACTATTATTATTCCATTTGTCCCTCTCAGAGGAAATTTCCCTGAATTTCTAAACCATATTAGTCCTCTCTCTCCTTAACTCTTTCTTATGGAAGCCCCTTGTTTTCCCCATTATATACTAATGTGTATGCTTATATAAGGACCTTTTCCCCACCAAATAATTACTTATCCTAGGGCAGAGGTCATGTCTGTCTTGCAAATCACTGTTCTTCTATGTTCATGGCTGAGTTAGAGTGGGTGCCTGTGGGATAAATGCCCATTGGCCCCATCACACTGCAGCCCACCTGGAAGTGACAGAAGGATCGTCATCCAGGGTGAGGCTCCATCATGGCCTCCTCTGACACATGTGCTGCCCATTTATAGCCTCAATGATAAGAGGGAAGGTTGCGTTTGACACTTGCACAAGAGACAATAAGGATTTGTCAAGTCCTTCTTGTCTGTCAGAGTAGGTAGTGTGTAGGAATTCAAAAGAAGATGAAATCCATGCTCCTGCCTGGTAGGAAGTCTGTGACTGAGATTCTAAGTGCAGGAGGAGGGACACAGTAATGATGGTGCAGTTACTGGGGAAGGCTTCATCAGGACACAAATCTGTTTTAGATTTATACACTGAGAACAGCACCTGTCCTAGGCCAGGCACTGCCTAATGCTTCCTGTACATATCTTGTTTTTATCTTCATAAGCATCACGCAGAAGGCATTATATTTACAGATGAGGAAACATAACTCAAAATGGTTAAATAATTTGTTCATGGGCACTTAGCTAATGCCTAGCAGAGCCCACAGATGAACCCAGACCTGCCTGATCTTGAATTCTTTTCTCCAGTCATTACTAAATATCACTCCTTCCTTGGTTTGGCTGAGATGTAGCTGTGCCATGCCAGGAAGGGGCTCAGAGGAGCAAAGACCAGCCCTCTTGGAAGCCAAAGCTGCTGTTGGGAGCAGGGCAAAGTGATACAGGATGGGTATATACAGGGCAAAGTGATACAGGATGAGTATAGACAGAGTAAGGTGACGCAGGATGTGTATAGACATTAGGGTCAATTACTAAAAGCAGTGAGTGCCAAAATACCCATATCTAGTTTAAGGGAAGGAAATTCTGTATTTGGAAGAGTAATGTGGTCATGCAGGATAGCATGAGTTGGCCTAGGGGATAATCTGTGAGACTGGAGACTACCCAGGGAGGATTATCAACTAATCACCTGCAGAAAAGATAATCCTTGTGTCATTTATTTCTTCACAATTCACAGCCTACTACTGTAGACGTAGAAGGAAGTAAGGACTAATTAAATATAATTAAGTTTATAAGGTTATTCCATATTCCCTGAGTACAAAGTCATAATTAAAAAGAAGAAAATAATCTCTACTCAGCAAACTGGTCCATATATATTAGTATCTACCTTTTACAAAGCACCTTTTGCATATTTTGCTATCTGCTCAGCAGTATTACTATGGGTAAACTTTCAAGAAGTTCCCTCCTGTTTGGTAATACAGAAAACTAATTAGCATAGCTGATGGGCACTCACAAAAGAAAACAGAACCCTTGAACACATCCAAATGTTGAGGAGGACCTCAAGAATATGCATGTGACATCCATTTCAGTGCAAATGAAAGCTGTGTTGGTGCCCGCTTCACAGGAAAATTATGGTGCACATTACAGCATTTTGAATATAAGTAGTTGGTAGGGTATTTTGGACTGAGCATGAAGGGAAAGATAAAATATGTATCCCAGTTTGTTTTCAGGATCCAGAACATAAGACTCCAGTCCCAGTGAAAACAGAGATCCTGGAATGGCTAAAAGTCAGAGAAGAAGAACGTATTTTAAAAGCACAAGTTGTTGTTCTTTTTGGTTTTTGGTACTATATTTCCAATGCTAGTTACTTAAGAGCAATCTGGTGGACTGTTTACAGCTTTTCAATTTCACGAACATGTAATAGACACCTACTCTATACAAAGCCTGATATTAAGTGTTGTGACCATCCAAAGATGAAGCAAGACATGGAAGCATAAAGAATTAAATGGGTCAGAAGCACACCCAAGTGAGGGCTCTGACAGAAGACAAAGACATAAAACCAAATATCTAATGATTGAAATGAAATCTAAATTTCAAAATCGAAATTGTGAGACATGTGGAACTTGTGAAATTCCAGTACCTTGCTGAAATCAAGGCATAATTTTGTTTCATAGGGCTTTAATTAAAAGCAAAAATCTTTTATTGAAATAATCAAGCAATTAATCTTGAGAATTACAGATGAACACAATTCATTATTCTTCCCTCATCTATGCTTTGGTGAGTTAAGGCTTTTGGCCTTATTCATATACAATCTAGTTTCTCCAAAAGAAGCAGAAGTTACTATGAAATTGCACGCCCCTAGAAATGCTTTTCTTAGGGCAACACATGACAGGAATAGCAGCCACAGTGTAGAGGGGGCAGTGGCAGAGAGTTGAAGAAATTCTGTAATTCTCTCTAATGACTTGGAAGCCCAGTGAAGCTTACCAAACTTCAGGAATTACTGAGAAAACATAAGCCATCACCACATGACTTCTGTACATTTATTCTGATTAGTAAAGTTTGGGTTAAATGATTTATCACCCTATCTCACAGTATGCATACTGAAAGTAATGAAGTCTTTGCAATATGAACCTTCCATATGCATGAGGCTATTAAATCTTTGTTGAGAAGCATGTAGAAGCTGTGAGGATGACTACTTTAGTTTTTGGCTGATATCTGGTAGGCCTAACAAATACATGAAATAAAAATTTACCAATCCTGATTCCACCAAATTCTTTGTTCACAGGACACAAAAAGCTTGCCCTACTTTATTCTTCTTGGAATAAACCTAATACGTAATACACATCTACTATCTAGATATCAATGAAGCAGCCACTTTCAGGCTGGAGTGGATTACAGTAGCTGTTTAACAACAAAGCAAACAGGCAGAAGGGTAAGTCCTTTCAGGAAGCACTGAGTAGGTGGATCATCAGTGCCTCTGTGACCTGCTGCATGCTTCAGCCACATTTGTATCCCTAAAGATTCTTTCAGGAACATGGCATCAGCCAATGAAGCTGCAGGGAGATAGAACACTTAGTAGCATAGACTCAAAAGTCAAACTGCCTGGGTTCAAATTCTGGCACCACTTCTCATCATCTGTCATCTTGAACAGGCTAACCGGCCAATCTGTTCCTGTCTCCCCATCAGCAAAATTGGGACAAAAATAGATGTAAAAATTAAATAAGGTAGGCCAGGTGATGTGGCTCACACCTGTAATCCCAGCACTCTGGTAGGCCCAGGTGGGCGGATCACCTGAGGTCAGAAGTTCAAGACCAGCCTGGCCAACATGGTGAAACTCTGAAGTAAACCCTCTACTGAAAACCCTAAACCTTCTACTAAAAATACAAAAATTAGCCGGGCGTGGTGGCAGACACCTGTAATCCCAGCTACTCAGGAGGCTGAGGCAGGAGAACTGCTTGAACCCTGGAGGCGGAGGTTGCAGTGAGCCGAGATTGCGCCATTGCACTCTGGCCTGGATGACAAGAGCTAAACTCCATCTCAAAAAAAAAAAAATTAATTAAGGTAATACACGTAAGTAGTTAGGACTATGCCGTGCCCACAATGTAAAATCAATAAATGTCACCTTCCTCTTACGGAGGGAGAGGCAGATTCAAGTATGTTCTAAACACCTGGCTGGAACATCAGTCTTCCAAAGCCCCAAATACACAAAAGGCACACGGCAGTAAATGTTAAGTACTAGCCATTTTGAAATCAGGACCTGGCTGCACTGCTATTTTTTTTAATGTGAACTTTCAGAGGGAATCAAGCCTTGGAACGAATGATGTTTATTTCAACCCTAAACTCTGGTGCAGAAGGACAAACGGAGAAGTAGACCTCTGAGCTACAAAGCTTATTCTGTATATAATAGGTTCCATTCTAAAATTCCACACATTTATGCCTCTACCTCCAACTTTATGTCCTTCATCAATCCCCTCCTCCTAGTCAGACTACCTCCCTACCACACGCATGCCTTGTAGTGTATGCTTTGGTTTTTGAGACACAGTCTTACTCGGTCATCCAGGCTGGAGTGCAGTGGTGTGCGACCTCGGCTCACTGCAACCTCCATCTCCTGGGTTGAAGTGATTCTCCTGCCTCAGCCTCCCAAGTAGCTGGGATTACAGGCACCTGCCACCACACTCAGCTAATTTTTGTACTTTTAGTAGAGACAGTATATTCGTATTTTTGTATTTTTTAGTAGAGACAGTGTTTCACCATGTTGACCAGGCTGGTCTCAAACTCCTGACCTCAGGTGATCTGCCCGCCTCAGCTTCGCAAAGTGCCGGGATTACAGGGGTGAGTCACTGCACCTGGCAGCCTATGCTTTTTAATTTGATGATGCCTGTATGGAATGTTTTTTGCCTGTTTTTACTCTCATCTCCACTCCTGCCTGCACCTTCACTTCCTCCTCCCATAGCAGCTAGATAATCTTTTAAAAAACAGTTGACTCATATCACTCCCCACTTAAAAAAAAAAAACCTTCTTCTGGCTTCTTGTTGCTCTTATAATAAAATCTAAACTCCCATATGCTCCATCCCTTCCTCCTTCTCTGATGACATCTCTCCCCCGACTCCTGTCTCAGAGGCCTTTGCTCTGGTCCGTAAGTTTGCTCCAGCCTCAAGACCTTTGCATTTCTGTTCCTTTTACTGGATCTCTGTTCCTCCATTCTTCCCAGAGCTAGATCCTTCTCACCATTCAATTTCAACTGAAATCTTACCTTTAATCTTTAGAGAAGGTGCCTTCCCCAACCATCTTCTCTAAAGTAGTCACTGATGCCCTCAATCAACTAGTCTCTATCATTCTTTTTCCTACTTTTCTGTCTTATTTTTTTTCCAGGAGTTTTCACTCTCTGAAATGTTATTATTTCTTTTTAAAATTTTCTTGTCTATGATCTTACTACCCTTACTACAATACATGTTCCATCAAAGCACAAACCTTGATTGGCTTATTTATTGTATCTTCTGCACTTACAACACATCCTGGCAAATAGTAGACACTCAATTAACAAATGAACAAATGAATGAATAAATGAGTTAATGTACAATTCTAAGCATTTCTTTGAGTTCTAGTGTAAGTTGCTCTTATTCTATGAAGCTTCTCTAATGACTTCACTTAATCTAAATTCCTATTGCACTTACTATCAGGACTAAGCACTTTATTATAAACATACTTGTCCTTTTTCATTTGTAGAAACGTAAGTCTTCTCTCCCCAACTGATTTTTAACTTCCTTGAGGGCAGCAACCATCTCAAATGTAGCTGTAAATCAGGAGTAATTAGAAGTTTATGCACTTAACTCAGAGGAAAGGCTGACTGGGCCTCACTAGGGGTCTCTATACACTTTTTTAAGGCATAATTTTAGCAACTATGATTTTACAGCTTCTCCATTCACAACAGTGGATTGCATGGGAGTGCCAGAAGCAGGTTCTGACTACAGTAAGTGATAACTAAGAATAAGAGATAAAGAGGACAGCTATACAAAGAAAAAAACAGATACAAGAAATCAAAAGGCACAGATCATAGAGGGGATGCAAAGAGAGCATGTATAGACATATAGAGAGCATTTAATGGTGACAGCCAACAACCTATCTCCCTCAACTGTGCCTAAAGTGTCACAAAAGACACTTCATTACAGCACTGTGTGATCATAGATCTTTTATATGATAACCTGCAGTCATCACTAAACCTTTCAATTTAATTGTGATCAGTTTTAAAAGGCATAGGGAGTATTATAAGCTTATAATCAAAAGAAGTACTTTGAAGTCTAAGCTCCTAAAAGGTGTACATTTTGGTTGTCTAGACAACTCCCCTATGTATGGAGTACCTCCTCTCTGGTGAGGTCAAGTAAATAAGATATTCTGGCTGTATAATTAAGATATAATTTTTACTGATGAAACTATTTTCTTAGGAAACCAGTCTAGAATGTGAACTTTAATCTCTGCAATCATTAATTCATGTTACAAACAACAGTTTGATTGGATATTTGGCTGGGATAATGATGGGGGTTGGTGCTTGGAATGTCTGATCCTCCCACTCATCTTTCTTCCTAGGATGTGAGACAATTTCTGATATGGCTTGGCTGTGTCTGATATGGTTTGGCTGTGTCTCTGCCTAAATGTCGTCTTGAACTGTAGTTCCCATAATCCTCTCATGTCGTGGGAGGAACCTAGTAGGAGGTCATTGAATCATGAGGGCAGTTACCTCCATGTTGTTCTCATGATAGTTCTCCCAAGATCTGGTGGTTTTATAAGGGGTTCCCCCACCCCCCACTTCATTCTGTACTTCTCCTTGCTGCCACCATGTGAAGAAGGACGTGTTTGCTTCCTTCCACAATGATTGTAAGTTTCCTGAGGCCTCCCCAGCCATGCAAAACTGTGAGTCAATTAAACCTCTTTCTTCATAAATTACTCAGTCTTGGGTATGTCTTTATCAGCAGCATGAAATGGACTAATACAATTCCCTTGAGCAAGAAGTGTACTCCCCTGAATAGTAACACTCATTAGAGAGGCTGAGAAATAGCAGAGAGCTGTTCTTATCCCCAGATCTGATGCAGTCCAGACAGGCTGTATTCTCAGAAGCTTCTTCTATGACCAGCAGAGCAGGGTAGCATGGAGCAAAGGGCACAAGCTGGGAGTCAAAACGATTATGAGAGGAGCTGACATTCATTGAGTATTTATTTTTGCACTAGGATCTGTGCTGAGCACTTTTGGCCACTACCTCACTTAATCTTAAGAACAGTTATAGCAGGTCTTAATCATTATCATTGTCATCATCACATAGGAGAAACTGAGGGACAGAAAGCTTCTACCTGACCAATGATATCCAGTTAGTAAATAAAAGAGCCAGGCCTCAACTACAGACTAACTCCAAAGTCCAACTTGCCAATTACACTGTGTATAATCCTCTAAAGCCTCTAAAGATCAGGCTTCCATTGTTCCTGCCACTTTCTAGCTGAATATCTTACAAGTTACATAACCTTTCTGAGCCTTGGTATTCACATTTATAAAATGAGGATAAATGCATCCATACTCTCTCACTCATAAAATTCTGTGAGGCTCAAATGATACCTTCAAAACTCTGTGGAAGCTGGGCATGAAGGCTCATACCTGTAATCCAAACACTTTGAGAGGCCAAGGTGGGACCAGGAATTCGGGATCAGCCCGGGCAACATAGTGAGACCTCATCTCTAAAAAAATTTGTTAATTAGCTGGGCATGGTGGCATGCACCTATAGTCCCAGCTAATTGGGAGACTGAGGCAGGAAGATTGCTTGAGCCCAGGATACAAGGCTGAAATAAGCTGAGATTGTGACACTGTACTCCAGCCTGAGTGACAGAGTGAGACTTTGTCTCAAAAAAAAAAAAAATATATATATATATATGTATACATATATATTTATATACATGAAAATAAATTTTTAAAATCCTGTGGAAACTTTTATGCTTTTATGTGATATACAAAGTTAAGTACTATGTGTCTGATTATGCACATGACTTCTGGGTGAACACCCACCTGGTACAGACAAAATCATGTTCTTCTCATACCTAAGAAAACCATTTTAAAAAAGAAAAAGCCAGCAACATTGTATACCACAAGTTCATGTTTGATCATTCCCCAATCCCCATCAGAATCTTCAATATGGATTTCAAAATTATTCTCCAACCATAAGCTTCAAAGAAAAAGATATCCTGCAGAGACTGTTCTCTTAAGAAACTTAAAATGAAATACAGATCTTTTAAATGAATGAGAACTTTTGTATTCCCATGGATTACTGATGCATTTTTCTACTCTGCTATTTCAAAATTTTCCCAAAGGCTTTTCTAATTTTGATTCATATCAGTCTGGATGTTGAACTTAGTTATAAACTCGAGACTAGTCATGCATCCCTGGGTCATTTCATTTTGTATACTGTTATTAATAATATGTAATAGAAGCCAGTTCCAGAGAAAAGCCTACATTTTTCAGAATGTACCTGTGGTCAACATTTTCTGCACCCTCCCAGGGAGGCAAGGAATATGGCAAACCTCTTACTGCTGCTCTCCACACAAGCAGCCAAAGAAGAGCTGCCTGAGAAATGGTCTAAGGCTCCAAGAGCCAAGAGCTCCCCAGCCATGAAGGGGCCTGAATAATGCACATGGTAGAGCTTGGCTGGAGCCACAGAGCCTGAAGTTTACATCGTGACTGTCCGTTCATTGGTTCTCTGAATCTGGGCAAAAGATCTAAACTCTGATTTTCCATTTCCTCAGCTATGAATCAAGAATAATGATGTCCTATGGGTTGCTATGAGAATTAGAAAATGCCTGTCACTTGTAAGGTACACAAAAAATGTTGGCCAAAAAACAAGGTAGGAGTACTCATTTACTTTGAAAAGATGTGACAGATAATTATGTCAAGGATATCAGTTAAGCTACAGCTAATACAGTCATAAGAAAATTCCCCTAGAGTTGTTTCCAACCAGAATATGACCTATAAATGACTCAGTTATTTGTGACATCAGACACATTTTCAACAATTGGGCTAATTCATTAATACAGTGTGCAAGCCATTAGTACATGAAGGAGAATACAATGAGACAGGGATATGGAGAAAGGATATTGAGGGTGGGGTCTGTGGAGATGATGAAAGGGATGAAATAAGAGATAGGTACAGAGAAGAAAAGAAGAGTTAAACTAGAAAGGAAAGAGAACAAAATCCACAGGAATGCTGGTCATTCAAGTAGAAAAGAAATTCACAAACTCTTAGTAACACTGGGTGGACCCACTATGAGAGAGCTACACAGTAACTGCATTTAAGCTCACCAGAATTCCATTGGCCTTACTGAGAGAAGCAGGAAACCAGCACTTGGTGGTACTATGATAGACGGTGTCTGCCAAAATTGAAGCCTGACAGAGATTATTTAGTCAAAACTTTTTTAATAAACACAGCCAGTATGAAGGAGGTTTGTTGTTCTTATAATTGGATAACAATGAGCCTGCTATCTGCTTCAACAGAATGGAGAAAAATGCTCATTCTCACTGTACCCATGGTTTACTCTCTTGCATTGTCTGTGCATGAGATGGTCAACAGAGAGATAGTTCTCTCTGTCATCAAAGGGAGAATGGTGGTGGCCTGGAGCACTGTATCTGCAGGCCACTTGATCTGAAAGAGACCTTCACCAGAGTACAGCACCCATAACCTCCATCAGCCCCAGGAGTGTCCTTGAATGTACCAACCATCAGAACATAAAATTGTGTTGACTCTACAAATGTGGCTTCAAGACAGCTCCCTGGAGTCCCTTCTAATCAGACTGCTTCTCTGAACTCATCCTATATAGAAATTCTGGAGCTGATGTCAGGGTTCTTCAGAAAGTGGGACTGGGTAGTCAGAGTCTACAGATAACGCAATGGTGAAGCCCTCAAAAATGGGGTGCCTACCCAACACGAGTAGGCTCGCCCCAAGAATTCTTAAAAGGAAAACATATGCAAAAATGTAGTGTATTTCTTAACCAAAAAAGTGGTTGTCCTGAGTGAGTTATTTATTGATAAGGATGACCTTGGAAACATCACTTTCATAAACTTTCTTGATCCAACTAGCTCTCTGTCACTCCAATCCCCTCCAAACTTGTACGAGCCATACTCACAAACATTGCCCAATGTACTCTCTTGTTCCAGGTTAGTCAAGAAAAGGTGTCAATTACCCTTTCTGTCCCAGGAACCCGGATCCCAAGCATGACAGCACGACAGAAGGTTGGGAGAGTTAGTCTCAGGCACCTGACCAACACTATTCCCGCAAAACATGAATGGCACTGGAGAACATGCCTATCAGGTGTCAGTTGTGAAGGTGAAACTCCATATAAATGAGGTCATATTTATTTATTCTGTCTAATGCCTGATACACTACCAATGAATACTTAAAATATTTCCTAATGAGAAAGCATGTCCTGTACCTTGGAATAAGATGTGGGAATAAGCTTGCCTTTATAAAGGACTTAATTATTACTTCATTATGTGAGTTACAAAGGTCTTGTTCTTTTCTTTCTTAGTTCATAGACCAATCAAAGAAAGACCAAATTCAACAAGTGGGGAAATCCTGGGCCAGGAAGTACTACCATAATGTTCGGGAAGAAAAGCAATTTGTGTTGTGGACAGAATACATTTCTCTCCCATTATAACCACAGCCTGTTAAAAGCCTGTCAGGAAATAAATAAAACACTTTTTGTTCCGTTGCCCACATCCCTGTGCTCAATTCAACAGATTCCAGCCTTCTCAGAAATGCAATCTAAGGTGAAGCCAAGAGGACACACAGGCTGGGGAGGGGAGGACTCTCTGAGAAGCCTTGATGGGGATGTGGACTCCTCCTCCATACTTGCTTCACAAGAGACTCTGCCTCCATCATCCTCTCCTGAACTCATGTGGTGTTGAAGTCAGATTCAGCTGAGAGGCTCACATCAATCTGAAATCCCATTATCCCTGCCAAACAGAAGCTTTCATCTTACAAAGGAAAAGGAGGTAGTGAAAAATAAGGCATGCACATGGTTTGTGTGGAGTACACATGGGCATCATGATTATTCTTATTCCTAGCTCCAAAGGATACACACACACACACACACACACACACACATTTATTCATGAGTCTATATGTATTCATATATATGAATGAGCACCTTAATAGGTACAATTTTTCTAATACTTTATTTTAAGCTAACCATACTATACATTTTTTTCTCCCGTAAGCAATCTACCTCATGCCCATTTAGATGTACTACTAAAATAGAAAGCATTCTGAAACATATTGTGGATTTTGGCAGCAAATATCAAGGGTAGGAAATGGGGGTGGGTGCTGGATTTTACAACGGTACTACTGCAAAACATATAGGCAGTCTTTTGACTAAAGGCCTCCGAGTTACGAATAATTAATAAATACCAACAGACCCTAAGTGTCATGAGTTCAGAGACTAAATTGTGCTTTTCACCATTGTATCCCCTGTATCCAGCACAGTGCTTGACACATACTAGGTACTGAAAAGATGTGTTCAATAAAAGTCTAGCAGGCTGATTGAATAAATAAATGAATGACTAAGGTCATACACTGGAATGAAAAATGGCCTTTGTTTCATGGTTCAGAAGACTGTGGAACAAAGGAGCCTACATCAAGTTCTTCTCTTTGTTTTTGTTTTGAGATGCAGTCTCACTCTGTCACTCAGGGTGGTATGCAGTGGTGCAATCTTGGCTCACTGCAACATCCACCTCCTGGGTTCAGTGATTCTCCTGCCTTAGCCTCCTGAGTAGCTGGGATTACAGGAGCCCACCAGCATGTCCAGATAATTTTTGTAATTTTAGTAGAGACAGGGTTTCTCCATGTTGCCCAGGCTGCTCTCGAACTCCTGACCTTGGGTGATCTGCCGGCCTCGGCCTCCCAAAGTACTGGGATTACAGGCATGCACCACTGCCCAGCCATCAAATTATTCTCTTATGCAGCAGTGTACGTTACAGGATGGATATCACAAGGTCTTGCACTCTCACCTGCAGCCCCTTAAGTCCTGACTCTGGTTCTGGTGCCACACCTCCCACCATGACACATGTCCCTGTTTACAGATGGGAAAAAGGAGGGTCAGGGAGAAGGGGTCCTTGCTTCTCATGTTTTGTTGCAAGCATGTGTGCAGTGTAGAGTAGAGATACTGTGTTTCTGGCACCCCAAACAAGAAGTGGGAACATATGTGACTGAAATAACGCTTTATAACAAAAATTTGCCATACCTCATTATAATTTTTTGTTTCAATAGACTTTCCTGGCCTAGCCAGGCAATGGAATCATATGTTATATTGGCATGCATTCCGATAAGAGATTAGCAAATACATTTTAAATAGTATCTGCTCATAATCTTGGGACTCCTTTCATGTGAAGTCTTGTGAAACAGAGTACTATATTTTGCAACAAGGTCAGTGCTGCAGACTCTTAGATTTATGTTAGTTACCCTTCTAGAAGGTAGAAGATATAGGGGGCACTTGATTATTAGTTGATGCCATGGATAATTATTGACCAGCCAACTGACTATAAGGAAAATACTCTCAGAGCCCAGTACAGCTTAGCTCAGGATCTTTCAATCAGTAGGTCCTCCAAAAATGGGATTAGACCACCTCACATTCATTAGGATGGCTAATATTAAAAAAAAAAAAGAAAATGGCATGTGACAACTGTTACGTGCACTGCAGATAGGAATGTAAAATGGCACAGCTGCTATAGAAAAAAATATGGTAATTCCTCAATAAAATTACCATATGATCCAGAAACTCCACTCTGGGTATATGCCCAAAAGAATTAGAAGCAGAGACTCAAAGAGATTTCACCCATGTTCACAGCAGCATTATTCACAATAATCAAAATGTAGAAGCAACCCAAGTGTCTATGGACAGATGAATGGATAAAAAAAAATGTGGTATGCACACACACAATGGAATACTAGTCAATCTTTAAAAGGAAGGAAATTCCGACACATACAACATGGATAAACCTTGAGGACATTATGCTAACAGAAATAAGCTAGCTACAAAAAGACAAATGCTGTATGAGTCCACTAACATGGGGTACTTAGGACAGTCAAATTCAAATTCATAGAAAAAGAAAGTTGTCAGGGGCCTGGGGGAGGGAAGAATGGGGAGCTGTTTAACGAGTATAGGGTTTCAGTTTTGCAAAATGAAAACAGTTCTGAAGATTGTACAACAATGTGAATATACGTAATACTACTGAATTTTATACTTAAAATGGTTAAAATGGTAAATTTTATGTTATGGATTTTACCACAATTGAAAAAATAAAGTCAATAGAAATAAAATATGCACCATATCTTTAAATACCTAAAGAAATAGAATTCCTTAATATCATCAACTATCCATTAGTGCTCAAATTTTCAGTTATCTTATAAATGTAATAAATGTTTTTAAACATAGTTTGTTTTAGTCAGTATCAAAAAGTGATTTATACTCCTAAAAAGACAATTAGGGCCAGGTGTGGTGGCTCACGCCTGTAATCCCAGCACTTTGGGAGGGCGAGCCAGGCAGATCATGAGGTCAGGAATTTGAGACCAGCCTGACCAACACGGTGAAATCCCATCTCTACTAAAAATACAAATATTAGCCAGCTGTGGTGGCACGCGCTTGTAATCCTAGCTACTCAGGAGGCTGAGGCAGGAGAATTGCTTGAACCTGGGAGGTGGAGGTTGCAGTAAGCCAAGATTGTGCCATGGCATTCCAGCCTGGGTGACAGAGCGAGACTCTATCTCAAAAAAAAAAAAAAAAAAAAAGACAATTAGGAGATTTCCTATACATTGTTGGGCAACATCTTTGTTTACAAAAGAGTTAGTGATTAGATAAGTTTAAAACTGTTACATGTTTGCAAACCTAATGAGACTGTGCCTTTTTTTCATTCCCCTAATACTATCCCTCATTTTTGAGAACACTTCTAGGTTTACAGAAAAACTGAGCATAAGTTACAGAGTTCCTATATACTCCATCCACCACCCCCACCTCATCGTTTCTCGTTTTATTAACATGTGTCACAACTATGAACCAATATTGATATATTATTTTTAACTAAAGTCCATGGTTTACATTAGAGTTCATTCTTCGTGTTATACAGTGTTTTGGGTTTTGACAAATGCACAAAGTCATGTATCCACTATGTGTCTTATTTATTCTATATCCCTCAAACTCAAGAATGAATACTGAATAAATGCCTAGGTAGTCGGCCCTTTCAGTTTAACTACTGTTGAAACAAGACAGATCCAAAGAAATAAAGATAGAAAATGTTCATTTTTCTTTGCAACAATTCGTATGTCAAAAGCTAGATTCTTGCTATTCTGCCTGCAGCTAAAATGATAAAATTCTATGCCTTTTTGGGAGTAAAAATATTTTAAGCTTCTGTCATGAGCTTTGTAAAATAGCTGGTATGCTTATAGTTCAGCAAAAATTGACTTGGTATTCCTCCTAGTCTCTGCAATAGTGAAACTGCATTAGACATGAAAACATTTTCTGAAAGAAAACATTACAGGTAAAATAAGGAGATTAAGAGTTTAGTAATTAACACACTAAGTGTCCTATTTGCTATGGTTCTGCTGTGAGTGATGTGGTTGTTTATGTTAAACTAATATACTCTTTGGATTAACAGAAATATATAAATACATCCCACAGTGTTCCTAAATACTTCCAAAATCATCTCTCCCTCAGTGTTCTTTTCTCACAGTGCTACATATAAGTAAGGACTGTACCGAGGAAACCAATCCAATGCAGAAAGCTCATTTGTGGCAGATGCAGGGACCCATTAAGAACCATCAGCTATCCTGGTCTTACTTCAGAGAAGAGGGATATTAAACTTCAGCCTAAGAGGAGATGAGGTCACCAAAGCCACATTTTCAAAGCCAGAGGGCCATCTTAAGTACTTTAAATGGGTTTTATTGCTTTGTTCCTAAGGCAGGTAAATTTATATTTGGCTTGGAAATAGAATTATTTCAAAGAGTCCTTTATTTGAGCTAGCATTTTTGAGACCCCATCATAAACCCTCCAGGCCATTAGTTTGCCCTATTTTTTATTTGACTGAGAACACACACAGAGGTCAGACTGATCAGGCTTGTGTTTGAATTGTCTGTCCAGTGGTGAAAATGGGTCTGTGTTGGCTCATCCATTTCTAATCCATTTTTTCTTGTAATCGACTTAGTACAGTTTAGGCTTTGTGTTAAAATCTCAGCTCATCTGACCACAAATACTGAGACAGAGAGTTGTTTACAAAAAATGAGGAAAAGTAAAAAATGTAGGCAAAAATAACAAATGCCTGCTACACATATCTCCTTCTTTTCTGTTCCTCAGCATCAGCAAACTATGCCCAGCATATAATGAATAGGCAATAAACCCTTGCTTACTGAAACACTTGTACCTGACTCAACTAGATTACAAAGTAGAGGATTTTTCTATGAATCAATAAACATTAGTTTTTAAGTACTTGTTTCTCTAGCCTCTTTACATTTGGTCAGCTATTTTTAGGGTTTGACAGAGGTAGTGATAATTAACTAAAATCTGAGTTTGCTTTTATTATGAGAAACTGTATTTTTGAGAGCCTGACCTCTTCCTTTCACATAATTTCTCAGATGCTTTTTGGTCCACCCACAATTTGGCCTCTACCTACTCATGTTGTTTATTCTTACTTACCCTCCCACCCTTTCCAAACACAGCCAGGTGCTGTTTTCCTAAACTTCTCCATCTCTGTAGCTCAGCCCTTCTTTCTGTCAGACGCAGCCTTCCTGCAATTGTTGAGTCCAACTAAAGTTTGAAAGGCCAAGTTCAAATCTTCCTTCTCTCAAGTAGCCTTTTCCAGACTTACTCATTTTGAATTAATCTGTGCCTCCCCTATATTTCTACAGTATACTGCTTATACCATGATTATACCACTTATGAGTAACTTCCCTGGACTAGGAAAATTCTCTGTGTCAGCCTTTACCTACTGAGTACTTGAATCACGCATAGAACTTGAATTCTAGCAGTTTCGTGGAGAAAACTTATTGGAATGACATTCAGTGACACCAAAAGAATACAGTGAGGAAAAAGGTGAAGTTCTATAAGGAGAGAAATTTGTTCCAACTTAAAAATCTACTGAAATTTAATTTAGGCTGTTTTGGCTAAAGATGAGCATCTGGACATCCATTTACATTGGTTTACTCATTACATGAGTAGCAGCCTAGTGTTCTGTGTACTTGCTGTGGGTACAAGATTGATTTCCTGTATTTAAGCATCCCTTTATGACAAACAGTGCTTGATATAGAAGTAGACAGCAGCCTCACAATATGAACAGCCTCAATTAGGCTTCAGTTATGTGTGTCATATCTCTGTTATTGAGATCTGAAGGGAAAGAATGCTATTTATGTTGTGTGTGTGGTGGCGGGGTGTGGGGGAGAGCGAGAGAGAAACACCACCGAAACTCAATCAAGAAAAAAGCTTAGTTGAGTAAAGCAAATATGATATATCCACTTTGCTGAGCAAGTGAACAAACTCAGGCTTAAGTAAGCAGCATGATTAAATTAGGAGGAAAAACTGTTTAGTGTGTATTTACATACAGTCAGGACTTGGTATTTGTAAACTGAAATTTGCTCTATTTCTTCATACTTGAAGCAACTCATTCAACACATATATATGGAGTGGCTTTAAGTGCTAGTCATGTGTCCTTTGACAAAATTTTCAGTAGTAAAGAAGGGCCATAACACATGGATCTGTGGTGAAGACTGCCACTTGCTCACCCATATCTGTTTTCTTCTTTCATGATAATGGGAAATCATGGTCATCCCACTGGAAACCACACACATTTTCCAGCCTTTTTTTACAAATGGGTATGGCTACTTCAGGCCAAAGGAATGTGACTTCCAGGTCACTTCCAATGTAAAAGTCAAGCCATGTGCCCTGGAGTTCCTTTCTTTCCTTTTTTATTAGCTGGAACATGGACATGCCTATGACCCAGCATCAACTACAACTACAGAGACAAAGATAATACCCAGTGAGATAGTGGGGCTCACCATAAAGAAATCATTGTCTCTGATTAATTATTCAGAATAGTGCCACCCAATCAACATGTACTCTCACCTCAGACCTATCACATTAATGAGAAATAAACTGTCTGTCTTCATTATGCCGCTGCATTTTGGGAGTGTCTTTGTTACGACAGCTTAATTTTTACCCTAATTAATATAATTCCTCATTAATTCCCTAAGAGAAATCTTCCCCCAAACTGTTGGAGGGAGGCTTGGCTGCAATTCACCTTCCCATCTAAATTCAGAATGTGGACTGGCTATAGATAAGCATATTTTGTAGGAAATGTGTCACATACTATTTGCTTTTTTGTAGATCTTTGGCTACCTTCTCTCCACCCAAACCCATCTGGCTGATGTCTAACAGAAGAATGGTTGATTTTGTTCTCATCCAATCTGATGAATGGTCTGCACCAAGTCTCTTACTCTTTTCATCTAAGGCAGAATAAATACCCATTTTCCTCTGTGGAGTGTTTTGTTAATTAATGTCAGTAGGGCAGAGAGTGTTCCAAAGTAGGACTATTATTGTAAGCCTCCTTTACTTCAACTGCATAAGCAATGTTGGAACTAATCACTCAAGAAGTAAAATCAGTAGGAAGTTGCCAAGAGGGTCAGGCTGTAATTAATCAATGAGGTCACTGCCAATAATAATAGTACATTCTGTTACATGTGTAACTGGATTTAGTGGATGTACCACACTCATGACTTACTGAAAAAAAAATTCATCTCTGCCCTGGAACAGCAACTTATTGTAAAAAGCAAACAAAAAATTGTCATGACAAAATGACATCAAAAAGGAGCAGCAATAGAAGCTAGCATTAGGAACACTGTTGGTCTAAAAAAAAAATCCAAGGTAAATGGTAGAAAAGAGACACCACTGTTGAAAGTATGCATGCTCTCCAAGTCTACAGCATAAACTTATTGGTAAAGGTCAGAACTTGGAGATCCTTAGACCTATACAGTCAACCTCTTGAGGATGAAGCAAGGTGGGAGGCAGACTACCTAAAGACCTGAAAGTCTTTAGAAGACTCAGAGAAGTGGTGAGGGATTTACAGCAGACTTTGAGTAAAATGGAGGGTTATTATCACTGCTGGCCAAACTTGTTTTTATTCCACTATTAAGGAACAATGAACAAATTTGTCCTTTGTTTAGATTTGGCTTTAGATAGGGCAGGAAAAGGCTTAACATGGGGAAAAAGTGAAATTTTGCCTCCAATTTTTGTCCTGTCCCTCAAAAATGCAAATAATTGGCAGGAAGGACCAAACATTTCTTAAAGGAAGGAGGAACACGTTCCATATTAGCCCTTTAGCACATGATTCAGGGGCCAGCACTTACAATTCCATATACTCTGAAACCACCCTGAGGATGAGAAATTCTATGTTCTCAAGACACCATGGTACAGCCTGAATTCAATAAACTCATCATTCTAAAAACAGAATGAAATACTCAAACTCAAGGTTTTATTTTGTTATGCTAAATATGCTACATTATAGCCTTTTTCATGTTAAAAATAAAAAGTTAAAATGGATGGGGACATTTTAGTCTGTGCAACTACAAATAATTTGGTGACATTTATCAAAAGCCTAAAATATGTGCATTCCTTTGACCTGCAAGTCTACTTCTAGAAATTTGTTCTAAGGGGAAAAAAGTAAAAGCAGATTCGTTTACAAGAATATTGATCATAGCACCTTTTAAATAATGGTAAAAAGTGTAAAACAGTCCAACAGTGGATATTTTAGGCAACAGAATAAGTAGTGCATGGGATCTACTGTAATGAAATTTCACCAATAACCAGGTTAATATGATTAAATACCTCTCTTTCTATAGATCGAGGTTTCTGTGTGAGAATATTAAATAGAATTTACTGAATTCATCTGAATTTAGGAGGACTGTAAAAGTACACACAATTTAATATAAAATTAAAAATCCTTAAGAAATGTAATGGTATTTGGCCTTCTCTAAAAGAAAGTCAGTGACGAGAAGAAAATTCAGCTATAAGAAGATTCCTATAGCTACTATATATGTAAACATACACTAATAAGAAATCTCTTATATGGCTTTGCACATCTTATTTCTGCCATGCTTCTCACATTTGAAATTACTACAAGGCAAGAAAAGCACCTTTCCCTTAATTACCTGGACTCTATGTTCTAAAAACCTCTCCAGTTAGTATCATTCAGAAACATTATTTAACAAAAGCAGTTCAGAGAAACAGGTTGCTGAAATACAGCCCATTTCTTAAAAGCATGATATTTCAATGCATGAAAGTATGTTCCCCCCAAAAAGAGTAGAAAAATATTACCATTATTCAGACTCATTATTTGCAATTAACAGAGACACATTTTAATCATGATTAGTAGAGTTTAGTAATCCTTGGTTCTGGGTATTTGGCTGAATTCCAAAAATTTAAATTTATTGACAAAAAGAACTAGAGGGTAACAACTCTATTACCCTGGCCATGATTATTATTTGTTTCTTCTAGTTTTTATTAGAACATATTTTCAAACTCACAGAAAAATGGCAAGAGGTATACCAAAGAACTCTCATATATCCTTCACTCAGAGACACCTTTTAAAATTTGACTAGTGGTCCTTTATAGTAAAAGAACCCAACCTGAGATCATCTGTGGCACTGAGTGGTCACAAGGCTTTAGTTTTCTTCAATCAGGAAAACAGTCTTCAGTCCTCTTTGACTTTCATGGACTTAGTATTTTTTAAGACTGCAGGCTGTGCTATAGGTATACTCATTGCTACTGAGGTGCCACTCCTCCCAGGACTTCTCACTGGGCAGAGCTATAAAATGTCTTTTATATAAATACACACAGATATGCACACACCATTGTATCTATTATATATTTATTTCTATGGCTGAATATATACTTTGAGAATATACCAGTACCTCTAATTCTAACCCAGTATCACAAGAGTCAATCAAGCCTTTACCTTTTCTATCTGAAACATCCTTCTCCTCTCATGGGGAAAAACATTTCCACTATTCAGTATATCATCAGTCATCTCCTGACATGACCAGTCCTTGCTCCTCTCTGTAGCTTCCTTCCTCCAGCTCAGACCTAACCCTACCCAGCCACCTTCTCCCTTCACATGAGACTGCTTATTTTTGACTGGAAGGAAGGAAGGGAGGGAAGGAAGGAGGGAGCAAGGGAGGACAGATTGTTAGATTTTTTTGGTAGGAATAAGTACCATGCCTTTAATGGGGAAAAAAAAAACAGGAAAGCAAACAAAGGAGGAGGAGGAGAAAGAGGAAAATAACTGGGAAAAGGAGAAAAGAAATAGCAGAGAATAATGGCTAAGAGCATGGAACCTGGAATCAGACTTGCTGAGTTTGAATCCTGAAACTGTTATTAGCTATAAAAACAGCCAATTGACTTAACCTCTCTGTGCTCCTGCTTCTCCATCTTAAAACAACAATCATGTATCCATCTTAGGAGACTGCTATAGGGATTAACATGTTCATACATGTAAAGCATTTGGAGCTGCACCGGTGCTTTGTAGGAATAATTGAATGTTTACTTTTCTAACTTATCTATGGAACTTTATAATTTCTCTTTTTAAGCTAGTACTACAAGAGATGTCTCTGATGAGACAACTATTTTAAGACACTAGTGAGCCTAGACAAACTTTTTGGCTTTTTAGGAATATTTTCATATCTACCAATCCAGGCCAACACACTAGTGGGAAATCTGTTGTGTGGCTTTGTACATTTCATCTTTTTACCTTAAGATGTCCTGGCAAGAATGTTGATAATACAAACTACAGAAAGTGTAAAATTAAATTGATAGTCACCAATATTTGAAACATTGAAGATGAAACTTATTATCATATCCAGCCCTAACTCCTTCTTGTCCCCCAACCCTTCACGTCTATACAACGTCCATATCATACAACAGAATCTGGGACATCTTGGTTATCAAGAATTTGCAAATATTAATTAATTTTTCAATAACTTGTCTTTGACTGCTTTAATCATTTCTATCTTTTCTCTTGCCACAGGATGTTACATTTTTTTTTAGCAGTTAGCATTTCTAAAATGAAAGCTTCTACATAAATACAAAGGGATATCATTTTATATTACAAATCTCTAGCTCAAATAATCTAAGTAAATTCCACAGGCTATTCAAAACACAGCTCAAGGCAAAATACTGCCCTCCAGCTGAGATAATGACTTAATTTTCTACCAATCATTCTTTTTAAATTTTTCTTTCTTTTTTTCAATCCTTGAAGATGTTCTTCAGCATGTTTAGAAAATGAAGTGGCCCCTGAAGACATATTCTAATTTATAAATAGTTACCACACAGACCTCAGTGAAGATCACAGACTATCAAAGGACTAAAATATATGCATTCCCCACTCCTTTTCTACCATCTCCATCATCTTGTCAGTAGCCTGTTTGAAGACCTGTGTTTCAACCTCCATTTTATATTCCTGGACATACCTGTTTCAAAAATAGATGGTACTAATATGGCCACAAAGTGAAACACTAACTCAACATATGCTCTCATCTTTGGTTGTATGAATGAGTTAAGGGGCATTTGGACAATAAGATGAAAAGGGGGGGAAAAAAAGCTGTCAAATATTTTTCTTTAACCTTTCAGGAGCAGAATTAGCTAAAATGCCAACTCAAAAGCTTTCTGTACGATGAAAACCACTTCAATTAATTCTATGAATTAGGGATAAATCATTTTTTAAAAAATGATTAAAAATATGAAGAATAGATCTTTGCAGAATTCAAGAAGCACCATTACAGTCACCAATGTTATTGCCAAAGCAAAGTTGCTGTGCCCTGGGGGAGTTGAAGCTATGTACGAACAGCTGATGGGATGAACGGCGCACCTGATCTCAAACACATATAACAGGTACAACAGTAATAGCTGTCATTTATGGAGATTCAAAAAGATCCAAGACATGTTACTTCCCTTAATCTTCTCAAAAACACAGAAAGGTAGCAGTATTCAACATAATCTTTTAGACAAGGAAAAGAAGAGTTGAGTTTATGAAACTTGCCTGAGGTCACCCGGAAAGAATTCAAGCGCTGTTCTATCTAAGGACAATCTTTGCATTGCCACAGAACATGCACTTCTCTTCGTTTAGTACCAAAAGAAATTTAAGATGTCTAACCTAGATGCCCCAATCCAAATACTTCATCTGCTCCCTCTCTCGTTTTAATACGCTATGTGAAACCATATTCTGCAGGCGAGTAGAGTCAGCTACCCTCATCCCTAAAATCTTTTCCAATTAAAATGAACGAACAATGCATCTGTTGTCTGGGAGGAAGTCAAATTTTAAACAAACAGAACATCAGCTCCACCAACATCAACTATAGTGACAATGGGGGTGTGTCCTGCGGTTGAAGGGTATAAGAGCTCCTTTTGGAGCTTTAGAGGCAGGGCTGGGTAAAGCGGGAAACTTTCGTGATGAAAATTCATCAAGAGAACTATTGGCAAAGAGAACAGCAGAATAGGGGGCAAGGCTCAGAATGGGGGACAAGGAGGCCAAAAAACCACATCATTTATACTTTGCGGTTTTGCTAAGGTTCCTGGAGACAGATTATGTCAGGAATGTTATCTTAGGTTGCTTATATCTGAGATAATATATAGGTATCTCACTTTAAGAGGCTACAGATCCATTTTCTCCCATTAGATCTGGTTTCCACAGACCAACATGATGCAAAGCTTTCCACCAAATCCCTGCCTTAACCCAACAGAAAGGAGGGAAAGACAAAAGAAGGAGAAAGCTATCTTGTAAAGCTCCCTAGACTTTCGTCCTGTTCTTCTTCATTAATAGGTAAATGAATTTCTCTATTCAAAGACAATATTCCAAGTCCCCTCCCTTAATGGGAAAGGTCTGTGTAATGCTAATTAGATCCACTAAATGCAAAGATATTTTCTTTTAGACAAGGGAGCCTGAATTAAATTTAATGTTATTGTAAGAAATGAGTAGTTTTTTTTTTTGAAAAAAATATTCTGCAAAGTGCTAATTTAATTTTACTATAATAGTCTAATAAAGGAAACCAATATTTACAGGGGAGTATATTAAGCAAAACAAAAAACTGTTAAAAGATTATTTAAAAGGTACCTTATCGTGCACAATGTATTTTATCTTCACTGCTTCCAGTAGTACTTACAGTGACTAGGCTTTTGGCCCAGATTTTGCTTTTGTGCTCAAAAGAGTTCCATCCCTACATTAAGATAATATTCACAGTATTGCATTTTCCAACTATTGGATAGGACTTTTATCTTAGGAGCAGCAGATCTGAAGATGACCCAGAGGCCATGTAATTCACTCCTTTAAACAGATAGAATCTAGGCTGTCCCAAAGAATGCCATGTCACAGTATGCAGCATCTTACTTCACATTCACCAAGCCAGGAATAATGCTTAGAGAGCATATGCCTCTGCAGACCAGCAGATTTCATCTGAAGTCCAATTTTGGAAAAATTATCCAATGCCTCTGAGCCTCAGTTTCCTTATCTATAAAACTCTGTATATAAGAAATACCTACCTCTCAGAAATGTTATATGAAGGATTGCTAGAATTATCAAATTAAAATATAGGAGGTTCAGTTAAATTTGAATATCAGATACACAAAAATTAATTTTTAGGATAATATTTTAGGATATTACAGGATGTATTATTTGCATCCTATATTTTATCTAGCAGTGTCAGAGGCACGTGAACCAGAGCAACTCCATCTTGAATAGGAGCTGGGTAAAATGAGGCTGAAACCTACTGGACTGCATTCCCTGACAGTTAAAGCATTCTAAGTCCCAGGATGAGATAGGAGGTTGGCACAACATACAGGTCATAAAGACCTTGCTGATAAAACAGGTTGCAATAAAGAAGCCAGCCAAAGCCCACCAAGACGAAGATGGTGACAAGAGTGACCTCTAGTTGTCCTCACTGTTATACTCCCACCAGTGCCATGACCGTTAACAGATGCCATGACAACGTCAGGAAGTTACCCTATATGGTCTAAAAAAGGGCGGCATGAATAATCCACCCCTTGTTTAGCATATCATCAGGAAATAACCATAAAAATGGGTAACCAAGAGCCCTTAGGGCTGCTCTGTCTATGAAGCAGCCACTCTCTTATTCCTTTGCTTTCTTAATAAACTTGCTTTCACTTTACTCTATGGACTCACCCTAAATTCTTTCTTGTGCAAGATCTAAGAACCCTCTCTGTGAGTCTGGATTTGGATCCCTTTCCTGTAACAGCAACACTAGTTATGTAGGTTAAATAATTTATGTACAGCATTTTACATCATGCCTGGCATATATCAATATATGTATGTGTATGTATACATACACACACACACGTGTATATGTATGTATTTTCTGAGCAAGGTGCAATGGCAAATAAGAAGTTTATGGCATAATCCCCCCCCTTGGCAGACCTTTATAAGCTAACTGGTAAGATGATACACCCATTCCTAGAACAATCAGAGGATAACAATGAGTCAAGGCCAAATTCATAGGTGCTATGTGTGCATAAGAAGGGGTAAAAATCAGATGATCTGAACTGTCACATGAAAGCATCACAGAGAGAGTACATCTTGAAGTAGGACCTAAAGGAACTGTTACAAAAAAAATGAGAGTAAGGAGGTGGATATTCTGAATGAGGGACCACCCCAGTGTAAGCAAAACCCCAGTGGGGGATCAGTCTGAGTCTGTTGTCCTCAAGAGTAAGAACAGCCTCACTGCAAGGAGGGAGCCGTTGGACAGGACATGGCAGAGAAGCTGTCTAGACAGGGTGAGAGCAAGTTATGGAAGGCTCTGGATACTGGTGTAAGAAGGTGACTTGCTACTTACACAGGGGCCATAATTCCTCTCCCTTTAAGGAGGACAGCAAAGCTCTGTAACCCTAGTAGGATCTGGAGTATGCTGGATGGGGAGGGCCAGACTTGTATTTGGACTGTAACAAAAGCAAGGGAAGTACAGCCAAGAACCAGTTCCTGGGCAGAAGGGAAGTGGAAAACGAAGCCAACAGCTGTCCAGCTCAGGCAATGAATGATGGAATTAGCCAGAGAGGCTAAACCCAACTATGTGTAAACAAATAAGAATCTAGGAACCCCAAATCAAACTTGGGGGAATGGAATGAAACCAATGGTTGGAAAAATTTCCTGGGCTGCTAAATTGTAACTCTGGTGTTTAAAGAGGGCTTCCAAAGCTTGGCAGGAAAAGGTGAAACTGCCAAGGAGGCCATGTAGGCTCAGATGAGGTGGCTGGGGCAGGAATTCAGCCACATATCCCCAAGAGAAGGCCAGACCACAATGGCAAAAGTGGGGATAGCCAGAAACATTCAGTTTGAATACATGAAACAGGACTCCAACGACATGGATAAAACTGAGGCAGGAGGCGATGCCAACTTAATAGATATTTAGTAAGCACCCAACATAAGCAAGATAACTAGGGTTTGCAGAGAAGACAAGAATAAGACATCAACATCTTCAAAGTGCTTCTGATCAAAAGGAGAAGGATTAAAGATAAGACAGAGAACCAAAACATCAGCCAGATTCTGATAAGTGACAACAAGAGGGCACTAGCAAGCTGACATGGGTGTGGCTCAGGTGGGAAACTATCTTACCAAATTGTGGGTGAGGAAAGGATTGGAGAAAGATTTTCTGAATTGGAGCTTAAATATGGGTAAGACTTTTGACAGGCACAGCTAGTGTTAGGGGAAGAACATTTCAAACATACATAATGTCAAAAAATCATGGTAGCATCACTAGACAAAGTGGGACATTGGGTATCACATTGGGTCCAGGATATATTGAGGCATCTAAGTAAGGATGCTCTGGAGTTGACTAGAGAAGCAAAACTGGGGTTAAAATGAAGAGTAAGAACTTCAGTAAGAGATATGGGGCATTATTCATACTCACCTATTCTTTTCCTTAACACCAACAAAAACTAATATTTTCAAATATTTTTCATGCTAATTTAACAAAAATAACAAAAGCAAGATTATAAGCTGGGATGCTTTACATGCCTTAAAGAATTCAAGCAGTCATCGAGCATATAATGTACCCTGAATAACTGTGTTTATGTAATATTCTAGCCTATGACAAATTATTAGGTTACCCTAACTATTGGTGTGTTTAAAGCATATTAATCATTTTTAAATATTCAGAGAGTATATAATTACTGCATTTTATAAGCTTTTGATAATTTTAAAGGAGGCATTCAATTATCTTTACCATTTGGGGTGCATAGGTGTTTCATAAGGTGCTACAGTGTGGCTAATCCTACAACCTCTAATATTTTGTCATAACAGGTGCTGATTATAGGGAGATTTCTCTGATGTCAATGCTAAGGCAGCCAGAATTCTGGAGCTATGAAAAATAGTAATGGTATTTTTTTTCTTTAAAGTGGAACATGAGCCTATTAATATGCCCAGTAGCATTTGATTGGGGTCCTGAAATAAAGGAGCCCTTCTAGGGATAGACTTCACATATTGAAGTACTCTGTCCCCAAATTTAATTATCTTAGGGCATAACTACAATATATGATAGAATGTACCCTTTTATCCACAGCCTCCAGCAATTTGCTGAGATGGAAAGGTGGCCTATTATTGAATATATCTCCAGAAAAAAAGAGATTTCATAAATTTAATCAATAGTACATTCCAGTAGCTTACAACTCTCAGAAGCATCACGGTCTCCCTTGGGCACTACCTATAATCCTCTGGTCATAATTTAAACCAATTTCTTTTCATTCTATCCTCTAGTTGCCATCTGCCTCCCATATTTCTCTCATCCTTCAGCTTTATCTTCTACTTTATTTTGTCCCTTCAACCTTTCCTTAACAGATTCTGCTTCCTAATTCTTGAATCATTTTCACTGGTCCATTCCTGGACTTTCCCAAATATTTCATTTGTTGTAGGATCCTGATGTAGCAGTTTAATAAGAACCAACCACTGATCTTTTATGGTACAAATTTTACTTTTAGATTAATCTGGATTTTAGCTTACAACACAATTAATGGAACTATAGATACCCATCTTGTTTTTCATAATGAACTGTCTTAGTGAAACTTAGAAATGTCCTTATAAGTAATACCATTCCAGTCACCAAGATAACAACTGTCTTTATTTTCATCAGTTTTTCATTCCTTTCAACACGTCTGTCAAAGCCACATACTTAATTACCTTTCCAGCATTTTTTTTATGATATATTAGACGATCATGGGGGAAAATGTTATTTTGCCATGTACTTTTCTTGCAAAGACCATAAAGCTTCTCTCATAAGTGATCTAATGTGTCCCTAAAACACTCATCTGTGAGAGATGGAAGGTTTTATTACCCCTTATTTTATAAACAGGGAGAGTGAGGCCTAGGAAGATTATATGATTCAGGTGATTCAGGGACTAGCAATGGGATGCTTTTTCCACGCTCTTCGCTGCCTAATGCAGCTGGAAGATAGCACTGTTTAATAATTCTTTCAAATTTGCAGTCCATTATCAAAAGGGAGATCTTTTTGGCAGATCTGTGTTGTGGGCAACAAGGCACAGTGGAATGCCCACGTGGTACACAGTCTGAAGACACAGGTTACCACTTCTTAGATGTGTGACTTCCAGTAGATTACTTATGTTCCCTATGTTTTTGTTTGGTAAAATGATCAGGATAACAATACATGACCCACAGGGTCAAGTAGGGAGTACACTAGTGTTTCCAAACTGGGTATAGAAGCTGTCACTGAAAATAAGCAAACCACCCTCAAGACCCTGAATTTTTAATGCATTGTATAATTATTTAAAATGATTTAGCACACTCACAATCTGTTAATATAGAGAACCAAGTAATCCTGTGAATATTATTATCAGTGTTGGTCAAAATACAATTTTAAAAGATCTTTAACATTTAAAACTCAAATTGTTACTTTCTGGAACTATTTCAGTATTTCTTTAATAATTTATTAGCCTGCACATATTTTCTAAACACAACACGTAGAGTTTACATACTAGCTATGAGTCCCGTCATACTGTGCATACTATAGGAACACTATAAATATTTGTTGACTTATTTCTAATATATATCAGTTGTAAGTGATTCACTTTTCAGTGTATGTATTTTCTAGTTCAGTTTTTTCTCCTCTTCTCTCTCTCCATCTGTCTCTCTCTATCTTTATTTTCTCTATCTCAATCTCTCTCTCCCTTTTTTCCCACAAGGCATAATAGAAAGAAATAAAACAATCAAAAATTACATATCACAAAAAGAAAAAAATTGCATATCACAAATAGATATTTTTTTTCCTTTGGAATAGGCCAAGTATCTCCCAGCACACTGCTGCCCCGTAAATTTCTTTGCTGATCCCTAGGCTGCTGGCCTGCAGGAATCTCACTGACACAATATTAATTTTTTCTAAAGTAGCTTTCCTTTCTTGAGGAAATTAAAAGTCTTACTGCACAGTAAGGTGACTGCTGTTAATAATATATTGTATATTTGAAAATAGCTAGAAGAGATTATTTTGAATGTTTTCCCACAAATAAATGATAAACATTTCAGGTGAAGTGTATGCTAATTACCCTGATTTGATCATTCCACAATGTATACATGGATTAAAACATCATATTGTACCCCATAAATATATACAATTATTATTTGTCAATTAAAAATAATACTTAAAAAGAAAAAATAGGCTGGGTGTGGTGGCTCATACCTGTGATCTCAGCACTTTGGGAGGTGAGGTGGGTGGATTACCTGAGGTCAGGAGTTTGAGTTCAGCCTGGTCAAAATGGTGAAACCCCATCTCTACTAAAAATGCAAAAATTAATGGGGCATGTTGGCGACCGCCTGTAATCCCAGCTACTCAGGAGGCTGAGATGGGAGAATCGCTTGAACCCAGGAGGCGGAGGTTGCAGAACCAAGATCATGTCACTGCACTACAGCCTGGGCAACAGAGCAAGACTCCATCTCAAAAATAAATAAATAAATAAAAATAAAAAATAAAAACAAGGTAATGCCTGACACATAATACATTTTCAATATATACTAAAAGAATGAATGAATGAATGAATGAATGATTTGAATTCTATTTTGTGGTATAATAGTCTATGATTCAAATATATACAGAAAAATAAACTGTGTACAGCATAGTGAACCTTAAATATAACGTCTTACTCCTTGGCCTGTATGCTGTAACATTCTTGGCATCTAGCTCTCTTATGTGATTATACATTGATATTTAAAAAAATAGCTTCAGTGTACAAGTATACTGCTTTAATCTCTTCTTTGTAGTTATAAAAAGCAAATCTAAGGTAAAGAAGAAAGTTTTTCTGTTTTTTCCTTTTGTAAAGAAATCTCTTTTTCTACCATGTGCAGCAAGGTGGAATCCTCCTTTCTATCTTTCTCCCTTCTCTGTGTGACAAAGCTCCACTGATTGGAACCTTTGCCTTTAAGTTACTGCTGGCTGTCAGAGGAGGTATTCCACAGAGTATGTAAACAGTGTGCTTTGCCCAAATCAGTAATTGTTAGCATTTTATCACAGAGGCTAGAATTTGAATCGATTATCCAAATGGTAGGAAAGTGTTCCAAGGACTGTACTTACTAAAGTAAGAACAGCATACACATCCTGCTTGGGAATGAACACGATCCGTAACACAGAAACATTAACTCTCCTCTTGGACTGAAGTTTTATCAATTTACTTGTGATGTAATCCACCTGTTTGTAAAAATGTCCCAAAGACCTCATTGCAAGATGCTATTTAATGACACAGTCAAGGTCATGTTAAGGTTGAGACCAATAAGTAATTAAAACCCAACGAAGTAACTAAATATTCTCTAGAGGTTAACTTTGGGAAGGCCCCTAATCACCAGAGAAAATGAATGCAGCTCGGTGACAAAGCTGGCACCTACACAGAGACTGCTCCTGCTTCGGGTTTAGCCTTTATGGACCTGAAGTCCTCCCTTAAGACGCTATTCTTAAAATGTGCATCTGTTTCAGAATCCAGTCCCAGGCCTCAGCAATTGCCTACACTGGCAGAGATTATACTTCAGATCAGCACAGCACACATTTTTAAACTCCCAATTTATAATTCATTATATGACAGCTAATTATTAGATCAAAGTAATTAGTATGTAAACCTCAAACTAAGTATGGCACATTTGAATACAACTTAAAAGGCAACATCTCTGATACTTTTAAATAACCTTCTTTTATTCCAAGCTCCACCTTTCTATTCCTAGTCTCAAAAAATAGAAAACAGTCCTGAAGAAAAGCCTTCCTCCTTCTGCCTATTAACTTATTTAGATTAAAAACAATTTGTAAAAAAACAAACAAAAAAAAGACCCCCTCTCAGGGAAGAGGGAGGGGAAGAAGGAAAGAGGTATATATTTATTCACGTTATCACTTCATTTAGAAGTGTCAAGTGTGGAGTTCATATATATGCTTATCACTAAATTATAACGACAAATCCATGAAGTAACTATTATCAGCCCCATTTTAAAGATAAGGAAACTGAGGCTTAAAGGAAATGTTAACATTGTCAAAGGGTGAACTCCACACACACAAAACAATTCTTTTACAAGGTTTTTAGAGAGGATTGATATACTTTGTACTTAGATAATGAAGTTGAAGTTATAAAAGACCTAATACAGAAATAATTTTAATACAAATTTGATTCATCTTATACATTTAACTAACACTCATATACAACGTATTATTATTGTTGTGGTTTCTGGGAAATCATTTACAATCAATTCATGTCATTGCCTGAGAAGCAGAAGAAAACAACTGGGGACAGGGGATGGTGAGCATTGCATAGGAAGCCAAGAGAACCGTATTGATTGTGTATCTTTAGTGAGCCAGATAATGGGTTGGCGTCTACCTACATTAGCTCAATAATCCTTACATCACCTATACTTAGTTTTATGCATTGTTCCCCCAAATTCATGAAATACCTAAAAGATATTAGTGAAACAACAGGACAACTAACTAACAAATGGAAAAAAAATCAAGGTAAAGGGGAAATAACAAGGACAGTCATATTTAAAAAGTCAGACATAAGGCATAATGTTTTGTGTGGCTGAGAGCTTGAGCTCTGAAGCCATCAGACCCGAATCTAAGTGCAGGCTAGCAGCTTTTAATTCCTATTCCTTAATAATCCTGGAACCTTGAGTTAATGAGGGAAACACTGGAAGCCTCAGTTTGCTTATGTGCAAAGTGCAGATAATGAGAGCATCACTACCCCCATCACAGGGTTGCTATAAGGTATGCAGCCAAAAATATATATTACATACTTGGTACAGTGCCTGCAGTGCAGGAATGCTCCACAAATATTAGCCATCAATACTAAAAATAGCAATCAATACATAGTCCATGAAGATGAGTGTCAAAGGTCCAGAATGTTTACTAGAAGCTCACCATGATTTGGCTTGACCTCAAACCCATTAAGGTAAGAGCCAAAACGATGTTTCCTAATTGACAGGTTGTATCAGAAGAAAACAAAGCAACCACGGAAGAGAAATAAAGCTGCTTCCTCCCCCTGTTATGGGGACTGGTGAGTACATTTCCCATAGTGATTCATATTATTTCCCATTTTATCAATGAAGAAATGGAAGTCCTGCAAGGTTAAGCCCCAGGTTCAGAGGCACACAGCAGAGGCCACACAAGACACAGGGCTCCCTCCACTAGAGTCTGCTGCCAGGTTAAGGCATTTGGAGCCACAGAAAGATTTGGAGGGGGTGGATTCATGGGAGAAGATACTTCTGTCATCTCTGGCAGGCACCATGGACACATTTCAGTCTCTTGTATGTTTGGTGTGGGGTTGGGGAGTTTAAGGTGGGATTTTTATTTCCTGAAGCTGTTGCTACAGTATTTTCACAGACATTTGTATTTAACTTTGTCCACCAAAGACCATAACGCTTCTAAACAGATGTGTGGGGCTGACTGTGACAACCAGCTTCATCCATGGCTACACTATTTTCAACTAGCATGAAGACATAAATCAAATTTCTCTTCCCTCTTGAGGCCCTTGTGATATTTCGATGCATGTCAGCCTTGACAAAATATGTGTTTGCTCTTTTATTCAATTTGCCTTCAGAGGAACACGCCAGTTACAAGTTGTGGCTGAATGGCAAACCTTCATTTAGGTGATTTCAATTTTCTTTATTCATTTTTTTAAATTGACCAATGTATTAGTTTCCTGGGGCTGCCATTACAAATTACCACAAACCAAGTGGCTTAAAACAACATACATTTTTTTTCTCACAGTTCTGGAGGCCAGAAGCCCAAAACCAAGGTGTTGGCAGGTTTGGTTCACTCTGGAGGCTCTGAGGGAGAATCTGTCCCATGACTCTCTCCTACCTTCTGGCAGCTGCTGGCTACCCTTGGAATTCTGTGGCTTGGGGCTGCATAGCTCTAACCTCTGCCTCTATCTTCACATGGCCTTCTTCTCTCTGTGTAGCTCTATGTCTTCTCTTTTTCTGTCCCTTATAAGGACACTCATCATTAGATTTACAACCCATCTTAAATCAAAGATGATATCATCTTAAGATCATTAGCTTAATTACATCTGCAAAGACCCTAATTCCAAATAAGGTTACATTCTCAGGCACCAGGAGTTGAAGCTTGGACATATCTTTTTGAAGCCACTATTCAGCCCGCTACAACCGGTAATGACTGTGTTGTTTGTGTTCACATCCAATAAAACAGAAAGCAGAGGGATGTTACTAGGGGCCACTGAGAGTCTTCCTGCTGGGATGTGGGGTGATCTCTTCAAGAGGCCTCCATAATTCGCAACCAGCATAGCCATCCTCAGGGAGTCAGGAAAGAGAGGCAGAGTTAGTCACTCCTTCAGGGTCATCCCACGGCACACCTATTTAAGTATTTATTACCCAAGATGGTAATTTAAATGATGCTTCCCCACTAGTATGTTGGCTTATGAGAAATGGGCATCCTTTCTCATTGCTGTCCTGATAGCACCTGCATAAGTCCTAAAACACAGTAATTTGCTAAATTAACACAGTTGAAGTTGCAGGGAAAGTGGAGAAAAATTAAAGAAAATAGAATAGGAGATAGAAGATAAAATGGCTTCCTTCAATTTTGTACAATTAATCATTGTTGCCTAAATCAAGCCATGGCATTTCTCAATTTTGACATGGATATATTTCTAATAATCTGCCTTTTCTTTTTCACTTGAATTCTAGGCACCATCTTCTTATGGACTCAGTTTTTAAAATTTGGTTAGCAAGCTACTGCATGTTTTCAGTCACCTCATGAGGAAATCAAATGCTTAAATTATAAGTACTAAAAATTCAGTGTATATTATGGAAGATGAAGGATTCTGTTGTCATGGTAACCCAATAGGCTGAACAAGGACAACTTACCCATTCAGCAGCTAGCTATTTCAATTAGTAGTTAACTAGTTAAAAGCACCTCAATGTACACAGTCATTTTAATCCTTTCATTCCTGTGAGATTGTTAATTTGTATACCTCACCTGATGTGTTAGTGATTATAATAATGCATTGCTACATGCGATCTTCCATTTCACTCTATCATTAAGGTTGCAATATTGACAGTTTTTGTTAAGCATGGGCAGATATTAAAAACCTACTCTAGCTGCACAGAGAACAGCATTCTTTAAAACATCCCTTGACATTTAGTGTGTGGGTGAGAAAATATCGAACTATCCATAGTGTTCATTTCACTTGATTTTCATCATCACATGTTCAGGGTTATCATTTCATCCTGACTGGCTTCAGGCTGGATCTCATCTCAGAATCTATCAGCTTTTGTACATAAAAATTACCCATGAAATTTGATGATAGAATGATACTGTAACCTAAGTAAATAGTACATATCTTGAAAATAATAGGTCCCCCAGTAAGATCACTCAATTGGAGCTGTCATTCAATGTCTTTTAGGGGCACAGCATTTCACCATAAGGTACACTGGATGGTGAGCCCCATAAGGGCAGGGGCCATGTCTTTTTCACACTCACAGGAATCTCCAGTGCCAGGCACATGGAGCACTCGGCTGCCAGCATCCAAATGAACAAAAGAGTACATGGTAAGGCACCTGTCAGGGCTGTAAGAGCCACACCTCAATTTAAGGGTGAGGCTTCAAGCTCTCTTTCTATCCCCAAATATGGGACAGTGAAATGTTAAAGTTCTCTGATGTTTTCAGAAGTGCAAAAACGCTACATCCCTGAATGCCCTTGCATAGGCACCCAAGAAGAAAGCTGAGAAAAAACGGGATAGTGAGTAAAGAAAGAAATCAAATGCAGAAGGAAGTCAAAATTGGGAAGGAGCCACAAAGGAGAAGGGAGATATAGATAAAGAAAACTAAGAACCAGGAAAGAAGAGCTAAGTGCTAAAGGAGATGCAGAGAGAGAAACACATACAGAGAGAAAGAAGAAATGTGAGTGGCTATGCGAGTCTTACCAGACCTATGCAAAAGACACGTAAGTGAGTATTCAACGGAATCACATACCCAAATTTTAGGCCAAAGATGATGTTTCACAAAATGTATACTAAGTCATAGTAAAAACTGCAAAGAGAAGTGAGGTGCTAATGGATGGTGGTGAAAGTCACACTATGAAAAAGTGACCTTTCCAGTTGGGGCTAACAGGCTGAACTGTGCTCCACTAGGGCAGTTAGGATCCTGATGACTGTTGGGTGTGAGGTGCAGGTCCTGCGGTGATAGCTGCTGCTTGTCACTAATTCTGAGGCCAGCAGGCATCCTTTGCCCACCCTTCCCTCACCCCTAGCTGCCTGTGCCCCAGCATGGAATAGTATGGGCTTGGGAGAGTACATGCCATCCTTAAGAAGCAGGGAAAGGAATCCCACCAGAGCCTCACTCTAACCATATGTATCTTGTCCATCCAGTTCCCTTTTCTAGGCTCCTATTCCTTACCTCTTTCCTCCTAATTCATTCTTCATATTTAGGCTCTCTTTAGGATCTCTAAAATGATCATATTTCTAGACAAAGAGTTTTAGAAAAAGACTAAGAAAAGGTTTGGATTTTAAATTTTTGTTTGTTTGTTTTTGATTTTTAATCTTAGGACCCAGCACGGTCTTTGGTACAGAATAATCATAAAATGGTAATAACTTTTACTGACCACTCATTAGATGACAGGCATTTCATCCCCACAGCAATTCCATGGGGAGACATGTTCTTACACATGTTTACTGAATGAAGGAACGAAGGAACAAATGAGCAAGCTTCCACACTTTGACACTGAAATCATATCTTGCTCATAGTTTAGTTCCACAAGCTACTAAGCAATGAGAATCTTGAGAAACCCTGAAAACGACTGGTTCTTTGTGGTCAAAACAGTGTGCAAACAGATAGGGATGGTGCCTTTTTCAATCTGAGGCATGAAAAATGCTGTATAGAGCTTGCTCTTAGCAAATATCCCTTGAAGGCTGGCAATGTAAATTAAGCAGGGCATTTATTTAATATATGGAATTATCTGCACATAAATACCCAAATCTTACCTATAGGTTTTCTTTAGAATATTCTGATGGGTAAAATCAGTATAAATGAAACAAGAGTGGCTAAGGATGGATGGCTGTTGAAACTGGAGGATGGGTATACAAGGGCCCATTCCACTGTTCTCTTCCCTTGTGCATATGTTCTCAAATTTTCATAATCAAAACTTCATGAACATTTCTCAAGGTGACATCATTAATGATTATCCAACACCATGCTTAGATCCTGTCTCACACACAATCCTTCATTGGACATTTGATGAGAACTTCATATATGCTCAATCTGCTTTATGTGCAAGTACAAGATGACCAAGGACTGGCTTGTCTTCAAGAATCTCACAGTCTAGAGGAGAGATACAAAGTTTGAATCTCTTATTACCACTTGGCAGACACTGGAAAGCACTGTGAGGGAATGAGGCTCAGGAGTGAATTCAACTTAAATCAATTATAGTTTTCCATACTTGCCAATTGCTGCATATTCACCGTGTTCTTTACTCAACAGCCATTGCTCAATTTTACTACATGGCACCAAAATGACTGTCAAATAAACACTGACCTCAGTTCTCATCACCAACCAAAATTGTGGATTTCAGAGACCCTGCTGTCAGAGACAATGAAAGAATACATACGGTCAGACAAAAGAGAGCCATAACATATCACAGGCTGACAAGGAGGCCTGTGGTGAGATGAAGTGCTCAAAGTCATAGCTCCAGAGAGCATGAGCTGTTGGAAATCACTTTTCCAACCAATTACTGAGATGAGCCACTGAGATGGTGGAGGCTTGCAATTCCCACTGCATACAGCAAGCTCCTAATGAAGGCAGCAAGCATCTTAGCTCTACTAAATATGCAAAATGATACAAGTAAAGGGGGGACATTAATGCAGTGGGGTTCCCACTACATTTCTCATGAATACGGTGGGATATATAGCAAAGTTAACAATTTCTCTTGGAGAAAACAACAATAGAAAGAACAAGAACAAAAATTACATGAGTGCCAGTGTTTCTGCTCAATTTCCCACCAGTACAACTGGAAATCTACCAAACTCACCGATTTCTCTTGGGAAAACTGAGGCAATAGTGTTTTTGAGGCCTTGTTCTCAACTTTCGTTACTTTTCTTTCTGAGTTAACATTCCTTCCCTCTGTCCCCCTCATCAGGCTTCCTCAAAACAAACAAAAGCCTGATATGTCATTTATACTTTGGCTGAAGGCTAGGCATACTTATGTGTGATTGCATAGACTATGCATTTTAACAACAGTAGCTAGCATTTACTGAATATTCTGAGGGCTTTGCATGCACTTCCACATCATTCCCACCTCACAGCAATGCTATAAAATAGGTACGCTTGTTATCTTCATTTTACTGAGAAGGAAATGAAGGCACAAAGAGGTTAAGTAACATAAGATCACGGAGCTAGTATGCAGTAGAGCAGGGATTGCTCCAGGCTGACTGACACCTGGTCTCAGCCACTGGGCTATGCTGAAGTCATGAGAAGCTTCTACTTGCAAACAGAGGGCTTGGAAATAAGCACAGTGAAGTTCAGTTATGTGACAGCTGACTGGGAGAGACCTTTCAACCCCCCAAAATTAAGCTGTATCTGAAATTCCTCCCAAAGTAAAATTGCCTTCGTTTTCATGAGGACAGGTTTGTGTTACCAGTTTACAGTCTAGTGAGGGGAAGAGAGAGGTAAAGATAATTAAAATACAGTGACCAGAGGGTTGACAGGTATCCACATGAAGATACCACCTGAGGTCAGAGCACACTGTGAGTACCTGTCTGGAAACATCTGGGAAGACTGCAGAGGGGAAGATCTTTCAGCAGAGTTTTGAAGGACGAGTTGGAAACTGTTGGATAAATAGGGTGAAGATGACATTCAAGACATGTACAAATCTGAAAAAGGAGTTAACAAGACTAGCAAAGCAGGCAGGAGGCAGAGAGTGAATATCTTGCATGCCAGGTGAAGGAGTATGGACTTTATTCTGTTAGCAATGGAATGACATTCAAGGGTTTGAAGGACTACATTATAATCAGTCTAATCAAAATGTTCTAAATGTTGCCTGAGATTTTCTTACAGTTTTGTGTACTAGGGTCTAAGAGGAACAAATTTCATGTTCTTTCCATTGCTAGCATCAATCCCCGTGAGGCAATGTCATATATAAATGATTTTTCCTCACTATAAGTTATACACACAATATAAAAATGTACTCACTAGTCTACTTCCACTATCTCATCATGCCATCGGGATACTACAAATATTGCACCTGGTAGGTCACTATCTAATTCATGGATAAAGGGACAATATCCATGTTAATATGCATATTAATACCAGTAACATTTAAATTCTTCTTATCTTGGGGGAACTTAAACGTATTTAGAAATTGCAAAATGCATTGTGATTGCCTCCACTCTGCTGATTCTCTACTAACAGGTTGATTTGCATAATGACAGACACCTTATTGATTTGTTCCTTGGTATATTCTCAGTGCCTAGAATACTGTCAGGTGGCCTAGGAGACATTCAATAAATATTTGCGGATTGACTGAATGGCATGAATTTTTTTTTATTATTATTATACTTTTAAGTTTTAGGGTACATGTGCACAATGTGCAGGTTAGTTACATATGTACACATGTGCCATGCGGGTGCACTGCACCCACTAGCTCATCATCTAGCATTAGGTGTATCTCCCAATGCTATCCCTCCCCCCTCCCCCAACCCCACAACAGTCCCCAGAGTGTGATGTTCCCTTCCCCTTCCTGTGTCCATGTGTTCTCATTGTTCAATTCCCACCTATGAGTGAGAATATGCGGTGCTTGGTTTTTTGCTCTTGCGAAAGTTTACTGAGAATGATGATTTCCAATTTCATCCATGTCCCTACAAAGAACATGAACTCATCATTTTTTATGGCTGCATAGTATTCCATGGTGTATATGTGCCACATTTTCTTAATCCAGTCTATCATTGTTGGACATTTAGGTTGGTTCCAAGTCTTTGCTATTGTGAATAGTGCCGCAATAAACATACGTGTGCATGTGTCTTTATAGCAGCATGATCTATAGTCCTTTGGGTATATACCCAGTAATGGGATGGCTGGGTCAAATGGTATTTCTAGTTCTAGATCCCTGAGGAATCGCCACACTGACTTCCACAATGGTTGAACTAGTTTACAGTCCCACCAACAGTGTAAAAGTGTTCCTATTTCTCCACATCCTCTCCAGCACCTGTTGATTCCTGACTTTTTAATGATTGCCATTCTAACTGGTGTGAGATGGTATCTCATTGTGGTTTTGATTTGCATTTCTCTGATGGCCAGTGATGGTGAGCATTTTTTCATGTGTTTTTTGGCTGCATAAATGTCTTCTTTTGAGAAGTGTCTGTTCATGTCCTTCGCCCACTTTTTGATGGGGTTTTGTTTTTTTCTTGTAAATTTCTTTGAGTTCATTGTAGATTCTGGATATTAGCCCTTTGTCAGATGAGTAGGTTGTGAAAATTTTCTCCTATTTTGAAGGTTGCCTGTTCACTCTGATGGCAGTTTCTTTTGCTGTGCAGAAGCTCTTTAGTTTAATTAGATCCCATTTGTCAATTTTGGCTTTTGTTGCCATTGCTTTTGGTGTTTTAGACATGAAGTCCTTGTCCATGCCTATGTCCTGAATGGAAATGTCTAGGTTTTCTTCTACGGTTTTTATGGTTTTAGGTCTAACGTTTAAGTCTTTAATCCATCTTGAATTGATTTTTGTATAAGGTGTGTGGAAGGGATCCAGTTTCAGCTTTCTACATATGGCCAGCCAGTTTTCCCAGCACCATTTATTAAATAGGGAATCCTTTCCCATTGCTTGTTTTTCTCAGGTTTGTCAAAGATCAGATAGTTGTACATATACGGTGTTATTTCTGAGGGCTCTGTTCTGTTCCATTGATCAGTATCTCTGTTTTGGTACCAGTACCATGCTGTTTTGGTTACTGTAGCCTTGTAGTATAGTTTGAAGTCAGGTAGTGTGATGCCTCCAGCTTTGTTCTTTTGGCTTAGGATTGACTTGGCAATGCGGGCTCTTTTTTGGTTCCATATGAACTTTAAAGTAGTTTTTTTCCAATTCTGTGAAGAAAGTCATTGGTAGCTTGATGGGGATGGCATTGAATCTATAAATTACCTTGGGCAGTATGGCCATTTTCACGATATTGATTCTTCCTACCCATGAGCATGGAATGTTCTTCCATTTGTTTGTATCCTCTTCTATTTCATTGAGCAGTGGTTTGTAGTTCTCCTTGAAGAGTTCCTTCACGTCCCTTGTAAGGTAGATTCCTAGGTATTTTATTGTCTTTGAAGCAATTGTGAATGGGAGTTCACTCATGATTTAGCTCTCTGTTTGTCTGTTATTGGTGTATAAGAATGCTTGTGATTTTTGTACATTGATTTTGTATCCTGAGACTATGCTGAAGTTGCTTATCAGCTTAAGGAGATTTTGTACTGAGACAATGGGGTTTTCTAGATACACAATCATGTCATCTGCAAACAGGGACAATTCGACTTCCTCTTTTCCTAATTGAATACCCTTTATTTCCTTCTCCTGCCTATTGCCCTAGCCAGAACTTCCAAGACTATGTTGAATAGGAGTGGTGAGAGAGGGCATCCCTGTCTTGTGCCAGTTTTCAAAGGGAATGCTTCCAGTTTTTGCCCATTCAGTACGATATTGGCTGTGGTTTTGTCATAGATAGCTCTTATTATTTTGAGATACGTCCCATCAATACCTAATTTACTGAGAGTTTTTAGAATGAAGGGTTGTTGAATTTTGTCAAAGGCCTTTTCTGCATCTATTGAGATATCATGTGGTTTTTGTCTTTGGCTCTGTTTATATGCTGGATTACATTTATTGATTTGTGTATATTGAACCAGCCTTGCATCCCAGGGATGAAGCCCACTTGATCATGGTGGATAAGCTTTTTGATGTGCTGCTGGATTCGGTTTGCCAGTATTTTATTGAGGATTTTTGCATCAATGTTCATCAAGGATATTGGTCTAAAATTCTCTTTTTTGGTTGTTTCTCTGCCCAGCTTTGGTATCAGGATGATGCTGGCCTCATAAAATGAGTTAGGGAGGATTCCCTCTTTTTCTATTGATTGGAATAGTTTCAGAAGGAATGGTACCAGTTCCTCCTTGTACCTCTGGTAGAATTCGGCTGTGAATCCATCTGGTCCTGGACTCTTTTTGGTTGGTAAGCTATTGATTATTGCCACAATTTCAGATCCTGTTATTGGTCTATTCAGAGATGCAACTTCTTCCTGGTTTAGTCTTGGGAGAGTGTATGTGTCGAGGAATTTATCCGTTTCTTCTAGATTTTCTAGTTTATTTGCGTAGAGGTGTTTGTAGTAATCTCTGATGGTAGTTTGTATTTCCGTGGGATCGGTGGTGATATCCCCTTTATCATTTTTTATTGTGTCTATTTGATTCTTCTCTCTTTTTTTCTTTATTAGTCTTGCTAGCGGTCTATCAATTTTGTTGATCCTTTCAAAAAACCAGCTCCTGGATTCATTAATTTTTTGAAGGGTTTATTGTGTCTCTATTTCCTTCAGTTCTGCTCTGATTTTAGTTATTTCTTGCCTTCTGCTAGCTTTTGAATGTGTTCGCTCTTGCTTCTCTAGTTCTTTTAATTGTGATGTTAGGGTGTCAATTTTGGATCTTTCCTGCTTTCTCTTGTGGGCATTTAGTGCTATAAATTTCCCTCTACACACTGCTTTGAATGTGTCCCAGAGATTCTGGTATGTTGTGTCTTTGTTCTCGTTGGTTTCAAAGAACATCTTTATTTCTGCCTTCATTTCGTTATGTACCCAGTAGTCATTCAGGAGCAGGTTGTTCAGTTTCCATGTAGTTGAGTGGTTTTGAGTGAGTTCCTTAATCCTGAGTTCTAGTTTGATTGCACTGTGGTCTGAGAGATAGTTTGTTATAACTTCTGTTCTTTTACATTTACTGAGGAGAGCTTTACTTCAACTATGTGGTCAATTTTGGAATAGGTGTGGTGTGGTGCTGAAAAAAATGTATATTCTGTTGATTTGGGGTGGAGAGTTCTGCAGATGTCTATTAGGTCAACTTGGTGCAGAGCTGAGTTCAATTCCTGGGTATCCTTGTTGACTTTCTGTCTCGTTGATCTGTCTAATGTTGACAGTGGGGTGTTAAAGTCTCCCATTATTAATGTGTGGGAGTCTAAGTCTCTTTGTAGGTCACTCAGGACTTGCTTTATGAATCTGGGTGCTCCTGTATTGGGTGCATATATATTTAGGATAGTTAGCTCTTCTTGTTGAATTGATCCCTTTACCATTATGTAATGGCCTTCTTTGTCTCTTTTGATCTTTGTTGGTTTAAAGTCTGTTTTATCAGAGACTAGGATTGCAACCCCTGCCTTTTTTTGTTTTCCATTTGTTTGATAGATCTTCCTTCATCCTTTTATTTTGAGCCTATGTGTGTCTCTGCATGTGAGATGGGTTTACTGAATACAGCACACTGATGGGTCTTGACTCTTTATCCAACTTGCCAGTCTGTGTCTTTTAATTGGAGCATTTAGTCCATTTACATTTAAATTTAATATTGTTATGTGTGAATTTGATCTTGTCATTATGATGTTAGCTGGTTATTTTGCTCGTTAGTTGATGCAGTTTCTTCCTAGTCTCGATGGTCTTTACATTTTGGCATGATTTTGCAGCGGCTGGTACCGGTTGTTCCTTTCCATGTTTAGTGCTTCCTTTAGGAGCTCTTTTAGGGCAGGCCTGGTGGTGACAAAATCTCTCAGCATTGCTTGTCTGTAAAGTATTTTATTTCTCCTTCATTTATGAAGCTTATTTTGGCTGGATATGAAATTCTGGGTTGAAAATTCTTTTCCTTAAGAATGTTGAATTTTGGCCCCCACTCTCTTCTGGCTTGTAGAGTTTCTGCCGAGAGATCTGCTGTTAGTCTGATGGGCTTCCCTTTGAGGGTATGAATTTTAAGCTGGGTTTCGAAGTAGGATAAGTCGAGAGAAATTCAGTCTCAAGAATTTCTTGAATTTCTCAGTGAAAATGAGTAAGTTATCATGAGCCTATCCTCATTCATATCTCTTGACTGAAACTTAAAGAACACTGATAATTTTTATTACTGTTAGTAGTAATTACAATAATATATTTGAATAACCTGGTAGTGTCTGAAGTTGACTAATATAAATCTATGTTTCAGTCAATCACAAAATATTGGGGGAATGCCTGCTCAAAATGTTTTACTTATAAGAGTACATGATCAAAAAGTTGGAAGGCCACTGTGTTAGTCAATCACTAGCATTACTTACAGTCCCTCCCTCTTACTCACATATTTGCTGTTGCTTATATATATAGTCCATATTATGCACAGAGAATTATTTTTATGTTCAGATAATGAAGTAGCTACCCAGAAGCCAATTAGAAAATATTTTCTGAGCAATTACTCAAAAGATGATACTGGACTTGGAAGAGGAGAATCCATGGGTACAACGTAACAAAGAAATAACAGGCAGAAGCCACATTCTCCAGCTCTTTCTAAATTTGGCCCCAAATTCAAAGCTGTTCAAAAAATTTTTTTCAATTCATATGTACTATAGCACTATATGATGGTTAATTTTATGCATCAACTTGAGTGGGCTAAAGGGTGCCCAGATAGCTGGTAAAAACATTATTTCTAGGTGTGTCTGTGAGGGTGTTTCTAGAAGAGATTAGCGTTTTAATTAGTAGACTGAATAATAATCCACCCTCACCTGTGTGAGTGGACAGCATCCAATCTGTTGAGGGCCAGATATAAGAAAAATCCAGGCAAATTTTCTCTCACTCTATTTTCTTTAACTGAAACATCAACATCTTCTCCTATCCTTAGACATCAGAGTTTATGGTTCTTGGGCCTTCAAACTCCAGGAATTATAACAGAGTCCCTTATGCCCCTGCCCTTCACCCTCTAGTTCTTAGGCCTTCTGACTCTAACTGAATTGCACCATCAGCTTTCCTGGTTTTCCAGCTTGCAGATAGCATATCATGGGACTTCTTATCCTCCATCATTGTGTGAGCCAATTCCCATAATAAATCTCCTCATATATATACTATTCATTCTGTTTCTCTGGAGAACCCTGACCTATACACATTGTGAGATAGTATATCCACTTTACAGGTAAGAAGACTGAGGCTCAGCAAGGTTAAGAAATTTACATCAGAGTAACTGGGAGAACATGAAATAAAATCCGTACGTATTTATCTTGGCCTTCTATATGCAAGGGAAAATACGTGAGAAACAGAATGTAGAGAAAGAGAGAGAGAAGATAGGATAGCTTCCATAAGGAATTTCCCATTCTATATGGTAGGAAGTATTGTATATGATACAAATAGGAGGTATTGTATATGAATATAAATATAAATTGCATATGAATATAAACACCCAAGTACTGATTCATATATGTAAAAACTGAATGTTTGTTACTGAAGGGCTTAAAAGTGATAATCAGAGTTAAGGAAAGTCAGGAAAGGGATTAGTGAATACTGCCTGTGGGGAGGTGAAACCATCCAGAAAACAGCAAAGAGGTAGAAAGTAACAATGACCCTAGGCAGGGAATTTAATTACCCACTTTAATGAATAAATGTAGACACAAATACTCCTACTTCATGAGCAGGAGACGTTCTTATTTATTGTTTAAAATTATCCAAATGGTAGGCCAGGCATGGTGGTTCACGCCTGTAATCCCAGCACTTTGGGAGGCTGAGATGGGTGGATCACTTGAGGCCAGGTGTTCGAGATCAGCGTGGCCAACATGATGAAACCCTGTCTCTACTAAAAATACAAAAATTAGCTGGGTGTGGTGGTGCACGCCTGCAATCCCAGATACTTGGGAGGCTGAGGCAGGAGAATTGCTTGAACCCTGGAGGTGGAGGCTGCAGTGAGCCAAGATTGTGCCACTGCACTCCAGCCTGGGGGACAGAGCGAGACTCCGTCTCAAAAATAAATAAATAAATAAATAAATGATAAATAAATAAATAGATAATAAAAGAATCAAAATGTTGATGCCAGTTTGAAACAAACCAATACTCCCTCTGAGAAAACGAAAGAAGGAAGTCACAAGAAGTACGAAAGACAAGATTTTTTATGGGAACAAAGTCCTATATGTAAAGAAATATATTTCAGTACTCTCAAGTATTTTCAAATGCTTAGACTTTTATGGAAATTTTATGAATATTAAACAAATAATTGACTTTTCTTTGTATAAATGTCACACTTTCCTTCAAACAGCTCTCAGAACATTATTAATACATAAGGTAGGTAAGCATCATAATGGAAGCATTTTGGGTAAACACACACACACACACACACACACACACACACACACACACGAAGTAGAAGGATCTGAGAGACTGTCAATACTGAAGGAATAGCTGTAAAAGTATCAGCCATGCTATATTCACTAGGGTACTGTGGTGACAAAAATGTCTGAAATTTGGAGAATTTTCCTTGCAAGTGCCTCAGACAGGCTATTAAGTAACTGAAAATTTTCTTTCCCACAGATAAGTGCTGCCTACCCAGCCTTAAATCACTTTTTAAACATTCTGTCAAAAAAGTTGTTAATATAAGAGAGTACCACATTGACAGGTATTCTTCCTTTTCTAAAAGCTTCTTTTGGCATTTTTAAAGTATGAAAAGTTTTTGCAGTAAATACTCTGGTATTTCTGCAGAAATACTTTTATAAGGCCAATTAGAGGGAACAATGGAATAACAGAAAAGAAGTATAGGATCAGATAAAACACAGAAGCTGAAATATCTGACTCATTCATAAACTGACCAATGAATAACAACAAAGTTCCAACCAGAGATCTGCCAGCACCTACAGTGAACAAAAATGATGTCTGATGAGCAGAATGAGGTATTTAGAAAGCCCAACACTAAAACTGAATGACACAAGTTTTTGTGATCATACACAGCATAAACAGAGTCTTTTTCTTTTTATTGTTTTAAATAGCCATGTGATCAAATTCCAAGATTCTACAACCAGAGAATATGCCCATATAAAGAAAAATATATCTTAGAACAACAAAAGTAAGAAGGAAAACACAGGGGTAAATTTTTGTGACCTTGGATTTGGCAATGGGCTGTTAGACGCAAAAGCAAAATCACAAGCAATACAAATAAAAAAAAAACCTAGACTTTATTAAAATTAAAATGAAAACCCATTGTTCTTCAAATGCCCCTATCAAGAAAGTAAAAGACAAGCCAAATATTTGTAAATCATATATCTGACACGGGTCTTCTATCTAGTACATATAAATAACTATTACAACTCACTAATAAGAAGAAAAATAGCTCAATTTTGAAGTACTTAAACAGACATTTCTCCAAAGAAGACATACCAATGACCTAAGAAGAACATGAAATGTTCAACATCATTGGCCATTAGGCAAATGTAAATCGAAATCACAATAAGATACCACTTAACATCCAGTATGATGGCTAAAAACAAAAAGTCAGATGAGTTTTAAGGAGTGTGTGGAAAAACTGAAATGCTCATAGACTGATAGTGGGATGTATAATGGTGCAGCCACTTTGGAAACCAGTAGGGAGGTTCCTCAAAAAATTAAACACGGAGTAGTAACCATATGCTCCAACAATTCTGTTCCTTGATATATTTGTAAGAAAAGTGAAAATATATATCTATACAAAACTTATATATATTCATATCCTTGTTTCTAATAGTCAAAAGACAGAAACAATCCAAACGTCCATCAGCTGATGAATGGATAAACAAAAGGTGATGTATGCATACAACATTCAGCCATAAAAAGAAATGAAATACTGATACACACAACACAAATGATCCTTAAAAACATTATGCTAAGTGAAAGAAACCAGTCACAAAAGACTATATGTTACGTGATTCCACTTACATGAAATTCATATGAAATGTCCAGCATAAGGGCTGGGCACAGTGGCTCATGCCTGTAATTCCAGTGCTTGGGAGGCAGAGGAAGAGGATCATTTGGGACCAGGAGATCAAGACCAGCTTGGGCAACATAGTGAGACTCTCAACTATTTAAAAAAGTAGCTGGGCATGGCGGTGCATGCCTATAGTCCCAGCTACTCAAGAGGCTGAGGCAGGGGTATCCCTTGAATCCAGGAGTTCGAGATTGCAGTGAGCTATGATCATGCCACTGCATTCCAGCCTGGGCAACAGAGCAAGACCCTGTTTCAAAAAAAAAAAAAAAAAAAGGAAAATAAGTAAACAATCACCCAGCATAAGAAATATATATAAAGAGAAAGTAGGTTAGTTGTTGCTTGGGGCTCAGGGCATAAGAGAGCTAAAGGGTATAAGGTTCTTTTTGAGGTGATATAAGTGTTCTAAAATACATTGTGGTGAAGGTTGCACAACTGAATATATCTAAAAACCATTGAACTGAACAATCTGAATAGGTGAATTGTATGGTATGTGAATGACATCTAATTAAACTGTTACCAAAAAAATACATGCACACACAAATAACAAAAAGCATGTTTTAAATACTATATTATCATAAATCTCAATTTCCTCACCTCTTAAATGGAGAATAGTAATAGCAACCTTATTGGTTGTTGTGACAATTAAGTAAGATGTATAGAAGGAACTTAGCAGGACACCTAGCATGTAACAGCGTTCCAAAGGATTTCTTTAAATCACTGCCAGAAGCCAGAAAATCATTCTGGCTCAGTGTTACTATGCACCAAAGACTTTTCACTGATATTAATACCCTCTAAAAATCCTCCTTGACCCACATTGAATGGGGCTCAGAGGTGAATGAAGGTAAAGAATTGGACCCCTGGAAGGGTTCCAAAAGTTAGCTCTTTGTCGCCGAGGAGTACAGTTTTCCAGCCAGGTGCAAAGCAGCTATTTGGAAAGGCTCCTGAAAAATACTTCTTTGGGTAATCAAAAATATAAAAACACTACACAAACAATTTTGTCCTTGTATTATTAATTACCTTTCGGGACAGAAATAAAACAAAACAAATTACCCCTGCTGAGTAGTATGATAACCAGAGACAGCACCAGATGAGCTAAGCCTGCTTCATGCCAGAGACAAATAGGGCTTGCTCAGTGCCAGAGATAAATTGGACAGCCTTATTTCCTACTAGAAATAACCATCACAATACTAAAGCAGGTTTTAAGTACTCAGCAGCTTAAACACACACGTGCATACACACACACACACACACACATAAACACAACACGTGCACATATGAATCTATCACATACCACACTCACACTTTGGCTTCTGAGACCACTTGAAAAGTAATTGAATGCTAGTTTAAGCAAGAGCTTATCTTCAGGAATGGAAAATTCCCTCTTACCTAAATAAACATTTTCTATAGTTACTAAAATAAATTCCTATCAGTGGTTTGTAATTAAGCTTCCTGGAATAAGCATCCTGACAACTAAGTGCCTCTGTGAGGACAGAAAGTACCCTCTGCTCTCCTGGGGATCACAGTCTTTTGCATGCCTGGCAAGCCCAGGACTTTCCTAAAGAAAGATGCGCTTTATAGGCTGATTCATATCTCTAAGCATGTCTCACAAACCAGGGGGCAGCAGCAAATGCCTGAATGTGATAACAGGAGATATCTAGCCTGGCCAAATAAAAGAAGCCACTCCAAAATAAGGCTCATATAATATGTGGCAAGAGCCTTCAGGCTCACATTTTGTCAAAGGCAATCCTGGTGAATCTTCACTCCAAATAAGTTAGCCCTCAGGAATAGAGGATTGGCTCTTTTATTTTCCTTATTAAATTCAGAACATTTCTAGGTTCCTAGTATATCATAGGCCAAGATTTCAGGACATTTTAAGACATCACAGGATTTCATTTTCCTCCCTTCCACATCAGGACAAAAGTGCAAGTTTTATCACCTCCACTAATGCTCAGGAATTTAAAGGCATCCTACAGTCTGACTGGGGCAGAGAGCTGCAGTCTATACCTGCAGCATGGCTGGATTCAGGTGGGGCACAGAATCTGATACAGAATTTATCAAGAATGGACCAACCTCATCTTGGGAAGGTCAGAGCTAAGGAGATCAGTGGCCTGGGGTTCAACTGGAGAGAAATCTGGCTGACTTCTGGCTTGAGAGTTGGTCACAGCAGTGGGGACATGGCGATACAATGTATGGAGCCACTGCACCACGAAATCTTGTCAGTCTAAGGTAAGTAATCTGAACAGCTCCTTGGAAAGGGATTCAACAAACTCTCTTTAAGTCTTTGCTTTATTACAAGTCATCAGCCCGGGCACAGTGGGAGTCACAGGTGCAGGGGAATCCTGGGAGACGGAAAGACCTGAGGTCACTTCTCTGGCTCCTATAACAGGGTGGTAGTGAGGTACCGTGAAGGTAATAAGCAGCATAATGGTAAGGCCAGGAAACTTACGTCAGATGGAGTCAACATCCTCCATAAAATCCGAACCAAGTTATTCTGCAGAAGGTGAAGATGGAGGAGGGGCTGTACAGGAAAGTAGAAAAGTTTCAAGTAGAAACAGGGAAGAATGCAATAGATAGCGAAAGAAAGATGAAAACTATGAAAAATGGGTTTGCCAAGCAGAAGTTAGAGACCAGTTACAAAGCTGAAAACAAGATATGAATGAGTTGATATGAATTCAACAAATATTCATTGAATCCCTACTCTAAGCCAGGTTTAGATCAGGGGCATAAACAAATGAGGCAGTGTCAGGAGCTCAGGGCAGAGCTGGGAGACAGATACGTAAATGGTACGTTACATTTTAGGGTGTTATGAGTGTTGTAATTGGGCAATCATGGAGCATTTTCGAGGAATAATATGTAATGGAGCTGATTAGCAATTCTGTGACCTTTTTCTCTCCTGTGGTGGGCTTGGCAGCCTAAAAAGAGCAGTTACAACCAAGGACTGCAGGGACCCAGAGTTACAGCATGATAAATTGCGTGTGGAAACTTAAGCATGTTCATGAAACAAAGGTTCCTTGTAGTATTCCAGCACCTTGGAGAGTACCGCGCTCAGTGTAGGGCCTCACAGATATTTCTGATATCAGAAGATGAACACATGAATTAATTAACAAATCACCACAGCTTTTCAATGGGTAGGGAGGCATGTAAACAGAAAAAGAGAACCAAAGGATTATGAGAATTCAGTGTCAGGAATAGGACTTGATAAAAACATACCATCTTTGCCAAGGAAATGGGCTGAAGAATAGAAATGACTTAGATGGAAATGACCCATGGAGGCATTGTAGGCACTGAGACAAATGGTGAGGGCAAGGACAGAGAGGATGACGGCAAGCAAGGCACAGGGCACGTGACTGGTGGGAAAACATCCAGGAGTCTGGTAGATAACAGCTAAAAGAATAGCAAAAATTTAAAAGAAGAGCCTGGATATAAGTCACCTTGAATCCTCTTCCTCCAGGTTATGCAGAACAGGAGAATAGCCTTTACTTGATATGGTTTCCAGAAAAGTGCAGCCCTCTACAGTAAACTGAGTTGGCTATGAGCAAACTCATAAAACAATCATCATAGCCAACATTTGTTGAGCACTTATTATGTCCCAGGTGCTGAATTAAGCACTGTTTCCTTCATGACCTCATATAACACTCACCGTAATCCACAATAAACAGTACTATTATCAGTCCTATTTTTAAACCGAGCAGACCGAGGCTGTTAAGGTTTATGCTTACCTTGCCTGGTCACAAGCCACTAGTGGCAGAGCTGGGATATAAATGCAAAATCACACTCTTAACCAATAGGCTATAGAAAGGAACGACATAATGTAAGGTCTGTGGTGAGTGTGGTAATTTTATGTGTGTTTGTGTGTTTTTCATTAAAAACACAGAACTGCATAAAAGCCTTGGAATGAGTCTGTGAATCCTGCTGATTCTGCCAATGACTGAGCAGGGCTCTGACCCAGTCTTGAGGAAGAAGAGTAGCTGCCAGGATTAGTCAACACAGGCCACTGCTTTCCTTGTCTGCTCAGACACAAGGCACAAAGGGGCAGTGATAAGAGAGCAAGTTCTCTGCTGAGCTTGGCTCTGGGTGTTAGCTGAAAAGGAAATGACCAGAAGGTGGCCTAGACACACCTGAATGAACAAACCAATACAAGCCTTAAAGAAAAACTAGATTTGGCCCAGGAGTTAGAGGTACGCAAACTGTTATCCCAGAGGGCACTTGGCTTAATAAAAAAGAAAAACATCTTCAAATAACCACAGCTTCCCATTTCAATTTAAAACTAATTTTAAGGCACACAGTTTAAGTTATTTCCAATGCAAAGTTACATAATATTACTACTAACCGTAACCAAAGGAAACATATTTTCTCATTTCCCACTCAGCTATTGAAATCGTTAATGCTGCAATACAATCCCTATTACATTATTGTAGTGACAATCACAGAATCGCAGCATCATCTCATCAAGTTATCTCATATTCCAGGAAGAGAACATTTTTCTCTGGGTTTGCAGTACCTGCAAATTTTCAATTGAAAGCACCAACTAGTCCTAGATATAATGGGAAAAAATTGAAACAAGAGTTGATTGGTGTGTATAGTGGGTGTGTGTGGTCTCAAAGCTTTTGTCATGACCATAGGATTGAAAACCATTGCTCTGTAGTAGTATTTTCTTCCTAAGATACTGGCAAATTAGCACAGTCAGACAAATGAATAAAATGATGCTGCTGGCGCTTTAATCCCCAGTGGCATCTTCTCTCGCAGATTATGAGCTTCAGTGCAGCAGACACGGCAGGATCAGAAGCTGCAGAGAAGATGCTTCACACTTCTGTAGTGACAAGCGCAGCAGTGCACATGGCCATCAAAGAGACTGGCAACAACGCACCATGACACAGATAGCACACGGTTCTTCATAAGGAAAGGAGACTTTGCCTGTAACCAGCATGTATGGGCAATAGACAATATAAGGCCTGGCACAAAAGCGGGGCAGAGAATATACTCCTGACTTTTACATTATGTTTAGAAGAAGTGAGATCAAAATTGGTATTAGAGTTAGGCTATAACTGCTACCAGCATTGATCTCATGCACTAAGCCAGGGGTTGCTCCCTACTTCTACAGTATCCCCTCTAGTAATGGCTTTGAAATAGACAGTTAATGCTGCCAACTCCTCCATTCTTTTTTTTTTTTTTTTTTTTTTTTTTTTTTTTTTTTTGAGATGGAGTCTCACTCTTTCGCCCAGGTTGGAGTGCAGTGGCGCAATCTCGGCTCACTGCAAGCTCCGCCTCCCAGGTTCACGCCATTCTCCTGCCTTAGCCTCCCAAGTAGCTGTGACTACAGGCACCTGCCACCACGCCTGGCTAATTTTTTCTATTTTTAGTAGAGACAGGGTTTCACCGTGTTAGCCAGGATGGTGTGGATCTCCTGACTTTGTGATCTGCCCGCCTCGGCCTCCCACAGTGCTGGGATTACAGGCATGAGCCACTGCGCCCGGCCTCCTCCATTCATTTTCTTTCTTCCCTGAACCAAATCCTATCCTGCCCTGCATCTCACAATAACAAAGAAACAGGGAGCTGGACACGGTGGCTCACACCTGTAATCCCAGCACTTTGGGAGTCTAAGGTGGGCAGATCACCTGAGGTCAGGAGTTCCAGACCAGCCTGGCCAACATGGTGAAATCCCGTCTCTACTAAAGATACAAACATTATCCAGGCATAAAAGTGGGCTCCTGTAATTCCAGCTACTTGGGAGGCTGAGGCAGGAGAACCACTTGAACCTGGTAGGCAGAGCTTGCAGTGAGCCGAAATTGCACCACTGCACTCCAGCCTGGGCAACAAGAGTGATACTCTGTCTCAAAAAAAAGAGAAAGAAAGAAAAAAGAAAGAAGGAAGGAAGGAAGGAGAAAGAAAGAGAGAAAGAGAGAGAGAAAGGGAGAAAGAAAGAAACAACGAAAAAGGAAGGAAGGAAGGAAGGAAGGAAGGAAGGAAGGAAGGAAGGAAGGGACGGAGATTCTAGAATTTATGTCTACAATTTTCCCATCAATGCTCCCTAGAGTTTAGGTCTGCTCCCAGTGTGGCCAAGGGCCCAAGGCCCAGGTTCCTTCATTGTTTTGCACAGAAACATCTGGTTTTAATGTGTACTACCAGCCTTCTCACATTCTAAAGTTGAACAGATGCCCGGTAACCTACAGAACCCAATGTCAGAACACACTAGCCATGAATTCCTTCTTTCTGGAAGAAACAGCCCTCCAAACTCTAAGCTCTTTGAAGCTAATACTTGTGCCTTATTCATCTTTGTATCTAATGAAGTAGAGATGTGAGATACATCTTTTGGCACTAAGCAGGAACTCTGCAAACATTTGTGATACCTGATATTGGGCTTATTATTACTTCAAAAAGAAAAGATAGAAAATATCTTATATATGAACAAGATGTGACCTTTGATCTAAGAGTAAAGAATTGATGTTTATAGTTGCAAAAATACAACTGGAATATTAATTTTTCGCAGCATTATTGTAAAAGGCCATAAGGTGGTGATATTACTCCTTGAAAAACCTGTTTTGTTTTTTTGGCTTAGGAATGAGAAGAAGCTGAAAAGTGCTCTTGTTTTTCTGTCTCTCAATTTCTTTTTTTTCTTTCTGTCTCTATCTTCCTCTATTTCCTTCCATATTTCCTCTATTTCCTTCCATATTTCCAATTCTTTTTTCTTTTCTTTTATTTTTTTTTGTTTGAACGTGTCTCACTCTGTCACCCAGGCTGGAGTGCAGTGGCACGATCTCGGCTCACTGCAACTTCCACCTCTGGGGTTCAAGCAATTCTCCTGCCTCAGACTCCCCTGTAGCTGGGATTACAGGCACGTGCCATCATGCCTGGCTAACAATTCTTTTTTTTTTTCTTTTTACTGTAAGTTTTTAAGATATTATGAAAGTGTCAGGGACCATGTTAGATAGTGCTAAACATAAACAGTAGGCATTACAGCAAAAATGTCAACAAATCCTGAGACTTTAAGATTAAAGGCTTTGTTATTTATCTTGTAAATAGCAGACCATGAACTTGAATTCAGAACTCAGTAATCTAAAAATCATAACTCATTTTACCATATGAACTCATTTTCATCTTTCCCTCTCTCTCAACAGAAAATGAATAAAGTACATTCCCTATTTTATTGGCAATAGTAAATATAAGTTCTAGCATACATTTTAAGAACCAAAAATAGAATATTTTTTGTTTCTTTCTCTATAAGATTTTGAAAAGTGAGCTTGTATTTACTAATATAATTCCCATTTAATATTTTCCATGTGAGTATGTGACTTTTACAAAGAGCACTCCAATCTAAATTATTTACAATTTATTTATTCACATTGTAATTCATTAAAAACACATCAAATCTTTATTTTAAGAGAGAAAGAATGTGTCTCTTTAAGTGACTTGTCCATGATTTTCTACTGTTATTCAATAACTGCTTGATGCTGAGAAGGCAGAAATTTTCATTTGAATTCTTGTATTTAAATTTTTACATCACTGGCTGCAACCACGGGGTATGGGCAATTTGTAATGTTAGCAATTTTTTAGATGCTGAATATTAAAATCTACTTTTGTATTTCAAGGATTATTTCTAATTACATGCACAATTGCTGATCCATCTGCCTACTACATAGATGTCTGTGGTTATATATGCTTGAATAATTATTGAAAATTAAATAACATCATAAACAGTCAAATTAATTTATCTGAGCATACCAAAGGCAGGAAGCCTGCTCTAGTATAAAACATTATTTGCCTGGAGAAACATAAAGACAGATTTATCTTATACACCAAATTTCTCACATTCTATTCTAACTTGATGGAGTTTTCTTTGTTTTTGTTTTTGTTTTCTTAAAGAAACCCGAAAGTTGAAACACAAAACACTTGAGAAGTATTATGGAATAGCAACACACCTTAGCTAGATGAGTAATTTAAAATTTTAGTCTAAATATATTTCACTGTCAAAATAAGTCCATAGTGTGTCTCCTCTAATAACATAACCAAGTACAGCTGTTTCAGTAAGAAATGGTTTCTTTGAATGTTTTAAGATAATACAGAATTGTAAAAGGAAAGATTCCTCACTTGTCTTCTATTTCTACAATAGCAGGAGTCATTGTAAAATACAGAAGGTTGAACTGCAGGGTCTATGAAAATTGAGTTAATCCAAATTTCAGCAGAAGGCTTGAAGAAAAGTTTATTGATGAGAAAACACACACACACACACACACACACACACACAAAACAAAAAAAACATGGGACCAAGATCACCTAGGCCCAAGTTGCAATCAGATGGAAGGCAGAGGAGAATGAGGCCCCATATTTTAAATGCAACCAAGATGGATAGACATTTACAGAATAGTTTTCCCAGAGTAGAGAGATTTAGAAAGCCCTAGAGAATGCAAGTTTGAACCTTGTATTTCTACTACAGGTTCTTTCAGAAGGTGAAATTCAGACAGGATCCAGATACCTGCTGTAATTGAGGTATTTGCTCACCTCCAATTGGTCTCTAACTAACCTTTGGAGCTCAGCCCTGCCTCACAGGGATCAGATCAGGGCTGTGAAGAATAATGGGTGGACAGGTATCAACACTCTGTCTGAGACTCAGCCTCATCTTGGCCAGATAGTTCAGAATACGGGGACTGGGCGATGCTTAAAGACTGAGGATGGTGTGATTTCAAGGTGATATCAATAAATCAAGAAGAAGAGGGCTTCCAAATCAAATTTAATACCCAAGGAAAGATTTGCATTTCAATATGGAAGGGCACTCCTTTTGCTAAGCACTTTAAAGACCCAAATATACCCATGCCAGGGACATTTTAGCATGAAGCCTATAAAGAAGTACACTTGCACACAAAACACTCTCTTTTAAAAAAAAAAAAAAAAGATAAATGTGGCAACCAGGTGAAAGGAACAAGGTAATTCTAAAAGTCCTAGCTTTCACTTGGCAGGAGATTTGGGTAATAGCTTGCCAATTGCTGGTAACTGCTGCCAAGTATGAGGACTGCTGTGCTCAAATTGCTGGCAATGGCCACCTATTGTTTGTGAATGACTGTCTTAGCAGGGGACTCTGCAGAGAGGCTACTCAGGTCAGCAGGGAGGAGGATTTGGCCAATACTCCCAGTGGTCATCATAGTCTAATGCAATGAAGTCACAAGACAGCAGTTTTAGAATGAGGACAACTATGAAAATTTCCCTGGAAAAGATTCTGCATCTTGAGCCAGTATATATATTTAAATCTGCAGATAGATATATCCTCTGCAAAATAAATTACAAAATAATATCAATAATTATCCACTCTAATCACTGAACATTTACAACATCACAGTGAGCAGCTTCCTGGCTCTTCTCTCTTGGCTGGTGTTCTATTTCTTTAAACTGAGTGGTAATACAGTACACAATGCTCATATATGTGAAAAAAAGACCCCTTTTGGAAATTTTGCTTGGGGAACTCAAATACATACACCTTGACATTTCTTTTACAGCCTAATTTCTTAGCATTATCTGTGAAATACCATTTAAAGTGATTTAAAACAAAAATTGGCTTTTAATTCTTGAAAGTTTTTCCCTTTTCAGGTCAAGAGACAATGCAGACTCTACAAGCTCTAGAGTATATCAGAAGTGGGATTAATCCTAACTCTTCCATTTACAGGCTGTGTGATTATGGCCCATTTCTAAAACTCTCTGAGCTTCAGTACCCTTGTTTATAAAATGCAGCTAATCATAATGCCCTCCTCTGGCTTATTGGAATGAAATGAAATGAGAGTATATATGTAAAGCGTTCCTATTACTAAAAAATGTTGGGTATCATTAATCTCTCTATCCACGGTGTATTGTACAAAAAAACAGGATCTTGAGTCAATGAATCTGGCCTTGGGTCCTGATTCTTCTATTTACTAACTGACTCTGGCAAGTTAGATTTCTAAACATTAATTTCTTCAATGACAAACTTGGAGTGATTATATAATGCCACATTATATAATATCACTTCAGTGTGTTATTGTGAGCATTAAATAATGAATGCTAAGTATGTTTGGCAAAGATAAACCAAGATATAAGTTATCATCATCATCATCAACCTGTACCTTAAGTAAATGCCAAAGTCATAACATTGTCATATGTCTTCCTCTACCATAAACTGAGTCTCACTGCATAATCCATCTTCCAGCTCAATGGGGCCATGTAACCGAAGAGGAGAGAAAGGTACTTCAATGACTGCTGAAATACCAGTGAAAATGGTGGTAAGTGAAAAATAAATCCTTAATTTCCAGCATTGTAAGAGTAAATGATTCCTTTATGATTAAAGCAGCAGAAAACAGTTTGAATGGGAACCTTGGCTTGAAATATTGTAATCTACAACTAGTTCTGCTTGAATCAAAATACGGATTATTGCTGGCCCTAAATGAAAACGCCCTGATAGTGGGGATACTATCCAGGACAAGAAAAAATGTGAATGAGTCTGTAAGGAAGTGGATATCCAATAGTATCTATTACCTTTCTCAGAAGAAGGGGGGACAATTATGACATTTTTCAGCATTTAGAACCATTTGGCACCCAGAAGAAGTAATCTATAAAGGTGTTTTCAGGCTTATATAGCTTTAGAATCTGACAGTTAACATTAAGATCTTGGCAGTCTAATTAGCCAGGTTTTCTGCTTTTAATCAATTGACTTAATATACTAAATAAGAGAATATAAGCTTGATGCCAACAATACATGGTTGACACTGTTGGCCAATAAAAACTGCAAATGCCAACTTCTCTCACTTCTTTATTAAATTTTAAATTCCACACAAATAACCAGTCTTATCACTTCAGATAAGCTTTGGTTTAAATTACATTTAAAATATGTTTTTCACTTAGTAAGGAAAATACCCCCTCTCTCACTTCTTCCCTACCTTCCCAAGTCAAAAACAAAGCAAAACAAAAGACTTTTTCAGAAAGATCTTTTACTGAGGTGATTCATAAAAGTTACACTGCTATAGGTTTCTAGGGAAACTTAGCCAATAATCTATGTGCCAAGTACTTTGTACAAATTAATTTTTAAAATTACAAAATGCTTTGAAAATTGTTATAAGTGCCCTAAAATTTGAAAAGTTATCATCATCAGTTCAGGGAAAAGGCATGAACTTTTTGAGGTTTAAGCAACATCATTTTGCGAATTTCCTTTCTTTGCTGCTCCCTTTTCTTATGAAAAATAAAAAGATAATTCAAGGACTGAAAGGGAAGCCTAAGAATGTCCTTGTATTTAATCAGAAGAGCTTAAGCAAACAACTGTGCCTGAGAGAGAGTCACATGGAATAGACCTTCCCTAGGGAGGGTATTCTGTCAGGATGACCCACTGTTCAAAGGTCTCAAGAGCATAACGGGTGATAAAAGCCCTTGATACGACAGTATAAAATCCACTTCATCTCCATTTTCCTGAGGGGCACAACAAGGCTTAGGGAAGCTAAGTAACAAGTCACCAACATGGTAAATGACTGGACTATGGATTAAGTTCAGATATATCTGACTAAAAAGCCTGTAATTCTTCTATTTCTCATCAGACAGGATCGTTCTGCGTATACTGAGGCCTTGGGATTAATAAAACACTCTAAGGTCTCATCTGGAACAAATATTCTATAAATCAAGTGCTCAAGCTAGTACTGCTTGTAGATTCCAGCCAAGGCCGAAGATGTCTACCTGTCTCCTTTACCATGCCTCTCCACACAGGGCCAGGAGCCCAAGAAGCCAAGGAGATGTGCCCCCCAGAGCCTCTGCACAGCCCTCCACACATCAGCTAAATCTAGATTCTAGACCAAACTCTAGTTCCAGGAATTCTGAAATTATCTGCTCAAATGCCCACCTACTCTGTTTCAGGGCCAAGTGGGTCTCTTCACATGATCCATTATCTCTAGGGCAGCCCGTGCCTCATACTACCCAGGGCAGAAGGTTGGCAGAAGGATGGCTGTTGATGAGGGACAGAGCAGAGTGTGGGCCTGGGGTCTCTACATACATGCATGTGGTACACAGCTGGGGGTGAGAAGGGGAGAGGGCAGAAGCAGGGGAGGTAGGGCCTGCTCTCCTCCCTCTACCTCGTGCTGGTACTCAGAGGGCTGAAACAACTAAAAATTTCAAACCTGGTCTTTCAGGTTTGAACATCTGTCAAAGTTGGAAGACAGAACATATTTTATTAGTTTTATTTATTACATTTTACAGTTTTACACTTGCCGTATGTAGCCTCCCTTTATTCTCTTTTTGATCCCAGACCTGCCAATTTTAAGGCTATAGGCATGTTTTGCTTGGCTGGCACAAAATATTGCTTCTTTTCAATTTGAACTAACATGTATAATAATCAGGGGATTTCACAAGAAAACAGTACTTTGTAGAGTCTCTTGAAGAATGCAATATGGCAACTTCAGGGCAACCTTCCAGAGTCAATCATCTGTTGGGATTAAATAGCGGCTGCCCCCTTTTAGGCAGGGTGAGACTGGCTATTTGGCCACCTTTATTGGTTTACAGTAAAGCTTCCAGCCAGAACTTCAAAGCCAATGCCCTGCTTTCTTGGGAGAAGCAGCTCGATGACCAGCCACATTTCACTCCCTAATGTTACCTATCTGCTCATGTAGGCAGCATAAGGTCTGAGCATAAGACCCTTGATCTAAAGAGACCTTACGTATTATGTGAATCGTCTCACCTAATAGGATCATCTGGGGAAATTAATCTAATTGAATTCGTTTTGTGAACAAGGAGGTGTCATTTGGGGTGATTGAAGATATAACCCCTAGCCTCACAACTCTCTCATTTAAAACAAGAACATGCAGTAATTACTTAGATTGGGAGAGAAGCCTCTTAACTATTCATCTTTCCACTGTTCAGGGCAGGCCAACAAGCAGTTAGTTAGCGGAGTTCTTTCTGATTGTTCTCACTGGTAGCCCCCGTTCCCCACCCACTAAAAGAGCCTCATTGAAAAATAATGAATCCAAACAACAAGAATATAATTTGCATCCCCAAGTTGGAAGCTTAATATTCAAAAGAAGGGCAATTTTATTTGTGCTTCACTATGTACGGTCATTTTTTTAAATATTGAAAACTCAGTGGTGACCCTAATTTCAGTTAAGATCAGAAAACACCAGCATATGGTGCATGAAAGCAAAATTAATTATGGCCTCAACCTCCCTTCTTACTTCTTTCTCCTCATCATGTATTAATCTTCTGGGTACTGTTCTACATGTTAAAATACAGAGTATGAATTGCTGTTAATATGCTGTTGCCAGGTTAAAGTAGTAGAGAATGTGAAGATGTCAGAAAACAAATCCCAGAGAGAAATGAAACACTGTTTTCCTTAGCTCATGATTACCATACAAATAGACTCCTTCTGAATTTAAATTACAATGACAGAAAAATCCTTTACGTTCCCTTAAACACACTGACAGGGATGGAAGGGCAGAGGATCTGCACTCTGTAGATCGGGATATTATCACCACCCCTACAGTTTCAGATGCAAAAACACAATCCCACAACACAAGCTCGCTTTGAAACTTGGAAAGTATCATGTTGCAAAACATTACAGCAGACGACATTTCTTGAATTAAAAGCAAAAATCTGTTATCTTCAACCACAAGGAAAAGTTATTATAAACAACGTATGGAAAAATCTAACAAGCACGTGGAGAGAGGAGTAGAGAAAGAATGACAATTTCTCTAGTAGAGCTGTGAATGTTTCCAGGATCAAAAGCTTAATTTTAGAAATGCCCAGTCACATTCAAATATCAGTTATGAACTCAAGATGGAAAGGTTATTTGCTAGGCAACTACATGTCCAGAGGTGGCTCTGAAAGGGCTTTGCTGTATAGCATAAAACACCCATGACTGGATATGGGATAACGCTGTCTTAAATAGATGCTTGGCAAGGCAAATTCCCAAGCAAACCAGGACAGTAGAGAAAAGGATGTGCCTGGCTGTCTCTCTGCTTCCATGCCCTCATGAGTGCCTTGCCTTTTCTACCCTTGAGCAATTTACCAACACCTATCATGTTTAAAGAGCAAGTGCAAATCTTACCGACTACCTGGCCCTTGGCTTGGAAGATTAATGCATAGCCTGTAGACTGACTATACATTTGAACCACATTACTTGTTATCTTTGAGAGAGAAAATTCTAGCAAATTTATTCTATCACTAATTTAGCTATTCATTCATTTATTCATTCAACAAATATTTAGTAAATACCTACTATTGGCTAGTCACAGTTCAAGAAACTATATCCAATGGTGAACAAAAGGACAAAAACTCTGTATCCCTGGCTCTTCCAGTCTGTGAAAAAATAAAAGATCAACAAAATAAATAGGTCACATATATACCTTGTTAGATAGTGATGAGCGATAAAAAGAAATAAAGCAGGGAAGGGGCACATGAAGAAATGAGAATTGCAATGTTGGATTGGGTAACCAAGGAAGATCTTGTTAGAGGTGACACTGAGGAAGGCCTTGAAGAGAACTAGGGGACCAGTTACATGGACATCAAGAAGAAGAGAGGTTCAGGCAGCAGGAACAGCAACAGCCTTGGGGCAAGAGTGTGCCTGAGTGCTTGGGGACATGAGGAGGGCAAAGAGGAGTGAGCAAGAGGACAGAGAGGTAATGAATGGTTGCACGGAGGAGGAAGGAAGGCAGCAGATAAGACCTATCCTTAGAGGCTTTGACAGACACCAAATTTCTTTAAGCATCTGTAAAACAGTGAGCATTATCAACACATGCCTCCAACAGCTATGAAGAGTCAATAAGACTTTAGCACAGGGTCTGGCACACATAAGTCTCAAAACCTGTTAGAGCACTAGTATCTTCTTTGTGATTGCACCTAACCATAGGAAAGGCTGTTCCCTCTCAACCAGGAGCTCCCTGAGGGCTGAAGCGGTTGGCGATACCTTCCCTGTTCCCAGAGGAGAATGCTGAACCCTGGAAGCATCTGGAGTCTTTGTGAATCCTGAGAGCTTTCCTGACTGGGGGCAGGGCTCTGGGGCACCCATGCTACAGCTGACCCTGTTAAAAGTCCTGCTTTTATAGTGCAATTTAGTACTTGGAATGGGGGTGGCAGGTGATGGCAGACACAGTTTGTCCCAGGGCACATTTGATTGGCAGTTATAACAAACTGGTAGTTCAACACTTGCTTCTGTTTGTTTATTTATATTTATTGATACTTATTAGATGTACATATTTTCAGAGTACATGAGATAATTTGAAGCATTCATATAATCAAGTAAAGGTAATTAGGATATCCATCACCTGAAATATTTGTCTTTTCTTTATACTAGAAACATTTGACTTATTCCCTTCTAGCTATTTTGAAATGTACAATTGATTACTGTTAACTATAGTTACCCTACAATCTATCGAACACCAGGTCTTATTTCTTCTATCTAAGTGCATATTTGTAACCATTAATCAATCTCTCTTCAATATATATCTCTGAAAAGATATCAGCTTCTCCCAGTTAACATCACTTTAGAAATTTAAACATTTTAATATTTAACTGGGTACTATATGCCCCAAAACAGAACCAATAATTTGAGATTCTTCTCTACACAAGGGCTGACTACAGGGATCTCACACAAAATAGCTTCCCTAGTACGTAGAAGTATTGTTTTACAATCATTACTGTCTTGACAAATAACCTAGAATGCAGGGAAAATTAAAGCTATAAAGGGTAAGAAACTATTGTTCAGTAGTGATCAATAAAAGTGAAATGAAGGACTGCAAAAACAGAACATAAGTCAGCAGAAGTGTGCTCTGACAGACAGACCTTACCTATCTTGAGGGAAGATGTGTTACTCATTTTGTGCTTCCAGGGCCTAACACAGTGCCTGACATAGAGTAGGTTTTTCATATCCATTTGTTAAATTAATTCATCCATAATTAATATACAAATCAAGGCAGAACAATATCATCAACTCATTAAAGGTCGGAGAGTGTTGAATTTAGCTTACTTCTGATGAGTTCATGTTACAGATCAAACCCATAAGGCATACAGTGCACTATGTGCACTATTTGCATAGCTTTACAAATATTTTGCTTATAATAAGGTTTACAGACATCTAGCCCTAGTTTTACCACCACTCCTCTCCCTTTAACTATTAAAACAATGATTGGCTGCCATCAAAAATAAAGGATCTACATCAGGTGGTTTAGTCACCTAGATTTCTCTGCTGCTTAAAAAGAAACTTACATACATTAATTGTACCTATTTAGTGGGAACAGTATGATGTGTTGATACAAGAATACATTGTGTAAAAATAAAATCGAGCAATTGGCATATCTATCACATAATATACTTACCTTTTTTGTGTGGTGAGAACACTCAAAATCCTGTCTTCTAGCTATTTTGAAATATATAATGCAATACTGGCAACCAAAGTCACCCCAATGTGCAATAAAACACTAGAACTTATTGCTTCTATCTAAGTGTAACTTTATACATGTTGATTAATCTCTTCCTATCCTCTCCTTTCCTCTATTATCCTAAGCCTCTGGCAACCACTATTCTACTCTCTATTTCTATGGGATCAACTTTTTTAGATTCACCATGTGAGTGAGATCATGCGGTATTTGTCTTTCTGTTCCTGGCTTATTTCACTTAACATAATATCCTCCAGGTCCATCCACGTTGCTGCAAATGACAGGATTTCATTCTTTTTTACAGCTGAATGGTATTCCTTTTTGTATACACACCACATTTTCTTTACCTATTTACCCACGGATGGACACTTAGGTTGGTTCCATATCTTGGCTATTGTGAAAAGTGCTGCATTAAACATGAGAGTGTAAATATCTCTTCAATATACCGATTTCATTTCTCTTGGATATCTATCCAGTAGTAGGATAGCTGGATCATATGGTAACTTTATTTTTTTTTCAGGAATCTTCATACTGTTTTCCATAATGGCTATAATAATTTATATTCTCATCAACAGTGCATAATAGTTCCCCTTTCTCCACATCCATGCCAGCATTTGTTATTTTTGTCTTTTTGATAATAGCCATTTTAATTGGGGTGGGGTGATATCTCAATTTGCATTTCTCTGATGATAAGTAATGTTGAGTATTTTTTCATATACCTGTTGGCCATTCGTATGTCTTCTTTGGAGAAATGTCTTTTCAGGTCTTTTGTCCATTTTCTAATCAGAGTTATGTATGTCTTTTTTTTTTGCTGTTGAATTATTTGAGTTCCTAATATACCCTATTTATTAGCCCCTTATTAGATGCATAGCTTACAAATATTTTCTCACATTCTTTAAGTTTTCTTTTTACTCTGTTGTCTCCTTTTCTGTGCAGAAGCTTTTAGTTTGACATAATCCAATGTGTCTAGTTTTGTTTTTGTTGCCTGTGTTTTAGGGTCTTATCCAAAAATTCTTTGCCCAAACCAATGCCATGAACATTTTCCCTATGTTTTCTTTCAGTATTTTTATCATTTTGGGTCTTACATTTAAGTCTTTAATCCATCCTGAGTTTATTTTTGTATATGGTGAGAGACAGGGGTCTAGCTTCATTCTTTTGCATGTGGATATTCAGTTTTCCAAGTGCCATGTACTTAAGAGGGTGTCCTTTCTCCATTGTGTGTTCTTGGCATTTTCGTTGAAATTTTAGTTGGTTATAATGTCTGTTGCTTTTCATTCTGAGGTACAAAATTCTAACTTTAGAGAACTTTTCTGTAGTTTCCCTAGGTAGACTTTCATCATGTAAAACAGGTGATTCTAAACCTATCATAGATAAAGTGTTTTAATAGTGTGAAGCACCATATAATAATCATGACTGCAATTACTATTATGATTTCTATTAGCAAAGACCAACTCCCGTATTTCTCCTATTTATAAAAGTAACGGGCATTTTCCAAATAATTACCTGCTTTCTCCCCCCACATATCAAATCGCATTAAAATCAAACATAATAAAATGACAGTTTCACAGAGGTAGGAGGGCACCATGGCACTGTGTTAACCATGCCCAAGTCTTTAACCATTTCAGTTAATGTTTAAGACCTGGCACAAACTTGATACTGCAATTCCCAAAGCACTTTGAGAATGTGGGGTAAACCAGTTTAAAAAGAGATTAATGATCTCTTAATTTTCTTTTATGAATACTTATGAAATTTCTAGTACTATGTGAATTCTGACAACTTGCAGACTATGTCAATATAAAATTTCCTTCAATTCCTCAGAGGCAAGTGAATCCAGAGATGACATTTTGAAAACAGTTCAAATGTCAAACAGGAGTTTAAACAAAAGCAGTTAGGAGAATTTCTGCCATCATTCAATTTCAGAAAGGTATAAGAATCTTTTGCTACAAAAATGAGTTGAGAAATCCCTGCTCAGTATCAGTGATGCATATTATTCAAAGCATGTATTCATTTATTTATTCATTCATTCATTCTGTATTACCTTAGAGCATCTGTTGAGTATAAAGTACACACATGCTTCCATCCTTGGAATGGATAATAATTTTCTTATCCTTCATTGCACCCTGGTACACACCACAGTGCCTAGCACACAGTAGGTGTTCAATAAATAACACTGAATGTTGAGCGAATAAATGAATGAGTGAGTAAGTAAATGAGTAAGAAGTACTCTTTTCTCTATTTGGGTAAATCTTATTTTCTTGTAACATAATTGCCAATATATTTCTTATGCTATGGATGGCCTAAAATAACAACAGAACAGTTGGCTTTGCTTCCCCTTTTTATTTCCTTTTCCTGTAGCTTGAATATTAGAAACTAGAAAAATGCACCAGAAGAAAACTAGAAATCATTGCACAGAGAATCCACCCACTTTCCTTTAGCTGGTAGTGGTCTCTGGAGATTGTGAAAAACATAGTTCTGTAATTATATGGAAAGCTTAGCAACTGGGATCTGTGTCAAAAAAAACAAAACAAAACAAAACAAAACAAAACAAAACAAAAACATGCCATAGTTCACTTTAGGACTCAAGGCACAAGGGCACCAAGCATGAACACTACTTTGAAGGTATATGAACAACTTGCATGAACACTACTTTGAAGGTATATGAACAACTTGAAGACACAGAAATTACTGAAATCCAAGAGATCTGTCATGGTCAATAGTGAAACATTCGTAATTTGTAAGATTTCTCCAACAGGAGTCTCATGAAAAGAAGCCTCACTTACTTTCTTACCCTCTATGATTAATTTCCAAAAAAGTAGGCTTTTAAAATAGCTTTTTTACAACAATCTTCCTTTAATAAAAGTGGGCCAGAATGGTGTGGTCCCACCTGGTGTTTATACAGAGATGGCCACTTCACCAGTGCAATCAATCCAGGAGAGGAGCCTCTGATCCCGGAAATAAATGCAGTAAAGCTTGGCTACTGACGTGGAGGTACTTTCACTCTATGGGAGGAGTCTTCAAGGTCACCCTTCAGAGCCTAGTGATTCTCAGCCTACTTACTATTCTAATACCTTATTTATGGGATGGCTCCGCAGATGAGAAGCAGCAAATTAGAAGGCAGAGCCCTGGAAGAAAGAGGCGTCCTGAGAACAGAAGTGTATGCTGGCAAGCTGAGCTCAAGGGAGGAGACCCAAATATTACTGCACTAGATATCCTAGACAATAATGAACAGTCCAAGTGAAAACCTTGTATGCATGATGGGCTACATGATTTGCAGGGCTCAGCGCAAAATAAAAATGTCAAGCCCTTTGTTCAAAAATTGTGAAGAATTTCCAGACAGTGACAGAAGGACACCAAGCATGTGGCCCTTCTAAGCACAGGGCCCTATGCGATGACATAGATGGCAGGCCCATGAAGCCAGCCCTGCTTTTATCACTTTGTTCAAAAGATTATGTTTGAAAACTGAAAGACACATTAATACACTTTAAAAAGTGGTCCAGAAATATAATCTTTTTTGTGTGTGTTATATGCCACTCAAAATGTTAAACATCAGTTATCTGGAATAACCCTGGGCACAGATAATTCTTCTGACTTTGGAAATAATAGATATGACTAAAATTCCAAGAGGCAACTTAAATAACAAGTCCAAAAATTCACATTTACACACAGGTTTTTCTTTTACTGTGAGGTGCTTTTGTCTTGTAAACAGCCTGTTCGTTCTTTAGGCCTGAGAAGTTTCCTGTTTTTTGTGTTCCTCCCACACCTATGTACACAATCCCAAATCCGTAAAGGCTTATTAAATCAGAGTTGGATGAAAGCACAAAATAATTTAAGTCATTTACTAGCTATTACAACCCAGCAAAAGATTGATAGAGTTCTACTGAAAACATCTCTAATATTTCTAAACATATGCAGGCAAATATAAATCCACCAACTATATTTGATTAAGTATAAAAGTGAGAATTTGGAGACTGATTATCTGAGTCCATTTTAAACTGAAAGTCATTTCATTGGGCAATAAAAATACTTAAATATGAAAATTATAGAAATATGTCTAAATCTAGTTTCCTAATAAAACATTTTAATAAATATCCCCATTTCCCGGGCATGAATATCATTTCTTCAGAAGAATGCATTTCTCACTATGACAGAAAACAATTTAACTCAGTAAAAAATGAACAATTTAGTATGTACATAGTCAAGATGAAGCATGTCTTTATAAAATAGGAAATTTTACAAAGAAGAGAAATTTACTTAAGTGGTGGGAGGTAAAATTGGATTTGTCTTGGTTAACTGATGTATCTGCAAAGGCCACACATTTAAAAATGGTCATTGGCAGAGGCTGAGCGTTTTCTGCCTTTAATAGTCTGTTTCTAATGTGATGGATTTATTTTACATCTCCTCACTCATGTTCTCAGAGGCTTTCCTTCCTAAAACAACCAATAAATATTATAACCATTCATTATTGCCAGAAAAAAAGGTCCCATAAGAACCTTAATATTATTTACTTAATCTCTTCATTTTAAAGCTGTGTGGCAGTAGCAATAAATGTCAGTGCATGGTGAAATTATTCTGAACTGTGAGGTCTTAAAGGGGTAAAGTCCTTGTTTTATTCATCCTTGTACACCCTGTGCCTAGCATTGTACCTGGTTTATAGCAGGCACTCACAAAACATGAGTATGTAGTATATATCAGAGACTTTCAAGGCATTTAATCAGATTGATTATTCATCGATTTTCAAGAAAAGATTCTTTACAAGCAATGCATTTAATAATAGCTATAACAGTTAACATTTGTTGAGCACTTTGTATGTGCAAGGCTAAGCTAAGTGCTTTATAAAATACAGTAGCCCGCCTAATTTCCTCAGCATCTCAGTTAGTATACCCATTTTCTTGATAGGGAACCTGAGCTATACCAAGTTAAGAAACTTGGCTATTGCCTTATGGGTAGTATGTGAATGAAATGGGCTTCCAACTGAGAGGATTCCATCCTTCTTGTGGGTGTACTGGTGAATTTCACAGGGTAAAATTCTGAGAAAACAGGTGTTTATCATGCAGATCTTGTTCAACAGGTTAAAGATAAGCAGAATTGTCTAAAATAGAATAATACACTTAATAGAATTGTTGGCAATTTTTATAGAACACTATAGATAACATTTAAACCAGCAAATATCCATCTAAGAACTATTAATAAAGAGAGACAGGGCTTAATTCACATACATGCTGGAGATCATGACATTTTAGATTTTGATCCACAAAATTTCACAAATGAAAGATAAAAAGTGATGGCCAACATCCAAATAGCATCGATGAAAACTCCCAGCAATAACATGACTTATAAAGATAAATATCTTTCCCTGATATCTCCCCCACTTACCCAACCTAAAGGCTTCCTTCTTCCACTCTTTAACAAAATTGTGCAGCAACTGACATCAGGGAATAGCTCTTCTTTCCTGAGCCTCTCTCCTGACTGGGGATCCAGTTAGAGTCTGTTAAGATATTTTTCTTAAATAAAGGGAAATCTATTTCAAACGTTGACAGCAAAATTACGTATTATTATTACAAGGGTATATTAGGGAATTTAAATGCAAGGAGCATAGCTGAGTTTCAGTAATGCCTATCAGAGTTTGTCTGTTGTCTGTCTGTCTGTCAGTTGCTTCATGCACATAGGCACCCTACAGTTCTCAGGTTTATAACTCCACAATTCCACCACACCCAGAAATTATCTCTGAATCCCAATAATAAATTCCTGGAAGAGAGAATCCTGGAACTAGTGTCTACCCCAATCTAACTGGCTGAGACAAGGAGGGAAAGACTGGGGGTCAGTACACACAGGAAAGGAGGCTGCTAAGGGGTATACAGATATCACCAGAGTTATTTACAGCAAGGTATCTTCTCTGTGAGGTTTCAAACCTGCTGCTCCTTTTCACTACACCCTTGAGACTGTCTTCTCCTCTCATGTTCAGCTCTTCTCCAAGTCACCAAGACCTGATTAACTGCATTTCTATCATCTCTCCCACCAGTCTCCTTTTTCCCTTCACTTCAATACCATTCTCATATATAGACTCAAAGACTGTCAGAGATAGAGACGGTCTCAGGGCCCTCAATGGCAAATAAATGTCATTTCGCAAAACCAGCTCCCGCTCAGGGTTAGGTTGAAATGGATGCAAAGCATGAGCATGTATGAAAGGCCATTATAATTGATTAATGATGTCTACGTGGGAGTAGGAAATGCTGTAGCAGTACACACAGCAGGTATTGATGGTTTTATTGTTGCTCAAACTCCTTGATTTATAGGTGAGGATTCTGTGGCCTATAGAAATGAAGTAAACTTGTCCACTGTTAATAATAGTGATAGGGTCTGGACTAAAATCTGGATAAGCTATGACTACCAGTGAACTTTCCAAGGTGTCATATAATTTTACTCTTGGGAAGTTGAAATATTGAAGACAAGGAGAGAGGTTTCTAGGAGTTTGAGAGAGGGTCCTTTGTTTAGCCCCATCACAGTCCACTTATCAGGCACAACTTAATTTAGAGAACCACATATATAGAAATCAACAGATGATCACAATCTTACAAGATGAAATGTAATGAACCCAGGTAAAATGTTCTTCATAATTTGAAAAGACGAACTGTCTAAGGCCTTAATCATACAATGTGGACATTGAATTAGCTAAAACAAATTCCGTCCATATGCAGATAATATTGAACGTTTACTGAGAGTATACTACATGCAAAATACCCTTTAAAATACTTTACATATCTTAACTCATTTAATGTTAATAGCAAGCCAGTTCATTAGTTGCTATAATTATTCACTTCACAGAGTAAACTGAAGCTCAGAGAAGTCACTTGCCCAACATCACATGGCCAAGAAGCTGGGATCAAAATGCAAAGACATTTATTTCTCATGTCCAAGCTCATGATTACTACTCCATCTAGCTTCTTTCCCTCTCAAGGTTATTATGAAGCCTAACTATGACTATGTACAGCAAAGTAGAAAGCAAATGTGTCTTTCTACTACAGAGCAACAGGACTGCTATCAATAACTCAACATGTGTTGGTTTTATAATTTTATTGTTAAAGTTCCATATGCTTTCCCAGAATAATCTACCTCAATATTAATAAAGTTTATGGATTTTTAAAACACTTACACACTTTTATAAGAACGTCAAGAAGCTAAGAACAAAATCACTCAAAGATGACAAAAAAGGACAAGATCAGAATATAAAGTGGTAACAATACTAAAACTGGACTTTAAGTTCTCACAATCAATGGATAAACTACTGTTCAAACTATAGAAACTATTCAGATAGCAACTTCAATGCTTTTTTAAAAAAGTGCTTTCAGAAAATTGCTTTAAAAGACTGAGAAATGACAAAATGAATTAAACTGATGAGATCCTGATTTATGAAGCACACTGAATGCCAGTCAATATTAACTTCTACGTGACCTCATGGCCTTCTGTAAAAACACTCCTGTAAGAAATGATGGTGTTATCCATGGGTTATCTTTCAGAAGTCTTGAAATGACTATAGTAATGCAATGACTTAGAAACAATGAGAGACTTAGAAGTCTCTCATCCAACTTCTACCCTTTTAGAACAACCCAGATAGTTAAATTCAACTAGATCATAAGTACTACAACAACAAACAAAAAAACTATCTAGCTAAAACCAAGCTTGAGTGGTTCAAAAACTGCTAAAGTTCTTACCATTTTGTCTAGTGAAAAGAGTACTGCACTAGGAGTCAGTGGTCCTTCATTCTGCCATGGGGTCTTCCTCCCTCCTTTAGGAGAACCTCACCTTCACAGCTATTCTCTGAATTGCACTCATGTTAGCTTCCTAGGGCTGCTGTAACCAAGCACCACAAACTGGGTAGCTTAAAAGAACAGATATTTATTCTCATAGAGTTCTGAAGGCTGAAAGTTCACAATCAGGTTGTTGGCAGATTCATGGTCCCTATCAGGACCCTAGGGAAGCATCCTTCCCTGTTTTTTCCTAGCTTCTGGCAATCCTTGGAATTCCTTGGCTTGTGGCACCATCACTCCAATCTCTGCTTCTAACTCCAGTCTCTGCTTCCATCTTCTCAGGGCTGTTGTTGGGGCCTCCAACACAATAACCTCAAGTACAGCACCTTGGCATACGGAGTATTTTAAGCTAAAGGAAACTGAGAAAACTACAGAAGCATAAAGGTATCTCTGACCTTACCCTCTTATTTCTTTTAAAGACCCTCATGTGACAGGTGTCCTGCCTTATACCTAGAGGGAAGGAATGTTACACAAAAATGCCAAGAGGAATCTACACAAAGAGGCCTTGCTACATTGCCCCTTATTACCATTAGGATATACGCTCTTGGTCCAAGCATACTTCTACACAACTGTCCATTTTTCATCAAACCTAAACGTAAAAATAACACGGTTTTCTCTTGGCTTTGGGTTTTCATTTCTGAAGACTCCTCTGTCTTATGTGGCTTCAGTTAAATACATTTGTATGTTTTTCTCTTGTTAGCCTGCCTTTTGTTACAGGTACTTCAGGCATGAATCTTGTCTTCGGTGACGAAAATGTTACTTTTTCTCTGCACGTTGTCTTCCTTCTGGGTCTGTGTCTCTGTGTCCAAATTTCTCTCTGTTTATGAGGACACCAGTCACTGAATTAGGGCCCACACACATCCAATATGAATTTATTTTAACTTGGTAACATCTACAAAGATCTTCCTTACCAAATAAGGTCACATTCACAAGTGTGGGCTGGGAGTTGTGTGTCTTTTTGGGGAACAATTCAACCCCTAACACACCTATAAAACAAAGAATGTGTGCTTAATCATCTGAAAGACTTTCCCCACAAAGTTCTAGGATCATTAATTATTTATTTAGTTTGCTCATGTTTTTCAAATTCAATAGCATTTATTTTTAGCATTAAGTCCATCAATCAGACCAATCCTAGCTCGGCACTGACCAGCTGGGTGACCCTGGTCAAACCACTTTTGTGCCCAGAGCCCAGAGTTTTGTTCCCCTCCCCCCCCAGGACTGTGGTTATTGCTGAATGAGCTAATACATGAACATGTTGGCATGGCTCGAGACAGTGAGTAGACCTGTGCTCTGGGTTAAGGCTCCTCTTTCCACCATCCCTTCATACTTGATAGACAAGGGACACACAGCCCAGCAGTATCTAGGAGTCTCCCTAACAATGGCATCCAAGAATGGAGAGAGGCGGGCAGTGGTTTCAATTAAAATTCACTGTTTCCCACAGAACAGAAGAAAGTAATAAAGCAATGTAGTAAATTACTGCTGTGGAAATAATGCCCAGATAGAAGAAATAAAAGAGAAATTTATGACCTTAATCAATCTCTCTTTTTTTTAACACATAAATACAGCTCCATCATCTGCTCTATTTACATGACTCTATCACCCTCCCAAATAATTCTCAGTAATTTCCAACAGCAGCTACACCATGCAGCTGAGCCCCAGGGTAAGGCTGGCTATAGGAACTACCACCTCCATCACTACCTTTTCTCAGTGGGTTAGCAGGACATGAAGCAGCATGGAACAAGGAACAACACAATTCTCCTCCTAGAATGAACTATAGCTCTTGGAAGTGCCTGTGAGCTGCCCCTGCGTTGGGGAAGGTCCCAGCCAGGTCAAGAGCATCATTTCTCTTATGCTCTTATCATTTAGTTCATGACTGCTGATTCCTCTCTTCCTTTTATTAAAGCTCCCTATCCCTGCCTGTAATTCAGTTTTATAAAGAAACAGCATCGAGCAATCATTTTCCAAGTAACAATCCTGTTAACTCGAAGATCCAAATCTGCTTCTCATAAATGGGGTAAAACACATGCTGTTGCCCTGTCCATTGGAATCTAACTTAATTGGGGAGTCAAATTACTTCCTATCATGGATGGTGGCACTAGTTCGCACTTAGCCCAAGGCTTCAAAATCCTATGACGTACTGGAAGATGGGGATCCAGCACGTGGCTCAGGGGCTATGTGTAGTGGCTTATGCCTGCAATCCCAGCACATGGGAAGATGGGAGGATTGCTTGAAGCCAGGAGTTCAATAATAGCCTGGGCAACAGAGTGAGACCCCATTTCTAAAATAATAATAATAATAACTGGATACGGTGGTACATACCTGTAGTCCCAGCTACTTGGGAGGCTAAGAGAATTGCTTGAGTCCAGGAGTTTGAAGCTGTAGTAAGCTATGATCATGCTACTGCACTCCAGCCTGGGCAACAGCGGGAGACTCTGTCTCTTAAAAAACAAACAGATAGTGGTCTGGGACACTGGTCTAAGTCCCTATGCATCTGCAGTTCCCTGGGGCTTGTAAATGGGCACTGAATACTTAATATGGATGCCAACACCTCAGAGAGCCTTAATCTAGATACATGACTGCAGAATCCCTACCTGAGGTCACAAGGATTTTTCTTCCCCCCTTTTCATCTAGGATTCATCTAATGTGGATTGTTTCATTCCAATGATGAAACAATCCACATATTGATCCGTCAGAAGGCTGGCATTAAGCAGGAACAGGATTTGGAGCTGCTTAAGCATTTCAAGGGAAGAAACCCTGAAACTCTGAAATTAATCCCTTCATGATGTTTTCTGGAGAAGGCTGTTCAAAATGGGCTCTGAGGAGAATTTCGTTACCAGCCAAATCCTCTCCAAATATTAAGAGTTGAGAAAATGATAACTTAATTCACATGTATTCTGTTTGAAGTTTTGTTATTATTATTATTTTTTCTCTAATGGATTCTATTTCAAGTATTCATAGAGCCTTTAAAATACAAAGAACCTGGAGTCAGAGGGAAGTGAGAGGCAGCTTTGGATTTCTTCTCTTTTAAATTTTTAAAAACTTGTAACAAAAGGCGGGTTAACAATAGAAAAACATACAAATGTATTTAACTGAAGTTACATAAGACAGAAGATTCTTCAGAAAAGAAAACCCAAAGCCAAGGGAAAACTGTGTATTTTTGTGTTTAGGTTTGATGAAGAATGGTCAGTTGTGTAGAAGTATGACTGGACAAAGAGGGTACATCCTAATGGTAATAAACTGGGAGAAACTTAGCAAGGCCTCTTTGTGTAACATTCCTTCCCTCTAGGTATTTCATTTTATTATTAATAATATTTATGTGTACATATATATGTACACATACATACACACGTATTACATATAATAGTTATAGTTATATGCCATCACATCTCAATTGTCAGTCATTTCATTTTGCACAGGGTGCTTTGCTAGGGGCCATATGGAATGGGGTTCTGTAAAGTATTCCACGTTAGTGCAATGGTTCTCAATGGGGGCAGTTCCTCCCATCCCTAGAATGTATGATAATGTCTGGTGATATTTTGGTTGTCACAACTGAAGCAAGGGGTGACCCTGGCATCTAGCAGAGGCCAGGGATACTGCTGAACATCTTATATAACATATAGAACAGCTCCCCACGACGAAGAATTATGTGACCAAAAACATCCACAGTATCGAGGTTGAGAAACTCTGAAGTTGGTACTTACATTCACAATAAGTATATGAAAAAAAAAATGAAGCTATATGAAGGCAGAGCGAGTCCACACTCTGGACTTAATTTCCAACAGCAGCTACACAATGCAGCTGAGCCCCAGAGGAAGGCTGGTTATCTGGGAATACCACACCATCGCTACCTGTTCTCAGTGGGTTAGCAAGACATGAAGCAGCATGGAACACAGAGCAACACGATTATTCCCCCAGAATGAACTGTAGTTCCAGGAAGTACCTCTGAGCTGCCTCTGCCCAGGATAAGGTCCCAGCCAGGGCAAGAGCATCATTTTTCTTATGCTATATAATACACCACACTCTCCCATGCCTGATGGCCCACCCTGACCCAGCCCTCCACATCCTTGGAACCCCATGACCCCCACCCTCAACCCACAGTTGTGAGCTGATCAAGTGGGGAACTGCACAGCTTCCCTGGGGACATAATGACAATGCAGAAAAGTTCCCTTTGTCCTTGTTCATGTGGAGCACATTCACGTGGATGCAAAGGTCACCGCTGAATTTAAATAACCCCCGTGATAAATCTGCATAAGCCCGATTTGTTCTACTGGACTTGTTGGATTAAATGAACACAATTTAATGTTCTATAGGACAAGGGCTCCTTTCATGGCTGAAAGAAGGAGCAAGGGTGATTTACAGTTTCACACATACTCATTCGCTACATTATCTGCCTTGTGCCTGTAGTTATGAATATCAACTCATCATCCGGCAGCCATTTCTACCCATTCAGGAGAATTTAGCTTTTTATTAGGAGGGGCTCTGCCATCCCGAAAGAAACAAAGAACAAAAAACAACAATAGATTTCCGCAATGTTCACTGAAAAACAAGCACCAATATTTGGACCCTTGTACCTCACCTTTTTTTTTTTCTTTAAATCCCTATATTTGTAAATAAAGTAAGGTTTCCTCCTCTTTTCCTAGAAAAGGTGGTTTTCTAAGCAGATTACCACCACATGGAACTGTGCATAAACACAAGGCTTAACTTACCTAAGATAACAAATTATTTTTGAACATCCATATCTTATGAACTAACACTTTTTTATAATCATATATTAAAATACAATAATGTTTGTTGATTCATTAAAGTAGGTCTGAACTCCACTTAATAACAAATTCTGCTTGATTCTACCTATTTGGAAATAATACAAGTGTATCCAAACATTACGTGACCCAGGTTTTTTATTAACTACAAGTCTTAGGAATCCATGTGATATTTTGCTCATGGATAGTTAGAGACAGGATTTTCATTTTTCTCCACTTGATAAAAGAGAAAGTATAAGTAAGGATATGGGAGTTGATTTTGGGAGTGGGTGACTGAATTAACTCTCAAACCTCAGCCCCGTAAGATGTTGGGGTAACTCATAAAGTTTGCTGTCTTGTCCTCAGGTGTCTCTGGGCACCTTGTTACCTCCCTCATTTGTTTCATATAGAACCTTGCTAATCAGGCTCTCAGGAGAGAGCAACATCATCATCACCTAGAAACTTGTTAAAAATGCAAATAATCAAGCTCTGGCCTAAGACTCTATAGTCTAGCAAGCTCACCAGGTAATAATTTTCAGGTTGAAGTGTGGTCTGGATTTCTCTCCCTGTTACCCCCTCTCTTATCCACTATGTTGTATACCATATACCAAAAGGCATGCTGATGTTATATGCAGCTGATTAAAAAACTAAAGACATCCAATATTTTAATAAGCTATCTCCTCCAATTTTAATAGAGAAAGGAAATGTCTATCCTAGGAGTAATCAATACTTAAAGGTAGAATTTGAGGTATTCTTACAGCACACACACTTTTGAAGAGGATTTCTTCCTCCTAAGTCGCCTAAAGTGGGGGTAGCCAGTCTACCAACACATAAACTATGTTTTACTCAGGTTTATTTCAAGATGCTCACAGAAAGCAAAAGAAAGCTGAACTTCACCTCTACTCAAATACAAGTGGAGATGCCAGTGAATGGAGCATGGGTCAAAGGGAGACAGAGCAACTGCAGAAATAAACTTAGAAATTCCATGCCCTGGACAGTGAACCATTGAAAGATCTGGATTAAGCAAAAATCACTTTCACAGGCAGACTCTCAATGCAGCATATGCTAATCCTGGATCTATGTTTTACAGACACAAAAGAAAGAATGAAGGGGTCTCTTTTATGTATGTGTTTTTCCCTTTAAAATAATTCCTTTAAGAAGTAGGTCTCTCAGAAGGAAGATTGGAAAAAACAAACAAACAAAAAAAACAAAACAAAAAAAACAAGGCCCTTTAAAATTTAACTATTATCAAACTCAGAAACAAATGAAAAGAGATGTATGTATTTGCTACTTCTAATATCTTACCACTTTCCTGACATTTATGACTCTTAAAATTCGCTTTCTAATAATATCATGCCTCTCAAGCTATCTGGTAAGCTTCACTTGTTTATATTCCCTGTATAGTTATCTGGCCTCTGTCTCTGCAGGTCAGCCCATTCTTCAGGCCCCCTTCAGGTCCGCAAAGATCCCCTGTTACTCAGCTCTGCTCTGACATGTTACACTGTTCATAGCTTATAATCCACAAAGCTCCACTCTTTTTTTGTTTTGTTTTGTTTTTGTTTTAAATAAGCTGCCTTAAATGGTAAGTATGATGGTTCTGTTTTTCCTATGAGACTAAATTCCCTGAGTGCAGAAAGTATCTTCCAATGTATTTCTGTTATGTCTCCCACCCTGCTGACACCTGGGGTCTAGATCAACGGTACGTCATGCACTTCATAAAACTGAGTTGAAGATTTCAGTGCTACCTAGCAATTGCTAAGGCAAGACATGGCTGCCTTTCAGAAATGTCTTCCTCAAGATAGTGGGGTCCAGGAGCAGTGTGCTTGTAGCTTACACAGACTTTTTTTCTAGGGGGAAATACGGGATGATGATGATGATCGTAATAGTTAACATTTATTGAGTTCTCTACTAAACACTGGCATGTCAGCCCTGTACTATGGGGTTTCCATGGTGTAAACATGACTAAAATAAACCTTCCAAAGCCCTAGAAGAAATTTCCACCCCTGCTCCCCACTTCAGCCTGGATGACCAATGAGGGCCACCCTGGACTCCCTCAAAAGAACTGGAGGCCGGGCACGGTGGCTCACGCCTGTAATCCAGCACTTTGGGAGGCCAAGGCGGGCGGATCATGAGGTCAGGAAATCGAGACCATCCTGGCTAACACGATGAAACCCCGTTTCTACTAAAAATACAAAAAATTAGCCGGGTGTGGTGGCAGGCGCCTGTAGTCCCAGCTACTCGGGAGGCTGAGGCAGGAGAATGGCGTGAACTCGGGAGGCGGAGCTTGCAGTGAGCCGAGATCGTGCCAATGCACTCCAGCCTGGGCGACTGAGCGAACTGGAAGGAAGCAACATTCCTGCTCACCCAAAGAGGCAAGTGAACACCGGCCTGATGGTATCTCCACCTCAGACATGGGGGTAGGCTGCATTTGATTGAATTTAACTGCTTGGCCTGGAATTAAGCAAGAGTTCTCTGTACCGGCCAGAAAAAACCACACAGCATTACAGCTTTTGTTTTCCTTAAGCCACAGGAATTACTAAAGAAAGTCCACAGACTACTGATTCTACGTGATTCTAGATGTGGTAGAAAAAAACCCAGTTATTTGTGTAGAGAACAGATGTTCGATAAAGAAATCTCTCTCCATTTTGGGGTTGGGAACATCTGTTATCTGCTACAAGCTGTATATCATACATCTTGGCATTATTTGCGTTGGCGTTAATCATTTTAATCTTTATTATGTAGCACATTGCCAAAACAAAACCAAATTCTAAAAATTCCAACTGTACAGCAGAGGAGGAAATGAAAGCTTAGTTTACTAGAGTCAACATCCATTTGAGAAAAAAATCTAAAGCATAAATCTTTCCTAAATATACTGGTTAGTATGCCTCTGTCTATGTATCTATGTATCTATCTATGTATCTATCTATCTATCTACACACTGGTTAGCTACACATCCAGCTTCATTACTGAAAAATGTTATATTGATGTAACTATTTCAGACAAATGACTTTAGAGTCAGGAAGAAATGCCAAAAATTAAGACTTCTATTAGAGAGTTCCTTGAGCTGGCTGAAGGTTGCCCCCTAGGCAGCATGATACTTAGAGCAACACCATTAACAAGAATTTCACCAGACTTGGAGTTCTGTGAATCTCATTAGAAATAGGCATAACATGACTCTTACAGAACTCTGTAGTTTACCAACAGCCTTCAAACACATCATGATGACATTCAGACTTCATGAGCAACCCTTGCAGAGTAAGCAAGGTCATTTTCATTTTCCAGATAAGTAAGTGAGGTCCAAAGAGATTAAATGACTGTAACTACAGTAAAGTAGTTAGAATGGGGTATCAGCTTTTTTTGTGGGATTTCAATGCACCAGGCACTGTGCAAAGGATTTCTGGTGAGGACTCCTATATTCCTTGCAACTATTTTTACTCACTAAAAACTACATTTAAGAGAGGTTCAATAATTTCCCCAAGGTCATGAAGCTGGTAAGTTCATGAAGCTGGTGAAAACTGTGCAATACAGTCTGTTTCCCCCACTGTGTTCTATGGTGTTTCGTAGTTAGAAAGCACAGAGCAAGCATTTGAAACTCAGGACTTCTAACTCCAAATGTGACTTCCTCCATGAAGCCCTCCCTGACCATCACTCCCACCAACCCTATATTGAGTGAAGCTCCCCTGCTGGAATCATTTATATCTTTAGCTATATCATAAGTATTTGTTAAGTTCATATAAGTTTGGGTCCCTAAGGCTGGGACCATATCTTAAGTTTATAACCCTCTTTATTAGATCTTACTTGAAAAGTAATAGGTACAATAAGTGGTTGGTGATTGAATAAATGGATAAAAAAGCAGTATTTTCTTATCATGTGTCTGGAAACTACAAGGTATGCTATATATTTCTTTAGACAATTAGATCAGTTGGACAAAAATGTCATTCCTGGCAAAAATGCTTTTTAAAAATCTATGGCAAGAAGAGAGAAATTATGAACATGCTTAAGGATCTTATTAGCAACGTAGGCCAAATAGTGATAAAACAGGGCTTTCTGAAAAATTATGTTCAAACTTTTAAAAGCCATATAAAAGAAAGCTTTAGTTACATGAATGAGCATGTTCTTCTCTGAACTTCACATCCAACCCAAATTCTTCCCTCTTCCCTGTGACAGTTATTTTTTCTATTCATTCCTAAGTAAAGGATGAGAACAGAGAAAACTTCCCTTTTGCAGCTTTTTATTAAATTCTTTAAAAAAAGGGTGCTGGGCCTACCATTAATGACTCAAGTAGCAATGGGATCAAGATGGAAGAAGCAGAATCTGACTGGGGTATTTCAGGCTCCACTGGGTTGTGAAATGTGAAGATACCTGTGGCCTCAACTTCTTTACTGTGACATTGTTTGTTTTTGTTTTTGTTCTCTCTCTCCCTCCACCACAACCCTCACTCTTAAATTTGCAAAGTGATTGAATTCATTTCTCTGTGGCTATGTTCTAAGGAGCTCTTTGCCATACCAAAAAGTAAATCAGGAGGGCTTCCCAGGAAAGTTGGAGGCCTGTTCCGCAGAAGCATGGAGAATTTTATCTACTTAATGGGGCTCTGAAAGGTTGGGCCAAGGCTCCAAATCTGAGCCCTCTTCTGCAAGTACAAGCAGGCCTCAACAGATACTGATAATTACTACTCTCTTTGTCTTACAATAAAATACAAGTCAAATCCCGATTCAACACTGTTAGAATGCAAAAGTCTGCTTAACAAAATGATTGATCCACTCATAATTAGAGAAAATCAATAATTTTCTTTCTTAAACCCTGACATTCTCTTTCATTATATTAATGGGAGTCTGACATTTATAAAATACTTGAGGTCAGCTACATGTTTCTGTTTAACAAACATAGGCAGGAGAAACGACCATCAACTAGATTAGTAGTTCATTAGGAGAGCTGAGTTTGTTCACACCAACAAATCTCAACTAAGCCTAACTTTTTGAACCAATATCAACTCACTTGCCCAGGGTGAAATTAATTTAAATTATTCTAAATTTCAAAGAATTAAAACCCCATCCATCACAACTCTCACTATTTTACTCCTTTGTTCAGACCTAAAAGAGGCAAATCACAAGAAAGCAATGAACCTCTCAGATCTGCAAAAAACTTTTCCAACGTACATACCTGTCTCAGAATGCATTCAGCCAAATGCACACCTGCTCCCGATCCTTAGACCTTTCTTACCCTTACTCAACCAATTAAGTTTTCATTACAATCTCTAAAAACGTTTTGAGCAAAAGACCAGAAAATTGAAGTTATACATATTTTATGTAAAAATTGAGACACTGGAAGTTCTTTTAAACATGGATGCTTCCTTGATGGGTAGTACAGGAATCGCAAAAACATCTGGAGTTTGAGGTGAAGGCTTTAAGGAGATCAGCAAGGGAGAAGTGTCTAGAGGTAGAGGCATCACAAAGCCAGCTTGCTCATAGAATCCAGCAGAGGCCAGGTTACTCTTTTCAAGAAAGAGAAGGAAGCAGCTGGCTCTCTGAGTGGCCTGGGAACCACATTTTATTATTATGAGTAAAGCAAATCTAAGGCCTTTTGTGAAAACCTCTGATTTTGATTAGATCACTCCCACTCAGTGTCAAGTGAAATTAAAACATACCACATAGGCAGAAGTGGCACTCACCTTTTCAGAAACCATTCTCAGAAAGGAAGATGCTATTCTTTAGAAAATAAAGTAAATGAGTACAGAAAGTGTCAGGCTGATGAATTTAAAGGCTGGACTACAAACTAAAAAGAAGTCATATAAGCATTCCCTTACCTGTTTTGATATTGATGGCAAAAAAATTCTGAGGATTTCCACTTGTAATCCTGTATGTCAGTTTTTCATTGGAACTGGAGTCAGGATCTTCAGCCTGGATCTGAATGACAGATACGTCCTTTGGAGAGTTTTCCATGACAACAGGATAATATATAGGTTCTGAGGTCAGCGGGGCATTGTCATTCACATCTTCAACTTCAATGTAGACCTCAATGGTGGAGTAGAGTGGAACAACGCCCCTGTCTGTGGCATACACTGTTAGCCAGTATGACCCCATTGTCTCCCGATCAAGAATGTCTGCGGCAGTGATGACCCCTGAGACAAAAAAGAGAAGTGTTACTGTCACAGAGAAAGGGAAGACATTAAATAAATAATCTCAAATTCCAAAGGACTACACTAAATAATCTTGGCATATGAAAAACACCCAAATCCATAACATAAGGTTAAATTAAGATGTCACTCTTTACATAAGAAAATGATTTTCAGCAGGACCAGATTAAATAGTTCTTCTACTGTTTATAGAGTATAATTACATTTACAAATACTTTATTTGAATTTTGGAGATAGATATCTCTCAAACAAACCTGAGCTCAGATGCACACACACAGAATAGATGATATAGAGGAATGAGAAGAGGTTGGGCCAGGGGTCAAAGCACTTCCCATGTTTCATGGGAAATCAGTATAGTATCAGGTCAATATCTCCATTTGACCTGATATTGAATTGACTTCTTATGCAATGAAAAGCTCTCCTAGGGTAAATTATTTTATCTGTTCATTTACAGAAAGAAGAAAAACCTTTCAAATATTCTTTTTTTGCCTGTTAGAGTGGAAAATATTTTGCCTGCAAAGGTGTAACCCTCCTTCTTACTTTTTCCCCGAAAATGAAATGTCACAGCTATTCCAACATAATCAGAGAAGAGGTCATATAAACACGTTCCAAACGAGTTCCATCCCCCTTAAGAACTCTACAGAGGGCCCTAATAAACTCTGAGCCACTTTGAGAGATGCTCATGGACAATCATTTTAAATTAGGAGCACAAAATGCCCAGTCTTTCCCATTTCATGGTTGAAACAAGTGCCAACCAGGAAATCAGATGTCTGCCTAAAAAGCCAGAGAAAACACAGTGCTCTTGTCTATCTTTACAACACTTACCCAATCACTAGGCTGCAGAAACTTACCACAGGGACAGGATCATGAGCCCATCGTGATGGGAAAACTCTGGGCTCAGTGTATAAAAACTGTAAAAGTAGTCAGGAGGCTCATAGAAAGCGTGAAATTCATGTAAATCCTTATACTATAAAAGACATTGTGAAAAGAGTCAAGAAACAGTTCTCCAGTTCTGCCCTGAATTCTCTATCCTCTGTATTCCTGTTAAACTTTTGTCTAAATTAGGCATATAACTTAGCCTATAGACCCTGCATAAGCAAACTGCCAAGTACAGCAACGGGGAGAGAGGAGGGCATCTGTCCAGAAACAGTTAGGCTGGAATACTCAAAATTTCCTCAAACTCAAGACAGATAAAATATTTAAAGGGTGATAACCGGATTGATGTTGAAATTTCAGCTGCTATGTTATTCACCAAAGAACTCTGCATAGTGGTAGGCCATGGGACAAAAGTTAATCTCAAATAATCTAAATGGAAATATGTAAAACAATGGGTTCCTATAGAATATGGCTGATATCTGGTAGTTAGAAGAGAAATGCCAATCTGTCATTAGAGGAATAGGTACTAGACAATAGAATAGGAAGAAAATGAGAAGTAAAAGCAACAACAACAACAAAAGCTATTATAAACGCAGTGATGTGTGTTCACTGATTGAATGAATAAAGACAGCTTTATAAACTGGGTTGACACTGCCATCTATAAGACCACCAGGATGACTAAATAGTGGAAAGGAGAACTTTATTGGCAGCCAATATCGGTTTGCAAACTGGGAAGAGATGTTGTCCAGTGTGTGCCGAAGGTGCTCTCTTTTCCAAGAGGGGAAGGCCAGGTTGGTTTTATGCCTCATAGGGCCCATAGCACACAATGCAGTCATACATATTCAGCAGATTTGGGAGAAACATCATACATATTTATGAGAAGACCATATTCGCAGTGGGCAAACATACATGCAACATACATTCTATGTTCACTTTGGGGCAGGATTTTAGCATTAAAATGAGGTGGAATTTGGCTCTTTACATCAAAAGATGAACTATAGGACACAAAGACAGTTTGTGCACAGGCTTCATAAGCCAGCTGATACTGGCTTAGGTCTGCAGTAGCTTATCAGAAAGTAATGTTTGTGAGACAAATCCTCTGTCCAACCAGAGTTTTAGTGGTCTGGGTTGTAAATCAAAGTTAGGACAATTTGCCTGGTAGCACTTATTGTTAGAGAGTCTAGTAGGAGTGTGGTTTTTCCTGTAGGAATTTAGAAATCTGCCATGCCAGCTGGGCCCTGAACCGTCAACCCAGAAGCTACTCTGTTTTTTAACCTTAGGATTCATCTTAGTTGATAAAGGACCATCTATTTTGGTCTCTCAGACAGAGTCAATTGTCAATATGACATTAAGAACCAGAGAAGGAGGGCTCTGAGGGTTGGATACCTGAACAGGTGTGAGCACATCTGTGAGTACAGGACACCAGCACATCACAGACACCATGGACAGTTTTGTGGAACTCTCATAGCAGTCAGTGCCATGAGGTGCCACCCAGGTAGGCTGGAGCTCTGCAAGTCATAGAACAGACAAGTGACAGGGAACTAAGCTGTCTCTGGGATGGAAACTAAGAGTAGAAAGGTGTGAGCTGGGGTGAGGGATACAGGTAATGTAACACAAAATAAATGTTCTGCAGTCTCTGCAAGGCACCTCTTCACTGCCATGAGACCTGTCCATTCAGTTTACAGGCATCCACTGGACCCTGTGCTGCCATTGGAGGAACAGAGATAATGAGAGGGTCTCTGTCCTCAAAAGACTCCCAGTCCTTTGGAGAACACAGATCTTTATTAAGGAGATCTGTACTGAGGGGATAAATGCATACCCAACAGCCAGAAGGGCTAATCTGGTTTAGACCGATATACTAGGAAGACCAAAGACTCTAGAACCAGAAGGGGATGGGAGGCAGGGGAAATAGCATTTACTGAGGATCCATAATGTGCTGTGAGATCTGTAATTCAAATTCTCTATAATATAAACTTTATAATTATCTCTTAAAGATAAGGACACCATGTTGGTAACTTGCCCAAGGCTCCACAGCTAAATGTAGAAGAACCCTAGACTGTCTGCCTTGAATAACCCAGTTTCAAATCTGGAATCCTTCACTTTCTACCCAATTGACCATAGAGAAGATGTTCAACCCAAGCGAATCTTGTTTTCATACCCATCTCTCAGTGTTGTGGTAATCATTAAATGTACACCAAAAGTTTGGCAAAATGCGTGTGTGGCATAGCACATGCTGAGTACGTGTTAAATCTATGTGAACCAAAAGCAATACCATAGGCATTCTAAATGGTAATCACACCCTAAAGCAGGGGATAATCTTGAAAGGTAAGAAGTTGGGGATGAATTGTCATGCCAGATGTTTTTTCTTCTCTGGTCATGTGCCATTCTCACAGTCTTTGTGATTTGCCCATTACATAATTTTTTTGTGTGTGAAAGTATCTGGCCTTTTTGGGGAACATCAAAGTAAGGTCACTAAAAAGAGAACATAATTCAATAAGCAATAAAATCAAGGAAGTTTTTCAGTTTTATTTGTCACCTTGCCTGACTACCTGCCATGCCTACATTTCCACGTATGTGTGTGTGCACGCACACACACACACACCAAAGCACTTTCATATAGAGATTTGCAGTCACAAAATTGCTTTGCGATTCCTGGAAGTCACTAAATTATTTTCTTCCACTTGTCAAACAGGAAGATGGTATATCACAGCCTTTGGACATTAAAGGATTTTGAGAAGTCCTTAGATGAAATGCCTTCACTAATACAAATCAAAATACAAGGGTGGGATTTTACCTTATTTTACTCTTAATGAAGGATCAGACATTTTCCTTAAAAATTAGAATTCTCTCCTGTTAAAATAAAAGATGTATATGGCTATATTTACCAAGTAACTAGAAGTGTGAATGAGTATCTTGGAACACAATGTTCAGATGTCAATTTTATGATCCAAAAATTTGAGGACAAATTTTAAAAGGACTGAGTCTGAAATGTGTTAATTACTGAGTTTCATCCAAGACTCAATATTAATCATGCTAACACCACTGATGTCCAGTGATAGCATTTCTGCATACCTATCCTCTTATAGCTAATGATAGTCAACATAGTCACAGCTAAGAATGTAAATCCACATTACCTCTTTTATCAATCAAATCTCACTTTTAAGATTGACCAAGGAATGCCAAAATCACATCTTGAGGGCCCTTAACATTGTGACAACCACAATGCATTCTTTATTACTTTTTTTAAAAATTGAGGTATTTGGAATACAATAACCTGTCCATGTCTAAAACAAACAATTGGTAAGTTTTGATTTTCATGAAACCATCACCACAATCAAAACAACAAACATATCCATCATCCTCCAAAGTAGCCTCTTTCTCATTTTCAATCCCTTACTCTCAACTCTTTCTACCCCCAGGTAACCACAGATTACCTTTCTGTCATTATAAATAACTTTGTATTTTCTAGAATTTTATAGAACTTAAATAATATAGTCTGTACTGTTTTTCTGTTTTCGTTCACTCACAGTAATTATTTTGAGATTGATCCATGTTATTTTGTGTATAACAATAGTTAATTCCTTTTCATTTCTTAGTAATATTCCATTGTGTCGGTACAGCATTATTTTTTTAACCACTGACCAATTGGTGAATATTTGAGTTGCTTTCAGTTTTTAACCATTACAAATAAAGCTGCTAAGAACATGCATCTAAAAGTTTTATATGGAAGAATACTTCCATTACTCTTGAATAATAACTTAGGGGTAAGAATGACTATATCATAGGATAGACATATATTTGCACCATTTCACATTCCCACTGGCAGTGAATGTGGAGGGTTCCAGTTGCTCCACATCCCCACTTGTGGCTGACTTGGCATGGTCAGTGTCTCAAATGTAGATATTCTAATGGGTATACAATGGTATCTCATTGAAGTTTTCATTTGCATCTTTATGATGTTAAGCATCTTTAAAAGTGCTTATTTTTCACCTGAATATCTTCTCTAAGATAAAGAAGTTATCGTAGGTTAAGTGTTCAAATGTTTTGCCTATTTTTAAATTTGGGTTGTTTTCTTGAATTTCAAGAGTTCTTTATATATTCTGGATAAGAGTCTTTATCAGATAAGTGATTTGCTAACTTCCCCCCCAGTCTGTGGCTTTTCACTCTTATAATAGTAATGTTTGAAGGTAAAAATCTTATATTTTCATATACAATTTATCAATTTTTCTTTTATAGGTCATGTTTTGGTATTGTATCTTAGAAATCCTTGCCTAATCCAAAGTCATAAAAATTTTGTCCTGTGTTTTCTTCTGGTCTAATAGTCTTAGGTGTTGTATTTATATCTATGATCCATTTTGAGTTTTCTTTATGGTGAAAGATATAGATCTAAGTTTATTTTTTGTATGTAGATGTTCATTGTTCCAGCCCCATGTGTTGAAAAGACTCTTCTTTTTCCACTGAACTGCCTTTGCACCTGTGTCAAAAATCAATTGCTACATGTATGGGTCTATTTCTGGACTCTCCATTCTGTCCCATTAATCTGTTTGACTACCTTTATGCCAATATCACATTGTCTTGATTAATGTAGCTTTATAAATCTTGAAATCAGGAAGTGTAAGTCTTCCAACTTTGCTCTTTTCACAATTGTTTAGGCTAACCCAGGTGATTTGCATTTCTATATAAATTATAGAATCATCTTTAAAATCCATAAGACACTTAGGAAACCCACTAGGATTTTGATTGGAATTAGATTTAACCTATAAATCAATTTGGTAAGAACTGGCATCTTGACAGCTTTGAGTCTACTGATCCATAAAAATGGTATTTATCTTTATGTATTTGTCTTCTTTCATTTCTCTAAGGAATGCTTTATAGTTTCGGTATACAAAGCTTACATATCTTTTGTCAAATTTATCCCTAAACATTTCATGTTTTTGACATATTATAAAATGCATTATTTTTATTTTAATGTCAATTGTTTAATTTTAGTATATAAGTTACTGTTGATTTTTGTATGTTAATCTTGTATCCTACAACATTGTTAAACTTACTTATTAGTTCTAACCAATTTTTTTTTTTATTGTTATACTTTAAGTTCTGGGATACATGTGCAAAACGTGCAGGTTTGTTACATAGGTATACATGTGCCATGGTGATTTGCTGCACCCATTAACCTGTCATCTACATTAGGTATTTCACCTAATGCTATCTCTCCCCTAGCCCCCCACTCCTTGACAGGCCCTGGTGTGTGATGTTACCCTCCCTGTGTCCATGTGTTCTCATTGTTCAATTCCCACTTATGAGTGAGAACGTGCAGGGTCTGGTTTTCTGTTCTGTGTTAGTTTGCTGAGAATGATGGTTTCCAGCTTCATCCTATCTCTGCAAAAGACAGGAACTCATCCTTTTTATGGCTGCATAGTATTCCATGGTGTATATGTGTCACACGTTCTTTAACCAGTCTATCATTGATGGGCATTTGGGTTGGTTGCAAATCTTTGCTATTGTGAATAGTGCTGCAGTAAACATACGTGTGCATGAGTATTTATACCAGAATTATTTATAATCCTTTGGGTATATACACAGTAATGGGATTGCTGGGTAAAATGTATATGTCTAGTAAATTTCTTAGTAATATTTCTAGCATTATTTGGCTCACTGGATCTAGAACCTTGAGGAATCACCACACTGTCTTCCACAATGGTTGAACTAATTTACACTCCCACCAACAGTGTAAAAGCACTCCTATTTCTCCATATCCTCTCCAGCATCTGTTATTTCCTGACTTTTTAATGATTGTCATTCTAACTGGTGTGAGACTGTATCTCATTGTGGTTTTAATTTGCATTTCTCTAATGACCAGTGATGATGAGCTTGTTTTCATATGTTTGTTTGCCATATAAATGTCTTCTTTTGAGAAGTGTCTGTTCATATCCTTCACCCACTTTTTGATGGGGCTGTTTGTTTTTTTCCTTGTAAATTTAAGTTCCTTGTAGATTCTGGATATTAGCTCTTTGTCAGATGGATAGATGGCAAAAAGTTTCTCCCATTCTATAGGTTGCCTGTTCACTCTGACGACAGTTTCTTTTGCTGTGCAGAAGCTCTTTAGTTTAATTAGATCCCATTTGTCAATTTTGGCTTTTGTTGCCACTGTTTTTGGTGTTTTAGTCATGAAGTCTTTGCCCATGCCTATGTCCTGAATGGTATTGCCTAGGTTTTCTTCTAGGGTTTTTATGGTTTTAGGTCTTATATTTAAATCTTTAATTCATCTTGAGTTAATTTTTGTACAAGATGTAAGAAAGGGGTCCAGTTTCAGTTTTCTGCATATGGCTAGCCAGTTTTCCCAACACCATTTATTACATAGGGAATCTATGACTTGTTTTTGTCTGGTTTATCAAAGATCAGATGGTTGTAAATGTGTGGTTATTTCTGGGGCCTCTGTTCTGTCCCTTTGGTCTATATATTTGTTTTGGTATCAGTACCATGCTGTTTTGGTTACTGTAGCCTTGTAGTATAGTTTGAAGTCAGGTAGCGTGATGCCTCCAGCTTTGTTCTTTTTGCTTAGGGTTGTCTTGGCTATATGGGCTCTCTTTTGGTTCCATATGAAATTTAAAGTAGTTTTTTCCAATTCTTTGAAGAAAGTCAATGGTAGCTTGATGGGGATAGCATTGAATCTATAAATTTCTTTGGGCAGTATGGCCGTTTTCACGATATTTATTCTTCCTATCCATGAGCATGGAATGTTTTTCCATTTGTTTGTATCCTCTCTTATTTCCTTGGGCAGTGGTGTGTACTTCTCCTTGAAGAGGGCCTTCACATCCCTTGTCAGTTGTGTATTTTATTCTCTTTGTAGTAATTGTGAATGAATGTTCACTCATGATTTGGCTCTCTGTTTGTCTACTATTGGTGTATAGGAATGCTTGTGATTTTTGCACATTGGCTTTGTATCCTGAGACTTTGCTGAAGTTGCTTATCAGCTTAAGGAAATTTGGGGCTGAGACGACGGGGTTTTCTAAATATACAATCATGTCATTTGCAAACAGAGACAATTTGACTTCCTCTCTTCCTATTTGAATATCCTTTACTTCTTTCTTTTGCCTGATTGCTCTGGCCAGAACTTCCAATACTATGTTGAATAGGAGTGGTGAGAGAGGGCATCCTTGTCTTGTGTGGGTTTTCAAAGGGAATGCTTCTAGCTTTTGCCCATTCAGTATGATATTGGCTATGGGCTTGTCATAAATAGCTCTTATTATTTTGAGATATGTTCCCTCAATACCTAGTTTATTGGGTGTTTTTAGTATGAAGGGGTGTTTAATTTTATTGAAGGCCTTTTCTGCATCTATTGAGATAACCATGTGGTTTTTGTCGTAGGTTCTGTTTATGTGATGGCTTATGTTTATTGATTTGCATATGTTGAACCAGCCTTGCATCCCAGGGATGAAGCCGACTTGATCATGGTGGATACACTTTTTGATGTGCTGCTGGATTCAGTTTGCCAGTATTTTATTGAGGATTTTCACATTGATGTTCATCAGGGATATTGGCCTGAAATTTTCTTTTTTTGTTGTGTCTCTGCCAGGTTTTGGTATCAGGATTATGCTGGCCTCATAACATGAGTTAGGGAAGAGTCCCTCTTTTTCTATTGTTTGGAATAATTTCAGAAGGAATGGTACCAGCTTCTCTTTGTACCTTTGGTAGAATTTGACTGTGAATCTGTCTGATCCTGGGCTTTTTTGGGTTGGTAGGCTATTAATTACTGCCTCAATTTCAGAACTTGTTATTTGTCTATTCAGGGATTCAACTTCTTCCTGGTTTAGTCTTCTAACCAATTTTTTATAAATTCCATAGTTTTGTACATAGATGATCATATCATCTCCAAACAGAGACAGTATTACAACCACTATCATCACTATCATGACTTTCACACACATCACTATTTAATCATTGTGCACCTGGTATTTTGACAGGTACAATAAATTCAGTCTTCATTAATTCTTTAAAATCCCTCATTCATTCAACAAATATTTATTACTGTAAGCACTCATGAGGCAGTTACTGTATTTATCCCCATTTGACAGATAAAGAAACAGATATAGGTTAAGCAACTTGCCAGTGATCACTCATCCAGTAAATATAAAATTCTCTTCTCAAACTTTAGTTTGTCAGACTCAAGACCAGTTGTTAACAAAAACCATATTGTCTATTTAATCAATATTTATACAAAACCCAGATACAGTATCATATCCAAAGACATTTTTCCCCTCTGATAGAGAAGTGTCATTACTAAGCAAACATTATTTAATTAATATTTTACTTTCTTACTCATGTTTTCCATACCGAATGTAGAAATCATAAAAAGATACTTTTTGGTACATCTTGGTATATCTTTGTAGAATATAAATATTTTTAAAAAGCATTACTGACTCTCTTCAAAGAGAGTCTGTTTTTATTTATAAAGATAGGCAGAATATAAATGTCTGTGACATATTCATAACCCATTACCCAACACAGTCCTGGAGTATTCATCCCCAGAAAGGGGTCTCCTTCCATCTATCTGTTCATAGTGGGTTCTATAATGGCAGAGTTTCTGGCTGCCTGACATATAGTAGGCACTCAATAAGTGTATGTCCATGACACTGATTCAGCAGTAGGCTAGTTTATATCAATGAAGCGATTCATTAGCCTCCCTCAGACCTGGAAGAGACCTCAAAGAACACTAGATACAATTCTCCTAATGAAAGCATCCCTTCCACAACATCTCTGACCCAGAACCCAGACTCTGTTCCAAATCAGGTGATAGGATCCTCACCATTTACTGGGCAGTTTTAGCTAACACAAACTTCTTCACACTGAGACAAAAATTTGGTCTCTGTAATTTCAAAAGCGATTTATACCTATATTCCCATTCACATTTCAGAATAAAACAGAACAACTTTGCAAACAATCTTTCTTCTGTGACAGCTCTTTCAGTATCAAAAGATAACGATTTCTTTGCTGGGCTTTTCTTCTCCAGTCTAAGAATTCCTTCCTCGTGTGCCATATAGGTTCTTTGTTCACTCTGATCTCTGTCTCTGATTCAATAGGATAGGACCTCTGTCCATTCATAAGTGCATGCTGAGTGGGAGTAGAAATGAGTGATTAAGAACACCTCATTTAAAAAATAAACCATCTACAATGAGCTTCTAGCATGTTTCAGGTAGTACTGCTCAGTGAAAAGGACTCAAGTGAATATCCCAGACAGCAATGTATCCTATCCCTCACATTTTTACCTATCACTGAAATGCTCAAGGTGGATTATGTTGAGATGCTCAAATTTTACCCTGATGTTTATAAAAATGTCATTTTCAAAATTCATTAGAAATACAGTTTGGATTTTTTATGTTCTTTGTTTTTGAGGTATGCTTATGTTTACAAAATTGTTCTTTTCTGTTTTTATCTTTATTTGCTGTATAATAAAGGCAGGAGCAGACCCAAAATTCTCTGGGCATCTTAATATTTAAATGAATAAGTAGATACACAGAAAGTATTTATTTATTTGTATGTTTGTTTTGGCAGAACTGTGCACAGACTGAACTTTAATTATTTAATTCCAGCATGAAACACATATTTGTTTTAATTAATTTTTATTCACAAACAAGTATTAGAAAAAAATGTGTACATTGTGCTCACTGAATCAGTCCTAAATATTTGAGATGAAAGGGGAAATATATAAAGCTGTTCATAATTAGATAAATATTACATGCTAGGTTGTTTACCTTATCTACTTTCTAGCCATATCCCCATATGCCACATGCCAAGTCTAAAATGACATCTTGCTCCAAAAGAATGACACCCAAACACAACAGCTCCAAACAACCTATCAGCGTATGGATCAGGGAATGCTTTGGGGGTCATGTGTTTATAACATGGTAAAAATCATCCTGCTGGGATAATTATTAGAGACTCTGAGGCCATTAAAAACAATCTTAAAAAATACCTTGATGGCATATCTGTTGTATATGCTTCTAACAGAGTCTGTTCACTTGTGCATGATTCATTTAACGCTTATTTCTAATTATTGAAAATGTAAATTCTCAATTTTCAGTGCATTAAAGATTTTTTAGCTTCTTATTCTGAAATAATTATAAATTCATAGGAAGGTGCAAAGAAATATATAGAGAGTTCCCTGCACTGTTTACCTAATCTTTCCTAATATTAACATCTCAGTGCATTTTTAAATTGCTTATTTCTTCAAGAGTCAAACTCTTTAAACTAGATTTATTTCTGAGAGCACATGAAATTCTTTCATGGGCTCCATAACCACTTTTAGCCAACCCCATGCCTGCCTCTAGCAAGATCATACAGATACTATTTTTCTTTCTTGTTCTATTCATCCTTGGACCTGTATAAGATTCTTAATGCCTTCACAGAAATCATTGTTCAGCACAGTGTGTGGTAACAGTTAAGGAAGAATGGGCATTTTATCCTCATAGGCCCAACCAGGGTCACTCCACTCACTCCTATAGTCATATCTGTAATTGCTGTCAGTCTGAAATATATGGACACAGCTGAAACAAATTGAAATGGCATGAACAGAGATTAGTAGAGAAATTGTGGGTGGAGATAATCTTTTTTTTTTTTTTTTGAGACGGAGTCTAGCTCTGTCGCCCAGGCTGGAGTGCAGTGGCGCGATCTCGGCTCACTGCAAGCTCCGCCTCCCGGGTTCACGCCATTCTCCTGCCTCAGCCTCCCGAGTAGCTGGGACTACAGGCGCCCGCTACCACGCCCGGCTAATTTTTTGTATTTTTAGTAGAGACGGGGTTTCACCGTGTTAGCCAGGATGGTCTCGATCTCCTGACCTCGTGATCCGCCCGCCTCGGCCTCCCAAAGTGCTGGGATTACAGGCGTGAGCCACCGCGCCCGGCCGATAATCTTAACTTAGATGTTTATAATGCTTCAAATACATTTTAGTGTGTTAAATACAATTTGCAGAAAGTCACTGGTTTGGACTGAGTTCCTGCACCAGGCCCAAAAGATCAAACCAAAATGGAGTCACTCATGTTAAGTTCCATGCCACCAAGCCAACACTAAGTTGTTTATCTGACCTTCCAAGAAATCAAGATATATATATATTTTAAATATATATATTTTAATATTATACATTAAAACATATTTAATATATAAAAATTTAAAATATAATTTATATATATTTATATATATAAATTTAAAATATAATTTATATATATTTATATATATTTTTTTTTGAGATATAAAACAGGGCAGTTTTAGCTAGCATGATAAGAAAGTCCCCTTTGCTTTAACCTTTACTAGGAAAGTCATTTTGAAACAATCAATCTGCTTTTTGTTCCAGTTCTGTTCTCCTTAGCCCTTTTCTGTCTATAAAGCCACCCTCCTCTGCTCAGCTCATCAAAGCACCCATTCTATTTTAGAGAATGAGGTGGTGCCTGATTCTAGAATCACAAATAAAAGGCAGTTAAGATCTTTAAATTTGTTGTGATTTTGTCTTTTGGCAACTCTGTCTATATTATATGTGCATATATTTTTATATACTTTATATGTCACATATTAAGATATATAACATACTTAAATGTATACTTCAATGCACTTTTTTTAAATTGGGGATTTTAAGTGAATTGCCCAGCTAATCAAGTGGCAAAGTCAGGCCTGGAATGTGGCACACTGAATAGAAGTCACACATTCTTTTCATTACATGAGGTATGCTGCTGATCTATCCACGTGTGTCCATTATCATGAAAAAGAAGGCAATTCCAAGTTCTTGTGCTCCTCACAGTGGGTTAGTATCAGCTCTTTGGTAATAGGAAATTCAATGATTTTATTACTTTCCTCAATTTCTAAAATTTGCTGAAATGTATTATTTTGAATTCAATATTATATGTTCTCTGAAGATTTTCAGATGTTGGATTGGTCTGGAACCAGGCAAATTGGAGGGCCAACTCTTCCTTTAATATCCATCACTCCTTTGCTTTTGTGCACATCTGCTCAGGCTGCTCCTTCAATCCATCTCCACAAATGGCCTCCTTTGCTCCTCAACCCTCAAGGAGGATTCAAAGAGCACTGTCACCCAGCCAGCCATCCAGGGTGGGGGCTGACCCCTCCTGCCTTTTATCTTAGCACTTTATTTCTGTCCCTCTACCATCCTACTGTGAGCTCCCCACTAGTAAGAAACATTTTGATTTGCTTTTCTCTATCCTATGATGGTGGCTAGAAATTTGGAACACTATAAAAATGTGGAATAAGTAAATGAAGGATAACATCATAACATTTGGTAAATTTAGCCAAGTTGGAATGTCTGGTTCTTTAAAGACAAGCTCCCCCTATGAATAAGAGCATTTGGAAACAAAAAAAAAAGAAGAGTCAACCAGATATTTTGTTATCCTGTGATCACCGGACAAAATAAAATGTGGATAGAATAAGCTTATAGTCAATTTCAGACTTCTTTAACGCATATGAAGAAGTGATAATTCAAGCTCTGAATTTCAACTCTCCATCTGTGAATTATCCTAAGTAATAAGACAATTTTCTTAAAATTATGCCCAGTTTTGGGTTTTCCCTTTGCTACCTAGAACGCAAATGGAGTCATGATAATATCCTCAAGCCTAGAAGCAAAGACATAGTTTGATGAAGGCATTAGCTGATTTTATCATGCACTTAAATGGTGCCCTGCCCACAGGTACACACTGCAGGCTGCCAGAATCAGTGCCTTCAGGCCCCAGATAAAGCGCCAGCAAGGCGCTCTAGATGGGCTCTCATCCACAGATTTGCCTCCACCCTGGACACTTTTGTTCTACTCTGTTCCCTCCTCCTCATGAGGATGCCCATTGATTAGGCATCTTTCATCTTTGCAGAAGGAGAAGAAAAACCCACAACACAGTTGTTGAGAGCAATTATGCACTGAAATGCAAGCCGCCTTCAGTGCCTGTTACTTCTCAAGGCTGTAAGTTGGAGAGCTGCAAGGAAGATTAAGGCAAAGGGCTTCAGGCTGAATTCAAGCTTTTATTTGGAGTTAATGAAAATGGACAGCTCTCCTTGTCTGTTTGGGACTCAGGAATTCTAAAACTTAGCTGCATGCTCAAAAGCCTCCTTGGCCATGATGTTCTGTAGGTTCAGAAAACACATACTTGCTTCTTGAAGTTTTCAAGATAAACTTTTCAGGACCCATTTTTATAGGATTCCAAATGCACACCTCTTCTCTCTATAAAAACTCTTGTCTGTGTAGTTGGCACCAGGCACCAACAGCTTGAAGACAGGAAGCCAAAAGAGTACCAAGCTGGGAGTGACATGTACAGCTTGCACTCTGTTTTTCTCTCCTATAACTTAGATGATTCCCAGCCTCAAATCCTTTCTCTGGTGGGTGCTAATTTGCATAACCACCATACACAGCACAATGGTATAGATTCATACACACAGAAAGAAAGGAAGGTTGAAACCTAGAGCAATGGAAAAAACACCCTCAGAGAATATATGAAATGAAGTCGAGACATGGCTTGTGTGAAGTGACTGAAAACGTGGAGGTTGTAACATGAAGTGTGGTCACTGGATTCTATTTCTTGAGAAGAAGAAATGGACATAAACTTCAGCACAACAGATTTCAGTTAGATATCTAGAAATATTTTCTGACGATAATGGTCAGTGAACACAGAAATAGCTATCTGAAGGAAGCTGAAGTTTATTTCTATTCTTGCTTCAGAGATAGATACATAGATAAACAGACAAGCAGATAGGTAGAAGATAGATGAATCTTTTGAACAGCAGAAACTTTTGGAGCATTCAAACTAATTACTAGGCAAATCTCTGCATTTAAAAAATCAACACTTCACTGTAGAAGAAAATATGAAATATAAATATGTTTTTAAAGTGCTGATTATGTCATGATCCAGAGATAATAACTGTTGGTGTCTTTGTTGCATTGCCTTTGTTCTATATTATTTTCACCCCAAAGCAGTATATTTATCTGTAGTTTTATTTAGGTGCAAAAGTAACTGCAGTTTTTACCATTCCTTAATATATTCTCACCATTGTACATGGAACATCTTTCCGCATTAATAACTTTAGTTCTATGACTCATTTTTAATGACTGTAGTGATGTCCACTTGCCCACTAGTCCAATAACACACTAAAATGTAAACTATGTGTAAGAATGTTCTCTCCTCCATCACTGCCATATACCCTAGAAGAGTGTCTAGCACACACACATGAGGTGCTCAATAAATATTGGCTGAAATATTCATGTGATGTTTACCATTTACTTAATGAAGTCCACTCTTGCTAGGTCACTTATTAGGTCATTTTAAAATTTTTCACTATTATAACTCATGTTTAGATGAATAAACTTGTATCCCTATCTTTTTTCAATTACTCTTTAGGATAAGTTCACAAAAGTAGAATTGACAGGTCAAAGGAGATACACATTTTTAAATGCATTTGACTAAATTGCCTTCCAGAAAGATTGTGTCAATTATATTTTAACCAGCAGTTTCAGATCACATTTTGATTAAATCGTTATAAGATTTGCATTATTTGTTGGGAAAAAACACAAAAATTAAAAATACTATCATTTACCATGTAGAGAGATAATAACTGATTTCATAAATTAACATCCTTAAACTGCTCCTTTTTGTATTTTGATAATTTTACTCAAGGACAAAATTCCATGATGTTTAGTAAGATAAAACATCATTGATGTTGATGTTGATAGAAAGATAGTGCTGAAAATTCTGCTGAGAAGATTTTGCATGAGGCATAATTTAAATTAAAATTTGTCCACAAAACTTTGAATTCTTCAGCCTTGAAAAGTGTTGTGGGATTTTTAAATAAAATGTCAGAACATAACCTTCAGCTCTTCAAGCAAGAACATTTTCAGGTGGATGTGCTGTCAGATATTAGCCATACTTTAATCCAATTTTTAGACTTATTTAATACCGACTCTCTAACTTAGCACAAAGAGTATCTGGAGTCTCTAAGCATTTGGGCTGAGAATTTGAGTTTTGCTTAGAAAAGCCTTTTCTCTTTCACGAAGTTACACTTGGAAAAAAGGTTCCCTAAAGTGAAATGACTTGGGCAAATCCTTGGTGCATATGCCCACACCCACATATTCTCAAAAGCCCAACTATTTCCTCCGTGAGATATGCCAGACAGGACAAAATATACTCTTAAAAATGTAATGAATGGACTTGAACTTCTCTCCTTTTACGCTGAAACTTTGTGGAAATTTTCCTTTTCAGATAACTTTTTCTCCAAGGCAAAAAGAACACTTTTTTTCATTTTTTCTGTATCAGAATCTGAAAAACGTAAGTAAAGCTACATCAACCCTGATACAAATCTCATACTTGCTACCCCTTATAAAGTAACAGCCTTCAGTAATTTCTCAATAAAATAATGAAAGCATATAGCTCACTTATTCTTTTCTCAAGTGAATGAATGCACTCTTTCACAGGTGATTTTATGTTTACCAAGAAAACATTTTTACTGGGGTTGCAAAGATAACTGCACATATGACACAGAGACAACTTTGACCAAAATAGCAAAATTTAATCCCCTGGAAAACACATTCTAGGTAATGGAAGTGAAACACAAAACAAGCAAAGGAAGACAGATTGGGGTCTTAGTTTTGTATTATTGTTTCTTCCTTCAACTATGTATGTTGTGTGACTTAAAAACTTATAACTACATTTATTATGACAAGTTTATAAAAGCCTACGATGGGAAAAGTGCCCTACAGAATGTCTATTTTCTTTCATCCTTTTAGGTTAAATCTCACCAAACTGCCTTTTCCTTTGACCAGTGTTGACACAATCACATAGCCAATGTCATACTTTGGTACAGTAATTAGGTTTGGTTGATTCGGTTATAGGGGGTATACACGCACATGCAAACACACACAGGGTGTGCGTGTGTGTTATAAGGGGCATATACACATGCACACATATACACATATGTTATATAGGATGTGTGTATATGTGTGTATATATATAGGGTGTGTATGTATCCTATATATGTACATATACATGTATATGTTGTATATATACATGTATATGTACACATGTGTGCATATGTGTACATATATGTGTATATATGTATATATTCCACATCTCCTCCAATTTTCCTATACGTATATACACACATATATGTTATATAGGGTGTACAGATATAGGATATGTGTGTGTATATATATACACCCTATATATGTATGTGTGTATATATACATGTGTATATATATGTGTACATATATGTGTGTATATACACACACCCCCACACATATATATACATATAAAAGCATCAGAGTACATGAGTGAAATCCTCAAAACTACCTTGCCTTTTCTTCACAATGGAAACAATAAACTCTTTGCTTTCCTATTTATAACCAAATAAGCAACTACAATAGCACAAAGAAACCAGGGTCCAGAAGGAGGGAAGTGTATGGTTTTCTCTAATTGAGTTTCTCCAGTTCTCATCTTCTATAGATTTCTTGGATTGTTCTCCAATTTTCATTCACATTTCATCCCATTAAATGGCTCTAACCTCTGACACACACATCCCGCCTTGTATTCATCTTCTTTTGGTAATTGAGATGAAATGTGCCCACTTGCTCTGTCGACAGCACCAGAGGCACTGACAAGACTTCGATAAATACTAACTCACTGTGTTAGACCAGCTTTGACAAGAAAACAGAAGAATTCTCCTCTATATTCCTTAAAACAGAATTCAGTGTGCATATGCACACAGCTTGAATATCTGTTAAATGCATGGATGTTGACTCACAGTGAGAAGGGAAAAGAAGAGGAGAAAAGAGAAGGCTGTTTTTAATATTAGCCTGTTGTCACCATGCTGCCTTTATGTTGCAGATAGACTAGTTCTTTAAAAATTTCTATATTTAAATGTGCTTAGTGATCGTAAGCTGTGTAAATACCAATACAGGTCAATGTTAGTTTTAGAACAAATTATTGAGATTTGCAAACAAATTGATATGCAGTTTCTTCAAGCCGGGGAAGAAAAATCATGATAATTTTTCCCCTTTGTAAGAACATTTATTTAAGCACTGCTCATAATGTGAAGCAGATAACATGCATATAATCAGAAACAACTATATTAGGAACTTGGAAAAAGGCAATAATAGTGTGAAATCTGGACTTCTGTGAAAATTCAAGATAATATGAAAAATATTCTGACCTTATATTAACATACTATTTAAAAATTGTGTGAATGGCTCAAATGAAGGATTCTGATGCTAGTTATAGTTATATTGTATGTACATTACTGATAACATATCCAATATCCAAAGGAAAGCTGGCTCACTGAAGCAAAAATGCATGAGAATGGTATTGTGGAGGTATTCCTCAATATTTGTAGCTTTTGGCTCAATTTAGGTCAGACAATAAGGAAAAGCTAGCAGCAAAGAGAAAAGAGGAAAGGCGTCCAGAAAGGAGGATCTTGGGGCCATTCTACAACCACCTTTCTTCTCTTCACATATCTAGAGTTTGAGTTCAACAGAAGTGAAATTTCAGTTACCTATGTGAGGTTGCAACAGAAAGGTTTGCAAAAATGCAAAATGTGCTGTTAAAAGAGAAATTAGGAACAGCCCTAGAGTTCAAGGAGACCATTCTGGACTGTGTGTTTTATGGGGAATTTTTGGTTTTGAGGTCAGTTCTGACCAGCTACCTGCCCAAAATCTTAGGCATGCTCTGTAGCCACAGATATGCTGTCCTGCCTTTCTGAGGAGTAGATGTCATTGCACGTGACCTTAATTATGGTGTTTATAGTTATCCCCCACCCCGCAACTAGACAGACTGTAATATCCCCCAGGGCAGAGAGGATCCTTCCTGTCTTACTCAACATGGAGTCCAGCGCCTACAGAGTGCCTGACAGTTATTGCACATAGTACACGAACAATAAATATTTGTTGAATGAGTGAATAATGTTTCTTCTTCCAGTGGGGCTTTGACTCCTGACTGTGCAGGAAGAGTCCAGCAGAGAATTATTATCATTTATCACATCTATTAACAATGTCCTATATGTGGTGATGAGTTGTAAGGCAAAACAAACAAACAAACAAACACCTAGTTAGTCCCAGGAGGGTAGAAATAGGAAGAGCTGCTAAAAGCAATATTTAATTAAAATAGTAGGAATCCCATATAAGAAAATGTAAGCTCCCCACTGGTTGGCACAGTCTTTTTACACAACTCACAGAAAGCTGCGGCAGATGTAGCTCTGTAACCTTGCTCTGCTGCAGAGATATCCCAGAGAGGGCAGTGATGCACACCAGCACCACACTGGCACTTTCAGCTTCAGCTCCTCCAAAATGCATCTGCTGCACAGCCAGACTCTCAGACCAGGGAAACAGACACCCACAGCCAGGAATCAAGTGTAATATCTAGTCGTCCAGGAAAGTTCAAAGAAGCCCAACAACAGTTGTGGAAGCAGCATCAGTCAGAACCATTCTCCCCAGCAGAAGTTCAAGAGCCCTTAATCAGAAAAAGCTGGCCCATACATGATCTGATGGTTGCATCAGCATCAGGAATTGGTTCAACGGAGGTAGCAGGCAGGCCTGGACAGTCTCTAGTAGGCACACACAACCACCTCCAGGAACTTTCCTCTCTTCTGTCCTACCTCATCTCCCTCCACTCACTGCTCCATCCACCTGTCTACTCCAGATACCTCAGAACCATCTGAATGTTTCTAAAGTGCATTGCATTGTTCTGCCTGAAATAACCACCTACCTCCCCACCCCTCAATAATACACACACTTTAAGACACAAACTGAACACTTCCTTCTTTATGAAGTCATGTCATTAATTCCAAAACAGACATGCACTCATTTCACCACCATACTTATAACCTACCCTTATTTTGGCATTTAATACACAATTCTGCAGTTTTCTATGTCTGACTATTGAATGAGTGTTTTACAGGAGAGCAATGTCTTATTCGTCTTCTGTCCTCCCAGTACCTGATACACATATCACTAGGCAAATGTGTACCAAATGAAAGGGAAACATTCCTGAACTGCAGCCAGTCACAAGAACGTCCTGCCAGAGAAAATGCTAACAGGTAAATCTTGTTGGGGAAATCAATAAATTCCACCAAGATAGCTATTCTTGTAGAAAGAGAAATTATAACAAGGAAAAGGAGGCAAAAGTATAATATATTCATAAGCAATTAAAGAGTGTTTCAAAGACATAGGCAACATAGGATTTTAAAATCAGCTATAAAAGGCTTTATTTTTAGTGGGTAATCAGTCATTTGCATGTTTCCTGCAGAGAACCAATATTAAACCCCTAAGTAATAGTTGTTCAGGACCAACAGTCTTTTGGAAACCCTTCCTTCTGTTTCTGCTATCAAAGTTGAGTGCTGAGCAGAGACCAGAGAGGTTTCAAATGCTACTTAAACAAACAGGCATAGTAGTAGCTAGGAACCATTGAAAAAAAGATGGGTGGAAAAATTACTAAAACAAATTAGAGCTGCTCCTTTAATGCCCAGGTCTGAGTACTGACCTCCCAAGAAGTCTGGCTCATTCATGGAATCTGTGTGGTCTTCTGGCTCTCACATTGTGTTTTCCATGGCACAACTTGTTTTTGGCATATGATGTGGACCTGACAGTTATGGCTGCTCTAAAATGAAAAACTACAACTAGTTAGCTTCCATTACATAATAATTCACAATCTGTGATGGAAATGTTCAAGTCACTTAGGGCTCTGATTTGGAACAATGTATCTCTTTGAATTCAGATGACAGCAGTAATTTATTTGGACAATGTGATTCATAAAATGTGCCTCTCCTTCACCATAACCTCTGCCACTATAAAATGACACTGCTTCAAGGGACCATCTCAAAAGAGCACAAAGCAAATCCCTTTACATATGTGAGAACTGTAATCCATCTAAGGTATAGAGAACTTTGTATTACCACAAGAACAAAATGAAACAAGTGTGCATTATTTTTTAAATTATATTTAGTAATGATCAACTTAAGATAGGGAATCAATGTAATAGACCAGACATGTGTATTTTTTAGTAAAATGAAAAAAATCAGAGTGTGTTGTCTGTAATGAGAATAAATAGCAATTTTTAAAACTTATGTTTGTGTGAGAACAAAAGAAAGAGAGAGGTTGAGAGATTGATTCTAGAGTCAGGTGGCACAATGAGAGTTCAGCTGAAAGATCCTAATTTTATTTATTTCATTTATTAGTGATATGCCCTTGTGGAAGTAACAACTTCTTCTAGGTACCTGTTTCCTTACCTATAAAATAGGAATACTATCTCATAAAGTTGCTTCAGACTTAAAGAATATAATGCATTTAATCCACCTGTTACAATACTAATGATAGTAAACACTATTTACTATGTAAACTGCTTAGCACAGTGCCTGGCACATAATAAGGACTCTTTAAATATTACTAATCATAGCTGCTAATATTACTATTTTAAAATGACTACTACTTTTTTTGGTAAGGCAATATGCATATTATAATCAGGTATTTTATTAAAATGCAAGAATCAAACATTATTTTCCAAAATCTATGGACACAAGTAAGCAAAGTCGATGGAAATTTTCTTGTTGCCACACTCTGAAACTGCTAGCAGCCTCTTCACACTCAGCTGAAAAATGGAACCCTAACACCAAGGGACTGTGAACTGAACCTTACATCAGGACTTCACCAGCTAGTCTTAATTAAGTTCACTTCTCAGACTAAAGCCAACAAGGCCAAATAGGTGCTTTAATAAGATTAGAGCAATAGGCTACCTTTGAGTGTTTACTTCACTGTACGTACAGGCATTATATTAAACCCATTTTAGAAATGAGGAAACAGATTTTAAAGTTTTAGTAACCTTTTCAAGGTTACATCACGCAAATGATAGAAGCAGGATTTGCATTCATGATCATTCCACACATCTTGAGAACCTCAGCACAATAAGTACATCATGATGATCAAATACAAATGCCCATCTATGGAAAGCCTCAATGGTTAGCATCCTTTTGGTCTGGGTGAAAGGCCAATAGTCTTGAGCTCACTACTTCCCAAGCCTTGCCATTCCAGCAGTAGTTGCAATTGTTAGGAAGATATTTTTTCATATCCTGTCCATATATTTGCCTGCCTACACTTTCCACCCATTGAAACAGCGCAGAATAGAGATTCAGCCTCTTCTGCTTCACATGTCTTAAAACACTAAGTGAATCTATCTTCTCTCTGCTTTTCCTCCTCTGGATTCAATATTGCTAGTTGTCTTTGGACATCACTCTTATAAGATGCCTGTTACTCATCCCTTCCCCAGTGCTGTTCATCTTCTCCTAGATGTTATTCAGAGTGAAAATATCTTCTAATGCAATACTCCTGATGCATTGGCCTGCTCAGAACAAAGAACTAGATTCTGAGAACTGGTTCATCTAAAACCCACACTTGTCTATCACTGTCCTCAGAGACTGCATTAGACTTCATAGGAACAAACTACCCTATCCTCTGCTTCATCTCCAGGTTATGGTCACCTAAAACATCAAGGCATTTTTTAAATGAACTCTTAGACCATCTCTCCACACTGATTTCTATGGTGAAAGATTTATGTTTATCCCTGTAATTTTTTCTTGCCTTGCTGCCGGCCCAGCTTTCCAAACTAGACAGGTCACTTCAATTTTTAATTCTTTCACAAAATTAACTATTATTCTCAGGAGTCTATCACGTACAAATGTAAAAAGCATGTGATTACATTAAACTATTATAACTTGACAGCCTATTAGAGACAGGTGGAAATACACACACACGCGCGCGTGCATTTTTGCTCCTCTCATTAAGTTGTGAACTCCTCGAGTTCATAAGCATGGCATCCTCTCCTTTTAGTACATCATGTGGGCACAGAGGTCACTGTATTCATTTGGACTGAATGATTATTAATTTGCACATGTCAAAATTCACTGCTAGAATTGATGATAAGCCAAGAGGCAGGAGAGAAAATAAAATGCCACATATCTGAAGTACAGGTTCAAAGGCAACGACTGGCACATGTTGCTTCCCTGAACCCAATCCATCATAAAGAGTTGACAGAAAATGGAAATTCATATTAGAAAAAAGCCCAACAAAAAGACAAAGAAGAGAGAAAGACAGGAGGAAAACAGGCATGCGCACATGCATACACTTCCCACACACACGCACTTCCCACACACACAAATGACTGTTGAAATTCCTTAAAGTAGTTACTAGACGGCTTTCACACATGAATACCGCCATTTAATGGCATTAGGTCTCTGACTCTGTATTGCTATTAATAGACAGCCTATTAGGGCTTTGCTATTTACAGGCTTCCACAAGGCAACATGATTTCCCAGTAGTATATTACCATTAATTGGTAAAAGGCACTCTAGGAATACCAGTCTAAGACAATAGCTCAGCCACAATTAAAACAGAATTGCATTTGCTGACCTAGACCACAAAGCAAAGTGTGCCTGGGAAATTCTCTGCAATATTTTACAACCTGAACTAATTAAAGATCACATTCCCCATACAGCCAGAAAGCAAACATGAGAAATACCCCCAGCTGAAGACTTTCTAGTTTGATGGTTACTATAATGAGTTCAGTCCCAAAGGTACAAGACAATAGAAAGCGGCTTCTATTTGAAGCTTGTGGAATGAAACTCTGACTTCCCTTAATTTTGGAGCAATTCCTTCTTGTGCACTATCAGTCTCATCCAAAAGCTGTCATCCAATTTTCCTGCAATGAACATAGGGAATGTAAGGGGGAAATCGATCTCATTGTAACCTGATAAATTTCTTTAACAGATTTAATGTTGAAAAAGATTAAAAATAGCATATCATGATTGCCAGACTGTATGCTGGATAAAATTCATTTATTAACTTAGGAGAGTCTTCCCTCATCTAAAGTAGGCAGTAGACTAAAACTGTTTTTACTATGTGATTAAAGTATCTTTACACAGCAGCCCTAGGCACCTCAAGTTATTGCTGTATTGCCTGGAGGTAAATTAAGGTGATACTTTTCCTTTTCCACAACTCTAATAGGATTGTACATTCTGCTGCTGGCAAAACCGATTACACTATTACCTATTGCAAAAGCCTCATTCCTGAATGCTGATGTGTGTTCTGTCACATCTGACTTGAAAAAATTACCTCTTCGCACTTTGTTCTGATAATGGGAAAACTTCCAAGAAGGATGTTTCCAGGGAGAGAGATAGAAATATATAAAGGAAAAATGCACATTAGGCACTGATGTAACAGATGTCACTATTTTGAAACATTTCATCATATTTTTCCTCCTTCAAATTTCTTTTACAATCAGCCTAATTACGTTAGCCAGCATTTTAGGGCATCAATCTTGTCCTGATAAATACAGGTATTTTTAATCTCCAACACAAAACCATTCCTAGAAGAAAAAAATACCTTATAGATCATAAAAGTACTTGATAGATTATCTATGACCATATCTGAAATTAAATTAAATTAAATTACATAATAACATAGTCTAATTTAATACTGTATGGTCCAATACAATCTTTTGGAATTCATCCTTAAAGGGAAAAATAAATATATGATATGTGTGACAGGTCTTAGCATTTTAATGTCAATGAGCCTAGCCTTCTAAATTTTAGTCAACAAATATTCATTAAGCATCTCCTACATGACAGGCATTTTCTCAGTCTACAGATCCAGTGGAGAATGTAAAACCTCAAGGAGGAATGAAAACATTTTAAATTTTACATTATTTACCCTTACTATCACTAGCATATTGCTTAGATTTCAGTCCCAATCTGAACATCAGAAATTTCTATAGCTATCAGACCCCTGACATTTGTAAAGGGAATGGATACCCTGAGAATTAATACTCCAAGCTCTGATGCTGTTACAGTCTCTTCTAGCTCTATTCTATCACTTTCCTGAGGGAAGTCACACTTCTTGTGTATCCACTTCCAACACCAGCTAACTGACTTTGTAAGTTTCTGAGGGTTTATTCTTTCTAATCATGGTGACTTTTCACACACACACACACACACACACACACACACATACACACACATACACACACACAAGATCAAGACTTTGTTCACATAGATGACTCAAGATGACACTGTGAACAACATAGCCAAGCTCAGATGTGGATGCTGGGCAGTCAGCTAGGGTCAGGGTCTCTGCAAATTTTTTTGCTATCAGCATCCCAAAACCAGGTGATAAAAATTAGATTCTCAGCAAAATCAGGACTGCCTATGTCAAACACCTACAAAGTAGTTCTTGAATAATCAAAACCGTTGATATTAAATCAATGAATACTAAAGGCATACTCTACTGGGTACTATTTATTAAGATTTCATTAGGTAATCACTTTTAATTAATCTTTAAATAGTAAATGGCAGTTGCACTTTATATAATAAAATACATGATTCCAAGCCAGCACTCAGGAAATGAACTTAGACAATTGGGCCAGCCCACACCATATAGAGACTTTCCCAATTCCTTTCCTGTCTCTCCTTAGCAGAATTAGTAACTTCATCCACTGTATTTCCAAAACAAATTTTGTGTACGATTAATAAAGCACTTACCATTCTCTTCCCTTTTGACATACCTACTCAAGGTCAGAGGTTGTGTAGTAACTGCCTCTGTATCAACAGCACCCAGCACAAGGTAGGGTGCAGAGTAGGTCTTCAATAAATGCTTGCTAAATGAATGATACCAAAATAACACATAACAAAATATAAAATTGAAAAAATAAAAGGAATAGCAGTTTACATCTCTATAAACACATGAAGGTTAAAGTTACTTTTAAGAGAAAGATAGCCTTTTGGCTCTCTGAGCAGCACCATGACGGTTAGCAAGAACAAGTGCCATACAAAAGGTGGCAAAAAGGGAACCGAGAAGAAAGTGGTTGCTTCATTTTCTAAGATATATTGGTATAATGTAAAAGCACCTGCTATGTTCAGTATAAGAAATATTGGAAAGGCACTGGTCATAGGGACTCATGGAACCGATTTTGTATCTGATGGCTTCAAGGGTGGACTGATTGAGGTGAGTCTTGGTGATGTGCAGAATGATGAAATTGCATTCAGAAAATTCAAGCCAATTACTAAAGATGTTCAGGGCAAAAACTGCCTGAAAACTTCCATGACATGAATCTTGCCCATGACAAAATGTGTTTCATGGTCAAAAAGTGGCAGATCATTATTGAAGCTCATGTTGCTGTTAAAACTATAGATGGTTATTTGCTTTGTCTGTTCTGTGTCAGTTTTACTAAAAATGTGCAATGGTCAGATACCAGAGACAGAGGACCTCTTACACTCAGCACCAACAGGTCCACCAAATTTGAAGGAAGTCATGACCTGAGAGGTACAGACAAATAATTTGAAAGAAATGGTCAATAAATAGATTCCAGACAGCATCGGAAAAGACAAAGAAAAGGCTTGCCGATCTATTTATCCTCTTCATGATGTTTTTGTTAGAAAAGTAAAAATGCTGAAGAAGCCCAAGTTTGAATTGGGAAAACTCATGGAGCTTCATGGAGAAGGCAGAAGTTCTGGAAAAGCTACTGGGAATGAAAGTGGTGCTAAGTTGAATGAGCTGATGGATATGGATCACCAGCCCAAAAATCTTTTTAAAGTTCAGACTTTTAATAGTGGTAGATAAAAAGTCCCATTTGTGGAAAAAAAAAATAAGAGCAAGAGAGTAACAGTGAGTAAAATGTTAGATGGTCAGTTCTTTGAGAGTAGGAGCAGGTCCATCTGTCCCTGCCACACCACTCTACCCCCAGGCCTCAGCATGTGAATTTGGAACAACAAAGACTATCATAAATATCTGTTGAGTCAACATAAAAGGGATCTGAAAACCAGATTCTCTTGTGTTTATGCCTGTTTCGCTTGCAGAAAAGTCTCCCCCAGAAGTATGCTACCGATATTAAAGATTACAAACCACCTCATCCGAGGCTCCATCTAATTGCTGGGCTGTAGAGAGAAGAGACTTAGAAAAGCCCTCTCTCCTCCAAATTTGCTTTTAAGTGAGACCTTACAAAACTGACCACAAGCTGGATTCCTTCATATAGTATCCTTGTCCTATTGATAGATAGCTTCTGACTAATTTAAACTGTGTCACCTCAATAATTATCAGATGATGTCATATCATAAATCTGGAGACAGGCTTGGGTCAAGTTGTGACTCTGTCATTAAGTAGCTGTGTGACCTCCAGCCAACTATTACATTTCTCACAGCCTCAGTTTCCCTCTTTATAAGATGGAGATGAGAATGACACCTCACAAGGGAGTCAAGAAAATTAAAAGAGAAAAATGTATGTGCAAGAGCTGCATCAACTTCAGCTTCTATTTGTGTAGAGTTTTCCATAAAAAATATTATTTTTTCCAACCAAGAGCTCTTCATTACGCATCTGTTGGTGGCATTTAAAATGCACAGACATTAACTTGAATTTGTATCTTCTCTGTAGAAGTAACCCTCTTGATACAAACTCATTATCTAACAAAAGGGCTCAGAATGTGAGTGCCAGGCAGCAGAAAGGGGGTTGTGGTCCCTTTTCTGGTGCCATGGAAGGCTAAGGGGACAGAAATGTGACACTAGCTGGGCACTAAATTAGGTATGGAAGGGGAAGCCCAGGCGTCTATGGAAACTAGTACTAGAGAAACCTAATCTAGGCTATAGAATTCCAGACAAACTCCAGACAAATGCTACTGAATCGCATCACCTAAGTCAGGTTCCATTCGAAATACACTTGATCCAAGTGAGGAGGCCAAACAAGGGCCAGCCTGGGGTGCACTGAGTGTTGAAGTCATCATTGTGAAGCTTGTAAAGTGGAAATAGCACGGGAGTCATGTTTAGGATCATTGCAGTGAATGAAAACCAGAATCTTTAACCTTTCCCAGGTCTGGGGTGTTGCCTTCAGTGCCTCTTCTGGCACTCTCCAATAAAACCAGAGAGTCTCTTAAAACTCAACTCTCATATTATAAAACATAACCCCTTTCCTCCTTTCCTAAAGTGATTTGCAAATCTAACACCGTGGGGCTGCAGGCATCATTCCTTCCTTCCTTCAACCCAACAAGGAATTAGTAAGTGTCCACAGTGTCCCCACCACTGCCCTAGAGACAGAATTACAAGTGAGAATAAAACAGAGGCTCACCGCAGTCACGGTTACAACCTAGCAGCACATAGAGCAACCCCATCCCAGATAGGTGACAATAAGTGCAGGGGGAGAAGAGGCACATGGGGGTCACTGTGAACTCTGATTTGGGCATGTGTGAATGTCCCACGGAGGAAGGAAATGTAATCTGGGTTCCCAGGATGAATAAGATCACCAGGCAAGAGATGGGGCTATGGAAGAAGATATTTTCTAAGAAGCAATAAAAAGTGTGGTCCCAGGTTAGAAGTAGGGAGGGGGAACAGCAGAGGGTGCGGTGGAGAGGCAGGGGGCACAGATGGAGAAGGTTTATGACACTATATTGTATTCATGCAACAAATATTTACTGACTCTTATGCATTAGGCACTGAGGGTAGAATTGAGCAAAATCTCGATTTAGCCTGAACACTCTTTAAGCAAAAGGCTACATACGTTACGAAACCCAGCAGCTTGTATTAATTGTCCATTCGGTAGGTAAGACGGTTGAAAGGGTGGTTATGTGCTGGCCAAGTGACCCTAACTGAAGACCTCACCCAAATGCGCACAACAGATTTAATCAATCAACAGTCTCCAAATTTACACACTGAAAATTGGTTGTGCTCATCTTTTGGATGGATCAACACTACAGAAAATGCATGTCTAGTAAAGATTTTGCAGGTTACCAAAATAAATAGCTAACACTTGGAAGTGTCTCTTCAACTCTGATTTAAACCAGCTGATTTGGGTTCAAATAGCTGAGAATTAAGAATCAAAATCATCTCCAGCCCATGTAGCTCACACTACACAGCTCTGTTAAATTACTCTATCAAGGGTCTGAAAAAACAGTACACTGTGTACATAGTGTTATTACTCTCTGAGGATCTTGTTTTGGATGTTATGTCTCAGAAATCACTGGAGTTGGATGGGTGTTCTCTGCAATGTAAAGCTGAACTCCATTTTACTAGGTACAGGGAGATTATACCCAGCTATGACTGAAGACAGGATAGTCCATGTGTCAATGATTGAAACAGCAAACTTCTCTCCTCTGAAAACTTTCTAGGTGTCTCAGTAAACAACTTTCAAAGCTGATCAATGGTTGCTTTCTGCTTCTCTCCTCCACACCAGCAAACTAGAGATAATGTGCTCCTAAGCTACTTTAGAGAAACAATGAAAATCATAGTGAAAAATATCTTCAATTGTTTTGAGCCAAACAAGCCAGTCAACATTTGTTGAACACTTCATTGTACACAAATTGTTGCAGCTGTCCAATCCCACTGAACTAGGCATTTGGGAGATGCGCGCTGGGCAGAGAAACCTGGATTCCAGCCCCAGCTCTGTCACTAATTAACTGTGTGACCTTGGATAACTAACCCTTGCTAAGAACCTCAGCCATTTCATCTACTCATAAAGAATACTGTCCCTTGTTCTGTCTACCTCGCTGCTTTGCTATGTGGATCAAATAAGACAAGTTTACAAAACCTCTTTGAAATGTATAATTTGCTAGGCAAATACAATAATTTATTATTAAACAGAAGATGCTGCATATGCTTGAGAAGGTTATGGACTAGCAGGAAAGAAAAAAAACCACGCTACATGGTTGTTGATTTTCTTTCTATTGCAAATCAGTATGTATATCTGCTAACCTGAGCATTTTAAAGAAGAATATCAAAAATTCATTTCCTAAATCAGTTTTCATGCTGTCCCTATATAATGTTTCGTGGTCTCATTATTCAAACAAATAATTCATGTATTAGGGTTATTAATGTGTTGGGATTACCTGGTCCTATGAACCGTTCCTGATGGTCAATATTGGGAGCCTTGAAATATAAGATTTTATAAGGTAGGAATCACATTTTCCACATGTTCTGTTAAGTGTTTCCTGACAACACTGGAAGCAGCATTTAGGATACTGGCAAGGAGGGCAGGTTCTGCAATAGGATGGCTTGGCTATAAATCCCAATTATTAATTATGAGAAATATTGGGCAAGTTGCCTAAATATTGTAATAATTTCCTCATCTCTATAATATGTATGATAACGGAAACTCTTATGCTACAGTTATTAAAAATTAAATAAGAAGATGCATAAAAGTACCCACACAGTGATTGACACACTACATGTTTGTTACATGTAGTTTATACATGGTGATCACAGTTATAAAAGTAGAAGCTACAGTGTACTCAGACAATGTAATACTTATATGCTGGAGACAACATGAAATTCACTCATATATTTGGGTATGTACATCCTCCATTCCAAAATTAACAATAATGATATTTTATTGAGTGACTATTATGGGCCAAATGCATTATCCCTAAGTAGATGATAGTAGCCACATGATACGGTTTGGCTCTGTGTCCCCAACCAAATCTCATCTGGAATTATAATCCCCACATGTTGAGGGAGGGACCCTGGTGTGAGGTGGTTGGATCATGGGGGCAGTTTCCTCCATGTTGTTCTCGTGATAGTGAGGGAGTTCTCAATGAGATCTAATGGTTTAAAATATAAGTTTTCCCCTGCACTCACTCTCTCTCTCCTGCCATTCTCAGGTATTTCTTTATAGCAGTGTGAAAACAAACCAAAACATCACATTTTTACCAAAAAAAAAAAAAAAATAGAATCAGATAACTTACACAATTTGCATGAGATCATACAGCTGTTAAATGACAGAATTAAGACTTCTCTCAGGTCTGTGTAGCTTCTGCTCATTCCACTAGGTCATTCTTGCAGCCCACTGCTGATTCCTGTTCAGCCTCAGAAACTCCTGTATCTCCTGGTGTCTTCACTTCCCATGTGGTTCATTCCCAGGGGTACTAATAGAATGAAGTTTGAGCCATCAACTCATGCTGCATTGTTACCACTAGCCTTCAGCACGTCTGTTAGTCCCTTTTGCTTCCTTCTCTGTCTCCTTAATTATAAGCACTAGGCCACATCCTAAAGGATTCAGAGCAGATTGACTCTTCATAGCTCCTGTCACCTAGGAACTCAAAAATCTTGCTGGGGACACACACTGTAAGTATTACAAGTGCTATGTGACACATGGGAAGAAGCAGAGTCCTCCCAGTTGAGGCCTAGAAGGAACATTCAAGCCCATCCTTGAGTGTGGAAGACCCATCCAGTCAGCATGAGTGAAGTGTTAGTGTATTCAAAGCACAGCAAGCCGTGCAGGTGTCTGTGAAAATAACAAAAGATTGAGAGGAAGCTTATTTAAGAGATCTGAGTTCTAGGCAGAGTTCAGTCCAGGCCAGGGGAACTCTAAGTACTTAAGGCAGGAACACCACCAGTAAGGAGCCAGTGTCTGCAGCTCAGAGTAAGGCCAACAGCCAAAGGGCAAGAGCTCTGGGCATAGGGAGGAAACTTCTGCCCATTATCTGAGGGTCTAATGCAAACAAACCAAGAGGCCAGGGCAGAAGTGACTTATCTGGAGGAGAAATTCTGAGAATTCAAGCTAGGATTGGGGAAAAAATATTCATTTCTGGAGAATGGTGCAGGCAGGTTTGAGACATCTCCATCAAAGGTCAAACCCATCTATGAGAAACGTCTTGACTAGACTTAGAGAAGAAAGCATAAAAATAAATTTCACCTTGAGAATGACAAGTCGTTTGAAATCTACTTAAGTTTGAGGGAGAGAAGAATCTCTGTAAATTGTAGAAAATGTAAAGAAAAAACAAAACAGAAACTCTGTTAACTCCTCTTATTTTCACCTCTGACTTTTATTTAACCTCATTTGTTTTTGCCAGCAGTGAAACCCACAGAACATCTTGATGATGACTGCCTCAGGGAGAAGGGAACCAGCATTTGTTCAGCATCTACTGAGTGCCAAGAATTTTAAATGTTTTATTTCATTTAATTCTTGCAAATTACCAAGTGATGCTCAGAGAAGTTAAATAACCTACCCAAGGTCACAAAGCTCAGGCTTTCTGTTGCTGCCACAGGGTTGGTACCAGATTTAGATGTTGGGACCATGTGGTATCAATTATGTTGGGCTGGAGAGGGGAAGCTCCCAGTATGAACTCCAAAAGATAGGAAGGGATTTATCAACCTTCCTATCTTCCAAACCATAGATTAAAGTGCTCTGGACACTGTCATCATCATTGTCATAGTAGCAATAATAATAAAGCTACCATTTATTTAGCAAATCTACTACTACTAATACATCACTGTTTTAGATTATTCACGTATTATCTCTGGTACAGAATACAACCTTGCTAATTATTATGATCTCCATTTTAAAGATGTGGAAATTGCATCTTAGAGAGGTTAAAGCATTTGCCAGTAGTCACACAGCAAGCAAATGCTAAAGCCAGGACTCAAACTCAAACCAAGGTTAGTGAGCATGGATGGATGGATGGATGAATGGATGGATGGATGGATGGATGGATGGATGGATGGATGGATGGATGGAAATATATATATAGTTGATGAATAGCATTCATTAAATAGGATTATTTTAACCAAATTGAAGCTGTGTTAAAACACAAAGGAGGGCAATCTTCTGTAATAGGAGTACATATATAATTACAAATTAGTTCAGAATCACCTAGGTCTAGCAAATTGCTTTGGCTGGAGAGCAATTACTGCATAAGAACACACTGAGTACCACTATATTACTGCATAAGAACACACTTCTGCATGCTGCCCCATCAAACTACTTTGGAATATAGACCACGCAGATGGATACAGGGGCTGTGGATACAAAAAAGCTAGTGAGGAAGTATTCAGCTCAGGGTGGTACATCACCTTCCTGTGGTTCAATCCTTATAGGTGCCCACTGAAAGAAAATAAGCACAGGTCTGTCAAGAGCCATGGCCAGGCTACCCACCTGTATCATCGATCAAGAGTAGTCTCTGCATGACTCTCTTAAGAACTGGTGACAATGGTCACAGGTTGTCTAGCAGAAAGAATTATCCTCAGGAACAAAACGAATTTACAATTCTACTCTTAATGTGAATTACTGTTGGAGAAAAGAAACTCAACACATTGCTCTAATGTCATCCCCCTACTGCTCCTCCCAGAAATGCTACAGCAATGCCAAAGAGCCCAGAAATTCCTACATATACAGCACTATTTCAGGCCTCTATACTTTTTCAAATGCCATACTCTTTGTCTGGAATGCCTTTCCTTCCATTGTCTGCTTGGAGAATTTTAAATTATCTTCAAAATCCCAGTTGTAGTATCCCCATTCTCCAGGAAGCCTTCCTGATTCTTCCCACAAGGTTTCTCAGCTGAGCACTATTAATATGTTGGGACTTACAATTCTTTGTGTGAAAGGTAGGGCTCTCCTGTGTATTGCAGTAGGTTTTGCAGCATCTCTGGTCTCTATCCATTAGATACCCATAGTACCTGGCCAGTTGTGGCAAATAAATGGCTCCAGATATAGGCCAATGTCCCTTAGGGACAGGAGGAAGGGAGAATTGGCACCAGCTGAGAGTCACTAAGCTAGAGTACTTGAGTGCTAAATCTTTGCTGTGGTTACAATGGCCTTTCTTGACATCTAAGTAGAGGAATCAATCATTAAAGGTCCTTCCTAATCCCATTTTTCTCTGCTAACATAGGGAAACGTTAAGATTTGAAAGAAGAATTTCAATAATGGTCCTCTAGGCAAACTCAAGGCCCCTAACTGTTTTATTTACAATCCTCTTCACAGAAGAGAATTATGCCACCGAGGTCAAGGAAATGATGAATTATAAAGATGGGAGTTCAAACCTTATGACCTTGGACCTTGATCCTAAGTTTTCCTATCTAAAAAGTGAAGCTAATTTTAGCTATCTTGTAAGGTTTCTGGATTAAATGAAATATATACATCAAGCTGCCTAGCAAGATCAGCAGCCCCTTTCCTCCAGAAGACTGGGAACAGGCTAATGTGTGAGAAAATGTTTTATGAATTCTATGAATGCTTTATAAACTGCAACTGCTAACCAATTTAAGGTTTTACTGTCTAATTTTTTAAAACTCAGGATAAAAATTGAGCTTTTTTCCTTCAATGCAACATCCAAAGAAATTCAAAAAAAATCTTTGGGAGGATGATTTGAATTAGAAATAATAATCACTTCTAGGTAAAAGCAACAACAACAGCAAAAAACAAGCAGACAAACAAAACAAACAAACAAAAACCCCACCACTTTACAGCATACAAAATCCTTTCATACACAATGTTTTTTGATAGTCTCCACTTCTCAGGAAGTTATCTGAAAGGAGAGGAGACAGCCTAAGAGAACTCAAGAATCTACCCAGGTTCCCAGAGCTACAAAGTAAAGTTGAGACTCAAATCCAGTTTGTAATAACAGACCTCTTTCCAGTGAACACTGTAGTAATATTTTAAATGCAGAACAAAGAGCCATTCAGCCCCAGCCTTTCTGAAATTTGAATTACATTCCTATATGCAAAGCTAGAAAGACAGTAGAGACCATTAGAACTGATTATGCCGATGGCTATCATCATTAGCTGCATATAAGCCAGCATTAAGGATTTGCAGACATAAAAAAGAGCTATTTCTTTTGTCAAAAACAATTATAACTAATTCTTAAAAAAGTATATTTTCAACCCAAATCAGATGAAGGAATAAGCCAAAAGGAGAGATGGGCTCTTTCCATACTGCATGCAGAATCTCTTAATTAAACCCAGACATTCAAAAGTAGTTTCAGAAGAAAGGTTAATGAAATGGGGTAGGGAGGGAAAACATCTCCAGAGAACCCTGCAGACTAGTTTTCTGAGCTGCCTCTTTCGCTGCTCATGGGAGAAAGTAAAAAAAAAAAAAAAGAAAAAGAAAAAAACTACGAAAACTCATTTAACTTTTTGGAATCAAGAATGGAACTGAGCTACTTTTCAGCCTTCTGCAGAGAGCTGTGTCATAATGTATTTTCCCCTACTCCGTCCAGCCCGACAAACAGTAGCTGAGTTCTGGATACACCCTTCTTCATCTCAGAGAGGAACTAATATAGTTTGATATAGAGCAATGATGTCCTATTAGCATCTGGTAGGTGTTATAAATTTGGAAAGATATTAAAGTAAGAAGGAAAATCTCAAAAAGCAAAGATGTTTTGCTTTTTTTTGTACTTTTTTAAAAATTTGTACCCAAGTACAATTATCCATGACCAACTCTCCTCTATGTTCCATGGCAAAAACAAACTATCGTATAGAGGCCACTGCAATCCCAGACCAAGGACCAACCTAACAGACTCTCCATAAGATCTCACCACAATTGAGTGAAGAGCAGGGCGAAAGGATAAGTACATTCGGGGACTAAATACAGAGGAAAGTGCATTCCAACCAGATGGAAAAAATGCATAATGATCGGGAATAGGCCTCCAGAGTGTGGCTCTAGCCCTGAGAGTATTCATTCATTCATCAAATATATATTGTAATTTTTTACTATTCCTGTTCTGCCAGGTACTGCCCTAAGTGCTAGGGCTAACATGAGAAGCAAGAGTGGGCATGGTTCTCATTCTCATGGAATTTATCATCTAGAAAGTGAGATAAGCATTCACATTAACAAATGCAGAATTCTAAGCAGTGAAGTAAATGCGTCTATGAGAGATCACAAGAGTAACATCAACACAAAATGCAACCACCACCAACACCATTTACTGAGAACTTACTCACCAGGCATAGTACTATGCACTTACCTTATTTGACTCTCCTAGGTGGATGGAGTAAGCTACTACTATCACCCAATTTTAATATGGAAGATATTAACTTTCCTAGTTTTATGAAGTAACCTGTGCTTATCACTTTAGTGTTGAGGAAATGGAGACATAGAAAGGTTAATAAATTTGCCCATGATTTTACAGCTAGTAAGTGGCAGAGCTGAAATTCAAACCCAGGCAGGTGGATTTCAGTGCCCGTGCTTTTAGTCAGTGTGTAACAAAGACTCCTCATCCAGGCTGAGGTGGGAGAAGGCTTTGCTGAGCAAATAACACTTAAACTGAAAGGTAAGTATGAGTTTATCTAAAGAGAGATCAGAAGTTAATCCAAAAGGAGCCTGGGGGATGGTTCTAGGCAGAGGAGGGAAACTTGAAAGTATAGGGAGGACAAGTAGGATATAATGGGATTCTCTACATCTAGGAACTGATTCTTAAAGTGCGGTCCCTGGACCAGTAGCATCACTGACCTCTGGAATCTTCTTATAAGTACAAATTATTGTGCCAGGTCTACTGAGTAAGAAACTCAGGGCTGGTTGGGGGGCGGGGGGGGGGGCGGTGCTAGTTATTTATTTCTGTGTAACAAATTGCTACAAAATTAGCAGCTTAAAACAGAAAATATTTATCATTTCATAGTTCCCATGGGCCAGGAGTCTGGGTACCACTTAGCTAAGTCCTCTCCTCAGGGTTCTATAGGGCTGCAATCAAAGTGTCAGACAGGCTGTGTTCTCTTCTGGAAGTTCAACATGGGAAGAATCACTTACAAGCTTATTCAGGCTGCCGGTAGAATTAATTCACTTGTGGTTATAGGACTGTGATCCCTGGCTTCTTGCTGGCTGTCATCTGGAGGCTGCCCTGCAGGTCCTTGCTGCATGAGCTTGCTCAGCATGGCTACTTACTCCATCCATCCAGCAAAGACTCTCTGAAATAAATCTGCTAGCAAGTCAGAGTCTTATATAAGCTATTGTAATCGTAAGGGTGACACCCCATCACCTTTGCTATTTTCTATTGCTTAGAAACAAGACACAGATCCCTTGCACAAGAGAAGGGGATTATACCAAGGTGTGCACACCAAGGGACAGGGATCGTGGGGGCCACCTTAGAGTCTGTCCACCACAGACCCAGTACCCTGTGTTTGGCAAGTCTTCCAGATGACTGTGGTGCATGCTCATGTTTGAGAATCACTAGTCCAGACTATGGATTTGAGAGAGAATTAGAAGGTAGGGTCATAAGAACTGGGAGCTATAATAACCCTATTAGATTATACAGTTTAACATTGAGGTTAAGAGCATGGGCTTTGGAGCCATTAAGATCTAGGTTCAAGTCTCTGCCATTTTCTAGATTGTACGACTTTGTGCAAGTTACTTAACCTTATGCTTTTGCCTCTTTATCTATCAATATATTATGGCAATCCCAAGGAACCTACTTTTTAGAGTTTAGGGTTGTTGCGAGAGTTAAAAGATCTCTAGAGTACATTATATCTGTATGTCTGACGCTAAGGACGTGCTCAATAATACAGGCTACTGCTAACATCTGTGGGATTCAGTTCTTTCCGTAAAATGAGATTAGATCAGACAATATGTAAGGCACTCAGTTATAGAATTCAAATGTAATAGATAAAAAATTATGCTTTTCAGAAGATTATAACTTTTTCTCTGATATCTAGAATAGTAATAGCAACATCCAGCCTGCAAATGTTTTATTTCCTGTGCTGCTAGAAGTGAGCAGCTACCAACCTCCTTGGTTTGATAGAAAAACATCACCTGCATGGCCCTCTTGGAAGGCATGGATTACCCTCCAGAGACCCAGTTCCTATATCTGCCTACTTTGAAAAAAATAATATGAAACAGATTAAACCAAGCTACAGCAACACCCTCAGGATTGCTTCTAAACGATTACTAAGTGGGGACCCCATTCTGGAGGAACCAGTGCTCTTAGCTGTCCTGAATAAGGGGCAGAAGATGTTTCTTCTGCAAAAAGACAATGACCCTTTTAAACTCTGCCTTTTCCTCTCCCTTGTTCTTTCATGCCTCTTTCTCCCTTATCCAATCAGGGTTAGGCTCCCCAATATTTGAGAAAAGCTTTCCATTTAATGAAATGATTGCTAGTAGGAACCAGATGAGAGTGGGACACTGAGCAAGATCTTGGCAGGATATAGGGGAAAAATAATTTCAAACCCTCCTCTAATTCTTGGTGCCCAGAAAGGTAAGGATCAGAGTTCACCTCTGTGAAAAGAAAGCTGTTGTGTTCAGAAAAATCATTTGAATGGGCTTTTAGCCATGCAAAGCCAGACAAAGACTTAGAGAATAGAGTGGAAGATACAATAGAGAAAAACATGAGGAAATGTCTGGAGGAAACCAAATTTATTGCAGTAACTAATTCTGGAGATACGGATGGAATCATTTGGGCAGGTCTAAGAGAGAGCATAAAAAATCTGGGATTTTTTAAAATTGCACTTAATTACAGTATCTGACACAAATAAATGCTTTATAGAATTAACTAAGGGATTAATAAATGAACGAAATGAAATCCTACATTCTTTTCCCTGTACTTTGTAATTTAATCTTTCATTGTTGACTACTAAAATATGAGATGGACATGACCCCAGGAAATAGCAGACACGTGTAAAAAAAAAGGACAACAAAATGTGCCTCCAAAGCAGACACCACCATCTGCCTAGATTGGAAAGTATAATTTAGTAAAAAAACAGGCAGAACACGTAGTTCAGAGAGTGTTAATACACAGTCAATAAAGTAACTAACCAATCCATAGTAAAAGCCCCCTAAAGGACAATTCTGCTGTGTTTTATTCTGAGAGCAAATTAAAGCAAAACAAAGATGAGTCTACCAAAAAAAAAAAAAAAAAAAAAAAAAAAACCCCAGCAGCCTCTCCTCTATTTCACATATGAGTCCTTAGAGGAATTCATGGAAATTATTCATATTTTTCCCATATCTCCTACCTATAGTGTACAGTGCCAACCTAAAAATTCCTTTGTTCATGTATAGCTCTCTGTATGAAATCTAGGTTCATGGCTTTACCCTTTTCTATTTCCTGCATGCAGAATATGCTCAGAATTATCTATTCATGAGCAGCATTAATCTAGAAAAAGATTCACAGAGTTTTGATAAGGTTGCAAATTACCCAGTTGCCCAATCAGAAGTCCTGTCATCAAATCATTAGGGGTTGTTTTAACATACTACAATTCTTAGGCTGCATAAAAGCTGGTGTTTCATTCTTTGCAATTGAGCACTGTTTCCATGCCTTTCTGGTTTGTTCTAGCAGCTGATATAATTCCCATGGGACTTATGGTATTTAGTGTATATGAATTTGTAACTGTATTTGTTTGTGTGTGTGATGAGAAAGATGCAGACAAATATTTTCATTCACATAATGTATACATCCCCATAGAATTAGCTGTTCAGACACTAACTTGGTATTTAGGCCCTTTCGTTTCTGTGTAATCTATTGGATTTGGTACCTCATTAAGATGATTAAAATAAGCCATTCTATCAATATGCAGTCCAATTATTCCAATAGTCTAAATACAGCTATAGTCTGGTCCTTTCCTGTCTCTAGAGAAGCATGACTTTGCAGACAACTGTCTTCCAGACTTTGTTCAGGGCGCTTGGGGCACTTCAGTCTCCCTAAGGTCTTTTAAAATGAAATCTGTCAATAAGCAAATGAGGCGGAGGGCACATATGCAGAAGTCTTTAATCTTCAGCATTTATTTAACACCTATACTGTGCCACCATTTTCAGAGAGAAAGTATTGGACACATATATAAACCAATACTAGAATTCCCAGGGGTTTAAATTAAATAATGGCCTGTTTTCATTACATTATTGTCTACCACGGCACATGCCAAGCTTCTTTTTAATTTGTAGAACTGTTTGATTTGAAGTCAACAAAATATTTAAAATGACCTGTTTTTCCTTAGAGGTTCCCACACATAAGCTTAACTCAATATTCTTTAACCCAAAAATCTTGTTTTCTAAAAAGTGTGTACTGAGTAAACTGCTAGGCTATACAAATACATATGTGTGCCACATACATTCACACACTCTGAGAATGCACACATTTCCAAAGACATCGCCCAAAAATTACTTGTCCAATTAACTTCTTTATGAAAAAATAAATTCAGTTCACCTACAGACCCACTACAGTAACCATCTAACAACCCTGCAGCCTGATTGCAGAATATTATTAATGGTGGTTATTAGCTGAAGATGCAGCGTAGAAGCGAACATATAGAGTGAGATTTACAGTTATTACTCTGTGGAGAGAAAGCAAGAGTGACTCAGTCCTTCTCATCTAACTTACAAACAATAAGCTGTGGGTTTAAGATTAAATGATTTGATTTTTTTCAGTAATTTACATAAGATAAAACTGATGCATCGTCATTATCATCTTCCATCATCCAATGTTTTAAAGCTCTGTTTTGCCTTCCCTGAGGAGGCCTAATGAAGGCTATATTCCATTGTTCTGAAGTAGTTTTTCATCATCGCCCTTTCCCAGAACGATTTTGAGTTGCACGCTGTACCTGCATTTATCCACCTCGTGCAAATGGGCACTCTTATCAATGACATTCTTTAAGCAGTATCTCCCAGAGGTTTTTCTTTTACTTATAATATAGTCAAACACTAGGAAATAGTCTAAATATAATTTAAATGTGCCTAAACTGAAAAATTTGCTTTATGGTAACAATTCTAGCATAAGAAAGTAAATAAAATATAAAATAAGAGAAAACATAAAACTGCTAAGGAGGAAAACAGCACCATGGAATTTGTGAAATAGGAATAATTATTTTCATAATTTACATAGATAGCATAGACAGAAGGCCAATTTGCGGATCCTATGCCAAGAAGAAGACATACCTTTGGACAAAGGATAATGGATTAGAAAATTCATGCAGATGCTCACATTGGAAAACTGAAGGGACTCAGCCCTTGACCACTTACTTGTGTCACAGGCTAATTCTTATCATCATTAACACTGATTGTGACATGTGACATAGCACCCTCATGTGAGTGTACCACAATCATAATAACTAGTGGGCAATCTAGTGGGAAATGGCATTATGGCAGACCTGGTAATTGCAACTTGAGTTCTACCAGTGACTGAGCAAGTCAGTTAATAATCCTAAGAATCAGTTTGCTTATTTTGAAGAATTTAATACATAAATGCAATAAATGGGCATTTACTGAGTGTCTTCTCTGTGCCAGATACTATGCAATGATCTAGGTTATCTGACACTTTCATTAGACTGTAAACCTAGTGAGAGTTTGTACCTTACACGCATATCATTGTACCTCCAGGGATATGATGTGTTTGGCAGTGCTTGGCATAGAAGAGGTGTTTAATAAACAGGGATAAAAGAAAGGATGGAAAAAAGGATAGAGGAAAATATAGGTGAGGATAAAAGATAAATGAGATAGGATACATACCCACAGAGATCTCACAGTCTAGTAGACAGAGAGCTACACAAAAATATGTTAGAAAACAGCTTTGCTTAGAAATAACAGAAAAACCTGTAATCCCAGCTACTCAGGAGGCTGAGGCAGTAGAATCACTTGAACCCAGGAGGCAGAGGTTGCAGTGAGCTGAGATCGCGCCATTGCACTCCAGCCTGGGAGACAGAGCGAGACTCTGCCTCAAAAAATAAAAGAAAAAGAAAAGAAAAAAAAAAGAAATAACAGATAAAAAAAGATGTGTTTGATAGGTGAAGTACAGAAAGATTATGAAAGCAGTCAGGGTATGATGGACATGTGCAAAATTCCAGACAAATGCACTCCTTCCAGATTGCCCAGGGCCTGTGCAAATACTGTGTTACCTGTACACTCTAGTTCACTTAGCTTGTCCAAGCATCAGCACTATGGTGGTTTTCTGTGATGCATTTTACCAAATGACAATGCCAACATCTCTCAGTTTATTTATTTAGCTGCTCCCAATAACTAGCTGTGCCAGTGTAATTCAAAACACCAAAGAGCACCTATGACTCTTTTCATATTGTACATGCAGTAATTTTTCTTGCCTTTCCCTTCTTGATTTACGATGATAACTGCTCTTTGTGACTGCTTCTGAGACTGCTGGTCAGCTGGAATCTGCTGGCTGACAGCAAAGGTGTTATAAATCCCAGAAACCTAGAAGGAACTTTCCCTCTCGCTTTCTCAGACTTAGGGATGCTGCACTGTTTGCCAGGAATGCAGTGTCAGGAACGGAGGCGAATATGTAGTTGAGGAAGGGTGTCGGCACAAAAGAGAGAGAGAGACTGGCTGCTCAGGCCTGACTCTAGGCATGAGGGCAAAGGAAGAGGTTTTGAGAGGTTACTGTATTGGGCTGCCAGAACTGCAGAGCTGAGAGGGATGCGGAGCTGAGAAAAGAGAAAGCATGTGGATGGAGCAATTCTAATTGTGGTGCTGGCATGTGATGGGGCCAGGACAGTGATAGGCTGGAAAGTCAGAACGACCTGTGTTGGAGTCTGGATTTAGTTTCTCACCTGCTAGATGACTTTGGGGAGCAATTTAATCTTTTTAAGCCTTATTTTCTTCAGTGGTAAAATGGAGAAACATAAAAAATACACCTCCTAACAGGACTGTTGTAAGGATTAAAAAGTGCTGAGCACTGCATGTGCTCAGCAGCAAACCTGGCACTGTGATAAGGACCCAAGAGTTACCAATGGCTACTGCTATTACTATTAAATCTATAATATCCATGCCAAGAATTTTAATTCACAGAAGTGTTCTCATAAGTGAAAAAGACTATTCATTGTAATAATGTTGGAAATGATGATAAATGGAAAACAATCTGATAGTGTTCACTAACAAAAGCAGGGTTTATGGTATAGAGCATTCTTACTATATTAAAATGAATGAAATCTATGTGTACTGACATTGAAGATGTCTAAATGTATGGTTAAGTAAAAAAAAGACCACGTTTAAGAACATATATATAGTCTTACCCAATTTCTCTAGGTAAGCAAGTTAAATGTTATTTTTTAAAAATCTAAAAAATATACATATGAAGTAATTAAAATGATTATCTCTATGGAGTAAAATTAAAGGAAACTTTAATTTTCTAAATTATACTTTATGTGTGCTTTCACAAAAATCGATCCATTTTATAACAATAATTTTTATTACCATTTTAAAGATGCAGATTTTAAGATAGCAGTGCTTTTTAAAAATAAACTTATTCCGAATAGTCTTTTTGCTGCAGTGTCCCACTGGCCACACAACTCAAATATCTGGTGTTTTTCTAATTTCTAGACAGCAACTTAAAGCCTCACTGCTCTGAAATCTCACAAAGGAGAGAATAAATAAAGTACAGTAATTAAGAGAACTAGAACACCAAGTACAAAGCATTTATGTTTTAGATGTTGACTCAATTTATTTCATTAGTTTCCTTTTTAATATCCTGAGAAATTATCTGAACCAATGCAATATTAGTTTTTGTTGAATAATACCAAGAGAATAAATCCAAATCCACCTTCAATTAGAAATCCTCTTCAAAACAATTCCTACACAAAATAAACTAGATTAATGCATATATTCACTGATATAGGTAATACTCTATTTTCTTGAATTTATGTTTCCTATAACCATATAGCTTATCCTGAATAGTTTTTTTTTCCAAAAGCTTTGGAATTTGATTTTGGGAATAATGCAAAGCTAGAAATATCACTAGCATCCCAATAAATAATATAAAGAGGTAGATATTCTTTAGAAACATATTTTTCAAATTATATATAATTTAAATATCATCATTGCCCAGATATTTCTATTTGAATAGGCAAGAGGTGGAAACAGCACAATTCCTTTTAACTGATTGAAATGATTTAGCATTTTCCTTGCAATGCATACTCACATATGAGACATAGATTGGACAAATACTGAATTAACACAATGATTATATTGACAATTCAATTCTGCCTTCCTGACCATCAGTTCAGTTTCTCTTAAATGAAGTACACTCTTAATCATCTTTTTGGAGGCAGAAACTTCTAAGTTTGCAACGATACCTTTTCATTTATATGAATGAGTAAAAGGGGCTGGACATAACATTAGTAGTTTTCCTCAGCTAAAGCTTCACTCACACAACAAACGTTTGCTGGGCACCCCCTTAGGTATCTTCTCTTACTGTCCCATTCATGAAATCATAACTTCACTCCATACGATTGATTCATTTAGACATTTCTGGTCATGCAGCATCCAATGGAAGTATTCCACTAAAGCCAAAATCAGCAACTGGACAACTCCCCAATGCTTATAACTAAGCACTGATGTTCACTTACAGTCACACAAAAAAAATGTGCATTGCTTCCACTTTCATAACCCTGGAGCCTCTCTGATCTCCCAGGAAAAGCCACATGCATCATAGAATGCTGCTGAGAATGGACATATTACATTTTGCTACTAATGTCAGAGAGAACTAGAAGATTTGTTTCATGTAAGCTCACTAGGGTAGTGGAACACAAAGTCAGCTGTTCCTCTTGCCTTTCACCCTATGAGTTGCATTCCAGAAAAAAACTCACCAATGCAGTTGTGGTACTGGGAGAACCTTGATGCCAATGCTTTCCTTAATTCATGGGTAAAAGCTCTGGTATATGTTTCTTCCATAATTTGAGGTACACAGAGGTGGCCGACTCCAAAATATACTGCCTTTGACTCCAAAATATACTGTCTTTGAACTTACTCCAATTTAAAGTTTGCATGCTTGGCACTGTTTTGTTTTGTTTTGTTTTTTGAGACAGAGTCTCACTCTGTCGCCCAGGCTGGAGTGCAGTGGTGCCATCTCGGCTCGCGGTAAGCTCTGCCTCTTGGGTTCATGCCATTCTCCTGCCTCAGCCTCCTGAGTAGCTGGGACTACAGGCGCCCGCCACCACGCCCGGCTAATTTTTTGTATTTTTAGTAGAGATGGGGTTTCACCGTGTTAGCCAGGATGGTCTCGATCTTCTGACCTTGTGATCCGCCTGCCTCAGCCTCCCAAAGTGCTGGGATTACAGGTGAGAGCAACCGCGCCCAGCCTTGGCACTGTTTTAATTGCTTCTTATTCACCCTGTTGGTGAGGGAGGGATTCCCACCGTAGCACTGTAGGGTTGGCTGACCACATGACACCCACACTGGATAGACGAGATGGACAGCAGTTTATTAGTCATGTATACACAAAGTCCAGGGGAGAAGGATACCACACAGGGCCATATAGGAGTTACACTTGGGAGTAAAGCAAATAACTACTATGAAAGGCCAGCTTTGTAGTTCCAAGAGGGTAGAGTGTCCCCTGGTTCTCATGAGACAATGTGATTGGCTTGTTTGAATAATTTTGCAGGAGGGCAGGGAACTGAAGCATACTAATGAGGAATAAGCAGAAATTTTACTTAGTCCCTTTGATAAAGAAGAGTGTTTGACCAAGGGACCTTATCTACAGAGGCAGAATGGGAAGGACAGCTTGTATTTAGGCCATTCAAGGCCTGCATGATTTTATCAGATTTTAAGGCAGCACGTAATATTGAGCCTTAATTTTAGTTCCTACACCCTAGGCACATAGTAAATACTTACAAATACTTGCTAAATGAGTCATTGAATAAATGTTGTGAAAATGGAAGCATTTTAAAACTTTGGAGTCGCTGTATTTGGCCCATGACCTTAGGCAAGTCACTGAACATTTTAGTTGTATTTCAGTCAATTAAAAAATGTTTAAGTCTGGGTGCAGTGGCTCATACCTGTAATCCCAGCACTTTGGGAGGCTGAGGAGGGCAGGATGCTTGGGCCCAGGAGTTCGAGACCAGCCTGAACAACATGGAAAAATCCTGTCGCTACAAAAAAATACAAAAAAAAAAAAAATAGCTGGCCGTGGTGATACACACCTGTGTTCTCAGCTACTAGAGAGGCTGAGATGGGTGGATTGTTTGAGCCTGGGAGGCAGAGGTTGCAATGAACCAAGATAACCCCGCTGCACTCCAGCCTGGGCAAAAGTGCAAGACCCTGTCTCTAAAAAAAAACAAAAAACAACAACAAAGAAAAGAAAAGAAAAGAAAAGAAAAGAAAAGAAAAGAAAAGAAAGAAAGAAAGAAAGAGAAGGAAAGAAAGAAAGCCAGCCAGGCGCAGTAGCTCATGCCTGTAGTCCCTGCACTTTGGGAGGCCAAGGTGGGTGGATCACTTGAGTTCAAGACCAGCCTGGCCAACATGGTGAAACCCCATCTCTACTAAAAATACAAAAAATTTTTAGTAGCCAAGTGTGGTGGTGGGAACCTATAATCCCAGCTACTCAGGAGGCTGAGGCAGGAGAATCACTTGAACCCAGGAGGCAGAGGTGGCAGTGAGCGTAGATCACGCCACTGCACTCTAGCCTCGGGGACAGAGCGAGACTCTGTCTCAGAAAAAAAAAAATGTATCAGATAGAAAGTGCATCGTTTCTGTTTATCTCAGGAGGTTGTCAGGTTGTTTGGGGAAATAAAATTGTTAATATATGAGGACAATGCCCAAGTCCTTTGAGAGTCTTAGAAGACCCTATATCATCTCCTGAGTGAGGAACTCGTTGGAAGCAATAATTGGTAGTCGCCAAGGCCAAATGAGCTGAAGGGCAGTGATGGTAAAACTGGAAGAAAGAGATGGACACCAAGCTTCATGTTGAAGTTAAACCTACAGAATTTCAAAGTCCAGGAGGAAGTTTTACAAAAAGGGAACAAAATGACTCTAATATGTTAAGTCTGGGTGACTGGGAAAATGATGTTGTCATCCGTAGTAAGATTAAATTCAAGAGCAAAACTGGCTTACAAGAGGGGCAAGGTGATGAATTCGGTTACCAGCTGAAGACAGTTTCTTTGAAATAAATATCTTGATCTTTGAAACTGTGTTTTCAAGGCCTAGGAAAACATTTTATTTGGAAAATATTTGCCTGGCCTCACATAGCCAGTGTTTAACCTATAGCTAGCTGTCTTAAATAACTTCTCTATGCTGGAATCTTTTCCCCAAGGACACGTCAGGAAAGTAATATGCCTCTCTAGCTTGCTCACAGGTATACAAGGCCTTCTGGCTTCTACACTGAAGGCTATCACCTGGGACAGTATTACTGACTTCTAACATGCACACAGTTTCCTAGCCCCGTGCCATGCTGCCATGTTGACAGAACTCCTGCAGCACACTCTTGTGTAAGTTAAGCAAGGTCAAGTCTGATTATGACTTGCATAGCCTGAGCTGTCTAACTGGTCTTGTGTTCTAATACAGACATAGAAAAAATCAGTGAACCTTGAATACATTCAACCTTAGATATTTACTCGGCACCTGCTCTAGGGTCAGGTACCAGCTGTTGTTAAGTATAAGAGCTATAAAAAGAAATAACACATTTTCTGTCTTTGAGAAGCTCACACTCAAGCCAGAACACAGACAGTAAAATAAATAAGTACACTAGCAAACATTAGGTGCTAGAATAGATGTAGACATAAAATGTGAGTGAGCAGTTGATTCCAGTGAGATAATAGATAAGGTCAGAGAAAGAACACTGGAGAACATTTAAAGACATGCCTATAAGAACAAGTACTTATAAAAGGACAGAAACAATAATTATCCAAAAAGAAAGGAAAGACATATTCAATTTTTGTGTTTAGATTGCATATATCATTTTGTACCTATTACTTGATTCCCTAAATTAGAAGTCTGACAGTTTGTATTTTTAAAATGCCCTGTTTGCCACCTACACAAAGCAGGAGGCCGTGGACAAAAATACACTTCACACCAGAAACTCCAAAATAGTGAAATCTACATTGTCATCTGTTCTATAAAACAAGCAGTCTCACATTACCATAGAAATCTCCATTCTTTTCTGTGGGAAAGTATTTTAAATAAAGCTGTCAGACAGTCTCAATTAAAAATAATAAACAAAAGACCATTTATGGTCCCGTTGGATTCACTACTAAAGTTCATTAACGAACTTACCATCAGGTATTCAGAAGCTAAAAGGTAGCATATGGAGGAATTTCCAACACAATTAAAAGACACTATTTATGTTTTCCATTACCACCATTGGCTTCTGGCAGTCTGGACGGAATTAAACAACTGTCTACACAAATCAAAGCTTCACGTGGTGGTCATGGTGGAAGAACAAATATGCAAGTAGAGGAGAAAGTCACAGGAAATATACCTGATATGGGCAACTTCTTGTAATTTTCCAGAAAAAATGTGGTTAATTTTTAGTTCCTCAGTACCACTGTCTTCAACTTGATCCTCTAATACAGAGTATTCATAGTACCCACTGCATTTAAGTAAATGTGAGGCTCCCTTTTCTCTCCATGTTGATTTCTTTCCCCAAGCACTCTGAGTGTCTTCGTTTATAAAGCTTTTTGTTCTTGCAGAGATCAGGACTTTTCACACAGCCCATTTATTAGGTTTTGATAAGAGTCAATGCATTTATGTGTCTTCCATTCACCCCCAAGTACGGCTGTATTCATTTGCTCTCTGCTTTCTGCAGCATCTCATGTTATTGCCTCATTTTGTGCTTTCTGCATGTGTATGTGTACAAGGTGGTGGTGTGTGTACTGGTCTGCTGATAAGACCAAGGAAATTCTAAACTCTCTTTCTGCCTCCAAGATAAGAGATAGTAACCTAGGATGGGCAGAAGCAAACCTGACTTGCTGTAATTTTCCTTACAACCCAAATGTACTTAGATGGCTTATATAAATGGTTTTGAAACTAGGTTATACAAATAATAGATATTATTGTCAGTCTGACATTTCCATCTGGTCAATTGCTTTCAGGTGGCTTCAACAAAAAGATGGTGATCTAGCCAAATCCAAAATAAGTTAAAGGATGCTTTCTTGATATGCGTATCCCAAGTCATTTTCTCAGTATTTGGTAGACCTCTTTACTGTCCACCCACCCAGCCCTGACACTCTCTCCCTTCCCCTGCACACACTTGTATACACACACACACGCACACACACACACACTCACACACTCACTGCTGGCCAGCCCAGTGTCTCCATTAGACATGTGAACCTTGAAAGGGAGGTGATCTCTCACTTGAGCTGTCTCATAAATCACTAAACCTTCTTCCTTTGCTCCACATTAACCTTCGGTCTTTAATTTCTTCCTTTTCACTTGATTTTATGACCTGCTCTCTCCATAAAGCCTTTTTATGAGGATTTGTATGGAAGTGACTCCCTACAAATAAATTTAAATTTATATTTGATCATGATTCTAGTCTATAACTTTAGATTTAAAATATCACACTCCAAATTCATACTCATAAATATGTGAACCAATGATAATTAAAACTTTTTAAAAATTTGGAATATTCTCAAATATTCCTCAATCAGCTGAAATTTTTTGTTTGGTTCTTTGCTTTTTGTTATTTTGCATTTCTTTTTTTTCCAGTCTTCCTCTGGTAAACAAGTAATTGCTGAAGAACTAACAAAGAATGTCAGTAGTTTCTAATGTTAGAAACTGAAGCCTTCCATACATAAGAGTGAGAGTTTCAAGGCTTTGTCTCTGTGGGGGCCATGAAACCACAGCCAGCTTTTCACAGCATATGTAGGTTCTTTTGAACTGTTTCACCTTCCCTCTGACCCTAGGATCCCACAATGAAAAAAAGCCAGGGTAGCATCCTAGAGTATATCCACATCTATTGTTCATCAGTGACCCAAGGACAAAAAAATAGACAGCCCAAACAAAATGGTCAGCAGATCATTACTGGTATGTGGATGAAGTTCTCTGCCAGGAGATAAGAAACATGTCTTGGAAGAGATCATTAAAAACAGCATAAGGATTTTTTAAAAAGATGCAGAGAATCCCAGAATTTCCCAGACAAGAGAACTAAAGAAGACAGTTACCCTAGAAACTAGAGGAGACACAATCCCCACCCTCAAAGACCTTCCCATGAAAAAGACGGAAAAAGAGGCACACATATGCAAAAATAGCCTTTAATCAAGACCCAGGATGATAAGACCAAAACCGCCATTGTGTCAAGGTGGGTACGAAGAAAGGAGAAATATTTAAAACCAGTGGGCATGTGGGAAGGGCAATGTGCCCATGAGGCCTGCCAGGTGCAGATCATCAGAAAGCCATTATTGCTTGCATTTTTCTAAATAGAACAAGCCATGAATACAATCAGGAAGGAAAAGAGATTAGAAAGATAGCCAAGCACATTTTTAGCCATCTCTAGTATTTTCCCCACTGTCCACCTTCTTAATTCTCTTTTATCACTGGCCTGGGAGTAACGTGACATCAGCCTATACCCCTGGCATTACCTAAATCCAAAGAAACACTCTTCCCTTCACCTCTTTACTTGGTAACTCCCACTCCACCTTCTAGTTTCTGATTTCCATCTCCAGGGAGCTTTCCCAGGACCCTGGTTCCATTAGTCACCCCAGGCTCTGAGCTCCTGGAGTCTCCTGTTCTCATTGAGATCCTCATCTCCCTGTGGTCCCTTGTCTAAGGCCTTTTGACACCTACACTGCACCCTGAGCATCTTGAGGGCTGGAATGACATCCATCCCCTTCCCCTTCCTGTATGCCCAGCACACTGAACACATTTGATACATGAATTACAACCAGTTAAGGTAGAGTCTGTGCCCTTCCTACCACTCCCAAGCCCAGAATTATTTTAGGTGCAGTGGCTTGAGGCTTTTTATAGGAGTTCATCATTACCCTTTGTATTTCATATGTACTCTTTTCAGGCCAGGCAACATATTTGTATATCACCTCTAATGTATATACTCCTGGTAATAAATTTCTCATGAAGAAATATGTCCTTGGCACAACCACTCTTCATTAGCAGATGGATTACTCTTTCTTATTAGCTGGTCTAGGAGCTGCCATTAAGCAAAATGGCACTGCATCTGAAATGGGAACCACCAGAGGAGTGAGCCTCAGCACAGGGTTTATAAGAAGCTGTTGGAGCAGTGCAAGGGAATCTCTTTCCTCTCAAAGGAAGATCAGGCTGCTCCTTTATCTTCTGACAATCAAAAGTTACGTTCTCCAGTTGGATTTGACATTACCTAATGACAAGGCATCTATGTGGTGTTTGTAATTCTCAGCTCCATAGGAAGGCTGGCAGCAGACGTGTCCTGACAAAGAGCCTTGAGTGACAGCAGATCTTAGGAATGCCGGAGGAGGTCACTTTAGTCATCTTTCCACACATAAGGCCCATGAAGTGCCAAAATCATTCTGGGCTAGCAGTGTAGGAATAGTATCTTCATTTAACTATGTGAAAAATAAAAGCATTCTGAGTTTCTTGCTAGTCCCTGTGTACACAAGGTCTTTTTCTCTGTGAGAGGGTTTGCTGACCAAAGTCCTCTTCTGTACATGGTGATTGGGACCCTGGCTTTAAGAGTTGGTATTTAACTTAAGTCCAAAAGCAGAGAAAGCAAATGTCTCACAAACATTGGGAGAGATTTATCAAACATTCACACAGGAATATGTCCTAAAATCCAATCTATTTCAGTCTGTATTGACGCCTTAAGATGAGATAATCAAGGATGTACTTACTACATTTGCAGGTGAAGTTAAATGAGGTGATGTTCCAAATACTCTCAATGATGATAAAATTTCAAAATAATTGTAATCAACTAAAAAAGGGTCTCAAAGAAAAAAGATGAAATGCTAAAGACAGATAGAAGGTGTGAAAATATAATAAGATGGTGGCTGATGGATTTGATATCTCTATCCCTTCATCTCTCTCTGCACAACCCCACCCAACACACACACACAAGTGAGAACACTGCTAATTCCAATTAAATTAACAAACATTTACTGAGTGCCTGCTCTATGGTAAGTACTGCGCCAATTAAGTATACAAACATGAAGAACATAGTTTCTGACTCTAAGAAACTTATAAGCCTAATTAGAGAGATAGATACGTGAACCCAGAGTCACAAGTGAAGGCTGCCATGTGTAGATAGTGATATGTACAGAGGCACAGGAGCATACGGGAGGCTGCAGCTCAGTGGAGACTTTTCCCAGAAGTTTACATTTAAGCTAAAGCTTAAAGGATAAGCAGGTTTGCAAAGCAGATACAGGGCAGAAGAAAATTCCAAAAATGTGGAGGAACAAACTGGAAGTCACAGATAAACGAAGAGCAAGCAGCCTTCTTAGAACCAAAAACTGGCCTATAAGAGTGGTTCCTGGGCAAGGGGGCAGAGGGGGCTTAGATCATAAAAGGCCTCTTCTGCCAAGCTAAGTGCTGAACATTGCCTACTGTCTCCAGAAGGGTTTAATCGCAGGATACTAATAAGCTGGATAAAGGGGAAGCAAAGCAGGGTGGTGGGCACTCTGGAGGCCATGACAGCTATGTCGTGTTTACACTGACAAGTGAATTCAGACATGGAGAGGGTGTTAGTAGTTCAGTTTTTATGTAGAATATTCCATTGTACTTAGAGCTCATGGTACTGTATGCTATATACACAAGACAGTCAAAAACATGTGTCGACTTGAATTATTATCTTAGCTGGAAACATCTTTGGTGTCCACAGAGCTAGGCAGTTTTATTTTTCTTTTTGACTGCAAATACTACGTCCCAATGCCTCAGTATATACCCTTATCTCTTGTCTGTATTCTCAAAATGCTTGCTGGTTGTCACAAGACAGACTAAACTAGAGAGTGTTGATCAGTCCACCAGGTCAAACCTATGATGACTGGTAGAAAAAAATATTCAAAATAAAGCTGCAGAAACCAGGTTACCAAAGAGCCATCAGAAGTGGGGCAGTCAGTGTTGGTCAGGGTATGGGGAACTGATAGCCACTTACAGTACTGCTAAAAGTAAAAGTTGTTCATATGATTGTTATTAAATATAGCATTTCAGAACATTCAAAAGAGTAGAGAAAAAATATACACCCACACACTGCTCATTTAGCTTAAGAGTTAAAACTCAGATATAACAGAAACTCTTGTAAAGCTGCTCCACACAGTGTCACTATATTTCTCACTGTTATGCACACTTTTTGATATGTTTATTCCATGTGAACTCCCAAAATAATACCTAATAATCTTTTGCATTTTAAAAATAGTCTATAAATTACATACATAAATATACATACATAAATTATGTATGTAACTTACAGAATATATATATATATATATATATATATATATATATATATATAGCATATGAAAAGTAGGGTCTTTTGAAGACTTTTACCTTTCAATAATATGTTTTTTGAGATTTATTTATGCTACTAAATGTAGCTCTGGTTTATTCATTTCACAGATGTATAATATTCAACTGCATGAATGTATCACACTATATTTTCAGAGATGGACTTTTAAGTTGTTCCCAGTTTCCTGCCATTAGAAGGAATGCTAGAATAAACTTTCCTGCATTTGTAGATGAGTTTTCTTGGATACTGATTAGCGTAAATGCATTTTCAACTGTCCTTTGCATATGGCTAAGTTGTCCTCCAAAGTTGCTGAAACAATTTACACCATCCCCATCTATGTATGAGTTTCTATTGCTTCACAGCCTCAAAACCATTTATTTATAGCCAAATTTAATTTTTGCCAACGTGAAGGGTATCAAATGGCTCTTGTCATTTTAATTTGTCTCCCTGATTACATGAAGGTGAGCATCTTTTCATGTTTACTGATCATTTTGGTTTACTCTTCCGTAAAATGCTTAGTTAAGACATTTGCCATTTTTCTGTTAAGCTATTTGCTTTATTGTAGGATTTCTTTTTTATATGTTAACACTAATATTTTGTTAAGAGTTTTTATAGGAAACAAATTAGTGCTATGTATTAAGACCCTTAAAGATGCTCTCACCCTTTGCCCCAATAATTACACTTCATTTAACTTAAACTAAGGAAGTAATAAAAGTGTGCTAAAAGATTTAGGCTTCGGATACTTATCAAAGCATTGCTTATAATAGGAAAATATTAAAAGCACTGATCTTAAATAATAGTCATAAAAAGTAAATATATGAAATTCTCCAACACAAAGGGATGGACATATCTATCAAATAGACTGCTACGCAGACATTAAAACTAATGTTACAGAAGAATGTTAAAAATATATCAAATGAAAAAAGCAGGTTGCAAAAAATTCTCAAGGAAAAATATGATACTAAATGTAGCTATTGCTAGTTTATGGGATTACAAGTATGTTTCCTTCCTTTTATTCTTATTTTTTCTAAAATTTCTATGAAGGATATGAAATAATTTTTTTAAAGTCGTCATATAAAAATAATGGGATGACTCTTTAAGAATTGGACTATCAGGATAAAATGCATCTAAGAGACAGAATTTTGAAAAGTACCAGATTACAAGTAGCACTGAAAGCTACAAATAGGACCAGTGTGTACATGTGTGCAGGACTTGGGTTTCCAAAGCCAGGCATTTCAGCCAAACCCACAGAAAATGATCACCCTTGGATCACTGCTGTCTAACCTAATGAAAAATAATAACCCAAGAAGTTCTGTGAGTTCCATGTACAGCAGGGCTTGGTGTTTCCCAAAGGACTTACAATCTAAGAAAGACAGATGAGACAATTAAGATCAACAGACAAGAGATGGGAAAGGCAATTTGTACCCCAGTCATGGAATGGGGATATGGTTTCTATGTTCATATTTACATTTCAAGACAGGTTTAAGAAGATTTAAGCCAGATCTAAATAGAAAATATAGCTGAAACTGGATGTAAGAGTTACAAAATAAAAAGTATACATTATATAACTGATGGTGGAAGACATCCAACTCAGAATGAGAAAACAGATTCAAAAACACCTTGACCCCAAAGTCTGATGGCCTAGTCCACTAGAATAATTGTCTTTAGTTTATGAAACGTTTGCTTATAATTATCCAAAATTTTGAAAGAATCAAGGTCAAGTATGGAAGAGAGAATTTCCTTCAGAGTAAGAGAGGTCTGGGTTCTGCCTCGGGCAATAAATCTCTCAGGGCTCAAATTCTTTCTCATGAGAATGGAGATAATCACACAGTATCAGTGTGGCATGACCACTGGACCGTTAGAGATAATGAAAATAAATACTATATGTGACATGAAAATATTAATCATGGGAATATAGTGTTCCTTCTGCACTTGGAATTGGAGCATGATTGGATAATATGTTCCAGATATTTAACTGTTACAACATGTAAATGAAACAAAACTCTAAAGTCTTGATTAAAAGTCTAATAGGAACACAATTTATTTGGCTTCAAGCTTTACTTTTTCTGTTTAGTGTATATTTTTTATCTTTAATAATCACAAATTAGGCCAGGTGCGGTGGCTCATGCCTGTAATCCCAGCACTTTGGGAGGCTGAGGTGGGCAGATCATGAGGTCAGGAGTTTGAGACCAGCCTGACCAACATGATGAAACCCCATCTCTACTAAAAATAAAAAAAAATTAGCTAGGCATGGTGGCAGGTGCCTGTAATCCCAGCTACTCGGGAGGCTGAGGCACGAGAATCATTTGAACCCAGGAGACTGAGGTTGCAGTGAGCCGAGATCGCACCACTGCACTCCAGCCTGGGTGACAGGGTGAGATTCCATCTCAAAAAAAAAAAATCACAAATTAGAACATTTTAAAATAAGCTTTAAAAGAAGGATGAGGCCAATCCTAGCTCTATTTCTTTCTCATGTAAAATACACAATTAATATCTTAATGTAGCTGTGAAAATAGTATCTAACCATTTCTCCTTTGTTTTGCCAAGAAGAGACAGATGGCGAATCAGCTTATAAATCAGCCCCCAAAATTCTTGAAGGCAAATAAGTGCTTTATAAATCAGGGTTTTAAAAAGGTCTCATTTTTATAACAGTTATTACTTTGAAGCAATCTTTCCCTAATTGTCTTCATAAACATTAAACAGGGCTAATTTATGAGTTCCTGAACAATTTTGGGTTTTTGAATGAAACAATCAAGATCCCACATGCCTGCCTTTTATTTTTTAATCATCAGTAACATATACAATGACCTTGATCAGCCCTATGGTTCGTTAAGTTATGACCCTCACAGACAATGAACCCATGCTGAGAAATTATGATTTGGCTCAAAATTCAGAATACATTTGAAAATGACTTTGAGATGACAAGACACCTTGAAAGTTTGGCTATGGCTTCACATCCAAGAAAAAGAAATCATTAGCAAAAAATCATAATAATTTATAGAGATTGGCACAGGGCTTCTAAAATTATCCACACCCTCTGATATGATATGGCTGTGTCCCCACCCAAATCTCATCTTCAACTGTAGTTCCCATCATGGGGGCGCTTACCTCCATGGTGTTCTCATGATAGTGAGTGAGTTCTCAAGAGATCTCATGGTTATATAAGGGAGTTTCCCCACCCCTTCACTCTGCACTTCTCCTTGCTGCTGCCAGATGAAGAAGGACATGTTTGCTTCTTCTTCCACCATGACTGTAAGTTTCCTGAGGCCTCCCCAGCCATGTTGAACTGTGAGTCAGTTAAACCTCTCTCCTTTATAAATCACCCAGTCTTGGGTATGTCTTTATTAATAGCATGAGAATGGACTAATACACCCTCCAAACATTGCTTGGCTTTGCACTGATCCTACCACAGTTTCTCTGAAGAAAAAAGAAGAATTACACTACACCTGGCTTTAAAATATACTAAAAGCCAGTGCATTAAAGATGCTATACAAAAGGTTATATATGACAAGGGAGCTTTCAAAGGCTTCTTCCATCAAGTTTATTAAGCACTATGTTAGGCCAACCATATTCCAATTTGATGCATTTTATTATATGAAAATGTGTCCTTTTGTCTAAGAGAATGGAATCTCAAATTCTTATAACAAGATGCATGGCAGGGGAGTTACTTCATAAAGTGATTTTTCTGTTATTACAGGGCTACAATCCATGCTCTATCCACAATTCTAAAATCTCAAAAGCTCTGAAAACTCATTTAACTGCAAAACCTGATCTAATCAGAAACCATGTAATGATTAAACCCGACCTGGCCCAAAGTGAGGCTATTGTACTCAGCCCACTGGTGTGACTCTCCATATGTTTTGCCGCTGACATCTTAAAGTATTTGATTACAAGGCACTGCCCTAGGCTCTACAGAGAATGTCATGCATATGTTATATATGTGACTTCTCCTATGTCATATGCTCACTCCCAATTGCCTTTCTAAAATTCTGAATTCCAAAATACATCTGACCCCAGTGGTTTTGATATAGGGCTATGGACCTGTGTTAATATTTGTATTTTACTTTCTTCTTACAGGATAGAAGAAGGAAGTTAATGCTGCAGTCCTAGGATTGGAGAAACAATGGCACTTCAGAAAAAATGTTCAAAAACAGAAATGCTATTGCCTCCATATTAGAAGAACATGGCATAAGCTCAGCCCTCAGCAACACCCATCATCAAGTAAGTGGTTTGTTCTGGGTGCTATACAGAGCAGGTGGCACAGGCACAGCTTTAAGGGACTGGGGATGCATGACAGACCAACACCAAGAAACAAAATTGTGAGTAATAAGCCCTGGACATATGCAGACATGATAAAACTATTTAAATTATGTATAGGCCCAAGGATAAGGGCATTTGAGTACTGACAAGTGGGCTAATCACGGGTTTCTGTCTTTACACAAAGTAGGGACTGAAGAAGGGCTAACAAAAAAAGGCAAGATAATAAGTAGAGTCCCCAGTGTGTGTTTGTGTGTTCACAAAAGAGGAGAATTACTAAATATGTCAAAAGATATTTATGCAGCCAAAAAACACATGAAAAAATGCTCACCATCACTGTCCATCAGAGAAATGCAAATCAAAACAACGAGATACCATCTCACACCAGTTAGAATGGCAATCATTAAAAAGTCAGGAAACAACAGGTGCTGGAGAGGATGTGGAGAAATAGGAACACTTTTACACTGTTGGTGGGACTGTAAACTAGTTCAACCATTGTGGAAGTCAGTGTGGAGATTCCTCAGGGATCTAGAACTAGAAATACCATTTGACCCAGCCATCCCATTACTGGGTATATACCCAAAAGACTATAAATCATGCTGCTATAAAGACACATGCACACGTGTTTATTGCGGCACTATTCACAATAGCAAAGACTTGGAACCAAGCCAAATGTCCAACAATGATAGACTGGATTAAGAAAATGTGGCACATATACACCATGGAATACTATGCAGCCATACAAAATGATGAGTTCATGTCCTTTGTAGGGACATGGATGAAATTGGAAATCATCATTCTCAGTAAACTATAGCAAAGACAAAAAACCAAACACCGCATGTTCTCACTCATAGGTGGGAATTGAACAATGAGAACACATGGACACAGGAAGCGGAACATCACACTCTGGGGACTGTTGTGGGGTGGGGGGAGGGGGGAGGGATAGCATTAGGAGATACACCTAATGCTAAATGACGAGTTAATGGGTGCAGCACACCAGCATGGCACATGTATACATATGTAATTAACCTGCACATTGTGTACATGTACCCTAAAACTTAAAGTATAATAATAATAAAATAAAATAATTAAAAAATTTAAAAAAAAAAGATATGCGGAATGGAGGCAAAGTTTTGGCTACCTGGCCAGGCGAGTGGACAGAGACAATGGGGATGCTGAGTGCATAAGTGATAGATTTGAAGCATGGCTTCGAAAACAAGACATAAAACTCTAATAACTCAATATCTAAAAGCCATTTTTGTCTTTTTAAGTACACCCTTCAATTTTGGGTCTTTGATTGCTTGTTTTCCATTTTCCGTTTCCACTTCCTGGTTTAACTATTTGAGATTGTTAATAGTAATAATCATCCCATACATCCATACAGATAGTAATTTACAATTTAACTAATACTTTCATAATATATATTTGGAGACAAAAATGTTTGAAGGTATTAGAACAGATATTATCCCTAGAAATAAAATTTAGAGTCAAAGAGTCAGAGCTCACATCATATTTGATCATTCCTACCATTCTTCCTATCATTCCTACCTTGGATACATAATTAAGCTTTTAAAGCCTCCATTTCCCCATCTGGAAGGTAGGACAATAGTACCTGCTGTATAGAATTAAGATAATGAAATCAGGTGATGTACATGAAAGTGCTTTTCAACACTTATTAATACTAAATGCTACTATTTATGACTATGGTAATTACATCTGTGACTTTGTTGATGTTTTACTCTTAGGAATTATCTCCAATCTTTTTTTTTCCCTGTTTCACCAATCCACAATTAACTTTTAAAGGCATTTTTTTTTATTATACTTTAAGTTTTACAACGTGCAGGTTTGTTACATATGTATACATGTGCCATGTTGGTGTGCTGCACCCATTAACTCATCATTTACATCAGGTATTTCTCCGAATGCTATCCCTCTGCCTGCCCCCCACCCCATGACAGGCCCTGATGTGTGATGTTCCCCACCCTGTGTCCAAGTGTTCTCATTGTTCAATTCCCACCTATGAGTGAGAACATGCGGTGTTTGGTTTTCTGTCCTTGTGGCAGTTTGCTCAGAATGATGGTTTCACACATGAAAAAATGCTCATCATCACTGGCCATCAGAGAAATGCAAATCAAAACCACAATGAGATACCATCTCACACCAGTTAGAATGGCGATCATTAAAAGTCAGGAAACAACAGGTGCTGGAGAGGATGTGGAGAAACAGGAACACTTTTACACTGTTGGTGGGACTGTAAACTAGTTCAACCATTGTGAAGGGCAATGTTTTATAACATAGCCAAAATCAGTCCCTGGAAACTCAATTCAATTTTCACTTAAAAAATAATTCTGATAATTGCATTGGCTTAATATGAACTTTCTGGCACAATGCTAACCAATGTCTAGCAAGATACTCAACATTTAAAATGCAATTCCATTAGCTTTCAATTAGTAGTTTTCACATGTACGGGAAAAATAAATTGATTCAGCACCTTTCTCCTGTCCACAGTAATACTGCAAATTTTTTTCCTTGCCATTATTGTACCCCGGCTGCAAATATTAGTTACCCTAACTGCATATCACGTAAATCAAATAAATGCTTTTTCTCCCCCATAATCACGTCGGCAGCTGCTCCAGCATGTTTCAATGGCCATCCACTGGAACTCATTAAGAAAGCATTATGTATAGTAAATTAAAATGCAAGGTCTATGATCTGCAGACAAAAAGATGACAAAGCTTATCAAATGTATGCTTTGGCCTTCTCATTAGCTCACAGAGTTTAAATGGCATGGTCCTCTCAAACAGGTCCCAGAACGTTTTTATTTGTTATAAGCACAGCAAAGCCAGATAAGCTTAATGTGCTAGAAATACTTAAACATTCCAAAAGAATAACTTTCAAACAGACACTGGGCTTAAATGAAAGCTCAGGATATTCTAGGTACATTCTAAGAAGCCCTTATTTTTCCGACTTATCCTTCCAATGTTCTTCCACAGTTATCAAATCCACCCACTTTGGCATAACTAGTTAATGTACGATTATCACATGCAACAGCATTATTTCCTATGCTGTTCCCATGCAGACCATTTAAGGGGCCCTATATGCCCTTCTGCTGAGGCATCCATGCCACGACAGTTGTTCCCTGAGCTTCCCTCAGGCTGAAGAAAACCCTGCTAATGGGAGCAGAATGTGGGTCTGGGGAAGCCCCAAATTACCCTATATGAGAAACACTTTAAGTAATCGGAGATAGTGATTTGAAAAATTAAAGGCAGGGGAAATATGACATCTGCCTTCAGATATTTGAAGATGGTAACTGCATCCAAGGATGAAACTTACTCTGTGGGCCCCCAGAGGGACCTACATGCCAGGACCAACAATTAGAATACACAAGGAGGCACACTGTGGTTTGCTCTAACTTGTGACAGAGTTGTGTGCCATTTAGAAGATCACCACTTGTGGGGAATGTTAAAGGACAATCCCTCCACCAGTTTGGACTAGGTGATTTTTAGGGACCCTCCCAACCATTAGGTGTTATTCTTGATTAAAACACTCATCCTTTACACTTCTGGCTGCAAACCTCAAGGTGTCTATTGTCTTTGGATCCCCAGCATCTGACACCATGGCTGGCACACACTCGTGAGACCAGAAGCCATGCTTTATAAAGCCCTTAACCATGTGCTAGGTGCTTAGTATCCAACATTTATTATTTTACCACATTCACGTGGTTTCATCACAAACCTAGAAAAACATCACCCCTATTTTAGAAGTTAAGAAACAGAAGGTCAGGAAAAATAGGTAAAACATCCAATGTCACACCGACAGAAAGGGGTCGGAGAACTGCAATTCAAGCTCAGGCTTTTCTAACTAATGTCCAGGCATTTACCCTTTGAAGTTCTGTAGTTGACAAGCCCCAGTAAGATATGAGTGCCAGACTACCAGTGTAAATAACCTGGAGTGCTTGTTAGAAATACAGATTCCAAAAATTACCTTGAACAGCTGATCCAGTGAGTCTCAGTGGGACCCAAGGGCCAGTGTTTTTAATAAACTCCCCAAGTCAATTCTGATGCCAATAAAAATAGGTACCATTGATTGGATGTTTGTTAGTTGCTAGTCACTATGCTAAATAGTGCTTTACAAGGATTATTTCATTTATTTTCACAGAAACTGTATGAGGTAGATTCTAGTAGTATTCAACCCCATTTTACAGGTAAGAAATATGAACTTTGGAGGGTTTCAGGATGTTTCCCAGGGTTACAGACGCTGTCAGCTGGCAGACCTGGAATTTGTAGACAGGTAGTCTTGTTCCAGAACCAGCAATTCTAAACACTATGTTACATTATCTCCAAGAAACACACTAACGATTCAATAATTTGCTAAAGAATATCTGCCTCTCACTTGTTCAGACAAGACTGATACAAAATGAGAGCATGCCAGCAATTATAGTCAAGGAACATGATATAAATTGGTCAATACCACACATTATTAGACATCTTTTGAGTCTGGTTATAAATATTTGCTCCTCTGTGAAGGTAATAGCAAAGCAAAATAAACTTCTCACTCTAGCATGCTTCCAAAGCACATCAAATGATGCTGTCACCCCATAAACCATCAAGAAGCAGGCTGCTCCACGCTGAGCATGGGGCTTGTGCATCTTGTTTCTTTGCACAATTGCCAAGTCACATGCAGCAGACACTAATGTGTGTTTGCAGAAGGAGAGGATAAAGGACTTAAAAAATGCCAATGGGCAACAGAGTTGACTGCAGGAAAGTGAGATTTCTCTCTGAGACAGATGAGAACAAGAAGTACTGGAAGTTCTATTGGCCAGGGAATAAGACAAACACTTTTTTATTAACCTCTTATATATTGTAGGAATTTCAATTCCTAAAACACATCAACAAAGGAAAATCTGTCACTGAACAAGTTGTTGAAATGGAAAGCTAATTAATAAATTAGATATTGAAATTCTTCGGCATGAGCAAAGAAATAAATCTTGGTAAAACAAGGCCTAAAACATCCTATGGTTTTTAGCAGATAATAAGAAACAAAGGAGTCTCTGCTTTGGAAGAAGTTCTCTAGGTGGTCTTCCACTCTTTCCTTTACTATTTTCTCACTTTGGTTTTACCTTCCTTTGTGATTCTTGAAACAGCAGGATACTGGATTCTCCTTAAAACTTTAGATAAAATTTCTTTAAAGCTTGCTGGAGGCCATTATCCTAAGCAAATTAACGCAGGAACAGAAAACCAAATACCACATGTTCTCACTTAGAAGTGGGAGCAAAACAGCGAGTACACATGGACACAGAGAAGGGAACGATAGATACCAGGACATACTCAAGGGTGGAGGGTGGGAGGAGAGTGAGGATGGAAAAACTACCTATCAGATACTATGCTTACTCCCTGGATGATGAAATAATCTGTACATCAAACCCCCATGACATGCAATTTATTCATAAGACAAACTTGCACATGTACTCCCTGAACCTAAAATAAAAATTAGAAAGAAAAAATAAAAATAAAAACAACCTCAAAAAGCAAAATAATAATTCCTTAAAGCTGAGATGAGGCAGTATTTTCTTTAAGGAGACAGAGAAGTAACTGAAGAAAATGTATACCACAAAAAAATATTCATGCATTCAGAGTACGAGATTCTGATCCTAAGACTCCCAATGGATACTGCGAAGAGCTTTCCTGATCTCCAAAGCTCTTTTTCAGCAGACTGCTATCTGCAGTATCAAGGGTGGGAGTACCTTCAAACATATAACAAAGCATTTGCTACACTGCAATAAGTACCATGATAGAGGCTGCTGTGGGTACAGCAAGTCGAGGCGAGGGTGAGAGGAAGTTTCTCAGAGATGTCTTCTAAACACCGTCATTCCCCTATTTGAACATCTAACATTAACCTTCAAGGACTGTATGTCATCTGGTCCCTGCCTCTGACTCTGGCCCTCTTCCCTGTGCCTCACCTCCTGCCTTACTTAACACACTTGCTGACACCAGCCAATCTGTTTTTAACTTTAGGTCTTCACACAGTGTCCTCTACTTGGAGGTCTCTCCCGACACCTTGTCTTGTGGTTTCTTTTCATCAGGTGTGAACTTAAATGTCAGCTCATCTGTGTGTCTGTTCTAACTGCTCAAGTAAGATTCTTCATCACCATACCCACCCTTGTTTTCAACATTATGATGTTCATTTTTTTCCATCTCCCTTTGTAAAAAATGTATTTATAAATGTGTTAACTCTAATTTTTATAAATGTATTTACTCTGATATTTATAAATGTGTTTAATCTGATTTTGTCTATCATTACTTCCAGACCATTAACTTCATGAATGAAGGCTATGCCTGATTCAGTTGCTATCCCATAACCAGATATGGTAGGGAGGAGGGGAGAGTGTGATAGGCAGCAGAAAAAGCATGGGAAGCCCTTATCTCTCTCCTCTCATCCACAGAGAAATGCAAAGGGACCCTCAACAGGGCTGGGACTAGGGATATAAAGTTTAAGTGGTTGCCCAAAGAGTTCCAACCTATTAAGTAATATCTTAATGCAAACTTTTTTAAAAATCAAAATTAATGCAACCCATGATAAACCAAATATCAAAATTTTGTATAAAGACAAAGTCAGTATTAGTGATTTTTCCTTTAGCCATGGACTCCAATATGGCTAGGCATGGCATGGCCCTTCACACATTTTCCTGGTTCACATAGCTCAGAACAGAAAAAAAGGGGATCTTCTATTTGGTTTCTGGATGATTTCACAACATGTCTGTAGTGCAGTGGTGATGGTTCATTCAGGAGAGGGAGTTGCCTCCCCTATTCAAGGAGAAACATTCTATATCAAAAAGCTTCCTGTTACATATCTACAACATAATTATACTTCAGCTATACAATGTCCATAACATATATCTAATGAGTAGAGGTACTAGGTGCATGTGTTGTGCATGTGAGTATGTTTCTGCAGGGTATGAAAGTCACTCTCTTGCAGTGGGATGCTAAATTTCATCTATTTGTCTTACAAGCAATGGTGGCTTTGTGCTGGTAGCAAGCTCTGTATCACTGGGCTGCAAGCATGCACAGATACACTTCTTAATACTGTTTTTAGAAAGTTTTCAATTTCATACAAATGCTCTCTTGCCTGTTAAAATACCACTGTTAGAAAAGTGAAATCCAAACCAATACACACTGTCACAGACAAGGAAGCAGAACTCCCAGTCCATTCATTTGTGTGATTCTGACAGCTGCGTAATTAGTCCAGCCCTGCCGTTCGCCTGTGGGTTAGAGCTGGACCTGTGCAGAACATGGCAATGCAGGGATCATGGCTATGCTTCAGCAGAGACCTGATTTCCCAGATGGCACCTCTCTTTGAAGAATATCACTCATTCACTAGAAAATAAAAACACATCAACAAGCTGCCAGGGACCAGACAAGAGCTTAATTATCTACCTTCTCTTTAATACGTGGATTCAATATTTATGCTTCAATTTCTCTACCCTCTGAAAGAGGTATGAAATCCATTTCCCAGAACTCGCTTTACAGAGCATCGCCTAACATTAAGCCATGCCCAAATATCCAAGGCAGGCATCATTGGAGGAAAAAAGAAGACAGAGAACAGCTGCTTTTTAAAGCTGGCTAATAAATAGGTCCCTGGCAGCAATAAACCCTGGGCCAAAGACAAAACAAAGGAAAACATTTTCTTTTTTCTTATTTTTTTTTTGTGCCATACACAAACCATAGCTTCTCTTGCTTAATATTATACTTTGAAAGAGCTCCAGGAATGTATATAAGGCATGCAAAGTTAAAGATCAACTAGCATTTGAAACAATGCAAAAATACATGTCCTACAACAACCGGATTCCTATTTTGGGCCCCAAGGAAATGTGGGTTTGATGACTGGCACAATAGAATGTATCATGACATCAAACCACAGTTGGCTGTTCCCTCAATTAAGCAATTGAGGCATTTGCACTACCCTCCAATGAGCAGGAAGTGAATGAGACCCCATCTGCTCCAAAATTGAAAAGGTTTGACCAAAATTATCTGTGCAATACTTTTCATTCTATCATCAAATACTTCCAAACACCTCTTCTTCCAGGCATAGGCAGTGAAGTTGGAGAGAGTTGTGAAGAACCAGAGGAGTTTATTTAATGGAACCTGACAATAACCTGGAAGGTAGGTACACAAGTAGGCCCGTTAAAATAATATGGAAGTGGACTGTTAGGCTCAGAGATACGTTGAGATTTACCCAAGCTACAAAGCTGCCAAGGAGTGTAATGAGGCACTGAAAGCTGCTCCTTCACTCTTTCCACCACTCTGTGCTCTCTCACCTCCTGGGCACTACAGGAGCAGCTCCAATGGCCAACTGGAACTCCCCGCAGGTAAGAGGATGCATCAAGCCCTCTAAATGTCTGAAATGGATTCCAAGGCTCTCTGGCAGCATGCTCTCTCACAGCACACTGAAGGGTGGCCATCGTACCATGCTCACATGTGCCCAGGGCTGCACCATTCAGGCATCCACCCTTCATGGACTGTGTTACTCACAGGGTCTTTCTACTGCCAAAGGATGGATGAGGATTGCACCCCAGCAGGCCATGATGCAGTAGGGGTAAAGGATCATAACTGCATCTCAAAGTTGTCAGTGAATGCCTTTTTTGATATGGAGAAATATAATCAATTTTCTTAACACATTATAATAAGTAGTTGCAAATTTTGCCTAAGTTCAAATTTACCAAACAGTTATCAAGTGCCTGTGCATGGTCCCTGGAAGGCATGTACAATGCTGGTTAGTGAATTCTGCTGAATAAAGTTAATGGATTAAAACTCTGACACAAAATCAGAGAGCAAGGACTCTGGTGTTTGTAGGACTGGTCCCATCCCTGCCTCACAGCCTGCTCAGGGCCAAGATCAAGCAAAATTGTGCTGCCTCTTGTCATTTTTCTCTATAGTATATTACAGGCTATAAAAGCTCACCATGTAAAAATGTCATTGGAAAAGCCAGTGAAAAGCCATTTATCTCTAAAACAGTCACAATGCTCCACACCACCATGGAAACTGAGCAGGTCAGAGATATAAACAAAGAAAGGTCACTCTGCTGGTGGCTGGGAAGGGGAACAGCAGAAATAAGGGGGTGCAGATAAGAACACTGGGTTTCTCAGAGTTTCATGGCAAATTACAGAAAACAAGCTTGACCTCATTCTAATATGAACATTCTTCCCTACTGGGTTAATAGTAGAGAAAAATATATGTTACAGGTTCTGGAAATTTAAAGAAGATGTTTCCATGGAAAGTGTAACTATATAAACCTCCACATACAGGGCAAACAGTACAAGTAAATGTCAAAACCTGAAAAGAGCAGAGGAAACACTGCTTCCAAATACAGATTAATGGGCATTATCACATTTATTATTTATCAGTTAGCCCTGCATGGTTCTGCCCACTGCTGCAAGTCTCCAGGGCAAAAATACAGTAAAATTCCATTAGATAAAATATTTAAAATAACTGAGCTGGAATACCATAGTCTCATCGTAGCACTGTTTACCATAGCAGGAAAGAAAGGAAACAACCTAACAATAGGCAATATGTTAGGGAAAACTAGAAGTTTTCTTCTGGGCATAAGCAGTAGGCTTTAAAGAAGAAGATGATGCTTTCTGCTCAGCTACCAGCCAGGTAACAGACAGGAGAGCTGCTGGCATAATTCTGACACAGTGGTCCAAGATATTTCAGTTTATTTTTATTTATTTATTTATTTTGTTTTTTGAGATGGAGTCTCGCTTTGTAGCCCAGGCTGGAGTGCAGTGGCATGATTTTGGCTCACTGCAACCTCCCCCTCCTGGGTTCAAGCAATTCTCCTGCCTCAGCCTCCTGAGTGGCTGGGACTACAGGTGCACGCCACCGTACCGGGCTAATTTTTGTACTCTTGAGTAGAGACGGGTTTCACCATATTGGTCAGGCTGGTGTGGAACTCCTGACCTCAGGCGATCCGCCCGCCTCAGCCTCCCAAAGTGCTAGGATTACAGGTGTGAGCCACAGCACCCAGCCTATTTCAGTTTATTTACTTTCATGTATGGTTATATTAAATACAGTTTTTGGGAGATTAAGCTAATTTGGATATGGTGATTTTTTAATAGATTTTTTTTAAGCCAGGATATCGACTAATGTTCATTGGTTTGTTTTTCTTCCCCACTTTTCTGCCAACAAAGATGAGTCATGGTTCTTTGCACAGAAACTCATGGGCAGCTACCAGAGGCTCCCCAGTGTGAATACAAGCCTGCAACTGCACTGCCACCTTCTCAGAACTCACAGGTTCCAAGCCACACCACACTAGACCTGCAATTCTTCCTTCTGAAGCATGCTTCCATTGTATCTCTGCCTATTCATTTTTACTTATTACCCAAAACATCTGCTTCAGGGAGGTTTTCTAACTACCCCATCTCATGGAGCTGTTGGCCCTTCTCTGACCTCGTAGGGCAGAAATTCATAGAATCACGATTAAAGAGAGGCTTAGGGGACTGGTGTTCCAGAAAAGGCCTCTCCTGCTAACTGGAGGCTCTTTCTGGTCTTCATCCACAGGACCTACAGGCCCTTTTTGGCTTACCTTGGCTATGCTCTCATAAATCACATTTTATACTCTGTCTCCCCTCCAGTCTTGGATTCACCACTTGGGACTGCCTTGCCTGTGTCCTCTCCTGCTCCAGAAGTGGACAACAGGCCTGCCTAGGCCCTTACCTCCAAGATACAGACCCATGATCATCCTCTTTACCCAGGCATCCATGGTCATGTAGGCATAAGGCAGTCTCATCCTAGCGCTGTTCACCATGGCACACATGCCCAAAAATGGAAGACCTTACACATGCCACGGTACAGACTGCTTGAAAGAATGACAGTGCATTCATCAATGGAATAGTATTTAATCATTAATAAATGGCTGATAAATATTTATTAATAGATACAAATACTCATAATTTACTAAGTACAAAAATAGTATGAATAGTATAATTCTATTTTTTAAAAATATATATATGTGCACACAAAGATATGAAAAGCTAACATATCAAGGTGTTAGCAATTGTTATCTCTGAGAAATGTGATTATAGTTCTGGTTTCACCACCACACCTTGTTCATCTATATTTTATAATTTGTCTACAATGTCCATTCACTGCTTTTATAATAAGAAAACAAAAGTTTCTGTGGTGCTGTTTTGCGTGATTTTTTTAACAGAGTCACTGGAAGAGGGAATGATAAGGAGGTTCTTATTGGTGAAATGGTTAAAAACTACTGTCTTTGACTACATGTTATACATGTGACAATGAATCATAGGTCACTTATTATTTCATGTGCTAAGTCTGCCTCCCCAGTGAAACTATAACCTCCATAAGTAATAATATTATAAACAATAGCTAATTGCTCCTGAACATTTACCATGGACCAGACACTGGTTTAGGTGTTTGATAGGCTTTACTTATTTAATCCTAGGAGAGACCTTATGAAGTAGGTACCATTATTACCTGCACTTTTGGAAGAAACGAAGTAGTCAAGTAACTTGCCCAAGTCACCCTGCTAAGAAGTAGTAAAGCCAAAATTGTAGTCTAAGTCCTTCAGAAATTATATCACATGAGACTGAAAGGCAAAAATCTCATTGCAGATTCTCAGCGTTCAACAACCCAAGCCACAACAGACCACACAAGCTGCCATCTGTAACATCCTTCTATCTTATCTCAACCTATTTATTTGGTCTTATTTATGGAAAGCTGAACTAGAGTACCATTTTCTCTAAGAAGCTTTTTCATGTTGCTAAGTAAAAGTTAGGCATCAATACATATTTGCCAAATAACAATAATAGAAATGAACATTTATTGTGTGTTTATTGGGCTAATAGTTTGCATCAGATACTGGCTTTTTTATTATTCCCATCATGTAAATAAGGACAGTGAGAGGTTAAGTAACTTTAAGATCTAAAAGTAAGGAGTGGAGCTAGGATTCAGGTCAAGTTGAATCTTGCTCAAGAGTTTGTGCTTTATATCACCACTTAACTAAGGGACTTTCTGCTGAGTAGCAGCCCCATGAAAAAGACCATATTCAACAAATGGCCATTGTTCCACCCAGAGTCATGTCATACAACCAAGCTAGTAGAAGCAGACAATTGTCAGTGTTTTTCTTGTCTGCTCAGTTTGATTGCCCAGATCACTACCTGTAAGAAGCCATGCTTCAGCCTGGAAAACATCAGCCCATGAATTAACAACATAATTACCATATGATATCAGCCGACACCGCACAATAGTGAACAGGTGCCCTGGTAGAGTAAGATTAATGAAGTGACTGCAGCAGGAGCTTGTCAGAGCCACAATTTCTGGGAACAGAGAGAGTCATCATGTTTAAAATTGCAAGGCATGGATAAACTAAAGCTGTACCCAGAGAATAATCTTGACTCTCCAGGACAAATTGCAATCTTTAAAATAGAAATTATATGATCTTCACAATCATAGAATTGAGGAAAGTTATGTGAACACCATTCTAGTGTCAAAAATATTCAGGGATATTCCCCCAGAGGACACATTCTTGCAAAGTGGTTGGTCTACAGCCTTACTATCCTGATTTCTCAATCTCGGTTGATCCTCAAAGGTTGCAGATTATTGGAAATACAGTACATGGGAACTCCCTGTTCTATAAGCATATGGGCTCTGGCATTGAATATAGCCAACAACTGTGGGACCTCAGTCAAATTTCCCTAAGCTGCCTAAGCCTTATTTTCTTTATCTGTATAATGAGGCTATTCATGGAATTGTAAGGATTAAAACAGATGATGCCTATTAAATAGGGCTTGGCACGTGGAAAAAAAAAGTAAATGTTAAGTATTACTTTCATTATCTATTACCTAATAAACACATGCACACACGTCTACTCTAATGATACTGCATTTAAAATTTCACTGGCCCTTCAAAGTCCAATCCAGTGGTTCCATTTAATAAGTCTCAATATTTTTCAGCCACATCCAAATGCCTATCAGAGTTCTAAAACATGGAAGATCAACTCAAAGGCCTACCATAAGTAAAATTAAAATATATCCTGATAAAGTTAAGTGAGGTTTTGAATCCCTTCCTGCTGACTTCCATTAAGTAATCAAGGTTTCTACCAATCGTGTTCACTTCTCATGGGGGCACACTTGACAATGGAGTGGGATGAAACAGAAAAATTAAAGAAATATAAATGTTGAGTTCCTATATGTCTTTTACCAAATGATTTCCAGAGGCTGGCCTAATTCCAGATGATGTTGTTGGGACCAGATCAGGCTGGTTGCACTATACTCGTGGGAAGAAGAATTACTATAAAATCCATGTTTTTGCAACTAGAATGATACTTTTTTATTAATCTTCATGAACAGTCAGATACTATCACTTGCATACTTTTTGCATTGCAGCTTACTCTGGACCTGCATCATCCCAAATGGTAGCCATTAGTCATGTGTGGCTACCAAGTTCTTGAAATGGAACTAGTCTAAATTGAGGTGTGCTTTAAGTGTAAATTTGCACTGGATTTTCATGACTTAGTAGGCAAATAATGTAAAGTATCTTACCAATAACTTTTAATTTTCATTACATGTTGAAATAATATTTGGATATAGGGAGTTAAATAGAACATTTTATTACAATTATTTTTACCTTTTTTGTCTTTTTTACTGGAAAATATAAAACTACATATGTGGCTGTAACCTGAAAATATGTATATCTAAATGTGTTTCAGTTAACAAAAAAACAAATAAAAGAATTTCCTTGAAAAAACTTACATATGTGGCTGGCATTATATATTTATTAGATAGCACTGATTTAGATCATGAGGTCTACAAGTCACATATGGTTGTACAACACTGCGTTTTTCTTATATGAACATTTATTTGATAGTTTTGCATTTCACCTAGACAATTAACAGTTGTTACTTGGGGGAAAAAACGATGGGTAGGCAATAAAATAATGCCAAAAACAATAGAGTCTTAATAAAAGTTATTTTATCTTGTTGAATATAGTTAGTAAAAGCTTGAGTTTAAATAAAGTACATTTCTTTAGTGAAGGACTTCTCAGAGCTAGACTATGCTTATATGTAATTTGATTCTCAAAGAAAAAATAAAGTGGTCATTGATTCTTAGACTCATTTGATCCCACGTGACTTTTATTCTTTTCTTTCTTTTTTACAAAAAAAAAAAATTGGAAAATGGTTCTAGTCTTAATTTGAAATCTGGATAGGTACAAAAAAAATCTTCTATTTGGGGCCAAAGAACTTGGAAAGCTGACTAAAACAAGGAAAAGACTCAAAGAAAGGGGAATCAACCATTTTGCTTGGCTTAAAGTGCAGCGAGCTTGGTATCAGCACATGATGAACATTTAACTGATCTCATTTGGTTTTACTGGTGAATAGGAAGCAAAGCAGCATCTGAGTAATAATCTGTCTTGCTATGACTCATTCACTGACTCCAGGCCCTGATAACAGCTTTTGGAGACTTTCTTAACATTCAAATCCTTTCAATACGGACTTATTTTTTGAGAGAAGTGGAGCTAATCGGCAAAGATATGAATGGTGTTGGGTGAAAATCAGTAATTAAAACAGGGATATCAGGCTAGGTGTAGAGGGTCACACCTGTAATCCCAACACTTTGGGAGGCTGTAGTGGGCCAATTGCTTGAGCCCAGGAGTTCAAGATCAGCCTGGGCAACATGGTGAAACCCCATCTCTACAAAAAATACAAAAATTAGCTGGGTATGGCAGCACACACCTATAGTCCCAGCTACTCAGGAGGCAGAGGTGGGAGGGTTGCTTGAGACCAGGTTGTGGGGAGAAGGTCAAGGCTTCAGTGAGCCGTGATCTCACCACTGCACTCTAGCCTGGGTGACAGAGCAAGACACTGTCTCAAAAAATATAAATAAATAAAATAGGGATACCAAATTAGGATCACTGTCACAGATGCTTATGATACACTTAATCACTCTCCCACTCACCTTTTAGTCTTTTCTATCGAAGAGTGAGTATTCATTTGTTCCATTTATCATTAACTGAATCACGGTATATAAGGTCACAATAGCACCATCCCTATAGGGTATGTGGTCCCATTGTAGTACTTTAACAACCTTTCTATGCGCTTCAGAAATTTCTTCTCTGCCATATTCTCTACCAACTACCACCCTTAAGTTATTGCTCAACCCCTCCCCAGTGGCAAGACATTATGATGTCCTTCATAATTTCGAAGGACCTCCACTAATTTCTAATTGCCTATTGGTCTCTGCTGCTGGATTACCAGATCATTTCCTTGAAGTTATCTAAAATTACTGTAAAATCCACGTTTTTGCAACAAGAATGATGCTCTTTCTTAATCTTTATAAACAGTCCGATACTATCACTTGCATACTTTTTGACATCAGTTCCCACACCATGAAATAAAGGCCAGAATCAGAGTCCAGAATCCAGAGTTAATTAGGAGAGCTCAGCAGCAGGGAGCAGTCACAGTATGGAACACTAATGCTCACTGGTTGACAGTATACCCACAGTTAGTTCTTCTAACTCCCATTGGCTGAAAGCAAACAGTTAATTTCTAAGAGCAATCAACAGACAGAACTGTTTCCTAATGGATTGTGTTCTTTCTCTCTGTCTATCTGCCTATCTATGTATAAAGGCCCAAAGAAAATTTCAGAGAAAATAGTGCCATAAAGGATCAGAGTTATTTGAAGAAGTCTTTAAAAAGACAAGGACTCAAAAACATGCATTGCACTTGTTTAGGCATCTACTCCTATGTGACCAGTTGATGTGGGGCACCATCATAGCTTGGGACCATGACATGCAGAAATGCACAAACACAATTATTATGATCTAAAAATTGGTTTTACTGCAACAAAGTTAATGTAGCCTACAATTAACTTTCTTCTTCACTATAAAGGACTTTTTCAGATCTTGTCCCCACTCATTATCCAGTTGCCAATTATTCACTTCCCTCTGTTTCACATGATAGGAGCTACCAAAAATAAATAAAGGGAATGTGCATTACTAAATTTCATGGAAATATCTACAGTCACATGAAAAGGAACATCCAAATACTGCCACAGTCATATGTAACTAACGTCCATATCCCTTCATTCAAGAAGGTTTGTGTCTTTCCTCCCTTAATGTTTTACAAAATGTGATCTCTGGGGAATGCTGGCTGCTGTTAATTACGCATATCAAACCCCACTGTGCAAGAGGAAACTTAATTATTCTAATTTTCAAGGTCAGAGAAATATCCAAAGGTGCCAATTTGACAGTCCAAAGAATAACACTCGCTCAAGGGAATCAGAGACAAGACAGGTCATGGAAGGCTGGTTACAACCTTATCCGCGGAGCTGTGCTGAGGCTTCCCTAGCTCCACCATCCAAATTAAAATGCTTAGGACAAGCTCCACCAGAGTGACCCACCAATGAACCTGGCCATAAATCAGAAACCCTTCTTCACCACACAAGGCGAGTGGGTAACTCTTGGTGAAGAAGGCAGTAAGGCAATTCTCTTTCCAAGGTCCCTCAAGGCTACAGCTTTCAGTCAAGTGCTTGAAAAATCACTTTGCAAAATCACCTAAACCTTTCTGCTCATCTATTGGAGGTTCAGCAAAGAGGAAAAGAGGGGAAAAAAAAAGAATCACCTTGTCTAATTCTAAACTAAAGCTGTTCTATAGTCTCTGGGAAAATTATCTTGAAACTAAATTTCAAGCCTGACCAGTAAAGATCAGGATTCTGTTTTAAAACTTCTTGATTTCTAGAGAAACCCAAGTTTGGAAGTCCAAGTTTACCAGGATTTTCAATATTGCAATTAAAAGGGGCCATACTGAAAGCCTAGTTTCTAAACAATGCAAATTCATCTAGTTAATAATATCAAGAGAACATAATCTATAACTGTTCCATAGTATCAGTTTAGCATAGCCACAAAGGCAAAGGCTATTTTAGGCTTCCAAAATTATCACCCAAGATGTAAACAGACTTAGGGATTTCATGGCTTCTGGAGCATATCTTCTGATTCACCTGATTGAGATACAGGTCCAAATTCCCATGTTTAATTCCAAATACAAGATTTACTTCATTCCTCCCACTCCTCCATAAACAGCAAATTCTTGCTGCTGCTAATTGTTTCCAGTCTTGTGTTGGAACCAAGGCCTTGTAGGAACCAGAGGCTGTGACATTATGTCTCCTTCAATCCCTCTCTCTAGCTCATTCATAAAGATCTTCCAAGAAGCCTCCTAATGGGAATCATACCCATAAATCCCTACCCTACCCAACCCCCCACAGCCACAGGAAAGCAGACACCTGACCTTGAACACAATTTGAAGTAGGGTCCTACCCTTCAAGAAGGCTGTGCAAGCTGTCCTTGAAGAGGATGCAGTTCAGCCATCCAATGTCAAGGTTAAAAATGCAAAATTGTTAATTTTAAATATTAAACATCATGTTAACCACATTTAAAAGAAGGAGAAATTTTTAGAAGCAGGGCCTGAAGGCAATGAATGAAACCTCAACGAGGCTGCCAACGCTGAGTACAGGCAGGTCAGGCAGGGGCCGTATACACAGTTGTCAAAGCCGATTGGTGCAGGGGCAGCATTGGCCTCTGGCTAAGGAGGTAGTTAGAGTTAGACAAGACAAGGCATGGGGAAAGGACACATGAGCTTCAGTGTACCAAGTCAGAGTCACTTTCAGAAAAAGCAAGTTCAATGGTTGGCCATGGTAACTTCAAGAAAAGGAAGTGGCCCATGTTGTGGAAGGGGAAGCAGCCAGAACTTTCAACAGAAAGTTAACAGTGAAAGTAAAGATGAAGCCAATCTAAGGGAGAAAATACCCACCTATTGTTCTTGGATAATTTATATAAAATATCGTTTTGAATTCTGGAGGCTGAATGACTTTCCACAGTTCTTTCCTATGTCATAATTCCAATTTTTTCAATTCTGAGAAAAGCCCCAATTCAGCATAAGGTACATAAGTACAAAGACTGTATTAAACTTTGAGCTCCACTGCTAAGGATGTGTGTAACCTTTGCAAGTTACTGAACTTCTCCATGCTTCAGTTTCCTCATCTGAACAACCTACACTGATTTTCATGAGGATGTATGTTCCCTAAATGCACTCCTGGCCTCTCCCCAACACTTGACCCATTCTATTCATTTCTAAGGAGGGAGAGGGGTGACTCATTGAGTTAGTGCATTTGGGAAGAATAACCAGGTATACTGCACTCAGCTCTACACTTCTTTGTCTTGGGATTAAGCTACTCATAGGGAACCCGATTCCACTGCCCCTCCCAGAGCTCAGATGCTGCTTGGGTCAGGGGGCCAAGTGAGGAAGTTTCCACTTCTGTGTGACTGGTGCGTACATCTGCCTAGTTCTGAGATTCAGCCATCACATGCTCATTTGGCTATGACACTAACCTGCATCCACCAACTTAGCATTTCTAATTGATAAATACAATTCTTTGGCCTGTATTCTTTCACTTTATTTCTCAAATTGTTCAGTACTCAGGCTGAGAGGAGTGATGCTTTTTTATTGGCATTGCTCGGGCTCCTCAGCAGTCTGCAAAATAGGGATGAGGATATTGTGAGGAGTAAATGAGAAGGCATCTGCAACTTCTTAGCATTGAGCCCGGGCCAGTGTGAGATTTCACTAAATGTTGGCTGAATCGGCAACACAAGAGGCCCTGGCATAAAATGTCAGCCAGCCACACACATCTCAACTGGAGACAGAGGTTGGCACCTGAGCAGCCCCATGCTGCCCTTTGGAATTTCCTGGATAACAACATCTGTGAGCCTTGTAGCATATTCTAGAATAGCAGCATGAAAAACCAAACAGCAGAATTCAGAGATCAGTGGCTCTAAATGGGGCTTAGTGACAAGTTAAATCCCTAAGATTCTGAATGCAAAAGAGCAGGGAGAAAGGAAACGTGAAAGCACCAGTTCTGTTTTCCCAGCACACTTTCAGCAGGCAACAAGGAAGATAAATTAATGAAGGCTGTGGGGGAGTCCAGACCTATCAAAAACTCCAAAAAGTTTATCACAGAGAACAAGAAATGCTATTTGAATCCTGAGCAAACACCTTTTCTAAAAACTAATTCATGCTCTAACCTCAGAAATGTTTTCGTTCTCTGCCTGCAAATGTGTTCTGTGCTAACCCATGCTTATTATAATATAGATTTTGCATCTTAAAGATTAGTAAGAATGATAAGTCAGTCTTAATATGAAAAGTTACTGTTTCCATGACCACAATTTAATGACAGAACAGTCTTAGGACCTATCAATCATAATGCCATACATTTGTCTGCACCCAGAAAACCACACACTGGCAAGTGTCACCTCTTAAATAGAAATGCACATAAGTTCAGATGCAATCATGAAAAAAAGAGGGAGAAAAATGTTGGAGAGAGAAAAACTGACCATTCAGCCTTTGAGATACGTAGATTATGACAGCTAACAGTTAATGAATCCTTATATTTTTTGCCTTATGTTGTTCCAAGCACTTTCATAAATTAATTTACTCAATCTTCACAACAACTCTAAAAGGTAAGTGTGATTTTAATCACAGTTTACATTAAGGGAACTGGCCACAGAAAAGCATAAAGACTTGTCCGAGGCCACACAGCTAGTAAGGGGCTGAGCCATCAGTGTCCCGGCCATGTGGTCCCAGAGTGACTTCACTCTGCCACCTTTCCCAGGTTCTCTCCCAAGCTAGAGAATGACCTTTAAAAACTTAGGGTCAATTTGAACCTAATTCTGGATCCTGCCTTCTTGTCACTGTGTTTGCAAGTTTTTATTCAGCATCTACCCTTCTGCAAAGAAAGGCTCAAGCTGCTTTGGACAGGCCTGACTTTCCCTCCTACTGCTCACAAGATTAGCCTTGGATAAAAGAAGCCATTCTGGTTCTTCTCGTTCCACTTCTTCTTCCAAAAACATTTCCACATCCCTGACTACTGGTCTTGGCGCACAGCAGTAGGTGGTCTTGCTCACATCAGGACACAGGGGAACCTCACAAAGATTCAGCAAAAGAAAAGCGCTTCTAAGTAAGACCAGGGAAATTTCATTTGTGCTGTTACCATCATTGTCCTCAAATATACAGGTGTTACCTTACTTTGTACAATTACTGTAGTTCAGTTTGGGGAAAATGAAACATTCATTAGAATGGTGTTTAATTGTTTAATACTATAATATTGCTTAGCTCTTACTACACATTCAGCGGGCCAGGATGGCACACCTTGAAGTGCTCCACCTTTATTCTGTCATTAATCTCCACCTCCAAGTAGGCATTACTGTTCTCATCTTACAGGAAAAAAAAAGGTATGACTCCAGCAGATTAAGTAACTTCCCCAAGGTGACTCAGGGAGTGAAAAGTGGAGCAAGAATTTTGGTCTAAGTCAGCCTAACTCTGAAAAATGTGCTTGAAACCACTGTACACACACACACACACACACACACACACACACACGCACACATATACATACACATATATATGAACACACATATACACACACATATGTACACATACATACACACATATGGCACACACGTGTATCATTTTCAGTTACTTAGAGGATATTTAATAACAATTATTAGGCTACATTCAATCAACACTTTTTGGCTAATTTGTTCTGTAGTATGTGAACTCCTGCAGATTTAGAGGTAAATTTTTGACAGGGTAATCAACCTCAGAATGCTTATAATCCAGGTAATTTTAAGAGGTAGACAGTGTTGGAAATACAAAGATATAAAACTGCAAGTTCAAATCTATCAACTCAAATGACTATTTGCAGATATTTCCTCTGATGACTACCTAGAACTACCTGGAACTACAGAAAGTAGTTTTGCTTGGTGTAAAACTTAATATTAAAAATACTCATTTCCACTTTCAATGATACAAAGACACCAACAGGTCAAAAACTAGAAGATCCTGTTTTTCCATTAGGGTGGGATTACGAATATAGCCTATAGGCATATAGATATCTTTACAATTTAATGCGTGGAAACATGTATTACAGAATCTCCTTATATTCAAGAAAATGGTAGTATGTCTTCTTTTAAGTGAAAATAAAATTTTGTAAAGGAATCAATCACCTTGAAAAATGTTTATTTCATAAGTTGTGGTTTTGATTTTTTTTTTTTATTGAGAAGCTTATTCTAACTTGATATTGGTTAGAAAATCCAAAAACCAAACTTGCTATTAGGACCAAAAGAGAATAAAACAATCTGTGAAGTATCTCATTGAGGAGTTGGTGGATATGCCATAGCTCAGCAGAGAGTAATAATTGTTAAGAGCTTGAGCTGAGGAGTCAAAGGGCTTCTTCCTTCATGCCAGTCCAGGATCACTGAGTTGCCCAGCATCTCTCACCTGATCATAATTTCCTCACCTGTAAAATGGGAATAGTAACACATTCCCATGTATACTAGGGAATAGTATCACCTAGGGCTATTTTGTGATTGTGCATGTAAGCACATAGTATCATTCACAACAGGTGGTAGTTATTAGCTTGACATCTAGTTTGACATGCCACAGGCGTTTCTTTTTTCCAACATGATCTTAACTTGTTTAGGCTGAGGATCAGTGACTTTAGGTCAATGAAATATTGCATATATATTTGACTGCACATGACAGATAAATTCCCCATGGAGGCTGATTAATATATTCATAAATAGGAGTGATTAGCAAACGAATTAAGAGTCCAATTTTCACTTCAATTGTGAACATAATTTGTTAGCATCTGACTTTTTGCTCTAACAGCAGGTTTTAGAAAGGGAAAATACTGGTTAACCTGAGGTCATAACTACAAAACACCAAACTGTGAAATTCCACACCTACTTGTTAAAATCAATCCCAGTGTCCTGAACACTCTCATCATTGAAGAGAATAATAAAGAAAAAAAGACCCAAGGAAACAACCACAGACCACCACCTGCTCCCCTGCACCCCCCCAAAAATGAACAGGCTCCTTGATGGACTTATAGGTAATTTTTCCTTGTTGAAGACAATGCATACACACATATATACACTCATATATGCAAAACAAATATTAGGCCTTTCTTAACCTAAATTACCATTAGAATCACTCATAGGTTGTCTTAAACATAGATACTCAGATGATTCTAAGGGTGAGTCACAGTGGACCATTATTGATCCATATGGGTTGGCTCCCTCTGTTCTCTGAGTAATGTGCTTCAACAAGCCAGACAGTGGATGGAAGATTTTTTTTCCCCTCCTTGAAAGGAACCAGTTGGGAACTCTTCTGGGAGAACAATGAAAACCAGTGATTCTCAACCCAAACAGTATCGGAATCTCCTGGGGAGCATTGAAGAACACAGCCACCCAAACCCCATCCCCAGAGATCATGATTCCACTGCTCTGGGATGGAGCTGTATCAGCATTGTTGAAAAAAATTCTAAAGTGATTCTAAAACACAGCTGGGCTTGAGAGCTACTGACGTACAACAGTGTATTAGTGTATTAGTTTGCTTAGGCTGCCATAACAAAGTACCATAGACTGAGTTTCTTAAATAACGTATTTTATTTTCTCATAGTTTGGGAGGTTAAAAGTCCAAGATCACAGTGTCAGGTCAGCAGATTTCGTTTCTTCTGTGGCTTCTCTTCTTGGCTATCTTCTACCCATGTCTTCATATCCTGTGCCTGAGCACAAATTTTCCCCTAATGGCCTCATTTAATTTGCTCTTTAAAGACCCTGTCTCCAAATATAGTCACATTTGGAGGCACTGGAGGTTAGGACTTTAACAAACTGTGGCTTTGGAATTTATTGTGTGCCATCAAAATGACAGAACTTTTTTCTTCTAAGACGGAAGCCATTGAAAGGGTTGTAGTCATTACATTTCAAATGTGTAGTTTCTGCTAACTTCCTGTTGATGTGTCTTGAAGAAGGAGAAGGTCATATGCATTGACAGCTGCCACAATCAGATGTCCTGACTGCTATAAAACTGATCCATCTAGTCCTAAAAATTAGTGTGCTTCTAAGAAAATAATATAAACTGTATGTTTTCCCCCCCCCCCAGTAATATCCATTAATATCATTAAAGTATTTTCCTTCTTGGGAGCTTGGTGGATATGTCCTCCTACGTCTGAGATGGACTCTAAATAAACTTACCATGTTTCATTCTTTCTTCTCATAACACAATTTTTTATTTATTTCATTTATCAAATTTCTATATAGCACTCACTCTGCGCAGGACACTGGTCCAAGACGTTTTATCAATAGGCTCATAATGTAAACTCACACTGTTTAGCACTTGCACATTTGTTGAGAAAAGGTGAATTACATGACAATATAATAGTACAAATGAAAGGATAGGAGACCGGGGTTCAGATCTTCTGATCTTCTTCTTCATAATGATGTGACTTAACCTCTGGGGGCTCAGTCTTCTTGATTAACTGGGTAACTGGATTGAGTAAATCCCCAATGAGCATGTCACTTCTGGAAGGGAAAACTGGAAATGACTCGCCTTTGAAAACAACAGATGAGAAAGGAACACAACCACCACCCCTCCCCAGGTTTATAGAGAAGATACTCTCATTTATATGGTTCACAATATTTTATTCATACATTTAGAGATATGAATTAAGATTTGGAATCAAATTTTGGTAGAAAAAAATGTCAGACTTTGAATTGGAAGTTCAAATACCAGCTCTCTTTTAAGCTATATGATGCATAGGAAACACTGTCCAAGAAACTGAGTTTCCTCACTTGTGATATCAGTTCTCCCACTGGGGTGTTTTAAGTTTTAAATTAGATTCTAAAACATAAAGCCATTTTGTAAATGATGAAAAATAAACAATTTATAAGGCATCATTATGATCTCCTCTTCCTCCTCTTCTTATTTATCTTCTTCTCCTCCTCCTCACTCCTCCTCCTACCTCCTCCTTCGTAACCATCTCCTCATGCTTCTTATTATTTTCATTACACCATGACACTTCAGAACAAATGATTTGAAGTGAGGTACTCGCTGAGAAATAGCCATCTTTCCACACAGAATAGATCAGTTTCTTGCAAAATCTCTTCAGGAGATAACTCAAAATGTAATGTTTAAGGACAAAAATAAAATACATACTTTCTGCCAGACTAGTCTTGGCGACTTAAAAAATTAACTGGACAATTCTCATGTGTAAGAGACCACATGGTTATTCATCTTTGGTGTTTAACTTCTGTTCTCATGGCCAAGTCAAGGGCTTAAATCACTTACTGGCAAGAGTTCAAAAGAATCCAGGAGAACCTGAACATTTCTATAAAAGCAGATTTTAAAAATTGAGCTGTGTTAAGTTGTTAGAACAAAACCCATATGCCAGGAATGTTCTCAGTAGTTCTGCAAGGATTTGACAATACAGTACAGTGTGCGCTTGGGGACTTTCAGCTACTGACATCCCATTGCTGCTCCTCAACAGCTGTGCTAAATTAGGAAAGCTTATTTTTAGAAACAATAAACTAGGAAGAATCTCTCCTCCCTCAAAAGACTGGTTTTCTCACTTGATTTTTCTCTCATTGACTTAGATTTCCTAATTGCACCTCTAAGTTTGAAAACACAAACTCATGCAAAAGTATAAGGCACGAAAATATCTCTTGACTAGACATTTGAAATAGTTATGTTCGTAATTAAAATAGAATCAAAACAGACATAAGAGAAATCAGCATTTGTCAGGTAGATTAACCACCCCTTGTGTTTGCTTATCGTGTCGAATTGTTAAAGGGGTTTACATATATCATGCACGGTTTCAGTTGTTATTAAAAACATATTTTAGAAATAGAAAAGAAGGGAAGCTTTATCACCATTTTAGAGGATGCTGAGGCTCAGTGAGGTTAAGCACCTTAGCTCATGTATCTCAACTAATAGGTAGCATAAAAAAAAATGAACCTGTCATTTGGGGTTCCTTTCAGTACACAAGACATAGACAATGTCCTGTTTGGGGGTTGTGATGATATGGTCCTTTGGACACCAGACTAGCAGGCAAATATAAACACATTAAAGCACATTCAATTCAGGCAGATAAACAGAGTGATGAAGCCGGACCTGCACAAGTCACACCTGAATTCCCTTTGCCATCAGCTCTGAAGGAAACTCTTGGTGTCTGTGCCTGACTGCTACTTTACAGAGTACATTAAGTCTACATTTGAAAAGTAATTTTTAAGTTTCATCACAGCAGGGAGGCTATAGATGCATTTTATTTATTAGTTTATTTATTTATTTATATACTTATTATTTTTATTACTATTTAGAAATCTGAATACCATGCTCAAATATATTTCCTGGCCAGGCGCGGTGGCTCATGCCTGTAATCCCAGCACTTTGGGAGGCCGAGGCAGGCAGATCACAAGGTCAGGAGATCGAGACCATCCTAGCTAACACAGTGAAACCCCGTCTCTACTAAAAATACAAAAAATTAGCCGGGCGTGGTGGCGGGTGCCTGTAGTCCCAACTACTCAGGAGGCTGAGGCAGGGAAATGGTGTGAACCCAGAAGGCAGAGCTTGTAGTGAGCCAAGATCAAGCCACTGCACTCCAGCCTGGGCAACAGAGAGAGACTCCATCTCAAAAAAAAAAAAAAAAAAAATATATATATATATATATATATATATATATAAAATATATATTTCTTAAGTTTTGCACTTAAAAAGGAAGTCATTTATTTTAGGGCTTCAATAGGAGACCTCATTAGAGAAATGCACTAATTTTTAAAAGCTGTCCCTTCTTGAGTAGCTCCTGAGTCGTGAACGTGTCTGCTGAAAGTGGGTATTTGAAGGTAAGACTAAGTCTTGGGGGTATCCTTCCAGATTTCACTCAAGCAGCAACCATTTGCAAGAAGTTGATGAGGTTCTGAGTAAGACCCATCCCTAGGAGCTTCCCTGTAGTGCCTGAATCTAGAATTAATTCAGGTTGTTACTATTTACGTTTGAAATTCTTACCTAGGTCCACTTAGGCTTGTGTGTTGGTTGAGAGAAAGACAGAAAATCTGTTTTGTGGTGTTTTAAACAGAGACTCCTCTAATTGTTTAGTTTTTTTGTTTTGTTTTGTTTTGTTTTTAGTTTTAAATCAGTGGGACAGACAGCAGATTCTCCAGGTATTGATAGAGAGCAATGAAATGAATCAAGCAGCTAAAGCCTGATATTAAAGGCCAGCACACACTGTGGAGTTCCAGTTGGTCATACTCACCCCTCCCGATCTGCGGGTCGGCTATAATTCACAGTCGGTGCTAAAATGCTATAAGAAGTATTTATTATCTTCCAGACACAATTTACTGCTTTTGATTATTCATTTTTCATTACTATGGAAAGCAAGATTAAATTGTTTCAGAAGCAACTGCTTATATTAATCTTTCAAACACATGATCCACGTAAAACTCTGTGTCAGGCAAATGGATATAATTCCTGCTGCCAAAACAGCCACAGATAAAAGTAAACCAACACTAAATAAAAATAGTTCTAGAGTCTAAGATGAGGTGGAGAAACAGGAGCAGACAGAGATGATACAATGTAGAGAATTCAAAGAATGTGGGGGAAGCCGGGAGGACAGCCTATTTATTCCATTAACATTTTAATTTCAAAAGTAATTTAAATCAGCATTATATTTAACTGTGAAATTAGATTACTTCTCTGTTTAACATGCAATACACTTATGAACTTAATAAATGACAAGTAGTGAGACAGGAGTCATGTCACATCTTTGAACTCACAGGAATTGCATCTTAGTGCTGCAAGAGATTGGAAACAATGGTTTTGTTTTATGCCACAGGAGGCTGAGACCCAGTCAGGTTAAGGAATGTACCTGAGGGCACATGGCTAGTGAATAGCATAGCCAGAACTACGACCCTACAACCAACTTACAAAGGCAAGCCTATTCCATTATACTTCTCAGGTTAATGCATGTTTAAAAAGTTTGGGGTTGGAAAGCACAATTATTACTAACCCTTTGGTAAAATATTATCTTCGTTTCAATTTTCCCTCCTTATTGAAACTCTCCCTTTCACCGCCTCCCAAAACACTTCATGGCATTCTACTTTATCTCTGTCCTCTTCCTTCTTGGTTTCTTTGATTGACATCTCCACCACTGACCATGCATTGAATGGAAGCAGCCCTCAACATTCTATTCCCTTTCTTCTCTATAGGCTGAAGGCTCTAACTATGTACGCCACATATGAGAGCTTGCAATTCTAGCCACAGAAGCACACTCTGACTATTCAGGGCACTCTGGAAGGGCCACAGTAATGCTCCTAGAGGTAGTTCTCAACCCAACGATGATCTGAGAGTTACAGGCAGTGGCTTTCTTGCCCCTTGGTTGGGATAAATCTGCAGGATGTTACAAACTGTTTACAGAGCTCCCAGCAGCACTGGCTCCACTTGCCCACAGTGGTCATTGGCTTAATAACAAACAATTTACTGACTCCTTTCCTTTCCCTGCCTTGCTCCTTTACTCCCCTACTAATGCTTCCAGGACCATCCCTAATAAACTAATTGCACCCAATCCTTGCCTCTGCAACTGGCAGAACCCAAGGTAAGACCCAACACCATCCTGTAGATCTCCAATACTCCTACTCTTCGGTACTTTCCATCTAGAACACACCTCTCACTCAGATCCACCTCCTCAAAACTACCCATCCTGCAGTGCTCAATACTAACCTTCCCTCCACCAGTAACCCTTAGCCAATCCCCAGGGAGAATGTTGTGTATCTCTTTAATAGCAGGCTTCACTTTGATACCTGCCAGCTTCAGCAGGTTTTTTTTTTTTCTTTCTTTTCTTTTTCTTTCTTTTTGAGACAGGGTCTCACTCTCTCATCCAGGATGGAGTGCAGTGGTGCGATCAACGCTCACAGCAGCCTCGACATCCTGAGCTCAAGTGACCCTCCCGCCTCAGCCTCCTGAATAGCTAGAACCACAGGCACAAACGCCTGGCTAATTTTCCTTTTTGAAGTTTTTGTAGAGACAGGGTCTCCCTATATTGCCCAGGTTGGTCTCAAACTCCTGGGCTCAATGGATCCTCCTGCCTCCACCTCCCAAAGAGCTGAGATCACAGGTGTAAGCCACCATGCCTGGCCTTTAGCAGGTCTAGTAGGAGGATAGTGACATGTATTAATATATTTACTTCCACTGCAATCCAGGGACTAAACTGTGAGCTCCCGAAAGGCAGACACCCTGTCATATCCATTCTTGCATTCACCAGAGCAACTGTGCTTCTCTGTGGTAGACATTCATTAAATGTCTGCTGAAAAAAGGTAAACTTCAAAAACAGCCCTAAATAAAACCACATGTTTCTTATTGAAGGATGCTTCCTTAGGAATTTTTCTTCTTATCTTATAGGGAGAGTTCTGGCTTTCATATTGTGGAATATGAAAGTAAGTGTACCTAATAAGACATGGCATATGAGAGGAAAATGCTAAAATATTCTCAATTCTCTGTTTTAGATCAGAGGCACTGGCCTGTTTTTTTAAAAGAGCATTAAAAATTGTGGGTTTTTTTATATTACTTTGTGGCCTTCTGTTAATATTTGTGCAACAACGGTTCCTGTAAGTGAAGGAATTTAGACATCAGAGAATCCAATAATACACAGAATGAAATTGATTTTGAAATTCTTGATGCTTTTGCAAAAACAAAGTAAGCCTCTCCCATAGTCAGTGATCTGCCAACACAAGAATTTCTGCCTGTATGTTTTCCTCACACATGTAACCTTAACCAGATCTGTGTCACTTGGATGCCTGAGATGGAATGATTGTGTAAACACCAAACCTGATCATGGATCTGGTGGTGTAGCCAAACCTTTCATGGTACTACAATCTACTGGTGCACAGTAGAAGCCTACAGGTCCCCAATAACTTTTAAATCCAGTTACTTTCAACTTGGAGTCCAAACTTTACCTTGTGGAAAAGCACCATCTACTACATGGGGATAAAACATTGTAAATAGAAACATTAGACAACATGGTCTTCTCTCTTTTCTTACACTCCATTTCTATTGCAACTGTCCTGACCTTGAGTTAGCATGTAATTTCCCACATCACAGCAATAATATCCTAGTCTCAAATCTCTACTTTGTATTATTTAACCAAAATTGTTTCGATTATGAAATTGATTTGATTATAAAATTCAAATAATACATTAAAAATGAATTTAAAAAGAACTATATTCTAGAGATGGAAACTGGTGATAGTCGCACAATAATGTGAGTGTACGTAATACTACAGAATTGCACATTTAAAAATGGTTAAAATAGTAAATGTAATGCTATGTATATTTTACTACAATAAAAAGAATCCTCTGTGACACAACCACCCAAGGATAACTATTGTTTAACATTTTGATTCATACCCTTTCTGGACTTCTTTGAATGAAGAAATAACTCCTCTCAAGTACACATATTTTTTAAATAAGATCACACTATTCTAATATTTTAGACTTAAAATCATAGATCACAAAGGATCTATGTTGATAAATAACATCATCCATAATGGCTAGATGACATGAAATTATTTAACATGTCTTTATTTTATTTTTAAATTCTTACTTAACATGTGTTTATTTACTTAACCAAGTCCCCCTTTTTAGATATTTACATTATTCTTGTTTTTTAATCATTATATCTGCAAAGTTTTCTAAAATCACAATTGCCAGTACAGCAGAGGCAGGCACATTTTCAAGTTTTCAGCATCAACTGTGAGAATACCTTCCATACATCCACTTTTAAAAACAAGGGCCTTTCTCTCTTGTATGCCATCATCCAATTACCCTTCCTTTAGCTCAGGTCTAACTGTCTCTGTCTCTGTCACTGTGTCTCTCTTTCTCCCACCAATTAAAGCCATCAGTGACCCCCATGCTGATCCCCAGACTAATGATTGAAATCTACTTTCCATGTTCTGGCATTCAAGACTGACCATGATCAAATTTCAACTGCTTTTTGAGATCTCGTCTCTTACTACTTCGATTCATGCACTACACGGAAAAGCCAAGCTGGATTACCCCCAGTGTTCCCATTAAGACCCTCAATTCTCTGCCTCTGTCTCTTCTTTACTGGAATATCCTAACCCATCACTGACACCTGTTGAAAATTGATTCCTTTTTTGAAGCCTAGCTCAGAGTGGATTTCTCCATGTCCTTCTCTACAATCCATCATAACAATGTTTATTGAGTGTATATTTCAAGTGTACTAATCACTGGCAACCTCATTTTGTTTACTTAAAATAGCTCTATAAACTAGATTGAGATAATTTCCCCCTTTAATACAGATGAGGACACATAAGCTTAGAGAAGTTAAATAGCTTGCCCAAGGTCATGCAGCGAATAAGGAGAGATGGATTTGAATTCGGCTCTTCTGCTGACAATTAATACTGTGTAATTAATACTGGGCAAAAACTAACTTGGCCTTTTCTCACATTTAAAATGAATGAAGGTGGGTTAAATTACTACCAAAACATATTCAACTCTGATATTCCACAAGATGTTAAGAGTAGCTTAAATATTTCACATGTTGCTTTTCAAGCCCCTTGCATCCTTCAAAAGAAGGATGAGAGTTTATTTGCTGCCTGCTTAGAACATTATTTAGGTAAATAAGATTTCAAGATTTCATCCTATTTCTGTCTCACTGGAGACAGAAATAAAAAATCACAACACATTGAATAAATGTCATTGCTATTACTACTCAGGGATCAATCAATTGATGAGAATGCCAGCATAAATATTAACTAAACATCCAAAGACAGGGCTTGAGACAGCACTAGGAAAATGTCATAAAACTTTTTCATGGAAGACTAAAATTTCTAGAGGCTTCCATGGCAAGTGTAAAATAAATCAGTATGTCTTATCTTGATATTTCTTTCTGGGGCTGCTGTGCAACACGTCACACCACCCTGGCTTGTACTCAGGAAGCAAAACAACACAGAGCAGGAACCAGAATATCAAAGTGGGCCTGTCAGAAATTGGAAACTCAGAGTTCAAAATGGAACAGATGGACCCCAAAGCTGGCACAGGGCATCGAGCCAGAGGCTTGTCTTGATGAGACCTTGCTTTAGGATCTGAGATGAAGATTTTCATATTTGCACATAAGAAGAGTGGTCCCTGATGCCAACCAAACCACTGAAGAAACAGTGCTAGGTACTGGCGCTATGGACCAGTGGAAGAGCTAGGTCCTTGGAATGATACTGAGCTGAGTGTCTGAAGTCTACAGGGTAGAAACCTGTCCCTTAACAAAGGGATCTGTAGCAAGGCAAACAGGACTTTGGGTATCAAACTAAAGGGAGAGGCCAAGCACAGTGGCTCACGCCTGTAATCCCAGCATTTTGAAAGACTGAGGCAGGTGGATCGCTTGAGTCCAAGAGCTGGAGACCAGCTTGGGAAACATAGCAAAACCCTGTCCCTAGAAAAAAATTTTAAAAATTAGCCAGGCATGGTGGCACATGTCTGTAGTCCCAGCTAATAGGGAGGCTGACGTGGGAGTACTGATTGAGCCCATGAGGTCAAGGCTGCAGTGAGCCGTGATCTGCACTCCAGCAGATCCAGCAGAGCCACTACGCTCCAGCCTGGGTGAGAGAGCAAGACTCTGTTTCAAAAAAATAAAAGAAAAATTTAAAAAAGCAAGAAAATAAAAAACAACCTAAAGAGAGAATAAAGAGCCCTTCTGGCCTGTGAATTGTTAGGATGTGCACAGATGAATGAGAGAGCATCATCACATGTGCTTTAATTCATGTGTATATATGTTAGTAACGTGACAACTAATTGGCCACATGGATGATTTAACATTACGAATGGTGTTTAACTTAATATCTCCAGCACTTACCAGGGTACTAGACACAGAATAGGTAATGAAAATGCGAAGAGGCTGGGCACAGTGGCTCACACCTGAAATCCCAGCACTTTGGGAGGCCGAGGCAGGTGGATCACCTGAGGTTGGGAGTTCAAGACCAGCTTGGCCAACACAGTGAAACACCCTCTCTACTAAAAATACAACAATTAGAGCTGGGTGTGGTGGCACACACCTTTAATTCCAGCTACTCAAGTGGCTGAGGCATGAGAATTGCTTGAACCCAGGGGCAGAGGTCGCAATGAGCCAAGATGGCACCACTGTACTCCAGCCTGTGCAATAGAACAAGACACTGTTTCAAAAAAAAAAAAAAAGAGAAAGAATAAAGAAAGGAAGGAAGGAAGGGAAAGAAAGAAAGAGAAAGGAAGGAAGGAAGGAAGGAAGGAAGGAAGGAAGGAAGGAAGGAAGGAAGGATAAATAAAAGAAAATGTGAAGAAATAAGAAGAGAGGGAGGGTCCTAATGAATAAAGTCTTTAAGAGCTGTATTATCATATCACCTCTAGCTGTGTCTTGTTATTCTAACACCAGTTAGTAGTGGTCACAGAAAAGACATCAGGGAAAAGCCTGTATGGTAAATGCACCTGATAGCAATAGCTTAAGCATACCCTGAGAATGACTCTGGCAGACATCCCTGAATGTGAGTTCTGAGCTAGGGAATCAGGAGATCCATTCCTTGTCTATGAGCAACATCTGAGCCCCTGTCCAGTCCCATGGAACACAGGCTGCACAGGGGCTTGAGGTCCTGAGTTTTGAATTAAATCACTCTTGCCAGGTGGAGGTCATTAAGGGGGAGGATATAGGTGAAAATGCTATATAAACTCCATGCTGTTTGCAAGCAGTTGTGGTTTTTCTGCCCAGCCTGCCACCACGGAACTCTTCCCACTGTATGCAAGCCCCTAATAAAATCCCATGTCTTTAGGTCTCTTCTTCAGCCAGCTGAACGTGGTTCCATTCCCATTGGAGTTGATACACATTCAGCATGACAGAGTCACCCAATGTTGCACTGAAATTTCATATATGAGGACACTGATTTTCAGATCATATGGGCCCAATACATTAATAAAAATAAACACCTGCATTTAATGAAACTTGCTACATGTCAAGTAATGTGCAAACTACTATAAGTACATTATCTTTATCCAATCCTCAAACAACTCTGTGAAGCAGGCATTACATATCCATGCCACAGAGGAGGAAATGGGCCTAGTGAGGTCAAGCAGCTGTCCTCACAGCTAATCAGTAGTGGCAGATGACTTTCAGTTGAGATCTGCCTGCTCTAGAACCAACACTGAACCAGCACCAAAGTTGCTAGACTGGAAAATGTCAGGTGCAGGAGATATTTCAGTCCCCTAAATCCCACTTTCATCCTGATCAGAGGTTTCTAGAGTAATGACACCTCTCAGGGGTGAGGACAAGCTTGCCTCACCACATTTTATGCAGAAATATGGCAATCTGAGGATTCTTCAGACTAATGGATGAAGAGCATATTTACCACTGATTTATTTTAAAGAGTAAACAGAACTATGTAAGACATGCGCCCTTTTTATACTTTGGCTGTGAGTAGAAATGATGTAAACAGCTGTACATGGGAGATTCTAAGATAGCAACAGTCTGCCTTCATCCTCCTTGCTAGGGGTCACTGTCAATGAGGAACATGAACACCCCAAGCAAGGCAATTTCCATTTCACTACTACCTTACTTTCCCGGAATAGGAGTTCTTTGAGTGCTGGATCCACTAGCCTCATGGTGGATTAACTAAGCCATAGTTAATCCATTATGAGATGAGACACTCTTCTCCTCTGATCAGCATCCTCTGAAGTTCAACCCTCTCAATCCACAGTGATGGTTCTTCTTTTTTTTTTTTTTTGAGACTGAGTCTCCCTCTGTCGCCCAGGCAGGAGTGCAGTGGCGCAATCTCGGCTTACTGCAAACTCCACCTCCCGGGTTCACGCCATTATCCTGCCTCAGCCTCCTGAGTAGCTGGGACTACAGGTGCCCACTACCACATCCAGCTAATTTTTTGTATTTTTTTTTTAAGCAGAGATGGGGTTTCACCATGTTAACCAGAATGGTCTCAATCTCCTGACCTCATGATCCACCTGCCTCGGCCTCCCAAACTGCTGAGATTACAGGCGTGAGCCACCACACCCAGCCAGTGATGGCTCTTTTTAAGAAGTGGCTTTTCGATTCCTGGGCAAGATGGCCGAATAAGAACAGCTCTGGTCTGCAGCTCCCGGTGAGACCAATGCATAAAGCGGGTGATTTCTGCATTTCCAACTGAGGTATTTGGCTCATCTCATTGGGACTGGTTACATAGTGGGTGCAGCCCACGGAGGGTGAGCAAAAGTAGGGTGGGGCATCGCCTCACCCAGGAAGTAGAAGGGGTCAGGGAACTCCCTCCCCTAGCCAAGGAAAGCCGTGAGGGACTGTGCCATGAGGGACAGAGCTATCCAGCCTAGATACTACGCTTTGCCCACTGTCTTTGCAACCTGCAGACCAGGAGGTTCCCTTGGGTGCCTACACCATTAGGGCCCTGGGTTTCAAGACAAAGCTGGGCGGCCATTTGGGCAGACACCGAGTTAGCAGCAGGAGTTTTTTTTCATACCCCAGTGGTGCCTGGAATGCCAGTGAGACAGAACCGTTCACTCCCCTGGAAAGGCAGCTGAAGCCAGGGAGCCAAGTGGTCTTGTTCAGTGGATCCTACCCCCATGGGGCCAACAAACTAAGATCCACTGCCTTGAAATTCTCGCTGTCAGCACAGCAGTTTGAAGTCCACCCGGGACACTTGAGCTTGATGGAGGGAGGGGCATCCATCATTACTGAGGCTTCAGTAGGTGGTTTTCCCTTCACGGTGTAAATAAAGCTGCTGCAAAGTTCAGACTGGACAGAGCCCAACGTAGTGCCGCAAAGCCTCTGTAGCCAGACTGCCTCTCTAGATTCCTCCTCTCTGGGCAGGGCATCTCTGAAAGAAAGGCAGCAGCCCCAGTTAGGGGCTTATAGATAAAACTCCTATCTCCCTGGGACAGAGCACCTGAGGAAAGGGGCAGCTATGGGCACAGCTTCAGCAGACTTAAACGTTCCTCCCTACCGGCTCTGAAGAGGGCAGCAGATCTCCCAGCACAGTGCTCGAGCTAAGGGACAGGCTGCCTCCTCAAGTGGGTCCCTGACCCCGTGCCTCCTGACAGGGAGACACCTCATACAGGAGAGCTCTGGCTGGCATCTGGTAGGTGACCCTCTGGAACAAATCTTCCAAAGGAAGGAGCAGGCAGCATTCTTTGCTGTTCTGCAGCCTCCACTGGTGACACTCAGGCAAACAGGGTCTGGAGTACACCTCCAGCAAACTCCAGCAGACCTGCAGAAGAGGGGCCTGACTGTTAGAAGAAAAACTAACAAACAGAAAGCTATAGCATGAACATCAACAAAAAGGAGGACCACTCAAAAACCCCATCTGATGACATGATTGTATACCTAGAAAACTCCATCGTCTCAGCACAAAATCTCCTTAAGCTGATAGGCAACTTCAGCAGTCTCAGGATACAAAATCAATGTGCAAAAATCACAAGCATTCTTGTACACCAATAACAGACAAACAGCCAAATCATGAGTGAACTCCCATTCACAATTGCTTCAAAGAGAATAAAATACCTAGGAATCCAACTTACAAGGGACGTGAAGGACCTCTTCAAGGAGAACTACAAACCACTGCTCAACGAAATAAAAGAGGATACAAACAAATGGAAGAACATTCCATGCTCATGGGTAGGAAGAATCAATATTGTGAAAATGGCCATACTGCCCAAGGTAATTTATAGATTCAATGCCATCCCCATCAAGCTACCAATGACTTTCTTCACAGAATTGGAAAAAACTACTTAAAGTTCATATGGAACCAAAAAAGAGCCCGCATTGCCAAGTCAATCCTAAGTCAAAAGAACAAAGCTGGAGGCATCATGCTACCTGACTTCAAACTATACTACAAGGCCACAGTAACCAAAACAGCATGGTACTGGTACCAAAACAGAGATGTAGACCAATGGAATAGAATAGAGCCCTCAGAAATAATTCCGCATATCTACAACCATCTGATCTTTGACAAACCTGAAAAAAACAAGCAATGGGGAAAGGATTCCCTATTTAATAAATGGTGCTAGCCATATGTAGAAAGCTGAAACCGGATCCCTTCCTTATACCTTATACAAAAATTAATTCAAGATGGATTAAAGACTTACATGTTAGACCTAAAACCATAAAAACCCTAGAAGAAAACCTAGGCAATACCATTCAGGACATAGGCATGGGCAAGGACTTCATGTCTAAAACACCAAAAGCAATGGCAACAAAAGCCAAAATTGACAAATGGGATCTAATTAAATTAAAGAGCTTCTGCACAGCAAAAGAAACTACCATCAGAGTGAACAGGCAACCTACAGAATAGGAGAAAATTTTTGCAATCTACTGATCTGACAAAGGGCTAATATCCAGAATCTACAATGAACTCAAACAAATTTACAAGAAAAAAACAAACAACCCCATCAAAAAGTGGGCGAAGGATATGAACAGACACTTCTCAAAAGAAGACATTTATGCAGCCAAAAGACACATGAAAAAATGCTCATCATCACTGGCCGTCAGAGAAATGCAAATCAAAACCACAATGAGATATCATCTCACACCAGTTAGAATGACAATCACTAAAAAGTCAGGAAACAACAGGTGCTGGAGAGGATGTGGAGAAATAGGAACACTTTTACACTGTTGGTGGGACTGTAAACTAGTTCAACCATTGTGGAAGTCAGTGTGGCGATTCCTCAGGGATCTAGAACTAGAAATAACATTTGACCCAGCAATCCCATTACTGGGTATATACCCAAAGGATTATAAATCATGCTGCTATAAAGACACATGCACACGTATGTTTATTGCGGCACTATTCACAAAAGCAAAGACTTGGAACCAACCCAAATGTCCAACAATGATAGACTGGATTAAGAAAATGTGGCACATATACACCATGGAATACTATGCAGCCATAAAAAATGATGAGTTCATGTCCCTTGTAGGGACATGGATGAGGCTGGAAACCATCATTCTCAGCAAACTATTGCAAGGACAAAAAACCAAACATCGCATGTTCTCACTCATAGGTGGGAATTGAACAATGAGAAAACATGGACACAGGAAAGGGAACATCACACACCAGGGCCTGTTGTAGGGTGGGGGGAGCGGGGAAGCATAGCATTAGGAGATATACCTGATGTTAAATGATGAGTTAATGGGTGCAGCACACCAACATGACACATGTATACATATGTAACTAACCTGCACGTTGTACACATGTACCCTAAAACTTAAAGTATATATTAAAAAAAAACCCCATCCAAAGGCCACCAAAATCAAAGACCAAAGGTAGACAAATCCATGAAGATAAGGAAAAAACAGTGCAAAAGGCGGAAAATTCCAAAAACCAGAATGCCTCTTCTCCTCCAAAGGATCACAACTCCTCGCCAGCAAGGGAACAAAACTAGGTGGAGAATGAGTTTGACGAATTGACAGAAGTAGGCTTCAGAACCCAATGCAAGGAAGCTAAGAACATTGATAAGAGGTTGCAAGAACTGCTAACTGGAATAACCAGTCTAGAGAAGAACATAAATGACCTGAGGGAGCTGCAAAACACAGCATGAGGACTTTGTGAAGCACACACAAGTATCAATAGCTGAATTGATCAAGTGAAGAAAGAATATCAGAGATTGAAGATCAACTTAATGAAATAAAGTGTGAAGACAAGATTAGAGAATAAAGAATGAAAAGGAATGAACAAAACCTCCATGAAATATGGGACTATGTGAAAAGACCAAACCTACCTTTGATTAGTATACCTGAAAGTGATGGGGAGAATGGAACCAAGTTGGAAAACACACTTCAGGATATTATCTCAGAGAACTTCACCAACCTAGCAAGACAGGCCAACATTCAAATTCAGGAAATAGAGAGAACACCACAAAGATACTCCTTGAGAAGAGCAACCCTAAAACACATAATCATCAGATTCACCAAGATTGAAATGAAGGAAAAAATGTTAAGGGCAGCCAGAGAGAAAGGTTGGGTTACCCACAAAGGGAAGCCCATCATACTAAAAGCAGATCTCTCTGCAGAAACCTTACAAGCCAGAAGAGAGTGAGGGCCAATATTCAACATTCTTAAAAGAATTTTCCACCCAGAATTTCATATCCAGCCAAACAAAGCTTCACACATAAAGGAGAAATAAAATCCTTTACAGACAAGCTAATGCTGAGGGATCTTGTTACCACCAGGCCTGCCTTACAAGAGCTCCTGAAGGCAGCACTAAATATGGAGAGGAAAAACCAGTACCAGCAACTGCAAAATCATACCAAAATGTAAAGACCATCAACACTATGAAGAAACTGCATCAACTAATGGGCAAAATAATCAGCTAGCAATGCAATGACAGGATCAAATTCACACATAACAATCTTAACCTCAAATGTAAATGGGCTAAATTCCTCAATTAAAAGACACAGACTGGCAAATTGTATAAAGAGTTAAGTCCCATCCCTTTGCTGTATTCAGGAGACCCATCTCACTTGCAAAGACACACATAAGCTCAAAATAAAGGGATGGATGAAGATTTACCAAACAAATGGAAAGCAAAAAAAAAGCAAGGGTTGCAATCCTAGTCTCTGATAAAACAGACCTTAAACCAGCAAAGATAAAAAAGGACAAAGAAGGGCACTACATAATGGTAAAGGGATCAATGCAGCAAGAAGAGCTAATTATCCTAAATATATACGCATCCAATAAAGGAGCACCCAGATTCATAAAGCAAGTTCTTAGAGACCTACAAAGAGACTTAGACTCCCACACAATAATAGTGGGGACTTTAACACCCCACTGTCATTATTAGACAGATCAACAAGACAGAAAATTAACAAGGATATTCAGGACTTGAACTCAGCTCTCGACCGAGTGGACCTAATAGACATCTGCAGAACTCTCCACCCCGAATCAACAGAAAATACATTCATCTCAGCACCACATAGCACTTTATTCTAAAATTGACCACATAATTGGAAGTACAACACTCCTCGGCAATGCAAAAGAACAGAAATCATAACAGTCTCTCAGACCACGGTGCAATCAAATTAGAACTCAGGATTAAGAAACTCACTCAAAACTGCACAACTATATGGAAACTGAACAATCTGCTGCTGAATGACTACTGAGTAAATAATGAAATTGAGGTAGAAATAAATAAGCTCTTTGAAACCAATGAGAACAAAGACAGAATGTACCAGAATCTCTGGGACACAGCTAAAGCAGTGTTTAGAGGGAAATTTACAGCACTAAATGCCCACAGGAGAAAGTGCAGAAGATCTAAGATTGACATCCTAACATCACAAAATTGAAAGAACTAGAGAAGCAAGAGCAAACAAGTACAAAAGCTAGCAGAAGAAAAGAAATAACCAAGATCAGAGCAGAACTGAAGGAGTTAGAGGCATGAAGAACCCTTGGAAAAAATCAATGAATCCAAGGGCTGTTTTTTTTTTTTTGAAAAGATTAACAAAATAGATAGACTGCTAGCCAGACTAACAAAGAAGAAAACAGAGAAGAATCAAATAGACACAATAAAAATGATAAAGGGGATATCACCACTGATCCCACAGAAATACAAACTACCATCCGAGAATACTATAAACACTTCTAGGCAAATAAACTAGAAAATCTAGAAGAAATGTATAAATTCCTGGACACATACACCCTCCCAAGACTAAACCAGGAAGAAGTCAAATCCCTGAACAGACAAATAACAAGTTCTGAAATTGAAGCAGTAACTAATAGCCTACCAGCCAAAAAAAAAGACTAGGACCAACCAGATGGATTCACAGCCAAATTCTACCAGAGGTACAAAGAGGAGTTCATACCATTCCTTCTAAAACTATTCCAAGAAATAGAAAAGAAGAAACTCCTCCCTAACTCATTTATGAGGCCAAGATCATCCTGATACCAAAACCTGACAGAGACACAACAAAAAAAGAAAATTTCATGCCAATATTCCTGATGAACATCAGTGTGAAAATCCTCAATAAAATACTGGCAAAACAAATCCAGGAGTACATTAAAAAGCTTATCCACCATGATCAAGTCTGCTTCATCCCTGGGATGCAAGGCTAGTTCGGTATATGCAAATCAATAAACATAAGCTATCACATAAACAGAACCAAAGACAAAAACCACATGATTATCTCAATAGATGCAACAAAGGCCTCTGATAAAATTCAACACCCCTTCATTCTAAAAACTCTCAATAGACTAGGTATTGATAGAACATATCTCAAAATAATAAGAGCCATATAAAACAAATCCACAGCCAATATCATACTGAATGGGCGAAAGCTGGAAGCATTCCCTTTGAAAACTGGCACAAGACAAGGATGCCCTCTCTCACTACTCCTATTCAACATAGTATTGGAAGTTCTGGCCAGGGCAATCAGGCAAGGGAAAGAAATAAAGGGTATTTAAATAGGAAGAGAGGAAGTCAAATTGTCTCTGCAGATGACAGGATTGTATATTTAGAAAACTCCATCGTCTTAGCCCAAAAACTCCTTAAGCTGATAAGCAACTTCAGCAAAGTCTCAGGATACAAAATCAATGTGTAAAAATCACAAGCATTCCTATATGCTAATAATAGACAGAGAGCCAAATCATGAGTGAACTCCCATTCACAATTGCTACAAAGTGAATAAAATACCTAGGAATACAACTTACAAGGGATGAGAAGGATCTCTTCAAGGAGAATGACAAACCACCACTCAAGAAAATAAGAGAGGACACAAACAAATGGAAAAACATTGCATGCTCATGGATAGGAAGAATCAATAGCGTGAAAATGGCCATACTACCCAAAGTGATTTATAGGTTCAATGCTATACCCATTAAGCTACCATTTACTTTCTTCACAGAATTAGACAAAACTACTTTAAATTTCATATGGAACCAAACAAGAGCCTGTATAGCCAAGACAACCCTAAGCAAAAAGAACGAAGCTGGAGGCATCATGCTACCTGACTTCAAACTATAGTACAAGGCTACAGTAACCAAAACAGCATGGTACTGGTACCAAAACAGATATATAGACCAACGGAACAGAACAGAGGCCTCAGAAATAACACCACATATCTACAACCATCTGATCTTTGACAAACCTGACAAAAACAAGCAATGGGGAAAGGATTCCCTAATTAATAAATGGTGTTGGGAAAACTGGCTAGCCATATGTAGAAAACTGAAACTTGACCCCTTCCTTACACCTTATACAAAAATTAACTCAAGATGGATTGAAGATTTAAAAGTAAGACCTAAAACCATAAAAACGCTAGAAGAAAATACAGGCAATACCTTTCAGGACATAGGCATGGGCAAAGACTTCATGACTAAAACACCAAAAACAATTGCAACAAATGCCAAAATTGACAAATGGGGTCTAATTTAAGAGCTTCTGCACAGCAAAAGAAACTATCATCAGAGTGAACAGGCAACCTACATAATTGGAGAACATTTTTGCAATCTATCCATCTGACAAAGGGCTAATATCCAGAATCTACAAGGAACTTAAACAAATTTACAAGAAAAAAACAACCCCAACAAAAAGTGGGCAAAGGATATTAACAGACACTTCTCAAAAGACAACATTTATGCAGCCAACAAACATATGAAAAAAAGGTCATCATCACTGGTCATTAGAGAAATCCAAATCAAAACCACAATGAGATTCCATCTCACGCTAGTTAGAATGGCGATCATTAAAAAGTTAGGAAACAACAGATGCTGGAGAGGATGTGGAGAAACAGGAATGCTTTTACATTGTTGGTGGGAGTGTAAATTAGTTCAACCATTGTAGAAGACAGTGTGGTGATTCCTCAAGGATCTAGAACTAGAAATACCATTTGATACAATAATACCATTGCTAGGTATATACTCAAAGGATTATAAATCATTCTATTATAAAGACACATGCACACATATGTTTACTGGAGCACTGTTCACAATAGCAAAGGCTTGGAATCAACCCAAATGCCCATCAGTGATAGACCAAATAAAGAAAATGTAGCACATATACACCATGGAATACAATGCAGCCATACAAAAGAGAGTTCATGTCGTTTGCAGGGACACAGATAAAGTCGGAAACCACCATTCTCGGCAAACTAACACAGGAACAGAAAACCAAACACCACATGTTCTCACTAATAAGTGGGAGTTGAACAATGAGAACATCTAGGCACAGAGAGGGGAATATCATACACTGGAGCCTGTTGGGGGTGGGGGCAAGGGGAGGGATAGCATTAGGAAAAATACCTAATGTAGATGACGGGTTGATGGGTGCAGCAAACCACCACGGCACATGTATACCTATGTAACAAACCTGCACGTTCTGTACGTGTATCCCAGAACTTAAGTATAAAAATTAAAAAAAATAAGAAAAAGGAAGTGGCTTTTTGTTGCTACTTTGCAAGTAGCTCAGCCTTCCGTGAAGATCTTCAGGGTTTGCTGATCTTTGGGCCCTCTCTGACCAATCTCAGGACCCAAAGCATGTAGGGCCCATTGAAAATGCTATAATCCTAGAATTCAAAAGCGACCAGAAAAATACCTTTTTAAAAAATCACTCTGAAGAAACAGAAAAGCTTCATTCACAGAGCTGTTCACTACAGCATTATTTACTACAATGGAAAAGAAATGGAAAAAAACCCAAAGATTCCAAAAAGAAATAACTCAAAACAAGTTAAATGTGACACATCCATATGATGAAATATTGTACAGACAATAAACATAACATTTATAAAGGGTGATTATTGTCATTGGAAAGTGTTGTTAAGTCACCTGACAAAAATGCAAGACATAAAAGTATGTAATCAATGCAATCTCTGTTACTTAAAAAAAATCACAGAAAGGAGAGGGGAAGGAAATGCTAAAAAGTTAATAATCACATTACAATCTGATCATAGTCATCATTTTCAATTTATTCTCCTTCATATGTCTTCAGTGTTTTCCAAGTTATAGTTTCTATAATCAGCAAGTAATCCTTCCAAAATTAGAAAAAAATTCAAAACGTAAGGAGGTGAACATCAGGTTGAATATCATGTCAATAAAAAAGAAGTGATAAATGTTTCACTTTGACATTTTTCAGCATGGAAATTTGCAGAGTTCTTCCTCCTTCTTCAAATATCTTCACAAGGCCAAAATTAAATTTCTGCTGGGATATAGCAGCCACTCTATTGCAGTCTACTACTAGACTGCAATAGTGATCAGTGGTCAGTCCTTGCAGCTTCCCAAGAATCAAAGCATTCACAAATTCTCTGGCCATTTTACAAACCCTTCATGGTTTATTCTGGAGCAAGAGAAATAGCAAGTTGTTGAGTAATTATAAAGTTATTGTTGTGGCAAGGTCCATAGGAGAACCACTGTAGCCTTGGCAGACAAGCTATTCTGAAGCATTCTCCTCCAGTCATTTCATAAAAACATTATGTAAAATATTAAAACAGCTTTGAATAAAAATAAGCAGGTATAATTCACATCTAATTCAAAAACTATCAAAATTAGCAAAGTGAGACATCAACCCCTTTTTGTTAATTATTATTTTAAGAAACCACAAGGTCACAACAGCAATATTTAACAAGTTCATAGCTATTACTATGAATGAAAGCAAACAGTGCCAAAGCAATCAGGAAGAATGGGTCAGCTTCAGCAAAGGCCTTTGGACAATAAAAAAACAAAACAAAGCAAAAAACAAAACAAAACAAAACAAAACCTTTGTAGGTGTCCACCCTCCATTTGTCCTCTTTAAATGGTTTAATGGTTAATTTTATATGACAATTTGGCTAGGCCATGAGACCCACTTGTTGGATCAAACACTAGTCTAGATATTACTGTGAAGGTATATTTTAGACATGATTAATATTTACAATCAGTAGACTAAGGGTAAAGCAGATTGTTTTTCAAAATGCAGGTGGGCCTTATCTAATCAGTTGAAGATCTTAAGAGTAACAACTGAGGTTTCCCAAAGAAGAAGGAATCCTCAAGACTGTAACATAAACTCTTACCTGATTGGCCAGCCTGCTGGCCTGCTTCTCCAGCTCCACAATCATGTGAGCCAATTCTTTAAATTAAATCCCCCTCCCCACCCTCTCTCTACAGACATAGATTCAGATATAGGTAGATACGGATGCTGAGAATATATTCATATTCTCTGGAGAACCCTGACTAAAACAGGCAAAGTGACCATATTTCCTAATTAGCGTGAGGCAGTGTGGTTACACCAGTTGTTGTGATATAATTATTAAGAGGTAGCCCTTTCCCTCAGAAACACATCGTGGATGATAAATTACATGATCTCCTTACACGCAGAGCTAAAGATAGATTTATAGTATTCCAAAGTAATGAGATCCTTTTCCTTTCACCCTTGTTTTTCAAACTTCTTCATGACTCACAATAAGAAATATATTTTATGTCACAAAACTGACCTTTATGATGGCAATGCAATGAGCTGTTTTATATTTTATTATGTGTCATTTCCAATGCTCTTTGCAACCGACTAACTTCATGGCATGATCCGTGTATAGGGTCATAACTCAGCTTGCAAAGTACTGACTTGGAGGAATCCATGGCTGTCCAGTGTATTTTGCTGATTATTGTCTCAGGACACACTAAAGACAGGAAGAGAGGAAGAGAGATAGGCATGTCTCAGAGATTTTCCTCTGCCTATACTCCATACAGTCTTTGCTATTATTTCTCCTAAATATAAATGAAATGCTTTTAGTGTAAACACATCAAATAGAAATATGATTCCAGAGCCATTGTCCTTTAGTGAATCTCAAGTTTCCTTTGAGTGACAGACATAGAGAAGGGGGAAGAATGAATAACACTAATATCCTATTCAGTGATGCTGCCTCCAGTCATTTACCTCTAGTCTGGTCAACGTCCCTTGCAAGACAACTGATTTGACCACTAGCCATGCAACGAATATCTACTGATAGACTGTGCCAGCCACAATACAAGGCAAAGTCTTCCCTGCCACCAAGTCCCAGCAGCTCTTTGCTGAAAAAAAGAAGAAAGTCCAAAGCCATGTTCACATTCCAGGCTCTACATCCCACCTTCAGCCTTCTTTTCAGCCTTTTGTTCCTCTTACTACACCCCCTTCTACACCCAACACAACATTTATAGACACTTATACACCCTTGCTTCCTGCCCTCAGCCTCTGGTCAAGCACTCACCTCCTTTGAAAGAACTCTCTCCTGTCTCCTCCATCCTATGTGCCCTGCCACAGTTCTCCTCTTCAAAGGCCCTTTAACCCCATTCCCTTCATAGGGCCTTCACAGATGCTGTCAGTTACTGAAAAGGAACTATAGCTTCAAGATGGAGTTTGGCTCAACCTAGAGGGGCCCAAGTTCAACACAAGCACTTTTCCATCAAAAGTTGCTCCAGGCACTGAAAAAGTGAAGGAGGCTCAGCGAAGTATGAGCAAGAAACAGGGGCAGAAATAGAATTTGAAGTGGCAGGCAAAACATCCAGGGGCTAGTAGAGCCCATTTCAGGAATAAGTGAGTTGGAACTTGAACAAGGAGAAAAATTGTTGTGGAAAGAGGTTGTGAAATAAAGAAAGCAAACTTGTCTTTCTCACTGGTCATTGGAAGGAGAACTAGATGTACTCCAAAGACTTGTGGAGTATAGGCAAAGGAAACTCCCTGAGACATGTGCGTCTCCCTGATGGCACAGTCAAAAAAAGTTGACCAGAGAGCCCAGTAATACATTACTTAAAGGTTTGCTCACTTACAGACAAAGGGGCACCAGGTACAGCTCACAGCCTGTAATGCCAGTCAGACCTGCGTTCGCAACTTTGTTCCATCACACTTGTTGGCTGATTCAGACAAAGGATCTCTCACTGTCTAAATGTCAGTGTCTTCATTTGTCAAACAGGGAGGAAAAAATAGCAGCTGAGCATCAGGAGGAGCTATGAGGGCTCAGCTCGCTGCCTGTTCCTCTACCTGGGGCTGAGCCCATGACCTATCCCTTGCCTTAGCATTTCACCTACCCCACTTAGAGACGGAGAGTTGACTCAGTCCTCAAGAGAACAAAAACAGAAGATATAGCCAAGAGGAAAGGGAAACAAATCTTCAATGTTTTGAGGTCGATTGTCTCTCAATAAAAAGCAAAAATATAATTTTAAGCAAAAGACAATATTTCAGAAAGCTTCCTCTTCAAGTCTGCTTAGAGACAAAAATGTAAGATCTCTAAAAGTTGCTCATGCAAATTTCATAAATCCATGTAAGCACACAATTGCTCAATTACCATACACACGGTCACTTGCCAATAAAACAGGGGGAAGCTGAAAAAATAATTCAGATGCCTTATGCAAGCTTAGATCACTGCACAAACAGACTGAAAGAGGCTCAATAGATATTTAAACAACAAATTAAAACCTCCTAATACAGAACCAGACATCTTCTCTAATTTTGCAGACCATAAAAACTGAATAAATGGAAACTGAATATTTTCTTATCAAAAAATAGAAAAAAATTACCTATTAATGTTTAGGCTCTCAGCAATATGAAACTACTAAATAGCAAGCCACCAAAATTAAGAGTTAAATTCGAAGTGACATTCAAGTGATAGTCAAGTTACAACATTAAAAGTGGTATTTGACAAAAAACTGAAGAATTATTCTTTGGGAAGTATTTAAATAAAAGCATCCAATCCAAACCTGAAAGAGTATGTGGTCTGTTCTTTTGAAACACACATTTCTATTGAATAGTGTAATATCAACAGGCAGGAGAATTATCTGAGACAGGAAAACATCCGCTAATGGAAAATGAGAAAGTTAATAAACAAAATCAAACTGGGTATTTTATGAGCCCTGCTAAAAATACCATTCATAGAAGTAAAATATCATCATTATGACTGAGCATAATAAACCTATTACTAGTCTTAAAGGCTATGTGTGATAGAAATCATTAAAATCAATTGAGTTACTGTTTCTTAGCAATTTGATAAAAAGGAAAAATAGTATAATTGGGAATCAAGTGTTCCTTTGGGAGCTTAAAACAAGCCAGCTGGGTTTGTAAGTGCACTTTAATCTGTTTGTATATTTTTCCCTTGTTTTAAAAAAAGGAAAGGCAAGAAAGATTTACTGAGTCAAGATGCCATAGTCCTGGAATCTGTAGAATTTAAATTATTAGTAAAGATTTAGTTATGATGGATAGTTCTCTCTACTCTTAACCCCCCCATCAAGGAGTTGAAAAGCTGACTGAGAGCTGATTCTTGCCATGTCTTCTGGAACTGCTGAATCCTTCAGGACAAGAACTTTGATGTGAAATCCCACTCGATACTAAGTTGAGTGGGAGACAAGAAGAGGGGTTATAGAATGTCCCCCTGAACTAAGACTGAGCATAGCTATCCACATGCAAACTTGGTTCAGCCTTTTCTACCACTGCATCCTCATGGAGCAATCTATAAAAGTGTGGCCACTTTTGGGAAAGCAGAAACCATGATGTATGGACTTATCAAAAAGACCTTTTCCATTTATGATTTATAATTATCATCCATAAGTGGTCCTAATAAATATTAAACACCAGTAAAATTCTAAGGCAGAAGTCAGCAAAGTTTTTCTGTAAAGAGTCAAATTGTGAATATTTTGGGCTTTGTGTGTCAGATGGTCTCTGTGCCAACTACTAGACTCTGCCCTTGAATGACAAAACCTGTGTTCCGTTAAAACTTTATTTACAAAATCAGGCAGCCAGCCGGCAGGCTTTACTTTGTTGACCCTTGCTCTGATAATCACCTACAGAAATAAGAATGGGCATAAAATCTAAACGGACTCTCTGTGTTCCTCCTGTCTTGGTTATCCTTAAGGAAATGATTTCTTATATAAACCAAATTTCCTATCTTCCCGAAGACACTAAGAGGTTAAAAGGTTATCCTCTCAAGATGGCAAGTATCCTATGAGCCAACAGGCTATGATTTTGTCATTTAGCCTGAGAAATGGCAGGAAGTCTTGCAGATAAAAGGAGTCCATCTGAAATCGACTCACTAGATCCTGATTCTCATTTATCTCCTTTAAGACTAGTCAGGGTCCCTGGCTTTAGTGACAGGTACACAGCTGGAGGTTAAGAAATATAAATCAGTAACACCAGTAAACAATATAAAGTATGGGAAAAGCAGAAAGTGGACATTCAAAATACCAATCCAATCATGAAGATAAGCGCTATTACAACACACCTAAGGATTAAAGAAAGCTGAGGTATAAAAGAAATATAAAGATACTCCCCTATCTCTTCTCTGTATCTTCCAATTAGTCTTCATGGGAATCTTCAGTTTTTTCAAGCCCCTAACTCTCTGTTCTAGGCATCCTATACCAGAATTAACAAAAACTGGAGCCCCATGAATAGTCTGGATCTATGCAAGTTAATTAGATCCCTCTCACCTGCAACCTATTACAAGGTTCCCCAGAAGCCATTTCTATTTAGAAATGTGGAAGTCCTTTAAACCACATTTAAGAATGCTACACAAAGATGAAAATAGGAGCATAGCACATCATGAAACATTAAAAGTTAATAGCAACACAAACATTCAGCTTTTAAGAAAGCTGTTTTATAATTTGATCACTTACATAAGGAAAATAAAATCCAGAGGTCACATAGTAGCTCTGGTTTCCAAAGGAGCACTAATAAATGAGAATGGCATATGAATTGGGGGTAGGAGAACAAGGAGCCTGTGCCCAAGAGCTTTCACTCAGGGAATGTAAGTCAGGGGTCTGGTGGAGAGGGGGTTAGGGAAACACTGAAGTTCCTTTTGAAAACTCTTTTGCTTCATCTGTAATATTTAAAAGACAGATTGTTGTTTGGCTTGGAGGTCCAGATACTATAAAAATGTTTTCTCTCCAGGCCCAGTGATTTCCTAAAAGCTATCATAGGCACAATTTTGTTTTGGAAAGACTGCAAGCATTGTAAGGACAGGGCTCTCTCTTTGTTATTTACCAACAGCACCAAGGCAATTCCCAGCAAGATATGCCCATAAAAACCAACTTTTGGAAACAGCTTTGATTCAGAAAAGAATCCAAGCAAATTCCCTAAGCAAACTACTTTATGCATCTGTCACTACTGCAGACAGAAATGAGCACGCACAGGTATGCACCCTCTTGGCATGGTCCCCAGAGTGGTAGGGCCAATATGCAGTTCAGATGGGTCCTGGGGAGGCAAGTACAGTGAGGCAGACTCACTGTAAGTAGCATCCTTACCAAAGGTGCTCATAGCCTTCTGATGACTTGGCATGCAGCAGGGTCACATTTGGAGGATAACAACCAGGACAACAGCAAGGCACAGAGTCTAATCGATGCCAAAAATTGTTATGATGAAATCTTTGTTTTCTCTGTGTGTGTGTGGGGGGGTGGGGGGGGTGTTTAACTTTTGCACTGAAGTTTGTTGCTGTTGTTGTAATTATTCCTAAATAATAATTTTTTAAAGTATTTTTTTCTAGCCTACCAAAAGTTGGCTTCTTTAAGGTCTAAGGGGACCATTACCTAAAATGCATTCACTAAATGATGGATTTACTAAGAGATTTGCTAAGTGACATGAAATACCTCGGTTATCCAGTATAAGGAAATTTTCCAGACACATGAATTATTCTCCTTCATTTGCGGAAATCAATTAAAAGATGTTTTGATTGTTGATGGAATAGAGTTGGAAGAGAATTTAGATAATCTACATACAAAAACTCATTTTGATCAAGAGGCAAGTGGGACTTCAACAAGTGACTTGCTTAAGTTCACATTCCCAATCAGTGAGGAGACTAGAATTCCCACCTGAAAATCATCCCTGCTACCCCTCCACCCCCATTAACTCAACAGGAATTCATTAAGCACCTGCTGGTTTAGGGGTAAAGCACCTTCTATATCTACTGCTATTGTCCTCTCCTAAGTTTAAGGAGAATAGTTCTCACCTGAGCTTAAGGACAACCATCACTTGGAGATCCACAGTGAGCTGCAATGGTTCTGTGTTAATAATCAGGAAAGTCAGGGTCTATTACTTAATGTGTTTTGTTGTTTTGTTTTACTTTTAAATGTTTGGTTAGTCAATTTTCTCTCATCAAGAGTGGTTTAAGACTAAAAAAATTCCCACCTATGAAACTTTGCCCATGCTATGGCTCTGCCCAGTATATTTTCCATTGTGTATTTTTTCCCTTTCTATTGAGTTCTGATCCACCTGTCAAATGGCTTCAGATATCACTTCCCCTCTGAAGATTTCCCTGATTCATACACTCCTTCTCTAGGAATGAAAACAATGACCTCTCCCAGGCTTATTATTTACCTTAAGCATATTTCTGTGGCTACAATCACTGATTACACTACTTTGTATTTATTGGTTTATACACCTGCCTTCTGACTACATAATATGTTTCAAGAGGACAGAGACCATATCTTCTCATTTTGTTATCCCCATAACTCAGCAATGCACCTAAGAGGCATCCAATACATATTATATTGAATTTGAGAGTGTGTACAATTTAAAATAGATTCCCTGTAATGAGTTTAGTTATCTAATAAGAAACACAACCCTGTTACCAGTTGACAGTGAACTCTTCCCCACAGCTGTGATTTAGAAAAAACTTGCATAATAGGTTAGCATTTTTAAAATAGGAAATGAACCACAACAAAATCACCATGGATTCTTAAGAACTATCAAAACAGCAGGTTATGCAAAAACAGTGACGTGTAGAAATTCACCTCTAAACCCAAAAGGAGAGCTTATAGAATCAAACAGTTGCCTCAATACCTTCATTATCCTTTATTCTTCTACTCTGGCCCTGATTTTGTCCTGTCTGACTGGTATTTTCCAAAGCACACATCCAAGCTGCCCTGGCGAAATGCCCTAGGATACTGCCTAACTTCCCACATCTGTCCTGGTGCTCATCATCATCTGCTCCAACCAAAGGTCAAATGCATCAATCTTTCCCAGCAGGATGTGGACAGATCTGCATCTGTAAAGGATGCTAGAGGAGCCATCCAAAGAGTCCCACCAATTTCTGTCTGCGTTCACCCTCTTAACTGGAACCTGCTACACAAGGGCATCTCACAGGTGACCTCACGCCCCACTAAAATCTCATTACTTAGATGTTAACTGCTTTCCAAGGACTGGCTTTCTATTTGAACTGTTTTCACATCCCAAGTAAGTCAGAGCTGTTTAGTCGATAAAGCACTGACAGAGTTTGGAAATAATCTGAACCAAGTGGCTCTTCAAGTGGTTTCTTAGATGCGCTTAAGAAAACATCATATCCATTTTCCCAATTAGAGAAAAATGTGTAAAATACACTATCCATTTTCCCAATTAGAGAACAATGTATAAAATACACTAACTTGAGTGTCATATAAATTAATTATCATTGATTGATGTTAACGTGGAAGGTTTTTTTTCTTTCTTTCTTTTTTTTTTTTTTGAGATGGAGTCTCACCCTGTCGCCCAGGCTGGAGTGCAATGGAGCGATCTCGCCTCACTGCAACCTCCGCTTCCTGGATTCAGGTGATTCTCCTGCCTCAGCCTCCCGAGTAGCTGGGGTTACAGGTGCGTGCCACCACACCTGGCTATTTTTTTTTTTTTTTTGTATCTTTAGTAGAGATGGGGTTTCACCATGTTGGCCAGGCTGGTCTTGAACTCCTGACCTCGTGATCTGCCCACCTCAGCCTTCCAAAGTGCTGGGATTACAGGCACCAGCCACCATGCCGGACTTTTTTTTTTTTTTTTTTTTTTTAGGCTTCCAGGAGACTGCCTGTGTGGAGATGGTTGGCTCTGAATCACGTGGAACAGGGTTTAAAACAAAACAAAAGATAGCCAGGCATGGTGGCACTTGCTTGTAGGTCCAGCTACCTGGGAGGCTAAGGATGAAGTCAACATCCATTAAGTCCAGAAGTTTGAGGTCAGCCTAGGCTACACAGACACCTAATCTCTTAAAAAAAAAAAAAAAAAAAAAAAAGCAAAAATGCTTATGCTAAAAGATTGGTACTTTTTCTAATACAATTATTCACACATTTATCAACTTTGGGGTGGTAGGAGCTATAATAAAGTACATTTCAGGTCCCCATTTGCACGTTGCAAAGCTAGTAACAGGGAAACCCTGCAAAATTAGTCCTAGGTGTCAGATGCTTTGAACCATCTGCTGGCAAATGGATTTATGCCTACTGTCCTTTCCAACACTACAAATGTTATTTTTCCAACCACAGCAATCTAGTGTCTTCTTAAACCACAGCCACTGGCATCTGAAGCATAGAGGTAGAGTACAGTCTAATAAGGCCCCACATTTCCGAAACGATGGCCAACATGAGGTGAATCAAATGCAATCCTGCTGCTCCAGTGATGCAGGAGGACAGATTAGCTAATGGCCTGAAGCATCTGTTCCCACTCCAAGGATCCTGACTCCATGCCCATCCTTATTCAGACATGCCAAGAACACACAAACATCTAGGAATGTAATACCCAAGGCATATAACAAATGAAGAGGCTGATCAATCTGTGGAATGTCCTCAGCACTCACTGCTGAATAAACTAGATCAAACGAGAACACATTTTAATTTCTGAAATGGCAGGATTATTCTAGGTTTGTAACTTATAAAGAGAACAAGTTAAACAAGCACCATGGCTATCCACACTGAAATTGGCAGGAAAATCTATTTTTCTTTTCCCAGCACATCAGGGCAAGAAAGTTTGGTATTTTTCAATTCAGAAGGTCCTGAAGCAGCGATGTCACTGCAGAAATATTAAAATACAAGCCAAATGTATCTAAGTAAGTGTATTCTTCAGAATTTTTTTTTTTTTTTTGACGAAATCTTGCACTCTTGCCCAGCCTGGAGTGCAGTGGCAGGATCTCAGCTCACTGCAAGCTCCGCCTCCCGGGTTCATGCCATTCTCCTGCCTCAGCCTCCGGAGTAGCTGGGACTACAGGCGCCTGCCACCAAGCCCGGCTAACTTTTCGTATTTTTAGTAGAGACAGGGTTTCACCGTGTTAGCCAGGATGATCCCGATCTCCCGACCTCGTGATCCGCCCGCCTCAGCCTCCCAAAGTGCTGGGATTACAGGCATGAGCCACCACGCCCGGCCTATTCTTCAGATTTTTAAAAGCCCAGCGACAAGAGGGTAGTGTGTTTTGTTCTGCTGAGAAAATTATCCTTTTATTGTATAGCTTTGTCAACCATGTTTCCAAGAAAGAAAATCATCCAAGCCCATGTGTTGTATTTCTCCTAGGCAGAGGTAGTGGAGAAATACAAAACTAATGCAATGCTTTAAAAAAGTAAAATAAGAAATGACAGACTACATTTAAAATTTTACAAAAGTAACTACATTTTATTTTGCAATGGAAAGCCACCAATGACTGAGCTTGGCAAAAGAAGAATGACCTAGGAAGTATAACTTTCTAATTGACTTAAAGTACTCTGTATTGACCAGATCACCAAATCCGTGGGGTATTTTTCTAGTTCTCTTTTTAAGCATCAAACTGTCAATTGTTCTCTAGTTTCTGGAGCAGTTGTGGTTTCATGAAAGGTTCTAGTTCCTCAATCATGAATTGGGTGGGGATAAGGGGCAGGTGTCCGTGATCTCTCTCAGCTTGTTTTTAGACATGTGAATTTTGTTAGCAAGATAACTCAAAGCAAAGCCTAAGGAGTGAAGCCAAAAGTGACAAGGATAGGAAATTATATCTCAGTATGCCAAACAAGAGAAAATCCTAAGGACTGAGCATCATTAACCAAGCAGCAACCCACCAAAGAAGGGCGCATAAGGCAGCACCGCCAGACCTCCACACGCAAAATGCAAAACAGACAGAGAAAGTGGGTGTGGCTGTTACCTGTTTCTATAGCAACTCCTGGAAGGATAACCTGTGCCAGCATCACCAACATGCATGCACAGATCCCAGAATTAGGGGCAGAATTGGACCAATAAAACTGTGTCTGTTTCGTGAGAGGACTCACTGAGACCAGCCATGCCTTCATCTCAGTTCTGCTAAGAAACTTTCCTCTCCCGCCTGTCAACATATATGGAAATAATATTCTTGGTGAAAGCTCAAATGATTATATAGAAAAGTGTCTTAAATTTTCAACTTTGTGCTGTTCAGCAAACCCACCCCGATACTATTTCCTTTTTTATGGCTTGTCGTTCAAGCAGGGAAAGCTGAAATTCTAGACATTCAGTTGAGTATGAAGGGGCCTCTTATGGCAAGATCCAGCATAGGGAAAGCCAATTCAGACAGAGGAAGCTCTCAAAACTGAACCTTTCCTTTATCCCCTTCCCACAGAAACAGAAAAACAAGAAAATGATAAGAACACAGAGGTGTAGTTGGAGAAAAATGTGACCCCATTTGACAGGTGTTATCTAAATAAACTAGGGCTCTTTGAACAAATGATCATGATGATTAAAAGGTACATATGAGACAGAATACTCAACATGTAAATAATAACCACCATTTGCTAAACACCTACTACGTTCTTTTATATATAACACCTTATCAGCACAGTAAATTTCAGGAAAGAGGAATGCTATTCTCCCTATTTTATAGATGATCATGGGCCCCACTTGTCTGGCCTGATGCTTCAACAAACATGTTTTCAAACACAGAAGGGTTCCTTTGTTGACATTAAAAATTGTATAGAATATGATTTCATCCATATGACATATGAAAAAGGCAAAATTATGGAAACTGTAAGAAGATCAGTGATTGACAGGGGTTGGGGTGTAGAAGGAAGAACAGGCCAAATACAGGATTTTTAGCTCAGTGAAAATAGTCTGAATACTATAATGGTGGATAAATGTCACTATACATTTGTCCAAACCCACAGAATGTCCAATACCAAGGGTGAGCCCTAATGGAAACTGTAGGAGTTGGATGACTATGATGTGTCAATGTAGGTTTGTCAGTTCTAATAACCATACCACTCTGGTGGTGGGGATATCGACTATAGGGAAGGCTGTGCATGTGTGTGTAGGGGGGTATATGGGAAATCTCTGCTTACCTCTCTGTTTTGCTGTGAACACAGAACTTCTCTAAAAATATAAAGTCTTACATTAAATATATATATATGTATGTATATTTATATATATATATATATATATATATATATATATATATATATATCACCACCATCATAGTTGGACTTTTACTCTTTGTTGAGAAAACATAAGAAGATAAAATTACAGATTTTGAATTTTGCTAATTCTTATTACAGCTAAATATGTTAGAAAAAAATGTATCTATGTGGGAATCATAATAGTTATGGAGTCTCCAGACAATGGTTGGTACCTATATAGATCTAAGAATCCCATGTGAATGTGAACAATCTCCAATCTTCCATGAGTTGAAGGGTAACAGGTTACAAATCCTACTATACATTCTGCGACTTCACTAGGTAAACTCTCAAAAAAAAAAAAAAAAAAATAGGCCGGGTCTGGTGGCTCATGCCTGTAATCCCAGCACTTTGGGAGGCTGAGGTGGGTGGATCACGAGGTCAGGAGATTGAGACCATCCTGGCCAACATGGTGAAACACTGTCTCTACTAAAAATACAAAAATTAGCTGGGTGTGGTGGCACGCACCTGTAATCCCAGCTACTCAGGAGGATGAGGCAGGAGAACTGCTTGAACCCAGAAGGCAAAGATTGCAGTGAGCCTAGATCACACCACTACGCTCCAGCCTGGCGACAGAGCGAGACTCCATCTCAAAAAATAATAAATAATAATAATAACATGTGGGGGATAAGATGCCCATCTACTCCTGCAGAGGTAAAGATATCAACACAGCACCAGGTTTAGTTTGGTTCTTTATATCTTTGGGGAAATCTGAAAAATTTAGGGAAAGCCCAGACAAGAGCAATGAAAATGATGAAAGGGTTGGAATGTAAGAGAAAAGGCTGATGAATGAAGATTAATTAGCATGGGGAAGAAAAGACTGTGGGGAACTTAATATCCTCCTTGAAATATGGCAAAGGCTATTATACAAAATATGATCACCATGATTCACAATTCCACCGAGAATGCAAACAGAGGAAACAGGCTTTTGAGAAGACACGATGAATTTAGATTCAGAAAAAATAAATCTTTCATTGTAAGAGTTGGAGGCACTAAAATAGGTGGCAACTTAATGACTTTGCGAACTTTGCTTTCCTGCAGGGCCTACTCCTATTCTGTCGGCCCCTCCCACCCAACTTAATCACCACCTCCTCTGAGAATCCCTGGATTCTCTCCTTCCATGCGAAACACAGCCAGTGTTTTTCAGTGTCACCAGAAGGCTTGTCAAAATACAGATTCCTGGGTCTTGCCCTGAGAAAAGGTTCAGGTGAGCCCTGTGAAATTGTATTTCTTACAAGTGGTGGGTATGTAGACACACTTTCAGAAGCAATGAACTAGACACAATCTCTCCCCACACTTACCTCTCATGAAAATGCATCTGTACTTCTCTGGGCACTCGACACTGCTCTTACACCATAGTATTTTACATAATTCCCTACTAGATTTTGGTCTAATGAGACTTTGAAATTCCTACAATGCCTAGCAGGTGACACTAACATGGCAGGGCTCAAAAAACATTACCTTTAACTTTTTTCCTAGAAAAGTAAGGTCAGTCTAACTTGCCTAGAGGCCTTCACTGATTTTATCATCTCTCATATATTTATATATATATTATATATATATAATTTATATATATAATATATAATATATAAATATATATATTTTTATATATAATATATATAATCTATATAGTTCTCATATATTTATATATATTTATATATATATTATATACATTTTACCCTGTTTCCTTGCCTAAGAGACTCCACACCTTTAAGACCTTTGATGTATGCATTTGAAGTTGTCCCATAAACCAACAGTACCTAATGTTCAAAATAAAAATAAAATTGAGTATGATATATAAAAATTTCCACCCCATAAGGTTTATTTTTCCTTATTAGAGCTTTGGCTTATGTCCCCAAGATTATATTCCAAGAAAATGGCAGGAAAGGAGCCATATTTTTTATTTATTGTTTATTTTGCCTGGTTCTGGCAGGGAGGCCAGGGAGGTCAATGAGCAAATAAGGACCTGGCATCTCTGAAATCATGCTGGTTGCAGTTGAAGTCTGGGCCAGAAACTGATCTGGAAAATTATTCCGTAAACTCACTCCCTCTTCTCATTAGCTACTAAGCTTACTTGTTAGCTAAAAACAAAAAGCAAAAAAAAAGGACACAACAATGTACAGCAGCAAAAATAAGGACCCCCTAATGGAAAAACTGGGGAATGTCTCTTGGGCTTCAAGTTGACTCAACAAAGACATTGTCAGATTATATGTCCAGCAGTAGGGCATCGCATCATAATCTCTCAGATGTCTCAGAAGCAAGGTTAAAGCTCCACCCTTCCACAAACCAAAATGGTCCCAGAGTAATTACTCTCTCTCCCCGCTCCCCACTGTACTTGAATTTTATTTTTATGGTCTCTCTCTCTCTCTCCGTCTCTCTCACTCGCGTGCACACACATACACACAGACACATACACACACACACACCTATAAAAAAATTCAAGTGAACTTTTAAGTGGCTACATAGCATGCAGGTGAGAAAGGCAGTGCAGAAAATAGCACAAAGGACTTCTGGATTTGTAGAATTCCACAGCTGCAGCACATCTGATGATTTAAAAAAAAATCACCAACCACCACACACATAGCAGGTATAGTCATAATCCTAAAAACACCCTCAGGTAAAAGAAATGTAAAAAGTAAACTCTTTTTAAAATTCCTTACATTTTTGACCCTTGTTCATCTCATGCATTTTTTTCTTTTCCCAGGATTGAACAATGTATACTTCTTATTTACTTCTTCTTACAAATGAGTCAAAAAAACCCAACACATCAGGACACTTTAGTAGTCAAAAAGATTATGTCCACTCCACTACACTGAATTCAGAAAAATTAAAGTTCTGTTTTCCCAACCACTTGTATAGAATGCTGTCTGAGGCTGGCAAAACACAAAAGAAAAATAAATCTACAAGTTCACTTCTAGGAACAACAAGAAACAACTCTAAGTTGTAAGCACTACCCTGCAATCATGCTGGCTTCTAACTGTGAAATATGGTCATTATCTTATGGAACTGATCTAATTTTGTGCTCAATGCCCTAAAATAAAGGGTTTCTTTTGAATACCAAATACAAGGACTGGGACCAAAAAAATGATAATAATTTGACAGCACTTTAAAACACAGCTTTTTTTCCTCCTCCTGTCACATTAAATAGCACCAACTGACAAGTGCTCTACAGGATGAATGAATGAAAGATTATGCATTTGCTGAGCTGAGGAAATTCCACAGATAAACTGTAGTGGAGGGCTGATATTAGCTCATTAGAAGGCTTAATACACAGGGCACAAGCAGCGTATTTAACGAAAATTTACAAATGTATTGAAATGCAGCTGGAACGACACAGGATGACATCTTTTTTCTCAAGTACAAAGGGAGAAAAATATGCTTATCTCTTTAAAAGTGTTGCTGTTCAGGCTCTACTCGTGTGTTTATATACACACATACACACACACACACACGACACACACACACACACGAAAGCTTCATTGATTCAGGTTAACAAAGAAAGCAAATATACTGTGGTGACATTTATTAACATCTGTGCTAAAATCATGAATAAGAATTATATATAACACTTGGCTAGAGGAACTTAATTTTAAATATCACGAGAAGAAAGCCCAGAGAAGATGTATAGTCTTTCCTCATGAGACTTATTTGCAGCAGAAGAAATAAAAACAACACTTCTATACGTAATGTTTAATTCATTAATAGTTGACAGGATTATTAAAGAAAAATATTTAAATATGGACATAATTTTAAAACGAACTTTTGCCGAAAATTATTCCATTTTATTTTCTCATCAAAGCAAGCCCTTCACCTAATCCTATAATTTGAAAGAACAGAATCAAGGTCACTCTCTCATTTACTCAAATCATTAAAAATGCCTTCCTTTGCATCGCTATGCCGTAATTTCCATAGGAGTTCATATGCTTTCTAATCCTCTCATTTTCTCAACATCACCACTTATTCACATAGGCACATGTTCCATATTTGATCCATGCTTCTGAAGATTTTTCTGCTCTCCCAGAATATGATCCACTTATCACTAAGAGGAGTCCCAACATCAGAAATGTCCTTGCAAACCTGGAACCCAGCCTGAACAGGCAAAGAAGGACAAAATCCCAGTGAGGGCTGGCATTTGGTGAGTGTTCACTCTGTGCCCTGCCTTAAGTGAGGTGTTTCATACACTTATTTAATTCAGTGTCATCTTCCAACCCAGGCTGTGATTACTGCTCCCATGCTTCAGGTGGGGGAACTAAGGCTCGGAGAGCCTAAGCAACAGGCCAGAGTCAAGAAGCTGAGTTGAGAAAGAACTGGAGTTCAAACACGAAGCTATCCCCCTGCTATGGACCAAATGATACCCTCCCTACACCCCTGCCAAACTCATATGTTGAAGCCCTAACCCCACTTTGTGGCTACATTTGGAATTATGAGGAGGTAGTTAAGGTTACATGAGGTCATAAGAGTGGGGTCTTGGTCTGATAGGATTAGTGTCCTTAGGAAAAGAGACACCTCAGATCTCTCATGCTGGTCTTCGCATGTGATCAGTGGAAAGGCCACATGAGGACAAAGCAGCCATCTAGCAGCCAGAAGGAGAGCCCTCACCAGAAACTGAACACTGCTGGAATCTTTATCTTGAACTCTCCAGCCTCTAGAATGATGAGAAAATAAAGGTTTGTTGTTTAAGCCACCCATTCTGTGGTATTCTGTTACAGCAGCCCAGCTGACTGACACACCCATTTTAAAGCTCTTTGCCACCACTTTGCCTCATGGGCTGGGAAGTTTCATTCCCCATCAATTTCTGCAGCAAAAGCTTCCTTTTGATCCTCCTCGTCTTTTATTGTCTCCTTATTAGTGACATCCATATGAATGAAATGTATGATGCTGCAGGAGGCTCATCATAATTTAACAGGAATTAATGTCCTCTTATTATAAAGGACCCTACAAGCCGCTGCTTAATAGTCAGCAACAACTGGAATTAATACGTGTCAGATGAACATCAAGAAAAATCCATTTATGACCCCAAAGTCATGAAATTTAGCATAATTACACATGCTCTTGTTTGGGTAATTTTTTCTCTCCTCATTAAATTAGGTGCCTACATTAGATTTCAGTCTGATCGGTCTTGACTAGTTACATTTATGTAATCAAGGGCATTTCCTCTCAAATCAACCCAAAGTTACACAGGCAAACTACAGTAAATGCATGAACTGAAGCAAAGGTACAAGTGCTGAAAAGCTTAGAAAATTCATTCTTAATATTTATTCATGTTACCCCTCAACAAATATTTATAGAACACTTACTATGTTGTAGTCAGTGTTGTCGGTGTTTAAGAGATGTATGAAGTGAAAAGGCATAATTCTAAGAATCTCTTCAAGAACTGTGCTTGCCTTCCCCCTCACTACTGCAGCTCCAGTCTTTAGCATACCGGAGCCTCCATCACAATGGGGAATAAAAAAAACTCATTCTCTCGAAAATATCCCGTAACTGTTCAAAGTCAATCTCCATCTCCCTGGCTTTCTCTTGTTAACATAGTTTGCCCCCACTACCCTCTTGTAGTACCTCCTTAAAGAATTTTCCTATCTAATAAAATCACCTGGCTTTAAGCCTAAGCAGAGATAGTACAAGGTTGGTATCTGGCAGCTAGAACAATTGAGTTTCACCTTAAAACAAGTTTAGCCTCTCATAGCCCCTTTCTGTTGTGGTCTTTATGGGTCAACCCTTCTAAGATATTAAGAAGAAAACCTTAAAAGGCACTGACTTGACAGTATCATGATAAAAACAGAGTCCCCTTCATGCTCTGTAGAGTGGATTCCTCATCTGGCCAGGAAGAGGGTAGAAACCTGGATCTGTCTAGTGTTTGCCTGCTAGGATGCCTTTATCTGATCCACCTTGGGAGATTTCAGTCACCTGGGTTTCAGAGATACCTGCAATCTGGACATTGGGTAACTAGTATGATTTGCTGTTACTGGTTCCTGGAAAGGAGTTGAAATCTAAATGTTCCTCCAGGCCAAGTGCACACAGAGCACCTCACTGGAAGAATCTGAGTCACCTCATCCTTCTGAAACAATTCTGGAAGTCTACCACCATCTGCACAGCTTTCGTGGCAGCAAATTAATCCAGGTGACGAAGCAAAGATATCAGATTAGTTCAGGGAGAGGAGAACACCTTGGTTCCCTTGGTTACTCCAGTTTAGGAGGCACTAAGGCATTTATTTAAGAAAGGAACACTTACTTATAAAGGAATTTTTAAGGACTCTTTATGTGCTAAAAATACAATCAGAGAGGAAGTGTATAAACTGCTACTAAAATACAGTTTTATCAGAGCCTGGGGTAACACAAGGAATCAGAAATAAAGTATATCTAGTTCTCTAATAACCCCTAAAATAGCTTATTTCCCAGAGAGCAAGACAATCTCCATAGGAATGTTAAGACAATGTGATAGAAAGTATGGCTCAAATGGTAAAAGAGTCTCTTTTTAAAAATTCTGCTGCTGCCAGATTAAAAAACAAAAACTGAACTCATAGTGGAAACTAGGAAGGATATATAAGGAACACTGTATCAATCAAAACAAAAACTGAACTCATAGTGGAAACTAGGAAGGATATATAAGGAACACTGTATCAATCAAGCACACGTACTTATGAACCAAGGAATGAAGATTTTTCTCAGCTTTTACAATAACAAGACACATTTCAAATTTCAAGAATATGTCTTGAAATATTCACAGTTTCAAAATGTTCACAGTTTTAACTAGGAAGTTGGGGGAAAGCTCAAAACAAAACAATTTTGCTAAAGAAAGCAGAATTTCACTGCTCACTGAAAATTTTAAATTTCTACAAATTGCCTAAGGACACAAAATTTCTAGCCATTCTCATTCCCTAACTTCTTATTGCCTCCTTTCCAAATACATATTTTTCTAAAAGTCCTCCAAATGTTGAATGAATCTTTTATTGTTGTTGTTCTTGTGAGACGGGGTCTTGCTTCTGTCACCCAGGCTAGAGTGCAGTGGTGTAATCACAGCTCACTGCAGCTTCAAGCTCCTAGTCCCAAGTGACCCTCCCACTTCAGCCTCCTGAGTAGCTGGGACCACAAGCACATGCCATCATGTCCAGCTAATTTATTTTGTAGAGATGGGGTCTTGTTATGTTGCCCAGGCTGGTCTCAAACTCTTGGGCTCAAGTGATCCTACCGCCTTGGCCTCCCCACGTGCTGGGATTACAGGCATGAATCTTAATGTATAAACTGGAGCCTTGTTTGAATGCCATCCTTAGAAGCCACTGGAAAGATTATTAAATGAGATCATATTACAGCAAGTTCTTGCTGAATAATAAACCTCTTTGGAGAAGGGCTTGAGAAAGGTTGTGCCACAATGAATTTCATATTGCAGCAGATGCTGTTGTAAGGATGCTCCCAGGTGCACCCTCCATGATGCCTGTGATCCTCTAGAGCACCATGAGAAGGCACTGGAAAAGTATCCTCCATGATCAGAGTGAAGCAACCTCCATGCCCCAAAGTGAAACATCTGTCAAACAGGAGAGATCTGCTTGGGAGAAAATGGTCATGAGGAAGAACACAGGATAGGGTGGTATATTAATCAGTGTTATTCAGAAAAAAATGAACCAACTGGGTTCATACAGAAAGAGATTTATTATGAGGAGTTGGCTTGCATGATTATGGGGGCTGAGAAGTCTCATGATGTTCTGTCTGCAAGCTGGAGGCCCAGGAAAGTCGGTGGTATAATTCCATACCAAACCCAAAGGTCTGCAAACGAGGGAAGCCAATGGTATAAGTTACCATCTGAGTCTGAAGGCCCAAGAACCGGGAGCATCTGTGTTTAAGGGTAGGAGAAGATAGATGTCCCAGCTCAGGCAAAGAGAGTGAATGGCCCTTCTTCTGCCTTTTTGTTCTACATGAGCTCTCAATGGATTGGGTTGAGTGATACTCACCCACAATGGTGAGGGCATTCTTTACTGAGTCTACTGAATCAAATGCTATTCAGAAGCATCCTCACAAACAAATGTAGAAATGTTTTACCAGCTATCTGGGCATCCTTTGGCCCAAGCAAGTGGACACATAAAATTAGCCATCATGGGAAGTAAGAGGTACCTGGGGAAATTGCCAGTAGGTCAGTTTCATCCACCTGCCATATTGTACCATGGTGACATGGTCTTCAAACAATGGAGTTAGGCTGTGACCAAAGACAAGCAGAAGACCTCAAAGGTCAAATGAACACTCACTGAGAAATAATGTTGAGAATTTGACAAAGGTGGATTAGCTACTAGGTTATCCAGGGTAGTTTACTTGGGATTCCATTCTCCCAGTTCTTTTTATTTTCTTCTTCCTACCTGACAGAATTAATCACTCCTTCTTCTGGCTATCCTGTACCCAGCATACATTCCACTAGTACAGCACTTGTCACAGTGTGTTTTAGCCATCAACACATCTGTCTTTCTAGAAGTAAAGCTCCTTGGAAGCAGGAATAATGTCTTTTTTAATATTTGTACTCTCTGTGGTAGTGTAGGGACTGACATATACAGATCCTTGATATTTGTTGAATGGAGGAACTAATGAATGAGTTTATGGATGAAAGTTCCAAAACCTGTAGTTGTTTTTCTCTTCAGGGTAGGATATACAACTTTTCCCTCCCTCCCTCCTTTCTTTCTCTTTCTCTCCCTTTTTTTTCTTGACGGACTCTTGTTCTGTGGCCCAGGCTGGAGTGCAGTGGCACAATCTTGGCTCATGCAACCTCCGCCTCCCAGGTTCAAGCAATTATCCTTCCTCAGCATCCCAAGTAGCTGGGACCACAGGCACCCACCACCATGTCCAGCTAATATTTTGTATTTTTCATAGAGACGGGGTTTCACCATGTTAGCCAGGATGGTCTCCATCTCCTGACCTCGTGATCCTCCCACCTTGTCCTCCCAAAGTGTTTGGATTACAGGTGCGAACCACTGCACCCGGCCCCCATACTTGTTTTGTAACACTCCATAATATAAACTTTTCTCTGCTGATGGAGCAAATGAGCCAGTGCATTGTCCTACACATTCCCCCGCCCTGGGCCTTTAGTAGTGCAGTTGTCCTGGCCTAGAACACCCCTGGAAATAAGCTCCACCTCTGTAAATAGCAACCACAAATTTTAAGGCCTACCTCAAATCTAACTCTTTTATATCTTCCTATATTGTACCTCCAGCTCTCATCTCTAAACTCCTATCACATTTACATTTTGCAATATCCACCTGGCACTTAATCACATACTGCAATGAATTTTATTTAACTCACTGTTTCTGGGAGCCTTCTCAATGTTACAAAGAACATTCCTTTTTAGGGAAAAATAAGCAAATAAGACTGGCTCAGGGAAACACAGCAAGTAAGTGAAAAATCCTTGAATTAAACAATTTAAGAAGACATTGAGTGTGGGAACTTAGAAGAGTGGGTAAAGTAAAAAGAAGAAAGAAAACCTCAAATACAAAATCAATGTAAACAGACATCTTGCTCAGGTACCACAGACTTTTTCTTCTTGTTGACATTACATCTACTTGTCCCCCCATATCCATCTTCATTTTTCTTTCTTTGGAGACAGAATGGTGGAGAGGAGCTCAAGCTCTGCGTATGTAAGCTGAGGCCATGGTACTACCAAGTTTGCAAGTAAACTTGTCTGTAAGACTGATGGGCCTGCTATCTTGTTAGTGAAGGAGGCATGGTTGGGTGGAGGTGGAAAGGGAGAGTGGACAAGTTTTGATTTCTAATTCCACTTCTTTATGTCCCTTGCCCCCACCTTCCTTTAAGGTTTTTTCTCTTTGCCTTTGGTTTTCTGCAGTTTTAAATATGACATGTCTAGCTATGGGGTTTTTGGTGCTGGCCTTTTTTTTTTTTGGTTTTTGATACTTATTCTGCTTGGTGTTCCCTGAGCTTCTTGGACTTATGGTTTTGTGTCTATTATTAATGTTGGAAAGTTCTTTTTCTTTTCTTTCTTTCTTTTTTTTTTTGAGAGGGGGTCTCACTCTGTCACCTATGCTGGAGCGCTGTGGTGTGATCTCAGCTATCTGCCATCTCAACCTCCCAGGTCAAGTGATCCTCCCACCTCAGCCTCTCAAGTAGCTGGGACTACAGGCACGCATCATCATGTCCAGCTAATTTTTTTGTATTTTTTTGTGGAGACAGGGTTTCACCATGTTTCCTAGGCTGGTCTGGAACTCCTGAGATCAAAAGATCTGCCTGCCTCAGCCTCCCAAAGTGTTGGGATCACAGGTGTGAGCCACTGCACCCAGACCGAGAATTCTTGAGTAATATTACTCTAATTATTTTCTCCCCTAGGACAGAAAATAAACAAAGACTCACCCTGAAAACATTATCCGTCATTTATGCTTTCCCACAGCTCTTGAATTTTCTGTCTCTTTTTTCCCCATCCTTTCTTGGTTTACATTTCAGTTTTGGAAGGTTTATTAACTTATCTTCAAGTTCATCAATATTTTTTCCCGTGGTTGTGTTATCTACCTATGAACTTGTTGAAAACATTCTTTATTTCCATTATTGTGGGTTTTAATTTTTAATTTCATTTACTTTTATTCTTTTTTAGTTTTAATATCTCAGCTTACATTACCTATATAGGCTTGCATGTTGTATACTTTTTCCATTAGAACCTTTAACAAATTAAACATAATTATTTTAAATTACTTGATAATTGCAAAATCTGTGTCATATCTGAGTATGGTTCTGAAGCTTGCTTTATGTCTTTGGATGTTTTTTGTTTCTTTGCCTTTTGGCATGCCTTGTAAATTTTTGTTGAAAGCCAGACATGTTCTATAGGATAATAGGCACTGAAGTAAATAGGCCATTGGTGTGAGAATTTCTATTAATCTGAGATGAGCTGTGTTTAATGTTTATTGTAGCTACTGGTGCCAAAGTCTTCAAATTCCTATAGCAGGCTTCTTTGTTCCTCTCCTCCTAGCTTTGGGGCTTACCTTTGTACTGATTCTCACAGAGAGTCTGTTCCTTGCAGCTTTTCAGCTGGGCTCCCCTATTATTATTACTGGAGCCTTGTCATTGTGGTGGAGTGTAGGGGAGGATGGTGTTGCAAGTCTTCTTAATTAAGCCTCAGTCTTTCAGTGAGGCTGTGTTTCAAGGGTGTGAATTTCAGATGTGTTTCTGTCCCTCTTCACAGGTAGAGCTTTATTTCTGCCCAACCTTCAGCTCTAGTCCCTTTCCTGGTTATTACCTTGAAGCTCCCCTGTTGACTATGGTTTTTATTTCTTTGGACCAAATTCTCGTCTCCCAGCTGGGATAAGTTTTCAGAATTGCCCTGTGGGGAAGTCTTTCCTCCTAGAGATGAGGTCTTTGTTAGAGAGAAGAGTCAGGAAGGGTTTCACGAAGGCTACTCCCCTTCAAGCCCCTATCCCAGAGCCATGAGGGTCCTCTTACTGAGCACCTGGTAGAGTTCCAGGGGGAAAAGCCTGTGAAAGTGTGAAGATCCCCTTAGACAGCAACTCCCAGGAGCTTATTAATCTCCCACTAGCCTGCACTCAGTTTCCAGCAATTCATCAAAATAACTAGTAAAGTATCCCCGCCAGCTTATGGCATCTGGTGGTTTCTGCTCCAGGTAACCAAATCTCAAGAAAAGTAAATTTCTAGTTAGTTCATTTTTCTCTTGTTGTAAGAATGGCAATAAGGACTTCCAAACTCTATATATGTCACGGTTGAAACAAGGTGTCTCCTTCTTTATGGTTTTAATCTTTTCAGATTTTCTATTTGTTCTTAGGTCAAGTTTAATAATCTATATTTGTTCCAGGATTTTTCCATTTCATTTAGGTTTTGTAAATTACCAGCAGATTGTTTTTATGGTATTCTCTTAGTGAGTATCTGTACATACTTATATAAATCTTTTAATTATGAAATTATATACTCTTTTGAATATTATTGATCTGTGCTTCCTCTCATTTGCTGTTCATATCAACTTACTTCATAACTTTATTATGTATTATATTTAATTTTGATATTTATCTCCCTTCTATTTAGGTGGCTTACCCTGTTGTTACTTATCTAGTATTTAAATGTCCAAGTGTCTGTTTCTTTGGAGAAAAAACTTTATAGAAAGTACCTCCTTCATAGCGCTGTTTATAAGAAAATGCGCATCTGACAGGAAGTAAGTAATGCACAAATATGCAATGATATGACCTTTTATTGCCAAACTACAGTACTTTTAACTTCAGAAATCTTTGTCTTTATTTTGGTTTCTTTCATAATTTGGTCCATTTACAATACTCGCCATTTCTCATTAACCTTATCTTCTGAATATTAGGTCTATTTTTTGAGGACTGTGATCTGCAGAGAAAACACTTAGAAGGACACAATCAAAGTCAAAAGCCTATACATTTTGTGGATAAGTGATCCAAACCTAAGACAGTTACAAAGAAAATGGCTCTCAGCTATTTACAGCCAGACTTCAGGCCTTCTGTGGATTTCTTTGGCATTACCTCACTAAGTTAATATATCATCACTTGACATTTAATAATAAATACCTGATGAAATTATGCATATGTCTTTTTAAAAGTTCAGCTTCAACTCATTTTGCTAGATAAAAATACTAACACAGGCAAAAAGTCACCCACGTTAATAGAGAAAGCTACTCCACTGCGAAGTGTATTTTCCCTTCCTGACAATCTCAGAGGTGTTGGGCAAGAGCCAAGGAAAGCCAATAGTCTGTGCCTCAATAAGAATATATACATCCCAAGCCCACACCAACAGACTCTTGAAGTATAGCAGGCAGGAAGAAAAACACTTAGTGAACAACTCAACTCTGTCTGTATTGCACCTCCTGTTGGCCAGATCTGCCTTTTGATCACATACCCTGGATCCCTGGTGAATACACGGATATTAGTGCTACAGAAGGTTTACACAAGGGTCTCCTAAAACATCTAGGCTGTCTGTGGCTGACAACTGATTTGCGTAAGTGGTTGTTAAAAGGTAAAAGCTCCCTTAATCCACTGCCACTTAAGGGGCTCACCAAATCAACCATTGCTCTCCATTTCCTCTGTAAAATACGAACCCATGCCCATAGCTGGAATAAAGGGTCATGGAAAATAGGCATTTCTGTAGGATATTTCCTCTTCTGCTCCCACCAACCAAGTTGTGGGCGTGTCAAGAATCAACTGAGTTTGTTCCCCAAACTAGTTTTACTAGTTTGCCAGTTTTGTTAACAACATTTTATAATTTAATTAAATATTTCATATGAGTGTGCACAGAAAGAAAATTAAATGAGAATCAATTTTTTAAAAATCACCCATCAAATTAGATGTGGACAAAAGAATCTTAAAATTTTACAGGAATATCATTAACTATTTCCTCTACTGGTAAAGGAATCTCTAGTCCGAATTCTATCCTCAGGTTATTTTGTGTTTTGAAATTTTCACTCCATTATAAAGAAACTCCAGAGGAAATGGTCAGTAGATGATATGGGCTTTATGCAAGAAACATGATGTCTGATATCAATCACAGGACTCTTAACAAAACCACAAAACTCTTAGTCTTACATTAAAAGGCTGGAGAACTCATAAACTATTTACATCTTAATATGTGTATATATGTGTATGTAATTGCTAATAATCCCACACTTTCACTGAATTATTTGGTTAACAAACAACTCAAGGTCCTGATCATATCAGATATAAAGGATTCTATATAGTTTCATTGAACAGATTAATGCTCCTGATTTCCTGCTCATTTTTACTTGTCTTTACTGTATTTACCTTACCAAGTACTTTCTCTTATTTCTCCTTCATTCTCACTACAATCCTCTGAAGTAAGATTGTGTTTATTATGTGAAGAAACTGAAAATCAGAGAAGCCAGGATTCAGACTCAGAACACTGTCCCAAACAGTATTTTCAAATCAATGTGAAATCAAGTTAGTGAAAAGCAACAAACATGTCTAAACAAAATAATGGAATGGAATAGAATAAACTAGAACAGAACAGAACATGAAGGCATTATTTAAGGTGAGTTATTTATTATCGGTTGAATTGTGTCTCCCTAAACACAATAGGTTGGAGCCCTAGCTGGGTAGGTATCCCCCACCCAAGTATATGTCAGAATGTGACCTTATGTGGAAATAAGGTCTGTAGTAGAGGCAATCAAGTTAAAAATAAAATTAATAGGGTGGGCTCCAATTCAATATGACTTGTGTCCTTATAAAAAGATGACTTTTTTTTTTTTTTTTTTTTTTTGGGACGGAGTTACACTCTTTTTCCCAGGCTGGAGTACAATGGCATCATCCCAGCTCACTGCAACCTCCGCCTACCAGGTTCAAGCAATTCTCCTGCCTCAGCCTCCCAAGTAGCTGGGATTACAGGCATGCACCACCATGCCTGGCTAATTTTTGTACTTTTAGTAGAGACGGAGTTTTGCCATGTTGGCCAGGCTGGTCTTGAACTCCTGACCTCAGGTGATCCACCCGCCTCAGCCTCCCAAAGTGCTTGGATTACAGGTGTGAAAAGGTGACATTTAGACAGAGACAGACACACACAGAGGGAAGACAATGTGAAGACAGGGGGAGAAGATGGCCATGTGACTGAAGTAATGCATCCATAAGCCAAGGAAAGCCAAGGAGTGCTGGCAACCACCAGAAGCTAGCAAGAGACAAGGAAGGATTCTCCCTTAGAACAGTCAGAGAGGGTGTGGCCCTCTCAACACCTTGATTTTAGGCTTCTTACCTCCAGAACTGTCAGACAATACATTTCTGCTGTTGAAGCCCCCCAGTTTTTGTTATGGTGGTCCTTGTGTACATGAGTATGTATGTATGTGTGTATTTGTGTGTATTATGGGTCATAATGTAAACTCTAATTCCTACTGTAGATTACAGTCAAAAAAAGTTTGTAAAATAGTATTCCATAACACAGGCAAATAGAGTGTCACTGATATCTATCTGGGCAATCCCCTTAAGACAGAAGGCAGGCAAAAAAAAAAAAAAAATTCTGGGAAGGAGAAGAGGTGGCGTGTTCGCAAGCGGGGGATGGAAGGCAGTTTCTGGAAAAAGCGAGCTTCTCTCTGAGGATGAGTGGAAAGAGCAGCACAATTAAACGGAGTAGCTGGTGATCTGGTGATGCATGCGTGAGACTTGCTATGAGTCCATTGCAAGGGGAAACAAAAATAGCTGGTCTGGCAGGTGTTTGGGGAAAAGGTTTTAGTCAATCCACTTTGCATAAGTAAAAGTGATTTAACCCAGCCAAAGCTTCAAAAGAAACTATGTGAGGCATGTTAATGATATTGGGAACTCCATCTAGATGGGGAGAAAGTCAGAGTAATGGAAAAGCGAACCTTAGGGGACCCATGCGCTGCTGACAGCAGATGGCAGAAGATTGCTTAATATTCTGACACAATTAAACTAATTCCCTTTAAGCTTCCTTCCCATACCATAAACAAAATCTCCCCATCCCTTAGAAATTAACTTTTAACATCTGGGCAAATGTACTGCTTAGTGCCCAACTCCCCCCAAAAATCGCAGTTAATTTTTTTTATATATATAAAGACCAAACCAAAAAGGATTTTGTTAACAGTTTTAGCCCCACTACAGTCTAGTGTAGCACACATTGGTGGCACAAGTGAGGTGTCATGAAATTCCTGTAAGATAGGATTGTACTATCATTAATTGATAAAAACTGCACTATCACCAAATCTCATTTATTTATAAAGGTGTGTGGCCCATGAAAGTAACAAAGAGGGCCAAGGCGTGGTGGCTCATGCCTGCAGTCCCAGCATTTTGGGAGGCCGATGTAGACGGATTAACAGAGGTCAGGAGCTCAAGACCAGCCTGGGCAACATGGTGAAACCCTGTCTCTACTAGAAATACAAAAATTAGCTGGGTGTGGTGGTGGGTGCCTGTAATCCCAGCTACTTGGGAGGCTAAGGCAGGAGAATCGCTTCAACCCCGAGGGTGGAGGTTGCAGTGAGCTAAGACTGCACCACCACACTCCAGCTTGAGCAACAAGAATGAAAGTCCATCTCAAAAAAAATAAATAAATAACAAAGGGCCAACAAAACACAACTTAGTGACTTATTCTGTTACTAAGAACGGTATGATGAGATGGGGAGACCCACCATGGCTGACTTCTGAGCTGTGATTTCTCATCTCAGCCTTGCACTTCCACGGGGTCCCTGGATGTTCTCCACCAATGGGCCAGGAGAGGCCACTGATCCATACCACATACCTCAATACCCAATTCCTACTGGCAATAAACCACTCCATGATTTTATCCATACATGTAGACGGGATCTTCCATTGCCAGGCTGTATGAGAGTAAGTGTATGCACTTGTAAATTCTGCCCCTCTGGCTTAGATAAAACACCTGTATATGAGACAAAAAGGCAGCCAGGAAAGCAGAGCTACCAAGGTTTAGATAAGTAAACAAATCCTGGTTTGGGACTAGTTACACTTTAACACCATACTCAGCTGCTCCAAGTGTCTGTTTCCTCAGAACAAAGTAGATTCATGATCATATTCATCTTGGAAAGTTTTTGAGCATTAAAGTTGTAAAATGCCTGGCTCATGAAAGTGCACCATTCCCTTCAGATTTATTAGATGTAACACCTATTTACTCCTATGCTTGTAGGTGAAGGAAGCTATTATCTTCTTCTGTAAACATTGACAGGGTCTGGATGTGCCCATGACTGACTGGATGTTAGAGTGAAGTGGCTGTAGGGGAGAGGAGACAGGGTAAAACACTAATTTCTCCTAAGGGAAAAGACACCCAAATGAATTTATACTGCTGTACAAGTGGCTAAATATTAACATAGAAGGAGAAAAAAGGAGCCAAGGATGCCCAAGGAAGACATCAAAAATGGTGACACTGGGCCGGGCGTGGTGGCTGATGCCTGTAATCCCAGCACTTTGGGAGGCCAAGGTGGGAGGATCACCTGAGGTCAGGAGTTCGAGACCAGCCTGGCCAACATGGTGAAACCCTGTCTCTATTAAAAATACAAAAATTTGTCAGGTGTGGTTGCAGCCTCCTGTAATCCCAGCTACTCAGGAGGGTGAGGCAGGAGAATAGCTTGAAACTGGGAGGTGGAGATTGCAGTGATCTCAGATTGTGCCACTGCACTCTGGCCTGGGTGACAGAGCGAGACTCTATCTCAAAAAAAAAAAAAAGTGACACTGAATCTGGGTCATAGGGATGCAAAGCAAGGAGGAAAAAGAAGGCATGCAAAAAAGGGCATCCTTGTAGAACAGAGAGAACTGTGATGAGGCTGTAGTGCTGAACTCTCGACAGGCATGGTAAGAGATGAGGCTGGTATGAAAGACCTGGGCATAATTGCATACAGCCTTGGCTTATAAATACTAATGAGCAAAAAGGTGGCCATGTACAGAAGAGACCTGATAGGTAATCAGACAAGCTGCACTGTTCCTACAAATACTTAATGAGCACCCACTATATATGATAGGTGAGACTCTTAAGTGCTGAACAATGTCAATACTGTCAATCAATTCAAGTACCTATTTAAACTCAAGTCGTTCAGCATTACAGGAAGACAAAGTGAGAAATTGGTAAAGGACCAAAAGAGAATATATCTGGAAAAATTGGAGGAAAATGTCTTTAGTACTCCTGAAAATATTTTAGCTAATGTTATTAAGCAGGAAAATGGTTATTTTATACTACTCACTCTCAACTGGGCTGGAAAGGACCTTGGGTTCATTCATTCATTCAGCAAATATTCAACACCTACTATATACCAGTTACTCTCCTAGCCAATGGGTGTGGCAGAAAACAAAACAGACATCCCTGCCTTAATGGGAACTGAATTCTGAGGATACATTTAATGTGCTTTAATTTTAAAAGTTAGGCAGTGTAGGAAAAGAACTAGAAACTTTTACCAGTTTTAAAGACTCCAATAGCCTTCATCTGTATAACTGGTAAGTACGAATATTCTATGGCATCTATAATAACAAATTTTTTCCTATTAATTTTAAATTGTCCAAGAAAATGGAAAGACTGTAGATTCAATTTTAAAATGAGAGTTTTTTTCCTTTAAATTTTTGTTATATATATAAATAAGATACAGAGTTTTTTGATAAAGTTTTTTTTTTCTTTTTTTGTATCTCAGGAAACTGAGATACCAATAGATCAAGGAATTTGCCCAAATCCCACAGCTGAGCAGTGACAGAGCTGTGATTTCACGTTAGGTAGCAAAACTGCCTCTTGCTTGTTGCCCCAAAATAATAAGAATGGTTATTTCTAACTGGTGGTGGAAAGGGTGAGTTTATATTCCCACTTTTAATTTTTTTTCTTTTCTTTCTTTCTTTCCAGCATAGGCTGGAGCACAGTGGCACAATCTCGGCTCTCTGCAGCCTCCAATTCCCAGGCTTGAGCAATCCTTCCACCTACAGGTGCATGCCACCACCCTCAGCTAATTGTTTTTGTACTTTTCATAGAGACAGGGTTTTGCCATGTTGCCCAGGCTGGTCTCTAACTGCTGGGCTCAAGCGATCTGCCTGCATTGGCCTCCCAAAGTACTGAGATTACAGGTGTGAGCCGCTGCCAGACCTAAAAAGTTTTAATTTTTATAATCTATCAGTGACTTAACCACACTATAGTGCCTCCTAAATAAGTCTTACTTGCCAATGTTATTCTTTCCTTGAGTGAATTACTGAGCACCTCCTACATGTCCAGTGCTGTGGTGGGTTTCTAGGAGTGGAAAGGAATAGGAGATGCAGTCCCCACCCTTGACAAGCATCTCTCTTCTTTAGGAAAAAGAGGGATAGATAATAGAACACGTACATCTGTAACAATTAGAAAGCAATCAAGAGCAATTCTTGAGATATTACAACATAACAAGTCAGTAGCATATAAAATCCCCATGTTAGTGTCAACAGAAAGTGAGACCCTCCCTGACCAGAAGTTAAAGAAACTCTAGTGCCACTTACAAAAACAACTGCTTCTGAGTGAAGCCCTTCATGCTATTCTGCTTAATGATTCTTCTCACTAACGAGCCAGTAGATTAGGTCTTGGAAAAATACTGCACTCGTAATTAATTAATCCATTAATTACACTGCCAATTATTGTGGATCATAAGTAAATTCCACATTATTTTTAATACCTTTGTTTCAAAAATCAAAATTGCAAAACATCCCATCCCCTCCCCTCCGCTATCTAAGCCAAACACAAGCTGTGCTTATCCAGATCGAGATGTCGGTCATTGATCTATGATGCCTCACCCCTGAAAGACTTGGGATGCTGGTATTCCTGCTGATGAGAACATATGGTTCAGATGGTTTGGCGGCGAAATCCTGGCAGAAGAGTCTCAAAGCATCAACAGATGCTGCCATAGCACAGACATCCAAATGGTGGCATAATTGCTGCTGCTGCTTTGATGCCACATGTTTCACTGTGATGACAGCAATGCCTTTCAAAGAGAGGCTGGTGGCAAAACAGAACCTCTCCCCAGTCCCCAGAGAGACACACATGAGTGTGTGTGCATACACACACTCAGGCACACACACACAGGTACACATGTGCATGTAAAACCAGGTAAGATCTGCCTTCCATAGGTCTCTTTCATCTCTCTCTAATGGTAGGTATAAAGCCAGCTGGAAAAGAAATAGCAGCTAGAGAATTATTTTGTTCTTTGCCTACATAACTGACATTTAGGTTCCACTTAGAAAACAGAAACTCACAAAAACCAAATAAAAGATGGCCTGTTAGCAACTCAGAGATGGGATCAGACACTCACACCCATACCCGTCCCACTGCCCCTAGTTCCTCCTACTCCTCCAACCCGCAACTGAGGCACTGCCAGATTCCCAAAGCTCCCTGTCACTAATTGCTCAGACTCCTCTTCATCAGATTCATTCAGTCAATCAACAAATATTTGCTGATCACCTGCTATGGGCTAGGAGAGGAGGGGCTTCAAGAGCAACAATCTCTATATAGCTGAAGGGTTCTGGGGAGCTTTCTCCTTCCACAATTGCCAAGTCATTTTCAGCCACTTATTTCACCTTTATTGAGCAATGACAGTCTAGCACTACTCAGCCTGGAGATACAACAGGAAACCAGACAGATGTGGTGGTCCCTTTCTGTAGTAAAGGAGTTAGCCAGATAAGCTATCCAATGTAGTGCAGTGTGCAATGTGCTACATTACAGTATAGGGTGGTGTAGACACTTCAAGGGAGCAGCATTTAGTATAGATTGGGGATTTGTGGGGAGGGGTAGAGAGCAAGAGACAGATACCCTGAGTCCCAAGGATAAATTGCGGTCAGCCAGGTGACCAGGAAGAAAGCAGCGCTGAGGCAGAGGGAGCAGCTTTAGAGTGAGACAGAAATACGTCCTGGCTCACCAAATGCCCCAAACCTTATTTCTTCATCTCTTAAACATGAAAATAGTAACACTAAATAAGAAAATGTGAGTTAAGATATTAGCACTCAATAATTGATAGCTATTTTTATCATTATTATTATTTTGTAATACTAGTAACAAGAACAACAATGTCTGCAGATACTTAGAGGTAGGAAAATGTATGGAACATTCTGGAAAATAAGCATGGTTCGATTTGGCTGGAATATAACGTGTGTGCGTGCGTGCATGTCTCCCCAGAGACATGAACTGGCCAATGAGTAAATGACCTAAAAGCACAGAACTGCATGTGATAAACCAGCACAGACCTGGCTGTTCTTATGGGAGAAATCATAGCTGCTTCTACCCTGAGTGTAAAGCTGAATGCCAAAGGAATGAACACAAGTGAGCATTCTGAGCCATCACCACCACCTCACCAGACAGTAGTGCACCTCTTGGGTATTGTGGATTCCTCATCTATGAAAAGAGCACAAGGACACTGGTCCTGTTTATCTCAATGAATTGTTGATGTTAACGATCTCATTCCTAATTCTGGGGTGCCAAATATAACTCCATAAAGGACACGTACAACTATGAGGAAACACGGCCACTGTCATGCTAATTTAGATAAATCTCTAAGAAGAAATGAGTAAATGATCTAAAAGCACAGAACTGCAGAGCTGTCTGTTTTGAATGTCAAACATTTGCATACTCCACATTTGTCATTAACTGAATGAAAAGTGGACAAACTAATGAGCTGACAGAATACAGATGCAAACTACATACAAATAATAAGGACCCACACTTAAGAATACACATGATCCTCCCTTACCACAGGAATTAAGTTACTGTGAAGACAAAAGAACAAAAGATTACACACACTGATCCTGTGTAAAGTACAGACCTAGGAACTAAGAGGTTGAGATAAAGAACTATTTGCCTGCAGCATTGGGGCCAAGGCTTAGGGGTGATTGACACTCATTTTGCTTCCCAGAGAGGTAGAAATTAGGAGAACAAGGGGACACCTAACCTGGGAATAAACAAGCTAGAAACACTTGGGGAGGTGGGGCTGTCAGGGACTTATACTTATTGGCAAGGTTGCAGGAACACATCTGGGTCTTCGACGGTCTGTCCCCTAGATACCACTTAGAGTCTGTCCACTCTGGGCTCTGGCATTATCAAACATCGGGGAGGGAACAGAAGACAGAGTGAAAGGTTTGAACAAGCACACAATTTTGTCTCACATGGATATAAAATCAAATCTGCTGACTTCTACCTCTTCTCAGTTACACAGCCTTAGGCTACTTGGAGTTGTTAACTGCTCTGGAGTTGTTTTTAAAAATTAAGTGGGTACTATGAGAAATGCTCAGTAGAGAATTTTATCAAGTCACACAAATCAACAGGCAAACAAAAGACAGCTTTGATGGCTTCCCCCTGCACACAAGCTGATGTCTAAACCCTAATCTGCCATTCAAAGGCTCTTTTGCCAGAATGTGGCCCCAATCCAGAACCACAAGATTGAAGAAGCACTTGTTCAACTCTAACTGTGCTTCTCCAGGACTACATTTTTGCTCACCCTGCTCCCAGACCTCTCAGGCTCCTCTCACCCTCAGTCCTCCCAGCTTCTACCCATTCCTGGAGGTCCTGTTTTGGTCATTCCTGCTCCAGGAGGCCATATTAGAGTATTCTTCACTTCTCCTTTTGAATAGTCATTCTCACTCAGACAAGAACTGGTTTTCCTTGCAGGGCAATCCTGTTCCTCATTCTCCTTATAGAAAAAGGAGAATGCCCAAACTTAGTGGTTCACGTCAAAGCTCAGCACAATCTTGGGGCACTGGGAGGACTATGGATTCTAGTGGTCAATCCATTAGCAGCAGGCAGACATCCATCCTCGGAAGGCATGGTAAGTGATGGTGAGCAACCACTATGGCTCCTTGACCCCAGTGACTTCAGATGTTCATTTCAAAAGTGAAGGAGAATAGGTTTAGGCTGGGTGCCCTGAGATGGTCATGGCTAGTGCTGGACAAACTCTCCATACTTGCTTTGCTTCTCTCCCTGTGGGTTAGCCCAGGCCCAGTCCCATCACAGCAGCCCAAGAGACTGCTCCCTACTCAAGTCCTACCTAACTCTCCTTTTCTACCAGCCTAAGGATCCTAGTCTTGGGAGGATTATATAGGGAGGAAAGCTTTTAGATCTTCCTTTAGTCTTTTTCCTAATCTATTATGGCATAAACTCTATTCCTGACTTTACAAGAACTTTATTTTTTATTTCAGGAGCCCTTTCTTCTCTCAACAAAACTTAGCTCTTAAGATCAAAAACTTTGCTTTTAAAACTGTCATTTTTGATGTGGACTTCAAGAGTCTATTTTGAAAGTTTAAAAAAAAAACAGGCTTTTTTCTTTTGCTTCCACTGCTTTTCTACAGACGTGCCTCCCACCTACTCTGCTCCTGCCTAAAATGCCCCTGATTTTCCACAAGGTAATGTGAAGACACTGGTTGATTAGACAGAGACCATACATAAGACGGGGTAAAAAAGAAAAACTCCAAGTTTAACATCTCAGTGTGTTACGTTGCTCTAATTCCATAGTATTTAAGGGAATAAATAGTGGAAACAGACCTGACACGTACCCTGACACTCATGTGATCATCGGCAATTACCTTCTCTGTGCCTCTATTTTATTATCAGTAAAAGGAAAAGTCCATTTTCCTCACTTCTAACTGCTACTGTGAAGATTATTGTAAAGTGCTTCACCAAAAATAAGCCACATCCATACAACACAATAAATGGTAGTTATTGTTAAGTACCAGGCATCTGGCAACTAGGTCCGTTCTGCCTTAAGATATTCTAATATCATTAGTCTTTACCATTTAAATCTATTTTTGTTTAACTTTCCTTGCATGTACGCCTTTTCCTCCATACTTGTAAATTTGCCAACTTATTTTCTTACCTTTAAACAAGAATACAAATAATCTACCTTATGAAGTTGTAAACATCAAGTCAAGGTGTTTATGAATACTTAGCCTGACATCAGGACAGAAAACAGTAGTCACCATTGTTAGGTCCGTTATGGGCAAAAGCCAGGTTCCCAAGAAACTCATCTACGAGCTGGTCTTAGACTTCCTAGTTTCCAGAACTGTGAGAAATCCATTTTCTGTTGTTTAAGCCACCCAGTCTATGGCATTTTGTTAAAGCAGCCCAAACTGACTGAGACACCTTGAGAAAAGTTTTCAATGCTCTGTGTGTTAGTTTTCTTACCTTTAAAAATGGTGCTAATAATAACATCAATGTTACAGTGCTGTTCTGAGAACAAAATGTAAGATTTCATGTGTTGCTATGGCACCTACTGGGTATGGCAGGGGATGGAGAGCTGAACAAACAGGGGTCTTGCCCTGAAGATGTTCCAGGAGAGTATAGGAAAAAGACTTATGCCTAAGAAACTGCCATAGAAAGCCAAGCAACAAATGCATTTGAAGCAGCACAGATAAAATGGAAAGAAAGTCCAGTTCAGGGAAAGGGACATGACCTTCAACAAGTCTGCCATCTGGTCCAAACAAGACAGACAAGCCTATAGACTTCCCACGAAGCATTCTTCTGTAAAGAATTTCTTAGCATTTTCCAGGCAGTTATGCTCTGAATCTCCATACTATTTTGGATATTCTTTTATTATAGTACTTTTCTCATTGATTTGCATATATTTCTTTGAAAATCCATCTTCCCCAGGAAATGAATAAGCTTCTTCAGGTCAGAACTACCAGGCCCTGTTGCTTATATACATGCAATCCCTTATCCCTCCACAAGGAAATCCTAACATCTGGTATAAAATATTAAATCCTAAATAAATTCTGTTGAAACATGTACCCAAGTCTTTATCCTGCTATGTCTGAAATACGTCACTTTAGAACAATTAAGAATTAAATTATAGCCATGTCTTCATCTTTTGCATATTGCTTCCCTACCATTTCTCTTCCAGGAAAGATCTTAACCCAAGGTGTTGAGCACTATCAAACAAATGAGGAATAAGCACTACCTTCCACCCCTCAGTGATAGTTGGGAGATCAGGAGGCATCTCCTCTGAAGACTGGACATATTTAAAATGACCTGACCATGTAAGGGAGTGAGGGAAAGGAGAAGGAAGAGCAGCACCAGATAGATTCAGCCACAAGGTGAGGGCACAGTTCCTCAAATAATTTAATTTCCTTTACCTAAAAAAAAACTATATAAATAATTGTGACACATCCACAAAACCATGCTGAAATAATAAAAATGTCATTGCTTTATCAGCTTGGAGTCTAAACATAAAAAATGATAGTCAGTGCTAATCTACTTTTCTCTGCTTCTAAATGCTGCCTCAAATAGCCTGGCAAAAAGCCCCAAAATGGAAATTAGTAGCTCAGATTAAGTCCCTGTGCCAGAAAAGATCTTTGTACTGTATTTAGAACAAGGACAGTATACCATGGTTCAGTATTGACAGGACAATTACTCTAAGAAGATAGAACTTAGCTCCTGAAGCTACTTAAAATCAAGAGCTATCTATTGACCCAAGTAGGAGATGATCTGCATGAAGAAATCCATGCTTCCCAGCTTCTCCTCCACTGCTGTTCCTCCTCAGCACCACTCCCATTCAGAAGCTCTGCCTGATGTGTCAATGGCTCATCAAAATCCACTTATACAGGATCTTCTCGCCTTAACCTTTCTCTGTCTCCTATATTTTTAATCTAGATAAAAGGTCTCACCATTCCATGCACACCACAACAAGCCAGAAACTTGAGAAGCATCATTAATTCCTTCTTAGTCACTTACCCCTACATCCAGCCACACAGACACAGACACAACCACTGGTTAACAAATTCTGTGAACTGTCCCTCCCTAATATCTTGAGTTGGGTGCTTCAATTCATCCCTTCTCCCCTACCCTTACTTCAGTCCCTTCTTTCTGGTTTCCAACAACTAGTGTTCCTGGCCCCAGTCTATCCCACCACCTTTTCCTTCACCCTGCAACACACACAGATTTTGGCTAGTTTTCCAAAATGCAGATTTGATCTTGTCACTCCCAGCTTTAAAACCATTTAATGTAACCACTCCCACTCACCACTAAAAGAAAGAACCTTCGTGCCTCTCTGCAGCTCAGAGCTCTAGCCATGCTGTATGCACCTCCCAGTTCTCTCACTCTGCCTAATCTTTGCAAATGCTACTCTTGTGTTCCTGGTTTAGAATAATACCTATTTCTCTATTTGGACCTGGTTCCAACTGGACCTCCTTGTGGAAAGGACGCTCTGACGTTCCTTCCCTCTGTTACACACACACACACACACACACACACACACACACACACACACACACACTAGCTCCCATAATCCTTGGGCATTGCTGGCTCATAGCATTTATCACAGTACATTATGAATCCCCTCTGAGCCACAGATCTCCTAACAAGACGGTGGCAACAGCAAACGTCTTTGGCTGTCTAGAATCCCACACAGCTCCTGCCACTCAGTAAGCATTGTTGAAAAGGAATGGGAAAAGATGAATGAATGAAGGCATGATATAGTCCACTTACGTGGTGGGATGATGTAGGATCCGGTCCCAGATCTGTTACCCAGTGTCACTCAAGCTGTAATGGGAGCAGTTTAATCAGCTGAACATTCCAAGGAAATCCCCAAATAAAACAGCCCCTGGGGAGCTCTCCCCTCAAACTGAGTACCAAATGGCTCACCACGTATTTATTGTTTCATGAATCTTCTCTTGTCTTCTCTCAAGTTTAAACTACCCAAGGGCAGTGACTGACATCCATTCATTCAACAACTATCTAATGAATATTAATGATGTGTCAGGCAATAATAATAACTAACATTTATAATGTACTTATTGCTCACGCACTGGGTGAAGTTCCTTTATGCTTTTATGATTGCAGTAGGCAATGAACTAGGGACCAGATACATGAACAACTTTATACTACATGGGAAACGTTTCATGTATGCATTCATTCAATGTCTTTTTCAACAATCGTTTATTGAATGTTCACTATGTTTGAAGTCTTGTATATGTTCCTAGGCATTTTCTTGAGGTAGGTGTCCATATTTTATCAGCAAGGCAACTGAAATACAAAGAGATCAAGTAATTTGCCCAAATCCCATAGCTGAACAGTGACAGAGCTGTGATTTCAAGCTAGATAACAAAACTGCCTCTTGGTTGTTGACCCAAAATAATAAGAATGGTTATTTCTGAGTGGTGGTAGAAAGGATGAGTTTATTTTCTCACTTTTAACTTCTTTCCTTTCTTTCTTTCTTTCCAGCATAGGCTGGAGTGCAGTGGCACTCACTGCAGCCTCAAATTCCCAGGCTCAAGCGATCCTTCCACCTCAGCTTCCTGAGTAGCTGGGACTACAGGCACATACCACCATGCCTAGCTAATGGTTTTGTATTTTTAGTAGAGAAGGGGTGTCACCGCGTTGCCCAGGCTGGTCTTGAACTCCTGGACTCAAGTGATCCGCCCACCTTGGCCTCTCAAAGTGCTGGGATTACAGGCTGAGCCACTGCACCTGACCAATTTTATTTTCTTTTGTGTTTTGCATATTCATGTTTTCTACTTTTCCTCCAGTAAACCATGTAATCTTGAATATAATTTATAAGAGGTAAAAAACTGGCTGACCATGCAATGAAAATAGTTGCTACATTATAATGAAAATGTAAAAACAGATAAGAAAATGCTGATGAGATGAGGTGTCTAAAATCAGCAAGAGGTAGCCAAGCGCAGTGGCTGATGTCTATAATCCCAGCACTTTGGTAGGCCGAGGCAGGTGGATCACCTCAGGCCAGGAGTTCAAGACCAGCCTGGCAAACATGGCAAAACTCCATCTCTTCTGAAAATATAAAAATTAGCTGGGTGTGGTGGTACACGCCTGTAATCCCAGCTACTTGGGAGGCTGAGGCACGAGAATCGCTAGAACCCAGGAGGCAGAGACTGCAGTGAGCCAAGATTGTGACACTGCACCCCAGCCTGGGCAACAGAGCAAGATTCTGTCTCAAAAATAAATAAAATAAAATAAGACTCTGTCTCAAAAATGAAATAAAATCAGCATGAGTCCACTTCTAGACTCTCTACCTACGGACACTTGGAAACACCAGCCCATTTCCTGGGATGCCAGATAACTCAAACATAGCTACAGCATTTAAAGATGTACCGTAATTTAAATGCTTAAAAGGTCTCTTCCTGACTGTAGAAAGAGAAGTAATTGAAAAGAAATAGAAAGAGCTGATGCTTGGTGCTGCTTTCTTATAGGAGTAATACTATGATGCAATTTTCAAGTGAAAACATTCACATTCAATCTCTGCCTTTAGCATAGGGAGGAGGCATTAGGTGTGCCCATGCTGTGCTGTGCAGTCAGGAGCTGGCACATCCTCTCTCTGCTCTTTCTTTTGGTTGTCTGCGGAAATCTGGGTCACTTAATCACATGACTGACCCACATTTACAGAAACCCAGCCTTCCCATCCTATTAGAAAAACAGCAGCTCCGTGGAAGCAAGCTTTATGAATAACTAAATTTACAGATAAGCTTGCTTTAATTAGCTAGAGAAGAGGAGCCCCACTCCTTCTTCCAGACAAAGCCAATACTGATTTCTCTACATCTTGGCACATCTGTAAACAGCTCCTGGTCTCTTCCACTGCACTGATTAGTCTCCTTTAAATTCCTTTTGAATGTAATTAATTTGCTTCTCCCACTTTTTTAACCCGTACATCAGGAAGCACATTAGCTGAGCCTTTGAAACATCAGTCTTCCAGGGATGATAGCAGTGCATGATCTCCCTGATGCTGACTACTCTGGCTTCTGTATGTGCTGAAATTTGGTTTGCTTTAGATTTTCACAATGAATCAACACATCATGGGGCAAAGGGCTGGGGGAGGAATTTGCTTAAAGAAGTTATGAGTCAAAGTTCTTTTCTGTGGTCTCATGGACAGAATTCCAAGACACATCTATTTTCTTCCCTTTTTCTAAAAAGAAACTCGATGAGAAATATAATTTTGTCATTCAAATGTGCTCAAAGAATTTTCCCTTCTCTTTAGGGTAACAACTCTCTACCTGTTTCCTCTCCAATACACAAGAAGAACAGACACACTTATTAAGGCTTCTTAGCAGTAGTGAGGGTGGTCTGACTCAAAATGAGATGGTATGAAGTGACCACTTTGAAGCCTTCAGATTTATACAGGGAAATGCCCCTCTCTGCACTGCTCCCAAAAAAAATCACTGCTTGAGGGTGAATGACCACCCGCTTCCCATCACACAAAGAAGGAGGCTAGTATTAATGACTTACCACACTTAAGTCTGCACATGTTCCTTTGGGGAGGGGAAACCTCCCTGGAAAATCCACATGGATTTCTTTGCTGAGCTTTAGAGACTACTGTGAAATATATCCTATAATCTCAGGATTCCAGATGAAATAACCAAAAAAAAAATTGTGGGTTCAAATTTATATCTTTGGATTAGCAGGAAAAGGAATATCACACCAAATTAAATCTCATTTTTCTTTTCCTTTTTAAATTTTATTTTCCTTTCTCTCTCTCTCACTCTTTTTAATTCTTTCCTTTTAAAAAAAATGAAATGTGTTTGCTGAACTGGTACATCAGGGTAATTCTGCAAATCTGGCATATCTGGATGTCAGCAAGGCATTTGACAAAATCTCTCATGAGATCCTGGAGGATAAGACAGGAAAAATGTGGGCCAAATGACAAGCCAAAGAAAGGGGTTTAAAACGGATTGAATTTCAGTATTCATAAGGCAGAGTGTCAACTTGGAGAGAAGTCTCCAGTGGCTTGCCTCAGGGCTCTGATTCACTCTTGTATCCATCAACATTTTTCCTAATGGCTGGGATTAGGTCATGGCCTTCTAGCCAAATGTTCACATGCTTCAAAACTGGGAGGGAAAACAAATACACTGTGGGACAAAATCAGGCCCAAAATGATTTCAGGGGCTAGAACAGTGGTTCTTAAACTGTGGTCTGCACATCACCTACATTAGAATCATCTGGAATGCTGGTGCCTGACCCAGCAGTCCCATTACTGGGTATATACCCAAAGGAGTATAATTCATTCTATTATAAAGATACACACACATGTATGTTCATTGCAGCAGTATTCACAATAGCAAGGACATAGATTCAACCTAAACGTCCATCAGTGACAGACTGGATAAAGAAAATGTGGTACATATATACCATGGAATCCCATGCAGCCATAAAATGGAACGAGATCATGTCCTGTGCAGGGACATCAATGGAGTTAGAAGCCATTATCCTTAGCAAACTAATGCAGGAACAAAAAACCAAACACTGCATATTCTCACTTATAAGCAGGAGGTGAACAATGAGAACACATGGACACATGGTGGGGAACGACACACACTGAGGCTTGTAGGCAGGGGCTGGGGGTAGGGAGAGCATCGGGAAGAATAGCGAATGGATGCTGAGCTTAATACTTAGGTCATGGAATGATCTGTGCAGCAAACCACCATGGCACACATTTACCTATGTAACAAACCTGCACATCCCACACATGTACCCATGAACTTAAAATAAAATTTGAAGAAAATAAAAATTTTAAAAAGGCAGAAGCCTGGCCTACCCATACCTGCTGACTCCATGCGGACCACTCTTTAAGACAGATTGAACTGGAACACAATCACATCCTTCTCTATACACACATGGAAAAAGTCATAGAACTGTAGATATCTCAAGATTAGCAAAACCTGAAAGTTGTTTCTTTTTTTTCTAAGTATCTTTTGAAAGGAATCCAAGCTGGAGGCTGATGGGTATCTAGATGGTGGCAGAAGGATTAAAGCCAAGTGACACTCAGGTAGGATGGAGGAATGTTCCAGATCTACCTTTAGGGGTCCCTCTTACGAGGCAGGATCTCATAATGATCTCCCGTCAGGAAAGGAAAGGTTTTGTTAGAGGTGCCTTCCTGGGAGACAGCGCCTCAGCAGGTGATTCCATTAGCTTTGTCACTTTAATAACAACCAGATTTACCAAATGAAAACTGTACAAAATATTGAACAAAAAACAATATAGATATTGCTTATTCCTGAAAATGACACTCCAGCTGACCCCCCACTAGGAGTTTCTGTGAATTTTATATTTTAAACACCAATTCTGAAATCCACTTCTAAGGGCCAGTTTAAGACTCACGCAACTTTCAAATTTGAGGAAATTAAAAATACATGTGAAGCCATGTCTTTTTACTATTAAATACTGACAGTTGATATTAAAATCCGGAATCAAAGGAAAATCCAGCTCCTGCCCCTTAACATGAAGCATTTTCATGAGGTCTCTCTCTCCTAACATAATATGCAATTGATTTGAGCCAGAGTTCAATTTTCTCCTTGATATCCTGGCATTTTATGAGATTTAGCCCTCTGAAAGTAACTTTAATGCAGCAATGAAGAACCAACAAAAACTCTTGAAGCAAAAATCCTGCTGAAAGGACAAAAACTACCCACCAATGTTTGAGAAAAAGACATCTCATATTTCCTTCATTTTCTTTTTAACACCTGGTACACTCATCGTCTCATAAATATTCAATCAACATTTCAAAAATATTTCCCTTTAAGAAAAAAAGGAAGTACTTAAAATAGGATAGTAATTAATAATTTTTTCATTTTTCCTGGACTGTTAATATAATTCACCAAAAAATCCCAAATTTTAAAATGAAAAAGTTAATTGAATAATTATATTTTAACTACCTATATACCTGCTTAAACAAAAATATATCTATTTATTTCTTAAAAGTCAGATCAAAGGTGTTTCGGAAGGAAGGATAATTAATGTTACGTTTTACAACAGGCTAAATTTGAAAACAAATGTGAATGCACCCACCACATGGAAGGAGTGGTGAAAAAAAAGTGGTGAAAAAAGATTTCACTCTTGTCACCCAGGCTAGAGTGCAATGGCGTGATCTTGGCTCATTGCAACCTCCGCCTCCCATGTTCGAGCAATTCTCATGCCTCAGCCTCCCAAGTAGCTAGGAGTACAGGTATATGCCACCATACCCAGCTAATTTTTGTATTTTAGGAGAGACAGGGTTTCACCATGTTGGCTAGGCTAGACTCAAACTCCTGACCGACCTCAAGTGATCCACCTGCCTCGGCCTCCCTAAACGCTGGGATTACAGGCGTGAGCCACTGCACCTGGCCCAACTCCTAGATATATAAGAATATAAAAGAAGTTCCAGTGCCTAAGTTCTTACTTTCTCTTTTAACATCTGGATAAATGAGTCATTGGATAAATGAGTCAAGTTGCATCTCATTCTTAATATGGCTATAATCTATTCTTATAAAAACAAAAACAAAAGAGAGGAAACAGACTGGTCATTGCCAGGGAATGAGGGGAGGCAGAATGAGGAGTGATAGTTTAATGGGTATGGGTGATGGTAGGGTGATGAAAATGTTTTGGAACTAAATAGAGGTAGTAGTTGTACAACACTGTGAATGTAATAAATGCCACTGAAAGGTACACTTTAAAATGGGGAATTTTATACTATGTGAGTTTGACCTTAATAGAACAAAAACAAAACCAGAATTCTAAGGTTTCTCCAAAGACTTTATCCCATCAGAAGCTCACTCACATAGAGAAGTTAACTGAGGGTATAAGGGTGAAAAATGGGAGTCTATATTCCAGCACCCACTCATAGAAATGTGATCCCATATCCTTCCCAAACTATAAAAGAATTCTAGCTGCTAAACCAAAGACTGAAGTGTCACCAAGAGGTAATCTCTCACTAGAGAGCTGGCCTGAGGGTGAGGGGAAATGATTTGCCTCAGCTCTATAAAGCAAGCTAAATTGTGTTGGCTGTGTATTATCTCTGAAGTGTGGATAATTATGCCTCACAGTGTTACTATGAAGGACACATGGGCACCGCCTCATGTGATGGAGCACAGTCAACATGGTTTCTTTGAGGGCGTTCAAACAAAAACAAAAGAAACATCTGTATAAACTACAATGGACAGATCAAGCTGACAGCCAAGTCTTGTTGTCTTGGAAGAGGAAGACAGGGCAGGCATACAGAACTGATTAAAGACCACAAAGCACTGAGAACCACAGAGCAAGTGGAATTTCACATACGAGGTCCAAAGTGTTCACTCCAAGCATTAGCAAGAGGCACAAGGAATGTCAAAGGTCAACTGCAAATGGGAATCTTGAAGGTGGGAGACACTCAGTCATGTGGTGAGTACATTCGCATTCGTTTTCAAATTTAACCTTCCTCACACAAAATCCCTGTTATAAAACGTAACATCAATTATCCTTCATTGAACACACACACACACACACACACACACACACACACACACGAATCAGTTTGCATGATGGCATTCTGACTCAACGACATCATCAAGCAAGAGAACTATCCATCCTGTCTCTCACGGTTACTTCCTCCAAACATTCTTCCAGCTCAGAACCTAACCAGTCCCTTTAGGTTGATTTTTTACCTCATCTACCTCACAGCCACTCTGGGATATCAGTCTTCCAGACTATGGCCTGATTCCTTGTTGACCTTCTTCTGTACTTATTTGGATAGAATGAAGAAACCAAAATTCTTCCACTCCAAAGACCCTGTTCTAGTAATTTCAGCAATTCTGAAACAGTGACAAACATAAAGTTCAAACCCAAATGTAAAAAGATGGATTTTTCACCCTAGTACTTAATGATGTTTTTGATCACATCTCTGAAGACTGCTCCTGACTGTGAAGAGATGAGTACGCCAAATCCAAGATAACCCACAAATATTGGTCTCACTTGTTCATAAGAGCCTCCAGCTGTCAGAAAATGAATTGTCCCAGTCCAAGGTTTAAGTCATTTTGTCTTCTCATCTACAATCCAACAGTGATTTTGGTGGAGGCAGGGACAGAATCATCTGCTTTGGTCTGGCTTACCTTAGAACTGCCTGGTATAGATAGAAAAGATGCTTTCCTGCTCATCATCATGGGGGCCTTTTTCCTGGTCCAGTCAAAAAAGATAACTCCATCAAAAGTAACTTCTGCTACCTTCCAGAAGAGAAACAAAGCTATGGCTTGGCAAATACAGAAATGTTTGACACTTTAATGCTTTTGTGGTTCAAATTTATGAATGTATTTTGGATCGAGAAAAGTGAAATAAATATATAAGAATCTAGGCAATGTGCTTTGTGCTATATGTAAAATAACTCACTTATTATAAAGCACAAAATCACTTGTGGAACAAGCTTAAAACTTGGTTTTCCAAGCTGAAGGAGGAAAACAGAATATTTTTAAAGAGGTTGGAAAAGTGTTTCTTACAGAAAGCATATGGAGAGAGGAGTGGCAGGGGGTATGATGACAAGGCCAAAGATCTAAATGGGAAAAACACTGCTATTGTCTGAACGTTTTGTGCACCCAAATTTCCTATGTTGAATTCGTAACCCCCAAGGTGATAATATTAGGAAGTAGGGCCTTTGGAAAGTGATTAGATCACAGGGCAGCAGTCCTCAGTAATGGGATTAGTGCCCTTATAAAAGCAACCTGAGAAAAATGCTTCATCCCTTCCACCATGTAAAAACATAACCAGAAAGCACCATCCATGAACCAGAAAGCAGGTCCTCACCAGACACTGAATCTGTCGGCTCCTTGCACTTAGACTTCCAAGCCTCTAGTAATGTGAGAAATACATTTCTGTTATTTATAAGCTGCTCAGCTTATGGTATTCTGTTATAGCAATCCCAATGGACTAAGACAAACACCAAAGTATTTTTGCAAGGAAATAACAGAAGAAGTCAATGCATATAAAATAAAAATTCGGAGACTTCAGAATGAAGATATTTTTAAAAATCTTTAAGAGGATGGTGAAAATCAAGGCCCTTGATATAGTTAAAATAGTATATAATGCCTTATGTGAAAACTGCTGTCTGAAATGAACCTACATTTCCAACTGGGGTATAAGAGATAGCACCTGCTGAAGAGAGGCAAGGGTATGGAGGTCTTGGTGAGCTTCAGCACCAATAATAGGCTTATAAGACCTTAATGAAAAATAGAAGAAAGATTATAACTATCTCGATGATAAAGTCTCCTGGATAATAGAAATATAAGAAGTATGAGCCTAACCACTGGCCAAGAGAGCATTAAACACATTTTAAGAGAAGAGCAAGCCAGGTGACCAGAACACACTGGAAATCTGAAATAACCACATTTATAAGAAAGTGATGGGCAGATCTGTGGTTGTTGGCTCTATTGCAGTAGCAGTAAGAAGCCATAAATGTAAGCTAAAATCCTTCCTAGGGTCAATGACACAGTGAACATTATTTAAAAGTCAAATATTTTTTAAAATGTAAGCTACTGTAATTTTTGACACCACCTTAAATGGCTGAAAAAAATGACACAAACTGCAGTATTTGTAGTTAAGTTCTTCATAGAGCCACAGTGTCCATTTTGTTCATCAAAACATACATTATTCAAAGCTTTGAACCACAAAAGAACAAAGATACTGGAACAGATCCCCCATGTACTCGGAGGTAAAGCTGATGCCCAGAAAACGTGTCTTCCTCATCTAATTTAACCTTTGGAAAGGAATCAGAGATAGACACTGAGCTGCTGTTGCATCTACATAGCTAGCCCTTCTTTCTTTTCCTTTCCTTCCAAAAATACCTACTGAGCAGTGATCATATGCCAGGTTCTGACTGAGCCAGACACAGGACCCAATAGTGCATCAGAAATAAATCCTGCCTTCAAGGAGCCTACAATCAGGCAGAAATAAGGAATGAGAGGAATATACAGCTGATCCTGAACCAAGAGAAAGTATTGCCAATTGATGTAAATTTAAGCTGAGCCTATACAACCACATCCTGGGCATGCTCAATAATTCTAATAAAACTAGCTGACCCTTCAGAGCTAGTTGGAAACAGACAGTAAGATATCTTATAGTAGGAATATCAGCTAGAAAACTTTTATCACTTTTTATCTGGGCAGCTGAACAGAATCTTAATACAGACAAAATACACAACATGGAGTCAGAACTTAGTGACTGAACAAGTGTTTATTTCCTGGGTATTTGTGAAGCACAGCTCTATTTTTAAGAAATTATCCCACACCTCAGTATCCTCATTTGAAAAATGATGATAGGGCTGATAACCCATTGGATATTTTTATTATAACTATAAACTAACACACACAACAATACATTTAAAACTCTTAGCCATTATACGTCCATTATATGTCCTTCTTCAACATGTTTTGTGAAACTACAGCTTATGGTCATAAACATGTGTTCCCATGCATGAGCCTGTATTGGGTTTCACTCATTTCTTCCTAGTCTTACACGTACAGACTGTACAGGTCTGAAAATTTATACCTCAGTATCCTTTAAGCCCTTTAAAAAGCTGCTTCCAATTGAAAGTCATCTTTTTAATGTCTATTGAAGAGAATTTACACTGTATTTATGGCCTGGACATAATCATTACCTTCCAATAAAAATGACATATTAAATAAAAAGAAATTTTCACCTGTGAGCTCTTAGAATATATTTGCTTACTCATGGAAATTCAGCAGCGTCTTGCTCAATATTTTCTGCATTTCTCAGTACAATTATTTGGGGTTCATATATATGTCTATTCAAAATTTGCCAAATCTGAGCAACTCAGAAGCACTAAGAAGACAGAAAATAATAACAACAAACACCAAAGCAGATAAAACCACAACCACTATCCAAAGTGAGGGATTCTGGGATCCATTTGAGAGGGGCAGTAACCCTTCTGACCTTTATTCAGCTTCTGGTTAGAAGCTGAAACACAGCAGGACTGCTGGTTCCAACATCTTTATTAAGAATCCCATGAACCGACTAGGAAATATTCCCCTGCAACAAACAGTTGACATGTTCTTGAAAGTGACAGGTCATCTATCTTAAGCTGGTTACCAAGCTCTGCATGTTAAGTGAGCATGTGAGATCCCCAGAATGATTCACTATTCGTCTGAGAGCCCACAGCACATTTGCTTGCGTTCCCCACACAGGCTGCTTTCCCACTGTTATTTCCCTCTGTCTGAAACCAGAACTGATATCAGACAAAGCAAACAATTTAATTTTACTAAAAGGCTAGAAACTTGACCTCACAGCTGGAGAAACTGCTTTGGTTTGATCAGGACAAAAGAATGCAGAAGCCTCTCTTTCCCCATCCACCCCCAGCAAAGTGGTCTGCCAGTCAATTCCAGGGGAGACTTTGCCACATCCCAGTACTCAGCCCACAGGAAGACAGAGTACAGGGGTACAAACTCTTTAACATGCACTACCTGAAGCCACAAGGGGATGCTTTCTATTTATTTGTGTTTTTCAAAGCTTTCTAATATTTTATAAAGTGCTACTGTTTCTCATTTTAATATCTGGCGTTTTAATGTAGGGCTTATTTATCTTACCAAAAACAACATAATAATTGCAGAGTAGAAAAACACTTTGGGAAAAGAAGTGTTTGCATATGTTAATGACCTAATTTAAAGAGTTCTGTGAGTAAAAGCAGAGATGTGTGATAAAAGAAAATGTGCTTTCATCTTTGCTTCAGATGTTAGCTATGATTTTTTTTAGGTCAGTAAACAACAAAATGTGAACTACTAAGTTGTAAAATACCATAAAGGATGGTCACCAAACATCTCACAATATAAGTATAAAGTGCAAACAAAGTCAACTCTGGCATCGGCATCTAATAAAAGGTGATGCTTACTTACAGCCATGTCAGTAACTCCATGTCTCAGTAATAAATACAGCTAAAAATGAAAACCTAAGACCTCAAATGCACCTGCTAAATTATCAAGACAGCCTTGAACAAAATAGTACCCATGTTTACAAGTCCTGGGTTCAAGGGTCAGTTGTGCCACTGACTATCCCTGGGGCTAAGGGAAAATAAGTCTCATCTTCCTCAAATGTCAACCATGGGCATGAGCTCAAGCCTCCAAAGAATCCTTAAACACTTTTTACAAAATCCAATTCTAGACTGGGTGTGGTGGCTGACACTTGTAATCTCAGCTATTTGGGAGTCCAAGGCAGGAGGAGAGCTTGAGCCTAGGAGTTCACGACCAGCCTGGGAAACATGGCAAGACCCTATCTCTACAAAGATAAAAATAAAAATAAATTAGTTGAGGGTGGTGGCATGCATCTGTAGTCCCAGCTCCTTGGGAGACTGAGGTGGGAGGATCACTTGAGCCCAGGAGTTGGAGGCTGCTGTAAGCTATGACCCCACAACTGCACTCCAGCCTGCATCTTGGGAGACAGAGACAGGGTGACCCTGTCTCAGAAAAATCCAATTATATAATAAGTTTAACAGGATATATATTAAATTACTCTAATTATTTGACGATTACTAATTTAGGTATGGTGTGTGTGTGTGTGCGCATGTTTTATTAAACAGGTCAGCATACTACCACTTTCTCTGCGTGAATGTTTTATGCTCCCAACTAGAATGGAATTCCTCTAAACCAGGGAGATAGCTCCATGTCCAGCAATTCAGACAACATGCCTGACACAGCAGCTCTTCAGTTCAATTTTAAGTCATGTTTAAGGATGTTACATTGTACAATTAAAAAAAAAAACTGCTGTAAGACAGTATTCAGAAAAATGGAATTTCAGAAGGAAGATGGGATATATGCATACAATTAACAACAGTAAAGGGTGGAGGTAGTGTTTTTCCTCTTATGGTACAGGCATGATGGAGTGAAGGGAAGTTTGAGATGGGGTCCATTTACACCACGACTTTTGATTCACTCTTAAATAGTTTTAAACAGGCTACTTCTATGCTTAACAAATCTGCATTTATAATTGTGTACTTCAAATTACATTCTTCCTACAGTTCATAGTGGGTTTTTAAATCACAAAGAGTAGTTATCAGAGTTTGTGGCAAATCAGTCAAACTTATTCTCCATCTTTCTTGCCTTCCTGCAAGTTAAAATACCAGGTAACAAAACTAAAATTCCTTCAGGACTTTATCCAGAGGTTGTCTCTCCCTAGTGAGGCCTTCTTGGAACCCACCACCACCTGTACAATTTATTGATCCTTCAATTGCATTATTTTTCTGCTTAGCACTTGATAATAATCAAGGAAAACATGCATAATGTGTGATATGTTAGACCGTTTTAAGTGCAACATCCCCACTAGAATATACAATGCTTAATTTTAGGTGCTAACTTGACTGGATTAAGAGATACCCAGATAGGTGAAAAAGCATTATTTCTGGGTATGTTAGTGAGGGTGTTTCGGAAGAGACTGACATTTGAGTCAGTGGGCTAAGTAAGGAAGATTAATCTTCATCCAATGTGGGTGGGCACCATACACCTAGAGAGGGACCCAGATAGAACAAAAAGGCAGAAGGAAAGCAAATTCTCTCTCTCTCTCTCTCTCTCTCTCTCCCTCTCTCTGTCTGAGAGTCCTTTGGCCACAGACTGAGAGTTATACCATAGTCTCCCCTGGTTTTGAGGCTTTTGAACTTGAATTGACCCATGCTACCGGCATCCCTCCTTCTCCAGCTTACAGATGGACTCTCATAGAACTTAGCCTCCATTATCACATGAGCCAATCCCCCTAATTAATCTCCTCTCATACATCTATATCCATATCTATCTATGTCTCTGTGTGTGTGTGTGTGTGTGTGTGTGTGTGTGTGTGTGTGTGTGTGTGTGCATACATATCTCCACTGGTTCTGTCTCTCTGGAAACCCTGCCTAATACAGAATGTTACGAGGATAAAGATTTTTGCCTGTTTGGATCACTCTTTTAACTCAGTGCCTAGAATACTGTAGGAGTTCATCACGCGTTCATTATAACAGTATATACTATATATTGCATAATATATAATACATATTGTAATGAATACATGAATATTACAGATATTCCCTTTAAGCTCCTAACAACAAAGGCACATGAGAAAATAGAATGCACAAGGTAGACACAAAAATGTGCACAAAAAGATCCAAACATACCTACTCCAAGAGGAGTATGTGGTCGGGACAAGAGATAGAACCATGGATTTTGACGAGGCTGAGTTATAGCCTTGGCTCTGTTAGTAGTTCTGTGGACTTGGGCAAATTATTTCATTTCTCTAAATTTCAGTTCCCATGCCCACAAATCTGGAGCAGTAAGAGTACCTACCTCATAAGTTTAATGTGAGGCATGAATGAGCTCAAGTACATTAAACAACTTACAGAGTATCTAGCAGATAGCATGCTCTCAGTAAGTACTAGACGATAGTGGTGATGGTGCTAAGGAAGAGGAGAAGGTAGAGGAAGTAAAGATGATTGTGACTAGGAAGGACGATGGAAAAATAAGTCCAGCAGATTAAATTCCCAAACTCCTTCACTTCAGCCCCTCTACTTCCCTCCCAATTTCCAGCTCATGAATTCATACACGTACATTCCATAAAATAGCACTCTGACTTCGGATACTTGCAAGAAAGGATGGGTAATTTTTAAAAAATCGTTTGCTGGCCGGGCACGGTGGCTCATGCCTGTAATCCCAGCACTTCGGGAGGCTGAGGCAGGCGGATCACAAGGTCAGGAGATCCAGACCATCCTGGCTAACACGATGAAATCCCATCTCTACTAAAAATACAAAAAATTAGCCGGGCGTGGTGGCAGGCGCCTGTAGTCCCAGCTTCTCAGGAGGCTGAGGCAGGAGAATGGCATGAACCCGGGAGGCAGAGCTTGCAGTGAGCCGAGATCGCGCCACTGCACACCAGCCTGGGTGACAGAGTGAGATTCCGTCTCAGAAAAAAAAAAAATTGTTTGCCCATGTCAATCAAAGAACGCAAAGTGCTGCTACTTTTCCTCTTTGTAGTTCTAAGCAGTCCAGGTTCCAGAGACAGAGGGATCACAAAACCTTGATAAACCAGAACCCTTGGGAAATGTGTCATTTTGCACACTTCAGTTTTCCAAGTAGTTGAGCAGCCTGTCAGATGGTCATCATAATTTTATGGGCTTTGTTTTGTTTTTTTAATTTTCTATTTTTGATTTAAAAAATCTTTCCAAAGTGCATTACAATTCTCTTTCCAGGTCCAGTTTGTGCAACACCGAGATCTGCTCAGGCCAACCTGTACCACAGACACCTAAACATCGACTGTTCACCCTACTCCCTGATAAGAACTCTCTGTTCCTACCACAGAATAAGGAAGCCCCCCAATCCAGTACTCATTGATAAAAGACAGATAGTAATGTGAACACTGACCAGATGGTACCCACAGAAGTACTAGCTTCCCACTAGTACTTCCCAGAAGTTTTGTGACTTAATGGTCTATGTGGCAGATTTGACCAATAAAAGGCCAGAAATGGGCAGGAGGCAGCAGAGAAACTGCTTACCCTTCCTTCCAACTCCAGGTAAATGGTCCAAAATAGAGTGGTTCTCAGTGCCCTCTCTGGAGACAGGCAGAGCAACTGAAAACAGGCTGAGTATTGTTGTGAAGCTGTGACCAACTTAAAAACACACGAATTTATATGTGGTCTCCATTTCATCCCATATGACTTCTTTTTCCTCACTCTTGCTCCCCTGTGATTAGTAAAACATTAGCATGTACTGTAACTTTTCCTTTAGGTTCTGTTTTCTAGGGAACCTGGGCCTTGACAATGATCCCAACTTCATTACAATCATCACCTAGCTATTATGCTGCATGGGAATGAATGAAGTGATGAGAGCTCTTTGGGCTTAAAGCCTCCATTTGCGGGGCAGGGAGGGGTGTACAGAGTCCTGCTCTGTTGTCCAAGCTGGAGCACAGTGGCACGATCTCTGCTTACTGCAACCTCCACCTCCAGGGTTCAAGCAATTTTCCTGCCTCAGTCTCCTGAGTAGTTGGGATTACAGGTGTGCGCCACCACACTCGGCTGATTTTTGTATTTTTTAGTAGAGATGGTGTTTCACCATGTTGGCAAGGCTGGTCTCAAACTCCTGGACTCAAGTGATCCACCCGCCTCGCTTCCCAAAGTGCTGGGATTATAGGCATAAGCCACTACCTGGCCTGGGCTTACAGCCCCTAAGGAGGTACTTAGGGCTGTTTATCCTGAAAATGTCTGAAGTCCCAAGATTAAGCCTTCAGATTCTAGTTCTGACCTACCTCATTCAAATCTCAGCTCCACCACAAGCTGTGAAACCTTGGACAAGAAATTTAAAATCAAGCTTTTGTTTCTCATCCATAATATGTGGATAATCAGAGTACATACCCCATAGAATCCTTATGAAAAGAAAATATGTCAATACTTATTTAACACCTGGCACAGAAAAACACACAATGAGAGTTAGTGAACTCTTTCTCCTGCTGCCTGATTTACGGGGTTATTTCCCACTGCTGTAAGTATGACCATCTTTTGCAATATCTCCACTTCGCAATTTCTAAAATGCTATAGGATTACATATCAGGAAATCCATCTTATTAGAATTGTGTGCAAAGTGAAAGTAAGTAGGGACTGAATGAAAACCACAGAGTTAATGTATATTAGTGCAAACTCTGTAGAAAGCTCCCAATAGCCATTATTGCTTACATCCTGGTTCTTGAACATATTTTACCAAATTATGAAGTTCTAAATGAGCTAAAGTATCATTATCTATGTTTGAGTCATGCTGTATTCCTACAGAATACAGAATTTTGAGTTAGCATAATCACCCTTGAGCACCTACAGTATCTCAGTTGTGAAACACAAGAATTTAGTGACCATAAACCAAACTCAAACTCACTCCATTTCTGATGGTTTACCTTCTAGGATAAATATCAGTGTAGGATAAATTAGCAGTCAGATGAAAGAAAGAGTACATGTGATATTTTAGCATCTAAAGCAGTATTGTATAAAATGGTTATCCAATATTTAATAACTGTTTTTATTTCAAGGCTAATTCAGTTTAATCATTATTCCTTTATTAACCAAATATTCTATTAGAAGTATCCTCAAGGTGTAAGAAAGAAATACCTAACTCTACCCAGTATCGGGGAGAGATGTGTGATACGTATGAGGACAGAGGACCAACACGCATGAAGGAGACTAACCTTACTTTCCATCTTCACAGCCCCATTCACAACCTCGGATCTCATACTTGGATAGACCGAGTAAAGAATTTCCTTTCAAAGCCAACCTCAAAATAATGTTTCTTTTTAAGAATCATGGTGCTTTATCTAGGGTTTAGTCAATGAAATCAGAAACATCCCACCAAACCAATGGCCCACAGGGATGGAAATTATGGATTCTAAGATACGCTACTAATATAGAGATTATAAGTTAGATTATTTATAGTAAATTACAACAATAATGTGCATATTATGATTAATTGAAACTTCTTATAATTTAGGGAAATCCCTCAAGTTACACTTTTAGAATATGGAGAATGAGTCTGAGTGAAAGAACTCTGGGACAGTTATTAGCGCAGCTCTCAAAAGCCCTTTTAGTGTGCTTCCTGGATACTGGTATATTGTTACTCGTGATTTCCCAAAGATATTTTATGAGAAGGAGTAGGCCCAAGAAAAAATGCAATTCTTTCAACAGCCAACTGCTCCGAAAAAGCAGTGAGACCAAAGCTCCATACTTATTGAACTTGCAGTTTTTTTTGTTTGTTTTTTGTTTTGAGACAGAGTTTTGCTCTGTCACCAGGCTGGAGTGCAGTGGCGCAATCTCGGCTCACTGAAACCTTTGTCTCCCAGGTTCAAGCGATTCTCCTGCCTCAGCCTCCCGAGTAGCTGGGACTACAGGCGTGTGCTACCATACCTAGCTAATTTTTGTATTTTTAGTACAGATGGGTTTCACCATGTTGACCAGGATGGTCTCGATCTCTTGACCTCATGATCTGCCTGCCTTGACCTCATGATCTGCCCGCCTTGACCTACCAAGACCTTGCAGATTTCTTATTCTTCAAAGGCTGCTTTGGCTACAGAATTTCCAGGGCACCTCCTCCAGCGATACAGAGACACCAAAGAGCCAGATCCACTCACATACAAACTTGGTCTATGTCCTTTGCAACATTTGTCTGTTGGTTCAGTAACATACAAGAGAAGTGACAACCTAAAACCTGGTCTAACCAGGTTTCTTTGGCATCAACCTTAAAATCAGGACTAGACTTTGTGGCCTGGCCCAGCTCAAACACTTCCTGCAATAACATTAAAGACTTCTTTCAGAAAAATGTTCATTTACCAGTAATGCTGGGCAGATGCAGATTTAACATGAAGCTATTAAAGCCAACACTTCCAAGCCCCAGGGAGGATCCTAACAATGATTCACATTGTCCTACATTTTTATAAATTTTGCAAAATATATTTTAACCGCATCAGTTCAAAATTTCTATTCTCTTTCCCCTTGATTACATTTTACATCACATTAGGTGAAGTGGTTGCAGCCAGTATAGAGATCTGTCTAAAAGAGAATTAAGTTGAGGATACATTTAGTTTTCATTTAGTGGGATTATTTATATGACTCATCTTCAATTCCATACATATATATACACATACACACATACTGGAATGGCTAACAACAGTATATATATATGTGTGTATATATATATGTGTATATATATATGTGTGTGTGTATATATATGTGTATATGTGTGTATATATATATGTGTATGTGTGTATATATATATATATGTATACACACAAACATACTGTTGTTAGCCATTCCAGTGTAGAAATGGCTTCCAAAACCACTCCCACTATCCATTGCACTGAGACACCCAGCATTTTAGCATGGAATTAAGACAAAAACTGGTACCACCATATGAATATAACCTGAGGTGGGTGGCACTAGAATTACAGCAGTTTTGGAGGAGAAATTAGGCTAAAATGAACAGAGCCAGAAGCTACTCTGTGGAAAACTACCAAATGATTAGACATGTAAACTTGTCACTAGAAGATGTGGTTCTTGCATACAGAGACAAAATGAAAGTTCTCTCCTGGATGATGCAGCATACAAGTTAAAAATGCACTGTAAGTTTTTTCTTTTGTTGACAAAACTCACAGACACAGAAATTACTAGTTTTTTTGTTGTTGTTCTTTATGGAACACAGACTTGCAGCAGTATTATTAATAGCAAGAGTATCTGTAAAAGTTTATATGAAAAAGAAACTTGATAGAAGTTTTTCCAAATTTTACACAATGTTAAAAATTGGCATGTCATTAAAAATAACAAGTTGTGACTTTGGAGAAATGGTTCTAAACTCTCAATAATAAAAAACACAAATTTCAGTCAACCACACTGGAGAAAAATTAAATAATCTTTCTTATTTTCTATGGCAATGATTACAAAATTGTTATCCTAGGGAAAGGCAATCAAGCAAAATTTCAACCCAAAAATGTAAGAAAAAAAACATTAGAGAGGTGTGTCAGACATTTAAAAAAATACTATGTTATTCTTCTGAGTTTTGTGGTATCTGTCATATTTGTTGACTTTCAAACTTTTAAGTTGCTGTGATTGTTTTCCTTGTTCTAAACAAACACAATTTTGTTCTTCTAACTTATTCTTTTTCTCAAAGCAGGCATTCGCAATAGTATGAACTTCAAGCCCCACAAAACTGGGATTCATTTCTGGGATTAGGCATTCCTTGACAATTAACCCTTGCTTAGATAGCATTATCAACTCACCTCAGTGCTCTAGTTATCCTTCATACTGTTATGTCTCCAATTGGAATTTGTAAAACTCATCCCACAATGCCGAAGGATGGGCCTAAGGCCACAGGGAACATGATGAATGATCAGTAGAAGACACTCATTTATGTTGTACCACATGGTGTACAATTAGATTACATGCTTTTCTGTCTCTACTATCAGTTTTTTTTTGTTGTTGTTTTTTTGGAGGCAAGGTCTCACTCTGTCATCCAAGCTGGATTGTAGTGGCATGATCATAGCTCACTGCTGCCTCAATTTCCCAGGCTTAAGTGAACTTCCCATGTTAGCCCTCCCCTGCCCCACTAGCTGGGACTGCAGGTGAGTGTGCCACCATGCCCACCTTATTTATTTATTTTATTTATTTTTTAATTAATTTATTTATTTTTAGACAGAGGGTCTCACTATATTGCCCAGGTCGATCTTGAATGCCTGGGCTCAAGCAGTCTTCCTGTTTTGGCCTCCCAAAGTGCTGGGATTACAGGTGTGCACCACCATGCCCAGCCTCTACTACCAGTTCTTCATTTAATCATCTGTACCAGTTGGCACCACATGCCCAGACAGCCACCATGGCTGCCTACAAGCTGGTGCTGATCCACCACAGAGAGAGCATGTGGAACCTGGAGAACTGCTTCAGTGGGTGGTACAATGCCAACCTGAGCCCAGCAGGCCACGAGAAGGCAAAGTGCTACAGGCAGGCACTGGGAGACGCTGGCTCTGAATTTGACACCTGCTTCACCTCAGTGCAGAAGAGAGTGATCTGGACCGTCCGGACAGTGCTAGATGTTATTGATCAGATGTGGCTGCCAGTAATGAGGACTTGACACCTCAATAAGGGCACTATGGGTGTCTGACCAGAGTCAATAAAGCAGAAACTGCTGCAAAGCATGGCGAGGCCCAGGTAAAGATCTGGAGGTGCACCTGTGATGTCCCACCACCTCTAATGAAGCCCAACCATCCTTTCTACAGCAACATCAGTAAGGATGGCAGGTATGCAGACCTCACTGAAGATCAGCTACCTTCCTGTGAGCATCTGAAGGACACTACCACCAGAGCTCTACTCTTTTGGAATGAAGAAATAGCTCCCCAGATCAAGGAGGGGAAATGAGTACTGATTGCAGCCCATGGAAACAGCCTTCCAACCATTGTCAAGCATGTGGAAGGTCTCTGAAGAGGCTATCATGGAGCTGAACCTGTCAACTGGTTATTCCCATTGTCTATGAATTGGACAAGGACTTGAAGCCCATCAGGCGCATGCAGTTCTTGGGGGATGATCGGTAAAGCCATGGAAGCTGCGGCTGCCGAGGGTAAGGCCAAGAAGTGAGGGCTGGCGGGCAAGCTACTGTCCCCAGGAGCACCCTCCCTGTCTGTCACATCCCCCTGTGCACCTCCCTCCTGGACATGTCACACTGACCACATCTGTAAGCATCTTAAGTTGTAACTGCAGATGGGGATCAGTGGCTCCCATTTTCATTTTAGCCATTTTGTCTCCTGTAGCCTCTCTCTTTACAACCTAGTCAGAATAATGCTTCTAGGGCACAGGTTCTCAGTCCAAGCTGAGAAAAAGCTCTCCTTGTCCAAGAGAGTCGAAAGGTAGTGACTTGGGTTTTTGCCAGTGCTTTGTTTACTAAGGACTTGTGGGGAGGAACCATGCTAAGCCATGACCAATAAGGAGACGCAAGAGAGCCGATCTGCTCCTAGAGCCAGTCCTGTGCTTTTCAGAGTCAGGCCATTGCCTGGGAGCTCTAGTCACTCCAGTGGAAGATGAATGCAACCTGCATGGTGATGTGACAAACAACTCCTTCCTCCCTCACCCCAGAGAGCTGGCTCTAGCAGGTTGAGATCAATCCTGACTTTAGTGTATGTGTTACATTTACTTTTATAGAAGTATAGTGTATATAAATAATCCAAAACACTAACCTTTCTGGGGTTTCTCATGGCAGTTGAAATAGCCCCACATGTGGTCATCAGAAAATAAGCCATTCTTCACACCAATATGGGATAAGCTCCTTGACCTATGAGGGGTAGGAGTGCCTCCTGCTGTGTATTTTAGAATCTCTCCCCCACCTTGTTTCAAGGCAGTGAAATGCCTCTTGGTCCTGTCCAAGTGTGTCTTTCACTGACTGACTTCTGAATCATATTCTAGTTGCTTGGCCCTGCCACACAGGCCCAGTGTTCATTTGAGCATAACTGTACTAAATCCTTTTTCCAGATCAGTATAATAAAGGAATGATATGCAATTAAAAATCATCTATACATCCTCTTCAGTGCAAAGCTCCATAACAACAGAGAACAGGTGCATGATAAATGTGGAAATGAGAGAAGGAAGAAGTAGAGGTCAAGAAAAAGGAAAAAGGAAGGAGGAAAGGAAGAGAGGCAGGCTTTTAAGGAAGCAAGTGGAAGAAAAAATCATAAAAATGATTTAAACTCTGTTTTACACATCTTGAAGGTAACTACAAAGTCTGTTTTTTTACCATTTGCCATATCTTTTAGGGTATGTGTGTGTACCTCAAACTTTTATCTTAATTCATTTTTTATTTGTTTGTTTTTCATACAGGGTCTCACTCTGTCACCCAAGCTGGAGTGCAATCATGCAAACATGGCTCACTGCACCCTCAACCTCCTAGGCACAAGTGATCCTCCCACCTCAGCCTCCCATGTAGCTGGGACCACAGGTGCATGCCACCATGCCCAGCTAAATTTTTTATTTTTATATTTTGTTGGTAGAGATGGGATCTTACTTTGTTGCCCAGGCTAGTCATGAACTCCTGGAATCAAGCAATCCTCCTGCCTTGGCCTCCCAAAGAGCTAGGATTATAGGCATGAGCTGCTGTGCTTGGCCTTTTATTTTAATTCTTTCAACTTTTAATCACTTTCAGTTCAAGACATTTCATATTCAATCTGTTATCTTACTCAGTATTATTCTCACCAGTATACTGCTTTTTAAAACCAACTAGAATATTAACTATGTTATGCAAATGAAAATCTGTGAATTTAATCACAAAGAGTGGCCCAGAGGAGCCACTAAGTCCTACAACATCCAATGGGAAAATTTTGAGAGTCCTATTATATTCAATAACTTGTATACCAATGCCCAGAATTTAATATAAATTGAACTGAATCCTACACACAACTCTTTGTAGATTCTGTCTGTCGATAAGACATGCTTTCATAAAAACTGGCAAGTGAAAAATACAGACTACAGCCCATTTTAATTTTCATTTCATTTTCTTTTCAACGAAACATTGTGAATGTAGTGGCATCACATAAATATTTATCAAACTCTATAATTCTTCCAACTGTAATGATAAATAAAAGTATCTTTCAATGCGCGTACAAAACACTAGCAGAAAACTATTCTTAGAAGACTGAAATGAGATGCAAGCTATCTGAAGTCATGAAGGGCAATAAATTTATCCCACTGCCTTCTGGAGAGTCACAAATATATGAAGCAATCATCTCGTAGTTTTGGTAATCTATGCTTACTAGGCTTCTGAAATTTCACTGTTTGATAATTGAAGAAATAAAAATAACACAGCATCACTTGGCACTGGAGAAATGAGGACCCTGACCTGATGGGCCGGTAAGCCATTGAAAATGTCTATTATTAAATATAAAAGGAAGATTGCATACAGAGAAAAGACCACACAAGTTTCCAGGTTGTAGGTTTGCCAACCTATTTGGATTACCTCTTTATGACTGTCATTATTTTTATCATTTACTAGTTATACAGAGACAATAGCAGCTCAAGCCTGATACACAATGAAGACATAATTACAGATTTGAACCAACAGTCCTCTATTAAAACCTAAATTGCCCTCAGCCCACAGTTAAAAAAAGGTCAAGAAGAAGACACCTGCTGAAAAGAGTAATAAAAACATGCTGTTTATTATTTTCCAGAAGCTTCTAATCCTTTCTCCCACCTGGCTTACATGACAACTACAAAGTTCATCAGAATGTTGTGGAGTGTTCAGGACTCCTCAGGGAAACATTATTTTTTTTCTCTCAAATAATTATGGTCAAAAAGTCTAGAGCCAAGAAAAGTTTCTGCTGTCACTTGATCATAACTTCATTTCTCTCCCTTGCTTGCTCAGGTCTCATGGGGAAAATTTAAGGGCAAGCCTGGGCCAAAATGCAACAAGCCTCTTTTGATTTAGATGGGCGAGAGTAAAAATATCATCTCAAAAAAAGAATGAGGACAGGGATGCCATTTAGTCTGGATTTGTCATGAATTAAACCAAAGCCACCAAATAACATCTGTCTTATTCCTCAACATGTCAAAGAGAAGTTGCCAGGCAAGTTTGGGAAAAAGAAGTTGGAAAGATTAACAACCAGCTATAAGATAAAATATGATTTCTGGTGCTTCTGAATATGAGACAAAGGAAGTTTATATTATATTACATTATGCAAGAGATATGCTACTATAGGAATTAATCACCCTTTTAAATATCTGGGCTGAAGCTAATGGTTTCTTCAATGACAAAGAGCTCCTCATTTTTTCAAACAATACAGCTCTTCCATTTCTTGGTTTTCACTCACCCACTCTTGACTATGATGATTAGAGGCTTTGGACAAAGAATATTAGACTCAGCACTGGCAGCTAGTGAACAGTTCTTCAATTGAACTAAATAAATAAAAGCTACTCAATTGTTTGCCTTTATTCTTTCCTTGGCCACCAGCTGAAATAAATCCTTCTCCCTCTAGAAGATCAAAGTACAGCATCACAATGTTTGAGAGCTTGAAAGATCCTGGTACCCTACCATCGGCCAAACCCCTCTTTTTTCTGTCTGAGGACACAGGTTCTTTAGCAAAACAAAAGTTGTTCTTTTATGGTAGAAAAGATGTGGAGAGCATAAGTTAGATGGGAAGATACAGTCCTCTGGTTTCACTTTCTTACCTTGTTAAAAAAGCATTGGATAATTATTATCTCTCTACTGTTGGTACTGAAATGTACCAACACATCAAAGCAGTATTACAGAAACTGCAGTAGAGATTGCTAGAAAATATCAGTATTCAAAATATTTTAAAACTTAAAATCTGTTTTAGAAATATTTAAATAAGAAAAATATTTTATCAGTCAAGGTCCTGGCAGAAAACAGATGGCACACTCAAACTGGGTAATGAGGAACATTTAATAAATAGACTATTTACAAAGGAGTGGGCAGAGTTTAAAGAAGTAAAACAAAACAAAACAAAAATAGTGTCGTAATCTAGGGCTAGTAACAGCAAGGAACTGTTCCACCCATCTGTGGAGGGATGCATCCAGCCCACAGTAACCAGTGTAGAAAGAGTCAAAGGGATGAATATCCTGACCTGGCTCTCCTTCTTTCTTAGGTTCCCATTGGTGGAACCAAGAGATGTCAGACAGCAAAAGAGCCCACTGGCCAAAAAGCCTCTGGGCACAGAGCAGAAAGAAGAGTGAGAATGGATCAGAGAGGCAAATGGGAGAGAGTTAGCCCAACTCTGAACACGATTATAAAGTTATACTTATTTATTATTGGAATAATCTGTTCACAATATATAGAAATTAGCTTGACAGTAATTAATGTGTCTCAAATACCTTTTCGGTTTGTCTATCTGAATTCAAAGTGTACATTAGGTCTCCTAAGTCTCTGCTAGGTCTATCAAAACATTTGGAATAAAGAGCATTCTGTGCTCAGATATGCTGGAGAAATGTTTCAAGAGCCTCAGTGCAAAGAAAGGTAAATGTAAATGCATAGGCACGGGCCTGTGAGTCTTTCCTCATAACACCAGATATAGAAAAAAAAGAAAATAACTGTCCATACCTCCTGGGATGACTGAATGAGACCATCTGTTTAAAGCAGTGTGCACAGAACTTGGCACACAAACAGATGGTGCTCAGTAGATGTTAACCACTGCTGCCACTGTTACCAGCATCATCTCTTGCATCTGCATTCTGACCTGTCAGATACCCATTTCTTACACTTCTGCCTGTTTGTGTCACTAGTGCCTGGTGCAGTGCCTTACACATAGGCAGTGCTCGATTAATGTAAGCTTATGAAGACAATTGTGAGAGCTGTCACGTGCTATGTCATGCTATTCTATTGTTCAGTAATTATTCACTCCTCTCTCCCTTTCCCCTGTTGGAGGAGTGTCATAGTCAGTTTAAGTTGCTATAAAAAAAAAAACCTTACAACCTTACACTGGGTAATTTGTAAGCAACAGAAATATATTGCTCACAGTTCTAGAAGCTGGGAAGTCCAACATCAAGGTGCCAGCAGTGTTTGGAGAGGGCTTGCTCCTCACAGATGCTGCCTGCTAGGTGTCCTCATATGGCAGAAGAGCAGGGGAGCTAGCTGGAGCCTGTTTTATCAGGGCATTAATCCCATTCACGAGGGTGGAATCTTCGTGATTCAATCCCTTCCCAAAAGCCCCACCTCTTAACACTATACATTTGTTATTAGGTTCTAACATGAGCTATGAGGGGTGGGGGAGGGGTGCACAAACATTTAGGACATAACAAGGAATATTCTTTTCTGCTCCACAGTGCTGAGTTTGGCCCCATGACCTGCTTTGGCCAATGGAAAGTGAGCCAGTTTTGAATAGATACTTTAAGAGGCACTGCAAGTTTGCACCAGCCCTCTTGAGCTCCTGCCTCTCACTTTGAGAACATCATATCCCAGATAGTGAGTACTCCTTCAGCCTGGGTTCTGGAATGAAAAGACATGTGGATCAGATCCTAAGTCAATCCAGTCTGCCACAGTGCTGTTTCAGCTGTTCCCCCAGAGTCTGGGGCAAGAAAAAAATATTTCCATAAGCCAGTGAAGTTTCACAATTGTTTGTTATATAGCAATAACCCAGAAAAATCTGACAAATACATATGTGTAACAAGGTTATGATGGCATGCTGGACTGGAAAAGAAGGACAATAACATGAAATTTTGAGTCCATTACACTAGAGTTCAAATCTCAGCTCTGAACAGCTACCAGATGTGTGACCCTGTCTGGGCAAGCCTCAGTGATCCCTACCTTGTTGCATTACTGTGACAATTACAAATAGTACCTAAAATGTACCTTGCACAGTGCCTGGCACATAATAGGTACTTGATAACTGGAAGAAATAATCCAATTAGTAATAAAGGATGGCAAAATATCTTCCCAATTATCCATGATTAAAGTGCCAATTGGAAATTTTTCATCTCAATTAAATATTTCTTTAATTAACCAGATAAATAGAAAGGGTGAAACCATTGATCAAGTTTGTACCTTCCAAAATATTTATAGAAAATTACATTTTGAGATATATACTGTGCTCTTTCTAAAATGGTGTAAAACCTCTGAGTAGTCAAAAATATGAATCCCTGTTGTGTCAAAGAATAAGAATGCATTCTTTGTGAAGGAAAAATACGATTAAATTGCATCTTCCAGACTAGTGATTTAAATTGTGATCAAATCCACTATAGTTGGGGAGGCCCCCATTTAATCCATTTACTGTGAACATTATTAAACATATATTAAATGCTTGTGCATAGCAAAGAATTTCAAAGGTATGGTTTGATTCGCAGAGCTCTAAGAAAGTCAAGAACATTCTCTTTGAAGCAATTGTGAATGGGAGTTCACTCATGATTTGGCTCTCTGTTTGTCTGTTGCTGGTGTATAAGAATGCTTGTGATTTTTGTACATTGATTTTGTATCCTGAGACTTTGCTGAAGTTGCTTATCAGCTTAAGGAGATTTTGGGCTGAGACGATGGGGTTTACACTGTTGGTGGGACTGTAAACTAGTTCAACCATTGTGGAAGTCAGTGTAGCGATTCCTCAGGGATCTAGAACTAGAAATACCATTTGACCCAGCCATCCCATTACTGGGTATATACCCAAAGGACTATAAATCATGCTGCTATAAAGACACATGCACACGTATGTTTATTGCGGCATTATTCACAATAGCAAAGACTTGGAACCAACCCAAATGTCCAACAATGATAGACTGGATTAAGAAAATGTGGCACATATACACCATGGAATACTATGCAGCCATAAAAAATGACGAGTTCATGTCCTTTGTAGGGACATGGATGAAATTGGAAATCATCATTCTCAGTAAACTATCGCAAGAACAAAAAACCAAACACCGCATATTCTCACTCATAGGTGGGAATTGAACAATGAGATCACATGGACACATGAAGGGGAATATCACACTCTGGGGACTGTGGTGGGGTGGGGGGAGCGGGGAGGGATAGCATTGGGAGATATACCTAAGGCTAGATGACGAGTTAGTGGGTGCAGCGCACCAGCATGGCACATGTATACATATGTAACTAACCTGCACAATGTGCACATGTACCCTAAAACTTAAAGTATAATAATAAAAAAAAAGAAAGTCAAGAACATAAAACTACTAAATGTATCAACTAATCCCAGCATACACACTTCCACAAAACATTAAGCACTACAATTACTGAAGCATAGAAATAGATTTTTATCCATTCGGAAGGCATTCAGAAAAATATCACCACTAATAAATAATAAAAGATTATTTGAATTGTAAAATTTGACTAGAAAAGAAATTTATCTAAGACATGAGCTCAAGTATCTGCCTTTTAAAAAACTAAGAAAAAATATTTTACAGAAAAGATATATATAATCTGGTAGCCACTGTCTGAGGAGCTCAAGTAAATTTAGGGTAGTGTTTGCAAACCACATGAGGAGGAAATGCTTGAAAAGCCTAAATGAAGATTCCCGGGCTCCCACTCCAGACCTACTGAATGACGATAATTGGGAATTTGGCCTGGGAATCTGCATTTGTTAACAAACCCTGTAGATGACTCATGTGTACTCTAAGTTTGAGAGCTGCTAACCAATGCAAACACTTGGGTAATCTTTGTCAGCCAACTTAAAGGTTTTAAAAGACTTAAATCCAAGCAAGTCTAGGCCATTCTATGCCCACAGGTTAAATAAAGACAACAGAGTCTAGACCTGAGACTCAGTAATGGCTACAGGGCTAAACAGCTTTTCATTCTGCTGGCAACTCAAACCATATTTTTTTTAGCACTTGGAAGCAAAAAATTGATGGATCATTCAACAGTAGTAAAAATTCAGTGGCACCAAGGTGACACCTTCTCTTATTGAACATACAATTGCCAAACTTCTCTTCAGTGTTAGCACCACCTGGAAACAAATCCAGATGGTCACTCCTCATCAGCTCCTTGGGCTTAGATTCTAAAATCTACAAGTGCTGAGAGGAGAGAAAGAAAGATGGTTAAGATTGTATGGACACTCTAGTCTTCTTAAAAAAAATCTCAACAAGCCCAAACCTTTTTTCCTGTAATACAGAGAAAAAACCCAGTTGTGTTTTCTAAGAGAAGGGAACAGAATGAAATAATAAAGGAGGAAAGACATTGCTACTATAATTTTAAAACTATGAAAAAACATCAGAAACATGAAAGAATTGAAAGGAAAGGGCAATGGATTAGGATTGAGGAGATGTGGGTTCAAGATACAGCTTATATCCTTTAAAGCCTATGTGACCTTATAAACTCACTTAGCTACTCTTCAACTCAAAGGAGTTAATGTTTATAGGAAAGAGGTTTTTAAGTCACAAAGCAATGTCAAAATGTAAGTGGCATTAGTATCATTGATGACAAAAGTTTTTATTTTTATTTTTAATTATTATTTTTTTAAGACAGCGTGTCACTCTGTCACCCAGGCTAGAGTGCAGTGGTGTGGTCACCACTCACTGCAGACTTGACCTCCTGGGTTCAAGTGATCCTCCTTCCTGCCTCAGCTTCCTGAGTCACTGTGACTACAGGCGTGCACCACCACACCCAGATAATTTTCTGTATTTTTTTTTTTTTTTTAGGAATTCCACCATACTGACCAAGCTAGTCTGGGACTCCTGAGCTCAAGAGATACACTTGCCTTGGCCTCCCAAAGTGCTAGAATTACAGGCATAGGCTACCATGACTGACCAATAAAAGTTTTTTTAATATATATATAATTCAGAATACAATGGAGCAAATGCAGATACGTATCTTTTCTAAATAACACCCAAGGTAGAAACACTGTAGCAAGTTACCTGTGGGAAAATCTAGGCCACTAATACCAAATTGTTCCAACTTTTCACTGTATCAGGTAAACCAAAATGCAACTTCCTGATTTTAAAAAAAAAAGAAAAAAACCTCAGTATGGCTTGATGTAGTCATCTGTATAGCAGTGGTGAATGATTCAGCTCATACTTTTCCTATGACCTACCTATCCACATTTACCTGAGTCTCAAAGCTAAGTTCATCACTGGAGAGCCATATAAACAATGGGGCTATAAAGAAAACAGGAAGGTTAATCAATGACCAGCACCATTAGTCAATAAGTCCAGGGTTGCAAGGATTTTGAAACCTGTTTAATACTTTATTGACTTACAGATTTTAGCTCAACACCAAATTTCAGTGTAGTTGGGTACATGCAGGGAAATTCCAACTTATCTTTAGATGTGTGAGAGCAAGGTATACTGCAGTTACACAAAGCTAAGTTTGAAAATAGGCTCCACATTCTATGTCTTCTCTGAACCTCAGTTCATGAGTTGGTAATTATCAGCCCCAGCTCATGGTGCTGTTGGAAGAATTAAATAAGATCTGTCTATAAAACCCTCTGTACAGTGTCTGGCACATTGTAAGTACTCGATGAACTCATTGTTATTAGTAGTAAAGTATTAGTACAGAGTAGGCACTCAGTAAAGGCTAGTTCCCCTCTTTTATCATTTTGTGCTTAAAAGGCAGAAATATATTCCAACTAAATTATAAGGAATACATAATAACATACAGTATGTGGCAAAGTCAGGGGTGAAATTTCCTAATATAGACTTTTTAATCTACTATAGCCACGGAGACCAATTTTATAATTTACACTGGCCATAATTAGAGCCTATGTATACAAAAGTTATAGTTTAAACTTGAGATGGTACATGTAGCTTTCTTGCTACCTAATATTTAATATAGTTTCTTAAATCATTTTTTCTGGTATTGTGGATATACAGTTAGTATGTCTATAGTGATACCTTCCTACCACCTGTTCTAATCATCATCATCATCACTGGGACTGTTATGAACTGAATGTATGTGTCCCCTACAAATTCATACTCTGAAGCCCTAACCCCCTATGTGATGCTATATAGAGATAGAGTCTTTGGGAGGAAGTTAGGTTTTGATGAGGTCATGAGGGTACAGCCTTAATGATGGCATTAGTGCCCTTACGGGAAGAAAAGCACCAAAGCCTGCTCTCTTTGCCATGTGACATGGAAAGAAGTTGGTAGTTGGCAAGCCCAGAAGAAGGCCTTCATCTTGACTGTGCTGGTGCCCTGATCTTGGACTTCCAGCCTCCCGAACTATGAGAAATAAATGTCTGTTGTTTAAACTACCTAGTCTGTGGTATTTTGCTATAGCAGCTTGAGCTGACTAAGGGGAAAAAAGCACTCTACAAATATTGTGGACAAGTATCTAATGTATGTAAATGTGCTCTGAAAATGGTAAGGTGCTAATATTACCATTTAAACAAGACAGGGAAGACACAGGCCCTCACTTGAGATGTCTACAATCTAAAATCTAGAAAAATGCACAGTGCTAACAAAGGAACAGAAACACACACATACACAAAGAGATGCATGTGTCCAGGCACATGAACATTTTAAAGACAAATAGCGACAATAACAAGTATTTTAAAAAACCTGTATCTGTATCTATGAATGAATAATTTAAAAAGTAAGTCAGAAGCGATGAAAATACTGGAACAATGTTGCCCCATATTTTTTAATGTTTTGTAAATATCTCCTTACAAATAAATTCTTAAAATCAATTTTTATAAATAAAATTCATAGCAAGACTCATTTATTCCATTAAGAAAACATTTGTAGAAGCACACCTCCTTATATTAATGGAGCTACAGAGTGCAAATGCCCATCATTCAAGGACCAGATGAACCCATGAAAGATAAAAGACCAAGCAACTAATGCAATATCACTTCTGCAAAGCCTTACTGTAAAGGGAAAGATTCCTATATAAGATCCATTTGAAAATCCATTTCACACTTCTAACTTAAAGCCAATTCAAATGTAATTTACTTTATCAGAGTCCTTCATTTAGAGAGGGTCAGGAGTACAATCAACAGAAGTGACAATTACTTAGGCTTATCAAAAGATGACCTGGTAGCAATAGTGCTGAGCAAGAAAATAACAAAACAAAACAAACCAGGACTCCCACTGGAAACCACAGCTGTTAGTTTATAAACAGATCTTCTAACAAACCAGAACATCCTAAGAAAAAGCATCTATGTGCGTCGTCTCTGCACCAAATGCAACCTCATTTGTCATTCTATTTTAGTGTCCTAACATCCCTTTACTTTTCCACTGTTGACCATTTAAAAGAGGTGAAACAACACTCTTGGCACAAAATATTACACTTACCACTCTCGTCGTCTATACTGAACCTTCCAAGACCACTGCCATCCCTGATGGAGTACTGGATCTCTCCATCCCTTCCGGAGTCTTCATCTCGAGCAGTCACCTGCAGCACGCTTGTTCCAATGCGTGAGTTTTCCTTTACAGATCCAACAACAGCAAAGTCTGGGAAATAGGGAGTGTGGAGGTTTTCATTGACATCCACCACTTCCACCTCAACAAAGGAAACAGATGACAGAGAGACAGGCCGCCCTTTGTCTTTGGCCCGCACAGTAAGGTTATAGAACTGCTGTTTCTCATAATCAAGCTCTTTGCTCAAGCGGATGGCACCACTTGCTTTATCTATTTCAAATCTCCCATTATAGTCATTGACCAAAGAATAGCGCACTTGACCCCCCAGTCCAAGATCTGGATCATGGGTCTCAAGCCAAGCAATGACAGTGCCAACAGGGAGATCTTCAAGAACCTTCACACTATAGCTACTGGGAATGAAAGCTGGGGAGCAGTCATTGACATCATCTAAAAAAACTTTAAGAGTGACAACTGAAAACAGCTGCTGACCACTCTCTGCCTTGTCCCTGGCTTCTATTTTCAAAGAATAATTGGCTTTGGATTCCCGGTCCAACTGGTCGGCTACATAAACGATTCCAGTTGAGCTATTGATGGCAAACTGCTGTGTATCTGTCAAGACTGAGTAAGTCACTTCACCATTAGAACCTAAGTCTTTGTCTCTGGCTTCCACTTGAATGATTTCAGTACCAATGCCTGAACTTTCAAGAATGTTAACTGAGTAACTGTCTTGAATAAAAACTGGGCTATTGTCATTAGCATCCTCCACATTGATGGTCAGCAGTCTCCATGACGATTTCTGTGGATTACCTAAGTCATAGATGGTGATATTAAGGAGATAGAGGTCTGTGTGTTCTCGATCCATGGGCATAAGGACTTTAAGCTGCCCAGTCTCCATATCAATATTAAAGCAACTATCCGTATTTCCATCTGATATTGTAAATAGCACTTTTCCATTGAAGCCAGAGTCGGCATCATAGGCTTTAATCTTCAGAATGTTAGCACCAACTGGCAGATCCTCCTTTACAGCCACATCAGAAGGAAAAGACTTGTCAAAATATGGTCCCTGTCTATTAATTGAATAAAAGTCAAGAAATCCATCTTCCAGATTCAGTTTCCCATTTGCTTTTGCCTTAATGAGTAGTTTCTCTGCCAGCTTTTGAGCCACACGAGTTTCTCTGCAACTGAAGCTCTTTGAAGACACTTTCCCATGTAGGACTGAAATGTTAATAGACATGGGGTCTGCAAGATTCTCTCCATCAGTTGCTGTAATTCTGAGGGCAAAATTGCCATTTTTAATGCCAGAATTTGTCAGTGATTTTTTAAGCTGTAAAACACCAGAATCTGGGTTTAAATAAAAGAAGCCAAGTTCATTTCCAGAAATGATTTTGTACTTTACAAGTTCAAGTTCATCGATATCGATCGCTGAGACTGCTGTGATGTGACCACCAACTGGAAAGTCATATGAAATAACTCCCTGGCAAGCCACTTTTTCAAAGAGAGGGCTGTTGTCGTTGACATTTCCTATTCGAATAGTCACATTGACCTCACTTTCATGGCGGTATGGTGAACCCCAGTCAGAGGCTCTAACAATGAATCTGTAAATTTCTGGGGAGGATTCAAAATCCAGTTCTTCAGTTGTGCTAATAACACCTGTAAACTGATTAATGACAAATGGTAACAAATTCAGGCTAGCGATACTATAGGTGATGTACCCATTTTCTCCTTTATCCTTATCAGAAGCTGAAACTGTTAGAACGCTGGTTCCCACTGGGACACTTTCATTCACATAAGCATCATACAGTGGTTGCTGAAATTCTGGGGTGTGGTCATTTGCATCTTCTATGCTGATGGTGACCTGTGCTTTTAAATCTCCTTCCTTGTTTGTCACCTCCAGTTTATAAACCTCCTTCTTAACAGTATTCAGTGGCCGTGCTGTAACAATCAGACCCGACCGAGGATTAATTTTAAAGTACACTGCATCCTCACCAGGAGATAATTTGTATTCCACATCTATCGGTTCAGGACTTAATTTTACTATAGCAACCACGACACCAGGAGGGGAAAATTCACTTATGCTCACATCGTACACTTCTTTTTCAAATCTAATGGGGACAGTGTCTCTTGTGGGGTTGCCAATGTAGACTGCCTTTAATGCTGAACATTTTTGAGGAGATCCCTTGTCTTTTGCTTGAAGAGTGAGATTGTAGCCATAGGGAAAGCTCTCCCAGTCAATCTGCTTCCTCTCCTTAATCTTGTACTCATTCAACCACTTTCCTTCCTTAGCCAGGAAGAACTGATCTAAAGGATCCCCAGCCACAATGGAAACAGATTCGATCTCTCCATTCGCTCCATCATCTAAGTCATCAACTGTCACCACTGCATATGTTGGCTCTTTTTCCAACGAGAAAGGAACATGAGTGACTACATGGATTGTTGGGGCATGTTCATTTATGCGCTCAATGTGAACATAAAGCTTTGCAGTACTGCTCACTCCATTGTTCCCATACAGTTTCATTCCCCGGTCCACAGCCAAAATTTCCAGATCATACCTATTCTTTTCATCATAATTTAATCGACCACTTAAGGAGATGACACCACTCGTGGGGTGAACTGAAAAGAGATCAACTTTATTTTTAAAGTAGTAGTAGAATTCTCCATTGGAACCAATATCTGCGTCTGTTGCAGTCACCTGGGCAACACTAGTCCTTAGAGGTGTGCTTTCTGCTATGGTAACAGAGTATGTTGTGGGTGAAAACAAAGGTCTCAGATCATTCATATCTAAAACCTGTATATTCACTTTGGTCCATGCTTCCAAATCCTCTCCTCTGACAGAACCTTTTACTATCAATAAATAATTATCCTGGATTTCCCTATTTAATATGGCAGAATTGCCACCTTTAGTTCTTATTCTGAGAAAACAGAAATCTGCAATGATGACTTCCTCTGCTTTGAAAAAGCCTTCCTCGTCTCCGGACACTATTCTGTATTTGATATCCCAGGATAGATCTATTAAGGTGATGCCCATTCTACTCTGGCTGTTGACGTAGGTCCTTGCTGCTGAGTTCTCATACACGGTAGCATTATAAATGGAATGTGTGAAGTGGAAGCCCAGGGGTCCAGTCCCTGGCAGCCCCTGGGAGACAGTGGCCAAAAGCTTGAAAAGCAGGAGGATGAGGCAACAAGCAGGAGGCCGTGTGCCCACACAGTGTCCCATAATTATATCCATCACATCATACTTCCATCCTGGAGGGAAGAAAGAGAGAGAGAAAAGATAAATTAACCATCCTAGAAGAAGGGGGAGAGTGGGAAATAACTATTAGGAAGCCATGCTTTTTAAAACTTTATCACAAAATCTTTTTACTAAAACAGCAATATAAGAAAAAATTAGAAACCTTGCCACTACTAGGTAATAAGGAACTTAAGATTACTAGAATTTAGCCCAATCTTGTAAGAATTGTTTTCAAGTGACACTTTGTTTTAAATAACACTTTTATACTACTGACAGCGTTGTTCATTGGTACAAGATTTCTTACATTCTGAAGGTCAATTTAGAGATATATTGGAAGCCTTAAGTGCATTTACCTTTGACTTAGAACTGCCTTTGCAGTAATTATCCTATAGAAACATTTAGACAATTATCTGTTATAGCACAGTTTAAAGTAAAAAAAAAATGAAGAGATGCTAAATGCCTATCAATAGAGGACTGAATAATTCATGGTGTATTCATAAAATAAAATATTATGCAGTCATTAAAAATAGAGACATAAAAGATGTGCATTTTCAGATGCAGTAAGATGTAATGCTAAGGAAAAAAGGTCATCAAACAGTATATATAGCATGAGTTCTATTATTATATAAACACCTATATGTGCAAATGAATTTTTATATTTAAAAAGGATTAACTGTGTTTTGGGATTTGGTGGCATATTTGCATTTTCTAACTTTTCTTCAATGAACATTGTTCATCAATAGTTACATAATTACTTTTATAATTATAATCTTTTTAAAATGCTTCAAGGTATTACCATCTTTTATTGTGCTTACTTTTAAACTGATCAAGGTTTATGAATAATGCAATGCCATGAGAATGAACAAAGTGTCAAGTTACAAAGCAGAGACAATAATCCCTAAGGAGTTATATGACTGGAGTGATATCCAGAACTATTCAGAACAAGGGAGGTAAGAGTGATTACTTGCAAGAAAAACTTTAGAAATTACAAGAGATACTTCCAATTACTTTCATCAATGACTATTAAATTTGGACAGTTTCTACAGTTTCATGACTATGTGGGTTAAAAGATACAAACTTTTTCCTATTTTAGCCAGTAAAATCAATCAAGGAGAAGGGAGAAAGGAGGTATTCAACAAGAAAAAGTTAAGTCTATTCATACCCAAAGGATCAGATTTTTAGAACCCCCAAATATGAGTTCTTCCATCCAGTCTTATACTCTGCAAGCCCTTGACATTCTCCTTTTCTTCCTTTACAGGGAACGTGAAGATGAGAGGAGATGGAAAATGAATTTCTTTGCAGGCATGTAATGATGTAGGCACTGTGTCAGTCATTTTTCCACTTTGTTGTATTTAATCTTCATGATAATCCTAAGTAATAGGTACTATTTTACCCAATGACATATTAGAAAACTGAGGGTCAGAGAAGTTAATCTATTTAGTTGAGACATTTGCCCAAACAATGTTCCCCAGCCGGCAAGTAGTAAAGCAGGATCTCAGACCTTAATCTTTCTCTAAAATCCATGCTTTTCCCCATCACACAATCACTCTCTCAAAATTACCTGCAAGCAAGAATGAAATAATTAAGGATCCTAGAAGCATATATGACATAATTTAATTCTAATGAAATAGTCAACATATGTCATTGATTTTAAAAAGTACAACCCATCCCTGCCCCCAGCATATCTTTTTGGTTATCTCCTCTCTGGTTTTAATGTAGTTCTAGTTATTGGCTGCAAACTGAAAAAAAAAAAAATCCCTACAGGAGTTTAACATATTAAAATATTACAAATTGTATGGTTTATAAAACCCTTTCATATCCAAGGTTAGCAAGGCACATATTATTATAACCTTTTTGTTAATGATAATATAAAACCTCATTTTCCTATCTCGACTTTATTAGTTAAGTCTAAATAGACTTAACTTTTTCTTGTTGAATACCTCCTTTCTCCCCTCTCCTTGATTAATTTTACTGGCTAAAATAGGAAAAAGTTTTTACCTTTTAACCCACATAGTCATGAAACTGTGGAAACTGTCTAAATTTAATAGTCATTGATAGAGTCTAGCAGACTCTAGATTAGAGCTCAGGCTCTCTCCATACCCCACAAGGCTTTTCTTTTTTTTTTTTTTTCAGCTCCACCTTACAGGAGACTCTCCTGAAGTGAAACCCTGAGCATGCAAATGCTGGTTCTGCCTGGGAATGTAAGATATCTTGCTGCTATCATTTGCTGAAGTATCCCGTAGAAAACATGGAGTTACAGATAGAAAAAGTCAAGTTTAATTTAGGGACTTTACAGGCATTAATAGACAGCAAAAATGAAAAGCTGAAAAAGGGAGTAAGCGTCTATAAAGGAAGTTAATTTCACATGCAGTTCTTTAGAGACATTGCATATGCTAAGTAAGTGGAACAGGCAGCCTGTGGACAGCAGCTCTGGTAACTAGGGCAGGGACCAAGTCAGATGGCCGCTGGTGACCCTGCTCAGTAAGTTCCTAGAAAGACATCACTGGGCTGCTGGTCATTTCAAAGGAAACTTTATTAAGAAAATGATACATTTGGGGTTTTCTGGATGCAGTAGGTTCAAATGTCCTACCTAGCAGAGTGGCGAAGCCCACAGTGTGATTGGGGTGTCTACTTTGTAGAGCACAGTCAACTGAAATATGGGAGCAAAAGAACCTCTCTGTAGTGATCACAGAAGTACACTAGCAGAAGCTTTAATAGTATTTTGTATGCCTCAGGAGTCTCTATTTCATCATCTCAAAAGGCTCCAAAGCAGTGGAGACATTTTTAGGCTCACTGTGGACATGTGAACACGGTAAAGTAAGCGAGTCTCTCGTAAGGGAATGTGAAGGTTAGGTTACACTCTCTCAAGGTGAAATACTGGGATCACTCCCAGAATGCTCCAGAGAAATACAAATAAAGTTTCTGCCTTATTTCCCACTCACTATCCTGTGCTGAGAAGACTTCCTGTAACAGTAATTTTGCCGATCCTTAGCCCAAGGAGTCTAGACTCCATGGTCATCAGAGAGGAAAACTTCCCCCATGAAAAATACAGTTCAACTGAACTTTTCTGAGTCTGCCCCCTCATTCACACTTTGAACTTCTACTTAAGGAAACCTGATGGGAAGTACATCACTCTATTCCCAGCATCCAGTACAGCACCCACCACACAGGAAGCAAACAACACTGGTTTGTTGAACAGAACCCTAAGTACTAATGTAACCAGAGGCCCAGATGCCTTTAATATGCTCCGTTTCCTATTCCCCAACAAAAAGCACATCTTACTTCAGGAAACTGAATCAAGAAATTATACAGGTTCAAAGGAGCCTTAAAGATCATCTGTTCCAATCTCCTGAGTTTACAGATGAAGAAACCAGGGTCCATAAAATGAAGAGATTCCCCTAATGCCAGGACTCAAGTTTCCCAGGTTCAGAGCTAATACCAAACTGAAACACGCTTCAATTGAATTAGTTTTCATTAAGTTACATTAAAATTTTAGAGCTGTGGTTTATCATTATTTTGGAGTCATCTTCCTTTTCTGACACCATATTACTCTCCCTGGTGTTATTTCTTCCTCTAAGTAGTTAACTGTTTATAAATAAACATTAAAGTGCCCTAAGGGGATAGTTACTTTTTACAAATCTTTCTGTGAATCTTTCAAGGCAAAGAATGCTATCATAATATGAAAATGTATCATTCAATTTAACTATTCAAAAATTGGTGCTTTTGCATAGTGAGTTTTTCTTTCAGCAAGATACATTGCTGGAATTGTTTTCTTAAAAACCGGAATCGGTGGTCTTAAATGCAAATAGAAAATATTTCAAAACAAGCATAAATGGAGTAGTATTATCACATACTGAAATTCAGACCTACCACCAAAAAACTGAGCAGGACTAAGTTTGTCAAATTCAGTTGTTGAAAACAAAATATCTTTTAAGGCTTTTGTATCTTTATTGTGGCAAAGGAAAAAAAAAAAGCCCTATCTGGCACAAATTATTTTAAAAAGCCTTGCAGTTTTCCCACTGATTAGGAAATAAATGAATGCTAGAAGCTAGGAATGTTGTAAAATTTTGCAAAGCAAATAATAGAATTGAATTTTGTCTTCTTTTCTTTTTAGCATGCCAAGACAACTGTTGAAGTTTTTTTTAAAAATAATATTGCCCTTTCCACATTGAAGCCAAGCTATTTGTGAAGCCAATATGATACAGTATTTTAGATGCTCTGCACATTGATTTATTCTACTGCTTCTAGATTATTTTAAAGAAAGCACTTAGTTCCCAACCTCAGAGCCTATTTTCTACGACTTACTAACATAATCAATAATTTTTGATATAATCTCCAAAGAGATCATCAAGCCATCAATCTTTGAGACATTTATTTTTCAGAGGCATTCCTGGTGTGCCTCCCCATCCTGCCCTTCTGCTCTGTTAGGATGGATCTTACTGTGGGACTCAGAAGGGCATGCAGATTTTTCTTTCCATGGATGAATAAATACCAGAGACCTTGGGGGCAGGGAACAGCAATCACAGAGACTACCTCTCTGGGACAGCCTTGGCTCTGTAGGGTACCTATGCTTGCTTTGGTAACCTGATAAAGCTGTTTTCTGCCAACATTAATCTGGTCTGCTTAAATTGGTGAGACTTCTGAACACTACCAAAGGTATTTTAAAAATATATTTCATTTTCATTCCCTCTCTTCCTATCTTTTCTATTTTGAGGGGATTTTGTTAGCCAAATCGGGAGGGTACTCAAGAAATTTGCTATGTTAGGCTGTAAAGCAAAGAACAAAGTCAATATAGAGTCCCCTTGACAGGAGTCCTTGAGGAAGGTGACCCGTGTTCAAACTGCAAATGGAAGATCAGTCTCTGCTCTGGTGTATGCAGTGCCAGAGCCAATGCCAACACAAAGGCAGAGCATGCAATGGTTACAGAACATGCACCTTGGCACTTGACTGCCTGCATTTGAATCCTATCTATGCCATTTACTAGCTTTACAACCCCAGGCAAGCTATTGAACCTCTCTGCACCTCAGTTTATTCTTCTATAAAATGAGAACAATAATGCCTACCGAATAGGATTTGAGTTAATAAATGGAAAATACTTAAAACACTTCATGGCACATTGTATATAATTGTTAGCTATTATCATTAATAAAGGCAGATTTTAGAGAAGACAAAATCTGGGAATCACAAGACAGGGAGTAAAATTTACAACCTACTCTACGTTTTATTTTCCAGTAGAAAAAAACACCCATCAAAGGTAAAGGAAAGAATGTCCTTTCTTTACTAAAAGCAAAGGAAGAACACTATGTTAGCCTCAAAGGTCAGAGAAACCTGAGTTGAATCCAGGACTTGCCATCTAGTGGCTGGGTGACTTTGGGGCTAATATTGAAAGCTTCATTAAATCTCAGTTTCTCTATCTTTAAAATGGGGAGTATAAGAGTTCACACTCTCAGGTAAAAGGCTTAACATAGTGTCCGGCACATAGTAAATATTCCGTGAATATTAACTGACATAATTATTAAGGTTTTCAGAAGCAGGGATACAAAACAAAAAACGAGTAAAACTGAGGTAAGGATAAAGGGTCCAGAGAGGGACCACACCTAATATGAAAGCTACCCTTTCACAGATCACAAACTTGTGCCAGGGGTCAGAGTCAATGCCACAGAGAGGTCCTGTGCATGGTGACATGGCCAAAAGCTATTGCCAGAGCTCTGTAATTGATTCCAATTCCCGTGTGTGCACTTTCAAACTCCAAAAGCTACAGCTGCGTTAGGGAACTACTCCTTAGAGCTAGCATTTAATTCCTGGGGAGTTCAAGCAAGATTTCTCCTTGCAATGATGAGTCCCAGAACAGCCAGATACTGCTTAGCCCTATCTTCTAGAGCAGCCTATTCTGATACCACCCAAATTACCATTCTCATGGCGCTACTTTATGTTCTGGGTCCTTGCTCCTGAAATCAGTTATAGACTGCTCGTATGACATACTTGGGAATAAAGTTTTACTCCCTGGTTGGTGCTAATGGCTGCCTGAAAAGAAGAAAAAGGGTTTGATGTGGGTTATTTCTTTAAAATACAAACCACTGTAGCTAGAGAATGTATAAGATAATATACTAAGTATTTGAATCACAATAATTTAGCTTATGCCATTATTCACATTATATAATGAAATACTGAGCCAAAGCCATGTAAAGTCACTGAGTTTTATAGCCAAAGGGATCATAAGCTTATCTACCCCAACACCCTAGTTTAACCATTGAGGAAACAGATTGAGACAGGTTATGTGATTTGAACAAGGTCACACAGCTTGCCTATTAGAAAGCTAAAACTAGACCTGAGATCTCCACTGTGAATTTGACTCTGACAGCTCTTGCCTCCTTTAGGAATGCAGGTCTCTACCCATCTGCACCTACAAGTTTTACTCAGAAGGTTTAGATAAAATGCCACCCACCAATTCTATGAAGCTATTTTGGAGATTCCCCATTCAAATGTGAGCACCACTTCTTCTAAAGCTATGACTCTTAAACTCTAGAGACCATCAGAACCATCATAAGGCTTGTTAAATTTCAGATTTGGGGGTACCACTGCAGAGTTTCTGACTCTGTTGATCCGGGGTGGGGCCTGAGAATTTAAAATTCTAACAAGTTCTGAAGAAATTCTGGTCCTGGGACCCCACTTTGAGAACCACTGCTCTAAATATTGTCTGTATTTTATTTCTACCTACCTTTCTGATAGTACTGTCTTCCTTAGATTAGTTACTTATGTGTATCTTTAAAGTATACATTGGACCATAGCTCCTTGAAGAAAAGTTATGGGCCTTATTTCTTCTTATAGTATCTAACAAACAGCCTTGAAATGGTAAAAATTGAATCAATTTTTGGTGAGGGAGACTGGGCTAGTCAGCATACACCATTAACTCTACAGCAGGCTCCAGGGAGAAGATGAAATGAACATCAGTCCAAATAGGAATTATAATCATAAAACATAGAGACCCTGTGGAAATAGCTAGCCCACTATTTCCCAAACTGTGTTCCATGACACACTAATTCTGTATAGGTAGGCAACTAAAATACTCTTTAGGAAACACTAGTTGAACAAAGATAAAGAGGTTTCTTAAAGTAGAACTTCCTGGAGCCTTTAATATGCTCCAAAATAAACCTCCCTCATCTCCCATCCTGAGTCACCTCTAAAAATTTACTCTGCTTTTTAATCTCCATATGAAAGCACAGTAGATATAGTGCCCTCCCCCAGCCTTATCTGAGGGGGGTACGTTTCAAGACACCCAGTGAATGCCTGAAACCAAACCCGATTGCCATCAATCGGGATGTGTTACCGTTTATGTTTTCCACCCACAAACTTAATGCCTTTTCCATCTAAACTAAGCACTTATCACACACTGTGGCTGTAACTCTTGCAGTTTCAGGTGTGACAGCAAAACCAGCACAGATTTCTTCTTCCTTCTTCACAACTTCATGGATAGAAGATTCACTCTTACTCTAGGTCTTAGCAATCTCAGCATTTTTTTCTTTTCTTATGAAAGTCAGGAACTTACACCTTTTCACTTAAAGGAAGCAGTGTACAGTTTCTTTCCAGCATATTAAAATTGCCAGAATCACTACTCTTGAGCTTTGGGGCCATTATTAAGTACAGTAAGGGTGACTTGAACACAAATACTGCAATACCAGGATTGGTGATCTGATAACAAAATGGCTACTAAGTGACTAAGGGGCGGAAAACATGCACAGCATGGACACGCTGGACAAAGGGAGGATTCTCATCCCAGCAGGACGTTGGAGGAACAGTGAGGGATGAACTGAGAGTTCATCAGGTAACTCAAAATGGAATGAAATTGAAAACTTATGAATGGTTTATTTTTGGAATTTTCCATTTGATATGTTGGGACAGTGGTTGGCAGTGGATAAGTGAGACATTGGGAAGTGAAACCATGGATAAGTGAGGACTACAGCACCTATTGTCTACTTTTACTATTAGAAATGAAGTTCCATGGTGCATAGTCAGAATTCAGTAAATACTTGTTACATGCACAATCATGCTATGTAATTTGGGATCCCAAGGGATATAATATGTACAATTTCAAAAATCTATTTGATCATGAATTCCTTTCTTTCCCCCTATACCCCACACCTATACTGCAAAGTCTTAAAGAAAGAGTGTTTTGTGAAATAAAATTGGGTCAACATTGAGTCTAAGCTAGACACTGTGGCTCTAGCTGCCTGGAAAGCTTTGGAAGTGAGGTATAATCAATCCCAAGATTCTGAAGACTTTCATTATTCTCCTTCCTCCTACACCATATCATAGGGTACAAATTCTCATGTTAACTAAGCTGAGTGTCATCCCTGAAGAAACTGTTCCAATACTTGTCATATAAACACATCCCCACATTTCGACTGAAGAATGAGACAACTGCTCCATAATTTGCTGTGCTAAACTTTTTTCCCACTAGAAAAAAAGCAAATAGAGAATTTGCACAGTTCTGTGAGCTACAAGGTCTAACACGAAGAGAAGAATCTTCTCAAGGTTGAATAATCATCCATATATTTTCATAATTTTTCTTATCTAGTTTTACTTAGTCAATGGCCAAAAGTAGTCAGCCAAGTCAAAAATATCCTGAAATACAAAACCAAAAGCCAAGGTCATATTTCACCTCTCTGTGGAAAACTCTGCTTGTCTACCCTGAGCTCTAAGTCTAAGTATGGCTTTATAACAAGAAGAGTATTTTATTTACAGGGATATGATATCACCTTTGTCATTCTGCACAAGGGAAAAAAAAATCCCTAACCAAAGCCTTCAGCTGGTTCTGCCAAATAGCCAAGTAGACTACGACCAAAACCCAACCTTTTTCATCATAATAATACTGTAAATTCTAGCTTTTTCCAGTGGTGCAAATCTTCCTGTCTAAGAGTGGTCTCTTAGGAAAGAAGTCAGTCAGCATGCAGCAAGAGTAATTCAAGTTGATTCTGAGAAAAATGGAAGATTCAGCCACACAGCGGCAGTGTTACGAATACCCTCCTTTATTTTCTCCCTAGGTACTAGAAATATTTCCATACAACACTGGTTAATGTCAAGTATCATTTCATCAGTAAATGCTTCAAATTCAGGAGTAATTCAACCAGGGGCTATCAGAAGGAAAGATTAGCATGTTGTTCAAGCCTTTTAAAAATCACTTCTCTCTCTGGAGAAAGAAATTCATCATGGTATAAGAGAAAAAAAAAGTAAGGAGAGGATATAATTTGCTCCTATGCTTGGCTGTCTGAAAAAATGTGCCAGAAAAATGCATGATTTCATTTTTTCTCTTGTAGGCCTCGCTGACAGAAACCAAAGGGTAAATATATTAGTATTCTCTCATGCTTACGATTTTTAAAAAAGAAAGAAAAAAAAGAAAACCTTTTCTAGTAATAGCACTTACTCTGGAAAAACAGCTTGGAAGAGAAAAGGGGCCAAATCATTTCAAATGGGACAAATAAATAGTGTTAATTCCAATAGTCGGGGGGCAAAATGTAGTTCAGAAAAAAAAGTGCTTGGAGAGCCTCTGATTGCTACAGTCTGACACAATGGATTTTTACTGCTCTGCCAAGTTCCTGCCATCTGTTATATTTCCAAAAGTTAACATCTTTTTAGCCATCCCAATTGCCATTCCTCTTTAAAAGTGAGTCTCTTTCAAGGAAAAGAGAATCTACAAAGTAAAATCGGAAGATACGAAAGCAGAAGATAGAGGACCTTCCCTTGTTGCACCCCTTTCCTGTTGAGAAAGAGATGGTAACGCAGGGCAAGGGGAAAGCCAGTGGATGGTGGGGAGGGGAGGCTTGGGCATACGTAGAGCTGCCATACATCATTGAGGTGAAGGGGCATCACGTGACCATTTTCCAAAGAATGGAAACGCCAAGAAAAGATGTAACAAATGATAAGACATCCTGAAGTTTGTGGAGGACTTATGAGAGAATAATAATTCAGTTCCAAATCTTACCACGTTTACACATGGGACCAGTTCTTGCCCTAGACAAAGCAGACACAGGCTCAAGCAGGTGGTTTTGTAAGTGCTTGTCTATTTGGCTAAACGTCCCCCAAGAATGTAAGGCAGCAACACTGAGTTCATCCATGGTAGGTAGACAATGAAAACTTGCTAAAATGAATTGAATGAGAAGAGTGATACACACTCAGCTCTCTAAAATGGGATAATATTAGCTATATCTGGCTTCATGAAGGTTGGGATATGAGCAGATGAGTATCAGGAGAGGAGAAGGGAGAAAATAATTATGCAAGAAATAAAGAAACAATATATCACGAAATGGCTGAGACTCTAAAATAGTATTTCAGGCAGCAATCTGAATGAACTCAAAAAGGAAAAGAAGAAACCAAACAGCTTAACATATATTAATAGAAGGATGAACATACTGCAGAGAGGTAGAAATTATAGCATGGGAAGAGAAAAAGAAGCTTATCTGGAAATAGGCAGCAATAAGCATTCCAAGGATTTAAAAGAGCTTGCATGTGGGTCAAGGAATACAATCCAAAAGTTTGCTGACAATCCAGAAATCTTGTCAGTCTTGTCTCCTGATATTACCATCACTGAAAACTGTGTCTTAGCAAACAAGGCAAAATGCAAATCTTGTTCCTTCGGCTCTCCCGTATTCCCCATTAAGGTTATTTATTATTGACTGGTGCATATAAGCCCACATTGCCTGGATTAGTACTCAGTGCTAATGAGACCAAGGTCACCCCTTCAATGACCACAGGGGACTACCCACAGAGTCTTTCTTCCTAAGAACAGGTCAACATGGACACCTCTCAACTACCCTCCATCTCCACTAAAGAGCCCGAGGCTGCAGAATCCTGAGTCAGTGGGATCCTCTTCCTGTATGCTCACTTAAGAAAACATATTTTCTTACAGGGACGGGACATCTGTAGACATTTTTGTAGACACGCCTTAAAGAAAGTGTCCAAGAACCTCCAGCTAGTTATTTCAGCATAAGCAACCTCAGCCTAACATTCTAGGTCCAGGACAGGGTTACTATCCCAAGGCAACCACAAATAGACCAGATGTGACATCGCCCAGCCCTTCAGAGTTGGCCTGAGTAGAATGCTGCCCCCTAGAGGTGCTGCCACAGAGACTAAGACAAAGCCAGGTGATGGAGCTCATCCTAAGAGAAAACTAGTCTTCCGGATCTCCGCAAATCCTGCTGCACATCCCAAATTTTGACAACTGCGTCTTAGCTAAGAAGGCAAAATGCAAATCTGGCTCCTTCAGCTCTCCCATAGTCCCCATTAAAGTTATTTATTATTGACTGGTGCATATAAGCCCACATTGCCTGGATTAGTTAGTACTCAGTGCTAATGAGACCAAGGTCACCCCTTCAATCACCACATGGGACTACCCACAGAATATTCCTAACAACAGGTCAACGTGGATCTTTGGAAGAATTAGAACTCGGGGTGGGTAAGGTATGGCCAATGAAGTGACTTCCTAGGACATGTTGTATCCTTGAAATGAAGTTACCAAGGACAATCAGCTTGTTTTGCTCCTCCAATCCCCTCTTTGGGATCCTGGTATCATTTTTGAAACTGAAAGCCAGAGTGAGAAAGCAATCCAATGCAGACGGTTCAAACAGAACATGAATGCATATGAACTCAGTGAGCTCAAATACAGTTAAGGCCGTGGAGACACAGCAGATTACACTTCACAGCCAATGAGGTGAATGAGAGAACAACTAAGGGGCCAGGTATCAGTTGACTGTGCAAAAGATGACAGCAACCCTACAGCCTTAAGCCGCTTACCAGTCTGACATCTCCACTCTCATCCCCTCCATAGGACTCCTGCTACAACCAACCAGCCACTTAGCTGAAACCTACACAAATCCTAGCCCTGCAGAAACACTTCAATGCCTTTCCCATGCTTTCAGGATAATAAAGACCAAAACTGACAAGGCTGTGGCTGAAAAGGTTCCGCCAAATTTGAGCCTGGCTTTTTTTTTTTTTTTTTTTTTTTGAGATGGAGTCTTGCTCTGTTGCCCAGGCTGGAGTGCAGTGGCAACATCTCCACTCACTGCAAGCTCTGCCTCCCAGGTTCACGCCATTCTCCTGCCTCAGCCTCCCGAGTAGCTGGGACTACAGGGGCCCGCCACCACGCCTGGCTAATTTTTTGTATTTTTAGTAGAGACGGGGTTTCACTGTGTTAGCCAGGATGGTCTCGATCTCCTGACCTCGTGATCGCCCATCTTGGCCTCCCAAAGTGCTGGAATTACAGGCTTGAGCCACCGCGCCTGGCCCCTGGCTTCCTGTTTGGCTTATCTCAAACCACTCTCTGCTTTCCAGCGACACTGGCCTTTTTTTGATCCTAGTAGAGCAGGTCCCACCTCAGGAGTCTGCACATTTCCCAAGTTCAACTGGCTTCCCCTGCCCTGATTTCCCATTATAAAAACATGCACAGAGTCACTGCAGCTTCCATATTCCTCAGGACAGATTTATGTCATCTCCACAATTAGGTCTGGCCCCTGTCATGTGTCCTCAGAGCACACAGAACATTTCATTTGCAATACTTACTATTATTCTAAATATATTTTAGTAAGACTATTTGACTAATATCTGTTACTCCAACTTGACTATAAACCGAACGAAGAAAGGCACTTTCTCTTTGGACATCAGTTACCCCACACAAAACGTACATACTACTGGGCACATAGTAGGTGCTCAATAAATATTTGTTGTTTAATGAACTACAAATGTCTTATGAAACTCCAAGAAAACATAGGATTAGATCAGTGTTTTCCCATAGAGTAAGGGGCAATTTTGACCCCCATGGGACATTTGGCAATCTCTACAGACATTTTTTGTTATCACAATGAGAATGATGCTGCAGGCATCTAGTGGGTATAGGCCAGAGATGCTACTAAATGTCCTACCCAGGACAGCCCCCAAAACACAGAACTTACATGCCTAATATGTCAATACTGTTGAAGTTGAGAAACCCTAGATTAGCGGAACTAATTCAACTATATTGGGAAGGATAGAGCCAATGATATATTAATAGAAAAAAACAACTCCCAAAAGGAATTTTTACATAGCTGAGGCACTGCATAGAGCTCTTCTGCTGCCATTGAGAGGTTCTGGGGATCATGTTCCATGCAAGGTCAGCTCTGCATGGCTGAGGTTAGAAACTGGGTTCCCTTCCACTGGAGCTGGGATGACTTCCATCCCTACAATGTAAACCTGACTGGGTTCTGAGGTCCCCACCCACAACAGATAATTAAGGATCCATCACCTCTTGGTGGTAGAACCAAGATTTCTCCAGGAACTGTTCGCATGTAGCAAGGCCATCAGTCACCTTGACAGCTAGAATCCCCGTTTGTTCCCAAGGACTAATGTTCTCTAGTTTTTGGCCAACCTGACTCGTATCTCACTCTTTACAGACGCATTTATTCTGCCAACAAAATCAAGACCCCAGAAGACTAATCTTCTCAAGTCAACATAGGGCCACCTCTCCAGAGGCTCGCATAATTTTCTCTGCTTGACTACCAAGACCACAGCCTCCCAGGCCTTCGAGTGGCCTCACTTTTCCATGGCTTTGAGGAAATCATTTTACTCTGCAGCATGGTTTACGAGGCAGCGGCTGTCAAATCCTGCCCCGCATTGTGAAATCAAGCACAATCCCCATAATTCTACCCCAAGCTACAATAACCTAAACAGATTTTAAATGCCTCTCCTTAATATCAACAGCTTCTGCAAAGGAAATAGGATCATTGCTTTGATAAGCCTTAAACTAAGAAGCCTCATTCCATGTAGGTAAGTAGATAGTTTTCTTCTAGGCCACCCCTGAGTATATGTTGTTAAAAACCAAGTGTACATGTTGCCACTAATTATGTAATACAAATAAATAGTTTACACAGCATATGTAAACTGTGAAATGGGGAAAGCAGCAATTTTGAGCATCCACAGCAGATGTTTAGGGCAGCTGTACAGGGAAGCTGACAAGAATTTAGATGAAATTTATTTTAATGTCCCACAAGAGTCAGGGAAAATTTGTTTAACCTTTACCAAACTATTCCACCCAAGGAGTTCAGATCTGAATTTTCTTTTAGAATAGATTTCTATTGTTGTGTTTAACATGCCTTTCCTATTTCCTCGTTTTTTAAAAAAAAATCTAAAGAAGAGGCTCTAGTGATTTGACCACTATGAACAAATGTCATTCAGCCATTACAAATGTAAGCCCAGAAACGTGCTTTTCAATGCCCATGATTTGGCAACAAATGTTACAAGAGTAAATGATATTAATAAGGAATTTAGCAACAGAGAAGCTTGTACAACAAGTACTTCGAGGTTTGAACTTGAATAATCCAATAGACTATACTATTGTTTTCAAGAACTACTTTCCGTCAAGTGCGGTGGCTTACGCCTGTAATCCAGCACTTTGGGAGGCCGAGGCATATGGATCACCTGAGGTCAGGAGTTCGAGACCAGCCTGGCCAACATGGCGAAACCCTGTCTCTACTAAAAATACAAAAATTAGCTGGGCGTGGTGGCAGGCAGCTGTAATCTCAGCTACTCAGGAGGCTGAGGCAGGAGGATGGCTTGAACCCAGGAGGCAGAGGTTGCAGTGAGCTGAGATCTCACCATTGCACTCCAGCCTGGGCAATGAGAGGGAAATTCCATCTCAAAACAAAAAACAAACAAACAAAAAAACTGTTTTCCAGATCAAAAAGAAAAATGTTAGCTCCCAGCCTTATGTGGCTTAACAATACCATCCTTCCATTACTTTTATGTTTTTGGGAGAAAGAACAAATGATAAAATTGGCAAAAAATTACTTAGACTAAATGTCCTGAACCAGAAATTCGGGCATCAACTACCCTTTGCCTCACACATATTTCTGCAAGATCAAGTACCAGGCATTAAAGAAATATTTGTTGAATTGGGAAACAGTGTAGCAAATAGCTAACACAGAATAAGTTCTTACCAGGTTGCAAGATCTTACACATCATTGCTATGTTATCTAAGCTAACTTAAAGGTTTGTGTTTCTAGAGTCAGGGATGTTAAGAGGCAGGAACTTCAGCGGATGTTTACAGCACCAGCCTCACCAGGGAAGTAAAACAATGCTTCTGAGGGCTGAGTATATGTCACACAGGCTGGCGGATGGCAACGATAAAATGAGGGTCCAAGCCCCAGACCAAAAGTAAGTGGTTATAATACTATTATATTTTAAAAGGGTTTTAATGGAAGACCAAAGAACATGCTTATTTGCCATCCTCTCACAGAATCTTAGATGAAAGTCATATAGCCTAGGACTCTACTTCTCCTACTCGAGTTTACTTGGATTCAACATTTCACTACCAGACCATCAAGAAAAATTATCTGATAGTTTCAGATTATTTGATTTTGTTAATCAAATACCTTCTGGTTATTTGGTTTTATTAAAAATGGCCAAAAAATTCAGTTCTGTTCTAGGCCATCATAATATTGATCTCTCCACTAAGTAAACATGAAGCAGATAAATTATTTGTATAATTTTGTCCTTTACAGTTCATGGAAAGGCATCAAATCTTTATCATCTGTATTATAAAATCCACATAGAGTCTATAGGAGTTGGAGACCCTGTAGGACTATCTGTCATGGCAGTTGGGCTGTTAAGTTTGAGCGCTCCCAGTCTTTTGGCGGCAGTGGTGATGCAAAGGCTCTTGGCCACCCACCTCCGCTGGGAATCCAGCTTCTCCAGGACTGTGGTCGCCCTGTCTGCTGTGGTGGGAAAACAGCCCCCGGAACTGACCGTACATTGGCAGGAGGACCCAGATCCTGAGGACAAAAACTTCTATGAGAAGAACCCAGACTCCCATTGCTATGACAAGGACCCCATTTTGGACATCTGGAACATGTGAGTTGTCTTCTTCTTTGGCGTCTCCATTGTCCCGGTCCTTGGCAGCACCTTTGTGGCCTATCTGCCTGATTACAGGATGCGAGAGTGGGCCCACTGCAGAGCTGAGATGCTTGTGAAATACCGAGAGGCCAAAGACCTTCCCATCATGGAATCCAACTGCTTCAACCCCAGCACGATCCAGTTGCCAGAGGATGAGAACTGACCAGTTGCTGAGTGGAGCTCAAGAAGCACCACCTTCCCCACCCCTTGCCTGCCATTCTGACCTAATTAAAGGGGCTGAAAGTCTGAAAAAAAAATCCATAGGAGTCAATGCATACCAATCTGATGTTTTTGAAACTTTGGACTTTGTTGTGTCTGTTTGATTTTGGGATTGATTTTGGAATGATTGTCCTAATATATCTCCTTCTTCCTTCTCCACTGATTCCATTTTAATTTCATTTTCAATTTCCTTTTATAACATGTTCATAATTGATGTGACACACAGTGTCCCCTTGATCCTAGACTAGGGCCACCTCAAAACCACTAACCTACAACTGCAAAAAAAAGTGCATATACTTAACATTACTGAACTGTACACTTAAAAATGGCTAAGATGGTCAATTTTACATGTTTCTTTTTTTACACAATTCAAAATAAAAAATATATATATGTTTCTAAATAAGCCTTCTTTAGGGATGGTACTTTTAAGGTTTTTTATATAAGGTGCAGAACACCTGAGCTTTACAGCACAGCCACAATATTTTTGGAATGGAAGTGGGAGGGAGTAGCTATTGACTACATAATTTCATACAATTACCTCACTTAAACCCAAGGACATGCATAATAATTACAATACATCACCTTCTGTCCATCATCTAATCGATTGCAAAACTCTTGCCTGTCAAGAAAGCCACTTAACCTAAATAACAAGTCAAAGAGTGAAACCTTCAATTTGAAATCATTTAGGAATTTTGAATACATTCGGTGTCTAAGTCAGGAGGGAAAGATAGGTGGGGATTATTTTTCCTTTTTTTTTTTTTTTAACAAAAACAAGTGTTTAGGTTTCTCATGTAGACCAACAGAAGATAGATCTAACACATAAGATGGGGACAAATGGACTACAGGTAACTCCCAAAGATACTCAAAGTCAGCAGAGGACAGAGATGGTTTCATGTCTAATGTTCCTGCTGCGGCATCATCAAACATTGTGGCGACATCATCAGACTTTTAATGTAGTAAGCATTTCTCCTTTGTAATATATGCAGAGCTCATCAAGATCCTGGTGACACCAGTCCCTTCTGGATAAGAATTTCCACAGGTATAATCAATGGTGAACACGCAGGGCAGTCCCTCCAGCCTGACATTCCCTCACGTAAGCGTAATTTAATTGGGGCCAATTCTTATCTGAGTCAGCTCTTCACCCATAGAAGAGAGAAACTCTGAACAGGTTTCACATATGCTGGCCTGGGGCTGTTTCAACTGGCATCTTCCATAATTGAGGCAGCTATCTTTTCTCCTCCAGGTAGTGTTTCCACATTCTACCAGGGAAAGAATGATAAGCTAGACATGAATGAATGAATGGCATTATTTGCAAGTGGGGTGTGCCCTCCTAACTCATGGGCAGAATCACTTCTTTGTTGACAGTATTTTCTGGAATCCCACTATAGATGATTAAAATTAAAAAGAAAGAAAGAAAAAAAAAACCCTAGGCAATAGATCAGTCTCTTTTGTAGAAGGTATAAAATGGATCCTGATAGAAGTGGAACCTGTCAAGTCATAAGGCATAATTCATTAAATTTTAATTTTGTTAAAATTAAAAATGCATTACTCTTACTTTTAAAGATCTACCAAATGGAATGATGTTATTCTCCCTTTTTATTGAGACAGGGTCTCAGTCTTTCATCCAGGCTGGAGTGCAGTGGTGCAATCATGGATGGCTGCAGCCTTGACTCCCAGGCTCAAGGGGTCCTCCCACCTCCACCTCCTGAGTAGCTGGGACCACAGGTGCATGCCACCACACCTGGCTAATTTTCGTATTTTTAGTAGACACAGGGTTTTGCCATGTTGCCCAGGCTGATCTCAAACTCCTGGGCTCAAGCAATCCACCTGCCTCGGCCTCTCAAAGTGCTGGGATTACAGGGTGAGCCACCACACCCAACCTCCCCCTTTAAGTCATTAGTCTCCCTTCTTCATGATCTCACTTTAAATGAGAAGACATGGCAAAATGTAAATATTTGAATACTGGTTAACTACATTGCTTACCAATTCAATTTTCACCCTCAATTTTCTCACTAACTGTAATCTATTTAAACTGAGGAGAAAATGCAAAAGTTTTTCTCCCTTTTAGCTTTTGTTGGGGGGGAGGGGGAATCAAAGAAGGGCCTTGATTAAAGAGATGTTTTAGGAAGAGTATAAATGCTTTGTAGCTCCTGTGTATGAGATATAACTGAGGAGAGTACCAAACATCCCACCCTTCCTTCAAAAATGCCTTGCTACTGTTTTCATGGAGAAAAAAAAAAATACTTTTAAGGTAAGATGTATATTTATGAGGCAGAAGTAGAGAGAATGATAATTTGAACATAATTAGAGCTTATAAAAAAACTTCCATGGTTTTTCTAGTTTTTGATCAAGGCTAGAATCTGGAGAATTCTGATTATGTTACAGGACTTGCAGCTTCAAATTCTCCACCAAATAAGGGGATTCTGAGAGAAAACACACTTGTATAGAGAAGAGAAGAAGGCAAGGTGCAGAGAGACAGCTGGACAGACACTGATGACTTACTAAACCTCCCTCTTGGTCCCAGGTCCCGGGGCCAGCTGCTGCTTTACTTGAATCCTTGACTCTCTTATACTAGAATTTCAATGATTCCAGGGTAAGTCAGAGAATTAAATTACTAATATGACTTAAGGAGAATCTGAAACACACAGGAATCACTATTATAATAAATATTTGTAACTTTACAAAGGATCAGACCAATGGTGCTGAAGCCCAAATACCATTAACATGATTCCACATGTGGAATTGCAAAGCAGTTGAATGACCTAAGGCAGCTATTTGACCTCTTCATTCCTCCCCAGTCATTTGGGTAGGACTTATAAGTATCTGGCCTTCTATTCTGCTGATTTTCAGCTTGCTGTCCAGTTTTTATACATAAAAATATGGTGCTTGGGTTCTTGGCTTGACCTTGGAGCCATCAATTATCTAAAATTTCTAGTTTTTTAACGCTGAGATCACTTAAACCCCACTGTTGTTAAGTACACTGGTTCTGCAACTCAATTTAATTCAGCCAACATTTATGAAATACCTAGCAGAGATCAACTTCAAGGAACTTAAGGGAGGGAAAATACTAACATAACATAGCAAATACTATAAAGCAAGGAAACAAAGGGCTATGAGGACACAGAGCAGGGACTAATTGCTGTGTAGGAGAAAGAAAATGGAGGAACTCTATGGAATAGAAGGCAATAAATAGTATCTTACTAAGTGCCTACCAATTGCCAGATATTGTGATCATGTATGCCTTAAATACATTATTTTATTTTATTCTCACAATAAATTCGGTGGGTATCATTATCTCCATTTTATGGATGGTAAAACTGAGTTTTAAGGGTACCCAAGGGAGAGAATACAGTCATGGGTTTTTAGTTTCTGTTTCTGGTTGGGCCAGTAAAGCCCCTTCCTCAACCCTCTCTTCTGCTTATCACTAGAGACAGAACCCAAAAACCATGTCTTCAAGCTGCTAAAAGCCTAAAACAAAACAAAACAGAACAACAACAACAAAATAAGGCAGGTTAGACAAGCTTGGTTAATTAAGGTATTTGGCTTATGTTCTTATTCATATGTGGTAGAGCTATAATTCCAACTTAAGTGTATTTAATTCCAATGCCTAGGCTCTTACCCACCATGTTATTATGCTCTCATCTGAGGTGGATCACAGAAGACAGAAACAATTCTAATGATTAACTGGAATCTTTTTGGCCCGAAATCCAGATGGAGCAGAGGAAGTAAAAACACAGATGTGGGAAAGTGCAAGAACTGTCTGAGAAAGAATCAGTGACCCAGTATAGTTCAACTGGAGGAAGCTCATACACAGGGTGAACAAAGCACAAGCCCTAAATGTCAAAATGAAGACCATGAACTTTAAACTTGGGCACTTCAGGAGCCCCCTCCCTACCTGCTTTTTCCTTTAATGATCAGGTTAGCACCATGATGGAAGAGCTGCTTCAGGAAAATGATGGCTCTTGTAGCTAACATGTGTGAGATATAATTGAGGGGAGTAGATAGATAAGAAGCAGAAGGATTTGATAAGGAACCCTAAACTGAAAAAGGCTATCTTAAGAAAACATCATGGCCCTTTAGTCAAGTTAATTTATCCCAGCTTTAGTACTTTATATATGTATTACTGTTTAATGTATTATTTTTCCACTTACAAATCCCCATGATTATATGCCAAAACTATTTTTAGTCAACAACTTTTCTAAATGAGTGGGTATCAAGAACATAGGCCAGAAAATTCCGTTTAAAAAACAAGAAAATCTGAGTTCCAATTCAGTTTTTCATTTACTTTAGACTACATTGTGTTAGGACATTCACAAAGCCAAAGACAAGAAGGTTAGTACCTCAGTTCTGGAGTATCTAAGTCCATGATAAAGGAAAAGAAGTCAGGATGTGGTTTTATAGCCACTTTGTAAGAAAGAAGGTCAGCTGCTTCCAAAACACCCATGACAGACACTTTAATAAGAAGGGGTTTACTGCTAAAATAACACTCCACACCTGCCCTGAGGGGCTATGTTTAGTGTCATTTTACCATTATCTGCATTTCATGTGCTTCTGCCACAAGCCTTTATTTTGTTAAACAAACTATAATATATGACCTGCCTGAAGAGAAAATATTTATTCAGATCAGAAAAGGACTTTTAATACCTCAGAGAGGTTTTCATGAAACTCTCATTTTGAAAAAAAAAAAAGAAGAAATAAAACATACCTTATATGCACTGCATTTCATTATCTATTCAACCACAGACAATACTTAACTGTGCAATAGCAGCGCTAAATCATGTTAAATTACTCTTGATCTACCACATCTTAAAGATAGGCTGAAATTTATCTCAAACAGCCCTCCTAATTATATATTTTATCTGACATGATAAAGTATTTCATTACAGGTTTTATTTTCTTAACATTTAAACAACTGTGTATAGCATTAAATAACATCTGAAAAGCTGTAAATGTTTCTCTCTCTCTCTCTCTCACACACACACACACACACACACACACACACACACACACCCTTTACTCCTGTCAATTTCCCTAACAAGAAATCCCTTCCTTTACTCCATTACCATAATTTGCAAACTAAAGTCAATGTGAACTCATTAAAATACTTCACATTATTCAATATTTGTTGTGTTTATCAGATATTTAAAGCCTTTCCTTCCAAAGTGCTAATATTCTAAAAAATAAAACAATTACACATTTTGTAGGCATAATAGCAACATTCAAATGAATATTTACCCAAATAAATAATAATGAAGCAATAAAGTACTCCATTTATTTGCATATTTTTGTCCATCACCCAACACAATGCCCTTAGAGTTTATTAAAAACTCAAAACCCACGCAATACAGCTGAAGGAACTACACTCAGAACATGAAGACCTGAGTTGTACTTCTGTTTGTCTTGGGACCCTGGGCAAAACACTTAAACTCTCTGACTTTGCTCCTTCTCCCCAACCTCACAGAGCTATTTATAAAATCATGTTCCTGAAAGCATCCTGAAATTTAACGTATAAACTATCTTTCATTGTACCGCTGAGGAAGCCAAGGACAAGACAATGAAAATGTCTTGCTCAGAGTTAAAAGGCAGAGGGCACACAGATAGCTCTGCTAGATTCTCCAACAGGCAGACAAACTGTTAGGACATGAATAAAGCAGAGAGGGGGATAGGGCAGCTTCCATGGATTAATGCCAAATTCTGCAATCATAAAATCTAGAAACACACTATTTTAGTTTCAACATACATGGAGTTTTGTAATATTTCAAAAAGGTCTCATTTTGTTTTGACTTACATAGATGGGCACATTATCATCTTTCAATGTTTAGTGCATCTGAAGGTCTTAAACAATCTCTAGGAAGAGAATGTTTTTGCTTCAGTTCTCTTTCCACTACATTTCAACTGTTTTTGGGTTTGTCTGTTAGCTTTCTTCTCATGCTAAGTGTTGCAACCTTCACTTTAAAAATGTAGTCATTTTAATGTTTGACTTTAAAAACTTGCCTGATTTCTAATGACTGTGAAAAACATTCAAATAAAGCTGAAGTGTACTAAGCACAGGTCAAATCTTCCTCTGGTATCACCCAGTGTGCAAACTTCATTCCTCCCCGACAGTTTCTTACTGCAGAAACTGTCAAGGTTTCTGACTCATTGATTGGTAAGGCAAGCTCCCAAAGGTTTGGAAAAAGCTAACAAGCTAGAACTGGAGAGAGGGTTTTTTTGTTTGTTTTCGGTTTTGGGGTTTTTCCCTAAAAATAAAGAGCTCTTATTAAATAAAAGCTAAGTGGAACACAAATAGTTTTTAAAAATTTGGGACAAGGATAGGAACTACACCTTCACAGTAGTGTGTCTTCACAAAGAGAAAAAAAAAATTCTATAAAAAGATGTACATATTCCACGTGACTAGCAGAATATAAACTTAATTAACAGCCTACCTGAGGCTGGGTAATTTATAAAGGAAAGAAGTTTATTTGGCTCAGTGTTCTGCAGGCTGTACAAGAAGCATGGTGTTGGCATCTGTATCAGGTGAGGGCCTCAGGCTGCTTCTACTTACTATGGAAGGGGAAGGGAAGTCAGCATGTGCAGAGATCACGTGGCAGGAGAGGAAGCAAGAGAGCAAAAGGGGAGATGCCAGGCTCTTTTTAACAGCCAGCTCTCCTAGAAACAAACAGAGCAAACACTCACTCATCTCGGAGGGAGGGCATTAATCTTTTCAAGAAGGACCCACCCCCATGACCCAAAGGTTTCCTATTAAGCCTCACCTCCAACATTAGGATCAAATTTCAACATGAGGTTTGGAGTGGACCATAGCACCCCCACATGTAATACCTAGCAAAAGAGGCATGCTGAAACTATAGCACCAATTTTTGTATGGTATTGAAAAAAAAAAAGTCTGGATGATTACACACTCAAAAATAAAAGAAGAGGGATTAGAATAGTGAAAGAGAAAGATAGTATATTTTATTTCATATTCTTCTTTATTGTTTGAAGGTTTTTAAGTAATTATTTATAATCTGGTAATTTAAACAGTCTTTTAAAGCCTCAAAGTCGATGGTGGCCTAGTGCTTTACCCCACTGTCACATCACCCCACCTCCCTCCCCAGGTGGACAACAGCTGAAGTCACAGTTAAAAAATATCCCCACTTCTCTATGCCACACAATTCATCACCTCTGTCTTCAATGAATCCACTTTTTAAAATATGTGGAAAGCCAAAAAGGTGGTAATCGATGTTTTATGGCTGCAAACCTGAGGGCACATGGATTTGAATTACATCTAACTTAGCAGTCAACTTCTAAAGTCATTATGTCCCCTATACACACGGCTGTCACGTGCCTCGTAAGGTGGCACTTGGGAAGTAGTGGCTCTTACAGAAGCCAGAGCATTGGATGGGAAGACTTGAGTGCAAGTTCTTTCTCTGTTACTTTCTAGGCAGATAACCCTGAACAATTTCTGATTAATCCCTGAGGTTCAGCTGTAAAATAAAATAAAATACCCAGAGGATATCACTACTTAGTTCATTTACCTTGTACGATGATTACAGAAAACTCAATGATCAATATGAAGCCTTTTATATAGAACAAAAGCATTTCAGTTATTCTTATCTCCTGTGTATATTTCACCAACTGGAGATCCCTTTCAGGAGGACCAGATGTTAAAAATGCAAATATCCCTGAAGTATAGCATCGTTTGTCACCCTAGCTTCTACTGCTTTAATCAAATAATCTGGCAACTAGCTAAGTATGATTTCGTGTTCAGAGTGCAGGAGTTGACAGGAGGTAGGGAGTTGCATTTGGAAGCAGGAGGGCAAGAGTGGGTAAGGTATGGGAGTCAAAAGCACTTAATGTCCAGGCAGAACTGAGAAGAAAAAGGAATGAGAGAGATACTCAAATCCTAAATGGATGAGCAGCAGGAACAAGACAGGAACTGGGGCCCAAACAACTCCCAGAGCTGTCTGCAAGGCTGAAAATCATAGCCTTCATGGGCACCACCCTATCCTCTTGTTGGAAAGAGAAAAAGAAAGGTAGACACAGGGACTCATGGAAATTTCTGCCTCTTCTCTCTCCATCTTTTTGTAACTGTTTAGATCAAGAGCAACAGTTCAAGAATTCCAAGATTACCTTGAAACTGCACTCCAAAGTGAGAATACCATACTCGTTTTAGAAGTTAAAGAGGCAAACTATCCCCCTTGTTTTATTGGTGAGAACTCTCTTGGGTTAAGTGACTTCCTCAGAGTCACTGCCAAATGGCTACTTACTTGCAGACCCAGTGGATGGGACCCGGAGCTTTCAGCTACTGAAAGGGTTGCTGCTGCTGACTCCGTTTTAAACATGTGTGGAGTCAATGATGTCTGAAAATCATTCAAGGGCCACAAGCAATGGGAAAGATACATTTAATCCACTGTCTTATAATCCTGGAGAAAGCCACTGTCTTGACAAGTGATTAAAGAAAACGCATCTTTTAACTTCTTTTTACAAGAAAAGAATATGCAGACTAGTAAGCGTTTTTAAAATATTTTAGAGGCTGCCATATACTATATCTCTTGGCTTCTGAATTTTCTGAAATGCTCTGCCCCAAAGTAAGAATCCATCAGAGCTTGAATCCTCCAAGAAACTCCTCATTGTCCTAGTTTTGCGATCACAATATGACCTATTTCTGTCCATTCCCTGCTTCATTCTGCTTGAACTATAAAGAACTTGAATTCTCTGATTCCATGGCTCTGACTCTTGGCTTTGCAAGTAGAAAAAAAAATAAAAGGGAATCTTCTATTCAGTCTAGGTGCCTTTTAATAGGAAGCCTACATAAGTCTTTTTCTTCCACCTTTTTCTTTTCAACACAGACAAAAAAGAAAAATTCAGTAATAAGTTGCATGATAAGCAAAAGTAACTCCATGTCTTTTAATAAATATTATTTAAAATGCACCTATACTGCATACAGAATATCTTAAAATTCTGATTATTCCTATTTCCCCTTGAAAAGTGACTGAGTAAAGGAAAGGAAACTTCAAGTTGCCTCTCAAGTGCAATAGTAGGATAAAAAAGCAGTTACTTTGCACTGGGCCAGTGAATGCTGACTCCAGAAAGCTTCAGTTCCCAGAATTATTAAAGAATTATTATACTTTTACTCAGTAATCTAAATAAGAAGTGAGTCAATATAGGTCCCTATTTCTAAGTCTTGAGAGTAAATAGCCAATAGAAAATAAGACTCCAGTTTCTGATGAAGCAGGGATAGAGGCTGGGTTCCTCCAGACTGTACAAGGAAAATACACTAGCGGGCTGCGCCTGGTCCCAGCAGAGTGGGTTAGGAGCAACAGGCTTCATGCTTATTTATTTGGATGCCCTTTGGTGGAGAGCCAGCCATGGTCAAATAAGGTCACATCTATTATATCCACCATCAACTACAACCATCCTGATGGAGGCAATGAAAGGAAGAGATGTTGTCCTAAAGGAAAGGCTGGGCTTTCGGACAGGTAGATGGCTGGTTGAAATGTTTCCTTCTTTGTCTACCGCATCCAATAAGTAATACAGACATTAAGTGTGTTCAATTCACATGGAAGGCGGTTAGAAGGATTAGGATCAACTCTTTCCCTGGTTTTTAATTCCTTTAATTCAGAAAGCAGCTTGCACAAAAACTAGGCTGAAGTCTGCAATATTGTACAGGATTGTTTTTGCCTACACAATATTCATTACCCTGGTATTGCTGAAATAACATCACGTTTCTTTAGAAAGCAAATATGTCCAACCCCATGTCATTTCACTTACGACAACTCTATGAGGTAGGTTTAATTAGCCACTTTTCACATTTCAGCAGATAGGTAAACTGAAGCTTCAAAGAAAAACTACTTGCTCAGAATCACATAGCTAGTATATGATGGAGCCTCCATGACTCTGGTGTTCAGTACTGGTTGTCTGCAATATTATGTTGCCTACCCAAGAATTACTGTGTGTTTTAAACTTTCTCACCAACATGGATATGGCTTGAGAGCTAGACCATAAGCTGAAAGGGCTTAGTAATGCATAAAAGAAATATACACATCCCCACAAATAAAGAATGGCCCGGCCAGGTATGGTGGCTCATGCCTGTAATCCCAGCACTTTGGGAGGCCCAGGCGGGCAGATCACGAGGTCAAGAGATCGAGACCATGCTCGCCAACACGGTGAAACCCGGTATCTACTAAAAATACAAAAATTAGCTGGGCGTGGTGATGCATGCCTGTAGTCCCAGCTACTCAGCAGACTGAGGCAGGAGAATCAATTGAACTCAGGAGGTGAAGGTTGAAATGAGCCAAGATCATACCACTGCACTCCAGCCTGGTGACAGAGCGAGACTCATCTCAAAAAAAGAAGAATGTCCCTTAATCTATGTCACTCAAGCTGCTGCAGACATGCCAAAGTCCTGCATTCCAAAGCACAGACACAATTTTAGCCACACGTCAAATGAGGGCTAAAGTAAGGAGTTGCCTGTCAGAATGAGAAAATGTCTACCTGCAATTAAAGCACAGGTTTAAAAAGGAGTTAAAAAAATGAAGAGGAAGAAGACTAAGGTAAAAACAAAAAACAAACAACAACAACAAAAAACTGTTATACTCATTGTGTACACCTAGGGAGTCACTGATAATAGGGCCAAAGTTTCTAACTTAACCATCAACCTAAGGGCTTTCTACACTTTCTCAGCAAAAATTTCTTTCATGTAGCTCTAGCCAAAGGAAGCAGAATATATTCCCTGTTTGTGCTGTAAGGAACCAGAGAAGTGGTGTCTTCAGGTCCCCACCAACTGTTTGGAGCTGTCAAGGCTGGCAGGCAAATCAGAAAGGATCAAGTCAAGCTTGTCATAATTGTACCTTAATGACTTCACATGCTGTATGAGTCTCACCTGCTCCACCTGTCAAACAACAATCCCCAGAGAATGTTCAGATTCCAGAGATATCTCCCCAGAGACTTGACATAATTTAACTAGCATGTTTGAAACGGGTTTTAAATGTGATCAGATTAAAGGTCCTGGTTCCTAGAATATCTCTGCTAGAATCCATCCTCAAATTCCTGGTGTCAGTCTTCAGTTAAGTCCTCTGGTGAATATACAGAGTTCCAACTTGCAGAAATGTCAGCAGTAATTGGTCTTTTCATCAGTGTATCTTTAGATTAATGATAATAGTCATGAAATAGATTAGATGCCACTATTCATGGACAGGCATACCTCATGTTATTGCACTTCACTGTATTGCACACTGCAGATTATGTTTTTATAAATTGAAGATCTGCAGCAACCCTGCTTTGAGCAAGTCTATCGGCGCCATTTTTCCAACAGCATGTTCTCACATCATGTCTCTATGTCACATTTCAGAATATGATATTTCAAACTTTTTCATATTATATCTGTTAGGGTGGTCTGTGATCAGTGATCTCTGATGTTACTATTGTAATTGTCTTGGGGTCCCACGAACCACACCCATATAAGAAGGTGAACTTAATTGATAAATACTGTGGTCTAACTGCTCTACCAATAAGCCATTCCCCATCTCTCTCCCTCTCCTCGGGCCTCCCTATTCCCTGACACATGGCAATATTGAAATTCAGCCAATTAATAACCCTACAATGTCCTCTAAGTGTTCAAGTGAAAGGAAGAGTCACACATCTCTCATTTTAAATCAAAAGCTAGAAATGATTAAGCTTAGTAAGGAAGGCATGTTGAAAGCCAAGATGTGCTGAAAGCTAGGCCTCTTGCATCAATTAGCCAAGTTGTGACTGAAAAGAAAAAATTCTTGCAGGAAATTATAAGTGCTACTTTGGTGAACACAAGAATGATAAGAAAGCAAAACAGCCTTATTGCTGATATGGAAAAGGTTTTAGTGGTCTGAACAGCAGACCAAACCAGCCACAACATTCCCTTAAGCCAAAGTCTAATCCAGAGCAAGGCCCTAACTTTCTTCAATTCTATGAAGGCTGACAGAGTTGAGGAAGCTGCATAAGAAAAGTCCGAAGCTAGCAGAAGTTGATTCATGAGGTTTAGGAAAAGAAGCCATCTCTATAACATAACAGTGCAAGATGAGGCAGCAAGCGCTGAAGCAACTGATTTGAAAATCAGTTTCATCTGTAGGCAAAACAGACTTCTATTGAAAGAAGAAGCTTTCATAGCTAGAAAACAGTCAACGCCAGACTTCAAAGCTTCAAAAGACAAGCTAACTCTCTTGTTAGGGGCTGATGCAGCTGGTGACTTTAAGCTGAAGCCACTGATCATTTACCATTCTGAAAATCTAGGGCCCTTAAGAATTATGCTAAATCTACTCTGCTTGTTCACTGTCGATAGAACAAAGGCTGGGTGACAGCACATCTGTTTATAGCATAGTTTACTGAATATTTTAAGCTCATTGTTGAGACCTACTGCTCAGAAAAAAAAAAAAAAAAGAAAAAAAAAGATTCCCTTAAAAGTATTAACTGTGCCAGGTGCAGTGGCTTATGCCTATAATCCCAGTACTTTTGGAGGTCAACATGGGGGGATCACTTGAACTTAGGAGTTTGAGACCAGCCTGGGCAACATAGAAAGATCCTGTTTCTACAAAAATAAAAATTAAAAAATTATCCAGGCATGGTGACATGCACTTCTGTCCCAGTTACTTGGGAGTCTGTGGTGGGAGGACTGCTTGAACCTAGGAGGCGGAGGCTGCAGTGAGCCATGATCACGCCATTGCACTCCAAACTGGGTGACAGAGCAAGACCCTGTTTCAAATATATATATACACACACATACACACACACACACATATATATATGTATGTATATGTATATATATATTACTGCTCATTAACAATGTACCTGGTCACTCAAGAGCTCTGATGGAGATATACAAGGAGATTAATGCTGTTTTCATGCCTGCTAACACAACATCCACTATGCAGCCCATGGATCAACTTCAAGTCTTACTATTTAAGAAATTCATTTCAAATGGCTATAGTTGCCATATATAATGATTCCTCTGATGAATCTGGTAAAGTAAATTGAAACATTTTGGAGAAAAAAATCATCATTCTAGAGGTCATTAAGATGATTTGTGATTCTTGGGGGGAGGTCAAAATATCAACATTAACAGGAGTTTGGAAAAAGTTAATTGTAACCCTCATGGATGATTTTAAGGGGCTCAAGACTTCAGAGGAGGAAGTCACGGCAGATGTGGTGGGAACAGCGAGAGAACTAGAATCACAAGTGGAACCTGAAGATGTAACTGAGTTGCTGCAATCTATGATAAAACTTGAACAGATGAGAAGTTATTTCTCAAGTATGACCAAAGAAAGTGATTTCTTCCGATATAATCTATTCCTGGTGAAGATGCTGTGAACTTTGTTGAAATGAGAACAAATGACTTAGGAGTATTCCATAAACTTGGTTAATAAAGCAGCAGCAGAGTTTGAGAGGACTGACTCCAATTTTGAAAGTTCTGCTGTAGGTTAAATGCTATCAAACAGCATCGCATGCTACAGAGGAATCTTTCGTGAAAGGAAGAGTCAATGAGGACAATTTCATTGTTGTCCTATTTTAGGAAACTGCCTCTGCCACCACAAACTTCAGAAAACATCACTCTGATTAGTCAGCAGCAGCCATCAACATCGAGGCAAGACCTTCCACCAGCAAAAACATTGTGACTCACTGAAGGCTCAGATGACCCTTAGCATTTTTTTTTAGCAATAAAGTATTTTTAAATTAAGGTATGTATATTTTTTAAGGCATAATGTTATTGTATTCTTAATAGGTTACAGTGTAAACCTTACTTTCATATGCACTGGGAAACCAAAAATTTTGCATGATTTGCTTTATTTCTATTTTCACTTTATTGTGGTAGTCTGGACCTGAACCCACACTATCTCCAAGGTAGGGCTGTATTGGTGTGGTATTTCATTATCTTACATTCATGTTTTCTTCTTGGACCTTAGGACAAGGCCTACATCTAACCAGAGTCTGATTTTCAGCAATCAAGGTTTTCAATGATGACTATACACAAATTTTCAAAGCCCTTTCATACACCTATAATCTCAATGTTCATGGCATTGAGCCTCAGTCACTTTTACTTGAACAATCACCCTGATCTGGTTTATACTCTCTTGAAACAAAGTAAGTGAGCAGAGACTCAAATAGGAGTTTACGAAAAACATTTTACCAAAGAGAATATTCAAAAGGAAAAGAAGGTTGCATTTAGATTTAATCTGACACTAATAGCTGTGTCTGGGGTTACCATTAGTGGTTATTATCTCCACTCAAGATACAGCTGCACCCCCAAGTCTACACAAAACCACAAAGTCAGGATTTAACTGCCCAAGCCCAGCTCCGTAGCTTGCTCTGAAATGCTGCATAATAGTGTTTATGAAGAGAAAGGCAAACCTCTTTGAAGGTTTTTCCAATTTTTTTTTCTTTTTTTCTCAGGAAAGTGATCTGTTTTCAGGACCAGTAAATTTTTTTGTCTAATTAGATCATCTTAATTATGCCACTGTAACCCCTCTCAGAATAATAAATTAATAATCTAGAGTACAGACCTAAAAACAACCAAGAATTTTTTTTTTTTTTTGAGACGGAGTCTCGCCCTGTTGCTCAGGCTGGAGTGCAGTGGCGCGATCTCGGCTCACTGCAAGCTCCGCCTCTCGGGTTCACGCCATTCTCCTGCCTCAGCCTCCCAAGGAGCTGGGACTACAGGCACCCGCCACCACGCCTGGCTATTTTTTTTGTATTTTTAGTAGAGATGGGGTTTCACCGTGTTAGCCAGGATGGTCTCGATCTCCTGACCTCATGATCCGCCTGCCTTGGCCTCCCAAAGTGCTGGGATTACAGGAGTGAGCCACCGTGCCCGGCCAAGAATTAGTTATATAAATAAGATCCTTCATTCTCTTCTCTCTTTAAAGAGTTATCTTATTTCATGCCAACACCTTATCAAATTTACCCTAATTATACAATTTCCTATCTCTAGGAATTTGAGTTTTATATATCCAACAACTTTAAGCATTGTTCTCTAGGAAAGTGACAGAACAAAGCAAAGTTTACTATAAATTAAATTCAAACTGTGTGAGAATATTAGCTGAAAAAAGGGGGAAAATGGTCTAAGGACATTATAAATAAGTACCCCCCCCTTTTTTTTTTTGAGATGGAGTTTCGCTCCATTGCCCAGGCTGGAGTGCAATGGCGCAATCTCAGCTCACTGCAACCTCTGCCTCCTGGGTTCAAGTGATTCTCCTGCCTCAGCCTCTCAAGTACCTGGGATTGCAGGTATGTGCCACCATGACCAGCTAATTTTTTTTTGTATTTAGTAGAGATGGGGTTTCACCATGTTGGTCAGGCTGGTCTCAAACTCCTGACCTCAGGTGACCTACCTGCCTTGGCCTCCCAAAGTGCTGGGATTACAGGCGTGAGCCACTGCACCCAGCCATAAGCACCACTTTAAAAATAATAAATTACCATCAATGTGGGTTCAAAAAAATGAATTTGATCCTTAGTGCTATCTTAACCACCACACACAAAATATACATTAACTCTAAGTCCCAAACTAGTGAACTTGTTACCTATAATTTTTTTTTTCTTTAGGCCTTTGGTAAAAGAATGCATGGGCCAGCATTTCCAAACTGTTAGTTCCATAAATGTCAATATGCATTTCTTGGATAAACGATGTTCTGCTGTTATGCAAATCAGGGAGGGCTCCTTCCTGCATGTCAATGGTACATGGGACCAGTGCTGAAATAAACTGACTCTGCCTAAAAGTAACTAAGACTACCTAAAAGTAATCTCCCAAATGTGTTTTATTAGGCTGATGCAAAAGTAACTGCAGCTTTTGCCATTACTCATTGCAAAAATCGCAATTACTTTTGCACCAACCTAATAAATGAAAATCCCCAGTTCTCACCTGCCAGAGTTTTGTTTCAGTGAATCTCTGGAGCCCAGGACTTTGTGATTATGATGCTAAATTTGGGAACTACTGCAATAACCCATCCTGGAGTGTCACAATGCACACTAGCAAATTAAAGTTTTGGGAGAAGCATGCATAAGAAAAACTTGCTTACTTCCTTTACCCGTGTTTGACAAACTGATTTGACCATAAAAACTCCCTCTGTCTTCCTCATCCCTACTCCTCTCCCATAACTATTAACATGTTTTCACTGAATACAGTTTGAAAAACACTAGTACAAGCATTCTCAGAATGTCATTTTTATATATACTTGATTAGAAATGGCAAGAGGATTGCCTGTGTTTATACTGGGTACTTTATATTCATAGCTCAGTTTTCCTTATCTCCTAAACATGCATCTACAAAACTGTATAAGAAAAAATTACTTTTAGAAGCAGATTCTCGTAATATTTCAAATCCTCAATATTATATTCTCCTTAAGGGTAGGAACTATGTCTCACCCATTTTTCTATCAGCAACACTTTGCACAGGACATAAGATGCATCAATGTTGTTGGCGCTGATGGAAGGAATATTCACACTATTATACTTACTGAACACACAGAGAGATTAAAGTAGTTTATAATGACTTTTTAAAACATGAGTTGAAGAAACAATGGTTTATTGTTGCCTTAAATCTTGGGCTACCAAAAAATGTTTGAATTCTACCACTTTGTATTTTTCCTATCATTCAGTGTTATATGAATTCTACCACTTTGTATTTTTCCCATCATTCAGTGTTGAACACATATTGTCCACTGCTTGCAACCTTGACTTATTCAAGAGTATCAACCAATTATATCCCGATCAACTTGAACAACGAAAGAAAACCACACACAAACGTAGGGGAAGACTTTTATGATATTTTACCTCTTAATTGTGAAACACGCTGATTACTCTAGGGGAAAAGATTCTTGCTTGCCATTTTATTGCCCAGTGCCTTTCATAGAGATGTCCAATAATCACCTGGGCTTTTTGTTATTGTTGTTGTTGTTGTTTAGATTGTGTATGAGTGCATGCATATAAGCAACTGATCAAAGCTCTCCCACGAGAAGGTTCCATGAGAAGAGGATGTTTGTTGTGTTTATTGCACATAGAATATGCTCCATAAATAGTTGAGAACAAATGAATGAGTGAATTCCACATTCAGCACATGGACTCTTTGCTGCACTCAGCACATGCAGTTGCAGAATCCAGCATTCGTGTCATAGGGTCTGCCTGTACCATCTACCAAAACACCCTCCTTGGCCAGTGTCTCAAAGCAAGATTTGTGCCTACCAGTTCTCCTGGTATCTTCCCCAAGCATTAAACTTCAACTTTTTAATGTTTGTGTTAATTCAGGAAAGACCTCTGGATTGGCCAGTAGTATTGAATATATTTAAGAAAAACAATGCTTTTACTCTTATGGGTATTTCAATTCCAAAAAATTATGATTCCTGTGTTCTCTGAGCAAAAATATTTATTTCCATAAGCTGGAGTTTTTCTTCAAGGAGTTTATCTCCTAGGAGTTTAGGAAGCAAAGGGGAAATAAGTAATTAGGGCTAAATAATCTGAAAAGGAGGAGGATTCTGGTGCTAGAACCATACATACTTTACAGTACAAATCTCACGGAATTAGAACTCTCCCTATTACCTCTCCCTTCTGAGTATCATTTATTTTCAAAACATACTGCCATTGCTAACCCCCAGAACTGTATGAGCTACAAAAATGAGAGAATGCTTTGAAATGACTACGTGAAAAAAGAAATTGGAGGCACAAATGGTCCTATCTTCTTTTGTGGGGGTCTTTTCCCACAGAAGAGGAAAATCACAACTTTTCCTCTTCTCCAAATAGTGTGAAGCTGATTGCTTCCTGCTTCACCACTAGGTCTCTATGGGATAGGATATCAAGGCTGCTACATCACCTGTCTATATCTCAGTCTACTCCTTTCTAGAAATCCACACTATGATATGGTGTCTCCTCTACACCATGGAGTTGGAGTCTGCAAAGTACTTTACAAAATACTTTACGAAGTACTTTACAAAATATTTTCAGAGTAAAGACATATAATTTCAGAGTGAAGACATATGATTTCTGCTAAAGAAAAAGCAACCTAGAAGTGGCAGAAGATTGAGAATAACTCCCTCCTGTCACTGTGGGCAAAGTTCCATCACAGCTGGAGACTTTTGTACTGAATAAATGCAAACAAAAAAATAACGACTATTAGCATCAAGGCACTATATTTCAAAGCTTGATAGGGCTGAGGCCACTTTGGGGAAAACTGCTCAAGACCAGCAGGTTCAGAATAATGATTACACCAGTGCCCCCACTTTGATCCTGGCCAGAACTCTTCCTTCCCCTATGTCTCCTACACATTATGTAATTCTAGGAGTTTGGAGGTAGAAAACACCTTTGTAAAAGTTATTAGTGCTAAAAAAGCACCAGGCATCACTATTTAGTCTCCGGCATACACTTACTGACAACCATGAAAAAGCCATAGATACCTGCAATAGACTTCACTCCAACCCAGCAAAGAGAACTTGATATTCAGCAATACCTTAGAGAATGGCTTTATTTATTTTTTGCACAGCCAGTTCTATACATTTCCAAAGAACAATCTTTTCTCCCTACCAAACCAACCCTGCCTCCTTCTGCAAGGCTACCTTGGCCAGCACTTTAGCCAATCCCCCTTTCTGATGCTAATGAAGTGAAAACAACCAAATCCTTTGGTTTTCAAGCAAAATTAGCAATCTGCAATCACTGAGCTGTAGTAAGTAAAACTGAAAGAACTTCCACTGGAGAAAAAATAATCTAAATATTCCTTAGAACAAAAGAATATGATTAAAAGAGAGAAAGAGTTTACATGGAATCTCCCTGTCCACATGTTTGCAGGGAGAGAAGAGAAATATTTTAATCATCCATGTCCTGGTTTTCTTCATTCATTCATTCATTCAGTCTTTCCTTTATTTTTAATTCTGACAGCTGCACTCAAAATAATTCTTGCCTGTAGCCTTGAGTAACCAGGATACTCAAAATTTTGGCCATATTGCAATGAGTCTAATAACATGTCAAGATTCAGAATCATCAGTCCTGAAGTCCCCAAATCCTCATCTGCCACCTCCTTGGTGGCACAGCCAATATGTTCCATGATTGGTTATTCCTTCTTTGTTGAAATGAAACCATGGGTCTCCGTTTTCCCAAAAAGGCTGGCTCCAAAGTGGAGAAAGATTGGAATGTGGAAAATCATTGACTGAAAGCTACAATGTGGCTATTAAATAGTTTACTGAGCTCAATACCCAGCAGCTAAAGGTCTCACAGACCTTCCCTAAACCAGACCTAGGATCTAAATAGAGTTGATTGAAATAGAATGATTCCAAAGTGTGATTTAATCATTTTTTTTTCCTCAACACAAAGAAAAGGTGGGCATCATGCAATTCCAGCAGCAATTTATTCTTGTATGCATTTTTCAGCTTAATTTTGCTGACATATTAGAAAATAGATAGACAATTTGGCTGTATAATTTGCCAAGACTAACGGAAGCAGTCAATTGTAGAGTACTCAAGAGGTAATCCATCTCCAATTCAACTTGTTAAGCATGGATAGCTGGGGGTATATTTTTGGCATGCCATTAGGAGAACCATTGTCAATACAAAAACAGACTCGTAGATTAGTTTTTTTTAATCAAAGCAACTGTTAAATATGCATTTTGTATATATTTCTTCAACAACCAACAGTTATACTCCTGCCAACAAGCATGTTATCTTAGGGCACAGATTGCGTCTGAGTACTGAAATCTCACTCCTTTTCAGTGAAAGGAAACCTTCTGTATTTACTGCGCTTCAAGTGGAGTGTCTTTTTTACACTTCCAAAGTAAGCTGGTCCCCCTATTTCTCTTTTTATCCCTAGTTCTGCTTGGCTCAAGGCATGTCAGAGCTGTAGACTCCACAGAGGACCTGGGTGATATTTGAGCCTAGTATTTTCTATTCATTTTTTACTTTTGAATCCTTTTTTTCACCAAAACATATAATCACTGGAAATCCCTTAGGAAATCTTTTAATGATTTCATCATTTTTGCATGGTATATAAGAGATTTAAAATAAAGCATTTCACTTGAGATCAATGCATTATTAAAGATTTTATCAGAAAGTTCATTTAATACAATTTTAATAATATTCATTATGTATGAAGACAAATTTCAACCTTTCCCCTTTGAATAAGTAATATATGCTGTTCAATTTACTTTAAATTTATTTTATTTAAAAATTATGATTGGATCAGGCATGGTGGCTCACGTCTATAATCCTGGCACTTTGGGAGGCCAAGGTGGGTGGATCACTTGAGACCGGAAGTTTGACACCAGCCTGGGCAACATGGAGAAACCCTGTCTCTATGAAAAACAAAAATTATCCAGGTGTGGTGATGCATGTCTGTAGTCCCCGCTACTCGGGAGGCTGAGGCGGGAGGATCACTTGAGCCTAAAAGGCAGTGGTTGCAATGAGCTGATATCGTGCCACTGCACTCCAGCCTGGGCAACACAGTCTCTCTCTCTCTCTCTCTCTCTCTCTCTCTCTCTCTCTCTCTATATATATATATATATATATATATATATATATACACACACACACACACACACACACATATATATACACACACACACTGAGGTTTGACTAACCAATATTGTGTTAACAGTAAACTTTGTGACCTTATAGTGGAATGTTTGCATCATGTCCTCAAAAAACTTACTTTTGTTTTGTAATTTTCATGGTTTCAGGCTTTGATTTGCAAGTGTCTCTCAACAAATAACCATAGAGTGAGTATGAATAATTTTTAATCTCAGTAAATAAAGAGCCAAATTGGATCTAGTAGGCACTGTTTTTTACATTTTTAACACCTGATGTGCTATAGAAGGACCCTGATCATGTCAGCTTGAAGATCTGCTTAGGAAAATCTCAAGGTTATTCACAGGATTATCATTTTTATTCTCCTTGCCAACTTGTTTGTGTATTTCAGTATCAATGTTTCTTATGTTTCCTCTCTTCAACCAGAAGCCCGTGAAGGTTGTAATTAAACTGCTGTATGTATATTTAGGAGTAAAAAAGTCTTGAGCTGACATACCCAGGTACCATGCCACATACCCAAGGCACCATGCTACACACCCAAGCAGCCAAGTTCAAAGCATGATCATGTGACCTTCCCTCACTATCACTGCTGTGCCCAGAAAGGTTTCAAATGGTTCTACTTTAAAAGGAAAAGTTCTAGTGAAGGAGTGGGAGGAGAGCTCCACTTGGCAACTGAGGGTAAAAAAGCTTGGCCCTGTAGTTTGCAAGATAACACAGCTAAAAACGAGCCTTAGGACAACTCCAGGGTCCCAATTCTGGCTTCAAACTCAGGTCTTGGGACATTCAGTTCCCTAGAGAATTTCTGCAAAGTTCTGGAAGGCAAGTTCAGTGGTGAAATAAACATTAGCCCAGCAGGAAGTGGCAAGAGGATACTCAGAGTACTGGCAGCCTGTAACTGCTTGTGGCCAAAAGTCAGAACCCTGAGGAGAATCAGAAACAAAAACCCAAACTCCAATTTCCAGACCCACAATAAGCAGACAATAAAAGCAAACAAAAAAGCCTACAGTATATACTTACCCCTCTACTGCTTCGGGAGATTAAAATTCTCTTTCCCTTCTACCAAACCAGTCCAGCATTTTCCTTGTTTCATGCAATGAGGGGCTTCATATGTTTTTTTACAAATGTAAAAATTATCAAATTTGTATTTGTTTAAGTTGCATACCTGAAGAAATACATCTCCATGTTCTCATCTGAACCTTAGAATCTGTTAAAAATCAAATGATCCAATGACCTTAATTATTAATTAGCCAAAACCACAAAACTTCATTCCTAGGATTGGACCAAGTATCTAATCATCTTTTGTAGTCTTCACTTTTGAGAATGTCACACAACTTTCCCTGAAGTTTGAAGGTTTGATAAATGGTTTTTCTGAGGCAGTTCTATAGAGTCATTGAAAAAATATACAGTAGGAGAAAACAGGCTAAGTTGACCACATTCATAACAAACAATGCTACAGCATGCAAAATATCCTTGGCACTTAGCCTCTGAGAATTTTATCATATCAAAATCCATACAGTCAGTTCTGCTCCAGTAGAATGTATGTGTTGCTGAAATTCTTTGTGCTCTGCAAAATCGCACAGTAAAAACCAAGTGGCTTACTGGAAAAATTAGGTTTGAGGCCGGGTGCGGTGGCCCATGCCTGTCATCCCAGCACTTTGGGAGGCCGAGGTCGGCAGATCACTAGGTCAGGAGTTCAAGACCGGCCTGACCAACATGGTGAAACCCCGTCTCTACTAAAAATACAAAAATTAGCCAGGCATGTTGGCGCATGCCTGTAATCCAAGCTACTCAGGAGGCTGAGGCAGGAGAACTGCTTGAACCCAGGAGGCGGAGGTTGCAGTGAGCCAAGATTGCACCACTGCACTCTAGCCTGGGCGACAGGGTGAGAGTCTGTCTCAAAACGAAACAAAACAAAACAAAACAAAAAATGGGTTTGAGGTACAACAATCAAAAACATTGTCAGTAACACATTAAAAAGAAGCAGAAACATAATAAAAATGGTAGCACAGTTTTATATGTGTTAAATTGTTGAGAAATATACAAATACAACAATAAACATGGCATATTATCACATTAAAAAACTGGGATTTACTGTGGAAGTGAATGTGGTTAAGGAATGAGGCTTGTGGGTTATTGTGAAGTGGTGGAAGAAGGGCATTCTGAAATCAGACAGAAAGTTGGTAGTCCCAGATGTGGATGGGTGGGGCTCCTAAAACATGGGTGCATTTTTGGTTTTCCTATGTGGCATTCAGCTGGCTACAGTTTCTGCATTTACCTAGTGTTTCTCTGGGAGGAAATCACACATAAGCAAATACAGCATTTGTTTTATGCTTGTCTTGAATATATCAATTGCTTTGGAACAAATTTGCCTTTTCAAAACAAGTGTGATAGCAGAACTGACTTTACTAAGAATTGATTATAGTCATAAAGATTAAAATTTAGAGATTAGAAAGCTGGGAAGTACTTAAAGAACAGCTATCATAATTCAAGTCCTCATATTACAGATAATATTAAGATATCAGCATGTTGTTTGAGTTTTGTTTTGTTTTGTTTTCCCCAGAATTTGCCCGTATAGCTTCAGGGAAACTAACAAATTTTCAAGACCCAGTCTAAACTAGCGAAGGTACCAAAGGAAAGACGCTTTGATGGGAAAAACAAGCACTTAGGTCACAGCCCAGTTCCAGGTCCATGGATATGGTTTTGCATCCGACATGTATGGATCTAGGTGCTTCAAGAGTTGTTTGGGAAACCCATATTATTATCCAAGAAGCACGCTCCTACTGGCTCAAGTGACAAGATACACCTAAAATATACTCACAAAAAGAGAATGTTTTCAATTTGCTGGGTTCTCTCCATATATCACTTTGAGGTTTGTGAGAGCCCTAGGACTAATGTTCACAGTCATTTCTAGGACAGCTGTTTACTAGTATTACTGATACAGAAGTCACTATTTGTTTTGTGTGGTGCAAAATGATTAGCGGGACCTATTAGCCTTTTAAGGGTGATTCATCTACTTTCAGAGGCTTGGAAACCTCTGCAAAAGAAGCCCCATTTTCCTTAATATACATGTAGGAAGAATAGAGGGAGGGAATTTCCCTTCTCCAAATTCAACTAAAGAGGAAGCAGAAAAGATTTTGCAATGCACTTATCCACTGTCCTGTCAGACTACTGCGAAAACATTTCACTGTGTAACATTCTGTGACTATTACTAAACAACTCCCATATACCAAGCACTAATGAAGACTACAGAATCACGAATTCCTGTAGGCAGTAGCTGGAGCCTGCATTATTCAAACACTCCACAAGGGAGTCCTTTGAATACGCCCAGGTTGAGAGTCACTGATTTTGTACCTGAAAAGGTATCCTAAGACTGTTATGCTTTATGTAAGGGATATATACAGTTGACATTTTAAGTAACAAAGTTCGAAAACTTGGAAGAGAAGAAAAATTGATTATGAAGGCGAAGTATTTGTTTTTTTTTTCCTTGTTTATTTTTACTCAATGTAGATGATTGGGATAAAATGTGGAAGGGGAAATGTTTAAGGTTTTCATGGGTATGTAGGAGCCACACTGGGCCATCTCCTTTTGATTTTGAAAAGAAGATAAAGCCCTCCTGCTGACACATTAAACCAGGGGAGACTGAATGACAAAGACACTGGACAGTGAGGGACTGGGATGAGGGTTAGGTGTGGGAGAGACACCAGCTTTAAATCTGGGCCCTACTCTACCTATTCAACCTCCAGCAGTCTTGACAGAAACCTTTGAGCCAAGGTCAAGAAAATTACAGTCTTCTCTTTTACTGATAGTGTCCTCCTTTCACCCAGATTGCTTCTTGTCTCTTCTCAAAGTCTAACATGAAAGAAACCCAGTTTGTTTTGCTGATATCCCTAGGTTGTTTAAGTGGATGCATCAATATTTCCTTTTGAAGAAAACACTTCCCACATGCTCTTTGGAGCAAATTCTATAACGTAATAAATAAAATAAGGTGACTTAAATTGGGTATCCCAACATATACCTTTCCTTCATTTATGGCTCATGAGACAGAGTGATAAATAGAGATAGACTGTAACACACATCACAAGTGTTGTACAGCAGCCATAAAGAAAATATCATTAAAGGGATCTCCGTCCCCAATAAAATACATCCTATGCTACTACCAAACGGTCCTTGTAAATCACTAGTGCTTAAGAAAATAAGACGTAATCATTTTTTTCAATAAAGCTCAGTTGGTTTCCAACTGCATAAATTCCATAGTGATGGGCAATCTGTTTTTGAAATGATTCTTAACCAAAGGTACATTTTTCCGAGAGATAACAATCAACTGATAGTCTAGTTTTAATTACTTTAAGTAGGACAGATTAAAAGCATAACCTTAAGATATATACATATATGTGTGTGTGTATATGTACACATATATGTGTGTGTATATATATGTGTATGTATATATATACATATATGTGTATATATATACATACACATATAAGACTGAGATTCCATCTCAAAAAAAGTTTTTTAAATAAAAATTTAAAAATAAAAGTAAAAAGAATGGAAAAAAATCTGGTTGTACCCTACGCTCAAAACATCTCTGGTCTTGCAAGACAGTTGCTTGGTGGCATCAGATGATTTCCAATAGCTATTACCTAAATTTATCCATGAAACTACTCGTCATGATACAGAAAAAATGCTTAGCATGTCAAATAAATATTGTCGTGGAAACTTTAAAAAGGTTATTTTCAGGTCATGTGTTACCCGTCAACTACAGAAACTTATATGTGTATATACATGTATATACATATACAAACATACACATATATATATACACACACACGTATATACACACATACTTTTCAGGTAATGAATACACTAAAAGCTGACAGTTCACCAATACACATTATATCCATGTAACAAAACTACACTTGCATCTCTTAAATTTATACAAATAAAAAATTTATATAGTTTTCTAAGTACTTACTACTAAGATTCTTTTGCTAAAATTCTTATTACTAAGATTCTTTTGCCTGTGGTTCAGTACATATTTCAATTCTGCACAGACACAAAACTTTCCTCTAAGTATACAGAAAACAAGAAGCATAATTAGTAATGTATATTTATCAACATGTGTATTCCCACACTACAGTAACTGACCAATTAATGTAAATGTTACTATTGTACTTCATTTAAATAGTCTCTAACTTTCCTCACTCTGATTACTAAATAAAATGCACTGTAATTTTCAATCGGTAAAAATGCAATCTGTTAAAGTAAAATATTCTTATCTTGGGATAAGATCACAACTCCTATTCCCACAGTTTACAGAAATCATTGAAAAGATTGACTACACATACACTACATTTCTTTACTAGTCCAGGAAAAGTTTTAAATTAAAATAAACATCATGAATCAAAGGGTGTTTTTTGTTGTTTTTCTTTGAAAACAAGTGAATAGACATTCCACCAATAGTCAAAAAATTGCCAAGGTTATTTTTCCTTCACATATTAAAAAAAAAAAAACAGAGATCTAACAGGAGAAGCTACAGAAGTCGAGCACTAACTCTCATTCCAATCTTCCCTCAAGAGCCAATTAGTTGGAAGCCTTAGAAAGAGAACAATGTACCAATTCTTTGCAGCAACAAATTACAGAAGCCCTTACCTTTTAGTCAGAGTAAGTGACAGATAACCAGCATAATAAACTCAGCAGGCATGCCCGCCATGCACATTTCTCAGTGGGCTCCTCCTGCAGTACCCAAAGAACTGTGCATCAAAACTCCAGCCTGTCTGATCCATCCTTCATTCACTGTCTGAGATACCAGCTACCAGGGTAACAAGAAGGGCCTCACGAAGTGGCAATCTCAGTTTCTTAAAAACCTTTGTCCTGAAGAAGAGAGGAGAAAAGGGAAGGGGTGGGAAAGAAACAGGGAGAGGAGCAGAATAATTACTTTCCCGAAGGTGAAGTGTTTGCCATAAACTAAATGCACAGCAACCAGCGTTTTAAGTTTGAACGATCCTACTTGCAAGCTCCTGAAGAATCTGCCCTACCTCTGCCTCTTAGGAGAAAAGTGTGTGTGTGTGTGTGTGTGTGTGTGTGTGTGTGCATGCGTGTGTGTAAAAGAGTGCGAGAGTGCAAGCACCAATGTATGGACAGGGAAGGGAAGGAGAGATGGCTGGAGAAGTGAGGGGGAGGGCTGGGGGGAGAGCTCTAGGATGTGACCCACATATGGAATGAGCATTAGAACAATGAGGACAGGACCGCCAAGCCGGTGCACTCTGGGGCAGCAGTTTTCAAAACAAGGCTTCACAGCTTTGCAGGAAAGGGGGGTGTGGGGAAACATAACACAAAACAAGCTAATTGAAATAAGCAACTGGATACAAAACGAGCTGGCCAAATCACCAGTAATCAGCAATCGGGACATGGTGGGCTCCTGGATTTCATTTTTATGCAGCCTGTGGGTTTATTCCCCTCCTTACTAGAAAGCTTTTGGTCCCGGGGGCGTAGAATTCCAGAGGACCCAATTAACACCATACTTGGCTAGTTCCCTGGTATGATCAATATGAAATAAGCTGCCTTTTAGCATCTCCATAAAACAAAACAGCCTGGAAACTGGGTCTGCTATTTTTTTTTTATTTCCTTTGTAGACTGACAGCCAAATTGGGAGGGTGGGGCAGAGAAGCCACACACATTTAAGACATTAAGAAAGGATACAGAGGGCATGACTTGGCTGAACATATTTAAGAACATTAGGTCTAATAAAGTTTTGAAGTCAATTAAATAATCTCTTCTGTATCCTCAGATATTTGATGACCAGAGGGCTGTTCCACACATGAGGTTTTCTGGGCTTAACTCACAAGGGGCTCTAATGATTGCTAGGTTCTTCATAACACAATTCTAGTGTTTTGGCAAATGATTGACTCATATACATGTTAGCTAACCTGTGGTAAACAGGACTTAGTTTGCACAATAACTTTCATAGTAAGTCTTCCTTAAAAATAGTATTTTTTTCTCTGGTTTTGATTTCATTTCACAATCAAACAACTGGTTTTCTTCATAGCCCAGAGATAAAACAACATCCAAAGCAGTATTGGTATATTTCAGCATTTCATTAATTAAAAAAAGAAACCATTCTCATGTGAGGCTTTCCCAACAAACTCTTCATTCACTAATATTTTATTCCTAGTGCAACTAGTTTAATTTGTAATTTCAAACAACTTCTACATTCTGTTCTCTGCTTACTCTGAAAACACAGATAATCAAACAACCTGTGAAAGAAAGAGATGGCAATAAAACTTTCCAAAAAGCACACGCATTCATGTGGCACATGCACACACACTCACATACACACACACTCCTGTGAAAACCTGGAAGACAACTTCAAAGTGAGTGCCATGTTTCTTATATTGTACTACTAATCCTCTGATTTCAGAATTGTGTGACCAGGAAAAAATGTTGCTGTTAAGTTCAGGGCTACTAGAGCTAGGTTTACATCTGGTTAAAAGAAAAAAAAAATCCCTCTGATAAAATTACTAAAGATCAAATTTCCATAAGAATAAGCTCAATAAAAATGTTCATAAAGAAAGAGATTACTAATTCCCATGTGGTACTAAAGGTTATAAAGAGTTAAATCACAGCATATGAAAACCTGTGTTTAAATAATTTTTAGGCAATGACACAAGCTGAGGAGGGAAATAAAATTAATAAGTGACAGGAATGAGGGGCTGTCAGCACCAACTCCAAATTTCATGCTCCTTGGCTTGATCCTGTATTTTATTTAACACAGATTTCTACATATGCAAAATTTGCCTCTTCTTGTGAGGTCTTGTACAAGGTTGAAGAACCTTGGGCTGTGAGCTTATCTGAGAGATACAATGAAGCGGGATGAACTGGTGGCAGGGGCTGGGAGCAATGGTTCCAAGTATTAGATGCTGTTTACAGCTGCAGCTTCAAGGCAAAGTCTAAGCAATGACACTTCCAAGTAACCAAAGGGTATTCCTCTGGACAGTGATCTTGTGGATGAGGCAAATCTGATCTTCTGACTAAATGTGCTCAATTTCAGTCTGCATACAAGAATGCTTTCCATTTGCATTTACTTTTGTTTCATTTGATTGCATGTCTGCCTAGCCAGGTAGTGAGCCAAATTAAACAAAGGAAAACTTTTGAAATATTCTATTCCAGCTTCAACATGATGTTGTTTTCTTCTGTGCTGTTTTGAAAATGAGCCAGGATGTAAACGGGCTGTGTTATCTTGTATGGAACTGCCTCAGGCAAAGTATTCCCATTAAGCAGGAACAGATCCAGGTATGGGGTGGGGGTGGGGGCCTGAAGCTGATTCCATGTGGAGGACTCCCTTTAAGTATATAACTTTATGAATTCATACTTAAGTGGAAAGCCAGGCACAGTGGCTCATGTCTGTAATCTCAGCACTTTGGGAGGCTGAGGTTGGAGGATAACTTGACCCCAAGAGTTGGAGATCAGCCTGGGCAACATAGAGAAACTGTCTCTACTACAAATAAAATTAAAAAAAAAATAGCCGGACATGGTGGCACAGGTCTGTAGTCCCAGCTACTCAGGAGGCTAAGGAGGCAGAATCACTTAAGCCCAGGAATCTGAAAATGCAGTGAGCTATGATCACACCACTGCCTTCCAGCAGTGCAAGGGCAATAGAGCAAGACTCATCTCAAATTTATATATATATAATTTATATATATATAATTTATTTATATATATATTTATATATATTTATATATAAATATATATATAATATATAAATATATATATTTATGAGCCTCTTCCAAGGCTCTTCCAAGGCTCTCCACTTTATATATATATAATATATATAATATATATAATATAAATATAATATAAATATATAATATAAATATATAATATATATAATATAAATATATATAATATATAATATAAATATATATAACATATATAATATAAATATATATAACATATATAATATAAATATATATAACATATATAATATAAATATATATATAAGTTTATATATATATAAAGTGGAGAGCCTTGGAAAAAGCTCATGGGGGGAAGGGTACTAAAACTGAAGCTACAAAAACTTTACAGTAAATAGGCCTCTACTTTCACTAGGACTCTACTAAGAGCACCACTATGGACTCTACTAAGAGCACCCCCAGTATTCCACAGTAGATTTGTGAATATATTTTCTCATTGGTAGTAATGGGAGGAGATAGTCACCTAGAGAAGCTAAAAACATTTAGTCTAAATATTGAAGTAAAATGATACCAGCAAAGGGAAATCTATCACAGGCTTTCATTTTCTTAGAAGGGTAACTAGCTATACATAGACAGGGCATGAAGGAGTTAATGAATCCATTAATTCAATAAAGCATAATATCTCCTAAAAAGACATTTGCTTTTTAAAAATAATTTCAAATTTACAAAAAAAACTGAAAGTTGAAAAATTTGTTCAAAGAGTTTCCACATACCCTTTACTCAGCTTTTCCAGATATTAACATTTTACGTAACTACATAACAATGATAGGAAATTAACATTGATACTATAATCTTAACTAGTTAACAGACTACTCAATTTTACCAATTGTTCCATTTATGTCCTTCTGCTGGTCTAGAATTCAATTCAGGAACTCACACTGAATTTAGATGCCATTTCTACTAAGTCCCCTCCAATCCGGGACATTTCCTTAGTCTGTCTTTGTCTTCCGTGACCTTGACATTTGAAGAGTATTAGCTGGCAATTTTGCAGACTGACTTTCTATTTGGGTTTATCTGATATCACCTCACTATTAGTTTGTGGTGTGCATTTTGGGACGAATACCATAGAAGTGATGTTCTTTCACCTGTATCATATCAAGAGGTATACAATATTGATATGTATTAGTGCTGATGATACTAACTTTGATCACTTGTTTAAGCTGGTGTTTGCTAGGTTTTCCACCTTAAAACCACTATTTTCTCCTTTTAGCTTATAAATTTCTTGTGGGGAGATACTTTGGGACTAAGTAAATATCCTGTTTCATCATACTTTTCACCTACTATTTTCAGCATCCATTGATGATTCTTGCTTGCAACAATTATTGCCGTGGTGTTTACCAAATGGTGCTTTTCCATTTCCCATCTTTTCTTCTACATTTATTAACTAGAATTCTACGGTAAGGAGGGTGTGTACCTTCTAGAATAGGGACTTTTAAAAGAAAAACAACTATGAAAATTGAATTACTCTGAAACCAACATAGCTGGTTTATCTATAAAATAAGACCTCTCAGTGCCACCTATTTTTTGAGAATGTGAAAACTCCAAGGTCTTCCCTTTCAACCTTCTGCTGGCATTTCAAGATTCTTCAGCAGATCTACTGCAACAAAGGGGAGGGCAGAAGCAAAGAGAGGACTGAGAAATGGCATCAGCTTCCCAACAGCAACTATGGCTTATAATGAGAGAACTTTGAAGCAAATGGGTGACTTTTGTTACAAATGTCTATTAAGGAGACATATCCAGCAGGTCTCATTTATGTCCTTGTTCTGGTCCAGAATTGAATTCAGAAAGAATTTAGCATTTAGTTTTCATGCCTGGGTTGGTCTGACCCATTTAAAGGATCATCCTCACCCAGCATGATGCAACTGTCCCTCCCAAAAGGACCCATAGGATGGTCCACAATCCAGACCTCACACCTGCTTACCACCAGCTCCCCATTTATTCTTGGACCCCATGCCTGTGCTTCATTTGTGCCCTGTCTCACCTCACCTCCTCCAGGTCAATGCAGGATCTAGTTTCGTGAATTCCAGGTGTAAGTTGTCCTCTTAACTTTCACACATCAAAGAATGCCCTTCCAGTTAGAACAGGACCCAGAGACCAGTCATTTTTGCCTCTTCACATCTACAAACAACTGACAGACAACTGCAGAGGTGGTTTGAGTATAAGCTATTAGACCGAAATTTGTCATGCAAATCACATGAATGCCAATAAACTCAAGCAAGAGGAGATTCTGTGAGAGGAAGGATGAGTATTCATTCCAGAGGAGATGACCACACTGCTACCAAAACAGGGGCTTTCCCAACTCCCAACTAATGGACAAGTCTTCATCAGTTATCCCTCCCTGAAACTGTAAAGCAGCTGCTAGCCCTGATGTTTATACCTGTATCAATCAGACCCTGCCATAAAGAGCAAGGGGAAGACTAAGAAGCAATACATTGAGTCAATTACTTCCCAGAGAAACCACTCCAGGAAGTAAGATGCAGACCCAGGAGGAACCCTGATGCATTATGCAGAATGAAAGCTGGAGGCCACAAAGGAGCCACCTAAAGCCCTTCCTAAGCACTCATGGAGAGGTGTACTGAGGCACACTCCTCAGAGGACCAGAAATCCACTGGACAGGATTAAGAGGGAAAAAGTCTTGTAATGGAAAGGTTACACAGTAGATTGAAAACTGCATTACACAGTTTCCAGATACATATTCTAAAACTCCTTTTTCAAACCGTTAAAATATCAAACAGAATATGTTGTCAAATCTCATGGGCCATCAACTGAAATCTTTTTGTAACCACACAATTGCGAAAAAAAGGTTCTGCACTTATTACTATCAGAATCTAAAACCCTCTAAACTACATTTGAATAGGCAGTCAACACTTTCTCAAGGTTTGCAATGTCAGCTGCTAAATTTTCATCCAAAATGAAATGATCAGGTGGTGAGGCGAATCTAACCCACCTCTTTTATAACACCATTGTTCCTCTGACTAGCCATCCCAAGCTACAAACATTTCACAAAGGAAAAAATTTAAAAGATAGTTCAGCACCTAAGCTGTGCTCCTGGAACTTTAAGCTACAACAATACATTTATTGCTCTTAAGTTCATTTTTATGGCCAGAATCTCAAAGACCTTCTAGACTCAAGAAGAGCTAAATACTGAAGCAATGCCTGACACTTGGTTGAAAGTGCAGGACTCGACTCCTCAAATCCTTAAGTGATCAAGACTGGATTAGTCAGTCTTTCAATGTGTTACATATCTAGGTTGTACTTTTAAGAGTCAGAAACTGTATGTTTTCTGATCTGAACCTTCTAAAATTATAAGACATTCACAGCCTCAAGAGCTGCTAGATATTGTGATGGGAATTTCCTTCCTGACAAATGAGAAAATAATGCTTATCATGTGCAATAGAGGGGAAATGGAAGAGAAGCAATGCAACAAAATTTAAAAACTAGTGCCAATAAAGCGATCCTAAATGGTACCTCCAAATTTAAAAATAAATTCCTTGGGAAAATGGTTTCCCAAGGAAATTTTGGAAAAATTAAAAGTTTTCCTTGAGTTTATGAATGAGCACAGATTTAAAACTGTAAAATTGTACAGAGGCTTTCAACCCTCCTCATTAATTGTATCAACCAAACATCCATGGATACATCACTATTTAGTGCCTACTTCGGTAGATGCTAAACATCTTTGATTCACACCGCAAAAAACTCTAATGAGGTCGGAGCAGGCCCCTGTGACTCATACCCTGAATAGTGCTACCAACCTATTTTTCCACAGGCACCCGCTCTGTTCATTAGCTATGCACTAAAATAGAAGATGACAAAGCCTGAATCTGTGCTTATTTCCACAGTTGTTATTAAGTAAATACCATTTTGGTGAATAAAATTAAACTAAACCCACATACATGAAATGACTTATTTCCCTTCCTTGAAATCTTATTAACATAACACTACCAGAAAATTAATCAACACCATACAATTGTTAAATGATTAATAAAAACAGTGATTATAATAATTCCAAATTGAGAGTACTTCTCATTCAAAGTAGGACTATGAGTTCTGTTTGGATTTTTCTGCCAGTATGAAAAAAAAATGTTTATAAATGCAGAAACTGTTTGTAAATGCATCGCCTTCTATGCCACTATAGAGGTTAGATAATATTCCACAAATGGGTGATTTCTACCAATGGGTTTTAGCAATTTTTTCTTCTTTTCCCTAAATTAAACTTAATATACAAATAAATGGTGCCAAGGCTGAAAGAAAAAAAAAATTAGGAAATAAAACAACCTTTTGAATGGCAAGCTTAACATGAGAAAAAAAGGAAAGGTAGATAATTACAATTTATATCGACACAATAAACTGCCAGTTTTTCAGCTGACTAAATGCTAGTCTAGCTCATTATGTAGCCATGTTACAGAAAAAAAAAGCCTATTTTTTCCTTAGAACTTCGGTTTCTGTAATGTAAAACCACCGGGAGGTTTGAATATTATTACCTAGCAGTATTTTAAAACATTACAAAGAAATACTTTACATCTTTTCTTAGGCCATTTCTAGCACCTACACTAATAATCTCCAATCAAAACAAGGCAACCATGTGCTCCTTATGGTGGAGTAGGTCATATACCATAACCATGAGTATGTATATACATATTTACCATGTGAATGTATATGTGTGTGTGAGTGTGTGTGTGTGTATCTGCATGCATGTATGCATACACATTTTCATCCCTGAAGCAGAGTTTCAGCAGTTAACCCCTTCCTTGCCCTTTCATTAGTATGATGTCAGTAGAATTCTGGGACATTCTGAAGAGTTAGGTTGTATACCGAATGATTCAGGGCCCCTCAAAGCCCTTTGGAAAGAGGTGAGGAATCGTATGGATTCTTGTGCTTACAGTTGCACCTAAACAAACAACAAACAACAGCAACAACACTCTAGACCCACTATGAGGCACACAAGATGATCTAGTTTGGACATTTGATCCTTCAATAATTGAGACCCTCTATTCCCCTGGAATAACTGTGAAACAAATTGCAAGCTCACTCAGAATAAAGGAACAATAATAATAATGTAACTGGCTGTTGTGATCCCCAAAGTTGAGACTAATGGGTATAAGTGTCCCCAATAAAGAGTGGTGCTGCACTTGTCATCTAGCAAAGCTGGCTCTGCCCCCATTTGCCATTCCCCAGACAACATAGAAAAAGATAATCAAAGTGTAAAGGTGACTTGTTGACAGAGAGCTATGGGCCCAGAAATAAGGCATTCTGTTCCATCCCCCTCCCTCCTAACGGAAGGGGCAGCAGATCCTACAGAGGAAGGGAGAGAAATGCTGCCCCAGCCACCTCCATCCCAGTGAGCAGGGCCCTCTGCACTCAAGTGGTGGAAGCTCTAGGGCTTCCCAATCACAAGCTTATCCACTGTAGTGCCCTTTCTTTTTCGCCACCTATCTATCCTCTTCCTTCAACTGTATGTCCTTACTACATTTGGAAATGTCAGCAATCATGAAGAAGAGAAAAACCAACTGGGCTCTCTTCCCTTTCAAATGTAACCCCTATGTGAGTGTAGCCCAGCTGACTATCTAGATGAAGACAAACAGCTGAGAAAGAGGAGATCAGAAGCCAAAGTCTGACCCCATGCTGCCCGTCACCAAAAGCACATGAGGAGAGGCCTCAGGCCCCCATAATTGAGAAAGAGCTCATTTTCTGTGCAGCATCTGCTGAGAAAAACTCCATGAAAGGTCAGTGGCACCAAGCCAAATGTGGAAGAAGTTAAATGCCACCCTGCTGCCATTATCTTCAAGGTACCAGAACAACGAAACAATCCCAGAGAGAGAAGAAAACACTATGAAAAACTTTGAAGAGCTCATTTTTTAAAATAATATAAAGGTGTGTTAGACCGGAAATACCAGAAACTAAATGTCATGCATGTATTTGACAAATATATACTGAAGGTTTTTTACTATGAGCCATGTGCTATTCTAGCTGCAGCTAATACAGCAGTGAATGAGACAGACAATATCTCTACTCAGGGGGCTTGCATTTAGTGGCAACAGACAAAAACAAATATGAAATTTCACATAGCGACATATGCCATGAAGACAGCATACCTTGACAAACTGATCAAGAGAGACTTAGACAAAGAGAAGGGTCTATTTTAGATAAGATTGTTAAGGAAGGCCTCTCTGAAAGCAAGTCATTAATTAAAAGATCTGCTGAAAAAGTATTCCAGACAGAGGAAACAGTAATTGCAGTCTGACATAACAGCCTATCTGCCTTCCTGTAAAGTTTCAGTGAGCACCTACTTGTTACAAAAGTGTGTAAGACAAAGCCCCAGCCTTTGAAGTTCTCATGGTCTAGCAGAAAACACAGACACAGTAACATGATAAATGCACACCCAAACTCTCACAGGAACATAAATGGAAACAGCCCATGAAAGTGACCTCAGAGCATGAATTTGATTGAAGGGCTGTGCTTTGCTGTAAGACCTGGCAAAAACAAAATCTTGAGCACAGGAAATATAATGAGCCAACGAATAATGACATGTAAGTGCATGACATGTCTATGGCCTACATTTGTACCCTGTTGAAATTCCTCTTGTAACACATATGCACTTAATTGTGTTAATTGGTTTCATGATTCCCCCAATTGTTAGGATGCACACTCTTTGACAACAGGAGACTTACTCATTTTGAATCATGAGCATCTAGCATCAATACCTGGCACAGAGATTTAGTTAATAATGTTTGTTGAATGTATGAGATGAGGAGGAAAAAGAAAGGTTAATGTCAGTTTGTGAAAGTCAGAATGTGCCCTGCTGAAGAGATAGATTTCTTTCTGGAGCTATGGGGGCCATGGAAGGCTTTACAATTCATAACAAATCTTCAGGATGACAAAAGTGAACTTAACCTACTAGTGAACCCGGAAGCTTCTTTTGCAAAACCTATATTGGTAGTACTGACAGCTGCTACTGATGTTATTTAAATGAAGATATGGCTTTTTGTTTCCTTCACTGAAGAGACATATATTAATTACAGTGCTTTTTAAGATATGAGACATAGTTGTAAAAGCTTGATAATCACTTCTACTAAAGGTTTCCTGCTGTGATTGTCAAATATAAGTCTTCACCCATTCTCTGTGACCCACCCCTCTGTTGTTACCTTGCTCGACATCGGATCAGTCAATTCATATGTATTTATTGTCTTCCTCCTCTGTGCACAGCAAGGAGCATGGAGTGAGAAAACACATACTGCACACATTAGAAGCATAAAGCAGCCTTAATGGCCTTTGGAAAGGGCAAGAAAGTCTATGTCATCTTTGTCTTTACTGCACCTATTATCTAGACTAACTCTTTCATCTTACCTTTAAGATCTAGTCCAACCCAGGTAACTAGATTGGCTCTTGGAAGAGCTCAGATGATAATGTGAATTTCCTGACTCCAGGTCATCAGGAAGCAAATCTTGTCTTTCTTGGGTACTTCCAGGATGCCTAATACAAGTGCTCAGCACTTCCAAAGCTCAATGCATTTGCTCAGTTTGATTAATCCATCTTGTACCCCACCATTATAAGTACTTTTCCTTCTGTCTCTGGACTTTGGTGTACCCCTACAATCTCTTCTTCCTTTCCAGACCTCAGCCAGATGTTAGGCATGATGCTTATGGAAGCTCCAAAGCCACAGAAAGCTACCCCTCTTCTGTGTAGCTCCACTCACCAGCAGGAACTCTGGCATTGCAACAGATGAAATGTTTTGCCAACCAGAAAAAGAGATCTTTGCACACACACAGGGCACTCAGATTAGATAAGTGTTCTGAACTTCAACAGCAATGAGGCAGAGGCAGTGGAAGCTGGGCTGAAAAAAAAGAACCATTCCTTCAGCAGATCCATCCAACTTACAGAAAGGAGCCAGGGAGCTCCATCTGTCAGGTTTAGTGAGAGTCCTAATCTCACTCATATGCTGACAAGTTCAAAATACTCAACTTTGTTGAGATTGAAAACTCTTAGTTATTTAGGCTGAACAGGTTGCCTGGCCTGGAGGAAAAAAAATTGGAAGTTGATTAACGACCATCTTTACTAATATGATGGGTTATCATGAAGAAGACAATGAAAGGTGACTTTCCACTCAGAGATGCTGAACCAAAGACCCAAACCAGCACAGAAAGCATGAGACTTCAACAAATAGGAAGAACATCTCTTCCTTTATGCTGCTATTATTGTTACTTCATAATGATCTAATAACACTTCTTTTTTTAAATATTAGTTTGGAAACTAGAAAGCTAAGACACATAAAGGAGATGTGACTGTACATAGGGAAACCAGAAACCCATCAAGAGAAAGAAACAATTGCTCTCCAAAGGAATGGGACCCATGGGAAAGGATTGCATATTCTGTGTAAACAAAGAACTCCTCCAATAGTCCTGCACATTTCCATTTTCTATGCACAGAGTCATTCCTTAAGCAGCATGCATTTATCTCTCCAAGACAGAAAACCATAATTTAATTAAAGTTAAAATGAAGAACTTAAAGATTTGCTACCTTATTAGATCCCTTTGAAAGAGCTAAATGTTCCCCTGCTCAGATCTCCTCTCTTCCTGTGCTTCAAGATAAGTACTGGGAGATTTATGTGCCATGAATTTCCAATTACCCATCTCCACCAGCTGGGCTGTCAATCACCACTTGTCTTATCCTGGATGTCCTCACCACCCGCATTTCCTTGTTGTGCTCACAGAAACAAGCTTATTCTTCCAAAAAGAGCTTACCACCAGACAGGCCAATGCTGGTTTATTATGTCCAGCTAATGCTGGACAGAATTTCTCTTTCAAATTACTGCCATCCCACTTTCCCAAAATATTCAAATAAAACAAGAGTTGCCACAGATTGTGGACAATTTAAGATTTCAAAAGAGAATTTACAGGCAAACTTATCCATTCTGCATCCTCACAGAGTCCACTGAAGCAGAATTGATGAGCTCTCAGGAGCAATCCCCCACTCCTTTGACATCTGGAAGCAGGTGGGAGAATTCTAAATGATAACTACGCTCACTTGGAAACCGTGCAACACAGAAACAATATGTTTGCAAATGCAGGCTTAGAAAATTGTCATAGATTTGGAGGGGAAAATTAATGGTGGAAGCTCTTTACTGCTCTTGGTCATGAGTTTTGTCTGGAGAATGGATTAAGGCATCAAAATATTCTTAAAAGGAGTCTGAAAGATCATAATATCCGTGTTACCAATAAATACCTGAAAAATAAATGACAGTTGTCATTTGATGGTCAGAATAATAATGAGTCTTTATTGTATGGATTTCTTTCTTGTGACTGTTACAAAGTATGTAACCATTTAGTTGACAAATGTTTACTTACTAGGTACAAGGCTCAGTGTTAGATACTAGGGGTGATATAAAACTAACTAATACAAGGCCTTCCCCATAAGGAGCTTGTAAAATATTTGCATAAACAATTTTAATAAAAGAAAAATTGGCACCAAAAAGTCAATGAAACACTATGAAAATTCAGAGGAAACAAGATCTTGAAGCTGACTGGAGGAGAACAGGAATTTAAGGAGGGCTTCATGAAAGAGAAGGACTACCAATGATGAACTAAACCTGACAGTCAACTACAATATTCCAGGGCTGTGAACCATCTAATTCTTCAGTTGTTCCTTCTCCTTCTCTTACATATTGCTTTGCTTGTTACTAGAGTGTAAGGTAGAAGCAAGATAACTAAAAGTCAAGCTCTAATTTTGCTGCTTATTTGAAAGGTAATTGGATGCATACAGAGGCTTTAATTAATAAAATGAAATCTAGAGATCACTTAATACTCACTGTTCTGGATCACTATGTTGTTTAAATGGCACAGAAGGTACATTCAAGTCCAGGAAGAAAGTCAGTACTCTTGTCTAGGTTCTGAGCCTGGGGAATGCTAGAGCAAAGGGACTGCCATGATTTAAGGCAGCATGCGCAATGGCTATCACTTCAGGCACCATCCGCAAACAGGGAGGTCATGGATGAGATAGAAAAGGCAGGCTAACCACTGAGATCAGCTCCATTTCGCGCTGAGCCTTTTCACAGTGCTTTGAGACATCTATTAAATATTTCATCCATTTATTCCACTGATTGTCAAAAACCCATGAAACAGACAGGCCATAACAAGTTGAACTTGACATGCACGTGGCCACCAGCAGCTTCCTGAACTTGCTTCCTACTCCTAGGTCAGCAGATGGATGACCAGCAGTGGCCCCATACCTATGGTTGATTCTCACACTGGCAGCTACCATGGCAGCCAACGTTTCTGGAGCCCTCCCTTTATACCTAGTATAATGAAGTGTTTCCTCTTTGTGTACATTGTCTCATTTAGCCCTTAAACAATCCTTAAATGCATGTATTATTCCACCACTTCCCAGAGATGGAAGCTGAGTCATGATACTGTTATGTTACTTGCTTAAGGCCACACATTTGATCAGGATTTGACTTCAGTATTTTCCAACTCCAAAGCCTGTGGTCTTAACCACACACTCTTAGCTACAACTGTGTACTGCTTCCCAAAGACCGTGTAGGAATTAGAAGTGGAATTCTGAGATTTTTAACCCTCGGGGGAAGCATAAAGACTGTGGGTCCAGAGTTGGACCAGAATATCTCAACCATAACTGTATACCTTGAGTTTGCCCAGAGTAAACACCATTGAGCCAGGGGAAACCTGTAAGGTGGCCTCCTCCCTCTAGTCTTAGCTTCTATCTCCACAATTACCAGAACAGCTGCCAGACCAGCCATCCAAGTGACCAAAACCTGGTGGCGGCTGCATGTGCCCTGGTCAGACACTGGTTCTCCAAGGTTATACATTGAAATCTGATGTCTGGGTCCCATCCTGGAAGTTCTATAGTTTAGGGTGAGTCCTGGGCTTTTAAAAAGCATCTAAGGTGATTCTATTGTGCATCCAAGAATGAACATTGTTGTGTAAAAGAAAAAGTCAAGGGTTTGAGGCCCCTTCTTTCCATAGTCAGCAAAGCAGCTGGCTTCATCCCAGGCTTTTGCTGAAAAACATTAATAAATGCCTGCCGACGATGAATCATTCCCTTAAGAAGAGAACAATTTCCCAACTGTAACTTAAAGTCTTGGGAGAAAAGAGAGGAAAAGCCACGGAGAAAAAAATTTCTAGAAGACTAAAATGTATTTCTAACAAAATTTAAATACAAGATAACTGATCATTGTGGGAGGCTGATTTTTTATCCCACTGAAGATAATGCATTTTTGACCCTGCATCCATAATTCAGTGAAAGAATTGTATTCAGACACGGCACAGCTCGGGATAGCAAATATGCAATTTGCAAGTCACTACTTCCTTTTCCTCAACTCCCTGTCCAAAGTCCATGGTGACTCCCAATAATCCAACACGGCCTCCTGGCCAAGTCACTTTAAATGCAGTCTTAGAAACCTCTTCCATAAGTGCTCTTGGCAGGCTCTGTGAACCAAGTCTATGGCTGAATTGAACGACATTTTTCATCCCTGCATGAACCTACATGCATTCCAGGGTAAAGAATTATCTTATTCTGTCTTGTACCCAATAGTTCCACCTAGAAGAGTTTATGGCAAGTAGTAAATGCTCAGTAGATGTGAGCTGAATGAGTAAATGAGATGATGACAGGAGAAATGCATTTTACAGAAAACCTCCAGCTTTCTGATGTCCTTTTCTTAGCAGTCAAATTAAGATTTCAGGTTTGCTCATGATAGGGTGATCAGAAAGACCTTTAAAGGAAAAACCATTCCAATGGCCAGTGAATAAAGTAAGCAAACTGCACTAGGATACATCAGTAGGGATTGACAGAGATTACACAAGCACTACTAAATCTTTCAATGATGTCTTTAAAAACACAAGACTTGAAAGAGAAACAGAGAGGAATGCATGCCTGGAATTAACATTCTGACAAATACCTGGCTCCAGGTTCTACATTTCATTTTATTTATTCATTTTCCACCTTTCCAAAGAAAAAGAGGGATGGAGTGAAGGATCTCCATGGTTTACAAAAGGCTCATATAATCCAGCATGATGATATTCAATAGAACAAAATAAGAAAAAAAAAAAGGCAAAATCAGGTTCTGTCTTTTTCTTTGTGTTAGCAATAGACAACAACATAGAATGAACTCTTGATGGCTGTCCTCTTTTCTGCATGACACCTATACTTGTCTCTCAAGGCTCACAAATCACTTCCCAATGGATACCTTCTCTAGCTTGTCCTACATAGGTCCACACTTATCTCCACTATAGTATGACTTGGCAATGGCTCATCTCTGTAGCTTAGGCTCCTTAGCAGTACAACAAAAGTCAGCACCTAGCAGTGTTTGTTGGACAAGTGGTATGGACTGAATGTGTGTGTCCCTTCCACCCCCAAATTCATATGCCGAAGCCCTAATCCTCAGCGTGGCTATATTTGGAGATGAGGTCTTTATGGAAGTAATTAAGGTTAAATGGGGTTATAAGGGTGGGGCCTTGATTGAATAGGATTAGTGTCCTTTTAAGAAACACACCAGAGAATTATTTCTTTCTTTCTGCATGCATGCACCAAGGAAAAGCCATTTGAGGGCAAAGCAAGAAGGCAATTGTCTACAGGCCAGGAAGAGAGCCCTCATCAGAAACCAAATAGGCCCAAACCTTGATTTGGGATTTTCCCAGCCTCCAGAACTGTGAGAAAATATATCCATTGTTTAGTTCACCCAGTCTGTGATATTTTGTTATGGCAGCCCAAGATGACTAAGATGGCAGGAAACTGACAGATTTAATAATGTGGAAAAGCTGCCCCATTGGAAATCTGAATCTCTATCCAATTGTGTACTTGCACGCAAGTGGCTTTAGCCCAATACTGCCTTTCCTCTTCTCAAATCTGGGTAACATAAAACTTCCTTTCTCTACTCCTAGTGGCAGTGTAAGGGTCTGAGTACCTTTGAGTAATAAAAGATCCTTATGAAAGCAAAGCTGTGATGTATTATTACTATCAACATACCTGCAGTCCTTTTCTATGTGCTCTGACCATGGGTCTCCTGTAGCTATGAGGGCTAGAAGACCTCCTGATCCTTTTCTTGAGACCCATCTCTACCCATGTGACCATCATTGTCTAATTGCTCAATTAGGAAAACTGATCACTAATATATTAAATAAAAGAATATGCACTGTATATTGAAATTGGAAGGAATATATTTTATTTATATATATATATATATATATATATATATATATATATATAATCTGAGGTTCTGCTTCAAATTGAAAACTGGTTATATATCAGGGTCACGTGATCATGAGTATGATTATAATTTTCTTCTTTATATCGACATACACTCTAAATGTTCAGCAAATAATTGAATTACTTTTATACTAAGGAAAAGAAAAATTTAACTGTTGAAAAAGAAGAAAAGACTGATGATCTGCCTGGTAATCTCACAAGTGAAAGCCCCTACCCCCAGCAGAAGGTAAGAGAGTAGCACTTGGAGTAAAAAGAAAGCTCATCCCCCCTCCATGGCCTCCCCTTCATTTCTGCCTTCTAGCTCCCACCCTCTTATAGGAAACCAAAAAGGCTCAGGGAGGTTACGTGCTAAGGTTCCCACATTGTTGTTGTCCTCTATCACTTCAGGTCATTGAGAGCCAGCCTTCCTTCCTTTCCTTCCTTCCTTCCTTCTTTCCTTCCTTCCTTCCTTCCTTCCTTCCTTCCTTCCTTCCTTCCTTCCTTCCTTCCTTCCTTCCTTTGCAGAGTCTCGCCATGTTGTCCAGGCTGTGGCTATTCACAAGTGCAATCATTGTCCACTACACCCTCCAACTCCTAGGCTCAAGCAATCCTTCTGACTTGACCTCCTGAATAGCAGTGACTACAAGCGAGAACCAGCAAATCCAACTGAGAGCTTATTTTATTCAGAAGTGTTTGGGATGTCCCATCCTCATCACTCTACCCTTCTTAAAATACCTGTGATATCAGAGTCCAGTGGGAAATGCAGCATTTGCACAATGCATGCTTCTAGCCCACTGCCAGACACACAGATGATTCTCAATAAATGTCAATCCTCTCTCTGCCTACTGAACCTTACACCTAAATGCCTCTTTTAAATAGAAGTGTCATTCCAGGTGGGGAGAATTTGCTATATGCAGTATAACCTCAAATTTTTATACACTATCACAAAAATATGCAGGGACATAAACCGGATTTGCTTAATAAACACTGTAGCATCCTCATTCTGTGTTTTAAAACTACACATGCTAATTTTCTGGAAGACAGAAGGCAAGTGTCACACAAATTAAGTTTCCTCACAAACAAAAGCAGCTGTCTCACCTCACTTCCCATCCCCATGGTCATGTTCAACAACTCTAGCTTTGAAACTACTCTGGAGGTACATTAAAATTTGAGGAAAAATACAGTTCTGGACATCTGGATTCATTAAAAAATAACTTAATGCCTTCTTTCACTAAGGCTAATAATGATAAGCCCATACTTAATGTAGTCACATACTTATGCTAAAGATATACACTTAGCATATTTTAAAAATTATTATTCTGTTTATCATTAATCTAAGACTAGGATTAACCAAAATGCTGTGCCTTGATTACAGGCAACCAATATCCATTAATAAATACACTTGTTTGGATTTCACATCCGTGGTTCAATTTTGCCATTTTTTTAGATAAAAGAGGTTGAAGGACAGGCCAAACTTTCATATGCTAGCATCCACATATACTGTTACTTACACAAATAAATATTTTGTTTGGGGGACTAAACTGCAAGCACTAAAAAAACCATGATATTGCTAAAAGTGATATTTTTTCCTTGAAAAAAATAATTGAATATTTTTAACTGTGTTCTCTCTTCTAGGCTGAATCCCAAAGTACAAGGAGTTGGCCAGAGGAACATGGAAGGCAAGTTTTAACAGGACAGGAAGCAGAACACACAAAGATCCAGGGCAATAAAGAAAATCATGTGTTGGAGAATTTGCATGCTTTTCTGAATGGCTGGAGCACCAATGGTGAGAAAAGTTTTGCAAATCTCCAAAATCCAGTCTAGCTCTGAAATCTTCTGATTTTGGTGATCAGAGTAGATTGGAATTTTATCTGTGGCTCAGGCCTAGGAAAGCAGAAATAACTTTTGGCCACTAGAATACAATGTGTATTTAGACCAACTCTCTTCGTCCAGAGGAAGGAGGCACACACTATATATCTGTAAGGCAAAGACAGAGACTCTGGGCTCCTCTTTCCAACTGAGTTTCTAACTAGCTAGTGTTCCTCCCCTCTACATCCTGAAGCACAGAGCTGGGCTCCAAAGCTGAGGGTTATGAATTAGATACCATCCCAAACATTAAAAATGTGATCTATAACATTCTTACCCTGTCTTCTCTCTACACTCCTTGCTGGGCTTGATTTCATGAGTACAAGTGTCAAGCTCCCACCGAAGGAAGAAGGAGAGAAAGATCCCTTTCATTAACATGTTTAAAGCATCAACCCCTCCAACAGGATAGAGTGCTTGAGATACCTCAGGTCAGCACCTTGACTCTGCCGCCTACACATCTTTGTACTGGACAAGTTACATAAGCTCTTTCAACCTCAGAGTCCTCAATTGAAAAATGGAGAAAATACCCACCTACTTCTGCGCGCGTGCATGTGTGTGTGTGTGTGTGTGTGTGTGTGTGTGTGTGTAGAATAAAAAGCATTTAGCAGAGTAAGAGCTTAATGAGTGTTAGATATTTTTGCTATGGTTGACACCTTAAGAGGACAGCTAAGGGGCTTCTAGCTTCTCATATGTATTTGCAAACTCAAGCCTTTCAAATTAGTATTTAAAATATCACCAGTCTAATTATGTGGAAATTCTCCAATTAGTTAGAGAAGTAACTTGGTGCTACAAGTGGCTGGTGTGCAGCTAAAGAAAGCCACATAAACTCAATCTACTCCTTCTGCTAGTGTTCTCAGAATACCTCTTTTAAAATATATTTTTATTCATTTATTATTTTTTTTTTGAGATGGAGTCTCACTCTGTCGCCCAGGCTGGAGTGTAGTGGCATGATCTCGCCTCACTGAAACCTCTGCCTCCCAGGTTCAAGCGATTCTCCTGCCTCAATCTCCTGAGTAGCTTAGATTATAGGTGCCCACCACCAAGACCGGCTAATTTTTGTATTTTTGTGTGTGTGTGGAAATGGGGTTTCGCCATGTTGGAAAGGGTGGTCTCGATCTCCTAACCGCTGGTGATCCACCTGCCTCAGCCTCCCAAAGTTTTGGGATTACAGGCATGAGCCACTACGCCTGGCCTCTCTTATTAAATGTTAATGCCACAGAAAACAGAACCTTTTGGCCATGAAAAAGCAGATTGTGCTGGAAAGCATTCATTCATTTATTCAATATCCTGATGGCTTATTATGGGACAGGCACCATTAAGGAGCTAGTGATACAGGCTCAGACAAAAAGCTGACAATAATCTTTGCCCCCAAGGGGCTATATTCTAGAGGAGGGAGACTGAAAAGAAAGAAAATAACCGTAATATATAAAGTCAAATGATGCAAAGGACTATAGAGAGAAAGAAGGCAGGAAAGAGGGATAGGCAGGCAATAGGGTATTCAGATAAGGCCCCATTGAGAAAGGGACATTTGAATAAAGACAAGAAGGTAAGGGAGTGAGCCATGCAGATGATGGGGAAGAGCACAGCAGGCTGAAGATACGGCCAAAGCAAAGGCCATCAGGTGGGAGCAGGCCTTGTATACTCAAGGAACAAGAGGGGACAGTGTGTCAAAACTCAGTGAGTAGAGAATGGTAAAAAATAAAGTCAGAAAAACAAAGGGTCAGATTCTGTAGAGTCTTTGCAAAGTTTACTCTCAGTTAGACAGGAAACCCTTAGTGTTTTGAGCAGAGAAGGGATAGGATCTGACCAATATTCAACATTACTGAGCTGATGTGTTGCAAACAGATGACAGCAAAGAAGGGCAGAAGCAAAGAGACCAGTAAAGAGGCTACTGCAATAATCCTACAGACAGATAATGGGCCCCAAAGCTGAGGGTTAGGGATTAGATACCATCCCAAACATTAAAGATGTGATCTATAACATTTTTACCCTGTCTTCTTGACTTGGACCAAGGTAGTAACAATGAAAAGTGGTCAGATTCTGGAAATATTCTGAAGATACGGCCAACAGGATTTGCTGACAAATTGAATAAAAGATTACACATATATATGTAAAATGTGCACATATATATGTGTGTGTGTGTGTGTGTGTGTGTGTGTGTGTGTGTATCTATCATGGAGACTCCAAGCTGGGAGGTTGGAGCTACCATTTATTGAGATGAGACAAGTAAGATGGCAGAAGTAGCAAATGTGTGGGGTAAAGAACTGGACATCCATCTTGGACATGTGACATTTTAGATGCCCTTTAAAGATCCTATTCAGGATGCTGAGAAAAATCACTGAATATATTAGGCTCTGGAGCATAAGTGTACTAAAATATAGGTTAGAGAGAAGGAAAACTGTTCACCTTAATGTGGACATGAATTGGAATCATCCGACCCAAGAGATTAACCCTTCAAAAACTAAATTTCTAAACTGCCAGCCAACATGTGTGACTAAAACCACCAAACAGATAACTTACAGAACACCTGCTCATAGATGAGCCAAAAAAGGGATATTTATGATTCTTTTCACAGCCCTGCAAGTCTGTGCATTAAGGCCTAACCTAGTCCTCTGACCCCCAGCCAATGGTGAGTCCCGCAAGCAGGGCCTGAAGCTCAGGGGAGATTATTGTTTAGGCTCCAGCAGTTCTGAGGTGGTGTTGTCAGCACATTCACAAGGAATAGAAGGGAAGGCAATGAAATGGGAAACCTTTCTTTTTTCCGGATCAGGTTTAACTGTCCATCACCAAAGAACCAACCAAGTGTGGTCCAGCCAGCCTAGAATACTAAAAAATGCAAATGTTTCATTTATGATACTCCTTTTTAGCAATGTTTTTTGAATACTCACTGACACATGACAGAATTTTAGATACCATAGGTTTATTTTAGTTTAAACAAAATCCTTGTCTTCATACAACTCTAAATTTAGGAGTAGGGGAGGGAAGGCAAGCAAGATAGGCAAACACATGTCAGTTTATAATACAGATAAACAGATTGATAAGAATTAGCAGTTAAAATGCAGAAGGCATACATTCATCCATTTATTTACACACTGCCGTATTCCAGGAGAGGATTTAAGATGAGGAAAGGCATAAATAAGCCAGCATATAGAGTTAAACGACAGGAGATGCAACAAGGGGACTCAGGTACTGACTGGTTTAAGGCTCAAGAGATATCCCTTGAGCCAGTTTCCTCATCTCTAAAACAGAGGATAGACCCAGATGACCTGCTATGGTTGACTACTGGTGCAATGCTGTAGAGCAGATCTTTAGAATTTACTCATCTTGCTCAACTAAAACTTTATGTCCTTTGATTAGTAACTCTCAAACTCTCCCTGCCCTTGAGACCCTGCCAACCATCATGTCACTGATTGTATAAATTTGGCTACTTTAGATTTGTTTTTTTGTGACTTCCTTATTTTACTTTGCATAATGTCCTCCAGGTTCATCCATGTTGTCATATATTGCAGAATCTCCTTTGTTTTACAGGCTGAATAGTATTCTACTGTACGTACATATCATGTTTTTTTATCCAATCATTTATTGATGAACACGCCTTAACCTTTTTCAACTGCACAATTTATCTTATTTCCCAAAGGTACTTCTCAGCCCAGCAACAACTTCCATTTTACAAAGACGTGCCTCCATACACACACCTATATCATAGACAACTCATTTGCTCTGCAGTTTTTCTGTGCCTGCAAAACGGCTCCAAACTTAGGCCACTTTAACAAATGTGGCTTCCCTGAGTTCTATGACCATTCCAATGTGATCATTTCACAGCAGCACAGTTCTAGAAGAGCTGCTACCTGGGAACCTCTGGCACTTCCAAGCAGACTGGCTCTCTCATGGAACTAGCCATCATTTGGAGAGCTGAACTTGGCTTCTTCGGTAAATGTTACAGCTGCTATTTGAAGAGCAAAAGAAAGAAACCACAGGGATAACTTAAGAGGGGAGCACAAGTATTTGGAATGGTGAGGGGAGATCCTGACCAATTAGGAGAAACATGAAATAGATTTGAAAGGCTTGGGATTTTCTAATTATTGCTGCCTACAACTCTACTTCTTGACAGTAGCATTTCTGACCCAAACAGCAAGATGGGAAACCCAGCTCTAAAGTAACTAAACATGGCTGTAGTACAAAATATTATACTGTACATTAGGTAGAAACAGAGCAGTTATAAAGGACCCATAGTGCTTCTGAACAAGTTTTTCAGCTGCACTGCACATTTACTGCCTTAGATATCACAGCAGGTTTTCACTCCAAACCACCTAAGTATGTAGATTTTTAAACACCACTTAAACGATCTTCTGCCAAAAGAATTAAATTACCATTTATAGCCTATTCCTCTATTAAAAATTAATGAATTTACTAGCTCGTAGGATGGAGGCCTTCATTTGTTTTATAAAAAAAAGCTTTGATCTGCAATTCTCCAAGGCTGTGATTGTTTTTATTCTTCAGTTCTTCTCATTAAAAATAAATACCTCCGTTCTCTAAGATACACCTGCAAAGCACTTAAAATACCCATTTGAAGAACAGGAAACCTATTTTAGTTTCCCTGCTAAAGAATCTACTGTTTAAAGTGCTTCTGCAATGGGAAAAGCTCTTTTCTTCAGTACCCAGGCACCATTCTGGGTGGTGAAGGACCAAAATCCAAGGTTTGCACCTAATCACTATTTACAGAGCAAGCTCAAAGGGCAGCTTCTTAAAGCTGAAGATCTAAGCTGTAATCAGAATTCCACACATACTGTCTTTTGTTCAAGAGGGAGTAATGAGTCAACTTGAAGTCAGTTTGATGCATTGAATACTTCAGGCTACACACCTAATGCAGTCTAAACTACCAGGAGTCGCTTTTCTCTAACAGATGCCACAAGCGTTAATAGCAAAAGGCAAATGAGCTCTTAGTGTATAACCAAAAGATGGCTGGCAACAGCTATAGTTTTCTTCTATGCTATCCTATGGTAAAATGCTCTTAACTGTGGCTTAAATGTGTTATGTATTATTAAAACAAGAGAAATGTGAAGCTTTTCTAAGTGAACTAGTTATCAGAGACTACTGCTAACTCAAGCATGGTCCTTCAGGAAAACAACTACACCAAAAGCACATACTATATTTGAATAACACCATCCAGTCCACTCAGTTACCATGTGCAGATTACATAGAGAACTGAATGAACAAACGGGATAAGTTGGAGTCATTCCCTCCGTGCATATAAGAAGGTTCTCAAAGCTATTTCCAGGACTTCGGCATTCACATCCCATTACGCACTGCTCGATTATCCAGGCTTCTGCAACATGAAATTTGGAATAATCAAAAACCCTGGACTGATCCTATCACTGGCAGTGATTGCCTAGAGGTCGATAGAAAAGACTTGAACCCTGAATTTTTCCAATCCACAGACACTGCATACTGAACCTCTGCAATAAATCAACTGCCAGAATGACAAAGCATCACTGGCAATGTGTATCCCCACTGCCAAAACTGGGGAGAGTTTCGCATTAGGAACTGTCTTCTGATCTAAAGCTTCAGGTCAACAGAAAAGGGAAGGCAGTCAGTCTCCAGGGAGAGAGAGGGAGTCACGCTGTTTTAAGCAGCAGTTTTTACCGACACTCTCATCTCGGGGAAAAGCACAAGCAGTGGCACTCAAGATTGTTGCCAAGCTGTGTGCCCACTGCCTGCCATCCTTCTGGCCACACCCCACGTCCTGGAGGAGAAGTAGGAAACAAGGTGGAACATTCTAGAAAACAAAATATACAATCCTCCAAATAAGCCACATTGCCATTTCTACCCTCTGCTACCTTAATTCAACACATATAGACAGATACATAAGGACTACAGATACTTCTTCTTAATTTTGGCACCAAATTTAAAATATACAAATGCCTCTTCTTATGAGACAAAACAGGACATGCGCAAGGGAACCAGACAGATGATTCTTCTGCCAAGATAACTGTTTTTTCCTAAGCATAAAGGGAATACATTAGAAGTTGGTTAAGATTATTTCATAGAAACAGAGACCTAAGTGTCTTTCCCAAAATATCACACAGATGATCAATAGCCACTTGTGTTGCCCCTCAAATGAGCTACAATAGTGTTGTAAGAATGGGATACTCCCCTCAATAGAACATGTTCAGCACTTAACCATCTGAAATGTGCATTACTTCTCCCAGTATCCTCTTTCCCATTCCTACACATAAAAGCTTGCACAGCATATTCGCTTTTTTCCACAATAGAACGACTAACCATTTAGCAAAATAATAACAATATTAATAATAATACATCAATAAGTAATAGCTTGTCCTTACCAAAAATCAGATGTACATGCAATTGTATGTCTAACTAGAAAAACTGTTTTTAGAAGTTGTAATCTTAGCTGTGCACATGCAACACATAAGCAGAGTCTGCAGAGCACTCTTACACTCTGCACTCTCATTCCTCCCTATTAAAAATGGAAGACATCAGTCTTCTGTCTTCAGCATGCAGCCTCAACTTCTCTGAACACTCCCTAATTCATATTCTAGATATATTCACTGATTTAATGACATTCACTGCCCTCCTGTGTTTCCACTCACCTCTCATTCCCACTGAGGGAAGGAACCAGAAAAATAATACCTATAATGTCATTTTCCTAATAGAAAATTCTATCACCCATGAGCTATGAGCATCTAACTTCAATCTAGACGAAAACTCCTGTTTCTGATGTCCCTGAGGTAATAGTATCTTTGGCTATATTTCAGCAATGCAATTTCACCCAGAAGATATTTATAGAGGATCTTCCACATGCCAGCACTGTACTTGGCTCTGGGAAACAAAGAAGCATGCGACAGTCTGGCCATCCTGTAGAGAAGCTGACCTGCCAGCATTCCCCGGGCACTATGTGAGGTACTCTGTTGGAAGCATGTGCAAACAGCTAGGGTCAAGAGCGACAAAGTCTTCTTAGTACTCAACCTCTGCAAAGTTCATCTAAAAAATCCAACACAGGGTTTTCAAACGCAGTGTGCCCTAAGGTTGACAAATGAATTCAACATGCAAGAACCTGAGGGTGGGAGGGGCCCATTTCAAGAGCCCTGACTATCTTCCCACCCTAATCCTGCTGAGTCCTGTGCTCCAGGACTCTTATAACATAATATTCTCCTTCTGACCCCTTTATCTTTTCTTTAACCTTAAAATCTAATAGATGGAGTCCTAAGAGTTGGAACAAAAACTAGTGAGTAGTAATGGCATTAGGTATTCACTGCCTCCTTTGCAATACTCATATCAGATCCCAAGCCTTTTACTGACATAATTTACTTTTCTCCCATTGTGAACCCCACCCTCTACCCAAACGGAAACACTCCCTGTAGTTCTCGGAGGCGTTACCCTTTTACACTTTCCTACCTTTGACATGCTGCATCCATTGCCATAATGTTTTCCCTCCCTTTTCTATGTGTCCAACCATCAAGTCAGCTCAAATGTCTCCTCCTATACCACCTTCATCTGAATAAAGGTGCACTTTATTCTGCACCTAGCTTTCTTTTCTATTCACCCTACATTTATTGAGGCTTATCCTATGCTGTGCTTGGTTCTGAGGATGTAGAAATAAATGAATATAATTTGCTCCAAGCCCTCAGGAAACTTGCAGAAACACATAAATATAGAAATGCAATACAAAAAGATAAGAGATTTAATAAAGTTCCCAGAATTCTTTTGTGTCCCAAGACACAAAAGATACAATATCACCTCCTTGGGTGGGTCAGGAAGAGGGACTTATCACCCCTTCTAAAATTTAAGGTGTTTGAAGGGTAGGTCAATGTCTGGTGCGGCATCTCAAGGTGCACTAACACAATAAACTGTAAAATAAAATAATCAATGCATGCTTGAATGAATGACATATCAAATTCACCCTGTGGATCTCACTTTATGCACGGGCCACTTTAACAAATGCTTCCAGAAAACATGAAGACATGCTATTCCAGTCTCACTGAGAAGGGGTAAGACAAGTACATCACTTAGCTTTTAGTTGTTCCTGAATTGAAGGTGAAACTAGAAGCCATTCAAGTGAACAGGTCATCATTAACTGTAAAAGCTGCCAAAGAAACTGGATTCAACTCTTTGGGCATTCACTGAGCTGCTAGCTCAAAAGTCTCTGAAACCCAAACCATGAAAACTAATGAGCAGAGAATCTAGGAGGTGTTACAGAGCCAGTGTACCGATAGAACCAGGATTACCTAACTGTCACAGCACCCAGGATGTGTTGGAAAATGATTTAAAGCTTAATTCTTAAGGTGGTGGTTTGGTGTCAAAAACTTTGACTGATGAACTTTATAATGTTCCAACCTACACGTCAAGTAAAAAACCTGAATGCCTCTTCACTCATGGGCAAAACTTGTCACTGACTAATAAGTCTCAGATTTTATTTTGTTTTAGTGGAAATAAAATGGTTAGTAGTATGACCTTTTCTGGAAGGATAACACCAGGATTATGGAGGAAGATTTTTCCAAGGATTAAGACAATCGGGCTGGGCTGTAGACAGAGCACAGAACACCTACTAAGTGCTGGACACAGTCATAGGCTTTGGGGATACAGCCACAGGCAAAAGAGATAATCATCTCTACTATCTGTTTAAGGTTATAGATAAGTAAATAAGTGAACAATTTAGTATATCTGTTGGTGATGATTACTATAGAGCAAAATAAAATAAAAACAGGATCACAGATTTTCTTTGTTCAAGGGCAAAGAAAATTTTCAATTTTCAATTGCCTGGTCAGGGAAGGCCCAAGTGAAAAAAATGCATAAATCAGAATTGGTGATATAAGTAAACAATCGTTTACAGAGCATAAGCTATGTACCAAAATACTATTAGGCATTGTCAAGTACTAAAATCAAAACAAGATGTTTCGTACACTTAGGATCCTTAAAGCATTTAAAAACAATTTTAATTGACATAAATTACATATATGTGTGATTTACAACATCCTTTTTTTTTTTTTTTATTTTTTGAGATAGAGTTTCACTCTTTATGCAATGGTGTGATCTTGGCTCACTGCAACTTCTGCCTCCAGGTTCAAGTGATTCTCCTGCCTCAGCCTCCCGAGTAGCTGGGATTACAGGCATGCTCCACCACACCCAGCTGATTTTGTACTTTTTAGTAGAGATGAGTTTTCACCATGTTGGCCAGGCTGGTCTCGAACGCCTGACCTCAGGTGATCCATCCGCCTCGGCCTCCCAAAGTGCTGAGATTATAGGCATGAGACACTGCGCCTGGCCAACATCATGCTTTCATGTATGAATACACTGTGAAATTATTAAATCCTTAAAGTCTCATAAGGGAATAAGATGCAGAAAAAAATGGCTAATACAAGGCAGGTGACAATAAGTCCTGATAAAGTGATTTAAAATCTTCAGATCAGACTAGGGACATCAGGAAGGTCCTCAAGGAGCTTCAGGCATTTGAAACAGACCTTAAAGAAGGGACAATGTCTTTGGGAGGCTGAGGCAGGCAGATCACCTGAAGTCAGGAGTTTAAGGCCAGCCTGGCAAACATGGTGAAACCCCATCTCTACTAAACATACAAAAATTAGTCGGGCATGGTGGTGTGTGCCTGTAATCCTAGCTCCCCAGGAGACTGAGGCAGGAGAATCGCTGGAACCCAGGAGGTGGAGGCTGCAGTTAGCAAAGATCACACCACTGCACTCTAGTCTGGGCAAGAGAGAGAGACTGTGTCTCAAAAAAAAAAGAAGGGATAATGTTTGCACAAGTCAGATGGTGGGGATGGAGATTTGAAGAGTAGGATCCTTGAATATGAGAACTCTAGTTTAAGCTACTAGGAAAAGGAGTAATCCAAACATACAATCATTTCTCCCAGGTTCCACTGAAATCCAGGTCTAATGTTCTCATGCAGTGGACCAGTGAGCGATTAGGGTGGCTGACTAAATCCAGAGAAGCCTTTGTTTCTCATTTATTGATTCAATACCTTTGATTGAGCACTCACCATCTGGCAGTTACTATGCTAGGCTCTGAGGAAAAGTCACTTAAGACTCATGCCTGCCCTTAAGAATATCATAGTTTAGGACCAGGGAGAGATGAATGAGTCAGTGATTGGCATTCAGTGCCACAGGTGCACAACTGGAGTTAAGCACAGGCCCTGCGGAAATGCAGAAGAGAGGCATCCTGATCAGCAAGGGAGTGTGCGGAAGGCTTTCCAGGTAGCCAGATCCTTGAACTCATTTGCATGTGTGTAATTAAATTGTTCTTTTCTTGATTACAAAATACATCTATACTTGTAGAAACTTGCAAAATAAAATAAATTATAAATATAAAGATATAAAAATCACCTATAATCCTATCATCTAAAGAGCTTCTATTAATTTGAAGATATTTCCTTCCAGTGAGCTTTTGCAATCTCTCTTCCACTCCCCACTTAACATACAGAGAGTAATGTACAAATGGAAAGACATATACATGTGTTTGTGTTTCATACTCTTGTCATTTAATATTATAGGTTTTATCTTATCAAAAAATTTTTGACAATACAAAGCTAATAGCTATGTAATATTGCACAGTAGTTATTAAATCAATCCCTTACTGCATATTTAATTGCTTCAAATACAGTATTTTTTGCTATTATAAGTAGTAGCAATAAACATATTTGCAATAAATATATATTTCACTAAAACAGATTCTTAGAGGTGGAATTATTAAGTCAAAGAGAACCTAGATTTTAAGAAGTTGGCTTGAGTTTTGAAGAACAAATAAAAATAACATACTAGGAAATGGAAGAACAGGGTTGACACAAGAAATTGTATGTACGAAGGTCTCTCATGAAACAGCATGATAAGTTTCAGGAAATTCAAGTCATTTGGTAAGGCTAGATCAAATGGTATATGTGTGCTGGGTGAGGGAGTGGCCTAATAAAGACGAAGCTGGAGAAATGGGCAGACAATAAAGCATGAACAGCCTTGGGAGCTGAATTATAGAGATCTAACTGATCACAGAGTTAGTTATGAGGACCTCTGAAATATTTTAAGAGGTTCATGATCCTGTTTGTGATTTAGAAAGGTAATGCTTGCAGCAATGACAGATAGCTGCAGCTGGCAGAAAAGATATTTTTGAGGGCTACTGCAACGATCCAGGAGCAAAGAAAAAATTACCTTAAGCAGGACAGCAGTAATGCACAAAAAGGAATACATATGTGTTTTCAACATTTTCATTCCCATTAATTACTTACTGCTGTATTTCTTAAATGTCAATTTCCAGTTTCAAAGTACACCTTTTCAATTAATTCCAAAATCTTCTGAGCATTTTTTAAAAACTTTTTCCAAACCCCTACATCCAGGCCTCTCAAATCATTTTCTTTCCTATACCCAATGTTCATAGCTGCTATAAGAACAGGCTTTTGTCATATTAAATCTGTATGATAAAATGGAAAAGCTAGTCAGAGAGTCAAAGTACCTCAGCTCATGTCTTCGATCGTTCTTGAGCAAGTCACTAATGTTCCCTCTTCCTTGGAAGGACACTTTAGCACTAGTTCAACAATATAGTCTTTTTTGTTGTTGTTGTAATCTATGGATACCTATGATTTTATACTAGATTTGTAGGAAAAGATTAGTTGAAAAACTTTATTTTTACTAGAAAACACATTTGCTTGAGAAACTTAAGTCAATTAATAATGATTCAATAGAGCAAGGTGACTGAGATCATGGCTTAAGGCTGACTGGCTTCAAATCCTTATTCCACTACTAACCTAGCATGAGACTTGGAGCAATATTCTGAACCTCAGTTATCTTATCCTTTTAGTGGGGATTTTAAAAAGTACCTCCTTTTTGTGAGGTTGGTCAATGGGTACAAATATACAGTCAGAAGGTGTAAGTTCTAATGTTCTGTAGTAGAGTAGGGTGACTTGTTAGCAGCAACATATTGCATATTTCAAAGTAGCCGGAAGAAAGAACTTGAGATGTTCTCAACACATAGAAATGATAAAGACTCAAGGTGATGAATGTCCCAAATACCCTGACTTGATCACTACACATTGTATGCATGCAACAAAATATCCCATGCCCCCATAAATATGTAAAATATTATGTATCGATGAACAAAGTACCTCTTTTTTTGGTGGGTGTGTGTGTGCACATGCACTCACACATGTGTGAAGATAATTGAGTTAATACATGTGAAGCACTTAGAAAAGTAAATGAATGATACATAACATGTGTTCAATAAATTAAATAATTATAATAATTATTCAGAAAAGGGATACATACAAAGGATATTAAGCTGCTTGAATCTACAAGATTTGGTGATTGATTCCAAAGACAGTAAAGAACCCCTGTAACTTCCCACATAAGAGGCAGGGGTGGCATAACAGCTGCAGCAGCAGTCAGTGAAGAGAGAGGCTGAGCCACACACTGGGGTTGATCACTCCATGGACAGAAGCAGCTGAGCCCTGATGGATATTTAAATAAAACTGCATATCCTAAGGTCATTATAGTATGCACAGCACACAGGGCTTATAAAGTCTTAGATAAAAGGTTTAGTAATGTAATTTAAAATAATATTTCTTTTCCTTGGACCCACATTTACATTACTCATGCTGGGATTTCACCCACTTGGTATGGCCATTTCCTATTTAAGAGTTACTGTTTTCATTTCCTCATCTTCTCTTGGCATTCCTGTCCTTAGAATCCAACAGCACCCACCACCAGAGGAGGAGAAGCCACTCATGCTGTAAACTCAGAGTGAACAGCACACACTTGATCAACAGGCATGGACCATATCCTACTCCAGGTACACTGTCTCCTGAGATGGGCTGGTCTCCAGAGAAATATCCCTCCCTCTAGCTCCATACCTTTACTAATCGCTACTAATGACAGGAAACCTAAGATGAATTGCTGCATGTTCCAAATTAACTATGTGCAAATAGGATTCAAAACTAAAGAACTAAAGAATTGACTCACAACTTGTTTTTATTCTTCTATTTATTTTGACAGGTTCTTATAATTTTCTTATATAGGAAAATTACGTGTGTGTATATATATATGTAGACACATAAACTTCATAAAAATATATACTTCATAAAGAATACATATTTAAATAGTTGTCTACACAATGCAACTTCCATCACTATATATTACATAGGGAGATTTCTAGATTTAACCACCAAAAAATACAATCCAAAAATTGCACTTAGGAAACCCAAAGAGGCCCAGCAAAACTCAAAGGTATAGAACATCCAAACACAGGCCTACCTATAAAAATAACTACCATGGCGAAGCATAAAAATGAGAAAATGTTTGCACCAAAGTCAAGATTCTTTATGATTGTCTCAACACCATTCTATAGGGAGCAAACCCTAATGAGATATCCCTAACAAAGCCACTCCCTAATAGTTGATTAATTACTCATAAAAGTTTATTAAAGGATTAATGCATACCTTAAACATGTAACTTTAACATAAAATACATAACTATAAGCTCATTCACCAATCGCTTCAGAAAGGTCAAGCCCTCTTACCCAGCCACTCCTCCTCCCCTCAGGAATTTCTGTGGGTTAGAATTTTAGTGTTCTATTTTTTGACACAGGGTCTGACTCTATAAGCCAGGCTGGAGTGCAGTGGTGCAATTACAGCTCACCTTGACTTCCCAGGCTCAGCTGATTCTCCCATCAGTCAGCCTCCTGAGGAGCTGGGAATACAGGCTTGTGCCACCAGGCCCAGCTAATTTTTTTGTTGTTTTTAGTAAAGGTGGGGTTTTGCCATGTTGCCCAAGTTTACCTTTTTTTTTTAAAAAAAAAAAGATTGACTTTTTAGAATCAGGGGTTACATGTACAGGTTTGTTACAAATGTATATGGTGTGATTCTGAGTTTGGAGTACAAGTGACCCCGTCACTCAGGTGCTATGCATAGTAAGCAACAGGTAGCTTTTCAACCCTTGCCCTCCTCTCTCTCTCTCCACTCTAGTATTCCCAGTGTCTATTGTTGCCATCTTTACGCCCATGTATGCCCAATGCTACCACTTACAAGTGGGAACATTCCGTATTTGGTTTTTTACTCCTGTGTTATCTCACTTAGGACAACGGCCTCCAGCTGCATCTATGTTTCTGCAAAGGACATGATTTCATTCTTTTTTATAACTGTGTAGTTTTCCAAGGTGTGTATGCACATTTCCTTTATTCAATCCACCGCTGATGTGCATCTAGGTTGATTCCATGTCTTGCTGTTGTGAATCGTGCTGCAATAAACATCTGAGTGCTTGTTTCTTTTTGATAGATCAGTTTATTTTTCCTTGGGTATATATCCAGTAATGATCTGCTCTGTCTTGCATGAAACAGCAGATAGAGTTAATTGTCTGTGATTTCCATTTAGGCATTCTCTAAAAATAAAGCAATAACTTAGGAATACTTAAAAAACAACCTTCTAGATGTTATATCTTGGCAGAAACTTTCTGGAAACTAGTTTTTTCCTGGCATTTAACTTGGTTTCCCAGAAGCAACCTTTACACAGGCACATTTCATTAATTTACATAATATTTAATTAAAATATATAAGTACAACTGGTATCAGCAAGTTTGAAAACAACAAAAATTGATTCTTGTAAACACCTAGCAACTGCTAGGTGCAAAAGTATGTGGGCCCACTAAAAAATAAGCTACAGCTGCAAGCAATCAGTGAGTCACAGGCATCAGTCAGATTGTTTTAGAGTGGGAACAGTGTGTCTTGGAGCCAGAAAGGAACGTAAATGGGTTAGTTAAGAAAGTTAGTACTAGAAATGGAAATTATGTTATTAAAAATAAGATTGTCCTACGAGGTTATACCAGTTAGCTATTGCCACAGTAATGCCACATAACAAACTACCCCAAACTCAACGGCATATGCCAATAAGCATTCTATTCTCATGCTCCTGGATTCCCAACTCAGCTGTGATCTAAGTAGGCCAGTGGCTCTGCTTCAAACAGTAGGTCTAACTGAGCTTGACTCCCCACTACAGATTGTGCTATGTCTACTCTATACATACTCGTTGAGGCACCCAGACCGAAGATGCAGCAACTACCTGGGGAAGTTCTTCCCCTGGCAATAGCAAAGCACAACACACCTTTTAAACCTAGTGTCACGAATGCTAACATTCCATTGGCCAAAGGGAGTCACACAGCCATACCAGAAGTCAAGGGACAGGTAGTAGACACCACCATCTTAGATGCCAAAGAAAGTCACAGGCCAAGGTCAAGATCCTGGCGTGAGTAAATATACTCCTCCCATGAAGATGGGGGAAGCAAGTGAATATTTTCAACTTTCCACCTCATGTACCAAGATAAAATGCTTACTCGCAGTCCTAAATATGTAAAATTCTGCTTAAAACTAATTTTCAGTGTCACTTTTGGCTCTAACTTCTGTGATTTTACAATTTTGTGACTCATTTGATAAAAATGTATTATACTGCTAGGCTGATTGGCAATATTAATACAAATAAAAAAGGGTTAATGTATTAGCCATTGTTTTGTAAAATAGTTTGTGCTAAAGAAAATATTTTGGTTCGGGACTATTTGCCCATGCAAATTCAAGCACAAAGAACTACAATTTGGCAGAAAAAGTATTCTGTCATGTGTCAACAAAGTGGCCTCTTTTTCATATTCAGTACTTGATTTAATAAGATATGAGATTCTTTTTAAAAAATATTGTTACTTTATATGTATCACACACATAAACGTGATCAACTATGCACTCTGAAAATTTATTCAAATCTTAATGGTGAAAACATTCTAAAGATGAGATACCTAATCCAACTTCTTCATTTCTTAACCTAGGAGAGTTGCTAGAAAACTGGAATTATGAAAAATAAAAGGTTATAAGCAAGCATAAATGTACATAAGTCTTGCATTTAAGAATCATTATCATCCAAATGAACATTTAGAGGTATTTCTTATTTTACACAACTCATGTGCTCCTGAAAAGTAAACCAATCAATTGGTAGCTACATGTTACATTGCTGGTAGAGACTTAAGTGTGGTCTTCTGAAGTGAAGAGGAGTAGTGAGATGGTGAACATGATGAACCTAACAATCAAGGTGGACTTTGAAGGGCAGATAGGTGTTGGATAAAATGAAAGAAAGTAAGGAAACAGATTCCAGAAAAGCTGGGGGAGGGGTGTCATAAATCAAGTCATGGAAATAAGAATAAGCATGCTTATTCTTATGTTTGCCAATCAGTAGAACCAAAGATGAGCCAAGAGGCCTGTTCGCATTTAGAAAAAAAAATAAGGTTGAATAAGGTTGAAGCCATTTATTGCAGCATTAGAAATCCAGACACAGGAGTTTGGATTTCATATGGTAAAGGTGTTAAATGTAAGTGGCTAAAAGTGGGAAATTACTCTGGCAACATGGAAGGATTGCTAGGGAGAAAGAAAAGAGAGATAAACGTCTTGGAGAGGGCTGCATCCCTAATCCAGCATGAGACAAGAAGATGAGGGTCTGGCCTAGGATTATGGCACCCGTGACAAAGAGATGGATGGAGAGGCTCCTACTTTCAGTGTGGTACCTGGGAAGACTAGAGAATCAAGGTTTGGCGTTCATGGCACACACTACAACAGAAGTTCCCTGTTACTGCTGCTATGGTTTGCATGTTGCGCTAAATACCTGACAAACATAGCTAAAATATCGAAGTAACTACTGTGTATGTGTGCAAATAGGGCCACCTTTTAGAACTGTCTCTTAACCATCCCCATTTACAAAGTTGCCGTGCTTTCATAGGAACCTAAAAGTTTCCAAAATCTGTGAAAAGCTCTTTATGTAAACATCTGTAGAAGTAAACAGCACAGCAAAATAAACATATAAGAAAAAGTGCCCACAGACTCATAGAGAAGGTCAAGAGTTCAGTGTTCTATTTTCTTTTCCACTTTAAAAAAGGTAAAATGAGACTATTAAGATGATATTTAAGATAAATATAATATAGCTCTGTCCCTAAACTAGTAAAGAAAACACAGAAATAGAAAAATATAAAGCTTTTAACTAAATGTAAAATATTTTCAAAGGTTTAAAAATATCTGTACACTCTCGGCCAAGATGTTTTCTAGAAGAGGTCCCATATAGGTTAATTACTTGAAAATTCTTTAAAATTGACATATTGTATTTACAGAAGACAAGAGTTGAAAAGAAACCTGAAATGGTCAAGAAAATTAATACTTCTGAAGTGCTAAAAAACCTGGGTCTTTAAATTTAAAGCTACCATTTAAAACATATTTATACTATTTAATTTCTTAGAAAACACCCTTTTGTCATTCATACAAAATCAAATATCAGTGACTCTCCAAGTTACTAGAAATTTTTAAATGAAGACCAAATCAAGAAGGTTTACAATATGTATTATTTCAGTAGTAAGTAGGGGTTTATTTGTTCAAAAAAAGAGAAATCTCCCTTAATTATGCTCAACCAATTCTCTATTGTCATGTTCTAAATTACTCATGTGAAGAAAACAGTGAAGAAAGAACACAGAAGAAAATTTGAAAATTCAAGAACCTTAGGGCTCAAAAAGGATATTGAGGATACAAACTGATTAAAGTAATAATGAAAGTTTCAGAAATATTAGGACTTAATTTTTTAATAAGGAAGCTGAGGAATACTATCATAATTTTCATTAAATTTTTGGTAACAGCAGACATTTCATTATGCGCTATAAAAACCAATGTGTTAAGCCCCGCACTAAACTTGCAACCTGCTGATAAACAAACCCGTCATAAAGTTGGTTTATTATATCAGAAATATTCTAATAAACATAATCATATTCTACAAATCAAGCAAGTGTACATGCTAACTTACATCAGCTCAGAAGAAGAATGGTTAAAGCAAATGAGGAGATAAGGACATCATTTTGTATCTTCGTAGAATAACAGGATCCAAGAGACTTAGAGCCCCATGCAGACATTAACTTAATCCTCAGAAATCTATTCTGACCAGAGCTTTATAGTCTTCCTCTAATTTAGTCCTGTAGCCCTTTCCATTCTTCTTCCCTCACCATCTTCTGGACCCTCTGACTTTCATTCCATTTTACTCAGAGGCTCTGTAACAACTTCATTTGCCAGCTTCTAAATTATTTTGATAAAGTGTATGATATTATACAGTTATTACAACTAGGACCGCAGGAAACATTACCAGATCGATATCACCATCTCCCATTAAATGGCAATTCAGTGTGTCAGTAATTTCCTTTTATTGCACTTCAAATCCTAAAATACCCAAGATCTTTTTTATTATGTCCTCTACAATCCCTGCAGGCTCAGAATGTTACAGAATCTAGAAAGGGGCAGGGATAGGAGGGAGGAGGGAGATGAGGCAGAAGGACTTAATAGGACTGCTACAAGGATGTTAAAGAAGTAATTTTACTTTTCCCCAAAAGTTGAAGCTATTTTAAAGGCAGAGATACAAGTTCCCCAGAAACAGATTTGGCATCACTTTTATAAAATACATGAGATAATGGCAGGGGGTGTAAAATTTGGGAAAACATAAAAACTGGTGGATCAGACTCATAATTTCACAGATACTATTGTTAGAATAGGCCGAGATTCATTTAAGTAAAATAGAGGATTGATTTATAGAAAAATGTGAGGTAAGTAGTGGTATGGGGGATGCCCAGCAAGGCCAACCTAGTTGAAAGAGCTATTAGGAAAAATCTGTTTATGAAAAAACATAGTCCTCCAGGCCCCTTGGAGTAAGCTTCTCCCAGTTTCCCTGTTGACAGACACAACACCGGGCAAGGCTCCTGGCCAGAGCTCCATCTGTCAGCTGGACAGCAGGTTTGCAGATGAATACTTTATTTTGCTCAACAGTTCTTAATTTTGCAAAAGGTCTAGCAAGCTTCCTTGGCAATACTTCCCTTAACAGGCCTATTCAAAGTCTTGCATAACAGAAGTAAGGATGGCCTGAGGATCCCTGTCCGTAACATTTCAGTCATTTGGGGCACATTTTCCCCAGGTTGTCACACCCCACACCCCATGTTCTCCTTAAACGGCACCTCTCCCATGCAGCTTTCCCTCTTCATTCTCTCCCATCCTCCCTTCAACCTACTTGTGATTTCCCCCCTTTAAATATCCATCACATTTTGCTTGTTTCTTTCTACTGGCCTAACTCATATTCTCCCTTTTATGTGGGTTATATTATATTATTCATTAGAAGCTCCTTGAGCAATAGGATCCATGTCTCATTTATCTCCCTGACCATCCTGTCCTCTAACCTATCAAGACCACTACTTAGTAATTCACAATATGTCATGCATTTACTAGGAACTCAGACAGTAGTTTAATTCTGTCATGAGAATGCAAAGTTTATGCTGGAACAGAGAATCCTTAACCAGAAATTGGCATAGCCCACTCGGCCTTATGTGCTTGATTTCTACTCTGCTTGGAGCTTTCCATGCAGGTGTGACTCCCAAGGAGCAGGGCAAAATGAACACTGGTAACCCCCTCCTCAATTTCCCCTTCAAGATTTTACAGCAGCTTTGCTGCTCCTTCCATCACCTCTCCATCTGATGTGTGCAGAACTTTACAACATCAATAATAGAGAGTTTCTTGATGCATAAGCTAGGGATTTTTCCTTCTGCAATCCCAGAGAAGGGAGATGGAGGACAACGACTGCTTGACAGAGTTGGTCTCAGTTCTTATAGGGCCATATAATGAAAAGAGTACAGTCTCACACAAACTACCCCCAAACTAAGAAAGAAGTGAAGGGAATCAGTATAGACTTATTCCAAGAGTTGTCACATACTGGTTAAAAAATGGGACAACAGTTTTGCAACATAAAGTAAATCCACTTCCAGCACGTAGAAGAAGGCAGAAAAAGAAAAGTCACATTTAAAAGATTGATGGGATCTGGCAGCATAGCTTCTTCAGATGAATGGGGCAAACCCAATTTACTAAGCCCAGCATATCAAAGCAAATTGTTACCTCTCTCTTTAAAACATAAATCAAAATAGCTACAGAAGGGAAGAGACAAATGAAGAATATTAAATGTCACTCAGTCAATCAGTATTTATTGCAACAACTATGTTGCAAGCACTGTTCTGGGCACTGGAGGGATAACAGTGAAACAGACAGATTTCCTACCCTTAAGGACCTTAAGCTTGTGCAGTAGAAGACAGAGAATACAACATATAAACAGTCCATTTCAAGTACTAAAATATGCTGTGAAGAAAACGAAATAAATGAGATATGATCATCCTAAGGGGGAGTGGCAGAGGAAGGACAGCATTAGCTAAGGTGGTCAGGAATGGCTGCTTGGAGGGGAGTGAGTAAATGAAGACAGAAAGCAGCAGAGGGAAGACATGAAGGACAAGGAAGCACATAGGGATATTGGGGAGGGTTAAGGTCCAGAGGGAAGGCCAGTGTGGCCCAGAGACTAGGGATTCAGTGGAAAGAGATGAAACCAGAGTTGCAGGCATGGAATCTTGAGGCTAAAGTAAGGAGTCTACATGTCACACTGGTCTTCATGGGAAGCCCCTGGAAGGTGTTATGGCACAAGGAAGTGAGGCAGCCTGATGAATACTCTGGCTCAGTATGCAGAATGGACTGTAGAGTGTGAGTCTAGAGGCAGGGCTTGGAGGCTGCTGCAGGAACACAAGGGAGAGATCCTGATGGCTTGAACAGGGGTTATAATAACAAAAATGACGAGAAGTGGCCTGCTTTGGGATATATTTTGGAAGTCAAACAGACAGGCTTTGCTAATGGATTGGATGTAAAAAATGAGGGAAAGAGAGGAATTGATGATGACCCCTCACTTTGGGTCCTAAGAAATTGGATGGATGGTGGTGCCATTTATGGAGATTGGAAAGACTGGGGTAAAAGTGGGTTTAGGGGTATAGTGGAATAACATTAGTTCTGTTTAGACATGTATGTATATGATATTTCTCAAATATCTAAGTGGGAGTCCAATTGGATATATAGATTTAAGAATAGCCAATATATAATATTTATTTATTTATTTATTTATTGAGGTGAAGTTTTGCTCTTGTCCCCCAGGCTGTAGAGCAATGGCACGATCTCGGCTCACTGCAACCTCTGCCTCCTGGGTTCAAGTGATTCTCCTGTCTCAGCCTCCTGAGTAGCTGGGATTACAGGCATGTGCCACCATGCCCAGCAATTTTTTTTTTTTTGTATTTTTATTAGAGACGAGGTTTCACCATGTTGGCCAGACTGATCTTGAACTCCTGACCTCAGGTGATACACCCGCCTCTGCCTCCCAAAATGCTGGGATTACAGGTGTGAGCCACTGCACTTGGCCCCAGTAGATGATATTTAAAACCAGTAGACTAGATGATATCACTAGTGGGAGAGAACAATGTTGACAAAAAGGAAGGAGACCCAAGTTCAAGCTCTGAAACATTCTCAATATTTAGAGGGTGGTAGGAGGATCAATAAAGGAGACTGAGAAAGAAAGGCCAGTGAAGTGGGAGGAAAACCAGGGCAAGGTAATATAATTGAAGTCCAGAATATAAAGTATTTTAAGAAGATGGAAGTAGTCATATGTACCAAACGCTGCTGAGAGACATCACCCTCTCTGGCAGCTTAGCATCTTAAAGTTCAGATCAACAAGATGTCATCAATCACCTGGAAAGAGAGCCTTAATGGAGAGGACAGGAACCACAGCCAAAACAGTAAGCAGACATCTGATTCCTCAGATGCCTCACCATCAATTATTTCTGAAGTGTCCACACTAATAACTTAACGCATTTAAAAAGAAGTGAGCTTCAACAGACAGCAAGAAAATGAATTTTGGGGTGGCCCTAGAGGATGTAGAATAGAAAACTTCTCAAAGCTCAACTTTCTGGATGGGCTGCTGAATGGGAAGGGGAAGTGGGGTACAGTGGCTACATTGCTGTCAAGATAATGGAGTTCTTGGGACTTTATTCTGAAAATTATTTCCTCCCATTTCGAATATGGTGATACTCAAAACTAAGTACTCATGACATAAAAATAAATTAGAAAGAAGGTAGGTAAATATTGTATTGCCCAGGAAAGCTTGGCACTCTAGACATGCACGGTTTTATTATTACCCTTTCTTTTGCCATAACTTCTAATGAGAAATCCTCTTAATACAGTTTCCATATTATAACTTCAAACTACAAGGCTCTTCCAACAGATAGCATAAAGATCAGTTGAAAAGCAAAAAAGTTCTGCTTGTTCAAAGTATATGTCCCAGCTTCACTTTTTCATGAGATGTAGATAAAACTAGAAGAATAAAACTAAATCAATAGGATAATTTTCACTTTCATCTAAATACTTTGTGAAAGGAACCAGTGTCTACCTGACCCACTACATACTTGCTTGCTGGTGTGAACACAGACCTAAATGATTTGAATTCAGGGCACTTCTGAGTGGTCAGGGATCTAAATGGCCAGGCGAAAGAATGTTTCTAGCTCATTAAGACTATGCATCTCTCAGCTTCTATGGCATTTCTGGAATCTGTCAACATTGCGAGTCATATCATAACTATGAGGAAATGTTTTTAACTTAACTTTTGACCTTCAGTCTAATGAATCTTCTAATTCTACCAGTTCAAACTATTGAATAATTCAATAAATAGTGTTGTGACCCAAGGCAATTTGAGATATGTGATATTTTTCCTTTGAGATGAAGAGGGAAAAGGAGCTGATTCTGCATTCCATTCCAGCTCATCATGTTAAAAACACCTGAATACATCCATTTTAAATTTTTTCCCATACAAAGTAAAAGGCTGAAATGGAAAAAAATAATAGCTTCAAACCATAGTCTCCCTTTACTGCAACAAAAATCTCCCTTGAAAATGTTTCTTTTTTCTTCCCCTTTCCTTAAAAGGAGGAAAATTGTTAGTTGGAACACTGCTTACCAAGGGGTATGTTTTGTACATGTTTCTAAATGCCAATCAGAAGTTTTCTGAAGCCAATGGTAACTTATATTTTAGTCAATCTCCATGAATGCCTGGGGAAATATGTAAAACATTAATCAGGGTAACCACAGTTGCATAATTATCATCTGAATGGAAAAGAAGTAAATATAGAAGAGCAACCAGAGATTAAAATTAAGTTAGTGATGTGTCTCAAAGCTCAATTAGCTTCTATCTACGCAAGGAACCAAACTTTTACAAAGAATGGGGAAGGTTGGGGGTTAATTTTGAAATTACAGACTCAAGGAAAATTATTTTTATCTTTTAAAAATTAAAAAAAAAAAAGGAAATCTATACCAATTTCTGTTACAATTGTCAAACATGTTCAGATTTTTCCAAAGTACGTCATATAATCTATGGAAAAGATCTCTGTTTAGGGAAGTTAAGGCAGCTAGGTCCATTCTCTTCATCACTAAGGAGCTGAGTGGCTTTAATGTGGGGTAGTGGAAAAGGTATGGGCATTGGCAGTACAAAGGCTTAAATTCAAAACCTATCTCTGCCTCTTGCTGTGTTTCCCTGGGCAAGGTCCTCAACCTCTCTGAGTATCAGTTACCCCACATGTGAAATGGGGATAATAGCTATCTGTCAGGGCTAAGATTAAATGAGATAAGGTACTGAAAGCTATTAGCACAGAGTTGGGACCAGTGTTTGTTTTCTTTCTCCTTTTCCTTCTCTGAACTGATTAGGTTTTTTTTTTTTTTTTGAAGGACTTAGGGCAGATAACTTAAATTCCTTTAATACTCTAAAAGCCTATAATGCTGGTAATGTACACTGAAGGAAGAAAAACCTCAATTTTCAGTAATTTGTGCACCTACAAGACAAAGCGCTACTTCATTCAATCTGAAAACCAACTCCCCAGAGCCTAATAAATAAGTGTTAATACATGTCATCCTGCAAAGGACACAGCCTTACGCAGTTCCATAAAGGATTTTCACAGATTTGAATTACTTAATTTTAAGGTGTTAGCTTAGGAAAAGAGTATCAGCAAATAAATAATGATAAGCAATAACTTCCGATGAGAACAGAATTAAAGATTTCTTTTTATTTTCCTTTAATATTCTTCTAGGTAAAACTATGTTTCAGCAACTTAAATCAGAGGATATAAAAAATGGATAGGAGGTGAGAAGTCTAACTGGTAGATCATTTTCTTTGGGATCATTTCCCACCACCACTTTTTTTTTTTTCTTTTCATACTTCCAAACCCTGGAGCTGCTCCCTTCTAAAAGCTACTGTTCCCAAGCTGCCACTCTTGGCCCAAGGACCCTCCGCCAAACTCTGTGCTCTTTCCAGGTTCCTAAGGAGACCTCCAGCTTCTGTGGTCTCCTTCCCCTTGTCCGGAGTCAATACATATCCATCATTCTCTTCTTATGCTTAAAGTTAACTAATCAGAACTAATTACCTAATTAGATTTCTGGGAAAAGGTTTCAGCATTTACTTAGAAATTCTTTAAGAACAAGAAAGAATGTGCCCAAAATTAGCAATCTCAACACCATTTCCATCTTTAAGAAATGTAGGCACATACAAATAAATAAGAACTTGTCTTTGCCCCCATTTTTTTCTGTCTTGAATAATAAAGAACATGATAAAGTCATGAATGCCAAATAGGCTTCTTTTTGAGTAAGCATTTTCAATAAGCGAGTTGGTGCAAAAGTCGGCAGGATGGGAATTGAGAAAGCTACACCCGCGTGACAGGCAAGGCAGTGTCAGGCAGGCAGCCTCTCAATGCCCTTCCACACCAGACTGGAGCAGTGGCAAAGTCCAAAGTTCTTTCAGAAGATTTATATCAGCCCAGAGCAGCACACAGACACATGCTAATGGGCCATTTGCTCACAGAATGTAACTCCATGGGTGATATGCCAGAGTTAACTGAGAATTATGGAGCATGAATCACAGAGAATGAAGATCATCAGGTGAAATCAGGAAAAGGCACCCAAGAACCAAGCCTAGATTTTCTAATGGCATTTCCATAAAACTTCTGGCAAATATTCACCATCCCAACAAACAGAAGAAACACTCTCTCTACAAAATGGAACAAGGAATTAGTCTCTGCAATTTCTGCCATCCCTGAGCAGAGAGCTTGCTACTCGAGGATGGGCAAAAAGGCTTTTTCAGCCACAGACACTCCAGACTGAGAAGGCTGAGGCTGTTAGAGTGGAAAGGGACGTGTGTTTCTCAAAGGCAAAATGTTCTACTAAATTCCCTAATATAACATATACCCGCTAGAATTAATAAAAGGAATGAAAACACCCTAGATTACACTTAATTTTCTGACACAGACAGTGATAAAAGCTGAAAAGTACCTATCAACTGAGGCCACACAGCTCAATATGCCTCCCTAATGACATTTTATCAAAGAGGATTTGTACGTGTCAAACACGGAATAAATAGCATTTTGGTCCTGAAGACACTTCCTCAGCTCCTGCCCATACTAAAGAGAAAATACATTGTCGAGGGTATTTAGACACTTTTTCATAGTGAGGCCAGGTTCTCAAACTAGAGAATGAAATAAACCATATGAATGGCTCAGAGAGCTACTTCAATGAATTTCGAAGAGAAATGTCTTTTTCCCTTAATGAAACACTAGTTGGTATTCCTTTAAAAGAGGCATTTAGAACCTAAGATAAATCTCCTTGCAAGTCAAAGTCTTGGAGGAAAATATTACAAATTGTATCCTATGTTCAATAATAAAAAGTAATTATTGAAGCCATAATTTTAGCTGGGACAAATGTTAAAGTTAAGTTCAAAAAACATCAAGAAATGATGGACTTGAAAAGGCCAAGGTAGAAAGGAAGGAAGGGAAAAAGAGGTCTGGAGCGTCCTGCCCTTTCCCCAATGCTATGATCTGAATATTTGTCTTCCCCAAAGATGTATGTGTTGAATCTAACCCCAAGGTGGTACTAACAGGTGGGACCTTTAGGAGGTGATTAAATCATGAGGGTAGAGTCTCATGAGTGGGGTTAGTGCCTTACAAAAGAGGCACCAGAGAGCTGCCTTGCCCCTTCTACCATATAGAAACACAAGGAGATGACATTGTCCATGAGCTAGGAAATGGACTCTCACTAGATAACGAATCTGCCAGTGCCTTGACCTTGGACTTACCAGCCTCCAGGACTGTGAGAAATAAATTTCTGTTATTTATAGCCTACTTAGTTTATGGTATTTTGGTTATAGCAGCCCAAATGATCTAAGACACCCAACCTTAGTAATCCCCCAGATTCTCCCAACCCCACACCAGAAGTGTTCCCCTTGCCCTCTAAGAGAAGGCTTAGTACCATAGTATAATTTCCTGTTTACTCATTTGCCTTCCCCAGAGACTGGGATGCTGTGAAGACAGAAAAAGACGTCTTCCCCATTCACCAATTTATCTGCAGCTCCCAACACCATGCTTGGAACGCAGTCAATACTGAAGGGTAAGGGAGGGAGAAGAAAAACCATACGGCAGCGTAATAGAAGGAGAGGATATATAAAAGTATTTGTTTTTAATTTCCTTAACAATTTTTGTTCCTAGTCTAGTCAAGCAGAAGGCAATGTGTTTTCTATCACGCAAATACAGAGTTTCAGGGCCCAGGTCACTAAAAAATAAGTGAACTGGCTACAGCTGACTCTTCAGTGGTCCTCTTAATTCACATACTGAGTCCTGAAGAAGATACTCTAATATAAAAAGCTCCAGGGAACCTGTGGTGATTTCTAGACTCGGCTTAGCAATTATTTTGGTTTTTTTTTCAACCTTTTTTTTCCTTTACTGAGTGCTAAAAAACCCCCAACAGAATATTCACAGAATTCAGTCCTTATGATCTTAAAGGTGGGCATGGGGTGTCTCTGACTTGGAATCCTCTTTACCCAAGGAGATGTGGATTTCAAATCCAAGGTGAAATAAATACATGTTATTCTTTGAATGATTAACAGTAGGAAAGGTGTCTTATCTCTCACTGTGACCGCCCTAAAGAAAAGATGTCAGTGAAGCCCAGGTACGGCCAAGCCGAGTTCTGGGACCTCCACAAGGAGCCTGGAGTGAAAGACAGAATCTATGGCATCACTGGGAAGAAGCATGGCTAGTGTCTCTGTCACTTCTCTCACGAAGTCAGAAAACATAAAGTGCAAACCAAAGCAATATTCAGGATTCATGTGTTTATACTCTAAAAATGGAGAAAATGAAAATATTTCCATTGTCATAGCAACCTAGATTCCCCCACAGTTTAAATGCATGGTATGCAATAGCGGTTATTCTGAATTACTAGTTAAGCTCCCTCTAAATGCACAGTTTGCTCTACAAGGCAAAGGGTAGAGATGACTCTTAGTGTCCTTAAACCAACCCAAGATTGGTTTCTTCAATTTAACCATTTCAATACACATTTCACTTACATTATAGATAACTATTTTGTATCTCTTCTTCAAATGTGGAAACTGATGCAGTTAGCCCCTACTCTCCTGAAACATATACAACAAGAAAACAAGCCTTAGAATTGGAGTCTTAAAGTATTCCAGATACACATCTGAAGTAATTGTTAGTATCAGTGTTCATGTCTCTTAGTTTGTCATGAGACAAGGAAAATGTTATATTACTCTGATTTCTATTATTTATCATTTATATCATTAAATTAGCCAAAGTCAACAAAATGAGACCTTGAATGCACAAAGTAGAAGAGGCACACAGATAGAGTCGATGTGAGACGATGGGGTTGGCAGTGATTGGTCAATAGCTCAAGTATAACTACATGTCTATAGGTAAATTAACTACTCTGCAGCTTAATTTCTCAATCTGTAAAATGGGCATAATGATTATCTACTTTATAGCACTTCTCAGAGCACTGCCTCACTAGCGTAATGCCTGGAACCCAGTAGTTGTTCAGTATATGTCAGCTTTCTTTCCACTAAGGGCTAATATCAAATGCAGATCCCTGCTCTTGGGGCTTCTAGAAATATGGCTAACAAAAGACATCAAGATGAAAAAAGGGAGGGAGAAAATTAAAAGCAACACAAAGTAGGACATGATCAATGCTGACATGATACAATGGGCAAATGCTTCATAATTTGTTCATTTTTAATCATTTTGAATTAAAGTTAAAATTATAAGCATGCAAATATATATGCATCTCTCTCTATATATATATATATATACACACACACACACACACACTTATATTCAAATACCACATTTATCACTCAACATTTTAGAATAAATGAAATTTTACTCAGAAGATCCAATATTCACATCTCCTGTAATCTTCACATCAGAAAGAAAATTTCAGAGGAAGGAAGAAAAGTTTTTCACAAATCCTTAAAAATCTTTATAAAGCAATGATACAGATATTGCTCCCATAGCATTGATATGAAATCTTTTTCAAGAAATCAATTTTCTATATACAACTGTCTAATGTAACACAAGGGCAAACATTATATAATATGTGTGTGTGTGGTGTGTGTGTGTGTATATGTGTGTGTATATATATTCCAGACCAAATTCCAGACTCTGCTATGACATAAAAACCCCGAGGAAAACCAGAATAAGTGAATCGAGAAAAAAAAAATGATGGACAGAATGCCTAGAATTGTCGACAACACTCAACCCTCACAGGATTAACACAGAGAAATGCTGAACTACACAAATGGTCAACTCTCCAGCACTGAGCTGTGAATACTGGAAACAAAGCTGTGAAAACTGGAAACCAAGGATTCCCAGGTAGATGAGATCAACATGTCATTTATTAGAATCAACAATGTGGTATAGCATCCAGCTACAAAGTAATGAGGAATAAAAAAAAAAAGAGAGAAAACTGAAAGATTATTATGAGGGAACCGGGGCTAAAGAGAAATACCTACATTTCGGTAGCCACCTTGACGACAGTAATTGCCTCTATGATTCTGTATTCTTTTATTTATATGACAGCACTGGCAAGCATCCTTCAGAGCCATTTGCAACCACTTGCATTTTGGACAAGTGTTGTAAATTCAGACACATGGGCATTGTCAACCCATCCCGTATTCTGAGAATGTTTCCTAACTCTGGTCTTATCACAGTCCCATGTGGGACATTCTAGTTTTCTCAAGAGATATGTACTAAAATATCAAATAATTATCAAAATAAAGCTTGTTTCCATTTTCTTTCTGTAAATTACTAAAAATATATCATGCTGTATCCTGTTTCAGAGAGGTCTAGCAAAAACTCCACTGGATGGGGAAAGAAACTTGCCTAATTCCCTGAGACTCTGGATGTATCTGCTGCTCTTTTCTGAGTTCTGACCTGAGGGACCAGGCCAAGGATCACTGGTATCTCATAATGGCTCAGGGATTGGGTCTACCAACTCTGAGCTAAGGTTTCTTCAGCCAATGGGAAAGCTTGATATGTCAAATAACTCCTTTGAACTCAGTAAAGGTGACTACACATTTGCTCTTTCTATTCAGTCCTCAAAAGAACCATTGAAGCAACTTCTGGAAAAAGACACTACTTACAGGAAAACATATGAGAAGGAAAGATGAGGAATTCTGAAGGCTATTAAAACTACCCATGAGCTGTAATTACCAATCAAGGGCAGTTGAGGAGGTCTCCTTCTATTTCCTGATTTAGTCAATAGAATTTCCAATTTCCAATGAAATGTCACTTCTTAGGAGGTTCTTACCACTATTCCATCTTTTCAGATCCCTCTGTGTTAAGTGAAAGCTAATCTAATATGGTAGCCTCTTCTAATATGGTAGTTTCTTTAGGTCACATGGGAACAATGCTAGAGTCCATTTATTGTTCGAGAGACCTCAGAATTTAAAAAAAAAAGAGAGAGTAAATATGTATAAAGGAGAAACAACATAGAAATAAGAAAACCTGGAATGCAGGCAAAATAAAATAAAATACATTTAATTAGATAATTAATTAAAAGCCACAAATATGGGTAATTTTAAATAAAAAAGAATGGTAAAATGCCTTGTCATCCAACCAGCATGAATAGGTTAAAGAACTACTGGTTTGGAATTTCAAAGTACATTGCACTTAACCTAGTTGTGTTATTATTCTGATTTTTAAAATAAACCTCTGGAGCAATCAAGAATAAATATATGTTACAATGCCACCCAGGGATTGGAATAATACAAACGTTTGGAAGCTACAAGGCCCTTAGATTGAATGCTGTACTGAACTGGGTCCAACCGGTGGCTGTAATTTTGTTGTGCTACTCTGAGCTGAGCTAAAAAATCACACAGTTAGATTTTTGGACAGAAATTCTATATATAAGAAAATAGCCAAGTTAAAAGACAAAAAGAGCAAGAGAAAACTAAAGCATTGTTCCTAAAATATCTTACCCTACAGCACAGTTTCCAATCCTTCTGCATAAGAGGCCCCTTTAGTACCCAAAGTATAGTGGGGAATCCAGTTTTAATTCATTCAGTCTACAAACAATGCATGTCAGTCACATACTCTAATTACTCAGAGGTCTAAGGCCCCAGGTTGGAGACAATAGCTTAAAGATATCTTTAAACTGGGTGTAGCCCTCCTTACCTTTCCTATTTAATGATGTAAGCTCAGTAGATGGCTTTCTTGTTTGGATGAATTCCTCCTTATGTTCTAAAATTCCTCCTGTGAAGAAACTGAAATAATTTTGCCTCTGAAAATACTATCTTTTCACAGATTTCCTGAGCACAGGGATCTAGGATGATTTATGGGGACAACACTCATCTGAAGTAGTACATTGTCACAGCATTTTAAAATATGAATAAATGATACAATTCTTTCTCTTTCAATAACTCTGCCCTATAATAAACTATCAGCACACTACCCACAGATAATGACACAACAATTTTTCCCCAGCTATTGAAACTGCTTAACATCTGCGGACAAAAAGCAAACAGGATACCCACACTTAAGTTTTTTTACTGTCTGTCTGATGTCCTACATGTTGGCATACTCAGTCAGCTTGCAATTCTCAAAATTGTCTCGACTCTTGTATTAAAGGATGTTCTAAAGTCCACTTTGACTTATTAAAGAGAGGCCGGCTACTATACATACCCCCTCAGGTACAACCTAAGATGGTAACGACACTGTGTAAACTTCAAGATAGACAAGGGACCAGGTGATAATATTAACTTTACAATCTATTTGTTACAGATACATAAAATAGGCTTCCTGGTCTACATCATGAGTCCTGAATTAGTTCATGGCCCATTTCCTGTAACATACCTGGATGAAGCCTTGTTACACTGGTGCATTTACCCACAGAGCCTTAACAGCCTTAAAGAACTATTAAAAGTGGGAGTTTATAAAGATTTTAAAGAAATTGTCAGCAAAATTCAACTAAGGGATGTAAGTCCAGCTATTATTAAGCCATCAGTTCCAATTTCATGCCTTACCACTTCTATAACCAAGTAAGAAAGCTGATAAAGATTTCTTCTCTTCCTTTTCCCCATAGGGCAAAATTTCTAGAGCCTTGGGTCAAATATTTTTTAATATAACTCCTGAAAGAGAAATACGAGTTTGGGTTCAATCATACAAATGACCGCTCTTAAAACACACACACGCTTGTACACTCACACACACACACCACTTTAAGCTGCTAAATCTGGAATATTTCTAACAGGAAACAAAAACAAAACTGACGAACAGAAAGGGGTAGAGAGGAAAGGGGCTACAGCCAAGGGCTGCATCTGCCCAAGAAACCGGGTCACGCTGACAGGTTTTATCAAATGGGTGCTTAGAATTCTACATGACAGCTGTACAAAGCTCTTCAGCTTCACTTTCCTGCCTCAAAAATAGCAGCTGTTCAGGGTGTAATAGATCCTCTCCCTGGTAAGTAAAACTGTCTTATCTTTGAAAGACTTGAGGGCAAACTCAGTTCCATCTTAAAAACACCCCAGCCACATCTTCTGCTTTCCATCCCATCTAGGAAAAACACCAAAAGGAAGAGGAGATGAAAGCAGGTTGAAAATCTCTTCCTTTAAAAGCTGGAGATTTTGTTTAGGTTCCCTCCAGCACTGGGGAAAGTTCGGTCCTTTGGTTTTCAATGGCAGGTCTGGTTTCCTTCCAATTTATTTCAATTCAATAACATTTCAAGTAACTTAGAAGCCATATAATTATTTACAAGTTGTTAGATGTGGAGCAGGACTTCTGTTCTTTTGAAGTTCTAAGTTCTGAGCACAAACACATCCATACCACCAATCCAAGGTGGAACTCTTCTTGTGGCTTCGTACAGCTCTCCTTTTTTTATTTATTTTTATTTTTATTTATTTATTTTTTGTTAGCTTGTAATATTCATTTAAAGTCCATTCATGTCTTTTTTTTGGAAATTTCAATCCATTTCCTATTTACTACTCATTGTACAATTAGCCATAATTATAAACATGGCCAATGTATGTGCTGCTCAAAATTATTGCCATCTTAAGTGTCAAAGAAGAATCTTCTGCCTCTTCACAAATAATTAACATACCCTTCAGTCATTCTTTAAATTGTGTTTTTCCGCTTTAAATGTCAAGAGTTTAAATCTTATGCAGCAGGAGAAAGTTCATATTTCCATATTGTATTTCCTGCTCTTTCCTTTTCTTACTTTCTGAGAACTGCTTGAACCATTTCATTCTCTAATTCTCTTAAATAATTGAAATAAAGAATCCTAAGAATTAAAGGTGTATTTTACAGATGCAGGAGCATGCTCAGAGGGGCACAACCACTTAATATTGCAGTGCTAAGGAAGTGTCAGATCAGGATTAGAAAGAAAACTAGCTTGGCCATAGCTCTTTCCTGCCCAACAACTTCCACCCCCGCCCCCCACACACAGCCCAACCACATTCCTCCTTTCCTATCCAATTCTGTTAATGCCACCATCTTTCTCCTTGCCATCTAACCCCTAATCCTTCATCTTCCTCTCCATCCCACTCTGAATCAGTGGTTAAAGTGTTGGCTCTTCCACAAGGCCTTGGTCACTAGTTCTGTGTCTTCATTCCACCTGCTCCATCCCTTATTACAACTCTTCCTAACTCACCAGCCTCTACTGCATCTCTTTCTCTAACCCCCATGTGCCTCCAATTCCTTGTGTACACGGCCTGCCTCCAGGTAACTCTCCACTAATCATGGTTCTCATCATAATGTTAAGATGCTCACATTTTTTAGGGATGCACAACTGCCTAACAAATAAAGTTCTAGTGCTCTTCCTAACATCCAGGAATCTTGAAAATTTGGCCCCCATTTTATCTCCAACTACCATCCTCCACACAACCAAAACTCCAATCAAATGAAACCATACACAGCTCCCTCCCAGTGCATCTCTGTGTTCCCCAGCTGTGGGCTTCTTTCATGCTCCTATACCCAGTTGGAACATCTCCTTCTTGGCACAATCAAGACTGCAGCTAGTGCAAATGCCCTCTCCCACGATCCCTCAAGGCAGACCCCTTGTTTGAATATGACAGCACTTTGATCCCTTGGAGCTCTTGCCTTTGTATACCTAGTGCTTTAGTTTCTCCTGTCCATGACTTACTTCTCCTACTCAAGAAAGAAACACAGCAGTGTCTGTTTCACTTGTGGGTCCATCTCAGCTGTAACATGCTAGGCACATAGCAAGCACTCACACTTATTGTTCCAATGAATGTATTTGGGATCACAGAGGCTGGGTCTCTCTACTGGAGTATATTTATATACAGAGCCAAGTCTAGTCTGACACACATCAGCCAGTAATAAAACTTGAGAACAAGTAGATACTTTGTCATCCCTTAAGCAATGTGAATAATAGTAAATTACATTAAAACAGAACATGTATTGGGATATACCTGGGGGTGCAAGAAAGAAAGAGGTTTCATGTTCTTGGTACCAATAAAGTAACCAAGCAAGATAGGGGAATCCATATGTGAATGTTTGAGGTAAAAACTGATTGCATAATGCACGCTTTTGACCAGGAAACTCTGGTATGCAAACCTCTAAGCCACTCAACAAATATCTTTACAGTCCATGGAAAAGTAAAATGCTCAATCATAATTAGGTTATATTGTTCATTAAAATGTAGTTCTAACTGCACCCAAAACATTCATGAATGGAGATGAATCAGCAGTCAGTAATGACTTAAAAGGGACAAATCGAGTTATGTAATTCTGAGTTTCCAATCATGCATCAGTCTGATTTCTTCTCTTCCACATGTCTTCCCCTTGCCTGTCTTTACTCCACTACACTGCCATTTTTCAAAGGTTCCAGAGAAGGCCAGGAGTTTACAGTCTTGAAGAGAACTGGAACAGGTTGTACGCTTCACATTTTGTCGATATTTTTTTAGGCAATTTTTTCCTGCCTAAAATTTTGAAAGATGGAAAATCCATTAGGTAATTATGTCCGACCCAAGAGACCAATTCAAGATTGTTCCCTATAGTTCACTCTCCAGCAATTTTCCAGTCTACTTCCCTGGGGAAATGTTAAAGTCATCTCCCCCACAGCTACTTTCAAATTTACCCTAAACCTGGTACCACTGCAAAGCTTTAAATGTAAACTTTATAACAAGACCCAAGCTGAAATTACAAACAGCCGTTAAAACCAGGATCTCTGTTTTTTGCAAGGAGACAAGACAATCCTAGGTACAAATGGAAAAGATCACATCAGGCTTTTATGCATTTATGAGCCTCAGCATACCTGTTCTCCCACAAGTCTTAGCACATGGGAATTTATTTTTTGGTTCTGTCATTCTTAAAAGAAGTGACAACCTCTGAGGTAGGGACAAGAGTTTATTTGGATATTTTTTTTTAAGCTGACACCAGAAAGGTCAAGAGCAGGTTACAGAGTTCTAAAACCCTCAAAAATTCAGTAAGGAAGAGGAGCAAAGTTTGTTCATCAACATAGGACATGTTGCTACTATTACAAGGAATCCAAGCTTCCCAACAGCTGAGATTATACGATTTACAGCCTAATTGTGGTCAAGAGTACACAGCACTGGGATTAGGGAAGATCTGGATTCATATCCTGGCTGCACAACTTATTCGCTATATAATCTCAGACAAATTCAGTCAGGTCTCTAAACTTATTTTCTCAATTTAAAAATGAACCTAACAATACCTACCTCATAGAATTGTGATGAGCTTAACATAACATATGCATGATGCTTTTCACAAAACATCCTACGGCCCAGAGTAAATCCATAATAAATATTAATGTGATACAAACCTTTAAATTATGATTAAGCTTCAAAGAATCTCAGCACCTTGCATTTAGAAAGGGCTTGGTTTACACATGCCAAATGATACATGGATTTTCTTTTGGTTTCACACTTTGGTTTTCTAATTCCCTATCTCTTTTTTATTTATCTCCTTATTTGTTCATAATATTAATAACTCGAATTTTATCTTATGACCCACAGTGTTTTATCAACTCTATAAATGAGTCACATTTTTTCATATATTTTTCATATATATATATATAAACAATTGTGATCACTGGAAATTCCTAAACTTTAAATTCCAAATATTTAAAGCATTCCCTCTGTTGCTGAGGGAAATCAGGAGCATTTAATAATGTGTGTAGATTAAATAGTGTATACTCGTTTAAGGGCGATCTTCTCTGGACACCCATTTGCCTCCTGGAACTCCATGTCCTATTCCATAAAGGACCTATTTACTGTGCCAAAAGATAGATCCTAAATCAAAGAGAAACAATAAAAGGAGAGCTGAAAAAAACAGCCAAAGATATTCAGTGTTATTTAGACTCAGCAACAAGTTTTCTCTATTATCAGACTTCAATATCTTGAAAAGAATGATAGATTTTTGTGCTTTTTAGGACAGTTTTTCACAAAAAGCTAAGGATATTTACAGCAGAGTGCAACACTCTAGTTTTACTTAATTTTCTGTGTCATGGGGTAGATGTCACCTCCACATTTCGACTCTTTGGGCAATGAATGCTGTTTCTGGTTTCAGCCACTCCTGACATCTTTGTCATAACAAAGGCCCTGTTACCTATTCGCAACAGTGTGAAATATGAATGACATGGAATTTTTCCTTTACTTAGTTTTAGAGCAGGTTCATTCATATAGACCCTTTCCTTCAAATGTTGAGCACTTGCGCCAGACTCTGTTTCATTGCCATAAAATTCTATAGGGCAGGTGTTACTCTTATCCCCTCTTTGCAGAGGACACCGAGGCACAGAAAAGTTAGGAAAATTCCAACATCACAGCAGCTGAAGACTGGCACAGGAGGACCCAGTTCAGAGCAATATGTTCTTAAGTACTCTATTAGAATGCCTCCTTAATATTCAGAGTGCCCATAATGGCTCCTCTCCACTGGTGAAAATGTAGAAATCTGCTTGTTTCCTCAGTGATTCAATCAGTCATTCATATATTTAATATGCTTTTATGTAGTGAGTCCATACTCTGTGGCAAGGACTGTGCTAGGGAGTGAGTATCCAATGAGGTAGACAAATGTTGTATCTGCCCACGAGGTATTTGTAAGCTACTGAGAGTTTTTCCTTTTTTTTTTTTTTAAAAAAAAACCCTAAAATAAAAAATTATCTAATTAATTAAAACATTTTTAAACTAAAGTTAAAAGTATGCAAATAATTATTAAATAAAGTTAGGATCACTGCTACAAACCCAGGGAGGGGCCTGTGAGGGGACACAGCACAGGTAGCCACTTGGGTCTGAAGGGTCAGGGTACAGATCTCTCATGCTCTTCATAGGGACATTAGTCAGAGTTAACTTTAGCTGTAGCTTCCGCAAAGGCAAAGTAGCTATTATATTTGCTGCTATAAATTTTGGATATGTTTCCTGCTCAGTAGAAATGTTGATCCAATTGCTGATGTTAAAAAATAACAATGAGTGGCTGGGTGAGGTGGCTCACACCTGTAATCCCAGCACTTTGGGAGGCCGAGTAAGGCAGATTACCTGAGATCAGGAGTTCAAGATCAGCCTGGCTAACACGGTGAAAACCGATCTCTACTAAAAATACAAAAATTAGCTGGGCATGGTGGCAGGTGCCTGTAGCCCCAGCTACTCGGGAGGCTGAGGCAGGAGAAACTCTTCAACCTGGGAGGGGGAGGTTGCAGTGAGCCGAGATCATGCCATTGCACTCCAACCTGGGTGACAAGAGTGAAACTCCACCTCAAAAAATAATAATAATAATAACAATGAAAGATGGCTACCAACCCTCCCCTGACCTCACCATGGCTCTGTGTGACTCCTAGGAGTAAAATTTCCATAGGGTAACATGCCATAAGTAGTTTTCTACTTCCTAGCCTAACATCAAAAATTAGTTTGGAATTTATCCAAGTCTCCCCACTACCTAATGATTTGAAAGTTTTAATATATAAAAATGTCCTAATTTTCTCAAATGTTCAGTGGAGAGGGTTAATATTTCCAGCCAGCAGGATCTTAAACTGTTTGAAACTTCTTTACGCACATTGCCCCTTAAAATCTTTCTAAAATGCATTAATACAGCTTTTTATCTTTGTAACAGTCTGGTGAATAAAATAAAACTTATCTCTGATTAATTCAGAATCTTGGCTCCTTCTGCGAGATTTCTCAGGATATCAACATTTCTTAAATCTTGTCTCATTGTCCATATTTGGGTGTGGAGAACACAGCCCCTGGTGTGAAAGAGGGTGTACAATTTCAATAGATGACAGAAGGCAGCGTTGCTGGGCTTCTATGTGGCCTCTGTCTTCTAGGGAGCACAGTATACTGGGGAGAAAGAACGAGAGGATGATGCAAGAACTCTTAACCCAGAGCCCATCAGAGTGTGGTGATTCCTTTCCTTGCAACCAGAGAAGTTCTGCTTTTATCTGCTTTGAATTTGGAGCTTCTGTGAAGGATTTCAATGCAAATAAACGATGCCATTTCTTTACAAGTTTAGAAAACTACTGATAACTGATTTGAATTAGTAAGTATCCACATCCAAGTGAATCAAATCTCCAAGTGATCTAGGAATTTGCAATGTGATCTTTTCCAACTGAATATTCTATAACTCTGAATCTGCTTTCATCCCGGACCATTTACCTTGGATGTTTCTGCAGTAAACAAATTCCTCACAAAATCTGACTTTCTTAAAACTCACCTCTTAAAAAAGTACTAGGGAGAAAAAATATGACTAAACCACAGTCACAATTTTGACTAAAAATAGTATTGCTTCATATTAAAAGAAACCTGAGTTACTGTGAAGAAATGCTCTCTATAAATCCCACATACTTAAGCTTCCCAGTTGGTTTCCTTTCCAAAGAGCCAATAAATATGTCCTAGGTGTTCTTGGCAAGTGAGAGCACCAAGGCCCATTCCACAGAGGAACAGCTCAGAGCAGAAACCCAGGAAATATGCAAATCATATTAAGAACAAAGGGCAATGCTGATCACTAGGAAGTTAGTGTTTTACATGACTAATTATGCCAAGTTGACGATAGATCAACTGAAGAGAACCTCCAAAAAGAAGAGGGCTCAAATCTAAAGTACATTGGTAAGAGCAAGGGGAGCAGAAGGCATCCCAGAGATGGAAGAGTGGAAGGTTGGGTACATGGTGTGATGAACTTGTTTTGCTGCCTCTGAGTAGATGCATTTCTTAGCTCCACTCAGAAACAGGGAAAAGGGAGAACCAGCTTCAGCATTACAGCAAGAAACTTGGCCAGACTTGTGAGGGTCCTGCCTAGGGCCTCCCAGCACTGCCCAAAGGAAAGAAAAGGCATACTGCAAGGCACCCTGGGCAATGGGAGAGAGGCAAGTGAGCCTGCAAAACAGTGCCTGATTCAAGCAAAAGGCAGCAGTAAAAGGAAGGGGTGGCAATAATTGTAACAGGAGCAGGAGGTACCCAAGCTTTACTAGTGGTCTCAGTGTGATAGTCAAGCTGCCTAGGAAAAGCCAAATGGAATATCTGCAATGTATTCCTCCCTACCCAAAGTTCTAGAGGGCAGGAGGGGAGGATGGGGGCCTGATGAAGAGATGCCTTTTCAGCAGTTTTGCTGGTGGGGCTTCATAGAGAAATAATTAATCATATTGCTACTGGAGGAAGGTTTAGCTGCAGTTACTTGCTTATTCTTTGCCAAGTAAGTGGCCTAAGTCAGTGGGATTTGTGAATCTGTCTTTTAGAGCTCCCCTGATTCTGATGCACAGCCAGCATAGAGAACTATGTGTTAGGAAACAGCTTTCACACCAGCAAGTGACTGGACAGGGCCAAGGCACAACAGTAGAAAGAAAAGGAAATGAAACAAAAGAAAATGTAAGGAAAGGATACATGGTTCCAATACAGTGCTTGCAGCCAAGTAAATTCTTTGAGGTTCTCTGTTGACATGATTTAGAGAAAGACTGTTCTCTCTTTGATGTCATCTCAAAGAACCGTAAGCATAGGACTCCTATGAAATGGTCATAATGGTCCTAGCTCTACAGCTGTTTAACCATGCCAGTATAACCATGTCATACTGGTCACACTAACCAGTATGGTTTGTTAGTGTGGTCGAGATGCACACAAACAAAAGTAGTTAAACCCAAAGGATTTCACTTTTCATTCCATTCCATTGACCTTGCTTCATGCAGACACACAACTTAATAGAAAGAGCTCTCAATTCCAAGGGTTGTGCAAAAAGCTAGTGTTAGGCAAAGTTGCTAAATTAGTTTTCTGCATTTTCCCTTCTGACACTTCATTCTTCTCTGATGTGTGGGTTTTGACTCCAGAGGACCTCTGCAGAAGCTCCATCATGCCAAGCAGCTTCCATTCCTCACACATTTCTTAACAGCTCAAGGCATTCCAAGCCTTGCTAAGTCATGACGTGGTAACTGTTGAAAATGGAGTAACACAGAGGCCCAGATAACCTAAACATCTCTAAAAGTAACCAAAAGTTGGCTTGTGTAGAATTTTCAGGCCTGTTAAAGCAAAATAGAAGAAAAGATATGGTTTCCCAAGCATACTAATAGCATTTTCAACATACACTCAGCTTGCTGATAGAGCCTTTCTGGATCATCGGTAACTTACAATAATGGATAAAAGTAAATAAGATCTTGCTTACTCATTTATTATCTCTTTTCTCAAAAAACAATAAGCTTCATGAGGGTGAGACCTTATCTGTCTTGTTCATCATATACCCCTGGGGCTTGAGAAAGCCTGGCTAGAAGTAGGCACAGTAGGCACTCAAATTTCTTATTTATTCAATCAATACAAAAGTCATTCATAATTAAAAAATATAACTCATGGGTCTTTTCCCAGTAAACTGATGATTTTTAAACTATATTTCTACTTTAATTAATACTAAAATAAATTTGAAGTTTATAAGCATATTATTGGAGAAGTGAAAGGTAAGAAAACTAGAATAGGAAAACTAACTGGTTGTAGAAAAATCTACAATCAGATCATCATGAGGCAATTTTATTTCAGTAACTTCATCAATTATTTTCAAGTGTTTTAAGAATTAAGTACCTGCTTTTTTTGCCTGTCACATTCTAAATATTCCTAAAGAAATTAAGACAAATAATTGGATGCACTATATATAACATTACTTACACCATAGTTTTTAAGGAAGACAAGGATCTAAAACACATTTAGGTTCTATCACTTGTGTGAGCCCACCAACAAGTGAGGTAACCTCCCTTAGGTTCAAGGGCTTCATCTGTAAAGATGGATGACAGAACCTACCTCGGAAGCAATGAAACTGATCAGACTATCTAGACAGTACCTAGCACAGTGTCTGGTGAATAGTCAGTTTTTAATTAATAGTAATGCTTATTATTGCTGGAGGACTTGAATGTTTTTATTCTGGCTTAAAGGGAACTTTTCTGAATCTGTATATTTACTAAAAGTATCCTAAGAAAACACCACATGTACCATAGAATTTGACTGATCCACAGTAAATATGACTATCTTTATCACATCACTCCATTGATTTGACTTTCTGTAGCAACATTGTAAGAGCGGATGTCATTTTACTAAACTGGTGCAAAAGACACACTTATGCCTGCAAATTCTGTTTGCAAACTCCACTAAGAAACGACAGCTATTCCCAGAACATTTCTTGTCCTCTTCCTGCCTTACCCTTATAGAGAAAATACAAAAAATGGTTCTGAAGCAATGAAGTGGAAATTGGTTGAGAGACCTCCTTCCCAAGCCTCAATTGTTTTTCTCTTTCAAAGCACTGTCCCTCCAGAATAAGCCACTTCTCACATGTAAGAGTTTAGCAGCTCTTCAGAAGTCAGCTCTATTAATTACAGACATTCTTGAATGCAGTTTTGCTTTCTTTTTCCCTTCTGATGTATTAAATTTGCTGTCAGAAATTAATTCAGAAAGGAATAACCAAATACCTCCCAATTAAATCAGCTGTTAAACACTGCTTGGAATATAATTTTTTGTTGCTAATACTGGACTACCAACCTACAAAGTTGACTGACTTGTTATTTAAGAGGACGCTGGGCATTAATATTGTACAACTGCATAGGCCTTTCCATAAAAAATAGAAACTCTATTACTGGTTTATATTATAATAAAAATGCTTAGATGTTAAAATTAGAATACTCTCCCTTCAGTGTTCATATACCAGTTTGTGTCTGTAAACAGCAAGAAATGAATGTTTTAAGATCTGCCTATCAAACAAGAATTTAAAATGTCATATAACTGATTTATATTACAATTAAAAACTTAGATGCTAAAAATAGAAAAATATCCTTGCAGAATTTATGTACCACTTCGTATCTGTAAACAATAAGAAACAAATGGTTTAGGATTCATCTATAAAAGAATTTAAAATGTCCGGGGCAGAGAGCAATTAATCTTTTTAAATAAAAATAATAACAATAAGACTTCAACTCATAAAATTATTACAACCAGAAAATTTTAAGAGTGAAAGAAATCATACGTATCACCTCATCTATTTTTCTACCACAGGGAAGCACTTTATGACAGATGAAAGTCTGTTCTATCTTGCACCAGAATTATAGATTTGCAATCAGGTAATAATATCTGCAATTATTTACAAGAGTGGCATCTCATTATGTAGTTAATATTAAATCCTCTTCTTGGTTGTAAAGTCTCTCAAGCTCTCTCCAATGACTTCATGGGTGCAACACAAGAGCTTCCATCAGATGGAGGAGGGTTTGCTGCTGGCACCTCAGGTTTTTATAAGGTGTTTGCACTGTATTGAAATCTATTTCTTCATAATGACACTGTCTTTTGATGCTTCACTTTTGCATATGAAGCTGAAGGAGGGAATATGAAGTTCTTTGTTACTGTGATACGAGTATCAGTCTTTCCCAGCACTCTCAAGTCTACGCACACAAAAGCCAAGAAGCCTCTTAAAAGAGGGTGATTTATGAACTTGTAAAACCCAAGTCAATCAATATGTAATGAAGTAAAGAGAAAAAGAAAGAAAAGCAGGCAGGTGTGACAGAATGCTTGGTCGATGGCAATCACTGACATGCCTGGATTGAAAGCATTCAGTTCACTTGCTAAGACCTCCAATTCTGATAAACACTGATTGATGAGTGAGAGACATATTTCAGATTGCACGTGCCTCTGCGTTTTCCTTCTCCTAAGTCACAGGTGGTGAGTCTGTACACACAAACACAGGCTGCCTTATCACAATCTTCCATTCTCCTTCTGATCATCGTTGCCATCTCAATTACTCCCTGCAAGTTCATCTGAGGTAATGACGTCTGTTTCCAGAGTGATGCAGCTGTCAAAATGTTACCATATTTCATGAACAAAACGCAGGTACTTTAACTTACTTTTAAATAACAAATAAGTGTTTTAAAATGGCCACCCCAACCTTAAAATTTACCCTTAAATGTTATAAATATTAAAATGCTGAAATTTAGATGGCCAATTTGTGATGGACCACAGAATTCAGATGTTAGAATATTGGATTCTAGCCCTACTTAGTTATGTGATCGTAGGTAATCCATTCACTTTCTCCGAACCTCAATCTATCTGTAAGATTAAACCAGATTCATTCTAAAGTTTCTTCCAGCCCTAAAGTTCCATGATTCTTATATCTTTTTTGGATCATTAATGTAGCTATGTGTTTGGAATTTATTCTGCCCCTTGGGAATTGTCTGTATGGGCCAGGTAGTTTTAACAGAAACTATATGCCTTACTAAAATACATGTGAGTGTGTCATTTTGATATATTAAGTTTTGAAATCTTATGTTTGAATTCCAAGTACTGTTCCCATCAATTGCTTCTTTCTCTTTTTCCAATATCTACTATTTTCTACAATGACAATATAAACAAAGAAAATTGGGGGTAACTTTAAAATAAATTTAAAATTGTTTTCTTAATGTTTGCATTCTCAAAGTGCTGATGGGTGGCAAGTACAGGGTAAATTTTTCTGCACAGATTTAGTCAAAGCGTAAACTTTCATGCATTCTAGCAATACAGATATGGTATTTATAACACCTGACAGCTATTCTAGTAATCTTTCTCCAACATCCATTACCTTTCGTATTTACATCTTTCTTTTGGCAATTCCAAACTGGAGGAAAAGTATGCAGAGGGTAATGCCATCTGTATGAGACATGAAATCTAGTGTGAGATGTGTTGATTCAAATACTAAAAATGATATACTCTTCCAATTCATTTTATCTGATTTTTGCAACTGATACATGAGAGTATGAGATATAAATGCAGCCATTCCTGCAAAAAATAGTCTTCAAAGATGAATTTAAAACATAGCTCTCTTTTCTGTGGGTGAAAGAAAATGTTTGCATAGTAAGACTGAGGGAAAAAGGAAAGATGAGGGCAATAGGAAGATAACTCCTTTTGAAAGATGAATCCTCTATGGGGAAACCATTTTAATCATTTCTTTTAAATACTTCTTAAATGTTCATTTAAATGTTATTCTTATTTAATTTTAAAGTTATTATCTACATGAACTTGCTTTTTTTGAGACAGGGTCTTGCTGTGTTACCCAGACTAGAGTACAGTAGCCATTCACAGGTAGGAGCACAGCACACTACAGCCTCAAACTCCTGGACTCAAGGGATTCTCTAGCGTCAGCCTACTGAGTAGCTGCAACAACAGGCTCATGCCACAATGCCCTAAGAACTTGCATTTTTTAATGGAAAGGGATCTAGTTCATTTTTAGGAGGTAATCTGAAACTTGAAATCAGAAGCTTGAATATAAAAAAAAAAAAAAAAACAGGTGAACCTAAACATCTTACAATAGGCAGACTTCCGCAAAGAAGTCAGCCATAATACAGAGTTGAGTTTGCCAGCAAATGTTCGTCAATGCCTAACAACTGGTAATGCTTGGTAGGAAGACAGACTTGCTCTCTCTTTTATAGAGGAAATTGAAAAATGACTCCCTTCTGATTTGGAAGGGATAGTCACAGAAGTTTAAGTTACCAACACAGAGGTATCCCATGTGTCTGTAATCTTTCTTCACGCTTCTGCCAGGTGGAAAAAATGAGGAAAGAGTGAAAACGTGCGGTGAATTACTTCAGCAGTTGCAGAAGAGGCATGTCACACCAAGCAAGAGCAAAAGAGGACAAAAAGGAGCAGGGATTCGGGAGCCCTACAAAAGTAAAAAAAAAAAAAAGACATGGTTTCAAGGCTCAGCCATGTACCCAAAGTTAAGGCAGATACAGGTTCAGGTAAGGCAAGAGCCTTCTATATTTTGCCACTGTGTGTGAGCTCAAGGTCCACCCTGCTAACCTACCCAACACACTCACCTATATTCCTGACTACACTCATTCAGCTCCACATTAGGAGCCTAATTCCACAGCCACACCCCAGACCCTTGTCATTCCTTGGAACTGCCACGTCGCTGGAATCACTGAGACATCCCAACCTCTCTAGTAATTTCCAATCCTTCTGTCTCTCCAATTCCCTTAGAGCTCCCTCTAAACTGGTTCACTTTCACCAAGAGTTCTAGTCCTTTGACCTGTGACAAATGTATCAGTCTTAGTTTCATTTCTTTCTCCACCTAGTTTTCCTTAATATTCCTATTCATGAGCATCTTAAATTACATCATTTCATGTTCTTCTGACTCACATCTCTTGACAACCTGCAACTCTCAGTAACCTCTATGTTTTGTTTTCTGTAGTACCCAGGTTGCTGTGGACTACAGGAAGTTCCATATAACAGTGTGATGTATGTGTTCTAATATATGAGCTCTAACCCCAACACAGCCCCTGGTGCTGCCTGGTAAGCCTTGTACTTACATTTGGCATACTTGCTGCCACATTGTCTACTCCAAACCTTCATCAATTTCCTTAGAATCTCTACCTTTTCCACAATCATGTCAGTCTAGCCTAGCTGCCTACTTAATCAGTTGGAAAGTCTCTCACCTTCTTCCTTCTTCTCCTCCTCCCCCTGCTGAAATGATCCATATCCCCTCTTTGTCTTAGAGCAAATAGTTCCCCTTTTCCAGTCCAAGGTATACCAGCTGCACACTGTCTTAATCCTTTTCCTGTCCTGTTTCTTTGAAGAATTTTTCTCATTTAATTATCCCTCCTCTCCTACATTTTCATCTGCTCCCTTTTCAGTGCATGGTGCACAACTCATGGGGCACCACTCAGGAGACAATGCATCTGAAGCTCAGGCTCCTGTTTCTACCAGCCCTCTCCTCTCTGCCTACATGCATATTTGTTTTCCTCGTAGCCTCTTAAAAACCTTCCTGGGCCCAACTTTCTCCTTAAGCTTCAACTTCAACCACCTCCCCTTTCCTTTACTGCCAAACTTCTTAAAAGAGTATTCAGTACTTGCTGCCTCCACCTCCCTCTTCACTCCATCCACTGCCATCTGGCAGAGGTCCCTCCCCACATCCATTGAAATTGCTCAGTCGACAGTCAGTCATGGCATCCTAACTGCCAAGTCCAATGGCCTCTTTCAGCGTTCATCCACTTCCTCATCCTTAATCACCCTGCTGACAGGAGATGAGAGTGACGCATGCTTTCATTCTTGAAAATCTGATTCTTTGGCTTCCATGACACTCCCCTCCCCTGGGTCTTCCCCCATTGCGCAGATGGTTCTTTCTCTGATTCCTTTTCCTCTGCCCATTTCTTAAACCTGAATGTTCAAGTTCTATCCTCAACTATCATCTTTTCTTACTCTAAAGCAGGGGTTGCAAACTACAGCTCACTGGCCAAATCCAGCCAGTAGCCAGTTTTTGCAAATAAAGTTTTATTCAAACATAACCATGCCCCTTCATTCATATATTGTTTATGGCTGCTTTCAAGCTACAAAGGCAGAGTTGAATAGTTGTAATAGACACAGTGTGGCCCACAAAGGCTAAAATATTTACTGTCTGATCCTTTATAGAAAATGTTGGACAATCCCTCTCCAGAGAGCTTGCATAATGGCTCCCAAAGGGTGGTCCCAGAGCAGCAGCATTGACATTATCTAGGAATTTGTGTGATATACATTCTTTTTTATTATACTTTAAGTTCTGGGGTACATATGCAGAATGTGCAGGTTTGTTACATAGGTATACATGTGCCATGGTGGTTTGCTGCACCCATCAACCTGCCATCTACATTAGGTATTTCTCCTAATGCTGTTCCTCCCCTAGCCCGCCACCCCCCGACAGGCCCCGGTATGTGATATTCCCCTCCCTGTGTCCATGTGTTCTCATTATTCAACTCCCACTTATGAGTGAGAACATGCGATGTTTGGTTTTCTATTCTTGTGTTAGTTTGCTGAGAATGCTGGTTTCCAGCATCATCCATTTCCCTGAAAAGGACATGAACTCATCCTTTTTTTATGGCTGCATAGTATTCCATGGTGTATATGTGCCACATTTTCTTTATACAGTCTATCATTCATGGGCATTTGGGTTGGTTCCAGGTCTTTGCTATTGTGAACAGTGCTGCAATAACACATGTGTGCATGTATCTTTATAGTAGAATGATTTATAATCCTTTGGGTATATACCCAGTAATGGGATTACTGGGTCAGATGGTATTTCTAGTTCTAGATCCTTGAGGAATCACCACACTGTCTTCCACAATGGTTGAACTAATTTACACTCCTACCAAGAGTGTAAAAGCGTTCCTATTTCTCCACATCCTCTCCAACATCTGTTGTTTCCTGACTTTTTAATGATCGCTATTCTAACTGGTGTGAGATGATGCTCATCATCACTGGTCATTAGAGAAATGCAAATCAAAACCACAATGTGATATACAATTTTTAAGCCCCACCGTAAGCCTACTAAATCAGAAATTATGAGACTAGGTATAGGAATCTATGTTTTAACAAATGCTTCAAGTGATTCTGATGCTCATTAAAGTTTGAGAATTACTGGTCTATACAATCACCCTGGACAATCCCCAGGACTTTAGGTACCACCGATGCATGCACTGGTGACTCCTGATTAAAGCTCTACTGTGCTTGCTGTAAATTAGTATTTCCAACTACCAGATATTTCTACCTGCAAGCTCTTTTAGTCATTCAGCAAAACCTTTCTCAATACCTTTTATAGGGTAAGCTGTGATCTGTGCAAGAGCCAAGTTGCCAGATAAAATATGTCTCGTGCAACATTTGGGACATACTTGTGCTAAAGAATTAGTTGTTGTTTTTCAAATTTAACTGGGAGTCCGGATTTTTATGTACTCAATCTAGCAATCCCATAAAAGGGTTATAAAAGGAGGACTGAAAGGGTTTCTGCCCAAAAGAAGCACAAAGTTCAGCCAGGGAACCAATGACATAAACACAGTAAAAGAAAATATGATAATCTCAAAATCTCACCTTTCAAAAATTTACCTCCCTGTTCTGATGTTATTTAACAGCTGCACGGTCTTTGTGAGTTAAGCTACTTCAAAGTTCTCTTCTAAATACCCACACAAAAAAGAGATTCTGACTCTGGAGTTGAGGAAAGAGTGGTAAGGCAGAGAGTAACATTCTAATCAGGCGTGCATATAAGAAATGGACTAGAATATGAATCATAATGAATAATAAGAAAGACATTAAATTTATTCGGATGTTCTTTTCCTTAAATTTTGATCTTTATCAATTGTTATATGCAAAGAGTAATAACATAGTTGAAGCTTTCTATTTTAAAATATTTTAATAAAGATTGGTTCCATTGTTTAAAAATGATACCCAAATCAAAATTTCATGGTTTGGAATCTGGATCTAAAACTAAAGTCCTTGGCTTATGGTTCAAACTCCAGACCACAAACCAAAGTACTGTGGCTCATCTGGTAGCATTTTATCCTATTATCAGGACAAGGATCCAGGGAGAACTCTAACATTACATTTGCAAACACTGATGACAAGAGTCAGTGTGAAGCATTCTATTAACCAGTATGCTTTGTAACAAGAAAGCAGATTGCTAGAACAATAAATTTGGCAGGATGCAAAATATTTAACCTATTAATTTTTTTAAAGTTTTCTGAAAGTTTTCTATTTAGGAAAAAGACAAGTTTCTAAAACATAAAGCAAGTCTTTTTTTTTTAAATCAAGGCTTTCAACAAAAAACATTTCCATCTAACTCTGAGGAAATTCATTTTTAAAACTTTTCCCAAAAGCCCCAAAAGAAAACTTAACTGCTATTATAATTCACCGACGCCTGCACACATTCAATTGAATCATCTGTGGTAATGGAAACAATGACAGCAGAGACAAATGAAATTCAGACTTTATCTCAATTTAGCTAATACATACTCTTTAACTTTGTCTCCCCTTTTCATTTTATTCAATATTGGTTGATTTCAATTCAACAGCTCTTGTACTCAACACTTGTTTAGGTGGAAAAAAGAAGACAATAGGAAACAGGCAGCTGCCAGGCACTAGGATAATCTACAAATTCAATACAACTATTACCCAATTTTACATTTCTAGCATTGTTTCATAATCCCAAATGTACAACTCATAAATTATACTTGTTTCTTTACAAAAAATAACTTGCAAAGTTTAAGTGAAAGATTTTACCACAATTAAAAAAAAAACAGTCCTCCGAAAAGTACACATTTTTTTCCCTGGAACACATCCACTAAATAAAATAACATTTCCTTCTAATTGTTCCTTGGATAAATACGAATTGCCAGGATAGATCAAGAGCATCAAGCTCAGAACTCTGACTCCTTAAGTAGTAGTTACTGAATAATAATCCATGCCCAGCTCCTATATCAGGATGTGCCAGCACTGAATATAAGTCCTATTTCCAGGGGTGACCATAAGATTCAGATACGAAACCAATTCCCTGGTAGTTCAGAAACACACTTTCATGTATGAACAAGCAGAACACATGAACTACAGCAATATCAATTTTTCTTTCTTGATAATTGCCTATAGGTCTCATTTCATCCACAGATCTTAAACTCCTTGAGGTCAAGAACAGTGATTTATTTATCTCCTTGACCTCCTAGCACCCAGCAAGCTGCCTCAGTATAATAGGCTCCTGAGAACATTTATGAGTCAGTGAAGAACAGCATAGGAGATGAAAGATCCTACCAAAAAAAAGGTGGTTCTAAGCTTTTACTTTAAAAATTGCACTTAAGTTGCCATACAAATATTTTTCCCCTATTTTAACCACTAGTAGTTTTCTGTTGTCCTTTATTAAGATTGTGAAGGATTAATGCCTCTCAGCAGAATTCAAGAAAACCTGTCTTTATCAGATGTCTGAGTCCCTTACCATCAGTAGACAGGTAAGACACTTTGGAAAGGTCTGTTTTATAAAAGTCTAAAGCAGCATCTTTAAAGAATTTTGTGTTTGATTCGATACCTTAATCCAGGATTGTGTTCTTAATCCTTGAAAAGAGTCAAATCCTCATCCTAGAGTTCTCAATGTTAAACACAATAGTTGCTCAAATCACCTTTGCCATCAATGTCATCATTCTATTTCTTAATGTGTAGGAGATCACGGTGTAAGATGAATGTCCTTCTTTCTGGTTCCTAAGCTTTCTTATATCAAGTGTAAGAGTGTAAAGTGTGCTTTCCTTGAGTTAGCAGTGATTTTAGCCAAACTCTTAGTGCAGACTCAGTGTCTTGACAGCTTTGTATCTACAGGTGTGTAAAAATAACTCCACTGTGCCAAAATAATATAAAGAGAATAATTACTCAATTAGTTAACCATTTAAAACATGGCAAGTTTCTCAAACTTCAAAAGGCTCATTCAAATGGGATTTTTTTTAATTTTACTTTTACAAGCATATTTTAAAATAAAAACATCTATCAGACTAATGACTGATAAATAAATAATACCCTTTAACTAAGCAAATGAAACACCAGCAACATTCTGTATTCGTTAAAGGTAGTTGATTCTTACTGAATTAAAATTGGACCCCTCCACCTTCAGTAACTATTAATACATCTGCTCAATCAGATGAAATCAAATTTGAATTACAGAAAATTTAATTTTAAAATAAGTATTACATGAACATTTACCAGCACAGACCCATTTTCTGTGAAATATCTTTAAGAACTCATCACAGATGCAGGTAAATAAAATATCTATCTAAAAACAGAGTATTTTGCAATCATAAAAATACTTGAAACAGCAAAGAAACACATCACAAATGAGCTTTTGCAATACTGTCTTGGCATATAATTAAGTGTATCTTTTAAATATGAGTACTCCATTTGCTGAGGTGCCTGCAATGCTAAGAAGCAAAAGAGAGTTGCAAGGAGATCCTGAAATGAAAAGCCTTACTCACAAGGAGGAGCTCCCAAGAAGGAGCTGTTAAGCTCAGGAGCCTCAGATAGAAAGTCCAAAGCTAACAAAGAGTTAAACACCCAGGATAGCTCAGTAATGAATGCTTAGTAAGTTTGGCCAACGAATATCAAGTAGATACCAGGGCTAGAGCAACTGCTAAAGGGATGACCTCCTTGAATCTCATTTGCATAGCAATGAGATGTCACAAAGGCATTAAGTCTGAAACTGCAATGCTGTTTCTAATCCATGCTTTATTTTGTTGTGACATTAAGCAAACTGCTTTACAAAGTAAAAACAGAAATGATTCCAGCAATGTGGCAGGAAGGGGGGCATGGGGGGGATTCTACAAGGATGTGGATTATAAAATAGACTGGAAAACAGTTCTGCAAAAAGCTACTGAGTAACTGAGCAAAACCAGCTGAAAAGAACAATAAAATAATAACTTCCCAGGACATTTCCAAAAATGAGACCAGGTAAGTAAGTTGCTGGCTTTTGTCAATGGATATGTATTATTTGAGCCAAGAATAATGCATGTCTACTCACAACAGACAAAACAATATGTCAATAAAATGAGCCAAACTCACTCAAAATGTATCTGTTACAACCTTAGGCTGTATAGGCTGTTGTCTACATTGATGCAAAAACCTTCAATTACAGTTTGGGATTTGGTTTTTTGGGTTTTTTTTTTTTGGGGGGGTTTCATTTTGTTTCAAGTAATTGTGCTTGCAAGTATTACTATTAGTTACTACTAAGGGAGAGTGGGGGCTTTTACCTCTACCATGGAAGAATGCAACTTCTTTTAAATACACTGGATTAAATTACACATACAGCCATGGCTGCAAAAGAACAAGAAAAAACAGCATTGTAAGTCAAGCTTTTGTGTTACAAGCAGTTACAAACTGAAAAGACATTCAAGAAAATCTTGAATATTCAAGTTCTATCTGTATTTTTAAAAAAGGAGAAGAAAAGGAAAATGTTTCCAAGCTTTAAATGTCACAAGTTCACTTCTTTCCTAGAGTCTTATACATCAAATTCAAACTCAGTCACAGTACAATTAAATGAAAAAAATGTAAAACTAAAAAACCTCCTTGAACATGCACCTTATCCAGTTAGTTGTTTCACTGCAGTAATTGCCAAAGGACATAAAGATATCTGCTCATTTCTGTCATAAAGACAGGCAAAATGAAAGTGAACTTTTAGCTGCCTATTACTCAAATTCCTGAACCATCTTTCGAAAGGCATAAAAAATAACTCTTACCTTAGTGATTCTGATAGAACCTCAGGTTATTCACCAGACATTATGAATCTACTTCAGGCAATGAAATTAATATTTCAGTAAGTCCTCTTCCATGAAACAGGAAGCCTTTTAGTAATGACCTTGGACCAGATAATAGGAAAGGCAAGAAAAGCTGGGTCCAAAGCCAGAGGGTAATTGTGATTCAAAGACTCTTTTATGCAAATAAGACCCCTAATCAAGTTAATGCCGTTTTCTACATTTTATCTTCCATCTTTTTATTTACATTCAGCTGAGAAGCCAAAATCAGAAAACAGTAGATTTCCAACTTCCTAATTCAACCTCTCCTGTGCAAGCACAGCCATAGGGAACTGCATAACAGTCATTCAGAATCTTATAATAGCCCATTCCCAGGAGTAACATGACATGGACTCAAAGCAATTCTGAAGTTAGTTCCAGCAAGTGATAAATTACTCAGGCAGGGGGCAATAACCCACATTTATTGGGCACTGGTTAACTTTTCCACTTCCTTTTGTGGAGTCAGAGAGCCTGGAAAGGAAAAGTCATTTTCAAGAGGGAGCATCTGCACTGTTGACTCAGGAGATGCTCCATTTGCTTTCTGCTTCCTAGGTGCACACTCAAGTTTTAGAAACTCAAACCATATTTGCCATGCACGTGCAGATGTTTGAAGGGGTACTACAACCTGGAGAAGCTGGATGATTCTCCAGGATCACTATAGGATCACTATGAGTAAGGCTGAAGACAGGCCAGAAACCCAGAATCCAGTAAGAAAATAAATAGCAGTTGGCCCAGGGGGCTCTTTTAGGCAGAGGGGTAAAGAGCACAGGTTGTAGAGTTAGGATCCTATTCTGACACCTCCTGAACAATGTTACCTTGGGCAAGTCACTTAGAAGCTCTATGCCTCAATTTCTTTAGTAGAGAAATACCAATTTCTTTTGGTAGAGATAATAATAGTATTTGCCTCATAGAGTTGTTGGGGGATAAATGAGATAATACATGTAAAGCTCTCAGCAATGTTAGTTGTTATTAACAAACGCAAAAATGAATGAAAAGTTGCAAATGGCAAAGTTACAAACGAATGCACGTTACTGTTATTAATATTGTCAAGAACTCTTTTTTGATAGTCTACTATCAATTCAATACCAACTGACCAGCAGGAAGTTTAGAAGTACTCTGTTTTTTTCAGGATTCTTTATCCACATTCTTTTTTTCTCAAGTTTCCCACATAAACTTTATCATCTCTATGGTAAAAATAAGATAACAGAAACAGCCCTTCATAATTAAACACATGCATAGTATTTGTTCTCATTACTATTATTATTTAAATAATTTAGGGCAGTATAGTTCTGTGCAGGCTTCTCAAACTTGGATTGACAGCAGTTACAATAATGATTCCTAAAGTTCCTAGGTAAACAAAGATGAAATCTGGAGCATGAGCCCTTTCCCCATCTGTAACAGCCCCAGGCCACCCTAAGTAAGCATGCAATCTAAGCAAAAACAAAAAACAAAACAAACAAACAAAACCTGCTTGCTATACAAACGAAATTTCAAGATACCCTCAGTTCCTCTTCCAACCAGATTGCCCCCTCCGATTCCCTATGTGGACATTCCAGAGGTGTCTCTGAGTATATACTGGGAGCAACTTTTGGGTGGTCAATTTTACTTAAAGATTTAGGGGAGAAAATTTAAGTGCTTTGATGACTAAGTAAGTTAATATGTTTCACATTTAAACAAGCACATTATGGAACAGACTGTAAAATTAGCATAATTTTTGAAGAAAAATACTCAGCCCTCAAAGAAATCCACCTGATACTCATGTTCTATCTTTGGGCCCACACCCAGATTCTGAGAATATGAAACCCTCCTCCTTTCCCAGTATGGGGGCTGCTACTCTTGATGTTATTATCAACAAGAGCTTTAGATTCAAATCCCAACCCTGCCAATTAAGGCCTATGACCTTGTTTCTGCTCCTAACCCTATCTTTGTCACCTGTGAAATGATGATATTAATATCTACTTCATAGGACATGGGTGATGCCAGAACAAAAGTGCGTATGCAAAGAGTATGATAAAGTAGATACTCAATAAATCATAGCTATTTTCTTCTTTCCCCACACCACATTCCCATTTCCTACATCTTATTCAGGATCTCAGATAGTAATACTCAGAACTCCACCAAATACCACCTATAATTTCTCTTCAAGATGCTAAATTATTCTACCATCCAAAATCTACAATATCTCATTCATTCATTGGACCAGTATTCACTGAGTATTTTTTGGAAGGACTGTCTATGAGTGAAAGGGCTCAAGAGGCAAGAAAGTGTGTGTGAATACACTATTTCAGGTCACCATTCACAGATGACAGGTCTTCTGTGACACCAAAGGCTATAAAGCCTTCTCGTTTGGAAGAAGGAGGGCAGCAACATTAAAACATGCTGGAATTCCAGGTAACTCCAAAGTGGTATAATATTCTCACCAGTGTTCACTAGGATACTGGGGTCCACATTTAGTTCTCATCAGGGATATTAATAATGATTAAAAGTTATATAAAAGTCCAAGAAAAATAAGGGAAAAGTCCCTAGTCCCAAACAAAGGAGAGTCACCAAGTAGAAACTGTTCGAAATTGGTCACCAGTGTATCATCTACACAGCTTGCCTGTTTACTATCCAGTTGAATGGTAACATCGATCATACCATTTACACTCAGCACTCACAGACTGCTCCAGCCTGCCCGGAAATCTGCATGGAAGCAAAGGATCAAAATACCCTTTCATCTAAAGAACTGTGAATTAACTCTCTGCCTTTTTAATTACTCTCAATTACTTTCCCACTATTTATAAGGATTTTTTCTTTTGCATAACAAAATCCAACTCTAATCAATATATGCAGTATATCCCAGCTGATTAGTATAATTCTTGCTCCACCATGATGCTGGAATTGTGCCAACCTTACCTTACACACAATTAAATGTCTGGTAATGCCTGCTGCTACCCAGCAGGCCTCATGAGTTAATAGGGAAAAAACGGGATTTACATTTGCCTCTATCAGCCCCTATGTGCCCTTGCTCCCTCTCATCTGCTTATAGACATGTACAAAGTATGCCTGGAGAAATAAAGGCCTAAAACAATCACACAAAACTAAAAGGCATGGGAGCATGAAAAAAGGATCTCCAAAGTCTAACTCGTCATCTTCCCATTTCAGTAAATCTCGCCAGAAATAAGATATCCCTTTTCCTACCCAAGATCCCAACACTGAACTGTGAGCAAATTTTAAGTACAAGAAAGATTCAGGGATATAGACTCCAATATTATGAATTATGTGCAGTGTACCTCCGAGCCAATTTTTAATAAACACAGATCACTTAATAAGAAATTAAGAGCATTACACATTTCTCATGCTCCTGTGGATTTGGTGTTAATGAGATTTTGTTTGTTAAACTCACAGAATAACAAAGTGTCTAAAAGACAGACACAGCCTTTTCCAATTTCTATTCATTCAGGAAATAGTCATTGAATATTTTTTGTAGTAGGACATTCCCAAGACACGCACCTGCTCACGTGTTGATTTCACCAGCCTGCCCCTCAAATAATGAATATAGTGCAGTGTAATTGAACAAAAAAAAAGGAGAGGGGGATTTAAATTTTACAAGACTTGCATTTTTATCTATTCCATTATGAACTGTCACATTACTTCATACATTCGCTTTACATAGACAAGCATTATTATGTACCAGAAACTGTACCTCCAACTTTTAAAGAAAGATCTTCTTGCCCACAATGGTCACTATGGAGTGACCCATACCCCAGTGGGCATCTGGGCCTCAGAATATACTGGAAAGACTCAATCCCTTATGAGGTGTGTTGACTGTAACTTAGTGTAATAATAGTTACAGCACAGGTGTTTATGAATAATTTAATTTTTAAATAGAATTGAGAAAGGCTCCAAGGATTCTTATAATAATAACATTCTTACTTATGTGTTCTATGCTTTCTTGAGACACAAAGAACTCAGCACTGAGATATGCTCCTACCTCCCAGTCTATTTTACCTTCGACTGTGAACATCAAACGCCATGCAAATGTACTATTAGGTACATAACACCCTTATCATACATTCCTTGAAGACAAAGTGATGCTACTGAAAGGCGGCTGGACACCTGGATGCATCCAACATGCCCTCTTGATGTGTTCCCAACACTTGCTTAGAACATACAGGAAAGATCCAGAGCTTGAGCAGATCAGCCAATAAAGAGCATGTGTATTTATGCCTAGAGGATCTTTCCTCCAACTGTGAAATGTGGACCTCAGAAGTAATATATCTTTGCAGTACCAGAATCATAACGCAGTCTTAATAGCTCAAAGAGATATTTTTCAATATTTGGTCATAGATGGTCAATTGTGGAAGTCCATAATCACTAACCAAGTTGAACATAAACAAATAGAGTCATTCAATTTTAAATATTAAATACCAGCAAGATATAGCAATAAGAGTGGGAGACCAAAGGTTAATATGTTATCCCACTGAGCCCAGGGAATGATGGCCTATGGGAGAAAGAGACACCCGCGCAGGTAATTTCATTACAAGGCATGTGAACAGTGCTGCAATAATACCACAAAGTGTAGGGGGACCTGAGTGCAGAGATATGAAGAGACCATATAAGAGGTCAGGTGTAAGCAATACCTTCAGGACGGCATGGAGCTGCAACCAGTGACTACAGGAACTAGAGAGGGTTGGGAGAGATAAAGGGGCCAAGAAGTACCAAAGAGAGAAAAAGGCAGAGGGGCTGCAGAAGACAAGAGGCCCTGAGAGATGAGGGGAACTTCTCTGGATGCTCCAAAGGCTAGAAATGGGAGTGTCAGCAAAAGTACTGACATTGTCAGAGGTATGATTCTGGGTTGGACTGGCCTGGCCCTTCTGTCCAGAATTTTTTTTTTTTTTTTGAGAGATGGAGTCTTGCTCTGCCACCCAGGCTGGAGTGCAGTGGCGCAATCTTAGCTCACTGCAACCTCTGCCTCCTAGGTTGAAGCGATTCTCCTGCCTCAGCTTCCCAAGTAGCTGGGACTACAGGCATGTGCCACCACGCCCAGCTAATTTTTTTTTTTTTTTTTTTGAGACGGAGTCTCACTGTTGTCACCCAGGCTGGAGTTCAATGGCACAATCTCGGCTCATTGCAACCTCCGTCTCCTGGGTTCAAGAGATTCTCCTGTCTCAGTCTCCTGAGTAGCTGGGATTACAGGCACCCACCACCACACCTGGCTAATTTTTATATTTTTAGTAGAGATACGGTTTCACCATGTTGGTCAGGCTGATCTTGAACTCCTGACCTTGTGATCCACTGGTCTCGGCCTCCCAAAATGCTGGGATTACAGGCATGAGCCACCGTGCCTGGCAATTTTTGTATTTTTTAGTAGAGACGGAGTTTCACTATATGTTGGCCAGGCAGGTCTCGAACTGCTGACCTCAGGTGATCTGCCTGCCTCAGCCTCCCAAAGTGCTGGGATTACAGGCGTGAGCCACCACTCCTGGCCCAGAAATTCTTAAACTTTAACATTTCCTCAACATCTCCATAAACTAGGTGGACATTTCTGTTTTTTCTCATTCTAGTTCCATCTTCTCCCTTTATTTTCCCCTCTGATGCCACTTCTCGTCAAAGCAGTACTGAGGGAGAAGGTCAAACTCTTTCATTTTATTATATATTTGAACAAAAACGTATTTCCAATATGTATACACTCTTGCATCTCTTTGAGAAATTTAATATACAAAATCTAAACTTAAAAAACAGATAAATGTAAGAGAGACAAATTGTTATTTACTTTATAAAAATAATTTGCCACATCTGTTTAAATAAAGAGTGTATTTTCCCTAGTTGAAAGCATTTAAGATGTGATTTGTTTTGAAAAATGTCATTTACACTCAATGTTTAAAAACATATCTATTGTATAAAGAACAATCTAGGTTTATTCACTTGGATTATTATAGTAACCACTGATGAGCTGTATGAAAGTGATAAATCTCAAAATACCTGCATCTCCCTCTTTCTCTTTGGATATGAGGTAAAATATGTTATTAATACTACCTATTTAACAAAAATATGCAGAATGTAAACTGAACACAACATGTGCACTGCTGAATACAACTTAGGAATAAAGTGATTATTGCAAGTTATTACACTTACAAAATGTACACTTCCAAATAAAAGAAGATTATCTAATTATCGTATAATTCAACAAGATCTAGGGAATTGATCTGGCAATATAATATGTTTTGTCTTACATTTCCCATTCAATTGTTCAATTGCCTAGATTGCCCAATTTCCTCATTGTAGCAGTTGTCTTCTGAATATAAATATAAGTCCCATTGTTAATCCAGGGACTTCCAAGCAGATGATGTCACTTCAGTTCACCATCTTACTGACTTAGGATCACACATACATTACGACTTATACCTATTTAGCTGAACATCACTCAGGTGAGGAAGCTAACTTTTGAAGGGTCAGACACCACATTTATTTAATATGCTCCATGAAAAAATTAGTCCAAGATAATAGTAGCACTCTTAGTATACTTTGCCAACAATGACACGGGCCTGAAGAACCCAGCACATGCCACCAAAACGACCAACGATGTAATGTGTACTTAGTTCAACCAGACTGTGAATGATCTGCTATGTCTACAGGAAAGATGGAACGCTAGATTACTTTAAATAGCTCTGACTTAGAGAACATACCTATGAAGATGAGGAATTAAAAAATCTTATAAAGTAGCTGTTCACATTAGTACCAGTATAGGAGACAGCCAAAATCTAAGTTATAAACAGGTAATGAAAAATCCTCAAGGACTAACTGAACCATGTTTCTCCCTACCTCACTTGTCAACATTCCCAAGTTCTCTCTTTACTAACTGCAGTTCTTTCAGGCACTTATAATCATCAAATGCAGTTCAAAAAGAAATATATCCAACAACAAGAATATTAAAAAAGAATTTCAGTCTTCTGTATGATTAGAAACTGTTTCAGCCCAACAGTCAGGAATAAAAAGGATTTAAACTAATAAACCATTAACTGAAAAACTGAGAGAGATGTAGAGAAATGTGAATTTAAATGTAAATTCTGCCATCAGGTAAATATAATATAAAGCTAGTAGTTATAAAGAGGAAGTTACTCTAATTACTTCTAAGTTGCTAGGCCAAAAATTCCACAATAATAATTCTACCTCCCAATTGTTGTTTTTCAGAGGTACTGAGTTTTGCCTAGTGCTTTGGTGATGCTTCATAATGTTTACAAGACACCATGCGTCCACTCCATGGAAATAATCATCAATGAGAGAAGCAACATCATCCTAATCAGTTGCACAGTTAAACAAAAAAAAAAAAAAAAAAAAAAAAAACGACATCACTGAAGTCAAGAAGCACAAAATGACAAATGGTCAAGTTCCAACAGCTAAAAAGATCCAAGACATTATGAGCTTTTAATGAGTGAAACATGCCATGAGAAAGAGACCTTCTGTCAATAAATCCAAATCCTTGTTCACTAATTAAACCATCTTATACAGTGTCTGAATATGTAGACACCAGACTTCAACATTTCTTAATTATATTCAATTCCAGGCATATTTTTCCATTTAATTGACATTCTGAAATGCCTTTACAGTCCTATCAGATAGGTACCAAATTCTCAAGAGAGATTACCACACACTTCTGAATTCTTATTCATTTGATTGAAACTGTTATTAGCAAAGGTTTTTTTTTTAAGTGGAAAGTGTGGGAAAGATTCACACCCCATTCTATCCATAACATGGGCGATGTTAAAGTCATCTGCATTTGGCCCACTTTCATGTGTACATTTCTTTGCAGTGAAGTTCTCCATAGCCAGGCCAATCTGAGAAAACCCTAGCTGCAAAATCCACCCTAGCATGGGACGGTACCACATGAATCACATAACACACTGCTCACCCAATCACAACAGCAACTGCTATCATTAAGCCACCACTTAGAACCAACAGAGAATTTCAAACCACAATCAAAAATAGATTTCAGAGGTCCAAAATATTGATCACATAGACTTAAAAAATCAACAAAATGTCATGTGTGATAAATGCTCTAGGTTTCAAAAAAGACCAAGCTGATCCTGCTACCAAGATATAGCCTCATTTTGCTTTGAAAGAAAACACACACAGACTTACATAGAATTTATCTGACAAAAAAAAAAAACCCTGATATTTATACTGTCATTAAGCACATTTGTCACTAAATTTAATCTGTGTCATCTGGCATACTCTTAGATGTTTACAATTATCAAATAATGTTCAATGATATTTAGTAGCATTAATAATTTGGGGCTTATCTCAAAATATAAAACATCAATAGCTGCTCCAGAGTGCTCACTTTTTGACCTTCCATGGTACTGAAAAGGCTACAATTTTTTTCAGATTGTTTGGAATTTAATTTAGTTGAAGTCCTGAAGTTACAATTAAACTTCCACTTAACCTTTCATAACTGTGCCTCATTCAACAGCTGGGCTTATCTCCAACATCTCAAAAAAGAAAAGAAAGAAAGAATTAACTGAAATATTATTTGCAACTGCTCTGAAAAGTACAAGTAGGATCAAGTCATAGAGAACGTCCAAGGTAAAAGTCTGCCTTTTCACTCACATTCTGGAAGCTAATGTTACTTTGTAAGCCATTTTTTACAAATTTTTTTAAGGTAAAAAACCAAGCAACAGATCTAAATGATGAATACCTAAAGGACAGAACACTCTGAGGTGTTCTGTGACAAAGTTAACCTTGAGATTCATAACTGAGTCTCAAACATAGGAAAACAGAGGACTAAGAATACACCATGTGCACCTGCATGCAGGCTCCCAGACACATTCAAAAATCCTAAAAGTTACCTTTGAAATTGGGGGGTGGGAGACCACAAGGGGATAGTGGAGAAAGGACATGAATAAATTCTGAAGTCTTCTCAAAATATTAACTAACATTCCGACAGCCCATTTGGGCTGCCCCATGAATACGTTCTTCCAAAAAGGAGCTCTGCACTGCCCCCTGACAAATGAAGGAATTAATTTATTTCATAGTGCCTTGCATACATTAGGGCTGTAGTAAGAATTATTAAATGGAATTATATTCACTTTAATAACTTACACTCCTCTTAAAAGTTTACTCCACCTCACATTAATCTCTCCCTCCTCCTTGAGGCTCCTGTTCATAGACATTCTTTTGTCAATTAATAAACATTTTTAGATGTGACTTCTAGTGTACACACACAGGCATCTCTCATTTTCTCAATAAACAGCACGAAGCAGAAGCAATGGATATATTTTACTATTCTTTGAATCTTGCCCACTGTCTTGTGAAAGAGGTAGATTCAGTAAATATCGCTGAAAAGAACTTTAAAATAATTTTTTTAAAAAATAAATAACAGGGCTGAGGACGGTGGCTCATGCCTCTAATCCGAGCACTTTGGGAGGCCGAGGTGGGTGGATCACTTGAGGCCAGGAGTTCGAGACCAGCCTGGCCAACATGGTGAAACACCCTGTCTACTAAAAATATAAAAATTAAGAGGGCATGGTGGTGTGCGCCTGTAATCCCAGTTACTCGGGAGACTGAGGCATGAGAATCACTTGAACCCAGGAGGCGGAGGTTGCAGTGAGCCAAGAACACGCCACTGCACTCCAGCCTGGGCAATGGAGCGAGACTCTGTTTCTAAATAAATAAATAACAAAAATAAAATAGGGAAAATAGAGGAGAAAGCAAGACATTTTTTAAAGACAAAAAATTATTTTAAATTCCATGTGACTTTACAGAATTTTAAAAAGGGATATATTTCAGATGTACAAAGGCAAAAGTTAAAGAAACAACTTTCCTTTATTAAAGAGTCTATAATTCACAGTTTTGGAACCCTGGAAGAGCAGAACGTTGAAATACTAACAACTGCTCAAGGACTCCTCTCAGGGTCCTCTGTATGACTTTTCCGCCCACGGTAGGCAACACCTTCAATAATGCATTGTTCAAGGAAGGACAATGCTGTGGCCCTCCTCACACCTCCTCTAGGCTCTCCACATTCATATATATCTATCTGGTGAAGGAAGTAATATTTTGTTTATGTGAAGAGTTTAATTGATTAAGTTCTGAAATCTGTTTTCTATTTTCTATCATCATGCCAGTTAATCCATTCTCAAATTTTCATCCCTTCCACTTAGCAGAAAAAAAAAAAAAAAAAGAAAAAAAATCTAAGTCCTGGAATATGCTAAAATTAAGACTAACCTGAAAATGCCATTCCAATTCAGAACTGCTAGAATGGGTCATTTGTCACTATTACATGTAACTGATAGCCTATTTTGGTAGACCAGAAACTGGCTTGAAGCCACTAGACAAGTGTCAAATATGTTCTCAATAAATGCAGTCTGTGTCATTAAGCTGAATTTCTTTTTCAAGGAAAGGCAGTCTTTCCTGAAAATTATTCTTAGAAATTTGGAGAAAGGGAGGCAATGTAAAAAAAAACAAAAAACAAAAAAAAAAAAAACACGAAAAAACAAAAAAAGAAAACAAGGAAAGGAATAAAGCTTATTAAAGGAGTAGATACCCTGCAATTGACAGAAAACTCAGTAAGTTTGAGAAGCCTGTAGAATTAAATCGACCAAAACACAGAAAAGATATTTACTCTCTGAGTCTTCCCAGAGAAAGTTGTCACACTGTGGTGATCCTCAAGAGGTCAGGATATATTAAAAAACAAAGACCCACTCCTCACAATTTGGGTAGAAAGATGATGAAAATGACATATTCAACAGTTAGAGATCAAAAAAGCATTGCAGAAAATTTCACCAATAAGTAAAACTGCATACACAGGAGTTGTGCTTCCTTTAATATTTTTAAGACCATGCATATCTGTAGAAATCAGAGGCTCTGCTAACTCTAGGAAGGAATTGGGCAGAACACAAATCCTTCACTCTAAGTCTGTCAGATCCCTTTCTTTTAAATTTCCATTCCAATTCTAATGTTTGCCACAATCAGCAAAGAAGTGGTTCATCAATAGTCCTTCTTCAGCAATCAAAGGAAATCAATTCAAATGGACAGGCCCACCTGCTCCCATCAGATGATTCCCTACTCAAGGCTCCTGCAGAAGGAAAAAAAAGAAAAACCTGGGGATGACCCCACAATGGAAAAAAAAATCAAATATCCTCATTACTATCTTTCTCCTTCTTGCCCTAGAGGAAAAAGCCAACCCACCAGGCAACTGGACAGATGTGGGCTATGAAGGAATGCCATACCCCAATGCCACAACTGGTAAAATAAAGCCACAATAGTCCTTTATGCTTTGTGAGCTATTAATATAGCATAACAACGCAACAGCCACCAGGAGCACTCCTCAGACCTGCTGGTAATGACTAAATACCCTCTCCTGCCTGGTAATTGCCTACTTCTTTCTATTTGACATAATTCATCAGCCAGATTAGCTAAGGTCATTCAGGATCGTATGAAGAAGAAAGCAGGGATGATAACATAACCTGACACATCAAAATGTTCTTCTGTGAGCAGCCTGAAGAGCCATAGCTTTACAAAGGCTGTGGGCTAGCAAAATAACCGTATAGCATACAGGTCAGTGGGTATCCACTGTTTATTGCTACTCATTTCATTTTTGAGTAGCTCAGCACAACTGTAATTGCTAGTTAACAGACAGACTGGGTCCTATTAAAAAAATCCCCAAAATGACTCCGCCAGAGACCAGAATAAATAAAATTTGAAAGAAAGATTTCTAAAAGGCTTGAGAGCCAGTCGCTGGTCAACAAACCCTGGCTGTGAAAATCCTGCAGCCACAAGAGATGGAGCCAGCCCAGCAGCTGACTGATTTCTGATCTCTGAGCCAGCTGCCTTTCATGTGGAGTTCTCTGTGTGATTCAGATGATATGAAGACATTATAACTGGACAGTTCTGGGAACTTTCTCATCCCAGTGCACTGTGCACAGAAACTGGCCCCAGCATCACTCATTGTTCAAGTTCCAAAAAGGCAACAACTGAGATTCATGATTGAATATCAACATTCGGTTTAATTCTAAGAGACAACTTTTCTCCTTGTAAAATGTTAAAAAAAAAATAAAAAAAACTTCCCCCACTCCAACCCTATTAAATAAGAAGCACATCAAAGTGCTAAAGTTATTATGCTTTTTTTTTGTCTTTGTCTCTTAGAGCCCTGGTTTCCTTGGCTGTTCCTTATTCTCTCACTGTTCAATTGCTCCAATTTAGGAATAAAGAAAAAAAAAAAAAAGAAGAAGAAAGAAAAAAAGCAGAAGCAGTTGGCTTTGTGCAATTTCTAGGATTCTGAAGAATCTCAGTCTCTCAAATCTCTTCTCTCTTCTCTCCTCCATCCCCTCCTCCCTTCCTTTCCTTCTCAGATTCAAATCTCCACGTCACACCAGAACATCATTCAAGCATTCAGTAAATGTGAAGAGAAGTTCAGTGTCTGCTGGTGGAGAAGAAATCTGGGCTCTGTTTGATCGATACTGAGATGTGGGCACCTCGGTCCTCAATTCCTAGATGGCGGGCTTCCCCTTTCCACCACCTGAGTTTGCCGCCTGGATCCAGGCAAAGTCGTCTGCAGTCTTTCTGGCCGCTTCTCTGTCTCTCTGCTTTTATTTTAACTTAGCCTGGGCACAATCAGAGAATCTAATCCTAGCAACAAAGCCAGGAGCACAAATCCACCGTGATGAACTGGTAGGCCTGCTCCCCCGCCCCTTCCTCCCACTACCCCGGACTCGCCTTTGAAAAGACTAGCGTCGGGGCCAGAAAATTAATATGTCCGAGGCAAGTGGGAGAAAAGCGGCAGAAAACAAGTGGCCACGAGTGGTTTGGGTTTTGTTGCTGTTCATGTGTATCTTTTAAACATTAAGGACCCACGCACAGGAACCCCAGCCGCTCAAGCCCCGGGTGGGCGCGTCGCACCTCCCCAGGCACTGCCCAGACAGCTCGCCCCCTCCCCCTGGGCGCCCTCCCTAGTCTGGCTGGGGCCGGGGCGGGTTGGGGGAGGTTCTCGCGGGTTTGTCTGACACTTGTAAATGGAAGTGGGATCCAACTTGGAAAACAAACGCGCCAGAGTCTGGGGGCGGAGAGGAGCGGGAGGAGGGGAGAGGGGGGAAAAAGACTTCAATCATTACCGCGGTCCCAGCGTCCCTCCCTCCCGCCGCGGCTGCTGCAGGTTCGCCCAAACCCGAAGCTGAGTCCCATTGGGCGCGCGGCGGCGGCGGGATGGAGCTGGAGCTCCCGGCCGAGGCGCTAGGAGTCCACCAGATTCCGCGTGCCAGAGCCACCGGCCGCCCACGCTCCGGGCCGCAGGCGCCACTCCCTCCCGGGAGCCCCTCCTAGTCCTTCACGGAGACCTCGCAGGGTCTCCGCAGCCTCCCCGCCCCCGACGTCCATTCCGGGGACCCCTCTCCACCGCCTGGTTTGAGCCCATTATTCCAGCGAGCTGCAGCCTCAGGATGTCACCGCCAGCACACCCACACCCCGGGAGCACCCCTGTTCCTCTCATCCCGAGCAACCCAAGCGGCTCTCTTAGCTCGCAGCCAAACTCCGGCCACCCCTGCATCCTTGCCCCAAGCACGCCCCCGCCACCCCCCGCCCACAAGAGGAGAACGGTGGAAAGTGAATAAAAGTTGCTTTCCGCAAAGCCCAATCATGTTCAATGTTAAACCATCTCGGAAAGCACATGTGACAAAAGTCAACGAGAGAGGAGAGGAGGGAATTCAGATCACAGCACAGCTAAAAATATCCGGGCTCGCCATCATGCAAGCCGGGGGGCCAGATGCACTTTAGCTCAGCGACTCCCACTGGCGGAATCCTCGCGCTCACCGCGCGCCGCGCCAAGATGGTCCAGGCCACCTCTACTGCCTCCCCGCCAGCGCCCCTCAGCCCCCTACACTTGCCCTGCACACACACTGGCCTGTAGAGGGGATTCGTCCCGAACCGCCCGGGAGTGGGGCCTGAGCTCGGAGCTGGTGCCCCTGGCGTTCTCGCCCCCAATCCGGAGACAGCTCCTCCGCACTCCTGGGGATGGTCAGACCCGCGCTGCTTTCTTTTCAAAGACAAGCAGCCTTCCCACACGCCCGCCAAAAATCATGCACTCTCGCAAAGCATTCCGGTTCCCTCTCCTTGTCAAGATAGCAGGGACAGTCTCTGTCCCCAACCACTCCGTAAAGGATGTCGTCCCCAGTCGAAGAGCCGCCGCCGCCGTTCACTACATCTCACCCTGACCACAAGCCCCGCAAGCCCGAGTCAGGCGTGGGGAACGGACCCGCAGACTGGTAACCCTTTCCCTTTCCTAGCGAAAGTGGAGGCTGGGCTCCCTCTCTGCGCCGCGCCTCGCCTAGCGATGACCCAACTTGCACCTCGGGGTCCCCTAAGTGCATCATCCATCGGCATCTGAACATCCCCCACTGCGCCCGAGAGGCACCGGCTGCCAAGCAGGCTCGCCACCTGAACCTTCTCATCCACCTGCAGGGGCGGCTGGGAGCCGGGGATGGGTGCACTGATCCGCAACCCCCCTCGCAACCCCTCCCCAGATCCTCAGCCCCAAACTTGGCCAACTCTCCGTGTAAACCTCCCGGCTCCCGCCGCGGGGCCAAGCCACCCTCTTCTCCTGTTTGCAGCGGTAGCAACGGCGGCTCGGGGCTGCGCGGAGGTTGGAACTTTACAAGGTGAAAAGTTTCCCCCACGCGCTTCGTCGGCTCTCGCCTCCCCAGCCCACCTCGCAGCCCATTTGCACCCAGCAGCTGAGGCTGTGCTCCGGCAGGCGCGCTCCAGTCGGTGCACCAGGCAGCCAAATCATCACGCTACAAATCCCCACGCACCCTTGCCTCCGCTGGCGATCCACGGCTCTACGAGGCGCCTCCCCCGTGGTCTTCTTCACCCGGTGCTCGGCGCTCTTGCTCCGGGCGAGCCGGTCCCCCGGCTGCTGCCGCCGCAGCGCCCACCGCGCGCTAGCCGGGACTGAGGCCGCGAGCAGAAGCGCTCTGCGCTCGGGACGCCGCCGCCGCCGCCGCCGGGGGTTCGCAAGCGGAGGAGGGGAGCCGAGATGAAGAGAACAGCAGCGGGAGGAGAGGGACGGGAGGCGCGAGATCCCAATCCGCAGGCCAGTTCACAGCGCAGCCTGCGGGGAGGAGCGCCGGCTCTCCTGTCTGCTCCGAGCTGCAGCCGCCGCCGCTACTGCTCGCCGCCTGGCTGCTCCGGGCTCCCCATCACAGCCGACGCCGACGCACGGCCAAGCCCCTCTCCAGTCTCCCCCTCGCGCTTGTCTCTCGCAGTCTCCTCCTCCCAAACCGCGAGCGAAAAGGGCGAGGGGGAGAGGAGCCTCGGCGGCGGGGATGACTAGCGATCTAGGAGCGTGGCGCAGGGGAGAGGGGGCGCGCGGGAGGGGGCGGCGGAGGAGGCGCGGCGAACTGGAGGGCATTCCCGGCGCCGGGCCTGGAAGCGGCTAATTTTAGAGCTCGAGTCTTCCCTCAGCCCTCTGGGGCTCTAGGATGACACCAACGTACTTTCCTGCCGCGGGGAGAGCGTGGTGCTTGCTGGCTTGGGAGAGCTTTCGCACAGTGCATTGAGTCTCACCCGCACCACATCCCTGTGAAGACAGAGAACGCGTTACTCTCCTGGGACAAAGAGGAAACTGAGGCACATCGAGGTTAACATGGTTTATATAACGTCCCAAGGCTAGTTTGTAGTGTGAAGATTAAACCATCAAATGTCGTGCCTCTGGACTAAAAATGTGCCTCCCAGTGAGGGCTCCTACGACTTTCCTAAACATTGAGATCCTGGGGTCATCCGATTGCCTTGTGGAGGAGGGAACTAGACTAAGCAGCTAACGTGGTCCAATCTCTTCACTCTTCCTCTGCCCCCAATATGTTTTAAACATTTTTTTGTCTTAATGGAGGACAGGGACTCTGAAGGGGTGGATGATTGATTTGGAGCTTGATGATTGCATCTCCACCCTGTCAGCCCTCCTGGTCACTTCTGCAGCACCCACCCAAGTCCTAGGACCCCCTGACTGCACGCCCTCCGTTCTCACACTGCCCCGGTGGAGAGGGGACTCCACTCGTTCCCTGCTCTGTGTATCCTCACACTTTTGCCTTTCTTTTCCCCCCAGCAAAGAAGCAGCCTTAACCCTCTCCACTCGCCACCTACACACACACACACACACACACACACACACACACACACACACAGAGAGAGAGAGAGAGAGAGAGAGGAGAGAGAGAGCTCAACTCACATATGTCTCTAAGGCAAGCACAGCTGGCGCATTTCCTCCTATGCTCTCTATCGGGAACTTTCTCCCCAACTCTACCATTGGCACCAGGAGAAAGGGACCCCAGGACTGCAGATCTCTTCCCCAGAGGAAATCGTTACTTTTTTTTGAAACACGAAATTCTCTTTGGAGGGCGAAGTAGGGCTGCTTCTAGAGGGCTATGTGCTCAATCACTAGAGCAAGCGCTTTAAAATGCCGATTGAGTTTACCTTTCTGGCCTTCGCGCTCCCAGCCTGGGACCTCTGCCCTGTTCACAGTTACACAAAGGCCTCGCCACGCCCCACGGGTGGAAAGTTCCCCTTGAAAGCCTCCAGCAGCCTCGCTGCCTTGACTGCCACATAAAGCACCCGGCATGCTCTGGTCATTCCGCCCTGAGATTTTAATGTGAATACTAAGGAACGGTGACAGCTCCTCATACATCAGCTAATTCGGGGGTAATAAGCATGATGTTACCAAGGGCTTCATTGTCACGGAAGGCCAGAAGATAGGTCTGGAGTGAAGGAAACCACTAACAGAGCTAGGAAAACTTACCTGCTCTCCAAAATGTTAGCATCTGATTAATTTTATTCTGATTTTAGTTTTATTCAGCAACTTTCTAAGGCACTAAAAGTTTATTGTCATATAAATATGTCCCTGGCATGGCATTTTCCTTGTGACAGAATGCAGCTAACTTTGCATCAAAGGTTTTAAAGAATCAAGGTATTTCCCACCTGAGTGCCTGGCTCCTGCAACCAGGCACTTTGGGTAGAGTCGGCTGGTGGTGGTTTGGCCACTGGGATGCTCAAGGAAGGAGTGCTGGCAAGGAGGCCAGGCATCTTCTACCTTCTGCCTGGGAAGACTGCCAGGTGATTGGAGGAGTGGCCACTTCTGCTGCTGGTGTAGCTCCTGGATTTCAGCTTCCCCAAATGTTCTTTAATGCCTCAGAGGTGCCTTAGAGATAAGTAGAGAAATCTGTCTAAATTTCAGCCTCCCCATCCCTAGGCAGTACATACATAATAAAGTAAACAGTCTCTACTCCCAGGGCTGACATAAGCCATTATAGCCTGTGGGTAAGAGACTTCCTGCAAAAATAGTAGAGTGGTTTATCTAATGGGACACTCCTCTGGTCATTTTAGATTTGCATAGCATTTACTATTCATTGTGCTAATAATTCTGATTGTATAAGGGGACTGTATTTTTTTTTTTAAAGTGCCAGCCAGACACAGTGGCTCATGCCTGGAATCCTAGCACTTTGGGAGGCCAAGTCTGGATGACCACTTGGGGTCAGGAGTTCAAGACCAGCCTAGGCAACATATCAAGACTCCACCTCCTCAAAAATTAAAATTAGGCCAGTGTAGTGTCTACATATAGTGTCTCATGTCTTTAGACTCAGCTACTTGGGAGGCTGAAGCAGGAGAATCACTTGAGCCCAGGAGTTTCAGGTTACAGTGAGCTATGATTGCCGCATTACACTCCAGCATGGCTGATGGATTAAGACTCTTTCTTTAAAAAAAGGTGATGTGGCTCGGGGGAGGGGTGCCACTGTGTCACTACAGTGGAAGGCATAGAGTTGATAAAACAGTGAGCTTTATGAAAGTCAAGAATCTGTCATATTTACATTTCTATCCCTGCATAAAGCCTGGCACACTCAATAAATATTAGTACATATTCAATAAATATTCAAATAATTAACAAATGGTGAAAACTTGGGAATTTTTTTATCAGACCCAATGATTATTGTATGTAGGACATTGAAGTCCTCATAGGAAAGGAACCTATAAAAAATTGCAGATCTATAATAAAATCATATTACTTGCCATGTATCACAGCCTCCATACACCACTTCAGATCATCTGGGCCTTACCTGTTGCTTTTAGCCACCACAGGAACAGCCAGTTCTAAGTGGGCTCTAACCAGCTTCACACAGGTATAATCTGAAAGTGCTTTGCTCTGGGCTCCCCTTGCATCTTACCCCCACCCAGGGCTTTTTAGTTGAAGTTACAATGTGAACCAAAACCTAGAAGCATGAGAGATTAAAGAGCCTATGGTGGGAGCCCATGGATAAATACTCCTCTTTCCATCTGCAAGGAAAGGATTCAGAAATGTGTTCCATGGAGCTTCTCTGGTGGTCTTTGCTAAACAAAGCAGCCATTCTCCTGAAGCAATGGCCAGCTTGATAACACATCCTTGTACTGGCGCTCCATCCTTCCCTGGTTCTCCCCATCTGTTCCTCACATGCTTCCTGGGATCACACTTCCCAAATAAAATATTTTCAGCAAGTCCTTGTATCATGCTCTATTTTCTGGCAATCTCAGGCTAAAACACCTACGACTAATGCTAAATACTTACGTCAAGGGACGGCCAAATGATTTTTCAAACTGCCCTATGAGGATTTTACTTTTAAACAAACGTGTACCCAAGGACACCTGTGTTGGGGACCTGTTGTACAACTAGAAGTTTTCTGAATCAATTTCAACTTAGACTGCAAGGTTTATTAAAAAGTAAGTAATTAAAATATGCTAATTTTGAATTTACATATATGTAATTAAAACTCAAAACAGTAACTACAGGAATTTTTTAGAACTTAGACCAAAATGATCTTGTTACAGAGGAATATTTTATCACTGACATTTTTTAGAATTGCAACTACAAAGTAATACTAAAAAAAAAGACTGATTTTCTTTTTAAATTCTCTACAGATAGTGCTCCCACCCACCCGTTTGCCTGCTTGCTGTGCAGATCTCTCCTACTGGCCCACCCTTGGTATACCACTAATTGTACTTGCAGGTGGCCTTCTTTGCCACTCAACTATCCTAAGGCTGATCAATTTCAATCCCTCTTATTTTGGAACAGCAACCAAACCAAACTTGGACACACTGAGGTACTCTATTTTCGGCAAGCAAATTGTCCTACTAACTGTCTTTATCCTTTGGGAAACTCCTTCTATGCCCCTGTTTTGGCTACTGCTTTCTTCTCTTTGGCTAGACAGAGAATAAACGTAATGTCAGAGACTCATTTTTAACACATCTATAATTCTATGTTCTTTAGGCCACTCCTTTTTCTCTTTCTTACTCATTTGTTCATTCACTCACCCATTCATCTGTTCAAAAATTATTTTTGAGCAGCTGTGTACTTGGCTCTCTTTTAAGTGTCGGGGATGTAATGATTAGCAAAAACTGATGAGATATCTACCCTTATAGATCTTTGGGCCAGTGGAGAAGTCATTAATCAAATGATCAAACAAAGAAAAGCAAAAGTGAGAAGGGCTACAACTGCATGATTCAAGTGGTTTAGTTAGCACCACTGCCGTTCCAATGAGGGGGAATTTTTATTCATCTCTCTAATTTATTTACAAGCTAAAGTTCAACACGAACAATGACTAATGAGCATAAAGGATATTTAGTGTTACACCTGTTATATGTTTTGACATAATGTTATAAATAAGGGCAAATGTTATCAAGTACCAAGTTATTAATAGTACCAGGATCCCACTTTATCATCTTTAGCAAAATTTTCATCCACCCTCTTGGCCTCTGATTAAACCTGCTTTTCTTCAAGTGTCTAGAGGATGGAATATTAGAGTTTTTCATTCAAAACCTCTGTTTTAATCTTACATGTAATTTATGATTTCTTATTGGTGTCCCTATATTTTAGTACAATAGATATATTATGAATGAGATATGCTTATGTACTTTGATTGCCATTTATAACATATTTCTGGAACAAAAGCCTTCCATGTTTAAAATAACTGGCTTACAGACTTTTGAAACATGACTTGTTTGCAAATGAAGATGTTTCTTTACCAATCAAAGGGGAAGTTGTAATGTAATCTAAAAGTGAGGTGATAATTTATTATAGGTGTATTAGTCCATTTTCACACTGCTATAGGGAACTGACTGAGACTGGATAATTTATAAAGGGAAGAGGCTTAATTGACTCACATTTCTGCAAGGCTGGGAAGACCTCAGGGAACTTATAATCGTGGCAGAAGGCAAGCGGAAGCAAGGCATGTTCTTCATAAGGCAGCAGGAGGGAGAATGAATGCAGAAGGAAATGCCAAACACTTGAAAAACTCAGATCTCGTGAGAACTCACTATCACAAGAACAGCAGGGGGAAACTGCCCCCATGATCCAATTACCTCCACCTCATCTCTCCTTTGACATGTGGGGATTATAGGGAGTATAAATCAGATGAGACTTGGGTGGGGACACAAAACCTAACCGTATCAATAGGTACCATGAAGTCTTAGAGTTAGAAAAGAAGATAAAGCTTATCTATCTATTTCACTGCCTTTTGATTTGCCTACATCATAGCTGCTATTTCTTTTCCCTAGTTACTTCTCTAGTCCACTTCCAAAAATAATCTAGGTGTAGAATGAAGACTTTTGTCTACTTGCTAAAAGGAAAAAATACACAATCTTCTTCCTTATTCGTTGACTAAAGGAGAAAAGAAAAATTAGAAAGAAATACATCTAAACTAAGGAGCCCCAAAACCAAAGAGAGGGAAAAAAGCCTTACCAAAATGTTGGTGAGTAAATTATAGCAGTTTGTTTTTTATCTGATCTTAATTAAAGTAGGGAAGTACTATTAAGAATAAATGTTGGCATGTTGCCTCAAATTAAGGAAGATCAACATCCTTTTCATTTTGAATTCATGAAAAGGGCTATTTACTCTTATTTTTGAATACTTTGGCTAAACGAGTTAATACCCATTTCATTTCACCAGGGCAAATGTTAGCCATGAATGTTAATGTAATTTTCCAAAAGTGAATTGTATCAAACTATTTGCATAACAAAAAATCACTGTGAACAAGTACCTTGCTGCCTGCAGTTGTGTTGTCAAAAAGAAACTGCAAAAACATCATCTATTTTCCTTTCTTTTCTTTCTTTCTTTTTCTTTTCTCTCTCTCTTTCTCTCTCTTTCTTTCTTTCTTCTTCTTCTTTTTTTTTTTTCTTTTTTTTTTTGACAGAGTCTCACCCTGTTCACCAGGCTGGAGTGCAGTGGTGCAATCACAGCTCACTGCAACCTCCGCCTCTCAGGTTCAAGCAAATCCCCTTCCTCAGCCTCCTGAGTAGCGGGGATTGCCGGCATGTGCCATCATGCCTGGCTCATTTTTGTATTTTTAGTAGAGATGGGGTTTTGCCATGTTGGCTAAGCTGGTCTGGAAATTCCGACCTCAGGTGATCTGCCCACCTTGGCCTCCCAAAGTGTGAGATTACAGGCTTGAGTCACCGCACCTGGCCCTCATCGTCTTCTTTCAAATCTGGTAACTTTGTTCACCTGTAAATAATTAGTTATCAAATATGGTTGACTTTCAGTAAAGTGAAACAACTACTGATTAGGAGGAAGTAGTGGGTTCAAGGAGTTGATAATAGGATTCAGTTTTTTCCCCTTCAACATTTGCTCTTCCAAATTTGAATCAGATTTTTGGTGATTAATAGCTCTTTTCCTCTGGTACTGTTTTAGGAGTCAGTTTGAAACAACGTACTTTTCTTAGTACATTTTCCACTGGGGGAGTCATTAGTATTAATGGAGCGCTGACATCATTCATACACTGAAACCCACTATGTGCCTAGTGGCCAGTGTTGGGCAGCTTTGTGGTATAAATGGTTCTTGACATCAAGAAGCTTACCCACGAACGGAGCACTGCACTTGGGCTTAGGAACACTGGCTCTAAGGGATGTCAATAATCTCTTCAACCATACTACCTTTATTTTCCGTTCTTTGCTACCCTGCAGGCCTAGGAAATTTTCTGGTGACTGCCAGTCTGGGTCTAGTTTCTGTGTTCTCCCTGGCAATTGGTCTTTACCTCTGTGATATCACTTCTCACACAGCTTCATCCTCATCTTTTATCTGTTTTTGTGTCTCCAGTGACTAGGAGCCTCTTTGGGATAAAGGCTGATCTTTTATCTCTGTATTACCAAGGTAAGCTTCACGTGTTGAGTGCTCAACAAACTATTTTTTTGTTGAATGAATAAATATATTAGCCAACCTTATATATTTGGATTTTCAAGAGATCAGAGAGAATGAGGTTATCATACATCTACACTGTCTTAAATTTCTCAAGAGTGAAGCCTAAATCAGTGATTCTCAAAATGTAGTGCCTGGACCAGCAACATCTGCATCAATTTGTAACTTGTTAGAAATGCAAATTCCCAGGCCCCAGACTTAGTGATGCAGACATTCTGGGGGTGCAGCCCAGCAATTTGCATTTCAACAAGCTCTCCTGGTGATTCTGATACATGCTAAAATTTGAGAACCACTGACCTAGATCTTCCCACTCCTTACATGCACACACTGCTCACAGTTCAGTGTAAACCCAGGTGCACCCTGATCCCATGTCTTCAAAAATGGAAGTACCATACTTCTTTAACCCAACTTTTAAATCTATGCAAAGAAAGTCATTAGTTAACCTACTTTGGCAAAAACTCCAAATTATCCTCATTGCTCCCCGATGGTGAGGTGTTTGGGATTGAATTCCCAAATAATTGCTTCAATTAGCCAATTTATTTCACTTAGGTAGGCACAGCTGGAGGTAATAGCATCCACTGTATCCTAAAGGTGTTCCAGCCTCTTCCCCTCAGGTTGAAGCCAACTACAGACCTGCTGAGGAGGGGGAATTAACCACTTGGCGAGAGAATAGAGCCAGTATCTGCACCTATTTGGCCACGTTAACAATTTTCTTTCTTCTACATCCTGGTTCTTTTGATCTTATGCTACTAAGGTCTGGCCTGTGAGTCATAGAAGGAAGTGCTTTCCCATATAGTCAAGCACACTTGGGGAGCATCTCCCCATAGTTGGAATCATAATAGAAGAAGGGAAGTAACTGGAGGAAGTTCAGCTGTCTATTGTCTCAGCTGCTTTGATTTTCCTGTTAAGTGGCATTTTGCATGAATGTGAACTGAAATTGAAGTTTGTGCACCTTTTGAATGTTATTGCCATCATAGTCACGGGGACACACTTTATTTCTGAAAACCTGGGATGAGAATTTTGAGGCAAGTAATTACAAGCAATCCTTGTTGGTATTAAGAAATAATCAGATTATTTACAAGGATTACACATCTTGAAAAATAAAAGAATGCTTCAGGAGCTAGTGACATAGAAAGTATTTTCATTTTCTTCAAGTTGCGCCTAAAAGCAGTAACTTTTTTTTTTTTAGCCATGCTTCAAGTATACTTTCTGTTAAATATTTGAAACCTGGTACCAATAACTTTTTGTTTGCCTTTAAGACAAAATTGACTCACTTGATAGAGTCTTCTCTCTTTCAGAGTTGGAAGGTTTAGGTGAAGAAATGTCTGAAGAAAATTTCATTTCTCAGCACATATTTCTGAGCCTGTTTGGGAGTGACAGTAATGGCATTATAAGGTATTGAAGCGGTGTTCCTGGAAGCTAGTAGAGAGGTCAGAGCAGTGTGAAAATTTCCAGCAAATCTGTCAAGCATCCTGCAGCTCTGGAACATAGCACAGAGTGTTTTCATTAGTGGTCAGAGTCAAGGAAGGTGGTCAAGTCCCAATACTGACATTTAGAGATCACACCATAGTTGATGTTTAGTGTTTTTTAGCTGGGACATGTGTCCAGTGGAACATTCTGAGTGGATATGCATATTTTAGCCCACTATGGTTTAAATATTTGGAAGCTATAGAAAATTCAGGAAACATTAGGTTTTAATTACTGTAAATTTAGGTGTTACTTATGGCAGAGAAGTTTTAAAAATGGTAATATTCTAATAACCTGGGAATAATCCACTCAATAAGAGCCAAGATAGAAAAGAAACCCACTACTTTTATTCATTTCCTAGCCCATTTATTTACTTGTGCAAGCATAAGTAAATCACATAAACACTCCTGAGTGTTTATTATGTTCCAGAAGCAGAGAGCCAAGAGGTCAACATGACAGCTCCTGCCTCAAGGAGCTTTCAGTCTTCTCTACTTGCTTCTACTTATCTCCATTGTACCCTGGAAGACAAGTCAATAGTAATTGTAATTTAGTGTAATACATATACTTGCTTCCTTTCCAGAGTGGCTGTCCCTTTCAGAATACCTCTAAGCCCCCAACCTGCTTCTATTGTACAGAGAAAAGGAAACAATTTTTTTTAAGTGAACAACTATTTGAATAATATTTCCAGAGCAGCTTCTAGGAGCTCAAATCTTTGTCTTTGCTCCACATGGTGTAGAGACCCCAGTCTGGTTCCTCAATAGTTCCCAGGGGATTGTTCCAAATAGTAGTTGGTTTTTTTGGGGGGGAACAACTGAATTCTTTTGAGAATAGGAACAGCTACTGATGGGAGACTGCTCAGTAAAATTCATTCTCTTACCCTAAAAGGATTAGAAACTGCCCTTTTGAGAATGGACTTAGGCAGCTTTGTATTTCTTTATTGTGGTGGTATGTGCCAGTGCAGGAAGGAGACAGCTTCTCTCCTACCTCCACTCTAACATGGCAAACATTTTGTCAGGTAAATGAGCATTTCCCTTAAAACTGATTGATTTGCAAGGAACAGTAGTGTTTAGTCTGAATGATACTCCCAAGCTAAGAAGTGTATCATTGTGGTTTTTTTTTTTTTGCATTAACAAGGGTTAATAAATAATAATCTTTCCTAATTCTTGCTTTTCACAGTGCCAGTCTCTAATTTGACTTGGCATTTTGGGTAGAACTTGATCATGTCCCTGTTGAAGTCACTGAGAATCCCCATCAGCAATCTTGCAGTAATCTTGCAGCAAAATCTGCCACTCAAAACTTCGTGGCTCTTGAATAGAGCCAGTTTGAAATCTTGGCCAGGATCTTTGAACTCCAGCCCAGCCAGGCTGATGTGACTCTGGATTTATCTCTCAGCAGGATGTCTCCCAGAATTGGCAGTCTCTGTCATGTAACAGAGACACACAAGGATCCTGCCAACAGCAAAGGCCAAAGAGCAAAGAAAGAGGAAAAGCAGGGGACATCTTACAGTATCAAGATATTAGTGTTTGCACTTTTTTGTATCTAAACCAATAATTACATGCATGCACGCACGCACACACATACACACACACACACATGTATTTAATATATGCCATCTAGCTAGTCTAACCCAAAATGCTTAACTGCATTAATCATTCAACCAATAATTTTTATATGCTAAATGTAGTGTTTGTCTTTTACAAATTAGTTCTGGCCATGATTACTGCTCTCAATGTGCTTACATTCTAGTTGTGGAGACAAGTTTTATACCCTAATGAAGACCAGTTATTGTGAGAAATATTATCTAATGAACTAGAGAATGGGGCACATAATAAGAGATTTGAAATTTCTGGGAAATGAGAAATTATTACATGCTGGGATAGAAAAGCATCATTGAAGAAGTGCAATGTGGGCTGAATTCTAAAGAGTAGGAGGGATTCAGATGGAATCAATCGGTCATTTCAAATGACATATGTAAAGGGAGAGAGATAGAGGGCAGAAGTGCACAAGACCTACTCAAGCAAGAGCAAGAATATTGCACTCAAGCTTTAGTGCAAACTAGTGATGTAAAGACCATATTTCATAGGGCCTGGAATGCTAGGCCAGGGAGTTTGAATGTCATCTTAAGGCAGCTGAGAGACCTCGAGGATTTTCAGTTGAAAAACATAAGGACAGTGTTTTAGGGGACTAAATGTGGTGACATGATCTTTGAAAAGGGAGAAACCTAGAGGTGGGGCAACTGGTAAGAGAAACTAATGCAGGGGATGAGGGCAGGACTTGGGGTTAGATGGATCTGGATTCCAGACTCAGCCCCTCCATTTCTTAGCTTAGGTAAGCCATATAATCCTTCTGAGTTTCAGGTTTGGATGATAATAATATTTATCCTCTTCTACTGAGAACCTACTCTGCTAGGCACTATTTTAGGCACGGGGATATGGAGGTGAGCAAAATGAATAAAGCCCCTTCCCTGAGCTCCAATCCCTTATGGATATAGGAGAATTGGAAGCTAATTAAATGAGCTAATGTATGTATGTTCCTGATACATAGTAGATGCTCAATAAATGGTAACTAGAAAGTCTACTGTAGTAATAGTCAGGTAATGAAATAGAAAAATTGCAACATTCTTTTCCAAAGCCCTTAGTCTCCGGAGAACAAGCACAGGTTTACATTTCAGGATGTGGATTCCATCCCACTGGCTCTTTCTCAATGCAACTGCTGTCCTTTTGTTCCAGTTTGCTTGGGCTTCAATAACTTGAACATTTCAACGCCTGCATGCACTTAACATTCTTGATGTAAACACACTGAGTTAGACTTTGGTGATCCAGAACTCTTTTCCTTTCTGAGATGCCTGGGCCATGGAAGTCTCTGCCCCCAGTCTTTCCTGTGTGAGAAGCAAAAAGCCTTTCCTTTCCTCAGTCAATACCACCACGCCCTGCTTTTCACCTGACAAGATGATGAGAACTTGAATTATCTCCTGAATATCTTGATGCTCAGTGCTCAGGCCAACTCTGCTAAAACATAACCTATCTCTGAAGGATTTGTTCATGAGCTGAGCAACTAAATCTTTTCTCACCAGACAGTTGACCAAAGGAACCGATAATGTTTGATATCTTTAATATTCTCCCCAGCAATGCCAAGCAAAGCACTGAAACACGTTTTGTTTTTTTTATACATTAGCAACTATATAATTTGACTTACAGTCTTCCACCTCTTAGTTATTCAACCGTGTTTATTGACTGTCCATTAGTGCAGAAAGTTGCTCTGAGTGTTAGGGAAGGAGGTCTGAAACTAGCAACTGTGCTTCTCAGTGTTGTACCTCAAAAGAAATATTGCTAGCCTGGAAGACAGAAAACAAGTGTTCTTCTAACTCCACCCTGACATGGGATCCTGAACAATGCATTTAAACTCACTGTGAAATTGGAACAATATAACAAACAGCTAATATTTATTAAGTTACTTTATGCTTGGCAATGTACTAAGTGCTTTATATGCATTATCTTATTTTATTCTCACAGCAACCCAGTAAAGTTCATATTATCATTATTCTTTTTGTTTTATACATAAGTGAGACTTGAAATGACACCTCTCTTAGTCCAGAGCCTGGGGCCTTAACTTCCATTCCCCAGGGTTAGAATAAACATCTAACTAGTTAATATATACAAAAATGCACTTTCAGCTTGTAACAAATATAAAGTGCTCCTTTTTTAACTGTAAAATAAATAAAAGGTTGTATCTGATTCTTCTTTACTTCTTATTCGTGCTTGGCATGAATAAGTGGGTGACTGAGCAGTGTTTGTTGGACAAGACATTCGTATACTTGTGCTACCTTATCTGCAGCCTCACTGACATACCTCATTTAATCTCCATGTCCACTGAACTTGCCTAAAGTATTGCTATTTACAGAATGGGAATTTGATATTATTTATGTGTTTAAATAAAGTGTTCTTACCTCTAAAATTCTGACTGAAGTTACTTCACAATTTTGAGTACATACATAGATACAAAAGGCTAAACCGTTGTATTTAGCAATTTCTACTCTGTTAAGTGGAGAACCCACCCTACAATACTGTCATGGTGACTGCAGAGGGAAGAGAGTACAAAAATGCCATGGGTGCACTAGACAATGCTCATTCAGGGGGAATAATAAAGAAAGACATCCCAGAGCAGTTGTTACTAGGAGGATTTTGAAGGAAAGGAATTGCAGGTGCCTGTGACTGTCCTACTAGGATAAGATGCACCAACTCTGCTCTCCTGTAAAAGAAAACTTTTACAGTTTTATTCTCTCTTATCTCTCTTTGTGGCCTAACGTTGTCAAAATAACAATGAAATATTTCTTTTAAACATTTATGGTTTTTGTCTCTTTTTTTAAAAATAGCCATAAAGTTGTATACAAGGCATTGAATCAGACATCTTTTTTGCAGTACATCAGACCCGCCTGTTTCTTTTCCAGCTGCTGCTGTGCACCAGCTCCCATGACTCCACACAGCTCCAGCCTGACAGGGCTTTGCCTCAGGCCCATGGCAAGAGACTCCACCTGGTGTTCGTGCATGTGCAACCCAGAAATGCAAGAACACTGGCACTCTGTGGAGTGAATCTTCATCCAGCAGCAGATGGTTGCATGTGGATAGTCTCCTTCCGTCTTCCTATGGATGATCTTTCGATTCTGATTATAGAGCTTCCCAGGCAGTCCTGTGGCAACCTGCTGGAAAATGCTTTATTGTATTGACTCTCCATCCTTCCCAGCCTCTCTCCCCTCATCCTCTGCTACTGCTTCCTTCAACTGTGTTTCCAATCAGTTAATAGCCCACATACCCTCTCTCACAGACACTTTCTAGAGGACCCAGTGTATGACAAACATTGAGGATGGAAAGTCAACGTTTTAGCAACAACTATCCTTAATATGAGGTCCTTATTTTGGACTCATGGATGCCAAACAGGACAGAGAGAAATGTGAAAGTGGACTACCCTAATGTATAAAAATCATGTTTCTGAATAATATTTAATGAAAATGATCTGGGTTAGTGCCCGTAATATTAAAGATGAATAAAAAGTGGGTCATCTATTTTCTGTGATCTACTTTTATGTAAAATATGTATTTATCTGTATGCAAGAGTGACAGGAAAGAGAAACAATAAAATGTTAACTGTGGTTATCTCTGCGTGGTGCTGTTATGGGTCATTTTTGTATTTCTCTTTATGCCTTTCTGTAATTTTCCCAATTGTCTATGACCACGTTCTACTTTTAAAATTAGAGAGAAAAAGAATAGCCATTAGTAGTGAACCTAAAGAGTCATTTATTCCTTCCTTTAAGTTTTTTTCTTCATAAACTGTGTGTTTATGGCCGATAAAGCACAGTGCCATTCAGATCCTCGTCTTTTTCACACATCAGGAGTTGGTATGGTTTCTGCTGCAATTCAATTGCCAACTGAAGCCCAGAGATGGGTTCACACTTCAGGTCTGTGGGAGCTGCCATGGCTGTGAGGCAGAGTTCACATTTACTGGTGGGAGGATGATATTACTGACAATGATGAAGGGGAAGAGCACTGATTGAGTACTGACAGCATAAAGGTGTTGTCAGACCACAGAGTTGGACACAGTCTCAGGGTCTAGATTTAATCCACATTTCTAGGAGGCATCCTGACAGCCCTTGGCATCACTGTCAATTGGTGATGATTGATAAGGAGAAACAGGCAGAGAGGCTTTTCTGGTATCCTTTAGCACCACAATTACTTTACATATGGCTGAATTAGGTGGATGCCCCTAATCACCTAAGGACAGTGGGAAGATTGTGCCAAACCTCAGAATATAACTGAAATTCCACCACTTTTACCTCATTGTGATGGAGTAAGCAAAACCTACCTAGGTTTGGCAGAGTCCCTCAGTGTGTTCCTGGGAAGATATTATATTCTACCATTATTAGTCCTTATCATTTTGTCTTGAATATCGACTGTTTCCTTCTTTAACCATAAAATAAGAGAAGGTTAAAAGATAATGAGTAAAGAAGAGAGAGAATTTTACAGATACTCTACAGGAACAAGCTATTGCCTGCTATAAAGAGAGTAAAGGGGTTATGTAATAGGTAACAAAATAATTTTAAATATCTATCTTTGTATCTCACATTACCTTAGATCTGTTTGACTGCAAAGTTCAGAGGGAGATGGCTCCCAATTCATCACTCCTCTCTGTATTTGTTCCCTTTGCCATGTAACTTTATAGTTGCTCCCTCTAAACTTTGAACTCGGCCGTAAGTCTTGCTTTTACTAATTACATATGAGCTGAAGTGATAGCCCTGAGTTACTTCCATTTACTCTCCTGCCCTTTTGACACTGTCATAAGAACATGCCCCCAACTGGCCCAGTTATCCAAGGAGGATGAGCAATTCTTAAAGCTGAGCCTCCTCAGACGAGTGCGGACTAGATCAGATGGGCTTCAGCTGACCCATAGGTACACAATCAGAATAATGATCGGTTGTTTCAAGTGGTTGTTTCGAGCCACTAAATTTAGAATGATTAATTGCAGAGCTCTTTCTCTGCATTGATACAATAGTGTTTCTCTTTCTATATCCTAAATTCATTTCCATTTATTTATGTTATAAAACTTTTTTTAGTAGCAAAATATTTGTCATGTGATATGTGATTTATTTATAATATTCATTTGAATAAATGTTTCCTCACAATTGTTCCCAAGCTACCTTTCCCGGTTTAACTCCTTATTGAGTTGCACTGTGTGTCTTTCAAAAAAGATATGTGGAAGCCCTATCCTTTGGAACCTCAGAATATAAACGTATTTGGAAGTAGGATCTTTACAGACATCATCAAATTAAAATGAAGTCATCAGGGTGGACTCGAACAGGACTGGTGTCCTTATAAAGAGGTGAAATTTGGACACAGAGACATATGTACATATATGGAAGACAAAGTGAAGACACTGGAGAAGGTGGCCATGTGGCTGTAGTGTTGCACCTACAAGCCACAAAATGCTAAGGTTGCTTCTGGTAACCACTAGAAGCCAGAAAGAGGCAAGGAAGGATTCTTTCCTAGAGCTGTCAGGAAGAGCATGACCTTGTCAACCTTGATTTTGGATGTCTAGCCTCCAGAACTGTGAAAAAATAAATTTCTGTTGTTTGAAGCCACCCAGTTTTTGGTACTTTATTATGGCAGACACAAGAAACTAATACACTTCACAATTCTTCTTATTATCTGAGTCATACCAAGCCTCTCCCACGGCCATTTACTTAATCCTACAGGCCCTTATACATACAATCTGCCTTTTCTGGAATTATTTTTTATTTTTTTCTTTAGCTATGTAACTTCCTATTCAATCTCCAAAACACCACAGAAAGCTTATCTCCTCTGAGATGCCTGATCCAAATATCACAGGCAGGGTTAATTTCTCCTTCTGTGTTTTCCCTCTGTGCTTCAGTAAATAAACCTGAGTATTTGTCCCATGTATTATATATAGTATTTATCACATTGTACTACAATTAGCTTTTTGGATGCCTTTTTTCCCTGCAAGACTATAAACTCTTGGAGGGCAAGAACTGTGTATTATTTATTTCTACTTACATCCTTTATTTCTACTATTGGGCTGATATAGGCCCTTGAGAAATGCTTGCTGACTGACCAAAGAGGTTTGAAGGATGAGGTGTTGCTTTGGAAATAAAGACCTGAGATGTAGACAGAAGACAGCTTGTTGCTGGCAAGAGGGCATTGGTGTCTGTAAGAAGAAGGTATTCCATGGTGATGGAAGAGGCGGGCTGAAAGGAGAGTATGCATAGCTACTTAAGCTCATTCTGAAGGTAGAACCCAATTCTCTCCACAGCAAAAATGCAAGATAAGGATACTTCTGATTTGAGCCTACATACTTAACATCTGCTTATCATCTTTGAAAGCTCATAAACTTAAAGAAAAAGAATGAATAGAGCTGGAAGCCTCCTCCAACCACTCCACTTAGAGCCCTCATTTTGGAGCATTAAGATCTTTTTGAGGAATATGTAAATGAGCAGGGCCTTTGAAGCCAGGAAGACTTAGGTTGGAATTTCTCTTGTTCCACCTGCTTACTGTGTGACCTTTGGAAAGTTCTTTTACCTCTCTAAGACTTTGTTTCCTCATTTATAAAAATGGAAATGATGCTTTCTGCTTTATAAGGCTGTTACAAGGATCAGATAATACACACTATCTGAAAAAGATTGGTGCATAATATGTGTTCTGAAATGTCAACTTCCCTGCTTTAGGTATAATCAATTGATAATTCAGCCCAGAATGGGAATGTTCTCTCTTTTGCAACACAGGCAAGTGATTAAAGGATTCTGATCTTCAGATCAAACTTGTTTTTCCTGTAGTAATCACAGTAAAATATGTGAAAGTCATTAAAGGAGAGAAAATATTGATGCAAACCCTGCAACTCTGAAGAATGTATGTCAACTTCAACCCTTTATACAGTTTTACAGATGAAAAACTTACAGACACCAGGGTTAAAATGAAAGTGGACTTACTCTACACTCAAGCAATCAAAGAGGTCCCTTTTTGGTAATGACACAAGAACAATAACTCTTGGTTAAATTTTATCTGGGTTCACAGCTTTTTAACTTTTGGATAAAAAAAATCAAAGTATGATATCTGGATTCAGAAAAGAATATAAATAATGTGTTTATAAATGCCAACAATTTTGTGGTCTCATTTCATACCTGTCACCTCATATTAGGAAATAAATCATTCTGTGGTTATTCAAACACACCAACCTTCCTTTTGTCTTTAAAACTGCTTCAATTTCCATTATTAAAGTCTGTTCAGAGGCAAATTGTTATTTCTGAAAATTGCAGTTCATGAAAACCATCTTCAAACTGAGCAAAATTATTTCCATAGCATCTGGTTCCTTCATTTATACATTTATTTTTATTTATTAGAAGAGACTTTTTGGCAGCCAAATATACATTCAGTAATAGGTTGGCAGGTATGCCAGGTATTTGACATGCCTCTTCTTACAGCCTTGGGTCAACCTTTATTCAAAAGGGCCAACTCCAAGGAGGTTGGAGGTTCTTGTATGGAGGTTCTTCTCAGGTTCAAAGAGGGAATAGATAGAGCTTTTGCCTTATGGTGAATACAAATATGTTTAAAATGTATTTCCACTTGGAGATTTAAGTTTTACTGTGTGTAACAAAGAGAATGGGAGTTTTAGTGCCTTTCCTAACCAAGTTCTCCTATTAAATTGTTTAAATTACATATGAGAAAAATAAAGTTAAGGAAAAGCAATATAAATAACTGAATTGTACAGCATGTCTAATAAACACCTCTAAATCAGAAGGGCTCATAAAAAGAATATTTTGACTCTTTTGCTAATAACATCAATACAAAAACACTTAAAAATTAATACACACAGTGCTGCCCTTTTTCCCCTCCAGGAAGCTAACATTCTTAGCCAACTTTTAACACATGCTGTGGGTTATGGAAAGCACAGAACTATTTTTTCCTGATTTGTGTGTGAGGAGAACAGATTAAAAAGAGGTTAAGTAAGTCTCTCCTGACTGTGAAATCCCACATCTCATTTTATCCTAGTCCAGAGATCTGGCTTTAGCCTCTTTACATCACCTTCTCCCATCCAGAGCCAAGTGGCTTCCTTCGTAAGTCCAGCATTCATGCCTTCCTTCCAATTATGAAGTTATTTCACTCCCCTCCCCAAATCTGCCCTCAGGCGAAAGGCTTTCAGATTTTGAAAGTTTTATGCAATGTTCTTTCCACCACAAACTCCTGTATAACAATCAGAGATCCTCAAGGTATTAACTGAGATAGTACAAAACTAGCTGGAAAAAAAAAAAAAGTAAGAGTCAGACCTGACTACTTAAAGTTGTTAACAAAATCTCAACAACTTTAGTTTAAAAATAGAATTGGGCTTTATTAGTAATTCATGAATCAGGCAGCATCTCATCTAAAATTACAGAGAGCTCCATTCGGCATGGCAGAACGAGTTTTTTGTTATAACATAGCTTGAGCAGTAACAAGAAAACAGAATAAAACAACAAAAAAAGGAGATTGGTTAATATCGGTTTACTTTCCTTGTAATGATTAAAGCACAGAGGACTTTCACATCATGCTGGCTCAGGTTGACTGGATCTTTCCCAATGGGTGTCTTTGAATCTCCTGTTTTTAGGAAAAACTGGTCCGTTGGAAGATTTTTCTTCTTCCTTGTAGTTTCAGTTTTATCATGTAGTACTTAGTATGAAGGTTGTATTAGTACGTTCTCATGCTGCTGATAAAGACATACCCGAGACTGTGTAATTTATAAAGAAAAAGAGGTTTAATGGACTCACAGTTCCATGTGGCTGGGGAGGCCTCATAATCATGGTGGAAAGCAAAAGGCACATCTTACATGGCAGCAGACAAGAGAGAATGAGAAGCAAGTGAAAAGGGAAACCCCTTATAAAACCATCAGATCTCATGAGACTTATTCACTACCACAGGAACAGTACAGTGGAAATTGCCCCCATGATTCAGTTATCTCCCACCGGGTCCATCCCACAACACATGGGAGCTACAATTTAAGATGAGATTTGGGTGGGGACATAGCCAAACCCTATCAAGGGGTTTGGTCTATTGGGTTCTAGTGCAGGAGTTCAGTTCAAAACAGTGGCTCCCCATACATTTTATTTAACAAAGCCTCAAGACAGTCTTGTAAGATAGGCATTATTATTTCTGTGCATGAAGTTGTCTATGTCTGCATTGACTTATCAAGCATTTGTGGATAACCTGTGCTCATTACTGGATACAAAGATAAGAGACCTTATGTTAAGACAATGTTGTAAATTGTGAGCTTAAGTACTACCCCATCACACCAGAGGAAAAGACATATAATGATAAATTTTAAAAGAGATTTCTCTGCTTTAAAACAAGAAAACTGGCTGGGCATGGTGGCTCATGCCTGTAATTCCAGCAATTTGGGAGGCCGAGGTGGGTGGATCACCTGAGGTCAGTAGTTCAAGACCAGCCTGGCCAACATGGTGAAACCCCGTCTCTACTAAAAATACAAAAATTAGTCAGGTGTGGAGGCACACAGCTGTAATCCCAGCTACTAGGGAGGGTGAGGCAAGAGAATCACTTGAACCCAGGAGGTGGAGTGTGCAGTGAGTCAAGATCACGCCATTGCACTCCAGCCTGGGTGACAGAGTGAGACTCCAACTCAAAAAACAAACAGACAAAAAAAGACAATTATCTCCTTGGATCACAGATGAAGTAGAAATGCAAAAGAGAAAGCAAGCCTGAGAGGGTGTCCTGCTGGTCTCCTGGCTCCGTCCCTGTTCAGAAATAGGCAAAGTCAGCCAGGAGTTGAGTTTACGCAAGATAACTGGACTGAAAGTGTTTCCCAAGTGGGATGTGGACTTGAGCCAGGCTCACTTCTTGAAACTAGTGCCAGGGTTGCAATTCCCACTGGTGAAATGATGTGTAAAAAGGGTATTGCCAAGTGGCTTCTAGATTAGAGTTGATATGTAGCTATAGAGCTATGAAAGCTGGAGGGCATAGTCCCAGCCTCAGGACAGAGAAGTGAACCATACTGGCTTCTAGTTCTGCAAAAGGATGAGTGAAAGCAAATTCAAAAGTTTGAAGGGGAGGGGGTGGAAAAAGAGGAGGGAAAGGAAAAAAGCTAGGGAGCAGAAGAAGGAAATAAGAAAGAGAAAGAGAGAAACAGAGAAACCGTTCTAACAAGGTAAATCTGCACCCCCAAATCCAAAGTACACTTAAAAGGAACAAATAATAAGGAAGTCCAAAAAGTCCATAAACAGAGGATGAGGTACCACAGAATAAATAAAATAGAAGAATTTGAGTAAAGAGTATATAATAAGTATGTTTATTGTTTTTAGAGAAACAAATACTTCCATTAAATAGGAAAGATCAGGAAATATTTTTAAAACAAAGTAGAAATAAAACAAAAATAAGTAGATATGAACAATATTTATAGCAAATATCATACTTCACAGTAAAATATTAAGGACATTTAAAAAATATAGAATACAAAAGATATTTCACTATAATAAATTCTTTTCCACGTAATATTAAAGATTACAGCCACCAAAATAAGATTTGGAGAAAAAGTATTAGAATTAAAAACTTATCTTTTGAATCAAAATATAGCATTTAAAAGTGAAAAGACAAACTATGTATTGAGAGAATATATTTGCAATAAACCCATGAAGGTCTAAAATTGAGAATATTTTAAAACAAACACTTACAAATCAATAAAAGCTCTTATAAATCAATTAAAAATCTCCAATAGAAAGATGGGCAGAAGTCATTGAACAGGCATTTCGCAAAAGAATCAATCTGTGAAGAACATGCATATGAAAAGATGTCAACCTCACCAGTAATCAGAGAAATGCTAAATATATGATTTCACACCCACCATATTAACAAAAGTTTAAAAATGTTCTTAGAATACCAAGTGTGGGTGAGGATATCAATAACTGGAATTCTTACATACTAGTGCTATGACTATTGCAATTCAAAGACATCTAAATCTAAATCTATATCTACATCTATGTGTATACATATTTATCTTAGAAAAATTCTTTCACATGTCCACCAGCATACTTTTACAATATTTATAGCAGCATTGTTCATTGTTTGCAGTAGATTATTAACCCAAATGTACGTTAATGGGAAAATGGGTAAATTGTGATTTTTAAATTTTTTTTATTTTTTGAGATAGGATCTCACTCTGTCACTCAGGCTGGAGTGCAGTGGCGCCAAGTCCTGTGCTCAGGTGATCCTCCCACCTCAGTCTCTGGAGTAGCTGGGACTACAGGTGAGCACCACCACACCTGGCTAATTTTGTTTTATTTATTTTTTGTAGTGTCGAGGTCTCACTGTGTTGCCCTGGCTGGTCTTGAACTCCAGGGCTCAAGCGATCCTCCTGCCTTGGCCTCCTAAAGTGTTGGCATTACAGTGTGAGTCACTGGGCCTGGCCCCAAATTGTGATTTATTTAAATAATGAAATATTGTACAGCAGTAGCAATAAATGAACTAATGATGCCCTCATTGATGTGGATAATTGTCACAAATAATTATGTTAAGTGAAAAAACAAAATACAGAAGAATACATAGGGTATACCGGCATACCATTTACATACATTTAAAAATGTAGAAAATCAAACTATTTTAGGGATATATAAATCTTTAGTAAAACTGTTATGAAAAACAAGGCCCTTATATACATAGAATTCAGAATACTAGTTATTTCTTATGGGTAAGTAGGCAAAAACTGGGGAAAGCTATAGCAGAAGTTTTAAAGGTTTATGTGTAATTTCTTGAGCAGATTATTTGACATGAGTATCAGTAATTATACTTAATAAATGGTAAAATTATTTTGTATGTATGATATTATAATAATAAATTAATAAAAGAAAGCAGATAGAGGACAAAGAAAACAGACTGGGAGGCTCCAAAATATGTTTCATAAAAATTTCAGAAAAAGGAAGTAGAGAGTGGAGAAAAATAAGTCTGTGTTCTGGAACTCACATTGTGTAATGTGAATGGAGCCAGAGGGGGAATGAAAGCCCTGAGCTATGTATGCCTTACAACCAATACTTGAGGAGAGGACGAGAAATTTTCTATAACAGAAAGATTATAGGGGCCCTCAGATTTGCAGTATAGTTTGAACGGTGACAAGGATGAATAAAAATGCATACGTAGGCACAAGTCTAAGGATGAAGAGAGTATCTTTGAAACTATCAGTGAAAAAAGATTCCATATGAGGAACAATAACCAAACCAAAATAGGACTATTCAGCAACTAACTTATTTGCCAGAAGTCTAATGGAAAAGTAACTTAAAGTTCTGAAGGAAAATCACTCTCTAGCCTGATTTATACACCCAAATAAACAATCATTTAAGAATAACAGCAAAAAAATGAGATATTCAGATATAAAAAGACTGTGAGTTTATCACCCTCAGACTCATTAATAAGACATTCCAAAAAATAGAACAGTGAAACAAGAGGGAAGGACTGAAATCCTGGTGGGCACAGAAGCTGATAAAATGTTGGGAAATTTGCTAAGTTTTTGGTAAACTCACTTTGTTTGTTTTGTTTTTTTTTTAGACTAAAATGAAAACTCCAGTTAACTCTAATAAGGAAGATGAGTGGGGACAAGTTGAGAGAAGACCTTCAATGTGTAGTTAAAAGGTTAAACATTCTAAGAGTCTCAAGTTGTTTGGGAATGAAATAGAAATACTAAATAAGACATTATTATTATTATATTTTTTAATTATTATTATTATTTTTCCGAGACAGAATCTTGCTCTGTCACCCAGGCTGGAGTGCAGTGGTGCTATCTCGGCTCACTGCAACCTCCGTCTCCTGGGTTCAAACAATTCTCCTGCCTCAACCTCCGAAGTAGCTGGGATTACAGGTGCCTGCCACCATGCCTGGCTAATTTTTGTATTTTTAGTAGAAACGGGGTTTCACCATGTTGGCCAGGCTGGTTTGAACTCGTGACCTCAGGTGATCCACCAGCCTTGGCCTCCCAAAGTGCTGTGATTACAGGTGTGAGCCACCGTGCCTGGCCTTAAATAAGACATTCTTTCAAGTATTTATAAATATATGCTAAAAATTTAAGCAGTAAAGAACAAAAGTCTAACCTACAACTTCCAGGCCATCAGGGAAATTTCAAAAAGGGATATAGCAAAATATATTACTTCATACATAAGGCAGGCTAGGAAAACAACAACGACAACAGCAACAACAAAAATATATGGCAAATGAAAATTACAAAAACTAGAAGATGGTAGGAATAAATTCAATTATATCAGAAATCATGACAAATATAAATAGATACATTTCTAAGTGCCTTCTCAAATGAGAAATTTAACACATCTAAAACTGAATTCCTGATCTTCACCCCCCAATCCTACCCAAAATCTAAGGTATTCCTTAGTTTACTTACGGCAACTGTGTCCTTCCAGTTGCTCAGGCCAAACCTTGAAATCTTTGATGGCGTGTATCTCACATTCCACATCAAATCCATCAGCAAATCCTGTGGACTCTATTTTGAAAATATTTCCAGCACCTGATTATTTCTCACCTTCTTCACTGCCATAGTCCTGGGCCAAGCCACCATGGTTTCTTCTGCAGATGATTTCAATTGTCTCCTAAGTGGTCTCCTGCTTCCACATGGCCATTGCTTCTCACATGCTGCCACTCATACTCTATCCCCCACCCCACGCCACAGGCCTTCTCCAGACATCAGGCATAAGAATCCTTTTAAAAATTCAGCTGGCTGTAGTGGCTCACATCTGTAATCTCAATGCTTTGGGAGGCTGGGGCAGGAGGATCACTTGAGGCCAGGAGTTTGAGACCAGCCTGGGCAACATAGTGAGACCCTGCTCCACACACACAAAAAATAAAAATAAAAAAATTAAAAATTAAAAATTAACCAGGTGTGGTGGTACACATCTGTGGTCTTAGGTACCGAGAAGTCTGAGGCAGGAGGATTACTTGAGCCCAGGAGGTCCAGGCTGCAATGGGCTATGATTACACTGCTCCAGCCTGGGTGACAGAGTAAGACCTCGCCTCTCAAAAAACAAAAACATAATGTAATTCGCATCAATTTCCTTTTGTGCTTAAAGCTCTCCAATGGTTACCATCTCACTTGAAGTAAAAGGCAAAGTTTTTAGAATGGCCCAAACAGTCCTGCATGATCTGACTCCAGTTGTTTCCTTGGCCGTGTTTCCTACTGCTCTTCTTCTTCCTCACTGTATTAGTTTTCTCTTGCTGCTGTAACAAATTACCACAAATTTAGTGGTTTAAACAATACGAAGCTTATCATCTTACAGTTTTAGAGGAGGGAAGTCTCACTGGGCTAAATGCAATGTGTTGGTGGGGCTGCCTTCCTACTGAATTCTCTAGGGAAGAAACCATTCTTTGTCTTTTCCAGCTTCTAGGAGCTTCCCACAGTTCTTGTCTCATGTTGTTCTTCCAGCAGAGGCTCTGACCTCTGCTTTTGTCTTCACAATCTTGGTCCTTTCCCTTATAAGGACTCTTTTGATTACATCTGGCCCGCCAGCTAATCCAGGATAATCTTCCCATCTCAAGGTGCTTAATTTAATCATATCTGCAAAGTCCCTTCTGCCATGTAAGGTCACACATTTACAAATTCATGGGATTAGGATGCAGACATCTTTGGGGAGCCATTGCTCTCCCTATCACACGCACCACACTGTACTGATGCTGCCTCCTGGCTGTTCCTCCAGCATCCTGGACATGCTCCTGCCTCAAATCCTTTGAGTCTTTGTTCAAACGTTCCCCATTCAGCAAGGCCTTCTCTGACCACTGTCTTTAAAGTTATACCCCACAATACTCTCAACCCTCAATTCCCTGTTTTTTCTCCCTGTAGCATTTACCACCTTCTAACGTATTACAAAATTTAACACACTTATGTATTAAATTTTTTTTCTGTCTCTCCCCAGTGCATCTCATAAAGACTAGTCTATTTTATTCATTGCTGTATCTTTGGTGCCTAGAGCAGTGTCTTGTCCCTGCTTGGTGCTGAATAAATATTTATTGAGTAAATGAATGGATACATGATTAGATTTACCTACTGATACACCACACACACACATACACACAAACACTCACACACACACGCACACACACACACATACACACCTCAGATGAGGAAGAATAAAATCGCTGAGAAGAATATGGGCTCAGATGCTCTAGTCATCTACAAATTGTAGGTAATAACAATATCCACCTCATAGTGTCATATGAAGATTAAGTAATGAAGGTAAAATGCTTAAGCAGTATATGGGTATTTATTATTACTGTTATTAAAAGGAAGAGCCTTTCTGATTGAATTAAACAGAGAAAATGAAGAAAACGTAATCCTTGCCCTCCATGAACTTGTCCAGAGCAGTGGTCCTCTAGAGTTGGGTGCAGGTGCCCTCGGGTTGAGCAAGATCATCAAGACGAGAAATCTCATCTATTTTTGTTTTTTACCTTTATAAAGGAAATTATCAGGGTATCACAATAGTTGCTGTGTGGGCGTCTGTGGGCTCTCTGTCCCTTAGGGAGAGTGAAGCATGATTTGAGGAGAGTAGCAGTTCTACTACCCACAAGGGAGCAGGAAGATTTCCTTCTTTTCACATTCCCTGCCCTTCTCTGTGTTTGCTGTGTCCTATAGGTTTCTGTTAAATGGATTTGTAAATAACTAGCTCTGGCAACATGGAGAAATGGCTTAAAAAGTTCCCTTCCAAGAAATAATGGATGGAAGGTAACGCTTGTAACACAACCACAAACAAATTGTATAGAATGGTAGACAATTTTTGTCAGCCACATTATGTGGTAAAAACAGTGTTATTCTAATCAGATCTGCAGAGAAGTCAGATAAAAATATATATCAAGATGACCACTTGAAATATTGATTATCACCACCCTCTTAGTAAGCTTTCCCCTAAGTATAAATTGTATTCTACACTATTAGCAGTAATGAAAGTCTCAAGTCATTATAATTATCAAGACATTAAGAGTATCATTTTTAAACACCATATTATATTAAAATTTTTGTATCTTTCTATATGATTTATAATATACATCATATATCATAAATATAGTACTGTAAATGTCTATAAATAACTATACATTTATTGGTTCCATACACCCAAGCATGGTTCACTGATAAGCTGGTATTATATAAATATGGAGCCCGTGCAAGACAGCAGATGCTTACAGTGCATTCTGATGAGGCACTTAACAGAGGTGACCACAGGGCCATATGTGAGCTTATCTGTGAGGAGGATAAACCACCTACAGGAAGGACATTGGAGCTGAGGGCTGAAGGGCAGGTAGTCCTTAGCCAAGCACTGTGTAGGTGGGGGTATTCCAGACAGAAGGAGCAAAGTCAACAAAGGCATGGCTGACTTGGAGACCTGCAGGTCCTGCAGAAGGAGGGAGTGGTTATTGAGGAGGTGAATGACATCCAAGTCCACATATGAACAGCTGAGCAGAGGTGTTAATTCAGGCCTTCTGATGTCATATTTCTAGTCTTTCCCTGGGAAAGCAGTAAGCTGCACAGTTTAAACAAACAAACAAACAAACAAAAAACTTACAGGCTTTGGAATCAGACAGTCTGAGATTTGAGTCTAAACAATGCCACTTGCTCTGTGACCTAGATTAAATTGCTTTTCTTTCTGTTTTTTTTTTTCTTGAGAAACAGTCTTTCTCTGCCGTCTAGGCTGGAGTGCAGTGGAGCAACTGCAGCCTCCAACTCCCAGGTTCAAGAAATTTTCGTGCTTCAGCTTCCCGAGTAGCTGAGACTACAGGTGTGTGCCACCAAGCCCAGCTAATTTTTGTATTTTTAGTAGAAATGGGATTTCACCATGTTGGCCAGGCTGGTTTCGAACTCCTGGCTTCAAGTGATTAGCCTGCCCTGGCCTCCCAGAGTGATGGAATTACAGGCGTGAACCACTGCACCTTGCCAAAGTTGCTTCTCTTTATAATCATCAATTCCTCAACTGCAAATTCCAAAACTGTGATCAGATCACTTTGACGGTCTCCCAAGATGGTATACTTAGCACAATTACTTAGCCAGTGGTTGACTTCTGGAAAGTACCCAATTATAGTTTAGTAGGTGGGAAGGATTTTTAGTAGGTGGGAAAGATTTTTAGGAAAGATTAGCACAGGGAGCACTGGTCCAGAGTGCCCTTGGGCAAATGTGTATGGCCCTGAGAGCTAGGACATATTTTGCTTGCATAGTCTACTCTGAATCTCTTATGGGAACAGAAGAAAGGCCTCAATACTATAAAGTAGCAGATTAAGAAAATGAGAGGCCGGGAAATGACATTTATGATCATGTTGAAATGGGATGAAATATTGAAGGAGGTAAGATAGAGCTCTGAGAATCTCCTTTGGAAAATATCTTTTCAAAGGAGCTTTCTGGGCAGGGGAAACAGAATGATCCTTCTCTTTGGAAGCGAAAATCTGGTGTAAGCTGCTGGCTTGCTGTACGCCGGCTCCAAGGTCAGGGCTTGTCTGGGGCTGCAGAGCGGGACAGGGCAAAGGTCTCCACTGGTTTATGCCACTAGGATGTGCTTAGCAGTGCTCTGCAGAAGGCAGGAAAGCCCAGTAAGCAGAGTTATAGACAAGGCAATGTCGAGAAGAATTCGTGTCATGAAGAGAAGATAGGGGAATAAAGACAGGAGAAACAGGGTTATTATTGTGTGTGTATATTTAGATGGGAGGATGTTTTTTATTTTTATTTTTTTGAAGTAATGATTGGAAGAAAATTCAGTCATTTTATATTAAGGGCGTATGACCAGCCTGTGTCACTTGACCACTCTTATCTATGGTGGGAAGGGCAGACAGAAGAAAAACATCAACAACACCAAAAGGTTTCCATTACACAAATATCAATGGTGGAGAGATGAGAGAGATTCAAGATGGAAGTTTTGGAATGCTATATACAACTTTTAATGAGAGCTTCTACTTAAAGAATCTTCCCATTCTTTAATTCCATAATTGTAAAAGATTAGTCATATGTTCTAAAAATATACCATGTAGAAACAATATTATATACTCAGTATTGGGAAGAATGAATTAAAAAAAAAACAAAACAAGAAACAAACTACCAGGAATAACATTCTCTAGGTGACCATGAGACAAGAGCCTAAGAAGCAATCACAGTCCATCTATTGGGCTTTATAAGAATCTAAGTACACAAAGTCCTAGGAGACCTGCTACCTCTACACCTCTAGTGAGATTAATTATCTGTCTCTGATTTCTATGAGGTGGCCAGAGAATCTTGGAGCAATCTGGATGAAACTACAAGAAAGAAATCAGAGAAGTGAATATTACTGAGGAAGATGCCCTGTCAGTTATGAGATAGACAGCAAAAATGTACCATAGGACTACACCAGGCAAGCACAGAGTTGAAATCAAATTTTCATAGCCAACATGCATAATAATATAATATAATAATACCAATATATCTATAGTGTGCCTTGTTTGCCTATTCTAAGTACTTTATATATTTTATTTATTTATTTATTTTTGAGACGGAGTCTCGCTCTGTTGCCCAGGCTGGAATTTTTTTTTTTTTTTTTCTCAGACGGAGTCTGGCTCTGTCATCAGGCTGGAGTGCAACGGCGTGATCTCAGCTCACTGCAACCTCTGCCTCCCGGATTCAAGTGATTCTCCTGTCTCAGCCTCCCAAGTAGCTGGGATTACAGGCACCCGCCACCACACCCAGCTAATTTTTGTGTTTATAGTAGAGATGGGGTTTTGCCATGTTGGCCAGGCTGGTCTCGAATGCCTGACATCAGGTGATTTGCCCACCTCAGCCTCCCAAAGTGCTGGGATTACAGGCGTGAGCCACGACGCCTGGCCAGAAATATTGTATAAGAGTATGTTACTGCACAGCTCTTCCCAACTCCATGTTTGATGTCATGGTGATAGCTCGAAGTCAGCCATGGCAGTTGTATTTACATCACTGAAACCAGCAACTGCTACCAAACAGGGCTCTATTTATTGTTTTGTTGATTTTCTAGATTTAAGAAAGTGATGCGGAATATGTTAATAATGCAGATTAAATCTTAAAATGTGTCATGTCTGTCTATTACATTATAAATAACGCAAAACAGGAATAAACTTCTAGTCTTCAAAAACGATTATTTGATTCAGTGAAAAGTTGCTCTTACTCTTGATGAATGAGTGAGGTTCTGACATATGGTTTCGTTGTTTCACTTTTACTGTATTCTATAATGTAAACCAAATATCAAACAGCATTTTTGTCAGGACCGTACTTGTTGTCAATTGCAACCATGTGTTGTCCATGAACACTAAGTTTGGCAAAAATCAATGAAAGCAGTCTGTGAGTCTGTGAAAATCAGTTGCTATATGGAATTTATAATGAAAATATTGTATATTTTATTATTATTGTAAATTCTGTGTTACACATATTTTATATCAGTAAAATTAATTATACACACACCTACTCTGATTCAAACTACACATTTCTTTCTAGAGAGCCAGCTATTGAATGAGCACATCCCTAAGTCTAGGCTACTTCTGTAGCAGAGTGAAATTTGTGAAACACTTAGCTTTCTTTGGGATACACAGAAACTCTTGGGAAGGAGGGCCTAATAACAGGCTGCCATTCCTGCAGCAGAGCAGGATGAGGACTTGAACTATTCCTATTATGGAACAGAAAGCGAGAGTACTCCTGAAGCCTGTGACTGTTGGGTGCATCTATATTACATACATGTGAAATATACATGCATGTAAACAAGGGCTAGGGAGTGATAGGCACCATGAAAAATAGTCACAGTGGTGTGCTTAGGAGCAATTCTCTTTACCTTTATTTTCAATATTTTTTATTATTTTGAAAAAGTTAAAACCTAATAAATACATGGTTGTAAAGAGCAGCTCAGTTCAATAAATTAAGAACTACACAAATTCAGAAGATCTGCAGTCTAGCTCTCAATTTATAACTAAACCTGGTTCAATAGTTTGGCTTTATTGATTGTGTTTTTCATCTCCAAGGGGTAAAATAGCAACCTGGTGCACGAGGTAGCAATGAGGAATAAGTAATACAGTGGTTTGACAACATAGTTTCTTAAAAGAGTGATAGATGGGGCAAAGAACACTCTACATTATATAAATGCTAGAGGTAAAGCTAAACTGTACTTAAATGTATTGTTTCCTTGGTGGTCAGCTGACATCCTTTACCAAATCTGATATTATGAAATATCTATAATCTGTCTCTGAACAATTCTTCATTAATTCTCCTAAGCAGCATCTCCACCATTAACTTGGAAAAATAAGAAATATATTCTAATGAGAGTGTTAATTGTAAAAAGTGTTTTATTTCCTATCCTGGCAACCTTATAAATCAAATGCTTTGCACTGTATAGCAACAGAGTTGCAAAGTTGTTCATTTTGCAAAGCCAAAAGTGACAAGCAACATTTTCAGAAACATCAGTAGATGATATGGGGTCCTAAGGCTGCCCCTGATAATCTGGAAAATCTCTTCTACTGTGATTTGATTTCTCACATAAAACTTTACATAAAATAAATCGATGATAATATTTAAAGATAATTGCTGTGCTAGATGAAGATAGGGTCAAATTGACATTCCTATAGGTAAAAAAGGATTGCAATTCACCAAGGAATATGTTATTTTAATAGGTGGCCTTTTACCCCCTCATTATTTTTGTTACCTCTAATTGGTGTCAAAATGAGATCAATACCACATCCGCATCTCATAGGATTATTGTGAGGATTAAATGATATATAAAGTACTGGCAGGGTGCGGTGGCTCACGCCTGTAATCCCAGCACTTTGGGAGGCCAAGGCGGGCAGATCACGAGGTCAGGATATCGAGACCATCCTGGCTAACACGGTGAAACCCCGTCTCTACTAAAAATACAAAAAATTAGCCAGGCGAGGTGGCGGGTGCCTGTAGTCCCAGCTACTGGGGAGGCTGAGGCAGGAGAATGGCGTGAACCTGGGAGGCGGAGCTTGCCGTGAGCTGAGATCACGCCGTTGCACTCCAGCCTGATGACAGAGCCAGACTCCGTCTGAGAAAAAAAAAAAAAAAATTCCGCCCTACAGATTTAAGAGACATAACATAGATGATAGCAAAATATAATAAAATAATTAGTAAGTGATGTGTCTTGCATACTTGTTGCCTTTACTTTTAATAAAATTTATTTAAGTATATATTAAATATTTTACTTTCAAATAATGTTTGCCTTTAACAATCATCCAACAGAATTTCTGAAAATTTAGCAATTGTGTCTTAAGAGTTGTCATGAGCTGTCTGCAGCATGGGACTTCCTGCCCCTTGCTTTTCCTGCACAGAGTTCAAGTCCAAGCTTCTTGAAAGTCCCGGTCTACTACTGCTACCCACAGTGGGGAAAGGGAGAAGAGGCACAGGCTATTTTTCAAAAAGGAAACAATATCTACAGAGGTGCAACTCTACCTACATTGAAGACAAACTTACTGTTATTCAGAATAGTTAAATGCCACATATCTTTGCATTGTGGAGAGGGTTTTTGCTTCACCTAGTATAACCAAAGGGCCACCAAAACATCCCTTCCAGACACAGGGATTGTCTTCCTAAGACAAACGCTGTTTTTCACCTTACAAGACAGACCCTGCTTATAACTTAAAATAGATCTCTCCTAAAAAACCAGAATCGCGTCTTAAAAATATATGTCTACTCTATTTTATAATAGGCTCAATCACACTGTATATGTTATATATATCTATAACATGTACGTATTGTAAATGTTATGGTAATCATATTGTAAATGTTATGTACATTATATTTTACATTTCCTATTTTGCTTCACTCATATAATATATAAGCATTTTCCTATTATGTTTGTGATTTCCATTTTACTGGCTGCTTATAACATAAAATACTTTCTACTTATTATAGTAATTTTTACTCAAGTTCATTTATTCATTTAACAAAATTTATGGAGAACCTACATGCCAGGTGTTTTGCTACACGCAATTGGTGAACAACGCATAAAACTATCATGGCCCCACTTCATGGAACTCACAGTCCAATAAGGGAGAGAAACATTACACCAAACACACAAATACTTACAAATTGGGATAAAAGCTTGAGGGGGGAAGGTCACCATATGATTGGAGGAATTAGCAGAGGCAGATCATAAAGGATCTTTTAGGCCATTTTAAGATTAGATTTTTTTCCAAGAGTAATAGGAAGCCTTTGAAGGTTTTTAATAGAGAGGTAATTAAATGCAGTTTGCGTTTTTAAAAGCTCTCTGTGACTGTTAACTTGGGGTGGTTGGGGTGGGAGCAAGATCAAGAGTAGGGGGATCACTTCTGAGGCTGAGAAGAAGCTAGTGGTTTGTACCAGGGCAGTTTCTGTGATGGAATTGGTAAGTGGAGCCTTTGGAGATATCTGTTGATGTTAGAACTTACAGGATGTGGAGCTGACTTGATGGAGGGGGTTGAGCATGTAGGTGGATAGAGACATTTCTTGCTCAAATAAGAAAGTGGAGGAGGAACAGGCTTCAAGGATTGGTGGGTGTTTCTCAATAGAATGTCAAGGGTTCAGGGTTTTTTACATTTTTTTTTTTTAATTTAAACATATTTAGTACTTCAAAGTATGGTAAGATGAAGTTTATCTCTCTACTTATTTTCTTTTCTGATGACTAACATAAAAATTAAATTTAAAGTCTCAGAGAGCAAATTAAAGAATACATGATAGGCAACAAGATATACAAAAAACAAAAGAACCTTAGAAACTACTATAGGGAAGAGAGAAGGAAAATCAAAGGAGTTTTTGTCAAATCACAAAGAGTCATTGGAAACATACCACATTATGAAATTCTGTAAGGACAACCTAGTTATTAGCAAAAAAAGATGGGAAGCTTGTAAGTTTCATGTATGTGATTTTCATCCTACTTATTAAAAATGGCTTTTCCTTAAACCAGAAAAGATGCTAGGGGTTAAATAGTTTCATATGTGGGGAGAAATCTGTTTGTAAGTGATTTAGCTTATATTGAAGTTATATCTTAGAAGATCTGAGTTATGAGGTCTCTGAATAAGTTACAAAGGTATTTTTAGTTTCATTTCTACAAAATGAATCGTCTGTACTGTGACACTACATGTATGAAGAGATCTGATTTAGTTACTCTGGTTACGGGTGATTTGTCCCTGACCCGGGCAATGTGGGCTCCAGAACGTTGGTTACGATTGCGATTTGGGTCCTACAAATTAAAATACTTTTCTTTAACAATACCTTAAAATGTTCTCCACAGGAGACATAGGAGGACGTCCAATACTTCTGTTCAACTATATAGGTATTCAGCAAACTACACATAATGTCATACAGTATAAACTTGGAAAAGATGTTTAGCCTCTTGTAACCTTGGTTTCCTTATGTGAATTGTAGGGACAATAATACTTAAATAATATAGTTGCTTGAGGATTAAGAGATCCTGTTTACAAAATGTTTCACACTGTCTTTGCAATAGAATAAACACTTAATAGCTGGTAACTATTAATATTTTATTCACTAAGGTAAGTTTTGACATTCTGTTGCTTATATCAAGTCTTCCCTGATAGAGATTTGTTGAAATCCTTATTTCCTGTATCTTACTAGATTTTTATCTTTTTGTCACTTTATTCCATGGTGTCTGCTTATCTTATATGGTATTAAAGCTTTTGCCCACAAAAACTGCTGCTGAACTATCATTTATTGAGTCATCACTAAGGGTTACAGGATCTTTACAAAAGACTATTCCTGCCTTGGTTTGGGCTGAGGCCCCAACTCAGCAGGTGCAAGTGCTCTGGTACAATGCAGTGAGGTACCAGGCCACTTAGGCAGGATTTGCAAAAGAGGCTTCAAACTCCAGTTTCAATCAATCTTGAATATACTCTTGAATCAACATTCACATATAAAAGAATTGAGAGGAGGCAATTAGAGAATTAACATGGAAAAAGTTGTTGAAGTGTTGAGGCATTTTCTTTCATATCACCACCCACTCTGTCCACATTCCTCCCAAGCTGAGTGAGAGGAGCTTCAGTGAAACCATTGTGAAAGATTGAGCTCTGTTCTGAAGGCCTCGGCCAAACCTACAAAGGTTAGGTTTGGGGACTATGGCTGATTAGTCACGTTCACTGCAGAGGGATGAGAGGTGGCAGTGCAGGAAGCCTGAACCCCTGAAAGTTTGTCTGAGCAAAGGATAGGTTGCCAGAGAAGCAGGTGTAGACAAATCAAGAGACAGAATCTGCCAGAGCTGTTTTAAAATGACTGTCTCCAGCAAAGAAGAGCATCCACTCCCAAGATGATGAAACAAGGTGAACAGAAATCTAAAAGTGAGGAGGGAGTGACCAGCAATATGGAAACCAGGGTAAATAAGCCGAAATTTATTCTTTAAGAGTAGCAACTAAGATATAATACCCCCAATTTACAACTCAAAAATAGCGAATACTTACAAATACTAACATCTACTGATGATTACAAAGAGAGTAATCAGTTTGGGGCCCCTTGGTGTTGGTGGGGTGAGACAAGACAGGGAGTCATTGTTGTTCTGCAAGATGATTTCTTTTGTTCTGCATGTTTTATCATTATTATGTGCTTATGTGATGCGGTTACATTATCTTGGTACTTAATAAAAAAGGTACACACGGTGGCTCACGCCTGTAATCCTAGCGCTTTGGGAGGCTGAAGTTGGAGGATTGCCTGAGGTCAGGAGTTCGAGACCAGCCTGCGCAACACAGTAAAACCCAATCTCTACTAAAATATGAAAGAAATCAGCTGGGCGTGGTGGAGTAGTCCCAGCTACTCGGGAGGCAGAGGCAGGAGAATTGCTTGAACCCGGGAGGCGGAGGTTGCAGTGAGCTGAGATCACACCACTGCATTCTGGCCTGGGCGACAGAGCCAGACTCCACCTTGACCAAAAAAAAAAAAAAAAAAAAAAATAGAAAGAAAGGAAGGAAAAAAAGAAGGTACACACACACAAATATAGTCAGAGACATGATATTTTAAAGTATTCCAAGAAATGAGAAAAGGTAAAATATACTAATAAAATATAAAAGGAAAGATCATTTCGAACTAAGAGAGTTAGAGAAAACTTCAGGAATGAAGTGATTTATAAAATAAAGCAGATTCTGACAAGACAATGTGAAGAACAAGTCATTTTAGTCATGTGTATGCAAGTGCTTGTGTGTACATGTGTTACTGGGTGAGATGTGTGAATTATACTAATACAAGCTATCAGCTTGAAAGCTATTTTCCTTTGTTCACAGATAGCTATAAAAGCCAAATGAAATTAAACTATAGTGAGATAATTATAAAAAACATTTTTTTACCTCTAATGCCCAGCAGGTTAAGTGGTACATAGTAGGCACTTGGGAAATGCAGGTGAGCTAATTAGTGTAAATGAGTGAACGAATTGTAAGTGATTAAGAAGTTGCTTAAAGAGAGTATGCACATTTCCGAAGGTAAAGTCATAGCCACATGTATAAAACATATTAATATACAATATGACGAATGGGTCATAGGTGGAAAACACTCCTGCCCAGAGTACCAAACTATAGGGCAAGGCCATTATTAGCTTTGTGTTCTATAAACCATCTAGCAGATATGGAAGCTCAGTAAAAGCAGAGGTGTATGATGAATTGCTTGTCTCTGGTTTTTGTACTCGCATCATTTCAAATACTAATTGGAGAGAGGTTTAAGGTAAGGTAACAAGCAACAAGGCTGAGGAAGTCCAGATTTATTATCCAAAATACAAAAACAGAACAGAACTGAATTCTAGGTAGAAACAGTCAGTTAGAATCTGACTGATTACTCATGATCATGGTGACCTGAGGGTTTCCAGAGCATAATTAAAATAACTCAGGACATCTTGCTCTCTGCATTTCTATCTCTCTAAGTATAGATTCTACAGATTGGAGAAAATAATGTTTAGTTTTATAACTTCAACCAAGTCTTTTCCAGGCTGTATACACATCTACCTTTTCCATTGTCATATCCCCATGTCTATATAATCTTTGGCCCAGAGTAGGTGTTTTATTAATATTGTTTTGGATGAAGAAAACAATTCCTAACACTTTGACTTCATTACATCACTTCAAAATTAACTTTGATATTCTTTGCTTCAGTGCCTTCAGTGAAGGTGAATTCATACTGGCTGGAAAAAGCTTACTCCATTTACAGAGAGTGGTACATGGTTCATATCCTTCTTAGTATCTGGCCCAGATCCAAATGAATTATTGCCTCATATATGGTACCAGTAATAATGAATAATAGGGGCTTGAATCCTGGAGGCAGAGGGCAGAGGTTGCAGTGAGCCGAGGTCATGTCACTGCGCTCCAGCCTGGGTGACCGAGCGAGAATCCATCTCCATTAAAAAAAAAAAAAAAAAGAAGAAGAAAAATAGGGTACTCTTGCCTCCTTTATTTTGAATTCTATGTGTATATATTAAGATTGAATTGGCTTTTTGGTCAACTATGCCAAAGTGTCTATCTGTATTTAATTCATAATTATTTCTCATACTTTTTCTACATGTGTGCATACTAAACTATGTGTGTAGTTTGTGAACCAAATAAAGTATTATATAATTATTTCTATTAGATTTGGGAAGGATTTTTTTCACGTAAAAAATCTAGGTAAATTTTGCATACAGTAAAATGTGTTCTTTATGATGTATACTCCTATGAATTTTCACAAATTTATTCTATCATGTAATAAGTATACAGTTATATCTTATTGTAATTTTAAATTGCATTTCAGTAGTCACTATTGATATTGAGCATCTTTTCAGGTGTTTATTCTTAACCTTTCTATCTCTTTCACACAGTTTCTGTTCAAATATCTTCTTCATTTTGAGACGGAGTGTTACTCTGCTACCCAGGCTGGAGTGCAGTGGCCCCATCTCGGCTCACTGTAACCTCTTCTCCTTCCCGGGTTCAAGTGATTCTCCTGCCTCAGCCTCCCGAGTAGCTGGGATTACAGGCAGGTGCCACCACGCCCAGCTAATTTTTGTATTTTTAGTAGAGATGGAGTTTCACCATGTTGGCCAGGCTGGTCTCCAACTCATGACCTCAGGTGATCCACCCTCCTCGGCCTCCCAAAGTGCTGGGATTACAGAAGTGACATCTTCTTCATTTTTAATTGGTTTATTTTATTATTGCATTTGAGAGCTCCTTATATAATCTGGATATAATTTCTTTTTTAGCTATATGATTTGCAAATATTTTCTCCTTTTCTGTGGCTTGTCTTTTCATTCTACCAACATTGTCTTTTGAAGAGGAGATATTTTTAGTTTTGATGAAGACCAATTCATCAAAAATTTTAATGGATTGCAGTTGTGGCATCATATCTAAGAAATTATATTTAACTCAAGAATGCAAAGGTTTTTCTCTTATATTTTCTTCTAGAAATTTTATAGTTTCAGGTTTTACATTTAGGTCAATGATCCAGTCTGAATTAATACTGGTGTAGAGTAAGAGAGGTGAACTGAAGGTTATTAACTTTTTTTCCATTGTTATACAATTGTCCCAGAACCATTTGTTGAAAAGACTTTCCTTCTCCATTTACACTTTCATAAGAGTTTAATTAACAGCATATGTGTAGTCTATTTCTAGATGCTCTATTCTTATTCACTTATTTATATGTCTGTGCTTTTTCTAACACCAGGCTATTTTGTCTTCTGTAGCTTTATAGTAAGTTTGAAAATCAGGTAATATAAAACTTCCAACTTTGTTGTCCTTCTTCAAAACTGATTTCACTATTTTAGTTTCTTTGCCTTTTCTAGAATTAGTTTCTTAATTTCTAAAAAAAAAAAAAAATTGCTGGGATTTTGACTGGGGTTATGGGGAATCCACAGATCAGTTTGAGAACATTGATATCTTAACAATATCATATCTCCCAATCCATGAACTGGTATACATTTCCATTTACTTATGTTGTCTTTTCTTTCTTTCATTAGGGTTTTGCAGTTTTTAGTATACAGATCTTCTGCTTATATGATTTTACCTAAATGCTTCATTTGTTGGTGCTATCAAAAATGATACTAAAAAATTAAATTTCTAGTATATAGAAATATGATTAAATTTTATATAGTGACCTTGTATTCTTAAACTTTTATGCATTTTATGCATAGTTGTAATAGCCTTTTGGTAGACTCTTTGAGATTTTCTACATAGACAATAATGTCATTTACAAATAGAGTCAGTTTTTGTCTTCCTTTTTCAATTAGTATGCCTATGTCTATCATTTCTTTTTCTTGCATCTCTATTGTATTTTTCTTTTTTTTATTTAGCCCATTGTTCTAGCTTGTCAAAAACTTTCGGTCATGAAATTGTCACTTAGCTTTTTAATTGTTTGTCAAATTTCATCAATTTCCTCCTCCTATTTTTCATTTAGAAGTACTGAACCAATATGCACCTACTATGTACCCACAAAAATTAAAAATAAGAAAATTGGAAAAAAGTATACCAGATAGTTTATACAAAAGAAACACATCCATTTCTTGTTAAGAAAAATTGAAAACATATACAAATGTGGAAAAATAGTATAATAAACACTTTGTACCAACCACACAGCTTCAAAAATTATCAATACATGGCCCCTTTTATTTCACCTGTATCTCCACCTACTCCCTCTTTGTGCCCTCCATCACTATGTAATTTTAAAGCAAATCCAAGCAACATTATTTTCAGACAGAGATTTGACATTAAACTTGTCTGCCATGCTATTCAAAGTTAGAAATGGCGACTTTTTCATAATTTTATATCCACTGCTTAGCTTGGCATCTTATACATAAAATATGTAATCAATAAATTTTATTGAACTAGAATTTTTGGAATATCTCGCAGTTCTAGAAACCATTTCTCCCTTTACTTTTTGAAAATCAATCTAGTTTATTGTGAGGTCCTTGTTTATTCAATCTTGTTTTTGGAAGTATTGTATTAAATATCTAAGAGAAAATATCTATGTAATATATATATGAGTATTAAAGCATAGTAATGCAACATATACCCAACATCCAACTCAAAAACCAGAATTACAATAAATCACTAAAATTGCTGTGCTCCTTTTAAATCCGCCATTCTCATCTCCCTTGCAGAAGTAATCCTGGCTGCGAATCTTATCATTCAGATTTCAAATAGTTATATAAACACACATCCTTAAGCAAGATATTGTTCAGTTTTGCTCATTTTTGAGGCTTATAAAAATGCTATTATACTGTAGTTAAGTTTCATGAATTATCATTTTAAAAATTAGGGTGTTCAATTTATCTTTAATGTATTTTAGTTATGGTTGAATTGAAACATACCATCTTATCCTTTATTTCTATGATCTGTTCTTTTTTCCTTTTTTTCTGCTTTTCCTCATTTCTTTTGGATTAACTAAACATTTTTTATGATTCTCTATTACCCCCACTTGCCTTTTTTGTTAAATCTTTTTAATTTCTTAGGTGCTTGCTCTAAGATTTACAATATGTGTCTTTAACTCATCATAGTCTAACTTTATATCATATTATACCACTTCATATGTAATGTTAGAATGTTATAACAGGATACTTCCATTTCCTCCCTCTCACCTTTTGTACTATTGTTGTCACAAAATTTTTCTTGTATGTTATAAATCCTGCTTTAGATATCTAATTTCCTTTTACTTTTATTTAAAATTCTAAAACATTTAAATATTTACTCTCATTTTGGATATCTAATTTCCTTTTACATTTATTTAAAATTCTAAAACATTTAAATATTTACTCTCATTTCTATCATCTCTATTGCTCTCCATTTCTCCATTCAATCTAAATTTTAATCTGATATTATCCTCTTTCTGCTTGCAGTCCAGGTCAGCTGGCTGTAAATTGTTTCAGCTTTTGATTCTCTGGTAAGGTCTTTATTGTAACTTTGTTTTTGGTGAATAATCTTGCTGAGTATAGAACTCTGGATTGGGAATTTTTCTTTCAGCACTTTAACAGTGAGACTCCATTGTCTTTCAGCTCACAAAATTTCTGTTGAGAAGTCTGTCTTTCTCATTTTGGAGCTCCAATTGCAGGTATTTTCGACGATTTGATGATGTTACCATAGGTCTGGGACTCTCTGATTGGTTTTGTTTTCTCCTCTCTCAACATTGCTCAATCTTTTTCTTTTTGTCTTTAAGATTGGTTAATTTTTAATGTCCTATCCCCAAATTCACTGATTCTTCCTTCATCTATGTGCAATTTACTGTTAAGTTGTTGAAACAATTATTTATCTCTGATATCCAGTTTTTATTTTTAGCTTTGTTATTTTTTGTTTTTATAGTTTCAATGTCTTTGCTGAAATTTCTCATCTGTTTATGCATGTTATCAATTTTTTTCCTAAAATCTTTAACATATTCATCATAATTATTCTGAAGTCTCTACCTGATACTCCTAAAACCTGAATTATCTCCGAGTCTGATTCTGTTTATTGCTTTATCTCTTGACAATGGTTCTTTTTTTTTCTTGCCTTTTTTGCTAGTCTCACAATTTTTGATTGAGTATGGGATATCATTTGTAGAAGGAGAGTAGAGACTGAAGTAAATAGCATTTATACCTGGAAATGGGCATGCCTCTTTTTTCAGTCTGCTAGCATGTAAAGTTGAGTCCACCTAGTCAGTAGTTCAACTAGGTTTTGATTTTCTTGTTGCTAAAGTTACTCTCAGTGTATCACAGGCTGTAAGTTGCTCCAGCCGTGAACAGTTTTGGGGCCTGGAGTACTGAGGTTTTTGTCTGTGCTTATGCCCTACCCGGAGCTTTCAGAAGTCCCTGTATGCCTGTGTCACAAGGTTCTCTCTCTGTATGATTGCCCCTTCCCCAGAGGTAGATTGCTATTGTTTGTTACTTACTGCTAGGTTCGTTGTGAGAAACAAGGGATAACTTTGTTCTCCTGGGCCAGCCTTCTTCTTAGCCAGGACCTACGCACCTTGGTCTTGGAAGGAGGGCTTTTTCGGTGTTCCTGCCATTTCCATTTATGGCAGCCAAACCGCCCTGTATCTTTTGGCAGGTCTTGGGTAGAAGGGTTTTCTGACCTTCCCCTAGGGTAGCAGACCTCCATTTTGTATTGGTGCAGAATGGTGGGACATAAAGACTTTTTTTCTTCTTCCCTTGGAGAAAATAGCTTTGTTTCTATCTTTCAAGAAGATTCTGATGGCAGGAAGGAGAGTACCATACCCTTTCCCCAGAGGGCTGATACATTTTGCTTCTGTTCCTTCTCCAGGGACCTTGGGGGCAAGAGGATTTGCTGTCCCTCCCCAAGTGGCTTAAGGCTTTTGCTTTTTTTTATGAGAGATGAGTCCAGGGAAGTGGGTGGTGTTTGGGGCCTGAATCCAAGCAGCTGTTCACCTTTTGCATACTTGCACCAGTAAAAGGCAATCTCTCTGGTTTTCTGTTCTAACTCTAGTTTTTCTTGAGAGTGAGCACCTGTTGGAGGCCCATGGAGAAGAGCTTGTGTGTATGAACTACTCTTGTATCTGGGTGACTAGTTATCCTAAATGTATATGCTAGCCCATATTTGACCTTTACGAATTTATTAAAATTTTAGCTGATTTCTTCTTACCTTCATCTAGCGTGACCTTCCTATTTCTCTTGTGCCTTGACAAGGGTAAACAATTCCTGTATCTTGTCTGTCCTTGGAGGGATTTGTCTGTTTCTGGAATTTATTTCTCATGGTTGCCTTATGACTTTGGATCTCTGATAGGTTCAATAAAAGTTTTGATTTTATATATTATCTGACATGTGCTGTTGTTATTAGGATGGGAACAACAATCTCTTCTAGATTTCCATAGTTCAAGTGGAAGCAGGGTTTGTATGATTTACTTTCTTGATACAGCATTGTATTTTTAAGATTCATTCATGTTGTTGCATGTAGCTGAAGATTATTTATTACCCCAATGTATGATATTCTATTATGTGTATATACCACAATTTATTTATTTCCTATAAATAGGCTTTTGGGCAGTTTCTAGTTATTTATTTTTATGAACAGCATTGCTTTGAACTATTATTTATAGCTGTTGGTGTGCCTTTGTAAGTTTTTCTAACTTCCATACCTAGGAGGTATTGTTGGATTATAAATATGCTATTGTTCAACATTACAAAATAATGCCTTTGCTTTCAATTTTCATGTATGCCTCCACACCTTTTGAGCAATAAAGAAAAAGCAAACATATCAAATATGTTTATCCTCTTTCCTTTCAGTTATCACCTGTTTATCCTTCCATTTTTTATGATCTCTTATGTCCGAACTGCTCCTGGATTTTTGTTTGGATTGTGGATTCATATGTGGCTTATGATCTAGCTCTTGCACTCTGGTCTTTCTGTTATTACTTTATTTGCCTGATTTTTGACTCTCGGTGCTTTCTAAACTATATTGGCTTGGCCTTGCTACTAGAGTGTGTGTTGCTTTGATCTCTATAGAATATAATTCCACTCATTTTATTCATCCCCTCAGTTTCCAATCTCAAGCTTGGGCCAATTGAGCCAGTGTAATGACTAGGTATTTTTCCTTGGCCTACTGTATGTGTATGTATATGTATATGTATATGTGTGCATGTGTGTGTGTATTAGTATCTGAACACTTGAAGTCAAAGTCACTCCATCAACCGTGTGTGTGTGTGTGTGTGTGTGTGTGTGTATGTTTGAGACAGAGTCTTGCTCTGTTACTCAGATTGGAGTACAGTCAAAACTCACTGCAGACTTGGACACCTGGGCTCCAGAGATCCTCCTGCGTTGGTCCCCACTGAGTTTTGGGATTACAGGCATGAGCTACTATGCCTGGCCAGTCATTATTATTTAGATAGATTTAATTTCACTGTAGAAATTGACCTGATTATTTAACTAGTTACAACTACAACCCACATTTTTTTGCTTTCAAGGGTATGAAGAAAGATCAAGTCAAGATTTAAATACACAGTTCAGGAAAAGTGATCTATTTCTTTTTTTTTTTTTTTTTTTTTGCCTTCAAACTATACGAGTCTTAGACAGCTGACTTCATAAAGCACAAATTAAAATTTTTCTTCCTGCTTTGGTCTCTTTGAAATGAATCTATGAACCAAGATTAGAGTGCCCATGGAAAGGCATTATTGGTGGGACTGTAATACATATGAAGACAAATTTAGTGAAAGATTCAATATTTATGCCCTTAATGTCAGTTGGCTGGGAGTATATTTTATGATATCAGAAATACAGGAAAAGAACAAGATAGGAGTGATGAGAGGAACTAAATGAAGGAACTCTTAGTTTCTACATGCTACTAGTTTCATATTCCCTAGGGAAATATTGTTTTAAAGCAGCTGTGACGTGCATAGAATCCTCTTCCCTTGATAGTGTTAGTTATAAAATTAGGAAAAAAACCATGGTCTGTGCTTTCAAAGAGATTAGAACCTAACAAAGATTAGTATGCCAATGAATACCAGTGAATGCATTAATAAACACATAGTAGAAAACACATATAAATACATATAGATATTCAGAAGGTTGTAAATGAGTGTTAAGAAGTAGCTGGATCAGAGTAGGTTAGGCAAGAAGGACAGTTCAGGAATAAGCAGCCTCATCAAAAACAGAGTGTAGTATGAATAAAAATATTTTCTTATTCAGAGGTATATTTTAAAAATCTGTATATTTCTACCCTGCCAGTTGGACATAGCATTGTACTGGGTGCTGTGGATGCCCTGCTGAGACACTCTTTACTGGTCTTGCCTCTAGTTGTTGTGAGTGTTGATTGCAAAGGGCTCACAGCTGTCCCTTCCTCCGGGGAACCGTCTGAGCTATGTGGTATCAAAGAGTGGCTCCCAAACAAGCAGCATTAACATCATCTAGAAACTTGCTAGAAATATAAATTCTTGGGCTCCATCCCAGAACTACTGAGTCACACACTCTAGGGTTGGGCCCAGAAATCTGTGTTTTAATGAGCCCTCCATGTGATACTGATTCACAGTGAGGATTGAAAAACACTGTCCTGGCTGGTGGGAACCGGTTCTGAGAGTTCAGACACCACCTTCACCCCACCGCCACAGCTGATGACTGTTACAGGGTACAAAAGGCCAAATTCCCTTCCTCTGGGGTAGGGGGAAGGTCGCAGCTCCATGGTGTGATTTATACCCTAGAGAAAGAGTCAACAAACTGCAGCCCCTTGGCCAAATCCAGCCCACTGCCTGCTTTTGTAAGTAATATTTTACTAGAACAGGGCTGGACTCATTTATTTTATTATCTGTGGTTGGTTGTATGCTACAATGGCAGAATTGAGTAGGTGCAAGACACACTATCCTGCTGTTTACATGAAAAGCTTGCCCAATCTTAGTCTAGAGCCTCACCTATCTGAAAGCATCAGGCCAAGGCTAGATATCACTGACTATATCCTTGCTTGATTCTCTCTCCTCTCTATTCTGCTTGCTTCCCTCCTTTACAGATTGCTTGCCTAATCTCTACCAGGCTCTGCTTCCAGGAAACCTGAAAGAATACTCCCATGCTGATTTTTTGTTGTTGTTGTTTCTGTGTTAGCCTTGGCTTTAAGGGAGCCCTGAAGCTTCCTGTACTGATGCTCCATGGGCAGTTCCCCCCAGTTGATCTTTTGGGTCAGAGCTACTCTTCTCAGGAAGGGATGACACTTCTTATCTCTGCAACCCCCAGTTTTTCTTTTGGCTACTTCTCTAATAGTGTTTCTGTGACTGCCTGGAACAGTCTTTGTTATGTTGGTTCCAAGGGTCACACGTTATTATTATCTCATCTGTCTTTATCATTTATAGGGCACCAGAAGCCTAGATGACATTTCTCATTATACGCTTTTGTCAATGTCCAAGGATCTTTGGTAATTCAAATAAAAGTAAGAAAAAAACATGCACCCCGGCCAGCCATGGTGGCTCATGCCTGTAATCCCAGTACTTTGGGAGGCAGAGGTGAGCAAGTGTCCTATGCCTGGGAGGTCGAGGCTGCAGTGAGTCATGGTCATGCCACTGTACTCTAACCTGGGCAACACAGTGAGAGCATAAGTCAAAAAAAAAAAAAAGAAAAAGAAAAAAGAAAATCAATTGATCATAGATGTAGGGGCTTATTTCTGGGCTCTTAAAACAAATGCACCCCAACCACCAGCAATGATAATGTCTAGACAAGGGTTACATGAGGGTATTATTGCAATTCATTAATTTAAAAATAAGATAAAGAAAATATTTTGTCAGCAGTTTGCTAAATGTTCACCGAAGGAATTAAGCTTTATTTAAATAGCACCAAGTTCTGCAGTCTACTTCCTGAGTTGTTTATCTTTTTAATAATGAAGCGGCACTGAAATCTTTCCATTACAGTGATGTTTTCATTGTGTGATACTTGCTGTTGGGGCTTAGAAGAATATTTGTGCTTTCTAATGTAGAATGTTTTGTTCATATATATATATTTTACTGACAAGCTAAAGGAAATAGTAACACACAAAATGAAAAATATAACTAGTTTCAAAAGCTGAAGCAGTAAAAGTCTTTTTTATTGCAAGGATAAAGAGCTGGAATAAGAAGAGAGAGTGAAACTTATTAATGAAATAGGATCAAGTATGATGAGGTTGCACTTTAATATTGGCTGAGGATTTGGGCTAAGATGAAGAGTGCAGAGACTGTTCTTGTCTGTTTTTAGAGACAGTTGATCATTTCATTAAAGTCTGAGGCTGTTTCTCAGTCTGTAGGAAAAAAAACAGTTTATCCTTCTTTATTTGACATACTCACAAATAGAAAATACCTGTTTGCAGGTCAGAGAACCACTGTAGGATTTTCAAATGGATGGCTTCAGATGGCTCAGGAAGATGGAATTGTGTCAGAATAATTTCTTTACTAGAATAGCAATTTTATGAGCTGAAGTTTACTTTAGAATGTCATTTGTTGGTGAACTTCTGTAAAGAATTTTACATCCTAGGGACTTTTACCAAAACTCTTCTTGGCACACCACTTGGTTAAAAATCATTCTTGAGTACTAATAGAGTAAGCAAGGAAGCCCTCAAGATTTAGAATTACATACTCACGTACAGTCCTTAAATCTTGATATAATAATTCAAGACTTATAATTATCAATATGAGAGTAATAGATAATACAATACTGTTGTATACCATTTTAAAATTCTTTCAGAGCCAGGCTTGATGGCTCACGCCTGTAATCCCAACACTATGGGAGGCCGAGGCAGGTGGATGACCTGAGGTCAGGAGATCAAGACTAGCCTGACCAACATGGTGAAACCCTGTCTCTACTAAAAATACAAAAATTAGCTGGGCATGTGGTGGGTGCCAGTAATCCCAGCTACTTGGGAGGCTGCAACATGAGAATCACTTAAATGCGGGAGGCAGAGGTTGCAGTGGGCCGAGATCGTGCCGCTGCACTCCAGCCAGGGCAACAGAGTAAGACTCCATCTAAAATAAATAAATTAAAATAAAATAAAATAAAGTTCTTTCAGAGTGCTTTCATGTATTTAGTATTATTTTATCCTCACAACAATACAACAAAAGGGAATGGGTATTTAATTAATCAACTTAATAACCAAGCCCCAAGTTAACTTATGATAATAATGAATAATGAATGTTTAATATATATGTAGTAGATCATAAATAGGAAGATAGGCTTTGGACAAAATCAGAAAAAACTGGGTTCAAATATCAGCTGTGACTCTTACTAGTTCTGTAATGTTGATTATGTTATTTGATATATCTGAACCTCATCTCTAAATTAGGAAAGGGTGTTGCTGTTAAATACCTAAGGTTATGTATTTAAACTCCCTGTAACAGAGTCATGTTCCATGAGTTTTATTTCCTTTCCTACTTACCCTCAGCTATATACTTCTGAAATCTGAAAAATATAGAAAGTAGCTCCCAAGTCAAACATGTAAAATGGGTATTTGATAATTAAAATAGAAGAAAGACTATTTTTAAAAACCATGAAGAATAAAGTGCCATAACCTAAAGTAAGTGAATTTCTAAGGTATGTATGAATTTAGCTGTGAGTTTTCTCATACCTGTGCAAAAAGGGAAGCTCATTAGTTACTTGATATTCACTGCACACCAAAGAAAGCATACACACTCACAGACAGAAACTAACCTCTTCTTGAAATTAAGTTAAATGTGAATTTCTGTGCTCCCTTTCAAAACTGGTTATTTTCAGGCATAGTGGACACTGCCTGGCAACAGCTTTCCAAAAACAATAGAAATACTGATAAGCCAGTTTTCATATCGACCCTCAGTAAAGGCTCAGGAAAAAATCCTTTATCACTAGTCAGTGAAGGCATTTCTATGGATAACTGAGATAATTTCACCCAGGTACGTTGCTTCCTGATGATCTAACTCAAGATGTTAGAACCTAGAAGGAAGGATATTCAGCATATCCATTAGACTGTCTTTTTCAAATATCAGATGTCTCAAGCTAGTCTTTGTCAGGTGCAGGCTCACAGACAATTCACGCCTCTCTTACAACTACCCATGGAACAGCTATTCTTTTATGTTAGCTAATGTGAAAGCCATGTGCTTTAGACACCAGACATGAGGGAGGTAGAGTTATCATTATGTTATGAATGTTAAGAGCTTTACTCACATTCTTGCCAAGTTGGAGGGCCAAGCCATTTCAGTAGAGGCTTGGGGAACAGGAACATATGTGGTTAGGGTTGTGATTTCCCTTAAAAAAGAGCTCTGACTTTTCTCAAGCATTTGTGAGAAAACCTTGGTTGCACTCCTCAAGTTCTGAGCCTTATAATGCATAAAGGACAAGTATCATCTTTATGTTAGAGAGGTGAAGGGTCTTTCCTAAGGCTGCAGTTAGTAGGACAGGCATCACTAGAACTCTTATATCTGATTTCCTGGACCAGAGTGGTTTACAGTTGTATGCGTTGCCTAAGCTGGTAAAACAAGTTAATCATGATTCTAATTTAGCATATTACTTCTTCCATTCCTTTTGTTCAATCCATTGTAGCATAAATGGTCAATAATCTCATTTCATGTCACAGAAACCTGTGTGTTTCCATAGATGAGATTTTTCACACTAAGCTAGTTGCCATGATGTCAATGTATGTTTTTAAATACTTTGACCTGGTCATGCATGTAGAGTGGACCTGATTTAAAAAATCGATTTCACATTATTTATGTTGCTCTTACAAATATTTCCATGCCTTTTTATGGTCTTTCTTGAAAGACACCATAATTCCAAGATTTGGAGAACAGAATGGGCTTTGGAAGTTTAAAGTCAGCCACCCATTCCCATATTTGACTCATAAGTGGGGTTGTGAGAGCTATTGTCTGAGCTATGTGCCAAATTGAACCAGGGCATGATAATTCTGATACTCTTCTAGACATGGACATTTGGGAACTTGAGGGTGTGCCTGCCATTTGAGTCAACTGAAATTCTATCCCAAGAATTAAACACCCTTTTAACAGGCAATCTTGTTAAGACAGTGCTGACATTTTGCTTATTTTGCTTTGCGGTTGAAGAGCTAAAATGTGTCTGCTGATCCCTGCCAGAACACTGACGGACATTCCCCATATTGACAGAGCTGTGGCACTGCATTAGAGTGGTGGGGATGCCAATTCTCAGGAGATCTCCTGCACTCCAGCTCTGTGTGCTTGGGATCCGATCTCAAAAAGTAACTCTCTAGTGAGAGAACATTTTTCACAACTGAATTATAGTTGACTGGTTTCTTGTCTTATTTCTTTACAAGTCTATAAACCTCTTGAGGACAGGATTAGATCCTATTCACTGTATTTCAGTTCCTTGTGCATTATTGTAATGCAAGAAGAAATGCTAAAGTAATTTCTTCTGTCCAGTGGGGGATGATTTTTTAAGGTAATATTAAAGTTAGAAATTATATCAAAAGATCAAGAATCCAAGATGCATTTATTATCCCTTTCCATTTTATAACAGTAAGACAGAAAATTAAAGCAAACAATTTCACCATGTTTATATTGGAGAGGAAACCCTTATGTTCTTGCATTGCACAGACATTTCCAGTAGAAAATTAAATACAAGCATGTTTGGAGCCATAGAAATAAAGGTGATGAAGATCATCCTGAAATCATTAATTTCTGGTATTAATTTTAAAAACTCTAAAATAAAAAAAACCTCTGAAGAAGAATTAGTTTAAAAAACTCTAAAAAAGGGGAAAAGTGGAATTGGTAAAGTAAATGAACAATGAAGAAAAGAATGAAGCAAGAGCAGGTCAGTGGACTTTAGCTCATTCACTCTTGCCTAAGAACTTAACAAACTTTTTTCTTTTTTTCTTTTTTTCTTATTATACTTTAAGTTTTAGGGTACATGTGCACAATGTGCAGGTTAGTTACATATGTATACGTGTGACATGCTGGTGCGCTGCACCCACTAACTCCTCATCTAGCATTAGGTATATCTCCCAATGCTATCCCTCCCCCCTCCCCCCACCCCACAACAGTCCCCAGAGTGTGATGTTCCCCTTCCTGTGTCCATGTGTTCTCATTATTCAATTCCCACCTATGAGTGAGAATATGCGGTGTTTGGTTTTTTGTTCTTGCGATAGTTTACTGAGAATGATGATTTCCAATTTCATCCATGTCCCTATAAAGGACATGAACTCATCATTTTTTATGGCTGCATACGATTCCATGGTGTATATGTGCCAAATTTTCTTAATCCAGTCTATCATTGTTGGACATTTGGGTTGGTTCCAAGTCTTTGCTATTGTGAATAGTGCCGCAATAAACATACGGGTGCATGTGTCTTTATAGCAGCATGATTTATAGTCTTTTGGGTATATACCCAGTAATGGGATGGCTGGGTCAAATGGTATTTCTAGTTCTAGATCCCCGAGGAATCGCCACACTGACTTCCACAATGGTTGAACTAGTTTACAGTCCCACCAACAGTGTAACAGTGTTCCTATTTCTCCACATCCTCTCCAGCACCTGTTGTTTCCTGACTTTTAATGATTGCCATTCTAACTGGTGTGAGATGATATCTCATTGTGGTTTTGATTTGCATTTCTCTGATGGCCAGTGATGGTGAGCATTTTTTCATGTGTTTTTTGGCTGCATAAATGTCTTCTTTTGAGAAGTGTCTGTTCATGTCCTTCGCCCACTTTTTGATGGGGTTGTTTGTTTTTCTCTTGTAAATTTGTTTGAGTTCATTGTAGATTCTGGATATTAGCCCTTTGTCAGATGAGTAGGTAGCGAAAATTTTCTCCCATTTTGTGGGGTGCCTGTTCACTCTGATGGTAGTTGCTTTTGCTGTGCAGAAGCTCTTTAGTTTAATTAGATCCCATTTGTCAATTTTGACTTTTGTTGCCATTGCTTTTGGTGTTTTACACATGAAGTTCTTGCCCATGCCTATGTCCTGAATGGTATTGCCTAGGTTTTCTTCTAGGGTTTTTATGGTTTTAGGTCTAACATGTAAGTCTTTAATCCATCTTGAATTGATTTTTGTATAAGGTGTGAGGAAGGGATCCAGTTTCAGCTTTCTACATATGGCTAGCCAGTTTTCCCAGAATCATTTATTAAATAGGAAATCCTTTCCCCATTACTTGTTTTTGTCAGGTTTGTCAAAGATCAGATAGTTGTAGATATGCGGCGTTATTTCTGAGGGCTCTGTTCTGTTCCATTGATCTATATCTCTGTTTTGGTACCAGTACCATGCTGTTTTGGTTACTGTAGCCTTGTAGTATAGTTTGAAGTCAGGTAGCATGATGCCTCCGGCTTTGTTCTTTTGGGTTAGGATTGACTTGGCAATGTGGGCTCTTTTTTGGTTCCATATGAACTTTAAAGTAGTTTTTTCCAATTCTGTGAAGAAAGTCATTGGTAACTTGATGGGGATGGCGTTGAATCTATAAATTACCTTGGTCAGTATGGCCATTTTCACGATATTGATTCTTCCTACCCATGAGCATGGAATGTTCTTCCATTTGTTTGTATCCTCTTCTATTTCATTGAGCAGTGGTTTGTAGTTCTCCTTGAAGAGTTCCTTCACGTCCCTTGTAAGGTGGATTCCTAGGTATTTTATTCTCTTTGAAGCAATTGTGAATGGGAGTTCACTCATGATTTGGCTCTCTGTTTGTCTGTTATTGGTGTATAAGAATGCTTGTGATTTGTGTACATTGATTTTGTATCCCGAGACTTTGCTGAAGTTGCTTATCAGCTTAAGGAGATTTTGTGCTGAGACGATGGGGTTTTCTAGATATACAATCATGTCATCTGCAAAAAGGGACAATTCGACTTCCTCTTTTCCTAATTGAATACCCTTTATTTCCTTCTCCTGCCTATTGCCCTAGCCAGAACTTCCAACACTATGTTGAATAGGAGTGGTAAGAGAGGGCATCCCTGTCTTGTGCCAGTTTTCAAAGGGAATGCTTCCAGTTTTTGCCCATTCAGTATGATATTGGCTGTGGGTTTGTCATAGATAGCTCTTATTATTTTGAGATACATCTCATCAATACCTAATTTATTGAGAGTTTTTAGCAGGAAGCGTTGTTGAATTTTGTCAAAAGCCTTTTCTGCATCTATTGAGATAATCATGTGGTTGTTGTCTTTGGTTCTGTTTATATGCTGGATTACATTTATTGATTTGCATATATTGAACCAGCCTTGCATCCCAGGGATGAAGCCCACTTGATCATGGTGGATAAGCTTTTTGATGTGCTGCTGGATTCGGTTTGCCAGTATTTTATTGAGGATTTTTGCATCAATGTTCATCAAGGATATTGGTCTAAAATTCTCTTTTTTGGTTGTTTCTCTGCCCGGCTTTGGTATCAGGATGATGCTGGCCTCATAAAATGAGTTAGGGAGGCTTCCCTCTTTTTCTGTTGATTGGAATATTTTCAGAAGGAATGGTACCAGTTCCTCCTTGTACCTCTGGTAGAATTTGGCTGTGAATCCATCTGGTCCTGGACTCTTTTTGGTTGGTAAGCTATTGATTATTACCACAATTTCAGCTCCTGTTATTGGTCTATTCAGAGATTCAACTTCTTCCTGGTTTAGTCTTGGGAGAGTGTATGTGTCGAGGAATTTATCCATTTCTTCTAGATTTTCTCGTTTATTTGCGAAGAGGTGTTTGTAGTATTCTCTGATGGTAGTTTGTATTTCTGTGGGATCGGTGGTGATATCCCCTTTATCATTTTTTATTGCATCTATTTGATTCTTCTCTCTTTTCTTCTTTATTAGTCTTGCTAGCAGTCTATCAATTTTGTTGATCCTTTCAAAAAACCAGCTCCTGGATTCATTGATTTTTTGAAGGGCTTTTTGTGTCTCTATTTCCTTCAGTTCTGCTCTGATTTTAGTTATTTCTTGCCTTCTGCTAGCTTTTCAATGTGTTTGCTCTTGCTTTTCTAGTTCTTTTAATTGTGATGGTAGGGTGTCAATTTTAGATCTTTCCTGCTTTCTCTTGTGGGCATTTAGTGCTATAAATTTCCCTCTACACACTGCTTTGATTGTGTCCCAGAGATTCTGGTATGTTGTGTCTTTGTTCTCGTTGGTTTCAAAGAACATCTTTATTTCTGCCTTCATTTTGTTATGTACCCAGTCGTCATTCAGGAGCAGGTTGTTCAGTTTCCATGTAGTTGAGCGGTTTTGAGTGAGTTTCTTCATCCTGAGTTCTAGTTTGATTGCACTGTGGTCTGAGAGATAGTTTGTTATAATTTCTGTTCTTTTACATTTGCTGAGGAGAGCTTTACTTCCAACTATGTGGTCAATTTTGGCATAGGTGTGGTGTGGTGCTGAAAAAAATGTATATTCTGTTGATTTGGGGTGGAGAGTTCTGTAGATGTCTATTAGGTCCACTTGGTGCAGAGCTGAGTTCAATTCCTGGGTATCCTTGTTGAGTTTCTGTCTCGTTGATCTGTCTAATGTTGACAGTGGGGTGTTAAAGTCTCCCATTATTAATGTGTGGGAGTCTAAGTCTCTTTGTAGGTCACTCAGGACTTGCTTTATGAATCTGGGTGCTCCTGTATTGGGTGCATATATATTTAGGATAGTTAGCTCTTCTTGTTGAATTGATCCCTTTACCATTATGTAATGGCCTTCTTTGTCTCTTTTGATCTTTGTTGGTTTAAAGTCTGTTTTATCAGAGACTAGGATTGCAACTCCTGCCTTTTTTTGTTTTCCATTTGCTTGGTAGATCTTCCTCCATCCTTTTATTTTGAGCCTATGTGTGTCTCTGCATGTGAGATGGGTTTCCTGAATACAACACACTGATGGGTCTTGACTCTATCCAATTTGCCAGTCTGTGTCTTTTAATTGGAGCATTTAGTCCCTTTACATTTAAAGCTTATATTGTTATGTGTGAATTTGAACCTGTCATTATGATGTTAGCTGGTTATTTTGCTTGTTAGTTGATGCAGTTTCTTCCTAGTCTCGATGGTCTTTACATTTTGGCATGATTTTGCAGTGGCTGTTACTGGTTGTTCCTTTCCATGTTTAGTGCTTCTTTCAGGAGCTCTTTTAGGGCAGGCCTGGTGGTGACAAAATCTCTCAGCATTTGCTTGTCTGTAAAGGATTTTATTTCTCCTTCACCTATGAAGCTTAGTTTGGCTGGATATGAAATTCTGGGTTGAAAATTCTTTTCTTTAAGAATGTTGAATATTGGCCCCCACTCTCTTCAGGCTTGTAGAGTTTCTGCCGAGAGATCCGCTGTTAGTCGGATGGGCTTCCCTTTGAGGGTAACCCGACCTTTCTCTCTGGCTGCCCTTAACATTTTTTCCTTCATTTCAACTTTGGTGAATCTGACAATTATGTGTCTTGGAGTTGCTCTTCTCAAGGAGTATCTTTGTGGCGTTCTCTGTATTTCCTGAATCTGAATGTTGGCCTGCCTTGCTAGATTGAGGAAGTTCTCCTGGATAATATCCTGCAGAGTGTTTTCCAACAGAGGGAACGGCATGTTCCCTCTGTTCCATTGTCCTCGTCACTTTCAGGTACACCAATCAGATGTGGATTTGGTCTTTTCACATAGTCTCATATTTCTTGGAGGTTTTGTTCATTTCTTTTTATTCTTTTTTCTGTTAACTTCCCTTCTCACTTCATTTCATTCATTTCATCTTCCATCGCTGATACCCTTTCTTCCAGTTGATCGCATCAGCTCCTGGGGCTTCTGCATTCTTCACGTAGTTCTCGTGCCTTGGTTTTCAGTTCCATCAGCTCCTTTAAGCACTTCTCTGTATTGGTTATTCTAGTTATACATTCGTCTAAATTTTTTTCAGAGTTTTTAACTTCTTTGCCTTTGGTTTGAATTTCCTCCTGTAGCTCGTAGTTTGATCGTCTGAAGACTTCTTCTCTCAACTTGTCAAAGTCATTCTCCGTCCAGCTCTGTTCCATTGCTGGTGAGGAACTGCGATCCTTTGGAGGAGGAGAGGTGCTCTGCTTTTTAGAGTTTCCAGTTTTTCTGCTCTGTTTTTTCCCCATCTTTGTGGTTTTATCTACTTTTGGTCTTTGATGATGGTGATGTACAGATGGGTTTTTGGTGTGGATGTCCTTTCTGTTTGTTAGTTTTCCTTCTAACAGACAGGACCCTCAGCTGCTCATCTGTTGGAGTTTGCTAGAGGTCCCCTCCAGACCCTGTTTGCCTGGGTATCAGCAGCAGTGTCTGCAGAACAGTGGTTTTCCGTGAACCACGAATGCTGCTGTCTGATCGTTCCTCCGAAAGTTTTGTCTCAGAGGAGTACCCGGCCGTGTGAGGTGTCAGTCTGCCCCTACTGGGGGGTGCCTCCCAGTTAGGCTGCTCAGGGGTCAGGGGTCAGGGACCCACTTGAGGAGGCAGTCTGCCTGTGTTCTCAGATCTCCAGCTGCGTGCTGGGAGAACCACTGCTCTCTTCAAAGCTGTCAGACAGGGACATTTAAGTCTGCAGAAGTTACTGCTGTCTTTTTGTTTGTCTGTGCCCTGCCCCCAGAGGTGGAGCCTACAGAGGCAGGCAGGCCTCCTTGAGCTGTGGTGGGCTCCACACAGTTGGAGTTTTCCGGCTGCTTTGTTTACCTAAGCAAGCCTGGGCAATGGGTGGGCGCCCCTCCCCCAGCCTCGCTGCCACCTTGCAGTTTGATCTCAGACTGCTGTGCTAGCAATCAGCGAGACTCCGTGGGCGTAGGATCCTCTGAGCCAGGTGCGGGATATAATCTCCTGGTGCGCCATTTTTTAAGCCCGCCGGAAAAGCGCAGTATTCGGGTGGGAGTGACCCGATTTTCCAGGTGCCGTCTGTCACCCCTTTCTTTGACTAGGAAAGGGAACTCCCTGACCCCTTGCACTTCCCGAGTGAGTCAATGCCTCGCCCTGCTTCGGCTCGCGCAGGGTGTGCTGCACCCACTGGCCTGTGCCCACTGTCTGGCACTCCCTAGTGAGATGAACCCGGTACCTCAGATGGAAATGCAGAAATCACCCGTCTTCTGTGTCGCTGACGCTGGGAGCTGTAGACCGGAGCTGTTCCTATTCGGCCATCTTGGCTCCTCCGCCCAACACATTTTTTTCTTAAGAGCAGTTAGAAGTGATCCAGAATGTCTCCATTCCTTCATCCATTCAACAGCTATCCACCAAGCAATGTGTTAAGATTGGCAGATAACTACAAATAGTTCATGCCTTCATGGAGCACACTGTCTAGTGGACAGACAAAAATGTAAAACAAAATATTCAGAATAAGACTAGATCTAAGGAGAAGGCATTAAAGAATGCATGGGGCTGAGTGCAGTACCTCACACCTGTAATCACAGCTACTCAGGAGGCTGAAGTGGGAGGATCCTTTGAGCCCAGGAGTTCAAAGCTGCAGTGAGTCATGATTGCACTACTGCACTCCCACCGTCTTGGGAGATGAGAGAAAGCTTTAAGGAAAAGGTGACACCCAAGCTTAGTCTTGAAATCTTGAAGCCTAAGGTGAGAAGAAAATTCTGATTATAAGCCATAGAGGTTTTAAAAAATCCCCAAAACCCCAAGCAAGCAAACAAACATCATTATGTTCTATGTAAAGGAGTGAAACTATTATACTTAGGTATTTCACAGTTTAAAAAGCAAGGCATGAAATTATTGGAGATGAGATTAAAAGATAAGCAGGAGTTACTTCTTTATTACTTTGTTAAGGAGCTCAAGCCTGTAGTGTAAGTAATGTGGGTCATTAAAGGGCTTTAAACCAAAGAAACATTTAGATTTTAGATAAATCATGATGGTGGCTGATAGAAGGATGAATTTAAGAGAGAAAATACTGAATTTAAGGAGTTGCATGAGTGGCCCAGAAGGCAAATAATAAGGATTTAAAACCAGGAACATACTAGGAATAGAACAAAATATTTTCTGGAAAACATTTATAAGGTCAAGTTGAAATGACTTTATATATATAATACATATATAATTAATACATAAATATACATTAATATAAAATATATTTTTATATTATATATTTTATATATTAAGCATTATGACTATTAAAATTAATGTATTTATCATTTATTTTTATATACATATACATAATTATAAATTTTGCTTATGCTTATATAAACTAATTTATATTTCATACATTATGTATTAAATATATAGACATATTAAAATATACTAACATATACTTATTTATAAATATATATTTTGTGTGTGTGTGTATATATATTTAAGCTGCTTTGCTGATGGTATATATTTCAGAAAGTAATTGCTCTATATTCCAAAAATCAGTGATACAATCTTGTCATTGACACTTATGCCTTACCTCCAATACTTTTGTGGAGGAGAGTGAATGGTTGGGTTTATTAACTATGAGCCTAGTGATCATTAACTCTTTCTCTAGTACACAAAATCTTAGATTTTCAGGACCACGAGTTTGTCTGTGAAATTCAAGGGCATACAATCTTTTACTTTGTGAATACAATAAAGAAATACATTACTTGAAAATTAGAATTATAACCATTCCAGAGTAACCAAATGAATCCTCTTTTAATTTACTAGACTATTCTGTACTAAGAATTGTCACAAGGAATCAATAATCTTAACAGGCGTTTTAGCTCTATAAAATACATAGGATTTAACATCCACACAATCCTATTTTAACATTATTAACCAAGGAGTATGCAAATCAGCAGCATTCTGGTCTATGCTGACACTTCGTTAACACTTCATTAAGAAGACTCTGCTCTTGGTACTTGAAATTGTGCCAGAGATAGAATATTTCTTTTCCTTGAAATCCACATATTTTTTCCCAAAGCTCCAGAGCTTCTTGTAATAACTATTAATATTCATATATATTTTCAGCTGTAATTAAAAAAAAACCTTATGGCTTCTGCTAACATGCGTAAATCTCACCGAGGGTCAGAAGTTCTCAGAATGTCTCGCTAAGGATTAACTTGAGATCTAAAGTGAACCTGGATCTACTTGAGGATGGTTGTCCTGACAAAAGACCTTTGGTGGTGGGGTTATGAAATAATCTTGGATGGGATGGGTTTGTTTCATTCATCCATGTATTTATTCATCTAATAAGCACTTAATCAAATTTAACTATTTAATAAGTACTTTAATGTGTTCCAAGGATCCTGTGAAGATAAAGGTAAATAAGTTTTAGTCCCTATACTTGAGGATTTCATTGATTAACTTGGGAACTTGTATATAAATAGATGTATTACAATTTATGTTAAATTTCAGAACAGAATTATGAACACCATCCTACAGGAGTCCTGCCCCTATGACACTGACATAGGACAATGGATTTTTGGTCTGAGCATTGAAGGATAACTAAGAATTTTCCACAGTGAAGAAATTGTGTGTGTGTGTGTGTGTGTGTGTGTGTGTGTGTCGATGGTGGTGGGGAGGGGATGGGGTTTGGTAGAACCCAACATGTTTAAAAGTCCTGAAGTGTAAGAGAGAATGGGGTATTGAGAAGATAAGTGTTATAGGAGCATAGAGCATTTGACGATAGCAATAGACCTGTCCTTGGTAATTTCAACTGAACAGTTGGGCCTCAAAGAATTTTAACTCCTACAGCCCTGTTGGAAGGCCTAGGGAAAATGTCAAGTTATAAAGTTATAACTTATTGAGCAATACATGAAGCTATAATAGACTTCTGACTGTGAAGGATCTGGGAGCTGAGACTGCTGAAGCCCCACATAGACCCCAGTAGAGACCTCCTCACTTTTTACTTAGGTACAGTCATGAACTTAAGTACTGGTAGGTTATCGGTTGCTCATGACTTGTAAGCTTATATTCATCAAGAGTAAGCCCAAACTTCTTTGTTTCTCCTTCTCTATGGAACTGTAATGCCACCCTGAAAGTACAGGCAAAATAAATGTCAGCATCTACATCCCTAGCACGCTGAGAGATGTGTTTTTACAGTTTCAGTAAGGTACCTGTATGCACATTGCAGCCAACGTGTTGAGACAAAGTGTCACTTTGATAAGAAAAGATGGGAAAATGTAGGCCACATTTAAATAGTGACACTTCTGGAATACTGAGTCAGTTTCATGAGGGACTGATTGTTCTTCATCATTATTAATTAACCACTGCTGAGCCCCTACTTTGGGAATAACACTAGATGAGATGCTTTTTCCTTATAGAAGGCATTTGTGTTGGCGAAATCTTTTAGTCCTTTTAAGAACCTGGGGACAGATTGTTTCTTGAGGGCAGTGGCTGTCTCTATCTTGTGTACCACTGGGATACTTCAAAAGTGTTTATTATGTATTGAATGAATAAATGTTTCCTATGTAGTGTTATATACACATTTTTCTTAGATTTTTTTTAAGGTTCTGTTGTAGGTATTTAAACTTGGAGGATGAGAAAAAACAATGTAGGTATCAGTCTGTATATTGGAAATTTTCCTATAAATTTATTATTATGATTTTCCTTGGAAACAAAGAAAAACACAAGTCATAATGATCATATTTAGAGTCTTGGCTTGAAATAAATAGAAAAGAAGGAGATTTTTTCATATTGATCAGCATGACCCAGTCAAAAGACTGCCTTAGCTTACTATATTTCTTTAGCTAAGTAAGAAATAGCTGTTGAGCCAATACTAGTAAGATCCTAACCCTCTGTCCCAGGTTTCAAAGGAGACAACTTTCAAGGGAAAGCATTCATGTCTGAGGCAATGGCCTTGGGGTACAGGGACCAGCTAAGCTAGGAGGTGATGACTGAGCCCTTTATGAAGTCTGAGCCCTTGTCATAGCCTGGGACTGTTATCTGCAGTTGTCACTACATTCACTAAAATGATCTCTTGAGACCTAACATTACATATCTATTCTACCTAGGATAGGAAAAGCCAGACACCAAAGCTGAACCACAGTTCAGAAAGAGTCATCACATCTACATCTGCTTTAAGCCATATTCATTCTGAGGGCCCACATGCCTAAGGAAGAGTCTTTCAGGGCTACCATATGGCAAACTTGCAGGCAGGGCCACTCCCGTTGCTGATCATTGGAGAGTTCCAGGAGTTGGGCCATGAACAATGTAGCCATGGGATAGCCCTGATTTTCAATGCTGGCAATAGGACTAGGGTTGTGGGGCCATGGAGGTGGTGCAACTCCCCTCTTTGTAAACAACTTCAAATAATAAGACTCCTCTTTTTAAAAGAAATATGTTTGATGTGTTGCTTACATTGTTTGAAACATTCTGATAAATTAGAGACAACAGATTGTCTGTTAATAACTCAATCTGGTACATCGAGCTTTCTGTGATTCTTCTAGAAATAATCACTCCTAGGGCAAGAAGAAATGCTTATCTCCCATCAGGTAAATGCCAATCAGAGGAAGGGCTCACTGAGTTTTTCATCTTAGTTTTAATTATCAGTTACTAAGGACTGTCTGTAAGGCATACACTGTGTTAAATGCTTCCATGCATTACCTCTTGCTGGAGTAAAGTGTTTGTCATTACTGGCTATGCAAGAGATATTCAAAACAAAGCTTGCTTCCTTTATTTTCTTATCTCTTTCTTTCAAAGTTCTGTGCTTAAAGAAAATATGAGCTGACATTTATAAAGAGGAAAAATAACCCAGTAGTTCTGCTTGTAGCACTGTGGGCTTCATTAGGAATAAACAACTGATAAATATCCTAGTTTGAAATTGTACCTCATGCATTACTGACTGGCCAGGGAAGCAACTGTATGGTGACTGTATTGTGGTAGTTTATTGGCAAGAAAGTGGGTTTCATGACTAGAATGCTCTCTTGTTCTTAGTAAAACAAGGTTTCTGTCACACATGAACTAACTTAGATATCATAACTATTACAACAAGAACTAGCACGTCTAAGAAAGCTTCTGGCAATTGCTTGGAAGAATTAGTTAAGACTGGGTACAAGGTTAATATATGCTTTCTTGGATGAAACTGCAAAGAAAATGAAGTTGTAGACTCATGGAGCTCCCTTTGAGCTATTTTTGTTTAAATTATTCTCTCCATTGTTGGTGGATTTTGTGTGTGTGTTTTCATCTCATAGTGTTTTAGAATGTTGATGTGTAATAAAAAATTATGAATTCTGATTTCTGTTAAGTGAAAACATTTTATAAGGCTCAGATTACTTATTTACTTGAGGTCTTTGTTTCACTTTTAGTAAAAGTCAGAATATAACTAATTCATCTCATGGAGGGGTTGAGGAGCAGCTTGTAGATACAGTGATGGTAAGGAGTCCTGTGAATATTTCAATGGCACAGAAATGCCTATTATCAATAATCATAGTAATAAGCAGTGAGGAATTCAGTTGAAGTCTAAGGCAAGACATTGTCACATTGTTTTCTTATGATTAAAAAAACTTTGGCTTTCTTTTGCATGTGACACTTTCAATTGTGTTGGAGAGAATAAGAGCTCTAAATGTGGTACTTGGTTGTCTAAGGAATTCTTGATGGAGACAGATTTCATGTGAAATCTAAATTGTGTCACTCACTGTCTGAGCTTTAGCATTAAGATCTTTAGAAGATAATTTGTTTATTCTTAATGTAACCCCAGGCTGAATTCTCTTAGATTATCGTAGAAGAAATGTTACCTGAAAGTAGAAAATATTCTTGAGATTGCTTCAGACTTGAGCATAATTTTTCTTGTCAATCTTGAAGGTTATTACTATTTGCATATATATCACTTTTCTTTCAAGTCCCCAGAAACTAAAAGGTGGCCTGATTAGAAGTAGGAGAAGAAGAGATTATTTTTATACTGAAAACACACTAAAAATGGTCAACAGTATTTTTCAAGACTGAGTACACTGATAATGTCTATGTGCCTACTTGGTATATCCCTGAGTTTCTGCAAAGAAATTTCTTAAGCTTTTAGCTATATGAACAGAATACCAAAAAAAAAATGCTCTTGCTTAAATCTTTTTACCATGTTTTTTCAAAATTTCAACTTATTTTGAGGAATAGGTACTTTTAAAGTATATATGAAATTACTGCAATGAGCAAATTAAAAATATTTTAGTTACATAATATGTTTTCTGTGTGTTTTTCATGTGGAAATTAAAAGGGCAAGATTCATAGTAAATTCACTTGATTGAGCAATGTTCCTTCACTCATGAAAAGCAGCCTTGGTGCAGAAGAGTATATACTTTGGATAATTAGAAAGAAAGAGGCAAGACAGTGGAGCCTGGTGAGCTACAGGGAGGGCTTGTGACTCTGAAGCCCAACCTTTACCTTCTAAACGCAGGGAAAAATGTAGGTTTGCATTCTGTAATTACAGTGTGGGATTTACAAATGCTCTTAGGAGTGCTAGAGTGTAAGACGTTTCCTGATGAAGATCAGAAATCAAGCTACCCTGGAGGAATTTTGTTTTTGTTTTTAAGCAGATGTTCACAGGGCTGCAATCTTTATTAAACAACAGCACCAGGGAAATGTTACAGACAAGAATGCTTCCTGTCCATCACAGTTTAGATTGGTTTGGCAAAGGATTAGTAATGATTTGGAAAATTCCAGAACTAGTTTGATATCAGAATTTTAAGAACACTTTATGCTGAGGCCAGAAAGGCGACTTTGAACCTCCGAGGGCAGTCAATTACCCACCCCCACCCCTACCCACTTATGTTTTGTTTAAGACACTGTCCTAAGCCTTTGGAGAAATGCATAAACAATTTATAAGAGAGTCTATGCTCCAAAAGATCTTGCAATTTAGTTGGGGAAAGAATACAGAGATGCATGAAAAATAAATGGAAAAAGGCAATGTAGGTAAAGTGCCCAATGTAAGGTAGGAAGAGTAAAGGTTAAAGAAAAAAAATTGTATATGACTTAGGATTCTTTAACTCAAATCAACAGAAAAATGCTCTTGAAAACTTGAGAAAAAGCTAATTTATTCAAAGACTTTTAGGAACTGCCAGGAATTCTTAAGAGTCTTGCTTGGAGACCTGGGGACAACAAACTTGGAGGACCTAGGAAGCAGGTTTGCAGGAGCCATCTGGAAGATGGAGGTGCTATCAGTCCTGGGATTTGAAGAAATATTAAGCTTTAGATCACTCAAAGTTGTGGAAATTAGGTGATTTTTAGAAACTCCACCATAGATGTAGAGACGATGTTTATAGCGTGCTTGGGGACAATGCATAAATTATTTTGCTTGGAATGAAGGCTATATGCATGAGTAAAGAGACCAAGTTGGAAAAAATAAGTGGAATTCATTTATGAAAGGCCTTGCTGACATTGTGACTCTGTCTTGCTGGCAGTGAGAACTAGTTGGGATGTTTAGCAAGAGTGTAACATGGTAAAAGTGACATTATAACCCTGTTCCCTACAATGATAAGAGTTCAGAGAAAATGGCCACTCCTTTATTTCAAAGTATTTTGAATTCGGTGTGTAGGTGGCCTTTTCCTGAACTACTTAACCTTCCTTGCAGTAGTCTTCATCATTATTTCCCTAGGGCAATGTTTCTCAAAAGGGCTTGCAGAGGCTACCTATGTATCAGAAGTGACTGGGGACACTTGCTAACATGTACCTTCCCAGGGCCCTACTGAATCAGAATCCCCCCAGCTTTTTTTTTGGAAAAAAAATTGTATAATTTTAGTTATTTTTATGTACAGAAAACTCAACAGTGTACATTTAACCCAGTTTAGTAGCAAGTTCTTTAGCCTTTGCCTTTTTCAACCTGGCAATGCTAGCCACAGATTTGGGACCCAGGACATTGCCTCCCCAGTGAGGATGGTTCTTAACATATCTGTCATTGTAATTGGTCCTGATGGCTTCTACCAGCGTAGCCAAAGCTCCTTTGTCTTCTTCCGAAGGCAACAGTGGTGCAGGTCTTCCTGTGGGCTAGTAGACATCCCACTCTTGCCTTCCCCTTGGTAATGCAGTAAGGGACCCTCATCTCACAACACAGGACAGTCAGGAAGACAATCAGCTTGATGGAATCCACTTCGTGTGCAGTCACCACCAGCTGAGACTTCTTGTTGTCCAATAAGGTGGTGACAGTTTTAACCCCTGCTCAAAGGACAGGTGGTTTCTTAGTGGGGACAGCCCCTTCGCTGGCAGCTTTCTTCTCGGTCCAGGCCAACAGGCTCTGTTTCTTTTACTTTGTCTCTGGTCTGTACTCATGGGCCAGCTTAAGCAGTCAGTAGCTGTTTGGCAGTTCAGGGCCTGGGTGAACAGGTTAATCGCAGGAGGCACTTTCAGCTGCTTATAGAGGCTAGCTCTTTGCCAGCTGCAATGTGATATAGTGAGGCCATTTGACAAAGCAGGTGAGGCCCCTTTTGTGCTGGATGTCTTGTCCATTGCCAAAATTCTTCACCTTTTCTCAAACAGGGATTCACCCCTTTCTTTGCCTCATGCTTCTTCACAACAGCAGGGGCTAGGCCACCTTCTTTCCCTTGCCCCTCTTTCCTTTCAGCATCTTGGGTGGTGGGAGGAGAGAGCAAGTCAGAATCTTTTGGAGTGGGGAGCAGGAATCTGCATTTTCAACAAGTCCCCTAATGATTCTTTTATGCACTGGTGTTCAAAACCCACCACCTTAAAGGATGCTTAAATGGACCAGACAGGTACGAAGCAAGGGTAAGATCCCTTTTCTCTACTTCCCTTCCTCTTCTCCTCCTTTCATTCTCCATATTTTGCTCTTCTTCCTCTGCCTTCTCTCTCTCACCTAATAAACACTCTACTCACTGGGGACCCATTGTGTGAAAAATACTGCTAAATTCTTTATGGACCCTGGAGACTTAAAGACATACCTGAGGAGATTTAAATATATGTGTGTTCAAAATATGCATTGGCAGAAAACCAGTGCTGTTTTAGGGGAAGACTTTTATGGACTAGATGTTTAGCATTTGCTTTAAGTGAAGCTCACTTTGATTTGCAACCTTGATGGTCTCTGAATTAGAAAGATCTGGGGATTTGAAGCTGGTGGTTAAAGCACAGCTTCTGGTGAAAAAACTAATGGCAAGGAGCAGAGTAACAGAGGCTCCTTCAGATCAACTCAGAATGTCAGTATGAGGGTGTAGGGCCACTGATGAGTGGTTAGTAATGCTTGGATTGACTCTCTCCCCTGTTGTCCACTGCTCTTGTTTAAAATGTCATAAAGGAAACAATATTTATTTACCCATACACTATGCACTGGCATTGCACTGAAACTGTCTTTGCAAAATTATGACAGTAAGAGATCTGACAAGGCTAACTCTACCTTGCTTATGGCCTCATATGTTGGCTATCTTTGCTCTTTCCTAGGTGTGGGCCAAGCTAACTTTGGGAGAATTTAATTTATAGTTTAAATAATAACAGCATTTCCCCCACACTGAACTTAAAACTAATGAAACACCACCAAGTTAGGAGGATGAAAGGGGTTTGAATTCTAAGTAATTACCAGCCATTATTCCGGAAGTCATAAAATTTGCAACTTCCCCAATTACTCCTGCAGATAACATTACTACTGTAGAATGGAAGATTGGCCTTTGGAGATGTCTTTTCAGGTTTTTGCATTTCTGACAACTGTACAGCCCCACCCAGACCTGCCAACCTTTCCTGTGGCCTGCACCCAGGAACCAACTCATCACAAGAGGACAGTTTGGATTCTCTGTGATTTCATCTTTGACCCAGCCAATCAGCATGGCCCTTACCCTAGCCCCTGACTACCAAACTATTTTTGAAAAACTGCTAACCTCGGAGCCTTTGGGGAGATTGATTAGAGTAATAACTCTGTGTCTCCCATGGCATGGCCTTGTGTCAATTCTACTCTTTTTTTTTTTTTTCTTTTTCCTGAGACAGAGTCTTGCTCGATTGCCCAGGCTGGAGTGCAGTGGCATGATCTCAGCTCACTACAACCTCTGTCTCCTGGGTTCAAGTGATTGTCATGCTTCAACCTCTTGAGTAGCTGGGATTACAGGTGTGTGACACCATGCATGGCTACATTTTGTATTTTTAGTAGAGATAGGGCTTTGTCATGATGGCCAGGCTGGTCTCAAACTCCTGGCCTCAAGTGACCCTCCCATCTTGGCCTCCCAAAGTGCTAGGATTACAGGTGTGAGCCACAGGGCTCAGCCTAATTCAACTCTTTCTTTTTTTTTTTTTTTATTATTTTTTTAACCTTTTATTTTGATATAATTTCAAACTTAGAGAAAATCTGCAGAAAAAAGTACAAAGAACTCCTACATACATTTTACCCAGATTCACCATTGTTAATGTTTTAGCATGTTACCTTTATCATTCTCCCTTTCTCTCTCTCTGAACCAGTTGACAGTAATCTGTAAATATCACGTTCCTTTTCTCTCAAATACATGAACGTAAGTACATGCTTGAACATAACCATGAGATGATTACAAAAATCAAGAAACAAATTCAAATTTTGTCAGTTGTCCCAATAATGCCTTTTATGGCAAAATTTTCCTTAACTGATGACTCAATCCATAATCACACAATGCATTTAGTGGTTCTGTCCCTTTGGTCTTTTTCATCTGGAATCGTTGCTGAGCCTTTCTTTATCTTTTATGACACTGACATTTTTGAAAAGTACAGGCTTGTTTTTTTTTTTTTTTTTTTTTTTTTTTTTAACTAGGAATTCCCAGAGGGATTTTATTCTTTTTTTTTTTTTGGCCTTTTTTTTTTTTTTTTTATTGATCATTCTTGGGTGTTTCTCGCAGAGGGGGATTTGGCAGGGTCATAGGACAATAATGGAGGGAGGGTCAGCAGATAAGTGAACAAAGGTCTCTGGTTTTCCTAGGCAGAGGACCCTGCGGCCTTCCGCAGTGTTTGTGTCCCTGGGTACATGAGATTAGGGAGTGGTGATGACTCTTAAGGAGCATGCTACCTTCAAGCATCTGTTTAACAAAGCACATCTTGCACCGCCCTTAATCCATTTAACCCTGAGTGGACACAGCACATGTTTCAGAGAGCACAGGGTTGGGGGTAAGGTCACAGATCCACAGGATCCCACGGCAGAAGAATTTTTCTTAGTACAGAACAAAATGAAAAGACTCCCATGTCTACTTCTTTCTACACAGACAGGCAACCATCCGATTTCTGAATCTTTTCCCCACCTTTCCCCCCTTTCTATTCCACAAAACCGCCATTGTCATCATGGCCCGTTCTCAATGAGCTGTTGGGTAAACCTCCCAGACGGGGTGGTGGCTGGGCAGAGGGGCTCCTCACTTCCCAGTAGGGGCGGCCGGGCAGAGGTGCCCCTCACCTCCCAGACGGGGCGGCTGGCCGGGCGGGGGGCTGACCCCCCCACCTCCCTCCTGGATGGGGCGGCTGGCCGGGCGGGGGACTGACGCCCCACCTCGCTCCCGGACGGGGCGGCTGGCCGGGCAGAGGGGCTCCTCACTTCCCAGTAGGGGCGGCTGGGCAGAGTCGCCCCTTACCTCCCAGATGGGGCGGCTGGCCGGGCGGGGGGCTGACCCCCCCACCTCCCTCCCGGACGGGGCGGCTGGCTGGGCAGAGGGGCTCCTCACTTCCCAGTAGGGGCGGCCGGGCAGAGGCGCCCCTCAACTCCCTGACGGGGCGGCTGGCCGGGCGGCTGGCCGGGCAGGGGGCTGACCCCCCCACCTCCTTCCCGGACGGGGCGGCTGGCCGGGCGGGGGGCTGACCCCCCCACCTCCCTCCCGGACGGGATGGCTGGCCGGGTAGAGGGGCTCCTCACTTCCCAGTAGGGGCGGCCGGGCAGAGGCGCCCCTCACCTCCCGTATGGGGCGGCTGGCCGGGCAGAGGGGCTCCTCACTTCCCAGTAGGGGCGGCTGGGCAGAGGCGCCCCTCACCTCCCGGACGGGGCGGCTGGCCGGGCGGGGGGCTGACCCCCCCACCTCCCTCCCGGACGGGGCGGCTGCCGGGCGGAGACGCTCCTCACTTCCCAGACGGGGTGGTTGACGGGCGGAGGGGCTCCTCACTTCTCAGACGGGGCGGCCGGGCAGAGACGCTCCTCACCTCCCAGACGGGGTTGCCGGGCCGGGCAGAGGTGCTCCTCACATCCCAGACGGGGCGGCGGGGCAGAGACGCTCCCCACATCTCAGACGATGGGCGGCGGGGCAGAGACGCTCCTCACTTCCCAGATGGGATGGTGGCCGGGAAGAGGCGCTCCTCACTTCCTAGATGGGATGGCGGCAGGGCAGAGACGCTCCTCACTTTCCAGACTGGGCAGCCAGGCAGAGGGGCTCCTCAACTCCCAGATGATGGGCGGCCAGGCAGAGATGCTCCTCACTTCCCAGACGGGGTGGCGGTCGGGCAGAGGCTGCAATCTCAGCACTTTGGGAGGCCAAGGCAGGCGGCTGGGAGGTGGAGGTTGTGGCAAGCCGAGATCACGCCACTGCACTCCAGCCTGGGCACCATTGAGCACTGAGTGAACCAGACTCCGTCTGCAATCCCGGCACCTCGGGAGGCCGAGGCTGGCGGATCACTCGCGGTTAGGAGCTGGAGACCAGCCCGGCCAACACAGCGAAACCCCGTCTCCACCAAAAAAATACGAAAACCAGTGCGCCTGCAATCGCAGGCACTCGGCAGGCTGAGGCAGGAGAATCAGGCAGGGAGGTTGCAGTGAGCCGAGATGGCAGCAGTACAGTCCAGCTTCGGCTCGGCATCAGAAGGAGACTGTGGAAAGAGAGAGAGAGGGAGACCGTGGGGAGAGGGAGAGGGAGCCGTGGAAAGAGAGGGAGAGGGAGACCGTGGGGAGAGGGAGAGGGAGGGCGAGGGGGTCAACTCTTTCTTTACTGCAATGACATGATCTTGGTAAGATAATTTTTATATGTGCAGTGGGCAGGAAGAACCTGTCAGGCAGTTAGTGTACCAAGTGCTTGTAGACAGCATCTCATTTAGTATTCATAGAAATCTAGTTATTAGAACAATACCTAGCACATAATAGGCTTTGAATGAAAATAATTGTTGATTTATTATTTACTCACTTATTCACAAATTCATTCAATAAATGCTAAGCAATGTTCTAGGCACTGGGGACATAGCAGCTAAAATTAAAAAGTATCCCTGCTGTTATGCAATGTATATTCTAGTGTGGCATGTTATTTTACATCAACCTTATTAAATTGGAAGGTTAACTTGCTTGAGGTTAGACAGCTAGGAATTTGTAGTCTTGCTGTAGGTAAGAGACTCTCAGATCTGTTTGGTTTCCAAACTCATATTTTCTACAACATCATTACAACTTCAGATAGATTTTCAAATAAAAAGCTATCTTCCTTCCTCTGGAAATGTTGGTCACCCTCTGGAATTAAAGTGAATTTCTTAGAGAGCCACCTTTATGGAATAAGACGAAGAGGGCTGAGAAGCCCCCAAGCTATCCGTTGTCCTAGCCTCTGGCTCTGTCAAAGTACTGGAAACTGACTCTAGAACTGTTCATTTACGTGCTGTGTGGAAATGTCCTGTCATGTGTGTAACTATAATCCTCTCTCTGATATTTCTGCCCATCCCTTTCGGGAAGGGCAGTGTGCTCCTGCCAATGACACAGCTGGTCAACAGTCCTGCACAATGGGGAGGTAGCTGAAGCATGTCCTCGGAGCATCTCACCTGTGTACTGCTTTCTGCTTCCTTCCTGTCCTACTGCTCCTTTTCTCTGAAGGCCCAGCATGCTAACATTATAAGGTCAGCCAGCCACAGCTGACAATGATCTTAAAAAATTACTGTGTAAAAACTGCAATGCCTTCCTCTTCTGGGAAGAAGTGTTTATATTTTAGAAGAGGGCTACTTAACCCAAGGAATGACACCCCATCAAAGATTGCCTAGAAAGAGTACTGTGAGGCTCACTCAGATGCCCTTCGTCTTTGCAGATTGCTCTCTCCTCCTAAGTGCAATTAGTGACTTTTTCCTTTGAGTTCATAAAATTTGCTAATCCTTTTTTTATAAGGCTGATCACAGACTAATCTGTTTGATAATTAGTTGTGATTGTGGCCTTGTTGTAAGACAGGACCGGACCTGCATCCTGAAAACATTTGTATGCTTGCAGTACCTAGAAGAGTCTTTGCCTTCTTCAGGAGCTTCCTAATGGCTTTGTGCATTGAATAGAATTGAAGGAGTTTTCTGGGAGAAGGTAGATTAAAGGGGTACAGTGTGAGCTTTTTCTTTGAGTACATTCGGAAAAATAAATGGAGGTAGGGAAATGGCTTGGGCATTCCAGGTCATTCTCTAAAGAGATCAACTAAATACCATTTGTTTGGTACCAACCATATACTCAGACACTACAAATTTGGATATTGCCACTTGTTAACTGTGTGACAAACTTGGACAAATTACCTTCTCTTCAAGTGACTCAGTTTCTACATCTGTAAAATAATATGATTATTGTGAGGACATAATGAGGTAATACATATAAAGCACTAGGCACATTCTCTGACACATCGTAATTCCTCACTAAATGTTCTTTATAGTTTTTTTTTAAATTACTCTCACAGCAGTTTGAGATCCATAGATATTACCATTTTAGAGATAAAATAATAACAAAAACTATCATTTCTTGAGTGCAATCTCGTATTCAATTTTTTAGCAAGCTTGTAGGAGGTACCATTATCACCTCCACATTTACAAGGAGGAAGTGGGCTGTGTTCAGGGTCACCCAGCTGGATAAATAATGGAATTGGAATTCAAGCTTAGCTCTGATGAACTTGCGAGACTTCATTCTTTTGACAGTGACAAGCTGCTTGTAAGGAATGATTGCCACTTCAAAATTGTGTTCAGCCTTCTTAAAATACTTCTGTTCTTCAAACAAAATACCTCACATCAGTTCTAAATCTGTAATACTTGGGGAATTAGGGCCTCACCCTGTGTAATGCTGCAGTATGCTCTCTGTGCTACTGAAACCTCTGGCACAAGCGTTTCCTCACCTAAGGCATCTGCCTTTCACTGGTGGGTGGCTGATCTTTAGATCATCTATGCGGTGCGTTGGGAGCCTTCTGGATAAAGGATGCTTGAATATATAAGTCAGGGTTTCTGCTCAACACATATTCATTGCAACTACTGAATATATTAACTCATTATACCTCTCCCAAATAATTATACAGTATGTGCAGCAAGCATTTTAAAATGTGTACATTTCAAACACGGAGCTGGCATTTTACAAGATTTCAGTTATTAGCATGTGAATTCTAACTATTTCCCTACCAAAGGTAACTGATGGTAAAATAAAAATTGTTGACTGTAACTTTTATAGGGAATTTGAATGAGAATGGATATGGCCAAAGAAAAACCTTCTCATTGGAAATTGGACCCTTGCCAGCTTTTGACTTCTAAGAGAGATCTGAAATCTGGGGAAAAAATAGCCAAGTTAAAAATACGATTTTTTTTTTAACTTTTGCTTTGTTTCTTGAAAAGTATAATGGCATTCCCATGTAGTCTTTAGTTATGTTGGATCATATCAACACTGACTTAGATACATCTTCTTAGATATTCAACATATTTTGCTAACTAACCTGAAGAGGTCATTTACACTTTAGTGTGAATAAAACCCAGACCTTTTAGGGATGTCCAATTTTTTTTTTTTTTTCCTTTCCAGAGCTCTACCAGTTCTTGAAAAAAATTTCACAAGTCTGTTGCAAAATGAGTAAAATGAAGTGCAATGTGGTATATTTTTCACGAAGCTGAATTAATTCAATTGTAAGTGCTAATCTTCTGTTTTGAGATTTGATATTTGCAAAGTTTTCTGGGTTGAAGTGTTCATTTTATTATGAAATGGTGGTGGTAGAAGACTGAAGCTTTTACTTTTTTATATTCCTGGCAAAATCCAAAGTTGTTAGCTCTACTTCTGTTTGCCAATTTTTTGTTTGCTTTTAATTGATTGGCCTGTGGCATATGTGTCTGGGAACCACTGGTGTGATAGAAAGAGCCCACGCTCTGGAATCAAAAGCCCTGGGGTTTTCATCCTTGCTGGGTCTGTTATAAGCCAGATGAGCTGAGTCCTTATTGATCCTCATAGAATCTCCGTTTCTCCATTTGTAATGTGAAGGCAATAGAGCTGTTGAGAGAATTAAATGAGATCACATATACAAAATGTCTAGCTCATAGTTATGCTTAATTGACAATAGTTTGTCCTCTTTATTTTTTCATTCAAGAAGCAGATTTTGCAAAAAGAAGATGGAGGATATGATTATTGGTTAAGATTTGGGAGAGGAGGGAGTAAGATAAACAAGTCATACAATAGGAAATAAAGGTTTCAAAGGCAGATTATGTGTGACGAAAACCTTTCTTTCTGTACTTAATAATGTCTTCTGATATTGTGGAAGGCTTCAGAGGTTAGGATATGTCTTGTTGTTTTTGGTCTTCAGTATCTGGCACAGAGCAAGCTCAGAGAAGTGCTACTACAAGTGGTGTGACTCAGGAAGCAGATTCTGATTTGGATAGTTGCCTGCAGAAACTTTATTGGGGTATGTTTTCCAGTAATGTCTATGGGGAAGGTGAAAGAAGAAGGACCAGACAGATGTCTGTACCAGCTTATATGAAATTTTGGAGCTGGGATATCCCTGCAGAATTGTCCCGAACCAGGGTAGAGTGTTCAGGCCTTGATATCACACTCAGTGACCAGTTTTAGGATGTGGGTTAACACAGGGAAAAGGAATGACTTGGGAGAGGTGGCTCTCTTCAGCTGAGGGCAAGCTTGGGAGGAGATTTATCTGTGAGCTCTTAGTTGCCATTGTGGGCTACATTGTGTTCCCTAAAAAGATATTGAAATCCTAACCCCTGAAACTTGTGAATGTGACTTTACTTGGAAATAAGGCTTTTGCAGGTGATCAAATAAAGATGTCATTAGGATGTCCCCTAATCCAATAAAAAAGGGGAGAATGGACACAGAGACATACATCTGTAGAGGGAGGATGATGTGAAGACAAGGGAGAATGCCACCTACAAGCCAAGGAGAAAAGCATGTGACAGATTTTCGGCCCTCCCATCCCTCAGAAGGAGCCAACCCTGCTGACACCCTGATTTTGAACTTCTATCCTCCAGAGCTGTGAGACAACACATTTTTGTTATTTAAGTCACTCAATATGTGGTATTTCGTTAGGGTAGTCCTGGGAAACTAATGCAGTTGCCAACACATTGAGCAGCCTGCCATCGGTGCTGCAGTCCTGAAGTGAGGCCATCTGGTGGCACACCACAGTAGTTATTACGGGAGCTCCATGGTGCTTGAGCGATAAAGTCTTCAGGTCCCAGCTTGGACCAATGCCGGGTCGTATTTTTCTACTACCTAGGAAATTGACGCATTCTTTCACCTACTGATGTCCACACACCTCCTTGCAATGAAACACTCAGCCACATATGGTTGTCTTGAGCCTGTCTTTAGAAACTGACCAAGGGAGAAGATCTGCACATGCTCAGGAAACATACTTACTCTGAAGTGCCCTAGAAAAGAGGAATATTTATAGAGAAGGGTTTCAAGTCAGGCTAGGACTGTTTTGGGGCTTACTACCACTGTTCTATTGAACAGCTTGTTCAAGGAAATGAGATTTTGAACAAATCAGTAGTCCTGGCTATGAAGAAGGAAGGAGGTACCAAAAATAAAGAATAAAAAATCTTTAAGTCGGGTGCAATGGCATGTGCCTATAGCTCCAGCTACTCAGGAGGCTGAGAAAGTAGGATTACTTGAACTCAGGAGTTTGAGACCAGCCTAGGCAACATGGCAAGACCCTGTCTCTAAAGAAGAAAGAAAGAGAGAGAGAAAGAAAGAAAGAAAAGAAAAAAGAAATAAAAGAAAAGAAAGAAATTGTGTCACAATCTTGTTCAGAGTAAATTTGTTTTTCTTTCTTTTTTTTTTTTTATTTGAAACAGGGTCACACTCTGTCGCCCAGGCTGGAGTGCAGCAGCACAACCTTGGCTCACTGCAACCACCTCTGCCTCCTGGGTTCAAGCGATTCTCCTGCCTCAGCTTCGCGAATAGCTGGGACTACAGGCCTGCGCCACCATGCCCAGCTAATTTTCATATTTTTAGTAGGCACGGGGTTTTATCATGTTGGCCAGGCTGGTCTCAAACTCCTGACCTCAAAGTGATCCACCCGCCTCGGCCTCCCAAAGTGCTGGGATTACAGGCATGAGCCACCGTGCCCGGCCCAGAGTAAATTTTTAATGAGCAATTCCTTCAGGATAGAAGAGAAATGGGGATAAATTCAAATCATTTCAGGTCGATGTTTGCTAGGACTACATGCATCTTCTGTATTATCTTTGGATTTTGCATAGCTTTACAAAAGCAGGTGATGTGTCTCTGTGACTTATTTCTGTCGTCTCAACACTAACAGGATGAACTACACTGGAGATTGAAGAAGCTTTTTTTTGTTGTCAACCACAAAACTTAGAGCCAGGGGGTATATGAAATCAGATTACATGACACTCTTGTCTTTTTCATGCAACTTGTGGGTATTAGCTACATTCTTCTTCCATTAACAGAACAGTGGGAGAGGAGGAATCTGTTATCTCACTCATGTTAACACTAAATTGTCATCAGAATTTGAATTGTAAAATTTTTATTTCTGGTCAGAGGCAGGATGAAAACCACTTGTTTTTATAAACTGCACTTCAGGTAAATACTCAGGCTTTGAGTTTGAAATAGGTAATTGTTAAATGGATATTGAAGGCATGATTAAAGACCTTCATTATTTGCACATTTTCATCTTTGGATTGTATATACACTCACACCCATTAAAGGAACCATACAACTTAGTGTAGAAAGGCCCAAATTCCATCCCTTGCTGCAAACCACATAACACAGCAGCACAGATTCAGTACAAGCACATAGTAGGTGCTCAGTAAAGATCTTCTGAAGGAAAATCTGTGCTGCAAAATAAAAACAAGTGTCCCGAAAGAAATATGTCAAGTCTCTACTAAAATTTCTCTTTCAGGAAAGTAGATCAATCTCTTAGATGGTGTTTGACTCAGATACCCCATGTTTCCTTTTACTATACTTCATTTCGCATGTCCTCTCAGAAGTCCAGAAGTGCCTGGAATTTATTTCCTAAGTGGGGAGGAGGCAGGATTGTGAGAGTCCAGATCTCACTGTTTAAGGTAAGGGAAATCTGGTAGTAACTTTCCTTAAGGCTTCAGTCTGGAGCTAGCTACTCTTAGCAGGATTTTGCCAGGGATCTCACCTTTGCTGAGCTGCTTCTTGTCCCATTCTGTTCCCCAATTCCATTGTGTATTTATTCTCATCTCAGAAAACCCTAACCTAAAAGCATTCTCTCTTGATTCCTGGTTCATCTCAAAGAACTGCCCCATTTTTCTGCTCCCTTTCACAACAGTTTTGCAGTCTTCCTGCATCTAATTCTTTTCTCCTTCCTTGCTCAAACCACTCAATACAGTTTTCCACACTAAACACTCGACTGAAACTCCTCTTCTCAAGATCACCAGCGACCTCTATCTGGCTGAATTCAATGGCTACTTCTTGTTCTCATTGTACAGGACTTCTAAGCAGTATCTAGATAATCTGACCATCCCCTTCTTAGGGAAATGCTCTCTTTTCTTGTCTTTCTTGATACCACCCTCCCACAGTTTTCTTGTTACCTCATTGGTCATTCCTTCTTCACCTTTGAGCTGGTTCCTTCTTGGTTGGCCTATTAGATGTTGGAATACATAATGGCTTAGATCTTGGTCTCTTCCTTTCTCCTTCTATGCTGTGTTTCTTGGATATGCTGGAGACTGCCCAATTTGTGCCTCTTCCCCTGATTCTTCCATTAAAACTTGACTGTATATCTACAGACTGCTTCACTTGTGTATTTAATATGCGTCTAAAACGAAAAAGCCCAAGAGAGAACTGCTGTTTCTGTATGGCAATACCACTTAACAAACACAATGAAAAATTCTTTTTTACTCAGTTTTCCAGGTCTTCGTAAATATATCACTTTCCAATATGCTGCCCAAACTGGAAAAAGGAGGCATTTCTCATTTCTCTATTCTGCCCTCCCTACCACATAGAATAGATCAGATAATCCCATCGACCATGTCGCTGCAATGTATTTCGAATCTGACTCTCTTCTCTTCATCTCCACTGCTACTACCCAGTTCTTGTCATCATCTTTAATTACCCAGATGACTGAATTCATCTACAAACTGGTCTCTCACTTCCTTTGTTGTCCACTTACTCTTCTCATCCCCTCCCTAAATCATCCTTGTAATACATAATAAGATTACACTAATTCCTTTGCTTAAAACCCTCTGTGGCTTCTTTTCACCCTGAAAATAAAATCTAAAACCCTTGCCCAATTTATAACCCTTGCTTACCTTCTGATTCTTCCCTATTCCCTTAGATTCAGTCATTCTGAACTTGTTTCTCTGCTGGCACGTGACAATCCTTAAAGTCTAGTGCTTGCAGTTCTTCCACATACCATATTCTAGACTGAGATCTTTTCAAGACTGATCCTACTATAGGTGGGAAGCATTTGCCTCAGGCAAACTCCTCCAACTGTTGTAAAACTGAATTCTGTATCCAAGGAGTTTCCACCAATAGTCTAAAGTGTTTAGGATCATTCCAGCCAAGCTAGAATAAACTTGAGCTTCTAATTTGGATCTTAAAACCCAGAGATGGGTTTGTATTGTATAGACTTCTCCAGATTCTTAGCCCTGCCATATCGACCTGTGGTTAGACTTCCATTTGTTGTCAAAAAAGTCTGTTCTTATTTATTGTGAGGTTCTGAAAAGCAGAGACTGTACCACTCATCTGGAAAACTGACACAGCATATGACACCTGTTCAGAAGATGCTCAAAAAGGGTTTACTCTATAATGTAAAGACCAGTGAAGATTGGATTCTGTGATTAGCTTTGAAATTTATGTAACTTTCAAAATTACTCTGAGCTTAACTTTCTTTATATGCACTTTATACAAATGTGGTAAAGACTGAATGAGATAGTGGATATCAAAGTTTTACCACATGGCTGGTACACAGTAGACATTAGAGAAGTCTTCATTTCTCCCTTTCTCCCTCCATATCTTCTCTTCTTAATAGTTTCTTCCTACTGTAGATTTACCTATCATTGCAACCTCAGTGCTAAGCATAGGACTTACATTTTTTTCTTTCTTCATTCCTCTTAATGTTTCCTTCCTTCTCAGCTTTCTCTATTTTAGCCTTTTTCTTTACCATCTCCTTTTCCTCTTTTCTATTCTTCTCTTCTATCCAATATTGAACTAACCTATACTTTTCTCTTCTTTCTCCTTTGCCTTTCTTAAAGTTTAACATTAACACTTACTCCCTCTAACCTACAAAAAAGAGAGGTAGTGGAGACTGTGCTCTTTAGTCAGATCCTAAGTACCAGTTCTCTGTCTGTCTCCGAGAAAAAAAAAAAAAATCTGTGCACTGGAGCTTGTCTTCTACTCCCTACTGAGACAAAAGTGCTTCCCAAGCTCATGCAACCCACATGTTAAAATATTAATAGAAAAAAAAAAACCCAGCAAGGCAAGGGTCACAGCAGTTTGGGCATGAGACCAGCAGGTCTTTTGGAGCCCTCTTCTGTGTGGAGCCAATGGGAAGACTGACATTTAGCGTGCCTCCACACAGAGATGCAGATGGCTTCTAAGCCTATTTCAGTGAACATACGAGGAAGTGGGTGGGGGAGACTGGAAAGAGCCACAATTCCTATCCATGGCATCAAAATGCCAAGAACTGAAGACAATTAAAAATGGATAACTTGAGGGAAAGCACAGAGAGAGACAGTTTGAGTTTTATTAAAATGCATTGAAAACTTTTTTTGTTTTTGGGAAAAAGAATGAAAAATTATTTTGATCTGTTTTTAAGTTAAAGAAAAGAAATATCCTTCAACATTGGCCTCTTCTAAATAGGTTTAGTAGGTAAAAATAAATGCAATCAAATTTCTGACAGTATTTTCCTTTAAAAAGATGCAAATAAATTTGTAATACAGTCAAGCTCCAAAATAACAGATTGAAATACTCAAGATTATAAATTCAAATTTTTTTCCATTGAAATGGCATTTCAATTTCCTTCCCTGGAATACCTTGGGTGGGGGGTCACTATCTTTAAATGCTTTCTGGTTTTCTATTTTTTTTTTCTTTGAGTGGTGGATTCTAGCTGAAACAGTTACAAACAGTTAAGTATATTTGATTAGAGATCACTTGGGATTCATCATCACTTGGGATACTTCATATATGGACAGTATCCATATATGAAGATGAAAAATCTACAAGCTAGAGGTAATTTATTATTTTCTCATAAGCATTTGCATTTATAAAAGTATGTTCTTGCTGGGCGTGGTGGCTCACACCTGTAATCCCAGCACTTTGGGAGGCCGGGGTGGGCGGATCACGAGGTCAGGAGATCGAGACCATCCTGGCTAACACGGTGAAACTCCATCTCTACTAAAAATACAAAAAATTAGCCGGGCGTGGTGTCGGGCGCCTGTAGTCACAGCTACTCGGGAGGCTGAGGCAGGAGAATGGCATGAACTCAGGAGGCAGAGCTTGCAGTGAGCCAGGATGGGGCCACTGCATTCCAGCCTGGGTGACAGAGCAAGACTCCGTCTCAAAAAAAAAAATATTCTTTTATTGTTGGTTCTTACTTTGCCATTACACAGCTTACTAGCTCATCTTTATACTCTAGTGTTTAAGAGCTTAAGCTCAACAGCTATATTTCCCTATATTTTATTTTGGGTCAAATCCCATCCATCACTTACTAGGTGAGTGACTTTGGTCAAATTACTTACTGCTTTCAGCCTCACTATATTCATCCATAGGATGTGGATATTAATATTTGCCCCGTAAGGTCTTTGTGAAAATGACATATGATTCAGCATATAAGGCCTTGAGGATGTCAGAAAGATGGCAGAATCAGAATTTTCAACCTTTGTATCCTGACAGAAACACTGATTTTGACAACCATCCGTGGAGAAGAGCCCAGGAGTTAAGCAGAGATGTCCTGGCATTCTATTGGAAGAAACAAATTTGTGAGTAGGCACACTGAAGAGCATAAGAACAGTTTTACCCTGCCCACATCACTCCTCCCGAAGGTAGCACAGTTCATTGCCAATACAGATCCTCTCAATTTATGAATTTATCCACGGGGGAAAGTGAGAGAGTAGTTGAGTGTCTGCTTCTCTAGCCATGCAGCTTCCTGCCCAAAGGCCCACTTCTTTCTCTCTGCACTCAGAATACTGAGGGGATCAGCATGGCTGAATAGTCTGGGGGCAGGTAGGAGCAGGGAAATGGGGTGGGGCCTCACAGCAACCAGGCATGGAATACAACAAAGGGCCATGGTTTCTACTAACTGCCTTATGACTTCACAAGAGGCCTACCCATTTATCTAGTAGGATGTATCACCTGCATCTTTCCCACCAACACACCCATGCATGCCCCACTGCTCTGTGTGCCCTCCCCTTTTACCATAGCTATTGTGAGTACGCCCCTGCAGACCATGCAGGTGTACACACAGACAACTAGCGCCAACTATGCTGGCTTGAAAAAAGATGCTTAACCTTGACCACTTCAAGATACTACCTTAGGGAAATGAAATGGTAAACTCTCCACACTCAGCCTAGTTTTGTGGAATTGAGAAAAAGCACACAATCCTAAGACTTCCCCCTCCCAAAAGTAACAAAAGGAGTGGAGAGGGTACATCCATAGAAAAATCCTGAAAGACCACAGGAATACCCAGGCAGTCTGACTGATGAAAGTCTTTTTCTCCCAAAGCCAGTCAAACAAAAACCAAAACAAACAAACAAACAAAAAACTGGAAGAGGTGACTGCTTCCTCAGCTGTGAATACTGCAGCAGGAGACTTCAAGGAGCATGAAAAATCAATGACTGAAAGAACACAGTAATTGTTCAGTAACTTAACCCCCGAAATTAGAAATCTATAAACTGCCTGACAATTTGAAATAATTATTTTAAGGGAGTTCGGTGAGTTATAAAAGAACACAGACTGCTCATTGAAATCAGGAAAACAACACCTGAGCAAAACAGGAAGTTGAACAAAGAGATAAAAATCATAAAAGGAACCAAAAAGTTCTGGAGCTGTTTGAAATGAAAACTTCAGTGGAGAACTTCAATAGCAGAGTTGATCAAGCAGAAGGAAACATTTGAGAATTCAGAAGCAGGTCATCTGAAATTATCCAATCAGAGGAGAATAAAGAAAAAGAATAAAAAAGAGTAGAGAAAGTCTCTAAGACTTATAGAATACCATAAAAAATCACTGTATGCATTACAGGATTATTTAAAAAAAAGAAAAGAGAGTAAAGGGCAGAAAGGCTATTTAGATAAACAACTGCTGAATGCCTCCTACATCTTGGGAGAGATGTAGCCATCCAGCTTCATTTATCTCAAAAGTCCCTAAACTGGATCAACTCCAAAAAGATTACCCTGAGAAAAATGATAATCAAAGTATCAAAAGTAAAAAGCCAAGAGTGAATTTTCAAAACGGCAAGAAAAAACCTGCTCATGACATATAAAGGAACCTCCATAAAGCTATGGATTTCTTATCAGAGACCTTGCAGGCCAGGAGAGTAGTATAATATATTCAAAGTTCTGAAGGAAAAAACCCTGCCAGTCAAGAATACTAAACCTGGCAAAGCTGTCTTTCAGAAATGAAGGCAAAATAAAGACTTTCCCAGACACACAAAAGCTAAGGAAGTTCTTCATCTCCTGATCTGCCTTACAAGACTCTAAAGGGAGTTCTTCAAGTTCAAATGAAAGGACAATAATCAGGACATGAAAACATGTGAAGATATAAAATTCACTGGTAAAAAAAATAGTCAAATTCAGAACATTTAATACTGTAATGGTGACATATAAATCAATTTTAACACTAGCATAAAATTTAAGACAAAGGTATTAAAATACTCTCCTATAATAATGTGTTAATGACTATACAATATAAAATATGTAAATTGTGTCGTCAATAACAAAGTGTGGGGAGGATATGCAATCAAAAATAAATTATCAGCTTAAAATCAACTGTTGTAAGATGTTTTATGTAAACATTGTGGTAATACAAAGAAAAATCCCTTTAGCAGATACACAAATGATAAAGAAAAAGGTATCAAAGTGTACTACTAGGAAAATCATCAAATCACAAAGGAAGACAGAAAGAAAGGAATAAAAATCTACAAAATAGAAAACAATTAACAAAATGGCAATAGCAAGCCCTTAGCTATCAATAACCACTTTATATATAAATGAATTACATTCTCCAATCAAAAGATAAAGAGTGGCCGAATGGATAAAACATAAAAACAAGATCCAACTATACGCTGTGTCCAAAAATACTCACTTTAGCTTTAAAATTATGCATAGGCTGAAAGTGAAGGCATGGTAAAGGATATTTCATATAAATGGTAACCAAAAGAGAGCATGTGTGGCTATATTTACATCAGACAATATAGACTTTAAGTCAAAAACTGTCACAGGAGAAAAAGAAGGCAGTTATAATGATAAAGGGGTCAATTCATCAAGAGGATATACCAATTATAAATATATATACACTCAAGGATGGGGCAACTAAATACATAAAGCAAATATTAACAAACAAATAGAGAAATAGACAGCAATACAATTACAGTAGGGGACCCCACTTCAACAATGTATACATCATCCAGATAGGAAATCAGCAAGGAAAGCATACACTAGACAACACCATATGGATGGTCTTTGACTTATGATCGGGTTATTTCCCCATAAATCCATTATAAAATTAAAAAGTTGTAAGCTGAATCATTGTAAAGCCAAGAATCATCTGTGGACCAAATAGACCTGACAGTCATTTACAGAACGTTCACTCTGACAGCAGAAGAATACACATTCTCAAGCATACTCATGCATTTTACAGGAGAGATCATATGTTAGGCCACAAAACAATTTTAAACAAATTTACAAGGATTGACATCATATCATGTATATTTTCCAACCACAATAATATAAAACTAGAAATCAATGTTAAGGAGAATAGGAAAACTCACATATATGTGGAAAGTAAGCAATACACTCCTAAACAACCAATGGGTCGAAGAAGAAATCAAAGAGAAATAAGATAAAATCTTTAGAAAATGGAAACACAACATATCAAAACTCATGGGATGCAGCAAAAGCACATAAGAGGGGGAAATTTATGGCAATAACTGTATATATTACAAAAGAACAGTGATTTCAAATAAACAATCTAACTTTACACCTCAAGGAACTAAAACAAAAAAGAACAAACTAAGTCAAAAGCTAGCAGAAGGAGGAAACGATAAAGATATGTGGAGAAATGGGCAAGAAAAACAATAGAAAAGAACAACAAAACAAAGAGCTGGTATTTTCCAAAACATAAACAAAATCGACAAGACCAGTACTTCATGATCACTTACATGCACAATCTAAAGAAGATGAACTCATAAAAGCAGAGTAGATAATAGAATGATACTTTCTCAAAGAGAGTAGAATGGTGGTTGCCAGGTGGTAGAGGGTAAGGGAAATGGGGAGATGATGATCCAACGGTACAAAGTTTCAGTTTTGCAGGATGAATAAATTCTGGGGATTTAATGTACCGAATGGTGACTATTTAATAATATTATGCTGTGTAGCTTTAATTTGCTATGAACTAGAGTGTTCTCACCTCCTCCGAAGGTAACCATGTGAGATGATGAAGATGCTAATTAGCTTGATTGTGGTAATCATTTTACAATGTTTACATCTATCAAAATATTATGTTGTATACCTTATGTTTATACATTTCTTATTTGTCAATTATACATGAATACATTTGGGAAAAAACCCATGGGGCACACTGCGTATGGGATATGTGCAGTGAGTCAATATTATGTTCATTAGTATTATTTGTTGCCTGAAGAGTTTGTATTACACCAACATAACAACTTCTGATATTTACAAAGCACTTTGCAAATTTCAAAGTATTTCCACTTATATTTTGTCATGCATCCTGTGGGGTTGGTAGGGCAAAAATAACCTGGTCCCACATGACATATTATATTTAGACACTTACGCAAACTTATGTTGTTGGAAGCATTAGGTCAGGGTTTGAATATTGGTGCTTTTTAACACTATTTCCAAAATTGTTATTTTAGTCTATTGCTAAAATATTGTTAGTCTATTATCTATGAAAGGTTAAGACATTTAAAATTCAGTAAATCCATGCAATATACCTGGTACTGTTCTAAGTGATTTACATGAATGATTTTTTTTAATTCTCACAATATTATGTAAGTAATATTATTTAGGTTTTACAGATTAAAAATCTAGTTTACAGATTAAAAATCTTAACACGTTTAAACATGTTTAGTACTTTATTCAAAGGCTCATAGTTCTTACATGGGAGAGCTAGGATTTGACTTAATTTAATGTAACCTCAGCATCTGGCCTTTTGGGATAGTAGCTATCTTTTAGGTGAAAACACTCAGGACTATCTAAGAATGCTTGAATTTTCAGCTGTGTAATCTTGGGTAAAATCATTGAATTTCTCTGCTTTCTTATTTTCTCATCTGTAAATTGGGAACAATAATAATAATTCAAGCCCATTTCCCAGATTTGTAAGCATAAAAGAAAATATTTACATACACTTTGGAAAAACTAATACCATATTAATTATTAGTAATATAGTAATAAGTCAGTTATGTCCATGTGTGTAGCTAAAATTATCATCAATGGTCTGGTTATAATGCTTTTTAAGTTTTTAAAATGCTGAGTTGGCAATATGTAAATAAAGATAAGAAAGGAGCTCCTAGGAATGTGTCAGCCTAATCATCACAGTTGTTAACAACTGTGGTTTCTTTGGGAGGCTGAGGCAGGTGGATCACCTGAGGTCAGGAGTTTAAGACCAAGCCTGGCCAACATGGTGAAACCCCCCTCTCCACTAAAAATACAAAAAAAAATTAGCCAGGTGTGGTGGCGGGCACCTGTAATCCCAGCTACTGGGAGGTTGAGGCAGGAGAATTGCTTGAACCTGGGAAGCGGAGGTTGTGGTGAGCCGGGATCATGTCACTGCACCCAGCCTGGACAACAAGAGCAAAACTCTGTCTCAAAAAAAAAAAAAAAAAAAAGAAAGAAAGAAATGGCTACAGTGGCAGCAACAACCCCGCAGCTCAGATAAACCGATTTCCTAAACTCAAATTATCCACAGCCAGGTCTGTGTCAGCGCTGGTGCTTCCACAGTGATAGCTTCTGGACCAGCAGCTGATGAATTCCAGACACCACTCTTTATTGGATTAGAAGTAATTCTAAATTCATGGAAGGTGTTTTAATATTTGTGCAGATAACAACCCACATGGACTCTGCTACTGCAATTGATTTTGGCTGCTCCTCAACTTGCAGTTCACTTAATGCAATTGTTTGAAGAAAGGTGTCTGAGTAAACACCTGTGTGGACAGACTCACAGGCCTCTTCACTGATGTTGCTTATCTTAGTATTGAAATAAAAAATCAAATAGTGGTGAAAGACAAGACAAAACACTGCACTCTCTTTTTAAAGTTGGTTTCCAGGCTTATGGGATGTCGTGTCTTGCTAAATTGTGGTAATATCAGTAAAGGCAATAGCAGAGAGCCTGGATATAGGAGCACCCAATAAATGACTCTTCTCTTCCTTTTCCTACATCTATATTCACCTTAGAGACTAGAACAGAAAGTTACATACGGGAGTGGCTTAAGACTGTGATGTTAGTTGCCCACCCTGCAAGAGCGGAGGAGGAGAATGGCAAGAGCGGTGCATCCTGGCACCTTCGTTGGAATCCTTAATCTAGCGCTTATTAACACTGTAGGCTTGAGGAAGGTCTTTAATATTCCTGACCCTCTTCCCCCCTCTGTAAAATGGGGCTAATAGTAGACACAGTTTTGGATTGAGGATAATGAAGATTACATAGGTAAAATTGCATAGACTGTATAAAAATGATATAGTCATTAATTTTCTGTAAGATCTCTACTGTTTACCTTCTTCTCTCCAAATATGAAGTTCTAAATAAAGGCCCTTAGGAAAGAAGTCACGAATAGCTGGGCAGGACAAGCAGTATTTTGTGTTTCTCAATATGAGGTGCTTGACACTCAGTATTTTTGTACTTACACAGTTCCATGAAGTAGGATCTATTACCTCCACCCTCCAGATAAGAAAATGAGCTCGTATAGATTGTCAGATGTCCAAAGTGTCCCACCTAGTAGGTGAAAGATCCAGAATTTTGAATCCAGTGTTCTTTATTGAACAAAATACTGAATCTGGAGCTTGGTGACCTTTATCCAAATAACAACAATAAAGCTAACATTAACTTAGCCCTCACCATGTACCATACCTGTGCTAAGCCATTCCAAGCACTCAGTTGTGTCTACAATAACATTATCTCCATTGTACCTGGGAGTAAACTGTGAGGTTACTGGCTTGCTGCAGGTCATGCAGCCAATAAACGGCAGTTGGTATTTGGCTCCAGGCAATCTGGTTGCAGACTCTTTGCTCTTAGTTCCATACAATATTATCTAGGGCTAGGTTCACCTCTGCCATTTTCAAGCATGACACTTCTCTGCTCTGAGTCTCAGCTTATTAATTGGTAAAACGAGGAAGTCATTTAGATTAACCATAAAATCCCTTCCATGAGTCTATCCAATAGACCAAATCAATGTTGTCCTAATAAAAATCACAGAAGGGCATGTCCTGCAGGTCAGGCCCATGCTCACCAATGAATCATGAAGTGGAGCTGCTCAGTAAGTAACAAGGACTGAGTATCTTTTCCTCTTTCTGTGTGCTGTTGACGCAGAGCTGGGGCTTATTGGATTCCAGAGAAATGTGTTATCTATACAATACAAATTTTATCTTCTCTGTGGCAATTCTTCCTTATAATTTTATTCCCAAATTTGAACTTTCTCTCACTCCAGTAAGAGTCAAAACGTATGTGGCAAGGGAATGGGTTATAGCAGGGGTTGGGGGCAGTCACCAAGAATGGCTTCATTTCAGATTTAGGACAAATGAAGTGTCCTTAATCACTTTGGTCTTTTCTCCATTAGAAAACTAGGCCTGCAAAATGTCAGTCTAAAACTTGTAAGCCATATGCAGAATTTCAGGTGGAGTCTTTATTCTCTGACATTTTTATTTCAATCTTCTCTTATAGAAATTCAATCAACACATGTTCCAAATAGTGCAAGGAAGCTCAGCCCTGATGTATGGAAAGTGAGGGGAGTTCCCAATGAAGAATTTTGTTTCTCTAAGAGAGATCTCCTCTCTCACTGTGCCCTTAATGTCTGATTATTGCACAGACATTGCACTTCTGTGGATATGAAGAAAACTATGGGTTGGTTTTCTACCAAAATGCACACTCCTCCCTCCCTCACTTTTATTGAGATGGGGTCTTGCTCTGTTGCCCAGGCTGGAGTGCAGTGGTGCAATCACAGCTCACTGTAGCCTTAACATCCTGAGCTCAAGGGATCCTCCCAACTCAGCCTTCTGAGTAGCTGGGAACATGGGTGCATGCCACCTTACCAATTTTTTGTTTTTATTTTTTTAGAGGCAAGGTCTTGCTATGTTGCCCAAGGTGGTCTGGAACTCCTGAGCTCAAATGATCTACCCACTTTGGCTTCCCAAATTGCTGAGATTACAGGCATGAGCCACTGTGCCTGGCCCATGTTCCCTTTATACACAGTTTAGCATAACATCTCCGGGGTTTATAAACACCCCCAACCTAGTCCATGGCCAATGACTTTAGCTAAATACCCTCTTCTTTAGGGCTTTGATTTTGTTTTTTTTTTTTCCCTTCTCAATTTTTCATATTTCCTCACTCCTTTTCCTAATTTTTCTTCCTGGCAACTGAAGTTTAGTAATAGCATCTTGGACATGGAAGAGACCTGAAGCCCACTGAACCTGCTTCTTGCCCGCTCCATATGACCAGCCAGGGCTGATTGCACTTTTCTAGTGACAAGGAACTTATCCCATACCAGCAGCTGTTTATTTGACTTTAAAACATTTATTATTTTATTTATCAATCATTAATGATTACTTATTAATAACCAATTGATTAATTATATTAGAAGCTTTTAAATTTTGTTGCACAGAATCCTACTTTCTTATATAGTGGTTACTGTTGATGCCCAGCCCAGATTCCCTTTCTCTGCTGCACATCATTCCCAAGTTACTGTGAGTGCTGGTGATTACAACTTACAGCTGTTCTCTCTCTAAGGAATTATACATTGGTAAATGAGAGCAGAAATTGCTATGTGCTACCCTCCTCACCTACTGTAGACTTCAGATGGTGACAGACTGGCAAAAAAAGGCCAGTCCAGTTGCCTCAAGGAAGGACTAATTCTGTGGTGTCCAAAGTCAGATACTTGCTTAGCATTTGTCCTGTCCTTGTCACTGATTCCCTTGCTCTCCCTCTCTTGAGAGCACTCCATTTCCCCTCTCAGGCTCTGCTTGTGGACATAGGGCAGTTGGTACCACAAACAATGCTGAGATGGTATTCTGAAATTAGATCCCCCACTGGGTGGATGGCAATGGGGACCCCATCATTGTGCTAAGTGGAGTCTTGAGAGTCTCTGGCATGCAGTAGCAGTGTAATTGCCAAGATGTTCTCCTGAGGTCAAGTGGGATAGATCCAAGTGGAAGGGATGTGCTATCTAGTGCAACATGATGGGTGTTTGAGATGTATCAGTAAATAACAACTCTAAGGACTATGGCATTAAGTGGCTGTCCTAAGCAACACTGATTCGTGTAAGACAGATAATGACAGTTTCAGATCTAGATAACAACAATTTAAGTCAAAGTGAGTGGCAGAAAACTTCCTTGGAAGCTTTTAAAACGAGCCCTCATCTCCTGCAGAGGGAAAGTACATCTGAGAGTCAAAACAGGACTTAATTAGAAGAGAGCAGATCTTCAGAGAAGCCTGAAATCCCTGCCTAGCTAAGTCTTCTATGCCAAAATCGTCTTCATGGGGAAGGAGTGGGACTCTGAGAATTGGGATGGGGATAGTTGGTAGATGCCTTTGAGAACTTTGAATCCCCCAATTCCCCTGAACTCCCTGGCCCTGCAGAAATAGCTTTCTTCACTTTGTTGGCGATAGAGTACTGCTACCCAGCCTCCTGACTTAAATACTGTGAGATGCCATAAATGAGGCCCCCTGCCTGCCTTTCAAGATGCCTCATGATCTGCCCTACCTCCTCTGGTCGCTATGTGCATAACTGAAGTTAAGTTACAGTATAACCCAACTCTCTTACTAAGGTAGGAGAGAGACTATATGCCAAAATAGCTTTAGGACTATGCTAATATATATAGGCCGGGAATCAAAGACCATATCTGTGAGTGGGTCCTAAAGAAGCTAGATCAAGGGCATACAATATAAAGTTTGTTAGGACAGGGGGTGTGTGTGGCACTTTACTGTGACACAGTATTTAGTACCTTGGCAATAACCCTGAGTGTGGGGATGGCTAAAAAATCTTGGAAGTAAACAGTGGTTCATGTCAGACAAAATAGGAATGCCAGAACTGCTATTGCTCTCTGTGGAAACAGGAATATAAAAATGTCCAGCTAAGTGAGTATGCTAAAATAGAACACTACAGGAGACTACAATAGCTGACCATGTTCTTCATGAAAGCCCAGAGGACGCTGTTTACCAGGTGATAGGGAATGTGCTGGTGAGGGAGGCACCAGCATCCCTGATAGCCTCCTAGTGGCTGCTCTATGCAGACAGGAACAAACAGTAGATGATCCTGTTATATATTTGAGCTCTGTGGTAGCAACAGAGATGATAGGATCATAGTATAACAGGCAGGTGACAGCATCTGCAATCAGAAGCAAGGTAGGTGTAATTGCTGTCATGGAGAACAAGATTGGACAAGCCGATAGGAGACCTATCCCAAAGGTATCTGTGGAGAGAGTTCTAGAACATGGTGTTTTCAAAGGCATGAAAGGAGGTCAGCCAATACATATATTGCTTAATAGATAAAATTAAGAGATCATAAATTGGTGAGCAAAAGATTGACATTGGCTGCCACAACAGAAGTCATAGTCTCTTTTTTGACACCTGGGATAGTTCTCATGCTCCAAGACAATCAGTTGATGAATAGGTGGGTCCCCATGATAAAGAATCTGAAACATAATGGCAAGTGTACACAGTAATAACTCCTGAAGTTCTTCGGCTATTTACTTGAGTATACACAATATAGTGGAACAAGGGGAATGTTTAGATCTTTCGAGAGCTTTCGGATAGAGACTCTGAGTTGACATTGATATTTGCTGTCATGGTCCCTCTGATAGAATGGGCATGTGGTGGATGTTAGAAAACAAATAGATTCACTGAGATCCACAGGCTTACCTGATCAGGACACTGTTTCCCAAATATATAATTGGAAGAGGCATTTAGCAGTTGACAGAATCCCTACACTGGTTCTGTGTTCTGTACAACTAAGAACTGTTAAAAGAAAGGTCAAGTTGAAGGTCCCAAAACTGCCTCCTCAAGTAAATAAAAATAGGAACACATCCTGGAATAACAGCATTTAGTGCCATCCTTGTTGGCAGTCCCCATCATATCCCTTTTTATTTCATCATCCTGGACCCTATGAAAACCAATATATCATGACGGGTAACAGTGAACCATCTTTATGTAAACAAAAAGCAGTCCCAATTGCAATTATTATATTTGATGTGGTAGATTTATTAGAGAAGATTAACACAGACTTTGATGCATGGTGTGAAGCTATTGATCTGGCAGTTGTGTTCTTTTCCATACTAATCAAGAACGATCATTAAAAACAAAAATATACATTTACAATGTAGTTCCAGAGCTTTAAATTCTCATGTTTTCTGCCATAATTTATTCCAATGTGGCCTGAACTGTCTGGACAATTGAAAACATCACATTAGTCTACAAAATTAATAATGCCTTGTTAATTTGACCTGATAAACAGTAAGTAGCAAGTAATTTGGATGCCTTGGATTGAAACATGCACCCAAGAAGATGGGTGCTGAATCTTACAAAGATTCAGGATCTGCCATATTGAAGAAGATTATAGGAACCCAGTGGTCTAGGCATGCGAGTACATCTCTATGAAAGTAAAGGACAAATTATTTCACCTTGTTCCTTCTCCACTAAGAAAGAAGCAGAGCACTTCAGAGTCCCCTTTGAATTTTGGAGGTAGCATATTCCAAACATGGAAATACTCCTATATTTCTAGCTTTGGTTGGGGGCAGAGTTGAGAAAGATATGCAGAGAGCTATATCATTCTAAAACTTCTCCTGACAAGATTTTAGGACCTGATTGAAATTGATTATCTGACTATGATTTATCAAGGGATCGTGTGGCCAGAGCTATAGATCAAGAGATGTGTTCTGTCCTGTGTGAGATGCTGAGATGAGAAAGCCCAGATATACTTCGTCATTAAATGGAAGTGGTGCCTCTAGCATCAGGCTTGAGAAGGCCCAAAGGGCACAAGTAAACTACACAACAGGAGACCCAGACCCCAATGTCACATCTTGTACTGCTGCTGTTTCCTTGGCTCACATGTAGGCCCTCATGCTGGGGGCTCCCCATGACCAGCTGATGAAGGGGGAAAAAGTCGAATTTGGTTAATGGATGGGCTGGCATGGTATGTGGATATGAACCACACATGAGCTGTTGCTGCATGACAGCCTCACTCAGGAGAGCCCCTAAAATACAGTGGGGAGTGGAAACCCTTTCCATTTACGTATTTGAATGAAAGTAGATAAAGCGGGAGAAGGAAAATGGCAGAGACACACACACACACACACACACACACAGAGAGAGAGAGAGAGAGAGAGAGAGAGAGAGAGAGAGAGAGAATAGAAGCAGGCCCTAAAATGCCACTGAAAAAGTCAGGCAAACCTCCCATTGATTTCTGTTGCCTATACATGCAACAACAGTGCCACAATTCCATAGGGACAATGGGAAGAGCTCAGGTACTTGAACCTGATTTTCCACTTTCTGTGTACAGAAAAGTGGTTTGGACTAAGGATCTACATAGACTTATGGGCAATGGTAAATGGCTTAGTTAGTTGGTCAGACTTGAAACTTTGGAAGGAGCAAGGTTGGACACCTGGGGACGAAAAGTACAGAGAAAGAGCCATGTGAATCAAACGATGAAGTGGGAAAAATGGGATAACTGATCTAACAACATGGAATCCCATATAACATTGCCCACTTTACAGAAAAGGAGATGTGGTTGTGAGCAAATTGCTGTGGCATCCATTGGTCCTAGCTCACATCCTAATCCTGAAATTGATGACATTGTAGAGCAATGAAATAACCTGTTGCTGCCACAGCTGAAGCACTAGCTTTGAGAAGATACCATGAAAAGATAAGGAGCTGTCGGTGTACATTTTAAACCATTAAGCATGATAATAACCAATAAGTAGAATATATCAGTCTCAGAAACAAGGGGTGAGAGTAGAAGTGGCACCATTAATATTCACTCCCAATATTTTAAAAATTATGATGTTTTTACATCTAATTTTTGAAAATGTTTGTGCTGCAGGTTTAGAGGTCTTAGGTCCAAGAGGGGGATGCTTCCACCAGGGGACACAGTAAATGTATTCCTAATGTAAAGCTATGGCTTCCACCTTGTGCTAGCTACCCTCAACCCTGTTGACTATCAACCAAAGAAAAGAGTTGCTGTAGTGGTGGGGATATTTAACCCTGATTATCATGAGGTTGTAGAGTTGCTCCTACATAATGAAGTCAAGGAGAAATATATTTAGCATAGAGATAATTCACTTGGGCATCTCTTGATACTCTCATGACTATTTGTAACTGCAAATTGGAAAATAGAATAATCATGGCCTAATGAGAGCATAGTAACCAGGGTTTCAGACACCCTAGGGCTAAACATTTGGGGGAACCCATCAGACAAGTCACCTAGACTGGTAGAGGTGCTGGCCCAAGGGGAGGGAAATTTAAAATGTTTTTAGAAGTTAGGGGTAATTAATATCAGTTATGCTTTAACAGCAGCAGCAAAGGCTGTAATTTATCCCAGTTGACTATCCTCTTGTAAACGATCCCAAAGAAATTGGGATCATCAGAATTCTGGAGAAGCTATACCTCAATAGAGTGAATTTAATGGAAGAAACAAATGGATCTAAGTGGTGCAAGGGGTCGATTGTAGTGGCTGCAATCATGTAGTGGTCTCTTGCCTTGCTCAGATTTTTTTCTCTTCAATTTTTAAGTTCAGGGCTACATGTGCAGGATGTGCAGGTTTGTTAAATAGGTAAACATGTACCATGGTGGTTTGCTGCAAAGATCATCCCATCACGTAGGTTTTAAACCTAGCATGCATTAGCTATTCTTTTGATGCTCTCCCTCCCTCCACCACTGAACAGGCCCCAGTGTGTGTTGTTCTCCACCATGTGTGCATGCGTTCTCATCATTCAGCTCCCACTTATAAGTGAGAACATGCAGTGTTTGGTTTCTGTTCCTGCATTAGTTTGCTGAGGATAATGGCTGCCAACTCCATCCATGTCTCTGCAAAGGACATGGTCTCATTCCTTTTTATGGCTGCATAGTATTCCATGGTATATATGTACCACATTTTCTTTATCCAGCCTATCATTGATGGGCATTTAGGTTGATTCCATGTCTTTGCTACTGTGAATAATGCTGCAGTGAACATATGCATGCATGTGTCTTTATAGTATAATGATTTGTATTCCTTTGGGTATATGTCCAATAATAGGATTGCTGGGTCAAATGGTATTTCTGCCTGGAGATCTTTGAGGAATCACCACACTACCTTCCACAACAGTTGAACTAATTCACACTCCCACCAACAGTTTAAAAGCATTTTTTTTTCTCCACAATCTTGAGGTTGCTCAGATGTTTTAAATTAACCAGTGTATCCATAACCCACCTGCTGGGAACATTAGCTGAAAATAATTTACAGCTGTCTCTTTCTTTGTAGAATTGTATTAGACTAAAAAAAACCCACCTCACCTTGTAAGCTATCCCTCCTCACTCCTTTAGGGACAACATTCAGCTAAAGACTCACTGGTATAGTGATGAAGAGGTCCAGCCCACTCACTTCAAGGTGGGACTAAGTCTGTGGTATAATTTGTTCTTCGGAGCTTCTCTGTGACACCAAAATGAAGGTAGTCTCTAGTTGAGACCATTTGGCTTTCCCCTCATTGCTTTATCCCACTTCACTCACTTCCTTCTCCTGCATACACCTCCTGAGTAAAGCAGTTGAATGAATATGCAGGAACCCCACATAATACACCCCGTTGTAGCTTCCACTCCTTAGGTCTTGTGTAGCCATGGTTCTTTCTACGACAAGAGAATGGCTAAAAGGTAAGGGAAGATAAGGGAAAAGAGTAAGGTAGCATGATACAGGAGTAAGTTCTCTAATTCCTATCCTTTCATTTTTATAAACTCCAAAATAGAGACCTCTTGACATTCACCTCTAAGCCCGTTTTCTTACTTGACACTGATAACAATTTGGTTTAATTTCAGAATGGTTTAAGGAGAGCTAGCTAAGAACATGCTAAGGCATGACATCACATTTTATATTTTGAAGGCTTCCTATCTTCCAGTAGGCATTGTTCTGCTCTGACCCTATGTTCCACTTCAAATTATTGTCTTATTACCCGTATTGAGTCCCTGCTTGGCTAGCTGGCCTGGTGCCGAAGTTTCCTCAAGACTTACACTTTTGATAGTTTAGATGAGCCCTGCGGGTATCTATAGTCCCAGCCCTATGTCCTATTTTAGCAATTGGTGTCTTGCTTCATGTTGCCAGGCCTCACTGATGCTAACTGCCTCTTTGCCTATCTGTATCTTCCGTTTTACCTCCTCTGAAACTGACCCTTGTACCTCTTCCTGGACTACAGTTTTCTGGATCCTATGTCCTGTCTGCCTGCCTAGACTTTCTCCCGGCACCTTCTCCAAGGGATGGTTCATCCCAGACAGTCTAGGTGACTACTCTGGCTCTGTCTAGATTTCAGACGCCCTTTGCTTCCTCTCGGCTTTTCCATTCAGCTCCTGGGAGACCTTGTGGAGGAAGTTGCTTCACATCTCTGTTCCCAATTTCTTCATCAACAAATGAGGCTAATAATTAGTCATGAAGAATAAGCAAGAAAATACTCATAAAGCATTTAGAAGACTACCTGACAAATAGTATGACTCAATAATATGATCTACTTATGTGAGTTAGTTGTTATAATCTTCCATGCAGTTCTGTTAGGGAAACTGAAGCCACTTAGGACATTCAGGAAGGAAGGGATTTAACAGAGAGAGAGACTTATACAACTTGGAACAGCCTGGGACAGGATACTTAGGAAGATCACTGTTGGATTTCAGAATATACAGATGTCCAGGGATCACAGAGGAGCCTCTGCCTGTGGTCTTGACTGCCAGGATCATGGAAGTGAGTGATTATCAAGTATATGCCAGAAAGCTTCTGGAAAAACACTCTACCTGTTAACGCACACTTGCCTGCACATAGCTGAAAATAATGGTTTCCTTTTTCTTTTATGTTTTATAAATCTTGTGCAAGTGCCCACTTGATCAAACACAAATATTGGAGGAAGCAAATGTGGAAAATACCAGGTTCTGGGTTTTCGGCCCTTGCAGTAGAGTTGACAGCTTAGAAGTACAGGTATGATGTGTTGAGTATCAATGGACAATATGTGCCGCTGTTGTTATTGTTACTATTATTGTGGTTTTCACCCCAGCTTTATTCTTTTAGGAATTGTGTAAAGGGAAATCTACTGAGAGAGAAGTCAGAGCATATGATAACTGGAGGTGGGCATCATGGCCTTTCTAGAAAGTTTCGAGTTGGATGCTCAGTTGGATAATCTGCATGGAGAAATGGACAAGCTCCAAAATAGAGTCCAAACAATGGACTTTAATAAAGACATCTGAGAGCTTAGTCACAGATAAAGTTGGGCAACTTATTGCTAAGCCTCTGAAAGCAGTTAAATAAAAGAGTTAGAAACAAAGATGTACCTGGTGGAGGAGAGTGTAACCCCCACGGGGTTATAGTCTCACTCAACCCCACTAGTAGTTAGCTAGTGACATCGGGTAATCACTTCATTCCTCTAGGCCTTATTCTTTATCTGTAAAATAGAGGAGTTGGATTAAATCATTCCTGTGATCAGACTCTTACTGCTGACACTGCATTCCATTTCATCTCATCACACTTGGCTCCAGCAGTGATACTTCTCTCTGTTGAATATTGGAATGATGTCTGAGTCCTGGCATTGTGTACACAGAGATCCAGATGCAAGGCATTATCAATCACAACACTAATGTTGTGAAGCAAGGATAGGTAAGGCTAATTGCAAGTAGCTCCTGTATTCCCAGTGGTTTGCACCATGCCTGTCACATGGAAGGTACAATACAATTTGTTAAATGAGTGAAAGAATATTTAATCCGCCTCTTACACTTCAGTGACAAGGGAGGTAAGTCATTTTACTGAGGGTTCTGATTACTCAGAGGAAAACTCCAAATGGCAATCAAAGGATTTGTGGATTGTGAACAGGAAGTTGGAGAGCACTGGGCTGGGAACTCCATGGAGCCACCTTTGTAGCTCTCAGGCACTATCTATCTTACGTGAAAAACACAATGAGTTCAAGGTCACTGCACACATGTTGAACAAATAAATAATTGTAGAGCTGCCTAAGCCCTAAGGCAGGAGAAAATGTCCTTTGGGACTGTAGAAAGGCTGTGTTAAGTGCTCATGATACTCCATGGGAGAGGGAGCTAAACCCAGATGATCACTGGAATGCTTCTACACTTGATTTGTCAGTGCAGGGAATGAGCCAACAAATCTCTTCATACTTCCTAAGGTCACACAATTTCAGAGGCAGAAGGAATCTTGGTTACTATCTGGCTATACTGTTATCTGGTACCTGAATTTCCTTTACATAATTTTCAAAAATGTTATTGTCCAGCTGCTATTTGAATCTTTCCACGGACAGTGAGCTTACAGCCATTCTATTTCATCTTCTTTTAAAAATTTATATGAATCTGACATTTCTCCCATAATCAGTGGTGTTTTAGTTTATTATTCAATGGTGCCCCTGATGTACTCACCTCTATTTCTTTCCCTCCTTATGTCTTAGCTGGAGAAGACCTGTTGTTCAGTCTACTTTTACCCTCCATTTTCAGGGAGCAACATTATAGTGTTGGGCAAATATGCACATATGTGTATTCATGCAAATGCAGTTGCATACCCTTGCATCAAAGTCAGGTGCTCCTTGTTAAATTTTGTTCCCTAGAAAGATCCTTCACAAAAACCTTATGTAGCAGGGGTAGTTCTTTAAAGACCTTTCCAACCCCAGACGGGCTGCTTGTGTTGCACTTCACCTTTCTGGTAGACTCACTAACTAGACTGCTGGAGCCAGAAGGGGCCTTGGTGAGAGTTTAATAAAATGTTCTTATTTTATTAAAAGAGTATGTAACCATTGAAGTCTGAGGTAGTGGTCTAAATTCTTTCAGCTAAGTAGCTGAAGAGTCAACCCTCAATCTCAGGGCTCGAAAATCTTGCTTGTGTGAGCAGCAGTACCTGGCACTGTGCTGGTCAGACTGCATGAATCATACATATTGAGAGATTGATTGCTATCTTATTTTTAAACATGTCTATAGTTTGGCTCTCAACCTTCTTTTGAAAGCTAGACTAATATACCACTGTGATTTTCTGTAATTACTTTGATTCAATAACCCGCATCATTCTTGGTTGTCTATGTGTATACAAATTACTGCCAAACAAGAGAGAAGTTCAGGAATAGAGAGAGGGATCCCTGGTACTAACTGAAGGCAACCCAGGGATATAACTTTCCTTCCTACACCCCCAATCTCAGGAAGTCAGTAGATGGCAGTGGTAAGAGCCATGAAGATCTGGATTCAAATCCTAGCTCTAGCTCTAGGACTTTTGGCCTGAGTGCTTTTACATGAGTTTCCTAGCCCTACTGGGCCTTGCTTTCCTTGGAAGTAACATGGGTTTTATAAGAATAATGAGAGGCATATACACACATATATAAGCACTTTTCCTGGTAATTTGGGCATAGTAAGTACTCAACAGATAAAATACACTGTTACTATTATTTCAGCTAATTTTGTTACATTGTTTTTTTTTTTCCCATCAAGTAGGTGTTTAGTAGGTATCTGTGGAATGAATGTATAGCATTCACATGATGTTGTTCTTACAACAAGGGAAGAAGGATGGTAGCTTTCATTCTCAACCCTGACAATCAGAGGAAGAGGGTTTCTAGGATCAGGAATAGCAAATACAAGTCTAGACCAGGAATTGGCAAACTATGGCCCACTGGCCACATCTGACCCACTGTCTGTGTTTGTAAACAAAGTATTATTGAAACACAGGCACATTTCTTTGTTTATATATTGTCTATGGCTGCTTTTGCACTACCACCGCAGAGGTGAGTAGTTGGCACAGAGGGAGACTTGGGGTTATGGTCTCAACCCCACTAGTAATTAGCTGGTGACATTGGGTAATCACTTCATGCCTCTAGGCCTTATTCTTTATGTGTAAAATAAACGAGTTGGATTAAATCACTGCTGTGATCATTTTACTGTTTATATTCTATGATTCTTTGGAAACTAAGGCCAAGGCAGAGAGGAGAGATTTGGACTGACATTCTTTTATATATTTGAACTCTATTATCTTTTAGGCTGTAGAAAAGGCTAAGAAGGAAACCTGGATTGATACAGAGATGGGCTTTAATTCAGAGAGAATTGTAAAATATACTTACATTCCCCAAAGCTGGAAGTGAAGTATAAACTATATTAAAACATTTCAAATTCTAAGGGGAATAAAGAGGCTGCATTTTATAAAGCTATTTTTGGGTTTTGTCAACTACAATAACCACATGGTTCAGATATAAGAGCCTAGCACTAAAAGCATTAGATGGAATTCCTTTCCATAGAACATTGCTAACACGAGACTGTGGCAACAGAACACTTAGGTTGAAAAGTTTAAAAAGCCTTTTAGAAAGTTCTTAGGAGAAATATATTTAAACTTTTAAAAAATTAAATATATACATGTATACGTTCCTTTGAATACAGATATCAATATATCATTACCTGGCCCCTAGCCTGACACTTAGTAGTAGTTAAATAATACTTTTGAATGAATGAATAAAATTCATTGGAACCTCTACATTATACTACTCCTTCAATTCAACAAACATTTATTTTGTGGTTATTATTAGAATTTTTAGGCCCTTTTCAGGAATTACTACCTTATATAGAACAATGAGCTCCTTTTAGCACTCTGGATGTTATAAATAATGCTCCATAGATGAGATCTAAAGAGGGAATCCCAGAATCACAGTTTTAGAGCTGACAGGCTGAACCACTTCCTTTGCTCTTAGATGTGTCCTTCTCCATCTCTTTCTTATCCAAAGTCCCAGGGCTAAGTGAAGGCAAAGTTAGGACTAAAAATTATTCTTCAGATTCCAAATTCTGTGTTTCTTTCCTATGCACTATCTAGATTATATCAACTTACATTTTAGAATATTATAATGAGATTCTAACATAGAGCATCCTTGAACTTGGTAAGGTTTTGGATGATCTGGTTGGTGGCAATATGATTGATTAATTAATTCATTCATTCATTGAAGTATGTATTAAGCGCCAACTATATCAGTTGCAGTATGCTAGGTGCTCTCATGGATGAAAAAGAATGAGACACATGATTTTTCCTTAGCTTAGGGGTCACCTGCAGGAAGATTTTTCTCAACCAGAGCTACCCATCAGGCTCACCTCCAGCACTGCACTTACCGTAGTGTGTTGGAATGTCTTGTTACCAATCTATCTCTTCCATTAGTCTGTAAGATGCTTTGGGGGCAGAAACTAAGTCTTACTCATCACTGGGCATATTCTGCCCTTTCTCCCAAAATGTCATTTGAACTGATTTAACCATATCTCATGATATATTTGGGAGAGAAAAATGATAATATATACCTTACTAGTTTAAAACATATGTTATGGACTGGATGTTCGTGTCCCCCCAAAATTCACGTGTTGAAACCCTAACCCACAACTTGATGGTATTTGGAGATGGGCCTTTAGGAAGTAAGAATTGTCAGATGAGGTCATGAAGGTGAGACCCTTGTCCAATGCCATTAATGCCATTATTGGAGGATACACCAGAGAGCTTCTAGTATCCCCAGGTGCTCCTTGGCTTGTGGCTGTATAACTCCAATCCCTGCCTCGGGATTCATGGCTATCTTCTGTGTGTCTTCATATCATCTTTCCTTCTGGCATGTCTATCTCTGTGTTTCTTATTGTCTTATAAGGATGCAAATCATATAAGAAAATTGGATTAAGGACCATGCTAAAGACCTCATGTTAACTTGATTACAGCTGCAAAGACCCTGCTTCCAAATAAGGTCACATTTGCAGGTATCAAGAGTTAGTAGTTCAGCAAACATTTTGAGGGGTCATACAATTAATCTATAAGAATGGCCAAGACCAAAATCCTATTTTTTCTCTTTTTAACTATGATAGTATCAACTTATACCATTTGGAATCATGCATTATGTGCCAATCACAGTGCTCAGCATTCAATTATTTCATTTAATCTTCTCAACAAGCCGTGAGAGGTGGGAAGTGTTAGGCTTGTTAACAGCTGTGCAGTGGAGATTCAAGGAGGTTGAGTACCTTACACCAGGTCATATTCTAAATGGTGGAGCCAGAATTTCATTTAGATCTCACTAATTTTGAAAGTCCACATTCTTAATCACAATGCAAACATTTCTCTCTTGCTCACTCTCTTTTTTAATTTTTTAACATTCATGAGTCTATTAGCTATTTTAGGATTTTTTTATGTCCTATAACTTAGAAACTCTTTATTAATGTCTGCACTGAACATTAATCTGTCATATATTTAGTCTCAACTTGAGGCTGTACATATAGACCTGTTTAGGTTCTCTAAGATTCCACCTTATGCCCTCTTTACCTCTTTAGGTTAGCTAATGTGTCACTGTATCTTTGCATCTTTCCCTTTGTCCTGGTAACCCATATTATTCCTGAAGCCATTTCTACATGCTGAGTCAGGTTCCAAAGAAAAACTCAATAATTCTAGTATAGGATCTTTATTCCAATCTTAGCCTGCAGTCAGTTTCTGTATTGAGAGATCCTAACCCTCATACTGCTGTGTTGAGTCACAGCATCTTCCAAATTGACCTCAGTTACTGGATTTAGTCAATTTGCCTTGGATTTGGAACTCCACCATGCACTCTGCTGATCTCTTCATCTTCTTTTCCTGCCCCCAAACCTCAGTCAGAAGCACATTCATGTACCAGCCTCATTTAGCTCTGCATGGATTTTTCCAAGGCATTTGGAAAAGTTGCCAAATTATTTACAATTGTATTTCTGCAGTTTGGAGCCATTTGAAAAATTCAAGATTGATTTTCAGCTGGGCAATGCAGCATCAATCCTAATAAGATTCAAGCACTGAAAAAGTACAGTGATGAACCATTGATTAAGTTGACACTGCAATCTATTTTCCTTGCCCCTGGTAGGCTGAACTGGCTGCTTGTACCTGCATTTGTTAAATGTTGCGGGCTTTTGTCTTTGTGAATAATCTTATCTGAAACAAGAGCTGGTGCTGTGCTTGGTTGCTCTGCCTGGGTATCTGTCAGTGCCTCATTCTACGGGTGTGAAAATGAAAGCTGAGGAAATTAAGGGAAGTGTACAGGGAATTCACCAATCTAAAAACCTAGTGTGCTGGCCTGCAACTGTGCAGTTTCAGGGCTGAGAAGGAAGACTGTAGTTGGAAAATGAACATGTCCATGGGGAAATAATATAGCAAGAATGCACACTATAGTGTAAGTGTCAAGTCTGGGGCAGGAATGGCCTTTCCACATTAGGGAAGGATCCCTAGACAGTGGCAGCTCTGTTGCAAACATAAATCACTAGAATATACAACATGAAATCCTCTTCCTTTTATCCTAATTCACCCACTTTTCCAACTGTTTGAAATGATGTGTTTCATGTTGAATCAGAGTCTCTAAATTTATCTGCTATGTGACCTTGGGAAAGATGCTTAACTTCCCTCAGCTTCAATATATCTTTCCTCATCTGTCAAATGGGTATGTTACTGGTATTGCACTCACAGGGTATTACCAATGATCAAATAAACTAATGGCCATAATGGGCCCAACATACAGTAAGCATTCAATAAATTAATAAATTAAAGGCTTGTTGAAAACCAACCATTTTTAACAAAAAAATTTCTCATTGCAGTTGTGTTTAAATGAGTGGATAAAAAGAAGTGGTTTGGCTCATTCCCATAGTGGGAATGGGTGGGAGAGAGCAGCTTGACAATGGGAGAGACCGTCTGATAGAGTAAACAGCCAGGCCCGTAATGTCACAGCAATGGGCTCTATACCAGCAGTATTAGGATGAAAACAATATCCCTGGGGAAAAGGCATATTGCTCACAAGCTGCCCACTCCAGGATGCTCCTCCTTAGCAAGGGCATCCTCCTTACTGTTCTTCCTTCAAAGTGATTTCTAGTTGTACAACAGTTGTTCTAGCATGGTAAACATCAGATCTTTCAAATATAATGTAGATGAATTTTAACCATACACAGAGTAAATATATACATATGTCTATACATATATATAATCTTCCATGAATATTTATAGGAAATACATAAATGATTCACACTCACTCCCTCACATCCTAGGAAAAGAATGGAGCAATATGGTATTTTTTGACCTGACCCCTCGACTTTATCAGAAGGCAAACAATCTAGCCTTAGACATGTAATTGCTCAAATAACACAGGTCCTAGAGAAAGCTGATTCACATGTGGAACACGGTCATAGCTCAGACACTTTCATCAGTCTACTCCTTCACCAATAGCCCCCCAGACATTTCCTACAAGCTCTGTGCTTGCCTCCAGATTATTCTGAAAAATTGTAGCAGTCATGTTTGTGCATTTAAAAGCATAGATGTGTGGTGAGAGAAGCTTGAGTCAGACTCCTGATAAAATCTTTCCATTAAAAGCTGGAGAAAAGGAAGTGGTTTCAGCAGCACTATCCAACAAAAATTTGTGAGAAGAGGGAAAGGTTTTTACCTTTGGATCCAGTACAGTAGCCACTAGTCACATGAGGCTATTGAGCACTTGAAATGTGGCAAGTGTGAATGAGGTATCAAATTTTTAACATAATTTAATGTTAACTAATTTAAATGTAAACAGAAATTTGTGATTAGAGGCTACCATAATGGAAAGCACAGCTTTAAAAAAATAGGCAGTCCAATCTGCTTTTAAGGATGAGCAGAAAGTAGATGTAGAAGATAGGATGAACTGGAATGGAAAAGACAGAGAAAGCTGACAACAGGTGAAATCCTATTTTCTCTTCTGACTAAAACACTCAATCTCTTGATGGTATACAGAGAAACTGAAGATTTACAGATTAATTATGAATTTCTCAGTAATTTACTGAGAAATTTTATGTGTCATTTTATATGTTTATGCTAGGAACTGCGGATAAAGAAATTTTTAAAAAGCCACAAAGATGTAGCCTTTGCTCATAAAGTGTGTATATTCAGAATCAGACAGACACATATCAGAATAACCTTAAATAGTGTATGTTTTTTTAAAAAAGGCAATGAAAAGTATCAAAGCATTATAACATTTCTGAAAGACATAAAAGTTCAAATCATGTTTGTAAATAATTATAAATTATGAATCTATGAAGTTAATGTACTTTTTATTTATTGATAATCAAGAATTGACCATTGTTACTATTTTCTAACTCTTTGATCATTCCTCTATTAAGTGTCTGTGTTGCCCTGACTCTCTGGCCAGGACGAGAGAATAGAAAGCCCTTGCTTTGTGATGAAGACTTGGCCTCAGAATCCTGGGATGTTTGGGGGTGAGATGAGTAACCCAGGAGTGGTTTCTCTGCATAGCTCTGGACTGTCAACACAACACATTGCAATTATTTATAGAACAAACAAATACCCAGGTGTGAATACAGCTGTGTATACAGTCTGCCTTCTTCAAGATAAATCAGAACTCTAAATATTTGCAAATATGTTGCCCTTCAACAACTGCTTCCTGGTGGTGATAGTCCTACCACTACCACTTACTATATGAATGTATTATTCTGCTTTCCTGGCTGATTTTTTTTTCTAAGTCAAAGAGCTCCCCTCCTTCTTTTCTTTCCTCCAGCTTTTATTTTATCCCTTAGTAGCTACTAAATGTTCAGTGTTTTCCATGTACACTGTAAAGTTCTGGACATGCAAAAATGAATACAACTAAGCCTCAGTTTCTTCATTTGCAGAGGAAGCAGTGTAGCCTAATGAATGAGATAATAGACTTTGAGGCAAGTGGAATCATCAACTTCCTGTGTGATCCTGGGAAAGCTAATTCACTCCTTTGTGCTTTGGCTTTCTCTGCCATGAACTAAAGGTAGGAAAGTGCCTGACTTAAAGGGTTACTGTGATAATGAAGAAGATAATGCATGTAAAGCCCTCAGCACTTTACCATAGTAAGGACCCAATAAATGTTAGTTTATATGATTGTGATTATTATTATAATTAACTTCCCAGAGCTTTTTTAGGGGGAGGGTATTAGGTTGAATTAGGTAAAGCATGTGAAAGTTTACATATCCTCCACACTTTTGCTTCAATTCACCATATTTTTCATATTCTGTTACACCATTTAAGAGGCTAGTTTCCTGTTACTATATATATTTCTGATTCTCCAAATAGACAATGTGCTATGTGAGGGAGACACCTTAACATATTCCTCTCTGTATAACGCAACATCTGGCCTTTGGTCATTGCTCAAGAAGTATTTATTGAATGCTTCTTTCCTAGATGCAAGGAGCAAACAGTGAATGGAGAAAGGCAGAAGTTCATAATTTAATGGGACTGGGCATCCAGAGCCCACCCTCTTCCTCTCTCCTTCTTGAATGTGAGATGTCTAGATAATACATACATTCTTCTCTGATCCTCCAGGTTAGGGTGTGAATCTGGTGCTTTGGGAAGAGATGTGCTCCCATCCAGTGTGCTGGTGCCAGTGTGGGTAAATTGCAACAACTCAGAAGTCCAGCATACCTGCCCAGCTTCTTTCAAACTCACCAGTCACGTAGGTCACCTCACTCACCTGAGGTGGACTGAAAGAAGCTGGGAGAGATGCCAGGATCGACATGTTAATGGAGTCACTTTGACATGGAAAGAAATGTCAAGATTATAGAAGACTGCTTATTCCCAACTGGAATGATTATAATATAAATTTTATGGATAATAAATATTACAGTTTAAGACCTTGCCCAAGATGGTAAGTGGCAGATTCAGAACGTGAATTTAGGATTGAAAGAATCCAGATCTGAGCTACTGCAGGGAGATGCTGTATTATATTCATCTTTGCATTAGTAACTTCTTCATTTATAAGTTACATATTTATTAAAATTACTAATATTTGGTAGACACTTGCTAATATACAGGAAAATCTTTCAAAACAAAAGTCTCTGGGGTTCTGTCTTGGGTCCTCCCTCTTACAACCAAGAAACCCTGGCCATAACACCACAAGCTTAACATAACAAGAGTAGGAAGACTCTGAAAGATGGAAAGAACATGAGCTGCTTAAGGATATTAGGTCTTGAGGTGATAAGTGTATTGCCTTCTGACGGAAGCTACAGAAGCGTCCAGCTCAGAACTACTAACAGACACAGGCACAGACAAAAATCTCTAAGAAAGGAGACTTTGCCCCTTAGAAAAAGGACAATGGGAAAAGTGGCCTAATAACAGGAAAACTTTTTGACAATATTCACCCTACTTAAGCCAAACACTATGAGAAAAATAAAACCATACCACCCCTACCTCACAGTTGCAGGTCACCAGTGAAAACTTAATCATTCATCCCAATTCCCAACCCCTTGCCATGTAGAAGCAAATATTATTCTCCACTTCTCCATTGGTAAATGTCAGCTGGGCCAAGCAGGGAGCTACTCTTCCATTCTTTGCCCAGAAGAAGCAGATGGCAGCATCCCAATTACCACCAATAGTTTTGTAAGGCTGAGTGGGCAGCTATCTTCTATCCTCCACCCAGCAGAACTAGGCAGTACTCTGATTCTCTTACCAACTTAGTGGCATTGGGGTCCAGTGAGAAGCTGAGCCTCCACCACTACCTGGTATCAATGAGATTGAGCAAGATGGAGAAAGTTAGGGTAAGTAAGTACTTCATTCCTACCAACTCCATGTTCGTGGAACCCATTGAGGGGCTGAGCCTCCACCCCCACAGCAGCAATGTTTTGTGAATCAGCCCTGTGCTTACACTCCACTTGGGTGGCAGCAGGGCACAGAGTGGGAGCCATTTTTTACTCCCACTTAAAGACAGTAAGACAGTATGATGGCTGGTGCTCCATTTTTCAAGGGAAGAAGTAAGCAGAGTTAAGAGGGGGCTGAACTTCAACTCTATACAATTGTAATGAGGCAGTGTAAGTTAGTGTCCTTTTGCCAGAAGGTGCTAGTGGGTGTTGGTGTTCGGCATCCCAGCAGGATGCTGGGTCTCATGCTACACCTAAACAGAGAGTGACTGCTAAAAATAAAAAGAGTAAATAGGATTCAGAGCCTCATAATATAACATATAACCAGGATACAATAGAAAATCACTTGTCGTAGTAATAACCAGGAAACTCACAATATGAATGAAAAAAGACCATACACAGGTACTGACATCAAGATGAATCAGAATTATCTGACAAGAATTTTAAAGCAGTCACCATAAATGTATTTCAATAATTACTTTGAAACAAATTAAAAGACAGAAAGTATCAGCAAAAAAGTAAATCTTTTAAAAAGACAACCAAATGCAAATTAGAGAACTGAAAAATATAATAAATGAAATAAAAAACCATACTAAATGTGCTCAAATGTAGAATGGAGATGACAAAAAATGAAATCAGTGAACTTGAAGACAGATTAATAGAATATACCCTACCTGGATACAAGAGAAAAAATAGACTGAAAAAAAAATGAACAGAGGATCAGAGACCTCTGTGGGACATTAATGAAACCACTAGTATTTATATCATTGAACTTACAGAAGGAGAGGAAAGAGTGGTACTAAAGAAGTGTTTAAGAAGGAAAGGCTGAACACTTTTCAAGCTTGGCAAAAGAAGAAACCTACAGATTCAAGAAGGTGAGCAAATCCCAAATAAGATACACTCCAAAAAATCAATGCAAAAGGGCATCATATTTAAACTTCTGAAACTAAAGAAAAAACAAAACTTGAAAGCAGCCAGAGAGAAACAATGTATCACTTATAGGTGAACACCAATTAGAATGATAGCAGATTTTTCATCTGGAATCATGGAGGTCAGAAGAAAGTGGTGCAACAGTTTTCAATCACTGAAAGAAAAGAGCTATTAAGCATGAATTCTATATTCAGTGAAAAAAATCTTTCAAGAATGAAGAGAAAAGAAAAAGATATTTTAAGACGAAGGAAAGCAAAAAGAATTTGTTGCTGGAAAATATCTCTTTGAAGTATGGTTAAAGGAAGTTCTTTAAACAGAAAGGAAATAAGCAGAAGAGGACTTGAAACTTCAGAAAAGAAAGACAGTGGAATGGGTAAAAATATGCAAAAATATAATAGAGTATCCAACCTCTCATGGGAATTTCTTAATATTTGGTGATTGAAATGAAAATTATAAACATCTCTGTTATGGTACTCAATGTATGTACAGGAAATACTTAAAATATATATACATAAAAAGTAGGAAGGGTAAAGAGATGTATATGAAAATAAATTTCTAGACTTCATTTGAAGGAATAAAATATAGTTACCAGTAGACCTTAAGTTATATACGCATATTGTTTTATTTAGAAAAAACACCAAGACCATTGTAAAGTGAAATACTAAAAAATACTACAAACAAATCATGAAGAAATCCTAAATAAGTTTCCTAAATAGGAAATCCTAAATAAGTCATAGAAAAGGAAAACAGAGGAATGAGGAACGTAGGAAACAAAGAAAACAAATAATACAATGGCTGACTTAAACCTTACCATTATCAATAATGACACTAGGTGGTCTAAACACACCAATTAGAAGACAAAAAAATTGCAGTGTGTGTGTGTGTGTGTGTATGTGTGTAATATTTATTCATTTATTTCAATAGCTTTTAGGATACAAGTGGTTTTTGGTTACATGGAAGAATTATATAGTTGTAAAGTCTGAGATTTTAGTGCACAGTAACTTGAATAGTGCACATTGTACCCAATTTGTATTTTTTTAATCCCTCAACCCCCTCCCACTCTTCCCCATTCTGAGTCTCCAAAGTCTGTTATACTACTATATTAGTTTGCATAACCATAGTTCAGCTATGAGTATAAGTGAGAACATAAGGTATTTAGTTTTTAATTCCTGAGTTACTTCATTTAGAATAATGGCCTCCAGCTCCATCCAAGTTGCTGCAAATACATTACTTTGTTCTTTTTTATGGCTAAGTAGTATTCCATGCTGTGTGTGTGTGTGTGTGTGTGTGTGTGTGTGTGTATGTGTATATATATAGTGTATATATATGTGCATATATATAGTTTTCTTTATCCATTTATTGATTGATGGGCACTTAGGTTGGTTCCATATATTTGCAATTGTGAATTGCACTGCGAAAAACATATATATGTACATGTCTTTTTGATATAATGACTTCTTTTCCTTTGAGAAGATACTCAGTAGTGGGATTACTAGATCGAATGGTAGATTACTTTCAGTTCTTTAAGAAATCTGCATATATACAATATATACAAGTTGTACTTGTATGGAAAATATTCTCACCAGCAATATGTAAGTGTTCCCTTTTCATCACATCTATACCAACATGTATTGATTTCTGACTTTTTAATAATGGCCATCTGGCTGGGGTAAGATGGTATGTCATTGTGGTTTTAATTTGCATTTTCCCTGATGATTAGTGATGTTGAGCATTTCTTCATGTTTGTTGAACACCTGTATTTCTTCTTTTGTGGAACGTCTACTTGTCTGTTGATGTCCTTTGCCTATTTTTGATGGGATTATTTGTTTTGTTCTTGCTAATTTGTTTGATTTCCTTGTAGATTCTGAATATTAATCTTTTCAGATGCATAGTTTGTAAAAATTTATTTTTATTCTGTGGGTTGTCTGTTTACTTGGATGATTATTTCTTTCTGTGCAGAAGCTTTTTAGTTTAATGAAGTCCAATTTATTTATTTATGGTGTTGTTGCATTTATTTCTGGAGCCTTAGTCATAAATTATTTGCTTAGGCCAATGTCCAGAAAAGTTTTTCCTACATTTTCTTCTAGGATTTTTATGGCTTTAGGTCTAAGACTTATGTCTTTGATCCATATTGAGTTGATTTTTGTATACAGTGAAAGATAAGGATCCAGTTTCATTATTCTGCATGTGGCCATCCATTTTTCCCAGCACCTTTTATTAAATAGGATGTCCTTTCCACAATTTGTTTTTGTGTGCTTTGTTGAAGATCAGTTTGTTATATGTATTTGGCATTACTTCTGGGTTCTCTATTCTGTTACATTGGCCTATGTATCTCCTTTTATACCAGCATCATGCTGTTTTGGTAACTGTAGCCTTGTAGTATAATTTGAACTCCAGTAGTTATGCCTCCAGATTTTTTTTTCCTTAGGATTGCTTTGGCTATTTGGGCTTTTTTAGTTCCATATGAATTTTAGGATTCTTTTTTCTAATTCTGTGAAAAATGATGTTGGCATTTTGATAGAAATCAAATTGAATCTTTAGATTGCTTTGGGTGATATGATCATTTTCATGATATTGATTCTTCCAATTCATAAGCATGGATGTATTTCTGATTGTTTGTGTCATCTATGATTTCCTTCAGCAGTGTTTTGTAGTTCTCCTTGTAGAGATCTTTTATCTCTTTGATTAAGTATAATCCTACACATTTTATTTTTGAGGCTATCATAAAAGGGACTGAGTTATTGATTTGATTCTCATCCTGTTCACTGTTGGTGTTTAGAATTGTTACTGATTTGTGTACAATGATTTTGTAACCTGCATCTTTACTGAATTTATTCATCAAATCTTGGAATCTTTTGGAGGCGTCTTTAGAGTTTTCTAGGTATATGATTGTCATCAAACAGAGATAGTTTGACTTCCTGTTTTCCGTTTTGGGTGCCCTTTCTTTCTCTTGCCTGATTGCTCTAGTTAGGACTTCCAGTATTATACTGAATAGAAGTGGTAAAAGTGGGCATCCTTGTCTTGTTCCAGTTCTTAGGGGGGATGCTTTCAACATTTCTTCATTCAGTATAATGTTGGCTGTAGATTTGTCATATACAGCTTCTGTTATTTTGAGGTATGTTCCCTCTAGGCCTAGTTTGTTCAGGGTTTTTATCATAAAGCAATGCTGGATTTTTATCAAATGCTTTTTTCTGCACCTATTGAGATGATATGGTTTTAGTTCTTAATTCTGTTTATGGGATGTATCACATTTATCGACTTGTGTATGTTAAAGCATCCCTGCATCCCTGGATGAAACCACTTGATCATGGGGCATTATATTTTTGATTTGCTGTTTGATTTGGTTTACTAGTATTTTGTTGAGTATGTTCATCAAGCATATTGGTCTGCAGTTTGTTTTGTTATGCCCTTTCCAGGTTTTGGTATCAGGATGATACTGGCTTCATAGAACAAGTTTGGGAGGATTCCTTCTTTCTCCATCTTTTGGAACAGTTTCAGTAGGATTGGTTTGAATTCTTTGAATTTCTGGTATAATTTGGCTGTAACTCCCTCTGTTTCTGTTTTTGTTTTTGTTGTTGGTGGTGTTGTTGCTAATTTTTTATTATTGATTCAGTTTCACTGCTTTTTATTGGCCTGTTCAAGATTTCTATTTTTTTTAATTCAATCCAGAAGGGTTGTATCTTTCCAGCAATTCATCCATTTTCTCTAGATTCTCTAGTTTGTGTGCAGAGAGGTGTTCATATTTGTCTCAAATGACCTTTTGTATTTCTGTGGTGGTGGTAGAAATGTCTCCACTTTTATTTTTAATTGAACTTATTTGCATCTTCTCTCTTCTTGGTTAATCTAGCTGATGTTTTATTGATTTTCTCTATCTTTTCAAATAACCACTTTTTGTTTTGTTGATCTTTGTAATTTTTTTTTGGTTTCAATTTCATTTAGCTCACTCTGATCTTTGTTATTTATTTTCTTCTGCTAGGTTTGTGTTTGGTTTGTCCTTGTTTCTTTATTTCCTTGATGTGTGATGTTAGATTGTCGATTTTTTATCTTTCAGAATTTTTGATGTAGGCATTGAACACTATAAATGTTCATCTTAGTACTTCTTTTACTATATCCCAGATATTTTGATAACTTGTGTCACTATTATCATTCATTTGGAAAAAAATTAAATTTGCATCCTAATTTTATTGTTAATCTAGAAATCATTCAGGAGCAGATTGTTTAATTTCCCCATATTTGTGTAGTTTTGAGGTTTCCTTTTGGAATTGATTTCTAGTTTTAATCCACTGTAGCCTGAGAAGATGCTTGATATAATTTTGATATTTAAACAATTATTGAGACTGGTTTTATGGCCTGTCGTGTGGACTATCTTGAAGAGGGTTCCATGTGCTGATTAGGAGAATGTATATTCTGAATTTCTTGGGTAGAATATTCTGTAAATATCTGTTAGGTCCATTTGTTTTTAGAGTGTAGTTTAGGTCTGGTGTTTCTTTGTTGACTTTCTGCCCCAGTGATCTTTCTATTGATGTCAGTGGAGTATTAAAATCCCCCACTGTTGTTCTGTTGCTGTCTATCTCTTTTCTAAGGTCTAGTAGTAATTGTTTTATTAATCTGGGAGCTCCAGAGTTATGTATATATATATTTAGGATTTTAATATCTCCTTGTTGGATTGATCCTTTCATCATTGAATAATAACCTTCTTTTTTTTTTTTACTGTTGTTACTTTAAAGTTTGTTTCATCTTAAATACTCCTGCTCACTTTTGGTTTTCATTTGCATGGAATATCGTTTTCTACTCCTTTATCTTGAGTCTATAAGAATCCTTACATGTTAGGTGAATCACTTGAAGATAGCAATATTTGGATTGTGATTTTTTAAATCCATTCTGTCAATCTGCATATTTAAAGTGGAGAATTTAGACGATTTACATGCAATATGAACAGTAAGGTAAAAGGTACTGTTCCAGTCATCATGTTGATTGCTAGCTAGATGCTTTGTTTTCTTCATTGTTATTGTTTTATAAACCTTATAGGTTTTATGCTTTCAAGAGGCTTTATTCTGTTGCATATTGACCTGGGGTTTCAAGATTTATGACTTCTTTTAACATTTCTTGTAGTGTTGGTCTGGTAGTGACAAATTCCCTCAGCATTTGCTTGTCTTAAAAAGATTTTATTTCCCCTTCATTTATGAAACTTGTTTTTGCTGGATATAACATTATTGGCTGACAGTTATTCCATTTAAGGGGCTATTTTTTGGAGACTTTATTTCTTCAATTATTTTTTCCTTATTTTTGTCTAATTGGGTCAGTTTGAAAGCCTTGGCTTTGAGCTCTTAAATTATTTCTTCTACTTGGTCTAGTCTACTGTTAAAACTTTCTACTCCATTTTGTAATTCTCTAAATGTGTCTTTCATTTCCATGAGTTCTGATTAGTTTTTCTTTAAAATACCTAATTCTTCAGAAAATTTTTCATTCATTCCTGAATTACATTTAAAATTTATGTTGTTTTTCACCATTCTTTTGTGTCTCCTTGAGTAGCTTAATAATCAACCTTTTGAATTCTTTCTCTGGTATTTCAGAGATTTCATCTTTGTTTGGATCCATTGCTGGAAAACTAGTTTGATCTTTTGGGGGTGTTATAGAACCCCATTTTGTCATATTGTCAGAATTATTTTTCTGGTTTCTTCTCATTTGGGTAGACTATTTATTCTAATTATTTTTGACTTTATTTTCGATTTGACTTAAAAAAACGCTTTTCCTCCTTGAGGATGTGACTTTAGTGTTTGATGTGGTTTGGCTGTTTCCCCACCTAAATCTCGTCTTGAATTATAACTCCCACAATTCTCAGATGTTAAGGGAGGATCCTGGTAGAGGTAAATGAATCATGGGGATGGGTCTCTACCATGCTGTTCCCATGATAGTGAATAAATCTCAAGAGATCTAATAGTTTTAAAAATGGGAGTTTCCCTGCTCAAGCTCTCTCTTTGCCTGCCGCAGTTCATGTAAGATATGATTCGCTCCTCCTTGCCTTCAGCTATGATTGTGAGGCCTCTCAAGCCACGTGGAACTGTAAATCCATTAAACCTCTTTCTTTTGTAAATTGCCCAGTCTCGGGTATGTCTTTATCATCAGCATGAAAACAGACTAATACAGTGTTTATAATTTATTATACCCTCATTTGGCTTTTGGTGCTTTCAGGGTGAAGGCTGTATATGAGTTCCCTGGTTATACAGAGTCTTTGTATGATGGCTTTCTCAGCTGATGGTTGTAGTAGCAATGTGCTTGGTTTTTGAGCAGGTTCACTGTCTCCTGTGGGGTTGGAATGGCAGAAGTATCTTGAAGCTTGTCTTGTTCCCCAGTGCTGTACATTACAAAAAATTTATATTTTTTGAGTAGTTTATTTACTGGGTTGAACTATTCAGGCTTCAGGCCAATAGGGAAGGTATCCATGGGTAAAAACTAGTTGTGGCTATAGCAGGTGGGTAAATACAACCCTAATGGTGGGCAGAGATCCCAGTCTTGACAGAGATGGCTAGAGAATCTCTCAGTGAAACACACTGAGGTCTTTTCAGTGGGGAGGGAGAGAGCCACCTCAGCTCCCCTGTCTGGCCAGCAGAAAGGTGATCCACCTTCCAGTCACACTCTTGATCCATTATTCCATCTATTCAGATTAGACAGGCCTCTCTTTTATCTGCAAGAATACCAATGTTCCATGTAAAGAGGCATTGTCACTCTACCCCTCATGCAAGCCTGAACCTAGGGGTTGCTCTTCTTGTGGGGATGCAGTCATCTTGAAGTACTCTAGAAAGGCTAATTACAGGTGCACCTATCATGAGCTCCCATGAGCAAAGCTCCAGCTGTGTCTACAGTGGTGGATGAAGGGAAAAAAAAGTCACCTCTCCAAGACCCTTCACAAACACCAAGACTTCCTGATTATTAGGGTAGAGACACAGAAATTCCCTGTTGATCCCAGCATTTCACCTGTGCCTCTGCTGAAAGAAATGCCCACAAGCACAAAGTTCTGGGACTCAAGACCTGCCTTCTGGATTCTTTTGTACCATGGAGTGCTTCATTGATGTGGTATACTCCCCTTTCCCTAGGAGTAGGAGTCCCTGAGAGAAAGACTACTGTGAATACTTCTGCTCCTCTGGGTCTAGCTGCCCAATGCGGCTGCCATACTCCAGGCTGGTACTGGGGAATGTCTGCATAGGATCTAGTGATAGTGATGTGACCTGTGCTCAGGTCTCCCAGCAGCGGGTACCAGCACCAGCTCTGATGGGGTGGCAGGGGAGTGATGTAGACTCTGTGAGATTCCTTGTTTATAAATGGCCTTAATATTTTGGCTTTCTAAAATGTCAGTTATAGTAGTAATGATGTGGTCACGTGGACAGACTCAGGACCTCCTGGTTAGCCAGAGTAATGTAGGCAATGGTGACAGTTGAGGTCACACACAAGATTTTTCCTTCCTGAATGCTGTGTTTTGACAAAGCTGTAATGGATTATGTCAGTGGTGCTTAGAAAAGATCACCAGCTGTGGTGATGGTGATGGAATCTGTGCCTACCTTATGTTACCTGGAGAGGTATTCTGTTGTCTCAGGCATTGGGCTGGGACATAAAGCTTCCAAAAGTTTCTGTCCTTTGTGTTAATCTGCTAGGGTGGGTGGAGGGGCAAAGCCACGTGAGGTCTGGGTCAGGCAAGTCCTTGCTCTGGCTCTCCATGTGTAGAGCAAGAAATGGTCCCAGTGGAGAATGGAAGGCAGTTCTCTGGTTGCTGGGGTAATGTTTCAGGGAGGAGTGCACCTGCCTCTGCTGTACAGAGGAGTCTACATGGGGAGTATGGAGTAGCAGGTGACAGTAAGCCCCACTCAGCTCCCATGCACTTGGCAAGGCAGGTCTCACACTCGTAGTGTTCCACTGGCAGCAGCTAGCTAAGTTCCAGGCAATCTGGGTTTAAAACTCAAAACTGCCCAAGGCCATGAGCATTCCTTGGGTAGACAGCAACCTCAGCTTTCAGGCCACACCCTTCCTGGTCTGCCCACGAAGTAGGGGTGACCAGTTCTTGCACTCGTGGTTGCAGCACACTTTCCACTTGCCCTTTGCTTCTGGCCAAGGGATTTCATCTCCACTTGAGATTGTATTGCAAATCTCAGTTGGGAGCTTCTCACCAACTGCCACGGCCACCTGACTTAGCAGATTGACTTCCGGGGGTCCCCTGTGAGGTAGGATCAGGAATGGCTTCCCTCCATCCCACTGGAGACTAGAAGCCTAGGCAAAGCATGTTTCGATACTACTCCTTCTCATGTACTTCCCATTGCTGCCTAAATCAGCTCCAGTGCTGGGTAGGGTTAATGCTTTCCCCTGTGGCCTGGATTGCCAGGTTCCCCAGTGGGAGTGTATATCCCAGAGGCAGTTTATCCCTTTCTCACACTCTGGGGTCTTACAGTTTTCTACCTGGCTCATAATGCAGGCTGCAGCCTGCTGCTGCTTTCAAAGGGTCTGTAGTTTCTTTAAGTTTTCCTGTTAAGTTGGTGCATTGCTTCTTGGAAAAAATTCACAGTGTGAATATCTACACAGTATTTGTGTTTCAAAGTGGGAGATGCATGCTAACAATACCTCCAATCCACTATCTTGGAAAAAAGCCCCTAAAACCCAGAGTGGATTTAGAAACATGATCCAATCATATGCTGTCTACAATAAACTTACTTCAGATACAATAAAATAAGTTATTCAAGTGAGAGAATGAAAAAATAATTATACTATGGAAACATTACTTAAAAATAAAGCACAGTGGTTATAGGAGCTTCAGTTAAGGTAGACTTTAGAGCAAAGAAATAGTCTCTGCCCTAAGAAAGCTTAACAATTTATGTTATTTGAATGTTACATTTTTCAATTTTTAGAAATTAACTATAGCAACTCTCACCAAAGCCAGATCATGAGTTTGGGGATACAATTAACAGTAATTTTAAAGTTAATATCTTTTCAAGTATAATCAGCCTGCATTGTTTATTTTTAATTTGTATTGATCATTGTTCTATGTGCTCTTGGGAGATGAAGCTGATTGGGAAATTCCATGTAAAACGTAGTATAATGGGAATTTTGTGTGGTTTCTGAGACACAGGGGAGGAATATTTTGCATGCCAAATACTCGTAGGTGATTTATTGAAGCAGAGTTGAATAAGAAAGAGATGTCTCTGACCTGATAGAAATTAGGGTGAGGTTGATTAGCCAGTGATAAACTCGGGCTGGGAAAATACAATAATAGTGGGGCCAGATTAAGGGATTTAGAAAGGGTAGCAGTGAAGGATTACCCGTTGCCTTGATCTTGTCTGTTATCAAGTTTATAGTGAAAATTAACTACATTTAATGATGAAATCTTCTTCTAGGTAGCTGCTCAATCTGGACAGCAGTGATTCTTTAGAAATATGTTAAAAATTTATCCTATAATATTAAGTAAAATAAAACGGAATTTCCCCTCCACCCCAACACTGTAGTTACAGCCATGTAAAAAATGTTCACACATAATGATGGGGACTGAAAGGGAAATCAGACCCATGAAATTAGCCAATCTTCTAGGCTGTAGGATTGAGGATGACTTGTGATTCCTTCTAAATGAATTTTATTGATACAATGTAATCTTTGAATAAGAAGAAATTGGCAGGAAATGCATATGCTGAATTCAGAGGAGGAGCAAAAGGCTCATGAGTTCTGTTCATGTTTGTGGGTGAGATCTGGAGGCAGGAGGGAGAGCAGTGAACTTTTCCACAGTGTGAATCTGCATGCCTGGCCAATGCTTATTTGGGAATGTAGCTCTAACTGGTACAGCCTGTTGTTGGCTGAGGCTCACGCTTTAGGATTTGCTTTCTGATTGCTGCCTGTGCATTGATTTGTCTCCCACTCTGTTTATCAAAATGACAGATCTAATTTAAAGATGCTTTATATTTGCATTTTTTCTAAGCATTTTTATGTTAATTTTTACAAGAATGTGGTGAGATAGGCATGAGAAGAAGTATGTCTACATTTCAAAGGAAAGGATACTGAGAAATACAAAGACTTTACCACCTGGCACCTGTGCAAAAAACCGTTCTGTGCAACAGTTTTCCTATCTATAAAGTAATGATGATAAACTAGTTCAATTATAAAGATTTGTAAATAAATTAAATTAACTCATATATGTTACTGTGAATGGAGCCTAGCGCAGAGTAAGGGCTCAACAAATGTTAGGTATTATTATTTAATATTAAACACTATTATTGTTTAATTTAATTAATAACTATATTATATTATGTTATATTACATTTACCTCTCAGTGTTTATTTAATCCACTATTGCCCTCAGGGCAACAACACTGTTTTCTAGCTTCCTTAGGTCCTATAGTCCTTGAGAAAGCAATAAGGTATAGAAGGAAAAACAGAGTGGGCTTTGTAGCTGAAACAATATCTTATTTCAAATTCAGTGTTTTTTCATTCAGCTATGAGACTTTGTAGAAGTCATTTAACTTCCCTGAATCTTAGGTTCCTCAAGTTTAAAATGAAGACAATGATACTAATATCAATCGTTTCAGGCTTGACCTAGGTTCTCTAAAACAGAGAGTCTGAGTAAAGAATTAATTGCTGGTGCTTTTTTGGGGAGTGGTCATCTCACAGCATTAAAAGTGACAAAGGAAGTGTAACAGGTAAGAAAGAAAAATTATGTAATGGGATGTAGTACCATGCTGGCCACTGTGGCATGCTGAGGCACACAGAGAAATAGTGGGTCACTTGGTAGGTATACCAGCTTGGTCTTGCAGGATGTCTCCAGACAATACATTTCCTCCAGACTAACTGTCATTGGGAGCAAGCAGAGGGCACTTATCTGCTGGCTTCCTTCTGTATCCTGTCTGCAATTGATCACAATTTGTGCCACAGGGAAATTTACTTTGACAGCTGCTCAGAAAGTCAGATCCCATATCCTATTGCATGGCAGTTCATTGAAATCTGGAAGTAGGAGTGGTGAAAGGAGTTGGATACTACAGGAATGAAGCTATTCAGCTCAAGGAGGCATAACTTCCCAGCTTTGCACAGTGCGTCTGTGCTATGGCAGTGGCCAAGTGAGGGCCAAGTGGCCAGAGGCTTAGGAATTTGAATAGGGCCAAAAGAGGTTCCTGTTATGTCCCCATAATGTACAATCAGATATAGGGCTGTACTAATATTAGTTATTAAATTTTGTCCACCATATTGGATAGTGGTGGAAACAAGGAGATGGGCTTGTTAGAGAGGAACTCTAGAAGACATTTCTTTTTTATTCTTTTTTATACCTTCCTGCCCAGACAATAGAAGACACTTCTAAAACCACAACAGACTGAATGGATCAGATATTTTCAAAGTAGCCTCATCCACTAGTGCGCACCTTGAATGTAAGGCTACCACAAGTGTGCATGTGCAGCACGCTATTTCATAAGCAGGGCCACCTGAAGATCAGATACATAAAGAATGGTAATTATTAGCAAGAGTGTATACAAACTTTTATTATTTCAAAAAAATGCTTACAAATTTAGAAACCTCTGTCCCCTATTGTGCAGATTGTATTTTCTCAAGATGGCCACACCAGGGTGTATCTTGTCCCAGATGATGTTACAATATGTCATTGACACTGCATAGGAAGTGAGTTAGATGTTCCCAACCAATAGCATGCATGCAGTAGAAGAGAGGCTACATATTTTCCAAGATTGTGTCATAAAGGGCAAAATTGCTTCTTACTAGCTCTCTCTCTTAGTAAATGCGCCTTGAGAGCCTGTGCTAACATATAAGAAGTCCAGCTCCCCAGAAGCTGCCTGCTAAAGAGATTATGTGGAGAGACTACAAAGAGACAGAGAAAGATTCCTGAGGAGCTGCAGTTGTTTCAGCCCCAGCCGTTGGAGTCTTCCAGCCCAGGGATCAGACAGCTGAGTGAAGAGAAGAGACCTTTGAGATCACCTCATCCCAGCCGCCATCTGACTGCAGTTTCAAGAGACTTAAAGCCGGAGCCACCCAGTGTGCTGCACCAAATTTTCAGCCCATAGAAACCATGAGCAAAAATAAACGATCATTGTGGGTTTCAGCTGATAAATTTTGGAGGTAAGTTGTTTGTAGCCATAAAAACTGTGAACATCTGTGCAGCCACAGGTGCTTTGATGAGAAGGCTGCCACTATAATTGTTTAAAAAGTGTTCTCCCTTCATTTTGTTGAAAATCATTTTGTTAATAAGTGGTTTTACTATCAAAAGTGCTTTTTAAAGTTTTATGATCAAAAATGCTCTTTACAATTTTATCAAATTTTAATATAAAATCCTAATCATTTTGCTAATAAGTAAAATATTTATTAAGTGCTTACTCATTGCCCAAACTGATCTAGTTGCAAGGGATACAAAGTGAGAAATAGCAGTCTCTGACTTCATGAAACTTCACTGCTCAGTTGGGAGGTGAGCCCTAAATGTATACGAAGAACAAATGGAGCCTAAGATGCAAGTTAACACATGATACAGAGGTGCCATACAGTTTTGAAAAGCTTTTCGTCTTCTCCCTTTGGAGAAAAACAGAAGTATTTTTGCACTAGGTAGAGGCTGATTTACCTGAAAACTAATGAAGCTTCAGAGTCCTTCACTTATAAAGTAAGTCTTTTTCAATGCCCTGGCTGTGATCACCTGGTATTGCACACGCACACAGGCACACACACACACACACACACACATATAAATACTATAAAGCATCCTTAATCTTATACTATAATATTTTTATACTATATAATAAAATATCTTACTTTGTAAATTATACTATATAAAATATATAGATGTATAGTGAGATATACTATATATTGATATATATGATGTTTATACTACAAATTATATATAGCGTATATATACACAAATTATATATACTTTATAGTATAATGTGTATATATAAAATAACTTTTATATATACATATATATAATATTATAGCACAGAGAGAAGATTTTACATATCTGATATTCAGAAGAATCTTCCATAGACCAGTTTCTGGCTTCTGCATAGCAAACCATGCCTTTCTTCCACTACCCATGTACTTCCAGCAGGTGCTAGGCATATGAGGTATTGTCTTATCTCAAGACAACTTCTGGTCCTAAATTTATTTTGTGATGCCAGCTGAGTGAGCACAGTGCTGATGTAGCAATAATATATTTTTTATATATATATATATATATATATATATATACACACACACACACACAGAAATATATATATATTTTATATATACTAATTATTTTGTACATATATTGTCTATATATACAAATCATATATTTTTGTATATATAGTGTATATATATAAATTATATGTATTTGTATATATAGTGTATATATACACAAATTATATATATTTATATATAGTGTATATATACAAATTATATATTTTTATATACTATATGTATATAGTATAATTTGTAAAATAAGATATTTTAATTAAAATTTGCAACCGATGTCTCTTTCCACTCTAGCTTCCCCTCCATCCCTCTTCCCCTCCATCCCTCTTCCACTCCTGTTGGGTGGTTTTGGAGTAACCATGGGCATTGAGGAGGTTAAGTTGAGGATATTTTTGGTTTAAATTTAGAGGATCACATTTATGTGACGCACAGTTAATTCCCTGTAAAATTAAGTCACTGCTAGTAATCCTGATGTACCAAGTTTCCAAGAGTACTCCTGCTACTCTCTGGGCTGACTCAACTGGTGTCATGAACTAAAGTTTAGGACCAGAAGTTGTCTTATAATAAGAGAACACTCTATATGCCCAGCACTTGCTGGAAGTGCATGGGTAGGGGAAGAGAGGCAGGCCTTGCTATGTAGGAGCCAGAAGCTGGTGTATGGAAAATTCTTCTGAATATCAGACATGTAAAATTGTATCTTTGCTACCTGGTCAAAAGAGAAATTCTCCCCTGTCAGGAAGATTCTCAGTGAGGCATTGTATGTAATTTTAAAAGCTGATGACTAGCTCAAGCATTACAAAATCCAGAAAATTAACATGACTTTTCATTATTTAAGTATCAAATCAACAGGAATTAAAATCTTTTGACAGTGTGATCATATGAGTCACTTTTTTTCATTAATTCAATTATCAAATAAACCAGAAGTCCGTTTGTTACTGCTATTCAAAATCCATCTCTTTCTCTTAATAAATTACGGTCTTGGGTATGATCTGAAAAAATTATTTTTTACAATTTTCCTTTCCATGTCAAAATAATTTCATTGATTCCAGTACTTATCTTGTTAACTTTCCTTTCATATTTCATTAACTTTTAATTTGATTTTTCTCTATTCTTTAACAAGGAAATATAAGACAGAAGAATATACGCATTCATGTTGTCCAAATTGTTAAGTATGGAATTTCTCACTTGCTTTAAATTTGTAATGATGATGATTTTTTATTATTGTAAATAAAAATATACATCCATGCCTAGTTTTTAGTGGTTTTAATTTAAAAAGGACTGCCAAGTTGTAGAAGCTTCAGACTTCACACACCTTGAGTCACTCCTGACTGTGGACAATGGGGAGAGGTGAAGAGGTCTGTTAAAGCATGGCTTCCTTCTGGAATTCTGCCCTGATACCCCATGCCTATGTTAAGCAACTCCTCAATTTCCACCTGTGCTCATCTATAGCACTCACCACTTTGAATCAGCACACCCGTTTTCTTCTACATCTTACTAACACTCTGTAAGGCAGTGTGATGGTCAATTTTATGTGTCAACTTGGTTAGAGTCTGGTACCCAGTTGTTTGGTTCAATACTAGTATGTATGTCTCTGTGAAGGTATTTTGTAGATGTGGCTAACATCTACAGTCATTCGGCTTTAAGTGAAGGAGATTATCCTGGATAGTGTGAGTGGACCTTATCCAATCAGTTGAATGCCTTAAGAGCCAAATTGAGGCTTCCTGGAGAGGAAGGAAATTCTGCCTCAAGAATGCAGTATGTAAATCCTGCCTGAGTTTCTAGCCTGTTGGCCTATCCTGTGGATTTCAGACTTGTGAGCCATAATCCTAGGAGCCAATTTATTGAAATCTCTCTTCCTCTTGTTTCTCTGAGGAAGCTTGGCTGAAAAACTTGTAATTATTATTATCAGAGTTTTATAGAAAATAAAACTGAATGATCCTGAAGATTTGGTACTTTATCTCCCCCAACCTCTCCTTTCACATGTATAAAGTATGGTAACAATGACACTTGCCCTATGTACATTACAGGGCAGCTTTGAGATTCAAAGGGAACTGTAGGTGAAAGCACAATAGTTATACAAATAGAATTCATTGCTAATTAAGAAATTAACTTCGTGGTTCTCTACCTTGCCTAAAAGACTGGTTTTCCTCTTCCTGAGTATTAATTTCTTCTTCCTCTTGCCACCTCTTTCTCCTACTTCATGGCCCCTTCTTGTCAGTGGTAATTATATTACAACGTTTGTGCTTTCATATATGATATTTTGTTTAATCTTTGGAACACATCTAGTTAGATAAATGTTATACCCGTTTCACAGATGAGGATTTGACACACAGAGGTGCCCAAAGTAATATGGCCAGATAATAATAGAATTGAAACATTCTTCCACTATCTCAAAGTGGAATAAAAAATACTATACATGTTTAATCAATTTGAACCTTGGGACCATTGCCATAAAAAAGAATCCCTTACTTTGCAGAAAAATTGTCTTTAATTCAGGTCCCCTTCCTGCCCTAAAGGGAGCAAATTATAATTTCAGTGATTAAGCTTTTAGAGTCAGTATTTCCATTGGAAGACTCTGTGTCTTATTCACCTGCCAGTACAAAACTGAAACTATCAAACACTTGGTGCCCAGCTGGCTGAAGAAGATTAAACTCTAGAAAGGTATTTAAATAAAATTTAAATAATTTATAATGTGCTTCCCTCTGCATAGCAAGTCTGCACTTGTGCAAGTGGAAGAGGTAGCAGTGAAGCCTTCAACAGAAGACCACGTTCTGGAGGGAAAGAATACCCAGAATCTGCTTCTCTATGTAGATTATGGCAGACAAGAAAAGTTGTTACCTTTTCAAAAACTAAATCTACAAACTACTCTTAAAAACTACTTTAATTAAAAACTAAAATGCACAGAGGATGCAGGGTTTATGTTGAGACTAGAATTTGGTTGCTATATTTTCAGTGTGATATTGACAAACCAGGGGCAAACCTTAGGATTGTGAAGACACTGTTGTAAGAGAAATAGTTGAGAAGCCAGGGATGCTTAGCCCAATGAAGGCTTAGGGGAAATAAGAAAACTATTTGTCAGTAATGGGAGGATATATCTCCAGAGGGGGCCCATGGTTGGAATATAAAGGGAAGCAGATTAAAATCCTTTCTAACATGGAGCCCTGTCTAAACATGGATCAGAATTGTTTTCGAGGTAGGGATCATTGGTGCTGAAAGGTGGTGGTCAGGATGATGAGATGCTGATGTCTGAATTTCTACTTTAGAATGTGTTGTGTTGGATGTCACAAAACCTAAAGACTCATCCATTGCTAATATTCAACTATAATATGTTGATTTGAACTGTCTTTGCATTAAAAACATGTACTGGCTTAGGTCTGATAGGCAGAAAATTACGATTTGCTCATTCAGTTTGTCTTAAGTCAATTGGTATGCATGAAAAACCTTTTACTCATCGCTGTATATCTTATTTCTGTCTTACATTCTTTATATGTAGAATAGAATAAATATAGTGCCTACTTTATGAGGCTATTGTGAAGATCAGTTGGAGATAATGTGCATAAATTGTTGAATGCCTGACATTTATTAATTTCCTGATAAATGTTAACCATTATGATTGTTGTTATTTTTGTTGTCATTGTCAAATGTAAATTTATTCTGCCTTATAACCTTGTGAGGTTGATGATGTCCTCTCCATTTTAGAAATAGGGCATCAGAAGCCTAGGTCAAGTAAATTGTTTGAGTTTCCACAGTTGGCAAGATGCAGAAATGAAAGTTAAACCAGTGTCTTGCTCACATCACAGACACAACAGTTTCTTTGGTACTTTATGCAGCTGTGGAACCCTTTGGTGTTTCTCAGACATTTGCCATAAAAATGACCCTGTTGTATCATTTTGATGTTTTATCATCAGAGTTCCAACAGAAGCAAAACTGTGGCATTGTGTTACATACATACATCCACACACACTAACACACACATCCTCAGTGACTAGAGTAGAAAATGTAAGCATCAATGTGACTCTGTTATTTGAAACATTATTTACTGATGGCTCCAGCAAAGCTTTTGATCATGCCAAGCTGTGTGGCTCAATGAAATCCATGTATAGAATCCTATCTAGCTGCAGAAAGATTGCATCAGAGAAGGCTTAATGGTTCAATTGCCGTTATTCTAAAGCCAGCATTCTGGGGAGAGCATTAGTATTCACAAACATCAAAAGAGTCACTAGAATGGAAATTGACCCTGTCTTGTAATATAAACAGGTCAGCTGTTTGAGAGTTTTCAAAGACAGTTATGATGTAATAGCCTATATACAGTGCTCACAGGCTAATCTGTTTTAAGCTTCTCCTCTGGTATTTCTCTTTCCTAGGAATGAAATAAAAGGAAAAGTGAATACAGATAAAGAAGAAAGCTCATCCCTTTTGCCATTTAAGCAATGGCCTATTGTCCACCCTCCATAGGGATATGGCATTGGTGGTAAATTCAATATTTATATCACTGGGACTGTTTTCTTGAAGACTTTCTTTTCATGTGAAATGTTATCATCTTGTGATTTATGATCTATGCATCTCTGCTGACATTTTTTTCTAAAGTTTTTATTGTTCATAGATGTACATAACACCAGGCAAATAGCTAATAGTGATCGAGTTGGCTGCAGGTGCAGCAGACATTTTAAATAAGAACACAATTAAATGGAAATCTGAATTCTAGCCAGCAGGATTTTAACAATAATACAGTACACTGGGGTGCCCTGCAATATTGATCCTGTGGTGTCTCTATAAGCAGCGACTCACAGTGCATTTGCCACAAAAAGATGTACATGTTTCAGGGGAGCCATTTCCCACTCAGAGTGGTAGGTTGTAGGAGGACTTTGGCTGAGGCATTTCATTCAGATGTAAAATGTAAGTCAAGGGTGAAATCATGCCTTTTAAAATCTAGGTAACCCTTTCTCTTTAAACTTGCTGATTTCACTAGTTTCTTGACACTCCCCCTGCCATCCCAATCCTATGATAACTATTAATGAGTATAAAAATTAAGAGTGAAGAATTAATTTACACTGAAAAATATAAAATCACAGCTTTTCCCAAAGTGACTTTTCTTAAAATTGAAGGTGAAAAGCTGCCAAGAAATTGCAATTGGCAAAAATGCAGACTGATTTAACTCATTTCTACAAAGGCACTAAAGTTGAACAGGTAGCTATAACATCATGTGTATTTTACGTAGGCCAGTCTTTTGGTGAGGCACATTTCATCTGTAAGACTCAGACTAAATGTCACATATTCTGAAACAGGTTAAAAGGTATATGATTCCAAGTCAGGTCAAAGACTGGTGAAAAAGGTATATGGTTGGACTGTTGTAATTTCTGTCTTCACAGTCTGTACTATAGATCTCTGTAGTCTTTCCCTGTAAATGCTTTATAATCAATGGTGTACAAACGTGAAAAATTTTGAAAAATCTCTCAATATATGATTTTTTAATAAAAAGTTACATGCAAATAAAGTAGTACCTTACTGTATATATTTTTCCAGTTTCTATTTTTAACTTATTATGTATGTAAGAAATGACATTTGTCAGCAAGCATCTCCTTCCAAATTAACTATCAATCAGCTATCCTATAGAGTAAGTTTGCCTAGATATTTTATGGACAGTGAGTTCTGAAACCACCTCCTTTTCTCCTGGAATCCTTTCAATACCCCCAATTGTCCAATAGAAGTTTGCAGTCTTTCATTATAGCCCTTGATATAGCCTTACCTGTTTTCCCTGTATTTCTACATTCCCACGTTATGCATCTCTCTCATAATTCCATTCTCTTAGAGAGGAAGCAGCCCAATAAAGTAGAAAATGATGTTACTAAAACCAAATCCAGCATCTCAGTTCTGCTGTTTCCTGTTTGTCTTTGAACTTCCTTGAGTTTTGGGTTTCTAATGTGAAAATGAAGAAATACTTCATAGAGTTGTGAATATTCAATGAGATAATATATGTAAAATGCTTTGTACAATGCCTGGTGTGTAGATGTTCCTCAATAGATGTTGGCTTGCTTTTTAGCCTTCACAAAAAAGATAAAAGGGATGTGATGAATCACATAATGTTTTGCTTTCCCTGACGTATATTATTTGCATTTTAAAAGGGATCTCTTATTGACCCAACAAAATAAAATATTGATGGTAGAATCTTAGAGAGTGAGGCAGGCTGGTGTGAGAGTTATTTTTAAGTAAGGAGATGTTTTAAGGCCACCAAATCTCCCAATAGTGAGGACACAGTCTACCAATGTCTCTGTTAACACAGAAATAAGAACATCATAAAAATTGCATTAAGTGATGCTTCTTATATGTTCAGTGATCCTGATTTTAGGAAATTAAAGATCATTATTATTTGACTTAATTTAATTAACAGAACCCATCACCTTAGAGCCCCTGGGCTTCTGTACAGAGAATATGAATGCAATGATTAAATTAATTCACAGCCAATAAAAATTCTCATCAGAATGAAAATGGAAGGAATTATCTGATTGAGAGCACTGAGTCAATTATATGCCTTGGGTATTTCATGAAAATTCATTGAAATTCACCTGTGCTGAAGTGGAGAAGAGGCCACGTAGCCAATGTTATTCATTTATTCATCCATCCATTAATTCGTCTCATATTTGCCAAACCATTTTTCTGTGGTAGACAATATGCTAGATGTCCTATGATAAATACAAAGATGAATCAGATGCCTTTCCTGGCCACCCCCATAAAGTTGGAGCAAGACATACTCTCAAATGAATGTAATCTACAGAACTTGGAATACAGAAAAAATATCAATTTTGATTTGCAAAGATCATGAAAACATTCTTTGAATAGATGGTGTATCTAGGCCTTGGAATTGAGATGGTTTAATAAAATTAGTTCAACCATTTTTCACTGAATACTTACCATATGTCAGAAACTATCTTAGTGCTAGAGATAACAATTTCAGATGGAATGGGATTGTGTGCCAGCTCTACTATTTTTCTAACTGTGAGCTGTAATAAAATTGAATCTCTCAAACACTCAGTTTCCTCCATGCAGATAAAATAAGCTTTGACCTGCTAGTCAACGTGAAATAATACATGTAAAGGTAATTAGGTACTTAGTAAAAGTTAGCTATTATTATTACAATATTCCATTGACCTTCTGTTTTCCATTCTTCTAAATTCTTCTATATTTGGCTAACAGTTTCAACCTCATTAAACAAAACTTTTATCAACAAAATCGGTGAAAGCTTTGGTAGCTTTTTCAGCATCTTCTGAGAAATCTAAATGTTTCTTTGGTATTCAAAGCATTTCATGATCTGCTTCAAACCCTCCTATCAAATGTACTATTTAATTTCTGGATAAACTGGATTTCAGGGTGCTGTTAAAATGTGCCCTGGGCTCTGTTGGCTTTATATCTTCACTTATCTTTGAGAGAAAGTCTTTGCCTTTCCTAGAATTAGTGTCCTTAGTTTTTGAAATTGCATCCATGACCCAGCTGAAATGTCACCTCCTCTGTTAAGCTCTCCCATCTCATTATCTCTCTTTGACTATAGTGTTGATTATGTTAACACATTCTCAAGAACACTGTTGGTTTCTCATTCCTTGATAAATCAAGTCTAAGTATTTTAGTATGACTTTTTAAAATTCATCAAAATGTGGCAGTAACTAAATTTACTAATATCATCTGGTGTAATCTAATAGCACCTTTTCTTCAATGAAAAGGCATACCCTTTATAATCATTATGTACATAATTTCCCAAACTATTTTATTAATTTCTTATGCTATGTTCTCTATATGGAATATCCTTCTACGATACTTTGAAACCTTAGGCCTCTTTTAAGGGCAAGCTCTGGGAAATCTTTCTGGATTGCTGCCGTAGGAATTAATCTCTCTGTCCTTCAAGTTGCCTTATCACCCTGTTTACACACTCTTAAAGCACTCCACAACACCTCAACTCACAGAGCTAGCTCCATGTTCTTACCTGGCTTAAAAGAATATGAATTCCTTAAGACAATAATTTTTATTTATAATTAAATGTCTCATTTGTATCACAGTGCCTGACCCATAGTAGAACCCAATCATATGTTTACTGAATGGTTTATTGAACATAGGCTGCTCCAGGGACAGAACAGTGACTTTTGCAGTGGTGCTGTATTTGCTGGATTCAAGGAGTGGCTCATTGAGAATTTTAGGAGGTTCTGTGCTTCATTTTGGTGCTATAAGCATGTAGAAGGAATTCCTCTTGGTTTTCTCCATCTCAGAATTTGGACTTTTGTTGAGACTCTTACATAAGTTGCTCTGCTTGCAATGGGCTTAAAATGAGAGACCTCAAGGGAAACAGGGGTGACTGACACCAGTTGGTCTGACTGGTCCTGCAGGGACAATGAACACTGGGGAATGCTTCAGTACCTGAACAATGAGCACTGGGGAGTGTTTTCATATCTGAGCTTCTTTTTGGAGATAGGCTCAATCCCTGGCTTCTGTTCCACCTCCCAGGTTAGTTGCTACCTTTGTAAGGACTCAATGGTTATGTGTCTGGCACCGGGCCTGGCATAGTGTAGTTTCTCATTAAAAATCAGACTAATTCCTTTTTCCTTTCCCATTTTTCATTCAGTTTAGCATGATTTAATATAAAATATAAATATATAAACAACCTTCCTTCCCCCACTAATCCAAATGAAATCTTGAAGAACAGTACTATGTATTGATGCTGTCACTCAGTGTTGCCTCTGTATGCTCACGCATGCTCTTTCATATTTCCACTTACAGCCTTCTTATAAAGGGCAATGAATAGAGCACATTAGGACTTCTGAATATGACACTCAAGCCATGCAATCACCACATGGTGGCTTCTTTTTTTTGGATAAGTTTTAGGTGGGAGCAAGCTCCGTGCTTGGTTTTCTTAAGAATGTGTAGTGCTCTTTAGTGTTTGCTAAACAGCCATGTTGCTTTATTGTTTGGGCACCTCAATTCAGGACTTGAAGTCGGAAGAGACTCTAACATAGCATTTCTGTCTTTTCTACTCATGAGGTGACATGGTACAAAAGCAAAAACTGAACCTGGAAAGTGGAACTGAATGAAGCCAGGGATTGAGTCTATCCCCCAAAATCTGTTCAGGTACTGAAGCATTCTCCAGTGCTGCAGGACCAGTCAGGCCAACTTGTATCAGCCACCCCTGGTTCCCTCAAGGTCTCCCATTTTATGTCCATTGCAAGCAGAGCAACTTATGGTAGAGTCCCAACAAAAGTCCAAGTTCTGAGATGGAGAGGCCCATGAGGCTTTAGGAGCTTTAGGCCTATGAGCCGGAGGATGGGAATAATGATGGGAAGGGCAAGTGGGGAAAAATAACAATAGAAATACTGACGACACAGTTGGTAAGTGATAAAAATGCAATTGAATTCTAGAACAAATCATGCTCTGCATTTTGATTGAACTAATTGAACTAATCAATTGCATGTTGATTGAAACAAGGAATGAAGTTGAAGACCTTTTGTCCACATGGTGAGCTTTCCATTAGTGATGTATGAAAATAAGGGCTAGATAATTACTTTTGGAGGAGAGAATCAAACTTCATGTTTGTTTTTTTCTCAACTATGAGATTTTATATTTTCTTTTTTATTTTATTTTATTTTATTATTATTATACTTTAAGTTTTAGGGTACATGTGCACAATGTGCAGGTTAGTTACATATGTATACATGTGCCATGCTGGTGTGCTGCACCCATTAACTCGTCATTTAGCATTAGGTATATCTCCTAATGCTATCCCTCCCCCCTCTCCCCACCCCACAACAGTCCCTAGAGTGTGATGTTCCCCTTTCTGTGTCCATGTGCTCTCATTGTTCAATTCCCACCTATGAGTGAGAACATGTGGTGTTTGGTTTTTTGTCCTTGCAATAGTTTACTGAGAATGATGATTTCCAATCTCATCCATGTCCCTACAAAGGACATGAACTCATCATTTTTTATGGCTGCATAGTATTCCATGATGTATATATGTCACATTTTCTTAATCCAGTCTATCGTTGTTGGACATTTGGGTTGGTTCCAAGTCTTTGTTATTGTGAATAGTGCCACAATAAACATACGTGTGCGTGTGTCTTTATAGCAGCATGACTTATAATCCTTTGGGCATATACCCAGTAACGGGATGGCTGGGTCAAATGGTATTTCTAGTTCTAGATCCCTGAGGAATTGCCACACTGACTTCCACAATGGTTGAACTAGTTTACAGTCCCACCAACAGTGTAAAAGTGTTCCTATTTCTCCACATCCTCTCCAGCACCTGTTGTTTCCTGACTTTTTAATGATTGCCATTCTAACTGGTGTGAGATGGTATCTCATTGTGGTTTTGATTTGCATTTCTCTGATGGCCAGTGATGGTGAGCATTTTTTCATGTGTTTTTTGGCTGCATAAATGTCTTCTTTTGAGAAGTGTCTGTTCATGTCCTTTGCCCACTTTTTGATGGAATTGTTTTTTTTTCTTGTAAATTTGTTTGAGTTCATTGTAGATTCTGGATATTAGCCCTTTGTCAGATGAGTAGGTTGTGAAAATTTTCTCCAATTTTGTAGGTTGCCTGTTCACTCCAATGGTAGTTTCTTTTGCTGTGCAGAAGCTCTTCAGTTTAATTAGATCCCATTTGTCAATTTTGGCTTGTGTTGCCATTGCTTTTGGTGTTTTAGACATGAAGTCCTTGCCCATGCCTATGTCCTGAATGGTAATGCCTAGGTTTTATTTTAGGGTTTTTATGGTTTTAGGTCTAACATTCAAGTCTTTAATCCATCTTGAATTAATTTTTGTATAAGGTGTAAGGAAGGGATCCAGTTTCAGCTTTCTACATATGGCTAGCCAGTTTTCCCAGCACCATTTATTAAATAGGGAATCCTTTCACCATTGCTTGTTTTTGTCAGGTTTGTCAAAGATCAGATCATTGTAGATATGCGGTGTTATTTCTGAGGGCTCTGTTCTGTTCCATTGATCTATATCTCTGTTTTGGTACCAGTACCATGCTGTTTTGGTTACTGTAGTCTTGTAGTATAGTTTGAAGTCAGGTAGCATGATGCCCCCAACTTTGTTCTTTTGGCTTAGGATTGACTTGGCGATGTGGGCTCTTTTTTGGTTCCATGTGAACTTTAAAGTAGTTTTTTCCAATTCTGGGAAGAAAATCATTGGTAGCTTGATGGGGATGGCACTGAATCTATAAATTACCTTGGGCAGTATGGCCATTTTCACGATATTGATTCTTCCTACCCATGAGCATGGAATGTTCTTCCATTTGTTTGTATCCTCTTCTATTTCCTTGAGCAGTGGTTTGTAGTTCTCCTTGAAGAGGTCCTTCATGTCCCTTGTAAGTTGGATTCCTAGTTATTTTATTGTCTTTGAAGCAATTGTGAATGGGAGTTCACTCATGATTTGGCTCTCTGTTTGTCTGTTATTTGTGTATAAGAATGCTTGTGATTTTTGTACATTGATTTTGTATCCCGAGACTTTGCTGAAGTTGCTTATCAGCTTAAGGAGATTTGGGGCTGAGACAATGGGGTTTTCTAGATATACAATCATGTCATCTGCAAACAGGGACAATTTGACTTCCTGTTTTCCTATTTGAATGTCCTTTACTTCTTTCTCCTGCCTAATTGCCCTGGTCAGCACTTCCAACTCTATGTTGAATAGGAGTGGTGAGAGAGGGCATCCCTGTCTTGTACCAGTTTTCAAAGGGAATGCTTCCAGTTTTTGCCCATTCAGTATGATATTGGCTGTGGGTTTGTCATATATAGCTCTTATTATTTTGAGATACGTCCCATCAATACCTAATTTATTGAGAGTTTTTAGCATGAAGCATTGTTGAATTTTGTCAAAGGCCTTTTCTGCATCTATTGAGATAATCTTGTGGTTTTTGTGTGTAGTTCTATTTATATGCTGGATTACTTTTATTGATTTGCATATATTGAACCAGCCTTGCATCCTAGGGATGAAGCCCACTTGATCATGGTGGATAAGCTTTTTGATGTGCTGCTGGATTCGGTTTGCCAGTATTTTATTGAAGATTTTTGCATCAATTTTCATCAAGGATGTTGGTCTAAAATTCTCTTTTTTTTGTTGTGTCTCTGCCAGGCTTTGGTATCAGGATGATGCTGGCCTCATAAAATGAGTTAGGGAGGATTCCCTCCTTTACTATTGATGGGAATAGTTTCAGAAAGAATGATACCAGCTCCTCCTTGTACCTCTGGTAGAATTCGGCTGTGAATCCGTCTGGTCCTGGACTCTTTTTGGTTGGTAAGCTATTGATTATTGCCACAATTTCAAAGCCTGTTATTGGTCTATTCAGAGATTCAACTTCTTCCTGGTTTAGTCTTGGGAGGGTGTATGTGTCAAGGAATTTATCCATTTCTTCTAGATTTTGTATTTTCATAAAAAAAAAGTCTTTACATCTCCAGTTATCAATGAGCCCACTGGTGTGGTAAAGACTCCAGAACTCCTGATGGTATAATGAAGCTGCCCAAGCATCTTCAAAACCCGTTGCCTGTGATGCTTACCTGTAGTCATTATTTTGGTGATAGAGGTCAATTCAAATCTCAGAATCTACTCATCTTCTCTACGTTAGTATTTTTTTCCTGCTACGTGGGTAAAATGACTGAGGATTCTGAGCCCAGGAAAGTATGTTGGGAAAAAGAAAAAGTCTATTCCTGTTTTCTCTCCTCTCTGGTAGATTTTGGCTGAAAAGGGTGTGATGTGAAGGATGAAGAGAGGGCTGTGGTTGGTGAGAAAGGGTGAATGTTGCGAGGATCTTAATGTGTTTTAAAATGGAATCTTTAAAGTTATTCTCATTGATGTAATTAATGAACACCAGGGTGGAAACATTGAAGGGTTAGAGGTAGTTTGAAATTGAGAGTAGATGGACCTTTTCAAAATACAATTTTCCTGGTAACCCTAAAAGGATTTGAGCATTGACAAAAAAATGAAACATGTACTCTGACTTGTACTCATGGGATTTAAAAAAAATTGCTAGCAAAACACTAAAGACTTTTGGTTAGATAACATATTTTCAGTTTAGGTGGGAGCAAAACTTCTTATTAGTTTTCAGCTCCATCTGATCTGATCCTGTGACATCCCCAGGTCAGTTCATAATGGATAATATCACTGAAGGTGTGGATTCCCAGGGAAAGCAGAGGAAGCCAATTCTGTGAATAGCATTGGGAGAGGTCTCTGAGGGCTTGTAATCTAAAAGCAGCAGGCAAATCATCTTTAGAAACAGTGTATTTTAGAGATGAAATCTCCAAGTGAATTTGGAATAACTCTGCTTCTCATTTAAAGATAAACAATAATACTTTTAAGATACAGTACCAACAATGATGTGAATAATGAAATTAGTGAATACTATCACTGAAGAAAGTCAAATAAATAATATCTTTTTTTAAAAAAGGAACAGCTTTACTAAGATATGTTAAAATAAAAACTCTAGACAAATTAAATTTAACAGAGTTCATTTGAATAGAGAATGATTCATGAGTCAGGCAGCACTCAAAACTGGAAGGGAGGTTCAGAGAGCTCCATTGTAAGAGTGTGGGCAGTGAGCTCACTAAGACAAAGAAAACATTTAATTGGTTTGAGTGGAAAGACCCTAGTTAGAGGATGCTTGGTAATTACTGATTGGTAAGGTCTCTAGTTTGTTCTTACTGTTTTCTTAGGTCTTTGGCTCGCATGTGTAGAAATTGAAAGCACTGCAGCCTTCCCAGCCTAATGGCCTCTGAATTAAAAAATTTTTAACAGATATACCATAAAATTTATCCGCTTAAAGTATACAATTCAGTGGTTTTGGTGTGTTTTCAAAATTATGCAAAAACACAATTATATAATTTCAGAACATTTTTATCACCCTCCAAAGAAACAATACACCCATTAGTAGTCACTCCTCATTCCCCTTCCCCACAATTCCCAGCAACCAGGAATCTATTTCTGTCTTCATGGATTTGCCTATCCTGGCAATGTTATATAAATAAAATCATCCGATATGTGGCCTTTTGCATCTGGTTTCTTTCAATTATTGTAGTGTTTTCAAGGTTCATCCGTGTTGTAGCATGTTTGGTATCTTTTCCAATTTTGTGGCTGAATAAGATTCCATTGTGTGGATATGCCACATTTTTCTTATCCCTTCATCGGTTGACAGACATTTGGGTTTTCTTCTACTTTTTGGCTATTATTCACAGTGCTGCTATGAACATTTATGTACAAGTTTTTGTGTGGATGTTTTTAATTCTCTTGGGTATATACCTAGGAGTGATATTACTAGGCCATACGGTAGCTCTATATTTAAGCTTTTAAGGAAATGACAAACTATTTTTCAAAATAGCTGTAGCATTTTATGTAAATAATATCTTCCCTCTAGCTTTATTAAGGTATAATGGACAAACAAAAATTATATATATTTAAGGCATACAACATGGGTGTCTCCACTCCTACATTCATGGCAGCATTATTCACAATAGTGACAATATGGAAATAACCTAAGTGTCTATCAGTGGATGAGTGACCAAAGAAAATGTGGTAAACATATATAATGGAATATTACTGAGCCTTAAAAAAAGAAGGAAATTGTGCCATCAGCAATAACATGGGTAAACTTGGATGACAATATGTTAAGTGAAATAAGCCAGGCACAGAAAGACAAATATTTCATGATCTTCATATGTGGGATCTAAAAAAGTTAAATTCATAGAAATAAAGAGTAGAAGGTGGTTACCAGTAGTTGAAGGGTGGGGGAGGTGGGGAGATAAATGACATCTTTTTAATTTCCAGAGATAAGGAAGTTTATTTGGCCCTGGAGACCATGTTGTCTTTATAGCTGTATTTTTTAAAATGTACCATATTTTGAGGATTTTAAAGGGTATAATTTCCTACCATCCTGGCTCTATATCTTCTTTTTTGGCAAAGTCCCCTTCATGAACACTTACAGGCAGTTTATAAAGAGAAAAGACCTAGATCAAAGAGTGAAACAGGTCCTTGGGCTCCTGCATGTACTCTGCCTTGGTACTATTTCTTGTATTCTTCCTCCACTGAGAAATTACAGCTTCCATTTATCACATTTGGACTATCTAATTTCAGTAGCAGTAAGAACATATAATAACTGAGCATCTACCGTGTGCCATGCACTATGCTTATTACTGGGAAAAATAAGAATAAATTTGAAATAAAACAAGTAGCTATTACAATTCGCTATAGGCACTAGTAAGTGCTTCAGTAGAGATGCAAAGAAATAATTTTTTAAAGGCAGAATGGTGTAAAGCAGGGTATGTGAATTTTGGCACTATAAATATTTTGGGCCTGATAATTGTTTGTTGTGAGTGGTTGCTCTATGCATTGTGGATGTTTAACAGCATCTCTGGCCATTACCCACTAGTTGCCAGTAATACCAACCCGGTTGTGACAACCAAAAGTATCTCCATACATTGTCATTGTGGAAGTCAGGTTTGAGGACTCTGGGGAGGTAACTTAATCTTTCTGTTCCTCATCTTCAAAAATGAGAATAGTAATAGCTAGTTTATAGGATTGCTGTAATGATTACATAAGATAATACATGTAGAACCACCTAACAAAGTGCCTGGCACATGTAAGAGCTTGTTTACTCTTTATTCAATATTATATATTGAGTACCTCCCAGGTCCTAGGCATTCTGTGAGATGTTGGTAAACAATGGTGAATAAAGCCAACATAATCCTGGCCCTTATGAAGCCAATTGTCATCTGCATCTGAAAGCTACTGTGCTGCAATAAACATACGTGTGCATGTGTCTTTATAGCAGCATGATTTGGCACTATTCACAATAGCAAAAACTTGGAACCAACCCAAATGTCCATCAATGATAGACTGGATTAAGAAAATGTGGCACATATACACCATGGAATACTATGCAGCCATAAAAAATGATGAGTTCATGTCCTTTGTAGGGACATGGATGAAGCTGGAAACCATCATTCTCAGCAAACTATCGCAAGGACAAAAAACCAAACACCACATGTTCTCACTCATAGGTGGGAATTGAACAATAAGAACACATGGACACAAGAAGGGGAGCATCACACACTGGGGCCTGTTGTGGGGTGGGGGGAGGGGGGAGGGATAGCATTAGGAGATATACCTAATGTAAATGACGAGTTAATGGGTGCAGCAAACCAACATGGCACATGTATACATATGTAACAAACCTGCACGTTGTGCACATGTACCCTAGAACTTAAAGTATGATAAAAAATATATATATATATGAAAGCTACTGTGATTGCTGTGGTCATATTGTCTTGCAAATAGGATCTTCTTATGTTTTGTGCTCTTCAGTAGACTCTGAGTTGCTTTAAGGCAGAAACAAGCAAATTTTGTCCTTATATTTTTGTCACAGAGGATCTAACAAGTGTCAAGCTCATAGTAGGTACATGAAAATTGTTTGTTGAATGAAATAACAAAGAAAATGAACACTGGGCAGTTGTATAGATATACTTAAATGTTTTCTTGATGAATATTGCTTGAACTCCAGCAAACTCCACTCTTTGAGCCTTGGGTGAATTGTTGGCCCCGGCTCTGCATTCACTTTTCTCCCACAGTGGGGTATGGCAATTCAGCAAGGCTTGGATCTCAGTTTGAACATATTGCAGAGGGTGGCCATGATTGTTTTGTTTTATTCCCTTCTTATGCTTCCAGTTTCATTAAACTTGAATGTTACAATGGTAAACAGAGAGAGGGCAAAAGAAATGAACAAGTGGGATATTATCACGGGTCCATATGCGAATTAATGACTGGAATGCTGGATGATTATGTAATCAGACACCTGTTCCTTCAATTGTTCAATCATCCATTATGTTTTCATTTGTAACATTTACTGAACATCTACTGTCTAGTGTGGATCCTTTTCTGCCTCTCTGCTCTTTGATTACTGGGGTCCGTGCGTTGCTGTCCCATGCTCCCTCCTGTCTCCAGGCTTTTCCATATTCTCTTTTCTCTGCTTGGGCCACAATTCTAATTAATTCTTATTTATTGTTGAGCTCTTCATTCAAATTTAACTTAGCTAGCATCCCCACTTCCACTCCATGCAAGATTAAAACAGAACCCACAGCTTTGAGCACTCAAAGCCCTGGAACTACTGTTTCAGATTAGTACCTGTTGATCCCGCTAAACCTGAAATCCTACAGAGACAGCAGTTGTGTCAATTTTTCTCGCCACTGTTTCCTCACTTCTCAGCACAGCGCCAAGCATACAATAGGTCCCTGTTAATGTTTTCAGACTGATTGCTGACTAATTGACTGCTTGAATGAACAAATGCTAGGCACTGCTCAAGTTTTATCTGGCTTTTCTTAGGTGTTCTAAAAAATGCTGGACTGACGGTGATTCTGACCTGTTTCAGGAGTGATAAGCACTTGCTGGGTGGGCTGTCTCTAAGGCTGACCAGTGAGTATTCCTCTCAGTACAGGAGGGAGAGTGAGAACAAATTGGGAGAGGACGGACAGTAGGGCCCAGCCTTCTGCTAAAATGGGACCTGAAATCATCTTAGAGTAGCTGCCATCTTTGCCATAAAGTGTCTGATGGTATCAGCTACAGAATAAATACTGTTTCTGTGCTCTCCAGTTGACATATGCACTATTTTTTTTTCCTCTCACCGTTTGAAGCTAACATTCTTCTTCACTGACTTTTGGCTTTTTGCCCTAGGACACAGTGGTCTTTAATTCTTGAACTTATTTTTCTATTCAAAGCAACTTTCCCTGGTCTGATTAGGAGTTGGCTAGCCTCTGTGCTTGTTTAGCTTCTTAGTAAAAGGCATGATGAGGGAGGTGGTGGGGGAAGTGATGGACAGATTTGTTTTAACATACATAAAATGTATTCTCTAAGCCTATAAAAGTCAAATTTAAAATATGCATATTTGTTAAACAGTCCTTCAGCTGAGATGACTGGCATTTTTTTTTTAAATAAATGAATGCAAACAACCTTTATCTGGGCTTGCAATGTGCACAGTGAAATATTAACCACTCATCTCCTATGAATACTTCCCTTGCTCTGCATGGACTGGATGTTCTGCTGATTTGTGGCAGTGACACTTTTTGGTTTGCCAAAGAGAGATGTCTTACTTGTTTCTCTGGTTACTGTGAAGCCTTGTTCACATCGTTGCTGCTGCCCACCAACTCTGAAAATACATCACGCTGCACCAGACGAGGCCAATGGTGCAACATGATGCAGCACATTGCAAAGCTAAAATCTGAAACTCTAGCATGAATATTTATTTGTCATTTTGGAAAGCTACTCTGTTTTCCTGAGGCTGAGGCTGGAAAGAAAGACTGATGACCAGCCTCGAGTGGGCAGAGTGAGGAGGGAGAGGAAAGATGGAGAGGGGGCAATGGTGGTATGTATGCTTCCATTCATTTCCTGATGGCTGATGCAACTTGGATAAAGGGCAATATTTTCCACCCCTTTTGTGGTGGCCTGTAAATCAGCCAAGGCGATGGTTACTATGAGTTAATCTCCATTAACCAATTTAATTATGAAATCTGAAAAGGCCACTTTTAGCATCAGATCCTAGAGGTATCATCTGTGGATGAGATTTTTCACTTCTCTGTCTATAGTAACCTGAAATTAGACTTGTTTTATTATTAAAACTACTTGTTTGTACAGTGGTTTCAATAATTAAACCAAAATGTCACTACATCCATATGCTTTTTCATATCCTATTTCCTTGTGGAAAGGTTTATCCCATAGGAAGTACCCCCATTTCAGTCAAGTTCAGCTTTTACCTTGGGAAAAATCAAAAAATAAAAAACAAACCAACTTGTATTTTCAAATGTTTTACTTAAACTAAGGATAATTAAAATTATTTATACACAACCATGCCACAGAAGTGATGAGATGATTAAAATATTCTTAATGAGTTGGCATTTTTCAATTGTTTGACTTGATGTACCAATACATATTTATGATTTTAATTATTGTTTTGGCCTCAGAAAATGACTGTTTTTTAAAGATCAGCAGAGTTAATGAGAGAGTTGATACATTGACTTCTTGATTCTTTCCTTGGACTATTAGCAGTTAGAATAATATGCTGAGGTGGGGAAATAACAAATTTGCTTAAATATCTTCTAGGCTCTATTAACACTTAAATTGGAAAGTCTCTTAGTTAGTTCGTTTTTTTAAGTCCTCTTTAAGCCTAAAGGGTCTGGTGAGTATAGCCTAACACATGTAGCATTTAGAGGCAATTAATTTGTATGATTGAGAAGAGTTTTATTTATCTCTGCCTCTTTATTTACCTTGTTCTCCTCTCAATAGAAGAGGGTGGGACCGAGAGGGGGATCGAGAAGGGGAGGCTAATCCCACCATCTGTGCTCTGGCACCTCTTTTCTCTAAGATATCTCATTTAACCAGTTATTCCTCTATCCTGTTACTTCAACCTCTGCCACTCCTTTCTCTCAGACTAAAAAAATACTAACATCCCTCCAAGAGGATAAAACAATATAACGTTAAAAAAATCCTCCTTTGACCTTACATCACCAACTCTATTCCTTGCTTTTTCTCTTTCCCTTCACTTCTAAGCCATCTTCTTTCTTGCTTATTTATTTTCAGCCTGCTGCAATCTGCCTTTTATGCCGTCTCTCCATGAAAAAAGCTTATCCCACCTTATTAATCGTATCCGTTTTACTCCATCCTGTGGCCAGTCATCAATCCTTATGTTGCTGCTCTCTGTGGCAAATCCCTGTTGAAATACTGAACTCTTACTTTCTGTGGAACCACGTCTTCCTGGTTTTCTTTCTTTTCTTGGATCTTCTTTCCTCAAAACAGCCTGAAATATTGGTGTTTCCCAGGATTTCAATTTCTGCCTTCTTTTCTTTTTTCTCCCTCTATATTTGTTCCTTGGGTTGATTTCACCCAGTCAAGAGTTACTCTTGGTCATGATGACATGACTGAGAGCTAGAGCATTTGGAAGACAGAATGTAACACTTGAAGTCAAATCCATCTGTCTTTGAATTCTGGTTCTGCCACTTACTAGCCTAGTAGCAGATTTAAAGCAATGATTCTTACTTTACTCTGATGACTCCCAGTATCTTTAGTCCATATTGTTCTTCTGAAGTCTAGTCCTACATAGCTCTCATTGGAAGTCTCTTGCATGATGGTTCATGGATATGCAAGCTCCTTGTGTAAGAATGAATAACTTATTCCTGATCCAACTCCACCTCAGCCCTTCTCTTTAGCCTGTTTCCCCTCTTTAATGAAAGAAACTGTCATATATTCAGGACCTGTATTGGCCATTTCATCTCTCTCTCTTCTCTTTTGTTAATTCTACAGTATTCATCAATATCATCAATGAGTCCATCACTCTCCATTTTCATTTCCACTCTAGGTCAAGCCTCATCAACCAACTCTGGATTATTAAATTAGGTATTCAAAAAGGTCTACTGGCCCACCATCTAGGTGTTTTCAGTCTATTTTATAAAGTTCACAAAATAATATTTCTAAACCACATATTCTTTAAAGTATCTTTTTACTTTGATGAAAAAAATTAAACAATTAGTAAGAACACAACACCATTCATGAATGCTTCTTGCATTTTTCTATAGCCACTTCATAACTGATGACTGGCAGTCACCATTTATATTAAACTCCATTTTTTCCCCAAGAATTTCTCATATTTTATTTCATTTTGTGGATTACACTAAAATCTACTTGTTACAAGGAAGGTGCTTCTACTCATTCTTCACCCGGATAAATCCTGTGTGCATTTCAAAACTTGGTCCCCTGTGAGAATGTAAAAAGGTGCAGCTTCTATGGAAAATATTTTGATGGTTCCTCAAAAAGTTAAACACAGAATTACCATATGATTCAGCAATTCCACTTCTAGGCATTTCCCTGGTGGTCTAGTAGTTAGGATTCAGTGCTCTCCCCCTCCTAGGCATATAACCAAAGAAAATTGAAAACAGGGGCTCAAAGAGACATTTGTACTTGAATGTTCATAGCAGCATTATTCACAATAGCCAAAAAAAATGGAAACAATCCAAGCATCCATCAACAGATAAACAGACAATCTAAATACTGTATTCAGCCATAAAAATGAATAAAGTTCTGATATATGTTAAAACATGGATGAACCTTGAAATCATTATGCTAAATGAAATAAGTGTCCCAGAAGGATAAATATTGTATGATTCCACTTGTATGAAATATCTAGAACAGGAAAATTCATAGAGATGAAAAGTAGATTCGATGTTATGAGAAGTTGGGAAAGGGAAATGGGAAGTTATTGCTTAATGGGTACAGAGGTTTTGTGTGGGTTGATGAAAAACATTTTGGAAATAGTGGATGGTTGCACAACTTTGTGGATGTAATGAACGCCACTGAACTATACTAACAATTATTTCCTAGGAACTCTAATTCATTGCTGGTGGGAATGCAAAATGGTACAGCTACTTTGGCAGACAGTTTGACAGTTTCTTACAAAACTAAACATATTCCTACCATATGCATCATTAACTGTGCTCTTTTGCATTTACCCAAATGAGGCGAAAACTTATGTCCACACAAAAACTAGCAAATGAATGTTCATGGCTGCTTTGTTCATATATGCCAAAACTTAGATGCAACCAAAATGTCCCACAGCAGGTGAATGGATAAACAAACTGTGGAATATCTGGACAATGGAATATTATTCAATACTAAAACAAAATGAGCTATCAAGCCATGAAGAGACAAGGAGGAAGCTTATGTATATTACTAAATGAAAGAACTAATATCAAAAATCCATATACTGTCTGATGTCAACGAAATGACATTCTGAAAAACTATGGAGACAATAAAATGATCAGTGGCTGCCAAACTACTAGGCAAGACAAGAGAAAGGGAAGAATAGGCAGAGCACAGAGGATTTTTATGGAAAAGTAAAAGTATTCTTTATAATACTACAGTGGTGCATATATGTCATCATGCATTTTGTCAAAACCCATAAACTGGACAACACCAAGAATAAACCCTAATGTAAACTATGAAGTTTGGGTCGTGATGATGTGCCTATATAGATCCATCAAATGTATCAAATGTACTACTCTGGTGTCAGATTTTGATAGTGTGGGAGGCCATGCATTTGTAAGGGTCAGGGGGTTTAAGAAAAACCCATGTACATGTCTTAATCCATTTGTGTTGCTATAAAGGAATACTTGAGGCTGGGTAATTTATTTTTAAAAATTGGTTTGTCTGGCTATCTGTTCTGCAGAACTGTATAAGATGCAAGGTGCTGACATCTGTTTCTGGTGAGGACTTCAGGCTGCTTCCATTCCTAGCGGAATGAGAGGTGGAGACAGCATGTGCAGATATCACACGTTGAGAGGAAGATAGAGAGAGAGAGAGAGAGTGAGAGAGAGAGAGAGAGAGAGAGAGGAGAGAGAGAGAGAGATGCCAGGCTCTTTCTAACAACCAGCCCTCCAGCCTTCATGGAAACTAACAGAATTAGAACTCACTCATTCCTGCAAGGACAGCACCAAGCCATTCATGAGGAATTTGCTCCCTGTGACCAAAATACCTCCACTAGGCCCTACTTTCCAACATTGGGGACCAAATTTAAATATGATATTTGGAGGGTCAAGTATCCAAACTATAGCAGTACCATCTGCTCAGTATTGCTGTTAACTCAAAACTAGTCTGAAAAATAGTCTATCTAAAAAAATACTTCCTCTTTTCAACTTCACCCTATGTCTCTGGACTAGTTCTTTCCCTTCATCTAGAATCTATTTGGTTTCTTCCAGCCCTAAAACAAACAAGTGAAACCCTGCTCTTTTGCGTCTTTATTCCCTGATGCTACTATCCTACCTCTAATGCCTTATCTCTCTCCCCCGTTTCTTATGAAGCATCTCAGCAGTGTGAGTCTTCTCTACTTGTTGTTTTCACTTCTTTTTTTTTTTAACTTTCACTCCTCAATCATCAACAATGTGGCTCCCATCCATGTCAGAACTGACAATGCAGTCAGTAATGACTTCATGTTGCCAAATGAGATAGGCACATTTTGTTTCTCATGTGACTAACTTCCTGCCAGCATTGGTTCCTTGTAGTAATCACCTTCTTAGGACTTATTTGCCTTGGTGTTTGTGGGGTAGGCTTTTTTCGCCTAAGTCAGACACTTTTTTGGCAATGTCCTTCAAAAATACTCTCTACCTTCCTCTGTGTTGTTGCCCCCATCCTCTAAAAACTCTGTTTGTAACCTGCCTTTTTTCATATTCTACATGCTTTTCCTGAATTAGTAATTTCTTGAGCATGGTTTTTAAGAAATTTCTATGTGCAAATTATTCCCAGTTCTACATTTTTTATCCCTAACTTCTCCTCTCCACTCCAGACTCCAGTTTCCTGCTGCTGCTGAACTCTCCATCTGGAGGTTCCATATTTACCTCCAGTTCAACATGTTTAAAACTGATTTCAATATCTTCTCCTCCCACTCCAGCCTGTTCACCTTCCTGAATTCATTATCTTTTAACATTGCAATGTCACCCTCCTCCTCACAGGAAGGTTATCAGGGATAAATGAGTCAATGTATGAAAGAGTTTAGCACAGAGTCTGGCAAATATTTAAATCTCAATAAATTTTTGCTACTATTGCTGTTGTTATACTTATCTCAGCCAGTGATATCACTGAATCACTTCTACAAGCCAGACTATCCAAGATAATCACAAATCTCATTATCTCCAAGCCCCTGTTTCTCCCCCCAATGACCAAACAACTATGAGATCTGGGCTTTGCTTTCACATCCAGCCTTCACTTCTACCAGTACCTGCATCCAAGTTTTGTTCTAGCAGGACTCATAACTTGAGTATTTTTATGTTTTTGTTGTCGTTCTCCTCTCTTCTTTTCGTTTATGTACACTCCCTTATGCCTGGAATGCTATGCTTTTCTCTGTTCACCCTCATAATTTTCTTTGTTAAAAAAATGATACATAATAGATGTATATATTTTGGGGTTAAATGTGGGGTACATGTGATAATTTAATGCATTCATATAAATTGTACAGATCAAATCTGTGTAATTAGGATATCATCACCTTAAATATGTGTCTTTTCTTCATTCTAGAAACATTCAAATTGTTCTAGTTATTTTGAAATATACTATAGATTATTGTAAACTATAGTCATGCTACTGATCTTTCAAACACCAGGTCTTATTTCTTCTACTAAACTGTATATTTGTGCCCATTAACCAATTTCTCTTTATTCCTCCCTTCCCACTCCCTTACCTTCCCAGACTATGGTAACCACCAGTCTAATTCTCTATCATCATGAGATCCACCTTTTTAGCTCCCACATATGAGTGAAAAAATGCAATATTTGTCTTTCTACGCTTGGCTCATTTCACTTAATGACCTCCTCTTCCTTCTGTGTTGCTGAAACTGACAGAATTTCATTCTTTTTTTATGGTTGAATAATATTCCATTGTGTTTATATACCACATTTTCTTTATCTGTTCATCTGTTGATTTGCACTTAGGTTGTTTCCATATTTTGGCTATTGTGAATAGTGCTGCAATAAACATGGGAGTGCAGATATCTCTTAGATATGGTAATTTCCTATCCTTTGGATAAATACACAGTGGTGCAATTACTGGATCATATGATAGTTCTATTTTTAGTTTTTTTTAGTTTTTTTTTTTTTTTTTTTTGAGACGGAGTCTCGCTCTGTCGCCCAGGCTGGAGTGCAGTGGCTCGATCTTCACTCACTGCAAGCTCCGCCTTCCGGGTTCACGCCATTCTCCTGCCTCAGCCTCCCGAGTAGCTGGGACTACAGGCACCTGCCACCACGCCCGGCTAATTTTTTGTCTTTTTAGTAGAGATGGAGTTTCACCATGTTAGCCAGGATGGTCTTCATCTCCTGACCTCGTGATCTGCCTGCCTCGGCCTCTATTTTTAGTTTTTTGAGGAACTTTCATACAGTTTTTCCATAGTGGCTCCACTAATTTACACACCCACCAATATTGTACAAAGGTTCTGCTTCCTTTTCGTCCTCATCAGCATCTGTTACTCCCTATATTTTTGATAGAAGTCATTTTAACTGGGATGAAATGTCTCATTGTGATTTTAATTTGCATTTCTTTGATGATTAGTGATGTTGAGCGTTTTTTCATATACATGTTGGCCATGTTCATTTCCCTTGGAAAAATGTCTATTCAGATATTTTGCCCACTTATTAAACAGATTATTAATTTATTTAATTTTGCTATTGAGTTGTTTGAGCTCCTTATATATTCTGGTTATTAATCCCTTGTCAGATGGATAGTTTGCAAATATTTTCTGCCATTTTTGGGGTTGTCTCTTCACTTTGTTGATTATTTTCTTTTTGGTACAGGGAGTTTATAACTTGATGTAATCCCATTTATCTATTTTTGCTTTAGTTGCCTGTGCTTCTGAGGTCTCCTGCAAAAAAAAAAAAAAAAAAAAAAAAAAAAAAAAAAAAAAAAAAAACTTTGACCATATCAGTGTCCTGTTGAATTTCCTTAAAGTTTTCCTTTAGTAGTTTTATTGTTTCAGGAGTTAAATTTAAATTTTTAATCCATTTTGATCTGATTTTTGTGTATGGTGAAAAATCAGGGTCTAGTTTCATTTTTCTACATATGGTTATTCATTTTTCTTAGCATCATTCATTGAAAACACTGTCTTTTTCCATTGTATGTTCTTGGTAACTTTGTCAAAAATGAATTGGCTGTAAATGCATAGATTTATATCTGGGTTCTCTGTTCTGTTCCATTGATCTCTGTCTGTTTTTATGCCAGTACCGTGCTGATTTGGTTACTATAGTTCTGTAGTATATTTTGAAATCAAGCAGTATGATGCCTCCAGTCTTGTTCTTTTTGCTCAGGATTGCTTTGGCTACTTGAGGTCTTTTGTGGGTCATATGCATTTTAGGATTGCTTTTTCTATTTATGTGAAGACCGTCTAGTATTTTGACAGGAATTGTATTGAATCTGTAAATTTTTTTGTATAGTATTGTCATTTTCACAATATTAGTTCTTCCAATTCATAAGCATGGAATATCTTTCCATTTTTTGTGTTCTTTTCATTTTCTTTCATCAGTGTTTCATAGTTTTCCTTGTATACGTCTTTTACTTCTTTGTTTAAATTGATTCCAGGGCTTTTATATTCTTTGTAGTTATTGTAAATAGGATTGCTTTCTTGATTTCTCTTTCAGATTGTTATCCTAAGTCACATATAAATGTCACTGGTTTTTGTATGCTGACTTTGTATCCTGCAACTTTACTGAATTTATTAGTTTTAATAGTTTTTTTGTAGTGTTTTAATGTTTTTCTAAGAATAAAATCATGTCATATGCAAACAAGTCTAATTTGACATCTTCCTTTCCAAATTTGAATGCCCCTTAGTTCTTTCTCTTGCCTGATTGCTCTGGCCAGTACTTCTAGTATCATGCTGAATAAAAGTGGTTAAAGTGGGCATCATTGTCTTATTCAAGATCCTAGAGGAAAGGCTTTCAATTTTTCACTGTTCAGTACCATGTTAGCTGTGGGTTTGTCATATATGGTCTTTATTATTTTGAGCTATGTTCCTTCCATTCCCAGTTTGTTGAGAATTTTTATCTTAAAGGGATGCTGAATTATATTGAATACTTTTTCAGCATGTATTGAAATGATTGTATGGCTTTTTTTTTGTTATTGTGGTGTATCATATTTATTGATTTGCGTATGTTAAACTGTTTTTGCATCCCCGGGATGAATCCCACTGGAACTTAGTGAATGATCTTTTTATTGTGTTGTTCAATTTGGTTTGCTAGTATTTTGTTGAGGATTTTTGCTTCTATGTTCATCAGAGATGCTGGATTGTAGTTTTCCTTTTGGGTTGTGTCCTTGTCTGGTTTTGATATCAGGGTAATGCTGGCCTTGTAGAATAAGTTTGGCAGTATTTTCTCCCCTTCAATGTTTTTGAATACTAATTCTGTAGAATTGGTATTAATTCTTCTTTGAATGTTTGGTATAATTCAGCAGTGAATCTTTCAGGTCCTGGGCTTTTCTTTGATGAGAGACTTTTTATGGCTTTCATCTCATTTATCATTATAAGCTTGTTGAAGTTTTCTATTTCTTCATGGTTCATTCTGGTTTGGTTATATGTGTTCACAAATTTCTCCATTGTTTTGGTTTTCAAATTTGTTTGCATATAGCTTTTCATAATAGTCTCTGATGATTGTTTGTGTTACTGTGGTCTCAATTGTTCAATTTTTTCATTTCTGATTTTATTTGGGTCTTCTATTTTTTTTAATCTAACTAAAAGTTTTTATTTTGTTTATTTTTTCAAAAAATAACTTTTTGTTTTGTTGATCTTGTGCATTGTTTTTAAGTTTTGATTGAAGTTATTTCTTCTCTGACCTTTATTATTTCTTTTTTTTTTCCTGCTGATTTTGGGTTTGGCTTATTGTTGCTTTTGGAGTTCCTTGAGGTGCATCCTTAGGTTGCTTATTTGAAATCTTTCTCCTTTTTTTGATATAAACATTTATTGCTATGAACTTTCCTCTTAGTATTCCTTTTGTCATACCTCATAGATTTTGGTATGTTCGAGTTTCATGTTCATTTGTTTAAATACATTTTTTATCACCTTCTTTATTATTATTATTATTATTATTATACTTTAAGTTTTAGGGTACATGTGCACAACGTGCAGGCTTTGTTACATATGTATATATGTGCCTTGTTGGTGTGCTGCACCCATTAACTTGTCATTAACATTAGTATATCTCCTAATGATATCCCTCCCACCTCCCCCCACCTCACAACAGTCTCCAGTGTGTGATGTTCCCCCTCCTGTGTCCATGTGTTCTCATTGTTCAATTCCCACCTATAAGTGAGAACATGAGGTGTTTGGTTTTCTGTCCTTGTGATAGTTTGCTGAGAATGATGGTTTCCAGCTTCATCCATATCCCTACAAAGGACATGAACTCATCCTTTTTATGGCTGCATAGTATTCCATGGTGTATATGTGCCACATTTTCTTAATCCAGTCTATCATTGTTGGACATTTGGCTTGGTTCCAAGTCTTTGCTATTGTGACTAGTGCCACAATAAACATACGTGCATGTGTCTTTATAGCAGCATGATTTATAATCCTTTGGGTATATACCCAGTAATGGGATGGCTGGGTCAAATGGTATTTCTAGTTCTAGATCCCTGAGGAATCTCCACACTGACTTCCACAATGGTTGAACTAGTTTACAGTCCCACCAACAGTGTAAAAGTGTTCCTATTTCTCCACATCCTCTCCAGCACCTGTTGTTTCCTGACTTTTTAATGATTGCCATTCTAACTGGTGTGAGATGGTATCTCATTGTGGTTTTGATTTGCATTTCTCTGATGGCCAGTGATGGTGAGCATTTTTTCATGTGTTTTTTGGCTGCATAAATGTCTTCTTTTGAGAAGTGTCTGTTCATGTCCTTTGCCCACTTTTTGATGGGATTGTTTGTTTTTTTTCTTGTAAATTTGTTTGAGTTCATTGTAGATTCTGGATATTATTAGCCCTTTGTCAGATGAGTAGGTTGCAAAAATTTTCTCCCATTCTGTAGGTTGCCTGTTCACTATGATGGTGGTTTCTTTTGCTGTGCAGAAGCTCCTTAGTTTAATTAGATCCCATTTGTCAATTTTGGCTTTTGTTGCCATTGCTTTTGGTGTTTTAGACATGAAGTCCTTGCCCATGTCTATGTCCTGAATGGTATTGCCTAGGTTTTCTTTTAGGGGTTTTATGGTTTTAGGTCTATCATGTAAGTCTTTAATCCATCTTGAATTAACTTTTGTGTAAGGTGTAAGCAAGGGATCCAGTTTCAGCTTTCTACATATGGCTAGCCAGTTTTCCCAGCACCATTTATTAAATAGGGAATCCTTTCCCCATTTCTTGTTTTTCTCAGGTTTGTCAAAGATCAGATCGTTGTAGATATGTGGCATTATTTCTGAGGGCTCTGCTCTGTTCCATTGATCTATATCTCTGTTTTGGTACCAGTACCATGCTGTTTTGGTTACTGTAGCCTTGTAGTATAGTTTGAAGTCAGGTAGCGTGATGACTCCGGCTTTGTTCTTTTGGCTTAGGATTGACTTGGCGATGCGGGCTCTTTTTTGGTTCCATATGAACTTTAAAGTAGTTTTTTCCAATTCTGTGAAGAAAGTCATTGGTAGCTTGATGGGGATGGCAATGAATCTATAAGTTACCTTGGGCAGTATGGCCATTTTCACAATATTGATTCTTCCTACCCATAAGCATGGAATGTTCTTCCATTTGTTTGTATCCTCTTCTATTTCCTTGAGCAGTGGTTTGTAGTTCTCCTTGAAGAGGTCCTTCACATCCCTTGTAAGTTGGATTCCTAGGTATTTTAATCTCTTTGAAGCAATTGTGAATGGGAGTTCATTCATGATTTGGCTCTTTGTTTGTCTGTTATTGGTGTATAAGAATGCTTGTGATTTTTGCACATTGGTTTTGTATCCTGAGACTTTGCTGAAGTTGCTTATCAGCTTAAGGAGATTTGGGGCTGAGATGATGGGGTTTTCTAGATATACAATCATGTCATCTGCAAACAGGGACAATTCGATTTCCTCTTTTCCTAATTGAATGCCCTTTATTTCCTCCTCCTGCCTGATTGCCCTGGTCAGCACTTCCAACACTATGTTGAATAGGAGTGGTGAGAGAGGGCATCCCTGTCTTGTGCCAGTTTTCAAAGGGAATGCTTCCAGTTTTTGCCCATTGAGTATGATATTGGCTGTGGGTTTGTCATAGATAGCTCTTATTATTTTGAGATATGTCCCATCTCAATAAATACCTAATTTATTGAGAGTTTTTAGCATGAAGCATTGTTGAATTTTGTCAAAGGCCTTTTCTGCATCTATTGAGATAATCTTGTGGTTTTTGTGTGTGGTTCTGTTTATATGCTGGATTACGTTTATTGATTTTCATAAGTTGGACCAGCCTTTCATCCCAGGGATGAAGCCCACTTGATCATGGTGGATAAGCTTTTTGATGTGCTGCTGGATTCGGTTTGCCAGTATTTTATTGAGGATTTGTGCATCAATGTTCATCAAGGATATTGGTCTAAAATTCTTTTTTTGGTTGTGTCTCTGCCAGGCTTTGGTAACAGGATGGTGCTGGCCTCATAAAATGAGTTAGGGAGGATTCCCTCTTTTTCTGTTGATAGGAATAGTTTCAGAAGGAATGGTACCAGCTTCTCCTTGTACCTCTGGTAGAATTCAGCTGTGAATCCATGTGGTCCTGGACTTTTTTTGTTGGTAAGCTATTAATTATTGCCTCAATTTCAGCTCCTGTTATTGGTCTATTCAGAGATTCAACTTCTTCCTGGTTTAGTCTTGGGAGGGTGTATGTGTCAAGGAATTTATCCATTTCTTCTAGATTTTCTAGTTCATTTTCATAGAGATGTTTACAGTATTCTCTGATGGTAGTTTGTATTTCTGTGGGATCAGTGGTAATATCCCCTTTGTCATTTTTTATTGCGTCTATTTGATTCTTCTCTCTTTTCTTCTTTATTAGTCTTGCTAGTGGTCTATCGATTTTGTTGATCTTTTCAAAAAACCAGCTCCTGGATTCATTGATTTTTTGAAGGGCTTTTTGTGTCTCTATTTCCTTCAGTTCTGCTCTGATTTTAGTTATTTCTTGCCTTCTGCTAGCTTTTCAATGTGTTTGCTCTTGCTTTTCTAGTTCTTTTAATTGTGATGGTAGGGTGTCAATTTTGGATATTTCCTGCTTTCTCTTGTGGGCATTTAGTGCTATAAATTTCCCTCTACACACTGCTTTGAATGTGTCCCAGAGATTCTGGTATGCTGTGTCTTTGTTCTCGTTGGTTTCAAAGAACATCTTTATTTTGCCTTCATTTCTTTCTGTACCCAGTAGTCATTCAGGAGCAGGTTGTTCAGTTTCCGTGTAGTTGAGCAGTTTTGAGTGAGTTTCTCAATCCTGAGTTCTAGTTTGATGGCACTGTGGTCTGAGAGACAGTTTGTTATAATTTCTGTTCTTTTACGTTTGCTGAGGAGTGCTTTACTTCCAACTATGTGGTCAATTTTGGAATAGGTGTGGTGTGGTGTTGAAAAAAATGTATATTCTGTTGATTTGTGGTGGAGAGTTCTGTAGATGTCTATTAGGTCTGCTTGGTGCAGAGCTGAGTTCAATTCCTGGGTATCCTTGTTAACTTTCTGTCTCATTGATCATCTAATGTTGACAGAGGGGTGTTAAAATCTCCCATCATTATTGTGTGGGAGTCTAAGTCACTTTGTAGGTCACTAAGGACTTGCTTTATGAATCTTGGTGCTCCTGTATTGGGTGCATATATATTTAGGATAGTTAGTTCTTCCTGTTGAATTGATCCCTTTACCTTTATGTAATGGCCTTCTTTGTCTCTTTTGATCTTTGTTGGTTTAAAGTCTGTTTTATCCGAGACTAGATTGCAACCCCTGCCTTTTTTTGTTTTCCATTTGCTTGGTAGATCTTCCTCCATCCCTTTATTTTGAGCCTATGTGTGTCTCTGCAAATGAAATGGGTTTCCTAAATACAGTGCACTGATGGGTCTTGACTCTTTATCCAATTTGCCAGTCTGTGCCTTTTAATTGGAGCATTTAGCCCATTTACATTTAAGGTTAGTATTGTTGTATATGAATTTGGTCCTGTCATTATGATGTTAGCTGGTTATTTTGCTCATTAGTTGATGCAGTTTCTACCTAGCCTTGATGGTCTTTACAATTTGGCATGTTTTTGTAGTGGCTGGTACCAGTTTTTCCTTTCTATGTTTAGTGCTTCCTTCAGGAGCTCTTTTAGGGCAGGCCTGGTGGTGACAAAATCTCTCAGCATTTGCTTGTCTGTAAAGTATTTTATTTCTCCTTCACTTATGAAGCTTAGTTTGGCTGGATATGAAATTCTGGGTTGAAAATTCTTCTCGTTAAGAATGTTGAATAAGGGCCTACACTCTCTTCTGGCTTGTAGAGTTTCTGCCAAGAGATCAGCTGTTAGTCTGATGGGCTTCCGTTTGTGGGTAACCCCACCTTTCTCTCTGGCTGTCCTTAACATTTTTTCCTTCATTTCAACTTTGGTGAATGTGACAATTATGTGTCTTAGAGTTGCTCTTCTCGAGGAGTATCTTTGTGGCATTCTCTATATTTCCTGAATTTGAATGCTGGCCTGCCTTGCTAGATTGGGGAAGTTCTCCTGGATAATATTCTGCAGAGTGTTTTCCAACTTGGTTCCATTCTCCGCGTCACTTTCAGGTACACCAGTCACACGTAGATTTGGTCTTTTCACTTAGTCCCATATTTCTTAGAGGCTTTGTTCATTTCTTTTTATTCTTTTTGCTCTAAACTTCTCTTCACACTTCATTTCATTCATTTCATCTTCCATCTCTGATACCCTTTCTTCAAGTTGATTGCATTGGTTACTGAGGCTTGTGCATTCATCTTGTAGTTCTCATGCCATGGTTTTCAGCTCCATCAGGTGCTTTAAGGACTTCTCTGCATTGGTTATTCTAGTTATCCATTCGTATAATTTTTTTTCAAAGTTTTTAACTTCTTTGCCATTGGTTTGAACTTCCTCCTTTAGTTCGGTGTAGTTTGATATTCTGAAGCCTTCCTCTCCCAGCTCGTCAAAGTCATTCTCTGTCCAGCTTTGTTCCGTTGCTGGTGAGGAGCTGCGTTCCTTTGGAGGAGGAGAGGTGCTCTGATTTTTAGAGTTTCTGGTTTTTCTGCTCTGTTTTTTCCCCATCTTTGTGATTTTATCTACCTTTGGTCTTTGATGCTGGTGACGTACAGATGGGTTTTTCGTGTGAATGTCCTTTCTGTTTGTTGGTTTTCCTTCTAACAGTCAGGACCCTCAGCTGCAGGTCTGTTGGAGTTTACTGGAGGTCCACTCCAGAACTTGTTTGCCTGGGTATCAGCAGCAGTGGCTGCAGAACAGCAGATGTTGGTGAACCGCAAATGCTGCTGCCTGATCATTCATCTGGAAGTTTTGTCTCAGAGGAGTACCCGGCCATGTGAGGTGTCAGTCCGCCCCTACTGGGGGGTGCCTCCCAGTTAGGCTACTTAGGGGTTAGGGACTCACTTGAGGAGGCAGTCTGCCCGTTCTCAGATCTCAAGCTGTGTGCTGGGAGAACCACTAATCTCTTCAAAGCTATCAGACAGGGACATTTAAGTCTGCAGAGGTTACTGCTGTCTTTTGTTTGTCTGTGCCCTGCCCCCAGAGGTGGAGTCTACAGAGGCAGACAGGCCTCCTTGAGCTGTGGTGGACTCCACCCAGTTGGAGCTTCCCGGCTGCTTTGTTTACCTACTCAAGCCTGAGCAATGGTGGGCACCCCTCCCCCAGCCTCGCTGCTGCCTTGCAGTTTGATCTCAGACTGCTGTGCTAGCAATAAGCGAGGCTCTGTGGGCGTAGGACCCTCTGAGCCAGGTGTGGGATATAATCTCCTGGTGTGCCCTTTGATAAGCCCATTGGAAAAGCACAGTATTAGGGTGGGAGTGACCTGATTTTCCAGGTGCTGTCTGTCACACCTTTCTTTGACTAGGAAAGGGAATTCCCTGACCCCTTGTGCTTCCCGGGTGAGGCGATGCCTCACCCTGCTTCGGCTCACACATGGTGCACTGCATCCACTGTCCTGCACCCACTGTCTGGCACTCCCCAGTGAGATGAACCCGGTACCTCAGTTGGAAATGCAGAAATCACCCGTCTTCTGCGTCGCTCACACTGGGAGCTGTAGACTGGGGCTGTTCCTATTCGGCCATCTTGGCTCCAACCCCTCCTAGATAGTAGTGTGTTTTGATATATATATTTTTTTATTTTTGGTGAATCTATTATAGGTTTTTTCATTGTGGTTACCATGAGGCTTACAAAAACTATCTTACAGATATAAGAATTTATTTTAAATAGATGACAACTTATCTTACATTGAAAACAAACAAGCAAAGAAAAAACTTTTTAAAGGCTCCACATTTTAACTTTTTCCTTCATCTTCACATTTTGACTTTGTTGACTCAATTTATATATCTTATATTGCCTATCTCTTATCAGGTTGCTGTAGCAATTATTGCTTTTGATAGATTTGTCTTTTGAGCCTCACACTAGTGTTATTAGAGAATGGTACATCACAATTACAGTATTAGAGTATTCTGGGTTTTTCTGTGTACTTAATTTTACTCGCAGTTTTATAGCTTTAAATGTTTTCTTTTTTCATGTTAATGTTTTTTTTTCTCTCTCAGATTGAACAACTTCCTTCAGCATTTCTTTTAAGATAGGTTGATAGTAGTGAATTCTCCCAGCATTTGTTTGTCTGAGAAAGGCTTATCTCTTATTTAAATTTAAGTGTGGCTTTGTTGGATATACTATTTTTGAATGGCATTTTTTTTCTTTCAATACTTTGGAATTATTCCATTATCTCCTAGCTTGCATTGTTTCTGTTGAGAAGTCTGTTGCCAGATGAATTGGAACACTTTTACATTCTATTTGCTTCTTTTCTTTTGCTGCCTTTAAGATCCTCTCTTTGTTCTTGGCTTTTGAGAGTTTGTTTGTTATATGTCTTGGTGTAGTCTTATTTGGGTTGAATCACCTTGGTGTTCTCTAACCTTTCTGTACCTGGATATTTATATCCTCAAATTTTGGAAAGTTTTCTGTTATTATCTCTTTGAATAAACTTCCTAGCCCTTGCTTTTGCTCAACTTCGTCTTGAATACCAACATGTCTTAGATATAGTCTTTTTAGATAATTTTCTTTATCTTGTGGGCAATCCTATTCCTTTTACTCTTGTTTCTTTTTTCTCCTCTGACTGTATATTTTCAAACAGCCTGTTTTCAAGATCACTGCTTCTTTCCTCTGCTTAATTCATTCTGCTGTTGAGAACCTCTAATTAATCTTTTAGTTCAGCAAATATAGTTCTCAGTTCCAAGGTTTCTGTTCATTTAAAAAATATTCCAATCTCATTAAATTTATCTAATAAATTTCTGAATTGGTTTTCTTTGTTATTTTCGAAATCATTGAGTTTCTTTAAAATTGCAATTTTGAATTTTTTTTTCAGAGAATTCATATATCACTGTCTCATTAGAGTCCATCACTGGTTTGTTGCTTTGTATATTTGAGGAGGTCATGATTCCCTGTTTGCTGTTGTTTCTTGTAGATATATATCTGTGTCTTTGCATTGACGGATTACTAATTTATTCTAGTCATGTATGTCTGGACTGTTTTTTGGTTTGGGCTTTTGTTTGTTTGTAAGAGATGGGGTCTTAGTCTATCACCCAGGCCTGTGTGTAGTGGCATGATCATAATAGCTCAATGAAGCCTCAAACACCTGTGCTCCAGGGATCCCCTTGCCTCAGCCTCCCAAATGACTGAGACTACAGCTGCATGCCACCATGTCTGGCTAATTAAAAAAAGTTTTAACAATGGGGGTCTCACTATGTTGCCCAGGCAGGTCTCAAGCTTTTAGCCTCAAACAACCCTCCCACTTCAGCCTCCTGAGTAGCTGCAAGTACAAGTTTTGGTTTCTATTGGATATTTTTGCTTAGAAATCCTTTTTAATTTAAGTGTTTCTTTCTTTTTTTCCCCCGCTAGGTTGCTGCCTCCTATTTGGCACTAGATGGTGTAGTAAGCTCATGTTTACCTTAGTTTTAGTTAACAATTTAGGACAGGGAGTGCCACCTGTCCCAAATGGGGAAGGTTCCAAAGGGAATATCCAGGTAGTGGAGCAAAGGTGGCTACAGGTTCATGCCTAGTGGTCTTGTACAATGAACTTCCCATAGGATGGTGAAATTGAACAGCTACTCTGATTTAGTGTCTCCTTTGGCTGAGTTACAGAGCAGAGTCCAGGGCTGGGGATGGAAGTTCCACCTCCCCACTTTTTATCTGGCTGTGCTCAGTGATATTTCTCCCTTCAGGCACTTCTCATGCTTCCTGTGGGTTGAAACAGGGACAACCCAAAGGAATTCACCTGAGTTTCCTGCCAGCAAAGTCAAAGTGGGGAAGCTGGCTTTCCACCTCAGTCCTACTTTTTTTCAGTGTAGAAACTGTGTGAATTTTCCCTATCCCAAATTGTTTACTAAAACTAAGGTAAACATGGGCTTACCACACCATCTAGTGCCAAAAAGGAGGCAGCAACCTAGTGGGGGAAAAAAAAGAAATACTTAAATTAAAAATAATTTCTAAGCAAAAATATCCAATAGAAACCAAAACTTGTACCTGCAGCTACTCAGGAGGCTGAAGTGGGAGGATTGTTTGAGGCTAAAAGCTTGAGACCTGCCTGGGCAACATATTGAGACCCCCATTGCTAAAACTTTTTTTAATTAGCCAGACATGATGGCATGCTGGTGTAGTCTCAGTTACTTGGGAAAATTTTCCACATGCTTGGTGTGGGGCAGGTCGTGAAGAGGGGCGCTGCAGTTATGGAACTCTGCTTCTCTTACTGTCTGTTTGGAGTCTTTTCTGCTTCTCTGTGGTCCTGAAAAGTGTCTCACCTTCTTATTTGAGTTTTGGGATATTGCTGGTGATAATCTTGGTGCTGCATATTTGTTTTTGGTTTTCTGTGGAGGGGAGTAAAGCAAGCTTGCTTCTATGCTGCCATTTTGGAACCAGAAGTCCCTAGCTGCTATATTTTCTAATCATTCTTCTACACTGAGTTCATCATCACCTCCTTTAGGGAATCTTTCTTGCCTTTCAACTCTTGGTAAGATTATACGCCTATTCTTGAATTTAACATAGTGCTTTGCTGCATCACACAAGCTTACCACAATGGACAGTGAATTTCAAGAACCATTTGTTATTCACTTTCATTTTTCTTTCAACCAGCAGAGTGCCCAGCATATATTATGTGTTTAATAAAAATTGGTCAAATTAAGCTAAACAGTTGCCGAGCTTAGACACTGAATGATAACAACCTCAAAGCCTTATGTTCTATCTCCTTATATGTTTCAGAACTCAACTCTATAAATAAATCCCCATTAAATTTTCTTTATGTTAGATTCCAGCTGTATTTTGGAAATTAAGGAGGAAGATTTCAGATCCTCATCTTCCCACTTTTAACTTGCTGATCAAGGTATCAAAGTCTTAAGCAGATATTTAATCATATGTAAAACTTGACACGTTCAAGAGTAGAATCCCCAGAATCCATATGTTCATTTAATCAGTATTACTAGGCGCAGCCTCTTCATAAAGTATTTTTATTTTTACTAAAAAAAAGTAGATTACAATTTTCCGCTAATTATAACTGTGGTAGAAATCAATAGGGTACTATCAGAAAGCATGGAAATATACAGAGAAAGAAAGCAAAAATCAGCCATAATTCTGCCACCAAAGATAACAACTGTTAAAATTTGGTGCATGATCTGCCAGAATTTTCCATGATATTTCTTTACAACAATACTACAATTTGCTGTTTTGAGGTCTGTTTCATTTTTTTTCTTAGCAATATATGAACATCATTTTTCCAGGAAATAAAGATTTGCCTCTAATGCTATTTTTAATTTCAGCTTGGTGTTTTATTGTATGACTATAACCCTTTATTATTAATCATCGAAGTTTCCAAAAACTATTATGAAATTGTTATGTACATATTCTTGCTGTATTATCTATTTAGATAGTTTGTGTGATGGGGTATTTATTTACATATATTAGTGTAGGGTTTAAGTGTGCAATTACATTTTAGAATTTTGTTTATGTGGATATAACCCTTGAAAACACTGACAAATAAAGGGCCACAATGATTCATGTCTTCCAGTTCTGTAGCTAAGATGAAAATAATACTTATTTGTAGATTTTTGGTGGTGATTTTGCAAGTGATTCATTTATGTGGGGTTGGTAAGTCATGTAACTTTATGCTTTTCAATGCTTTGCCAGTAAAATGGAGCTTATAATACTGCCTCAATCCTCCATGGTGAAGACAGGAGAGTATATCTAAGCACCGAGAGAAGTAAAATCACGTGTAGATTATTATTTTCTAGTTTTTCTCATTGTTCTTCCTTATTGTGATTTTGTTTGGCATTAGTTCTTCTACTCATCCATCTTATCATAAATGATGATGACTCTCTTAGGTATAATTTCCTTTTTGTTTGTGTGTGTTACATGGGTTTCTTTTCTTATAAGGCAATATTTAGTGAGACACAGGAACACATAATAAATATATCGTAAAATTACATTTCAAAGTGAGCTATTGTATCAAAGTGAACCTTAAAATATGGGAAGCCTCTGAAGTGGAGGAAAAGATGAAACAAATGGATTAAATGAGATGTGGCCACCACAGGGGATATTCTACTTCATAGAAGTCCGAGAAATCTCAATGAAATTACTACATAATTTATGCATGTTCATAAATAATCCATCTCAACCTTTTTCTTTAAGAAGTCAGTTTTTAAGTGCATAAACTAAGCAATCCTGGTGACCCACCTCCAACATGAGATGGGGAAATATATTTCAAGCTTAAAAAATGACTTCTTGGCTTGTGGTTAATGGAATATTTGCCAGTTTCTTTATCGAGTCCAAAGGGACATTAGAAAATGCACACTCTTTGATCATTTATTAATGCACCATGCTCTGTGACTATTAAAATAATTTTAGCATTCAGGAATTGGCCTAGGAGAGCAGAAGAAGCTTGAGAGGATGGCTGAACTGTATTTTGAAAAGTGCTTTTTACCGTCCTGGCTGAACTGTGCTATATAATTCTTGTCCTTGCTATAATTAGACACAGGTATCAGTATTACAACACCATTTTTATTAGTGGGGAAAAAAGGAGCGGGGGAGATAAAGAGGTGGTGTTTTATTCCTTGAATGACTCAGAGTCTGCACAAAAAGCAAGAGCACTAGGTTCTGGTCCAGAATTCTAACCACCCTATCAGCCTGCATTCCAAGTCTCATAAGTAACTTAAAGTATTAGAGAGCATATATTTCCTTTCAATGATGGATGAAGATCTTACCTTAGCCATGATAGGAGCCTCACATGTGCCTAAAAACTGGGGATTAGCCCTGTGGTGACCAGACATGATTGTCCCTATCTTCCTGGAGAGATATTCCATGGGTGAAGAGATCATCCATCATCAGTAAAAACAAAATTCCCTTCAGCCTTCTAACACACAGGATTTGTCTCCCAAATGTGCACATCTGGAAATCTTATCTAGGCTTGCATAATGGCCAGTGTTTAAGAATAATCTCTGTATAAGTAAATTCAGCTGAGAGGCAAACTCTGAAGCCTTGGCACTACTGAGCTCTCTTTGGTTAAGTTTTACTGTCTGCACAAGAAAATTAACAGGAGGTGGACAAGAGGCTCTAAGCTGATGACTTTACAAAGAATATGGCCATGCTTCCTGTCATAAAATTGTATTTGCTGTGCAGCACCACTGTATTGTTAAGCAGCTCTCAGTGCTGTGAATCAGCTCCTCTGCTCTTTTGGACGAAGCTGTCTTCTGATTTTAGGGATGCGTGTCCATGAGGAAGGGTGGGTATACAATAGTGCACTGAATTTATGTTCTTTGTATATTATTGGCAATGAATGTTCCAGCTTTCTTGTACTAATCTCTAAAAAGTCTTCAGAGGGGCATTATTGTATAGTTGAGAAATCTGGTATACAAAGGGTGACTTGACATGGCTAGAAGTGATGTAACAGAGATTAAAATCCATCTATGTAACTTCATGAGTTTTCTTATCATTTCTTCCATGAACATTTTCAAGATTCCACCATTGGGCATTTGTTGACTTTTTCCTTCTGTTAAATTGCTGGAGAAAATTATTGGGAAGCCGTTTCTGCTGATGAAGAGAATTGGTGTATATGGAAGGACCACATGGAGTCCATGGGGACAGCTGCTGGCTTACCTAGTGTTGGTGATGTTATTAAAAATCCAAATTCAAGAAATCACACGTTTTTCTGCCTTCTTTTGGTTTTCAGGGAGCTTCCATGTGGATGACTATGGGTGGGATTATCATTGATGGAGAAATGCATGCCTTATTATAAGCCTCTTTCAAACCAAGCTGCTTATAATTTTATCTGTGGTTTTGCAGAGGTTCTGGGCCTTTTTTGAAAGCTCAGAGTTCTTCAATAATACCAGGTGAAAATGGAAAGAAATATCATTTCTAAGAGGGAGTTCTGATACTTCTTTTTGTCTCTGTACTATTTAGAAAACTGGGAATATTTTAGTTTTATCAAGATATTATTCAATATATTGCATTAGGTAAGAGCTGGTCTCTTCAGTCAGGCAGATCTAAGTTTAAATTGTGGCTCTGCCACTTCTAAGCTCTCTGACCATAACAACAACTTGAACAACCTTACCTGAACTGGTTTTGCTATCTGTAAAACAGAGACATTCATAATTCCTTACCTTATAGGGTTGTTTTGAAACTTAAATAAAATAGTTATGGTAAATCACTTAGTACAGGGCTGGGCAATGTTGATGTTGATTGTTATGTTTATTTTTACACAGTGATTCAAATGATTCTAGAAAATGTTTATGACAGTATTAAGCAAAAGTAGTAGAAGGTGATTCCCACAGTGTTGCAACTATATAAAAATAAAAATGATTACAAATGGAGGCAGAATAGCTTAGCTTTACACCTTGGCCTTTGGACTCTGACAGACCTGAGTTCAAATTTTGGTCCAAAAACTTCTCTGTGTGATTCTGGAATTTTTTTCTTAACTGTCCTAAGGCTCAGTTTTCCCATATGTAAAATAAAGTTAATTGTATTTCATATATCATCAGGGTGCTCTAAGGATTAAATGAGATTTGTCCTATAAAGTTCTTAGAACAGTGTCTGACATGTAGCAAGAGATCAATAAATGTTAAATATTGCAAGGCAGTAATAAATATATTTATTTCAGTCTGATGAGATGGTCAGCATTTTAACTTAAGTAAAATTTGTCTAAGACTATTTTTACATTGTTATCTTAGTATTAAAGTGGGAACCCTTCTACAGAATCAGTGTAATCCAAGTCTGCCTTTAGAATTAAAATTCAAAATAGTATTTGGGATTTCAACATTTATGTCCCCTGACTCTTGTGATCATTTTTAGTATAAATTCCCTGAAAATATCCAAGGAAGCCCACCTTGTGACAACCCAAACTAAAGATGACAAATCAAAGGAAGCAAAAAGAGGACATGAATAGTTTTTTTTTTTTTTTGCTACATATGAAAACAGGATTGTTGTTTGGGAATATACTTTACCAGATGAGGAAGCTGAAATATAATGAGAACCTCATTTTTAGTTCCCTATGGGAACAAGGATGACAGGGCCATCTTTGTGAATGGAAAAGCAAAGGAAGTGGTGTGATGATTCCAGTAATGTCGTCACTATCAATTAGGCCCACCAAGATCCCCTGAGATGCACACACTTCTAGTCTCCAAGTCTGTCACATGGAACCTGTGTGTCAGAGCCAGGAGTGACCTTAGCAAACACCTTGTCAGACCTTCTCATTTGCAGAATGGTGAAGTGAATTGGTGCTTATGCAGCAGATAAGTGGAGTAACCACTGCTTAAACGTTCTCTCATAGCTCCTAGTCTAGTGCTTTTTCCACTCTGTAGGGATCTCTCTGCTCTAGCCAAATTTGAAGAAATTACCCTACAGAGAAAGGCACATTCAATGAAGAAATTAAACAGTTTGGGGGCCAGGAAAGTTCCTTAACTTAAATTAGATAATGTCTTCATAACATCAGCTATATAACAATAAAAATTAACAAATATTGAGCACTTATCATGAGCCAAATGTTACTCTAACTGCTGTCTTATATAAATATCTCAATCTTCAGAATAATTCACATTGTGGAGTAGTTACTATCATTAGCTCCCTGTGATAATGGAGACAAAATGAATTGCCCACAGTCATATACTAGGTGATGGAGTGAGATTTTATTAATGTTCTGACTTCAAAACCCATATTCCGAATTATCATGAAATTCTGCCTCCTTAGTGGGTGCTCCATACGTGGAAGCTGCTACTATTATGACCAACTTCACCTAAAGGTACACTGACAACCTGAGTGATAATGGCATTTGCTTTCTGGTAGGAGTTTTGTCAGTATCTGTGACACAGTAAAGGCAAAATGGGTGATGTCTGTAATAGCTAATCAGAAAAGTTTCCCTGATTGTTTGGATTGCTAACTTAGTTCTTAATGCCCAGGTAATTGCAAAAATGGATCTAAGTGAATGGGAAATGAGAGGGCCCCCAAATTAAGGAGCATGCCAGCAAGTGATGCTTCCCTCCTATCAAAGGTAGAAAAAAGAAAGACATTAATGTTTGTGAAGTGCCTGCTATGGGCTGAGAACTTTGCCATTTGGTTTGCATAGTTCTCTCTCTCTCTCTCTTTTTTTCTTTTTGACAGAGTCTTGCTCTGTTGCCCAGGCTGGAGTGCAGTGGAGTGATCTCAGATCTTGGCTCACTGCAACTTCCGCCTCCTGGGTTCAATCAATACTCCTGCCCCCGCCTCTGGAGTAGCTGGGATTATAGGTGCCCGCCACCATGCCCTACTAGATTTTTGTATTTTTATAGAAACGGAGTTTCACCATGTCGGCCGGGATCCTCTCCAACTCCTGACCTCAAGTGATCCGCCCGCCTTGGCCTCCAAAAGTGCTGGGATTACAGGCGTGAGCCACCGCGCCCGGCCGTGTAGTTCTCTCAATTAAATTTTGTTATAACCCACGGAGGTCTTTGCAATTGTTTTTGTTTTATGAATGAGTTCACTTAAACTCAGAGAAAGAAAGTAACTTTTTCATGGCCGTATGACAAATCAAGTGTCAGAGATAAAATTTGAACCCAAGTCTGTGGGCCATCAAAGTCCATGAACTTTTTTTATCACACTACCTTCTGGACAGGTTTATTTTTATCTTTTGACTTCTCTTGACCACAGTGAGATTAACACACACTCCGCCAATGCACACAGGTAACCTTCCTTACACATATAAACCCGGCCTGTCACAGCCCTCTTCTTTCCCTCCCTGTTCTCCTTCATGTGGGGTGGGTCCTTTGAGGAATCCTTCTCTTCTTCACTGTGATAATTAGATTGATTCCTAGGAATTGATGAAAATGGACAGACATGTGCTAATGGAGGTTCTGAATCACTGCACTAATGCACTACATCATTTATTCATCTATGCAGACCTGTATGAGTAGAAAGAAAGCTGTGCCTCCTCATAATAAAACCCAGATGAGCTTGCACAATGTAGTCGAGTCCACTGGGCATTTAAATTCTGAGGCACACATCAAGGCTGCTCTTTGAACAGGTGCTACAGCTGAGCCATGGGGAAATTACATGAAATACTGAATTCACTCAGAAGACAGTGAGTGTCCCAAAGGAGGTAAATAGGAACTTCTGCATCAGAATCCAGGGCTTACTCCTGGGGCCCGTCTTCTGGCTTCAGATCATGAGAGTAAGAAAGGCCTGGCTTGAAATTTGCATGAAGGCAGATAGCGTTTTTTTGCGCATTTCTGTCTTTCACTTATTCATTCTTTCAACAAGTGTTGAGACTCTATTGCGTGGAGACACTGCTAGGTGCTGAGCTTACACTAGTGAACCGGACATGACAGCAGTGCTTGTATACAGACCTGAGAGTTGAGACGCAGTGTTTTGCCACCATGTTATCTGCTGTGATTCATGTAATGAACAATATAATGTGTAACTGTAATGGCCACTGATCTGCCCTTGTGTCTAATCAGTTACTCTTGTGTGTTGCAACACTCTGGGCAAGGAGAGATAACAAATTAACAGACATGGTCCTTCTTCCATCAGCTAACCTCTAACATACACCTAGTAGTACCAGGGTCCCATATTTTTTTGAGCCACTCTAACCACTTTGCTGTCTTTTCTCTGTAGCCAATCTGGTCAACCTATGATGTCTAGTCTCTGAAGCAGGAGTCAGAGCTTCTCTTCTTGGAAGCCCAAACACTGTTGAGGTATGAATTGAAGCTGTGTAGTGCAATGGGAGGAACTATGTTCTGAAATCAGATATATCTGAGGTATATCCTGGGCCTGTCATAGACTAACAGGTGATGAGGAACAACTCTTAGGCACAGACCCTCGATTACTCCTCTATAGAAGGAGGGCAACAATGTCTTCCCTGTGAGGTCTGCTGAATGAAATAAGATAATGCATACAAAGCTCTTAGAATTCAACAAATGTGAGTTCTCCACACCTCAAGCCTTTGCTCAGTTTCACGTCAGTTCTTTTGCTACCTAGGAAAGCATGTTTGGAAATATGTGAATTATCATATAAAATCCTCATGAACTGGGTCCATGCCTCATGGATATTTTCCAGCCTTATGCATAGACCATGGGTGGTTGAGTTTATCTCTGTCCCAATGTATCATAAGGGGCTTTGTCCACCAGACTAGGAATTCTTGAGGGCTGAGGTCGTGGCCAATGTGTTCTTTTATCTGTCAAGTTTAACTGAGTTCTGGGCTGCCATGTTGTAGGCACTTAATAAAATGCTTGTTAAATTAAAGGATATCTCAATAGCATATTACTGCTGTATGTCAAACACCTCAATGACTTTATAATGACATTTGAAACTCTTTACTGTCAGATTAGATCTTAACTCCTAAGTCTCCTTTATTTCCAGAGCTGTTATCTTAAAAAAAATTATAATTTAGAAAGACTTTGTATTAAGAATGCCATTTAAAACTGCTTGGCTGTCTTGGGTTATAGCCATTTGATTATGCAGCTAAAAGTGATACTATGACATCTTGCAGCTTGCTGGGAAAACCCATAAGGTTAATACTTGATTATAAAATCAAGTTTGCCACAGTTGCAACGGAGCTTATGTCAGCAGAGTTTCTTTAATGAGAAGGTAATTTTAACTGAAATGTCTGCATTATTGTGTTTACTCATGATCTAAGTATGCGAGTATTTTTTCATGCTTCATTCAGTCACATTAAATGCTAACTGTAAGGCATCTTATTTGAACAGCATTTTTAATTTCAAAAATTCCAAGTGCCAGCAAATAATCATTATTTTATTATTCTTATTTTAGGAGTTAAAAACTGAGTCTGAGATTAAAATAATTACAGATCAAAGACAAGTACACAAACCAAAACAACACTATTTGGGATTAACTAGAGGAAAAAGTCAATGTAAATTAATAAACAGTCTAAATATGTATTATAAAATATGATATTATTTTCAATGATATAATATCACTCATTCAAAAGTAGTTTTTTGATATGGTCTAGATTAGAAATTATTTGATCATCAGAAAGAGGAATGTAAAATAATTTTTTTACAACATTGATCCTATAAGTGGAATAGTCACAAAAGTAATAAAATAGGTAGATATTCAAAACTGGTGTTTTCCTATATTATAGAAATTAGAAATGGGAAAAATAATTTATTAATAATTACAACAGACATTGAAATCATAATGATAGGGTATTATGGTCTTCTTAGGCCAGACACATGAGTTCAGCCTTGGTCTAGCCTTGCTTCTTTGGTGTGAAGTCCCTGAGGGTGGTCCATGCATAAAAAGTCAAAGCAGCTCATGGTAACTCTTTTTTACTTGGGACTTTGGTCCAGTAATTTAAGCTGGACCACAGGGAGTGCTGTTTTATTTTCCTGGGGTATTTAGGATTAAATAACCCAGAAACAAAATAATTAAAGACCAGTTCTTCCTACTTTCCCAAAGCCCAAACCAGAGCTTATTATCTTTCTTGTTAGCTGGAGGAAAGGCCATCCCAAATTAGCTGGGTACAGGAAATGGTGCTAGAGACAGATCAAGAGAGAAGGCTTCACCAATGCCCAGAGCTGACTGGCCTAGCCTTTCGCCCTCCCCTTGCCATGGCATCCAGGAGAATGGGGAGGTGGTGGTAGGGGAGGGAAGACACACACACACACACACACACACACACACACACACACACACAAAGACAGAAGGAATCAAAATAAGAGCAAACAAATGATGAGTATCCTTCCTACGCAGATACAATGGACAAAATAAGGAAGAGAATGAGGTCAAACTAAATACAATTATTATTAAATTTTAAGTGACTCCACTCAATGGTTTATTGCCAAAAAGATGTTAAACCTGATCCAACTTTAGTCGGTCTTCTTCCTCGTGAGATGCAGCAAAGGGAAGGACATAAAGAATTCTGCCTGAAGGTCAACATCAGAACCCTTTACATACATTATCTTAGCATGTGTGTAGTGGGTACTATTAATAGCCCCATTTTATAGATGAGTAAACTGAGTTTCAAAGAGTTCAAGAAATTTGCCCAATTCATAAAGTTAGTAAACTCTGGTCATTCTAATAAAAGTCTGTCTTATTCAAGCTTTCAAAAATCAGACCTCGCAACAGTTCCAGTGCCACCAATTATTCATTTTGTCCCCTCCAGCAAACCAGATACTGAACAAAAACTTGTTGAATGGATAAATTCCAAGAAGAAACTATCTGGCTTCTCAGACTGAGGCTAATTAATCCTACTTTTTAGAGTTGCTATAAAAATTAAATGAAAATATCGAATGATTAGCTATAGAAGAAAATATAAAAAGACACTTAAAGGGCTGAAGTAAATTCTTAGTGAGTTATAAGGATGATCTAGGACTTTTTTGTGTGTGTTTAAATCTGTAACCTTTGAGGCTTATGTCAGAAGGAGCAAGTATTCTTTTACTGTATGTTATTCGGGACCACCATTAGGAGTGAGACTGGCCATTTCTCTTTGAGTTGACTGTGACACTCTATCATTCTTATAAATGTGTGCTTTTAAAGTGCTTGCATGGATTTAGTTCCCTACAGAAATATAAGAATTCTTCATTGTTGTCTTGTGAACCTAATTATTTCCCCTGCATAATTCAAACATACCAGTTTAAAGATGAGTAATTACACTATCAAAATAAGTGAGGAATCAGTTAATTTTTGCTTTCTCTTTAACAGTTACCTGCAAACGAAATATGTGATTCCCAACTAAAGTGCCACGTTGTACGCTGTGAGTTGCTCAGGAGACGGGGTCATTTAAAGCAAATCTTCAGAATGAAACCTCAGTGCAATACTTAGGCCACTGGTCAGGGAGTGTCTGCTTACTTTGAACCCTTTCAGTAAGAGTTGGTTCAGTTTTGAAATTTCTGGCTTCTCTGTAGTGTTTAAATTATCATTGAATTTGTAGAGATTCAGTTGAACCACTCAAAAAAATTTATGGCTTCATCAAGTCTTACCTAGATAATTCAACCCAGGAGTGTAAACATATATTCAGTATGTTAAACACTACACCACTCTCTCCCACTCCCCTTTTATAGGGCAATACTCCAATTTTCCTCCACCTACCACATAAGCCCGACAAATTACCTCATATTTTCTGTGCCTCACTCTCTTTAAGCAAATTATCAAGTCATCTTGGTCCTAAGAAAAACTTATTTTAACCAAAGTATTCTCTCTTCAACAAACTTCTTTTGTTGAAAATACCTACTTTATCTTCACTTTTTCCTTATCTTCTGCTCTACAAGACACTTAATTTTCACAGCTAAACTGAAAAAACAGAAAAATTAACACATTTTATTTGGATCCAACTGGTAACAACACCAACAGAATTTGGCCAAAGGTGTTAATCTGCTCTTCACTCGTTTTTGTAATCAGCATCATCATTTATCTGTGTCACCCAAGGTGGGAGCACCACCTTTGAGAACACATTTAGTCTGTAGGCTCGATAAGAGAACTTTATAACTTGCAATCCTGATTCCCATATTTTATTCATGATTTTGATACTCCTAGTCATTATTTCAGTAATCGTCCATTCAAGGCAGCAGGTTAATGTATATGATAAATTTCTCTGCTAATGGCTCCAACAATTGACTGTCATGGCTGGAGGCAGTCTCTGGCAGACAGTATTAGGCTATTCTTGGTTGGTGATGCAACTGCATGAATTCTATGTATGTACCGACTAATTCAAAGGGACTTAAACTATTTGGGAGGAAGGTACTCAGCCACATTACATTTCTAAAATGTGAATTGTAGGGATTGGAATTAAGCTCACTTTAAACACTGTAGTTCATAACGTTTTACTATTGTAGCATTTTAGATGAATGGATAGGAATTCATTTTATTGAGATAACTGGAGTATTCTTCCATATAAAATACTGAGCTGTAATCACTGGACTGGAAGACCTATATTAGATTCAGATATGCCAGTAATTATCTATGTGACCTTAATTAATTTAATTAACTTTTTTGGGTCTTAGTTTCCAGATGATGGTTTGCATACTTTGATAATAGATACTCAACAAGTACTGTTGAGCGAATGTGTTGTTAGAATTTAAAATCTCTCTTGCTGCCAAAATTCTATTTGGCAATGATCCAGACTTACAGATTCTTTCTTATCTGTTTTCTCTCTTCCTAGTCTCATTCTCTTAGTTCAGACCATCATTTCTCTCCAAGATTATGTCAACTGTTATCTGTTTTCCTGCTTCTGCTCTTTCCCCTTTGTTAGTGTCTTCACAATGCAATGAAAGTGATTTTTCTGAAACACAATTTGGTTGTTCACTTTCATGCCTAAAGTTTCTCTATTGCCTTTACTATAAAGCACAGATTCTTTGCCATGGCTTAGACCTGGCTCTAGTTTATTCCTTCAGCTTCATTTTCTCACTCCTCCTTTCCTTTTTGAATATTTTGACTTCTGGTGTTTTTGTAAGAAGGTGTTTTTTTACGTTGAGATCCTTGTACCAGATATTCTTTCTGCTTAAAACACTGGTCTCCCCTCTCTGACAAGCTGGTTCTTCCTAGTCATCCTTCAGATTGTAACTTGCAAGTTACTTCCTCTAAGAAGTCTTCACTGACATCCTGAATTTGGTGCTAGGTCTCCCCCCTTAATGTTCTTATGAAACCGTGTTTCTCACCCATCTCAGAAGGCTTTACATGTAGTGTAGTGACTATGTCTTTGTCTGTAACTGTCCCTAGACAGTGAGTTATATTGAAGGATGAAAACTTTATTTACCTTTACTCCTGCTGAGTTACCAGTCTCTAGCAAAGTGCCTGGTACATTAAACATGTTCAATAAATGTTTGTTAAATGGATTAATAAATGCAATAAACAACAGAAAATTATTTATGTTGTTTCACTTTTTTTTACAGAACATGGAGTTGAGTTTATTACTGTGCACTGTTTCCAATTTTGCATCTCTATCTGATGGAAAATGTGTTTTATATGTACAGAAAAAACAGGGATATGTGTTTATTTTTGAGCATAAATATGCACTGTATTACTCAAGAGAAAGAAAGAGAGAAAAGAGTAATATGTAAGTATTAAGAAATGGAAACAAATAAATGATTTCTTTGTTACTAATTTCCATGAAGGCATATTAGGCTAAAAATGGTATGCCCTTGATTATCCTCACATACCTTAAATTGTATCAATAGGTTCTGTGGATTGTCAAATGAATAGTATTGTGTCCTTCTGGTGGGGGGAGGGTGCGGGGGGAATCACCTTCTAATAATGAACTAACTGTGAAACATTAGCATCTGTGGAGAAAGATATTTGAAAATAATAATACAGACATTAACTCAAAACTTAATTTTCTTTGTTTAGTATGTTCAGAGAAGAAACTTGTAGAAAATTGTTTCAGATGGCAAATGCAAATTATTTAACGGATTCACCCGATGGTATGGAAATCTATGTGAGGCAGGACATGAGGTGATGCTTAAATTATATTTTAGTAAACTATGTTTTCTTCCCATATATGTTTCTGTAATGGTTGGTTCTCTGGATTAATATTTTGATTCTAGAGCCAAAAGGATTGGCTGAATAATTGAATGTGGTAGTCAGAGAAATAAATCAGTTGAGGATGCCTGTAAGTTCTGGCCTGAGAAACTGGACAGATGGTATTGCTATCGACAGGGAGAAAGAAGATTGAAGATGAAATAGGTTTTGGGGAGAATATCAGAATTCAGCTGCAGGCATGTTAAGTTGTTTGACATTTTTATTAGACACATGCCAGAGGAGATGTTGAATGGGTAGGATGTAGATAAGTCTGTACTTTGGGGAGAGAAATCAATGTAGGACGTATGGTTGTGAAACTTATTGGCACATAAATGGTACTTAAAGCTCTGAGACTAGGTAAGATCACCAAATAAGTGAATGTGAATGCAGAAGGAAAGAGGAGCAAGGATTGAGGCTTAGAGCACCTTAATGTTAAAGGCTGGAGAAGAGGAGGAGCCAGCACAGACAAATGAAAGACTGGTGAGGGAGAAGGAGCACTAGGAGAAAGTGGTGTCCAGGAAGTGAAGTAAAGAAAGTGGATCAGCTGTGCTAAATACTGTTGGTAGACCCACAAGATAGGACTGAAATTGACCCTCAGCTTTAGCAATGTGGTGGTCATTGGTGCCTTAGAGAAGAATAGGAGAGGAAGGAGCAAGATCCTGAGTGGAGTGGGTTTAACAGAGACTGGGAGGAAAATAATTCTAGACTGTGAGCATAGATAACATTCTATAATCCATATTCCACATCTTTATGAGAATTTTTGACCCAGTTTTGAATGATCCTTTTCTGGATTTTCACATATTACAAGTTCCTTGGAAGCAGAGTCACTTTCCTTCAATTAAAAAAACTTCTGGTAACAAAAAAACAATGTAGATGGCAGCAGTGGGAAAGCATATGGAGTATATGGATTGCTAAGAACACTGCAACCCACCTACAAGCTTGCTGGTTACAGGAATTTTATTTTAAATGGGATATTCCATGGGCATATCTGCAGAAGAAAAATACCGAGTGTTGTTATGAAGATTACAGACCTCTCACTTTCCCTAGTCTATTTCCATCGAAATCTAGTAACTAACTGCTTTATTCTGTGTCAGTTCACTTCCTTTTAATGTTTTATACAATAAAGTAAAGGTTTCTCTTTGCTTATTTGGCCTAGAGAAGACAATATAAACTGTTACAGAATGAAAAAATACTGTGAGTTTTCATTAGCTTTTGTAGCAGTTCTGAAAGCGGGACATATTTTTGCTATCAGATCCTGTGTGCATATGAAGTTGAAAGATTCTACCTGACCCAGGACTGGGATTTTATCCTTAAGATATTGTTGAAGGTACTAGTCCCTACCTATTAAAATTCTAATTAGCTGTCCAGATTGAATGGTCTGAAATTAGTCTGCAGTCCTCATTTCCACTGCTCAGGGTCCCTAGAAGTAAACTGAACCCATGAATGTCCCTATGAGTACTATTATGGTCTCTCCATCATGTGTGTCCAGTCTGTTTAATGGGCTGTCTTGTTACTCACTCCCCTTCCATGCTGGAATGGGAGCTTGGTTTACTCATTCTCAAGAAAAGGATGTGTGCAAGGAAATAGAAATATTAAGTCCTTTTCTATCCCCCAGGCCACTCATAATCTAATTAAAGGCAAGACAAGTTAAAGATACCTCTATTGAAGACCTTATGGTATGAATTGATTGGTCTTCTTATCAAGGTCTCTTTTGTCATGGAATTCATTATTGAAAGAGCACATGGATACATAAATAGGTCAGAATATAGTATGCTAAGGGCTGTGATAGAGTTTGTGTGTGAAAATACTATGGGACAATAGAGGAGTTACTAATCTGCTTTTAGACATTTGAGCTAGATCTTAAAGCAAGTCTAGGAGTTTTCCAGGCGGACAAAGAGACTTTCCAGGGACACACCTGGCAATAGGACCAGCAGCCAGCATGAATACATTCTTGCAGGTGCAGATGAGTATATGTGGTTGAGCAATGTAAAATATCCAGTGTGTCTGGACTACTGGGGGTGAAGGATAAATGTGTGCAGCAGTGACGCTCATGGTCTTATTGTTAGATTAATACAGCAAGACTCATCTGGTTGAGACTTGAATTGTTAGGCCATAAAATTTTGTCTTTTTTCCTCTTCTATTAGTCATTTGCTTAGCAAGAGATAGATTTTTTTTGTATCAATCAGTAAAGGAGATACAATTCATAAGCACTGTGGGTCAGTAAGAGGAGAGTACACCATGCCTGAGACTTGAGAGGTAAGGCCCTACTCGGCATATTCTGTAAGGGTGGCATACCCTTGGCCACAGTGGCAGCTGGCATCTGTTACTCTATTTTTCTATAAAGCTTCCACCTCTCGGTATTGCTCCATGCCTCTGTAAACACTGCTACATTTATACTTCAATTAGGAAGAGTGCTGAATGACCTCTTTTTGACACTCTTAGCTTAGCTCCAATGAGAAAAGCTCCAGAGAGCAGAAACAGTGGTGTATCTCTGAGCTACCAGCCCTTCCTACGGGTCACCTAGCTTTAGCTCTTTCAGAGTAGATTTCCTCACGGCAGAACTGAATGATTTTCTGACCTGACTGTGTCCCTCACACTCACATAGAACATCTCATCTCTTCTCCTTCGTAGTCAGTGATCAGGTGGGAATATAGTTCCAAGGCTGTGCAACTTTTTATTCGACTTCCATCTTATCTCCTAGGGCAGAATTATAAAACCTTTTACCCATCTCTTACCTGAATTTTGGATCCTCTTTACTAAAACTTTTATTTTTGAGTTAGTATTAAATTGTATTTTAGATGAATTTGATAAAAATGAGTAAAAATTGCCTATATTTCCAGGGAATATCTTATTTTTAAAATATTTGTTAGCTTTCTAAGACATTAGAAAGCTAATGCAATCTGTACCTGATTGATACAAGTGATTCTCCAAGTGCCCCTCACAGGAGCTCTGTGAGTCTTATGAGTGTCTACCTACCCAGAGATTTAGTCAACACTAAATCTTAGACATTAGTCAGTGTGACTGACTTGGAATGTAACTTTTATCTCTGGTTTAAAATTCATAATATAATTAGGTCATGGTTTCCTATGTTGATATTTGCTCCATGGAATTCTGATAGCTGATATTTTAATTGAATTTTCATGTGTCTGAAACAGATGCTATAAGTGATCTCCCCCATCAATGTGGAAATGTTAGTCATGCAAATTTAGAAGACAGCATTCACTCATTGTTCATTCCTACATTTCAGGGCTATAGCCCATTTAACCACAAACATTGACATTAATCATAGGAGCTGTGTGTTTAATTATAAGTGGCCACCAAAAGAGACATTTCAAAAAAGACCCCAGGCAACAGTGTGATGTAAGCTTGTTTTCCATAAGCAAAGGATAGAGAATAAAAGTGACTATGCTTTTCATTATCCTATGCTTTTTAAAAAAATTTCAGTATGCCGAAAATTATTTTGCTCTTTCTCTTGATTAATATCAGAGCATGCTGCATGTATTTTTGGTTCAGTGACTGAAATTTGGGGGGGAAACAGATGCACTCATCATGAGGACCCAAAATAACATTACCATGAATTCTATTATAACATACAAAACACTTAGAAATTTACAGTAATTACATACAAACTTATAAATAATGGAAGAGACTTAATAACGTTGACCTTGCTCAATCATAAATAACAAGGCTGTTTTAAACTCATTCTAATTGCCCCCTCATTATACAGAAACTTTTCTAATCCTTTCCAGTCATGGGAATCTGCGTAACGAGCTGTACTCCTCTGGGTTGTTGGATTTCTTTCTAAGAATTTTTCCTTCAGTTCTACCTTTCTCCTTGTGCTCCCCTCCACTCTTTGCCTGTTTATCTCCCACTGCAATCTATACCTGATTGATACAAGTGATTCTCCAAGTGCCCCTCACAGGAGCTCTGTGAATCTTATGAGTGTCTACCTACCCAGAGATTTAGTCAACACTCTAATCCTTTAAACAATGGCACACACAGAAATGCAAAATCTTAGAACTGAAGTTGCCACTACTGTGGAGGCAATAACGTGAATGATTTTTCCTTCAAGGTTGTTGAATCATGCCTTTTCAGAAACAGAATCTATAACTAATATGAGGATGTTACCTACTTAAAAAATAATACTGCGTGGGTTTGGGAGACATATGTAATATTAAAGACATAATAAAAGTCTACTGCATTATATATACAGTAAGAAGAATAAATGTATGAAGAGGGAGTGAAATTTCTTAAAAATATGGGTAGAACAAGTGCATTCTTCAAGTTTCCAGTTAAACACTGGAAAGATATGACCAAGCCATCAGGAAGATATGACCAGAAAATGCAGATAGAGAAATTTTCTTTCTAAAATTGTATGTACAGTGTGAATACAACCACGCACATACAGATACACTCATGCATGTATGCATATACAATTGACTCTTGAACAGCATGGATTTGAACTGCACAGGTCCACTTGTACGTGGATTTCCTTCTGCCTCTGACAACCCTGAGACAGGAAGATTAACCTCTCCACTTCCTCTTCTTCGTCAGCTTATTCAGTGTGAAGATGATAAGGATGAAGGCGTTTATGATTATCCACTTCCACTTAATGAATAGTAAATATATTTTCTCTTATGATTTTCTTAACATTTTCTTTTCTCTAGCTTACTTTACTATAAGAATACAGTATATAATACACATGACATGCATAATATATGTAAATTGACTGTTTATGTTATCAGTAAGGCTTCCAGTCAACACTAGGCTATTAGTGGTTAAGTTTTTTAAAGTAAAAAATTATACATGGATTTCATCTCTGCACTGAGTTGGTGCCCCTAACCTTCACATTGTTCAAGACTCAACTGTATATATAAATGTGTGTGTGAACCAAACCTCAGACATTAAAAAAAGCACTTAAAATACACTAAAATATTAACAGTGAGTATATTTTGGTGAGATGTAAAACAATAAGCATTTTAATATTTTTTTCTATTTTATATATTTTCTTAATATTGTATCACTTTAGAATGGTATACAACCTTTAAAACCTAGAATATAAACCATGGAAACATATTCATGCAACTTTGTATACAGAACACATTTGTATATGTAGACTAGTTTGAACTGAATTATACTGTGTGTATATTTCCTTCCAACTATATAGGCCTGAGAAGTCAGAAAATATTTGCTCTGGTCCCTAAACTTATGCTTTGGAGGAGAAGCCACTAATAACTTGTTACCAAACTCCCATTTTGTTTGTTGCATGTAGCGCTCTGTGAGGGTGAATGGTAAAGAAAGCAATGGCACAATTATCATAAAAGATTGCTCTCCTGGTGTTAATAGTTAACATTTTTCATTCATGTGACTTGTGCATGAATAAATAATGGACACAGATGTATGGTTTTTCACTCTCCATGACTTTGTTTTTAGCTAGCCATTCTTATCAGTGGAATAAATTGATAAGTGCCTGGAATAGAAGCTGCAGAATGAACAATGAGAGCTGGATCCCCATCAGTTTTATCTGTTATCCTTGCTGGCTCATAAGGTTTGCCTTGTAAAGATTTCCTGGTCTTATTACTAACCACTGAACAAATACTCTGGTTAAAGCAAAATTCATCAATAAGCAAATGGAAAACAAATCAGCTTAGCAATAAATTTGAAAAATACAGCCTCATAGAGAAAACCTGCAAGGTGACTTTACAGTAAGAGTGATAGCAAAATTGCTGGGATGTGACTCGAATTTACACTGCAAATGACTGTCATGGGGCCATACCACAGAATGCCAAATTACAGTGTATGATTGCTGAGCAAAAACATATTTGTGCTTTCCAGTTATAGACAAGAATGTCAAAAGCTTTCTGAAAGTAGAACCTCAGAGTACTTTGTTATGTGCTATTTCAGGGTAGAAGGAATATTCTTGTGCTTTATGGACTCATGTTGTATAAACAGAGAGTAAACGTCCTCTTATTCCCAAGGGCTTCCTGAAAATTTGATGAAGATGATGAAAAAAATAGGTAAATTTTTGCATATCTTCTATGAGCCAGGCATTGTGTTGGTGCTTTAATATGTTACCTTATTTACTGATCACAAACCCATGTGAGTTCTTTGGCACTTAACCCAGTTGTCTCACTGTCTAGGGACTGACTTCCTGTTATTAACACATGACTGAATCTCATTGTTTGATTGATAGGCCTGACCTTCTGAATCTCCTTTTCGGTTCTTATGTTTCACATGATTTCCCTGTCCTCTACTTAATACTCTCAAGCTATATATAATAATAATGATAGGAAAGACTTTTCAAACACTGTATGTCAGGCACTATTCTATGCATGTATGTATATAAGTATGTATCTATCTATCAATCACCAATACCCTTCAGCCAAAGACCACGGGAACACCAGAAGTTGAGCAAGTTGAGTTTATTACTAGTTGCTTTGAGGGAGAACATACGTTATAGGGAACTGTGAGAGTGTTTCAGTAACTGTGTTAGAAAGAAGACAATAAAGATATTGGGTTTAACTGAGGAATTTGGAGAAAGGTCTAAGGAAGTAGGAATATATTTTGAATGCTGAAAAAAGCAGGAGCAACTGTATGACTAAATATCTGATTAAATCTTATCTATGGGAAGGGAGATTAGAGCTAGGTTAAAGCTGTAAACAGGTAGCAATCACTCACTTCAGTCAAGAGAGAGGGGTGTTTGGTATTTTCTGGCTGCTCAGTGGCCTTGGTTTTGTCTGTTCTTAGACAAAATTATGAAGTGGCTTTGCTTTGTCTTACTTTATCATGGCCTCATAGTAACCTTGTCTGATGTTGGTATTCTGAGTATTTTTTTATGCCCAAGAGGAGAATAACTTGATGTGACTACAAGTGCAGGCCAGCTTCCAAAGGTCAAGGGCTGCTCTTTTGCATTCTCTCTTTCTCTCTCTCTCTCTCTCTTCTATCTATCCATCCATCCATCCTTGTTCAATAATCACTGCAACCTTGATAAGCAATGCATTCTTCCATCACAGAGAGCATGGACTTTTAATAATGATCTTCTATTATTACATTTTTACCTCAGTGAGCCAGTTAGGATAGGAGGAAAGCCTGCTGTCATGGCAGCCTGCTGAGTGCTGAATAGTGATTTTTATGAAGGAGAGGTTTAAGGGAATCTAAATTGCATCTTGAAGATAGCTGCCTAATTCACCCATGCTTAGATCTGAATGGGCTGAACAATTTAGGCAGTGTAATCCGTGGAACTCTAGAGAAGGAGCTGCACCGGCTTGTGCTTCCTAGCTTTCTGGGAAGAGGAGAGTGTCTGGGAACAGGAAGAAAGATGCAGTCACTTTGGCCATGAGGGAGAAAGTAGAAGAAAGGAAAAACGGCATGAAAAAGTGGAGTAAGGGAGAGGAGGGTAGGGGGCATGTGATAAGAAAGGAGGAAGCAGTCTCTGGCAGTTTTCTTATTCCCTTAGGGTTTATAAGAGTGGAGAGTCCCCACAGGGCAGAAACAAGAAGGCATGATGGCCAGGACATTCCTTGTATACTGCTATCGCTTTGGCCCATGGAGGTGTTTGCCCAATAGAGGCTGATTGCTGTGCTCTTATTCAGGGCTCTTCTTCCTAGAAACATGGGCATGTCTACATCCTTGGGGCAGAGAGAGGAAACAATATAGATGGAGGATTAATAAAAACCCCCAAGTCCCACTGAAGGCTAGCAGTGAGAAGGACAACAATACCACATTCATAATGTCTGCATTCAGCCTTGATCTAAAAACAATGCAAAGTAAATTCTCTTTTCTTTTCCACCATTTGAACTTCCAGTCTATCAAATTAGATAACATGGAAAGTCAAAACAGGAAGAAGCAACCAGAATTTTAATTAAATTGAAATAAGTGACCCAGAGCATATGGTGATAATAACTTTGGGTTTATTTTATTTTCTGTCTGTCATTTCTTCATTCATCACCTATTTATTGAGAGGCTACTGTGTTTCAGGCACGGTGCCAGGTTTGACACAATGATTAATGAGCTAGTCAGGATCTCTGCTGGCTGCAAAGTGGGCCCCAGGCACTAGGTCATACCATTGATTCAAAGACAAGAAACCTCAGAAATCTTAAATGTATTCTGAGAGCATACATACATTTGAGTTTTAATGTGTTAGATTTCCACAAATCAGGCTGCTCTCTGGTAGCCAGTTTATTTACTTGGAAGAAAAGTAATTTAAATTTTGAGTTGCTGTGTTTCTACCTTTGTTCATTTTTGCCTCTTGCTTCTTCAGGAAGCAGACAAAAGCTTGGCTCTCTATGGCTTACCTAAGATTCCTGCATGATTAGATAGACTGGATTCACATGTTTTCATCTTTCCCTGCCTTTGCTTACTCTCTCTTTCTTTCTTTCTTTCTTTCTTCCTTCCTTCCTTCCTTCCTTCCTTCCTTCCTTCCTTTCTTTCTTTCTTTCTTTCTTTCTTTCTTTCTTTCTTTCTTTCTTTCTTTCTTTCTTTCTTTCTTTCTTTTTTTCTTTCTTTCGATTCAGGAGCAGAAATCTCAGTTGGGTCCATGCTTGGTCACATGCCTAGTGAAGTGCAGTTGCTCAGTAAATGAAAATAGGATATTAAGTAAAGTAACCTCTGTCTCCAGGTGAATAGCACTTCCTACATGATGTATATAGGTATTCACTCTCTTCTTCCTTTTGAACTCTCCTCAAGGGAGGATGGATTAGCTGACAGGTCCCAAGCTTTCCCACCTGAATTGAGTCTTCTAAATGGCCACATAAAGAAATTCCTCCAACCCTCCAGAAATGGTCAATAAGTCCAGTCACAAAAGAGTATTCAGGGATTTTGTTCCCCAAACTAAAGAAAGTACAGGGAAAAAAATCTCTCTGATACTATCATTCTTTTAGCTTTAATTTCTCATTAGAAAGATATTTCAAAAAGTCTGAAGAAAGCTTTCAATAGCCTGACATCTTGTGAATACAAGCTGTTGTACTGCTAAAGTGTCCGTTCGTGTCAGAAAACACGAGATATAGGTATGTTTGTCCTGTCGATCCACTTTAGATATCTCTTTGTTGTCTCTAAGAAACCTTTCATCACAGACATTTTACCTTCCCTTTTTCAGGTGAGTTGCAGAGCAGTTAGGCTTAAAGTGTAGCCCATTTTCTGATAAGAATGAATCATCGGGCTCAGTTTTAATTTGCTGTCCTTTCTCAATTGACAGTTTACTTATCGTTTCTTATATGGTAAATGGTGAAGGACGTTACCTCCTAGAGTTGGACTTTCAGACTTCTGAGAAAAAATCTACACTCCCAGTAAAAACAAACAAATAAACAAACAAAACAAAAACAGAACAAAACAAAAATGAAATGCTCACCTCAATAAAAAGAAACAAGGAATAAGAACAACAAGACTAACAAAAAATATCAATTTAAAAATATTTAAACAATGTATAAAAATGAATTTTTACTCTCTATCTCAGGCAAAAATCTTCATGAAACCATATTCAGTTACATTGTAAATTTACATCTGCTGTAAGCTGTGGATATGCAAAGGTGTACAGAATGGTATAATGGACATTGGAAACTCAGAAGGGAGGAAGGTGGGAGGCAGGTGAGGAGTGAAAAACTACCTATTGGGTACAATGTACACTACTCGGCTGATGGGTGCCCTAAAATCCTAGACTTCACCACTATACAATTCATATATGTAACCAAAAACCACTTATAGACCTAAAGCTACTGAAATAAAAACAATAAAAAATAAAAACAGTATCAAGATAGCTTCTTATAATGTCTGAGATGGCAACTGAAAGGTGTTTGGATAAAGTCATGGCTGCAAAGGTTAGGGAAGTCAGCAATTTATTAGTCATGCACACAAGTAAATTCAGTGGCTCAGTCTGTAGTTAACAAAGGAAGGGACTTCCTTCTATATTTGTTTTATTGGATTTTAATGGACAGTCCAGTCATCTTTCAATGAGAGGGAGAGAAAGATAAAAATGAGATACCATTGAATTGAATTGCCATTGGATACCACAGGGGACGGTGTGGTGTTCCTCTTGCCTGTTCTTATACCATCTGGTGTCCCATCTAATCAAAATTCCAAATACTTTGACTTCGTATCTGTAATATGTTATAAATGAACTGGTAGAATGTGGACTGAACTCATGAGAAGGATTCTATGAGATATGGGTCCAAGATTTTCTGGCCAAGTATTTATTTGCTCCCAAATATCAAATTAGCTACCATTCTCAATTATTTCTTTAAAAATATTTAATGAGTCACTTGTATTATCTCTATCTTCCATATTAGATATTAAGCTCCCTGATTAATATCTAATTAAGAGATTGATCTATTAAGAGAATTGATCTATTAATTAGATATTAATCAAGCTAATTAGCACATTCATCATCTCACATAGTTACTTTTTTGGTGTGGTGAGATCATTTAAGATGTAGTATGAGGGCTAATTTCAAGGATACAATACAGTGTTATTAATGATAGTTGCCATGCTTTTCATTAGATCTTAAATTTATATTTGTGACCTTACACCATATAGACATTAACTAAAAATGGATCTTAAACGTAAAACCTAAAACAACAACACTCTTGGAATAAAACAAGGAAAAGCCTAGTGAATTGGATTTGGCAATGATTTCTTTTTGATACGACATCAAAAGCAGAGGCAACCAAATAAAAAAATTGATAAATTGTATTATATCAAAATTTCTGTTTGTGTCTGAAGGGTTCTCTTTTATATGTAATAGTGACCTATGAAACAGCTAGGGTTTGTGTCTTGCAAGAATGAATAGCTTTATTTATAGATGTTTTCCTATGTTAATGGAACAATAGAAAAATAAATCTGAACACTACTTGTTCTTGCAAGCCTTATAATTGGCTGCGATAATGCCCTCTCAGCACTACAGGTTAGGCTTTCATTGTATACTTTGCTTGCTTTTGGTTGTAAACAACAGAAACCCATTCTGCCTAACTTAAGCAAAGAAGTGATTTAGTGGAAGTGTATAAGTTGGCTCAGAAAACTAAAGGAACATTTTCAGAATCACAGTCACTAGGGTCTGGAAACAGGGGAGCTCTTGGGAAATCCAGGTTGGAAGAGTTCATCACAGTTTTATCAGATAATGCTACAGGATGAGTCAGCTCTAACCATCTTTTCACTTCCTTTGTCTTTGAACTCAGTGTCTTACTGGCCAGTCTTGAATCATGATACCCTCAGCCTTCTCCTCAAGAAAGAAATAATAACTTTATTTATGGTCTGTCAAGACCACATGAAGTTAAAGAGCCAATTCTATCAAAGGAAATAAAAAGTGCTGTTTGCAGAGAAAGGAGGCATGCTATGCAGCTAACAAACAAATGAAACCCAAGTACATGTGCTGTGAATTTGCAATTAGCACCTATTCAACAGGGGGATCCTGAGGTCAAATAATTGGATCCAGAAGGAACTGAAAGGGTGATAAACCACTGAAGTCATCATTTCTCTACCTGAATTATATTCCTATGTTAATCTCCTTGAGCCATACTCAAACACTTAAGGCTATTTGAGTTAAAAAAGAAAAACTTGTTTCTTGTTACAGAACAGTTACTTAGTATTTAATTATTATTATTTATTATCCTTTAAGTTCTGGGGTACATGTGCAGAATGTGTAGGTTTGTTACATATGTATACATGTGCCATGGTGGTTTGCTGCCCCCATCAACCTGTCATCTACATTAGGTATTTCTCTTGATGTTGTCCCTCCTCCCGCCCCCCACTCCCTGACATGCCCCAGTGTGTGATGTTCCCCTTCCTGTGTCCATGTGTTCTCATTGTTCAACTCCCACTTATGAGTGAGAACATGTGTTGTTTGGTTTTCTGTTCTTGCGTTAGTTTGCTGAGAATGATGGTTTCCAGCTTCATCCATGTCCCTGCAAAGGACATGAACTCATCCTTTTTTACGGCCGCATAGTATTCCATGGTGTATATGTGCCACATTTTCTTTATCCAGTCTATCATTGATGGGCATTTGGGTTGGTTTCAAGTTTTTGCTATTGTGAACAGTGCCACAATAAACATACATGTGCATGTTTCTTTAGAGTAGAATGATTTATAATCCTGTGGGTATATACCCAGTAATGAGATTGGTGGGTCAAATGGTATTTCTAGTTCTAGATCCTTGAGGAATTGCCATACTGTTTTTCACAATGGCTGAACTAAATTACACTCCCACCAAGAGTGTAAAAGCGTTCCTATTTCCCACATCCTCTCCAGCATCTGAGGTTTCCTGACTTTTTAATGATTGCCATTCTAAATGGTGTGAGATGGTATCTCATTGTGGTTTTGATCTGCATTTTTCTAATGATCAGTGATGATGAGCTGTTTTTCATGTTTGTTGGCTGCATAAATGTCTTCTTTTGAGAAGTGTGTGTTCCTATCCTTTGTCCACTTATTGATTGGGGTTGTTTGCTTTTTTCTTCTAAATTTTGTTTAAGTTCTTTGTAGATTCTGGATATTAGCCCTTTCTCAGATGAGTAGATTGCAGAAATTTTTTCCCATTCTGTAGGTTGTCTGTTCACACTGATGGTAGTTTCTTTTGCTGTGCAGAAGCTCTTTAGTTTAATTAGATCCCATTTGTCAATTTTGGCTTTTGTTGCCATTGCTTTTGGTGTTTTAGACATGAAGTCTTTGCCCATACCTATGTCCTGAATGGTATTGCCAAGGTTTTCTTCTAGGATTTTTATGGTTTTAGGTCTTACATTTAAGTCTTTAATCCATCTTGAGTTAATTTTTGTATAAGGTGTAAGGAAGGGGTCCAGTTTCAGTTTTCTGCATATGGCTAGCCTGTTTTCTCAATACCATTTATTAAATAGGGACTGGCCTGTTTCAGATTTCTGAGTGGTTTGTTAAACAGGTGATGACTTCGAAGTGTGGATTAGGAATATGAAACTCTGGAACATAGTCTGATGATATGACACCTCTCTGTCTCTCTTCTTGGGCAAAATTCCTAACTATAACTTCTTATAGGAAAATGAATATGGTTTCCCAAATATTCTTTATCCTGATCATTGTTCTACTGCTGCCTGACTAGTGCTTCAAATATCATTAAGTAACAGCACAGCTTTTCAGCCGTGATTAGATAGAAGGAATAAGTTTCTTTATAATTTATAAAGAAAAAAGGTTTAATTAGCTTTTCCATACCCTACTGAATTATTATCCTATCAATATTTTTACCAGCCCCTCTATGCTTATTAACAAAATCACACCAGTTACTGATATATTCATGATATATTTTTACAGATGCTTTCTCAATTAATGATCATCAACAATCTAGAAAGATGTGTATTTATCATTCCCATTTCGAAGATGAGGAAAACAAAACTCTAATTGGTCACATCGTTAACCAAAATCACAGAACAAGTCACATAAATAATAAGTCCGGGTCTTCTGTTTCCAAATTCTAATGAGAAGCACTTGTGATCAGAATAATCTTTTCTACTGCTTTATGTTTACTTTTATTGCTATTATTATTGGAGTGCAGTGGTATGATCATAGTTCACTGCAGCTTTAAATTCCTGGGCTCAACTGATCCTACTGCCTTAGATTCTCAAGTAGTTAGGACTACAGGTGTGTACCACCATGCCTGGCTAATTTATATATATATATATATATATATATATATATATATATATATACTTTTTTTTTGTAGAGGTGGGGTCTCACCATGTTGCCCAGGCTTGTCTTGAACTCCTGGCCTCAAGCAATCCTTCTACCGCAGCCTCCCAAAGCACTGAGATTACAGGTATGAGTTACCATGCCTGGCCTTATGATTACTTCAAAAAAATTTTCAGTATTATTTCATACAATACTGGATATGAAGATGTTTAATAAATTCAGAATGCTGAGATCTCTTCAGTATACAAATTTCTTTTTGTTTGGCTCTATATCCAACAATGGGATTCCTGGATCATGTGGTATTTCTAGTTTTAGTTTTTTCAAGAAATTTCCATACAGATTTCCATAATGGCTCTACTAATTTACCTTCTTGCCAACAGTGTACCAGAGTTCAATCTTCTATGCATCCTTGCCAGCATTTATATTTACTGCAGCACTCTTCACAATAGCCAAAATATGGAATTAACTGAAAAGTCCATCATGGATAAAGAAAATGTGGTATACAAAATGGAATACTATTCAATTATAAGAAGAATGAAATCCTGTCATTTGCATCAACATGGATGGAACTGGAGGTCATTATGTTAAGTGAAAAAAGGTAAGCACAAAAAGACAAATATCACATGTTCTCACAAATATCACATGGTAACTACGAAAGTGGATCTCATGGAGATAGAGAGTTGAGTAGTGGTTACCGAGTCTGGGGAGGGTAGAGGGGAAAAGCTGGATGAAGAGAAGGAAGAGCATGGATGAGGAGAAGCTAGTCAATGAGTATAAAAGCATGATTAGATAGAAGGAATAAGTTTCTTTATAATTTATAAAGAAAAAAGGTTTAATTAGCTTAATTGGCTCACAGTTCTGCAGGCTCTACTAGCATGGCACTAACATCTGCCTGGCTTCTGGCGAGGGCCTCAGGAAGCTTACAGTCATGGCAGAAGGTGAAGCAGGAGCAGGAGCATCACACGGAGAGAGTGGGAGCAAGACAGCAAGGAGGGAGTTCCCAGACTCTTAAACAACCAGATCTTGCATGAACTGAGCAAGAAATCACTTATCACCAAGGGGATGGTGCTATCTCATTAGCAAGGGATCCACCCCCTGATCCAATCATCTCCCACCAGGCCCCACTTCCAATATTGGGAATTAAATTTCAACATGAGATTTGAAGGAGACAAACATCTAAACCATATCAGTTTCTTAACAAAAAATATGTTCAGTCAAGTAACTGCAGGTTGCTTGACACCTAAAAATCATCAAAGCCTGGAAAAGAACTAGATTTATTCTGGCATAAAAGAGATAGCCAAGAGTAATTTAATATAATTTTAGCGTATTCTTAATGCTTACTCAGAGATTGATAACATAAGATAAAAATAGTTTCAGTGTATTCAGTCTCAGATAAATATTGATTTAAAAAATGTTTTTAAAATAATGTGTAATCATCTTTTGTGAATATCTTAAAAAATTTTTTTTTACTATTACACTTTAAGTTCTGAGATACATGTGCAGAACATGCAGGTTTCTTACATAGGTATACATGAGCCATTGTGGTTTGCTGCACCTATCAACCCGTCATCTAGGTTTTAAGCCCCACATGCGTTAGGTATTTGTCCTAATGCTCTCCCTCCGCTTGCCCATCACCCCCTGACAGGCCCCAGTATGTGACGTTCCCCTCCCTGTGTCCATGTGTTCTCATTGCTCAACCCCTACTTATGAGTGAGAACATGCAGTGTTTGGTTTTCTATTCCTCTGTTAGTTTGCTGGGAATGATGGCTTCCAGCTTCATCCATGTCCCTGCAAAGGATATGAACTCATTCTTTTTTATGGCTACATAGTTTTGAAGGAATAAGTTTTAGTGTTCAATAAAACAATAGGGTGACTATAGTTAATAGTAATTAATTTATTGTGTATTTCATAAAGCTAGAAGAGAAGATCTGGAATACTCCCAACACAAAGAAATGATAACTCTTTGAGGAGATGGATATCCCTATTACCCTGATTTGATCATTATACATTGTATACATGTATCAAAATATCACATGTACCTCCAAAATATATACCATTATTATGTATCAATAAAAAGTCTCCAAATTTAGACTGCAGGACAGGCTTTCTCCTCTTCCAGCATTTGTTTTCCCACTCTTAGTTGTTCTCTTTTTTCTTCATTCTTCTTATTTCTTGCTTGCTTTTAGTCAATTTTTCAATCCTAGCTTATTTTCACATTTACTCACACACTTTAAGTACTGGAGGGCATAATGACATCTATATCTGTGTATCACCTTGTTATTTGTAAAGAACATTTGTGTATATGAGCTCATCTGTTTTCATCTGTTTTCACCTAATTCTCTTAACAATCCTGTAAAGTATTGGTTATTATTTTCAGATTCCAGATGAGAACATGGAGATTCAGAAAATTTAAGTTTCTACTTTAACTTCATATAGCTAGTGAGGCTTGGGACAAGTTGTGGAACAAAGATTTGAATCCAGATACTTTTTAGACTCTACACTCACTTCTCTGATCATTCACTTTGTCTCTCACCAGCCCATCAAAATGCAAGAGACGATAGGCCAGAAACTGGTCTTAGCAGGCTCATTCACCTGTCCCCCAGGTTCCTGTGAGCCAGGCTATTTTCTCATTGGAAAATTATTAAACTGTATATCAGTAATAATGAATAGAAGAAAAATAATTTTTCCATGCCTAGAAAACAATAATACTATTGCCTAGATGTTTCCTAAAATATAACATTTCTTAGCCTAATTTTATTTTGGAACAGTGTTTTATACCATCAAAATGTACAGTCTAACATTTTATAGCACTTGATTTGATTCAGATTGGGTTTACTGAGGACTTTCTGAAAATGGAATGCCTGTCTGAGAGTAAATGAGTTTTCCAACACTTGGAATTGTCAAATAACAGATGGATATCCACTTAGTGATGTTATAGAAAGGAGTCGCATTTCCTGTATGAAGTTAGGTTTGATTAGACCAAAAGTTTCTTCAAACTATAAGATTTATTGGTTTTGTCTTTGACCAGTTAAATACAGATTAGAAAAAAATGATAAAGACAATGTGTATACTGTAGGTAATGAAAAAGATATTTTAAAAAACAATTTGATTACTGGTAATCTATATGGAGCAGATATATCAGCATTAATAACAAAAGTTTTGGCATGAAATGGACATTGCTCTAGTTATTTTGATAGCTCTGTAGCCCTGGGAAATCACTTTACCTGAATGAGCCTCAGTTTCTCATCTGTAAGTTAGAAATAATAATAATAATAATAATATGCCTTTCAGAGTTGTGTGAGTTAAAGATAGTTCCTGCAAAGATCTGATACCTGGCAAATATTAGGTGCTTGGTATGTGACCACCATAATTGTAAAAGACAAAGGACAGGAACCATCCTGTTTATGTACCTGGTTTTCTTAAGTGTTAACTCTTTCAGAAAATAGTTTTTCTTAATGTTTTTTTCTGGAAACAGCTAGACAAGGCTGACCTCATGAGTATGTACCCTGTGCAGCTACATTGCTTACCATGCTCAGAAGAGCCTGATGCTTGGTTTGATTCTCTGCTGTTGCCATCCTAAAACTTCTTAATAATTTTATTTTTGGTCTTGTGTTTTATAAGTGAAGTGCAATGGGACAGCAGAACACGTGCATGAACAGAGGAGCTGTACACAATATGTGCATCCACTGTTTTTGCCCCCTTTGTGCATAGTGTTTGCAATGTCCAATCAGTTCAGAATTCTGTGCACCCATGAGATGTGGAAGTTCAGTGAGACTCAAAGAGGGAACAAGGTAAATGTTTCGCATCTGTGACAAAATAAGTAGGTGCACTGACAGCCCTGAGGAGCCACATTTTCCCTTCCAACCTGAAATTGCTTTGAAAGTAGATGACAATGGTAGTCTTCTAAAGATACAAAACACCAAGAAACCCTATCACATCCTTTCTTACTCCTGTTATTTCCTGTATTAGCCAACCTCTTCCCCTGAAAATGATGACACAGAAAGAAAGGGAATAATAGGATAACTCACAGTGCCTTTTCCTTTCAGTTCTTCCTGACTCTTCCGAAAGCTAAAGGTAGAGAGTATTGGCAGAATGTGCATGTATCAAGAAGTGAAATAAAAATAGTTGAGTTTGTTTTGTGCGGTGTTTCCACTGTTCTGGTAAGAACAAAATATGCATACATATACAAGCTACAAAAGCAAATTTTATAAATTTAGTCTTTCCGCATATGAATTAAATACTCATATTGACATTTAAATTTGGCATTGCACAAACATGAATGGCAAAATTCATGCTGATAATTTAAAATTTTAATTTTTTACTTAGAATGACAATATCAAATTTTAAAAAGCACTATGTGAAAAGGCGGTGAGAACACAGAAGAAAGTATATTTAAGAACAGTACGTATTTTTCCTTCTTTTTGAACAAGAGTCCCACATATTTTCACTTTGAACAGGGTTCTACTAATTATGTAATCAGGCACTGCAGCTAGAATACAATTCTCAACTTTGGGCTTATGGCTAGTTGTGGCTATGTGACCTAATTCCAGGTGACAGGATGTGAGAGGAAGTGATGAGTTTCACTTCCAGATTTATAAAATTATTGCATACTTGGAAATTTCCTTTCCACTAATGACTTATCAAAGTCTAGGGTGACCTAAGGAAGCATGATAAAACCTCTATGTGCCTGGATTCCTTAATGGCTGCATGGTAAAGAGCCTTCCAGCCAATCTGGAAACCCTTTGGACTGTATATATAGTATAAATGAATAATAAATACATTTATTTGTATTTTAGCCCATGTACAATTCTGAGTCCATGTGTTGGCTTATAGTAATCACCTGGCTTAAAATGCTCTTGCCTTTCTTTACACTGTCATACCACTTTGTTGCCTCTACCATAAAGTTGGTAAGTACGACATAAAATCTTCTATTGTTATTTGACTTTTATATTTCTCTGCTCCTCAGTTAAAGTATCTTTGGACTAGAGACTATCTCTAGTGCCCTGATTGTATTCCTTTGGCACTGACCATTCATGCTTGCTCCAACCCAACATCATGTTAGTCTACTAGAGTGGTGACATCAGGTTAATCTGATATGGTGAGTAGGAAGTGACAAGCAGTGTGAATTCCTAGGTAGAGCACCAGAGTGTGGGAGATAAACCTTACAACATTTTAGGAACCTGGTCATTGGTAAGCTAGTCTACGGCAGGTCAGGACATCCTCTTCAAGAATAAGAATACCTTTTTTCTCCTGTAACTTCAATCATTAAGAATGAAGTATAGAAGCTTATAGCATTTTTGGATTTTAAAAATAGCATGTATCACACTTGAAAATAGTGTTCCAACCTATTCATAAAGTGACTCAGAAAGCTGACAGTTTTGAGCCAGACCCAGAGCGAGAGATGGCTTTACAACAGAGTAAGTCTGTGATAAAAGCAGCTCTGTTTTTGGACCATAAGGCCTAGTGGATCCAATGAGGCTAAAAATATCTGCCCAGGATAAGAAAGCTGCATAGAACCTCTGGTAAGCCCCTGGGTAGAAAGTCATAGCACAGACTATCTAAGTTCTAGAGCAAGTACACACCTTCTGCAGCAAAAACTGGTCACTGTTCAATGGGCAGTTCCTGTTATGCTGTTGCTATACACAGAGACTAATAGAGACCATGGGATATTAAGCAGCTTTGTAACTGCAGTTGCCCATCAAGAATGTTGTCAGACTCATCAAGTCATACATAGTAATCCATTACATGATGAAAATGGCATATCAGGGATCATACCTGAGCAGGTCTGGAGACCATGGTAGTTTATATGAATAGGTATCCCAGAATCCTATGACACTTACATCTGTTGCTCTGACACTCCTCCCTCAGTTCAGGCTTATGGCCTGGTAGCAGATTCCCTATGGTCTGAGGAAAAGTCAAAAATTGGACCTTCCCCATTATCCCCATTGGACTTGGGAGCAAGGAGAACTAATGCAATGAATTGATACTCTTGCTGCTTGCTGTGCCTTGAGTTATAAAGTTCTTGGTCTATGATCCAGGAGTTTCGTGTCTTCTACCTGTATCCATGAGACCAAAACAGCAGCATCAGATCAAGTATCAGACTCAACATATATATAATATGACCATGTATCATGTATGCGCATATGTGTAATGAATATTTATATGTTTGTATATGTAAACAAACAGGCATAGTTATCTCTGAGTGATAGTGTCGTAAGTGATAACTTCCTCTGTTTTAGGCTTATTTTCTATATATCTGCAGTTAAAATATATTATTTGCAATGAGAAATAAAGCAATATATGTACTTTTAAATCTAAAAAATAAGAACCCAACAAAATTCTTGGGCCTGGTTCATCAATAGGTTAATTTATATGTTAGTGTGAGCTGAAAATACAATGTTCTGCCTGACAACCCCACTCTGGGCTGAAGGACAATGGTGAAAGGGAATCCTAGTGAGCAGAACTTTGAAGAGCTACCTCGGCTTCAACTTTCAGTGGAGAGTTGTTAGAGGTAAGGGTAATGGTATACTGATTCCTGAGCAGTGGCAAATGGCTTGACTGGGTGCTCAGGAGACTGAAGGAGGAACAGTGTAAGATAAGAGTCAAGGAAGTCTAGGGAACAGACATGTGGATGGAGCTATAGGAGTGAGCACAAAATGTGTGACTCTTTATGTCTCATGACAATGCCCATCAGAGAGATTTTGGCATCAGACTCTAACAAGGCCCTCAGTGATCCCTGTCCCCTGTTATCCATGTCCTCTGTGATCCCTACACTTTGATTATGGGCTGGCCTAGCTACTATCTCTAGTTGATATATTATGACAAAAGTAATGCAATGTCATTTCTAGACTATGTTACATGAGATAGTTACTTTTGTCTTGTTTCTCTCTTTCTTGCTGGCTTTGATGAAGCAAACCACCATAATGGGGAGGCCCATATGTCAAGGGCCTGTAAGGACCCAATAGCCAGCAAGGAACTGAGACACTCATTCTAACAACCTGCAAGGAACTGAGTCCTGCCAACAACTACCTGAGCTTGGAAGCAGATACTTCTCCAGTTGAGCCTTCAGATGTGATTCCAACCCTGGCAGACATCTTGTTGCATCTTTATGAGATACTTGAAGCAGAAGACCCAGATAGGAGTGCTCAGACACCTAACCTACAGAAACAATGGGATAATAAATGTGTACTCTTTTAAAATCACTAAGTTTTGGGATAAGTTTTTATACAGCAATAGACAGCTAATACAGAAGGCATGTATCACAAAAGCAGCATTAAAAAGCCTGATGGATAGGATGACTCATCCAGGTAATGCCAGACAGTTTCTGTCCTCAGCTACTCCAGAATTGCACAATGGGTCAATGACAGAGTAGTCAGGGTGGCACGGATAGAGAATATCCACAGACTCAACATTATGGGATCTTTCTCACCAAGGTTGATCTGACTCTGCTGGTGCTGAATATCTAACCTGTCATAGCAGATGCAATGCTGAGCCTTCAATATGGAATCATACCTAAACCAGACCAAATAGCTACATGAGCTATCTGAGCTGGGAGTGCTAAATTACATACCCATGCCTGCATCGAAAACTTTTAAGTGAAAGTCCTGAGCAATTTCTATAAAATTTAGTTAATAGCAAGACTAATTATTAAGTATTCTTCCTACTTATTATATGCATACTTTGTTCCCTGTAACTTTGCTATTAAAATGTTTTTTCCTCTTAACTTCTACTGACAGATTGGCTGTGTAATTGGAGTTACTTTCCTAAAGGCATCAAGAATTGATATTCCCCTAATTTAATTAAGCAACTATGAAAAATCCAGCAGCTCTAATTAAAGGGAATACAAATACAACTATTTTGAAGGAAAGAACCTAAGGTAATGGATAGAATGTGTTTTTGTTAAATTTGTACAGAACTTTCTGAAATGCTAGGCTGATTTATTCTGCTCAGTATAGAGCAATACTTTGTTCTTTTGTGGCCATTACCTTAAGCAAAACTCTTTTGAAACCAGCTAGATGTGGAGGTATTATTTCTAATTCCGAGGCTGAAGAATTTAACTTTCAAAGCCCCATGTTAGAGGCCAAAGGCTATGTATGCAATACTACAGCTGAAAATAGATGATAGGAGTCTCATTTCTCTCTGCATCCATCAGTCACATTGCTTTCATCCTCAATTTATTCACCACAAATTCCCATTGACCTAGGCACTGTACAAAACATACATCAAAATGAGACCCTGCTCTCAAGGACCCACTTGGCAGCATGTAGAATCTATATCAAATGAATTGCAAGGGTGATTTTCCATATTATCTGGGTCCTTGGGCTGTGTTTCTCATTTTTATTTCTTTGTGTTTTATAACAAGGAAAATAGCCTCAAATACTTTTAGAAACAGAGTATTAAAAATTGCTTTTAAAAAGCCAACAATAATTAGCCTGGAACAAAGTCAGTTCACCACTTGTTCTTTTAATAATAATTAATTCTTATTATTCACAAATCACTATATTAGAGATAAATAAAACATGAAATCTCTCAGGGAAATTTTAGACAAGTCAACAACCTAATACAATAGGAGAAATGATAAGGGAAATTTGCAACATAGTTTCTATCCAGAAGCTCTGGAAAGACAGATAAATAAAGAAGGGATAAACTACAGAGAACCACAGAACATGAAAACTGAAATGGAGCTACAGAGTATCTCATTGGTGCCCATAGTTTCACTGATAGTGAGGTGTTTCATTATCATATATATATATATTTTTTTGCCTGTGCTCATGTTTAGAAAAAATTTTGCCTACTAAACAAAATAATTTATCAATGATTAATGAGTGCAGTATCATTGTTTGTCTGTCAGTTGGAAGTATGTTTGGGCAAAGCTTGTTTTTAGAATGGGAAAATGTTTGGAGGCCAGGGAGGATAGGTGAACATAGAATATGGTTAAGTCATGGGAGAGAGATTAGGAGAAAGGATAATTAAGGAGGTAAGGCCCCACGGCAAATGAGAAAGACTTTTAACAATGGTAGAGGTGGGGGTGGACAATAAGGACCCCTGATAGTTTTTGTTTGTTGAAATATAAGATGGTGGAGAGAGGGAAGCATGTTGTCAGGGTGAAGTGGGGAGGTGGGGGGATGGAAGTAAGGGAAGGTGTTCCTGCAGGGCAGGGAGAGGGAAGCTGAGAACTCAGACAGAATGGACAAGGTTTAGGATTGGTTTAGCACAGTACAAGGACATTTAAGGAAAAGAAAAGGGACTAGTGGGCATCATTAAAATTCCAGGAGATATGAGATATTATTCTGAAGCCAGTCAACCGAATGGCTAGATTTTTCCAGCAGCCTTAAGCATTCTGGGAGCAGGACTGGAAGACAAACTGAATAAGGACTAGGAAAGCTGTGGTTCCTGAATGCTAAGGGCATAAGACAACCTGAGGTGAAGCTGAAGGTATGATGGAAATATAGAGTCTTGGGGTCCAGACAAGTTCTGGAGAGGCAGTGTGAGAAGACCGTTGCTAGATTGGGATATAACAAGAAACTGAAGAAGAATAGGAATTCGCTATGGTGGCAAAGATTGGGTTCAGAGAGTGGGAAGAGTAGCAGAACAGATGCTGGGTCTACATTCAGCAGGCATTTTCTGTCTGGTAGGGACATGTGTGGTTGCCGCATGAGGAGTAGGAGGTCTCTGAAATTCAGCAAGTTCCTGAATTGGGAGACTAGAATGCATCAGGAGGATCACTTATAAAAATTTGAGGTATCTCAGAGGGCTGGCAAGATAAAGAAACAAGCAGGTATCTTTCTACAGCATAGTGATCTGGTAGAAATACTCTTAAGCCAGGGTCAGACAAACTTGGTGTTGGTCCTGATTCTACCAAAGATCAGGGTCTCCTCCCTCCCCATTTTTTAAAGAAAACATTTCATTTTAGAATAGTTTTAAATTTTCAGAAGAGCTGACAAGATAGTATAGAGTTCCCATAGACCCCACGTCAAATTTTCCCCATTATTAATATCTAACATTAGTATAGTACATTTGTTACAATGAATGAATGAATCAGTTTCAGTACATTATTATTAACTGAAGTTCATACTTTATACATATTCCCTTACTTTGTTTCTTTTTTTTTTTTATTATACTTTTAAGTTTTAGGGTACATGTGCACATTGTGCAGGTTAGTTACATATGTATACATGTGCCATGCTGGTGCGCTGCACCCACTAACTCGTCATCTAGCATTAGGTATATCGCCCAATGCTATCCCTCCCCCCTCCCCCCACCCCACAACAGTCCCCAGAGTGTGATATTCCCCTTTCTGTGTCCATGTGATCTCATTGTTCAATTCCCACCTATGAGTGAGAATATGCGGTGTTTGGTTTTTTGTTCTTGCGACAGTTTACTGAGAATGATGTTTTCCAACTTCATCCATGTCCCTACAAAGGACATGAACTCATCATTTTTTATGGCTGCATAGTATTCCATGGTGTATATGTGCCACATTTTCTTAATCCAGTCTATCATTGTTGGACATTTGGCTTGGTTCCAAGTCTTTGCTATTGTGAATAATGCTGCAATAAACATACGTGTCCATGTGTCTTTATAGCAGCATGATTTATAGTCCTTTGGGTATATACCCAGTAATGGGATGGCTGGGTCAAATGGTATTTCCAGTTCTAGATCCCTGAGGAATCGCCGCACTGACTTCCACAATGGTTGAACTAGTTTACAGTCCCACCAACAGTGTAAAAGTGTTCCTATTTCTCCACATCCTCTCCAGCACCTGTTGTTTCCTGACTTTTTAATGATTGCCATTCTAACTGGTGTGAGATGGTATCTCATTGTGGTTTTGATTTGCATTTCTCTGATGGCCAGTGATGATGAGCATTTTTTCATGTGTTTTTTGGCTGCATAAATGTCTTCTTTTGAGAAGTGTCTGTTCATATCCTTCGCCCACTTTTTGATGGGTTTGTTTGTTTTTTTCTTGTAAATTTGTTTGAGTTCATTGTAGATTCTGGATATTAGCCCTTTGTCAGATGAGTAGGTTGTGAAAATTTTCTGCCATTTTGTAGGTTGCCTGTTCACTCTGATGGTAGTTTCTTTTGCTGTGCAGAAGCTCTTTAGTTTAATTAGATACCATTTGTCAATTTTGGCTTTTGTTGCCATTGCTTTTGGTGTTTTAGACATGAAGTCCTTGCCCATGCCTATGTCCTGAATGGTAATGCCTAGGTTTTATTTTAGGGTTTTTATGGTTTTAGGTCTAACATTCAAGTCTTTAATCCATCTTGAATTAATTTTTGTATCAGGTGTAAGGAAGGGATCCAGTTTCAGCTTTCTACATATGGCTAGCCAGTTTTCCCAGAATCATTTATTAAATAGGGAATCCTTTCCCCATTTCTTGTTTTTCTTAGGTTTGTCAAAGATCAGATCATTGTAGATATGCGGCATTATTTCTGAGGGCTCTGTTCTGTTCCATTGATCTATATCTCTGTTTTGGTACCAGTACCATGCTGTTTTGGTTACTGTAGCCTTGTAGTATAGTTTGAAGTCAGGTAGCATGATGCCCCCAACTTTGTTCTTTTGGCTTAGGATTGACTTGGTGATGCGGGCTCTTTTTTGGTTCCATGTGAACTTTAAAGTAGTTTTTTCCAATTCTGTGAAGAAAGGCAGTGGTAGCTTGATGGGGATGGCATTGAATCTGTAAATTACCTTGGGCAGTGTGGCCATTTTCACGATATTGATTCTTCCTACCCATGAGCATGGAATGTTCTTCCATTTCTTTGTATCCTCTTTTATTTCCTTGAGCAGTGGTTTGTAGTTCTCCTTGAAGAGGTACTTCACGTCCCTTGTAAGGTGGATTCCTAGGTATTTTATTCTCTTTGAAGTAATTGTGAATGGGAGTTCACTCATGATTTGGCTCTCTGTTTGTCTGTTATTGGTGTATAAGAATGCTTGTGATTTTTGTACATTGATTTTGTATCCTGAGACTTTGCTGAAGTTGCTCATCAGCTTAAGGAGATTTTGGGCTGAGACAATGGGGTGTTCTAGATATAAAATCATGTCGTCTGCAAACAGGGACAATTTGACTTCCCCTTTTCCTAATTGAATACCCTTTATTTCCTTCTCCTGCCTAATTGCCTTGGCCAGAACTTCCAACACTATGTTGAATAGGAGTGGTGAGAGAGGGCATCCCTGTCTTGTGCCAGTTTTCAAAGGGAATGCTTCCAGTTTTTGCCCATTCAGTATGATATTGGCTGTGGGTTTGTCATAGATAGCTCTTATTATTTTGAAATACCTCCCATCAATACCTAATTTATTGAGAGTTTTTAGCATGAAGGGTTGTTGAATTTTGTCAAAGGCTTTTTCTGCATCTATTGAGATAATCATGTGGTTTTTGTCTTTGGCTCTGTTTATATGCTGGATTACATTTATTGATTTGCATATATTGAACCAGCCTTGCATCCCAGGGATGAAGCCCACTTGATCATGGTGGATAAGCTTTTTGATGTGCTGCTGGATTTGGTTTGCCAGTATTTTATTGAGGATTTTTGCATCAATGTTCATCAAGGATATTTGTCTAAAATTCTCTTTTTTGGTTGTGTCTCTGCCTGGCTTTGGTATCAGAATGATGCTGGCCTCATAAAATGAGTTAGGGAGGATTCCCTCTTTTTCTATTGATTGGAATAGTTTCAGAAGGAATGGTACCAGTTCCTCCTTGTACCTGTGGTAGAATTCGGCTGTGAATCCATCTGGTCCTGGACTCTTTTTGGTTGGTAAGCTATTGATTATTGCCACAATTTCAGATCCTGTTATTGGTCTATTCAGAGATTCAACTTCTTCTTGGTTTAGTCTTGGGAGAGTGTATGTGTCGAGGAATTTATCCATTTCTTCTAGATTTTCTAGTTTATTTGCGAAGAGGTGTTTGTAGTATTCTCTGATGGTAGTTTGTATTTCTGTGGGTTCGGTGGTGATATCCCCTTTATCATTTTTTATTGCATCTATTAGATTCTTCTCTCCTTTTTTCTTTATTAGTCTTGCTAGCAGTCTATCAATTTTGTTGATCCTTTCAAAATACAAGCTCCTGGATTCAATAATTTTTTGAAGGGTTTTTTGTGTCTCTATTTCCTTCAGTTCTGCTCTGATTTTAGTTATTTCTTGCCTTCTGCTAGCTTTTGAATGTGTTTGCTCTTGCTTTTCTAGTTCTTTTAATTGTGATGTTAGGGTGTCAATTTTGGATCTTTCCTGCTTTCTCTTGTGGGCATTTAGTGCTATAAATTTCCTTCTACACACTACTTTGAATGCGTCCCAGAGATTCTGGTATGTTGTGTCTTTGTTCTCATTGGTTTCAAAGAACATCTTTATTTCTGCCTTCATTTCGTTATGTACCCAATAGTCATTCGGGAGCAGGTTGTTCAGTTTCCATGTGGTTGAGCGGTTTTGAGTGAGATTCTTAATCCTGAGTTCTAGTTTGATTGCACTGTGGTCTGAGAGATAGTTTATTATAATTTCTGTTCTTTTACATTTGCTGAGGAGAGCTTTACTTCCAAGTATGTGGTCAATTTTGGAATAGGTGTGGTGTGGTGCTGAAAAAAATGTATATTCTGTTGATTTGGGGTGGAGAGTTCTGTAGATGTCTATTAGGTCCACTTGGTGCAGAGCTGAGTTCAATTTCTGGGTATCCTTGTTGACTTTCTGTCTCGTTGATCTGTCTAATGTTGACAGTGGGGTGTCAAAGTCTCCCATTATTAATGTGTGGGAGTCTAAGTCTCTTTGTAGGTCACTCAGGACTTGCTTTATGAATCTTGGTGCTCCTGTATTGGGTCCATATATATTTAGGATAGTTAGCTCTTCTTATTGAATTGATCCCTTTACCATTATGTAATGGCCTTCTTTGTCTCTTTTGATCTTTGTTGGTTTAAAGTCTGTTTTATCAGAGACTAGGATTGCAACTCCTGCCTTTTTTTGTTTTCCATTTGCTTGGTAGATCTTCCTCCATCCTTTTATTTTGAGCCTATGTGTGTCTCTGCACATAAGATGGGTTTCCTGAATACAGCACACTGATGGGTCTTGACTTTTTATCCAATTTGCCAGTCTGTGTCTTTTAATTGGAGCATTTAGTCCATTTACATTTAAAGTTAATATTGTTATGTATGAATTTGATCCTGTCATTATCATGTTAGCTGGTTATTTTGCTCGTTAGTTCTTCCTAGTCTCGATGGTCTTTACATTTTGGCATGATTTTGCAGCAGCTGGTACCGGTTGTTCCTTTCCATGTTTAGTGCTTCCTTCAGGAGCTCTTTTAGGGCAGGCCTGGTGGTGACAAAATCTCTCAGCATTTGCTTGTCTGTAAAGGATTATATTTCTCCTTCGCTTATGAAGCTTAGTTTGGCTGGATATGAAATTCTGGGTTGAAAATTCTTTTCTTTAAGAATGTTGAATATTGGCCCCCACTCTCTTCTGGCTTGTAGGGTTTCTGCCGAGAGATCCGCTGTTAGTCTCATGGGCTTCCCTTTGAGGGTAACCCGACCTTTCTCTCTGGCTGCCCTTAACATTTTTTTCTTCATTTCAACTTTGGTGAATCTGACAATTACGTGTCTTGGAGTTGCTCTTCTCGAGGAGTATCTTTGTGGCATTCTCTGTATTTCCTGAATCTGAATGCTGGCCTGCCTTGCTAGATTGTGGAAGTTCTCCTGGATAATATCCTGCAGAGTGTTTTCCAACTTGGTTCCATTCTCCCCATCACTTTCAGGTACACCAATCAGACGTAGATTTGGTCTTTTCACATAGTCCCATATTTCTTGGAGGCTTTGCTCGTTTCTTTTTATTCTTTTTTCTCTAAACTTCCCTTCTCGCTTCATTTCATTCATTTCATCTTCCATCACTGATACCCTTTCTTCCAGTTGATCGCATCGGCTCCTGAGGCTTCTGCATTCTTCACGTAGTTCTCGTGCCTTGGTTTTCAGCTCCATCAGCTCCTTTAAGCACTTCTCTGTATTGGTTATTCTAGTTATACATTCTTCTAAATTTTTTTCAAAGTTTTCAACTTCTTTGCCTTTGGTTTGAATTTCCTCCCGTAGCTCAGAGTAATTTGATCTTCTGAAGCCTTCTTCTATCAGCTCGTCAAAGTCATTCTCCATCCAGCTTTGTTCCATTGCTGGTGAGGAACTGCATTCCTTTGGAGGAGGAGAGGCGCTCTGCTTTTTAGAGTTTCCAGTTTTTCTATTCTGCTTTTTCCCCATCTTTGTGGTTTTATCTACTTTTGGTCTTTGATGATGGTGATGTACAGATGGATTTTTGGTGTGGATGTCCTTTCTGTTTGTTAGTTTTCCTTCTAACAGACAGGACCCTCAGCTGCAGGTCTGTTGGAATACCCTGCCATGTGAGGTGTCAGTGTGCCCCTGCTGGGGGGTGCCTCCCAGTTAGGCTGCTCAGGGGTCAGGGGTCAGGGACCCACTTGAGGACACAGTCTGCCCGTTCTCAGATCTCCAGCTGGGTGCTGGGAGAACCACTGCTCTCTTGAAAGCTGTCAGACAGGGACATTTAAGTCTGCAGAGGTTACTGCTGTCTTTTTGTTTGTCTGTGCCCTGCCCCCAGAGGTGGAGCCTACAGAGGCAGGCAGGCCTCCTTGAGCTGTGGTGGGCTCCGCCCAGTTCGAGCTTCCGGGCTGCTTTGTTTAACTAATCAAGCCTGGGCAATGGCGGGTGCCCCTCCCCAAGCCTCGCTGCTGCCTTGCAGTTTGATCTCAGACTGCTGTGCTAGCAATCAGGAGACTCCGTGGGCGTAGGACCCTCTGAGCCAGGTGCGAGATATAATCTCCTGGTTCGCCGTTTTTTAAGCCCGTCGGAAAAGCGCAGTATTCGGGTAGGAGTGACCCGATTTTCCAGGTGCCGTCTGTCACCCTTTTCTTTGACTCGGAAAGGGAACTCCCTGACCCCTTGCGCTTCCCAAGTGAGGCAATGCCTCGCCCTGCTTTGGCTCGCGCATGGTGTGCACACCCACTGACCTGCGCCCACTGTCTGGCACTCCCTAGAGAGATGAACCCGGAACCTCAGATGGAAATGCAGAAATCACCTTCTTCTGCGTCGCTCACACTGGGAGCTGTAGACTAGAGCTGTTCCTATTCGGCCATCTTGGCTCCTCCCCTTACTTTGTACATTATATCATTTTTCTGTTCTAGTACCACATCAGAATCCTGCATTACATTTGCTCATCATGGCTCCTTAAGCTCCTCTTGGCTGTGACAGTTTCTCTGACTTTTCTTGTTTTTGATGACCCTGATGATTTTAAAGATTACTTGTCAGGTATTTTGTAAAATGTCCCTCTATTGTGATGTGTCTGATTCTTTTTCATTATTAAACTAGGAATATGGGTTTTTGTGAGGAAGATCACAGAAAAAAAGTAGTATTCTCATCACATCACATGAAGGGTGCCTATTATCAATATAATTTATATCTGTCAATGTTGACCTTAGTCACCTGGCTGAGGTAGTGTTTGTCAGGTTTTGCTCTGTAAAGTGTTTCTTCTTTTCCTGCTTTTCATGCTGACCTCTTTAAAAGGAAGTTATTATGTGCAGTACAAATTTAAAGACTGGAGAGTTATGATTCATCTCCTTGAGGAAAAAATATCGACATAAATTATTGTGTACAGGGCAATTTGTTTATTCTCTCCAATTTACGTATTTATTTATCAAATCATTTATTTACATCAGTATGGACTCATGGATATTTGTTTTATGCTTTGGGTTATGATCCAATGACATTTTGTTGATTGTTTTTGCTCAGATTGTTCCAGCTTTGGTCACTGGATGCTCTTTTATTTAGCTCCTCCTGTGTCTCTTTGATACACCCTTAATATTGTTTTAGTTTTAGCACTTTTTTACTTTTCGGAATTATATTATGCTACAAGTTTACCTTATATATTTTCTACCCTACTCCTTTGTCCAAGAAGCCCTGGTTCCTTTTATGGAAAATGGTATTAGAGTCAAAGATCTGTGTGCTAAGTGTATTTGTTACTACTGAAGATCAGAAATACTGCCATGACATGTATGGACCTTGATGCATGAACTGGAGCCTGTATTCCTTTCCGGCTTATCTTGATCGATCATCTCAGTTATTCTTTGGGCTTCAGCCTCACGGTTCTTCCTTTCATTCTTGGAAGGCCCTATACTCCCTCCAGCCTCAAAGACATATGCATACTCTCGTCTTTACTAAATTTTTATCCCCATTGCCTTTACTCCTTAACCATTTTTGCCTTGTTATTTTCTACTTATTCTTTAAATATCCTCTTTACAGAGGAGCCTTCCAAAATACCTATCTTAACTTAAATTAGACCAAGGTATACACTTTCGCCATCCTGTATAGTTTTCTTAACTTTGTTACTTATCACATTTTGCAGTTATATATCTATTTGTATAATTATTTCATTAGTGCCTATTTCAACCAGTAAGCTGTAAGAGACTGTCATTGTGTTCTTATAAATTGTATATCCAGCATCTAGCACACTGCCTATCATATGATAAATATATCATAAATAGTTTAAAATAAATGAGATAATTGAAGAGCTATCCTATAGACGAGAGCCTATATAGAAAAAAATGGTTTGTTGCTATTTAGGACAAAACAATAGACTGCATAAGACAATGTTAAAGAAGGGCACCTTTTGGTTCAGAACAAATTTCTTATTACTAGAGTATCCAGTTTGGAAATGAGCTGGATCATGGAGTAATGAGCACTTTGTCACTGGATGTGTTTAAATAAAGAATAGAAAATCATCTTTTATTAATGTCTGTGAAGGGACCTGTTATATTGATGAGGAATATTGAATTGGGGCATCAATATGTTTTATTTCAATAGTGTGACATGGTGGAAAGAAACAGACAAATCAGCCAGGTGTACCTGATTATATTCTCCCACTACAACTTTCTTGTTATGTGATTTTGGGCGAGTGACTTATTTTTCCTGAGCCTCAGATTTTTCATTTATAAAGTGGGAATAATCACAGTACTCATAGCTGACTCACAGTGAGAAATTACACAATATTTGTGAAATGTGTAGTACAATACCTGGCACAGGCAAGTGTTCAATAAATAGTAGCTACTACTATATTATGAGGCAGATACGACCTGTAAATAGCACAGGATTTGGAGAGAGGTACATGTGGTTTTGAATCCCCACCACTATTTGCCAGTTATGCCATTTTGACTAAGTTACCTATGGTCTCTGAGCATCAGTTTCCTTAGCTCAAAAGTACAGATATTAATAGTTATTATTTTAGAAGGCTGTTTAGAGTAAGAAATATGAAAACAAATATATAGAACATTGCCCTAGTGTGTTCTCCATATATTCTCATGCGGCAAGATTACTTGGATATTCTCCAAGAAGATCCTCAGGTAAACAGATGTTGTTTTTGTTGTTTTAGTGGGCATGCAAATTGAGGGTAAAAAAATGAATGACCCAGCACAATAGAAGGGGTACATTTTGGAGGCTGAGTAAGGTAAGAAAAACAGCAGGGTCAGGACAATGAGTATCTTGGATGAAGGAATACTTTCCATAAAGGAAGAGGTATAATATTAAGTGATGATGGTAACGGTGATGAAGCTTTGCTGTGTCATGTATATTTCTTTTTTGATTTTTCTCCAAATAACCAACACTATATTAGCCTCCAATTCTCTTGAATTTGGATTTGTTTGTTTTTGGAGGAGAAACACACTGGTGAATCTGAACTCAAAGTGGGCTCAATGTACGAGCAGAGACTACCACAGGGGCCTGGTCCCATTCAGATTGTACTAGATTCTTCCTCTTTCCCCTTCTAATTCTTAGGTTCTGACATTATATCTTTCTGGCATATTTATTGCTGTAAGAATGAAATAAAATGAACAGATGTGGAGAAACCACTAAAATATAAATTGATAAATATAGATAAATAAATATTTCTATTTTTACTACTGACCTGAAGAACTAGAAAATTCAGAATTATAGTACTGATACATCAGTAAAAGCATTCTGAAATCTTCCAACTACTCCATCATATGAACTATTTCATGCCATCAACTCTCCCAACCATCTCTCAAACATCAAGCTCTTTTAAGAGCAGGGACAGTGCCATTCATTCAATCATTCACTCAATCTAAAAATATTTACTGAGTCTGTATTATATGGCAGGAATCAATCTAGTAGGTAGGGCTACAGTGATGAACAAGACATGAGGTCCTAATGGAGTTTCAATTGCAGTGTTTGCTGGTGATAATGGGTGGGGGAAACTGTCAACAATGAAATAGACAAACAGACAATTTATAAAGATTACTATGCTTGCTATGGCTTGTTTATCAGTATATTCCCCTAACACAATGTCTAGCATACAGTAAGTACTCAATAGTTATCTGCTGACTAAATGTATAAATGCATATCTCAAAACCCTTTTCTTCTAGGCCAACATTCTGCTTTCCCCAACTGATAACTCACTTGAACTAATGTATTTTGCTGCAAATGTGCATTTTAACAACAGTTATTTGGTTAATGCTATACCAGAGGGAGACACTGAAATAGAGCATAGATAAAGCCAGTGGGAAGCAGTTTGGAGTTCAGAAGATTTGGGTCACTTTATAGCTTACATCTATTATGGTACTTCCTCTTTTTGAACTCAAGGCCCAGTTTTTAAAGCAGGGAAGGTACATAACAGTGTTAGTAGTAAGTGATAGGAATTATACACTTCTTTTACAAAAGCTAATTCAAAATTATTTGAACATCATTCAAAATGTTATTTTAACACAAGCTTGTGGAAGATTCAATTCAACTCTATAGACAACTTAGATGAGTTATTTGCTTAAATGCTTGCTAAGTAAGATCGTAAAAATAAAACCTTAAGGGAACTCTTGAGGTGATCAAATATGTTATGGGGATTTGGGATTTTTGATAAGCGATACGATTCTTTACAAAATCTCCATGAGCTCAAATAATAACTATTTTCTAAGACATTAACTCAATATAATATTGCACAGGGCTAAAGAGTAGACAGGTGAAACAAATGGTTTCAGAAAGTTATAACTCTTCCCCACTTCCTTTGCATCATAATTTGGCTGCTCAATTTTTAGAAAAGTAATAACTGACCACAAATAATGCAATATGTAGTAAAATTTAATCTAGTGTTTGCTTAATTAACAATTTAAAAATAATATGACATAAAGATAATTTAAAAATCTAATTTTTAGAAAGATAACATCCTGTTTATTGATATTGATTAGTTTTGTAGCACCGTATATTTCAGCACACTTTGAATTCTGAGGGAGAAGGGAAAAGTATGTGGCTCACAGCACTAGGAATGTGGTAACACCAGCTCTTCCAATAACAAGTTATGCTTCTTTGGGTGAATGAAAAAAATTCCTTGACTTTTCCAACTCTCCTTTCCAAAGCTGTAAAATGTGAGGGTTGGCAAGGATGATATATACTTTTCTTCCAGTTCTAATATTGGATGATCTTTTTGATGCCTGATTTTAATGTTTTAATTGAGGAACTAGGTACGGACCATTTCTTTAATAGCCAAGTAAGAATTTTTGCTAAATTAAACACAATATAATATTACTCATTGTGTCTTGATTCAACTGTATTTAAAATATTCTACTTAATTTAAGCTTCTTCCTTCTCAAATGATTTGCATACTATTTGTCTCCTGGATACTAAATACCAATTTAACTTAGAGACTTATAATTTTTTAAACTCTTATGAATTAATTATCATTCTCTCAATTAATTATTGGAAATTAATGACTCAAGTATAAAAGTAAGTCTGAAACATCTACACAATTTCTCTAGTTTAGAATTTTTCAAATTACACAGGACAAATTTTTTGCTTCTGATCATGGAGAAACTAATATGACAGTTGCCTTTCCACTGTAAACTGCTAGAACCTTGGGGAAAATGCATGAAATAACTGTTTTCTACCAAACACCGCATGTTCTCACTCATAAGTGGGAGTTGAACAATGAGAACACACGAACATATGGAGGGGAACATCACACACTGGGGCCTGTTAGGGGGTGGGGTTTAGGAGAGGGATAACGTTAGGAGAAACACCTAATGTAGGTGATGGGTTGATGGGTGCAGCAAACCACCATGACACGTGTATACCTATGTAATAAAACTGCACATTCTGCACATGTACTCCAGAACTTAAAGTATTAAAAATAATAATAATAACTGTTTTCTGACATTGTACAAGAAGAAGCCAATTAGGGCTATGATCCCTGAGTGAAGGGACCACATATATGCTCTAGAATCAATCATGTTGGCCTTAGGCCTGGAAGCAATTTATGAGAGGTAGAGGGCAGGTAGAGCATGGTGGTCTTGCTATGTTGTGAAATGCCAAATTCAGATCAGGTACTTAACAGAAGATTAGATGCTATTGAAGAAAAGATTGCTGAACTGAAAATCATAGAAATAGAAACATCCAAATGAAGCACAGAGAGAAAACCATTCCAAAACATTTAAGAGAGCCTTGGCATCTTGGTGGACAATGAAGGAGTCTAACTTTACCAATAAGTAATTGAAACTCCAGAAGGAGGAGGGTAGAAAATATATTAGAAAAGATAGAGCAGAAAATTTTCCATATTTCAAGAAAACTATACATACACACTCTTAGCAGGATAAATCCCAGAAAAATAACCAAAGATAAATTACATGGGGGCGGGGAGATTAAGGATGGCCTCATACTTTATATCCCAAACAAAGGAAGTCAGAAAACAATAAAGACATTTTAAAAGTGATTGAAGAAAAAACATTTTTCAACCTAGAAACCTATAACCAACAAAACTGTATTTCACAAATGAATGAATGCAAAATGAAAGTTCTTTAGACAACAATAGCTGAGAGAATACATTGCTGGCAGACCTGTACTATAAAATATATGAAAGGAAGTTCTTCAGACAGAAGGAAAACAATACCAGATGGAAACATATATCTACAGAAAAAAAAAAATAAAAGCAGCAGAAACAGTAAATATTAGAGAATTTTCTTCTTTTTTGTTTCTTTAAAATTAATAACAGTATATTATATGGCCATAACATGAGAAGCAAAACATATTAAAATGTTAACATAAAGAAAGGAGGGGAAAATAAAAAGATATGCTGAAAATGTTTACATTATATGTAAAGTGGTATAACATTATAAGTTAAAGATGAATATGTAAACCCTAAAACTTTCATGTTAAAAAAAGTCATGTAGCTAACAAACCAATCAAAACAATAATGGAGATAAAATTAAATCATAGAAAATTCCCTTAATCTGAAGGAAGGCAGAAAAGAAAAGAAAAAATTAAAAATAGAAGAGATAAATAGAAAACAAAATTATAGTTAGAAATTATCTTGATAATTACATTAACTATATATTGTCTAAACATTCCATTTAAAAGCAGAGATTATCAGACTATCCAATAGCAGAGATTATTGGATTAAAAATATGCTATGTACAATAAAACTAAAATATGAATTTTAAAATGATTTTAAAGTAAATGAAAAAGCAAATATGAATCAAAAGAAAGCAGGAATGACTTTTATTAGTATCAGACTAAGTATTTTCCAAAATAGAGACTATTGCTCATGATAAGGAGATTTTCCTGATGATTAAGAGACTAGATCATTATCAAGGCAGAACAAATTTCAATGCACTTAATAATAGAGCTTCAAAATGCATAATGCAAAAAACTGACAGAGCTGAAAAAAGAAATAGATTAAAGATAATACTGTATTTGTAGACTTCAAAGTCTCTCTCAGTAACTGACAGACAAAAAGCAGAAAGAAAATCAGAAAGAATACAGAAGACTTGAATGTGACTTAAGTGCCATTTATGGAGCGCTCCACCCAATAAAGGCAGAATATTTATCTTTACAATTGTTTAAGTTATAGTTACCAAGATAGATTATATGCTTGTCCATAAAATGCCTCAATTAATTTACAAGGTTTAAAACATTTCAGAGTATGCTATCTAGCCAAACAAAATTAAATTAGAAATCTAATGGTGCTTCTATGGGTAACATAAATAATATGATTTTGTGGCCAGATATCGAGTACCTTCAATTTCAACAAATTCAAATATTTTAGTAAGAATTATTAGAATCCACTGGATGCGGTGGCTGATGCCTGTAATCCCAGCACTTTTGGAGTCCGAGGCAAACAGATCACGAGGTTAAGAGATCGAGACCATCCTGGCCAACATGGTGAAACCCTGTCTTTACTAAAAATACGAAAATTAGCTTGGCATGGTGGTGTGTGCCTGTAGTCCCAGCTACTTAGAAGGCTGAGGCAGGAGAATGGTGTGAACCCTGGAGGTTGCAGTGAGCCGAGATCGCACCACTGCACTCCAGCCTGGGCAACAGAGTGAGACTCTGTCTCAGAAAAAAAAAAAGAAAAAGAAAAAAGAATTCTTAGAATCTGTAGGAGGCTATTGTTAATTTAAAATCTTCAAGACAGGAGGAAAATGATGGATAGGAGACAGGACTAACATGCAGCTCCCATTTGGACAGACAGAACAGCATGTGGAGACTCACATTGTGAACTTTTGCTCCAAGAACCACTGAAGGAACATACTAGAACAACCAAAAGAATTTACAGACCCTTTGAAAGGAGTGGCTTGCTCCTGCAAACTCACTAGACAGTAGAAAACTGTGAGTTCCCAAAGTGTGATAAGGGGAAATGTCCACCTCTGAACACACATCTTTGATTTGGCTCTATGTTCCATCCCAATCTCATCTGGAATTGTAATCCCTTTGTGTCAAGAAGGGACCTGGTGGGAAGTGATTGGATCATGGGGATGATTTCTCCCATGCTGTTCTGGTGATAGTGAGTGAGTTCTCATGAGATCTGAGATTTAAAAATGTGTGGCTTCCTTTGCTCTCTCTTTCTCTCTCTCTCTCTTTCTCTCTCTCTCTCTCCTGCTGCCATGTAAGACATGTCTTGCTTTCCCTTCTCCTTCCACCATGATTGGAAGTGTCCTGAGGCCTCCCTAGCCGTGTGAAACTGTGAGTCAATTAAATCTCTTTTCTTTATAAATTACCCAGTCTCAGGAAGACTAATACACATTCCCACTGGGAAACCTGAAAAATCCAGATCATGGAGAAGGATTTAATCTTACCTAGAGCTAAAACAGATTTAGGGAGCTGGGTGAAATATAAAAGTAGAAGAAGCAGTAGGAAGAGCCCTGTAGGCACTTCCAGTCCCCAACTAAAGCCCCAGGATAGCCATCCCTGGGATAAGAGGTCCCTGGAAAAGTTAGCCAGGAGAATTGGGGAAGGGGCACAGGGTAAAGGAAGCTTCCAACTGAACTTTGTAATAATTTCAACCGAGCATGAATTTTACTGAGCAAAATCTGGGGTTGAGGGCAGGGGTGAATTGCAGGTGCAGATATTAGCAAAGAAGCCACAGCTGACAGTGCTGGAAGGCAAGGAGGGGCAAGGTCTGAGAGATCTGCTTGCTTTCTTATCTGGAAGCTTGTGGCCTTGGACAAGATCCCAGCCCTGCTCTCTGGCTCCCTAGGTATAAATTTGGTGCTGGTGGTGGGGCACAGAGGGAATAAGCCTGGCCTTACTGGCTACCTGGGAGCTGCATGAGGCTTGTCACTGCCAGCTTTTCGCACTTCCCTGATGACTTGTATGAGACAGCAGAGGCAACGATAATCCCCCTGGAACATAACTCTATTGGCCTGAGAACTACCTCCCCATCCCCCATAGTGGCTACAGCAATGCCTGCCCAAGGAGAGTATGAGCTCAGAGATGCCTAACTCTGCACCCACCTGATAGTTTGTCTCTACCCTCCCTGGTAGCCAAAGAAAAAAGACATAAAATCTTGGGAGCTCTATGAACCTGTCCATTACCTGAGAAACCTGAGTACTTATACTGGCCAACGCACGCAGGGTGAGTTTATATTCCCCTTCAACTACTGCAGCTGTTGATCTCTTGAAAGCATCACCTCGTGGCTGGAGGCCAACCAACTCAAGCCATTACAGAAACTCATGAAAGAACAACCCTGATCCAAAGAAGGAGAAAACAGCTAATTCCACTGCTTGCAACACCCTGGCTAACTAAATGTCTTGAGTCTGTCCACATGACAACATCGCTGCTAGCATAAACAGTATCAAGAAAACCAGTACACTAAACAAAACTACAACCAAGGACTCTCAAAGAGTCCAATTCACTCTCCTGCCACCTTCACCAGAGCAGGTGCTGGTATCCATGGCTGGGAAACCTGAAGATGGATCACATCACAGGACTCTTTGCAGACACTCCCCTAAACCAGCTTGGTAGCCCTGCTGGGTGGCTAGACACAGAAAGACAATAACAATCACTGCAGTTTGGCTCTAAGGAAGCCCCATTCCTAGGGGGAAGGGGAAAGCACCACATAAAGGGATCACCTAACAGGACAAAAGAATCTGAACAGCAGCCCCTGAGTTCTGGATTTTTCCACTGAAATGGTCTACCCAAATTAAAAGGAACAAGGAAAGTAATTATAGTAATATGACAAAACAAGGTTCTGTAACAACCCCAAAAAATCACAGTAGCACTACAGCAATGGATCCAACCCAAGAAGAAATCTCAGAATTGCCAGATAAAGAATTCAGAAAGTGAAGTATTAAGCTACTCAAAGAGAGCATGAAAATCAACTTAAATAAATTTTAAAAAATACAGGATATGGATGAAAATGTCTCCAGAGAAATACATTTCATAAAGAAAAGACAATCACAACTTCTGGAAATGAAAGACAAATTTAGAGAAATGCAAAATACACTGGAAAACTCCAACAATAGAATCAAACAAGTAGAAGAAAGAAATTCAGAGCTAGAAGAAAAGCTTTTGAATTAACCCAATTTGACAAAGACAAAGAAAAAAAATTAAATGAACAAAGCCTTCAAGAAATTTGGGATTATATTAAATGACCAAACCTAAAAATAATTGGTGTTCCTGAGGAAGATGAGAAATCTAAAAGCTTGAAAAACTTATTTAAAGCAATAATCGAGGAAAACTCCCCTGGTCTTGCTCGGTATCTAGACATCCAAACATAAGAAACTCAAAAAACACCCAGGAAATTCATTGTAAAAAGATAATCACCTGGGCACATAGTCATCAGGTTATCTGAAGTCAAAGTGAAGAAAATAATCTTAAGAGCTATGAGGAAAAAGGATCAAGCAACCTTAAAGGAAATTCTATCAGATTAACAGCAGATTTCTTGGCTGAAACCCTGCAAGCCAGAAAGTATCAGCCCAAAGTTTAGCCTCCTTAAAGAAAATAATTATCAGCCAAGAATTCTGTATTCAGCAAAACTAAGCTTCATAAATGAAAGAGAGATAAAGTCTTTTTCAGACAAATGCTGAGAAAATTCAACATTACCAAGCCAGCACTACAAGGAATGCTAATAAGCATCCTAAATATTGAAACAAAACCTCAAAATACACCAAATTGAGCCCCCTTCAAGCATAAACATCATAGGACCTATGAAACAATAACATAATGATATAAAAACCAAGATATTCAGGCAACAACTAGCATGATGAATAGAACAGTACCTCACATGTCAATACTAACATTGAATATAAATGGGTGAAATGCTCCACTTAAAAGATACAGAAAAGTAGAATGGATAAAAATCCACCAACCAAGTATCTACTGTCTTCAAGAGACTCACCTAACACATAAGGACTCTCATAAACTTAGATAATGGGATAAAAAGAGATATTCCATACAAATGGAAACCAAAAGCGAGCAGGAGTAGCTTTTCTTATATCAACCATACAAATTTTAAAGCAACAAAAGTTAAAAAAAGACAAAGAGGGACATTATATAATATAATGATAAAAGGATTAGGCCAACAGGAAAATATCAAAATCCTAAATATATTGGCACCTAACACTGGAGCTCCCAAATTTGTAAAACAATTACTACTAGACCTAAGAAATGAGACAGACAGCAATACAATAATAGTGGGGGACTGCAGTACTCAACTGACAGCACTAGACAGGTCACAAGACAGAAAGTCAACAAAGAAACAGTAGACTTAAACTATACCCTAGACTTAAAGAGTATGCTAGAACGAATGTGCTTAACAGATATTTACAGAATATTATACCCAACAACTGAAAAACATACATTCTTTTCATCAGCACATGGAACATTCTCCAAGATAAACTATATGATAGGCCACGAAATAATTCTCAATAAATTTAAGAAAATTGAAATTTTATCAAGTGCACTCTCAGAATACAGTGGAATAAAATTGGAAATTAACTCTAAAGGAATCCTCAAAACTGTACAAATACATGGAAACTAAATATTCTGCTTGTGAATGATCTTTGGGTCAACAATGAAATCAAGATGGAGGTGGATTGTTCCAAGATGGCCAAATAGGAACAGCTCCAGTCTACAGCTCCCAGCATGAGCAATGCAGAAGATGGGTGATTTCTGCATTTCCACCTGAGGTACTGGGTTCAATTCATTGGGACTGGTTGGAAAGTGGGTGCAGCCCAAGAAGTGTGAGCCAAAGCAGGGTGAGGCATCACCTTGCCTGGGATACACAAGGGGTCAGAGAATTCTCTTTCCTAGCCAACGGAAGCTGTGACAGATGGCTTCCTGGAAAATTGGGACACTCCTGCCCTAATACTGAGCTTTTCCAATGGTCTTAGCAAAGGGCACACCAGGAGATTATATCCCACGCCTGACTCACTGGGTCCCCGCCCACAGAGCCTTGCTTACTGCTAGAACTGCAGTCCAAGATCGAATTGCCAGGCAGCAGCGAGGCTGGAGGGGGGTCCGCCATTGCTGAGGCTTTAACAGGTAAACAAAGCAGCTGGGAAGCTCAAACTGGGTGGAGCCTACCACAGCTCAGTGAGGTCTGCCTACCTCTGTAGACTCCGCCTCTGGGGGCAGGGCATAGGTGAACAAAAGGCAGCAGGAACTTCTGCAGACTTAAATGTCCCTGTCTGACAGCTTTGAAGAGAGCAGTGGTTCTCCCAGCATGGACTTTGAGATCTGAGAACGGACAGACTCCCTCCTCAAGTAGGTCCCTGAACCCGAGTAGCCTAACTGGGAGACACCTCCCAGTAGGGGCCCACTGGCACCTAATACAGCTGGGTGCCCCTCTGAGATGAAGATTCCAGAGGAAGGATCAGATAGTAACATTTACTATTCTGCAATATTTGCTGTTCTGCAGTCTACGCTGGTGATACCCAGGCGAACAGGGCCTGGAGTGGACCTCCAGCAAACTCCAACAGACCTGCAGCTGAGGGTCGTGCCTATTAGAAGGAAAACTAACAAACAGAAAGGAATAGCATCAACATCAACAAAAAGTACATCCACACCAAAACCCCATCTGTAGGTCACCATCATCAAAGACCAAAGGTAGGTAAAACCACAAAGTTGGGGAGAAACCAGAGTAGAAAAGCTGAAAATTCTAAAAACCAGAGTGCCTCTTCTCCTCTAAAGGAATGCAGCTCCTCGCCAGCAACAGAACAAAGCTGGACAGAGAATGACTCTGATGAGTTAGGCTTCAGAAGATCGGTAATAACAAACTTCTCTGAGCTAAAGGAGGATGTTCGAACCCATTGCAAAGAAACTAAAAACCTTGAAAAAAGATGGGATGAATGGCTAACTAGAATAAACAGCATAGAGAAAACCTTAAGTGACCTGATGGAGCTGAAAACCATGGCACGAGAACTACATGACGCATGCACAAGCTTCAGTAGCTGATTCAATCAAGTGGGAGAAAGATTATAAGTGATTGAAGATCAAATGAATGAAATGAAGCGAGAAGAGAAGTTTAGAGAAAAAAGAGTAAAAAGAAATGAACAAAACCTCCAAGAAATATGGGACTATGTGAAAAGACCAAATCTACATTTAATTGGGGTACCTGAAAGTGACGGGGAGAATGGAACCAAGTTGGAAAACACTCTTCAGGATATTATCCAGGAGAACTTCCCCAAAATAGCAAGGAAGGCCAACATTCAAATTCAGGAAATACAGAGAATGTCACAAAGATATTCCTCAAGAAGAGCAACTCCAAGACACATAATTGTCAGATTCACCAAGGTTGAAATGAAGGGAAAAAATGTTAAGGACAGCCAGAGAGAAAGGTCGGGTTACTCAAAAAGGGAAGCCCATCAGACTAACAGTGGATCTCTCAGCAGAAACTCTACAAGTCAGAAGAGAGTGTGGGCCAATATTCAACATTCTTAAAGAAAGAATTTTCAACCCAGAGTTTCATATCCAGCCAAATGAAGCTTCATAAGTGAGGGGGAAATAAAATCCTTTACAGAGAAGCACATGCTGAGAGATTTTGTTACCACCAGGCCTGCCCTAAAAGAGCTCCTGAAGGAAGCACTAAACATGGAAAGGAACAACCGGTACCAGCCACTGCAAAAACATGCCAAATTGTAAAGATCATCAATGCTAGGAAGAAACTGCATCAACTAACAAGCAAAATAACTAGCTAATGTCATAATGACAGTATCAGATTCACACATAACAATATTAACCTTAAAAGTAAAAGGCCTAAATGCCCCAATTAAAAGACATAGACTGTCAAATTGGATAAAGAGTCAAGACCCATCAGTGTGCTGTATTCAGGAGACACATCTCACGTGCAAAGACACATGTAGGCTCAAAATAAAGGGATGGAGGAAGATCTACCAAGCAAATGGAAAACAAAAACAAAAAAAAAAGCAGGGGTTGCAATCCTAGTCTCTGATAAAGCAGACCTTAAACTAACAAAGATCAAAAGAGACAAAGAAGGCCGTTACATAATGGTAAAAGGATCAATTCAACAAGAAGAGCTAACTATCCTAAATCTATATGCACCCAATACAGGAGCACCCAGATTCATAAAGCAAGTCCTTAGAGACGTAGAAAGAGACTTAGACTCCCACACAATAATAATGGGAGACTTTAACACCCCACTGTCAACATTGGACAGATCAAGGTGACAGAAGTTTAACAAGGATATCCAGGACTTGAACTCAGCTCTGCACCAGGCAGACCTAATAGACATCTACAGAACTCTCCACCCCAAATCAACAGAATATACATTCTTCTCAGCACCACATTGCACTTATTCCAAAATTGACCCCATAGTTGGAAGTAAAGCACTCCTCAGCAAATGTAAAAGAATAGAAATCATAACAAACTGTCTCTCAGACCACAGTGCAATCAAACTAGAACTCAGGATTAAGAAACTTACTCAAAACCGCTCAACTACATGGAAACTGAACAAACTGCTCCTGAATGACTACTGGGTAAATAATGAAATGAAGGCAGAAATAAAGATGTTCTTTGAAACCAATGGGAAAAAAGACACAACATAGCAGAAACTCTGGGACACATTTAAAGCAGTGTGTAGAGGGAAATTTATAGCACTAAATGGCCACAAGAGAAACAGGAAAGATCTAAAACTGACACCCTAACTTCACAATTAAAAGAACTAGAGAAGCAAGAGCGAACACATTCAAAAGCTAGCAGAAGGCAAGAAATAACTAAGATCGGAGAAGAACTGAAAGAGATAGAGATAAAAAACCCTTCAAAAAAATCAATGAATCTAGGAGCTGATTTTTTGAAAAGATCAACAAAATTGATAGACCACTAGAAAGACTAATAAAGAAGAAAAGAGAGAAGAATCAAATAGACGCAATAAAAAATGATAAAGGGGATATCACCACTGATCCCACAGAAATGCAAACTACCATCAGAGAATACAATAAACACCTCTATGCAAATAAACTAGAAAATCTAGAAGAAATGGATAAATTCCTGGACACCTACACCCTCTCAAGACTAAACCAGGAAGAAGTTGAATCCCTGAATAGACCAATAACAGACTCTGAAATTGAGGCAATAATTAATACCCTACCAACCAAAAAAAGTCCAGGACCAGACGGATTCACAGCCGAATTCTACCAGAGGTACAAGGAGGAACTGGTACCATTCCTTCTGAAACTATTCCAATCAATAGAAAAAGAGGGAATCCTCCCTAACTCATTTTATGAGGCCAGCATCATCCTGATACCAAATCCTGGCAGAGACACAACAACAAAAAAAGAGAATTTTAGACCAGTATCCCTGATGAACACTGATGCAAAAATCCTCAATAAAATACTGGCAAACTGAATCCAGCAGCATACCAAAAAGCTTATCCACCACAATCAAGTTCGCTTCATCCCTGGGATGCAAGGCTGGTTCAACATATGCAAATCAATAAACATAATCCATCATATAAACAGAACCAAAGACAAAAACCACTTGATTATCTCAATAGATGCAGAAAAGGCCTTTGACAAAATTCAACTGGCCTTCATGCTAAAAACTCTCAATAAACTAGGTATTGATGGGACATATCTCAAAATAAAAGAGCTATTTATGACAAACACACAACCAATATCATACTGAATGGGCAAAAACTGGAAGCATTCCCTTTGAAAACTGGCACAAGACAGGGAAGCCCTCTCTCACCACTCCTATTCAATATAGGTTGGAAGTTCTGGCCAGGGCAATCAGGCAGGAGAAACAAATAAAGCGTATTCGATTAAGAAGAGAGGAAGTCAAATTGTCCTTGTTTGCAGATGCCATGATTGTATATTTAGAAAACCCCATCCTCTCAGCCCAAAATCTCCTTAAGCTGATAAGCAACTTCAGCAAAGTCTCAGGATACAAAATCAATGTGCAAAAATCACAAGCATTCCTATACACCAATAACAGACAAACAGAACCAAATGATGAGCAAACTCCCATTCACAATTGCTTCAAAGAGAATGAAATACCTAGGAATCCAACTTACAAAGGATATGAAGGACCTCTTCAAGGGGAACTACAAACCGCTGCTCAACAAAATAAAAGAGGACACAAACAAATGGAAGAACATTCCATGCTCATGGGTAGGAAGAATCAATATTGTGAAAATGGCCATACTGCCCAAGGTAATTTATAGATTCAATGCCATCCCCAACAAGCTACCAATGACTTTCTTCACAGAATTGGAAAAAACTACTTTAAAGTTCATATGGAACCAAAAAAGAGCCCGCATTGCCAAGACAATCCTAAGCAAAAAGAAGAAAGCTGGAGGCATCACACTACCTGACTTTAAACTATATACTACAAGGCTACAGTAACCAAAACAGCATGGTACTGGTACCAAAACAGAGATATAGACCAATGGAACAGAACAGAGCCCTCAGAAATAATACCACACATCTACCATCATCTGATCTTTGACAAACCTGACAAAAACAAGAAATGGGGAAAGGATTCCCTATTTAATAAATGGTGCTGGGAAAACTGGCTAGCCATATGTAGAAAGCTGAAACTGGATCCCTTCCTTATACCTTATACAAAAATTAATTCAAGATGGATAAACGACTTAAATGTTAGACCTAAAACCATAAAAACCCTAGAAGAAAACCTAGGGAATACCATTCAGGACATAGGCATGGGCAAGGACTTCATGACTAAAACACCAAAAGCAATGACAACAAAAGCCAAAATAGAGAAATGGGAACTAATTAAACTAAATAGCTTCTGCACAGCAAAAGAAACCACCATCAGAGTGAACAGGCAACCTACAGAATGGGAGAAAATTTTTGCAATCTACCCATCTGACAAAGGGCTAATATCCAGAATCTAGAAAGAACTTAAACAAATTTACCAGAAAAAAATCAAACAAATCCATCAAAAAGTGGGCAAAGGATAGCAACAGACACTTCTCAAAAGAAGACATTTATGCAGCCAAAAAACACATGAAAAAATGCTCATCATCACTGGCCAGCAGAGAAATGCAAACCAAAACCACAATGGGATACCATCTCATACCAGTTATATTAGTGATCATTAAAAAGTCAGGAAACAATAGGTGCTGGAGAGGATGTGGAGAAATAGGAACACTTCTACACTGTTAGTGGGAGTGTAAACTAGTTCAACCAATGTGGAAGACAGTGTGGCAATTTCTCAAGGATCTAGAACTAGAAATACCATTTGACCCAGCCATCCCATTACTGGGTATATACCCAAAGGAGTATAAATCATGCTACTATAAAGACACATGCACAAGTATGTTTATTGTGGCACTATTCACAGTAGCAAAGACTTGGAACCAACCCAAGTGTCCAACAATGATAGACTGGATTAAGAAAATGTGGCACATATACACCATGGAATACTATGCAGCCATAAAAAATGATGAATTCATGTCCTTTGCAGGGACATGGATGAAGCTGGAAACCATCATTCTGAGCAAACTGTCACAAAGACAGAAAACCAAACACCGCATGTTCTCACTCATAGATGGGAATTGAACAATGAGAACACTTGGACACAGGGTGGGGAATATCACATACCAGGGCCTGTCATGTGGTGGAGGGCAGGTGGAGGGATAGCATTAGGAGAAATACCTAATGTAAATGACAAGTTCATGGGTGCAGCACACCAACATGGCACATATATACATATGTAACAATCCTGCACGTTGTGCACATGTACCCTAGAACTTAAAGTGTAATAAAAACAAAAAAAGAAATCAAGATGGAAGTTAAAAAATTCTTTGAAGTGAATGATAATAGTGACAGAACCTATCAAAACCTCTAGCATACAGCAAAAGCAGTGCTAAGAGGAAAGTTCATAGCATTAAATGCCTACATCAAAAAGTCTGAAATAGCACAAATAGACAATCTAAGGTCACAACTCAAGGAACTAGAGAAACAAGAATGAACCAACGCCATTGCACTCCAGCCTGAGCAACAGAGTGAGACTCCATCTAAAAAAAATAATAAAATAAAAAATAAAAAAGAACATACGAAACCCACACCCAGCAGAAGAAAAGAAATAAAGATTATAGCAGAACTAAATGAAATTGAAACAAACCAAAAATACAAAATTTAAATGAAACAAAAAACTGGTTCTTAAAATAGATAAACAAAATGTATAGACCATTAGCCACATTAACCAAGAAAAGAGAGAAGATGCAAATAAGCTCAATTAGAAATGAAATGGAAGATATTATGATCGATACCACAGAAATACAAATGATCATTCAAGGCTACTATAAACATCTTTATGCACACAAACTAGAAAACCTAGAGGAGATGGATGAATTGCTGGAAATATACAACCCTCTTAGATTAAGCCAGAAAGAAATAGAAACTGTGAAGAGACCAATAACAAGTAGCAAGATTAAAAGACTAATTACAAAATTTCCAAAAATTAGAAGTCTAGGACCAGATAAATTCAGAACAGAATGGCATCAGACATTCAAAGAATTGGTACCAATCCTTCTAAAATGATTCCAAAAGATAAAGAGGGAATACTCCCTAAATCATTCTATGTAGCTTGTATTACCCTAATATTGAAACCAGGAAAGGGCATAATTAAAAAGAAAAGTATAGACCAATATCCCTGATGAGCATAGATGCAAAAATCCTCAACAAAATATTAGCTAACCAAATCAAATAGCATATCAAAAATATCACACACTATGATCAAATGGTTTCATATCAGAGATGCAGGGTTGATTTAACATATACAAGTCAATAAATGTGATACACCACATAAATAGAATTAAAAACAAAAATCACGTGATCATCTCAATAGTCAAAGAAAAAACATTTGACAAAATTCAGCATCACTTTATGATTAAAAGCCTCAGGAAAATCAGCATAGAAAGGACATACTTTAAGGTAATAAAAGCCATGTATGACAAACCCACAGCCAACTATGGGGAATGGTGAAAGATGAAAACATTCACCCTGAGAAATGGAACAAGACAAAGGTGCCCACTTTTACCACTTCTATTCATCATAGTACTGGAAGTCTTAGCCAGAGCAATCAGACAAGAGAAAGAAATCAAGAGCATCCAAATCCATAAAGAGGAAATCAAACTGTTACTTCTCTGATGATATGATCTTACACCTAGAAAACCCTAAAGACTCATTTAAAACACTCCTAGATTTGATAAATAAATTCAGTAAATTTCAGGATACAGGATTAATGTACAAAAAATAGTAGCACTGCTATACACCCGCAGTGACTGAGCTAAGAATCAAATCAAGAGCTCAGCCCCTTCCCAACAGCTGCAAAACAAACAAACAAACAAACAAACAAAAAGTATGAATATACCTAACCAAGTAGGTGAAAGATCTCTACAAGCAAAACTGCAAAACTCTGCTAAAATCTTCAAGACATTCTCATGGTTTCAGCCATTCCCAAATTTATTTGAAAAACATAAAAAGTTTTAAAAATGTGCATCGTCCTGGAATAGTTTTCTGTATAACATGTGTTTGAAAAATACTTCCTTACTTTATTAGAAATTCTGTTAATGGGATATGTGAAACCATTTTCTCATCATCCCTTAGTTGTACATAGTAATAGACAGTCCTACTGTGTTAGTCAGGGTTCTCTATGGAGTGTGAATGCAGAAAAGGAATCATTCCTACTGGAAAATAATGAACTGTGGACACATTCACTCAAGACCAGAGAAAAAAACCACTGAGAATAAGTAGCTTCAATTTCACTGTCACCAGGAGGGCACACACCAGAAAGCCTGGTACAAAGCCTGGGCTAGAGCCCTAAGCATTCTCAGGCTTCCTGGTGCTGTGGTTCAACAGCCTTTGTGGGGATGGGGAGAAGCAGAAACCGTCACCGTCATGTGTAAAAAAGGATACCACAGCAACAACACAGCTGTCAAAAATCAGCTGGAGCTGAAGTTACCCATCATTTGAAATCCACACTGTACTTGCTTTCTTATGAATGGGTGGAGACATGTGCAGAGACACCTTAAACATGTGCAGGTGACCTTCCTTTTGAAAGGCAGAGGAGGGCCTCTTTGTGAACTCTTTCTACTCATTAGTTTTCCTATCAGTTCACCATTTCAACTAGAAAAGATGGTGCAAGCTGCCTCAGCTAGCTTCTAATTTGGACACAGCACCAATACTACACACAGAGTTGAATGAATGACCACATCTTCCTGGTTCTTCCACTGGGCAAGGTCAATATGCGTCTTTGGCTTGCATAGCTGTGATCTTGTTTGAGTAAAGTGTGTAAACATAGGCCAGATTTTGTTAGTCTCCATCCTAGAAAATTGGTGGAGCATTCCTTGGCTCATGATCACAAGGTCCCACAATAGGCCGTCTGCAGGCTGAGGAGCAAGGAGAGCCAGTCCGAGTCCCAAAACTGAAGAACTTGGAGTCCGATGTTCCAGGGTAGGAAGCATCCAGCACGGGAGAAAGATGTAGGCTGGGAGGCTAGGCCAGTCTCACCCCTTCACGTTTTTCTGCCTGCTTTATATTCACTGGCAGCTGATTATATGGTGCCCACCAGATTAGGGGTGGGTCTGCCTTCCCCAGCCCACTGACTCAAATGTTAATCTCCTTTGGCAACATCCTCACAGACACACCCAGGATCAATGCTTTGCTCCTTCAGTCCAATCAAGTTGACACTCAGTATTAACCATCACACCTGCTTTTTGAAATTCTAGGCAAGAATAGAAAAGTATTATTAGGAAGACATTTTGTAAGCATTTAGAAAAGGAAGTAATCATAATTATTAGAATTCAGGGGTTCATCAAGAATGAACCACCAATGCTGCAATCATTTCCTTCTTTGATGGGCTAGGTATAGACAGTACATGTTTGGATTTCAACATGATGTGAGACAGAGTCTCTTACGACATCTTTTTGACTAGGTGGAACAATATGAGGATGATTTATAATAAATAAGCTAATTCACAGGAAGTCCAAGGGCTGGATTTGAAGGATCAACTTTTGGCAATATTTATCTAGAGACATTAGACTCTTCCTTCAACCTGTGTGTGTACTGGGGAGTGCCCGTGTTTCTTATTTAAACAAGTGTCATGCTCATAAGAATTTTACCTTGTTCAAAATTGAGAAGATTATTTAAAATATTTGGTTCCAGAATTTTTATCCATAAAGAACTCAAGAAACTGAAACAGTAGATTAATTTTTGAAAGAAGTAAAGGCATATAAGTGAAGGTATATTTATGTCACTGGTTTCACAATAAAATAGTTGTGCTACTAAAATGTGTCATATAATGGATTTTGGATTTTTAGGTCACAACAATTGCAATGTAGATTAATCACTAATATGCATTACCAAAATACCAAAAATAATAGTAACGTGTTGAATGTCTACTATGTGTCAGGCATTGCTAGAGACTTTGTACACATTTATCTGTAAATCTTGTATACATCCTTAATGTTTAAATTTAATTTTCTCATTTTGGAAATTGAAGTTTTCAGCTCAGAGGTTAAATAACTTGCCTACATAGTAGTGAGTGTTGGGGCTGGATTACCAATCTCAGATCTCTTTCTCTCTGAATCCATACTCTTTTTTCTCTTTCTACCTCTCAAGTATGACCTCAGAATACATTAAGGTGGAAAATTAACTGATGTAAGGGATGTGATAGGCACATTTTTATCTAAGCTACTCAGAGTCCCACTTGCAGTTTTACCTTTGATTGAGAATACCACAGTTTAAGAGGAAAAAAAAGGAACAATTTTAGAGTACAAGTAATTAAACATAGAAGAGATTTGAATTCATTTTATATGAGGAGCAGTCAGAAGAACAAAGAATTGTTGACCTGGAACAAATGAGGACTCTAGGGGACCATACTAGTGGTATTGAACATTTGAAGAACGATTATTTGAAAAAGAGTTACATTTTTCTTTGTATTCATAGAGTGGAAGTAGGACTAATAAATGAAAGGGTATGAAGCCAGGTTGGAATAAGTAAGTTTGAATTTTCTAACACTGTTGTCTAAAGGTATACTGAGATCTCCGAGTGGCGGTGAGCTGACCAGCGCTGGAGGTGTTCAAGCAGAGCATAGTTGACCACCTAGCTGGATATTGGTACAGAAATGCTAGTAGCTAACTTTTAAGGTTCCCTTCAATATTTGGAGCCTTAATTTTGTAGAAACAACAGTATATTTAGTGTGTGAAAGCATACATTTCTTAAAAAATAATTTTTTTGGATACCTTTAATGTGCAACCAGATTAAAATAACAAACAAGCAAACAACAGCAACAGCACCTGCAAGTTAAGATAGGCAGGCAGTTGTTGGTAAGAAGAGAGCTAACAGGATTTAAGTATGTTCCAATCAGTATTCTAAACACTCACCAAACAGTAATTATTTACTTTTGGATGAAGATCTCTGGTGTATATTTTCAACATTCTTTAAGGGAGCTAACTGCTAAATGTTTTCATCCCCATCTCTAGTATGAGTCTTTAAGTTTTAGCAAAGGAAAAAGCCAAGGGACTCTTTACTCTATAGAAGGTGAACATTCTTGGCTGTGATGGAAGAAACTCTGCAGTTACATGGGGCTCATTTTTTCTATCTAGCGCATTGAAAAGACCTCCCAGGAAGAGCTGCAAAGACATCCTAGGTTCATGTGGCTTTTACAAGCAACACCAAGGACACTTTGTGGAAGGCATGGCTAGCCTCCAAGCAGCACTCTAAAAAAAATTAAAACATTTATTCTATCCCCTTTCACACCCCCAAATCCTCCATTGCCAGTTTTTTTATTGACCTATTAAACAGTTATTATCTGTCTAAGAGTGTCTTAAAGATCTCCTTTTTTTGTATTTTATTTAATTTTTATTTTTCATAGAGACGGTCTCACTGTGTTCCCCAGGCTCGTGTGGAACTCCTGGGCTCAAGGAATCCTCCTGCCTTGGCCTCCCAAAGTGCTAGGATTACAGGCATGACCCACTGCACCTGGTCATTTTTGTATTTTATACTGAAAATGTGGTCTATGGACCAGCACTAGCATCAACATCATTGGGAGCTTGTTATACATGCAGGTTCTTGGTCTTCAGGTTCAAGCGATTCTCCTGCCTCAGCCTCTCCAGTAGCTGGGACTACAGGCATGTGCCACCATGCCCGGCTAATTTTTTATATTTTCGATAGAGATGGGGTTTACTGAGAATATGCATTTTAATGAGATTTCTGGGTTATTTGAATTCACATTAAAATTTTAGAAGCATTGTTTTAGACTATCTGCTCACAAGCTTATACATATCATGAGCATATTATGTGACTATTCAGTACTTGTTCATATTATTCTAATTTTACCTTTTTAATGCTTCAAGATGTATCCCTTATGATATAGTTTTGATATTTGTCCCTACCTAAGTTTCATGTTGAAATGTAAGCCCCCAAATTGGAGGTGGGACCTGGTAGAAGGTGTTTGGATCATGGGGGTGGATCCCTCATGAATGGCTTGGGTCATCTCCTTGGTGATAAGTGAACTCTCGCTCTGAGTTCACATGAGATCTGGTCGTTTAAAAGTGTATGGCAGCACTCCCTCCCGCCCCCACCACCCCACCCCACTGCCCTGACTCACTGGCTCTTACTTCTGTTCTAGCCATGTGATGTCCCGCTCCTGCTTTGCCTTATGCCATGATTGGAAGCTTCCTGAGACCACTCCAGAAGCAGATGCCACTATGTTTCCTATACAGCCTGCAGAACTCTGAGCCAATGAAACCTCTTTTCATATAAATTACCCAGTCTCACATATTTCTTTATAGCAGTGCAAGAATGGTGTCATACACCTTGGTTGGAAGACAGTGAGATTTCTGGAACCGTTCCCTGAACTGGAATCTTCAAGTAATTATTTACTCTCAATCCTCATAACCTGACTGGCTACCAATAATAGGACGTTAAATCCTACTTCTTAGCTGTTTCTGCCATGCCATACAAACCTGGATCAGGCTTTTTATCATCTCAGTCTGGACTATAAATCCTCTCTGCTTCTGCTTCTCTCTGCTCTCATCCATTTTTCAAACTTGGGAAAATAAAACTCTTTTTTTCTGCTAAGGTTTTTTTTTAAATTATTATTATACTTTAAGTTTTAGGGTACATGTGCACAATGTGCAGGTTAGTTACATATGTATACATGTGCCATGCAGGTTAGCTCAGTTGGTTAGAGCATGGTGCTAATAAAAATTTTATTGAAAGCATACTTGTCCAAAGGCAATGTCCTAACTTACTAGTTTGCATTCAAATTCTTCTCTAATCAATCTCTAACAATATTTTAGTTTTTTCTATTGCCATATTCCTACCAAACACCTTATTTCTGACTATAAGCTACTACTGGCCATTCATGCATTTTCATTTTTCTGAAAGCCCATCCCCACACTTCCTCTTTCTCTTTATACAGATAAGCCTCAGGAAGAATAAACTGTTTTCTCCTCTGCTAATGTAACATTGTTTACTTGCTTCTGTCATCATGTTCCAATGCTATTAATTTTCTTGTCTCCATACACTGCTAGATTATGAATACCTGAAAGGCAAGAATTCAGGAGTATTTAGTGTTAAAAAAATCTAAACACTGAACACTCCTGTGTAGTGTTTAGTTTGTTTTAAAAGAATTGGTTCTGGGGTAAAAAACTATATTAAAATTCATTTTACTAATTGCTGTGGCATGACCTTAGGTGAGTTACCACTCTACATCTCAGTTTCCTTATTTATAACATGGGGATAATTACACCTGTATGAATGAATTTTGTAAGGATTAAAATAAAGTATGAAAATTTAGTTTACTTGATGCTTAGTTCATAATGACTCAATTGTGTTCTTGAAATAAATGACATATTGGGTGACAGTAAGGCAGGGGCAGGGGCTTAATCATGAAAAATAATATGAATCTCAATTCTAGGTTTAGAAGACAAGGGTGGAACTTAATCATAGAAAGAAGAAATAAACTCTATAACTAAGATATAAGATGAGAGTATTTACAGTGATTTGCCTTAATGCTAAATTCCCAGAAGGGAGGTTCTGAAGGTGGACCCCAATGCCCTCAGGTTGGTGGGCACAGGTGATGCAGAGCTGGGGGACTAACAAGATCCCTATAAAGTGACCTGTAGTCACCTGTATACAATGCAGGGTCATGCTTTCCATTTCACTTTTTGTTGTTGTTGTTAATTTTAGTTTTTTAAGAGACTTGTCTTACTCTGTGACCCAGGCTGGAATGCGGTGGTGGGATCATAGTTCACTGCAGCCTGGAACTCCTGGGCTCAAGCAGTCATCCTATCTCAGCCTCCTGAGTAGCTGGGACTACAGGCATGCAGCATTATGCCCAGCCATTTTTTTTTTTTTTTTTAGAGACAGGGTCTCGCATGTTGCCCAGACTGGCCTTAAATTTCTGACCTCAAACAATCCTCCCACCCCAGCCTCTCAGAATGCTGGTATTCCAAGAGTGAGCCACCATGCCTGGCCCTTTCCATTTCATTTCTAATATCTTTCCTGATGACATCCAACATTTTGTGGGTCTTGGCATGTGAGAAGAACTTAATTTTTTCCTTTCTTCCCTCCTTCCTTCATTTTCTCCACCTCCTTCCCTCCCTCTCTCTCTCCCTTTCTCCCTCTACCTGTTTTTCTTTTTATCTCTATTCCCCCTGCTGAAAGTCTCAGAAAGCTTGAGCAGAATTAGCTTAGTGACAATGAATATTTGTTCAACATACACTCAATTAAAACCAACAGACAGAGCACACACGGTTGGAGACAATTGCTTGTCATTATCAGCACTGACAGATTTGAACTAATGTCCTAGAATGCAAAGAGTGGCCTGCCACTTTCTGAGTCAAATGCAGAGATTCTGATTAAAGAAGGCAGTGTCAATTGGAGATATAATCCATATAATAATAATCGTAAACAAATCTTAAACCTTAATTCTAAAATATGTCCTTAAAAAACTTTGTCTTTGGAATGTTTATTTAATCATACAACAGATTCTCCCTCACTCCAAAAGGAAGTAGGAAGGGAGGAAGAGATGCGTTTCCTGTATTCCAGCTTGGGTAGCTAGGACTCAGACTTTAAGATTTCAAGGGGAACATCAGGGATACAAAAGACTTCTCACTCTTGAGCTGTCTGGAGCCCAGCAGCAGGCTGAGCTTGCAGATTACCTAAATGCAAGGGCTTTGGTCATAGTCATGTACCTGGTTGCTTTCATGGGTGCACTGCTGCATTTTAACTAATGCGTGTTTGTTTTTGCTACAACTGAATATATATAATTCTCTCTCTCTCTATATATATATATATATAGTTTTAGGGATATGGATATTGGTTTAGGACATGGTATAGGGTTGGGTGCAATGTGTTGCAAGAAAGAAGAGGCACAGTTAGATACCAAACTGGTACCAAAGGAAGAGTGGCACTGATTGCATCAGGTGGGACCTCGGCCTTGTGAGTGTGGGATGAGCACAGAGCAGTGAACAGTTTTACTTACACATAGACATGATGCTGATGTGCAGATGACAGTGTGAATAAGTAATGTGACAACTGTGGATGATTTAATGTGGCATTTTTATGCTATTGTAGTGATTGGGTTGCAGTTTTTGCTTACAGGTCTAACTTTGTGCTGAGTCTCTGTTGTTGTTGTTGTTGTTGTTGTTGTTTATAAGTCTGTACCCGTAATTCTAGAATTTAAATATGTCCCAAAAAATGAGTTAAGAATCACTGTGGCAGTGCCATTACTGTTTTTTGTTCTTTTATTTTTATAATTTGTAAGAAGTATGGGGACAAGATTAATTCTTATTGCATGGCTAGTGTATGTCAGTCTGTGCCAGGTATTTTGCCTGTTATTTGTTAAATCCTTAAAGTTTTTAAGGTAGGGATTAACATTTCCATTGTATAGGTAAGAAAACCAAAGTTTTGAGAGACTGAATAAGTCGTTCAAGGTCACAAAGAAAGCAAAGCTGAGCAATGAATTCATATTCCTTGTCTTTACATTCTAGGCCTTTCTCTACTATTGTAAGTGCTTGCTTCATCTTGTCATCCCTTTAGATGGGAACAATAAACAACATTATCTGATTGAAATAACACACACACACACACACACACACACATACACACACACACACACACGCCCCTACACCTATATGTAACACATATTTAAGACTTATTTCTGGCCCAGGGCAATGACTCATGCCTGTAGTAGGTTCTGGGATGAAGAACTATATCAACATCCATCCTCCCAGCACTCTGGGAGGCTGAGGCGGGTGGATCACCTGAGGTCAGGAGTTCAAGACCAGCCTGGTCAATATTGCAAAACCCTGTCTCTACTAAAAATACAAAAATTGGCCTAGCATGGTCATGTACACCTGTAATGCCAGCTACTTGGGAGGCTGAGGCAGAAGAATCCCTTCAATCTGGGAGACAGAGGTTAGAGTGAGCCGAGATGGTGCCACTGCACTGCAGCCTGGGCAACAGAGAGAGACTCTGTCTCAAAAAAAAATAATAACAATAAAAAATAAATAAATAAATAAATAATTTATATGACTCTTAGATGACAAGATCCACAATTTTTGGATAACCTGAGACAGACACAGGCTTGGGCTCTCTTCTTGGCTTCAGTACGAACTGTGTGAATTTAAGCAAATGCTCAACTCTTCAGTATCTCAGTTTTCTAATTTGTAAAATTAGGAGATTTTGGCTATTAGCTTTCAACAACCCATTCAAGTACTAGTCTTCTGTGTCCATGTAAAGCTTATGAATAAGAACTTCTACTTGAACCTTTATTTGGGTACAAATAAATAAAATAGAGTAAATAGAGACTTGAATTGCACCAGTGGAAACCTTTAGGGGACCAGAACTCACGGCTTACTAGGTTTTAGTTCAAGTGCTGAGTCTAGTTCCAGCATCGTGTATTTCATGACAGATGAGTGAGAACTGGGAAAGTTCAATTAGTAATAGCCACTACTGAGACACGTTGGATCATGGTAAATTAGAAAAATATGGTTTTTGAATAACATAAATTTTAATTTGAATTCTGGGTTGATCATTTACTAGTTACATAAACTGAGCATAACTCTGAGTCTCAATTTCTTGCTTTGTAAATTGGGAGTAATTGTGAGGCTCTTGTGAGAATCAAATGAGATAATGAGAACTAACCAGCCAGCACATGACATGGCACACAGCAGATGATAAATGCTAATTCCCTCCTCCTCCCTTCTCTATATATGTGACACTGGCTTACACTTCATAAAAGTCTGAGACATATCTGTAAAATATTCCCCAGATGACATCTGTGGACCATAGAACAATTACACGAAGATTAGAATTGCAGGAAAAGAATCTAGGCTAACTCCATTGCCACCTCCTCTTTCAGAAGAACCACACTTTCCTTTGCATGGTTTTTCCGTTACTGTCAAGTGCCTGAGTAATCCCTTTTGCCTTGCTCAGGAAAGTTTGATGTGTGAGTACATAGAGGCCTGGCCACACACCATGGATGCTTGATTTTCCTTCTCCTATGATCTCTCATGAAGAAACCTTAATCAGAGTTGTTGCCAGGTGATGAGATATTCACATTCCCTCTAGCAGCTGCTATTTGTGTATGGTGTCTGGTGGTGTTTAAACACCTGGTTCAATATTTACCTGTGAGGGCTTCATTTTGCCCTCTGACCTTTCTTGCAGAATGGAGCTGTCCAGAAAATGATACCTTGGAGAGTACTATTAAGTATCCCCAAAAGCGGAGCACTCCTTTCCAGAAACATTCTCCCAGGTAGCAAGTTCTGGGATGAGGGCCACTGCCATCTTTCCTTGGACCCTTGAAGCTGTGAGTACTAGGAACATGATGGCTTAATTAAAATAAGCAGGTCCCAAGTTTGTGGGGAACAGAAAGAAACAAGAAAATGAAGTGTTTTGTTTCCTTTCACTATACCCTTATATGGGTTAAGAGAAAAAACAAAACATAACAAGGTCCTGGATTCTGTAACTCTTCTTTTGCTCTCGTACTTGCAAAGTCACATTGTTATAGCACCTAGCAATAAATAGTGTTTGCAGATCCACCCTTTCACTCCAGCAACCCCAGGCTGCTTGGATTCAACCCCAATCAGCACATGGCTGATGTTATTATCCTCATTTGTTGAGGAATAAATGGATGTCTAGAGGAGTTATTTACTGGGCCAAGTCATTTCAAATCCTCTGTGGAATGAAGTGGGCAGTCATTAGACAAAGTAAAACATGACTTTTACAAAGCACCCCATATCACCCCTTAATAACCAGATGTTATGGTGATACTGTTACCATTAACTCATTTTACAGAGGAGAAAACATGGTTACTAATCATGGCTTGATTTGCCCAATTATATCAAATACTTTGAAGGATGATGGAGAAGATGCATTATACATTGTTAAAATAAAATATTCTATGGTAGGAAGTGTGTCATGGAATTTGAGAACTAGGATGTGGATTCAAATAACCCTGTCTTTGAATCCTTGCTTCATTATGGGCAAGTGACTTAACTCATCTGGTTCTGATACTAGTTGCTAATCACTATGTGAGTTCCTGGTCATTCTGTGCCTCCGCTTCTGATTTTGTAAATGGAAATTAATAATTTTAAATGATCACTGCTGTAAGAACTGAAGTTAACAGCATGTCTGGCATGTGGTTAGAGACTCAATGCTGCCTTATCCACTGGGAAGTTTGTTGTCAGTGTTTACAATTCCAGAACGGCTCTCATAGCATATTGGTTTGTCTGTATCTTGGCTGGGCCTCTGGGAGTTGAGGAGAAAGAAGAACTGGCTTGAAGCAAATCACCCCTGCACGTACGTAGTCCTGGCCTGCTGGCCAGGTCTGAGTCCTGTGTAATTACAATGACATCTCAATATGTTCTCATGTCTCAAGTGGTCTTGCTTGTATCACATTTGCATTTGAAAGTTATAGCTCCGGAACCATAAATGCTGAACAGCCTCCAGGTAACTTGATGCCATGCAGAGCAAAGAGCTCGCCTTCAAAATGCTGCCAGGAAGATTCACTTTTTATAGCACCTTTTATAGAAATTCCCGGGGAAGAGAATTCTCAGGAGAAGAATTTGGCCTCTTGGTTTGAAACACATCTGGTTCTTTGAGTTGTCAAAGAGTAAGTAGTCCATAACAATTGAGAGAATGAGGTAAATATGAAATTGGAGCTAGACAAAGTCAGGAGAAATTCAAACTGCAGACAGCTTTGTTTATCTTTCAAAACATCCTGCTGGTTCATAAAATAGATTTAAATTCTTAAACTGAATCAGAAATGAAAATCCAGTGGAGTCCCAATGAGGCTATGTTGATGTAATTAATTCTGATTATTCGGAGGCTACTTGCTAATTTGTGGTCTTCTCAGGGCCCTTGCTTTCCCTCATATACCCAACTGTCAACCTTTGGGTCAATTCCCTGCTTAACTATTTTTAGTAATGTATGGGTAAAGAAGGAAAAATGACCCAGTAAGTTAGCTATCATTGTAATCTAAGATCTTAGTCTCAGTATTTGGTAGTCATTTATGAAATATTTGCCAGATAAAGGAAATCTGCTATTTGTTAGCAGATCTAGACTAACTGAGTTCTGGAGTTGCCATGAGTTTTGTGAGCCCATTTGGTTCTCAGTCTCTATGCAGGTAACTGATTGGGTCTCAGAATTCATAATCAGAGATTTTCCTGTGGGCACTGGGGCTTCGTCATATTTCTATGATAACATGCAGGTTACAGAAAATACTTAGATTTGGAATTCTGTGAAAATTTAGTTGTAACCAAGCCAGTAGAAATATCTAATTATCCTAGTCAGAAGGAATTCGTGTCTCTTGATAACTCTTAAATAACTGTATTTATGCACTTCCTTTGGAAATGATCACATACTGTCCTGGATTGTACTGCATTGTACAGCCCCATCTCCTTCCCTGGGCTGCAAGGCAACTTGGAGGGCATCTCTGTACTCATACTTGTCATCTCTGGAGCTACATGTGTAATTTTAAATTTTCTACTAGCCATATTAATAAAAATCAAAAACAGGAAGACAGATGAAATTAACTTTCATATAGTAATTTCCCCTTATCCATAAATTTGATTTCTGGTCTGAACTGAATAGAAAAATATTCTTAGAAATAAATAAATGTGATGCCATCTTTGAATTTCCCCTCAAATATTTATTGAGCTGATGGAGATTTCCTGTGATATCGAAACTGATAATTGGCTTTAATAGGACAATGGTGGGCTCTGAAGAGGGGATAAAGTGGCTGTGATTGCGAGGCAATGGAAGTTTTGTAAAAAACCACTGAAACTAATGTAACTCACACATCTAAACTGAAGATAATATGTTCCTTTCTCACTGTGGGTCACAGCTGTGTAGGGCACCAGAGATTCATGAAGGGTGTAACATTACCTAGGATTTAAACTTAGATAAACTCTGTCTGCAGCTGCCAATCACAGGACATTCCCAGTGTTGGCCAGAACTGAACTGTCACAACATGAAGTCTCCTTTTGCTTTTCAGGTTTGGCTGTTAGGAACACATAAATGTTGACCCTAAGAAGCTTCTCCAATCCTTTCTCTTTCTGTGGATGACGCTCATTTCTTAACTTCCACCAAAAACATGGAGATGAGACTGGGGTCAGAATTGCTGGAGTTAGGCCAATCAATTCTATGCATGGTAATATTGTGTAGAAGATGTTAAATTTTATTTGTTCTTGCTGTTCATTATACCTGATCTTGACTGACATCATCATCTTCTCATCCTTCTGGTACAGCTTAGATAAAGGTAAACAGTTAATTCCATCAATAAGTGTTTACTTATTGCCACTGAAATTCAATCACAGTATTAGGTACTGGGGCACAATGGGAAGTATTGAATAGGTGTTTGCTATTGTTACCATCCAAAAAGATGATTCTTTGACATGTATTGGTTTCTATATTTTTTTGCAATGGAACTGACTGTGACAGAATTTCACTTTGTATGTGCACTGAAGGTCTTCTGGTAACAGAATGAAAATTCATATATATATACATATATGCACATCCAAATCAGGATTTTATAATTCAATTCAAAGCTGAACAGAAGAGAAACTTGTTCTATCCGTATGAAGAAATATTACAGAGCCAAAACAATTTACAACTTATGATATTACTGCAAGAATAGTTGAATAGATAAATAAAACAGAATGAGTAATTCAGTGTCTAATTTATATAACAACTTCATGTGTGATAAAGGAGGCATCATACATTAACAAAGAAAGAATAGAGTGTGTATTACACTGTATTGGGAAATTTGCTATTTGGATGAGAAAATCAACATATGCTCTTTTTTCAAAGCCTGTAAAAAATACAATCCCTGTAGTTTAAGATCCAAATATTAAACATATATATAAGTACATACACAAGATAACACATTTGATCAAATATCTGATCTTTGATTGGAGAGATGACTTCCCATTGCCTTTCAGCAAAAGTCTAACATTTTTATTATAGCTCAAGAGATTTTCTGGTCTCTTCCTATTTCTCATTCTCATCCAGAATCATTTTCCCACTGCTGCCTGCCCTGCCCTGGTATGGGCAGACCTCTCTCATCTCCCAGAATATGCTATGCTCTGTCCTGCTTGCTGGCTTGCCTTTGCTATTACTTTGTGTCAAAGGCCTATTTCTTCTCTCCAACTCACCCCCATTCTCCAATCTCTAAACCCAATTTATTGAGCCAGCTTAATCATCATTTCTTATATAGTAGTTCTCTCTTATTTGCAGTTTTGCTTTCCACACTTTCAGGTACCCGCATGGTCCAAAAATACTACCTAGAAAATTTCAGAAATAAACAATTCATAAGTTTTAAATTACACACTGTTCTGAGTAGCAGGATGAAATCTTTCACTGTCCTGTTCTGAGCCATCTGGGACATGAATCTTCCCTTTGTCCTGCATTTCCACAATTTCTACACTACCCACCTACTAGGCACATAGTAGCCATCTCAGTTATCAGATAGACTGTTGTGGTCTCACAGTGCTTGCGTTCAAGTAACCCCTATTTTACTTAATAATGGCCCCAAGGTGAAAGAGTAGTGATGCTGCCATATTGTTATAATTGTTCTATTTTAATATTAGTTATTGTTGTTAATCTCTTACTGTGCCTAATTAAAAAATTAAATTTTACCATAGGTATGTATATATAGGAAAAATCATAGTATATTAGAGTTTGGTACTATCTATAATTTTAGTCATCCCCTGGGGTCTTGGAATGTATCTTCCATGGATAAGAGTGGACTACTCTACTTTATATGATGTTAAATACCTTTTCAGTATGATTGCACAACATTCTGAACTTTTCTTTTCATAACAATCCTCACACATATAACTACAAGTTGGTGTCTGTCTAATTATTGCACCGCAATGTAGATGAGAGTGGAGGCCATGTCTGTCTAGTTTACTGCTGTTCCCCTAGTGTCTAAGCAGTGCTTCACACACATTGGCCACTCAAAAACTATTAGGCCAAATGAATTAAACAGCACATCAAGCCAAGACAGAGATTTGATTAGTTAAAAAACTAAAACAAAAAAACCCTTTTGTATCATTGTAAATAATTGTAGAATATAAGCAATTTCATGATAGAGAAGACATCTTTCCACTTTTTTCTATATTCAAAAATCACTCCCAAAATAAGGAGAACAAAAGTCAAAACACAAACATCTTCAATGAAACTCTATGATAAATGGAAGAATGGTAAGTAAATCTGTGGCACAGAAGAAAATTAAAGTGTCTGCAGACTGTGACGCCAATGGGAAACACTACCATTTACCCCACAAACTTGTATAGTCATGGAATTGGAAGCTCCAAGCATTGAGGAAGTTATGGATAAAGTGTTATGTGTCTGTGTGTGTAGCAGAGATTTGTTTTAAAGTTTATTTAAGAAGCAGTTAGATTCCTAGATACTCACTCCTTACTGAGAATAAGCTAGTAACCCTGGCAGAATGGAACCAGAGGAACTAGAGGGAATGGCAGGCACATAGAAATGGAATACTGAGGCCTAGAACCAAAAATAAGTAGACCAAGTGCAAGTCTTCTGATTGAACAGTGCCCAGTTCCAGAGTTTATCAGCCATGCTGGTACTTCTCAAGAAGGAGTTGAGAGAAGCCTTCCTTGGAAAGCTAGCACCACCAACAGGAAAGACTAGCAGGTACTGACTGGGAGCATCCCTGTTGGGAAAGGCAGCTGGCCATCAGGTCACCTCATATTGACACATGTCAGTCAAAAGCCTTGCTTCACTCCTAGACCCAGAACCTTCAGTCTGCAATTTAGTGTCTCGCTCAAGAAAATGTAATCTGGCAGGTGTCATTAGTATGTAAGGAAGCCTCTAACATGCAACAAAGAGATTAAGGTAGCCAATAAATAAACTAAAAATAAAATAAACAGGATAGAGATTTGGAGCAACATAGGGAGACCGCTTCTCTACAAAAAAATTTAAAAAACAAATTATTCAGGCATGGTGGTGCACACCTGCGGTCCTAGCTACTCGAGAAGCTGAGGTGGGAAGATAGCTTTTGCTTGGGAGGTTGAGGCTGCAGAGAACCATGATCGTGTTACTGCACTCCAGCCTGGGTGACAGAGTGATACCCTGTCTCAAAGAAAAAAGAGAGAGAGGGAGAGAGAGAAAATGTAGAAAGAACAAAATATTAAAAAACAAAATCTACCATTAATATATTTAAAGAAACATGAAAATATATTGCATTCATGAAACAAGAAAAAGATATTGTAAAAAAAAAAAACAAAATTTCCCAAGCATTTAGCAAAGAACAGCTTCTAAAAATAAAATTTTAAGTTTTAAATTAACATTTTAAATGGAAATTAAGATATATTTAATCAACAAATATGCAAATATGCACTAAATGCTTGCTATATGCCAGGCACTGGTGACATGAAAAGCCCTGCCCTCTGGCAGCTCACATTGCATCAGACAGAGATAGGTCATAATCAAATGCAGTTACAAGTAAAACAGAGAGACTATCAGCTGGCTGACAAGTTCTATGGAGAAGAAAAGTGGGATGAAAAAGAAAGAGCACCAGGAGTAGGGTTGTTTTTTTGTAAAGAGTGATCAGGTAACACTGGTGCAGAGATCTGAAGTAACTCAGATGGTAAGCCACATGGATTTCTGAGTGGGGAGCATTCCAGCCAGAAGGAAAAGCCAGTGCTAATGTCCTGAGGTGGGACTGCGCCTTGCTCCTAGACAAGGAAGCTTGTAGAGGTGGAAGTGATAGGGCCTTGGGGACATAGAGGTGACACAGTACAGATTTTGTAAAGTGCACCCATGAGACCCAGTGGCCTATACCATAGCAAATAATTTGCAATGTTTCCTATATTACCTTGAAATGAAATCCGTAGGTAATAGAACCTACTTACACACACACATAACTAAAAAAAAAAAAAACCTAATGTTATCCTCTAATAGTAATATATGTAAGAAATTACTAAAAAGATATGTAAACCCTAGTGTATGATTACGGTGGAAGATATAATGAAGTAGTCAAGTTCTTTACCCTTAGTCAGAATCATCATAAATGTGGCATAAAAATGTTGACTGATACAAGTGTGATATAGTGGTGACTCAAATATGAGTGGCATTTGTGAAGAGAACAATGATTGATAAAGTTTTTAAAAATGAAGTGATATATGATGTCCACAGAGGACACCAAAAAGTCATGCAAGAGACAAGAAGAGTCTTCACTGTGTGGGTCATCCACTCATTGCAGAATATCTAGCAACCCTGCCCTGCTCACGAGATGAAGAGTGTGTCAGGCCATTTTTGCGATATTATAAAGGAATACCTTCGGCTGGGTAATTTATAAAGAAAAGAGATTTAACTGAGTCATGCTTCTACAGGATGTACAGGAAACATGGTGTTGACATTGGCTCCTGGTGAGGGCCTCAGGAAGCTTACAGTCATGGCAGAAGGTGAAGTGGGAGCAGACATGTCACACGGCAAGAGGGGGAGCAAGAAAGAGAGGGGAGAGGTGCCATGCTCTTTTAAACAACCGTGTCTCATATAAACTACCAGAATGAGAACTCACTCATTATCACAAGGGCGGCACCAAGCTATTCATGAGGGATCTGTGCTCTTGACTGAAACACCCCCCACCAGGCTCCACCTCCAACACTGGGGATTACAATTCAACATGAGAGTGGAGGGGACAAATATCCAAACCATATCACATGGTGACAGCAACACCTCCAGACAATTTTACAAAAGACCCCCTTCATAGCATTACCATCCTCGTTGAGAAACACTGATGGGAGGCCTGGAAAGCCATTTTAGATGTTTTTGGCATTTACTAGGAGCAATATGAAAAGCTACTGGAAGATGCTCATCAGAGAAATATGATTTTTCTCATGTTTTTAAAGACCTCTCTAGTTGTGTTAAAAATAGACTTGGGGAAAGGGCAGAAGCAGTTGCATTGTTTGGAGGCTCTGGAATCAGCCAGAGTGGCCGTAGCTCAGGCAGTTGGTGAGAAGTAGCTGGATTGTGGATATCTTTTTATGCAGAGCTAGCAGGATTTGCTGATGAATTTCATGTGAAAAATAATAAAAAGGGATGACTCAAGAATGGCAATATTAGGTACTGGGCTTCTCTGAGGCAGTGTTCTAATGCACTGTCCATGATTCTTTTGTAGTGGTTTCTTGGCATGAAGTCCAATCCAAAGTTTTTGGTTTTTGTGAAGCTATGTCTTCCACTTGTCACTAGTCTGGAAGGTTGTAAGGCCTTCACTTTTGCCTTTCACTTGTCACCCAGAAGCCTTCTTTGGAGATCAGAGCTCTGACTATAGCATTAGAATGGTTACTCATCCTGAATTTCTTTAATAAAGCCTTACTTGTGGTCTAATACTGCAAATCTCATTAACCTGACCAATATATTCATTCCACCTGATCATCTTACCGTTGCACAGCTGGTAAACTAAAGAAAAAGGTGAAATAAGTTTTCTAGTCCTCAAGGGAATAGGGTGAGAGCTGCACAAATCCTCTGTTTTTCATGGACAGAAAACTTCAGTCATAGAGACTAATTACTAAAAACAGAAAATATAACAACAATTTAAAGTGAACATTTTTGTTGTTCACATGCAGCTGCATGATGTTGCTGCAAAGGACATAACAGCATTACAGCAGAGAAGAATCAACTTGTCCCAGTGGTTGGATATAAGAATTAGGAATTATAGCTAAAAATGACCTTCAATGTGTAATTTATTTATTTTATCCATAAAATTCATGTAAATTTTACATTTCACTCTCTATTATTTTATATTATTTTTAATAGAAAGGTCATATTTTAAATTACTTTCTATCAAGTTGGTGTAAAAGTTATTGCATTTTTTGCCATTAAAAGTGATGATTAAAAGTGTGCATCTTCCAGTAGCTTTCCATATCGCTCCTAGTAAATGCCAAAACCTCTGAAATGGCTTTCCAGGCCTCCCATCAGTGTTTCTCAGTGAGGATGGTAAAGCAATGAAGGGAGCCTTTTGTAAAATTGTCTGGAGGTGTTGCTGTCACCATGTGATATGGTTCGGATAATTGTCCCCTCCACATCCCATGTTGAACTCTAATCCCCAGTTTTTGTCATTACTTTTAAGGGCAAAAACTGCAGTTACCTTTGCACTAACCTAATATTAAGTGAAATGGATAAAATCGGTACATACATTATGTGTTTTTGGTGGCTTCCTATACCCATACTGCTATGTATACCCAAAGGGGATTTGTATTAGATTGGGTATAAAACATGGCACAGTCAAATAGAGTAATTGAGGAGGTTCTAAAAAATACACCTTTTTTTTGTTTGTTTTTATAATTTCAACTTCTATTTGATATACAAGGGGTACATATGCAGGTTTGTTACGTTGGTATATTGTACGATGCTGAAGTTTAGGGAATGATTGATCTTATCATCCAGGCACAGAGCATAGTGCCCAATAGGTAGTTTTTTAACCTTTGCTTCCCTCATTCATTCTCCCCTCTGGTAGTCCCTAGTGTCTCTTGTTTCCATCTTTATGTCCATATTTATTCGATATTTAGCTCCCACTTATAAGTGAGAACATGTAGTGTTTGCTTTTCTGTTCCCGCATTAATTCTCTTAGAATAGTGACCTTGAGCTGCATGATGTTGCTGCAAAGGACATAATTTTATTTTTTAATGGCTTCATAGTATTTCATGATGTATATGTACCACATTTTCTTTATCCAATCTACCACTGACGGACACCTAGGTTGATTCCATATCTTTGCTATTGTGAATAGTGCTGTGATGAACATACAAGTGCATGTGTCTTCCTTATAAAATTATTTATTTTCTTTTGGATATATACCCAGTAATGGAATTGTTGGGTTGAATGTTTGTTCTGTGTTAAGATCTTTAAGAAATCTCCAAACTGCTTTCCATAGTGGCTGAATTAATTTACACTCCCACCAACAGTTAATAACTGTTTACTTTTCTCTGCAGCCTTGCCATCATCTGTTGTTTTTTTGACTTTTTAGTAATAGCCATTCTGATTAGTGTGAGATGGTATCTCATTGTGGTTTTGATTTGCATTTCTCTGATGATTAGTGATAATAAATATTTTTTCATATTTTTGTTGGCTGCTTGTATGTCTTCTTTTGAGAAGTACCTGTTCATGTCTTTTGCCCATTTTTTGATGATGTTATTTGTGTTTTGTTTGTTGAATTGTTTAAGTTCCTCATAGATTCTGGATATTAGACATTGGTCAAATGCATAGTTTAAGTATATTTTCTCACATTCTGTAGGTTGTCTGTTTATTCTGTTGATAATTTCTTTTGCTGTGCAGAAGCTCTCTAGTTTAATTTGGTCTCATGTGCCAAATTTTGTTTTTGTTGCAATTGCTTTTGAGGACTTAGTCAAAAATTATTTCCCAAGGCTGATGTCCAGAATGGTGTTTCCTAGGTATTTTTCTAGCACTCTTATAGTTTGATGTCTTACCTTTAAATCTTTAATCCATCTTGAATAAATTTTTGTATATCATGAAAGGTGGGGATCTAGTTTTATTCTTCTTCATATAGCTAGTCAGTTATCCCAGCACCATTTATTGACTAGGGAGTCCTTTCCCCATCACTTTCTTTGTCAAGTTTGTTGAAGACCAGATGGCTGTAGACATGTGGTTTTATTTCCGGGTTCATTATTCTGTTCCATTGGTCTATGTGTCTGTTTGTGTACCAGTACCATGCTATTTTGGTTACTCTGGTCTTAGAGTTTGAAATCAGGTGTTGTGATGTCTCCAGCTTTGTTCTCTTTGCTTAGGATTGCTTTGGCTATTTGGGCTCTTTTTTGGTTCCATATAAATTTTAGAATAGTTTTTTTTTTCTAGTTCTGTGAAAAATGATATTGGTAGCTTGATAGTAACAGCGCTGAATCCATAGATTTCTTTGGGCAGTATGGCCATATTATTGACATTGATTCTTGTAATCCATAAACAGGAAATATTTTTCCAATTGTTTGTGTCATTTATGCTTTATTTCATCAGTGTTTTGTAATTCTCCTTATAGAGATCTTTCACCTCCTTGAATAAATGTATTCCTAGGTATTTTATTTTTTTGTGGCTATTACAAGTGTGATTATATTCTAAATGGGAGTAGGCAGAGCTAAGGAAAACCATCACAGATTAGTAACATACTGCAATGGGTTGAATGGCAACTTTCTTCACAATATGTCCATGTCTTGATCTCTAGAACTGTGACTATTTACTTAAGTGGAAGAAGAGTGAATATAAGTATGGTATTCACTTAAATACCATTAAACATGGTAACAGATGTAATTAAATTAAGAAATTTGAGATAAATAGATCATCTGAGATTAGTCAGGTGAATCCTAAATGCATTCACAAGTTACCTTATAAGAAAGAAACAAAAGGAGATAACACAAACAGAAGGGGAGGAGGCAATTTACAGACGAAGGTAGAGATTAGAATAATGTGGCCTCAAACTATGGAATGCAGACAGCCACCAGAAGCTTGAAAAGGGAAGGGAGGAACTTTTTCCTAAATCCTCTGGAAACCACTCAATGTCATGGCAATATGGGGGCAGCTACAAGAAACTAATATAAGCACCCTTGGGCTAGCAATCCTAAGGGCCATTACCTATATCAGGCCTGAATTGTCAGAGGGAGGGAGTGGCTACCAGTGCTGTGGCTGCAGCCCTAGCTGAAGCCCTAGGAGAAGACTACTTGACAAGTGCTATGGCCTTTGCTAGAGGAGGGATTGGGGTGGAGTGCAGTGGGGGAGGCAGATACCTCAATCCTCTAATATTTTCTGCATGACCCATTGAAGCCAATCAGAAGCCTGGCATCAGGAGAACCTGGTTGATCCCATCCATAGAAATCAGCCTGTCTGGAGAGAGCAAAGTGAAGCAGAGTAGAGGGAGATCAAGGAAGGTGAACAGAGAATATTTGTCATGCTTGCACTCCAGTTTGATAACCTCTGGTGGAAAGAGTATTGCCTTATCAGTCAGGAGACTTGGATTCCAGTCTTTCTGCCACTAACTACCCATGCGCTCAGGTATCTCTGCCCTTCATTTTCCAATCTATTAAGAATATGACATTTGTTTTAAAACTTGATGAGTTGAAGAGTTAAGGATGTCTCAGGGATGATCAGCCACTGAGGCTCAGAAGGGGAAAGAGACCTTTTATGCCACACTACTGACCAGGTCAAAGCAGGGACACAATCTCACAAGTGTTAATGCTCAAAATAGTTTTTCTAGGCTTTGTGGAAGAGATCTGTTGTTATGCACTTAGAAAAGTGGAAAGTGCTACCAAGAGTGAGGTGAGTGAAAGAAATGCTCTTGTTGGAGTGGGGGCCCTCATTTCCTGGGAAATGCTGTGTGCCTTTGTTTCTGATCCTTTCATTGTTCTGCTCCCTATGCCTCCTGTCCTGCTCCTCACTGCATCTTATGTGTCTTTCTCAGCAATGCCTTTCCTGACCAAAGTTGACTTAATCTTAAAATTCTTTGGGCCAACTATGTTCTTTGCATATTTCTCTATTATTTCACTATCACACTGTACTGCAGTTATTACACTACATGCTATCCTTTGACAGTAAGACACTGAAGGCAAGAAAAGTGCTATATTTCTCTTTACCTTCAGATCTAGTACAGTGCCTGGCACCTAGCAGATCCTCAGTATTATTATTGAATGAGTGGATGAAATGGCAGAGGCCAGGCACGGTGGCTCACCCCTGTAATCCCAACACTTTGGGAGGCCAAGGCGGGAGGATAATGAGGCCAGGAGATCGAGACCAGTCTGGCTAACATGGTGAAATCCCATCTCTACTAAAAATACAAAAAATTAGCAGGGCATGGCTGAGGCAGGAGAATCATTTGAACCCAGGAGGCTGAGGTTGCAGTGAGCCGAGATTGTGCCACTGCACTCCAGCCTGGGCGACAGAGCGAGACTCTGCCTCAAAAAAAAAAAAAAAAAAAAAAAAAAAAGCAAAGCAAAGCAAAAGGAAATGGCAGAAAAATGCCTGAAATTTTGGAAGTAAATGACTTTCTCAGAATCTTAGATGTACCCAACTATGTGCTTCAAAGAGTGTTCAGAGATAGGTGAGGCAAAACTTACTAATCCAGGCTGGCTCCTTTTCTGTCCCAGTATTCTCCGACCACCTAAGTGTTCTCATAGCATCCTGGATGAACATAGATCTAGAATATACCACAGTGCATGAAATCATCTCTTCCTGTATGTGTCCTCTGCTATACTGGGAGCCCCTGAAGATGGATGTCCAGCACAGAGATACCAATTGAGTTTTATTAAAATTAACAGAATGTCTACATAGTTGAGATTTTTTTAAACCTTGACAATGGTCATAGCACATAAAAAATGGCTAGATGAATTTTTACAAATTTTTGATGATACGTGTGGAATGGTATGATACAAATTTTAAAAAATGTGTAGCATATGCAAGATTTAGTTTTGAAGGGGGTCCTAGTAAGAAACTCAACGAGTCATCCTTTGGAGTTGCTGAAACTGAAGATCAATGAAGAGCCCCTGTGACTTTGGATCCAGAGAGACATGGCATATGTATGAGAAAACAGAGCATGCTTTCAAGTAGAGCCCCAAAGTGAAAGTCAGGCCACTGGGGTAGGTGCTTTAAATAGTCAGTATTGATTTATGTCAAGGCTGCTTCTCAATTGGACATCTCTGTGTTGCCTGCTCCAGGGTGACTAGCAGCAGGGATTTTTAATTTAACTACAGGTAATGATTCTCACCAGCAACAGGGGACAGCCAGCTAATCTTTCTGATGTCAAGGGCTTTACAAGGACCTTCTAAAACATTAGTTCTCCCAACAACCCTGTGAAGAAGTAATTTTATGTTCAATTTCTATAAGGAAGCTGAAGTTTGGAAATTTAAGTGGCTTGCCCAAGCGCACAGGACTAGCATGTAGTCAGCTGTGATGCAGCTCACCCTTTTCTAATGACAAAGGTGAAGATTATTTCTTTAACTAATGCTGGCTTCACCAATAAAAGTTGTTAAAGAATGTCAGCCTTTCAATGGATTCAGTACTCTGATGAATTGGAGTCCTTTTTCTCTCTCTTGTTGATGGATACAAATGTTAGTGAGAAGGAAGCCTCAGTAACTCAGGGTTTAACCTCCAGCCTGACAACTCTCAGGTTTCAGATGTAGCCTTTTGTCTCTTAGCAAGTTTTTAATTTAGTCTTACAATGGTGTCTAAAGGCACAGTTAGAAATTAAGAGATAACTTGCTGAGAGAAAACCTCAAAGTTTTCTTGAATGTGGCTGAATCCATAACACAATTTCCCTGACTGTACTCTGTGTTAGAAAATGAACAGGAAGAGTGAGCCCATGAGAGACTCAGATGCTTAATGGGAGGTGATGCAAGTAATGAGGACCTATTGCACGCTGTCAGGCAATGTGTCTTCTACTCTTAGCTTCTTGCCAGAGTTGGGTATTAATCAATTACTTCCTGGTTCTGAGCCTCTCTGACAAGGCTTCTGTCTGTCATTTAATGTCATTTACCACCAATTCCCTTCCCCCTGCCCTCCCTCCTGCCAAGTACAGTTGGAATGATATTGAGTGAATCCAAGTGGTAATTTTCCATCGATCTATTTGGCAATGTGGTTGAACGAGGAATGAGGTGGCGGTCAAAGGTGATCAGCAAGTAGAGTCTGAGGAACGTGCTGAATACTAGGAGAAAATCTGCTTCTGTTGGGTTCCCTGCTAGTGAATAGCTGAAAATTTTTCCACCTCTAACTCTTAGCAGGGCTGGGATTTTAATCTCTGCTGTCTGGCTTAGCTCCTTTTAAAAGCAAAGTGGGATGACTTTTGACCCTATAGTATGAATGTGATGGTAAAAATTCAGAGAAACAGTGGGTTGACTGAGAAGAATAAAAAGGTGCCACACAGTGTCATGGAAATGACCTGTGGGAGCTCTGCCTTCACAGCATTGGCTGGTAGCTATTAGCGTGGACTTCAAAGACAGAGAGACCCAAATCCAAATCTCTCCACCACTATTTTCTAGCTGTATAACCTTAGAAAAAATTTTTCTCTCTTTGAGCCTCAATTTCTTCATAGGTAGAATAATAGTATTTGCTGTGTAGTTGTGTGGATTAATGCTTTACAATGTGACAATGCTTAGTATCTACAAATGATCATTTGATAATAGTTTTTAACAGACCACAGTCTCAAGATTGGCTGTGCATTAGAATGACCTGGAGAGCTTTAAAAGAATCCCAATACTCAGGCAACACTTGACATCAATCACGTCTGGACCTCTGGTATTGGAGATGCAGATATCAGTATTTTTAAAAATCTCCCCTGGTGATTCTAACATGTGAACAAGAATGAGAATGACTGTAAAAATGTATTATTAGCACATAAAATTCCATCTTGTGCAGATTCCATTTGTATAAAAGTGAATAATGGAATGAAGCTAAATTCCATTTAAGACCAATTGTAGGCCCGGTGCTCCTCACAATAGTCCCATTTTACAGATAAGCAAAGCAAGAGGTTTGTGGGAGTTAAAATAAGTATATAATGGAGCTGGGATATCAATGCAGGGACTCTAAATTATAATCAATGCAGTTTTCACTACGTTTGGACCCTCTATTTTCTAGGTTAATCTTATGGCGTGGTGCTTGGATTTAGTTTAGAATCTGCTCTTCTTGTTAAATTCTGGGATAAGTCTGGCAGGAAGCAGCCAGGTGATCAACATAAAGCATTCATTGCTCCTTTTTCTTTATCACATGGCTAACAGGAGATTACAGCAGACAATTTGGTTATTTGATGAGCAGAGGCACAGATGTTGAACCTGAGTGTAGGATTCTGTTCCTACTATACCCACGTATTTTTAGGCAAGTCACTTACCCTCTCTGAACTTTCTACTCTTCAACTGCAAACAGCAATAGACGTGAAAATTCTGTGTATTTCTTCTTCATCTTTTAAAGGTGAAATTAGTAAAATGAGCCGGAACCTCATTTCAGCTGGAGGTTCAGCATGGAGGAACTCCTAATAATTTTTCCTCACATACTTCCTCACACAAACTCAAGTTAATCCAGACACAAACAAAAAAGAGCACTGAGAGGTGGAGTCTTTTCCAATCATTGTGGGCTGGTTTAGGTCTCCAAGGCCACAGAATGAAAAGTTTATTGAGGAGAAAGAAGCGCAGTGGCCAGTGTCGGGGGCTTGCAAATTATCCACCAGGGAGCTTCCCAACCAGTGACCCTGAATGGTTATACATGTAGAAAAACTTTTACTCCTTAGTTCTTGGGGCAGCCAGGAAGAGCTGAGGGTGGCCAGAACCACAGATCATCCCTTTGGCTTACATAGTAGAGATTGTGTGCCATGATCAGTGTTTCGTAGGTCAAGAAGTGCAGAAGGTTGGGAGGCACTGTTTTCCTTGTCCCCTCCCTCACCTCCACTGAGGTCTGCCCTGGTTGCCAGGCACTAGGAAGGTTATGTGAAAAATACTCACCATAGCACTTTGTTGTCTATTGTAGGCACAAGATCCTAGTAACCTAAAATGACTCAGCAGTGGCCATGGAGCCATAGAGGGTCCATTAATGGCCATGATGCTCTGTATGACACCATTCTTGAAGGCTCAGTGCCAGGCAGTAACAGCCTTTCCAGGGAAGCTTAGCCCAGGCCCAAATCCAAAGAATGTGGTGGAACATGCTGACCTTTTTAGTCATAGTGGGGGGTTGTGTGCTTTAGACGTTTTATTACAAAGCAAGGAGATTCAAATAACTATCCATTAGAGTTTCTGCCCTTCTGGAGGAAAAACATTAAGTTTTTGAGAGGTTTAGCTAAATTGAAAGTGAATTTGCAGACCTTAAATCAATTGTACTGGAAGTTAGACTGAGAATTAACTATGAGGTCCAGCAAATGTAATGACCAAGGATAAAGATCTTATACTGTTTACTTTGTCCTAAACTCTTATTAAAAGTATGGAAAAAAGATAAATTTAAATGTTCGCATGTTTGGCTGGTGACTGACATTACAGGTAAGACTCAGTCCTTAGAAGACTCAACAAAGCAAGTCCAACCTCAAGTATCTACAAAGAAAATGTCCTTCAAAACCCATCAAAAGAATGGACAACAGCTTTGGCAGACAGTAAAATTCCAGTCTTCAGAGAAGCAGGTAGCTGCTTTCACAAGAACCTAAAAAAAAAAAAAAAAAAAAAAAAAAAGGAAGGGAAGAATGGACTCAATTCTTAAAGAGAAAGAAAAACTTTAGAAAACCCTAAACTGCCTATGGAGTTAGTTCCTAATAATAAAGACAGTCAGATTAAGTTTTAGATGAACACTTGCTAATGGTGAGTGATTGAGCTGCTTTTTTCAGGGGAATACAGCATGGATCATGAAAACTTGGAGTTGAATATACTGAAGGCATCTAATGGAGACTTCTTACATAATGGATCCAGAGGAGTTTGGAATGTGGTGAAATTACTGACTTACAGTATCTCAAAGTGAGAGTTCTGTCAACTGAGAAAATTTGACAACATAACAAAAGAAAATGTCCAAAGGTTGACTGAGGAGGAACTTGAAGGTTCTGAAAAATATCCTTCCATTCTTGATGTGCTAAGTGGCACATTTGGCAGAAGCATGATCTAGAATCTCCTGGATGATCAGATCCCTGAGGAAGAAAGACCATCGGGCTGTGATGTTGTGATGTTGCAGGTGCAAATGGCCCAATGACCATTGTTGATCTGTTGTCAGCCCCTGGAGTCCCTCCAGTCTGGCCAATTCCATCCTTAGTCAGTAGGTTTACCACGACAGCAAGACAGCTCATCTTGGTGCTTCTCATGCAAGCAGAAGCTCAATAACTTCCTTTGATTCAACCTCCCCACAAGATAGTGGGGCAGCCAGCCCAGGCTCTGGTCCTTTGCATTGTCCTCCAGTCAGAGGTCAGATGTGGAGAGGGGTCCCAGACAGGAGTTCCTTGAAAAGAAGACACCTGTGCTTCCTTCTATGCTGGAAAGTGAGACAAAGCTCCCTCAGAGTCCTTCCCACCAAGGGTTCTCCCTGGCCTACCCACTGTATGCCATTAGCAATAAGGAATGTCTCAACACCAACCACTAGATTTGCTCCTTTTTCTATAGAACCTGGAAACACAAGGGGATCACATTCAAGCTGATCTGTCTTCCATTGAGTCTACTTTGAAGGTCCAGAACAACAGCAAGATGTTGTTTTTTTCCAAATATTTTTTGATCTCTTTCAGTATTCAGTAAGGGACTAGATGATGGCTCCATTAGAAACATGACAGTTTATAATTAATTGTCAGTATAATATATTAGAGTTGTGAGACAGAGTCTCTGTCTGTCACCCAGGCTAGCGTGCAGTGGCACGATCTCGGCTCATTGCAACCTCCGCCTCCTGAGTTCAAGCGGTTCTTCTGCCTCAGCCTCCCAAGTAGCTGGGACTACAGGTGCACACCACCACACCCGGATAAGTTTTGTATTTTTAGTAGAGACGGGGTTTCACTATATTGGCCAGGCTGGTCTTTAACTCCTGACCTCGTGATCCGCCTGCCTCGGCCTCCCAAAGTGTTGGGATTACAGACGTGAGCCACTGTGCCCGGCCTATAACATAAATCTTATATGCTAATTAATCTCATGTTATTCAATTCACAGATAGTATAGCTGGAATATTTTTGCTGTCATTAATTGAAATAGATGCACTGTATATTGGTTCTTAATGTTTAACATGTTCCTGTAATATCAATTGTAGTAAGAGTTTTACATGGAAAGTTTCATCAGTGGGAACATTTTAAGGTCGAGATTTTTTTCTGAATTTCTTAAGATGGATGGTGGTAATGATTGCACAACAGTGTGAATGTACTTGACACTAAATTTTACACTTATTAAAATGATTAAATTGGTAATTTCTATGTTATATATATTTTACCACAATAAAAAACTGTTTTTTAAAAAAGAAAAAGAATATCCTAGTAAAATCTGCAGTTTGGTTAATAGTAAAAAAAAAAAACCTTTTATGTATAGCAGAAGCACATTACACTCTGGTTTAAAAATTAATATTATTTACCCTTATAAAATTAGGTTAATAAAACAAGCCAAATGCTTTATGAACAAGATGATAGGCCTACATTTTGAAGATACTTTTACTTCTCATTGTTCATGTATAAGAAAAATTATCCAGTTTTATTGAGTTATTTTGGAATTCAATAAATCGAAAATACATTGTAGAATACCACACTATTGTCTGTTTTTATGATGATCTAGCTCTACTTTGTAGCTACCGGTGAAAATACAGCCCAGAGAAGTGTTAACTTGCCCAGCAAGGAATAGTAGGTTCATGTCAGGGTTAGGAATACATCCCAGTTTCCTGAATCCCAGTCTTGATTTTCTTTTTCCCTTTAAATGATGCTGTTTTCCACCCGCCAAGATACCTACTAATCAAGAAGTGTCTGTGGTGGAGATACACTTTTTTACATTTGGGAGATTTTACATCACTTGCTATGTTTAGAGCATTTGCAGAGTACCAGCTTGTCAGATCACCTGAATCATTCTATTATGCTCACAGATTATTGTAATCAATAGATCATTTGGTTTTTATGAGTATTGCATAGTTAATATTTGGGTAGGGTGGAAAGGAAATATTTAAGTCAATGTTTACTTGTAATCAGTATTAGAACTTGGACTGAGACTTGAGACCTGAATTAGAAGGCTTGTAGAATATTTAATTTTGGGATTTTGGAACTTATAATAAAGTCATTTTGTTTTTTCAGCTTAATGTGTCTGCAAGGTCAGTGATTGTAACTGAGCACTGCAATTCCAATAATCCCTGTGGTTTGGCAGAGAATTCATTCCAGGGTGCATACCCATGCATACCTTTAGAAGAAAATAGCCTAGGGTGAATTTCTGTATGTGTGATGTGCACCCAGGGACTTGAATTATTTCAGTGTGTGTATAAAGGCTGAATTACTATTATACTTACCATTATACAGGGTCACCGTTCATCAAACACATTACAGTGTATCAAAAAGGAGAGGGGTTTTGTGCTAGAATGCAGTGGGGGCTTTATCTGGAAAAAGTCATATGAAGGAATCTGAAAAGGTCAGTAACAGGAGCAGGAACTGATAGAATGAGATTCAGTCTTGGCAAATGCAACTTGATACATATGGGACAAAATAATGTGAAACACAGATATTAAATGGATTAGAAAAACCTGGAAAGCTCTGATGGTGAAAAAGACATTGGAGTCTTGCTGAGGGTGACAAATTATATTTGGGTTTATAATGGGCACGCTAAATGAGCTCATGCTATTTTTGGCTATGGAGGCCAAGTTAAGTGCCATATTATTTATGATACAAATCTAGTGTCTTTTTTTGAAAAAAAAACAAAACAAACAAACAAAAAAACAAAAAAAACTATTATTCTTATCCTACTGTTCCCTTTTCCCCAATCTAAGCAGCCCCACTTCCCTGGATTTTGCTGTAATGTTGGAAAGAAAGGTTGCCCGTGTGGTATGAGAGAGACCTGCAGAGTGTGGGGTTTTGTTTTAGGGACATCTCATTACATAGCTACATACATCATTTAGTGAGATAGAAATGACTTAATTGTTAAAAAAATGAAAAAAAAAAAAAGAAAGCAAAACCATCTTTTCAGGAGTAAGTAATTCCCTTTTTCCTACTAGGTTACATGTGAAGAAATATCCTTATCCTGGATAGGAAAAGATCATTTTCCATAGAAGACTCAACATGAGCCCATATACATTGCATGTACATTTGAATGCCAATTGGCAGTAGGAGGAGATTTAGGATTTTGTGTGTGTGGCAAAGACAAGAGTCTGAAAATCATTGATTTTGTGCTCTTGCCTTCTTAAGAAATTAATAACTGCATTTGAAAAATTGAAATTCTCAACTTCTGATTTGACTTAAAAAATCAGGTAAATCATTTGTCAACTGTACCTTGATATCCATAGACTATGCCTAATAATGGATTACTTACAAATGATTTTTATTAGGTCCTTTCTGGTATATATGGGTGCTTTAATAAGGATAAAAATTGTTTTTCACAGTCTGAAGGATTGACTATATGTAAACATGAGAATTATAATAACAGTTTCTCTATGAAGGTAAAATATAATAAGGCAGTTATATACTGAATCTTTCCAAGGATTCCCATTTATACAAGAAAAGTGATCACAGAGAGTGCAGTTTTAGATCATTTAAAAAAATAGAGCACTGGAAAACTTTGTGGGTAAAAGAATCACTATTGCAGTGAAATAATGTTTCTTTCCCCTTCACTAATATATTTGATGGCATACTTGCAATTATATATTCATTCCTTATTCTTTCCATTGGATGAGTGTCTTTCACATAAACAATGCTGTGCTAGGCACAGTGGTGAATGTAGAGAAGTATAAAACCTTACTCAGGAGGCTGAGGTGAGAGGATCACTTGACTCCAGGAGCTTGAAGCTATAGTGAGTTATGATTGTACCACAGCACTTCAGCCTAGGGGACAGAATAAGACCCTGTCATTACAAAAACAAAAACAAAAACAAACAAACAAAAGTGCATAAAACCTGGTTCTTATACTCTGGAAAAAAAGAGTGATAATAAAATGATATCCAGACCAGTGGAAATTGTTGGTGTTTATTAACTCGCTGATCATAGCAAATTATTTAACCTCTCCAATATTCAGATTTTTTGTCTGTCAATGGATGTAAATGTATGCCAAATAAGATTTTTGCTGAAATTCATTTAGCAATGTGTCTATACATCCATATAGTGGCTGATATCTAGTAAACTTAACTTCTCTTCACCCTTTTAAATGGCAATGTAAAATAATATATGGTAATTGCTGAAGGTGCTCAGGAGAAGATTTCTGTATAATGAAGTAGTCAGAAAAAGCTTTGCTAAAGATGTGGGGCTTTAAAAAGAGAAAGATGGGGTCTACGTAAGTACATTTTTTGAATATATCTTTGAAAGAAGTGAGGGCCCCATTGACCAGACACTGGCACTCTTTCCTAGTGGCAGACACTGACACTGTTTCCTAAAGTCAATCCAGCTTTGTAGAGGTAAACGCAGATGTAGAAAGCATAGTGTACAGACTAATGTCCTGTGCCTTAGCATCAGAAAGAACTGGGTTCCTATCTGACTCCACCAGTTACATGCTGTGCGATCTTGATCAAGTTACATAAATTCTCTGAGCATCAGCTGCCTTACCTGTAAAATTGGCAGACTGTAGGGAAAACAGTCTGTGAGGGAGACTGAAGAGTCAATTAATTATATGCAAGGTGCTCAGAACAGATCCTGGCATTAACTATATAAGCATTAGTGGATGTTAACATCTCTGAACTCAGGATACATGTTAAAATCAACTACATGTCCATCTATATTAGCTGGATTATCCTAGAAAACAGAGCCTGAGGCCAAGATTGCATACTGATGCTTTACTGAGGGGTGGGGGTGTGAGGTGGAGATTGCATTCCCAAAGAGTGACAGGAAAATGCAAGTGGATCATGAAAGGAGAGATTTAAAAATGGGAGATGTATTGCCAGGCTGGCCACAGCTTCATGAGGAAAGCAGCCAGTTATGAGCCAGAAAAGATATGTCTGGAAAAGCTATAAGAAATCACCGTGTCTCAGAACATTTTCTTGTCTGTGAGAAAATGGTGAACAATTTCCTTCGCATTGCCTGTCTTTCATTGGTCACAGTTTGGTTTAATTCACCCACTTCTGGGCTGTGTTATCTGACACCCTCCAGGCAGCCACTGGGAAAGAGAGAGCCTACAAGGATTTGGGTGGGTTGGACGCTGTGGAACTCCCCACAGCCCCCAACTATTAAGTGAATACAGTGGCTGTTTGCACATTGGAAGGCCTAGGCTTAGGTGGCCCTGCCATTATAACCAGGGGACTGCTTGAGTTACTGGAGCTGGAAGGAGGACAAGCAGTCTAGACATGGGAGACCAGTGAGACATATTAGATCTAGTGAAGAGCACAGCTGGGTTCAGTACAGAGGTGCATAAATTAATTAGTTGCATCTTAGATTCAGTTAAATATTATAATATGAGCACCAACTTCTTAGGGATGTCTTAAAGGATTAAATGAGCTTAGCGGTGGGGCTGGTACAAAGCAAGTTCTCATTCAGTTTAAACTCATGCTATTAACACTGTGGCTCTTATTCTTAGAAACTTAAAGAGAAAAAAAAAAGGTTTAAGCATGGCAATGGAATAAAATGAAGCTTTATGACTAATGAAAAGACTCTCACAGGAAAGTGTAGGGGCACCTGCTTGATTTTTGAACTTGTAGTATCCTTATAACCTGCTCTGGAAATAGAGTCCTTCAGGTGTATCAGGGTTTTTTGCTGCTTCTTTTTTTTTCCCCTAAAACCAATGTTGGATTCATTTTACATTTAGAGAGGAGAAATGTAAATTTTATTCAGTTAGTACATCTCCACTTAAAGTGTACACATTTGAAAATCAATAATTTACATACACAATTTCTATCAGCAATTATATATTTGCTCATTATACAAGTTGTATGGATGAGATGAAAAAGCAATGCAAGAGACTAGCAAATTCCCAAGAATGTCCACATGCAAACTGATTTTAAGTTTATGCTACTCAGTTTGGGAGCATATTGCATTGAAACTTAGTATAAATCTGAAGAACTTCTCCTTGGAAGAGGATAGCCTTTGATGAAACATGTATTTTGCAGCATTTAGAGGTGAAATTTCTTGTAATTTGTAGATAGTTTTACGGTTGTGTTCCAATTGCCAATGCAGTCCCGAGTCCCAGATACTTTAATGTCTTTCATTGCTTTCTCTTTACAACTGAATTGAATATCCATAAATTAGATATTTTTACTTCTATCAGATGATGTTATTTCTTTTCTCAATTTGTATACAGCCATAATCATGGTGCACCAGAGAGATCTGTGATCTATGAAGAATACGTTGAGTACAGAAATGCCTGATGTTTAAATCCTCTGTGTGTTTAGAGTTTTTCCAAAATCTTTTCAAGCAATTTTCTGGATAGTGTGATATTTCTCTAATTGGCAGAGCATACAATATATGTTAATGAGATGCTTCTTATATAGACTAAATTTGTATATTAAGAACCAGAAATAGGCACTTAAAGATTTGTCTATATGTGCAAGTTCAAATATTTGTCAAATGATCTTCAAAGGACATATAATTCTTTATACACACATATTTAAATATATTAGTTTATGATTGCAAGGAAAAAAATTCTTAATCTCATGCCAAGCCCATTTGGAAAAGTTAGTCTCTAGTATCTGCCTTAGCACACAAGTAAGTGCTAGATAATTTAGAATGGTAGCTTTCCCTTTATCAACAGTTTTCACTTTTATTATGAAATGATATTTAATTCAAACTTAACCCCCAAATACCATATGTCTACCAATTAAGAGCAGGGCATAATAAAAAATAGAGAGAGAGTAGTCAAGGACTGAAAGTATGAAGGAACCCCTGAAGGGTGCCACAGAAGGAACTTTGCTTCATACTCCAGCTGGGCAAAAGTCTTCATGTTTGCATTGCTGGATAATCTTCTCTTTGGAATTATACTGAACACTTTAACAATGTAAATGTTATATCCTCGGTGGGAAGGAATTTAAAAAAAAGAATTGTTGGTCATTGCCCTTTTACTAAATTATTTAATAATTTCCTATTTTCCTTGAGATCAAGGGCAAACTCAGTAGGAATGTGCTATGGACTGAATTGTGACCTCCCCAAATCCATATGTTGCAGCCCTAAGCCCCTGTGTGACAGTATTTTGGAGTTAGAGTCTTTCCGAGGTAATTAAAGTTAAATATAATCATAAGACTAAGGTCCTAATTCAATAAGATGGATATTCTTATAAGAAGAGGCACAAGAGCTCTTTCTCTTCTACTCTCACCACACTATGTGAGGACACAGTAAGAAGGAGCTTACAAGCAAGGCAGAAAAGAAGCCTATGAATAAAACCCATTTTGCTGGCACCTTAAACTTGGACTTCTCAGTTTCTACAACTGCAGGAAATAAATGTTGTTTAAGCCACCCAGTCTGTGGTATTTTGTTATGGCAACCCTAACATACTACTATAGATTTTGGTATTAAGAAGTAGTGGTGCTACTGGAACAAATTAACTAAAAATGTAGAAATTTCTTTGGAACTGGAATGGGTAGAGGCTGGAAGAGTTTTGAGGTGCATGCTAGAAAAAGCATATATTGTCATGAACATAACGTTGATAAAAATAATGTTTAAGGTTATTCTGTTGACGTCTCAGACAGGAATGAGGAATAGGTTATGGGAAACTGGAGAAAGGGTAATCTCTATTATAAAGTAAAAAAAAAAACATGGCTTGTGTTTGTTCTATTGTTTTGTGAAAGGTAAAACTGTCAGCAATGAAATTGGATATTTAGTGGAGCAGATTTATAAGCATAGTGTTGAAGAAACAGCTTAGTTCCTTTACTTCCTCCTGATTGCTAATAGTAAAATGTTAGAGGAGTGGGATGTATTGAGAAAGAATTGTTAAGCCAAAAGGAATCTGAACTTAAAGATTTTCAAAATTCTCAGCCAATCCATATTATAAAAAATGATGAAGCTTATTCTAGAGAGAACACCAAAGGTGTAGCTGGACAATTACTCCATACAGGGATTAACTACAATGTTAATCAATCATCTCAGCAGAACCCAGGAATGCAGATGGAATTGTGCCAGCAGGGCCACTGCCAGTTTGAACTAAAGTGGACAGAGAAAGTCAGACCGAATGAAGGAAGGCCATTGGACCTGGATTTTATGGGAATGTACCACAGAGCTATTTGGCTGTGAATGTGTGCTATTCTTCAAGGAAAGGAAAAAATGACCCCAAAGACAATTCAAAGGTCATCAGAGTTGACACCCCCCTCACAGGTCCACAGGGCAAGGCTGTTTCCTGTTCAGTTTCAGAGAGAAGCGCCACTGCGGAAAACTGTGTGGGTGATGCTGTAGCAGAAAGCAGCAGGGTGGCACCTCACCAAGCTGAAGGAATGAGACTGCCTTCAAAGGGCTGTGGCAGTGATGCTGCCACCCTAGTGGGCCTGGAAGGTGGGACACCAAGCCAAAGAGGGTTGTTCTAGAGCCTTAATATCTAATGAAATTTGCCCTGCTAGGTTTTGGAATGGGAATCTCTATCCTTTACTTGTCCCACCACTGTCATTTGGAAGCACGAAAGACAGCTTCACAGCTAGAGAAAAATTTTGCCTCAAGATGAATCTTACCTTGAGACTCACCCATACTTGATTTAGATGAGACTCTGGACTTCAGTCTTTAGAGTTGACTCCGGAATTAGTCAAGACTTCGGGGGCTACTGGAGTGGAATAATTGTATTTTGTGCATGAGAAGGTCATAAATTTGGGGAGCAGGGGTGGAATGTTATGGTCTGAATTGTGTCCCTCCACCAAATTTATATGTTGTAGCCCTAGCCCCTAGTGTGATGGTATTTGGAGATATGGTTTTTAGGAGGTAATTAAGGTTAAATGAGATTGTATGGCAGCAGGGCGTGGGGGTGGGGCGGTGTCCTAATGCCATAGGATCGGTGGCCTTATACGAAGAGAGAGAGAGAAAGAGAGGCCTTTCTGTCTTTCCATCTCCATGTGTGTGCACTGAGGAAAGGCCATGTGGGGACACAGTGAGGAGGCAGCCATCTGCAAGCCAGGAAAAGAGCCCTCATGAGAAACTGAATCAGCCAGCCCTTTGATCTTCAACTTCTCAGCCTCCCAAACTGTGGGAAGAGTTTCAGCCACCTGGTCTATGGTATTTTGTTATAGCTGCCTGAGCTGACTGATATAGTTTAGGGGCACTCAGAGGCTGGCCACTCCAGTGGTCTTTCAGAATTCTTCTGTCACTCTCCCCAGTTCACCTCAAACCCCACTTCAAGGTGGCTGGAATTACATATTCCGTTCCTTTTCTGTTTAACTCGTCCTCATCTTATTAGGAAAGACATGCATAAAATGAAACTTGGTTTATAAGCTTTCTCTCATCACTCCAGGCAGTTTCCCTGTCCTGCCTCTCCCATACAACTTTGTACCTAACTCAGATAATAGCCATTTTCACACAATTCTACAATTATTGATCAAAGTATTTCACACATTGCACTGATCCTGAAGGCAAAAATCTCATTCTATTGATATTTAAATTATTTAGCCCCCTAGGGAACCATGGTTCAGTGGTTAAGGTCTAGGAAATCAGAGTTGCAGCCTAGGTCTATGACTTTTTGACGTGGGCAATTACTCAAACTTTCTTAGATTCTTTATCTGTAAATGGGGAAGATAGAAAAGCTAATCATGACTGCAGGGCTTGCTAAAACACAGATGGCTGGACCCTACCAGGATTTCTGATTTAGTACATCTGGGAGAGGTGGGGTTCAAGAGCTACATTTCTAATATGTTCCCTGGTGATGCGGATGCTGCTGGTCAAGGGGCGCAGGGTGAGAAATACAACACCTTGTGAATCATCACAACCAAGTGGTTCATACATTCATTCAACATGTATTTACTAAGGACCCTTATGTGTCAGCTCTGGGTAGGCATTAGGGATACAGGAGTGAATAAGTAAAATTTCATTTCCTCAGAGACCTTAAAAATCTCTTGGAAACAGATGTAAAACAATAAACAACAAAACCAACAAAAATAACTTAGGATTAATGTGAGGGAGATAAGACAGTTTCTTAGGGAGCCAATGATTAGGTTGATGACAAAAGGCCTCCCTGAGAAGGTGACCTTTGATTTTGAGACAGTACAAGGAAGAGACTGAGTCCTGGTAGACAAGTGACAGGGTAACCAATGTCCTGATGGCTCTTACATTCCTCCACTACTTTTTGGCCTCCCTTAACAAGCTGACCCAACTCACATGATCAGGAAGGGGGACCTCTACCTAACTTAGCTGGCCAGGTTGAATTTCTGGCCATAAAAGGAAGAACATAACCATCTAGCTTTTCAGTGATGCCTTCCAAGGTTGCTGAAGCAAGACTTTGGCATTCCTGATAAGAACCTCACCAGATACAGCTTCCTGAAGACAAGATGGGCTCCAGTGCCAACCTTTCACTGACTTTTTCCTCATTGTAATCTCATTGTAGTACTACAGTTTCAGCCCAAGGCAGGGCTCATCTGCTACTTTCTGGTCCTGTGATGCATGTTAAAGCATGATACCCCACTGTGCAAGCACAGGAAAGACCCTGCCTAAACATGCTTGGATGGCATTCTTTTTCCAGCCTCACTTTTCTTAAAATGACAAGAGCTGAGCCCCTCAGGGAGCTGGTACCCAGATTTCTTTCCTGTATGCCGCTCCCTTTTGTATTTGAGCCACAAATACCTATGCAACATTGCCTGAGAAAAATTTGTTTGACTTGGTGTTCATTTCTACTTACACCAGAGCCAAAGAACCCGGGGTCCAAACTGTAGTAACAATTTGAGACCTGAGGACGGGAAGGAGTCTATGTTGACCACAGGGGATTGAGGAGAGAGGAAAGCAAGTATGAAGTCCCAGAGGCAGGGCAGAACCTGCAGTGTTCCAGGAAAAGCAAGGAAACCTTACTTTGTGCAAAGAAAATAAGGGATAAAGTGAGGTAGGCAGGAGCCAGGCCACTCATTGCCTTACAGACCTTGGTAAATTGGATCTTATTCAGAATACACTGCAGGTTGACACAGAAAAGGGACATCATCTACCTTATTTTTAAAAGATGATTAGCTGCTATGTGAAAGTTGTAGGGGCTAAGAATACATGCTGTCTTCAGGCTTTGCAAAGTTCAGAGAAGAAATAGATGTGGCTGACACTAGAATAAAGGGATTGGATATGAAGAGCAGTGGACAAGATTTGATAGGGAGTTTGAAAGCAGAGCTTACAAGACCTGGAGAGGGATTAGGTGTGGTGATTAGGGGAAAAAGAATAGATATTAGGTTTTTAATAAGAGGAAGTGTAAATGCCTGAAATGCCTTTAAAAATGTCTATGAAGTCTATGCTTGGCATTTAGTTTATTAAAAATAGTAAGTCATTTTGGATTGAAGATATATATTTTTTTCTAGATAGGGAACTGCTGACTTAAGCTGCCAAGATATTTCGGGCACTGTATCTGAGGAAGTGGGCACAATATCAGGAGCACTGATAAACTTGTTAGAGAGCTTGTGATGGAATATGGATAAACACATTTCTACCCTGAATTCTTAATTGTGAAGCAAGCCAAAGGCTCAAGAGTAAGAATATTGAGTCATCCGGAGGAAAAAGAAGATTGAGCAGTGGTAGGGGCTTTCTTCTATCCATATCTTTGTACCTCCTCTCTATAAGCCCTGATTGCTTGTCTTTTCAAAATTCCCTTTTAGAATTTAAGATAATAATAGTTAAAAAATGGTAATGACATAAATGTACGACAATAGGAAGTAGGTTAAACACATTTTGATACAGATGTACAATGGAATATTATTGAAACCAGATGCTGTTTTGACATTTGATCAAATGTATTTTCTCTTCTTGGTTGGTGTTGCCCCTGAAACCCTTCCTCCATTACTGCCAGGCCTTCTGGTTGAGCTTAAGGCCTATGGAAAGAAAACAAACAGAAGAAATCATTGCTTTGAGTTTCAAAAAATTCTATCTTAAAATTAGTAGCTACACTTTCAACTCATATAGGTAGGATTTAATATATTTTATACCAATGTCCAGAATCTTGATTATAGAGAAAATAAAAGAGTAACAAAGAGGATCCAAGGGCAAGGTCCACAGTCCCCAGCAGTTGGTCATAGCATGATTCTCAAAAGGCCAGATGGTACTAGCTGTACTTAATACCAGATTCTGGTGAAGAACAACCAGTGGCCAGTTAGGCTAAGCTCTACTCTAGTGAATACTGCAAGGACCTGAAAATACATCAAAAGGCCCATTTTCCCCCATGTAATGCCATGAGACTGTTACCATTGGAGAATTTAAGAGCAGCAAGATGAAACCCTAAGACAGAGAAATTACTCTGACATGAGTGTTTTAAACAGGAGGATGGTGATATTTTTAATTGGCAAAATTTAAAGCTTAATCCTCAGTAAATATGAAAGCTCAACAATAAAAAGAGATTTGCAATAAAAAATAAAAAAAATCTTTTTGAGATTTATTGCTATATTTAATATTTTTGTACATCTGTGTGAATGTTTAATCTAGCTATATTTACACTATGTAATCATTTTAAAAATACTGGAAGAAAACATTTTACACAAAACACTTTTACCATTGCTAAAGTTTAACATAAAAAGGCCACAAAATGCTATATGAGAAATTTATGGAAAGAGTGAGTATAAAAATATACATACATCAAAATTTAAATCATTATCTGTGGGAGATGGAATTATGAGTAATTTTTCCATTTCGTTTGTGATTCTTTTAGTTTCCCTTACATGTAAAAAGTGTTATCTTAAAAAATCAACTTTATTGAGATGCAATTTACACATGGTCAAATGCAAAGATTTTAGGTGCACAGTTTAATCAATCTGCTTTGACAAGTGTAAGAGGGGACCTCAAAAAGTTCATGGAGAAATGGAATTAAATAATTAAAATAAAAAATATAGACTTTACTTTTTAACGTAAATTCCATCAAGTTCAAGACACTTTTGTACTCAGTGACATCAGCCAGAGTCCATCCTTAAATAACTGTCCTGGGAATGTAACCAGGTCAATGCAGTCTTTTTTTTTTTTTACATTATTAACTGAAGAAAAATGGGAATCCTTTAAATATTTTTTTAAGATTAAGAAATAAAAATAATTCAGGAAAAGCCAAATCAGGGCTGTACAGTGGAATCCTAATGATTTCCCCTTAAAACTTGTATACAATTTCCTTTGTTTGATGAGAGGAATTAGCAGGAGCATTGTCATAGAGGAAAATGACACTCCGGTAAAGCTTTCTTGGACATTTTCTGCTAAAACTTTGGCTAACTTTCTCAAAACACTCTCATCTAAGCAGATGTTATTGTTCTGTGCTCCTCCAGAATGTCAACAAGCAAAACGCTTTGAGCATCCAAAAAAACTTGCCATGACCTTCAGTCTAGATTAGGCTTTACTTTGATTGAACCACTTTAGGTCTTGGTAGTCATTGGTTTGATTGTGCTTTGTCTTTAGGATGATACTGGTAAAGCCATGTTTTATCTCCTGTTATAATTCTTCAAAGAATGCTGCAGGATCTTAATACTACTTTTTAAAAAATTTTGTTAAAAGCTCTACTGTTTTCTGCAGCTGATCCAGATGCAACATTTTTGGCACCCATTGAATGGAAAGTTTGTTCAACTGTAATTTTTCTGTCAGAATTGTGTAAGTTGAAGCAATTCAGATGTTTATGGTGGTCACTATTGTTTCTGCTGTTAATCATCAGTCTTCTCCAATTAGGGCAAGAATAAGATTAATTTTTGTTCTTGCAAACTGATGTGGATGGTTTGCCAGTGTGGGCTTTGTCTTTCATATCATTTTATCCCTTCTTAAAATGAATTATCCATTTGTAAAGTGCTGACTTTGGGGGGACTTTGTCCCAATAAACCTTTTGTAAATCATCAATGATTTCACCAATCTTCCATCCAAGTTTCACAATATATTTGCTGTTCATTCTTGCTTCAAGTTTAGCAGAATTCATGTTGCTCAATAGGGGCTGTTTTCAAACTGGTGTCTTATTCTTCTTAGTGCCTCTAGATAGAATCTGTTCAGACATGTTATAATAAGTTATTATGAGTTTATTTTGGTGCAAAAATTATTAAAATTCATGCATAATTTTTTATAATATGCATTTTCCTGAACTTTTTGAGAACTGCTCTATAAAACCATAAAATATTACTCCTATAAATATTTTTGAATATTCTCTTTGTGCCCTTGCAGTTGAAATACTCCCTTCACCTCACAAAAACACAGGTTTTATTTCTATCACCATAGACTTTTTAGAATTTGTGTTTACTTTCTTTGGGTCAAAATAGTGTCTGTGGATTTTATCTATCGTGCTTTATGTGTCAGAAATTTACTTATTTTCAATTTCTAACTATTATTCAATTATATAAATAGATCATAGTGTAACCTAACCCAGGTTTGGTTGCTTGCCACTTGAGAATAAAGCTCTGGAGAGACAAGAGTTGTTGGGAGGAAAAGCGAGTCTATTTGGAAAGCCAGCAAACCAAGATGATGGTAGACTATCATCCTAAAGTACAATGTTAAGTCAACATAAATGTTAGGCTATTTTTAGGTTAAGGGCAGGGGGAAGAGAAAGGGGTTGAGATCAAGAGCTAACCCATGACCTCAGACATCTGGGCATGAGCAAGGACCTGAGGAGGTTGGGAATTTCTTGGTTAGGTCCCAGTGCTCCTATAAATCTTTAACAAAAGAGTTGTTTACATGTTTTACACACTTTCCCTTTAATCCCAGAGTTAGTTTTAAAAACTGTGATTGTCTTTTTGCATATTATCTCAGTGCTCTAAAATTACCCTAGCCCACATGTAGGCATGGCTAGAGGCTTCTTAAACAAAAATGTATTTAGTTATGTTAGTTCCTTTGCTGTTTCCCTGTTAGAATAGTTTGAATAGAATAGTTACCCGTTCACCTATCATCAGATATTTCTATTGTTTCTTGCTTTCTAAATTCACTTTTAATTGGCTACTCTAGTGATTATCATATGGTATTCACAGTCTTAAATTATCAGAGTCTTCTTAGAATATTAATAATTAAATATTTTACACTTCACCCTTCCAAAATTATATTTCACAAATATACAAAACTTTCAATAGTACAATTCCACTTACCCTATTCTTTGTGCTGTTGTTTTCATATATTTTATTTCTCTATACATAATAGATACATATTGTAGTAATATTATTATTGATTCAGTCATTTTCTTTTCAAATAAATTAAAATTTAAAAAGCCAATCCTTTTTATTTTGCCACAACTTATTCTTTTCTGAGTTCGTCCTTTCTTTATGTAGATCTGTTTTTATCTTACAACGTTTAAGCTGGCAGAAATTCCTGTAGCATTTCTTATTTATTGATTTTATTATATATCATTATTATTTCAATAGTTTTGGGGAACAGGTAGTGTTTGGTAACACTGATAAGTTCTTTAGGTGTGATTTATGAGATTTTGGTGTACCCATCACTGGAGCAGTGTACACTGAACCCAATGTGTAGTCTTTTATTCTTCACTGCCCTTTCACTATTCCCCTCAGGTCCCCAGAGTCCACTATGTCATTCTTATGCCTTTGCATCTCCATAGCTTAGCTCTCACTTATAAGTGAGAACACGATGTTTGGTTTTCTATTCCTGAATCATTTCACTTAGAATAATGGTCTTCAATTCTATCCAGGAGTCCATTATTCCCATGGTCTAATGCTGCAAATGCCATTATTTCATTCCTTTCTATGGCTGAGTAGTATTCCATGGGGTATATACACCATATTGTCTTTATCCATTCATTGGTTGATGAGCATTTAGGCTGGTTCCATATTTTTCAATTGTGAATTGTGCTGTTATAAACATGCATGTGCAAGTGCCTTTTTCATGTAATGCCTTTTTTTTTTCTTTGTAGATACCCAGTAGTGGGATTGCTGGATCAAATGGCAGATCTACTTTCAGTTCTTTAAGAAATCTCCATATTGTTTTCCATCGTGGTTGTACAGGTTTACATTCCCACCAGCAGCGTAAAAGTGTTCCCTTTTCACCACATCCATGCCAAAATCTATTATTTTTTGACTTTTAAATCATGGCCATTCTTGCAGGAGTGGTGTTGTATTGTGGTTATTATTTGCTTTTCTCTGATAATTAGTGATGCTAAGCATTTTCCCATATCTTGCTGGTCATTTGTATATCTTCTTTTGAGAATTGTCTATTCATGTCCTTATCCCACTTTTTTGATGGGATTATTTGTTTTTTCTCTTGCTGATTTGTTTGAGTTCCTTGTAGATTCTGGATATGACTCTTTTGTTGGATGTATAGATTATGAAGATTTTCTCCTACTCTGTGGGTTGTCTGTTTACCCTGCTGATTATTTCTTTTGCTGTTCAGAAGCTTTTTAGTTTAATTTAGTTCCATCTATTTATCTTTGTTTTTGTTGCATTTGGTTTTGGATTCTTGGTTATGAAATGTTTGCCTAGGCCAATGTCTGGAAGAGTTTTTCCAATGTTATTGTATGGAATTTTTACGGTTTTGGGTCCTAGATTTAAGTTTTTGATCCATCTGTTATTGAATTTTGGATAAGGTGACTGATGAGGAGCCAGTTTTATTCTTCTACATGTGGTTGACCAATTATCTTAGCACCATTTGTTGAGTAGGCTGTCCTTTCTCCACTTTATCTTTTTGTTTGCTTTGTCAAAGATCAGTTGGCTGTAAGTATTTGGCTTTATTTCTGGGTTCTCAATTCTGTTTCATTGGTCAATGTGCCTATTTTAATACCATGATGATTTGGTAACTATAGCCTCGTAGTATAGTTTGAAGTCAGGTAACATGTCTTTGGATTTGTTCTTTCAGCTTAGACTTACTTCGGCTACGCAGGTTATTTTTTTGTTTCATATAATTTTAGAATTTTTTTTCTAGTTCTGTAAGGAGTAACGATGGTATTTTGACGGGAATTGCATTGAATTTATAGATTATTTTTGGCAGTATGGTCATACTAACAATATTGATTCTACCTATCCATGAGATTGGGGTGTTTTTCCGTTTCTTTGTGTCGCCTATGATTTCTTTCAGCAGTGTTTTGAAGTATTCCTTGTAGAGATATTTTACCTTTTTGGTTAGGTATATTTCTAAATGTTTTATTTTTTTGCAGCTGTTGTATAAGGAGACGAGTTCTTGATTTGATTCTCAGCTTGGTCACTGTTGCTGTATAACAGTACTACTGAATTGTGTACATTGATGTTGTATCCTGAAACTTTACTGGACTCATTTATCAGATCTTGGAGCTTTTTGGAAGAGTCTTTAGGGTTTTCTAGGAATATGATCATATCATTAGCAAACAATGACAGTTTGACTTCCTCATTACCAATTTAGATGCCCTTTATTTCCTTCTCTTGTCTGATTTCTCTGGCTAGAACTTCCAGTACTATGTTGAAGAGGAGTGGTAAAAGTGAGCATCCTTGCCTTGTTCAATTCTCAGGAAAAATGCTTTCAACTTATACTTGTTCAGTATTAATGTTGGCTGTAGTTTTGTCATAGCTGGCTTTTACTACCTTAAGGTATGTCCCTTCTATGCCTGTTTTCCCAAGGGTTTTAGTCACAAAGGGGTCCTGGATTTTTTCAAACGCTTTTTCTGCATGTGATTTTTGTTTTTAATTATGTTTATGTGGTGTATCACATTTATTGACTTATGTATGTTCCAGTACCCTGCATCTCTGGTATAAAACTTATTTAATCATTGTGTATGATCTTTTTGATAAGCTGTTGGATTTTATTAGCTAGTATTTTGTTGAGGATTTTTGCATCTATCTTCATCAGGGATAGGATCTTGGTCTGTAGTTTTCTTTTTTTGTTATGTCCTTTCCTTGTTTTGGTATGAAGGTAATGCTGGCTACATAGAATGATTTAGGGAGGATTCCCTCTTTCTCTCTCTTTTGGAATTGTTTTAGTAAAATTGGTACCAATTCTTTGAATGTCTGATAGAATTTAGCTCTGAATTCATGTGGTCCTGGACTTTTATTTGTTGGAAATCTTTTTATTACTGTTTCAATCTTACTATTTGTTATTTGTCCGTTCACAGTTTCTGTTTCTTCCTGGTTTAATCCAAGAGGGTTGTATATTTCCAGGAATTCATCCATCTCCTCTAGGTTTTCTAGTTTGTGTGCATAAAGGTGTTTATAGTATCCTTGAATGATCTTTTGTATTTCTGTGGTATCAGTTGTAATATCTTCCATTTTGTTTCTAATTGAGCTTATTCACATCTTCTCTCTTTTTTTGGTTAATCTCGTTAATGGTTTATTGATTTTGTTTATCGTCTCAGAGAACCAGCTTTTTGATTCATTTATCTTTTGTATTTTTTTGATTACTTATTTCGATTTCATTTAGTTCTGCTGTGATCTTTGTTATTTCTTTTCTTTTGCTGGGTTTAGGTTTGGTTTGTTATTGTTTCCCTAGTTTCTTGAGTTATAACCTTAGCTTGTCTATTTGTGCTCTCTCAAACTTTTTGATACAGGCATTTAATGCTATGAACTTTCCTCTTAGCACTGCTTTTGCTGTATCCCAGAGGTTTTGATAGGTTGCGTCACTATTATCATTTACTTCAAAGAATTTTTTAGTTTCAATCCTGATTTCATTGTTGAACTAAAGATCATTCAGGAGCAGGTTATTTAATTACCATGTATTTGTACAGTTTTGAGGATTCCTTTTGGAATTAGTTTCCAATTTTATTCCACTGTGTTCTGAGAGAGTACTTGATATAATTTCAACTTTCTTAAATTTATTGAGACTTGTGTTGTGGCCTATCTTATGGTCTATCTTGGAGAATGTTCCATGTGCTGATAAAAGGAATGTATATTCTGCAGTTGTTGGGTGTAATGTTCTGTAAATATCTGTTAAGTCCATTTGTTCTACAGTATAGTTTAATTCTAGGGTATAGTTTATATCCATTGTTTCTTTGTTGACTTTCTGTCTTGATGACTTGTCCAGTGCTGTCAGTGGAGTATTGACGTCCCCCATTATTATTGTGTTGATGTCTATCTCATTACACAGATCTAGCAGTAATTGTTTTATAAATTTGGGAGCTCTAGTGTTAGGTGCATATATATATTTAGGATTATGATATTTTCCTGTTGGCCTAATCCTTTTATCATGATGTAATGTCCCTCTTTCTCTTTTTTATAACTGCTGTTGCTTTAAAGTTTGTTTTGTTTGATATAAGAAAAGCTACTCCTGCTCACTTTCGGTTTCCATTTGCATGGAATATCATTTTTTATGCCTTTACTTACTTTTATGTGAGGTCTTGTGTGTTAGGTGAGTCTCCTGAAGATAGCAGATACTTGGTTGGTGGATTTTTATCCATTCTATCCTTCTGTATCTTTTATGTGGAACATTTAGGCCATTTACATTCAACGTTAGTATTGACATGTGAGGTACTATTATATTCTTTATGCTAGTTGTTGCCTGAATATCTTGGTTTTCATTTCATTGTGTTATTGTTTTATAGGTTCTATGAGGTTTATGCTTTAAGGAGGTTCAATTTGGAGTACTTAAAGCTTTTGTTTCAAGAGTTAGGACTCCTTTTGGCATTTCTTGCAGTGCTGGCTTGGTAGTGGAAAATTCAGCATTTGTTTCTCTGAAAAAGGCTTTATCTCTTCTGCATTTATGAAGCTTAGTTTTGCTGGATACAGAATTTTTTGCTGATAATTATTTTGTTTAAGGAGGCTAAAGATAGGACCCCAATCTCTTCTGGCTTGTAGGATTTCTGCTGAGAAATATCCCATTAATCTGCTCGGTTTTTATTTACAGGCTACCTGATGCTTTTGCCTCACAGCTCTTAAGATTATTTCCTTTGTTTTGACTTTAGATAACCTGATGACTATGTGCCTAGGTGAAGATCTTTTTGTGATAAATTTCTGGGGTGTTTTGTTAAGTTTTCTGTATTTGTATGTCTAGATTTCTAGCAAGACTGGGGGATTTTTCCTCAATTATTCCCTCAAATAAGTTTTCCAATCCTTTAGCTTTCTCTTCATCCTCAGGAACACCAGTTATTCTTTGGTTTGGTCATTTAACATACTCCCACATTTCTTGGAGGCTTTATTCATTTTTAAAAAAATCCTTTTCTCTTTTTCTTTGTCACATTGGGTTAATTCGAAAGACTTCTCTTCAAACTCTGAAGTTCTTTATTCTACTGGTTCCATTCTATTGTTGAAACTTTCTAGTGTATTTTGCATTTCTCTACGTGTGTCTTTCATTTCCAGAAGTTGTGATTGTCTTTTCTTTATGATATCTATTCCTCTGGAGACTTTTTCACCCGTATTCTGTATTGTTTTTTAAATTATTTTCAAGTTGATTTTCACCTTTCCCTTCTGCCTTCATAGTAGCTTCTGAATTCTTAATCTGGCAATTCAGTTTTTTTGGGGGGTGGTGGGGGTGCGGTTTGGATCCATTGCTGGAGAGCTGATTTGATCTTTCGGGGCGGTTATACAACCTTGTTTTGTCATCCTACCAGAATTATTTTGCTGGTTCTTTCCCATTTGAGTAGATTGTTTCAGTGGAAAGATCTGGAACTTGAGGGCTGCTGTTCAGATTCTTTTGTCCCATGAGGTGCTCCCTTGATGTGGTGCTTTCTCCATTCCTTTATGGATAGGGCTTCCTGAGAGTCAAACTTCAGTGACTGTTATTGCCCCTTTGGGTCTAGCCACCCAGTGGGGCTACCAGGCTACAGGCTGGTGCTGTGGAATGTCTGCAAAGAGTCCTGTGATGTTATCCATCTTCAGGCATCCCAATCATGGATACCAGCACCTACTCCAGTGACAGTAGCAGGGGAGTAAAGGTGGCTCTGTGGGAGTCCTTCATTGTAGTTTTGTTTAGTGTGCTAGTTTTTTCGAATGCTGGTTATGCTAGCAGTGGAGTTGTCACATGGACAGACTCAGGACCTCTGGTTAGCTAGGATGTTGTTGGTAGGGTAATTAGCTATTGTTTTTTCCTTCTTTGGACTGGGGTTGTTTTGTTATGAGTTGTTGTTTTGGCTTGAGTTGGTTGGCCTCCAGTTAGGAGGTGGCAATTTTAAGAGAGTGCCAGCTGCAGTAGTAGAAGGGTGATATAATCTTGCCTTAGGTTGGCCAGGATGAGTACTCGGGTTTCTCAGGTGATGAGTGGGGTCATCGAGCTCCAAAAAATTATGTCTTTTGTCTCTGGCTACCAGGGAGAGTAGAGACAAATCATCAGGTGGGGGCAGGGTTGGGTGAGTCTGACTTCAGACTATCTTTGGACGGGGCTTGCTGTAGACACTATGGGTGAGGGGATGGTGGTTCTCAGGCCAATGGAGTTATGTTCCCAGGGGCATTATGGATGCTTCTGCTGCATCATACAGGTTGCCAGGGAAGTGGAAGAGACAGGTCTCACCCAGCTTTCACACAGCCAGCAAGGCCAGTCTCACTCCCTCTGTGCCTCCACAACCACATTGAGTTTTTATTCTGGCAGCCAGTGAGCAGGGCCGAGATCTTTCCCCAGGCTACAAGTCTCCCTGCTGAGAAAGCAAGCAGGGCTCTCAGGCCTTGTCTCTCCACCTGTCCTCACCTTTGGCTGCTGTTTCTGTGTTCTTATCTGCACTTCCCGTTAATCCCCAACCCCACTGATTCTGCTCAGGAACGTTTGTGCTCAGTTAAAGTTATTACAAAATCAGCTAGGAGCTTCCTTCACCTTGTGGCCCCTCCCCAATTCTGCTGACTGCCTTCCCTTCTCCCAAGGTCCTCTGTGGGATAAAGCCAAGGATGGCTTCCCTGGGGCTCGAACTAAGGACCCGGAGTGCCTACAGGGCTCTTCCTACTGCTTCTTCTACTTTTATATTTTGCTTGACTCCCTAAATCCATTTCAGCTCTTGGTAAGTTTAAATCCTTCTCCTGCGATCTGGATTTTCAGGTTCCCCAGTAAAAATGTGTGTTTGGAGGCCAACTTTTTCCTCTTTCGCACTTTGGGAACTCACAGTTTTGCAGTTGTCTCATGGCATTTGCAGCAGCAAAGCTGCTTCTTTTAAAGGGTCTGTGAATTCTTTCAGTTTTCCTGATATGTTCCTGCAGTGGTTCTTGTAGCAAAAGTTCACAGCATGAGTCTCCAGATGCTGTTCTGTCTGTCTAAGCAGGAACTGCACCTTAGTCCTGTCTCCTACTGCCATTTTTTACCTCCTCCAATAGTATTTTTGGCAGCACATTGTCTCAGCTTTTATTTATCTGAAAATGTCTTTATTTTGTTGTTACTTTGGTGGGATATTTTCACTGGGCTTATAATACTTTGTGAACAATCCTCTGTTTTGTCCTCCCTCCCTCACCATTCCAGTTCTTTAAAGATATCATTTACTTGAATTACAAACTCCATTGTTTCTAATGAGGAGTCAGTTGTCACTTTTTTGTATGTGATGTTCCATTTTTTTCTGAGGGCTTCCAAACATTTTCTCTTTAATTTTAATTTTTAGCAGTATGGCTGTGATGTCATACACAGTATGACTATAATGTGAATAGGTTTTGTTTCCTTTTTATTTATTTTGATCATGCTTAGAGAAATATTTAGGGTCTATATATTGATATTTTTCACCAAATGTAGGAAAAATTTGATGGCTCCCTTGAATTGTTTTTCTTCCTATTTTTCTCATCTTATTATGGGACTCTAGTTACATACATATTTAACTTATTGGTTGGGCACAGTGGCTAACACCTGTAATCCTAGAACTTTGGGAGGCCAAGGTGGGTGGATCACTTGAGGTCAGGAGTTTGAGACCAGCCTGGCCATCACCGCAAAACCCAGTCTCTACTAAAAAGTACAAAAATTAGCTGGGTGTGCTGGCATGCACCTGTAGCCCCAGTTACTTGGGAGGCTGAGGCAGGAGAATCACTTGAACCTGGGAAGCTGAAGTTGCAGCAAGCCGAGATCATGCCACTACACTCAAACTGGGCAATAGAGTGAGATTTTGTCTCAACAACAACAACGACAACAACAGCAGAAAAACAACTTCTTAATGTTTTACTGTAGGTTAATAAGGGGTTATCACTTTCTCTATCCTGTTTCTTTGTTTTTTTTTGCCAGAAGTGTTAATTTCTGTGAGTCTATCTTAAAGTTTATTGTCCCTTCTACTGCTATTCATAATATTTTATTAATGCCAAACACTGAGTAATTGAAAATTTTAGACATTGTAATTGTCTTTATCTGTTCAGGCTGCTATAACAAAATTTTGTTGTTTATAACAAAATTTATAAACAACACAAACTATTGCTCACAATGTAGAGGCTAGGAAGTTCAAAATTAAGGTGCCAGCAGATTTGGTGTGTGGTTAAGACCCATTCCTCATAGGTGGTGTCTTCTAGCATGTCCTCACATGATGAAAAGCACAAATAGGCCCCCTCAGGGTTTCTTTTATAAGGGCACTAATCCTATTCATGTGCACTCTGCTCTTTTGACCTAATCACCACCCAAAGGCTCCACCTCTTAAAAATCATTGCATTATGGATTATGTATCAATATATCAACTTAGTGAGGATGCAAACATTCTTACCATAGCAGTAATTTTCAGAGTTTGTATTTCTATTTGGCTTTAAAGAAGTAATTTCTAGTTTCTATTTCCTAGATGAGATTACCTATCAGGTTCATTTACTTATACCATATTTTTGTTTAAATCATTTAATCTATGTCGTGGCTTCTTTAAAGTCATTACCTGCTAATTCTGATATCTAGGGTATTTTAGTGTCTTAAATTTTACTTTGATATTTTTCCTGATTATGGATTAATTTCTTGCTCCATGCATAGAATTTATATCCTATGTATAGAATTTTTTAAAAAAATATTTAATGCTGGACATTATGAATAATACATCAGGGAATGCTTGGACTATGTTTTCTTCCTTAAAAAAGCCTTACATTTTATTCTGGCAAGCAATTGATTACTAGAAGTTCTCATTCATCCTATTGAGGTTCTGGTTAGTATGTAAGGGCAGGCCTGGAGTGGCTTTATCCTAAGACATAGTTTTTACCCCTGAGATTTTGCCATTCTGGTGTTTCAGCTGCACGTTCAGGGTATTAATGTCTTTCCACTCTGACTGGGCCAATGTTTCAACATTTCCTAAAATATCTCCAGACCTCCACCTTATGGAAGTCACTCTGATAAGCCTTACAGAATTTCACTCTGCATATGTGCAGCCTAGACCTTGGCCAATGATCCATAGCATTTCCTCCCTTTGTCCACCCATGGTATTCTGTTGCCTCTCATTGTGTAAGTTTCTCCTTTCTGGTAATCTGTGTTGCAACTTCCAAGTATTAATACTTCAGGAGCCCTGCATGTTGATCTTTGACTCCCAAGTCAGTAGACCCCCTGGCTGTTGTGAAGGGCAGGGTAATATTTCTCTGTACTGTGGTTGGGAAACTGTATGTATCCAGGCAATGACCAGGAGATTATGGAGCGTGTCTCTTCTATTTGCCTTCAGTGAGTGCAGTGCTGTGCTGTGCATTAACCAGAGCCTGAAGGCAGTAGCATTATACATTCTTTCCAGTTTTAGTTTGTTTATGGCAGGAAGGTCAGTTCAGTACCAGTTAATTCATTATCACAGGAAGAAGGAATCCTTCAAGAAAATGCTATCTTTGATAACAGGAATATACATAAATGTTATTGAAAAAGTATTTCATGTTCCATTTTGTTACATGCAAACCTAGAGTTACAGGGTAGATGATTCAATATTAGTTCAAAGATATGGGTATATAGTACATAGTTAGTGCTTAAAAATATTTGTTACTGACTAATTGGATTTCTTTTTTGTAGTCAATATGATTTCTTTTTTCAAATTCAGATTGTGTCTCTTTTATTTACAGATTATACAATCAACTTCACTCTGTGACAGATAAGATTTTTACATACACAATCAGGATTGAGCCAGGAAATGGCTAATACGTGTTGTCGTCTATCACAGGAGAAATTATTTCATTTTTCTCATTGTGAATAGCCAAGAAAAGAAATTTTTTTAAAAAAGAGAAATGTTGTTTCACATCTTAAAAACTGGGAGTCTATATAAACTACTTAACTTTTTTTCTTTCCCCTCTTCTTTTGATCTGTATTTAAAAGAATCCTTCAATGCATACTGATATAGAATTTGTTTTATTTATCTTTTCCTTATATACTCTATTCTACCTTTTCTACTAGCTCAAAGATATAACTAAATACATTTTAGAACAACCAAATCAGTTTCAAAATCAGATGTAAGGCGTTTTACCTTCTGACAAGTTATTTGAAGGACCCATCTATTTAAGAATATGTCATCTCTAGAAGAGCAATGCCTGAAAAGAGAAAAATGTCTGTTTATTTTAAAATATTAAATCAGGTAATACTTGATTATGCAGCTGATTTCCAAGGCATAGCACAGTATGTCTGTTTGTTGCTGGTGGTGTTTGTGGTCTACTCCTTTTGTAAATTTAGAGCTAATTGTGCTATTTTTGAATTTAGTATGTCTTGCTTCATATTATATATATTTTATATTTTCCCATAAGTCTTTGGGCAAAAAAAATTTAACAAACAACAGTTACAAGTTATTAGTTTTCATTATTGTGGCTTATGGGGTTTTCCCCCACTTTTAAATATAACTATTTTGCTTCTGGTTTCTTAGCATACTACTCAGACTGGTACTTTCCTCATCATTCCTAGAAGATAAATGGCTCTGGAGTCCATTAACTGACAAACCAGTAAACCTTCTTGTCCTGAAATGCTCCTGGAAAAATCTATTCATGGTACACTGACTCAGTGCCACACCAATGGTCATTCAGCTTTGCTAGTAAATTTTTCTCTCAGATACACATTTACACAGCTCCTGTTCTTGGCCATACCAAATTTTAAATGGTGCTTGAAATTTCTGATTCTGTAAGACACAGTGGAAAGTTCAGTGAACGTGGAATCAGAGAAACCTAGATTTGATTCTTGGCTTCATTGCTTGCAAGCTGTGTAACCTCTTTGAAACACAGATTCCTCACTTGTAAAATTCAGATAATAAATATCCTTTGCCGCTGGGGAACTCAGAGGATTTGTGAGCTAAAGTAGGAGCTCTTAGCTAGTATCAGGTATTTATAATTCTCTACAAATTCTAGTCACTTAACTGTCAGGAAGCTTGGAAGTAATAGGTCCTATTTTCACCAGAGTTGATTTATCAAATAATTTTTTAATGTTTATTTTGCAATTAATTCATCTGCTCTTGGGGAGAGAGCCCTCATAGCCCTTTAGGCCATCTCTGCCCTAGCAGTTGGACCAGTGGACTTTCCCATATTGACCAAGTTACATGGGAGCCTAAGTTACTTGTAACTTGCCTGGCAATAGGGGTTTTTCAAAGAAAAAAAATGTTTTTTTGCAAGTTTAAATTAGCTATCCCTTGCTGTAGTTCTCATTTGAAGTCTTACTAGGTTTTCATTAGGACATTTTTAAAGACAGACCATGGGCCTTGCAGCCAGAGGGAACTTAATAAAATCCCAACTTTTCCACTTACAAGCTGCATGACATTGCCCAAGTTGCATATTCTTTATGAATCTCATTTTTCTTACTCATTAAATGGAAATAACAGCACCCACCTTTCAGGTGTGTGTCATGATTAAATGGGATAGCTTACATAAAAATGTTCATTCTTGGCTTTTATCAAATATTAACTCCCTTTCCACCTTCTCATTCTAGCTTTGATATATGCTGTTCAATAATGACTTATAAAATCTGCTGGATTTTTAGAACCCAGCTTATTCAGCCTTATCACCAAAGAGTTTACCTTGTACTTTGGCTTTGGTTTAATAATTCATAGAATTTCTGAATGTCAGTTTCATTTTAAAGTTTTGGCATGAAAACACATGACTGAAATTGTACAGATAGAATTGAACCATTTGGCATTTTTCTTAATGTTATTGAAACGTATACTTTCATTGTCAGAATCATGGCTCCAACATGATTCCTACAGTCTGGTCAGAAGTCATCCTTGGATCTTTACTCATGTATCAAGATAACCCTGTGTATGCATGATATCAGAGGTTCAGAGGTTTTGAATCAGCAATGAGGAAAGTATTTAAAAAACTTGATTGACATTGGCATAACACTACCCTCATCCCCCAGTAAGGCTTTATTATTTAAACATGATAACAAATACCTCAGTAAATGTACAGATTTGAGATTACTGCATGATCATCTTTTGGATTCCAAAGGACTAAACTGTCCATTTTTAATCATTCTGGAAGGTAGTGAATTTTAACACAGGACTTGATGTCTAAGGGGACAAGCTTTGTGATAAAATAAGGGAAAAACGTTTTCCTTTCCCTACTGCTGAGAGACAATTTGGTTCAGGTACTGAGCCATAGAGATGACCTGAGCCTTTTGGGAAGTGAGAATGGGGAACCACATTTGGCTACAGGGAGACAGCCCGTAAAGGAACACCAGGAGTTACCTGGGCATATGCAGTTTGCTATAAATTATTATCTATCTTGCTTGTTTCCATTTCGTTGTCTCTGAATCATCCATTAACCCTCATAAAAGTTGTGTGATGGTCTTTCCGGTTTTGTGAGGGATTAAGGGGAAGGTATGTTCTATATTTGGAACAAATTAAAAAAAAAAAAAGGCAGGCATGGTGGCTCAAGCTTGTAATCCCAGCACTTTGGGTGGCTGAGGCAGGCAGATCACTAGGTCAGAAGTTTGAGACCAGCCTGGCCGATATGGTGAAACCCTGTCTCTACTAAAAAACAAAAATGAGCCGGGCATAGTGGCGGGTGCCTGTACTCCCAGCTACTTGGGAGCCTGAGGCAGGAGAATCACTTGAACCCGGGAGGTGGAGGTTGCAGTGAGCTGAGATCATGCCACTGCACTCCAGCCTGGACAACCAAGTGAGACTCTGTCTCAAAAAACAAAAAGAAAAGAAAGGAAGCAGCTCTGCCCTTTCTCCTGAGGCTAGAGTTGGTGGTCGCAGTATGGTAACCAGCAAGGGTGGCTGTTTACATCAAAGAAGTGAGCCCTAAGCTGTTACTGGCGGCAAAGACAGTCAATGGTGGCCTGCCACAAGGCGGAGAGGAGATGCATCAAAGAACACAGGGAAATTGTTTTCGAGATGGTGACCTGGAAATCACTCAGACAAACCTATGGACATATTCAAGGGTCTAATTACTAGAAACAAAGGCAGTAAAAATACTTAGTTTTGAAACTTGAATTGCACATTGACTAAATAAAATTCATTCATAGGCTGCTTTGAATTAACAGTTTAACATCTGTGGAGAGAATTAAGGAGAACTCAATTCAGTTATAGATAGTTTTATATTAATCTCAAAAATGATGTTCTTTAAGTAAAGTCATAAAGATTTCTAATACCTTGCCACCTGGAAAAAGAAATTATTCTCCAGATTGGGAATAGCTTGAATTAAAGGTTAAGATGGGGAGAAGAGACTAAAGAAATAGAATGATAGATTTTTATTTCTGTGCAGGGAACATGGGCACTGTTGGAAAAGGAGATTCAGAGAAGCTCTTTTGTGAAGATCATAGAAGACAGTTTGTAAAGATATTTGAGATAAATAGAAGGTGCGTGCTGGATGCATTTCAGCTGCATAATTAATGCCACTTAAAAAAGCAAACTTTGTGCATTCTTCCTTAAACAATCTATTTCCAGCCTCTGTGATGGGTTTTCTCCATCAGGTATGTACTTCTTTGTTTGGACAATATTGATTATTTCCCTCTTTTTCCAATGGACCTTAAAATAAACATTTTTTTGCTAGAACTCTTTTATGCACTAAAGTATCCAGACACTAGCCACATTTTTACTTCTGGAAGTTAATGTTAAAGTGACAGATAATGACAAAGACTGCTTAAAGTTGTATATTGTTCCTTAAGAAAACATCTCAGCCGGGCGTGGTGGCTCATGCCTGTAATCCCAGCCACTTGGGAGGCCGAGGTGGGCGGATCACCAGGTCAGGAGATAGAGGCCATCCTGGCCAGCAGGGTGAAACCCTGTTTCTACTAAATTACAAAAAATTAGCCAGGCATGGTGGTGCACATCTGACTCCCAGCCACTCAGGAGGTGGAGTCAGGGTAATCTCTTGAACCTGGGAGATGGTGGTTTCAGTGAGCCGAGATCACACCACTGCACTCCAGCTTGGGCAACAGAGAGAGCGAGACTCTGTCTCAAAAAAAAAAAAAAAAGAGAAAAAAAGAAAACATCTCACTAGGTTACACCTCTTTTCTTCTTTGTGTTGAGTCTTTTCTAGGCACAGAATCTCAAAGGCTGAAGATATATTCAGTGTAACATCAAATTTTAGCTTTGGAAGTTATCTAAGATATCATCTTGTCTGATCATCTTATCCATTCAGTACTCTTTTCTGCATTTTTTTTTTTTTTTTTTTTTTTACAGAGTCTTGCTCTGTCACCCAGGCTGAAGTGCAATGGTACGATCTCGACTCACTGCAACCTCCGCCTCCTGGTTTCAAGTGATTTTCCTGCCTCAGCCTCCTAAGTAGCGGGGTCTACACACATGCACCACCACGTCCAGCTAATTTTTATAGTTTTAGTAGAGATGGGGTTTCGCCATGTTGGCCAAGCTGGTCTCGAACTCCTGACCTCATGTGATTCACCCACCTCAGCCTCCCAAAGTGCTGGGATTACAGGTGTAAGCCACCGTGCCTGGCCACTTTTCTGCATTATCTTCATCTTTCTTTTGATTAAATGTTCTACTTCCTATTCTTTACAAGTAGTACATTCCATTTGGGGCAACTCTAGTAAAATTTGACATTCACAGGTACCTAAAAGTTATGAGCTTAGTAAAGTTTAAACTATTAATCCTCAAATTACTTACAGGGAAAGCTATAGCAAATTTTACCACCAGCTTGGACCTTGTAGATTCACCAGTCTCTCTTGAACAGTTGTGAACCTCCCTGCTTACCCATGGGAGGTTGAGCCCAGTGATCTCTAAGATCTCTGCCAACCCCAAAGCTCTCTGGTTAATCGGAAGCCTGTAGTCTGTGAGCACAGTTAGACTTTTATATAAACATCTTACTCTGTGAGAAGATTAACCAACCTTGGATGATGCTGATGGATAATTGGGAGATCCAGAGCTTTTTCATTACTGTGGGATTATCTGCAACACTGCCTCAGTTGCATCCCATTACTGGTCATAATTAATGTGAATGGAAAGAAACCAGCAGTACAGTATAGCTAGATACATGTTTTAACTATGGTGCATGCTCAGGGATGCAGCTGAATGTAGACTGGAAGCTCTAATGAGTAATGGTGTACCTGGCACAAGCAACAGAGGTAAAATGAGGAAAGTTATTATAGGACTTAATTGGGCAGGATGTTGAAGCATAATCTCTATTGGACTCATGGGAGGTTCCCCTTTTCCGATTTCTGCAGTGTTTCTACATCTCTGCTGCTGACTTGTACTTGGTGAGCTTCTTAGTCTACTCAGCAAGATGTTATATTTAAACCTTTGATGACTTGGTAGAGATGACTTTCAGAGTCATGCATCTACAATGTGTTCAGCAACTATTCGCTGAACACCCATTACCTTCTAGCATAGTGCCAGAGCATTTACCTGCTTCACCTTCCTGTTTTCCTCATCATGAACTATAAAGCAGATATTATTCTCTCAGATTCACAGATAAAGAAACCAAGAAACTAAAAAGATTAAATAATATGCTCAAATTAGCTAATGAGGGGTACAATTGTACTTCGAGCCCAAACTCCTGTACTAGTTTCTATTGCAGCCATAAGAAATCACCACAAACTGACGGAAAAATAAAATTTATTATCTTACAGTTATGTAGGTTAGTAATGCAACATGGGCCCTGCTGGGCTGGCATCAAGATATCCACAGAGCATGATTCCTTTCTGAAGCTTCTATAAGAATTAATTTTCTTGCCTTTTCCAGCTTCTAGAGACCACCTGCATTACTTGACTTGTAGCCTCTTTTCAAATCTTCAAAGCTAGTAACACAGCATCTCTCTGACCCTGCTTTTATCAGCACATCTCTTTGTCACCATAGTTTGGAAAGGTTCTTAGTTTTTAAGGACTCATATAAGTGGATTGGATCCAGGACAATCTCCACATCTCAAGGTTGTTAATCATATTTGCAAAGTCCCTTTTGCTATGTAAAATAACATGTTCACTGGGACATTCCCATCCTCCACAATGTGAAAACAGCTGTCTGTGATATCCAACTTTGGGGGCTAAAAATGTCTGCCACCTTCTTCAGCAACAAAATAGCCTTCCAGGTGCTATTCAGGTGTATCTTAGAGCAGTTCACAGCCATGTTCATGTGCAAGGCCTTCCTGCACTGGTACGTAGGTTGGGGCATGGATGAGATGGAGTTGACTGAGGCTGAGAGCAACGTGAAGGACCTGATGTCTGAGTCCCAACAATATCAGGATGCTATGGGCAAGCAGGAGGGAGAGTTTGGGGAGTGGGCCGAGGAGGAGGTGGCCTGGAGCATTCTGTTACTGAGTGAAGGGTGGAAGAGGTGTGAATTTTTCATTCACTCACAACATGTTCTATGATAGCCATGTCTCACTCCGTGTGCACTTGCTGTGTGTTCACCTCTATTCAATCATTTTCATTTTCATAGAAAAAAAAAAGCCCTAGTCCCGAAATTAAGACACAAACATGGATGTGGAAGGGGCATTATTCTTACTGTCACCCCTCTTTTTGATCCTCCTTATGTAAACCTTTTGCTCTAAACTACTTACTAGCTTTGCTTAATCAATTTTATGACAAGTCCAGTGTCTAATCCATTCCAGAAAAATGGTGAATATTCAATAAATATTTTTGAAAAAGTTAGTAAATATCAAAAATACCAGAATTTGGAGGTGTTGTTTTACTACCACACAAATGGACTAATTATGATTGATTTGAGAGGTAATTGTTTGTAACATCATTCTAGACTTTTAAATTGGGAGATAAAGGTTAATCAGTTTACTCAGAGGAACAGAGTTGCTTATTCTGTCTGCAGTTGAAGCAACAACATGTGCTCTTGCTGTACAGCCCTGGCTAATTAGTTGACAGCATTACTAATACATGTCCTTTCAGGACCAAAGGGTGATCCCTTTGGTCTTCAATCCTTCTGGGAAAAGCACATTCAGAAGCTCAAGTATGCTAAAAAACACAAACAGAAAACATTGATGAGGTTTTCTTTATGATACTTTAATTTCTTTTTTGGCCTAGTTCAAGTAGAAACTGGGTATAAGCAATTAGTCAAGATGCTAGAAAGTAAGATTCTTATGCATGTGAATTAATTGGAGTCAGTGAGAATGCTGCAGGAATATTCTCTGAGTTCAACTGTTAGTATTAGCTAGGAAAAGGGGAAAAATGAAAGCCTGAACATTTGGTAGGAAAAAAAAAATAATTGTTCCTTGGATTAGGCCTAACTGAGTTGAGGGTGGTAAAGTAACCTAGAGGAAGTGACTGGATAAAAAGGAGTTGCATGACAGATAGCTAAAACCAGCCTGAATGCTGAGAATTGACGATGGGGTTGGAGTCAGTAGTCTCCCTTGATAGTGCTGCAAGTGAGTACAATCGGTACTAAACCAATTTTTAGACAAAGAGTGAAATTAGATCAAGTATCATTGAGAGTACATAATGAAATAATACCTTGACTAGGAGTTGGCATCTTTTTGTGATGAAGAGATCGCATTTGAACAGGGAATGAAAGATGGTGCAGTGCTTTCGGCCGGATTTCAAAATGCCCAGTGTTTCTCTTTGGGTTTCCCCAAGTCTTCCCAGTGACAGGTACCTATGGGCATTACACAAACCAAAACAGGCAGCTGAGAAAGGCAGACAAACTACAAAGGGGAGATGTGTGCCTTTAATGAAAAACTGAAGGTGTAAATTTGGGCTTCCCAAAACAGAGATAAATATATGCATTTCTCAGCGGTACTGAGAAATAACTGTGAACATAACAGCCATGTCACTTCAAATTACTTACTGCTTGCGTTAGGGGAGGCAAATGTTTTATTAATAAACAAGCGGTTAACACACTATTTGTTCTCAATTATCAGTGTCTGGAAGGGCAGGGGAGGCCAGGCTGAAACATCTGACAAGAGAAATGATTTACCAATTTAGTGTGACTGACAGACCTGGTGATGAAAAGGGACTTTACTGTGTAGCATCAGGGAGTGGTGTAAGAGATGTGGTTCTGCTGAATGGAGGTGGTCAGAGGTTCTGGGAGGCCCACCTTTGCCAAGATAAAGAGCTTCCTCACAGGACTAAGAGCCTGACTGGATTGATGGGATTGACTGGAAAGGAGAGAGTAAGGGGAAGAGGAGGAGAAAGGGGAAGAGACGAGGAGAGGGGCAGAGGGAGAGAGGGACAGAGGGAGAGAAAAGGAAGGAGAGATGGGAAGTGAAAGAGGTAGAGAGGGAAAGAGAGAGTTACTGCTTTATTTGGTGCAGAGTAAAATTTAGGAACTGCACACTCATCCATCACAAGCTGGCTAATAACTGATTGATGACTGCAAAGCACTTGGAAGAAAGGAAGTTTTACACAAATGTTAAATAACAAAAATGTTGGAATTTAGTTGATGATTGCAGCCAAATCTAGCCTGCCAGCAGAAAGCTGGGAAAGTTATTTGTTTGGAGAAGGGTCTGGATGACTCTTGGTCTCTCACTGCAAACCACAATTGGATTTCCCACGTGTATGGCAGGGTGGGAACAGGATGGGGTGGGGTGGAGTGGTGAGGTTTTCAGATGCAATTTAACTGTGCTGTAATTAGGAGTATTATGCTCCAGGGGTGGCCCCTCCTGACTCTTCTGGATCCTTTGCCATTACATTAAAACTGGCCTGCTACAGGCACAAGCTCACATGACTCATTGGCATGAATGAAACTTCCCGATTAGGGGTTGCACTGGTTGTAATTTATTAGTGTAGAGCTGTCATAACAAAGTCATTGTAAAGACATTCAGCACTTACCACCAACACAAACACTGCCTTCTGCAAAAGGCTTTGACTTTTCATAGCCACCTGCACCACCTGCCCCTCCCGCCCCTAGAAATGAGACCTCAGTCTGGTGATTTTTCAACCTATTACAGCTCTTTGAAGATGAAAATCTCACACATCTTTCTGACCAAAACTCCTTTTGGTATTTTAGGATCTATAATCGTTCTGCACCCCTAGTTCTTACTATACTTGTTTTGTTTGTTTTTTAGGAGGAGAGAAATAGTTCTTCTCATTTAGGAAATTTAATTACCAGGGTATTAATCTGTCAATTTTAGGCTGCTCAATGAATTCTTATTGCAAAAACAGCTGTAGCCAACAATATTGCAATAGTGTATTCTTAAGCAAACAGCAATGTCTCTGGAATGTGTGCACATAAATATTAATTAGGAAGAGAAACAAGACAGCAATGAAACAGTTTCTATTAATTATTTTGGCTCCTTTTCAAATTTGTTACAGTTTATCTGACTTTCTTTTTCAGAAGCTCTGGGAACAATCTGTCTTAGTCTATTTATGCAGTGAAGGTGTCTGAAAGTCAGTGACTAAATTTAATGGTAAGTCTTCCTGAGAAGGAAATTTTTTCTTCTTTGCTAATCTGGGCTCATGATGAAGGCAGAGAGGACTTATTTTGATTTTCCCTGTTGGGCCAGATGGTTTCTGTGGACAAGCTGTCAGGGGAATTCCCAGGACTTCCTGGCTCTAATTGAGGCCTGTTACCAAAAATTTGCTGAAGAGATCAGATATTTCCCATGATAAGGAAAAGATAAAGTACAAACGCAGTTGCTTCTTAGTTATTCAGAGAAACTTACATGGGGGTATCTATTACCTGTAGCATAGTCAAGACCCAGAAGCAGGTCACCGCATTCTCTTAGCAACCCGAAGTTTGCCCAGAGTTAATATTAGAGTTAATGTTACATTTTGTTTGGCAAGTTTGATTATCTTTCAATTTTGTCTAGTTTTTAATTTGTGTTTTTAGCTCATGGAACATAAGAAGGTAAATACAATGCAAGCACTAACTATTTGTAAGATTGGTAAGAACAGGTGATAGCTGATGTGAAGTTTAGAGAGGTACTAAAATGAGCAGACATAGCAAGTGTGAAAGCCAGGGCTAAGCCACTGAGAATATCAGGAGAGAAACCTTTACATCCCCTTCGCCTTCAAAGACCTTCCATAAAATATTCTACATTTTAAGCTATAACCTTGTATCATTAAGAAGAGAATCGCGTGAATCGGGAGGCGGAGCTTACAGTGAGCCGAGATCGCGGCACTGCACTCCAGCCTGGGCGACAGAGCGAGACTCCGTCAAAAAAAAAAAAAAAAACAAAGAAAAAGAAGAGAATCCATTTAAGTCACAAAAGAAAAATTGCAAATGGCTTATAAACATGAGAATATTTAGCCACAGGTTAGCAAAAAAATGAAAATTAAACATGAAGGCAATATTTACTTATCTGTCAAATTGGCAAAGATTTAAAACACAAATGATAGCTACTATTGCCAAAGGGGCAAGAAAGCAGGCATTCACAGCTATCTCAGCAGAGACATAAATTGGTACAACCTTTCTGAAGGGCAATTTTGCAGTGCATGCCAAATGCTTTAATTTTTTTTTTTTTTTTTTTAGACACAGTCTCTGTCACCCAGGCTGGAGTACAGTGGCGCAATCTCAGCTCACTGCAACCTCCACCTCTGGGTTCAAGCAATTCTCCTGCTTCAGCCTCCTGAGTAGCTGGTACTACAGGCACGTGCCACCACGCCTCGCTAATTTTTACTTTAAAATGTTGTACAAGCATTGACCCAGCATTTCCAAATATGACAATTTATTCCAAAAAATCATTAAGTATGTTCATAAAGATATAACCTCAAAGATTGTCAGCAGAAATTTTTGTAATTGCCAGAGAGAAAAAATATTCCAATATTCTGAAAACAAATCATGATATGTCAAAGTAAAACAACACAAGGTAGTTACTAAATGATATGACAATGTTGTAGAAACTATTTATTAATATGGAAAGATTAGATGTTCCTGATAAATAGAAAAAACAAGCAGATTACAAAAAATGAATAGTATATCTCCACTTTTTGCTTAAAAACACACAGACAAAAAGAAAAATACATATCAAAATACCACTAATAATCTGAGTACTGTATTTGGGTGATCTTTTACATTTCTTATGTTTACCTTTATTCCTTTACTTTTAAACAAAAATATACACTACTTATGTATTAACATGGGTAAAAGTTACAAACACAGATTAAGAAATGCTGTATATTTTCTGAGGAAAACATTGAAGAGAAACACAAACTCCTATTATACGAGCACATTTAGTTTAACAAATAACAGAAAAGGGCAGAGTACATTTAAGAATTATCTCATTTTTATGATTTCCTCATTCACTTATTCCTTTGTTTCTCCAGCAGTATTTTCTGAGCACCTACTATGGACTAGGCGCTGGGTGTACAACAAGGAATGAAAAGCCAATGGTCCCTGCTATAATGAAACTTACTTAGTGATATGGTTTGGATTTATGCCCCCATCCAAATCTCACATTCAATTGTAATCCCCAATGTTTAAGGTGGGGCCTGGCGGGAGGTAATTGGATCATGGGGTGGTTTCTCATGAATGGTTAGGCACTATCTCCTTGGTGCTAAGTTCTCCTGAGATCTGATTGTTTAAAAGTGTGTATTTCCTTCCCCACTTCTCTCTTCTTCCTGCTCCAGCCATGTAAGACATGCCTGCTTCCCCTTCCTTTTCCACTACGACTGAGAGTTTCCTGAGGCCTCCTCAGAAGCTGAGCAGATGCTTCCACTCTTCCTGTACAGCCTGCAGAACCATAAGCCAATTAAACCTCTTTTCTTGATAAATTATCCAATCTCAGGTATTTCTTTATAGCAGTGCAAGAATGGACTAATACACTTAGGGAGATGGACAATCTTATAGTCCAACATACAAATTAAAAAGTACAAGAGTGACAAGTATAAACAGAGAGCTACAGAGCCCATCAGAGGGAGTTAGGATGAGGGAGGGAGGTGACAACACTGTAGAGGGCCCTTGCAGAGAGAGGATGTAGGGAACATGATGGATTGAAAGAAGACCTCTTTGGACAGCACCCCAAGTAAAGGGCTCTTATAAAGAATGTGGGCCCGAGACTAAGTGTGTAGGATGAACCATGCTGTCTAGAAGTCCATTTTTAGTTTTCTTTTTATCCCAAGAGCAATGGGTAGCTTTAGACATTTTTATGCATAGATAGGTATAATTTGCCTTTTGGAAAGGTAATTCTGACTTTTTTATGGGAGGCATATCAGAGAGAAACCTGAATTGGGGCAGATATACAAACTAGAATGCTATAAAAATAAGAGAAGCTAAGGGATAGGAGAGGAGGTTGAAACACAGGGTAATGGTGGTGAAGATGGAGAGAGGGATGTCTATCTGAATGTGATTCAAAGGGTGAATTTGATGGTGGAGTGGATATGGGGCAGAGGGAGAGGAAAATCAAAGCTGACAACCGCTGCTTTGTTTGTGCTGCTGACTGAATGGTGATAAGATCCCTTGAGGTATGAGACAGTGACTGCCAGTCAAGTTGGGGGCAGGGTGGGACCTGGTAAAGATTTGAGTTTGGATGCAATAGTCTGAGTTATTGTTGCGACACTGTCTCAGTCTCTTTTATACTGCTATGGTAGAATACTACAGATTGGGTAATTTGTAGTGTAGAAATGTATTTCTTATGGTTCTACAAGTGGGAAGTCTAATATCAAGCCACCGCCATCTGGTGAGGGCCTCCTTGCTGTGGGATGACGGAAGATGGAAGGGCAAAAGGAATGAACACGGAGTCCTTACATGGCAGCAGAGTGGAAGAGCAAGCTAGCCAAATGCTGCACAAAGTCCCTTTTAAAAGGCCCTTACTCTTACTAAAAAAGGAGGAGCTCTCATGTCTAAAAATTCAGACAGGTACGAGGGCTAAGACCCTCCAGACTATCATGGAGGGTAATAGTGAGACGAAGTTAGAAGCAAAAGGGAAGTGAGTGTATTCTGGTCATTTCATTTTGTGTTGTTATAATCTCCTTTGAGAGCAGGCAGTGTATTTACACACTTGCTTCATTTCTTGAACAATGTCAAACACTGTGCTGTTATTTCAGTATATAGCTAGCAAAATCAATCAATGGATGACTGGATGAATAATTGTGCAAATTTAATTTATTTCATCACTATTCATTGCTCAGGTACATATGGAAGATGTTGTTATGCATAATGGGTATTTCAGAAGAAGAGATGATGGTAAAGACCTGGAATTCCTGGCTGGTTCAGCTACTGCCTTGCTTTGTTCTTGAGATATAAGTACAGAAAATAGATCTGGAAAATGCACACTGTATTGCTACTGAGAGTTTAGCATCTAGACCTTAGGTCACCGGGACCAATAGACTTCTCTTGTTCCATCAGCATGAAAACAGTTTGAAGGCATGCTCTGAATGTGCTTTCACCATTTTTTTCAACCTGCAGTGATGGAAAAGTACAAAAGAAAAGAGAGATATTGAATTCACTTTCATGTAGTGGAAACAAGAACATAACCAACAGTAAGAACTTTGGTAGATAAAAAACTAACTAACAAGCCATCAACTCACGTACACACCCAATTTATGATTATACAAACATCTAATTTAAGTGTGTGATTAAACAGAAAGTTATAATTTTTCTTATCAGATTTACCACAATTAAAATAGTTGATTGTCTTTTAGCACTGCCAATGGTGTGAGGAATGTATTTGTCTACTGTTGATATAAATTGGTACAATTATTTGGAGGAGGAATTGTGGTCAATTTAGCAGCATACATTGAAATGTTAAGTGCACATGCCCTTGGATCCAGCAAAATCTCTTCTAGACATTGATCATACTCTCAGTAACAGCTAACAGCTCTGGATTCTGGCCATGTGGCAGTTGGCTTTATGATCTTTAGTGATACAAAGCTGTTTATTTTTTACAAAACTCTGTGAAATAGTTTCTATTATTGCTGATCTTGTACAGATGAGGAAATTGAGTCACAGTGAGGTTAAATAATATTCCAGAGCCACACAAATAATGAGCTACAGAAATCAGATTCAAAACCAGGTAGTATGGCTCTGGAGCTTGTTATGTGTGTAGGGCCTGCCTTAATTAACTTCTTGTACAGATGGGCAGGCAGGATGTCATGGCTTTGGAGAGTTCAGGCTCTCTGAAGGCTGCCCCACCTTCTCTTCTGATCCACTTGTAGACCCATTCCGAGAATAGCAATGGCACTTTGATGCCACCAGACTGACAAGTGGGATTCAGAAATCGGTAGATGTTCTTTGCCTGAGCACAGACACATTGACACTTCTGCACCCTCCTTTCTGGTCTATCTGACACCTGGCACTGTTCTTCATGAATTAATAGGGTACCTGGAACTTCTCTATACATCTTTATTAAGTGCTGGTTCCAGGGGTGGGTATGTGAACAGAAAACTTCTGCTTTCCAGGTGAGAAGACAGGGTGAGACTTACTTTTACAGGTCATTAAATAACAGGCTAAGTTATTTTAATCTTTGTTTTGTAATATGATGATGATATAAATAATTACAATGATGAGAGCTATGCGTGAGTAAATCCTTTAGGTAATTTTTTGTATAGTATCTCAATTAGTCCTCACCAAAAGAAAAAAAAAAACAGACACACACAAAATAAAGACAAAATCCCATGAGATACGCACTATATTAGTTCCATTTTGCAGAGAAGACTGCACAGCAGCGTGACGTTATTTAATCTATGCTCTCAAAAGGTTTATTTGGGAGCATAGTCAAGACAAGATGTAATGAAGTCCTGACCTTGCTTGTGAATGAAGGGGAAGGGAGCAGATGCAGGCAACATAGTGGGAGTAACATCAGTAGGACTTAGTACCTAAACAAACATCAGCGATAAGTGAGGATAGTGCTGTCAATCTTCTTGGGCCTTTGAACCTATAGTGTACTGGAAAGATAACAGTGATATATATTCATTAATGGATCTCTATCAGATAGTCATTTTGGTAGCAAGTAGTCAAGTTTGTGGGGTTGGGGATACACCATGTTACTCACCCTAGGAAAGGCATGATGTACCAATTGTTTGATTGCTGAAAGGTTCAAAATGAACTTGTTCTTAGGCTAGGAGAAAATGAGTTGAAAATTAGAGCTATTTTCAGAAGGGACATACCACAGTAATTGTTTTCCTATTGGGATCAGAGGGAAGGAATCTGATGTTTATTAAGACTGTTTAGTGTTAGGTAAGTTTATCTACTTTGTAGTATGTATTTGTGTAGGCATTATTTTCCTATTGTCATTTATGGATGAGAGAAGTAATTTGCCCATGGTCACATGAATGGTAAATGACAGAATCATTTTTTTCCTCTAATTTCAGCACACTTCAGATCACCAAATAGCCCATCATTGCTCCTTTCTTAATTTTTCTTTTCTATGTTTTAAAATATAAGATTTTACATCTGACACTCTCCTCAGTTTCTTTAGCAGTCTTGTTCATATCCAGTGGTCCTATTCTTAGACCAAAAATCTGTGACTTTTCTGGTCTGTGACTCACATCACTCTTATTGATGGGCCATGGAACCATGCAGTAGTAAGTGATTTCTGAGGCATTTCAGCTTCTTATTTCCCACCATGAGACCTTGTTCTGGGAAAAATGATACAAAACAGTTTGCCTTTGGTGTCTTTGTTTTCTTCCATGTTCTCCCTTTCAATGACCATGCCCATCGTTTCTCAATGCCCTTCACATGGTCAGATGTCTGCACTGGGTGGGAACTGATTTTATTGTATTTTATTTTATTTATTTTTGCCTTCTCCATAAACTTATTTATCTTGTATATCATTCCTTCAGAGTCTACGGAGTTGAATGTGGCAATGAATGATGCTGACTTCTTTTTCCTTTTCCTAACAAAATTTGTCCTTTGTATTAATCAGGAATCTCTAGAGAAATGGGAACAATAGGAACAAAAATACACATATACACACACATACATATATATATACACATATATATACACACATGTATATACACATATATACACATATATATACATATATACACATATATATACATATATACACACATATATATACATATATATATATGATTCATGATAAGGAATTGGCTCATACAACTATAGAAACTGGAAAATCCAACTCTGCAGTGTGGGCTGTCAGACTTGAGACCCAGGAGAGCTGATGGTGCAGTTTCAGTCCAAAGGCTGGCAGCCTGGAGACCCAGGAGATCCCATGGTGCATTTCCAATCTGAAGTCCGGCAGTTGAAGACCCAGGAGAGCCAATGGTACAGATGAAGTCCAAAGGCAATTTGCTTCAGAATTCTTTCTGGTTCAGGAAGGCTAGTCTTTTTGTTCTATTCAGGCCTTCAATTGATTTGATGGGGCCCAGTGTGTTAGTTTTCACACTGCTATAAAGAAGTACCTGAGACTCCGGGTAATTTATAAAGGAAGGTGTAATTGACTCACAGTTCTGCATAGCTGAGGAGGCCTCAGAAAACTTACAATCATGGCAGAAAGTGAAGAGGAAGCAAGGAATGCCTTACATGGTGGCGAGAGAGAGAGAATGAGGGAGGAACTGCCAAACACTTCTAAACCATTAGATCTCATGAGAACGCACTATCACACACTCATGAGCACAAGAACAGCATTGCAGAAACCATCCCCATGATCCAGTCACCTCCCACCAGGTTCCTCCCTTGACATGTGGGGATTAAAATTTGAGACGAGATTTGGGTGGGGACACAGAGCCAACCATATCACCTGCCCACAACATGGAGGGAAATAAGCTTATTCAAAGTTCACAAATTTAAATGTTAATTTAATCTAAAAGCACCTTCTATTTTGACACAGAAAATTAACCATCACACCCCTTTAACAGGATTCCTGGATAATGCATTTTATATGGTGCAATTGCTGATGTGTTTGGCAGGTTAAAGAGAGGGGTTTTGAGTGAAGGTTTTTTCCACAACCTCCTCCCCACCATCAACTGTATAATTAACTGCTTTCAATTGTAATTCATGAGAATGGGCTATTTGGAGGCATCTAGCTAAAACATCTGTCACCTACGATGCCATTTATTTTGCTCTTAAAGAGAGTATGCATGGGCTCATGCCAGGTTCAGATGACACTTATTAGCTCAGCAAATACATGAGGTGCCTAGGTTGCCAATCCTGAAGCTAGAGCCTGGTTTTCCATTTGCTTTTTCATTTATTTCCTTAATCCTCATAGCTGATTATCACTGTGAAGACCATAATCTAACTTTCTTCTATGTCTCTCTGAGTCGCCCCAGAACTTGGAAATGATTGCCTGCATCAAGTGTGCTGCTTTTTTGTCTGGGGTGATAAACAATACATCACAGCAGACCCTGGGTGCATCCACAGGGAAACACATGAACAAATAAGGGGAAAACTCTCCAACTTGAAATTCTTATCTAGTTATATTCCCCACTTGATTCTGTAGAATCAAATTAGACACCTGCATTTTTCAGCAGCTTGACATTTTGGCAGCTGTGGATTCCTTCCTTCCTCTTCAGAAGCTACTTGAATTTGGGCAGCCACTTCTACACAGGAGCAAGCAGTTCTACCTGAGACTTAAAATGCTCTTCTCTAGCTTTATAGATCTTGCTGCTGCTGTCAGAAGTTTTGGCATTTTACTAATTATATAGAGCTATGAAGAAATAAGTGCCCAGTGTCACCATTTTTTCATATATATATATATATATGTATATATATTTTATATATATACATATATATATATATATATATAAAATCCGATCATCTCAAAATTATGTACCCATTTATTTAAAAATTCTATTGATTATTTCTTCTGAACGGGTCATATATAAACGAGATTTTAAAAAAATATATACTAAAAAATGGCCACGCTGGGCACTCTTTACTCCATGTCTTTGAGGCTGCCTCTGTATAAGCCCTCCAATTTGACAAGTCCTCCCTTCACTGTACGAATTGACTTACCATTCTGGGCTCTGGTAGATGAGATTGAAATTCTGCCACATAACATTCTCCTAATCATCAAGGTTTGTAACCCTATTAAAAATCCATCCAGGACCTCAAAACACCTGGGCTTTCTAATTATTTTTTAAAATCTGGGTTTATGTATTATCTGTTCAGATGAAATGACAGACAGATTAACAGAATTTTAAAATAAATGGAACATAATGTTATTGAAATTATTAAATTTTTTTTTCTAAGAGAAAGCTGTAGTGACCCCTAGCTTATTCCATGGACCAAAATAAATTGTAGAATGCTAAATACTGTTAGGCTTTAAAATTCATAGAAGAACCAGAAATCATTATAGATGGAGATTTATATGACACAATAGGGAAGGATTTTCCAAGACTTATAATCAAAGCCAGATCCAGAAAGTGTGAAGAAAATGATGAGTAGATTTTACTACTAAGAAACTAAAGCTTATAAACATTTCTCTGACAAAAAGACACAATTCAGAAACTTGTGAAATGATGGCAAACTGTTTTTAACATATAAGAGAGGCAAAAGATTAGTGTCCTTATTACATGGCAAAGTATTTACAAATATTTGACGTGAAGAAAAATACTTTTAGAATAATGAGCAAAAGACATAAATAAGTCAAGTCACAAAATGCAAAAATGTTTAGGCTCACTAGTAATAAAAGCTGCAAATCAAGATATAGATGTTTACCTCCGAATCTGGAAATACTTTGAAATGATTTTTGGGAGGCTGTGTTAGGGGGAAATTAGAAATCACACACATAGCCAATGGGAAATAAAACTGGGAAAATTCTAGGAGATAATTTGGTAAGATGTATCAAAAGTCCTAAAAAGCTGCTTACCTTTTGACCCAAGAATTTTGCTTTTAGGAATCTATCCTGAAGGGTGTGTGTGTGTGTGTGTGTGAGTGTGTGTGTCTGCATCTGTGTTTATTTATTATGTATCTTTGTATCTATTATCTATCTATCTATCTATCTATCTATCTATCTATCTATCTATCTAATCTCCCTTTTTCCCACTAGAGTATAAGCTCCACAAGGTCAGTGACTCTATCCATTTGATTTACTATGTACTTACCTGAGCATAGAAAATTGCCTTTCCTGAAGAAGATGATCAATAAATGTTTACTGAATTATTATGGTTGTTATTTTTTAATATTTACAAAATATCTTGGAATCGTATAGCATATCTGGCAAAGAATGACTAGGATGTTGAAGGAATTTGAAATTACATCATGAAGAAGCAAGAGAAAAGAAGCACTGCTGGAGGAGTAGAAAGCAGAGGATCAGACAGTGGGCTTCAAACATTGGAAGGGTTATTACGTGGAAGAGAGGTTTGCTCATTCTGTATCACATTTAAGTGAAGAAGTAGATCAATGAATAGAATTTATAGAGGCAATGTGGGCCTCCACTTGATAAGGTACTTTCAAACAATTAGAGATGTCCAATATTGAATCCATTATCTTGAGAGGAAGTGATTTACTATCCCTAAAAATATTCAAGTATAAGTACTTACACAGAAAAGTAATATACCAGAATAAGACTTTTACTAGATAACTAGAAATTTCTTCTACTTAAAAGACTCACCTCCTTTTCCATTCTAACATCATCTTCTATTCCCTCTCTTTTTAAAACTAGTTATTTCTATTCACTCTTCAGATCTCAGCCTAAATATTACCTCTCTGAAACCTTGGCCCGAATACTCCAATAAATCTTCTTTGTTTAGATCTTTTACAGTCACCTCTCTTTTGGCCTGACTGTTCTGCACTAGATTATGAACTCCATGGAGACAGGAACTTGTCCCTTTTTTCTATCTTATTCACCTTTTTATATCTGGTGTGTCATGCCTGGCACATAATAAAATGAAATTAATCTTAATGAAGTATGTATACACGTTGAAATAATTTTATATTTCATTTGTTTGATAGCCAAGAGTCATTAAATTAGGGAGGCTTATCTACCTTTTCCCTTTTTTTCATTCAGTTTTCAATTCCTCATGGTTCTGTTCACCTTGCTGGTATACTGTCCTATTTATACACCTTAGAAGATATGAAGCAAGGACATATCACGCCTTCCTCCCTCCCTCGCTGCTCCTGCATACTCCAGTTGTCCGAGATGCATCTTCTTAGTCATCACATGCAGATTTAGCTCTAGCTATTGGTCTAGATATTTTATTAGGGAGATTATATAAAGCTTGGTAAATTTTTTGGAGGTTCAGCATGCTCAGCTTTGATGCAAGCCTTTCTCAGATGTTAAACTCAAGGTCTGGAAGGTGGATCTTTCATTTTTACCAAATTGGAATTTATTTATTTTTATTATTATAAATGTCAAATACAGTTATAAAAATTTTATTAAAACAGAAAAATATAAAGGATAAAGGAAAATAGAAAAATCATCCATAATATACCTGAAGATAAATTTTATTAACATTTAGTGTATATCTTTCTAGACTTTAAATAAAGCATTTTATGACAAAATGCTATCATAATATAGAAACTGTTTTATAATATACTTTTCCACTTGATATATTGAGAAGTCCCTTCCAAGTCAATAAATATGTATTTATGATATCACTTTATCATGTCTGAATGCAACTGATGTATTTGACCACTTTGATGCTCTATGAGTTATTAAGGTAATAAAGTTCCCTTCAACCTACGTGATAAGAAACAAAAAAAATTGATACAGCCCTGAGACAAGATAGCAAATATGTACTGCTGTCCCTGCTAGGTAAAGGCAAATTTTTTTCTAATTTAAAAAAATACTGATAGGAATAGGGGAAAAGCATTTGCTGGGTTATAAAAGTTGCATATCAAAAGCCAAGGACTGTGTGGATTTATTCGATAAAAATTCCACATTCCAAAGCATACCTGTAATTGGCATTGCCTCATGATTAAAGTATCCAGCGTTCCCTTAGTTGAATAGACCCAGGTACATGAATTGACTTACGTAGTTCTGGAAGTTGTGTTAAAGGCTGTAAATTCTCATGACTGATATTTGAATTAGGTTTTTGTCCACTAGACCTTTAAGTTGTATCTTAGTGGGCTGCATATCTATTTTCCTATTTTCTAGGAAACTTGTGATCAATTAACCATTGTCATGGATCTCTATGGGTCAAAACACTCTGATTTCCACTCTTTCATGTCTCATTGTGGTAATTGCACCTACCTATACTCTGAGAGTTAAGTGCCACAAACTAGCCCAATAGTCCAGCATCCCATTATTCCCCTTGAAGTCAAGGGCCAGCTAATATAGCGATCTCAACCAAACTATATAGGACAGCTGCATAGAGCTCTTCAAGAAAACTGCCATTCTCCCTCAGCCACCACTCCAATATCCTTTGTAATAGGAAAGAAGTATTTTCTGGTTCCTCCAGTGAAACATAGTTTGTGGATGAATGGACACACAATTGATTCATTTCATTGCTCCTCTTTCTTCAATACTTGGGTCTTTATTCTAAAATGTACCCAGGATTTTGTTTTAATTCAGTATGGCAAAATGACAGATATGGAAACAACTGCTTTGAAAAAAGAATTTTTATCCACAATTCCCAAAAGAAGGGAAATGCCATTCTATGCAAAACTATATGGGGAAAGTACTCAGGTCGTCCAGGAGGCAGAAGCAGAGAAGGGACAGAAGCAGGGGCCCAAGTCTTTATTGTGGATTTCATCAGGGGAAATGAGCAAGGTAGAGAAGGTACATTGAGTAAGTTTAGGATTAAGTGGTCTGAATAATTCAAGGGGCACTGAGAAATAGGGGTGGTCCCAGGTTGTCAGATACCTAGCCCTGGGGTGATTTACAGCAGGGGGAATATTGGCTGGGTGTGTGAGTTTGATAAATAAAATGATTGGGAGTATGGGCTCTAAATTGGGTGGTTTGCATATCAAAGGTGTGCTCATAGGCAAGTTATTTGCTATCTCTAGAAATGAACTAACCTTGGGAGGTGCAATTCCTCCTTGGGTCTGCAAGGCATTAAGATGTCAAAGCATCATAAAATATAGAAAATTAAAAAAAACACAATTAATATCATTTTTCTCTATGGCATGCTAGAAAAGTTCTGGAATTTTGATCTTATTAGCTGTAAGACCACTTAGTAGTTAATTAATGCCAATCTCATACATTTGAGCCAAATTAGGTGAATAAATTCATCTCAATGAATTTGGGCTAATCATGACCTTAATCTGTCTTCCATTTTTTGAACTTAGAACTCACTCTCACAACATAAATTCCAGGGTTATGGTGATACAGAATGGAATGGTTCTATAAATCTTTCTGTATATAGGTTATCTTGTCTCATATAAGGCTGTGCATTCCTCAGTTTGAACTCTATTAAATTTAACTCTAAAGTATGGACCTAGAGGTATTAACAGATGTTGTGTTGGGACTTTCAGAAAAATTGGGATCAGTGGTGAAGCATGTCCTAGCTTTAAGTCATTGAACAACTTTCAAGGAGGGAAAATCTGGTTCCTTCATGGTGGGATGGGCCTCTTTGGCCAATAAAATTGTTCAAGCAGATTTAGGATCTGTCTCAGGGTCTTATTTTTTCCCTGTCAGTGCATAAGAGATATGGTAGACTTCAGCTCTAAATTGAAATGTTATTCTGCTCTCCTTATGATCAAGCCCTGAGATAGCAGAATAGCTATTCTGTGACTACCTACAGGAGATGAAAGAATCCTGCTATGGTGCTATAAGGCTTTATGATTTTTCTCACTGTACTCTAGATTGCATAGCTTTCAATTTCTTGTTTTCTATGTTTATTCTTTTGGTTCTCTATGGCCATAAAAGGAAGTTACATAATGCCATAATCTCTATGACCACTATAGCAACTAAGGGCCATAATCCATTTGATGTCCCAAAGGTACTTTCATCTATGGCACCATTGGAGATAATTTGAGTTATATTGTTGCCGCAAATTTTGTGGATTACTCAAGTCCAAGTTGCCACCAACTGGAGATTATCTATGTGCTCCTCAATGATGTAGGCAATCCAATCTCCAAATATCATACTTTGCATCTGTTTCCTAAAATCCTGATGCCAATTACCATACCAGTTAGGATTCTAACAGGAAATAAGTGGCAGCCTAAAACTGAATAGTTTGAAGAGATTTTGATCAAGAAACTATTAACAAAGATGAGGCAGAATGTGGGGAAAGGCACTCACTTGTCCGATGGAGCCACCCTCCAGATTCCACCTTTTCCTTATCTGGTTGATTCTGGTTAGCAGGATATAAACTAATATTGTTTGCATTTCCAGCTGATATTTTTGTATATTTTTCATTTACTTTGTAGCTAAAGTTTGGTTGTATTTCATTGGTTATTTGAAATTGACTTGGACTTGTTGCTTGTAGCTTTAAGCCATTAAAAAGTTTAATTGGAGATTCAGGAATGGAATCCATTTAGTTCTCCAGATTTATTAGCCCGTGAGTCACACAGAGGAGAAACCGGATTGGTGGAGCACTCTCTTCCAGATTTTGAGTTACTTCATTGTGGTTTCAAAATAGAGAAGGCAAAGTTTAGGGCTTTTTGCTCCAGGTTTAAACTCTTGACATACAGAGCTCTGGATTCCTTCCAAAAGTTCTAACACTTTAAACAAGTTGTGTACTTTTGTTTTATCGTGGTGAGAAAGGATTTTCATGCATGTAACAACCTTCCCTTAGCTCTTCACCTATCAGTCTTTCTGACCAAGCGAGCATTTAAGCGCATAGAGGTTAACTTGAGAGTGGCCACAGGGCAAGGCTGGAGTAACTGGACCATGCAGAATTGTGCTGAAGAGCTGAGCTTTGTTTTTACCTTGTTAATTGCACTGGACAGAATCGTGAGTCTGCCTGAAGCGAGCTCTAAAACAGAACTGCTCACCACGCGTCTGGTCTAGTATCTGTCTGCCCCTCATTAGGCAGGATGTGAAAACCGGCAGCAGTGGCTGCAAACCCAAGCCTCCTGGAGGGCATCCAGTGCAGCTGGAGGAGGGCACAGCATTGCAGGGAGGATCTGCTGGGTTTCTCTCAAGATCCCAAGTGAGGGTTATGGCTTCACAAAACTCTGCCCATGATGGAGAACGCAGGAAGGTGGCAGAGGGGAGGTGGCCCTCCTTGGGGCCCAGAATAGTCACATGCACTCATCTGAGCTTCCGAGGTCCGAGGTTGGGCAGAATTACAAATTACAGAGTCCCTGATGGAGAAATAGGAAATCAGAATTCCAGTCCTAGCTCTGCCTTTAATTGCTATGTAAGTGAGGTCAAATCACTCAGACTTTTCTGGGAGTTGGTTTCCTTATCTGTAAAGTAAGAATAATTAGTCCTGCCCTATCTCTCTCAAAGAGATGATGAGTACTAAATGAGAACATTAATGAGTGTGAAAGCACTTTGAAAATAGTATGAAGCGCAAGAGAAAGACATTGTTATCACTGGTGCTAATAAAATCTACTGAATCACTAACACCACAATGCTTTCTATTTCAAACACCAACTCTTCACCCAGACTTCAAGTCCTTCTCTCAACTGCACTCTATCTTTGTGAGAAAGGATTATGTATACCTTACCTGGTCTTTGGTTCAGTTAAGCTATTCTGATGATTCTTCTTTCCACATCACATTTTCCTCATTCCTACTTTTCTGCACTCTTCATGTTTTCCATAGTTTATTTCTGGTTTTCCAAACAACTCTATTTTTCAGTTTTCTTCACAGCCCCCTTTATGTCTCTTAAAGCTAGTTCCCTCAAGTGGCTCCATTTAGTCCTCTTCTCACCCAAAACACTCCTTGGAAGGCTCCATCCACTGCCATGGCATCTATATGCTGGTAAGTTAAGTTCTTCCCATTTCACAGTTAATGGCAATGCCATCCTCCCAGTCACTCAAACAAAAAACCTGTAAGTTAGACAGGACATATTCATTTCCCCCTCTTTCATCCTTTCCTTCCTGCTCCACATTTCCTTAGCCATTAAGTCCTGTGGTGTTTATCTCCCACATCTGTATATCATTGCCATGACTTTACTTTGGGTCCAAATCTCTGATAACTTGGATTACTGTCACAGTTTTCAGATTAGATTCTCTGTTTCCAGTCTGTTTTCTTGCCAGTACATTTTCCACCCTTCTGCCAAGCTGATGTTTCTAAAACACAAATCTGATCATGCCATTTCTCTGCTTCAAATGCTTCAGTGGCTTTCATGCTTTTCAGAATTAAATTCAAAATTGGCACACTGGCACCCAAGCCTCATCAGGGTCTGCCCATCTTTCCCTCTCCTCACTGTACGTTGTCCCTTTTTAGTTCTTGAGCTCATTTAAGCATCATAGAAAACAGAAAAATGGGTAAGGAAAGATTTGCAAATAAATTACCATTTGCTCCTGGATCCCATCTCTGCCACACTTACAGAGCACCATGTTTGTGGTCCCTGTTCCGACCTCTCTCCACATAGACACTTGGCTGCAGACAGGTAGAGGTTTTTGGAGTTCCCCAGTGATAAGTGGATTTTCCTGCTTGTGCCTTCATAGTTTATGTCTGCTGGTAATTCCCTTCTTACCTTCCTGGCCCAGCTAAAGAGCACTTGTCTTTCAGAACCTAGTCCCAGACATTATCACCTCAGGAAGTCTTCTCTGATCCCATGTGTCATTTACCTATCCCTGCTTTACAGTTCCAGAATACCCTGAATAGTCTTTCATCCCACGTCCTTCTAATGGAATTTCATCCATAGTGTATTCACTTGCTAGATTATTTAAAGGTTCAGTTCTTGTCTTAACTGGCTATGTATTTCTAGCTCCCAGCATAGTATGTGGCATAGAATAAGTGCACAATAAAATGCTTGCTGAATAGAATTGAATTGATTTCATCTGGAATAATTTTTCTTTCTCTTTCACCAGTAGACACTTATAGGTCTCTTAAGGTTGATCACAAAGACAATCATTCTCTTTATGTAATCTTGCTTCATTATCCCACATCATTTAATGATCTTCTATTTGAATTTCTCTGTTGCTAGATGTGTGGCTTTTGGCCTTGTATATTTAGAGGTTGCTTTAAAATATATCATCCCTAAACATCACTATTCTTTAAGCATGTGATATAATGGAGTGTAAAGTGTCTTATGCAAGGCATCAGAAGACTTAGTTCTAGTTTATCTGTGCTGTGAAATATGTGACCTTGGACAAAGCGTTAATTTTTCTCTCCTTGGTTTAAGTTTCCTCATTCTTAAAATGAGCTATTTGGGCAATTTCTAAGACACCTGCCTGTTAAAAGACTATACACTACTAATTAGTCTTGAACTCTTTCATATGTCCTTGCAGTCATACCGGGTTTTTCTTTTTTAAACAGCTCTGTGTTTATCCAGCACAGGTGCTCCCCATCTCCTCTTTCATCTTAGCTTTTGAAAATCAGCAGCAGCGTACCTCTGCCATGGCCATATATATATAAAGGACTGAACCTTAGGTTACAGATATTAAAAGAGTTGTAGCCGAAACAGTTGTAGCTGAAGCAATTCCACATACCCACGAATATGGGGCCCTAAACTCCAAACACTGTCTCCTAAAGAATAAATTCAGTTTTTCCTTGACTAATTCAGATTGGATCTGTGGCTAAATCTGCAAGTCATTAAATAGTTAATCCACCTCCATCAGCTGTTTCTTTTCTGTTGGTCAATTTAGGTGGGCAATAGTCTAATTTTCGTAAGATTGGCAATCAGAATTACTTGATTACTTTTATATCTCCACCAACAGTGTACCCAGTATATTTGACACCCAGAGCAGATTAAATTTTAACTCTCCCCTTCTTTATGCAACAAACTTATTTTCTGTAATGATTATTATTTCCTTTAACACTTGTTGCAATACATTATGAATTCCCTGAAGTCAGAGACCATGTCTTACTTATTTTTGAAACTTTAGGGGCTGGTATTTCCCTTGATTTTTAGTAGGTATGAAAGAAATGCCCATGAGTTGAATAAACAAAGAAATGAATGGATTATTATCTCTAGCATGGCCAAGATTGCTTCCTTAGTGACTTTTAATATGTTACAGATCATACACAATTAATTAAGCAGAGGTTTGCATTTTCCTTGGTATGCTTAGAAAATGCCTACAAAATTCTATAAAGGACTTACACGGTTCTATCAGTGGAAAACCTATGGACTTGACAATAGATTCATGTATTCCAATGTCAAGTCTGATCTCTTCAATTCAACTCTTTCAAGACCATAGCTCCTGGCATTTCAAATGCTTCAGCCATAGGCCCAAAGTGGGTCAGATGCCTGAACTGCCATAGCTAATTTCCCTTACTATTGAAACTTTGTTCTGGATGTCAGAAATTATACAATTGTGTCTCTTACCCTCTAATTGCTACTTAATTTTTATTTTTCACACTCATTTTGAAAGCATTGAAGTGCAAATTAAATAGCAATTAGAGGGCAAAAATATACAACACTGAGATTCTGCAGTCTTCTGCACAATACCAGTTGCTATGTAGAAATTCTCAAAAAAATATGCGAAATCAAGCACCACCATTTAAAGAACTTTGGTGCTCTGCTACTCTGGGGATGATCCATTTTCAAATAACCTTTCTGTTAGGACTTCGTTTATTTGTGGCTATAAAGGCAAGCAAGTAAACAAGAATGCAAATTATGTTTTAATATGTTACTCCTTTGCCAGTTTTACAATTTCAGCCTGAAAAAATAGGCAATTCATATAAATGACTAAGAGCTCAATTTGCTTCCCAAACTATAGAGACTTATTTTCCAGCCTCAAAGTGTGACAACATATTCATTTGTTTGATTCAGTAATATTTTGAAGAATATCAGGCCTTAGGAGGCAGATGTGTATTGTCTTACAGCACACTTTGGATAGTCTTTCAAGTAGTCTAATCTTCAAGATGGGACCAGGCTAGTGTAAGAGAACATGGGATGGGGCTTTGGGAAGGCCATTCCCCCTCTTGATTAGTGTCCTGGCAGTTCAGAAGGTTGCATTTGTGCCAGAAGAAATTCCAGTGGTCTAGATTAGTTCTTTCTCTCTCTCTCTCTTTTTTTTTTTTTTTGCTTTTAACATTTGCTAGATTTCACTATTTGTATTTGCCTGACACTATTCTAGCCATCCTTGCATAAGTTATATAATTGACTTTAATTTTTTCAATAATTCTGTGAGATGGCTTTTGATTTCTCTTCCTTTACACATGAAGCAACTAAAGTTTTCAGGTAATTAGCAAGTATTTAAAACTTGGGTTTCTTATTTCATGTGCAGTATTCTTTTTATGATACAATAGCAAGGACAGTGGGAAGGAGATCATTGAGTTACTTTCTCCTTTCTAGTCTTTCCCACGCTACCCCCCACCCCCCCGCCATCTTTCTTCAAACACAAGTTTTAACTAAACTGACCATTTTTCAGTGTGAAACTTGTCAGGCATTCTCTCTTACCTCCTGACTTTTCAGAGCTATTCTTGAGGATCACTATTTCCTTTCTCTCTGCTTGACAAAACTCTGCCTTCTGGAGCCCTCATAAAGGATTTTACCACCTCTGGGCAGTCTGCGATTTCCCTTAGCACCTGGCACTTGTACAATTACAGCACTGTGTTCTAACGCCCTGCTTACTGTTTTCCCCTTAGCTATAAACCTTGTGAAGCAGGAAGGGGCCTAGCAGAAGCACCTATCATAGTACCCAGAGGATAGGAGGTACTCAATGTGTAACTGTTGGTTGACTGTTGCTGTGTCTCATTATAATTTCTCTGGTTCCTCTTTAAACCTTTAGTCTAGAATATAGAAAGAACACTAACAGTGATTGTCTCTGGACTGTGTGGCTAGGACGTAAGTGGGAGAGGAGCACACTTTTCTCTATACAGGCTTTGGTATAGATAATTTATCATATGCATGAATTAACATGTAATAAAATAAATATGTATTAAAAACACAAAGTCTGGCAATATGGTTTTGAAAGACTGTACTTTTCTCCATGTAGTCTTTCTCTAAACTTTATGTACTGGCAAACCAACAGCTCTCATCAGAATAACCAATCGACCACATAAGGCTGAGGTCCATGTAAGGCTAAGAGCAGGAGTCTGCCAGGAAGCTCCTAAGTAACCCTTCCTGGCTGTGAGCCACACTGCTGCTTCTGGATGTAGCATAGAAAGCCAAAACTAGGCAGAAACAATTTGGACATGCTGGCCTTATGAAATAATCATGCCAAATATTTTTGTTTTTGAGACAGAGTTTACATAGAAAACTTTAATTTTCCCAAATATACAATATACACCATAAATCATTTGGAGCTTGAAGAAAACAAGATATTTTGGCTGAAATGTAATAGGACATTCTCTTTTGATAAGAAAACAATATAAATGCCCTTGAGATGAATCAGGCCCAATAAATAATCAAAGGGATTTTTAAGGTAGAAAAAAAAGTTTTTCGAGGCTATAAATCTATCGGGAAATAGACTTCTAAAGAATAGATTGAACCAACTAGGAAGCAAACTCCATTAAGGGAAAAGTAAATTAAAAGCACTGAATGACTTCAAAGTGCCCTTGTTTCTAGGGAAAATATGGGGACTCCCAAGTGGAAAAGGAATGTATTGTATTTGATTATAAATATAACCTGTTTATGAAGGAACACAAATTAATTTTAATTCAATAAATAGCTATTAAGTGTCCACTCCGGGAAAAGAGCACTCTCTTAGGTACTGGAAGGGGTATAAGGACGTAAGGCTGAGTCCTTTCCTAGAGGAAATTTACAATCTAAATGGTGGATATGATAAGACAAGTATTCAAATAACCACAATAACCAGAAATTCAGAATTATCACCCACCCAAGGGGACACACAACATCCTATAAAAGTGAAAGAGGGGCCCGGGCACGGTGGCTCACGCCTGTTATCCCAGCACTTTGGGAGGCCGAGGTGGGCGGATCACGAGGTCGGGAGATCGAGACCATCCTGGCTAACATGGTGAAACGCCGTCTCTACTAAAAATACAAAAAATTAGCTGAGCGTGGTGGTGGGTGCCTGTAGTCACAGTTACTCGGGTGGCTGAGGCAGGAGAATGGCGTGAACCCGGGAGGCGGAGCTTGCAGTGAGCCAGGATCGCGCATCTGCCCTCCAGCCTGGAGGGCTGGAGCAAGACTCTATCTCAAAAAAAAAAAAAAAAAGTGAAAGAGGGGACCCTCACACATTAGAGAGTCCAGAAGAGACCACATTCATGGCAAGTGGGATTTGGGATTGGTAGTAGAGCAGGGGACATGCTAGCAAGAAGGAATAAGCAGGAGCACAGAGGTATGGGGAGGTATGGAGAGGGGAATAGCAGAGTCTATTCTGGCAGCAGCAGAGGCTACATGTAGGGAACTGGTGGGAATAAAGCCTGAAAACCTATATTTGAGGTCTATTTGGACGCCAATGGGTACCCGGGAGACACTGGAGGTCTTAAAGAAAGCAAAGCGCTCAGAAGAATGGAGCTAAAAGTAAAAGTAAAAGGCATTATTCCCATTCAATCAGATCTCAGCTTGAGAAACTAAATTGCGCTGTTTATCTAGAATTCAGTGTGTGTTCTCACCATATTTTGATTTCTGAAATTTATTTCCATGAGCTCCTAAAGATTTTCTTGGAAACAAACATGTTCTAAAGGAAAAAAAAAAAAAGAGTTGAGAAATTAATGGTAGTATGTGTAATGGATAAAACTCCGAAATCAGACGTGGAATTGAATCCTGACTTTCTTAGCTCTTACGCTATGCAACTTCTCTAAGTGATTGAGATAATGATCGGCATAATGTATAGTTAGTACTTAATAGAGAACCTGAAAAATCTCACATGTTAAATAAATTATGACTATTATTATTACTTTTAGGATTATCATTTTTATGCTTGGTTTAAGGACATTGGGCCAGGGTAAGGGTGAAAAAATACGGATCAATTGTATTTTCTGGTAATACGATCCCAAAGATAAATGCCTGAGACCAGAGAACGATGTGACAGAAGAGAAAATTCACAAGGTGTGGTGAGCACAACGGACCAACCACAACATTGTGGATCATGGGAGAGACTGACAGGGAACATGGCCATGAAGGCTATTGAAGCCCATTGGATATGGCACCCAGTGGTCAGAGCCACTGATTACAGACATCACATTTGGAACAAAGAAAATGACATGATACTTTAGCATCTTTGTCATGGACATAGGTAGGTCCTGCAGCAGGCATCATTGCAGTAAACATTTATCAAATGGTCATGCCTAAAAGGGGAGGAAAACGGTAGAAGGCAGCAGGCTGAAGGGAGAACGTAAAAGCACACGTACGTCAACTCTGAGGACTTTTGGAAACTTTAGGGAGGAATTTAAGGAAGCTGGGGTAGAAGGCAGTGTTCTACTATTTAGTCATTGTTTCTTGTCCCTTTTGTCCCTGCTCCTCCTGCCCTCACTCCCTGAACTGGTGTGATGTGGGACACCAATGCTTGCATTGAAATGATGATGACCAGAACTATGCATAGGAAGATGGTAGGGTGCAGGGAAAGGTCTAGGGAGGAGCTGGAACAGAGAGATTTGTCCAATAGTACAGGCTGTGCTCTCCACCCCACAGGGTGGGCAAGACAATTTATTATAAGAAAAAAAAATTAGAATGGCTGTATCTATTTAACGAAAACAAGAGAAAATAAACTCATCTAACATTTAAGGTTCTATTTGTCACTGGCTTCTGATTTTGTTTCTCCTATCGAAGGGTAAGAGTCCTAATTAAGGCTGATCACAGCAAATTTTAATCACTTTTAATTGGGCCTGGATAATATAATCTTGTAGTTCAATAGATGGGTCTTCAGTTTGTTAAACTTTATGACATTTAGGGTTTTGGGCAACTTGTTTTTGAGCTTCTAAGTAATGTCTTGCTATATTAATATTTGCTTTAATATTAACAGTATATGCTCTTGTTGCCCATGTAGTATTATCCCAATGTACCTCTTGATTCCCTGCCCCTCCCCCATTTTCCTGAGGTAGTTATAGAGTGGGTTTTTCATTTCAACCTGCAGGTGACTTTGAAGACATATTGCCATATGGTGCTAAAAACATTATAATACATCACCACTTGTTTGCCAGATGTTGTTCTACTCTGCTAGGCAGTGATTCAGATGCTCTGTGATGATTTTGCAAAATGAATCTTGCTAAATTGGAGAGTTTTAGTTGTCATATCCCATCTCATTATTATTGTCTGAGTATTTCAAACATACAAGAAAAACTAACAGTTGGAAATGAATCCACTAGATAATGCAAATAGCAGTGATTTCTCCCTCCTCAGTGGCTGCCATTCTTGCATGTGACGGCATCCCCATTTCGCCAAGTGAGAAATGGAGTCATGAGACACTGACTCCATGGGGGGGATTTGAACATAAATGGGTATTAATAAGAGTTCATTTCAGGCACTGGGATTTCAGTGTAGCTGTTTTCTACATTGTGAAAGCAGAGAGAGGCCCAACTTTTCTCTAGACTGAATAGCCAGCTACGTAAGTGGTGTGATTTGAGGACCAGGAAGGGCCCCAATTGTCTATGCAGCACTGCCTACATGTCTGCCATTACTAACTTAACATTTGAAGTAAGGAGGTTTTCTCCAAACTTTCTCTTTTCAAAAGTCATATATTAGAGGGGTGGAGCAGAGTTTGTACTGTGTAGAGGTTAAACTTAGTCATCCATGGTCTTCTTTATTCTAAATTTGTCATCAATCTGATCTGGTATCCTTAGTGCCTCCTAAGCACTTACTAAATATTCATTGAGTGAATAAATGAATGAATGAATGCATGCATGAACAAAAGAACATTGCTGCCCTCTCTGGAAGACAGCTGGTGAGGAATGCTCATCTTAGCATGTGTTGTAGTGGAGAGAAGCTGAGGATGGGAGGAGAGTAAAATGGTAAGTCAATTCATTACTGAAAGTCCCTTGGAGGGACAGGATGTGTTGGGTGGGAAGATGTTCCCCCTAGAGGTCATCTCCAGGGGGTGACTGGCTGTAGTTTTTGGGGATGGTGTGTGAACTCCCAGTGCTCTGCCCAGCACAGCTGCTTCCCTACTGGGATGCACCTTTCTCAGGTGCATTCTGTGCTTGTCATGATATACAGCCCTAGTTTTTTTTATCCTGTCCAGTGTCAAGTTCCAATCTGTCTAGTACCACTGTCAATGACAGAGCTGCCAGTCTGGCAGCCGACAGTCTCATCACTGGTTTTCAGTCTGATGTCTGCTGTCATGTGTTTTGGCATCTGGACCACAGACCTTCTCCTGGCAAGATACCAGACTCTTACAAAAATGCCTTTAACAGGGATAACCCTGTAACCTGGAATGCATTTGAAATCATTACAGCAGGACATGGATTCATAGTCAGACTTAGGTATTCACCACCACAAAGGAAAAAGTCAGACACTGATGGATTTATGATAGTACAGAATGAAAACTTAATTCAGATGGGACAAAAAGGCAGAGCTAAGAGAAAGACGATTCCTCTGGAGGTGATGGCTTTAGTGAATAGCAAGTGGATTTCAGGACAAAATTCACATTTTCACAGTGTGAATTCAGACTGTGGTGAGAAAATGCTGACATATTATAGAGGCTGGAAATAAAGGTTTGAAATTGGTGATGGGCTAAACAAGTAATTCAACTTCTTTAACTTCACCTTGGAAAGAAATGGGCAACATTTCGTATCAACAAGTATTTAATGCATACTTTCTATGATAGAAACTACCTTTACTGAATGTTAACTATGCACTAAGCATAATGCTAAATATATTTTAGGTGTCATTTCTCTTGATCCTTGTCATATTCCTATGAAGCAGGTATTATTATGCCCATTTTACAGCTAAGGAAACAGGATTAGGGATAATAAGTGGCATAGGTCACACAGCTAATCTGTGACAGATAGTAGACTTCAGAATTGACTTAAGTTCTAAAACTGGCTCTACTCTGTGTCCTGCGACCCCTGCCACTGTGCTCATCTACTTTGCTAGGTGCTGTGACACCTGCCCACATTCCTTTATAGGCCTGCATGCCCTGCACCTAGCTGCTGTGTTAGTCACCAGTGGCTTGCAGCTGCCCTGACCCCTTTTCCTGGCTGCCTTCCCTAAGAAGTTACTCATTCCTCTACCACCATTGTGGCTCATGACCTATTGATGCTTAAGCCTGGCAACTCTGTGGAATGGCTTATGCTTTTGAGAGCCTTACCCTTTTATATGGGGCCAAGAATGTACTTGACTGGGACCACTTCTTTATCTGATCTTTCCACTTTCCTATCTCTCTCTTCTTTTGTAAGTTTATCCTTAAGAACCCTCTGTGAATAAATAATGTCCATCTAAATCCTCATCTCAAACTTCGTTCCTAGACAACCTAACCTAAGATAGGGGTATTGCCAAGGAACAGCTTCCTTGTCTAAGAAGCATATAGTCTTAATGCAAGAAAGAACGTTCAAAATGCCCAGTGCTATTCAAAGAGAACAAACTGGGTCAATACTGAGTTCCCTCTCCCAGGAAATATGCAATATAGGCTGGGAACAAAGATCAAAGATATTGTATGGTGGCCAGGCATGGTGGCTCACGCCTGTAATCCCAGCACTTTGGGAGGCTAAGGAGGGCAGATCACGAGGTCAGGAGATCGAGACCATCCTGGCTAACACAGTGAAACCCTGCCTCTACTAAAAATACAAAACATTAGCCGGGCGCGGTGGCGGGTGTCTGTAGTCCCAGCTGCTCGGGAGGCTGAGGCAGGAGAATGGCGTGAACCTGGAAGGCGGAGCTTGCAGTAAGCCAAGATCGTGCCACTGCCCTCCAGCCTGGGGGACAGAGCAAGACTCTGTTTCAAAAAAAAAAAAAAAAAAAAAAAAGATATTTTATGGAAACTTCAGGCATAAACTAGAAGGTAGTACTAGATGAGCTCTCATCCCTAAGATTCAAAGATTCCAGGAACTGACACTTGTTAATAATCGTTTTTATATGCATATTGTGCCTTATATTTCCTAAAGAAATAATATTGCACGGTGGCTCATGCCTGTAATCCCAGCACTTTGGGAGGCCGAGGTGGGAGGATAATCTGAAGTCAGGAGTTCAAGACTGCCTAACCAACCTGGTGAAACCCCATCTGTACTAAAAATACAAAAGTTAGCCAGGTGTGGTGGCGGGCGCCTGTAATCCCAGCTGATTGGGAGGCTGAGGCATAAGAATCGCTTGAACCTGGGAGGCAGAGGTTGCAGTGAGCTGAGATCGTGCCACTGCACTCCAGCCTGGGGTAGATAGAGTGAGATTCTGTCCAGAAAAAAAAAAAAAAGAAAGAAAGAAAAAGAAAGAAAGAGAGAAGGAAAGAAAGAAAGAAAGAAAGGAAGAAAGAAAGAAAGAAGAGAAAAGAAACAATATTGCCTAGTTAAATATAGCAATACTATAGCTTGACTTCCTGATTCAAATCCTAGCTTTGTTATTTATGTCTAATACAACCTTGGACAAGTTTCTTTACCACTGTACACATCAGTTTTCTTATCTGGAAAATGGAGGCAATAATAGTACCTAACTCAAGGGCTCTTTATAAGGACAAAGTGAGTTTCTAACCTGTAAAATACTTAGAACAATACTTGGCATGCAACAAATGTTCAATAAATATTAACGATTATTTCATATCTCTCTGTATGTATGATACAACTCACCAATGCTTAATTATATTGAACAAAAAATGTTTTGCATTGCAAGCAGCGGTAATAGTGCAAGTAGCAATTTTTTCTCTTTTCTTCTTATTTTGTTGTAAACTCCTTGATTAGAAGGAACCCTGACTTTTTTAAAAATTGGGAAATAACTCACATATCATAAAATGTACCCTTTTAATATGGACACTTTCGTGTGTTCAGCAGGCTGTGCAAACATTATCACTGCCTAATTCCAGACCATTTTCACTACCACGAAAAACAATCCATGCCCATTAATAGTCACTCTTCATTTCCACTTCCCTCTACCTAGCAACTGCTATTCCTACTTTCTATCCCTATGGATTTGACTATCTTGGACAATGCATAGAAATGAAATTATACAATATTTGGCTTTTTGTGACTGGCTTCTTTCACTTAGTATAATATTGTCAAGTTTTATCCATATTGTAATATGTGTTACTGTTTCATTCCTTTTAATGGCTGGATATGTTTTCATATTTATCTGTTCATAAATTGATGAGCATTTATTTTTCCCATGTTTTGTCTATTATGAATAATGCTACTAAGAACATTCATGTAAACACTTCTGTGTGAATATATGTTTTCAGTTCTATTGAGTATATACCCAGGAATGGAATGGCTGAATCATATGATAACTCTATATTTAACTTTATAAGAAACGACCAAACTGTTTTCCAAAGTGGCCACACTATCTTTACATTACCACGAGCAACGTATGAGGGCTCTAATTTCTCTATGCTATGGTTTGAATGTTTGTGTCCCTCCAAAAATTATATCTTGAAACCTAATCACAAATGTGATGGTATTAGAAGGTGGGCAGGACCTTTGGGAGGTGATGAGGAGCAGACCCTTCATGAATGGAATTAGTACCCTTATATAAATGTAAGAGTCCCCAGAGATCTTTCTTGCTTTTTTATGAGGTCAGAGTGAGAAGCTGGCATCTATGAAAAAGCTGGCTCTCACCAGACACTGAATCTGCTGGTGCTTTGATCTTGGACTTCCTAGCCTCCAGAGCCATGAGAAATAAACTTCTGATGTTTATAAACTACCTGATCTATGGTGTTTTGTTACAGCAGGCCACAAAGAATAAAGCAAAAATTGGTACCGAGAGTGGGTTTGCTGTTATAATAAATACCTAAAAATGTGGTAGTGCTTTTGGAACTGGGTAATGGGTAGGGGCCAAAAAGTTTGGAGGTTCATGCTAGAAAAAGCCTATATTGATATTCATGGACCATTAATGGCCATTTTTGTGCGGACTCAGAAAAGGAGAGCTGTAGGGAAAATTTCAATCTTCTTAAAGAATATCTAAGTGGTTGTAAACAGATTGTAGAAATATAGATGGTAAATGCCATTCTGATGCCATATCAGCTGGAAATAAAGAACATGTTATTGGAAACTGGAGGAAAAGCAGTTCTTGTTATAAAAGTAGCAAAGAACTTGACTGAATTGTGTTCATGTCCTAGTATTTTCTGGAAAGTAGAACTTGTGAACAGGATATTTGGTGGAATAAATTTCTAACAAAGTGCTGAAGGTACAGTATGGCTTCTGTTGAATGCTTATAAGATGAGAAAATCTATTTAAACATACATTTTTTTCTGTCATACTTTAAGTTTTAGGGTACATGTGTACAATGTGCAGGTTAGTTACATATGTATACATGTGCCATGTTGGTGTGCTGCACCTAGAAACTCGTCATTAAACATTAGGTATATCTCCAAATGCTATCCCTTCCTCCTCCCCCCAACCCCACAACAGGCCCTGGTGTGTGATGTTCCCCTTCCTGTGTCCATGTGTTCTCATTGTTCAATTCCCACCTATGAGTGAGAACATGCGGTGTTTGTTGTTTTGTCCTTGCAATAGTTTGCTGAGAATGATGGTTTCCAGCTTCATCCATGTCCCTACAAAGAACATGAACTCATCATTTTTTATGGCTGCATAGTATTCCATGGTGTATATGTGCCACATTTTCTTAATCCAGTCTATCATTGATGGACATTTGGGTTGGTTCCAAGTCTTTGCTATTGTGAATAGTGCCACAGTAAACATACATGTGCGTGTGTCTTTATAGCAGCATGATTTATAATCCTTTGTATACATACCCAGTAATGGGATGGCTGGGTCAAATGATATTTCTAGTTCTAGATCCCTGAGGAATCGCCACACTGACTTCCATGATGGTTGAACTAGTTTACAGTCCCACCAACAGTGTAAAAGTGTTCCTATTTCTCCACATCCTCTCCAGCTCCTGTTGTTTCCTGACTTTTTAATGATTGCCATTCTAACTGGTGTGAGATGGTATCTCATTGTGGTTTTGATTTGCATTTCTCTGGCCAGTGATGATGAGCATTTTTTCATGTGTCTTTTGGCTGCATAAATGTCTTCTTTTGAGAAGTGTCTGTTCATATCCTTCGCCCGCTTGTTGATGGGGTTGTTTGTTTTTTTCTTGTAAATTTGTTTGAGTTCATTGTAGATTCTGGATATTAGCCCTTCGTCAGATGAGTAGATTGCAAAAATTTTCTCCCATTCTGTAGGTTGCCAGTTCACTCTGATGGTAGTTTCTTTTGCTGTGCAGAAGCTCTTTAGTTTAATTAGATCCCATTTGTCAATTTTGGCTTTTGTTGCCATGCTTTTGGTGTTTTAGACATGAAGTCCTTGCCCATGCCTATGTCCTGAATGGTATTGCCTAGGTTTCCTTCTAGGGTTTTTATGGTTTTAGGTCTAACATTTAAGTCTTTAATCCATCTTGAATTAATGTTTGTATAAGATGTAAGGAAGGGATCCAGTTTCAGCTTTCTACATATGGCTAGCCAGTTTTCCCAGCACCATTTATTAAATAGGCAATCGTTTCCTGATTTCTTGTTTTTGTCAGGTTTGTCAAAGATCAGATCGTTGTAGATATGCGGCATTATTTCTGAGGGCTCTGTTCTGTTCCATTGGTCTATATCTCTGCTTTGGTACCAGTACCATGCTGTTTTGGTTACTGTAGCCTTGTAGTATAGTTTGAAGTCAGGTAGCATGATGCCTCCAGCTTTGTTCTTTTGGCTTAGGATTGACATGGCAATGTGGGCTCTTTTTTGGTTCCATATGAACTTTAAAGTAGTTTTTTCCAATTCTGTGAAGAAAGTCATTGGTAGCTTGATGGGGATGGCATTGAATCTATAAATTACCTTGGGCTGTATGGCCATTTTCACGATATTGATTCTTCCTATCCATGAGCATGGAATTTTCTTGCATTTGTTTATACCCTCTTTTATTTCATTGAGCAGTGGTTTGTAGTTCTCCTTGAAGAGGTCCTTCACCTCCCTTGTAAGTTGGTTCCCTAGGTATTTTATTCTCTTTGGAGCAATTGTGAATGAGTGTTCACTCATGATTTGGCTCTCTGTTTGTCTGTTATTGGTGTATAAGAATGCTTGTGATTTTTGCACATTGATTTTGTATCCTGAGACTTTGCTGAAGTTGCCTATCAGCTTAAGGAGATTTTGGGCTGAGACAATGGGGTTTTCTAGATATACAATCATGCCATCTGCAAACAGGGACAATTTAACTTCCTCTTTTCCTAATTGAATATCCTTTATTTCCTTCTCCTGCCTGATTGCCCTGGCCAGAACTTCCAACACTATGTTGAGCAGGAGTGGTGAGAGAGGGTATCCCTGTCTTGTGCCAGTTTTCAAAGGGAATGCTTCCAGTTTTTGCCCATTCAGTATGATATTGGCTGTGGGTTTGTCATAGATAGCTCTTATTATTTTGAGATACATCCCCATCAATACCTAATTTATTGAGAGTTTTTAGCATGAAGTATTGTTGAATTTTGTCAAAGGCCTTTTCTGCATCTATTGAGATAATCATATGGTTTTTGCCATTGGTTCTGTTTATATGCTGGATTATGTTTATTGATTTTCATATGTTGAACCAGCCTTGCATCCCAGGGATGAAGCACACTTGATCATGGTGGATAAGCTTTTTGATGTGCTGCTGGATTTGGTTTGCCAGTATTTTATTGAGGATTTTTGCATCGATGTTCATCAAGGATATTGGTCTAAAATTCTCTTTCTTTTGTTGTGTCTCTGCCAGGCTTTGGTATCAGGATGATGCTGGCCTGATAAAATGAGTTAGGGAGGATTCCCTCTTTTTCTATTGATTGGAATAGTTTCAGAAGGAATGGTACCAGCTCCTCCTTGTACATCTGGTAGAATTCAGCTGTGAATCCATCTGGTCCTGGACTTTTTTTAGTTGGTAAGCTATTAATTATTGCCTCAATCTTTTAATCAAACAAGAAGCAGGATTTAAATATTTGGAAAATCTCAGTTTGCCCATCTTGTAAAAACTGAGAAACAGTGTTCTGGAAAGAACATCGATGGTGGGACCAAGAAACTCTTTGATAAGGAGATCAGTATGGACCAGCAAGGTGCTATTCACCAAGACAATGCAAGAGTGATCTCAAAAACATTTCAGAGATCATTTAGGCTATCCCTCTTATTACATGCCCAGAGTGCCAGAGCCTGAGGTGACAAACTGATTTCAAAGCTCTGCTCCCTGCAGTCTTGCACAGTGTTACTCCCCTGTCCCAGGTTCAGCTCCAGTGGGCCCAGGGGTGATGCAGGTCACAGTGGCTGCCCCTTTGGAAGTCTGAGGCAGTAAATATTGGCAACACCCTCAAGCTGATATCTCTGTTGGCTCTCAGAGTGCATGAGCTGTGGTAGTGTGGCTACTTCCATCTAGATTTTTTTTTTTTTTTTTTTTTTGAGACAAGGTCTCAGACTGTTGCCCAGGCTGGAGTGTAGCAGCTCAATCTCCGGTCACTGCAACCTCTGCCCCCCGGGTTCAACTGATTCTTGTGCCTCAGCCTCCGGAGTAGCTGGAAGTAGATGCGTTAACACCATGCCCAGCTAATTTTTGTATTTTTTAATGGAGGCGGAGTTCATCATGTTGGCCAGGCTGGTCTTGAACTCCTGACCTCAGGTGATCCGCCCACCTCGTCCTCCCAAAGTGCTGAAATTACAGGCATGAGCCACCATTCCTGGTCCTGCTTAGATTTTGAAGAATGGAGCCTCCTAGAACCTCAGACAGGTAACCCAGGAAGAGGGCCACCACAAGGGTAAGGCCTCTGCAGAGAGTTTCCACTAAGCCAATGCCTAGCAGAGCCTGGGGCAGAGCCACCCCAGAAACCCCAGACCAGTGGAGCCACTGACTTGCAATTTCAGCCCAGTATCGTTATTGACACCAGACTCCAATGCGTAAGAGACGTGGCTTACGGTGTACCCAGCAAAGCCATGATGATGGGGCCTCCTAAAGCCTTGGGAGCCCAATTTCTGTCCCACTATGTCTGGAAAGCAGGCTATCAAGTCAAAAAATGTTATTCTAGAGTGTGGAAATTTAATGTTGCTTGTCCTAATGGGTTTGGACTTACTTGGGACCTGTTACTCCTTTTTTCTTCCTTTTGGAATGGGAATGTCTATCCTATGCCTGTCTCACCAGTGTATTTTGGAAGCATGTAACTTGTTTGAGCTCACAGGCTCATGACTGGAGAGAACTGAGAAAAATTTACTTCAGAATGAGTCATGCCTTGTGTCTCACCATATGTGTTTTCGCTAACATTTAGATGAGACTCTGGACTTTAGACTTTTGAATTAATGCTGGAGCCAGTTAAGACTTTTAGGGCTACTGGGATGGGTTGAATGTATCTTGCATGCAAGAAGGACATGAATTTTGGAGGGGCAAGAGCAGAATGCTATGTTCTGAATGTTTACATCTCCCTAAAACTTATATGTTGACAGCAAATTATCCATGTGGCATTAGGAGGTGGGACTGCTGGAAGGTGATGAGGCAATGAGAGCAGAGTTGTCGTGAATGAGTGGGATTAGTGCCCTTATAAAAGAGTCCCCAGAGATCTAGCTTACCTCTTCCACCATATGACAACAGAGTGAAAAGGTACCATCTGTGAGAAAGTAAGTCCTCACCAGACACTGAATCTGCACGTGCCTTGATCTTGGACTTCCTAGCCTCCAAATTTGTAAGAAACAAATTTCTGATGTTTATAAATTATCCAGTCTATGGTCATTTGTCATAGCATCCCAAATGAATTAAGACACTCCAAATCCTTGCTAACAATTTTTATTGTCTGTCTTTTTTATTGTAGTCATCCTAGTGAATGCGAAGTGGTATCTCGCTGAAATTTTGACCAGCATTTCATTAATACCTAATAATATTAATAAATTTTTCATATGATTTTTGGCCATTTATTTATCTTGTATGGAGAAATATCTATTCAAATCCTTTGTCCGTTATAATGGGTTATTTGTCATTTTATTATTGAGTTATCAGAGTTAATTACATATTTGAATATTAGACCCTTATCAGATATATGGTTTGCAAACATTTTCTCCCACTCTTTCCATTGTCTTTTCATTTTTATGATAGAGTCATTTGAAAAACAAATGTTTTTAACTTCAATGAAGTCCACTTAATTTACCTTGTGCTTAGGTGTTATGTCTTATGCTTGTGCTTTAGGTGTTATATATAAGAAACCATTGCCAATCCAAGGTAATGAGGATTTATAGCTACGCTTTTTTCTAACTCTGTGTTATTTTTTTTTTTTGACTTAGGATCTCCAGTGAGAAGCACGGTGCCTAGAATTGAGTAGATTCTCAAAAAGTGTTGGTTGAATTAATGACTAGATGTATTCAATGCTTGGCTAGACTGTGTGGGCACAGATTGAAGTGTTTCATTATCTCTGCATTTCTACCTAGCATCTGACATTACATCTTCAGTGTAGGCAGTGCTTTGACATTTGATTGATACAATCAATAAGCCTTATGAAATTCTCATGACAAACTTAAGATTGAAGCAGGAAAGCTATTATTAGCTCCATTTGATAGATGATAAAACTGAGTACCAGGGATTAAATGAGTTGTCTGAGCAAGACCACACAACTTGTGGGAGAGCTCTAACTTCCTTTCAGGCCTTCCTCACTCAGCTTACATGCTGTGGTTTTTGTTTCTAGGTAAATCTGTCCCCAGTGGTTCCTGGCTGTTTTATCTTCAGTCACACTTTTATAACTATCTGTAGGACTTATAAATGTGTACCTAGTTCTGTGTGCACTGAGTTCACTGAAACTTAATAAATCTTCAAACAAATAATCCCCAAAGTAGTTTTAGTCCTTATTCTCATGCTCTCTTTGCCTTGGCAACATGTGCTTCATTCTTTTTTCGCAGTGGACAACCCTGCCTTAAGACCTACAAAACCTATTCTCTGAGTACCATCAGTATTCTATTTTCTGTGCTGTATAATTCACCATTCAATTTCTATATGTGATATTCTAGATTGTTCTTCAATTATGTGGAGTGCATAGTTCTTTTCTACTCAAATTAATTGTAAGATCCTTGAGCACAGGCAATATATCTTAGGTGTTTCTTACATCCTTCCACAGTAGGTGGAAAAATATTTTTATCCTTCTGAGGTTTCTGCTACTTTGTTTTATACGTCCATCCTGTTTATCTATGCATTAGCCGAACATCGTTCAGTTTATCTGCTACATTCTCCAGGAAGCCTTTCCTAAGCACTTCTTCTGAATGCACAGGACTCCTGGCTTGAATAGCTCAGGTGTCATTTATTCCACACTTCCCACTATCATGGGTATTTATGGTCATGCCTTATTTCTCCTACTATTCCTAGTAAATTCTAAGGTTCTTGAGAGAAGCCATTATTTATTATTCAATTTTATGCTTTTCTGTTCCCAAAACAAAATTGGTGACTTGCTCATACAAGAGCTCAAAACAAATATATGTTTCTTGAGGATCCTTCATATTGTAGAAAGTACACAGGGTTTAGATTCATAAGACCCAATGTGAAATTTCATCTCTGTCATTTACTGACTGCGTGATCCCTGGCAAGTCACTTCTTGTTAATGGGTCTACAATTCCTTATCTGTAGCAATCCCTAGCTCAAATAAGATTTGGAAGATTTAGATAATATAATGCATAGGAAAGCATAGTGCAAAATTTATTAATGATAATGGTAGTCATTTTTCTTGCCATTCTGAAACAACAGACAAGACTCGATTGCATCATCAATAAGTATATATTACGTTGGAGCATCTGGTCTCTAGAAGCCATCATCAGATGCTGAAAATCAGATAACAGAAAGAAACAAAACAAAATCCCCAAAACAACCTCACCAGGTTCCCAGGAATAGGTTCAGTGCTCAAACGTGTGATTTGTTGCTAGCCACTTTGCTTTTTCTTGAGAGTGCTTTCAGACTTAACCTGACCTGTGTCTTTGTATATAATTCAGATTGTGAGCCTCCTATTTGCTTAATTATTCCATTGTTGACCAGTATAGTGCAGCAACTGATAATAAGAACATGTCTATACGCAATACAGTTTCTACCTCACTGTTGGTGTTCAATGAATGTTGATATTAGATACTTAAAATAGAACAGCTTCTAGTGTAAGGAGAAAAAGCATTTAACAAAAGTCAGCTATTCTCTCTCCTTAACATACAGACACGATTATTAAAGAATCGCTACTAAAATGAGTTCATTGCATCAAATATTCTCAGTGAACAGAGAGCACACTTTAAAACCTCGGATGGCATATTTAGCAGGAATTGCAGTGATAATGTCTGGAGCCCATTTTCATTCAGTTCATCATCCACATTTAAGATAAAACTAACTGATAGGTTGCCAGAGCTCTCTGGGGTTCTGAAAGGGCAAGCTCATAACTGCTCTTCAATTGAGCACCTATATAAGAATGGAAAACCAGATTATTTTCATTATTATCATTTTTTTAAACCAGCAAATGAGAGAGTAGAATAGATTCAGGGTAAGTATCAGGCAGCCTCCACTCTGCCAGCCAGTGTATGCTCAGATGACTTTGTTATAGGGCTGTGCCTCCAGGAGGTTCTTTCTGTGGTCTTGTTGTGGGATCATTAGCTCCTTTTGTAGCTTCTTTGTACATTTCCATATCCAGAGTCTTTGCATAATAAGCAAGAGCCAGCTATCTAATAATCAGCAGTACATTGAAGATGCTTCCTTATAAGCACCAGGAAATTAAATGAATGCAATTACTTCTAGCATGGCAAAAAGTCTCAGATAATCTGTGGCAGACAAATTTGACAAAACATGATGAAATATTTATATGTCTCATGATATGTTAGGAATTAAGAAGCTGACTTCTTAGTGATTATTTTGAAAATTCTGCATCTTTCTCAGTCTATTCAGGCTGCTATAATGAAATACCATAGACTGAGTGGCTCATAAACAGCAACAATTTTCTTCTTAAAAGTTCTGGAGACTCAGAAATCCAAGATTAAGGTAGAGACAGATTTGATGCTTGGTGAGATCCCCTCTCCTCACAGATGGTTGACTTTTCACTGTAACCTCATCTGGTGGGAGAGGCAAGAGATCTCTCTGGGATCTCTTTTAGAAGAACACTAATCCCATTAACGGGTTTGACCTCTACCTCATGACCTCATCACCTCGCAAAGGCCTCACCTCCTAATACCATCACCTTGGGGGTTAGTATTTTCAACACATGAATTTTGGGGAGACATAGACATTCAGTTCATTGCTTTAACGCTACTTTAAAGTCCCAAAGTAGAATATTAAAGAACTACAAGAGGTGACTTAAAACTACTCAAGTAGTAGATGTTGACATTAATTCTTTCATTCACAAATTTTTCTAAATGACCTCCTAGTTACAGACATGATACTATCTTGTTCTTTATGAAAGTATTCACAGCCTATGGTTAATAAGCAAAAAAAAAAAAAAAAAAAAAAATGACCTCTACCCTCAAGAGATTTACAGTCTAGGAAAGAATATGAGTGAAAAAATATGAAAGAGAAAGAAGAACTAAGTGCTAAACTTTTGAGGCATGACTGAAAATGCAAACAAAATTTTTCTTAACCTTTTTGGATACAAAGATCTCACTGAGGTGCTAGTAAATTAAAAGGATAATTATATCCACTAGACAATTGTGCATGAACATTTACACATAAGAATTTGAATAGAATTTCAGGGAAATCCTTAAGTTTATTGATGGCACTAAGGTTAAGAGCCTATATAGTAGGTATTTAGATTTTTTTAAAAATTCAATATAAAACACTTTCTTCAAGGTAGGCTTCATGAATAACTTAGGATTTTAATGAAAGGAAGGCTAGAGAACACAAAATGTACACACACACACACACACACACACACACACACACATATATATGAAATTCTACAGGAGTATTACATTGCTAAAGCAAGAAGATTATTTAACAGGCTTGAGGGTTTGGAGACAGGAATTCTGGATGGTTCAACCTACTTGAACAAAAGTAGAGAGTTGAGGAATAAGCTTGGTGTAGCTTGGAATAGGAATTCATGCTGGAAAATATTAAGGTGCAAGGTTAGATGAATAGTGAAATATGAATTTGAGAGCCATTTTTGGCCTTTGAACAGAGACTCATTATAAAATTAAAAACCCCAAAAGTTGTAAGATGTATTTGAGCTGATTGATTCCAATCTCTTGGCATTACAATACCTCTGGCAAGCTGTCATTTAGCTCTGCATGAACACATTAGTGGGGGAGTCACAATATGATATGCCAGCTATCCCATTTTTGAATGGCTCTAATTGATAAAATTGTGTCTTCATATCAAAATTACTTTTTTTTTAAAAATCACACCTCCCCATGCCATATGGGTCATCATTATTTTGCTCTCTGGAAAGACAAAATAAAGCTAATCGTTCAAGTGCTAGAAAACAGCTAACATATCCCACTTAAATCTTCTCCTTAAAGGCTAAATATCTTCAGACTTCAATCTTTTGTGTTGAATGTGATATTTTAAGAAGGTTAGTTTGGCAAACATGGATGAGAGCAGGAAGAAAAAAATGCTAAATTTGGGGATACCCGTTGGAATGCTATTGCAACAATTATGGTTAGGGAGAAGTAGAAAGAAAATGAAGAATGAAATGAAATTTTACAGGAAGAATTGATAGTACAGGGTGACAAATAACTATAGGGGATGAAGAGATTTGAGTCAAAGATATTTTAAAGAGTTCTAGCTTGGGACCCTGGAAAAATTATTTTATTTATTTATTTATTTATTTTTTTGAGACGGAGTCTCGCTCTGTCGCCCAGGCTGGAGTGCAGTGGCGCTATCTCGGCCCACTGCAAACTCCATCTCCAGGGTTCATGCCATTCTCCTGGCTCAGCTCCCCGAGTAGCTGGGACTACAGTTGCCTGCCACCACACCCGGCTAATTTTTTTTGTATTTTTAGTAGAGACGGGATTTCACCGTGTTAGCCAGGATGGTCTCGATCTCCTGACCTCGTGACCCGCCCGCCTCGGCCTCCCAAAGTGCTGGGATTACAGGCGTGAGCCACAGCACCAGGCTGGAAAAATGATTTTATTATAGCCATCAATTTGTAGCATGGGAAAAAGTTCGGGTGTCTTTCTATTTAACTGCACTGGGAGGTGTTATGGTGTAGTGGTTACTAGTGTGAGCTGTAGCCACAGAATAAGTGGGGTGGTTTAAATTCTGAATTTATCACTTTTGTGACGTGGGAAAATCATTTGACATCCTCATATCTCAATTTTAAGATCTGGAAAATGTAAATATTATGATACATATAAAGATTTCAGCTTGTTGTCTGGCACAGAAGCAGCATTAAGTAACAATAATCTGTTAATACTCTGATGATTTAATTGAAGGTAGGTGAGGTCAGGAGGTAGAAGAGGTTTAATTGAAAGTAGGTGTTTTGAATTCAGAACAAACTATGTGGGAAGGGAGCCATCAGCTCATGATCAGCTCATCACAGAAACAGACAGCAGATGGAAATGAGGTTAGAGCACACAAAAGATCAGTGTCTCACCTAAGGCCAGAACAGATGCCTTGGAGGTCAGAGTGTGGAAAAGTAGGTAATGTACCTTTTTTTTTTTTCTCTTTTCAAGATACTTGGCAGAAACAGGGCAGGTTTGAAAAGGCACTTCTCCAGTCTAGGACAGTTAGCCTTACATCTTAAAAACTGGTCTTCCCAATACTGTTTTTCTCCACCTGACTCTTACTCAGGTTAATCCTTAAATGCGCAGATTACCTTTTTTTCTCCAGGGTGAGAAGGTTAAGAATCACCTAGTTAAGGACCAGGTGTGGTGGCTTATGCCTGTAATCCCAGCCCTTTGGGAGGCCGTGGTGAGTGGATCACCTGAGGTCAGGAGTTTCAGACCAGCCTGGCCAACATGGTGAAACCCCGTCTCTACTAAAAATACAAAAATTAGCTGGGCATGGTGGCAGATGCCTGTAATCCCAGCTATTGGGGAGCTGAGACAGGAGAATCACTTAAACCCAGGAGGCAGAGGTTGCAGTGAGCCGAGATCACTCCATTGCATACCAGCCTGAGCAACAAGAGCGAAACTCCGTCTCAAAAGACAAAAAAGAATATTACCTGGTTAAGGATGTCAAACTTCAGGAAATGGGCAAACATGCATACAGAGGTGTTTTATGAGCAGTTGGAACTCACCCAGAGGTGTACCTGGTGGTAAGTAAAGGTCCTTTTATAGGTGTTAGTGGATGCTTTGAGAATGGTTGCGCTTACTATATCTTAATGCATTCAGTTGTTGCATCCCTGTTATATCTCCCAGGGATGTGCCTGCTCTTTTGGTGTCTGCCTATCCTGAAAAAATCTCTTCCTATCCTTAGAAACTGTAAAATCATTTTCAAAAAAGTTGATAAAGTACATGCAATATATGACAAAGCAATACATGTGGTTTCAATCATGGACAAGTCAATTACTTTTCTGAGTTTGTTTCTTCATTTGTAAAATGAGAATAATAATAACACCTACTTTGTAGAATTACTGTAAGGATCACATGAAATAGGATTTATCCAGTTTCCTTGTGCAGCATCTGAAAATGCAGGTCAAAGTGAATGATCACTATCGTCAATTATCTATTGAAACCTATTCTGTAAAAAATATATATGAAGTATCCTATAGTAGAGAATCACTCTGTTGGGTTTAATTTACTCATTTTTTACAATGTATTTTTTACTTAATACGTCTAATTCTCACCTCAGAGTTTCCGGAAACCAGGTAAGTGTCACCAGAGTTTTTAACTGCCCTTCGCTCCAAATGCTTGGCCAGAAAAGTCATTCCATATGTTTATTCACCTAAAATGCTGAGTTTGCTGTATCCAATTTCCCTGTTTACTCTTGCCATGCTAACGTGGCTTAGCATATACAAATATCATTCTTTATCATTCCAGGTAGGTCTTGGGTTTAATTATGAATTAGGAGAAATGAGCTGAATGTTTGAGCACTTTGGAGCCTGGTGAGACAATTTGTTCAGAATGGTTCAAGGCACTTCATTTTTTTTTTTTTATTTTATTGAAAAAAAAAGTCTGTTTCCGCTCACTTGCAATACATGAAAGATGAAGTGTGGCTGAAGTCAATTGATGGGACACAGACCTCCCTCACTCCTCCACACGACAAATTGATTCATTAGGACCTGTGTCAACATCCCCCGAAAGGCACACATGCTCTCAGATGCTTAGAGGATAGAGAGGACATATGTGGCCTCCTGGGAGGAGAAGTCAGCATGGAGCACACTCCTCCAAGTCAGTTGAGGAGCAATGAAGGTTCGTGAGCTGATTAGCAGTCATTTCCTCACGTTTTCTTTCTGTGCACCTCAGAGGCTGTGCTTGTTAGGAGCATCTTTTCCCTACAGGGGGGTTATGGCACTGTGAAAAATTCGCACTTTGCAGATAATTAAAAGTAAATTGGTTTAAATGAATTTCTGGCCTCTTTCCTAAATAGGGGAACTGAGGCAAACTAAGGAGACAGAAAAAAAAGGAAATATTAAAAAACTGAATGTATGAATTAATTATTGGAATTCCCAATTTATAAAATAAGAGGTTAGGCATTTCAAATGGGGCAAATGGTACCTCTTATTAGAGCAAGTGAAAATTCAAATTTATTCATTCATTTATTCAATCTTTTATGCAACAAATATTTCTTGAGCCCTCATCTGTATTAGATACTGCACCAGCCACAGAGGATGAAATGATGAACAAGATATAGTCTTTGGAAGGCCTCAAAAGGCTCATAGTCTAATGTGGGTGACAGAATTGTAGACGAATGACATCAAAATAGGGTGAAGGGTGCTGTGACAGAAAGGAGCACTGAAAGCTTGGAATGCTGAAGAACAGAGGAGAGAAGTTAATTCACTCTGAGGAATAGTCCAGGGTGTCTTTCCCAAGGAAATGATACAGGAGCTAGGACTGGAAAGACAACGAGGAAATGGCCAGCTAAGAAGGGAGAGGAAGGCCTTTCAGATGCAGAGCACAGCCTGTGCAAGGGCTTAGGGATGTCACAACCACTAAAATGAGGGGAACTGCAGTGTGTCCAAATCAGACAGTGTGATGTGAGCATCTGTAAGAAATGGAGCTGGAGGAGACAACAGCTAGGTGGTTAGTTTGTACTTTTCCTTATAAAAGTCTTTGGGCAAAGATAGGTTTCTTTTCTGGTGCAAGTGGCTCTCAGAAACTTCCTTTAAACCGGCAAAACCAAGCACAAGGCATATAAAACTTACATGACTTTTGTAATAATTGAAAGTAAAGCTAGGTACTTTAAAATCCCAAAGTCCTCCTTTTTCTCTTAGTAATACATGTTTTTCTAGCTCAAGATCAATGCTTCATCTCATTCCCTTGAATAGTTACCTGCATACCAGGTACTCGATGATGGATGGGGGAAGATACAAAATCTTGGTGAGATGAAAAATGATCAAGTTCTCACTAAACGTGTAGAATGGCCTTGATTGGAAGCTGAAACTGATGCTTTTGTGCCTGCTTTTGGCCCTAACTTCTGAGACATGAGGTCACATTGTTCGCTCAGCACAAATAGAAATATAATGCTCAATGCTGAGGCACAGGCATAGCTTCTTCCTGGTTCATTGCAGTCCACGGCATTGCTACAAGCAGAGTGATTGTGAAAAGTGTCAGTTCCATGCTCATTGGAGATTAGCTCAAGGAAATACTGTAGATCAGATGATGAAATCCATAACTGACATATAAAGGTCACTGGCAGATGGAGATAAGTGAGATACTTCATTGTTTTGTTGGTAATTCCAGGAATATTCTGAGATAATGTTTTCCAGTTGGCTCTTTCTGTTAGGATGATTATTAACTTGAGAGTGGTGTGCTTTGGCTTGGTAGTTCAGGTAGGCCTAAAAAAGGCAAATATGATTTCCAACAAGGTGAAATTAGGGTATCCTCAGGCTGCAAACATTTCTACAATGTTTTTATTTACTTATTTTTACTTTTGCTTCATATATACTCAAATTTTACCATCTTTAATGTGTTTAGTGTAAAATGTCATGAGGCTTGCTACTTAAATTACATGGTTTATATATACAACTAAGCTTCATTATTTACAGATTCCGTATTTTCAAATTCACCTCTTCGCTAAAATTTATTTGTGACTGTAAGATCAATACCCATATTGCTTTCATAATCATTTGCAGCCGTGTTCAGAGTGGTGAAAAATTGGAGTCTTCTGATGTACACATTCCCAGCTGAGGTCAAATGAGGCCACACCCTGACTTCTTGTTTCAGCTCTCACACTGTAAACTAGTGTTCTTTTTGCAGTGTACGTGGTGCCACGTTTTTAGCATTCTTTTTTTGTATGTGTGCATTTTGTTGTTGATTTTGCTGCTTAAAATGGCCTCCAAGAGTAATGCTGCTGGTTCAGTCTAGTATTTCTAAGCACAAAAGGCTGTGTTGGGCCTTACAAAAAAAATACATACATTAGGTAAAGTTCATTTAGGCGTGAGTTATGGTGCTGTGTCTATGAGTTCAAGGTTAGTTAATTAACAATAATAATAAATAAAATGTCTTTAAATGGAAATACATATGAAACAAGGTTATATCTTGATTGGTTAATTAAAATATTTTGATGATAGGCTCTTAAGAAAAAAATCTTGTATTTTCCCTTGGATCAATGGCCTGATATTCTCCAGTTCACTGTTTGCAGTGATTTTATAGAACATAGCTACCTCAAGTAATGCAAACTGACTGTATATGCACCTACATGTACATATGTACACAAACACTCATATACAAACAGATAAAGCAAAAGCAAGTGAGCTCAAATGTAATCTTTGCAGTTGGTGAATCTAGGTACAAGATTTCTGACTGTTCACTGTACTATGCTTAGTTTTTTTTAGATAGAACACTTTTAAAATGTTGAGGAAAAATATGCAAGTTTGAGGATTTTATGATGTATGTAGGCTTTTTGTGATAATTAATTTCCCAGATTCAAAAAAGTACAGAAACTTACAGCTTGTGAGACCTTAGTGATCAGCTGTTTTAGCCCTTCTGTTTATTAGAAACCCAGGTTCTGGACTTATTGTTGCCTTTAAGTTCGCATATAATCTTGGGTAGGTCAACTGCCTCTCTAGGAGTTCTTCCTCAAAGAAATTAAGTTGCTGTAGGAATCTCTTCAAGCTCCACCTCTCTATCATTTTAAATGATCTTCAGACAGGTTAAAATATGAAAATAATTTAGATATTTAGTAGAGAGTTAGTCTTAGCCTCCAGTCCAATGCTAACTTTATGATGCTAAAGTATAAGAGTTTTTAAAAAGCACACAATTCCTAAAAAATGACAAATAAATAAAGTAATTCTTTTATACAAAAATCAGGACTATTTAAAAAGCAAACAAACTATACCTTCAAATTATATAGAAAGTTTCTAGTGACAAGATTACCTCCTTGGGCAGTTCCTATTTGTTTCTATTTCTATTTCAGTAAAAAATGACATAGAAAAATATTTATTTGGGAAAATTTGTCTTCTGCGTTCATAGCCTTTCCTTCAAGTGTCCTGTAGACACTATTTTGTCATAGAAAGAACACAGGGTTTAGAGTAAATCAAACTGAATTCTAATTTGTATTTCTCCAATGTTCTATTTGTGTGACCTTGGCTGAATTATGAATCTTCTCTGAGTTCCAGTTTCCTTATCTGTAAAAATGATGATGACAATATTTTCCCTGCAAGAAAAAAGATAATGAGATAATTTTGCAAAAATGTCTGGCAACAAGGGGTGTTCAAAAATGTTAGTTTTTTTTTTTCTGTCCATCATTTACTGTTATTTTCTATAAAGACTTACAATGTGCTTGTCAAGAACACACTCTTTGGAGCCACACTACCTGAGTTCAAATCCTTGCTCTGCCATTTACCAGCTGGGTGCTGAGAGCAAGTTATTTAACCTTTTTGTGCCTTAGTTTCTTGACTTGTAAAATTGGGATAATAAGACGAGTACCTAACTTATAGAGCTTCTGTATAGTGAATTATTAACAATTATAAGTTGCTTAGAACAGTGTTGAAAACCATTTTACTGTTTGTTATTATTTCTAAGAATTTCAAGAAATCTGTATATATTAATTAAGAAAGCAAAATTTTAGATTCATAGAGAGTCTTGAATTGTACAAGAGCTATGTATAAAGCTAACTCTAAACATTAGCCAGATTTTGTCCTTTTGGACAGCCTGTAGGAGGGAATAATCCTTAGTCACTAATTGCTTGATTAAATTTTACTATACTATAGCATAATGATTGTATTTTAAAACCTTCCCCTTGATTTCAAATCTTGGGATGCATCCCTAGTTCTTTCATATTATATCTTCTTCTAGTAAGTTGTTGAAATGCATACTTTTCATTAATAAAAATGGCTACTTTTTTTGAGCAATTCCTAGGTATCAAGTCTAAGAATTAACCCCACTAGTTAGGTGATAAGTTAGTCTGTTTTATGGACGCTGAGAAGAGACAAGATTCCTAAATCAGAGACAAAGAATATTTTATAACTCATAGTAGAGCAAGCATCATGAGCATCAACATGTGTGTCAGTTCTCCTTGGCCCCAAAATCTCACAGGGGTAATTGTGATAAGGACCCACATGGATGCTGTGCACATAACCAGATTTCACTGTAGCCAGGGAACACCAGAACTCAGGCACTCACCATTTTGTAGCAAACAGTAAATAAGTATGCTCTTAGTCCCAGAGGGAGACATTCCTTCATCTTTCAAGGTTGCTTGCTGCAGACACAACTCTGAGAATGGCCCTGACAAAGAGCCTTCAGGGCTTTGCATTGTTGGCACACCTAGCAACAAGTGCAAGGCTCAGGGCTCATGGCATATTGCCTCTTCCAACACTATCTTCCAGGAACAATGCCAAATACTTTAATAGGGGCATTTTTTAACTGATTTATCATGACGTAGCTTACATTGTATGTGCATTTTACTCCTTATAGCTTCTTAAGGTTTCATGGAGACATTAACAGGGTTATCTCTGGGCAGTATTACAAATTGGGTACCTTTTTGGTTTTGCACCCCATCTTCCCATGGACACCACTTTTCCTTAGGCAGTTCTCCACTTTCAAGCCTTAACCTGTAATGGCCCTAACTTGACTGCCCTTCTTCTTGGCCTGCTCCCCTGCCTCAGTCCAGCTACTTCCTTTTCCCTCTTTGCCTAGAAATAAGATTTCCCTGTTTTATGGTCATTCTCTTACAGCCCTTCTTTCTCATGAGTTAGTCACAGAGAGGCAAATCAACATTAAAACATGTTAAATCATAGAAGGGCGACTCACCAGAGAAAATAACATTTTATTTTAAGACAGAACATTTGAAGACATGCTGCTTTAACCAAGTAATAACCTGAATGGTGGAAATTTGGGATTTCAAAAATATACAATTCTATGTTTCCTCTGTGCACGATCAGCCTTGGTAAGGAATAAATGTAGTTTTGATTTTATATGAAGCATTGATTTTATGTTCTCTAAGAAGAAAAGATATTTTGAGTTATAGATTTAAATGCCATTTCCTTTTCACTCCCTATTGTCCAGGGGTTTGTGAGATGTAGTTTTTGATCTTAGTGAAAGCTAAGAGCGGTCGTGATTAACTCTTTATAAGCGTTCATAATATCAGGTGTTGCTCCCCTCGTAATAAGCAAATTATTACCAAAACCATACTTTTTAATTCCAGTGCTACCGAGAGAGTTGACTGCAACACATTTGAATGTAGAAAGTGGAGCTGTACATAGGCCACCGAGCAGCCGTTCCATGACCTAACGCTTCTATTGGCACCTGCATTTCGGGTCTGTAATGTTTTCCTAACTGTGTTTTCAAGACCCAAGTGATTTTAAATGAAACGACTGCATTCATAAAAATGGGAAACTGTAAACCAGCATAAATGTCAGTTTTTATGTTGATATTTACATTCATCCCATGGAGAGACTGAATTGTTTATTAATGTGATTTAATATTTGGGGGTCAAATATTTTGGTAACATTCACAGATCAATAAATTAGACACATTCCATCTTAAATGATCAGGAATAGCTTCGTTTCCCAATGTGAAGCCAACTTAAATTTTCCAGCAGGGAATGTTCCCTGCAGAATTCTTAATTGCACTGATGCTATAATAGTATTACATTTTAACTACAACTGTGTTAGATTTTCAAGCATCTCAGAGGTTATAAACTAGTCATTAAAATTCATTCCTGTTGGCAATTTGGTCTGCAGAGGCTTTACCCGGAAAAGCACAAGTCTAATATTTATGTGATTTCCATTTTAACACAACTATTCGAATTACTTGAAATACTGTAGCCTTTGTGCTCTGCTCCTTTTCTTATCCCCTCGCAGGAGTTCCCACTGTATTATCTGTTAACGGTGAGATTACCTACTTTAGAAAAGTGTTTTTTCTCCCCTGTAATTTCTCCTACAAAGGGCCCATGTGATGGAGGCATGTTGCTTAAGGTGATTGTGGGAATGCCATTTTTTATGCTATTCACATGAAGGAAATATGTGGAAGATATAAACTGTGTGAACCGCCTCAAAAATAGAGAGGTCTAGTACTATTTATTTCCACATCCTTACAAAATAATAGCCCAGGCAGTTATTAGGGAGCTGCCTTAAAGAGGTCAGCTTGCAGTTCTTAAGACATTCATTTGTCTCTTCTTTCTCGTCCTTTTTTTTGGTTTTCCTTCCTAGAGTGTTATTAGTACTCCAACCTTGTCTAATAGTCATCGCCTCATTCATTTCCCCTTAGAGTGGGTGGTACTTGACAGCATGTTCCTCCCTTTTCTTCCCAAGCACCTAACTCAGTGCCCTACAGTTAATAGACACACAAGGAAATGTAGGGAATGAATGTTCTTATAAATTTCTTTTATTTCATTTTAACTTGAGAGATTTGCTTTAGGCAGACCTTGACATACTTTAATTGCAGTCTATTTGATTATTTTGCACCCAAGTGAAAAAAAACTTACTGATTATTTATTTGGCAAAATTATTAAGTATCACCAGAAACTGAAAAGTGTGATGCAGTCTGTGTCCTTCAAAAATTCACAAATAATAGGGTGGGAAATAAGAATATTAAGAAAACTATGCTGTACTACCTAAAAGTTATAAATAAAAACCAATGAATCTAAAGGGTCATACCCAATTTATATGAAGTGAAACATATTCATGGAATATTTGATATATGGGTTTGAAAATGAGGTGGAAATTACTCAGGATGACTTGAGATAAAAAATTTTTGATCGGGGGGGTGACATACTGAGACATTAGGAAGATTAATTCAGTAGTGGTGTAAGGATAGATTTGAACAAGGGTGAATTAGAATGCAATATGACTAGAAGGCAGGAGAGGGGTTAGGAACCCATTGGATAGTTTAAGTGAAAGGTAGATGATGGTATCCTACACTTCATGTTACCACTGAGATGCTTGAAAGTGAACAAATTTGGGAGATGTTGTTGCAGCAGAATTAGCAGAACTTGGCAAGAAAGATGAGTTGAACATGACTCTAAGGTTTTGAGCCTGCATGATTCGGAAAAAAAGTTGGTGGTATGAGCAGAAATAGGAAAGGCAGCATGAGGAATGGCACAGGGAGGCAAGGGGGTAGGAAAGAGAGTGACATTGAATGTCTGTGTTTTTAGGTATTTGAGATGCTGGGAAACCTCTTGGGTCTAGTAAGGTAAAAAAACTGTCACGTAGGCAGATATGGCTAATAAAGAGGATGCCGTCAGTTTGATAGACAAGTAGTTCTGTTAGTTGCCAGCTCTATGACCTAGGGCAAGTTATTATCTGACCCCATCTGGTTTTAATTTTCCTTGTCAGTATAAGAGAGAACTGGCTTTAGTAAAATCTGGCTTAATAGATTGATGCACCCTTTGGCAGGTACGAAGTGGTTTGGAACCAGTTGCCAAAAGAATTTGTCCTAGATTTTCTACACGCTTTGGATCAACCCTGCTATCTCACTATGGTCTCTCTCAAAACTTAAAGAAGGTTTGCTGTTCCCGTGATCACCAAGATTGCCCAAGTTGATGTTCATAGATGCCCCCAGAACCTTTGCCTTCTGGACCATGTATACACATAGTGAAAAAGAGGCCTTTATAAGATATATGCTGTTAACTTCCCAAAAGCCTACTTCCACTAAAATAAAGGCACAATTGACTCCGTGTCTTTTTACTCCTTTTCCACCTTCTGAAAAAAAATGATAAAAAAAGACCTCATAATTTTAATGGAAAAAGATGAAAGAAATCCTGTATTAATTTCCTTGTTTTTATGGGAAATTCCTCATTGTAGGACTTGAGTCCACCTTTCCCTTTTTAAGCACCTACTTCATCCATCGACATTTGCCTGAACAGAGTGATGTTGCCAATGTTTAGTCAGTAGTGACCTCAAAATAGAGATAAAAAATGGTAAAAATGTTGCTCAGCTGATTCACCTGCATCTGATTAAAAAATTTGATGTTCTGTTTGGGATATTTTCTTGTATAATTGGAATGTAAAAGTTTGGTGTTTACAGCTGGGAATATTTCCCTGCTGGCTTTCAGTTCATTTTGTTTCTCATTAACCTTTATAAATATTCTAAACGGAAATACCCTTTTATTTAAGATGCAGTGCTTTCTTAGCTAAAGAATGAAAGAAAGCTTTAATATTGCTGTTATGTTCCTGTATCACCTCTCCTAGGAGAAACACAGGGAAAAGCAGTGTGGCATTCTTGGAAAAAGATTTTGGAGTTACAAAGACCTAGAATTCCACTTTGGCTCTGTGACCTGGTAGCTGCATGACCTAGAGCAAATTATTATTCAGTCTTTCTAGGTTTTACTTTCTTCATTGGTGTGATGGGGTTAATGCCTGTGTATTCCAACAGTTGTTAAGAGGATCCAGTGGTATAATGGTGGCATTTGTCTTTAAGCACAGGAGTTCTAGAGTTATACTCCATGGGACCAAATCCTGGTTATATTCTTGTGAAGATAATTTACTTGCCTAAGATCCTTTTCTCATCACGAAATGAAGATTATAATAGCACCTACCTTATAACCTTCTTGTGAAGATAAATAAGTGAAAACACACATTGACCAGCAAATATTAAATGTGCAGTAAATATTAGCGATATTGATTAGTATATACTAGGCACTCAATAAATAGAAACTTCTCTAATTTTCCTCCTTCATGTAGGCATCGTCAGGTTCTCTTCCATATTTTAAGCAAATAATCCTTCAGAGTGTCTCTTTCATATATTAAGCAAAGCAACTCTTAGGATATAGGAGAAAACAATTCTTACATCTTTGCTGCTCATCTACAAAACAGAGGATCATTTGCTGATTTTAGGTATTACCTTCTTTTGAATATAAGGCTTGGAAACTTGAAGACTGAAGGAAAGTGTCATTTCTTTAGAGCAGTTATAAATGTGTACAGTCTCCTAGTTATCGAAATTTCAAGCTACCCTGCCTACCCCAATTTATTCGTCCCAGCTTCCAACACATTTTGAAAAACCCTCTGGGTGCTATCTTTCTTTTTAGTTATCCCTAGCCTTATTTCTTTCTTCCTTATGAGAAAATTTCTCAGCCTCCTCAAGGCACTGGTTTCTCTTATGACAGCTTTGAAACTTGTAGTTTTATTTACATTTTATTTGGGTGAAAAAGCACTTTGGCTAGTAATGCAGCAGAATTTAAAGCCAAATAATTAGTAACCAGTTTTGCAGTTTACTCTCCCTAAACAAGAAATGATAATAATGTAGGAAATACAATGGTCTAGAATTTTCAAGAATTTAGGACATAAAAGAATAATCAGAGCCCCCAGCACAGCTTACAATGAGCAATTCCACATTTATCTGTTTGTTTACCCAATCTCTCACTATGCAGTCACTCAGTGCCTAATGTAGGCAGAATGTTTTAGCAGTAATATAAATACTAACAATAGTCATTAATATGGAATAAATTGTGTCCTCCTCCTTCAAATTCATATGTTGAAGCCCTAGATTTCAGTATCTCAGAATGCGATTATATGTGGAGATAGGGTCTTTAAGGAGGTCATGAAGTTGAAATGAGGCTGTAAGGAAGAGTCCTAGTCCTATCTGACTGGTGATCTTATAAGAAGAGGAAATTTGGACATAGAGAAACTAGAGATGCACATGCATAGAGGAAAGACCACATGAGGACACAGAGAGAAAGCAACATCTGCAAGTCAAAGAGAGAGGCCTCAGAAGAAACCAGCCCTCCCAATAGCTTGATTTTGGACATCCAGCCTTCAGAACTTTGAGAAAATAAATGTTCTGTTTTAAATGCCACCCTGTCTTTGATATTTCATTATGAGATACCCAGAACCTAATACAGTAATATTTTAAATTTGTATTACATTTATACTTCTGTAAAATTCATGTTGTCTTTAGTGGCCAAGGGTATTGACCTGGAGCCACACCTCCTGGGCTCTAATCTACCCTCTGTGTGACCTTAGGAAGTTTTCTAGCCTTTCTGTGCCTCAGTTTCTTCATCTGTAAAATGGAGTTGATTATAGTGTTATTTAACTAGGAGGCTTATTATCGGGATTAAATGAGCTAATGTTTATAAATCACTTTTTTTTTTTTTTTTTGAGATGGAGTCTTGCTCTGTCACCCAGGCTGGAGTGCAATGGTGCAATCTCGGCTCACTGCAAGTTCCGCCTCCTGGGTTCACGCCATTCTCCTGCCTCAGCCTCCCAAGTAGCTGGGATACAGGCGCCTGCCACAGCGCCCAGCTAATTTTTTGTATTTTTAGTAGAGACGGGGTTTCACCATGTTAGCCAGGATGGTCTCGATCTCCTGACCTCGTGATCCACCTGCCTCAGCCTCCCAAAGTGCTGGGATTACAGGTGTAAATAACTTTTAACAGTGCCTGGTACATAATAAGTACTAAAAAACAATTTCTTAAATTAATGAAAGTAAATACATTCTATAATCATTTTATTCTTCTTAAATTCTGTGAGCTGTGGGGAGAGAAAGGGATGTAATATTTACTGAGTCTATTATGTGGTAAAACAATGTGATGGCAATTCTACTCACATTTGCACTTGTGAGATTAAGTTTTCGGCCACATTTACGTACTGCAAGAAGTGGTGGCCTTGGGACACTCTCTCATCTTGAATCTAAATCTATAGTTCTTTGTTCTATTTGTCATTACTCTTCTCTACCAGGCACAGTGGTGAAGTCTAAATAAAATGAAAAGGATAGTAATCAAACTGGGCATGGTATCAACCAAAGTTCACCCAGAGAAACAGAACCAGCAAAACACACACATACACACACACCCTATACACATGTGTATGTATGTGTTTGTGTATTGCTGGTTCTGTTTCTCTGGGTGAACTTGGGTTGAAGTGTGTGTGTGTGTGTGTGTGTGTGTGTGTGTATTGCTGGTTCTGTTTCTCTGGGTGAACTTTGGTTTATATATGTGCATGTATGTAGGGTGTGTGTGTACATATTTACACACATTATCATCTATTTATGTGTCTATGTAGTATCTATTTATCTATCACATGCACCCATCTATGTAATGATACAGTGGCTTATGCAATTAGTTTTGGGGCAGACAATGAGTAGACAGAGACCCCATAGACACAAGCTGGAGCTTGTTATCCATAGGTGGAGTCTCTCTCTTAAAGACTAACTTGTCCTTTAAAAGGCTTCCAATAAATTGTCAGCTCTGCTGAGGATCATCCACTTAATTTAAAGGCTACTGATTAGAGACTTTAATTACATCACTAAAATACCTTCACAGTAGCATCTAGAGTTTGATTAAATAGCGGGATAAGGTACCTGCTTATTACAAACTGGCTGCTATTTCCTCTCCATCCTCCGTCTCCCAAAAGAAAAACAAATATCTTTCATAGCTTGCCTATCTTGAAACATGCCAGAAGGGGGATTCTGGGAGATGTAGGTTAGCTTGGTCAACCTGGCACACCATGAAGCCATTGCAGATATTAAAAGAAAATGAGGCTGTAATTTACTGTGCAAGCAACTGGGGCACATTTTAAATTGAGCTTCTTATTTAACTCTCATAATAACCCTTGAAATAATAGTACCATTTTATGAATGAAAAAACAGTGCCCCAAGTCACAAATCAAGATAGTATGAGAGCCAAAACTGGAATTCAGAGCTGACTCTGAAGTCTATCACATTTAAGAGTAATAGAAAATAACCCCAAACTACCTTTTAAATTATAAGTGAACTTTAGGAAAGAGGAGAAATCAATGTTGGTTGGGATATGATAGCCAACCTACATTTTGAGCAAGTAAGAAACATGAATTAGCAGATGAGAATCTACAATTTTTAGTGCCCTCACCAAATTCTGTGTATAAGCTCTTAAGATTTTCTTTTGGGGATAGTTGTGCATTTATAGGATATTAGGACATATCCTAATATGATATAAGAACATGTGTGTATGAGTGTGAGTGTGTGTGTGTGTGTATGTGTGTGTGTGTGTGTGTGTGTGTGTCTGATAACCTCCTCTAAGAATGGAATCTCTTTGTTTTATATTTTGGATAACTCCTTAGTGAACCAGACATTGCCTTTTCAGAGTTCTGTGATGGATTTTGTGATGCCTGAATTAATGTTATTTATGAAACAAAATTAAAATGCCCATATTTAAATATTTCTTAATGACTGGGCTGCCTATAAATTGGTAGGTAGAATCAGCACCATCATAATTATTACTATTTTGTATTTTAGTATATGTCAATAATTCTACTTAAAGCCTTTGCATACCACACTCTATTTAACCCCCTTAGTAACTTCTTGAAGTTTGTGGTACCCTCATTTCATGCATAAAGAAATAAAGGTTTAGAAAGAGTAAGCAACTTGCTCCAAGTTTATCACCTTGTGTATTGAAGAATCCAAGTGCAACCAAGGTCTCACTAACTCCAAAGCTCAAATATTCACTCACTGAGCAAACAACATCCCCTCCCCCCAGAATGTTTCAGTGATATTCAATTTATTAAAGTTATAAAACTGTCTTATCCCCTTTAAAAAACAGGGTACCAGGACTTTAAAAGATAATTTTAATGAAATTATTGTATTGATGTAAAATCAATATACTCAAGTAAACTATTACAAATGAGTGAATCTTAATCTTTTGAAATATTGTTTCAAACACCTGGATAAGTTATCTTTGTGAGTTTTTATTTTATTCCTTTTGATGAGAATAGTGAAGCCACAAAGCCAGCTTCATTAGACCTCTGACATACATTCTAGTCTCATTTTCTACTGATCTCTCATGATCAATTCTAATTCTGTAAGAATTTCTTTAAGTGCCCATTTGTTGACACACAATGGATTTTCAGAAAACAGTATTTTTATGAGTAAATATTCTACAGCTATATCATCATTTGACTGTAATTACAAATGTTAGTTACTTTGGAGACAATAATATGACTCTCATATACATTATCACAGAATGTAGGCTAGTATACAAACAGAGCCCATTTGGTAGAGTCCTGTTTTTAGTTCTGTAGTTAAAAAATAACATTGGTTAAAGTTAGTATAATCCTCTGCTTTTATAATGGCTGTTTAAAAATATATGAAAATTCTAACAGATATTGGTCTTCTTTGAGAAAATTAGGACTGTATAATGGGTTATGTGTGCTATGGAGTTTCAGCATATCACATCTCAGTGTAATGACTATAATCTATGACAAATTCAGTCCAAATTTCAAAATGGGGTTCTAGTTAACAATAGAAGTTTAAAGGTTACTGCAATTAATGAATGTGCTTGCAGTATGTTAAGTGTATTCATGTATGTTCAGACTTATGAGGCATTTAAATCATTTTAGACACACACTCAGAAACCACATCCATTGTATTTAATAGCTGAACACTAAATTTTTACCTGGGAAGTAGAATTTATATCAGAACTACTTGTTGTGTAGTTCACCACTAGTTCTTTGGATATTAACAGTTTGAACATATAGTTCCAAAACTCTAAATCCCTTAGAGAAAAGACACAATTTGGTTTCTAGATGAATAGGCCAACTTTAAGGAGTAATTAAAAAAAAAAGATAGAAAACTCAAGCTCACTAATCAATCAGAATGATCCTCAAGCTTAGTAACTTGTCCAGGTTTCTAGGCTTATATTTTCATGGAAATGTGAGTAGATTTTTTTTTCCTTTATCGGCCTATGTTTCCATCCACACGAAGTAATGTAAATCAAAGATCTCTTTCACAATGCAATTATTTTCCTCCTGTGGAAAAAGCATGGTACTAGAATAATGCTTTCCAAAGTAAGAAAGAATAAAAAAGGTAAATGTTCTCTCCATTAGTAACCTCATTAATGAAATGGATGCACATTTTGGTACATTTGGAAAGACACATGCACACACACAAATAACAACAACAACAACAACAACAAAAACCTCTTGCTAAAGGAATGAGACGACCACTGCACTTTGGCTCAGATATTACTTTTCTATGATGAGAACACAGCTAAAGTGTTTATTAACTCTTCCTAAAGCCTTTAATCATGGCAAACAAATTTTGACAAGAGACATACGGAGCAAGCACTTTGAATGAAATGGTGTTCTTGTGAGCAGAGAGACATTTAAGAATGACTTCGTTACTTCTGGGAGAGAGAGTAAAAGAGGAAAAAGGAGAGGGAGGAAGGAGGAGAGAAAAATAAAGGCTCACATCTTTATTTAAATTAGCATTTGCCTGTTGAAATAGAATTCTGACTTAGTCTTCACATAAGCATCATGAGATTATCTGGGAATCTGGTTTTAATTAATGGGCCTGGACACAGCTGAATTGAATGAAAGCAACCTTTTTTGTGAGCCATGTATTACCAAAGCTGTGCTGACCTGAAATGAGAGTGGTCAGAAAGGACCGGCCCAGCTAGAGATTTCTTGGGAAATCCAAGCTTCTAAAGCCCACCTTTCATTCTGATTATTCAAATGATAATATACAGACAGGGGAGGGAGGAAGCGGGTATCAAGGTGACCTTCATGCCTATAGCGAACTATCCAGTGAATGAACAAGATTCCCCATGAATCAGTCACATGATTTGTAAGGAGGAAGAATGAAATAAGGCAGATTAGAAAATGTGTCTCATTTTGGGATATCATCCTGAAATCTAGCTCCATCAAAATTCATTTGCCTCTCATCTTTAGCATCTTTGCTCAATATGCATACAAAGAAGGGAAGTAAAGCAACCAATAGAACTGGCTCCCTAAAAATCCATTTTCCACTTCCTCCTTCACTGCAATGTAAGCTCCACCTCAGTTTCAGTAGAACTAAAACATATTGAGGGTCTACTGTAGGCAAAGCACCATGCCACCTTCAGTGAAGTGTACAAAGATAATTGACACATCAGTCAGTACTATGGTTTAAATGTATCTCCCAGAGTTAATGTGGGAAACTTAATTCCCAATGCAACAGTGTTGACAGCTGGGACATGTAAGAGGTGATTAGGTCCTCTTAATGGATTAATGTCATATCTCAAGACTGGGTTAGTTATTATGGGAGTGGGTGTCTAATAAAAGGATATATTCAGCCCTCTTCCCTCCTGCTGTCTCTTGCTCTCTCTTACCCTTCTGTCTTCTGCCATGTGATGATGCAGCAAGAAGGCTCTCACTGGATGTTGGCCTCTTGATCACAGACTTCCATCCTCCAGAACTGCAAGAAATAAGGATTTGTTCTTTATAAATTACCTAGTCTTCAGTATTTTGTTATAGCAGCACAAAATAGATTTAGAAATTCAGGTTTTAGGAAAGTCATTCAGGATGAAATCAGAAGCCTGGGATTTAATTCCAGTCCTATTCCTAGCTCAATGATTTTGAATGAATTATTTGATTTCCCTGAGCCTCGAAGTCTTCATCTGTAAAATAGGGACACTAATAGTTGACACTGTCATCATCATTGTCATCTTTTCTTATAGGATACTAAGGATCCTGAAAGCAAATATATGTAAAAAGATTTATAAATTTAAAAGGACTGTTGTTGCTCACTGTTATTATTATTTTAAAACAACTTTGTCTCATAGAACGTGCCATTCTACAAGTTATTCCCCTATCAGTCTGCCTTTTCTGGAATTTCACAACCCTGTGGACAGATGGTAGTGACCTAGAAAAGAAAAACCTGAATATCTTTTTTGGAAGTCTCACTATCCTGCTAGATAATCAGCTCTCGCATCTGAATGACTACACACTGCTTATGACGATTGTCAGTTGGTGTTGCTTTGGGTTTAATAAGGGAAAGTATTGTGGTGAAAAGAACCCTCTTATGGGCAGCTGAATCTCAACTCCTGGGTTTAGTCTACTAAACAGTAGACTGAATGTACAGTCTTATAATTATGACTTCCTTAAATAAAAGCCCCATAGTGACTATGGAGAGTGAAGGTTATTCAGTAACCCACCACATAATACCAACCATATGAATTTAATGTTGGCTATGTTAAGTACTTATTACTTATTTTTTTCTCAGTAGTTAATAAGCTATAGAAAGCCAGCACAATCTTTTGAAATAATGCATACTCTAAAAACAGTTTTAATTTCCTTGCCTAGGAAACCCTTGTAGATTAATTACTGGACTGATAAGCATCTGTTCTGGCAGAGTTACTTTGGTGTTTTAACAAAAATAGGGCGTTATATGATTCAGCATAATGATTAAGAACCTGGATTTTGGGAGCAGACTGTCTTGGGTTCAAATCCAACCCAGCCACTTCATACATGTGTGACTACTCTTAGCCTCAATTTACTGTAATAGTATCATCATCAAGACTAGTTAAGAGGACAAAATGTGATAATGGGTAGAAAGGCATTGGCAAAGTTAATCATCAATAGTAAATTTTCTATTAGCTATCTACTACTGTATAACAAATTACCTCAAAATTTAGTGACTCAAAACAATAAACACTAATTATTGTACAGTTTCTGTAGGTCAAAAAGGAGCAGATATAGGTGGTTCTGGGTGGGTCTTTAATGAGGTTGCACTTAAGAAGTTGGCCAGGTTTGCAGGCATCTGAAGACTTGACTTGGGCTGGGAGATCCACTTCCAAGATGGTGTATTCACATAGCTATTGGCATGAGGCCTTAGTTCCCTGCTGGCTGTTGGCAGGAGGCCTCAGGTTCTTGCCACATGCACCTGTCCATAGAGTTGCTTGAGTGTCCTCACAACATGGCAGCTGCTTTCTGCCAGGGTAAGTTATAAAAACAAAAGCAAGATGTTAGTCACAAGATCTTTTATGACCAAGTCTTTGAAGTCACCCTCTACCATTTCCATGATATGCTATTGCCTACATATTAGCCATATTCAATGTGGAGGAGAGTGGCTACAGAAAGAGCATAAATATTATGAGGCAGGAATCATTGGAGATCATCTTGGAAACAGCTACCACAGGTGGTTAAGGTGAGAATCTATTTGTATATTGCATTCAGAAAGTCCCAAAGGTAAACTCTTAACCTCAAAGCACTGAAAGGAAGTAAAGCGCTGGTGTGTGTGATATGATGAAGAGGGATCCCAAAAAAAGATGGCAGACAAAAATAAAACCTTTCTCATGAGCACTGATAAAGTCAAATCTTTTCAATTCTTCTATTCTGGATTTAGCATTTAATCAAAAATCCCTATTTCTCTTTGTATAGCTAAGGTCATGATCTAAGTAATCAGGTTTTTCTGACCTGAAAAGAAACATTTCTTAAAATACCCAAAAGAAAAGATAATATGTTCTAGAAACCCTTACAGCTGTTAAAAAAGGGGGGGTTTATTACTTTTAAATACTTTTCTTGTCAGTTGAATATGTTTAATCATACTCTGTTGGAGATGAATCATACATGGTAAGGTCTAAGTTTATTTTCCAATTCTGTTGTACCCAGAGGTGTCTTGAAGTGTTTTTCTTATCAACTCTGCTTTTATTTTTCTCTCTTCTAATGTTGTCACAATTCTTTATACTATTTTATTCTGAGTGGTGATGGATGTGAAAGAGCTTAGTAAAGCAGGTCTCCTGTGACAAGAATGGGAAATGAAATGTACTGTAAATGGTGGTTTTCTGCTGTTAATGAAAATATTTACTAAAGGCCTATACATTGAGTATTCTATGGGTCAGGAGTAGTCATAAACCTGGAGGAGCACTTCAATGCAGGCATCATGTCACTCTGCCATCTTCTAGCTATGAGATCTTGAAACTGTGAGAGGTCCTAGGGTAAAATAATAAATAAAGAAATACACACACACAAACACACAGAGAGACATTTATATAAGGAGATTAAAATTCAGTAAGAAAGATAGGCATATCTATAAATAACTCTAAATTAGCATGCATATCACAGTTATATGGGCAAAATATCAGCTTACCTAAAATGCAATGGTTGTGTGTGATAGTAAGCAATCAGTTCCAAAACGAGACTGTTGGGATTTAAAACTAATCCATAAAAATGCATTTAAAGTAATCCATAAAAATGAGTTGGTTCAGGCAGACAGAAAAGGGAGGAAGGCACTCCAGTTGGGGCACAGCTAGAGAAAGGTGTGGAAGAGGTTATGGAGTGACAGATGCTCTTCAAATCCTGTTGCTTGTATTTTCTTCCCAGTTTCTAAAGGAAACCCAGGAATGAGTTTGTGCACCTCCTCTGTGCTTCCATCGCACTCCTAGCAATATAGGATAGAATTCAAGAGCTGAGACTCAGAAGTTAGATCTCTCCATGCCTCAGTTTTCTTACCTATAAAATGGGAGATTTTTGTAAGCTTAGCTGAATGAATATATTTAAAGCCCATTACAACAGTGCCAGAACGTATGCTCTGAAAGTGTTAGCTATTAAGTAATCATCACAATATACTATAATTGTGGGCTTGCTTATCTATATCCTCTGTTAAATTACAATCTGATTTATTTTGAATAATGTCTCAAAAACAATAATCACATCAGTAAAAACGTTGTAGGAGAGTGAATCTCAAGGTTCACTGCATGAAGGTCCATCATCACCCAAGAAGGAGAAGTACTTCCTGTCTTGGAAGTGGGCTGCAGTGATCAAGAGAGGAAGACAGGCTGACATGCTCTGAAAGCAAGGTCTGATGTTGGCCCGTGAGTTGCCGGGTCCACATGTCAAAAGCATCAGGTGTGATCAGGCAAGAAAGACTGTACTGGTTTAATCTCCTTAGGCCCCTGGCAAGAGAAAAGAGAGATTGGGCATAGGGTGTGGGAGAAAGCCTGGGAAATAAGGTTGCCGAGAAGGCAGGAAGAATACTGTAAACTTTGATTCACCTCACCGTTTCCCATCCAGCCACTTAATATGGCAGCAACAGATGTGTGTTGCCTTAAGGTACCACACTTTATAAGCCATTGAGGTGTTTGAGAATTATTGTTAGAATAATAGCTCTATGTATTCTAGATTCTCGGATGTCTGGGTCGAAGTAGCTCCTGAGAACTGTAGAGTATGTGAATATTATACCTTCTGGGAAAGGTTTAGTTATTTAGCACCAATCTCATCATTAGGTCCAGGGTCATCACAAAGCTGCATTTATATTTTGCCCTTTTATACCCAGCACTAACATTTAAATGAGGTCACTGTAGTCATTTGAGCACTATTAGTTTGGGTTTAAACATGGTCCTTCATTCTTACATTTCAATATGTGATCAGGAAGCTAAAGGGGAATATTCTTCACATTGTATCTGAAAGTGCTTATATCAAGCCCTTGTTTCTAGCTCTCTCTCCCTTTCACTCGCCTTATTGTTAAGATATTATTGTCTTAGCCATGGAATTTTTGTTTTTGACATTATTTGTAATGGTAAATTTAGGAAATACAGAAATAGAAAAAAAGAAACTTTAAAATTTTATCACAATTCAAAACTCAGAGATAACAAACACCAATTACCTTATTTCTAGTATTTTTTTTCTGCTATTACAGATGATGTTGCTAAGAACATTTTTGAATTTTCTCTGGTACACATGTGAAGGAAGTTCCCTAGAGTAGAGCAAAAAGTTGTTTGGAGCAGTATTGCTAGATCTCAGGATATTCACAACTTTACCTTTGGTAGATAATGTTGAATTCCACTGTGGCTGAAATTATTTGTACTCCACCAGCAATGTAAGGGTTCTATAGCTCTTAATTCTCATCTACACTTGACTTTTCAGGCTTATTAGATTGGTGAATAAGTAATTATGGTTTTGCCATTAAAGTGATTAAAAGTAATGGCAAAAACTACAATTACTTATGCATGAACTTAATACATATTAAATATTATTTGCTTTTAGAATTAGGAGTCAGTTTTTTCATGTTCATTTAATTTTTGTATGTCTTACTTGGTGATTTGACATTCACAGTCTTTGTGCATTTTGGGCAATTTTTTTTAAGTTGTAGTTGCTCTAAGTTAAGTGCTAGTGATTCAGCTTCCAAGTATTAATACACTTATGTAATCCTCTTCTACATTGTTTTCATGTTTTCCTGTGTGAATGGTAGAATATAACTGAAGTGATGGTATATGACCTTCAAGCCTAGGTCATAAAACACAATTTTGTGCTTTGTGGACTCTCTTAGATCACTCTCTTTATGGAAAGTTAGCTGCCACGTTGTGAGGACACTCTAGGAGCCCTAAGGAGGGCTTCCTGTCAATATCATGTGAATGAGCCCTCTTGGATGTGAATCCTACAGCCTGAGTCAAGGCTTAAAATGACTGCAGCCACAGCCAATATCTTGACTGTAACCTCATGAGATGCCCCTGTCAGGGCCACCCAACTAAGCTGCTCCTGAATTGCTGAACCACAAAAACATAAAGATAACAAATGCTTGTTGCTTAATTTTGAATGCTGCTAAGTTTTGAAATAATTTATGTACCAATAGAAAACTGATAGAATATTGATTTATAAAATCTTCTCATACACAAATATGAAAGTATAAAATACTGTTATTAATCATACATGTAAAAATTTTCTCATTTGTACTGCTTTCTTATACAAAATATATTTTGTCTTTCTAACTAAACATTTTCTAGAATTCTACTAGAGCTGATTTTGATATATTAAACCATTTTTTTTCTGTCTGTTTTTCTAATTGTTTTGATCAAAGCTTATAATTATAAAATTGTATTAATTTTTTATTGTTGCTAATTGCATATGATCATGTTGTTTGAAAACTGCATTCAGATTATTCAACTTATAATTAGGGTGTTTAACTTTTTTTTATCTATTTTGAGCAAATGTGTTTTATTTTATTTTACTTTTATATTTTTATTTTTTTTTGAGACTGAGTCTCGCTCTGTCACCCAGGATGTAGTGCAGTAGTGCGATCTCGGCTCACTGCAAGCTCCGCCTCCCGGGTTCACGCCATTCTCCTGCCTCAGCCTCCCAAGTAGCTGGGACTATAGGTGCCCGCCCCCACGCCCGGCTAATTTTTTGTATTTTTAGTAGAGACGGGGTTTCACCATGTTAGCCAGGATGGTCTTGATCTCCTGACCTCGTGACCCGCCCGCCTCGGCCTCCCAAAGTGCTGGGATTACAGGCGTGAGCCACCGCGTCCAGGCGTTTTATTTTATTTTTACATTTTTGTTTATTCTGTTTTTTGTGTGCTTTCTTGTTGATTCATTTCTTTTACTGAAGTGTGTTTTTGGACTGTGGATTCTACACATCCTTATTAAAACTATACTTTGAAGATGTGTTCGTAAAATAATATTTAAGCTAATCTATTTGTCAAGATTAAGAAAACGCAAAGACAAATTAACTAATTTTTAAAATGGTGGGCTACAATACAATAGTAGGTCATAAAACCAACTTAGAACAGTGTGTCTCAAGCCCTTTTTAGCTGTGGTGCACATTAAAAACTCATTTTACCTAACAATCAAGTATGTGTGTGTATATATATATACACACATATATGTGTGTGTGTGTGTGTGTGTGTGTGTATGAATACAAAATAAGATGTTTGATAAAAAAGATGTTTGTGCTGGATAGTAATACAAAATTAAAAAGGGTTTTTTATTATGAGTTATAGTCAGAATAATTTGAAGAATGTTGATTCTTTTCTCTAGAAAAATTGACAAAGTTAACATGTTCTGTTTTTGTCAATATTCCCCTGCCAACATCCTAATTTTTATTACTAGTAATAGGTGATTTTAGGTAGAATGAGTATTACTAACATATTATTTATATTAGATGCATATTTCAGTGTTGTCATCTGTATTATTTTTTGTGACAATATTAATATCAAATGTATATTCTTGTTTTATTTAATTGCTTTAAATGCTTACCACCAGTTCTTTGTAACCATAATAACCCTGTTATTGAATTTTTAAATTAGATTTTTCATCAGGTTGGGTATAGAATTTCTCTGAGTAATTTCTTGAGGAAGGTTTTATTATTTTAATATAATTAAGCCTAGGAACTGGAGAAGTATGAATTGAGCAACTGCTAAAATTCCTGAATATATACATACATATATGTATATATTTGTGTGTGTGTGTGTGTGTGTGTGTGTGTATTTGTAATCAATCTAAGATGTAAAAGTTTTGGGTCTTTCTAGCATGCATTTCAAAACTTAATAGACTGAAATGCTTTTTAAAATAACTCTCAGTTAACAAATATTTTAGAAATACCAATTATTTGCCAGAAATTATTGTAGGCTCTGGGAATGCAAAAAGAATATGACATCTGACTATAAATGGTTAACCAAAATATATGGGATGGAATTCATGTGCAGACCTTAATACAATAATAATGAAGAGGATTATATTAGTTAAATCTTTTCAAGCACTTAATGTATGCACCTCATGCTATTCTGAGTTCTCTAGGAGTATTAAAATCATTAAGGGGTTAAAGAAACTAAAATTCAGGTGCTAATATTATCCCCATTTTACATTGATGAAATGGAGGCACAGACAGTTAAGTAATTTACTCAAGTAGACAGTAGAAGAACTAGGACTTGATACCAGGTGGTTTACTTCCAGGCCTATATGTTAATTGATATTGAATATAATATAATAAGGTTGAGTTTTACAATTATTTTAGAATTTATTTCTACACATTTTTAATTAATAAAAAATTTTAGCAGGTGTCTTTTAATTCTAAATAGTGGATTGAGCTAACAGAGATGCCACCTACTACAAATATTTATAAATGCTGATTAAAACATGACCAAAAAGCAAAGCATGTAAGCTTAAAATGAAAAACAAGGATAAATTTTCACAAATTGGAAACACAGAGAAAATTTAAAACCAAACAAGTGCTAAAGTTGGAAGTGTGGTGACTCTGTGGGAGTGTTGCACAGAACATAACTGAAGCCCTGGAAAGGCTACCATTTTATGAAAACAAATGAGGGGAAAATCTCTTCCCATCAGTCAAAGTAAAGCTGTAGAGAGTGTGAGTTTTTGGCTCTGAACAAGAAAAAGACAGTAGTTGCCCATGAGAAACTGGTGTGGTGCAGGAATGACAGGAGGTGACATTAAGGTAAATCTGGTACTGAGCAAGAGAGTACCTAAGGGCTCCTTGCAGAAGCAAACACAAAATCCATGGTAGGCATGCTCCCAGGACAGGGAACACAGGGACTACACAGTGAAACACCCCACAGTGAAAATAGGCTCACAATAAATATTGCTAATCAAATACTACACCACAAACTGGAGGATTAGCAATCGAAGAATTTCAGATAATAAAACAATAGAAAGGGCTCTAAAAACTTATGTTTAAAATAATTCTGAAGATACAAAAAATATAAATCATAATAAAACTTACTATTTAAAAATCTCAGGGTAAAAAATGACAAAACTTTATGAAATAAAAATAAATATACACATTTTATTATCTATAAAATATTAATTGAGTACCTGTGATGTGTGCAGCATTTTTTAAGTGTACTGGGAAATATAACCGGGGGAAAGGTTTGATATTGAAGCAAACCCCTGAGAAGAGGGCAAGTGAGTGGTGCAGAGATCTTGGGAAAGAAAGAGATTTGTAGGCCAAAGGGAAGTATATGGGAGCAGAGTAGTTGGTGTGTTCATGGAACAACAAGTAAGTCTGTGGGCTCTGAGTGGACTGAGGGGCAGAGCAGTGGAATAAAAAGTCATAGAAGTAGCTGAGAGTGACAGTGGGGCATGGAGGTGTTTTAGGGCCTCTGAGACTGAATGGACCTTCAGTTTTACTTGAAGTGAAATGGGAAGCTATTGGAGGGTTTTGAGTAGGCATTACACGAGCTGAAAAGTATCTTTACCAGGATTATCGTGGCCACTGCTTGGAGAATAAACTGTAGGAAGAAAAATGTCAAAATAAATCAATGAGGAGCCTACTACAAATTCTTAGGAACTAAATGATGATGGTTTGAACCAGGGTGTAGCAGTGGAAGTAGAGAGAAATAACCAGGCTCTGTGTATATTTTTAAGGTATAGCCAGCATTTGCCCGTAGATTTGATGTAGGTGTTAGAGAAAGAGAGGGCAGGATGATTAAGCGTATGTAAATCTAATAAGAATCCTTGAAGAGGAGACTAGAAAACGTGGGGGAAGAAACAATATTCAGAACAATTTTAGCTAAGAGCTTTCCAGTATAAATAACAGAAATATCAGTCCTTAGGTTAAAGAAGCATACAAAGTCCTGAAGGGATATAAAAAACCAGGTAGTGACACTATAGAACATGAAAACAAAGAGATTACCATTTCAGCAATCAAAGAAGAAAGGCAATTAAATAACAAAGGATTGACAATTAAGCTGAGAACAGATTTCCAGGAGCAAAATAGATGCCTGACAATCATGGAATATTATCTTCATAGAGATTGAGTAACTGTCAATCTGGATTCAGTGCATGACCAAAGAAATAGAGTGAAATAAAGATATTTCTCAGACACAACTGATTGAGAAAATAATCCACTCAGTGAACTTCACTGAAACAAACTGCTGAAGAATATACTTCAGGAAAAAGGTCTAGAATATCAGAAGCCAGAACTTACTCAAAAATATGAGGTTAAAACTAAATAAGCTCTAACTGAAATAACACCAATAGCAAATAATGTGGGATAATTAAAAACAAGATATCATCTCGAGAAAATGCTTTAAGAAGCATAAACTAATCATTAAGTAGAAGAAAGGCAAAAAATGAAAATAAGAGAAAATATTCACATAAATATAAACATAATTAATGTAAATAGAAAACAAACATAATGAAGAGGATCAATAAGCCAAAGCTTGATTCTTGAAAGGATGAATAAATTTGATAAAATCTTGGCAAGAATTATCAATAAAGAGAGAAAAGGCCCAAATAACCAATATCGGGAATTAGCCATTTCTATAGACATAAGATCATGAGAGCTTATAATAAGTTGTGCCAAAATTTTTGAATGTGTAGATAAAATGGGTGAATTACTAGGAAAACTTAACCCTATTAAATTGATGAAAGAAGAAACACATAATTTGAATAGTCTAATAAGGATTAAAGAACTTGAATTCATAGTTAAAATATGTTCCACAAAACATTCCAGGTACAATGTAATTTTTCTGGTGAAATTTACCATACATTTAGGGAGGAAATAACATCAATCTTACACCAACTTTTTCAGAGAATAGAAAAGACTGGAATCTTACAGCTGCTGAAATATTAAAGGTAATAACTTGATCCTGGTTTTATCACATGTGAATTCTACAAGTTTCTACAAATATAAATGCTAAAATTCTACAATTGTCTATGATGTTGGCTTTAATGGATTGTAGAGTTATGAGAAAGTTTTTGTAAATTATAAATAATAAAAACAAATTCTAATCAGCCTTACCAGAGGAAAGCCTCTATCTTAGCAGTGAGAAATCTTATTAATATTTCAAAATCACTGTCACTTTAACAGGTGATCTAAGAGCATGCAGTTGAAAAAAAAGATAAAAGTACTATAGAGATGTGTGATAAAGCACTTAAGAAAAACTTTTGATATGTGATATGGTTTCGTTCTGTGTCCCCACCCAAATCTCACCTTCAATTGTAATAATTCCCACATGTCAAGGGCAGGACCAGGTGGAAATAATTGAGTCATGGGCGGCAGTTTCCCCCATGCTATTCTTGTGATACTGAGTAAGTTCTCAAGATATCTAATGGTTTTATAAGGGGCATCCCCCTTCGCTCGGCTCTCATTCTCTCTCCTGCCACCCTGTGAAGAGGTGCCTTCTGCCATGATTGTAAGTTTCCTGAGGCCTCCCCAGCTATGCAGAACTGTGAGTCAATTAAACCTTTTTTCTTTATAAATTACCCAGTCTCAGGTATTTCTTCATAGCAGCCTTAGAAAGAACCAAAACAGCATGTTTTCTAGATTTTTGTCATGTATTTGATATCAATTTTTCAAAATTGGTACCTTTTCGAGATTTATTTTCCCATTTGAAATACACATTTACTTTGCACCTAATATTGGATTTGTTATTTTTCATTCTCTTTCTTAAAGAGAATATGCTTCAGATGACACAAACCTGGATCCACTTCTGTTCATGGCATTTTTGACAGTTATTCAAGGATGTATGTAAAATATGAAGCATTTAGCCAGGCACTTTGAAAGCAATAAATAAATACTAATGTTCTTGTTGTTATAACATCCTTGGAAAGTGATTTCTCCAAACATTACAATCTGTGGAGTGGATTTTTATGTCATACTTACATGTTAGAAAAAAAAATGGCCCCTATTAAGAGATTGAATGGGCTACTTGTTCAACTGAGAGCTCCGGTGATCCAGCAGCACAGAAATTGCTTGGCTACTTGGAAGTAACAATATAGAAAGGTTTTTAGTTCAGATAGGAGGTTGAACTAACTTATCTTTCATGTCACTTTCAACACTATAATGTCATTGTGATGTGCTTATGACTGCACCTTCTTTTCTTGGTCCGAAGAAATCATTTCTGATAACAGGATTCTGAGCCTGAGGCCAGGATTTTGGAAATGATAAGAGAAGTCAGGTCTCGACCTCTGCGTGCAGGCCTGGAAGGACAGCTTTGGGATGGGCTTGAACTGTGTCATGAGAAGATTGAAATGCCTGATTCAAGATTTGTTTAAAATTCTGCGAAGTGCACATATCAATTCTAACTCTATCAGAACGGATTCAATCACTCCTTAAATAACACTCTGTGGCAGTATTTAATTTTTCCAGCTACATATATATCTAACAAATTATGGAGGCATTTTGCATATATTCATAAGTCACAAGCCCGTGAGACGTGCACAAGTCACCCTGAACCTGAGCCTCTCGTTTCCATGCAACTGTTCTTTTTCCTCCCCTAGGTACCTGACACCAAGATAAATGCTTTTTACAGGATAATGAATTTCTGTCATTCCACAGGCAGTTAGTTTGATCAGAAATTAAAGTTAAATATAGGTTCAAAGGGGAAAAAAAGGCAATATTTAACTTTGGAAGGATACATTTGCCTTTTAGCAATCTGGAAAATGGCAAAGGATTACTGCATCATTTCCTTTTGCAGAAAACAATTGCTCCTCAAAAGAAGGTTGGACATTGCTTTGTTTTTATAGGTTTGGGTCATTTATTTCCTTTCTTTGGCTTTTTCTGTGTTTCTTTGATTAACATACATTTGGTAAATCTCCTATCTGAATACAGAGCTGCGATGAAACGTGCATGTGTGTTTGATATTGTTTATACTGGAAAACTATGAGAGGCAAATATATAAGGGAGAAAAAAATGGAAATATCTCACTGTAGAAGTGAGACTCCTGGCAACCCAAAGGATATTTTCCATATACTCTAGTGGAAATAGGGCCTTTTATTCCCAGCATGTATTTCCCACATCATAAAAGTAAAAATTCCTTCTTTGTCAGGCTCACTTTATGGCTGGTCCTCTGACTGTGTCCACACAAATCTAGAACAGCTCATAGATTCATAGAGTCACTGAAAAGATCTGTCAAATTGCATAAAACATTCTGACTGGCAATTTGACAGAAACCTGATAGGATAACTTTGCATAGTGGGAAGCATTGTGGTTTGTCTTTATCATCCTCAGTTTCTTATATTTGTCATTTTTTAAGATAATATTCTCCCATTTGCCAAATTTACTAAGGCATTTTGGTGTCCTAATCACAGTGCTAGGCATGAGGAAAGATCTAAAGATGTAAAGGATTTAATTTCTTTTCTCAAGGTGTTCACCTCAGTGAGACAGAGGCACAAACAACTATTAAATACAATGTGAGGAAGGCAGGTGGGGCCAGGGTGCTAGGGGAGCATACTTCAAACTAGCTGAGACACATTGGACAGCATGGAAGGAAATCACATCGTGGATATATCTCTGGATCCAGAAAGTGTGAAAAATACAACTTAATTTTTTTCTATAACTTGAAAATTTCTTATTTCCGTTAGGGGCTGATGAAAAACTAATTGCAGTCAATCTGTGGATCACACTCTAACATTTTCCCCGAATCTCATTACATTTCAGGAAGTTTATTTATTATTTATTTATTTATTTATTTATTTATTTATTTATTTATTTATTTTTGAGACGGAGTCTCGCTCTGCTGCCCAAGCCAGAGTGCAGTGGCGCGATCTCAGCTCACTGCAAGCTCCGCCTCCCAGGTTCACACCGTTTTCCTGCCGCAGCCTCCCGAGTAGCTGGGACCACAGGCGCCCACCACCACGCCCGGCTAATTTTGTGTATTTTTTAGTAGAGACGGGGTTTCACCGTGTTAGCCAGGATGGTCTCTATCTCCTGACCTCGTGATCCGCCCACCTCAGCCTCCCAAAGTGCTGGGATTACAGGCATGAGCCACCGCGCCTGGCCAGGAAGTTTATTTTTTAACAACATATTAGGATGGAACCCATTGGGTCCTCTTTGTCAGTAATCATGCTAGCATCCTCTGAGACCCCTATTGTCCCATCCGTTGCTTTGTCAGTGTACACAGGAGTCCCTGGAGGCATCACTTGTTTCCATATTAGCTTTGCCGTATTCCAGTCATTCTTGGGGGCATGCATGTCATTCTCCTATACCTTAAGGGCCTGTGAGGTTCTCTAAGGCCCTTTCTATCTGTACGCATCTATGTATGATGGAGTGATTTCTCCTCTGGAGTTCTGCCTCATTCCTGAGGATGCACCCAGGAGGAGGGCCCAATGCCCCTCCATAGCACATGCTGCCTCCCAGAGTTCATTCTGGGCTTGTCCCTGTGACACACATAAAAACACCTCTGTGGCTGTCCTTTAGTCTCTGCCTTCCCTTTCAATGGCATACCCTTGAGGGTGAAAGCTAGGGCAGACCAAGTTGTTTTTATGATATTTTTGTCAGTTTGTTGTCTAAGCTGTATACCCTTTGTATTTTCCCAAGTGCCTGAACCTCTAATGCACAAAAATCAAGGGAGAGACTCTCTCTCCGTGTGAGACGTCACATTCATTTTCTAAATCCTTGAACACAGAAAGCCTGACTGCTGGAATGGGGAGAAACGCCAAATGGAAAGAAAAAAAAAAAGAAAATCTGGAAAAATATTTAATTATTGCTTTATGTTAGTATCTTACCTCAACATTTGTTTTGAGTAGAGTATAGTTTTAGACACACCAAGTTGGAAATCATTTCAAGAGATTAACTGTGAAAGCCTCCCACCACATGTAGGGATCATCTATCCACATGGACAAAGAGCTATCTAGGGAGTTCAAGGTGTTTTCTTGGCTGGTAAGTTTTAATGTTGGGATTCAGGCTTTCCTGTTCTTGAAGGTTTAGTGCAATACTGCACATTGCTGCCTGATTGAACTTTAAATAAATCTCTTCATATAATTCCTCTGCTCAAAAATGTTCCTTTGTCCTCATTTATTATGCCTTCTCAGGACCTCAGTATCTTACTTGGATGAGTACAAAAAGTTTGGAATTGATTCTCTGGTTTCTACTCTTTTCTTGTCTAGCCCATTGTAAACTCTGCTACTAGATTAAGCTGTCTACTTTTGTCCTGGCATTCAAGGCTTCCCATGGAGCCCACCATGGTTTAGTCCCTGTGCTGTGAAGGATGAACTAAGTGATCTGGGGTGTTGAAACCCCATTCATTCTAAAGAGAGAACTGACTCTTGATACCTCCTTGGAGATAACCAGTAAGACTTTGGAATATTTTGCCTGATGAGAGTGTCTTTATATACCTAAAGCCTTGAGATATGCCAGATAGTCTATGCTAACAATGTGATTTGTGGTGGCTGCCGTGGACCATGCTGTATCAGTTGCACACCTGGAGGGGCTGGAGACTAAGTAACTAAGTAGTCAGCCATGCAGATGCTCCATGCCTACCAGACTGACTCCCAATAAAAACCATGGACATGTAGGCTTGGGTGGGCTTCTCTGGCTGGCCATACTCTATACCTGTTGTCCCTCATTATTGCTGAGAAAATTAAGTGCTGTTGGTAGGAGTCCATTGGGAGTATACAACTGGAAGCTTGAATGTAGTCTCTACTGGACTGTGCCCCATGCACTTTTTACCTTTGTTGATTTTATTAGGTAACACTTTGTAATAAACTGAAATCATGAGTATGTCAACGAAAAGAGTCAAACTCTGTAAAATATTTGAAGAGATTTATTCTGAGCCAAATATGAGCAACCATGGCCGATGACACAGCCCTCAGGAGGTCCTGAGAACATGTGCCCAAGGTGGTTGGGATGCAGCTTGGTTTTAGGGAAGCATGAGACATCAATATATTGAGAAATATATTGTTTTGGACCAGAAAGGTGAGACAATTCTAAGCAGAGGAGCTTCCAGGCTGTAGGTAAATTTAAACGTTTTCTGGTTTACAATTTATTGAGTTTGTCTAAAGGCCTGGAATTAAGAGAAGGGAAATGTTCAAGTTAAGATAAAAGATTGTGGAAACCAAGGTTCTTTTGAAGTCTCATAATGGCTGCCCTTAGAGACATTAGATGACAGATGTTTCCTATTCAGACTTTAAAAGGTACTAGACTTTTAGTTAATCTCTTCAGGATTGGGAAGGCCTGAAAGAAAAAGATCTAGCTATTTAAATAGAGATTCTTTACAGATGCACATTTGCTCCCACAAAGGATGGCTTTGCAGGACCATTTCAAACTATGACAAAGAAACATGTTTTGGGGTAAAATATTTTGATTTTCTTCTTTGTCATGTTATGTTATGCCAGAGTCAGATTGGAAAATAAGTCATAATATAAAGATTTCAATAAAACCCATCTGATGAGAATTTATGGTTTGTAGGGCGTGACTCCCCAGACCCCTGAGATAGGAATTTGGGCAACATAAAAAAGTCAGAGCTTAGCAAATTTCTGAGTTACGTGAGTCCTTTTTGAAAACAAGAAAACCTGAGGGTGATTGGGTATGGCATGACTTTCACATCTTGCTCAATATACCAAACTTTTCATTCATATATAATGGTTTCCTTTTAGGCATGCTTGTTCTGGGCTTTCCTATGCCCAAGTATTTGTTTATCCTGTCTTTTCTCCATAGAAAGAAACAGTTGAATGAATGAAGGCAAAAGAATCACAAAATGGCTTATTTCAAATCCTCAGCTGCTCTACATACTTCGACTTTTGAAATATTATTTGTAATATTTTTGTAGAGATGGGAATCTCGCTACGTTCCCCAGGTTGCTCTCAAACTCCTGGTCTCAAGCAATCCTCCTGCTTCGGCCTCCCAAAATGTTGGGAATGTAGGTGTGAGCCACTGTGCCTGGCCTGAATTATTATTAAGATATACTCTCTTATGGACTTAATGTTCAGAGATCAGTTTAAATATTAATATAAGGTGTCCTGGCCATGCTCCCAAACCTCCAGCAACTTCTCTACAACTCTTTGAATCTAAAATATTTTCCTGATTTTATTTTTGTACAATTTATCACCTGAATCAGTTGTTTGTAACTTCCAGTTGTTTTGCCTTTCAGATTGGCAAACAGCATACTTCTGACCCCATGAGGAAGTTTTTCATCCTTATTTCAGATCCACACACATAACAACTGTTTCTAAATGCTAGAAGGTTGAGACAATTTGAAGAAGAGGGCTAAAGTCTCAGACCTAGCAACCTGTATGTCTATACAAATCTGAGGCCTGCATTTGTTATTCCTCTGGGCAACAAAATACACGCATACATCTCTGTATAGATACTTTCTGGTGAAGAGAATCTTAAGTATTCCCTATACAACTATGAATAATGGAGACTGAAAATGTTTATGCTTTATTAAAATGTATTTTCATAGGAAAGATGTATAATCTTCTCTTACAGGAAATCCCAATTGTTACAAACAAGATATAATAACAACAGATCAAATGCGAACGAGTAAATAATTTACATTTCTAAGTAGCAGAGCCTGGAAATATTCAGGTTTACATTAGAAATCCTTCAAGATCTCACATACGGAAACTGCATAAATTACCAGTGGCTTTGTAGAAGCGGATGCATGATGCCATGACAGCATTAAAGACAAAAGAGGAGTAAGTTGGCCTCTACTGCTGAGGTCTGGGTAGAACAGGAGTATTCTCCTGTGGGCACCTGCACTTTAGTTAATGTTGCAAGCAGCTTTCCATTGTTGTAGGCCAGCTTTTGTCTATACAGAGTAATCAGGGATCAGGTGAAAACTGGAAGCCATCAGGTGAAAATGCTTCTGGTTATAAATGACAATGCAGGCCGGGCGCAGTGGCTCACGCCTGTAATCCCAGCACTTTGGGAGGCTGAAGCGGCCAGATCACGAGGTCAGGAGATCGAGACCATCCTGGCTAACACGGTAAAACCCCATCTCTACTACAAAAAATACAAAAAAACTAGCCAGGCATGGAGGGCGCCTGTGGTCCCAGCTACTTGGGAGGCTGAGGCAGAATGGTGTGAACCTGGGAGGCAGAGCTTGCAGTGAGCCGAGATCGTGCCACTGCACTCCAGCCTGGGTGACAGAGCAAGACTCCATCTCAAAAAAAAAAAAAGGGCAATGTAAATCTCAGAGGCCTAACCTTGGAATTTAGAATAAGAAGTTTCTTAATATTCTCTCCCATGGAGTGCTATTTCTATGATATCAACTCTCCTTGCTAACTTACATTACCTGGAAAGAAGAGTTTTTCTTTTTTTTTTCTTTACAAAAATCCCATTTCTTTCCTCAACACTTGCCTAAAAGTTTGAAACCTGTGTGGTAGTTTTGGCTCCAGGAGTCAAGAGGTCTATTTTGGAGACTGAGTGCTGCCATCCAGATGGTAGATGGTACATCACGAGCTGGATGTGGCCTTAGGCAAGTAATTAAAATATTGAACCTCAGTGTCCTCATCAATAAAAGGGGGATAATAACTGCCCTGCCTGCTTCACAGAGATATTGTGAAAATCAGCTAGATGCATGAATATGAAATGCTCTGACCCTAAGCTACATAGAAACATAAGGTTTATCTTTTCTATTCTTTTATTCTTTTAAAAACCTCACCAAATATCTTCATCACCCGGTAAAAACAGCAGTGTATTCTTGAGCTACAATATGAAGATGCTTTTAATAAATTTGAGCCAGCTCTGCCCGTCTGCTGACCTACTATGCTTGTGCTGTTTGCAGACAGGAACTGTGCTTTCTTGGCAAAACCAGAGGTGTCCAGCCAAGACTGGCCTGCCTGAGGAAGGCAGAGAAGATCTCTCAGAGGAATTCCAGTTCACAGGATTCAAATAGCATTTAGCCTAGAGCCCTGAAAGTGGTTCCTCTTAGAGAGCATTTTGCTTTCATGGGCTTGACTCAACTATTGTGTTTTTCTATTTTTATATTCTTCTTCCAAATAACATTAATTTTGACAGACCAAAGCTGGAAAGAAATAACAGCTATGAGACCAAAGAGAAGACAATTTTTTTCTGATTGGAGGTAAAGTATATGTATGAGGTAATACAAAAAGGAAAAGACTTAGGACTTTCCTCAAGAAGTTAATGGTCTAGTTTTGAAAGAAATGTGCACCTAAACAAGAGGTGAAGTTAGGGGAAGAGGTAGGCAGAAGAAACACAAAGCAGGCTGTTGTATGGTGCTGGGGGAGAGACACTGGAAAGGCTTATGGACAAAGAAGACTGAACAAAGGAATACTGAAGATTATTCCAGAATGTCTAATATAAATGCAAAAGTCCAGAATTCCTCTATTCCTCTAGGGGGAAATTTCTACTCTATAGAAAACTTGGTGAAGTAAAGGCAATGGTTAAAAAAAAAAAAAAAAAAAGAAGAGAGAGAGACCTGAGTTTCTCTCTTGAATTGTGGAGAGGAAGCAAACAGACAAGGGCTTTCTAAAAACAGACTCCCTGGACGGGCACAGATAGAGACAGTGAGGGATGCGGGGCGGTCTCATTCCTGGGACCACTGCTAACAGTAAGCTTTGTTGTCTTGTTTTTATAAAGAACTGTTTCTGCTTTCTTATACAAATACCTCTTTTGATCACCTTGAGCTACACATGACTTTATCACTGAGAGCATCATGCGTGTATGAAGGTAAAGTGCATGTGTGTGTGCGTGCATATACATGTGCATGCTTAGGGTGGCACAGGAAGAGGTGGTTATTAAAAAATTCCATTTGCAAAACAATGTGCTATTCAGTATCAACAAATACCAAGCATAAATTGTGCACTAGATGTAGCAATAGGGTCTAGGGTACAGTAATGTTCAATTCAGATATGATCTGTATCTCCATTGAGTTTATAATCTAGATTATAGGAGGGGTAAATTCTAGGAGATATGGCTTTTTGGGGGCTATTTTATTCTTTTCATAGCATATTGGAAATTGTCTGGTGGCTAAGCTAAAATTACATTTTCATAAAAAATAATCCCCTTTCTTTGCAATGAGATAGAGCATTAAGAATTTAGGTGAAGTCATAAACGTGATCAGCACAGCAAGCTGCACCAAGGCGCATAGTGATTGAGGCCACAGGGAAAGCTTAAAATGCCATTGATTTATTGTGCACACAGGCATCCCAAGCCTCTGAAATGATAAGAAAGCAAAGTGGAGGCAGGCTGTAAGATGATGAGGCAAATCACATTCCATGGGAAACCAGGAGCTCCTCAGAGACTGTGATCTGAACTTCAACAGCTGCTTAGCGTTAGGGAGTTTGGTGAAATGTGGATTTGGATAAGGATGGGAATACAGGGGAGAGGGATAAGGGCCCAGAGAGACTCGTGAAAACTTTCTCCCACCAGCGGTTGCATGGAAGTCTGACATAGTAGATTTTCCAGCTCTGTGGTCAGGTGAGGTGGGTGTCTCTTGGTCAAATTGTCCCTTTATAGCATGGAGGTATGTGTTATCTAGGCTGGAGGGGAGCAGGTGCTTGGCTGATTTTATGTGTAATCACAGAGATGGAGAGAGAAAACTAAAACAAAATTCAGGTACCAGGGGGCCTTCCATTTAATACTCCCAGAGGGATTCAGGCACCATGGGCCCAGGGCCATGACAGTTAGAGCTGTGAGTTTTATAACTTCCTGTGTTAGTCATCTTGTGTTGTCCCCTTTACATTTCCTTCTAGTCATTGGCAATAAAACTCTTATAATGAAGAAGTGTATTTTTCTTCAGAGTCAACAGGATATTAAATCACCTCCGCAGCCATGGTTTTTTCCTCCTCCCTGTTGTGGGGGGAGAAAGAAATGAGAGAGTAGTGACTACTTTGAGAAGATGGGAAATTGGGTTGTATTCTCAGGTTTTTTGCATAGAAGAATTTGAACTGGGCACTGTCTCTGAGCTAAGCCTGTGTGAAAACCCTGAAGCTAGTCTTGCACTTGATTCCAAATGACATTTTCTTTTTTCTGTAATACTTTTGCATGCTTGTATACTTTTCATTTTCCATTTGCCTGTCCCTCCCAACTCACCCAGCTTCCTCCTCTGCTTTTCTCTGTCCTGTCCTATACGCTGAGTGGGCTGACACCTCAGACGATCATACCTCCTTTGCTGCCTGGATTCCAGTGAGGCTTAGCTTATGGAAGGCAGTCGTAAAAAATTGGAGGGTGGGACAAGGAAGAAGTATTCACTCCCCACTTCTTTTCTATGCTGGACACATTCTGTGGCAGAGCATGTCCCTCTGGGAATACGTCTCCTGCCGGGCAGCCCTTCTCCAAGATTCCCATGTTCACTGGGCTTTGTTAGTACTATTTCCTTGCCTTGCCTTGCCTTTCTAAGCCTAAGGTAGTGGTGGCTTTTGATTCTTGATAGTTTCTATGTTCTCCACCATTTTTGCTGACTTGTCTAATGTTGCTCATGCCTCTGTAGATAATCCATTCCTTGAAGTCTGAGTAGGATTCTGTTCCCTACAAAATACAGCTCAAAAGAGCTACTTAAAGGCAGGCTCTGTATATAATTATTGTTTTTAAACTTTTTGTTTCTAGGCTTAGTCAAGTGCCAGACACTGAAAAAACTAACAGATTCAACTTCCTCCACATCTAATCCATGAGGAAATCTGACTGGTTTTACTCTAATGCATAACTTAAACTCGTCACATTCTTTCCATCTTCAGTGCTATAACCCTAGTCCAAGTGGCATTAATTGTCATCGGGATTCTGCAATAGCCAATTGCCTCCAATGGGTCCCTTTGTTTCTCCTCCAATACCATGTAGTTGAGTCTCTACACAGAAGCCAGTCAAAACGATCTTTTATAAATTTGAAGTCAGATCATGTCATTCTCCGCCCAAATGTTTCCAATGGCTTCCCACTGCATTAAAATTAGATTAAAAGCTATTGCCCTGGGCAACAAAGCTCAACATAATCTGTCCCTGTCTACCTCCTAGAGCTCATCTACCTCTGCCCTGTCTTGTCCGCAAAGCACTTATTACTCTGCCTTCTTGAAAATGACAAACTTATTCCATCTTAAAGTGACATCTATGCATTGTATTATTTCTTCTCTGTGCTCTCACATGGCTGGTTCCTTCTGGTCATTCAGTTCTCAGCTCTGACTTTCTGAAAGCATCTCTTTCTGGACGCTCTAATGCAGCACTTTGTTCTTCCCCAAGTCATTCTTTAGTACATCATTTCATTTTATTTTCTCATGGAACTCATCTCCATCTGAAATTATGGCCCTTATTTACTTACTTTTTTGCTTAGAGTCTGACTCTCTAATGAGAAGGGAAGATCTATGAGAGCAGGACATATATAGGAAAATATCTTGCCAGTCTTATTTCCTACCATTGTCTCTGCAATGTATAGGAATGCCTAGCCCATAAGTGCTACACACACACACATACACACACACATGCATACACATAGACACACACAGACACACACACACAGACACACACAGAGCAAGAGAGAGAAAGAGAGTGGGGAGAGAGAGAGAGATGAAAGATTTACTGATCAGCATTCTTCTCAATGCTTTACATAGATTATTTATTTTAATCCCCAGTACAACTCCATTCATCAAGAACTATTATTATCCTTGTTTTACAAATGAAGAAACTAAGCACAGGGAAGTTAAATAACTTGCCAAAGGATATACCCAATTAGGAAGTAGCAGAGCCAAAATTTGAAATCTGGCCATCTGGCTCTTAGCTGCTCTTAACTGCTAAACTATACAGAGTCCTAACATTTGTTCAATATATTAATGAACACTTCCTGTCAGCTTCTTCCGTTTCACACTTGGACTTTAGAAAAAACGAAGCTATCCAATTTTTAAATGTGGGAGCCTGCCTGACCCCATGCTGAGGGATTTTCTCCCCTTGAAAAAGGATACTATGAAGCCAGGACAGCCAGTGAGGCACAAATCTCTTTCTTGAATGCAAGCCCTTTGGGGAAAGTTTCCAAAGATCCCCAGAAGTGCTGAGCCTGTGGTCTGCCAGAAATGTGGCCCGGAACTTCACGGCAGGAATATTTTTTTCTCAGTTTTCCCTCATTAACTAATTCAGAAAACATTTAATAAGCAGTTTTGTTGCACCAGACACCTGAGACACAGAGATGAATAAGACAAGTGCTCAGCTCTTAATGAGTTTACAGGCTGGTGGAACATCAACTCTATTTTTGGACACACATTCTACTTGTTCATCTATTTTTATTTTGAATCAATTAAAGATGAGAAATTAGAACAGTTTTCTGAACTGACCAACTCTGTGCCTGGAATGGAGCTGCAACTTTGTCCACTGCTGAAGCTGGCCTCAGGTTCAGACTCATGCCAAGAAGCCCAGTGTTCACAGACTCGTCTACAAGTGTGGTGCTGTTTCTTTTACAGCTCCTTTTTGATGACTGTGCCATAGTGGCTGCGCATTTGGAAGTACTTGCCGACTTTTTGAAACTACCCTTTCCTGTCTCAGCCTTAATCCCATTTTGACAGGTAACACTCCAGCACAGGCTTTTCTGCATTAGAGCAATGTTGCTCCCATGCTGACCTTCATCTTCACTCTCCCTTGGCACTGGAGGAAATTACCTACACCCATTTATCTCCTTTTCTTGTAATTCAATCACTCCTATTCATTATTTCTATAGCTGTCTTCCAATTGCTCCCAATTTGTCTATTTCATGCTATTACCCAAGCACCTGAAAACCAACATGGTCTACCACATGGCAGCTCCATATAGGGATCACCTTGCAACCATGTGCAGTAACGCATCTTAAAATACAGCCAAGAAATGCACCCTGTTTTTTATTCAGTTTCACTGCACCATAAGCTTATGTTGAAGTGTCTAATATCACCTTCCTGTTCTTTTTATTCTTTTTTTTTCTTGCTGGTCTTGTTGCTTTCCAGTTTTCTCCCTGGAAATTTAAATAGCTGTGTTTCAGGTTCCTTTCCTCCAGATGTATTAATTTTCAGGTCTCCTTGCTAAAGCTCATTTGGTCATTTCCTGACTATATTTCTAAGCACTGAAGCCACTTTACATAACGTGCCTGTCCTTAGTGATTTTGCTATGACTTTTATTTCAGCTTGATCTGCAAATTTAATTAGTGAGTTCCATGTCTTTCCATTTTAAAGAGTACATAAGATAATGTCAGTTCTCTACAACAGCAGGTGGATAATAGAAACAAACAAGCAGGGAGATTTTACCTTGAACTGCTCTCTGCAAAGTAAGGAGTGAGAGAAATCAAAGAAGATGTTGAAGACATGACACAACAGCTGGGAATGTGACCTTACTGTAGCAGATGCCCCCAAAATTTGCTGGGCTGTTATGCACAGATGGTGTGGCAGTACCTGCCAGTACAGTTTCAGAAGCAAAAAAGCAAAAGAAGATTGAGGCAGAGAAGTGCGATCTCAGTTTAGAAAAGGGCCTAGGGAGACACAGCCTCAAATATGAATGGCTTTTGCAATTTAATCTCTAGGAATAAAGTCAACATCTGTCTTAGGTCAGATTTCCGGGAAACAGACTCAGATGGAATTTTACTGGGGAGTTCTCCCAGAAACAACACCTGTGAAGGAATGAAGGCAGCAGGGCTGGGCAGAAGGAGGAATTGGACTGTTAAATAGTATAAACAGGACCTCAGCTGATCTCACGGACTGTCTTAAGCTGAGATGCCTCTTCAGCAGGATCATACTTTGAGGCAAGGGACTAAGCCTTTATATCCCCACATGGGCCAGTCATTGGACTTGAGCTGCCTGTGGAAAGGGAGCATGAATTTGAATGAGGCTGCTCTTGAGGAAGGCACATTTCTGGAAAAGAACTTGGCTGAGATTCATTGCAGCCAACTCTCTCAGCAGTTGGGAGAATGATTTTCTCAATCCTGGAGGGCATCTGGGTGGCATGCCACATCACCCACTACAACATCTTAGAAAGACCATGCAAACTCACAGCGACATCTCACAGTATGCATTCCCTATTCAGCATTCAGCAAAAGGCTTCTCTCTTATGTCTTCTGTGACTCAGCTGTCATTTGGCCTTCTTGACTGCTCCTTCTCAGTCACCCATTGTTCTCCTTTTTTTTTTTTTATTTGCCTTTTAAATAGGGGCACATTCATTTGTTCCTTCAACAAGTAATTATTAAGTGCCCATTTTGTTCCAGGTCTTCGGTAATATACTATTTTTGACTCTTTTTAATTCCTTTTTTTCTGTGAAGTCTTATCCACTTAAATTTTGCCTTGATTCTCTCCTTTAGTAATTTCCAATTCTTTAAGTACAGCTTTAGCCTCATTTCTAAAAGAGCAATCCAATTTCTAACTCTTGACTTGTGTGCCTCCCATTGAATGTGTCCAGTAGTGGAGGCAGTCAGTATCTTCCCCTGATCCAAGCCTATCTCATTTAATGAAACATCACATAGCCAGTTTCACAAGAAGGAAATACCTGGAGTGGTCTCAAATCTTGTTGTTGAACATACAATTCATCAGCATTGACATCATCTGGGAGCTTCTTAGAAATACAGAATCTTATGCCTCACCAGACCTACTGAATTGGAATATCCATTTTAACCAGAACAATGATTTATATGCATATCAACATAGGAGAAGCACAGACCTAAAACTTTCTTCTCCTCCAAACTCCATACCCAATAGGTAGGTAATTCTGCTTTGTCTTTTAGTCCCTCTCTCAGGAATATTAAAATAACTTCCTAAGAAATCTTACTGACTGCAGTCTTTCTCTTATAGTTGATCCTTCAGACCTATGTATACCTATCATTCTAAAACACATCACGTCCTCTTGCATAAACTTTGAATTGCTTCCAAAGGCTAAAGGATAAAGTCCAAGTCCCGCCATGAAGTTCATACCCTACCTTTCTGTTTTCCCCTTCTACATACTCACACTCTAGCTTTACTCCTTTACTCTTAATACACATTTACACCGTTACACCTTTACCACCATCATGTCATCTTTCATGCTCTTCTTTTGTAGCATTCTATTGCCTCTTACTTTGCCTATGCAAATCTTACTTAGCTTTTAAGATCAAGCCTAAATGCCTTGTCTTCCTTCAAGCTTCCTGCCTGAGCGAATACCAAAACACATTGGTCATCTCTATTTTGCAACATTTTCATTCTACTTTGTGTGAAGCCTGTCTTTTATACCTAGAAAAAGACTTAACACATCATAATAGGGTACACACACATACACAGTCATATCTCACTTAATGATGGGGATATATTCTGAGAAATGTGTCATTAGGCAATTTCATTCTTGTCCAAACATCACAGAGTATACATACACAAACCTAGACAACATTGCCTACTATACACCTAGGCTATATGATATAGCCTATTGCTCCTAGACTACAAATCTTTATAGCATGTTACCTTACTGAATACTGTAGGCAACTGTAACACAGTGGTATTTGTATTTCTAAACATTTCTAAACATAGAAAAAGTACAGCAAAAATATAGTGTTGCACTTTTATGGAACCACCATTGTACATGCAGTCTGTCATTGACTATTGTCATACAACACATGATTACATATGTGTGTGTGACTATACATACGTATGTGTGTGTGTATCTCAAAGGTCTGCTAACCATAGTGTCTAGACTTTGTGGAACAATCCTAATTTCAGTAAGTTTTCAAATTTTCCCATGAACATATGTTTTATATTTGATTATCAGCTTAAAAATATGGTCCTCATTTTCATCATCTCTACTCTGCATCACTTCTGACATCGGCTTTGGGGGTGCTGCATCGTTCAATGTTCAATGAATGGTGGATTATGCTGAGATCTCCAGGGCAGGATCATCTGAGGTTTCCCCGTTGTTTTCCCCAAGCCTGGTTGCTTGACTTCACATCTACACATCCTGCCCTCCTCCCTTCACTTTCCCTGTCTTCCCTTGTTTCCTACTGCCGGAGTGGAAGGAGAGAGATCTATTTCCCTTTGCTAACTCTGTCTGAAGTGGCGGAGTTGATCAATGAGTTGCTGTGCCTGTCCAGGAAAGCCAGTTTGATTGTCCTCCTGTGGCTGGGCTGACAGCATTCAGCCTTTTATGAACTGAATAGTGAAGCACTCTTTGTAGCTCAGTTTCATCTGTTTATGGTAGAGTCCAGCTGTATTTTTTATGTCTGCTGTTGTTATATTGTTGCAATTGGTATTAATCTCCTGCTAGTTTATTTGCTGTAGATTTATAATGGCTTTACATCATAAAAATGAAAAAAGAGAGAGATCAAACTTTAGTTACTGAGGAGGTCCAAATGAAAGGGTGAAGATACTGTGGGCTAATTAAAACCTACATAGCTTCATAAGTCTATCTGTACTCCTGGAAAAGGGAGATCTACCTGGATGATGATTTCCATGCCTAATGAAGATGAAATAAGTTTTTTTTTAGTTTGTTTTTTGTTTTTTTTTTTTTTTTTTTTTGCTGTAGTAACAGAAAGGCTCATTCCTGGGGTATGAAGCCTGCTAAAGCAATCCCTACTCCACGAGTAAGAGACAGAGCAACATGGAGTGAGGTGCCCTCAATATCAATTTGATTTTCAGTACTAGTGGTTAAAAGGGTACTTTCAAAAAATTTTTCATGAAGATCTACAATTCCAGCTTAGGACTGTGGCCACATTCTTAAAACTCCATATTCTATAATTTTCATAGCAAAGTGTGTACATCAGATTCCTCCAAGCTTGACAGACACTGTAATTTTCTTGGCACACATGTTTTGCCTAAAAATGAATGCATTTGTCAAAGCAGAAAGATACCAGTGATAGCTGACATGAAATTAATTAGATAGATAATCCCCCTTTGATAGGTGAGCTATTAAAAAAATTAAATTTTAAAATATATTCAGACTTCAATCTCATTAACATACTTTATTAAAATGCTTTAAAATTCTTTTCCGAAAAATTGAAGTAGATAAATAAACTTTAGTTCAGGAGGTAACCTTCTAGAGTGTACCTCTATATCTGACTTTCTCCTGATGAGATTGCCCAGGTATTAAGACCATCATTTATGGAAAAGTTACTTACAGGAAGAATGAGACATAGGATTGAGATCATTAAGTAAGACATGGGTTAAAATGCTTGCAGAGAACAACTAATTCTTTAAGCTTCAGATTTGTCTCTTCTGTGGGGAAGCCGTTATGATTGGTTCCACTTTCTTTTGCTGTCCCCAAACAGAGCTAATTATTCTCCTCATTACGCTGCTGTTCCTTTTTGACTTCTCTTTCATGGTGCCTATCATGTGGTAGAACACATACCTTTCATGTGTTTGTCATTCCTGTGAGACTGTGGGTTCCACATGGTAGCTGAATTGTTTTATCACCACAATCATCATCTCCTCTTTATCATCACTTTACCAAAGCTAAAGTTTATTGAGTACTTACTATAAACCAACCATTATTCTAAGCAATTATATGAAATCTATGGGGTAGTTACTTTAAAAGTCTTCATTTTAAGGTGAGGAAACTGAGGCTCAGAGACCTTCAGTGAGTATCATTCACTTCCATAACCTCATTGCCTAGCACTCTGTTGAAACAGAGTAGGCACTCAGTAATATTTGTTGAATAAATGTCTCCTTAGATAATCTCTGTAGTCTGTTACTTATATATAAAATTAGCTACACAGTTGAATATGAAGACTGACTTGAAAATATTCTCTCCTGCTTGTTTAATTCAAACTTAGTTTAATCATAAATTTCATGTTTATCTTGGTTGATTTTGATTCTTATGGACAAAGATGGAAATGATCTAGAGTTCCCTGGGAGATGCACATGTAAAATGGTGAAGACTTTAGGGGCACTATTAAGGTGACTCTGGACTATGAGCTCTGAAATATACATATACTATCTGCCCAATTTCCCCCAACCACTTTCAAATTCATGTCTGTGTTCTGTCTCAATTGTCTGATTCATTTATTCATTCAACAAACCTTTTTTGAGCTTAGACACTGTTCTAGGCCTTAAGATACAATACTGAATATAACAGAAAGAATAGGTGCTCTCAAACTGCTTATCATCTAGTGGAGATACGTAGCTAGGACAGGATAGAAATTGATAAATACCACCACAGAATTTAACAAGGAAACACAAAAATTATAGCTAACTTTGTCTTATGAGATGTCAGGAAAGTCTTCCTTCTGTATTAAGACATGAAAAATAAAATAGGAGGCAAAGAAATTGTAGGAAGAGTATTTCAGGGACTAGGAATGTGCAAAGATCTTAAGGAATGGCTATCAGAACATACATGGCTATCAGAACATGTTTGAGAAATTGCAAATAGTTCAGTATGATTTGAACATAAATGTGTGGTTACAGACAAAGATGCAGAGAGAAACAGGTCAAATCATGAAGGCTCTTGTATGTCACACCTGTCCATTTCAACCAAGGAAAGGCAAGGGAAAGTTATCAACGAGGTATAAGGATGAGAGTAAATGTAACATTTTAATTTTGAATATGCTCCTATAAGCAATAGATAGAATTTTCATCCTACAAGTACTTACTATGTCTCAAAACACGGTAGTATGCAATACTTGGTGGATCAGAGGGGTCAAATTGGAGGCAAGAAGATCAGTTGGCAAGAAGAATGTTATAATATATATTGAAGAAGTAGAAATAAAAGACATTTATTTGTAGTCTATTTTCTTGATATTCCTTCCTAATGAGGACAATCATGAAGCAAGAGTTTATTGTTCAGTACAGTTACTTAGACTTACTACTTAGCTTATAAGTACTTCACCATGTCCTTATCTGACAGACCTCTACTAACTAGACTGGAAAATGGTTCAGTGGAAAGGGTAAATGCTTTGGAAGGAAACAGTTTTGAGTTCAAATTATAGCTCTGCTACTTTTTAACTGAGTGGATGTGAGCATCTGTCTCATGTAGGCTCTTTTTTTTTATATGTTTATACATACCTAGTAGGTATATATTTATGGAGTATATTAGATATTTTGATACAAGAATACAATGCATAATAATAACATCAGAGTAAATGGGGTATCCATCACCTCAAGCATTTATCATTTCTTTGTGTTACAAACATTCCATTATACTCTTTTAGTTATTTTAAAATATATAATAAATTACTGTTGACTGTAGCCACCCTATTATACTATCAAATACTAGATCTTATTCATTCTATCTAACTATATTTTCATACCAATTAACCCTCCCAACTTCTCCCCAGCCCTGCACTACCCCTCCCAGCCTCTGGTAACCATCCTTCTACTCTTTGTCTCCATGAGCTCAATTGTTTTAATTTTTAGTCCTCACAAATTACTCCGAATATGCAGTTTCTTTTTCTGTGCCTGGCTTATTTCAGTTAACATAATAACCTCCAGTTCTATCTATGTTGTTGCAAATGACAAGCTCTCATTCTTTTTTATGGCCAAATAGTACTCCATTGTGTATATGTACCTCATTTTCTTTAACCATTTGTCTGTCGATGGACACTTAGGTTGCCTCCAAATCTTGGCCATTGCGAACAGTGCTGAAATAAACATGAGAGTGCAGATATCTCGTCAATATCCTTATTTTCTTTCTTTTCGTCATATACCTAGCAGTGGGGTTGCTGGATTATATGGTGATTCTATTTTTGTTTTTTGGGGAACCTCCAACCTGTTCTCCGTAGTGGTTGTACTAATTTACATTCCTACCAACAGTGTACCAGGATTCTCTTTTCTCCTCATTCTCTCCAGCATTTGTTATTGCCTGTCTTTTGAGTAAAAGCCGTTTCAACTGGGGTGAGATGGCATCTCATTTCATGCAGGTTCTTAAGCAGGCAATTCTATTCCCTTATTTCCCTTGTAGAAACCTGACCTTTACATGACTTCCATTTCTGTCTTTGTTGTAAAATGACACCATTTTAGGTTAATGCTATCAAAAGGGAGTCAAAATTAGAAAACAGAGAAGGGGAAAGAATGAATTATATCCTAGAAACTTAGAGTAATATGTATTATTTGAAGGGTAATCTCATTAGTCAAAATTCTTGCCTCATAAAATACCAAAAGCCTGTATCTGAAGATTATTTTTTCTGCTATGTGGTAGGTCATCATAAGATAATTTTAGTTGGATCAACTTTTATGCAACTATGTGTTAGTACTAGGTGTGCTGAGCACTTCTCATGTGTAATCCCAGTCAATACTCACCATACATACATGGGGTAATTATTATGCATTTATTTTGCAGATGAGAAAGCTGAGGTTCAATGAGATAAAGGTACATGTCCCCCCAGAGCACCAAGAGGGCTGAACCCCACCTTTAAGGTCATCAAGCTCTAAGGCCCATGTTTCCTCCAGGACACATGGTGATCTTTTCCATGGAAAAAACATTCAAGTCACAGAAAGAAAACACTGGAGAAATAATGTCCCTTTCTGCCCTCAAAAAATGTGTAATATGGTTTAAAGCACATATAGCAATGATGACTAACAAGTCTCTAGCTGCCACTCCATGTTCACCTGACATAGACTGACCATGTTGATGAGGATGCCAGTATAACATTTTCTCACCCCACCTTATTCCCAGGTACTGATCACCATGGCCCTGCCATCATTCCCCGCAGGCTCTTTGGAAAACCATGGAGGTATGAGTGTGCCAAATGAAGTGTCATGTACAGGCTGTCTCAGCTGAGGAGGATTAGTGAGAATTAGTGGCACTGTTGGAATCAGGCTAAGGACATGGCTCTGAACAAGTTAACTACTCAGCCAGGGCAGGGTTCTGCACACTGAGCCAGACGGCTGCACTCAGCCGCGACTCAGGATCAACTTTCTGGCTACTGAAATGAATAATCAAGTCTCCAGGCAATTCTCACAGAGCCTCTTATTGGAGGCTTGGCCTGCCTGGTTTGGTTGACCAAGCAGTATAATTAGCCAGGAATGTTCAGAAATAAACATTACTGAAGGAGACATAAAACTGTTACCCATGGCTGCACCTATCCTCAAAATGGCAGAGACTGCTCCTGGAATGACTAAGTAGACCAAAAAAAAAAAAATTGTTTTAAAGCTTCAATTTATTTCAGTAGAGTTGGCCCCACTGGTTAATTTTTAAGTAAACGTTGACTCTTCCCAACCTCTGCTTTACATTAGAAGGGATTTTCCCTGAATACTTCTGGCTCTTCTCCACCCTATGCACACAGCAACCTGAGGAGAGGGGAGGGGGCAGTGCCTCAGATGATTAATAAATTTGTGAAGAATAAAGCTCAGCTCAGCAACTTCTGTTGGGAACAGGTGCCCACAGGGAGCAGGGTCTCTTCTTTGTTCACTCATTCTGCAAATCTTAGCTGCATGGGCCTGGGACTTGGCAGGCAGAGGAATAAGTCTTATCTATTCAAAGGTTTATTGTTAAGAAGCCTGTTTAGTTGTCATATGAGGCTGCATCCTCTGCCTTAGCTGTTAGTGGTCATAAAAGGATATTTTGATCGCCATCTTTTATTCTTTTCTCAATTTATTCAGAACTCAGGTGAGAAAGAGGGTCATCAATTATTCTGGCTGGTTCAGAGACCCCTACACCCCCATGAAAGTAAAGTGCAGTAAATCAGATTATTAAGTCCATGTGGAAGAGGAAAGTGGAGGGGCCAGAATAGACTCTCTGGAAAGGGGCTGAGCTTCAGCAGGCCAGTTTATCTCAGACATGTGGGAAAGCCCCTGCTTACATTGGTTACACGACCAGAAAAAGAGATTACCAAAGAAATTGGTAGAATTGTCTCCACACAGGTGCCCTTAAAAATCTTATATGTGGGGGGAATTATGTAGATAGTCATCACAACCATTAATAAAATCTGCTGAGTGTGCTTAGTCACTCAGAAAGCCTGTATGCCTTCTTGGTGATAGGTCTGGCAGCAGGACAAATCCCCTCAGGCCAATGGAGCACTTATTACTTTGCAGACTACATTAGTAGTTCTGGTAAAGAAGGGACTCAGAAGCCTAGTGTTACAGACCCTCACATTGATTCCAAATAAGATGTTAAAAGGATCTTAGACAATAATCTGTTACTAATTTTATTTCATTTTCTTCTCCTCCACCTCATTTCTCAACACCCTTACTCAACTAGTTGAGATCTCTGCTTTAACTCAATAATGTATTTCCTTCCAACAGATTGTAGTAAGTAGATCCTGGACTATAAAGATTTTGGAGACCTAAGTAGAGGTGAAAACAGAAGAAAGCAAGGCTGTGGTCATCACTCATGAGGCTTATTAGGTTGTGGGAAAGGGGAGAATGGTAGATGTAAAGGGAAAAGTTTTGGATCCCCAAGATTAGTGACAGGAATCACTTTACAGGCTTTGTGGTCCAGTTGGAGAAACAGAGGGATACAGTTAAGTGTTAGAGTTAAGAGCTTGGTATCACCCAGAATGTGGCTCTGAGAATTCTTCCTGATCTTTTCTGTTGTTCCCATGTGTTTTATTGTGCCACATGCTTCCAGTTTTACACTGGGACTATTGAAGGTGCCATTGATAAAAAAGAAGTTACTTTCTACACTCACTGTGTTATCCATTGTCTGTCCATTGAGGGCCTGCTGGGTGTCAGACATAGTCCTCAGCTAAGGGGAGAGGAAGGGAAAATGGAAAGTGCAGCTTCTTGGTGGCCAACATGGAGGACACAATGTCCTGCCTATTGGTGTGGTACCTTATTAATATTCATTACTCCAGGCTTAACATTCTATGAGTCAATAGATTAAGTAAAATTTTTTAAAACTTGAATTCTCAATATGATGGGAGGATATGTAAGAATAATGGATGTTATTTTATTGTCCAGAGTAATAAAATTTGCCCTAAACCTTCAGTAAGCAAATGGCTCTCTGAGAGAGGTGGTGGGAGCAGGCAGTGGTTTCAAGGAGAAGAGATTTGCTGGAATTCACTAATGAAGACATGAAAATGTCAAAACTCAATCGAAGCCTTAAAACATATCCAAGGGCACAGATTTGGAAAAGCACCTTCTTCAAGAAAATGCCATAGTATATGTATTGCATAGAACTGATCATTATTAGAATATGAAAAATGGCTCCCAGTTATAAATTCAAGGGTGACTGCTCATAATAACCACAGAGGACCCTGTATGTGCTGCCAATTGGCTAAATCTTTCTGTAGAAATTTTATGAAGAATTAGCATAAAGGAGGAATAGGTGCCCTCTCTGTTGCTCTTAGAACTAAAAAGTCAGAGTTATTGTTAATGAAGGTCATCTAGCTAAGCTACCCATTTGAAAAGCAGATTTCCAAAAGACATTCAAATGGTAAAGTATCCAGAATGCCACCAGTCCACATGACTTACAGAGGTGCATTAGGGCACCCCCTTTGGGGAGATGGATAATTCAATGAGTGGGTAATTCTCCTGTAAGGCCAGAAAGTGGTATCTGTTTCACTGGGTGGTATGACATGTTGGTATGCCACAGAGCAAGGCTCGATGAGTGGCAGGGTTGGGCTAAGTAAAATTCAGCCCCATCTGTCCCTGTGGGTGGGTACTTTGGTACAGTGACCATTCAGCACAGAGACATGTAGAAGCACTGGAGGCCAAACAAGACACTGGTTTATGTATCTAAATTCCAGGCAGCGAATCAGATTCATGCAGGAAGTGACTGCAACTGTGGAACCCTGTTAAGGTTTGATGGGACAATGACCAGCAGTAATTACTGGGCCCTAATTCCTTAGAATATCAACCTCAATAATTTCTTTCTTTCTTCTGGTCGCTGAAGATCTCCAACGTTCCTGGCAGTAACTTTTCCTGGCCTGGCCAATCTCAGTTAGCCTCCTTGAAGTTTCAGAGGAGCATAGCAAGGAGGGCAGAGAGAAAGAAGCTCCTGGGGGCCTCTGTATGAATTCAGAAAAGATTAAACCATTCTTAGCTAACTTACTTCTCTGTTCAAGCTCTGGGCATTCTTGTCAATAAAAAAGTTTATGCAATTAATTTTTAAGGCCCCTTCCAACTCTAAAGTCTGAGCTAAGCAAAGACACATTTTCTTTGATTACTTAGTTACATGACAACTTTCAGATAAAATATAAGCTGCCCAGAGAAACATTGGCACATTTGTTAACAGTATTTTGTTAAACTGAGAAACATGACAAAAATATTTTTTTGTTGTCATATTTCTTACAGTAAACTCTCATTTATTCTATAAATACAATTTCTATTTTTGCTTTAATTTATAGGAATCCAAGCTAAAAAAAAACGCATATATTATTGAATTTCCAGTCAATCCTCAGAAGAGCCCACAGTTAACATAGCATGTATAAACATTTCTGTAGATTTTGGGGAGGTGATGTTCATGCTTGCCAAAAGTTGAGTGAGTGGCAAGGACTTAATCTATGAGTCATGTTAGAATGATCTGAAGTAATAAGTACTAGTTATAGGATTGCAAAATCATTCTTTCAAAGTAGTTATTTAAGAAAAATAAAGAGCTCTTGCTATATCAGAATTCAGCAAAACATACATTTTAGAATTTCAGATAAACCATAAGTGGTTGAAGTGAGTTAGGGCCCATTTGGGGGTGAAGGGCTTCCCAGAAGACAAGTTTCTGATACCAATAATATGAAAAATATATTTTTCTCACATCTTAGAAAGTGCAGTTCACTATGCTCCAGTTAAAGTCCAAAAGGCTTAAAAAATCTTGCCCAATGAGCACACTTTCAGAGTAATACACTGAATTTCTGAGTTCCAATTGGTATTTGTCTAAACAAAGTTGTGGGGTGATAAAGATATTCCAGAAGTATACTACAAATATTTCATACAGTTTAAGGGCATTAGCATATATTTTTCAGAAAAGTCAGAAAATCTAGATGAATTTACATCAAATATAATAAATTATTTACTTGAGATTCTTATTCCCTAGGCCTAATTTTGAATAAATGACTACAGTATGCCTAGTGGGGCCTGGAAAATGTCTCTCTAAGCAACCATGTTGAATTAATTATACTCTTCCAGCCATAAAAAATTAAACAAAAAGAGAAACTAAAGCAAGAGTATTAAAAAGAGAATACATTTAGCTCAAAAATACTTAAACGATGTTTGTAGTTTCAAGCAGCATTTCTTGGAAAACTGAAACTAAGAATATAACTTAATGTGAGGGTAACATAATGCTAGTTATATGTGCAGATAAACCAGATCATCAAATATTAAGAATCTCCAGTCTTCACAGATTTGAAAGTTGAGGATTTAGCTCTGGGCACCATAGACTGGCACTCTGTTCAGAAGCACTTCCCTCCTTTGTCTGCTTTCTCATCCCATCTTCAGCTGCTTTTCTGTCCAAGTGTCTCTCCCATTTCCACAGTCCCTGTAGGTGCTTACTGCTCATGGTTCTCCTGCTCATGGTTCTTGGTTCCCACGGTTCTTCTCTGATGATTGTATGCAAGGAGTCTAGAAGGAAAAAGAAAAAAGATCTGATTTGAATTTCCAAAATCTTCTTATGTCAGATGGCCCTAAGGGAGCTGTAGGTTACCAAAAGCCTGTGTTTATCTTATTTGGTGTCTTGTAATGTTCTCTGATTTAAAGAAAAAGTAAAAGGGCCTCAGGGAAGACTTCCCTGATCACCCCATCTCGAATAGAATTCCATTCCCCGTGCAGTCAGGGTCCTAAGCCCCAAAATTCAGAAAGAGAATTGAAAGTGCTGAGACCCAGTCCCCCATCCACTGACCTTTCAGGGTGGAAGTGGTTCAGGAAAACCAGCAAGCCGCCTCTTCTCCCCAGTCTCCTGCCCAGGACTGTCCCATTGACAGAGCTCAAACTGGAAAAAGGGTGTGGAAAATAATTGAGAGTGATCTGGATGGGACAGAGAAGATCTCTTCATACCTGCTCTGCTCTCTGCCTCTTTACCATGTTTTATTTTCCTTAGAAACTCTGACATTATTCAGTGCTAAATTTTGTTTATTTGTTGATTATTTTCATGGCGGGAAGAAAGGTTTATGAAAACAGAGACTTACTTTGGATTCTCTCTAGTTATAGAAAGCTACTTGGCACATAGAATATACTCATTAAGTATTAGTGAAGAGAAGGGAAGAAGGAAGAAAAAAAAGACAAGGCAAGGCAGGAAGAAAATATGAAAATTTTATATATGTAGACTATCAGGAAGAGCTATATTTTCCTCTGTGGTATGTGAGATGATTTTAAGTGATATCTGGGTAACTTCATTTTATTTACTTATTTTGTATGTATTTTAATGGTGATTAGGTGACATTCTTACAATGGAACTTGATTAATTATTTAATATAAAAATTCAGCTGGGTATGGTGGCTCACACCTGTAATCCTAGCACTTTGGGAGGCCAAGGCAGGAGGATTGCTTGAGGCCAAGAGTTGGAGAGCAGCCTGGGCAGCAAAGTGAGACCACCTCTCTACCAAAAAAAAGAAAAAAAAAAAAAAGTAGCTGAATGTGGTGGTGCACACTTTTAGTAATAGCTACTCAAGAGACTGAGGCAGGAGGATGGCTTGAGCCCTGGTATTCAAGACTGTAGCAATCCATGACCGCACACTGCACTCCAGCCTGGGTGACAGAATGAGACCCTATTTCTTAAAAGAAAGATTAATTTCCAGGAAAATATTAGTGACATATTAATAAGGGTAAGACAATGCTGGACAATACATGAAGTTTGAGAAAATGGAAAGGAAAATGTTCTCCATAACTTTTATGTTTTTATAAACAACAGTAACACACATGACCCTTTTTACTGCTCTAGTGTTTACTGCTGTCCAAATAGTTTCACTCCCACCATGCAATCACATAACAATACTAATTACCAGGGAGTTTAAGAGGCATTTCCCAGGGTCTTGGATCAAGTCGGTGACAGATTTAGGAACATAGCTCAGATGTTCTGTTGGGAGAATGGTTCTCTCATGTCTTGTTGAGCATGAGGCTCTCCAAGCAGATGAGTAGTGACTCTGTCCTGGCCCATTTCTATAGGCTGGAGTGGTCAACACACAAACTCCACAGTTAGGTGGCCCTAGCTCGGTCACAGGTCCACCAGTCACAGTGGCAACCCTGGGTAAGTTACTGTTCCTCTCTGTGCCTTGATTTCTTCATCTGTAATATGATATAATAATAATCCCTTTCCCATTCGGTCATTGCAAGGACTAAATGAAATAACATAAGCACCTAGAAAAGTATCTGGAACATAGTATATATGTTGGTTTTGTAGGGTGGGGATATTTCTAATCAGCCAGAATCACAGCCTGCTTCTTTCTGTTCTTGAATTATCCCAGCCATATGTGCAGAGCAAGACTCCAACAGCACATCCTGTATCAGTTTGGGGTGCCCAGCATTGATTTATAGGTACTGGATTACTTGTTAAGAGACAAATGCATTATAATAATTAAATTCTGAGTGAGTGGACATTTCATAGATGTGTGTGGGAAGACAAGAGGGTCTATGAAAATGATGCAAAATGTGCATGCTATGACTACCAGCTTTGGGATAATGCAAAAAAAAAGTCTGTATAGATGTGAGGTAAGTAACTACATTAATACTAATGGGGCCTGCATTTTTACTTTTTCCACTGAAGACATGCACTTGAATTTATTAGCAATAAGGAATACTCCCCCATCTGCGATGCACCTGGTGTATGCTGAGCTTGCTTGTGCCTCGTGTTGTATTACATGCAGTTAAGTCATTTGTATAAATTCGTATTTTTTTCTTCTCCACCTTCAGTCAACCTTTAGATCAAGATACTGAATAAAGTCAATTAGCAAGCACAAAGTTGCCCAGGTTTGGAATTTGCTCTGTGACTGGAATGGAGTAAATGGATGGAATTCTTATACAGTTTTTAGCTAGTTCTTTTAGACTGAGAAAGGAAGTAGGGATTTTTAGTTGACATATAGGCCCCTCTGCATAACTCCATGTCACAAAGGTGGCCTCAGACTTTATCTTAATTCAAGGGGATGCTGGATTCAGAATGAATGATGGCATCACTTCTGTTACAAAGGAAAAAAAGTCATAAGCCAAAAAGCAAGCAAACAAACAGGAGGTCACAATGTCAATCAGGTTGTCCTGAAAGAAGATGATCTTAAGTCTCTTGGTGAGAAAATGCTCAGTATGATATCTCTTGAAATTATTAGACAGCAGCACAGTGCTGTCTTCACAAAAAGGCGGTATCAGAGTTGTTGAGGGTGTGGACACAAGGTGTATAATTCCTTTTGGAAAGAATTCAGAGAAAAAAAGGGCCCTCATGGCGCCTTAAGATTATAAATAATGTCTTTATTTTATTGATGATATCTTGGCCCTTGTAAAAGATTCTGCTCTTTTTTTTTTAAATTTAGACACTTGTGGTAGAAAGGTGAAATACACAAAATTTAATCAGCTGATTATCTTACACATTTTTATAGCAACGCTTTTCAAACCTAAATGGTGAAAAGCATCTTCATTTATCAGAATTATTTTTGAACTCAGCTACTGCAGGGCTTTTTAAAAATGACCCTAATAAGACTTGAGCTTTCAGACATTCCCAGGTGTGGAGATGGGGCAGGTTAGCAAAATACCAACCCAGAGGACCAGCCTAGACTTTGGGCTGGATCGTGTTAGGGGAGTCAGAGATTTTGAGCAATTATGACCTAGAACATGCTTAAAATCAGCACCAGAGTTGCCAAACCAAATACAGTGGAGGACTGATTGGCTGGACATCAGGAGTTGGAGAGATTCAGGACTAAGAAGAAAATAAGTAGTTAAGAACTTGATGATGAATAGAGTTTGAGTTCTCTCATCCTCTTAATGGAAATACTGATAGTCCATATTTCACAGGGCTGTTGTGAAAATTAATTGGGATAATAAATACAAAGCTTTTAGCAAAGTTCTTGTAACTTGATAATAGCAGCTCTGCTTTTGTTTTTATCATTATGACATTAGTAATGATAATTATTATTATGATTAAGGAATTGCAGAGGAGGAAAACATCTTAAAGTGATGAAATATCCCAAGAAGTCTTTTGTAACTTATTTAACAATCGTGCATATATCTAACCTTGAATGTCTGAGGGAGACTTGGGCAAGTGGCAGAAGGGTTTTTAAATATGTTATTTTCTATAGTAGCACAGGTGAATTGGGAGTAAAGAAGCAGATATGATGACAGATGAAGAAATTTCAATGAGTCAGAGCAATGCAGCCCTGAGAGCTCTTCCAATTTTATACTAGGGAAGGCTGGCATTTCTTACCTTATTTTAGTCACGTGCAATGTTTTCTGAAGGTCTCATTAAAAATGATGCTACTTGGCATATTCCCCTTACCAAATGTAACCCGAGTTAAGCCTCAGATCTGGTCTTTTGTTTTGTTTTGTCCATGAACAACAGACAGTGACTATTATTCTAAACAGGGCATCCACAGAATGACTTAAATAAGCATATCATTGTCAAAAAGCAGAGCCTCTGGAAGCTGAGGGCCCCAAGTTGAATAAAATCTTGATAATAATGTTTGTAGAGATATTCACTGAGGAGGCCTACTGTTATAGCCTGAATTATGTCCCCCAAAATTCCTATGTGGGGTCCAAATTCCTGCTACTGCAGAATATATTTGGAGATAAGATCTGTAAAGAGGTAGTGAGGCTAAAATAAGGCTAATAACATGGGGCCTGGAGTCCTTCCAAAAGGAGAAAGAGATAGCCCAGGCACACACAGAGAGACCATGCGAGGACATAGGGAGATGGTGGCCCCCTGCAAGGAGAGAGGCCTCGGGAGAAAACAAAGCCACTGACACCTTGATCTTGGACTTCTAGTCTCCAGAGTTGTAAGAAAATAATTTTCTGTTGTTTAAGCCACCCAGTCTGTGTTGTTTTCCCATGGAAGCCCCATCAAACTAACCTACCCACTTTTCTCTAGAAACGTCAGCCTGATCTTTTGCTTTCTGTGCAACAAAAAGTTCAAGAAATATGAAGAGAGGGATTCAGACTCTGTTTCTCTTTATTCAGGCTTTACAGTAACAAGCATGACAAAGCAATTGTGTTGTCCATGGCTGGGACATGTTAAGTGTTTGAGTGGTTCTCATGGCTAGACTCAGGCTGTAGTCACTGAAATGGATGAGGCCACAATGTAATTTCAACCCTTAGAAGTATGCTGAAGGAAAATGATAAGCTTGTTTGGAAAGATCATTGGTTTTCCTGTCACCCATGAAGAAATACACGTACACACAAGTGTATGTATGTATAAGTGTGTATACATTCACATGCATAGATGATTATATGTAGATCCTTAAAACAAAACCAAAACCAAAAAATAAAAACCCTTACACAGGCCTCATTTACTGCAACATCCAGAAATCATAAAGAATTGTTATGCACCAGAAACAAGAGGAAGTATGAGAAAACCCCTACGAATACCTGCAACCACTCTCTTCAGATCTTTTCTCTCTCTCTTCACTGAGCTAGTGCTGTTATACATTGGGGCCACTACTGGCAGATCTCCTAGAGGCCTCAGATTCTTCTTAGAACGGCAATTATATTCTTCTAAAGCCTCGGGAGTGATTTGAAGCCACCACAGCCACAAAGACTTTCTTAAATCCTAACATTAAGAAAAAAATAAGTTAGTGAGGCTAGGAATTACAATAGTGCTTCTGTCTTCCTGGAAAATCCACCTAGTGGCTTGCAAAGCCTGCATTTATCTCTCTTCCAGTCACCAGTGTGGTCATGACTGGGTCTCTGTGCTCCAGACTGGCAGAGAGCTGCTGGCCATGCAATACTATCTATAGGGAGAGAAATTGAACACTAAGTCAAGCGGGGCTCTCAATCCACAGAGTCTGGCTGGAAGTGCAGCTGGACCCAGAAAAGAGCATGGCACTTCATCATATGTTTCATTGCTATTAATGTGGTGAAAAACATAGTCAGCTCCTCTCTTAAATCACAAAAATCACAGGCAGCAACAGTTAATAGGGAATCCACATGTCAGCTCATCCGGACTAGGGGAAGCCAGAAACAGCTCCACTTCTAAATTAGGTGAGAGTGAGGTTGGTCTGAATGGCATATAAGCACTCCTTTCTTCTAATTCGACCCCTGCCTGCCTGCCCTGCTTCTCTCATTAACATGAGCTTGCAATTAAGACTTGGCGCACCGAAGACCCAAGTGATCCTTCAGGCCTGAGATGTGCCTGTGGCTTTTCCTTCCTTTGTGGAATGCTGCTGCCCATTTGAAAAATACAGAAATAGAGCTGTCCATTTAAGCACACGAAATCATAAAATGATGAGAACATAGACACTAACTGTTCCTGTATCCCAATAGCAAACCACCAGAGGGACGTATTCCTGTCAGAGAAGCTCTTTCTGAAAGTGTCCACCTTTTAAAATATTTTACACTCTTGTAAAATGCGTTAAATTTCATTAAGTCTAAATGAAGTTTATTTTCCTTGTATGTGTTTTCATCTATATTTTAATGCAATGTGAATTGTTATTGATGGACACATCTCAGTCCTGTTTGAGTGTGAGCAAACAATGCAGCTTATTGAGCAGACTTTGTCGACAGTTTCCATTCACACGCTGAAGGCATCTGAACAAGAAAGCCATCCGGCAGATATTTATGAACATAAGGCTCGCAGCTGAGATGCCCATGCACAGCAGATCTATGGAGGGAGAAATTAAATCAAAAGCGATAAATAAGTGTCTGGTGTGGCTGAAATAAATGCACAAATGTAAAAAGAACATAAAAAGGTAGAGAAAGAACAGGGAAGGGGCAAATAAGACAGATTCTGAATTATGGCAGATATGTTGGCATTCATGTTTTATCAAGATCTTTGCTTCCATGGAGTTCAAGCTGAATGTTTGATCAGTTATTTATTTAACAAATTAGCTGCACCTACTAATTGCCCTGCACTCAGGATATAATAATATAGTCTCTGAAGATTTCACTGTCGATCTGGGAAGTGAGACTTTGACTTGACTTTTTCTCAAAACTCTGTAGAGATGTGAAGAAAAGTTCTCTGGGAAAAAATGAACCCCGTTGAGCTTGGGGATTGCATTCAGGTGGTGGAAATATTGGAGAAAGGCTTCTCTAGTGGTATGGCAAGATTTTAAGGAAAGAAGGGTTTAAAAAAGGATGGATTTATGTAGGACAGGGTGGGGAGGTGGATCTGTGGGGCAGAAAAATGGTATCAGGAGGCCAGAATGGCACATGTAATGGCAGGGAGACCACAAAAAGTCTTGGGATGGTGTAAAAGCCCAGATGACAGAGCACAGATAACATACACTGAAAGTGGGACATGAAGCCCAAGAGGGGAACTGGGCTGGTTGATGCCAAGGCACTTGTGCTACATCCTATAGCCATGGGGAGCTCACTGAAGGTTTTAGTAGACATAATAAGCATTGTTTCCCTGGAAGATTATTCTGGTGTGGAGGATGGACTGAGGCAGACGCGGGGTACTGAAAGGAAGATTTTACAATTAGTTTCAACCAGCTTAACACCATTTCCCTTTCCTTCCTCAAGGGATGAGTCCACAAGGTCTGCAGCTACACTCTAACCCCTTAGGGAATCATGTCAGGTTTCTGCTTTCTGCTTTGATCCTGCCTGCTGTCTCTGGCTCCTGCTTCATTGCTTTTACCTGTGTTGTTTCTCTCTGTCCTAAGGGCACTAGCACCACAAATAGGAAAGAAAGATTTGAAAGCCATTTTTAAAACAGCCAACAAATGTATTTATTAGCTTGATCCACTCAGCCCACACACTGACCAACATTTGAAGATATTTTGGTAACCTGTCTTTATTTTTAAAAATTTCTTCTCATCCAAACCCAAGCTCCTGGAATTTTCATTTGGGTCTGATGTTATGGACACTTCTCTCATCTGGGAGTGTTCAGATAGCTAGCTCCAGTCCAATTGATTCAACAATACAAGTTTTCATTCCTTATCCAGCCAGCTTTCTCCCTTAGGGTTCGTGTAATGATCACGTTAATGTGCCCTTCATCTAAAGTGGTCTTTAAAGTATAAAAGGAACAAATACTATTGCTCAAAGCTACAATGAATACCTGCTTAGGTACTATTCCAAATATGTTGCATGGATTAATTTATTTAATCCCATAGTATGGATACTTCTCATATGTTATCTCTTTTAATTTTTATAAAACAGTGATAGACTGGATTAAGAAAACGTGGCATATGTATACCATGGAATACAATGCAGCCATAAAAAAGGATGAGTTCATGTCCTTTGCAGGGACATGGATGAAGCTGGAAACCATTATTCTGAGCTGGAAACCATTATTCTGAGCAAACTATCACAAGGACAGAAAACCAAACACCTATGAGCATGCTCTCACTCATAGGTGGGAATTGAACAATGAGAACACTTGGACACAGGGCAGGGAGCATCACACAGGGGGGCCTGTCATGGGGTGGAGGGATGGGGGAGGGATAGCATTAAGAGAAATACCTAATGTAAATGACGAGTTAATGGGTGCAGCAAACCAACATGGCACATGTATACATACGTAACAAACCTGCATGTTGTGCACATGTACCCTAGAACTTAAAGTATAATAATAATAAGAAGAACACAGCCTATAATAAGTGTTATTGTTGCCATTTTATAGATTCAGAAAATGAAGTCCTTTGCAATTCCAATTAGGTGAGAAAGATCTGTTAGGCTGGGCACCTTTTCTATGCTCCTCAAAGCACTCTATTGGGGCAATACATGTCTCTTAGAATCGTAGATACAACAATTCTAGATTTTCAGAATGAAAGGAATTTTATAGGTAATTTTTTTCATCTACATGGGCAAAGCTGAAATATATGTTCTGGGCCTAGGATGCATTGATACATTTAGCCATTCCTTTATTCGCTCACCATAGTTAAATATGCTCTGCCTGTATTGTCATCCTTCTAGTCTCAGTTTCAATAGTTTTAGTGATAGAGAATTCACTACTTCCTGAAGCAGCCTGTTCTGTTGTATATTTAGGTTGTGATATATGTTATGTTGTGCAAAAATCTATTTTCCTCCAACTTGCAGTCACTGGTCATAATTTTAGCTCATGAGACCATCTCGGACAAGTTTCATCCTTCTTCCACATGACTTTCATTATTTGAAGTACATTTTTTTGGTAAATATCTACCCCCCTCTCCCAAATCTTCTCTTTCTTGTGTATTTATTCTTAGTACTTTATGTGGCCCAGTCTCAGCATCTCAATGAGGTGTCCTCAGGTTGTTCATATCTAGACATACTCAACTTCATCTTCACGAGTCTTTAAATGGAATGCTCAACATTGTATACAGGTCTCCAAGACTGATCTGCTCTGAGAAGGACAGAAAGGAGTTATCCACTACTTCTCCCTTGCCATTTATCAAGACTCCTAAAATTTGCAATTATGTGATTGTGTTAGTGTCTGAATCTTTGGCAAGACAGCAAGAGGGGCAAAGACCATAAGAGTGAAAAGATCATGAAGTAGTTTTGTTTTCAGTAGTATCCCTGGCAGAGTGCCCAGCAGGGGTATGTGTGCAATAAATGTTTATTGAATGAATGCATGACAAACTGACTGAATGAGTACCCTGTTATTAAAATATTAAATGTGAGCATACTGGTTTTTCTAAATAGCATGAAACTAGAAGTAACTTTGGAAACTAGCCCAATTAGTTCAATCTGTAGAAGAGAAAACAAAGACAGGAGAAGTCAATGATTTGCTTAAAGTCACACAGCAGAGCTAAGGCTAGATCTCAGGCTCACTAATACCCATTTCAGAGCTGGTAACTGAAAAGGTAATTCCAAGTGTCGGTATGGAGGTGGTGGTTGTGGCCCTAAGACAGCCATATCATAACCTCTTAAAGCTAGATGTCCTGGACTCTTCTGGGGCCCTGGGCAAAATACAAGAAGTAGCTTTGTAGCCACGCTTCACTTCTAGGTCAGGAGCTAACCCAGTTGGACAGGGCTCCATTCAAGGCAGCTTTGGACTCTGCATAAACTCACTGTTGTGTACTCAGGGCTTTTCCAGGACCCACATAAAGATCAAATATTGATTCAGCATCTCTCCTCTAAGATGTCCTAAGCTGCACTGGGAAAGGACTGACAAATAAGAAACAGCCAAGGATATACCCAGAGAATTATTCCAGGGAAATGAAATGAAGTGTTGGCAGTACAATAAAATAAATTCTGTTTTTGTTCTGCTCAAGCTCACTGAGAGGAAGAAAGTAATCTGAGGCCACTACCATTCTTAGAAAACAAAGCAAAAATGGATGTCAGTTGCTGCTTTCTCCTGTATGTGTTGTTCATAGACGTGTCTGGCCTGATCACAGGAGAATTATGGCTCTCATACCATAAACAGCATTGATCCATATCCTCCCTCTGAGACTATGAGGGAGATTCTGCAACATTATTTTATGGCTTGAAACAACGTATAATATAAGCCCCTAATCAGATGGTAATGGACAGACCTGCTCTGTCACTCTGTGCTATAGCCATGCCAATAACAACACCAATAATGCTTACCACTGTTAAACTCTGTGGCTATGAGTTATTTTATTCATGCCTCACAATAGGTGTTATCCCCATTTTATAGGTGAGGGAATAGAGATTGCCAATTTTGAAACTGGATCTGCCTAATGCTAACCCCAGTGTTCTGGCATAACCCTGTGCTTAGTGCTTGCATAATGAGTTAGGAAAATTAATGTTGATTTAGGTGTGGTTGCCCTTCTGATTCTGGAAAAAAACATTGTAGCCTTTTTGCCTCAAATGTTCTCACAATCCACTCTTCACTTTACCCTGATTCTACTCACCCTCTGGAATTCATGCAGGATTCCATTCCTCTTCCAAGAAGTTCTCTCTGACCTCTCCCACCCATCTGAGTTTGCATAGCCCCTCCTTCATATCTCTAATATTATATTAGTTGTATTAATTATGTTGGCTTAAAATCCTTTTTTCTCCCTCTACTAGACTAGGAGCCCCTTGAGGTCAAAGCCACTAGTGTCTTGTATAAGTAGGTGCTTCATATGGGTATAATATGTTAAATGAAAGGCTATGGAACATGTGATAATTAATAGCACCAAATTTTCTAATCAAAAGGTGTGGGAAGATTGAATTCCTTTAGGGATGAAGGTTTTGTTTGCATTAGTATCCACGGCACAGCATCTGGCATGAGTAAGCATGCAGTAAATGTGAATGTAAGGAACTCAGAAAAATTTTTTATTTTGGTAGGCCAAAATAAAAAATAAAATCAAAATTTAGAGAGGATAAGGTGTATTCAAGGTAGCATGCCATAGCAGAAAAGATTTTGGGTGCTGGAGTGAGAGAGACATGGGTCCAAATCAGTTTTGTCACTGCCTGGCCCTTGATCTAGCAAGTTAACTGTTGTCTCTGAAACTCAGTTTCTTCATCTGAAAACTGGCAACAACAATATTGCTGACTTTATAGGATACTTGTGAGAATTATTTATAATACTCTGTGTCTTGGCATGATGCTGAGCATAAGGTTAGGACTAGCAAATGGAGGCTGTTATTATATAACTGCATAATCTTCTCTTGTCATCAGGTATGTGAAGGCATTGCAATGTACCTTTCTTGAAAAATGCTTCACCATTGAAATACATCCAGAAAATTGTCAATCTGATAGTTAGGTGGAGGTGACTCGGCATCTACAATTCCAAATCAATAGTCTATAAAATGTGGAACTCAGTTTTTTCAGGCACTTGTAAAAATCATCCTTCACATGCACAATCAATCAATCACTTGAACATAAAGCATTTTATAATTTATATTTCATGGTAATTTTTATACTATTTTCTTTCCCTACTGTGAGCTACTTAAAGCAGAAATTGTCTCTAATTTACCTTTTCTTGGACTTTATATGCAGAACAATTCCTGCCATATTGTAGCTACTTTTTATTTTTAGCCCTATCTCAATTGTTCTTAAAAGTGTGTTTTTAGTATAATTATGTTTAATGTATAGCTCTCATAAGAGACTGTGAGAATCAAAGAGAGTTAAGACAGGAAAGAGACCTACCTGGCTATTGGCACTTATTTAATTTTATTACCTTCAGATATTGGGACCTCTGCAGACATAGCATTTTTTGGAACCATGGGACACTGGAGACAAACATACAACTATTCCTTCCATACCTATCACCATTCACACCGTGGGTAAAACTGTTCTAGCGTATGGGTCACATATGTGACTATAGGAAGCCCCACGTGCTGTGCCTTCACTCACCGTTATATCTCAATGTCGACCACAGTGTCTGGTACACAGCTAATGTTCAGTTAATTATTGGGCCTGAATGCCTTCTCTCACCAATATGGTGAAATGAAGACTCATGGGAAAGAATCCCAAAGAGCCTTTATTTTCCAGCTACAGGTAGATGGGTCACTTATCTTCTTCACTGGTGGCTCTCAGAGTTCAGCATGCATAAGGATCATCTGGAAAAGTGGTTAAGGTGTGACTGGAGATTGTAAGGACAGAGGAGACCCACCTGTAGGTGCAGAGAGAAATTCTTGTTTGGCAAGACAGCATGCATGCTATTTTATGGTAACTCAGAGAATACTGCAGAGCCTAGACATGTGTCCAATAGGCTTGTGGGTCACCTGGGGAGGCAACCTCAGGAATCCAGGCATGGGTAAGAACATCAGAGCAGCCTACTAACATGGTTTGGGCCCTAATCATTGGCTTGGGTGCAAAGAAAGGACTTGGGTCTCTGAGAGAGCCATTGACTAGAGCAAAGCAGGACTCCTGCCCTGGAGGCACTGGGTTGCCAAGAAAGGTAATGAAAAACCAGAATTAGCATTTGAGGTAGAGATACATGAGCTGCTGCTTTTTCTTAATGACACAGACACAACTCAAGCATCTCTCCACTGGAGCTTATTTCTGCATCTTGCATTGTACTCATCAGGCTGCATTGCAGTGTTCTGTTTACATTTCTGTCTCGCTCACTAAATTGTGAGCAATATGAGGGCATGGACCATGTATTATCATTATGATTTGTTGTTGTCTTCATGTCTCTAGTACTTAGTTCAGAGCCTGGCACATGATATCTGTTCATTAAATGTTTACTAAATGATGGCATGAGTGAATGGATGGGTGGATTTGTGAATTATTTCTTTTCCTCTCCCTTGCCCAAGTTGGGAGGAAGGTGTTTAAATGCCTGTGGCATGAAAGCAAGGCAGTCCCAGGGGGAGGAGCAGGTCTAAACCTGCATGTGGGAATTAAGTGGTCCCAGCTGTGGGAAAAGGCAAGCCAAAGAGGCTGGGAATAGCAGAGGAAAAGCTTTGACTTTAGTCATTGATACCTAGGTGTGACTGAATCTATCATTTTACTCTTTTTATTATCAGGACACTTTATCAGAATGGTGAGGAGGGTGAAAAGGAGGGAGAAAAAAATTGCATTTATAGTATATTTTATGGAGTTACTTTATGCATATTTTCAAATGTAATCCTCATGAGATTGTTATAAAGTAGGTTTATTATTACTCCTTTAGAGATGCAGAAATAGAATAATTTGCTCAAAGTCAAAGAGCCACTCCAGAGCAGTCTAGAGCCTGAGGAACTTGCTAGTAAGTGCTTACCTTAATTTGGGACCCTGGGGATAAAGGGAGAAAATTATGAATGCATTGGATGCCTGGGAAGAGGGGTCTGGACTCATATTTTACTTCAGTACCCTTGACAAATATAAGAGGACCACCAAGACATGGAAAATCTTTTAGGACAGTTTTCATCAATACCCACAGTGTTTCTCACAGATAATTCTAGTTATTTTCCATGGTTTCTGTGGTTTTATTATATTGATTATTCTAATTATAAGCCATAGGCAAAATAGTATTCATCCAGTTAATTATCAGCATTTTGATTTGGCATCAGGGAGATGAGACTAGTAAAAATACTTTCACATTTCAGCTTTGTTGAGTGACGAGAACTGTGTTAATATTTTCCATGTATTTTCTTAATTTCTCCTCACATGACTTCTAGTAAGTAGACATTATTATCATCTCCAATTGGCAGATGAAGAAAAGAAGGCTTACAAGGTTAATTAACTTAATTCTGTCACTTTCAATTCTGACCTTGGATGATTCTCTCTGATTTCAGCACCCATATTCTTTTCATTGTAGCATCCATGTACCAGGCGTTTGTGTTCCATCTGAGGAGGCAGAGTGTTAATATAGAATTAAATGTGATGACTCATATAAATGCTTTAATAAAATGTACAAAGCTCTGTGGGCCTAATCTATTTTTAGTCAGCAAAGGCAGCAGTGTGGAGGTGATCATCAAATTGGTCCTTAAATGAGAGGTGGTTTTTAAAGAAACTTTTTGGTCTTGTGTATTAAGCCAACTTTACATTTTAAATGAATAAACAAACAGTTGAGATGAAGGAATGTGCTCAGTGAATGCACCTTCCCTTAGCTCCAGTGCTCATCACTTCCCAGGCTTCTTTGGGACTTGCCTTCTTTGCTTTCAACTCTCTACTACTGACTGCTACGCCTGGGTTCATTTTCATGTTAAACTGCTGGTCCATCTGTTCCCAATGAAAAGTACAAATATTCTCATGCAAATCTTGAATATAGACCTGTCACACAGTGAAGGCAAAGCTGTCAAACATCTTCTCTTTTGATGGCCAGAGTACATTTTAGAACTATGTTCAGGTCAGGGCCATGCTATAATCAAGAATATTTCAGGAAATTTCTTGCTGGTACTAGAGGAGATCATGCATAGACCTAAGCAATAAAAGGGCAATCATTATGCATATGGGAGAAACATTCAGCATCTAGAGTAGAATATTCTAATTGACTCTTCAGACAACATCATCTTGATAAGTTTTATTTCCTCTTCCTTTTTATTATATGCTTTTTCTAGTCTCCTTCCAATTTACTAAAATATGTTTTCAAAAACTTATTTTGGGTTGCTTTTATTTTTATTTTTTGTCTAATTATTGTTCCAAGCAGGGTTGCAATTGTCTGTATCCTGGGCTCCTTGAAAGCAGTCTGTTGTGTTAGTGTCAGAGTTTTAGAGCCCTAGAGTCTGATTTGAATTACAGTTTCACGGCTTACCACTGTGCAAACTCTTTAATACTAGTTTCCCCATCTATAAAGTGAGGGATTATAGCACTAATTTAATTAAACTGGTGTGACATCAAATGAAATCATACTTGCAGAGGGCTGAGTTTCATTCCTTGATCTCCAGAAAATATTAACTTTTGTGATGTTTTCCAGCAAGTTCTTGGCACATAGAAGATGCTTGAATGTGTTTGCTAAAAGGTGGAATAAGACACAAATCATGGAGCAAAAGAGTGACTTATTTAAGGACCCACAGTTACTAGTAAGTTTGAACTATAGCTCATTTCTTCCAAGCCAAGGACAGTTCTTTTCCTAGCAGGCAAATCTGTTGTTCTTTTCTTTTTTAAAAAATGTAATTTTCCCACATTTTAATATTTGATAAGCAGTTTATGATCTTTTATTTCCTTCTATTTCTATTTACTTGTGTTCCTAAATACTTCTTATTTCCAAAATAATGGTTTCATAAAAAGCCATAAAATAGAGTATAATAATATTACCCACCACTGAACACATAGTGAAAAACAGTAATCCAAAAACAAAGTCAGAGAGGAAGGGGAATTGTATCTAAAGCTATGGGATGAGCCTAGAGATAGAGATGGAACTCTGGTCTTGACACTGGGTATCCTAGCAGGCAGGCATCTGCACATGTGCGCTGGGGGAAATCCAAGCTATTTCTGTGTTTTAGCTTTTATTGCCTTCTTTCTGATATTCATAGTAAGATACTCTAGCTTTAAGCTCCCTGTGGTCTATGTGGAGCTCCTAGAATTCTAGTAAGGCTTCCCTCCCTGGTATTTCCAAATCCCCTGCTCAAGTTTTAATGCCTAAAAGATCAAATACTAGGCAGTGTTGAGACAGTCCTTCAACAGTGAGGAGGTTTTGGTTAGCAGATGGATGTGAATCTGCATATTTAGTTTTATTCAGAGGAGCTTATGGAGTGAAAATGAAGCTGGAGCATAGCACCATAAGCCTGTGTACCTTCCAGCTGTTCACGCAAAATGTCAAGTTCGAGAGTAGCCTGAGCCTGGTGTTGGAGCCAGACACATCCTTTCGGTAGACTGCAGATGGCCTGTGGTGTAGCCTGTCACATCAGTCACTGCTTGCACATTACAAAATGATGGTCCAACCAAGGACAACTTTATTGCCATACTTTATAACTACACTTTGCCCTCCAGACTTCAACATGATCATCGATAATTAGAAGCTAGCAGGGCGGCATGACAAATTCTGTAATTTGGTTATGTGTCCTGCCAACTGCAAAGTGGATTTCCCCAACTATAAGCCAAAGCCTAGCATGTTCACTGTCATTGCCCAAGAAAGAGTCTCCAGCTACTGTGAGGAAGAACATGCTTTCCCTACTTTACATGACATGATGAGAAAATGCTATACAAGAGACTTATACCCTGCTCTGCAGGAGGTGTGAAGAAATGATTCAGAATCAAAATATTCCCTCCTAATGTTAGAAAGCTGTTCTGACAGAATCTTCACAGGGCCACTGTTTGAAATATTTTGGTGAAACATATTTGCCTCTGTATGCTTCTGAAACAAAACTACTTTTAAAGGCTGAAAAACATCAATCATGTATACATCCTTCTATCCTGTGATCCATCCATGCAAGAAAGATTTACTTTAGTCTATTATTTGCTGAAGAGTTTAGTAGACATCAATAGGCAAACAAAGTTAAAACATCATGGTCCCTAAAGTCAAATAACTTAAAGTAGAAAAATATACAATCTTCAGTTTGGAAGAATAAGTGAAGGTCCTTTGGTCTAGCTATCTTTATAAGAAGCAGTCTGATAGGAAAAATTAGATTTGCAGAAAAATAACTGTCTTAAGAATTTAAAGCATAGTAATGTGTTAAGAGATATAAAAATAGTGTTATGGAGTCTCAAGTTGTGGAAAGACTACTTTGAGCTGGATACTGTCAGGGAAGGCTTCATGCTGAAAGGGACATTTATTTGGTTCTTAAGAAGTGGCCCAGAGGGCTAAATGGTGGTCCCAAAAGATATGTCCATGTGCTAATCCCCAGAACCTATGCATATTACCTTATATATTTAAAGAGTAAATATTACCTTACCTGCCAAAAGATTCTGAGAGAAGAAAAGGTTTTGGGAGAAGGAGTTTATCCTGTATTATCAGGGTAGGCCCTCTTAAATCCAATGACAACGATCCTTATAAAAATAAGACAGAAAAAGATTTTATAGATAGATAGGAAGAGGCATTGTGACCACAGAGGCAGAGATTGGAGAGGTGGGGACATTAGCCAAGGAATGTGGTCAGTCATTAGAACCTGGAGGAGGGCCGGGCATGGTGGCTCACGCTTGTAATCCTGACACTTTGGGAGACTGAGGTGGGCAGATCACCTGAGATCAGGAGTTCAAGACTGGCTTGGCTAACTTGGTGAAACCCCATTTCTACTAAAAATACAAAAAATTAGCTCGACATGGTGGTGGGCACCTGTAATTCCAGCTACTCAAGAGGCTGAGGCAGGAGAATTTCTTGAACCCGGGAGGCGGAGGTTGCAGTGAGCCGAGATCGCTTCATTCCACTCAGATGGGGTGTAGCCCTGCCAATAACTTGGATGTCATAATTCTGGCCTCCAGAGCTATGATAAAATAAATTTCTGTTGTTTTAAGCCACCTAGTTTGTGGTAATTCATTACAGCATTCATGGGAAACTAATACTGATGGGTAGAGTTTTAATACATGCAGTGAAAGAGGAAGGGCAACTAGATGGAGAGAACAATGTGAATAAATGCATGGCGACAGAGCATGTTTAGGATCCAAGAAGTGGTCTGATGTGATTGGACCAATACTAAATGGGTATTTGTTTGGAGTGCAAATAACAAAAATCCTATATTAGTCAACATTTACTGAGCATTGTCTATGTGCCATGCCTTGTGCCGGTTGCTCTTCATGTAGTTTCTCATTTAATCCTCACATCTATCCCATTAGGCAAGTATTTCCTTATCTCAATTTTACAGATAAAGAAACTGTGGCACAGAGAGGTTGAGTAACATGCCCAAGGTTGCAGAGCTAGGAAGTGCTCCAGCTGGGATTCTGACCCTGTCTGTCTGCCTGTGCTCCAAGGCTCTAGGCATCTGTGCTACTTATTTATGAAAGGATATTCTTCCCCTGCTCCCACAGCACATCTGTCGGGCGCTTGTCACAATATAGTATCATTTTATTCCATTTACTTTTTCCTTTACCTGATTATAAGGTCAATGAGAGAAGAGGTTACGTATTTCTCAATTGTTGGTGTTTTTCCAGGCCTAGTACCTGGTGAATTATTGGTATATATTTGCTGAACTGATGGGAATTGTAAAGCTCTATACCAGGACGTGGACCAGAAAAAAATTGCTGTGTAGCTCTTGATTTGAATGTCAAAAATTATTAAGTCCCTCTTCTACCACACCTGTATATCATGAGGATTTTTCCCTCTTATAATGAGGTTATTAGATATGGGTGTGTGTGGTGGGGGTAGGCTGGGTGTGGGGATAGATGCAACCCTAGTCTCCATCAGATAGAGTTGCTCCAGACCAGGCCATGTGAAACCAATGAACATGGCTGGCAGAGTTAAAATTCCATCTCCTGCTGTGTAAATCTCCATAAATTAAGAACCCATTGCAATCATGCTCAAAGATGCTTCTGAGACATTTGGAGGAAACCCAAAACACCATAGGCAGCATAGATGTTTTAGCTCCTGAAGGCTGATCTGTAATAGGATTAAAAATAGAACAGTCTTTTTGCTTCAAAGCCAGGGTTTCCAAGGAGTAGATGTCCAGTTCTTACTACTCCTAGTTAAAACAGAATTACAGTTGTCACCTCCATATGGAATGCAGCTTTTGCTCTGGATGTTAGAGGGTGAAGCCTGTACTGGTAAATACTGGTCTCTGAAAGGGGCTGGGGTCAAAGGAGTGGCAGGGGAGGGCAGGCTCTGCAGAGAGTGTGCCAGCTGTTCCTGATGGCAGAGTCATGTCTGACCACAGAGAGAGCCAGCATGGTAAGAGAGCTGCAAACCACACAATAGGAGAGAAAGTATGGAGAAGTTTGAAGTGAAGCATCTGTGAGAAAAGAAAAAGACAAGAAAGAGCACAAGGTGGAAAGGGACTTAGCATAAGGATTTGCATGGAGGGCTCCAAATTCCTAAAAGAAATGTTTGCATTACAGACTCACCAACCCACTATAATATGTGTACATATGCATACACATGTTTGCATAGTAGAACATAAAGCACGAAAGAGAGTAAAGACAAGAAATTAATCAATTAAGTCAACGGGTCTGACACTGGCTTATCTACTTTCATACCCAGAACCTCCAATGTTTTCCTCTTTTTGAAAGAATTTCAAAATATCTGTCTTTCAAATGTCTGCATTCTCTTATCTACATTTTGTTATTCTTCACTACATCTTGTTTGTGTGTTCTTTCCTACCATTTTTTACTACAGCCTCTCCCTGTGCAGAAATTGTATGCTTCACTGAATGAAGCTCTTTCATGTTCCCAGAAAACAATCCCTATTTTCCTATCTCTGCATCTTCACTCAGAGTCTCCTAAATGTGGATATGAATATGGTATGATGCAAGTGGATATGACATATATCCACCTTAATATCCACCTTAAGGAGACTGTGTGAGCGAAGCTGCAAAAGTAAGATCCTCCCAGAACTGTCCTCCCATCTCCAGTCTTTAAGGCCTAACATAAACTAACATCATTGACTTATTTGTAAAATTTATTTGACCAATGTTTGTTGAAAATGTTTTTTTTTTATGCTACAGAAGACATATACCTTCTATTCAAGTTATTTTTCTATTTGTTGTATTTGCCCTACTGGACCAACAGTGGCAGTTTTAGCTTTGTAAGTCCAGAGTGCTTTGTACACATGCCAGTCCCTGCAGATTTTTAAAGTAAATGATTCCATGGCTAGAGCCTATTTGTGTAGGAATGCTTTGCCAGTTGAAACTAAACTCACAAAGTTTGTGATTAGTTGAAATTTTTACCAGTTTACTTTAACTGGTAAAATTTGCTAAGATTTATGTGCAATATGAGGTTATTACCCAGAAAATCCTTTCTATTTCAAGGTCCTATTGCTAGTTCTCTAGTAAAGCTTCATCTCTCACCTGGCTTACTGCGACCGCTTGCTAGTGGCTTGTTGTCTTTGGTCTGATTACCTTGAATCCATTCTGCAGCCTACCGTCACTGATACTTCTAAAACACAGATCTGATGGTGCCTTCCCCTGCTTAAAGCACACTGAAATCTGCCTTTTGCTCTTTGGATAGTGTACAAAACCTTCACTCAGATGACCCTGCCGGGTATGCTCACTGCTCAACTCTTTAGCCCCTTCATTTTTTCACTAGTCTTCACCTACTTCTGTTCCTTCTGTCTGTTCCCCACCCGAGCACCATGCACCACATTCCTCTGGGTAACTCTTATTTACCCATTAGGTCTCTGAAGCTAGCCTTATCTGACTGTTCCCCTATGCTCTGCCAAGCTCTACGTTTTTGTTGATACAGCATTCTGTAGATTCTCTATTGTAGCATGTATCACACCATTTTTAATTGCCTGCTTATTTTTTACCTAAAACTCATTAAATTTTAGGATTCACAAGGACAATAATTATGTCTGTCTTTTTCACCATTAATGCAAGGGTCTGAGATTGAGATGAAACTGATTGGAGACTTGCTGAATTGAGTATATTGAAGTCTAAGTTTAAGAAAACTAACAGGAAGCTTATTCTATTTTTTAAAAGTCTTGAATAAGAATGACACTTTCTCATTTAATGTCACTAACCTGGCCACCTAAAGAAAATGGAGTGACCCTTCTGGAGTATATTGTATCTTCACCTAATTAACTAAGAGAAAGAGGGAATGCCCTGCCAAAAGGAATGGCTCACCTATTTCCTGGAACTACTCCTAGACCTTAACTGGTTTGCAAAAGCTGGAAGTTATGACCCTTGATAAAATAATAACGTATATTTTTTGAGTGTCTTTGATGTAACAGCCACTTTTAATATACATTTTTCTTATCCTCAGAACTACCGTACAAAGCAGTATTATCATTATTCCTTTATATGAGAAAGCTGAGCTCAGAGGTAAGTAACTCGCCCAAGGACTCCGGTGCTACTAAGCATAGAGTCAGAATTCAAACAGAGATGCTTCTGCTCTTTTGATTTCATCACATTATCTCTCTAAGGGCTTCCTCATACATGCAAACTGAGAATGGGGTAGAGACTGGGAAAATCTGGCTAAGCAAACTCTGAAATTTCTCCTAGTAACAGAATGTTGGAAAAATAAGTCTATTTATTTATATTTTACTTGCTTAAAAATAAATCAGCAATTTCCATTTGTGAGCCTACTGTTTGGGCAAGGATAAGGAATGCATAATTTTTTGAAAAGTTTTAAAGGCAGATGGAAGTCTTCTACTTCAAAATCTGTATTCACCAACACCTACTTAGCAACCAGCTCTGAAACCCGATGAAGGCCCCATTAGGACTGCAGGCAATGCCGCTGCAAACAGCTGCTCATTATGAACCACAGTGCCAAAGCATCATTAAGCGTCCATGATGTATTAAAATAAATCCTTGTCTCTCTGACCCATGATATATTTGGTCATCCAAGAAGACAGCTCCTGAGATACATCTCAACAAGCTGCATGAAAAACCAGAGTTTCAAAATCAAGCTGTTACCAAATGGGAAATTTCCCATTATTCCAAGATATATTATGCTAAATGACCAATCATTTTTATTGATTTTCACTGCTAGTAGTCAGGAAGTCCAGAGTGTATAATCCTCACTGATCTTGTGGTCCTTGGAAATGACAACTAAAGCCAGTAGCTGGCTTAGTGGAAGAGTGAGATGAAGACAGCAAAGCCTCTTCTGTTGCATTATTCATACAACTAAGCCCATCCACTAATGGCCATGAGGAACTCCTATTAACTCTTGGTGCTTAGGAACAAAAGTTGAGGATCAAAGTCTTAGCAAAAGTACAAGTATGAGGTTGTGTGAAAATGTCAGTAATTTTTAGATATTTTATTCCCATAGTTTGAGGCTTTAAATTCTGAGTTTGAAAAAGATAGGCTGATGCCCATGGCAATTTGTTTTCTCCTGCTCTACAGGAATATATACATTTCACCTTAAAATATCTGTGTTTTGGGTAAATGAGTGACTAAACTACTCAGCCAATTTAGGGAAACTTTGAAAAACTTATGAATCAATTCTTTCAACTTTCAATAAAGCATTCATATGGTTCATATATTTCTAAATTGTGGAAAACAATATAATTAAAGCTTCTTTCCCATTCTGTCACTGATCTTCCAAATTTCCCCACTGTTACGGAGAGAGCCACTGTTTTTAGTTTCTTATGTATTCTTGAATTGCTTAATGCATATACAGCACATAAAAGATCTTTTCGGACTCTTACTCATAAAATGTAGCATACTACACATGGTGTTCTGTATCTAGATCTTTTTCTTTTTAACTTAAGTTCTTGGAAATCATTCTATGCCTGAACTAGTAGGGCTAAACCTACAGTGGCCTCGCAGGCTGTGAAGATTAAGAGGATAATAGGTATTATGGATAATAGTATGGAGAGCTTCCTCCTTCTTTTTCATAGCTGTATAATATTTCATTATAGGGATATACTGTAATTAATTGAACCAGTGCCAATTGATGGATAATGTGACTCATTCCAATTTCTTACATTGTGAATTATGCTGCAAACTTGTACATGTATGTGTGGAATATATGTTGAATATATTTGCACAAGTAAAATTGCTAGGTCAAAAAGCACATTTATTTGTAGTTCTGATAGATATTATCAAATTGCCCTTCATAGGCATTTTCCCAAGAATGTTCTCACAAGCGGTGTGTGAGGGTTCTTATTTTCATCAGCATCTTCAGAAGTATTTTATGAAAACGTTTCCATATTCTTGACATTTTGATAGGTGAAAATTAGATCTCAATGTAATTTTTGTCTGTTTTTTATTATGAGTGAGGAGTAGCATTTTATTACTTAAAGGTCATTTGTATTTCCTTTTCTGTAAACTAAGTTTTCATATAGTTTGCTGTTTTGTATAAGCTGTTAGTCTTTTTTTCTTACAAGTTTTTAAGAGCTCCGTATATATCAGCAGTGTTAGCTGTTTGTAATGTCATGAAAGTTACCCACATTTTGTCCAGCCTGCCTGCCTCTTTCTTTTTTCCTTCCTCCTTCCCACCTTCCTTTTCTCCCCTTCCTCCGTCCCTCCTCCTCTCCCTTCTTCCAAACCCCAGGTCTTGAAGATTTTCTCTTGTGTTTTTTTCTAAAAGTTGCATGGTTTTCTTTTACAGGTAGAATAATTATTTATTTTTAGCCTTTATAAAATGTGTGAGGTTTAGGTCAAGTTCAAGGTCCATTTTTTACATATATCCAATTATTCCAATACTATTTATTGAAAAGATTATCCTTTCTCAACTGAATACTTTTGCCCCTCTGTTAAGGTTCAAACAGCCACATTTGTATGGGTATATTTCTGGACACTATATTTTCTTCCATTATTCTGTGTCTCTTTGCTAATGCTAAAGCTTTATTGACTGTTTTGATTTGATTGCTATAACTTTATAGTAAGTCTTAAAATTTAGTAGTATTATTTCTCCAATTTTGTGTTCCTTTTTCAGAATAGCTATTCTATTTCTTCACTGCTCCTTATAAACGTAGCTCCCCTGTACCATGTGTTACAGCTGTATTAATCTAATATTTGTCTTCAGGTAATTTCTTATTTTCTTATGCCTCTAGACCTTTTCTCTTGCCTACTTAGATTGCCCTTTCCTGCCATTTGCTATCAAAGTCCCATCTATGTTTCAAGATACAGATGAAATCTTATGAAGTCTTTCACCCTATGTGTGCTCCAAATATACAGCATTAGATGACATGAATCATGATGTGGTGCAGAATGGATAAGAGGACCTGAGAACCCACTGTTCTCCTGGACTTTCTCCCTGGCCTTTGGAAGCTGAATGGAGCTTTGTCTTTGCTAAACTCCAGCCAGTTTCCTCTCACAAATCCATTACTATTAAGATGAATGGATAGATGGGAATGACTCCACTGGTGTGTTTCAATTTCTGAGGGCAACAAATATTCAGAATTGACAATGGAGGTGAAAAGTGGCATTTTAGAACAATATATTATTTTAAAGTGTGTGTGCTGTCCAGGCAAAAGACAGTTTACCCCTGGAAGATCTGGCATGTTCACAGTCCCATTCAGACTTTTTGAATTACCCCATGGTGAAGGTCAACATCAGACTTTTGTTCTTTTTACCAAGAATGAGGAAGAGACAGATGGGGTTCGATTTGCTTCTCTCACCAATCAAAAAGACCAAGAGAGGGAATTAGCATATCCTCAGTGTTCACTTATTAATAACTTTTGTTATTAAGGTCTTTCATGTACTACAATTATTACATAATTATCATTGCATTCTGGTCTTACAACCAACCTTCATAACCAAGTTAAGTGTTGCTATCTGCATTTTCTAAGTGAGGAAACTAAATTTAGAAGACTTGACTAAGATTAGCCAGTTAGTAAGAATGGGGCTTCTGTGCACATAGGGCCACTAACAAGTACATGTTCATATGTGCTCGCACCCCCGTACCTACACACAAACACCACAGATCAAATAAGAAGCGTAAGTGGAAAGCATACAATCTATGGAACGTGTAAGAGGGATACTATGTGGTGACATCATTGGACTCTGAGCATACACTGTGAGTTGTGAAGAGTTCTTTCATGTTTATGTAATATCTTTAAGTTATTTAATGACTAAACTACTATTTGAGTTAATTTTGCTCAGTTTATTTGTAAACCACTTTTGCTTCTTTCATCAATTGTCATGCCATGTCCTTAAAGGCCATTTGGAACCAACATGGAAATTGTAGGTCCGTCCAGTAGAGAAGCTGGTGGAGAAGAATGTGAGCAGCACAGAAGCAAAGTAGAGGGAAGGAAGCCAGAAAGGACTAGGGCTCCTGATCACAGCCAGCTAAGAAATTGTTGTACCCAATTATTAATCAGGAGGTGATTTAATTTGTTTTGTATATAGTTAACGTTTACAACATGTTTTGATACACATATTCATAGTGTGATTACTAGAGACAAGCAAGTTAATATACCCAATATCTCATATATTTACTCTTTTGTGGTAAGAGTACCTACAATCTACTCTCTTGACAAATTGTCAGCATACAATGCTATATTAGGAATTATAGTTCTCATGCTGTATACTAAGTCTCTGGATTTAATCATCCTATAAAACTGCAGCTTTGTACCCTTTGACTTACATCTTCCCATAACTTTCCCTCCACCCCTGCTCCTGGTCATCACCATTTTCCTCTCTTTTTAAAAAAGTTTCACATATTAGTGAGATCCATGCATTATTTGCCTTTTCACATCTGGATTATTTCACTTAGTATAATGCCCTCTAGGTTCATCTATGTTGTTGTAAATGACAGGATCTCTTTCTTTCTTATGGCTGAGTAATATTCTATTCTGTACATATGTATATAGTATTAAAAACAGCATGGTATTGGCACAAAAACAGATACACAGACCACTGGAACAGAATACAGAGCACAGAAGTAAACCCAAGCATATATCGCTAATTAATTTTTAGCAAGAGCACCAAAGGGGGCACGTGCACACACGCACACACAGTTTCATCCATTCAACCATTGATGGACACTTTTCCTTTGGGTGTATACACAGAAGTAAGTAAGTACTCTTTGGATATTTATACAGAAGAGGGATATTGCTGGGTCTTATGGTAGTTCTATTTTTAATTTCTTTGGGAACCTCCTTACTGTTTCTCACAGTGGTTGCATCAGTCTTTATTTCCACCAATAGTGTACAGTGGTTCCCTTCCTCTGCACCTTCACCAACACTTGTTACTTCTTGTCTTTTTGCTAAAAGCCATTCTAACAGATATGAGATATCTCATAGTTTTGATTTGAATTTCCCTGATGATTAGTGATGTTTAACATATTTTCATATACGTGTTGTCCATTTTTATGTCTTCTTTGGAGAAATTTCTATTCAGGTCCTTTGCCCATTTTTTAAGTGGGTTATTCTTTCTTTCTTTTTGCTATTCAATTGTGTGAGTTTCTTATATATTTTGAATGTTAACCCCTGGTCAGATAATATGATTTGCAAATAATTTCTCCCAATCTGTAGTCTGCCTTTGCATTTTGTTGAGGGCTTCCTTTGCTGCAAATAAGCTTTTTGGTTTGATGTAGTCTCATTAGTTTATTTTTGCTTTTGTTGGCTGTGCTTTGGGTGTCCTATCCAAAAAATAATTGCCAAGATCAATGTTCAGGAGCCTTTCCCCTATGTTTTCTCTTAAGAGTTTTATAGTTTTGAGTCTTATATTCAGGTCTTTAATTTATTTTGAATTTATTTTGTGTGTGTGTATGGTGTAGGATAAAGATCTAATTTTATTCCTTTGCATGTGGATAGCCAGTTTTCCAAATACCATTTATTGAAGAGATTATCCTTTTATCATGGAGTCTTCTTAGTGCCCTTACCAAAAATTAGTTGCCCATCTATGCTTGGGTTTATTTCTTGGCTGTCTATTCTGTTTTGTTGGTTGGTGTGTATGTGTTTTTATGCCAGAACCATACTATTTTGATTACCATAGCTTTACAGTATATTTTGAGATCAGGTGGTGTGAGGCCACAAGCTTTGTTCTTTTTGCTCAAGATTGCTTTGGCTATTCAGAGTCTTTTGTGGTTCCACATGAATTTTAGAATTGTTTTTCTCTCTGTGAAAAATGTCATTGAATTGTGATAGACATTGCATTCAACCAATAGATTTCTTTCGGTAGTATGGACACTTTGATGATATTAATCCTTCCAATCCATGACCATAGGATATCTTTCCATTTTTCAGTTTCTTGTTTAATTTTTCATGCATGCTTTATAGTGTTCAGTGTATAGGTCTTTCACCTCTTTGGTTAAATTTATTTCTATGACTTTTTTTGATGCTATTGTAAATGGGAATATTTTCTTAATTTCCTTTTTGGATAATTCATTGTTAATGTATAAAATACGTTCAAAATCTCCTTAAGCTGATAGACAACTTCAGCAAAGTCTCAGGATACAAAATCAATGTGCAAAAATCACAAGCATTCCTATACACCAATAATAGATAATCAGAGACCGAAATCATGAATGAACTCCCATTCGCAACTGCAACAAAAAGAACAAAATACCTAGCAATACAACTTACAAGGGATGTGAAGCACCTCTTCAAGGAGAGCTACAAACCACAGCTCAAGGAATAAGAGAGGACAAAAACAAATGGAAAAACATTCGATGCTCAAGAAGAATCAATATCGTGAAAATGGCCATACTGCCAAAAGTAATTTGTAGATTCAGTGTGATCCCCATCAAGCTACCATTGACTTCCTCACAGAATTAGAAAAAAAACTACCTTTAAATTTCATACAGAATCAAAAAAGAGCCTGTATACCCAAGACAATCCTAAGCTAAAAGAACAAAGCTGGAGACATCATGTTACCTGACTTCAAACTATACTACAAGGTTTTCCATGACGAAACTGGACCACATAAAGTTTCAATTTATGTTCCTATCATACTCTTACTCATTCCTCAAGTCTAAGCCAAGTTGAATTCTCTGGGAAGCTTTTTCTGACCTCTGAGTCTAGATTAGTCTTATAGCACTCTATAATTCCTATCATAGCATTTACCAAGTTATATTGTAAATGCTCTTGTAATTGCCTGCTTCCTCCAATGTGCTGTAATACCGATAAAGGCTAGGCCTGTGTCTGTTTTGTTCATCTTTGAATTCCGACACTTAGCATCTGTCACGACACACAGTAGACACTCTAAATATTCAGAAAAGGATTAAAAAAATGAAAATAAAATGAATATATTTTGATTAGGTCATATAGTAATCACTTAGTACAGGCAGTGTTTCTTTCTGGCTGTTGTGTAGATATTCATTTGGTAAATATTTATTAAGTTCTTACTATGTGCAAGAGCTGCCCTGGGCTTTGGGATCCAGCAGAGAAGGAAACTGACCACATCCTTGCCTGGAACACTGTGGTATTTGGCCTGGAAACCATGTACTCTAAATAGTGTATGAGAAAGAGTTAAAAGTTAATTTAATTTCTGTTTTTTAATGAACTATTTATAATATTGTAGAATATTACATATTACATTTTTCAAATTATTTTTAACACTCCATATGCCCCCAACATCCAAGAGAAGCTCCAGGAATGTCTTGATGTCAAAATTTCTTTAAGATACTATAAGTTAGCTTCTTAACCATGATGGGGCTTTCTCCCAAGCTTTTATGGGAGTAAAGAAGGAGAGTCTGCAAGAGCATGGGTATGTGTGAATTGAGTCAAGCTACATAAATAATTTGGAGAGAGCTTGGAAGTGGTGAGGGCAATAGGAATTGTGAGGCTTCTTAAAGAACTGAGAACGTAACATGAAAAAATTCATTCATTATCATAGCTTAGTCATGGCTTTCTTACTTCATAGAATGTACAACATCTTAGTCTTACACTGCTATCCATCAGGTTTATAACTCCTGCAGTCAGTAGCTGCATCCCATTCATTTATCTGTCTACCATGTTTTAGACCTGGCAAGTGCTCTAGTGTCTGGACTCATAGAAGAAAGTACAAAGCAGACGATTCAAAACAAGAGATAATCAGAGGATTATTGATTTTTTTGCCTTTTGTGTTTTTGCCTTCCTTTTAATATTTTTCTCAAAGTACTATTTGAATAAGTTTTATTCCCATAAATAGAGCTTGATGTAGTAAAAAATTGAACTCATGTTTCTGGACTCCATCCTGTGTAACAGTGAATTTGTATACCTTTGCTCACTTACTCTTCACATCAGTCTTCTGTAGTAAATAGTGTGCATGAGACCCATTTTGTACATAAAAATAACTCAGCCTCAGGGAGGAAGAGTGAGTGACTTGCCCAAGAATTCACAGTTAGGAAGACTCAGGCAGAACCTAAAGTCACACTAAGATGTCCTGTTTCAAAGTTTGTGGCATGCCTCATGCTGCGGCACCTACAAATGCACACTGAAACTCCACTTTGACATTTACCAGTGGTATGCAAATCACTTTGCCCCTTTGAATCTATTTTCTCTATTTAATGAGGATAATTTTATCTGTTTGATTAGTAATTGATATTAATCATTGAAAGGTTTATAAACATTATCACAATCTTCATTATAACCTTGAAACAGACATTGACAACCTCATTTGACAGATGAGAAAACCTTATTTCCAAGATGTTAAGCAGCTGGCTGCAAGTCACATAGACGGTAATGCCAGAGCTGAGATTTAAACTCAGACATGTCTGATTTGAGCTTGTTCTTGTTTCATTTCACCAGGGGGCCAGATTGTAAATATTTTTGGCTTTGCAGACCATGAGCCTGTTTTGCAATTCTGCCATTATAATGTCAATGCAGCCTAGACAATATGCAAATAAATGAGCTTGGTTGTGTTGCAATAAAACTTATTTATGGACACTGAAATTTGAATTTCATAGAATTGTCTCATCACAAAATATTAACCTTCTTTTGATATTTCAACCTTCATAATGTAAAAGCCGTCCTTCAGCTTCAGCCAGGTGTTCAAAGTTAATATCATCAGTGAAAATTACGTTAATAGCATATCAGTAACCCTGATATGTGTGATGGGAATGGCACTTTACATTTATGGTCTTCCTTCCCAAAACCTATAAACTCTATGAGAAAAACATGGATGTAAAGTAAGTAAAGGGCACCCTGTAAAATATCTGACCAGTATATCTCAATATTGCCAAGGTTGTTAAAAACAAAGAAGGTCTGAGAAACTATCACAGCCAAGAGATCCTAGAGGAAGTATGATGACCAAATGCAGTGTGGTATCTTGGATGGGGTTCTGGAACAAAAAAAGTACATTAGGTAAAAAAGAAATGTAATAAAGTATGGACATTAGTTAATAATGTATCAATATTGGTTCATCAGTTGTAACATTTGCATCAAAGTAACGTAAGATGTTAACAATGAGGAAATTAGAAGGTGGGACAAAGGGAACCTCTAGTATTCTTGCAACTTTTCTGCAAATATAAAATTTTGGAAATAGGAAGTTTATTAAATGTTAAGAAATATTGTAAGTATGCTCCCTAAAACAAAACACAAACAAAAACTTTACTCAGAGGTCACTCAGATTTGGCCTGGAAACCATAGCTAGCTGTCCCCTGCACTATGCTACTCTGTCTCTCGTACCTTATTGAGCTGTTCAAAGGAGATCATGTACATAAAAGTACTTTGTAAGACGCAAGCTGTTACACACAATTATGGCTTTATTCGTGGGCTTATTTATGTTTATTTATCTAACAAACATACACTGAGTGACTACTATGCACCAGGCACTTTGCTAAAATTTGATCAGTAAAGGTAAGAACACAACCCCTGCCTTTGAGGAGCAGGAAATTTAGAGGAGGATTTAGGCATTTATGTTACTTGCCACAATGACACCAGATAAAATTAGTCCATATATATGCATACCAGCTACAAAATATTTGTAAAGGAAAAGGTGATGAATTCTTTCATCACAAGTAGAAAATAGCATTTCAGAGAAGGAAGTAATGTTTGGACTCAGTCTTAAATGGTAAATATGAGCTAAGTGGGAGTATAAAGGTTGAGGCAGAATGGTGGGGGATGAAGGCGTCAGGGAACAATCCAGGCAGAGGGAAGAACCTGAATAAAGGGCTGGAAATATGAGAGAACACGGCATGTTTTGAAATCTGCATGAGGTTTATTATGCCTGGGGCATTGTGGTATTATGGTGCTTACAGAGCACTCACTCTATACCAAACACAATGCCTTTATTTTCTGGGAGGCTCCTAAAGTGCAACTCTGTTATAAGCTGAATTATGTCCCCCACAAAATTCATATGAAGTCCTAACTCCCAATTCCTCAGAATGTGATAGTATTTGGAGAAGGGATCTTTAAAGAGGTTATTAAATTACAATTATGTCATTAGAGAAGGCATTAATTCAATATTACTGCTGCCCTTCTAAGAAGAGGAAATTTGGACACTGACAGATAACAGAAGAAACCAACCCTGCCAATACCCTGATCTCAGACTTCTAGCCTCCAGATTAGTGAGAAAATAATTTTCTGTTGTTTAAGCCACCCAATCTGGGGTACTTTGTTATGGGCAGCCCCAGAAGAGGAATCCATTGCCTGGTCTGTAGAGAGGTTTTATTGGAAGGTGATGAATTTAGCTTGGAATCAACTAAGTCTTGCATCTTCTGGGACACCCCAGACATTTCATCACTGATTTTGGAAGATAGAAGTGAGTTGGAAAAATGCATTTGCAAATCATCAGTATTTGGGTGGTAGTAGACACCGTGAGAATGGATGATATTATTCAAAAAGAGACATAGCGTAAGAGAAAGAAGGCCAAGGGTAGTATCTGGGACATGCCACATATCTGAATAAATGTGCGTGTTTGCTCACAGACGTGTTTGTACATCCTAGCTGCAGTTAGTCACCAGAGAGAGCTCATTTAGAGAGATACAAATTTGGGAGAGAAAATCATTTGGAAAAGAAAAATGCCCTGTAATTACTCTCAGAATGAACAATTTTCTTATTTGAGGCAATTTATCCCTATGATCCATCTGAAAAACACTTAACTTTAAAAACTGGATAGAAATAGTTTGAGCTATTTCTTTAAAGGAACTATAACTGGCAAAATAAAGCTCTTGTTGAAGTATAAGGTGAACTGAAAATTTAAGCTCCTGAAATCTGAGGTCTTTATGGGCTGAAAGTGCCATGCTTTGAATATCTCAGAATGCTGTATTTTCACTGGTAAGCTAAGAAATAGGAATATCTATGAAAAGCCAGTTTGAAGAAAGAATAGAAAGGCTTTAGTGAGCAAGAATAAAATTTCAGTGACACTTGAAATAATAAAATATCACAGGTCATTTTCAAGTTTAAAGTTAGCTCACTGTGTGTGTGTGTGTATGTGTGTGTGTGTGTGTGTGTGTGTGTGTGTGTGTGTGTGTGTGTGTATACAGGTTTAATGCCAGATTTCAGTACCTCTTCCTTTTAGAACAAAAGTGATTTTATTTAATATGTAAAGGTTAATTTTGCATTTTACCTAATTTTTACTGAGCTTACATATGCATATACATAGTAGTGATCTCTTAAAAATAACAATATCTTTAAAAAAAAACTAGTATGTTAAAAAGCTCAGAGGTCAGAATGGCCTTGTTTAAGCTTTATGTAAGGCCTCAAATGGTAGAAACAGATTCAGCTAATCTCTTGCTTCATCCCTCAGTCCTGCTGCTTCTGGATTAGCTCACTATTTCTGGAAGGGTTTCTTTCATGGAGTGAAGATAACTACAGGTGGTCCCAGCTTTCCATTCGGGCAAGGTTCTCATTGGATCTCAGTGATTCTAATTGAATTGTGTGTCCTTTAAAGAACCAGTCGCAGCGGCTAGAGGTTATATAATGTGCTGATTTTTCTAACCTAGTTTATGTGTTCCACTTGGATTTGGTTTGGGACCCATATTTTCTATAAATTAAAGAAGAGTATACCTGTAAACAGCTGATATAAGATAGAGTGTATGAATGCTGAATGGTTTAAAACACACACACACAGATGTAGGTATACATATATAAAAATATAAGAAAATATAATGCAAGCTAAAAGAATCTTCAAGGTATTCCTATTGCCATTTTATTTATGTATGTGTGAGAGGAACAAAGAGAAGGGGGAAAGCAAATAGTTGAGGGCACTGATGATCTAATATTGTAATTAGACTACTTCAGGAAGATGATCTTCTACAGCATGTTATAGGAATAAAGAACTATCCAGGGTTATTTTGTAGAATAACAATCTAAAAAACTAGACAGATAATTAGTATTAAATCTTATTTGTATTTATACAGAAAAATTAAGTAATCAGAAGTTTTAATGGAGACAGGGATTGGGAATAGGGATAGCATATTTTTCAGAAGTGTGTGTGTGTCTGTCTGTCTGTTTGCTGTGGCTTAACCTGAGGCTACTGAGTGATAACATATTTAACACCCACAGAACTGCTTTATGAGGGTAATGGGTAGTATGATGTAAGCTTTTTACGTATTATCAGGATATTGAGGAAATGACTGCAATGTCCCCATGTGGAACAACTCCTACTGTAAATGTTCTGGCATAATAGAAAATAGAAAAATTGCACTCAATTTTTATTTTCTCCTAGATCTCTCTCTCTCCCTCCTATGTTTTCCCATCCTTCATTGTGCTGAAACTGCCTTTGCAAAAATCATAACTGAGAAAACTATGATAGTGAAACAGATCTGACCTCAATGACTCCATCTTGCTTCCAAACCTCCCTCCAAGCTGTCCTTATTTCTTCCTGGGTGTAGGCCAAACTAACTGGAAGGACCCTGGTTTATAGTTTAACTTTGAAACAAAGATGATAACACCCCTTTCCCCAAACAAACCCCCTTTTTGCCTGGGGACTAGATTGCCTTTGTAGGACTAACAAATTAGCCATAAGATTAGAAAATATGGTTTAGGTATCATGCAGCTAGAGGCTACAACATTCAAAACCTCCTCAATTGCTCATAGATATATCATCACTACTGTAAAATCTAAGATTGCGGCTTGAGATATTTTTTCAGACCCTGCATTCGGTGGATTATTTGGTGTCATCCGGGTAGATAAACTGGCTCATCTGATCTTGTGGCCCCCACCCAGTAAATGACTCAGTGCAAGAGGGCAGCTTCTACTCCCTATGATTTCATCTCTGACCCGACCAATCAACACTCCCCACTCCCCGGGCCCTACCTGCCAAATCATCCTTAAAAAAACCCAGTCTCCGAATTTTCGGGGAGATCCATCTGAGTAATAACTCTGTCTCCAATGTGGTGTGGCCGGCCTTTCTTTGCTGTGGTCTTTGTGCAGCTTGCAGGAAGAACCTGTCAGGCAGTTACAGTAATTTGCCTCATCTGCCTCATCTCCCCACTGGCAGTAAGCCTCTTTCCTCTGCCCCTGGATTCTCTATTTCTTTGCTAACTAACCCTTAACTATGTGCCACAATACGTTGATAGCTTGAAGGAGCATTAGAGCTGCATTAAACCAATTTCTTCATTTAACATCTGATGAGTTTTGTGAGAGGCAGAGAGTGTGTGACCTGCCAAAGGCCACATAACCATTTAGTATGTGACCCAGAGCAAGAATCCAGGCTTCTTTTTCTCTAAGCCCCTCTCATACAAATGTTCTCTCATTCCACCACTATTAACTGCCCTGCAACCCACAAACATGTACACTCTCTGGGCTCAAACTTTCTTTGCTTCTTCCATAATTATCTCTATCTTGCCTTCCAGCAGTGGTTTTCCCAATGTGGGCAATTCTACCTAACTTTACTCTCTTCCTACCTCTCAGCTTGGGGTTGGTGTAAAAGTAGTGTAGTGTAACAATAATAAAATAACATACTGAGTGGTCACAAGGTGTCCTCCATTAGGCATTTTATATCCATAACCTCCTTTAATTTTCACATAGCTCTATAAAGTAGATATTATTATTTTCCTTATTTTATAAATGAGGTTTAGGGAAGTTATCTGTCTAAAGTCACATTGTTAGTAATTAATGGAAATATGATTGAATGCAGTCCGATTCCAAAGTTAGAACTTTTATCTGCAATAGCCTGCCATACTGATGTTTTGACATCTTGAACCATAGCATCATGCGGCTGACAGTTTGTCCAGTCTTACGGTTAAGAAAGTCTAAATGGCAAATGAATGTTTGCCTTGACATAAGGACTGAAATCAGTCATTCTCTGCTTTCGTCTCATTTTTGCAATTCTAATCTTATTTGGAGTACTCAGCTTGGAATGTTAATTTCAACCTCAGCACTGAAATTGGCCAAGAAAAGAAGGCAACCAAATGGAGGTGAGAAGTAGAATGATTGTACCAAGAAAACAAAAATTTGAACCTGACTTTCCTAGCATTTCTGACACAGCTGATTCTCTTTGTGCCACATCACCCTATTGCTTGTGTTTTCTGTTTTCTTACTACTCCAAGATCTTGATAATATAATAAAATAAAATCCACTTGTCCAACATAAAATATAGCTTATGTTGGCGGAAAAAAATTCTGGGTCATCATAAAACCTCACCAAATCTCTGTAACAGATATTGCAGGCGGCTGGCAGGCAGGACAGAAAGACCCTGAAGTGCAACTAAGTTTAGGTCAATAGGAAGTATTTGTCGTTTGAACTCACGATTTACAATAAAGAGGAAATATGCTGGCTATAAGCAGCAGAAGCATGTAATAACCCAGTCCCAATACATTCAAAGTTGTTTTTATTGAACTCCAGCCATCTATAATTTGCTCTCCAGGGCATTCTCAGAAAGTGATTTTATGATATATATATTTCAAAAAGCTGACTGTTTTCAATAGTTTAGATTTAATTTTTTTCTCAGTCTATTAGATGCGTTAAGTCATGGTATTTTAAGATATAATAGAGAAATGCTTTCAGTAGGTAAATTAAAAATAGAATAATAACTGAAACAGTGTGACTAAAAGTAGAGAAGGAATAGTATGATATTAGAGTGGAGGAGTTAACAGACAAAAGATATCCGAAAATTCAATAGAGCAGGCGTCATGAAAGCTACACAGAGGAATAAAGAAAGGTGACAGCATTGCAACAAAACTTTCTAGATAAAATTATGGTTATTCAGCGCAAGGCAGTTCTTTCTGGAGAAGCTGACAAAAGGCAGCTCAGGAAGAACAAAATAGAAATGAAATGGCTTCACCCACATTCCTTCTCCCACTTTGCTCTTGGGTGGAGACCATTTTCTTAGGACGCACTGCTGTAGCAGTTTTGTACAGTTGGGTGGAGCAGGGTGCTCTACTTCCCAGGCTTCAAGAAGAGGCAGTGCACTATTGTGGTGATGAGAACTTTCTCTAAGCTCTCCCACTTACTAGTTGTGTGACCTTGGCGAAGTTATCCAAATCCTTGAAGCTCAGTGTCTTCATTCATAAAAATAAGGGTAATACTAACACTCATCTCCAGATCCATACATAGAGAGAGCCAATCCAATACTTACCCTAGGGTACAAAAATGTAAATAATGATATACAAAAGATTATCACTTTAAAGTTAGATTTACATGCTCATAGCACATTTACCCATTCACAGGACAATTGAGTCTACCACCTAGTCAGCAAGAATAATTTCTAAGAGTAAGGTGCCACTGGAGGGCACACAGTATTATTAATACATGTCTGTGGACTGTATCATCTGTTATAAAATTGACTTCATAGCATATTTCATATATGTTGTTTGCTCAGAACACCTACATAGCTAGTTTCAGTTTTGCCTACTTTGTGATAATTAAATGAAATGAGAATTCCTTTTTCAGAGCAACAGAATATAATTCGAAAAATTTTAGTTACATTTTAAAAAGTGTTTGCTTCAATCCATGAAATTGATTTTAAACTTCACTGATGGTTCATGACCCATTGTTCAAAAGCCCTGATACTGGTAATAATATCCAATTACTCAAGGAAAACCCAGCCTCTGTGCACACAGCAGTTTCTGTAGTTGCTTTCCTGGTATAAAAAACCTTTGATAATTCTGGACAGAACACGGTGATCCAAGTGGAGGATTTAGTTCATGTGGCTATTCTGCATGTGCTTTCTGCTCATAAAAGGACACTGGCCTTTCAAGTGGGCTGGCTTTGGTGACCTCCTGTGGGACTGACCTCTCAGGAAGGGGAATGGCTAGCTACTTTACAAAGGATAAGCAGGAAAATGGAAGTGGTTTGGACACTGCTTTCTTTTTCCTTTCTCTGGAATTCTGGCCTAGATGAGGGAGTAGGGGTTGGAGGGTGGGTGGAGAGAAATGAGGGAGAATGTCTGGAGCCATTGAAAGGTAAATTAAGAGAGCTCCAAGGCCCAGTTACTCCAATTATTTGTAGTTAAAACATTGTTATGAGCAATTAATGAGCAGCCATATGGCACATTTCTAAAAGTCTAAGCAATAACTAGATATTATTCAGCAAGACTGCTCTCTTCACTTCCAGGTGGTTGTAAACAATACAATCTGATTTGGATGGCATTAGAAAGTGAAACAACAAAACACAAAGCAACCACTTTCCCCACAACACACAAACACAGACACACACACACACACACACACACACACACACACAACCTCTCCTCAACAATGACATGGGTTATTTCACTTATTATATAGACTTATGAGACTGATAATTCAAGATACAACTATTATTTCCATTAAGATTCCTTGATACAAGCCACATATGCTTATTCTGGCTAATTTGAGCAACAAAAGGGTCATCAGAGGGCTATGAAGGTAGTTGATGACTAAAGAAAAGGCTTAAAATAACAGTTGTCAGAACAGTTTCCGGAGTAGCTCTGAGGGATCCCTCTGGATGAAAAACTCCAATTCTTTTTTAGTGTGTGTTTTGTTAAAATTAATGTATTTGTATCTGGATTGAATAACAATGGTAAACATAATAATTCAATTAAACGTATTTAATGAGTGACAATTTATTTTGCCAGGAAGTGTTCTAGGGGCTTGAGATACATCAGTGAATAAAATGAACAAAGTTCTTTGCCCTTATGGGCTTACATTCAGTGTTTTTATAATGCATCCTAAAGTGTAGTCCTAAGCAATGTCAATTAAGGTGGTAAAATTTTTCAATAACATTTTTTTGATAAACTTACTTACCTAAAATTTAAGATTATCTACAAATATTTGATACAGAGGTATGTATTTTTTTCATTTTTAGAATGTGAGAAAGGCTACTAAAGTATCATAATTATTGAAAAATATACAATAAACATATAATCGTACCTATATTTGGCTAGATGTTACACAAAATAACTCAATAAACTGTGATTTTAACAAAAACCATATTTATAATTTAAGGTTGAGATGTTGCATAATGAATTCAGTTTACTTAAAACTGCTCTCTATACTGAACATAACACTTTTTGAAAAACATTGTTAAACCAAAGGAACGCCTCAGAGTAAATACTTAGGGTAAGAATAGCCAGAGTATACTTCAATGTCCAAAAATCCCAATAACCTGGACACAGGATCTTTTGCAAGTACTTCGTAGAAACTCATCTTCATTAAAATCAAAACAAGAGATATAACAAGATAACAGAAGTTAACATAAGGCAGCTTGTGAATTCACAGTAAGTAGTTCCAGTATGACAAAAATGGTATTACATATTGGATTTAATTTAAATAAAATAATACTCTTTCTTCCAGTGAATCATCAAAGTCATTAATTTGCAGAACAATTATATTTTGAAAAGTTAATTTTGTGTCTTCCTCTCCCCCACTTGCCCCTGTGAAGAGCTGAATATAGGAAAATAAGATAGTGTCCTACATTTGGAAGCCTCTTCTCTTTCCTTTCTTTGCTCTCTGCCTTTTTTTTTTTTAAAAAGGATTCTCTATTTATTTCTTCATCATGCATCACACATGGCTGTGCACAGGCAATGGCGGCACACCACTGTTACTGTTAATGCTACAGCACCCACTCCTGCTGTTTAGCTGCCAGAAGAGCTCTTTAACGAACCCAAGAAAGCCAGAGTCCATGCTGTTTTTAGCTAGTCCAAAGGCATTGTTTAATATAACCTTGGGATTTCGTTGCCTTCAACTGAAGCTTTTTCTTAGTCAAAGGCAAATAATGATGAATGTTACAATTAAACATTGAAGCATATCACAGTGGACTTTTCGATAAACCCAGGTTTTTTTTGTCTTAATTACATAGAATGATAAGGAAATACCTCTTTAGAAGTAGAAGCATACTTCCTAGCCACCTTGATTTTTGTGAGTATATTATCTTCGCTGCCTAATAAGAAACTTTGGGCAAGTGGAATACAGGCTGTGAATTACTGGAAAGCCTGCAAAACCCTGGGCCACCATTGACTCCATCCATCTCATGCACCATGGAAGGCAACCCATGAGTTCAGAACAGACATTTGTGTCTACAAAGGGAAAGAGGAGTATATTTTATGTTGTAATTTTTCTACTGCTTCCAAACCATGTCCTTAGACTGTAAATTTCCCCTCAGAAAGTAGCAGTTTTTCCTTCATGTTTGCTGCAGTAGGAATAGACCCCCAAATAATAAGCACAACTCCCTCCCACTCTTGTCTAAGTAATACTTCAACATTGACCATTTTACTCATGAAAGGTGATTTGAGACAAGGTCACAAAAGTCTCAAAGGGCGTGAATCAGGATTTTTAGCTGGAGGAAACCTGACTCACCAGCTGCCATTGACCAAGTCACTTCTTCACTATGATTCTATGGAAGGTTTTCCCCTGTGCTCCCAAGAGAACACTTTGTTTGGCACTTTGCAGCTATACTGGGGGAATTGATTTGTGTGGAGTTTTTTGAGTTAAGAATTTTGAACCGTAATGTGCTTCCTAAAGCTAGGAAAGTAAAATGGATGGGGCAAGCCTGGTAGCAATAGCATGGAATCAATCATCAGAAGGCCTGAATCTGACCGTAGACTTACATGCTGAGAAAAAATCTTGCAAATTACTCGGAGATTAATTTTCTTGTACATAACAGTCCTAGAAAATTCCAGCACTTAGAGTTTTTTGAAGCAACAGTGCATTGTGATTTAGAACATGGTGCTTGTATTAGAATTGCATTCTCTGTAAATTATTACCTGCGTAACTAGTTACCTAACCTCTTTAAACTTCATTTTCTTCTAAGGTAAAATGATACTTACCATTAGGAGTTTTTGAATTAATAAGTGAGATAATCAAATAAAATTTTAAGATAATGTTCTACACATTGCCATTGTTGTTGTTGCTATTTTCATTATAATTATTATGTGAAAATTAAATGAAATAATGGCTGAAAAAAATGTCTTGTAAAGGGTAAAGTTTTATCTGCACTAAAATTATTGCATAACAATTTAATATTAATAAAGCAATTTAATCCATCGTCATTTCAGCCTCATAGCAACTCACTAGAACTGTAAAATTTTAATTTCTAATGAATGGGCTTCCACACACATTGCTTGATATATTTTACTTACCGTCTCTGCGGAGCTTATTACTAGTAAGATCACCTTTTATAAATGTTTGGTTTGTGCCTAGGGAAATCTTATTATTTTCAAAATAATACCCAAACAGAATTTTACCAAGGCATAAGCACTCAATCATTATTTTGTTTAATAAAAAATAAGTTACCGGCTGGGCACGGTGGCTCACGCCTGTAATCCCAGCCCTTTGGGAGGCCGAGACGGTGGATCATTTGAGGTTAGGAGTTCGAGAGCAGTCTTGCCAACCTGGTGAAACCCCGTCTCTACTAAAAATACAAAAATTAGCCGGGCATGGTAGCACATGCCTGTAGTCCCAGCTACTCGGGAGTCTGAGGTGGGAGAATTGTTTCAATCTGGGAGGCGGAGGTTGTAGTGAGCCGAGATTGCGCCATTGCGCTCCAGTCTGGGCGACGGAGCGAGACTCCGTCTCAAAAACAAACAAACAAAAAGTTACCATTCATAAATTTAGTCATCCAAATCAAATACTATGACACTTTATTATGTGGAAATTTGGGATCATAGAAGTGAAGCTTCTGTATAACTGAAGTTTTACTATTTTAACCATGATTTTCAATTGTTTTTGAAATAACTCTTTCTACACTTTATAATTTCTTGCTTTCTTAAAATATGGATTATAATGTGACACTTTCTCAGTAACTCCAAAGAGCACGATGGCTACTGGCAATTGCATTAAGTTCTATTCTGGTAGGTTTTGTTTTTCTCTTTTTCATTGTCCAGCCATCAACTACCCCTCCCAGGGTTCATGTGGCCATCTGTCTCCGAATTTACTGTTTCTAATCTACTGAGCTATGAGAATTCAGGTGACTCAGAGATTTATTCTTGTGTATAAATGAAGAGACTATTTTCTTGTTCCACAAAATACTAAACTTTTAGTGCAAGGGAATTGAGCAGTTATTATAGGAGTTAGGGGCTTTTTTTTTCTTTATTTCTGAGTTCTCAACTGCTCTGATAATAATTAAAATTTCCAGAAAAAATTATTTCTTGGAACATAAAGAACCAAAATACAAAGGATTTGGGGATACAGGCATACTTTGTTAATATGGTTTGGCTGTGTCCCCACACAAATCTCATCTCAAATTGTAATCCCACCAGGTTGAGGGCAGTTTTCCCCATGCTGTTCTTGTGATAGTGAGGGGGTTTATTAGGGAGAATTCACTCACATGATCACAAGGTGAAATCCCATGATAGGCCCTCTTCAAGCTGAGGAGCAAAGAAGCCACTAGTGCCACAGCTCGAGTCTCAAAGCCTCATAAGTAGGGAAGCTGGCCTTGCGTGGTGGCTCACAGCTGTAATCTCAGCACTTTGGGAGGCCGAGGTGGGCGGATCACCTGAGGTCAGGAGTTCAAGACCAGCCTGACCAATATGGAGAAACCCCCTCTCTACTAAAAAATAAAAAATTAGCCGAGCATGGTGGTGCATGCCTGTAATCCCAGCTACTTGGGAAGCTGAGGCAGGAGAATCACTTGAACCTGGGAGGCAGAGGTTGCAGTGAACTGAGATCTGCCATTGCATTCCAACCTGGACAACAAGAGTGAAACTCCATCTCAGAAAAAAAAGTAGGGAAGCTGACAGTGCAGCCTTCAGGGGCCTGAGAGCCCCGGGCAAACCACCAGTATATGTCCAAGAGTCCAAAGGCTGAAGAACCTAGAGCCTGATGTTCAAAGGCAGGAAGCATCTAGCATGGGAGAAAGATGAAAACCAGAAGACTTAGCAAGCCAGCTTATCCCACCTTCGTCCTCCTGCTTCTTCTACCTACACTTGCAGCAGATTGGATGGTGCCCACCCACACTGAGGGTGGGTCTTCCTCTCCCAGTCCACTGACACAAGTGTTTACTTCCTCTGGCAATGCCCTCACAGACATACCCAGAAACAATACTTTCCATCCCTTAATCCAGTCAAGTTGACATTTAATATTAACCATCACGGAAGATAATTGTAAATTTCCTGATGACCTATACTTGATAATATTTTCCAAATTTTCTAATATAATAATAAAAACTAACATTGTTGAATGGTTAATGTATACCATTTTAAAACTTTACATGGTTTGTTTATTTTATTTAACGAACACTGATATAGTTCCTATTTACATACCAGATTCTCCACTAAGCCATATACAAATATTAACTTATTAAATTACATAAATTTCTACCTGTAAGTAATCACTTCTTAAAAGTCTCATTATTCTTGATCTATAGGTGGGGAAACTGAGCCTCTGAGAAGTCCTATAATGTGCTCAAGGTCTCAGAGCTATTGAATGGAACAGTCAGTATCAAAGACAGGATCCTATGTTTCTAAGAATATGATCTTATACCATAAACACTCCAACAGACAGTTAACCTTGAAAATAGAAACATTCACTCTGAGAATCGGAATCCAGTATTATTAAATCTAATGGTTCAGGATAAAAGTGAGATAATTCTCAAATTGGCAAAAAAAAAAATGGATGGAGAGGAACCTTCCATTTAAAATAAAGGAGAAGCAGTTTTGGGAGTTATTGTTAGGAATGTAAAACATCCACTTTCCCCCTCTGATTTGTCTCCATCCAATTCCTAATCTAGACTATAGGACATGATGTATCAGTTTTCTCCATATTTCATTACTTACATGGATCAAGAGCACGGGCTCTGAATTCAGGTTACTTGGTTCAAATACAGATTCTGCTGTCTGAATGTGGGAAATTTAAGTTTTCCTGAGAAGTTTCCTCATTTGTGAATTGGTGCTAGAATAGTACCTACCTCATAAGGTTATTTTGAAAGTTAAATAAAAGTTCTTAGCAGACAGTATAGCATATATTAATTGATCAGTAAATGCTCATTTTTAATGTCATCATTTTGAAAATGTGTTCCATAGAAAGCTGATACAACAAGCAGCTCACTGAATAAAAGACTGCCTCTATTAATGAATTTGGGAAGTGTTACTTTTTCTTTAGTTTCTTCGTAGAGAGTCACAATGTAAATTGTCATAATAAATGTGCTTTAAAAATAACTGATATGAAAAGTGTTTAACTTTATTTAGCTCAGTATCTCTCAAACTTGTTTGTCCACAGAACCTATGTATGTATGGTGTGTCTGCACATGTGTATGTAAGCTATTCAATCCAAAAACTGTTCTGTTTTTCACAGAACACATTGCTGGGAAATTGTGTCCCTCACTAAAATATCTGAAATTGGAGTGATGAGAAATTGCAGAGTGGTGACTAATGTGATAATTCCAAATCTGGATCATATCAGTAAGCTTCAAATATCAGCATGTCTGTTAATGGGACTAAGGCACTTGCAACTTAGATTTCCTGAAGATTAACTTCATGTGTTTCTAGGAGAAACTCTTGGTTTGGCCTTCTGAATCTTAATCATTACTGCCATCATCACCATCATCATATCATCATCATCACTGCTTGCATATATTTAGTGGTTGAATATATGCCAAGCACAGTGCTAAGTGTTTTATTTGCATTAGTCCTAATGGCTGCCCCGTGAGGTAGGCATTCAACTTTAATTTTTATATAGTGGGACATGGGCTTAAAGAGGTTATGTGCCCAAGATAACAGGGTTAAATATAGAATACTGTCTTCTGTATCTAACGGTCCTGAAAAGTGGCTTGACATATTACTGGTGAGAATAATTGCTAGTAAAAAAGTTATAACAGTAGCTCACCTGGGGGTGTGCTATGATCTGTGACTGGGCATTTCAGAAGCATGCCCTCTTAGGAGGTGAGTTTCCTCAAAAGCTCTGCCATCTCTGTGTGTGTCAGACAAATGCCCCCTCAAAGGCCCAGACTATAGGAAACCTAAAAGTAGCAAAGCAGCAGGAGGGAGTGTGGCCCATTTAGTGTTGGGAATGAGTTTGCTTCATCACAGAACAGTCTCTTTCTTTTTAATTTTGGAATAGTGAAGCTGAACTTCATCATGCTGCTCACATTAAGGTCTGTTACAGGTTTTCATGGTGCAGTGAAAGAGCCAGGCTTATACCTGGAGACCATCACTTAGTACCTGTAGATGATAGGAACAGAAATATGTGGGACACGGGTCTGCAAACTATGCCTGTACAGCATATCTGGCTTGTCCCCTATTTTTTGCATGCTTGTAAGCTGGGAATGGTTTTAAGATTTTAAAATGGTTACACTATATCTATGCAATATCCTCAATTGTGTTTCTTGGTTCATACAGCTGAAAATATTTACTGCCTGGCCTTTAAAAAAACATTTGCTGATCCCTGATTCAGTATATTAATTTCATGGACTGTCCAATGTTCACAGCTCAAATCAACAAACAAAAAATCAAAATAAAGATCAAGCACCAACTTAGCTTAACCATTACCATTAAGGGAGAGGTTAACATTTTCTGCAGAAAATATTACCCATAGACGGAATCCCAGAGAATGGTCAATTAGTTTTTTATTGCAGATTTAATTTGTATTTTAATAAATGCAGTATGTAATGTAAATATTTCGAAACCTGGTAGCCATGATGGTTACACCTCTTCTGGCCCTTCCTTCCCCATAGTTGATAGAAGCTGGGGCGAACACTTGACAAGTTATGTCAATCAGACTCTTTTTCCTGATGGATCAGGGAATAGGATTACAGTTAGCATCTGAATGTGGGTTGATTTTAGGCACAGTTAAATAGTCTTGCTGTGTGAGTCAGCCATTTTAAGCATGTCCACAGAGATCAGAGAAAGTTGTTCTGCAAAGGAATAAGAATATGAGTAGAGAACAGAAGAGAATCAAGCAGAGAAACTACTACCTGATTACAGACAGCTGTCTAGTTTTTGGTTTCAGGAATCTCTAGAGCTGCTTTCCAACATGGTAGTCACCTGTGGCTACTAAGTCCCTGCAATGTGGCTAGTCCAAATTAAGTTGTCTGTACGTGTAAAATATACATTAGATTTCAGAAACTTGGTGCAAAAAATAGTTTTAAAATTTCATCAATATTTTATATTTATTCCATGTTGAAATGACAATATTTTGGATATATTGGGTTAAAATCAATTTAACTTTATTCCCTTTTACTTTTTTAAAATGGCTACTAGGAAATCTAACCTTATTAATGTGTTTCCTATTAGACTTCTATTAGACACTGGTGCTCTAGAGATTCAGCTACTTTGATTCTAAGAAATACTGATACCTATATATCACACTCCTCTACTCTACCTTATTTTTCTTTTGCTGAACCTAAATCCAGTTGGTTTTAGTTAACGCAAAAAAAGACTCTTGATAAAACAATGAGCCCTTTCCACATGCCTAACTTATAATATCTCATGCAATGGAAAAATTTTACTCAATATGACAATTTGCCAGAGCTAAAGACCTTACCCTTCAGACTTCTGGTTCTAAAATGGCAGTGTAGAAGCAAGTTGGCTTCATCCCCACCCCCGAAGAGAATGAAAAACAAATATACAGTGCCCGAGATTATCACCAGCAATATCCCAGAAGTCAAATATGGGAATGAGATAGTTTCTAGGGCCACAGAGAAGTGAAGCAACTCTGAGCAGATGGTAAGATAATTGTAATTTCATATTTGTGGTGGCCCTTCTTCCAGTATGTCTGGCACAAAATGCACAGGACTCTTCCCTCTGACTCATGGTTTCTACACCGGAAAAAGTGAGATTGAGGTGGACAAGCAGCTTCCTACTGTCTAGAATTCCCTGTCAGGGGACCAGTCCCTGCTTCAACCCAAAGGAAGCATTGAGAGCGACTAAAGGGTGAAATATCCTTGAGCATAGCCACAGACAAAGTGGGAGGTGGATGTATCACCCAGAGCCCTGGAACTTCTGCCCTGTAACTAGGCCATAGCCAAATCAGAGTGGCTCTTCGGCAGCACCATACTATAAGAGATTTTATCCACAGTTACTATGGACAGAAACCACTGGCCAGCCTTCCCACACTATCAAGATTTTCCCTTTGGGACCTCTCCCATTTAGGATGGGCAGCACTCTGTTTACTAAAACTGAGGCCAATGTGGGTTTAAGATGCCAGGGCCATCTAGTACTCAAAAGGAGGCAGCAACCTAGCAGATAAAAAGAGAAAAGAATAGGTAAATTACAAAGAATTCCTAGGCAATGATATTCAATAAAAAGTAAAACAAGCCAGTTAGAGAAAACTAGAACAAATAACTAATCCTTTAATACAAAGAAACAGATATGGATCCCCAAAAATCAACAACAAACAGGGAACCATGACGTTCTCAAATGAACAACGCAGGGAACCAGTAACTAGCTCAAATGAGACAGCAATATGTGGACTCTCTGACCAAGAGTTAAAATTAACAGTTTTAGAAAATTCAGTGATCTTCAAAATTACAAAAAAAAATTCAGAAATTTATCAGAAAAACTTAACAAAGATATTACAATAATTTAAAAAATCAAACAAATATTGGAACTGAGAAATGCACTTGCTGAACTTTAAAATTTGTTAGAGGACATCAACAGCAGGATGAATCAAGCAGAGGAAATAATCTGTGAGCTTGAAGATAGGCTACTTGAACATAAACATTCAGAAAAGAAAAAAGAGTAAAAAGTAATGAAGGTTGCATGCAAGATAGAGAATTACTTCAAAGACCAAATCTAAGAATCTTGGTGTTCAAGAGGGAGTTAAGCAGGAGCAAGTGGTAGAAAGCTTATTCAAAGAAATAATAACATAAAACATTCTAAAATTTGAGAAAGAGACAAATATCCAGGTACCAGAATGTCAGAGAACACCAAACAGATTCAAAACAAATAGGACAACCCCAAGACATATAACAAGCAAATTCTCAAAGGACAAGGACAAAGAGAGGATTCTAAAAGCAGCAGCACCAAAACAAAAGAAGCAAATAACATATAAAGGAGCTCCAATGATCAGGCAACAGCCTTCTCAACAGAAAATACAGAGGCTGGGAGGGAGTGAAACAACATTTCAAAGTGCTCAAAGAAAAAACCTGGCATCTAAGAATAGTGTATCCAATAAGGTGAGAGAAAGATTTTTCCAGACAAAACCTGAGAGAGTTCACTACCACCATACTTGCCTTATAAGAAATGTCAAAGGGAGTTCTTAAATCTAAAAGAAAAATTACTAACGTGCCAAAATAAAACATTTGAAAGTACAAAACCTACACTAGTAAAATTAAGTACATGAGCAGATACAAAAAGATATAGTACCATAATTGTGATGTGCAATCCACTCATAACTCTAGTATGAAGCCCAAAAGACAAATGTATCAAAGTAATAAAACTTACAGCAACCTGTTAAGAAATAGGTAATATAGAAATATATACATGAAGACAAAATAAAGTCAAAATGTTTGTTTGCTTGGGGGTGATGGAGTTAAATTATAGAAGTATTTTTTTAATGTTTACTTTGTGTCTATTCTTTTCTTTATGATCTAAGTTGTCACCTTTTAAAAATAACTTATTATATCCATAAGATGTGTTTTGTAAACCTCATGATAACCACAGTGAAAAAAAACCTATAATAGATTACTTAAAAATAAAAAGTGCCGAATTCTAGTGTGCTACCAGAGAAAATTGCTTAACCACAAAGGAAGGCAGTGTCAAAGGAAAGAAGAAAGAAAAGATTACAAACAACCAGAAAACAAACAACAAAATGGCAGTAGTAAATCTCTACTCATCAGTAACAAGGAATGTAAATGGACTGAATTCTCCAATTAAAAAGTCTATAGGAAACCAACTTTACCTATAAGGACACATAGAGACTGAAAGTGAAAGAGTTAAAAAAGATATTCCATGCAACTGGAAACCAAAAATGAGCAGGAGTAGCTCTACTTATATCAGATAAAATAGACTACAAATCGAACACTGTAAGAAGGGACAAGGTTACTATACAATGAAAAATAGGTCAATTCAGCAAAAGGATGTAACAATTATAAATATCTATGCACCCAACATCAATGCCCTCAAGTACATAAAGCAAACTTTAATAGATCTAAAGAGAGAGATAGACTGAAATACAATAATGGTAGGGGACTTTAACTCCTCATGTGCGGTAATGGACAGATCATCCAGACAGAAAACCAACAAAGAAATATTGTTGTTAATTACTTAGTAGACCAAATAGTCCTAACTGACATTTATAGAATGTTGCCTCCAACTGCTGCAGAATACACACTCTTTTCATCAGCAATTGGAACATTCTCCAGAACAGACCACATCTTAGGCCACAGAACAAGTCTCAAGAAATTTGAAAGAGTAGAAATCATATAAAGTATCTTTTCTGACCCCAATGGAATAAAATTAGAAATCAATAACAAGAGGAACCTCAAAAAATACACAAACATGGGAAACGTAAACAACATGCTCCTAAATGACCAAGTGGTCAATGAAGAAATTATAAAGGAAATCAATCAATTTCTTGAAACAAATAAAAATGGCAAAACAACATATCAAATCTAAGGGCCCAGCAAAAGCACTATTAAGAGGGATGTTTATAGAAATAAACAGCTATATCAAAAAAGTAGAAAGACTTCAAATAAACAACTTAAGGTTGTACCTCTTGGAGGAAAAAAAAATTAGTAGAAGGAAGGAAATAATGAAGAACAAAGCAGAAACAAATGAAATTGAGACTAGAAAAACAATACGGAAGATGAACAAAACAAAAATTTGGCTTTTTGAAAAAAGAAACAAAATCAGCAAACCTTTAGCTAGACTAACAAAAAAAAAAAAAAAAGAAGAACCAAATAAGTAAAATTAGAAATGAAAATAGAAATGAAACAACTGAGATCACAGAAATACAAAGAATCATTAGACATCATCATTAACATAAACAAATGCCAACAAATTTGAAAATCTAGAATAAATAGATAAATTCCTGGACACATACAGCCTACCAAGATGGAACCTTGAGAAATAGAAAATCTTAGCAAACCAATAATAAGTAATAAAATTGAAGCCATAATAAAAAGTCTCCCACCAAAGTAAAGCCTAGGACCTGATGGTTTCACTACTGAATTCTACCAAACATTTAAAGAAAAGCTAGTATTAGTCCTAATTAAACTCTTGAGAAAAACTGAAGAGGAAGGAATACTTCCAAACTTATTCTACAAGTCAGGCATTACTGTAGTTCCAAAACCAGACAAGAGCAGAACAGCAACAATAACAAACTACAAGTAAATATCACTGATGAACACAGATGCAAAAATCTCCAATAAAATGCTAGCAAACTGAATTCAACAACACATTAAAGAAATTATTCACCGTGATTGATTGAGATTCATCCCCGGGATGCAAAAATGATTCAACATATGTAAATCAATAAATGTGATACATTACATTAACAGAACCAAGAACAAAAGACATATAATTTCAATAGATGCTGAAAGAACATTTGATGATAAAATTCAACAGCCTTTTGTGATAACATTCTTTTATCAAACTGGGTGTGAAAGGAACTGACTTCAACATAATAAAGACCATATATGACAAACTCATAGCTAACGTTGTACTAACTGGGGAAAAATTTAATACCTTTCTCCTAAGATCTGGAACAAAACAAGGAAAGCCAATTTTGCTACTTTTGTTCCACATAATACTGGAAGTCCTGGCCTAAGTAATTAGTAAAGAGAAATAAACAAAGAAAATGCGGCTGGGCACGGTGACTCACGCCTGTAATCCCAGCACTTTGGGAGGCCGACGTGGGTGGATCACTTGAGGTCAGAAGTTTGAGACCAGCCTAACCAACATGGTGAAACCCTGCCTCTATTACAAGTACAAAATTAGCCAGGTGTGGTGGTGTATGCCTATAATCCCAGCTACTTGGGAGGCTGAGGTAGGAGAATCACTTGAACCTTTGAGGCGGAGGTTGCGGTGAGCTGAGATCACATTATTGCACTCCAGCCTGGGCAACAAGAGCAAAACTGCATCTCAAAAAAAAAAAAAAAAAAGAAAAAGAAAAATGCAAATTGGAAAGAAAGAAGTCAAATTAAGCTTGTTGACAGACAACATGACCTTATACTTTGAAAACCTAAAGATTCCATCAAATAGAACCAACAAACAAATTCAGTAAATGTCCAGGATTAAAAATCAGCGTACAAAAATTAGTAGCATTTATATATACACAACAATCTGAAAATGAAATCAAGAAAGCAATCCCAGTTACAATATCTACAAAGAACATAAAATACTTAGCAATCAATCTGACCCAAGAAATTAAAGATTTATACAAGGAAAACTATAAGACACTGATGAAAGAAATTGAAGAGGATACTAAAAGCTGGAAAGATATTTCATGTTCATGAATTGAAAGAATCAATATTGTTAAAATGACAATTCTACCTAAAGCAATTTATAGAGTCAATGCAATACTTATCAAAATACCAATAATGTTCTTCATAGAAATAAAGAAAAATTCTAAAATTTATATGGAACCACAAAAGACCTCAAATAGCTAAAGTAATCTAGAGTAAAAAGAACAAAGCAAAAGGCATCACACTATCTGACTTCAAAGCATACTGTAAAGCTGTAGAAACTTAAATCAGCATAATACTGGGATAAAAACAGACACATAGGGAACCCAGATATAAATCTGTGTATTTAGAGCCAACTCATTTTTGACAGTTTCCAGGAACATACAGTGGGAAAAGGACAGTGTCTTCAATAAATGGTACTGAGGAAACTAGATAACCATATGCAGAAGAATGAAACTAGACTCCTATTTTTCATCATATACAAAAATCAAATCACAATATGTTAACAACTTTAATCTAATACCTGAGATTTTGAAACTACTAGAAGAAAACTTTAGGGGACACTCTAGGACATTGGTCTAGGCAAATTTTGTGTGTGTGTGTGGGTAAGACCTCAAAAGCACAGGCAACTGAAGCAAAAATGACAAATGGGATTACAACATGCCAAAAAGCTTCTACACAGAGAAGAAAACAATCAACAAAGTGAAGAGGCAACACACAGACTGGGAGAAAATATTTGCAAACTATCTATCTGACTAGGGACTAATAACCAGCATATATAAGGAATTCAAACAGCACAATAGCAAAAAAAAAAAAAAGAATCTGATTTTAAAATGGAGAAAATATAGAAAATATCTGAGTAGATACGTGAGTAGGTATTTCTTAAAAGAATACATACACATGGCCAACTGGTCTATGAAACATCACTATCAGGAAAATGCAAATTAAAACCACAGTGAAATACCTCACCCCAGATAAAATGGCTTTTATCAACAAAACAGGCATAACAGATGCTGGTGAGGATGTGGAGAAAGGGGAACTCTCCTACACTGTTGGTGGGAATGTAACTTAGTATAGCCACTATGGAAAAGTGTATGGAGCTTCTCCAAAAAAGTGAAAACATAACTACCATATGATCCAGCAATTCTGCTGCTGGTTATATATCCAAAAGAAAGGAAATCAATATACAGAAAAGATATGTGCACTCTCATGTTTATTGCAGCACTGAATTTACAATAGCCAAAATATGGACTCAGTCTAAGTAGAACTAGGGGTCATTACGTTAAGTGAAATAAGCCAAACACAGACAGATGAATATCACATGGTTTCAATCATTTGTGGGAGCTGAAAAAGGTGGATCTCATGAAGATAGTGATTAGAATGATGGTAATCGGAGGCCAGGAAGGGTAGAGAAGGGAGGATGAAGAGAAGTTGATTAATGAGTACAATATACAGTTTGATAGAAGAAATTAAGACCTAGTGTTTGATAGATAGTAGGCTGACTACAGTTTAGGATAATCTATTGTATATTTCAGAATAGCTGGCAAATGTTTCTAGCATAAAGAAAAGACACATATTTAAGGTGATGGATATCCCAATTACACTGATTTAATCTTTATTAATTATGTGAATGTATTACATTATCACATGCGACCCCAAATATGTACATCTATTATGTATCAATAAAAAATAAAAACATTAAAAAGAACATACATATTATTCCTTAATACAGCATTAGATAATATTAAAAGCTACCATTTATTGGGCATTTACATTGTATCACTAAGGCTGTTACCCGATTTGCCCAAGGTGACATTGCTAATAAGTGAGGGTGTTGGTTTGATATAAATCCTCTGCTCTTGAACTTTAGATTCTCTCAGTCATGAATTGATGGCATTTGTGCCAGAGATAGGGTTGTGATATGATTTGTGTTGACTTGGTTTGCATATATAAAGCAAATAGTGGGCATCAAGGGTCATGAAAGTCCCTAGGGAAACTAAGGAAAATGAAAGACTGGCTGGAAAAAAAAAAAAAAAAAGAAACCACTCTTTCCCTCTCCCCTGCTGTGTGATCAGGTAACATGTCAGAAACATAGGTAGAATATCAAGTCCCTCCTGTTTCTGCTGTGTCACTCCTGGGAAAACTAGACTTTCTGCAATCTCTGCAGGATGTATTGGAGTAATCTAGCTCATCAGGAGGCCCAGACAGATTGCAATACTTTGGGAATGTGCACTAAGTCAGAGGGGGAGCGGGGAGCTTCTGTGAGCTGCAGGAGACAGATTCCTTTTGGTTAAAGAATGGCCTCACAATCTTCTGCTTCCTGGCTGCAGCCTCTGCTGCTGCATTCACATTAGCATGAGCTCCCCAGAGATTATCTCTTCTCAGAGCTTGGAACAGAACCCTGTTCTCCAGGAAAAGTTAATTCACATCATATGGGGGAACAAATTACTCCCAGATAGTAGATTATTTTCTTTGTCTTTTCATAAGGTCAGACTCAATAATAAAAATCTTAATGATGATGATGATAATGACACTATAGAAATGCAAAGTCTTTGGATTGTTATTCTTGCACAAAACCATTTAAGAATCCTAATTTTACTGCATACTTATATTGGCCAGGCAGTTGTTTAGTTTTCCTTCATCATATTCTTTTGTCACTGATGTATTGAGTTTCCAGATGCTTATTGTACTCTGTGACTAATTATCTATTGGAACAATTATATTAACTACCCTATCACTTGAAAAATAGTTTTAAAAGTTTAAAAAGTAAAAGAAGAGTGATAAGATTATACTGAGTGGCATTTCCAAATTTTTTGGAAACACATATTGAAATTGTTAGAGAATAAAATGAATGTATTATACACAAAAAAGAAACAAATGTAGTGAATTCACCTAACTCGGTATTGTATAAAAAGTTCTATAAAAGACACAAACAACTCTTATGTCAACTTTTTAAGTCCAATTTATAATAATGACATTAAAATGAGGGGAGAAGAAAACTACCTGAAACCAGGGTAAAATTTGTAGAAAATGTCTCTAGAGCCTTCCACAAATGTGTTATATCTGCCTTGCACACACATTAGCAGAATACAATCAAAGAAAATCCTCAGCAACCCTAAGGAATGCCCTTTTATTCTCTGGTGCAGACTTGTCCTTCCAGAAACCATCCACCACTTTCTTTCGATTGTTCATAGTCCACTTTCTCTGGAGAAACACAAGACAGGTTTCTGGTTCATAATGGCTCATACCTTTCCCCTCCAATTTTGCAGCCAGAACCCGTGTATATTTCACACCCTAAGTGGGATCAGCCTTCTGAATTCCAAATGAACTTTTCATGGGTCCAAAGTGCAGTTTGCAAATATTCTCTTCTTCCATATATCTGCATTCTTTCTAAGGCAGGTGTGAGGTAGGTGAGTTTAATCACTTTGCAGTGCATAAGGGATTAAAGGTTTATAGGTTTTTCTTGGGCTGCAGTTCCACAGTCCCCTCTTTTCTTCTCCTTCTCTTCTCCCTCCCCCATTGCCTCTGATTCTCCCACCCCCCACCCACTCCAGGGCCTTTGGGGTAACTCTGTTGCTTTCTGATATGATTTTCTTCTGGCAAATGAGTTAAAGTGTTAGAGACTGGCTCTATATTTCCTCTCTTAAAAGTAAAATCAAACTGCAAAATCAGCCCACAGGAAGAAGTAATTTCAAAAGCCATGGCTCACGTTCCACAAGCCTCTTGAGCTCTCTCATCTCCCCCCTCAACAATGCACCCCTAGGGCCCATCGAAGTCAGGCTTTCCAAAAGGCCCCAGTGAAAGTGGCAAGCAGCTCCTGAGTTGTTTTCCTGTCAGAAACAAGGGGTTCTCGTCACTTGTCATGGCTGCGTAGCCACTTTCAGAGTCTATTTGGAAGCTTTTGGCCTCTACTGCCAAGAAAGCGCTGAACTGTTGGTGTGGCTGGACAGTGAAATGGTGACTTGGTGAGAGGAAAAGTCCGGGAATTTAATTGTACTCATCTCTCTTCTCTTTACAAAAAAGAGGAGAAGATTTTCTAGTTTTAAGTTTCAATCCATATCAATAAAGTTGAGAACTGTGGGTAATACAAAGAAAATCGTTTCTTTGTGTGTTTTTTTGTTTGTTTTTGTTTTTGTTTTGTCTCCCTCAGTGTATGCTGGGTGTGGCTAGAGCCTTGGAGACTCCATTGCCTCTCCTGTCCTTCATGTCTCTGCTGACTTGTAACAAGGAGTATCATTTTCAGACTGAGATACAAGGAGTATGTTTCATACTGTGTTACAAGGAGTATGATTTTCAGACTGATTCAGAAAACTCAAAAAGCAAGGTTTTGAGCTACACTCTTTGTAACAACATGTTACAAGGGGCATGATAGATAAGTGTCCTGTGATTGAGAGATTCCCAGATTGTTAAAACAATCTCCTGTGAGCTTTAGGTATATTAGATTAAAGGAGTAATACCTGGAAGTTCTGAAATAGGAGAAAGAAAATAGAACAAGCTATGCATTGCAGTGTGCGCATGTATGTGTTTGTATAAGACAGCAGATACCATACATTGTGATTCTAAGATGCTTTTTTTCCCCAATTTTAAAACTTCAGATATTGGGATATATCATACAGTCACTGTGCTCTGAAAGAACGGTGTCAGAATAATCAGCAGTGTTTTTTTTTTCCTTTCATAGGGTCACACAAAATATTGGGTGAGTCTTTTAATTGATCAGAGTAGAAAGTCACGGGAGAGGGTGAGAATAATGGAGAGGGTGGCACAGCTAGGGCTTAGAGAGAAGACGACCTATAAAGGAGAAATTCTTGTTAACCTGAGGCTTCTGGCACTTTGCTACTTGGTTGCTAAATCTGATCTACCCTCACACTATGGCAGATAAGGTTACTGTCACACACACAATTTTCTCTCCCCTTTAGTGATAATGTAAGGTTGTTCCAGGGAAGTGACAACCAAAGAGGAGACCATCTTTCCCAGGGTTGTCCTCCGTGGCCTCCTTGCATTCAGAGATAACCATGTGATTGATTCTTTTTTTTTCTTTTTTTGTCTTAGAGTGTAAACATAAGTGATGAGTATCTAGAAAAGAGTTTTTAAGTAATATTTCTTTTCCACACTCTTCTGTCTCCTTTTATCTGTTGGATGCAAACAATAATAATGAAACCTTGGGGGATCAGAGAGCCAAGGGATGTGAACCTCCTAGCTGTCCATAACACCAAGTCAAAACGAGCTGCCCACCAATAACATGAGTGATAAATAAACTTCTATTGTATTTAAGACATTATATATTTTTTGAATCCATTTGTTACAGTTGATATTACCCTTACTCATCTATTCACATTACTGTAAGATATCAAATGCAAGGCAGGAAATTAAAAGTTGGATGTTCTAGAATTTGAGGAGGGGGCTTAATTTTTTAAAAAATATCCAGCCAAAAGAAAGGAAAAAGGAATATTTAGGAGGTCCAAATATATCTAAAAGCACTTCAAAAGCAGTTCTAAAGTAGAAAGGATGAGAATTTATTTGAGTCCACGTGGCTTATATATGAATCATCAGTGAAAGTTAGAGAGGATAGTTTCAGCTTAATTTAATAAATGCATTCTAATTAATTACTATATTCTAAGTGGCCTTGCCAAATAGCACTCCCTGGCACTAATTTTGAATGAACATCTAAGGACATTCATGCTTTAGACAGAGTGAAGAAAAGATGATGTCTGAGGCAGCATTCCTCTCTGAGTGTTTATTATGTATGTGTAAGTAGCATTTTGATGTGGTGGAGTGTTAAATGTTACGCAGTCTTGATGACAAAGACTAAAATCTTCTATGTGGAAATATTCTGCTAGACAAGTAAAGGGAATGAATAGCTTCATATTTTCTTGACTAAGTGGGTAAATTTCAAAGTCAGGAAAATGCCATAGGATTCTTCAGGTGTTGCTTCACCAGCCAGAAACCTCTGTGGCTGGTGGTGCCTCGGCGGCTGGTGGTGCCTCTGCTTGAGTCTTGCTCGCACCCACTGGGCTCGTTTTACCCACTTGGCCCAGCAGGCTGTGCTTGGCTCGTGCTACTGGCCGAGATCCCATGCCTGCCAAGGGTGAGCCAGGCACAGAGTGGTGAGGGGCGTGTGAGTGAGTGAGCACAGGTCTGGCCTCTGTGCACAGCCAGGCACGCTGGCTGCTGTGGTGGGGCAGGCAGCTCCAGGTGCTGGCACAGGCACTGGCCCCAATCAAGGCTGTGACTGGACCAGATGTATTTCAAGCAGCCTCCACTGCAGGCACCAGCATCTGGATGAGGGAAACACAGTGATGCCTGAAAGTTTGGAGATGCCAGGAACTGCAGAGCCCCAAAGAGGATGTTACAAGTTACAACATGTTACAACCCTGGCTCAGGGATCCTCTAGATCTGGGTTCCCAGCAGGGCCACAGCTCTTCTCTCCTTCTTGTTCTTCTTGTTGTCTGCAGCCTGGCCAGCCGGGGAGAGGGGGTGGGGTGGGGCGGGCAGGGACCATGTATGGAGGGGCATGTTTCAACCCATCTGTGTTGCAGCTCTTTCAGTCTCACCATCCCACTCTGGCCCATGGCTCCTGGGCTGGCCTGGCCCTGCTGCTGCTTTTTGTCATATGGGGCAGCCATCTGTTACTGGCAAAGGGTGGGAGGTCTATATTATTAAGCTCTGGCTTCGGGAATCCCAAGGTGTGGGCCCCCAGAAGGCTCACTGACACAGTTTAGCTCTGTGTCCTCACCCAAATCTCACCTTGTAGCTCTCATAATTCCCACTTGTTGTGTGAGGGACCTGGTGGGAGATGATTGAATTATGGGGGTGGGTCTTTCTTGTACTATTCTCGTGATAGTGAATGGGTCTTATGAGATCTTAATGGTTTTAAAAACAGGAGTTGCCCTGCACAAGCTCTCTCTTTGCCTGCTGCCATCCATGTAAGATATGACTGGCTCCTCCTTGGCTTCCTCCATGATTGTGAGCCCCCCCACAAGCCATGTGAAACTCTAAGTCCAATAAACCTCTTTCTTTTGTAAATTGCTCAGTCTTGGGTATGTCTTTATCAGCAGAATGAAAATGGACTAATACAGTAAATACTCTTCACTTCTGCAGTCCACCTACATCTCAGCAAGTCAGCCAGGAACATGTTACAACTCCTTTTGCTCCTGCCATTTGGTGGTTCTTAAGTTCTTGTCCCATATCCCAGAAAAATGAGGTTAAGCAGACAACTGGAGGGTGAGCAAGGCAGAGAAGAGCTTTATTGAGTGACCAAACTTCTCCCCAGTGGAGAGAAGACCTGAAGTGGGTACCTCCTATCCACAGGCAGGTAGTCCCAACCATTGTCTGAGTCTGGCTGAGTTGAGAGTTTTTATGGGCTCAGAATGGAGGAAGTGTGTGCTGATTGGTCACATAAGCAGGAGAAAGTGTGTGCTGATCAGTCTATGAGTGGGCCCAGAGAAAGCACCAATCGATTGGCTGAAAAGCATCAAGAAAGTTATCACTCCAGGTTGCGGACTTCACCTGGAAAGGGCAGCCCAGCCCCCAGGCTTCAGGCTGTCCCTGGCTGGAAGGCTGGGTTTTACTGGGGACCTGCACTTTCCCACCTAGGAACCTCTCTGCCTCCCACCACCATCAACATGCTGTCCACAGTGCACAGGCTGTGCTGAGGGGTGCCTGCAGGCCCAGAGCCACCCTCAGGCCTTCCCACCCCTGGCCACATCCTCACTCTTGTGCTAGTTGGTGCTCAAAGTTTTAGCCTTAGAAGCAGTTTCCAGAGGGGGCAGAGGCAGTGGGGAGGCTGGCATATCAGTGCTGCCCCAACCACATGCACACCCGGTCAGGTCACGACAGTGCCCAGGCTCAGTTATCAGGACGTGTCCACAACTTCGCTCCACTGTGAGGCAGGGGCTGGAAGAGGCCAGGGATTGGAAGCAAGCATTTCCAAGCCTATGGGGACAGGGTACTGTCCAGGCCCCTGAGAGTACAGGGAGGCCTGGGTCTGGAGCCACAGCTGGGTGGCTGCAGTCACCCCTGGGAGCACAGGCTTCTGCCACTCCCAACTTGGTAGGGTGCAGGCCCCCTGCCGGGATCACCTATTTCTGGGCCCCGTTGGCTCTATAGAGTGCGCAGCCCTGGCTGCACCTACCCCGCTGCTTATGGTGTCCTCGCAGTGGCCACTCCAGACAGACCACCATGGCCATTAAAAAGATAATGAAAAGTTATTGTGAGTAGGAAATCATTTAGTCAATAAACATTTGATAAGCACTTAGGATCTAGATGACACCATTTTATGCAAGTACAGGGCATGGCTCCCGTTCTCAAGGTCATTATGATCTATTGGGGAAGACAGGGTTTGTTCACTTTTGAATATTTATTATTATCCATTGTAAGATCACCAGGGCAAGTGGAACATACCAAGGAGACAGCATACTAGAAGGAAATAAGCCCCTATTTGTAGTCAGAAGAACAAAATTCAAGGTTTGTTTCTGCCTCTGACTGGTTATGAGGTCTTTAGTAACTTATTAATATTTTGATACTCAATTAATTTTATTTTTATCATAAACATAATGCATATTTATATTTCAAAATTTGGAAACATTCACAGCTTTATAACATTTAGTGAACATTAACCATTACTTCCAAACTCAGAGAGTGACTTAATAATTTTTGATGGTCTCTTCCAAAAAGTATTAGGCATCTATAAAAATAGACTATTTTTTTATCTACAGATTTGAAGTTACAAGTATTCTTACCCCAAAGATAAAGTTTATATGGCAGACACATGTGAAGGTAAGGGTGATTATAAATAGAGATCACAGACAGGATTCCTAAGCAGATAATCCTGAACCTTCAAGCAGTGCCAAGGGAAATACACTTGGTGGAGAGAAGAGGAGGCAGTGCCTTGACTCTTTATATTTAAAAAAATAAAAAGATGAAAGGATGAATAAACCTTTCAAAGCTTTCTAAAAATTCAGAAAGAGAAGGAGGAGGAAAATCCCAACCCAAAATTTTGTGTCTTTTTGTACCTCATACCATTTAACTCTCACAATAGTTCTGTAAGGGTGATTACTGTGTTATTGTCCCATTTTACAGATAAAAATATGAAGAAATAGAGCTCATATAACTTGTATGTCCTGGAGGCTGAATTTGAAACTACATTGTATGAATCCCAAACCTCTGTTTTTCCCTCCAATATGACTCATAGAAATACCCTAGAAGAGAGGGAAGTGTTTTCTGCTAACTGCCAAAATAGATTAATCATTAATAAAAGAAAAGGGTGTAAGGAAATTAATGAACAATTTCTTTCTGTTACAAGCCTCTCTTTTACAAGCATTTGCTTAGCAAATTGTGTATTTTGGCATTGGGTTGAAATGCTTAATCACCTTTCCATTCTCTCCTCCCACTTAAATAAGAGTTAAGGGGAAGGCAGGAAAAAAGTTTAGTCAGGCAAAGGAAGCAACTGGTACCTTCTTAACATTAAAGGAGCTATTTCCTTCTGTACTTGGAAGAGGAAAATGTAGCTAGTGGGGCTGTCTAGGACCTCTGTGTCTGAGGGAATCACTTATTTTCTCCTCACTGGGAAATGTATGTAGGGAGACAGATAATTCCTTCTCATAAATTGATTGTAACTAAGGTTGTCAGAGCTGGCAAATAAAAATTCAACAACATGGATGAATCTGGAAGACGTTATGCTAAATGTGATTATGCCTCATGTAAGTGAGATATTTGGTCTTCTGTGACTGGCTTAATAGCTACAGTGAGCTATAATTGTACCATTGCAATCATGGTGAAATATCTAAAATAGTTCAACCAGGCCAGGTGTGGTGGCTCATGCCTATAATCCCAGTGCTTTGGGAGGCTGAGCCAGGAGAACCACTTGAGGCCAGGGGTTTAGCATCAGCCTGAGCAACATAGTAAGATCCTATCTCTACAAAAAAAAAAAAAAAAAAAAAATTGGCATGATGGGTTATGCCTGTAGCCCCAGCTACTTGAAAGGTTGAGGCAGGAGGATCACTTGAGCCCAGGAATTTGAGGCTGCAGTGAGCCATGATTGCACCACTGTATGCCAGCCTGGGTGACAAAGTGAGACCTTGTCTCACTCTCAAAAAATAAAAAAAAATAAATAAAATAGTCCAATTCACAGAAACAGAGTATAATGATGGTTGCCAGAGCCTGGGAGAGATGGGGATGGGGAGTTGTTCAATAGGTTTGAAGCTTCAGTTTTTTAAGATGAACAAGTTCTAGAGATCTACTCTACAATATAGTGCCCTTAGTTGACAATTCAGTATTGTACATGTAAAAATTTAATAGCATCTCATGGTAAGTGTTTTTACCACAAAATTCAAAATAACAAAAAAAGGGGAAAGAAGAAACTTTTAGTGGTGATGGATATATGTATTACCTTGATTTTGGTGATGGTTTCACAGATGTATGTGTATCTCCAAACTCATCAAATTGCACAAGTTGAATGTGTCCAGTTATTTGGCATATCAATTATACCTCAATACAGCTGTTTAAAAAAGAATATGGAGGGTCTAATTATATTTGAATTTCAGATAAACAATGAATTTTTTTAGTATAACCCAAATTTTTAGTATATGTGCCAAATTATACTAAATGATTATTTATTGTTTATCTGAAAATCAGTTTAACGTGAAGCCCTATATTTTATCTGGCAACCCTAATTGTAATTGATAGTCATTCATCATGGCTAGCTACTGCTAAAAGTCAAAGGAAAAAACAAAGAGTGAAAAACCTCAAAACCTAAATGCTGCCCAGGCCTCACATTTATCTCTGCTGGAATGTGAACTGGAAGCATGACCTAAAACTCTATCCACAGGCTCATCTCAATTTCTGGCTAGTAGATTTTCTGGGCTGTTCAGCCCAAGCATCCTAATTTAAAGTGCTTTCTGTGGTTATAGTTGGAGGAAATAATTGTGCTTATAATTCAGTGTAAATAATAAAATCAGTCCCTTAACTGTGCTCTCTGAAATAAATTTGCAGTTTCTATCTCTGTATATTTTATGTTTATTCATAATTTATTACTACCGTATTGATAATGTAGGAGTTAGCAGATTAGATGACAGAATAGTTGTACTTATCTCTGAGATGATGAAAACAAAACATCTTGTTAATCAATCATCCTGCTAGACACTTAGCCAGATTCTCTCCTAAGAGAATCTCTCCAGATCCATGTCATTACTGAAAGAGAAAGTAAAAACAAACAAACCAAAAAAGGGCTTGTTATACATGGACTCACTCCCAATTTGTGGTTCTCTGAAGGTCACAGCCATTTGCTAGTGAATGAAGTTTCAGGACTTACTCCTTCAACCTGCTTCTGCTCACTGTTATATTACTGAAGTACTGAGCAGTGAGTAAATGTATTAACCAGATATTTGCAGAGTCAGTTTCATTCTTTTTATTCAATTACCCATCATCTTAAAGAGGATGGGTTTTGCAAAAGTTTAGGTATATCTGGAATGCCATCTGGGAAAATAAGTAGTCTTGAGGCTGCAGAATTCGTAGGCTTCCACACTGAAAACTTAGTCTACGAAAGGTTTCAGAAATTCTTTCACAATTATAGTTTCTAATTAGCTCACATTATTTATATTACTTGGTCCCCAACCAAATGGCCACACCTGGAGGAAGGTTCAAACGGGCCAAATTTTATTTAATTGAGTTTAAATAAGATAAACAATATCGAACTAACGACTTAATCGCTCTTTACAGTTTACAAATGATTTCATTTTGAGATTATCGTATTTAATCTTTTGTGTTATCTCCAACCCTCCTCTCTGCTATTGTTACATATAAAAAAGTGTGAGATTCCCCTGGGCTAAGGTCACACAATGAACACGTTGCTCCAGGCACCACACTTAAATAACTTTATGTAACAACCACAACAACAAATACTGTAATGATGCAAATAATAGTAAAATGATCCAATAACAATTAACAAGCAGTTACTGAGGCAGGAGAATAGGGTCCAGAGACAAGGAACCTAAGGCTGATTCACGCTGAATTCCTAGAACTGAATCAAAAGGAAAACCCCACCTCTCCACACCCAAGTAACAAAACGATCAGTTACCTTTGCATTGGGCTGCAGATGAAAAATGGGAGGTACCTCTGATTGGTCCCCTCCTGCAACCAATCAGGCTGGTCAAGGGCCAATTCTTCTTGTGTAACTTTGTAACTTCACTTCAGCCTCTGATTGGTTGTCTCCCACAACCATTATGACGTGGTGGGCCACTCCTTCCTTTATGTAGGGTGTAATCAAATACCCAGTGGGAAACCTCTAAAGGATATTTAAGCCCCAGAAAATTCTGTAACTAGCTCTCTTGAGCCACTTGCACAATCCCACTCCTAGTCTGTGGAGTGTACTTTTGTTTCAATAATTCTATGCTTTTATTACTTCATTCCTTCATTTTTTTTGTGCATTTTGTTCAATTCTTTGTTCAAAACACCAAGAACCTGGACAACTCGTAGTCAAGAACCTCCACTGGTAACATTACTATATGCTTGGCCCTGTTCTAAGGACTGGAGTGTGTATGGTTATTCACAGAAGCAGAAACAGGCTCAGAGACGTGAAAAAATTTTCTCGCATTTTCAGAGCTGGAAAGAAGTGGAACCTGGATTTAAACACAGGCAACTCTAGAGCCTCAAGTTCCACTATGATCCTTATTAGAACATTAAAACGTCCAACACAAAGAAATGATACATGTTTGAGGTGATTGATATGTTAATTACTCTGATTTGATCATTATACAATGTATACACATACTGAAATATCACACTGTAGTCCATAAATGTGTATAATTATTATGTGTCAACTAAAAATAATAATAAAAGAGAAAAAAAGAAATGTACCGTCAGGTTTCCAGATCCTATCTCAGAGTCCTATCTGAGAATGCCAGACCACCTTCTAACTGAAACCAGTACCCTTCACTATCCTAAAGCCCATCATTTGAGGAAGGTGAGCAAGGTATTTATTGGCATTTGTTACATTTGCCTTTTCTGATAGCTAAAGATACTAACTCTCATGTCTGTGGCGGATTTGTTTTTTTCTACTTGTGATTTGCACCCTAATTTTGCTTGTGGTTCCTGAGGTATACAAGTTTGTTTGTTTGTTTTAGTATGTAGCTAAAAAACAAAACAAAACATTTGGTGGGAAAAAATACCTTTTCCATGCCACAACAGTGTTTGTTTGGTAAAACAGTTTCCAGAAACATTTCCCTATATCCTCATGCCTTCCTTTAACAGATGTTTGCCCAGAGCCCTGTGAGACTCTGGGGACACAAAGACAAATGGCGTCTCTAGCACGAAGCATGCTGGAGCTGGGAAGTTGGTGAGGAAGCAAATCATTTCAGTGCAGCCCAGGGACACTATAGTGAACTATGAGGGCACCCAGAGGACAGAGCCAACTCTCTGGAGGAACTTGGGTGAGTCAGGAACTGGGGGATGATTAGGGAAGGCTTATAGAGGAGGTGACATGAGCCAGGGGTGGAATAAAGGAACAAACAGATAAGTGAGGGTAAGGGTGTTTCACGCTAAGGGAGCAACTAGTGTAAGACATCAACTTAGGACACAACAGGGTACATTTACAATATCACAAGTAAATCCACAACCTGGAGCTAGGGCTAGGGCTGTGTTGTAGAGATAAATGTGTGGGATGAGTCACTGCGCAGGCAGTGGCTTCCTAGGATACAGCAAGGTTTTAAGTAGGCAAATGACATGCTTGTATTTGTATTTTGGAAAAAGTATCACCTAAGTATTCAGGAAGGTACAACTAAAGAAAGAAACCCCCTTTTTTGTGTTTAGACTCAGTTAACTTTAGATATTATTCCTTCTTAATTTAAAATGATAGGGATGTCATTAAAAGGCCTGACCTAAGGATGATTCTTTTTGTTTGCTTGTTTGTTTTTGTTTTTTTGTTTAGGGAAGTTGCCTGGTTTTTCTGAGGCCCTCCTAATTTCCTTTTACTGATTTTTTTTTTCTAACCTTTATTGAACACTTATTATTTGTCAGGTATTGTGTTGGTGAACATTGTGGTTATCTTTATTTTATAGAAAAAAGGAGTTGAGATTTAGAGAGGTTAAATTATTTGCCCGAAGGCACACAGTTAATTAGTGATAAAGTTAAGTTTTAAACTGTGAGATTGTAGAGTTTGTTCTTTATGCTATTTTTAAACTACATTATCCTGATGCTGCCTGTGGATAAGAACTTGCCTTGCATTTTAATTACACTCTGGAGGCCAGGGGAGCACCCACTTTTAAAAATAATTTGCCTGTAGTTACTACTTGACCATACTTTATATATGAAACAGAAGCTACCCTCTGTGTTTTAATGATGATTTGAAAGATAGTCAATCTTTCCTTTCCAGGTGCTAGCCAAGGTTGAGCTTCCGGCATTGACCCTATGTCAACAAAGTTGAAAAATATGGAATATAATGCAGATTTCACAGCTGAAAATGTCCTTGGGAACAGTTATTCCAGTGTTTTCCAAAGTGAACTGTAAGGTCCCATCACTGTGGAATCTTAACAAGTGTTAAGTGATAAAAGTTTTCTGTGGCCAAATAATGAAGGAAACATTGGATTAAACGTAGTTGACAGCTTTTCCTCCTTTTTGGGATTTCGTAGAGAATTTAGCATATAGCAGATCTTTGAATAACATCATTTTATTCAACATTGTTTTGCTATAAAAAAAAATAGATTCCCAGCCAGGGCTATTATGTGGAGTTTGCAAGTTCTCCCCACATCTGTGTGGGATTTCTCCAGGTACTCTGGTTTCCTTGGACATCTCAAAGATGTTTATATTATGTGATGTGGTCCCTAACATGGTCCTCATCTGAGCGAGTGTATGTGTGTGTGTGAATGTGCCCTTCCATGGGATAGCCTCTTGTCCAGGGTTGGTTCCTGCCACTCACCCTGAGCTACCAGGATAGGCTCTGGCACTTCTGGCAACTCATGATCATTAATTGAAAATATTATTAACTAATTATCCTGCTTGTTTTTATTAATCTTTTAAAAATGCTTATATATCTCACCTTGCAATATTTAATATTAAGAGTGTTTTTCGTCTTTACTTAGAAGTTTGGTGAAGGTCTTGTGATGAGAAATATGCTGTAGAAACTTACATCTTGTTTATTGCAATTAGCCTGTGGTAAAATTGGTTTTGTTATACGTCATTTCCCTTAACGTCTTTGTTTCCAGGAACCCTTTGATGACATCAAGTGAGGACTTACAAGATAAGATTGTGAGTCCTCAAGATTCAAAAACACAGTGTCTTTCAACCTGTTTGTTTCCTAAAACATCTTTTCTGACCTCAGCTTATTTGAAACATACTGCCTTACCTTTGCTCAACAACTGCAACTCAGAGAAAACAAGTGTCTTAGATGACTCCAGACATTTTGTCTCCCAGGCCATTCCTCCAAATCATGCTACCGATACCATGTACATGAGAGGCCTCCTTGAATCCATCTCAGTCTAGGAATTGCCCCTCCCCTTCGGGACAGTGCAAGAAGAGAAGTGCTACATGATAACTTGCTAGAAGAAAGCAACTTTCCAACAGCCACAAAGCAAGAAGGGCAATATCCCAGGAAGAGAGAGATTACACTCAGTTTTTATATCCCAAACACATTAGCAACCAGGATACTGGGCCTACCACGAAGAGTCCTGCTTGCACTTTCTAGTCAAAAGCATCTGGTGGAGGCTGCTTTGGGCAATCCATTTTATTTTAAATATTCATTCTCTTAGTAAATTTAATCTTCGTCCTTGGAATTCTCTATATTTTCTTAGTTATGATGAGAGTGAACAGCTGGGCCATTTTGTTCACTCTGTAGCCAGTGTTCAGTTGCGTCCCCAGCCCCCACTCCCCTTTTTTCCCAGACAGTGCCTGGCTCACTTTGTCTGGCTACTGTCTGACATGTCAGCTGACACTACCTCAGCTCCCAGCTGTTCTTCTCTTTCATACTATGGATTGTTCTTTGCATTAGACTCAAGCATGGTTTTGCACTTCCAGAGGGCTAATCTGTTTCCATGGCAACCTTTAAAATTGAGTAATTTGATGCAAGACCTGTCTAAAACTTTTTTTTGCTAAAAGTTTTTGCATGTGTGCAAAAATACACATGTGCAGTTCCAAGCTCAGCGCTGCTTTCAGACAGAAAGTTCATAGAAAACCTGACCACATTTTCAATTAGCAGAAAGGTTCTGCCAGCTTTCTGGGTTTTTAAAAATACATTTTCATTAAGAATTTAAGTAAGAAAGTGTATTTTATGAACAACATTTAGGCTAAAAGTTATAAACAGAAAATAACAAACTGGAGACTCTTTCATGTCAGTTTTAATATGGCCATATTTAACAGATGGGACCACAAACTTCTAACAAGATAGCAATTGAAAATGTGGAATATATAAAAGTTGCACTAGCTAATGTGACTATTCAGTTCTTAACTTGGATACTGACTGTTCATCTTTAATGTTGGATGGTTTTTCAGCAACATAATTTTCTTCAGATAAGCAAAAATATTAAAGTTAGAAAACTTAGTAAAAAAATATATACTTTAGGCTGGGCACCGTGGCTCACACCTGTAATTCCAACACTTTGGGATGCTGAGGTGTGTGAGTCGCTTGAGCCCAGGAGCTTGAGGCCAGCCTGAGCAAGATAATGAAACCCTGTCTCTAGAAAATACAAAATAAATAAATAAATAAACCAGACATGGTGGTGCATGCATGTAGTCCCAGCTACTCAGGAGGTGGAAATGCGAGGATCGGTTGTGCCTGGGAAGGTCGAGGCTTCAGTGAGCCATGACAGCGCCTCTGTACTCCAGCCTGAGTGACAGAGTGAGTCTCTCTCTCTCTGTCTGTCTATATCTATCTATCTATTTGTCTATCTATCTATCTATCTCTCTATATATATGTATATATACACATACACACACATATATAGATGTATGTATATATATGTATATGAACTAAAATGTATTTTTGTCCCATCTATGTAATGTGTTTTAATTCAACTTAATAAACATTTATTTAAGACAGAGAGAGAAACACAGAGAGAGAGAGAGAGTTTCATTCTGTCACCCAGACTGGATATATGTATACATACATGTACTTTATAACAGGTATTAACTATAGAAAATTTTGTTCAATGAATTATACAGCTTGGGATGCAACAGTATTAGACTGATGAGATTCTAAAAAATATCATTTTATGATATTTTGTGCTCCTTAGGGTCAGGATCTAAAACTTTTCATATTTATATTCCCAGCCACTAGCACAATATATGGGACACAGCTAGTATACCATAAATGTTTGTTTGTTTGTTTTTTAACAGAAATGGAAATTAAATTTTTAAAAATATCTCTATGGTGGTTGGTGATATAATTGTGAATAATTATATTACCCACTTTCTTTGTAGGTGGGTACACTTCCTGACTCATTTATTTTGGCTTGGCTATGTGACTAACTTTGGAAATAGAATGTGAGAAGCTTTTAGAGACATTGTAAGTTTCTACCAGTACTTTTGTGTTTTTGCCCTCTTCCATGAGTCAGCAGGTCCTTCTGGGTCTTAGATTAAAAGAAACATGGAATAGGTCTACACCCACCTGCAGTCTAGAGCAGAGCTGCAGCACACTTCTTGCAGACCTTATGTAAAAAGAGCAAGAAATAAACATTTGTTTTTATAAGTCATTGATATTTTTACAGTTGATTGTTACTGCAGCAAAAACTAATACATAGACGGATTACCTTATATATAACATGTATGTCACATATATGTGACATACATATATTTCATATTTATATATGATACAGAAAATAATACTCATAAGTTTATGATAAAAATATGTAATATATAGTATATATCACATATGTGTGTAATGTGTAATACATATGTGATATATACTATATGTTACATATATGATATATATCTTACATATTAAATATATAGTAATGTGCCGTATATCCACCTTTGGTCAATTATGGACCACATATAAGATAGTGGTCTCATAAGTATAAAATACTGTATGTTTAGTGTATATCTTGTCTATGTTAAGATATGTTTAGATACACAAATATCATTGTGTTACAGTTGCCTATAGTAGTGAGTACAGTAACATGCTGTACAGGTTTGTAGCTTAGGAGCAAAAGGCTATATCATATAGGCTAGGCATGTAGTAGGATGCACGATCTAGGTTTCTGTAAGTGTACTCTGTGGTGTTCACATAGTGACAGAATCACCTAGAACACATTTCTCAGAATGTATCTCCATGTTAAGCTTTGCATGATTGCATTACATGTATATGTATGTTTGTATATGTATCTTATATATGTAATACATATAACAATTTTTTATGTAATTTATAAGTTATATATATATTCTTAAAAACTCCATGAGTTGGATATGATTTTCAATTTAATAGAAGAAAAAGCTGAGAATTTAAATGTTTATTGTTTTATCCAGAATCATATAACTTTTTAATAAAGGAGAAGGATTTGAGCAAATATTTCTTTGACTTTCCACCTCCATGTTTTCTCTTAATATCGGGGTTACAAAATATATTTAAAATAGAGAGGCAGTTAAAGGGTCTTTTGTACTTTTATTTGTATTTATTTAAATGTATAACTAAAATATATTTTCCTTCCCTCTACGTAATGTGTTTTTTTTTTTTTTTTTTTTTTTTTGAGACAGAGTCTAGCTCTGTCACCCAGGCTGGAGGGCAGGTGCAATCTCCGTCACTGCAACCTCCGCATACCAGGTTCAAGCAATTCTCTTGTCTCAGCCTCCCAAGTTGCTGGGTCTACAGGTGCACAACACCATGCCTGGCTAATTTTTTTGTATTTTTAGTAGAGACGGGGTTTCATCATATTGGTCAGGCTGGTCTCGAACTCCTGACCTTGGGTGATGTACCTGCCTCGGCCTCCCAAAGTGCTGGGATTACAGGCATGAGCCACTGCGCCTGGCCTGTAATGTGTTTTAATTCAACTTAACAAACATTTATTTAATATTTTATATGTGCCTGCCACTGTGTGTCAATTCTTGGAGGAATAGAGATAAATCAGAACCAATTCTTACCACCAAGAGTTTGGCTAAATATCTATTATAGCCACCAAATCTTAGACCTAGCTTGACTAAGAACTATCTTAAATAACTGAGCTAAGTGCCACACTTAGGATAATTTCTTCAGAGTTGATGTTCACTCACCAAGAATTTTATTCTGAATCAATAAAATTCCTTTTGCCTATATTATTCACAGTATTCTACACTAATAGCAATAGCTGTTTATGAGCACTTATGTGTATACTCGGTCTGGGCGAATTGTACATATACCCTTAAGAAATTCATATTTGGAAGGTGAATGCCAAAGAAAAAGAGAAACCAGTTTAGTGCTTAAGAGAATTGACAGGAGTCAGATAGGACTAGAATGAATCTACGTTCTGGCACTTACATACAGGGGGACTCTGGGCAAATCATTCTCCTTTAATCAGTTTCTTCACATATAAAATATAATACCAACTTTGCTAGATAACTGCGTGGAATGAATAAGATTTATCTGCAAATCAGGTATCATAGTGCCTGGCAGATACTTAGTATTCAAAGATGAGAACCATTATTGTAAATGAAATGCTGAATTGAAGGCACTTAAGAAACAATGTGAACAAAATATATTATGTAAGGGGGTTAAGCTTAGGATTTATAAACATGCTCAAATGTGGTTACTTTATTGTGCTGTGACAAACCAGAGTTTGGAGGGTGAGTGGTGTGGAGAATCCTTTGGAACCCTGTGAATACTCACGAGGTAGTCTCTACCCAGATGTATCTTCTGCCACCATATTTTCAGTTCCTTGTCTGCTGCATCATCACCAGCAAAGAGCCACATTCTTGTACTTGTTCCACCTTTGTGAGATTGCTCTGAAAATCAGTGGTAATGCAGGGCAGATGGGAAGGGGATTATGGTCCAATTAATGAAGCCAAAAAGAAGACAGAGACCAAATGTGGAAAACCTCAGCCCAGAAGGAGAAAATGTCATTGAGTGATTAGCATCAAAAAAGAAAACTTAGAATAAAAACGATCTTGCCTCCTAAACATGTCCTAACTTGTAAAATAGAAAGAAAAGTAAATACAGAAGTGGTTTCTTGGAGTCTGGTAATCATTGTTCAAAGAATTTGACTCTCGCCTTTTCCTGGATAAGTACCCACTGAGCCAGCAGGCATCCAAGCAGCCTTTTTTTCTTTCTCCAGTGTCTCTGAGCATAATGGCTCTGTGTACAAGTGTTCAACTGCCAGAGAGTGATTTCCTTAGTGTGATTCGAAGGTCTGAGAAGAATAACATCTTTCCTAATTAAAATCAAACTCAAACTCTTCAAAGTTGGCACTCAACCTCTTTCCAGGCAGGGTGATTATGGGAACACGAGGGCATGGAACTGTTCTCCTCCATTTTTAACTTAGGTCAAACATGAACCAAAACCATTTTCATAAATCCCTATAGCCTAACTACTCAAATGAAGGAAAGGCTGAAGCTTTTTAAAGAAACAAAAAAAGCATATTAGTTAGTATGCCTTTAGTAGCAAGTAATGGAAAACATCTTATACTAAATTGATATAACTTTATGGGACTCTATCAAGAACATCAGAGGAAAGCAGATCTTTGGCACCACATGATCAGAAATTCAATGATGTCATCCAGTTTTGGCTTCCTCCATCTTTTTGTTTCACCATCCTCTTTATATTTGTGCCACTTAGAGACACACAATTACTACAGCAATTTCAGGCATTATCTCCAGTCATGATGATGGTCAGAGGAAGAGGAAGGCTACCTTTTCATGTGTTTTAAAGAGCAAGAAAGTCTTTCTTAAAACCCCTCAGACATCCCTTTGTGTCTCTTTGGCCAGCATTGCCTTATACATGCACTGATTGCCCGTAACAAAAATGGTACTCTGCATGACTAGCTTGCACCAATCAGCACTCAATTCCTGAGACTACCCCGAAACACACGGAAGTATGACAAAAGTATAAGACAAAGTCAGAGTTTTGTTAGAAAAGCAGAAGGTAGCTGGGAAATTGATTTTCATAGGCAAAGTCAAAATGCAAAAATAAATAAATAAATAAATACATTAAATGCATACATACATGCATAAAAATCTTAGAGGTAATGAAAAGCCAATAAATACAGAATGCCAGATATCTAGAGCATATGACATTTCCAAATGTATTTTAACTTATTTCCCTGAGCTTTTAGTCTTTGTGCCATCTATGAGGAGCCCTAGAAAAAAAAATCTCTATGTCCCTCCCTTTTTATTCCAGGATGGATTTCACCCAACAAACACCATCTTAAAACATACCATCGAGGGTACCTTTTCTAATCATTTAGATTAAGAATACCTTGATTGTTTTCTTAAATGCCAATTCTAATAAATAGGAGGTAGTTGCTTATGCTATGTTAATTGTGTCTTCTAAAGGTAAGGAGCAATGTGCCAGGTACTTGCCATCCTTGATAAACTTTTGGTCTAAATATAGACCAAAAGAAGTAGAAAATTTAGCATTCCTCATGATTGGTTTTCTACCCAAAGACCCACCACTATCAGGATGACTGACCCCAGGAAATGGCCACTTTCTCAAGGAAGGACCACCCATTAATGATAGGAATGCAGGCCTGTCCTTGCATGTCTCTATAACAGAGTAGTCACCATAGGGTAATCGTTTATACAACAAGGTACATATTACAAATAAGAGGGCTATCTTTTTATTACAGAGGCATCTGAAGAGGGTATCTTCTGCTCAAAAAATATTTTCTTTCCAACCTTATGTACTAAATTCTTCCTAAGGTTGAATTTTCCAAGTATTCTCCTTGTGTTTTCTGAAATAGGCTACATTTTATACCTTTTGCTCTTCATTAACAAATGAGCTCAGATAAAGGAATCAGATTGGCTTCATTCAGTAACCTGGAATTAGAGTAAAAAAGTTATTTTCAAAAAAGCTTTGCCTACTTTAAGATCATAAAGATTTTCTCTTATTTTTTTTCATAAAATGTTATTCCATGTTTTAAGTTTAGCTTTATTATCCACCCTAAATTACTGCTTGGGAATGAAGTGTGATCAGTGTTGTTTCTTTTTCTCCCCCTATGTACATGTAATTTTGCTGGCACAATGATATGGTTTGGCTGTGTCCCCACCCAAATCTCATCTTGAATTCCCATATGTCATGGGAGGGACCTGGTGGGAGGTAACTAAATCATGGGGGCAGGTCTTTCCCATACTGTTCTCAGGATAGTGCATAAGTGTCACAAGATCTGATGGTTTTAAAAAAGGGAGTTTCCCTGCACAAGCTCTCTTCTCTTGTCTACCATCATGTGAGATGGGTCTTTCACCTTCTGCCATGATTTTGAGGCCTCCCCTGCCACATGGAAATTTAAGTCCATGAAACCTCTTTCTTTTGTAAATTACCCAGTCTTGGGTATGTCTTTATCAGCAGCATGAAAATGTACTAATACAGTAAGTTGGTACCAGTAGAGTGGGGCACTTCTGAAAAAATACCTGAAAATGTGGAAGTGACTTTGGAACTGAGTAACAGACAAAGGTTGGAACAGTTTGGAAGCCTCAGAAGAAGACAGGAAAATGTGGGAAAGTTTGGAGCTTCCTAGAGACTTGTTGAAGGGCATTGCTCAAAATGCTTATAGTGATATGGACAATAAAGACCAGGCTGAGATGGTCTCAGATGGAAATAAGGAACTTGTTAGGAACTGGAGCAAAGATGACTCTTATTATGTTTTAGCAAAGAGATTGGCAGCATTTTACCCCTGCCCTAGAGATTTGTGAAACTTTGAACTTGAGAGAGATGATTTAGGGTATCTGGCAGAAGAAATTTCTAAGCAGCAAAGCATTCAAAGGGTGACTTGGGTGCTGTTAAAGGCATTCAGTTTTATAAGGGAAGGAGAGCATAAAAGTTCAGAAAATTTGCAGCCTGGCAATGCAGTAGAAAATAAAATCCCATTTTCTGAGGAGAAATTCAACCCAGTTGCAGAAATTTGCATAAGTAACAAGCAGCTGAATGTTAATTCCAAGACAGTGGGGAAAATGTCTTTAGGATATATTAGAGATCTTCACAGCACTCCCTCCCATCACAGGCCCACAGGCCTAGGAGGAAAAAATGGTTTTGTGGGCCAGGCCTAGGGTCCCTGTGCTGTGTTCAGTGTGGAGACTTGGTGCCCTGTGTCCCAGCAGCTCCAGCATTGGATGAAACGGACTAACGTAGAGCCCTCATTGTGGCTTCAGAGCAGCAGCTCCAGCAGCTCCAGCCTTGGCTGAAAGATGTAGAGCTCTGGCTGTGGCTTCAGAGGGTGCAAGCCCCAAGACTTGGCAGCTTCCACATGGTGTTGAGCTGACAAGTACACATAAATCAAGAATTGGGGTTTGGGAACCTCAACCTAGATTTCAGAGTATGTATGGAAATGCCTGGATGCCCAGGCAGAAACTTGCTGCAGGGGCAGGTCACTCATAGAGAATCTCTGCTAGCACAGTGTGGAAGGGAAATATGGGGTTGGGGCCCCCATACAGAGACCCTACTTGGGCACTGCCTAGTGGAGCTGTGAGAAGAGGGCCACCATCCACCGGACCCCAGAATGGTAGATCCACCAACACCTTGCGCCATCCACCTGGAAAAGTCACAGACACTCAATGCCAGCCTGTGAAAGCAGCTGGGAGAGAGGCTGTATGTACCCTGCAAAGCCACAGGGGCAGAGCTGCCCAAGACCATGCACCCACCTCTTGCATCAGCGTGACCTGGATGTGAGATATGGAGTCAAAGGAGATCATTTTGGAGCACTAAGATTTTACTGTCCTCCTGGATTTTGGACTTACACATACCCTGTAGCCCCTTTGTTTTGGCCAATTTCTCCCATTTGGAATGGCTGTATTTACCCAATGCCTGTACCCCCATTGTATCTAGGAAGTAACTAACTTGCTTTTGATTTTACAGGCTTATAGGTGGAAGGGTCTTGCCTTGTCTCAGATGAGACACTGGACTATGGACTTTTGGGTTAATGCTGAAATGAGTTAAGACTTTAGGGGACTGTTGGGAAGGCATAATTTGTTTTGAAATGTAAGGTCATGAGATTTGGGAGGGGCCAGGAGCAAAATGTTATGGTTTGGCTGCATCCCCACCCAAATCTCATCTTGAATTGCCATGTGTTATGGGAAGGACCTGGTTTGAGGTAATTGAATTATGGGAGCAGGTCTTTTCCCTGCCATTTTTGTGATAATGAATAAATCTCATGAGATCTGATGGTTTTAAAAAGAGGAGTTTCCATGCACAAGCTCTCTTCTCTTGTCTGTCGCCATGTGAGACATGACTTTCACCTTCTGCCATGATTGTGAGGCTACCTCAGCCATGTGGAACTGTTAAGTCCATTAAATCTCTCTTGTAAATTGCCCAGTCTCAGGTATGTCTTTATCAGCAGCGTGAAAACGGACTAATACACACTATTTGTTCAAAATCCTTTTTCTTTTTACATTTAATTGACTCAATTAATTATCTGTAGTGAAATCAATTAACCATATTCAAGTGGGTCTAAATACAGACAATTTATTATGTCCCATGATCTATTTTCTACCCTAATACAAATACCATCCTGGTTTATTTCCTGTGATTTTTTTTCACAAATTTTGATATAAGGTAGCATAGTTCATTTAAGTGGTTATATTTTTAAATATATTGGTCTAATGTTTATAAATATATGACATTTTATTATACAATTTTGGAATTAGCATGTCAATTTCTTTAAAACCCCTGCTGTGTGTTACACTGAAGTTGCATTGAACCTATACAGCTATATAGAAATAATTGATATCTTAACAACGTTTAGTTTTCCAATTCATGAACAGGATATATCTCTCTATTTAGGTTTTCACAAAAAGAGCTAGCAGTAACAGAAAAAAAATCTCATAGATTAGGTAGCATCAAAATTATAAATATTAGCTCACCAAAATACACCATTAGGGAAATAAATAGGCAAGTCAGCCTTAAGAAAATATTTGTAGCATAGGTATTTGGCAAAAAATTCATATTGAAAATATGTAAAGAATTCCTACAAATTTACTATCAAAGTACAAGCATTCCACTCAAAATGGGCAAAAAAACTCAGGGACTACACAACAGATGACATTTGAATGATTCCTAAGCACATGAAAAGTTGTCAGCATTATCAGTCACAGAGAAATATGAATTACAATCACAGTGAAATCTCCTTTCACACACACCAAGATGGCTAAAATGAAAAAGACGGACAGCACTAAATGTTGTTGAGGAGTGGAGTAACTGACTTTCATATATTTCTCATGAGGACAAAAATGTTATGACAACTTCAGGTACCTTTTTAGTAATATCTTGTAAGATTTAAAAAAAACCCACATACCTACAGCCCAGAAATTTCTCTTCTTTGTTTTTATTGAGAGAAATGAAAATATTTATCTACAGAGGCACTTACATAAGAATGTACATAGCAGCCTTATTCTTAGTTACTCCAAACTGGAAATACCTCTCTGTCAAAAAATTGAGTGGATAGATTCATTGTGGTATATTTCTATAGTGGAATATACTCAACGATTAATAAAAAACAAACTACTGATACATGTAATAAAAAGAGTGAGTCTCAAAACCATATGTTGATTAAAAATACTAAGACTCATAAAAATACATACCATATACATTTATGTAAAGTTCATAGACAGGCAAAACAATTCTGTGGATAGAAGTGAGGACAATGATTGCCTCTTATGAATGGGTGTGAGACAGTTGAAAGACAGTGGCCTGAGGGAACTTTACATTTATAATAGAAATAGTCCATAACTTCTTTTGGAAGATAGATTTCATTGATATTTACAATAGTCAAATTTTATATAATAGAACATGTAAGATATGTGCAGTTTATTGTATGTTCATTGCATTATAATGCAATAAAAAGAATGATTTTAAAAATCCAAACATGATAGACAATGATTAATAAGGCTAAACAAACTTTCTCTTATAATTTTATAAAAATGCTATTGAATATTGTCTATATGCTGCTAAAATATTAGAGTTGGCATTGTTGGGGTAAGTAGAGAGGAAGAAGAAGGACTGATCTTAATAATGTGTAAGAGCCTAGAAAGGTCAGTCGTACTTGGAGGATCACACTGTAGGAAGAGGTGAAAGGTATAAACCAGGGATCCCCAAACCCCAGACCATGGACTGCTACTGGTCCATGGCCTGTTAGGAACCCAGCTGCACAGCAGGATGTGAGCAGTAGGCAAGCAAGAATTACCACCTGAGCTCTGCCTCCTGTCAGATCAATGGTGGGAATATATTCTCATAGTATTGTGAACTGTATTGTGAACTGTGCATGCGAAGGATCTAGATTGCACGCTCCTTATGAAAATCTAATGCCTGATGACCTGTCACTGTCTCCCATCACCCCAAGAAGGAACCATCTAGTTGCAGGAAAATAAGCTCAGGATTCCCACTGACTCTACATTATGGTGGGTATGTAAATAATAATAGAAATAAAATGTACAATAAATGCAATGTGCTTGAATCATTCTGAAACCACATACCCCACCCCTCTGATTTATTTTCTTCCATGAAACTGGTTGCTGGTGCCAAGAAGGTTGGGGACTGCTGGAATAAACAATTAGGAATTGCTAGTATTTTCATATTAAAAAGGAAATAAAATATATAAATCTTTTATAAAGGGAATAGTGACAATTATTATTCTGCCCCTATTGTATACTAAAGAAAGTAGGTCCAGGTCAAGAACTTTTTTTTTTTAACACTTGGCTACTTATTCTTTCAATAAATATTTATTGAGCATCAACTGAGTACCAGGTACTATTCTAAGTATCTGGAACATATCAGTGTAAAAGACAAACAAACAAATAGGTCAGATTAAAATGTCTCCTCTCATGGAACTCATATTCCATCTGTGGTAACACTTAATAAAACAAGAAGTAATAAGTAAACACATCATACATTATGGCAGAAGGTGATAAATGCTATGGAAAATAATTAGAATAGGGTAGGGTGGATTGGGAATGCTAAGTGCATGTTTTTATGTGTGCGTGCACATCTGCATGCCAGGTTTTAGTATTAAATAATATGCTTAGTGTAAGTGAGATTTAAGCAAAGATGAACAGGTCTCTTTGTGTCTTCATGTGTGTCTAGAAAGAGGGAACAGTTGGAGCAAAGGCCTTAGGACAGAAGGATGCTTGGTGTTTGATGAACATCCAGGGGGCTGGTGTAGCTGTACAGCTGGAGAAGAAGGACTGACAAAGAAAGGGGAAAGAGAGGTGGTCAGAGAAGTATTAAGAAATGTAGAGTTTTTAGGCTTCTGTAAATCGTTTTTACTTTGAATAAAATTCAGAAAGTTTTGAGCAGAGTGGTGATATTGGAAGGTTTTAAGCAGAGGAGTGACATGGTCTCACATTTTAAATGGTCACTTTGGCTGCTAAACTGAAAACAGATTTAAGTGGGTCCAGGGTAGAAGTAGGGAAACATGTTAAGTGGATATTGCAGCAATCTAGGCAGCATGGTTGTGGTTCAGAGCAGGGGAGGAGCAATGAATGGGGTGAGAGGACTTCTTATTTTGGATGTACTATGAAAGTAGAGCCAGGATAATTTTCTGATAGATTGGTTGATGAGTGTGAGGAGAAGAAGAATTAAGGATGACTTCAAGGTTCGTGTCCTGTGACCTAGAAGAAAGGCATTACCATCAGTGAGACTTAGAAGGCTGTGGATAGAGCAGGGGTTGGAGTAACAGCCAGGGTGTGTGAGGGTACAGAAGGCTGTTAACCAGTTGAGTAGAAATGTTGAGTAGAAAGTTGGATATGGGAATCTGGACTTTGGAAAAAGTTTGGGTTGAGAAATAAATTCAGGAGTTGCTAGCGAACATATATTTAGGCTGTGGGCCTGGATGAGATCTCTAATGAAACAAATGAGGATAGTGAAGAGAAAATATGCAATGACTGGTTCCTAGAAGGTACGTACTTAGAAGCCAAGGAGAAGAAGTAAAATCACCAAGTGAGACTGAGAGTAAGCAAAGAGTTGAGTAAAAGGAAAACCACAAAAATGTACTATGTAGGAGGCTGAGTGAACAAAAGTATTAAGGAGGAGTGACTGATTAGTAGTCAAATGCTTCATCCAAAATTGATCAAAGGGTTTAGTTGTTTGGAAGTATTTTGGCCCTGATGGGAGTAATTTTTGGTGCAGTAATGGTAGCAAAAGTGTAATTGGAGTATGTTGAAGATTGAGTGGAAGGAGAGAAATTGCAGACAGTGATTATACACACCTTTCCTGAGAGTATGTTGATTCAGATATGGAGATATCTTTTCTGCATATAAAGGAAGAAAGGGAGTTCATGGCTGGGGAAGAGGGTCTTGGAATGGAAAAGCCAAAAGCAAGTGTGCTTTGCTATGAGAGAGAGAAAATGATGAAGTGCTCTCATGGCCAGTAGGTCTACAGGGACTTAACAGAAGTGATGTGTCAAACACATAAAAATTATGAAGGTGTTGTGGAGTGTGGCATGTAAATCTTCTTCTTCTTCTTTTTTTTTTTTTTTTTGATGGAGTTTTGTTCTTGTAGCTTAGGCTGGAGTGCAATGGTATGATCTCGGCTCACTGCAACCTCTGCCTCCCAGGTTCAAGTGATTCTCCTGCCTCAGCCTCCTGAGTAGCTGGGATTACAGGCACACGCCACAATTCCAGGCTAATTTTTTTTTTTTGTATTTTTTAGTAGAGATGGGGTTTCACCATGTTGACCAGGCTGGTCTTGAACTCCTGACTTCAGGTGATCTGCCCACCTTGGCCTCCCAAAGTGCTGGGATTACAGGCGTGAGCCACCATGCCTGGCCGTAAATCTTCTTTTCTATAAAATATTTATAAAATCTATATTACTAGCATATTTATTGCAAATAATTATTTTCTAGGGAAGTAAAAGGGTATTGAGTTTATATACTAGTGTACGTTGCACCAAGATAAAGCCAGTCAATGTTGATGTATGTGTGTTGCACCAAGATAGAGACAGTCAATGTGGAAGACTTTCAATAAATGTCTTACACATCACTGTCTTCTGAAACATATTATAGGCGAGGAAAGTGTGTGCACAGGAAGAGCTGAAGGTGAGCAAATTGTACCATCCACCCTCATGGAACTTAATGGTCAGAAGAGATACACATGTACATAAATTACCATATGAAAGAGCATGCTTCATGTCAAAAACTACGTGCTGTGGATATTCTCAAGAGAGAGCTTTCTTAAAATTAGGGAATCAAGGCAATAGCTCATTTGAACTGGACCTTGAAGGATAAGCAGTCTTGCCTATGTGGAAATAAGGGACATTTGGGAAAAAGGGACAACCAGAGCAGAGGCAGGAAATGAAAGCACAGAACATATCTGGAGAACATTGAGGGGATTAACTAGCAGAGTTAATGGGAATAATGAACGAACAAAGGGCAATAGTATATCTCAAAGATGCTGGAAAATGGCATGAACAGAAAAGGAGGGGAAGGGGCTGGAGAGACCCAGCAAGATAAGCAACTTTTCAACACTTTTTCAGAACTCTTTTTAGGGCTCCATGCTCATACATAGCTTTCAATTGGTGTGCCAGGCATTGGGCCAGCAACTAGATATGATTGGCTTCCTTCCCATTGAACCAGGGCCACGTGTTGCTGCATTGGGGACAACAAAAGGCAGTTTCTCAGCTGGAAAGAAGTGCTGTAATTGAGCTATAAGCATGGCACAATGAAGGAACAAAGAATGTATTGATTATTCAAGTCCTTATGGAATATAGAAATGCATAGAAAAGAACCTGAAGCAAAAATTTAAGATTTGTCATCATTGCTTCTAATTATTCTTAGTATCATGGAAGTCACCACATGAAGTAAAGTTGGGCTAAAACGTAGATGTTAACATACATTTAGTGTTTCCCACAGTGTTGAAATAGTTTTTCCATAGAATATTAAATTCTATGTGTTTTCCATAGATTATAAAATATGCAAAATGCACTAGGGGAAAAAAAGCGTTCTGTGGTCAAATAAGTTTGGCAAATGTTGCATATCAAGTCCCTCGTTGAAGATTCACCATATCCATTGGCATTTTAAAATCTGCGAGAAGTTCTATACTAGATAAAACTGTTTAATTTTGTTTAACTGTGTGCATTCTAAACTAATTTGACCACAAACCCATTTTTGCCTAACACATTAACATTTTACAAAATATGTATTTCAGGGAACTCACTTGGGATAACATTGATGACATTATTAGTAGAAACTCTTGATATAAGAAAGGCCACAGAAATGGTAGAAGCCAGTTGATTATTTGGAAGAGGACTTCCAGTTGAGAAGGTATCACAGTGGATAATCTCATCTCATGAAGGAAGTAAGCCAACCAACAACTCTGTAATAAATGTGTGCTATACATGTAGCACCTCAATCAAGTACAGTGCTGTTCATTGGAACTCAGTGCTGCCCTAATGCCGTGGAAGGCAACATCAGTCAGAACTTGGCTAGTGCCCATGGAGGGAGTATTTAGACCAGCCCTAGGAAGAGATTTCCTACTGTTGTGGCCTCAGAGAACATAATCCATTCAAAGTTTTTTCTTTTAAAATGTATTAATAATAAGACAAGAGCACTGATAACAATCCAAAAAAAAAAAAAAAAGAAAAGAAGCTTTTCAGCATATTGTTGATTTGGTCCTGGTTTAGTGGCTGAATGTTAATTACATTTGGTTGCCCAGTGGTTCTTTCCAATTTATAATTCATTAGTTAGAATTAAGAATTAGTTTAATCTTCCCAACCTAGAATTCCCAGACTTTCTATGTGCCCTTTAAGTGCTACTTGAAAACCAGCCAAAAAATATGTGTATATATACACACACACACACATATATATATATATACACACATATATATATTTTTCTGAACTCATCATTTTCTTTTTAAATGAACAATTGCTACTGCTCATACTCATGAAGCTTAAGGTCAGATAGGAGAAATAGCACATGCAACTAACTCATTCTTATGAGCCTTATGTTTTTCATGTTATTTGCTTAATGCCCAAAATTTATTACATACAGTATTTACTTCAAACTTATTACAAGTGATAGTTTTACCAAATATTAACAAAAGCTCCTCAATCCTTAGAGGCTTATCAAAATATATTCCTTTCTGGCTCACATTAATGCCCATGCAGGTCTTCAGCTTTGCTCCACATCTTCTTCATCCTGGAACCCAGGCTGAAGAAGCAGCTCCTGTTTGGACTTATTAATCACATGGAAAAGGGTAACGGATAGGGCACAATCATAGTCTTAAAGCTTCTGATCATTTTACTTCCAATTACTTTTCATTGACTAAAGTAAATCACATGGCCAAGCCAATCTGTCATGCAACTGTGAATATAATCTACCCACAGGAAATTACCATAAGGGGAGAGGTCATGAGATGAAGTAGCACATATTTGTGAACAAATATACAATCTATTATGCCTGAGATAATAAACACATAAAACAAAAGAATTAGGCATTTAACCTTGAAAAAACTTTAGAAGTCATTTGATCCAACCCTTCTTTTCTATAGATGAGAAAACTGGGACTCAGAAATGATCACTAACATATCGAAGTTCAAATAGAATACTAGTTTCAAAATTCAAACTGTTTATTAGATTTTTAATTTTTTTTCTTCTACAGCTTTATGGAAGTTTAATTAACGTACTACATATATTTAACTTTCAAAGGGTTATGACTTATCTATTAACTGTGAAACCTTTACCACATCAAGATAATGAACATAGAGGAGGAGACAGAGCAAGATGGCTCAATGGAAGCCTCCACCACTCATCCCCCCTTAGGAAAACAAAATTTAACAGCTATCTACACACAAAAAAACACACCTTCATAAAATGCAAAAATTAGGTGAGTGATTACAGCACCTGGTTTTAAACTCATATCAGTGAAAGAGACATTGAAGAGGGTAGGAAAAGCAGTCTTGAATTGTTAACACTAACCTGTACACCATCAGCATCCTGTGGTGCTGAGAGAGAATTTGTGTGTTTGAGAGAGGGAGAGCACAGCGATTTTAGGGCTTTTCATTGAGACTCAGTGCTGCCCTAATGTAGTGGAAAGCAACACCAGTCAGAATTCAGCCAGTGCCCATGGAGGGAGCATTTAGACCGGCCCTAGCCAGAGGGAAGTCAACCATCCCAGTGGTTGGAACTTGAGTTTTGGCAAGCCTTGCCACCACAGGCTGAAGTGCTCTGGGGGTTCTAAATAAACTTGAAAGGCAGTCTAGGCCACAAGGAATGCAACTCCTGGGCAAGTCCTAGTGCTGTCCTGGTCTTGGAGCCATTGGACTTGGGGGGCAAAAGATCTAGTGAGTTACTGGCTGGTCAGCCAAGGGAGTGGTTGCACCACCCTTAACCCAGCCTCAATCAGCACAGCTTGCAGCTCTGAAGGAGACCCCTGCCTTCTGCTTGAGAAGAGGAGAGAGAAGAGTAAAGATGACCTTGTCTTACAACTTGGATACCAGCTTAGCCACAGTAGGATAGGGCACTCGGCAGAGTAGTGAGTCTTTAGCTCCTTCAGGTCTTGGGCCTGAAGTGAACATTAATGGTAGCCTGGCAGTAGTCCTTATAGGCCTGGGGTGCAGTTGGACATGGAGAGAGACTCCTGTATCTGGGAAAAAGGGAGGGAAGAGTGAGAAGAACTTTGCCTTGTGGTTTTGGTGCCAGCTCAGCTGTAGTATGATAGAGTACTAGGTAGATTTTTAAGGTTTCTGACTCCAGGCCCTGGCTCCCTGACAGCATCTCTGGACCCAGCAGTTCCCAGGGGAACTCCCAGCCCTGTAAAAAAGGACACAAGCCTGGCTGGCTTTGTCATCTGCTGATTCTAGAGCCCTGGGGCCTTCAGAGAACATAGACAATAGCCAGGTAGTGGTTAAAGTGGGCCTTAGATGAGACCTAGTATTGTGCTGGCTTCAGGTCTAACCCAACACAGTCCCAGGGGTGGTGGCCACAGGGTGCTAGTGTCACCCCTCCTACGGCTCCAGGGAGCTCAGCACAGAAAGAGAGACTCCATTTGTTTGGGAGAAAATAGGGATAGAGAACAAGAGTCTCTGCCTGGTAATCCAGAGAATTCTTCCAGATCTTATCCATGACCACCAATGTGGTGCCTCTGTGAGGCTGCAAGAAGCACAGCGTTACTGGGCTTGGGGTGCCCCCTAATGCAGATATAGCTGCAGTGACCAAAAATGTAGATCACAACACTCAAGTCCCTTTGAATAACTGGAAAGCCTTACCAAGAAGGATGGGTACAAACAAGCCCAGACTGCCAAGACTACAATAAACATGAAACTCTTTAATGCCCAGACACTGGAAAACATCAAGACCATCCAGAAAAACATGAGCTGACCAAAAAAGTGAAATAAGGCACCAAGGACCAAGCCCAGAGAGGCAGACATATGTGACATTTCAGACAAAGAATTCAAAAATCTGTTTTGAGAAAACTCAGAGAGATTCAAGATAATACAGAGAAAAAATTTAGAATTCTGTCTGATAAACTTAACAGAGATTGAAATAATTAAAAAGAATCAAGCATAAATTCTAGAGTTGAAAAATGCAATTGACATCCTGAAGAATGCATCAGAGTCTTTTAATAGCAGAATAGATGAGGCAGAATAAATAATTAGTGAGGTTGAAGACAGGCTATTTTAAAATACACAGTCAGAGGAGACAAAAGAAAAAATAATAAAAAAGAATAAAGCATGTCTATAAGATCTAGAAAATAGCCTCAAAAGAAAATAGCCTCAAAAAGGCAAATCTAAGAGTTAACGGCCTTAAAGTGGGGTGGGGGGGAGGGTGGAGAGAGAGAGAGAGAGAGAGAGAAGTTTATTCAAAGGGATAATAACAGAGAATTTCCCAAACTAGAGAAAGATATCAACATTCAAGCACAAGAAAATTATAGAACACCAAGCAGATTTAACCCAAAAAAGACTACCTCAAGTCATTTAATAATCAAATTCCTAAAGCTCAAAAATAAAGAATGGATCTTAAAAGAAGCAAGATAAAATAAACAAATAACATACAATGAAACTGCAATATGTCTGGCAGCAGACTTTGCAGTGGCAACCTTATGGACCGAGAGAGTGGCATAACATATTTAAAGTGCTGAAGGAAAAGAAAAGATTTTTCCTAGAATAATATATCCAGCGAAATATGCTTCAAACATGAAGGAGAAATATTTTCCCAGACAAACAAAAGGGTTTTCATCAACACTGAACCTGTCCTACAAGAAATGCTAAAGGTAGTTCTTCATTCTGAAGGAAAAGAATGTTAATGAGCAATAAGAAATTATCTTGAGGTACAAAGCTCACTGGCAATAGTAAGTGCACAGAAACACACAGAATATTATAGCACTGGAATCATGATATGTAAACCACTCATATCTTAAATAGACAAAAAGATGAAACAAACAAAAATAATAACTACACAACTTTTCCTGACATAGGCAGTACAGTAAGATATAAGTAGAAAAGAACAAAAAGTTAAAAACTGGGGGAATGAAGTTGAAGTGTAGAGTTTTTATTTTCTATTTGCTTGTGTTTTGGCTAGTTTTTTTTTTTAGGAAATCAGTGTTGTTATCAGTTTAAAATAATGGGCTCTTTTATTTGCAAGCCTCATGGTAACCTCAAATCAAAAATATACAACTAATACTAAAGAAACAAGCAAGGAGCTAAACCATACCATCAGAGAACATCACCTTCACTAAAAGAAAGGCAGGCAGGAAGGAAACAAGGAAGAAAAGACCACAAACCACCAAAAACCAAATAACAAAATGGCAGGAGTGAGTGTTTACTTATCAAGAATAACATTACAAGTAAATGGATTAATCTCTACACATATAGACTGAAAATAAAGGGATGGAAAAAGATATTTCATTCCAATGGAAATAAACAAACAAAAAGAGCAGAAGTATCTACACTTATATCAGACAAAATAGATTTCAAGAAAAAATCTATATACAGAGAAAAAAAGATCATTATATAATGATAAAAAAGTCAATTCAGCAAGAGGTTATAACAATTGTAAATATATATGCACCCAACACTGGAACAACCAGACATATAAAGCAACTATTATTAGAGCTAAAGAAAGAGATAGATCCCAATACAATAATAGCTGGAGACTTTAAAACTACACTTTCAGCATTGAAGAAATCTCCCAGAGAGAAAATCAACAAAGAAACCTCAGACTTGTACTGCACCATAGTCCAAATGGACGTAATACATATTTACAGAACGTTCCATCCAATGGCTGCAAAATACACATTCTTCTCCTCAGTGCATGGATCATTCTCAAGAATAGATCCTATGGTGGGCCACAAAACAATTCTTAAAACATTCAAAAAATTCAAATAATGTCAAGTATTTTTTCTGTCCACAATGGAAGTAAAATAGAAATCAATAACAAGAGGATTTTTAAACTATATAAACACATGGAAATTAAACAATATGCTCTTGAATGACCAGTTGATCCATGAAGATATTAAGAAAGAAACTGAAAAATTTTTTGAAACATATGATAATAAAAACACAACAATTATTTCAAGTGGTAAGTCTGGCCCTTGTTGCTCCCTCATGGTTAAAAACAGAAGTTGAATTTTTAAATGTCTTAATTATTTTTCTGTTTCATTATTACAGATATAATTTCCCAAAACTATGTTTTTAGCAGACTTTTTATTGTCAGGAACTTACACATACCTGATTTGCAAAGTTGAAAAAGACCATCATGAGCCTTAGGATAGAGATTCACTGTTGAGAACTGATTGAAACTGGTTGGTGCAGATTAATAATGAGAACAGCAATGAGAATATTAAGATCAGAACTAAATTAAACTGTTGCTAATTTGAATTTCTATTTTTTTAGTTAAATAAAGCCTTATGAATTTTACTGTCAATGTAGTTATAAATAATTGTGTCAGAGAGGGTGATTTTAAGTAAGACAGCAAATTAAAAACTCATCACCCCAATTTTCCAGAACAAGAATCTTAACGTAATTGTCTAATGAAAAGAATAAAAATACTTTCTTAATTTTCCCAACTCTAAAAATTTAGGAAGCTTTAATATAGATATAATGCTCCCTCAGGTTTAAGAGTAAGAAAGTATTTTGTGGTTAATACTTTGTGTAGGTCAAATTGTTGGTCACTGTGGTGGATTAATTGCCATAAAAGCTCCAATGGGTTCACATATTCCTCTTTCCAAGCTTTTCAGTAGTGCCCCCTTACAGTAACTCTGGCCTTGGCCATGTGGCTTAATTGGGTCAATGGGATGTTTGCAAATGTGATATAAGTAAGGACTTAAAAAGCACTTGTACATTGGGTCTTGCTTTTTCTTCTTCTTGGAACCATACTGTCACTCTTTATATAAACTTGGGCTAGACTACTGGGTATTGATAGACCTTATTAAGGAGAAAATAGGGACTCCAGTTGACCTGGCAGCTGACTGACCCTGGTTGAGTCCTGGCTGAAATCTGCTTTCCAGGCCCAGATTAGCTGAGCCTAGCCCAAACTGCCTACTAATGGAATTATGAGTTAAATTATTTCATTGTAATTTAAACTACTAAATTTTGGGATGGTTTGTCATGCAGCAAAACTAATTAATAAACTCTCTTAGCTGATGTGAGTTCAGGTGAGAGAGTAAAAATTCCTCCACTGTGTTTAGCAGAAATAGTACTGGAATTCACTGGGTACTCCTAGTTGAGTTTCAGCTTTTATTCTAGTAAAAAGCTATTCAAGTTGTAGGATATCCTGTTTTGGTACCTAAAATAGAGATATAATTTTATCTCTAAAAAAAATGAGAAAATAGAGTTAGGCAATGTGTTTGTAATTTATTGTAACTCAATGTTTATTTTAATATGATCTTGGGAGGTGGTAGCCTATTAAGCTCACCACATGACTGATTAACACATTCCTCTGTAGTTTCCAATGTTCTATCTGTGTAAAAGCCCTTTGCTACAGAATGTAAAAAATAATACAGAGATTTTAAGAGTCCTAACTGTTTGCTCCTTCTCCTGTATATTTTATCTTAATCCATGGTAGAAACATCTATGCATTCATGGAAGCTAGAAAATTCAGAGCCATCCTCCTTATGATATCCTCTCTTATCATTTATATCCAGTCATCAAATCTTATTGTTTTGCTTTAAAAATTCCCTTTATATCTAACAATTCCACATTGGTAGCAGTTACAAACCTAAATCAGGTTTTGCTATTTCCCTACTGAAAACCCCTCTGAGGCTTCGAGTGCAAAATTTCATTGGTCCTTGTTGTAGACATTTATTTCTTGTCTCTGTAGCATCTATTCTTAATTTTTGCCTTTTGAATAGTACCCTGGATTTTTCAGTGATGAGATTTGGGAGCAACAACCTTGTGCTTGGCTCTGAGAATGAGTTTTGATTGGCTTAAGCAAGTGAGCCTGTCCACAAATCCCTGCCACATTGATTGGCTTAAGAATGGGCACACTGCCAAGTTAAGATATGACCAAAAAGTCTCAATTCTCTGACTTTAGTTGAGTTGTTAGTGAATAAAATGTTCTTTTATTCTCCACTAGGCATAACAAATAAGCATGTAACCTTGAAGCAAGGCCATTGAAGGAAGCCAACCTGTGAAAACGTAGTTCAGAAAAGATGGTCACAAACAATATGGTCACATTGTTTGAACTCCAGATTCAGTCTCATCTGAAATTACAATTACTCTGGACTATTCCCTCAGGTGAATCAGTAAGATTCTCACTCCCTTCCTCCCTTTTTCCATCCCTCCTTTCCTCTTTTCCTTCCTTTCTCCCTTCCTCTTTTTTTTTTTTTTTTTTCCCAATTAAGTGTTTTGGAACAAAGAATTCTAAATAATTAAATTTTCTCATGGTTTAACTGAGAATTTTTTTTATTTTAGTAACATATGTTTATTCATTTCCCCTAATCAGTCTACAGCAAACAAATAATATCATAAATGATAATTTAATTATGTTTGTACAGCTGGAATAAATACTATGAAGAAAAAGTGGATGATTCCAGTAAAATCGATAGTGGGGAAAACCAAATCCTGTTTGGGTGTCAGGGGAAGCTTCTCCAAGGAAAAGCCAATTTCAGTTCAGGCCTGAAGGCCTATGGACACCCTCACTCCTGTTAGTTTTGCTGGAGTCAGGGCTTTCTTTGTATCTCTTAAGCCTAAATAGTCAAGAGAAGTAGTTTGGTTAGGTGGATAGTGAGTATCCAGGTAGAGAGAGACCACACCAGGGAATATTCTTAGAAAGGGACATGATAGTCATATGGAGATCCTATCCTGAGTGACAGTTTTTTCCTCTCTGCTTATTATGCTTTTGAAACACCTTAAGAAAAATATCTTCTTTTTCACATTTCTTTTTAGATTTCAGCTGCTATTTGGAGTAGCTGGAGAAAACATAACCAGTTTCCAACTGCAAGATGAAGACAGTGTGTTCTTTGTCTTCTCCAGTAGCTTCTTTATACCACTACAATTTCTCCCTTGTTGGGGAGAATTCTTTACCTGCAAATACAACTGATGGTTTCCAGGTGTCAGCAGAAGACCTTCAAAAACACACTGATGGACAGTTTGGTTCTATCATGAAGGAAACATCTGTCACCCACTTCCAGAAAATGAGGGTTGCCCTTCCCTCAACTGTGGCAGGGAGCTGAGGACACAACATCACAGACTAACTATTCTCACAAAGAATGTTGGGTTTAAAATAGAAATTTCAGCAAACGACACCACTTTTCGCAAGTAGCAGCTAGTATCATCTAGCACTGAATACAAATATGACTTCACTTAGTGAGAGTCTGTGAATGTATCAGATTTAGAGGGTTTCTGTGTAAATGATATCCTAAATTTAAATGCTCTGGGAGCATAGATTGAACTGTCGTGAGGGATTTGTCTCAGAGATAGCCAAATCTTTGTGGAAGGCTTCCACTCTGTTAAATGGGACCAAGAGATTTCACAGTCTAATCTATTTGGGTGGTGGCTTTTTATTTCAAAATCATTTTGGCTTTCAAAGTATTTTTTGTAATTTCTTTCCAGCCATTGAATAAAACAACTCTAAAAGACAGGAAGATGCATTGGCTACTCTGATTCCCATCAGCAGTGGAGAAATCAGTGCTGAACTTTCTGAATTTTATAAGAAGTTTCTTTAATTGCTATTTTGATTCTCTGGAAATTCGGACCTAGTTTGCCTCAATATTTAGATCCATTCTTGCTAGATATGCAATGTCTGCTTAGTGACATTTAAGATAACCTTTAGGAGTTATTTATTTATATGGTGACATGCAAGCAAGAATTGTTCATGGATATGAAGTCTAACTTAGAACCACTCAGGAATAAGAAAGACTGAATTTCTGTGGGCCATTTGCATGTAAGAACAGATTTATTAATATGATAGAATATGCTTGAGTAAAATAATTATGAGTGCTTAATGATCGTGCATTAGACAAACATGAAAGACATTTTTGCTCTTATTTCTATTTCTATTTTAGATATTACTAGTTCAGATAATAAGGAATGCTTTCTCTTCACTTTAGCTCTTTGAGTAGATATCGTGAAGCAATTTTGCTCTCATGATTGTTTAAAGTAGATTAAGAGTTTGGAAGAATGAGATGGTTCAAAGAGTTTCAAGTTCTTTGGAGGAAGTTTTGTTATCCAAGTATTTCTGGAAATTCTCAGGTACATGGGAAGAATATTTCTCTCTCTCATGTTAAATTTAAAACATGTTTTATATCTTCTAGTGGTCTAATGAGGGCCAAACCATTCCATAATATCTAGTTTGACAGAATTGTTAGGGAGCTAGTAAGTTTTGGAAAGAATAGTGAAACAACATGCAAAACAAAATTTAGAAGAGGCTACCTGTGATTCTAGACAATTTAAATTTTGTTGTAAAATTCTCATTACCTTGGGAAAAAAGTCATTTTTTAATAGTGGAACAGGACTTTGATTGTTAGACTCAGTGAAGAGGGAAAATTTGAGGCTAATGTTTCTTGTAGCATTTGTTGAATGAAGTCATTAAGTGGCTGCTGATTTCTTGATAGAGTCAGGCCAGTTAATTTATACACATTGTGATAGAATTACCTTGCTTGTACAAGTACATGAATAGATGAGTTTAAGAATGAATGGCAAAAATGTAAATCTAATTAGTGAAAAGTGAATTATGAAAGATTTTGGTATAATTGTTTTGTTATAGGAGCATGAAAAATCTTAATAGAATTTTCTACCAGCCAAAGGCTTTTTATATCTGCTTTAATAAATAACTTGAAAAATTTATATTTAGTATATACTTCACACTTAAAGTTTGGTTTTTAAAGTACTACTATTGAAACACTTGAAAAGTGCTTTTTCTCCTTAGAAGGTCAAAGTGTTGCATACAATTTACTTAGCTTGTATACATATTTATCCTTATAAATAGTACAAAGCTTTGCCTTTTGAAATAGTCACAAATCATATCGAGGAATTTTAATTTTTTGAAAACTGTTACCACATTTGAAAGAATCATAAAGATGGTAGGGCAGAAATGATTGTTTTTAAATGAATTAGAAGTCACATGGAAATGCAGACATTCCCAAGGGCCTCTGATTCAGCCACACTTGAGCGAAGTCTGAGTCCACACCTCTGCATCTAAGAATAATGAACAGTTATTGTTATTTCCATTATAATACAACTGCCTTTATGTTTTTCTGTTAACGGCACCTTTCTTTGGAAAACTACTCCTCAAATCCTTCCATGTGGTTCCATAATGGATCCTAAGCCCTTTCCATCCCCTTCAAACCAGCAGGAGGTGGACCATTTGCAGCACTTCGCCAGCCCATTGTTGAGTCCGAGGGTGGGTATGCATCAGAATCCTTCCCCAGAATGTTTCAGTCTTGGGTGTTGGTTGTGTTGATGCTATGTCCTTTCAACTTTAGTGGTAAAGATGGGAATCTGACCTGTTCATAGCCATATTCTCTGCCACATGGAGACTGTTACTGTATAGGAGAAAAGGATGAAAGATTTTAACATAAGATAATTCTTGGTTTTATTTTCTGCCCTCTTTCCTGACTTGGGGTGTTGTTTCGTTCTTCCTTTAATTTTGTGACCACCCCTTGTTTTCTTCAGATAAATGGATTTTTCTTTCCCAGTGGCATAGTAATTAAGTGTCAAACTGGCTCAATTCCTATCTGAATCCATGATCTACCAGTTCTGTTGGTGTGGACAAGTGCCTTGAGTTCTCTGAGCCACATTTCCTCATGTGTCAAAAATGAGACAAAGAGAGTACCTAGCACATGTGTGAGAAATACTTAGCTAAATGCTTGGAACACAGTAAGTTTTTGGTGAATGTTAATTATTGCTCTTACTGTTATAGTTTAAGCTATCTTCCATTGAATTTTTGTCACTTCCACCCAAAGGAGTCGTGACCCACAGAATGGGAGAAAATATTTGCAAACTCCTCATCTGACAAAGGATCAACAACCTGAATATAGAAGGAACTCCAACAACTCTATAGAAAAAAAATCTAATAATCCAATCAAAAATGGGCAAAAGATCTGAATAGACATTTCTCAAAAGAAGACACAGAAATGGAAAACAGGCATATGAGAAGGTGCTCAGCATCATTGACCACCAGAGCAATACAAAATAAAACTACAATGAGATATCATCTCACCCCAGTTAAAATGGTTTTTATCCAAAAGACAGGCAATAACAAATGGTGGCAAGGATGTGGAGAAAAGGGAACCCTTGTACACTGTTGGTGGGAATATAAATTAGCACAACCACTCTGGAGAACAGTTGGGAGATTCATCAAAAAACTAAAAATAGAGATATCATGTGATCCAGCAACCCCACTCCTAGATATATCCATAAAAGAAAGGTAATACAAATATATAGAGATATCTGCACTCCCATGTTTACTGCAGCACTATTCACAATAGCAAAGATTTGGAAGCAACCTAAACGTCTATCAATAGATGAATGGAATAAGAAAATGTGGTACATACACACAATGGAGTACTGTTCAGTCATAAGAAAGAATGAGATCCTGTCATTTGTAACAACATGGATGGAGCTGGAGGTCATCATAAGTGAAATAAGCCAGGCACAGAAAGGCAAACTTCTCATGTTCTCACTCATTTGTGGAAGCTAAATATTAAAACACCCAATCTTATGAAGATAGAAAGTTGAAGGATGATTACCAGAGGCTGAGAAGGGTAGTTGGGGTGGTAGGCAGAGAAGTGGAAATGGTTAATGGGCACAAAACATTAGTTAAATTAAATGAATAAAATCTAGTATTTGATAGCACAACAAGGTGACTATAGTCAGTAATACTTTAATTGTACATTTTAAAGTAACTCAAAGTGTATAATGTCATTGTTTGTACCACAAAGGATAAATGCCTGAGGTGATGGATACCCTTTTTACCCTGTTGTGATTATTACACGTTGTATAATTCATCAAAACATTCCATATATCCCATAAATATACAAACCTGCCTTGCATCTTCAGAATTAAAAATTTGATAAGAGTCCTGTTAGTCATTTACTTTAATCAGATATTTGCTGTCCCTGTTGCCTTCCTTATAAATGCTAGATTCATAGAATCTCATGTAATGAAGTATTCTTGTACTGCATGCATTTAATGTTGTAGAAATTAACTTCCAATATTTCCAAAATGGGAATTTCAACCAAAAGTAATAAATGACCGTTCTATAACTTCAAATCAAATCCTGGCATTTATAAAGAAGGCATAATATGCTAGTCTGTGATCTAATTGGGACATTGGAAATTAAGGAAACATAAAGCAGTATACATAATTTAGTAGCCACAATGGGTGCTGAGCACCTAGGGCTTTCCTTTTATAAAGTCTCTAGATGATATACTGCAATGGAATTTTATCATACTCAATGGATGTCTTTATTGCAGATGAACTGTAAAGTTGTCAATGCAGACATTGTGTTTATGTGAGTTTTCCCTTTAGGTCCACAGACACATGACATGCATATCACCAAAAGAGGAGGAAACAGAAATGATGGAAACATAAAACATTGAGCAGAGCTGCAAAGAGAATGAGACTTCTCTTTGACACATATTGTATGACATTTCCAAAGTATGGGGAATATTTTTGTATATTTAACTGGCAAAATATTTTTTAAAATCCTGCAACTCTTTTCTTTTTTCTCTTTATCAGTGACAATACATGTCTCGGCTAACAGTATTCTGCACAACTATAGCTTTAATTACATATCTAATATGTCTCCATCAGTTTCCTTACACCATTCCTATTTTCATGCTGGCTTGCAAAATCTTTAAAAATATTAAAACATGACATTTTAAGTCCTATTTTGGTTCCTGGAGTTAGTGATTTTATACACTGAAATTTATCAAGGCAAAACACTTTTTTACTTTACATTGATATCACCCTCTCACATCTTTCTCTAACTGTAAATTTGGAACACAGATTAAAGATGGGTCAAAGGATTGAGTTTGACAAGGAAGATTTACGCTGAAGTTTAGTTAAGCTTTAGAACAGATATTGTAACTTTTCTATGAAAAACTAATGTACACTGACATATAGAGAGCCAGAAAAAAAGTTAATGGTATAGAAAAAACAGTGCTAAATTAATGTTGCATGTTAATAATGCACTATTGGCTCTGCTCGAGGAGATGAGATGGTGTAAAAGGATGTGTGTGTGTGTGTGTTTGGGCGTGAGTGTGTGTGTGAAATAATGTGTGTTGGTAAGGAAGCAGAACAATATAATTTACTTTCAAGTAGTTTTATTTTTTCCTTTAAGAAAATTTTAGATTCATAGGATCTCATTTAATGGGATATTCTTGTACTGCTCTTAATCTTGTAGAAATAAACTTCCAACATTTCCCAAATAGAAATGTCACCCAAGGGCAATGAATGCTTCTTCTTCTGTTTCTACTAACTTTAATAATCTGTTAGTAGACTTTTGTAATGTAATCTACTTAGACCAGTTGATTTACTAAATTATATATGCAAGAAGCAATCATTCGCCTGTAGAAATCATGTATGTATCTGAAATTGTAAAAGTCTATTATATTTAAAGCAAATTTAAAGACTTTGGTGTAATTCCAAATTGATGTTATTACTTTCCCTTTCTTTCTTTAGGAAATAGAAAGCCAAATAGTCTATGGAATATTCTCTCATTCGTGTAACCCATATTATTTTATAAATTCTCGTGAGGGATTTGAAGTTTTACCACAAACTAGCTTTGTGACCTTGTACAAACTACTTACTCCCTTATTCTCTGTGATTCTCAGTTCGCTTATCTATCAAATGGAGTAATAACATCACTCACTTCATAGGGTTTTAAAATAAAGATGAAATAAGATATTATGTGTGATTTGCCCACATTTTGACACAGAGTAAGTGCTCAATATAAGAAACTGGACGTTCTGGGAAAGCTTGAATTATGTCATTTTTGGAAAAAGAATTTCTTGTCTTACCTTAACATGACCTTTTTTGAAGCAGTTCTCCCCATGGAAACCTCCAGCCCTGGCCCAAGAAGTCAGAATCTGCGGCGTTTGTTTAGAGTGTTTAGGGAAATAAATCTCTCCTGCCTCCTGCCTCTTTTTTCCTGTGCTGCTCCCTGAGGAGGGCTACTTAATGGTCTTTTTTCTTTTGTTCTAACTTCCATTTGGCTACTAATGCCCAGAGTCAGCTGGAGCCTGCTTCCTTTTCTGAGCACCCAATAATCAGTGTGATTCCAGATGTACTTAACATGGTAAAGACTTTAAAAGGTCCTGGTGGCTTACAACTCATCAAGTATGCATTTTTAACAGATGGTTCCTATATTTCCATTTCGGGAACTCTGTATCAGCCATCCTCATCAGGACTCTGCTCCTTTTCTTTGTATTTTTACCCTTGGGCTCTATATGGAAGCTATCTCTTTGGGTTTCTGCTGGTACATATTTGCAAAAGGCTTGGTTAATTACTATATTCAAACTCTCAATTGTAGAGTCTTGGTTAGAATTTAGAGCTCTGTTTATAATAAAAAGAAGGTTAGAATTAGTTGGTTCCAGATTAGTTTAGAGGCCTTTGAAGGCCTTAGCGCTAGATTGGGTTCTGAGTTCGAAGAACCATAGACCATTCTGTGCATGAAAATGTAAAAGAGGGGGAAAATGACTACTTCTTTTTTCATATAATGTCATTTGTGACCAACATATTAATTACCTGGTCAAATATTTTCTTAACATCATCCCATATCCCACTCTGTTTTTCTCCTCTTCTAGTGCCTTTCTTTCCTGAAACCTTATGTCTTCTTTCACTTAAACAATACCTCTTCATTCTACAGCACTCCAGGAAATTTTTCCTCTCTTCTTTCTATTAGAATTCTTATTGCCTCAGTTATTTTGCTATTAGAGAGTTAATAGAAGAGTGATACCAGAAAACTAATTCACAGTACTACCGTTAAAAACACTTCATATGTGCCAGGCATAGTTCTAAGCAGTTTCCATAGAGTAAATCGCTTTAAAACTTCACAGATTTCCTATGAGGTAAATTCTACTTTTATTATCATTTTACAGGTGACTAAATTAATACAGAGTGATAGAAAATTACTTGTTTTTTGCATCGCTTACATAGTAGAGCTGAGATTGAGTTTGTTTGACTCTAGGGCCAATGCATTTAACCGTCATGTTATCCTGCTGTGTTTCAGAGTGGGGCTGATTTTCTTGAAGAAATCATCATTTTATACATGTCAGGCAGATTGGAGAAAGAATTTTGGGGGATATGGGCTAAAATGTGTTAGGTTCAGCCTGGATCTAGATCTCAGGGTCAACTGCCTTTTGGGATTCCTGTTTTTATATCCTCCCTTTTCACTTCTGAACTCAAAGAACGCTTCTTTCCAAAGCTTCAATGATGGGCTGGTAGGAACTCTGAGGTGAGGTAACCAAATCCTTTTTAAAGTTTTTTGTGTAAATGAATGTTTATAAATTGGAAATTGGCCTGTTTTGACTTTGAACCCAACTTTGATGTCCTACATCTCAAATAGAGTAATTATTATATTACTAAATCTTCTTGTACTTTTAGAGACTTCTTAACAGTTGTAGAGGACGTATTTAATAATAGAACAGCCTAATTTACCTGGATGAAAAGGAAACTCTATAGACGGAGGCTTTCGCAGACAAACCCTATTACTGTAGCAGAATGGGAAGGAGAAATGAGAAACTGCTGGAAAAATAAATCCTCCAATCTTGCCTCTCTAAATTTCTAATGCTCATATTAAGTGTTAACTACATTTAGTTTATGATTTTTAATTTCCTTTGAATGGTTAAAGGAGAAATCACCTATAAGAGAGATAAAACTTAATAGAAAACGCTTTATACATCTATGGGTTTTTCTGATCTTCTTTGAAACAAACATTACTCTTTAGGAAGCTCTATAAATCCTGATTGCAGAAAATTAATGTTGAACTATAGAAATCCAGGCAATTTGTCAATCATTATTCCAATCTTCACAATATAAAGATGTACTAATTGGAGATCAAAGCCAGTGACTTGAGAGAATGCATCACTAACTAAAATATTAATACAACTCAGACCCCCCAGTTCCACGTGATAGTCAACTGTTACCCACCAGTAAAAGAATAATAAATTTTTATAGGTAAAATTTCTCAGATATTCCCATGTAATCCTCTATTGAATGTTTACCATGCTCTATAATACTGCTTGAGTCTAATTAGTTACAAAATGTATGCTATTGAACAATAACTATTTCCCCTGGGTTTTCATTGAACTCATTTGAGTAAACATACGCATGTATACATATATAGTCATACTTCAGTATTCATGAGGGATTGGTTTCAGGACCCCTTTTGGATACCAAAAGTCAAAGGATACTCAAGTCTTTTGTGTAAAATGGTGTAGTACTTACAAATAGCCTAAACACATCCTTCTGTATACTTTAAATCATCTCTAGATTACTGGTAATACCTAATACAATGTAAGTGCTATGAAAAGAGTTGTTATGCTATATTGTTTAGGAAATAATGACAAAAAATAATGACATGTTCAGCACAGATGCAACCATCCATCTTAAAAAATATTTTTGATCTGAAACTGGTTGAATCCATGAATGCAGAATCTACAGATAGATGTGGAGGATCAACTCTAGGTATACCAAATTAAAACCATGGATAGGAAAAGTAGAAATTAAACTCAACTCCAAACTCAGACGTATTTCCACTTCTCAAGTCATAAAATATACATTCAATGCCTAGTATATTCTTAGATTAGACAGATCATAAAAACATGCAACCTGCTGATCTATTTTACATTGTACATATGCATATTGGATAATAATACTGATTATGGAATTTGACTGAGATGTTGGTGATTTAAAAAAACTGGCATAGAAAAGTACTACAAACTAGGGTTTTGAAATAAACAAGATTTATGATAGAAACTGGCTTCTTGGTTTAAAAAAAAACAAGGCATGTTAAATTCAAACATTACTAAAATACATAAACAGAATTCTATTTATCATATGTCACTAATTAAGCATACATAAAACAATTACGTTAGTCATTATATATGACTAATTAGTCACATATAAAACCATTGGCTATATACATGGTTACTCTTATTTAAATGAGATTGTAAAACAATAGTTTCATCAATTGTTTAAAAACAAACAAGTAAACAAGCAAACCTAATAATTATAGGTCAGGATAAATGCTAAGAAAAAAACATAAGCATGATGTGATTAGGAATGACAAATGGAGTATGGGTACTTAGGGTGGGAGATTTTAGTTAGGAAAGTGACATTTAAATTGCAACCTGCCTTCAAGGAATGCATAGTTTGTTGTAGGACGTAGACCAGAAAGCAATAATATATAATTCAATTTGACAAGTATTACTACAAATCTATGAGTGTAGTGATGAGGGAACAAAGAGGTAGGAGCAACTAATTTTACTCTGGAAAATCTCCAGAGACCTCACAATTATTTGGGCTGGGACATGAAAAATAAATAGGAGTTTGTTAAGTTTGAATTCTGCATTCTTTATTCTTAGTTAATACCAGAGGGTTCATGGAACAGACACATAATAGGCTTTTTAGCTGATGATGTATTGTATCACTTAGAAATAGTCAACGCCATGCAAATGGGTTGCTTTTTTGTAAATTCTCTCACCGAAGAGAGCCTGTATCCAATAACTGGTCAATTAGAGAGGATGGGCTGGGGGGAGAGTACAAAAGGCCCAGTTCCCTTGCCTCCATCTGAAGGTTTCTCCAGTTTCAGAGCAAGCTGTAGGAGATACCATCGGGTACAGCGTTCGTTGTGACTTCATCGCAATTCAGCTTCTTCCTCTGTCCAATCCTGTTTATTTCATTCCCACACAGGTGTTGGTCTTCAATAAATTCCTGCATGTAAATGATCCACCTTAGAGTTTTTTTCCAGGGAACCTGACTTAAGACCAATTCTCAGTAAATACTTATTGATTGATTGCCTGAGATTTATTCAGGAATAAAGAGAGCAATACACCATACGTTGATAATTATTATTGATGGCTGCAAATATCAGAGGTAGCATTGTTATGATTAGGATTCATATGCCTCATTAGCATTCATTAATGTAATGTGCTCTGTTGTGCATTTTCTAACTGTTTTGAGGAAAGTTAGCTCCTCCCTTACATGTAATTATACACATAGGTCTTGATGTTTAAGAATAATTAAAGCTAATTATTCCCATCCTGTTCAGTCTCCATCCCAAATTCTTAAAGAAAGTTTCAGAAGCAGCAAATGACAAACTCTTCTCTGATGGAAAATTTGGTTTCACGCATTATGAAGCATTTCCATGAGGCATGGTGGAATTTACACCAGAGGAACCATTGTGGTTCTCAGTGAACGCTGAACTACCAAAACTCAAAAATGGATGATCATGTAAGTGTAGCCAGATACAGTAAGACATTGATGTTAGTAGTTGGTCACCTTTCTTCTAAGCCTATATTGCTCTGGGGACAGTCTTCCTTATCATAATATTGGGATGCCAAATATTTTGAATACGTGATAGAAGAATTTCAGTTTTTTAAATCATTGATATCCCACAGCAGTTTCTTATTCCACTACATTTCTGACTGGAAATGTTAGCACTGACACTTTTGATTACATAATTAGAGATGACTCCCCAAAGCATTGTTATTTGACTTTCCTTTCCAGCTTTCTGGAGATTGTGAGAGAAGATGTCTGGCTTCCCCTAGGTGTGTCTATCAAACTCTGTTGATTGTTATTCAGTGTGAGACTGAGATGACTGATAAAATAAATGAGTAGAATAAACAGCAGAATTAGTTTTTAATTTCCTTTTTCTCTTGATTGCTCACAGTGTGTGTTTGCAAAGGCATGATATTATGGCTCCTCTTTTGTATCAGAGATGCCAGGAGCTTGCTTAGTTTGCAGTGCTAAAAATGATGTTTCAAGACCCATCACAATGAAGGGAAAATGAAAGTAAAGCAGTTTAAGGGGCAAAAATGAAAACAAAATGGTCTGTGTTTTGCATTTTATAAGCTCTCTTCTATACAGTCATCTTTTTTTATTTCTAATGAAAATTTGTAATGATAGATGAGATGTAAGTTTTACAAAGCTTTAAAAGGTTTCTTCTTTGTTTTTCTCCTCCTCTTCCTCCTTCTTCTCTTCCTCCCCTTTCTTTTCAGGTGGTATTTTCAAACCAGCGATTAATCTGGGTTAGTGATCAAGAAAGATTTTCAAAATGCAACTTGCAGGAAAGACATTATTAATTTTCCTTTCTCTTGCTCCATAGTCAGATTAACTTATCCCTAATATGTTAATATTAATGTTGAGAATAGTGTAGACTCTTTGCTAGATTTTCTGATTTCTTGATTAGGGTTTTCTTTTTTCTTTTCTTTAGAGGGTCTTACTCTGTCTTGCAGGCTGAAGTGCACTGCAAGATGCAGTGCAAGTGCAGATGCCACATCATAGCTCACCGCAGCCTCAAGCTTGTGGGCTCAAGCAATCATTCCACCTAGGCCTCCTAAAGTGTCAGGATTACAGTTATGATCCACCACACTTAGCCTAATATGGTCCTTTTTTCTATTGTTGTACTAAGAGGCTATCTAAAGCATAAAATTCTTTGAGAAATTGCCAAACTGCTTTCACAGAATTACCATTTGACCTAGCAATCCCATTATTGAACATATACCCAAAGAATATAAATCCTTCTACCATAAAGACACATGCATATGTATGTTCATTGCAGTGCTATTCACAATAGCAAAGACATAGAATCGACTTAAATGTCCATCAGTGATAGATTGGATAAGGAAATGTGGTACATATACACCATGGAATATTATGCAGCCATGAAAAATAACAAGATCATGTCCTTTGCATCAGCATGGATAAAGATGGAGGCAATTATGCTAAGTGAACTTATACAGAAACTGAAAACCAAATATCACATGTTTTCACTTACAAGTTGGAGCTAAACATTGAATAACCAGGGACCCAAAGAAGGGAACAATATACACTGGTGACTACTTGAGGGTGGATGGGGGAGAAGAATTAGGATCATGAAGCTACCTATCTGGTACTATGGCTTATTACCTGGGTGATGAAATAATCTGTACACCAAATCCCTGTGACATACACTTTATATAGCAGACTTGCACATGTACCCCTGAATCTAAAATAAAAGTAAAAACAGTAATAAAGCATAAAGGTTGGAACTAGTAACTGTGTGCCCTTGGGCAAGCCACTTAGTGGGTTTTATTTACTAGGCATGAATGAGGTCTGAGTCATTTTGGTTGGCACTAAGAATAAGATGGTGAACAAAATAGCATGAAACCTCCCTCATGGAAATTTTAGTCTAGGGGGCATAGACAATGAGGGGTAGACTAGTTAAGGTGATGCTGGAGGGAAAGACAGGAACTTGATTCTAACAGAGATGGGAAACCTTTGTAAGATTTTAAGCATAAGAATGGCACAATCCAATTTGTATTTTACATACACATGATTCAGGTTAGATCTGAACTGTGAGGAAGCACGTGGTCAGCAAAGAGTTATAGTGAGAGGTGATGATAGTGTAGACTGGAGACTGGCAGAGGTAATGGTGATGTTATTGAAGGTGGAGAGAAATGGATGGGTTTAAAAGATTTGAGGTAACATGAATGAGACTTGTTGAAGCAGAAAGGTAAATTAAAAAAACTTCTAGATTCATGACTTGGGCAATGGGATAGATAGATAATCCTGACCTTTCTGAGATGGAAAATAATGAGAACTAGGTTTTAAGTGGAAGACAAATTCAGTGCTCATCATGTTGAATTTGAGATGCCACTGATTTGTCAAGGAGGTAAGTTGGAATACAAGTTTAGGGCTCAAAAGAGATAGCTTGGAAAAGGGTATTTTGTAGTATTCAAAAGGAAAGGAGGCTGGGGCATGGTGGCTCACACCTGTAATCCCAGCACTTTGGGAGGCTGAGGCAGGCGGATCACGAGGTCAAGTGATCGAGGCCATCCTGGCCAACATGGTAAAACCCCATCTCTACAAAAAATACAAAAATTAGCTGGGCATGGTGGTGCTGCCTGTAGTCCCAGCTACTCGGGAGGCTGAGACAGGAGAAACGCTTGAAACTGGGAGGCCAAGGTTGCAGTGACCTGAGATCGGTCCACTACACCGCAGCCTGGTGACAGAGCAAGACTCCATCTCAAAAACAAACAAACAAAAAAATAAAAAAGAAAGAGTAAGGCTCTTTAGGGGTTTAGAAAGCCCACTGAAGTTATTGATGAAAAATTTAAAACAATTTCAATCCATTATGTTAAGTAATTTTCTCAAAGCAATGTTTGACTTTCTAGGTACAAGAACAGAGAAAACAAGTTTAAACAGGGATGTGATGATGCTAGATGAGTTTTATTTGAAAAAAAAATAGGAGGGGTGGGAGAAAGTAAGGTTTGGCAAGAGAGTTTTGAATTGAAGACTATGAGTCCTAAGCTTGGGGTGAAAGTAAAAAAATGCAGGAGGAGAGGAAAAATTTATAGTTGAAGTTAATTAAATAGAGGTGCTGATGTAATCCACATGATTTTGAATGGGCAAGGTAGGAAGATAGAAGACCATGGTGAGAAAGCAAGAAACCTGAATGAGCAGTTTGGGGGATGGAGAGATTTGGATGAGAGAAAAGCACAGTTATGACTGTAGAAGTGGGTGGCTGGAAAAAGTGCAGAAGTCTTTGGGCAAGATAAGGTCAACAAACTGAGAAGTGTGGGTAGAAAATACAATCATCCAAGATAATTGCAGAAATTGTTTAGTGTAGACCAATACCTTGAAAGGTGACATCAATAAAGAGGGATGGTATGGAGGCACTAATGACTTTGCACTAATAATAATACATAAGTAATCATAATTGAAATAATAATAATAATTAATATCTACTGATTACTTTCTCACTGCCAAGAATTAACTGTTTAATATGCATTATCTCAATTAACCTTTACAATAAACTAAGGCTAGGTCATTATTCTCCCCACTTTAGAGCTGAAGAAACTAAAATTACAGGGAATGTTATATTCAAATAAGGGACTCTGTGACTAGAGAATTCATAATCTTAACCATTATTTTACAATACTGATTCAACAAGCTATTGCAAGGATTAATTGTGATATGTAAATGTGAAAAATATAAGTGAATTTGATTGTTAAACTCTAGAATGAATACAAATGTAAAAGTGTAAGACATTGTTAATATCATGATTATTTCTTTGCTTCTCCAAGCTAATTTCTTCTCTACTGCATGTTCAACTAATTAAACCCATGCTTGGGTGAATAAAATCACAACCCATTAGTCTATAGTGAGAATATGGGCTTTGGTCAAAACAAGTAGGATATCTGGGTCCAGAAAGAGAGTCAGCAAGTGTGTCTCTCATATTCATTCCAGCGGTGTGCTAACAAGACTAATTCACTTGCTGGTGCTTTTCTTGTGATATAGAGTTGATGAAGATTAACAGACCCTGAGTTTCAGGAAACATTTTCTCCCTCCAAATCACACTAGCCTGAAAAGCAAAAGGAACTCTTATGAACAACTGAAAAACAATTAAATGCACACTATGCTCATGAGCTGTAGATGCAATTATATTGTAGACGGCAGATAAGGATGATTAGAAGTCAGGAAAGTCTTCATGTATAAGATGGATCATATGCTTGACTTTGAGTGGTGAGAAGTATTTAGATAAACCCCGAGAAGCGCATAGGACTTGTAAGGCAATCAGTGAAATGGTGCTGTATCCTCTATCATGGGATACCTTTAGTACATTCTTACTGATTTATACCCGGAGGGTTGATGCAATTGGAATTTTTGATGTCTAGACTCTAAAATTATAGGCTATATATTTTTCTTCAGACTATCATCTGTGGGAGGAGATATGGCTTCATATAATTTTTCTGAGCGTCTAGGATATTGCACAAGGCATTTCTCAGAGAAATATATATATACATTCCCAGTGAGTAATCTTTCTTATTTAAACCAGTGAATTTGCCAAATGATTGACTCTCTGCAGAAGGAAAGATGTGTTTACTGTGACATTGTATTGTATTGTATTTATTGATATATTTCTTTAATGCACATAATGCAAACCCACTGGTGACAATGCATGTTTGTAGCTTTACAGTAATAGTTATGCAAGTATGTCCATTATGTAGCTCATGTTTCAAGGATTTCTACCTTCTAGTTGGGGTCTATCCTTGGCAAATCATGAAGATGAGTGAGGGTCTTAGTTTAGAATGCTTGAAGAAAGTCACCTGGTGCTTTTGTTTCTCTGTTCCTTTTACACACACATACACATACACAGGCACACATGCACACACACACAAACACACAAATACACACCCCTAAACAAATAAAACAAAAAGACGTGTATCCACTGTGAACGACAGAGCTAACACATGCATATGCTATAGCTTCAAAAACAAACAAAATTAAAATGAAATTTGCCAGGGCCTTACTTCTGAATAGGTTTAATGATGATGGACACATACATGAATATAACATTTGAAGGATTTAAATTTAAGCCTTCAGAGGCTTCACTCTCTGAGCTATTATTTCATTGGGATTTGAAGCATGAAACCTAAAAACGTATTTCTTTCCCCTTGGAAGCAGGCACATAGCTCCCATTAACTCCAGAAGGAGGAATTATACATGAGAACAAGGGCAGACAATAGACAAATAAGTATGCATGTTCAGTTGCTAGATTAACCCAATAGCCTATGATAGATCTTTGAGAGCCTTTATAGTCTATGAGATCAATAATCCATTATAGCTCATACTGGTGACTAAATGACTTTGGGGATTGGTAATGGTATCTGAAATCTTTTACCTTTAAACCATGGCTTGTAATAAATCCTAAGTTCCTCTCAGACATCACCACCTGGTTGCAATAAGGTAGTCTCAGATTCAGCACCTTAAGGAGAGGATAGTAAATGATAAGCAGTCAATACATATTTATTAGATGATAGGATGAACAAAGAGGAAAAATAATACTACCTCCACTGTCATATCTCATCTGATTGTAGCCTCTTCCTTGGCTGGGCCTATTCAAGTTCTGCCTGATATCGTGTGATATGGTTTGGATATTTTTCCCACCCAAATCTCATTTTGAAATGGCATTCTGAATATTGGAGGTGGGACCTGGTGGGAGATGTTTGGGTCATTAGGGTAGATGCCTCATGGCTTGGTGCTGTCCTTATGATAGTGAGTGAGTACTTGCCAGATCTGGTCCCACCACAACTCCCACCACCACTTGTGCTATTGCCATATGTGGTGCTCCTGCTTCATCTACCATGAGCAAAAGCTCACTGAGGGCTTCTTAAAAGCTGAGCCAATGCCCACACCATGCTTCCTGTACAGACTGCACAACCATGAGCCTATTAAACTTAATTCCTTTACAAATTACTCTGTCTCAGATATTCCTTTATGGCAACACAAGAATAGCCTAATATGCCATGTTATCCCTTCTAATCTCTGACCTCATACTGGTTACATCTGCTTCTCCCCTTCTGCTAATCATAGTGTTTCTTCTCCTAAAGTAGGATATACTTTATTTGTCATTGGACTTTCAAATCAATGATACATTTTTGAGAGAAGGAAGTGGGAGGAGTGCAATGCATTTTACTCTGTGGATGAGCAACATTACTAATGATCAGGAAAGTACAAATCAAAACCACAATGCAATACCTCCTTACTCCCACAAGATTGGCCATAATAAAAAAAATAATAGATGTTGGCATGGATGCAGTGAAAAGGGAATGCTTCTACACTGCTGGTGGAAATGTAAACTAATACAACCACTGTGGAAAACAGTGTGGAGATTCCTTAAAGAACTTAAAGTAGAATTACCATTTGATTCAGCAATCGCACTACTGGGTAGTGGAGGAAAATAAGTCATTATCCGAAAAAGATACTTGCACACACATGTTTATAACAGCACAAATCGCAATTGCAAAAAGGGGAACCAACTCAAATGTCCATCAATCAATGAGTAGATAAAGAAAATGTGGCATATTATATACACACACACACACACACACACACACACACAATAGAATACTACTCAGCCATAAAAAGGGATGAATTAATGGCATTCACAGCAACCTTTATGGGATTGGAGACTATTACTCTAAGTGAAGTAACTCAGGAATGAAAAACCAAATATCATATCTTTTCATTTATAAGTGTGAGGTAAGCTATGAGGATGCAAAGTCAAAGGAATGACACAATGGGCTTTGGGGACTCAAGGGGAAAGGGAAGGAAGGGGGTGAGGCATAAAAGACTGCAAATTGGGTTCAGTGCATACTGCTTGGGTAATGGGTGCACCAAAATCTCACAAATCACCACTATAGAACTTACTCATGTAACCAAATGCCACCTGTTCCCCAAAAACCTATGGAAATAAAAAATTTTAAAAAAATTAGAGAAAAAAGGCAAAAAGAAATACTTTTATTTCTGTGTTAATATTCCCATATTTACTTGTTTTTCTTTTTAAAAAATTATTCTATTTTATTATTTTATTTTATTTTTAGAGACAGGGTCTCACTCTGTCACCCAGGCTGGAGTGCAGTGGCATGATGATCATAGCTCACTACAGCCTCAAACTCATAGGCTCAAGCTACTCCACCTCAGCTTTCTAAGTAGCTGGGACTACACATCACTACATGACACCTACACCCAACTACTTCCAATTTAATATGACTCACTTTTAAAGGAATTATGAACCCAATACACACTGTGTTTTTCTACTAATGTTACTTTACACAGTCTCAAAATTTGATCTTTGATCCTGGAGTGTTTACAGTTTTGTTACAGAGATAAAACATGATCACAGGGAATTATAAAAATGACATCAGATAAATAATCATTACTGCCTATTAAGCACTACAGATAAATATTGAACAAGCTCTTATGGATGTGCATACATGTATGTATGTATACATATCCACATTCTCTAAGGTATATAATTATCATAGTGACCCTAGGAGACATTGCCATTAGCTAATTATACAAATGGAAAAATGAGATAAAAGAAGTTAAATAACTTATCCAAAATTACGCAACTTGTATATGAAAGGCATGGGATTCAAATCCAAGTTTGCCTAAGGCCAATAATGCTACTTCTGCCAAGGTGAATAAATGTCAAATTTTGGGTTTCCAATTAAAATAGCATTGAGAATATTTGGGTTGGGCTATTAGTGAATGCCATTAACTTAAGTTTATTCCTAAAGAAATAATATATTTTGGATAGTTTGGTGATGATATTCACATTGAGGGGAAATGGTCATGAGAATATCAGTACTGTAATCTTCCTGACTGCAGCACAGACAAAAATCAGTCCACTGAGACCATGCCACTGTAGTAGAGAAAGAGTTTAATTGATGTGAGGCCAGTGGGAGAACTGGAATTATCACTCAAATCAGTCTCCCTGAAGGCATGCAGCTTAAGGTTTTATGGGCAATTTTGTGGGCAGGGGGCTAGGGAATAGCTGCTGCTGATTGGTTGGGTATGAAGTCACAGGGGTGTGGAGAACAGTCCCTGTGCTGAGTCTACCTCTGGGTGGAGGCCACAGAATCAGATGAGTCATGAGTTAGGAGTCCAGGTGGAGTCACTCTTAAAGATATCTCAAAAAAATTATTGGGTTCTACAATAGTGATGTTATCTATAGGAGAAATTGGGGAAGTCACAAATGCTGTTACCTCTGACTCCTGAGCTCTAAAGGACTATAGAAACTCCACCTATCTTGTAACCTCTAGCTCCATGACTCCTGAGAAGTAAAGGAATATAGAAAATTCACTTGTATTTTAGCAGAGTTCAGGCCCCTCACATGATCAAATGGTTGTGGCCTTTCATCAGTCTTACATAAGGTCCCTTTTGGTTCCTGAGCAAGGAGGGACTTACTTTAAGGGAGATACTGTTATTAACCTTGTTTTCAAGTTAAACTATAAACTAAATTCCTCCTACAGTTAGCTTGGCCTATGCCCAGGAATGACTAAGGACAGCTTGGAGGTCAGAAGCAAGATGGAGCCAACTATGTCATATTTCTCTTACTGTTATAATTTTGCAAAGGTGATTTCATTATTAGAACAGAGAAAACTGCAGATTGTCTAAATATTTTCAAACTTAAGGTACTTTCTCTGGAGTTAAATTTAATCATCTGAGTTATGGCCTTTGTTCTTAATTAATATGTATCTATACAATTATCAGAGTCAAATACTAGCATGTACCATCAAAATGGTAATCTAGGTCCTAGGAATATAGATGTGAATAAAACACAAATATCCTTTCCCTGAAGACTGGGTATAGCCCCGACCTTTGCGGTGCAGGTATAGTAAAAATGATTGATTGACACTGGAGATGGTAAAAATTAACACTAGTTCAGTGACTCTCCTTTCATAAGAAACAAAAGCAGTAAGCCACTGGGGGAAAAGTGGAACATCCTCCCACCCCTCATGCCATTGTGGGAGGGTAGAAGAAAAATCAGTGTGCCTTGGGGAGGGATAAGAAACTCTCTAGCCCTCCCTGCCTACTGCAAGAAACAGGCAGAGATCCATTGGTTCTAGGGAAACTAGACTAGAAGCAAAATGATCTGCCCATGGAAGAAGAGCTTGAAAACCCAGGCCCAGGGTCTTGCAATGATAGAAAGCAGAGGTCTATTACTTCTAGGGGAGGGACAGGAGAGTTTGGCTGTCACTGAGAAGAGAGACATGAAAGCTGAAATACTCAACTCAGAATCCTAGGTGCACAGGCCTCATGTAAGACTGAACTTGATTCAAGAAAATCAAGTAGTGCCCACTGTCTCCACTATGAGAATAATATTGAAAACAAGCAAGAACAGTTTACCACTGGAAAAAGAGTAAGAATAGAGATACTCTCTATGATATCAGGGTTGCTGAAAACTGAAGTTAGGGCAGGAAGACAGGAAAATTCTTCCCATCATTGAAATAATTTGAACTTCAGATAGAGCAGGGACCTGTTTTTTAGAGGCCTGCAAGTGCTTCCCAAGCATGGAAATAAAAGAAAATCCTGAATTCCTTCAGGAGAAATTCCAGGCACCTAGCTAGCCCTGAGAAGTAAATAAGTAACTTGTTAAACAAGAAGGTAATAGTAGCCTAAAACAATAGCCAAGGAAGGTAGAGTCCAGAAACTTTTGGCTTCCCTATAGAAACCAAAAGATATATAGATATAGATATCTATATAAAGATAACATCTTAACTTATATTCTTGAGTTGTCTTTCAAAAACATGGAGCCCCCACAGCCTCCACAGAGGAACCCCACCAAACAGATCCATTGGCACATAGTCCTCAGATAAGAGGGAATTGAAAACTGAACTCTGACTACCATTCTCTGTTCTACATTTCTTCCTGTGGGGCTTGGAGGGAGTCCCATCCTTGAGTCAGTTAACTTTTTTTTTTCCTGGCCTCAAATATTTAAACAAAGTTTTTCTTCTTTTACCAAATGTAAATATATGTGTGTGTGTATATATATATATATATATATATATATATATATATATATATATATATATATATATATTTGAATCTACCTATGACCTATAAGCCCTACATTTCAAGGTACTTCACCCTTTTAGGCCAAAATCAATGTGTAACTTCCATGCACTAATTTTTTATTTTGGCTATAGCTTCTGCTTTCCTGAAATTTAACCCTATCTTTAAGACCCCTTACTTGCAAGCCACCAGAGAGGCCAGGACTGAGCATTAGCTGGCTAGTTCTCCTTGCTTGGCGCCTTGCAAATAAGTGCCTACCTTTCTATTGCTGCAAAAATCCTCATTGTGGATATCTGATTTTATTGTGCCAGGCAAGCGGCCCCCAGTTCAGTTCTATAACAGTTTATGGTTCACTGAGGATACTAATACTAATAACCATATTTGAACACAGCTGAATCCCACATACAAATGACCTCACAGGAAAAGAAGCACAACCATTTTCAGGACTAAATATTATTTCCCTCAAGCCCTACTGTCCTGCTACATATAATATATGTATTATGGTATTCAGTCAAAAATATAAGAAACTCAAAAGTGTATTATAATTATTATTAAGTGAAAATGAACTTCATGAATATAGACTTTATAATTTAAACAAAATTTTGGAAGATGAAACCCAACAATTAATAAAAAGAAGTATTTACCATGTCTAGGTTTGTTTTTATTTTATTTTTTTGAGACGGACTCTCGCTGTGTCGCCCAGGCTGGAGTGCAGTGGCGCAATCTTGGCTCACTGCAACCTCTGCCTACCGGGTTCAAGCAATTCTCTGCCTCAGCCTCCTAAGTAGCTGAGATTACAGGTGCCTGCCACCACGCCCAGCTAATTGTTGTATTTTTAGTAGAGACTGGGTTGCACTCTCTTGGCCAGGCTGGTCTTGAACTCCTGACCTCGTGATCCATCTGCCTCGGCCTCTCAAAATGCTGGAATTACAGGCGTGAGCCATCACTCCAGGCCTAGGTTTTTTTTAAATAAAAACATTTAAGATTGACTCAACATTAGCAAATCAAACAATATCAGTTGCCATATTAAAAGACAAAAAAAACCACCTCAATAGATGCGGAAAAAGTATTCAACAAAATTCAAGATGGTTTCATGACAGAAACTCTCAACCTGTAAAGGGCATTTATTTTAAAACTTCAGGTAATATTGCTTTTAATGGCAAAAGATTGTTTTCCTCCTAAGATTAGGAACAAGGCAACTGTTTTAGTCTGTTTGGACTGCTGTAACAAAAGAGTTTCTACTGAGTAATTTATAAATAATAAAAATGTATTGCCACAATTCTGGAGTCAAAGAAGAACAAGATCAAGGTGCCAGGAGATTCGGTTTCTTGTGAGACTGGGGCTCCTTCCTTATTTTGCATCCTTACATGGCAAGAGGGCTATAAGATTCTTGCAAAAATTTATAAAATGCTGAAAGAAGTTAAAAATGACAAAGAGACATATTGTGTTCATGGATTGAATGTCTTAATATTGATAATATGTCACCTTTTCTCTAATTGATGTGTAGATTCAATATAAATCCAGTCAAAATCTCAGCATGTTTTTATGGAGATTGACAAGCTGATTCTAAAATGTATGAGGGAAACAAAATACCTAGAATTTTCAAAACATATTTGAAAATAACTAATTTGGAGACTTATATTACTGGATCTCAAGACTTACTATAAGACTATACTGATCAAGACAGTTTGATATTGTCAAAATAATAGACATATAGGTCAATAAAATAGAATGGGGTGCCTAGAAATAAACCCAGATAGACCCAAATCAATTTAATTTCAGCAGAACTTCCAAGTTAATTCAAAAGGGATGACAGTCTTTTTAAACAAATGGTCCAAGAGCAGTTCAACCTCCACTTACAAAATATGGACCTCAAAATACAATGAAAATTAACTTGATATGGATCATAAACCTACAAGTAAAGCCTATGCTATGAAACTTCTAAAAAACAAAATGAAAGAAAATATTTGTGACCTCAATCAAGCAAACATTTCCAAGGTAGAGCACAAAATACATGAACTATGAAAGAGCAAATTGGTAGATTGGAAATTATCAGTATTAAGAACATCTATTCTTTTGAATGATATTATTAAGAAAATTTAAAAATAAGCATTAGTCTGATGCCTCCTTGACTTCAGACATAACCTCTAAAACTGTGAGAGAATAAATTTCTGTTGTTTTAAGCCACGTAGTTTGTGGTAATAGTTTACAGCAGACCCAGAAAACTAATATGATCAGTATTAGACACAGCAAGCAATAGTATCTAAAATATGAGTGTAATATGAAATTGTTTGCATACTTTATATGAATTTGGCAGTTTTTCTTGGAAAACAGTAATCTAGGGCAGGTCAGAATAGCCTCTTCTAAATGAAGATCAAGTCGATATACCTAGTAGTAAGTTGCCTGAGCAAGTGGCTAATACTTCCACTTCAGTCACTCTTGCTGCATTGTCATCTGTCTTCTGGACACACTTTAGTTTCATGTGAAGTTCCCTCTAAACAACATATAAAGGAAGAAAATATTCATGCAGATAGTCCCATATGACATGTGAGCATCATTTGAAAGTGAAATGCTGCAGCATAGCTTCATCAGGGTGGTTCTGAAGGTTAGTGGGGAAAGAAAATCCCTCTAGTAAGCAGAATTTCAAGCAGCGCACTTAGTCTTTTTCTTTGCCTGTAAGGAAAGGTGGCCAGAGGTAAAGATCTACACAAATTTATAGTAGCTAATGGTTTAGCCAGATCACCATCTTCCAGGCAGTTGGAAGAAACATGGTGGAAAAGTTGATGACAAGGAGGCCTGGGGAAATGATCATGAATTGTGACAATATATATTTGTCAATAGAAATGCTAATCAAAGGGCATCCATTGCAAAGAAGGCGCTCAATAATGAGGTAGATCAAATGTCCTATTTTGTGGGTGTCAGTAAGCCTCCTTCTCCAACCATCCCAGTGCTTCCTCAATGGATTTATGAGGAAAGGTGACTTTCTTGTCAGTTGGACAAGAACACTCAGTTGGTGGATATGATTATGATGGAAGCAAGGAAAATTATGTATGAGGGAACAACATAGGCTGATATAACATAGGCTGATATTGCCATAGCTGAATGCCCAATCAGCCAACAATGGAGTCCAAGGCTACACATTTTCCTGGGATTTAGAGGAGAACCAGATAGCCATATAATAGCAGATTGATAACACAAGATACCTTTCACCATAGAAGGGGAATCAATTTGTTTTCGCTGGAATAGCTTTTTACTCAGAAGAAGGCTTTTCCTTTGCACACGTGCTTTTTTTTTTTTTTTTTTTTTTCTGGCCAGCATCACCATATTTTATTCTCTGTTAGCATTCCAAATAATATTGAGGGAACAGATGCAGACCTTAGGTCTAGGCCTACAAGATTCATAGGTTTTATATATATTCTTTTCCACCAAAATAACTTTTGAAGATGTAGTTACAGCTCAGGTGGGGTAACAACACTTTGCAGGGCTGTGATGTTATCCTTATATGCTGTTTATAGTACTCTGACCCAGCGACCTACATATGAAATCATTTCTCCCAAAGCCAAAATATAGAGATCTAGGAAACAAGAGGTAGAGGTGGGAGTGGAACCATAACTGATCCACTTACAAACATTTTATTTCTGTCTTCATGGTGTTTTAAGGCTTATTAGAAGGAGAAGCCATTATGTCCTGGAGAAATTATAGGCAGATTTGTGAGCAACTGCATGAGTTTTTCAGTAGCTTCTCTGACAAGATCCTATAAATCACTAGTATTTTGTACCACTGGGGACTTCGGTGGTTGCTTCCAGGAAGTTCTTGACATTTCCAATACCTTACTAGATAGTTTTTGGGAATCACTTACTTTGATGCTATAGGAAGCTAAGATTTTGGTGAACTTTCTTCTGATCTTTGTTCTCCAGCTGTTCAAGTGGCTGTATAAGCCTCAAATTCCCTGTATTAAACCCTTTCTACTTGAAATACATAGAGTAGCTTCTAGTTTTTGTTTGCCTGAACTCTAGTTGATACAGGGTTTTTATGATTTGGATGTGTTCCCAGGGAGAGGAAAAAAAGTCACCAAAAGAGGTACAGATTAGGGGACGGGCATGAAATGGTACATGTGATAAATTGGGAGAAAGCAAAGTTACAGGTAGCCACAAGAAGCCTAGTCTAGTGGAATGAAGCTTTAAGCAAATCTTTGTCATGGATATAATGAAGTTTTTAATTTTATGAAGATAATGTTAAATCTTGCCTGTAAAGAGCTATTTAGCATATAAAACACTTTTACATACATTACCCCTCTTGGTTTTGAGGAGAGGTCTCATAATGGAGAGGTGAAATATGCATCCTCCATCTCATTTGAATCTACATAGCCACCTCATGTTAACAACATAGCAACCCTGTGACAGGCAACACAGGTGCTAAATGTCCTTTACAAATTATAAAACTGAAGCTTTGAACTAGTAGGTTTATTTTATTCACTTATTCATCTAACAAATGTACATTGGTCTCTATTTACATATTTTTTTATTTTTCGAGATGGAGTCTCTGTCTGTTGCCCAGGTTGAAGTGCAGCTGTGTGATGATACCTCACTACAGCCTTGAACTTTAGCACTCAAGCAATTCTCCCACCTCAGATTCCCAAGTAGCTGGAACTATAGGCACATACCACCATGCTTGGCTAATGTATTTTATTTTTATTTTTGGAGAGATGGGTTTCACTATGTTGCCCTGTTTGGTCATGAACTCCTGGGCTCAAGCAATCTTCCCACCTCAGCTTCCCAAAGTGCTGAAATTACAGGCATGAGCCACTGTGCCCGACCACATTGGTCATTTAATGTGTATCAGGTATTGTGTTAGATATCACGGATAAAAGAATAAATAAGACAAACATCTCCCTGCCATCATGCCTATTTAGTGAGGAAAATAGACATTAATTAAATGATTTTTAGTATGATAAATGCTTTTACAAATGAGAGAGCAAAGAGTGCTATGGAGATTTTGACCTTAGTAAGGAGTTTATGTCTAAACTGTTCCTGGAACCTGAAGAATGAGTGAGCGGTGATGCCTCACTCAAATTCACACGGGCAGGAAATGGAAAAGTACGGAATGCAATTCAGGTCCCCTGACTCCTGCTCTAATACTCTGCTCCCTGTACAAGGTCAGGACTGTGACTGCTTTCCTGATGTGGGAGAAGGAGGCTGTGAGGTGTTTGTATTAAATATAAATAGGATATCAAGTCTTCTATGGCTAGGTCAGCTTAACTGTTGCTTCTTTATAAAAACTATACATTTCAGTAGAATATTTAAAGTCCATGTGGTAGGGTATAAGTAGTCCCAATACCTTATAAATATTCATTTCTTTTCTAAGGTACCTAAAAGAAGACTAAACTTTTAGATTGAATCCTATGGAATTGTTAATATTTAATCATCTGACTTCAAAAATGACAGTTTCATATGGTTCTTACCTAATACTGGGCTAACAAACCCTGTCCAGTGTTAAAGTGTTCTAAGCAATTCTTTCAATTCTTTTACAAAGACAAGATGTACTTCTATAACATGTAATTGCTGTAGGTAAAAACAGTATCAGACCAAGATAATCACCAAGTTTGGAAGAATTCAGAAGTTCAAAAGCTGCATAACAGTCATAGAGAGAAATAACTTTTTAGAAGTTGTCTAATTACAAATTGACTTGGCCAGGTCAATAATTTGAGAACTGAAGATGTACAGGATATAATTGACTGTTCTGGTTGAATCAATGACAAATTGACTTAAAAACAGCCTAAATTATAGTGGGAACCATGGTGACAGAAGCATACTTTCTAAATGTAAATTGCTTGAAAGTTTGAAATAAGCCATTGTCTCATAATAGTAGGACAAAGTCTGAAACAAATAAATATTTTTACTCTTGGCATTTGTTACTAAGAAATGTTTACAAGCAAACTAATGTAATTTTAAGATTTGCATTGAGAAACTCTCATTTTAAGAAAATTTACATACTTATTTTCAAACACCATGTTTTCTGGGGAGGTGGGGAAACATGTCTCCTTATGTTGATGATGAAAATTAAAATTGGTAACATCTTTCAAAAGGAGAATTTGGTAATGTACAAAAAATCAAAGAATATTTACAACATACATTCTCAACAGGGGTGATATAACCCATAAGAGGTTGACAGATTGGTTGGGGCATTGAATCTCATTCTTTTAATGTGTAAAGCATAGATATACATATTTCATATGTATATGCATATGTACATACATAGGTATATATATGAAATACGTATATCTAAGCTTTACACATTAAAAAATCTCATATATATATGAAATATATACATATATACAGAATGTTTGTGGTATTAAAATTACACGAGGAGGTGATTAGGATAAAAAGGCTAAAAAAGCTTCGTGGGAGAGTAATGATAGAAAAAAAAGAGAGAAACACTGGCTTACACCCTCAGAGGAAGAAACAAACCATGTTTCTATGAAATATAAAGTGAAGTCATTTTTAAGATGGAGTTACTGATGTCAAAGATGCTCTATACATGGCTTCACTGCATAGGCATGATTGATAAAGTAATTGGCATTGGTGATCAACTTACCCTTTAATCCTCTCTCCCCTACCCAGATGTTAGGCTGAAAGTCCCAACCCTGTAATCATGCCAAGGTCTTTCCATTGACCAATCCTCATCCTGAAGCTATCTAGGAGCTGTTAGCCACCAGTAAACTCATTAGCATATGAAAGGACATCACTTTTGAGATTCTAAGAATTTTAGGAGTTGTATGCTAGAGAACAGAGATGCAGAATAAATATATATTTTATAATATCATATACCCTTTGAGCCAATAAACCAACAAGTATAATAATTTTTGGAAAATTGTAGAAATTTAATTCTAAGGAAAGTATCTAGATTATTTGCAAACATAAAACTAATAGGATATTTGTAGTAATGTTGTTTATAATGAGTAATTGAAAGAGACCCACATTTCCAAAAATAGCGGACAATTAAATAAATTGTTGGAAAATCCTGCAATGGAAGGATATGCAATCAATGCAAATGCAGAATAAATTTGTATGATATAAAATGTATCATAATATTCTGATTTTAAACATATATTGTATACTGTTGTCACTTTGTCTCTCTCTCTCTCCATATATATATACATATATCTATACACACATATATATATAAAGTTGTTTTGTATATATATATAACAACATCCACACATTGAACAAAATTGACCAAAAGGATTTATATCAAAATATTTACTGCTGTTATGAATGAGCAGGGAATTACAAATAATGTTTTCTTTTCTATCTTCAACTTTTTTTTGTAAATTAAACATTGATTTTTATCAATTTACAACCTTTTATAATTTGAAATTTTAAATAATGCTGTAAGCAGAAAAGATTTAAAAAAGATTCACTTTTCTCACCCCCTTATCCAGGCACTTTCAACTTTTTAAGCTCTTTTTCTTTGTGGTTACTTCCATATAATTTATTTAACTTGTTATTTCTTTACTTTGTTGTTGTTATTGTTGATTATTGACTTCTCATAATATCATAGTAGGATTTAGCTTCCTTATATTTCCTCCAACAATCAAAAACACTTCCTCCTCCACCAACTTTATCAATATATATATGTAATAAACTTTGAATGCTCAGGATTTTATTATAGCTAAATAGTAAGTTTACTGTTGAACTGTGTAGTTTACTGTGATTACATTTCCTTTATTACTCATATTTTTTCTTGAATCTAATAATTGTTGTGTTTGCTTCTTAACTTTTAATGAGTCTAATCTTCATAAATTCCATGATAGACATACAAGCCTTCTCTCTAAATGATCAGATACAGTAACTTATCTGTTTTATGTTTTTTCTTGTGGTCATCTTTTGGAATTCTTCCTGTATTCTTATAAACTGGTTGGGATTATTCATGGCTGTTGTCCTGGAACTTCTTTATATCATTATCCTGGATTTTTAGAAAAATTATCTCCTATTTGAGATAGTTAGTTGATTTTTCTTCTTTCAATTTATTAGTTTGCTGCATTGTGTTAGTAAAGCACATCATTTATTTGCTTTATGTCAAAAAACACATAGGATGTAAATATCTTAAAACAATTTCTATTTGGTAATGTAATCGTGCTTCTGTATTTGACCAATAGTTTGGCTGGGAATGAAATTTCAGAGTGTTGAAATAATTTTCCTTTAGAACTTGGAAGTCAATACTTAAGTGTCTTTCAGTTTTTAATTTTTATATTTATATACTACATATGTATTTACAGTATATTTTTATTTCAATAGCTTTTGGGGTACACATGGTTTTTGGTTACATGGATGAATTGTATAGCGGTAAAGTCTGAGATTTCAGTGTACCTGTCACCCTATTAGTATACATTGTATTCAATATGTAGTTTTTTTTCTTCGTTCCTTTCCCACCCTCCTGCTTCTGAGTCATCAAAGTCCATTATATCACTTAGCTCCTTCTTATAAGTGAGAACATATAATATTTGCTTTTCCATTCCTGAATTACCTCACTTAGAATAATGGCCTCCAGCTCTATCAAGGTGCTGCAAAAAACATTATTTCATTCTTTCTTATGGCTGATTAGTATTCCACGGTATATGTGTACGTATATACCACATTTTCTGTATTGACTGATTGGTTGATAGTCACTTTGGTTGGTTCTATATCTTTGCAATTGTGAATTGTGCCGCAATAAACATGCTCATGCAGGTGTCTTTTTGATATAATGACTTATTTTCTTTTGGGTAGATACTCAGTAGTGGAATTGCTGGATGGAATAGTAGGTATACTTTTAGTTCTTTAAGAAATGGCCAGGTGCAGTGGCTCACGCCTGTAATCCCACCACTTTGGGAGGCCGAGGCGGGCGGATCACGAGGTCAGGAGATCGAGACCATCCTGGCTAACACGGCGAAACCACGTGTCTACTAAAAGTACAAAAAATTAGCTGGGCGTGGTGGTGGGCGCCTGTAGTCCCAGCTACTCGGGAGGCTGAGGGAGGAGAATGGCGTGAACTCAGGAGGTGGAGCTTGCAGTGAGCCGAGATCGTGCCACTGCACTCCAGCCTGGGCGACGGTGCAAGACTCTGTCAAAAAGAAAGAAAGAAAGAAATAACCATACTGTTTTCCATAGAGATTGTACCAATTTTTATTCCCATCAGCAGTGTATAAGCATTACTTATTTATTCACAACATCCATGCCAACATGTATTTTTTTTTTTTTTTTACTTTTTAATAATGCCCATTCTTGCAAGAGTAAGCTGGTATCTCATTGTGGTTTCATTTTTATTTCCTTGATGATTACTGATGTTGAGAGTTTTTTTCCATATGTTTGTTGGCCATTTATATATCCTCTTTTTAGAAATGTCTATTCATGTTATTTGCTCACTTTAAAGGGATTACTTATTTTTTCCTTGCTGATTTGTTTTTGTTCATTGTAGATTCTGGATATCAGTCCTTTGTCAGATGCATCATTTGCAAATATTTTCTCCCATTCTGTGGGTTGTCTGTTTGATGATTATTTCTTTTACTGTGCAGAAACTTTTTAGTTTAATTAGGTACCATTTATTTATTTTTGCTTTAAGTGTATTTGCTTTGGGGATCTTAGTTATAAATTATTTGCCTAGGCCAATGTCCAGAAGAGTTTTTCCTAGGTTATTGTCTAGAATTTTTATGGTTTCAGGCCTTAGATTTAAGTCTTTGATCCATCTTGAGTTGATTTTTGTATAAGGTCAAAGATAAGGATCCAGTTTCATTTTTCTGTATAAGGCTATCCAGTTTTCCCAGCACCATTTAATATATAGGGTGTTCTTTCCCCCAATTTATGTTTTTGTATGCTTTGTCAAAGAACAGTTGGTTGTTAGTATTTGGCTTCATTTCTGGGTTCTCTATTCTCTTCCATTGGTCTATGTGTCTACTTTCATACCAGTACTGTGCTGTTTTGGTAACTATAGCCTTGTAGTATAATTAGAAGTCTGGTAATATGATGCCTCTAGATATTTTCTTTTTGCTCAGGATCGTTTTGACTCTTTGGGCTCTTTTGTGGTTCCATATTAATTTTAGGATTTTTTTTTCTAACTGTGAAAAATGATGTTGGTATTTTGATGGGAATTGCATTGTATCTGTAGATCGCTTTGGGCAATATGGTCATTTTCACAATATTGATTCTTCCAATCCTTGAGCATGGAATGTGTTTCGACTTGTTTGAGTCATCTATGATTTTTTTCAGTGGTGTTTTGTGATTCTCCTTGTACAGATTTCTCACCTCCTTGGTTAAGCATATTTGTAGTATTTTTTTTACAGTTATAAAAGAGATTGTGTTCTTGATTTGATTCTCAGCTTGGTTATTGTTGGTGTATAGCAATGCTACTGATTTATTTATATTGATTTTGTAACCTGAGATTTTACTGAATTTGTTTATAAAATCTAGGAGTTTATAATCATATACATTGGTGAACAATGATAGTTTGACTTCCTCCTTTCCAATTTAGTGGCTTTTAATTTTCTTCTCTTACCTGGTTGCTCTGGCTAAGACTTCCCATATTATGCTGAACAGAAGTGGTGAAAGTTGGTATCCTTTTGTTGTTCCAGTTATCATATGGAATGAATTCAACTTTTCCCCATTCGGTATAATATTGCCTGTGGGTATGCCATGCCATATAGGACTTTTTATTATCTTGAGGTAAGTCTCATCTTTGCCTAGTTTGTAGAGGGTTTTTATCACAAAGGGATGCTGAATCACATTGAATGCTTTTTCTGCATTAATTGAAATGATCATATGTTTTTTGTTTTTAATTCTGTTAATGTGATGTATCACATTTATTGACTTATGTTTTTTAAAATTTTATTTTTTATTTTAATAAGTTTTTGGGAAACAGGTGGTGCTTGGTTACATGGATAAGTTCTTTAGTGGTGATTTCTGAGATTTTCATCCACCCATCACCTGAGCAGTGTACACTGTAACTAATGTGTAGTCTTGTATCCCTTGCCAACTCGCATACCTTCCCCTGAGTCCCTAAAGTCCAGTGTATCATTCTTATACCTTTGCATCTCATAGCTTAGCTCCCATGTATGAGTGAGAACATACAAAGTCTGGTTTTCTATTCCTGAGTTACTTCACTTAGAATAATACTCTCAAATTTCATTCAGGTAACTGCGAATACCATTATTTCATTCCTTTTTATGGCTGAATAGTGTTCCATGGTATAGATATACCACATTTTCTTTATTCACTCATTGATTGATGGGCATTTAGGCTGGTTCTATATTTTTACCATTGAAAATTGTTCTGCTATAAATAATGTGTGCAAGTATTAACATCTTTTTTGTATAATGACCTCTTTTCCTCTGGGTAGATACCTAGTAGTGGTATTGCTGGTTCCAATGGTAGATCTACTTTTAGTTCTTTAAGGACTCTCCACACTGTTTTCCATAGTGGTTGTACTAGTTTACATTCCCACCAACAGTGTAAAAGTGTTCCTTTTTCAATGCATCCCTACCAACATCTATTTTTTTTTTATTTTTTGATTATTGCTATTCTTGCAGGAGTAAGGTGGTGGTATCGCATTGTGTTATTGATTTGCATTTCTCTGATCATTAGTGATGTTGAGCATTTTGCCATATGCTTGTTGGTCGTTTCTATATCTTCTTTTGAGAATTGACTATTAATGTCCTTAGTCCACTTTTTGATGAAAATGTTTGTTTTTTTCTTGTTGATTTGAGTTCTTTGTAAATTTTGGATGTTAGTCCTTTGTCGGATGTATAGATTGTGAAGATTTTCTCCCACTCTGTGGGTTGTCTGTTAACTCTGCTGATTATTTCTTTTGCTGTGCAGAAGCTTTTTAGTTTATTAAGTCCCATCTTTTTATCTTTGCTTTTGTTGCATTTGCTTTTGGGTTCTTGGTCATGAAGTCTTGGCCTAAACCAATATCTAGAAGGGTTTTTTCCTGATGTTATCTTCTAGAATCTTTAGGGTTTCAGGCCATAGGTTTAAGTCTTTGATCCATTGTCAGTTGATTTTTGTACAGACTGAGAGATGAAGATCCAGTTTCATTCTTTTCCATGTGGCTTGCCAATTATCTCAGCACAATTTGTTGAATAGGATGTTCTTTCCCCACTTTATGTTGTTGTCTACTTTGTCAAATATCAGTTGTCTGTAAGTATTTGGCTTTATTTATGAGTTCTCTATTCTGTACCATTGGTCTATGTGCCTACTTTTATACCAGTACCATGCTGTTTTGATGACTATGGCCTTATGGTATAGTTTGAAGTCAGGTAATGTGATGCCTCCAGATTTATTCTTTTTGCTTAGTTTTGCTTTGGCTATGTAGGCACTTTTTTTGTTTCAGATAAATTATAGGTTTTTTTTTCTAGTTTTGTGAAGAATGATGGTGGAATTTTGATGGGAATTGCATTGAATCTGTATACTGCTTTGGGCAGTATGACCATTTTCACAATATTGATTCTTCCAATCCATGAGAATGGGATGTGTTTCCATTTGTTTGTGTCATCTATGATTTCTTTCACCAGTGTTTTGTAGTTTTCCTTGTAAAGGTCTTTCATGTCCTTGGTTAGGTAAAGTCCTAAGTATTTTGTATTTTTTCAGCTATTATGAAAAGGGTTCAGTTCTTGATTTGATTCTCAGCTTGATCACTATTAGTGTACAGCAGAGCGACTGATTTGTGTACATTAATTTGGTATCCTTAAACTTTGCTGAATTCATTTACCAGTTCTAGGAGCTTTATGGTTGAGTCTTTAGGATTTTCTAGGTATACAATTATATCATCAGCAAACAGCAACAGTTTAACTTCCTGTTTACTGATTTGGATGCCATTTATTTCTTTCTCTTGTCTGATTGCTCTGGCTAGGACATCCAGTACTATGTTGAATTGAAGTGGTGAAAGTGGTCATCCTTGTCTTATTCCAGTTCTCAGGGAAAATGCCTTCAACTCTTCTTTATTCAGTATAATGTTCGCTGTGAGTTTGTTTAGATGGTTTTTATTACCTTAAAGTATGTCCCTTCTATGCTGATTTTCCTGACGGTTTTAATGATAAAGGGGTGCTGGATTTTGTCAAATGCTTTCTTTGCATCTCTTGAGATAATCATGTGATTTTTGTTTTTAATTCTGTTTATTTGGTGTAAAACATTTGTTGACTTACATATATTAAACCATCCCTGCATCCTTGGCATATAACCCACTTGATCATGGTGGATTATCTTTTTATATTTTATTGGATTTGAGTAGCTAGCATTTTTTTGAGGATTTTAGCATTCATGTTCATCAGGGATATTGGTCTGTAGTTTTCCTGTTTTGTTATGTCCTTTCCTGGTTTTCATATTAGGGTAATACTGGCTTCATTGAATGACTTAAGGAGGATTTCTCCTTTCTCTATCTTTTGGAATAGTGTCAGTAGGATTGGTATATACTACTTTTGCTGTATCCCAGGGGTTTTGATATATTGTGTCACTTTATCATTCACATCAAATACTTTTTTAACTTCTATATTAATTTCATTGTTAACCCAATGAGCATTCAGGAGCAGGTTATTTAATTACCATGTATTTCCATGGTTTTGAGCATTCCTTTTGGAGTTGATTTCCCATTTTATTCCACTGTGGTCTGAGAGAGTATTTGATGTAATTTCAATTTTCTTAAATTTATTGAGACTTGTTTTGTGGCTGATATGGTTTGGCTGTGTACCCACCCACCCAAATCTCATCTTGAATTGTAACTCCCACAATTCCCACATTCCATGGGAGGGAACTGGTGGGAGGTGATTTAATCATGGCGGCAAGTCTTTCCCATGCTGTTCTCATGATAGTGAGTGGGTCTCATGAGATCTGATGGTTTTACAAATGGGAATTTCCCTACACAAGTGCTCATCTCTTGTCTGCCCCAATGTGAGACGTGCTTTTCACTTTCCACCATGATTGTGAGGTCTCCCTAGCCGCATGGAACTGTAAGGCCATTAGATCTCTTTCTTTTGTAAATTGCCCAGTCTTGAGTATGTCTTTATCAGCCGTGTGAAAACAGACTAATACAGTAACCTATTGTATTTTCTATCTTGGAGAATTTTCCATGGGCTGATGTATATAATGTATATTCTGCAGTTGTTGGGTAGAATGTTCTGTAAATATCTGTTAAGTCTATTTGTTGTAGGGTATAGTTTAAGCCCGCTTTTACTTTGTTGACTTTCTGTTTTGATGACATGTCTAGTGCTGTCAGTGGAATATTAAAATCCTCTACTATTATTGTGTTGCTGTCTATCTCATTTCTTAGGTCTAGTAGTAATTGTTTTATAAATTTTGGAGCTCCAGTGTTAGGTGCATATGTATTTAGAATTGTGATATTTTTCTGTTGAAATAGTATTTTTATCATTATATAATGTACCTCTTTGTCTTTTCTAACTGCTGTTGCTTTAAGGTTTTTTTTTGTCTGATATAAGAATAGCCACTCCTGCTTGCTTCTGGTGTCCATTTGCATGGAATATTTTTTTTACATCTCTTTACCTTAAGTTTGTGTGAGTCCTTATATGTTAGGTGAGCCTCTTGAAGACAGCAGAAACTTGGTTGGTGAATTCTTATCCATTCTGCCATTCTATATCTTTTAAGTGGAGCATTTAGGCCATTACATTCAATGTTAGTATTGAGATGTGAATGCTCACAAAATTACATGTGAATGTAAATTTAGGTCATTTACATTCAATGTTAGTATTGAGATGTGAAGTACTATTTTATTTGTTGTGCTATTTGTTGCCAGAATGCCTTGTGTTTTTTCATTGTGTTATTGTTACATAGGTCCTGTGAGATTTATGCTTTAAAGAGATCCTATTTTGGTGTATTTTGAGGATTTGTTTCAAGATTTAAAGCTCCTTTTAGCAGTTCTTATACTGCTGGCTTGGTAGTGGCAAATTCTCTCAGCATTTGTTTCTCTGGAAGAGACTGTATGTTTCCTTCAATGTTAGTTTCACTGGATACAAAATTCTTGGCTGATAATTGTTTTATTTAACTAGGCCAAAAATAGGACCCCAATCCCTTCTAGCTTGTAGGCTTTCTGCTGAGAAATCTGCTGTTAATCTGATAGGTTTTCCTTTACAGGTTACCTGATGCTTTTGCCTCACAGCTCTTAAGATTTGTTCCTTTGTCTTGACTATTTCCCTAGGCAATGATTTTTTTTTTGCAATGAATTTCCTGAGCTTCTTGTATTTTGTGTCTGGATCTCTAGCAAGGCCAGGGAAGTTTTCCTTGATTATTCACTCAAATATGTTTTCCAAACTTTTAGATTTCTCTTCTTCCTCAGGAACACCAATTATTCTTAGGTTTGGACTTCTAACATAGAACTAAATTTCTTGAAAGCTTTGTTAATCAATTTTTTTCTTTGTCTTTTATGGATTGGGTTAATTTGAAAGCCTTGTCTTCTAGCTCTGAAATTCTTTCTTCTGCTTGTTCAATTCTATGGCTGAAACTTTCCAGTGCATTTTGCATTTCTCTAAGTGTGGCCTTGACTTCCAGAACTTTTAACTGCTTTTTATTTATCTCTCTATTTCACTGAAGAATTTTTCTTTAATATCTTGTATCATGTTTTTGATTTATTTAAGTTGGACTTCACCTTTCTTTGGTGCCTTCTTAATTCACTTAATAATCAACCTTTGGAAATATTTTTCTGGCAATTCAGAGATTTCATTTTGGTTTGGATCCATTGCTGGTGAGCTGGTATAATCTTTTGGGAGTGTTAAAGAACCTTGTTTTGTCATATTGAGAGGAGGTGCCAGCTGGGCTTCCTGGGTTGAGTAGGGGCTCAGAAAGCTGTGAAACTCATTCATTTCCTGCCTCAGGACTTACTTCAGTCCTGGATGAATAATATTGAAGATATATGCTTAAAATATTCCTAGCACCAGGATTTGTGCATGTTTTCTTCCCCAAGAAAGCTATAAAGAGCGAAAATTTTGCTGTAAGTTTCTCTGTGTCCTCTCCCTCTCTCCCTTCCCCATCTCCCAAAACTAAAGTTAAAAGGAATGTTAACTGCCTGTTTTTCTGTTATCAGCAGACCTTATCTGTCCTCCCAATTCCAATTCCTTGTGAACATACTTTGTAAAGTCCTGTCTCTTTTGCCTTGCCACTGCAAGGTCAAAAAGTAGATAAAACCTAAGTTGCAATTCCGGTTTTCCTCAAGATCTAAGACATGTCACAGATCGTTAATTGCCTTCGTTTTTCGCTCTGGTAACATCTTCTCACCACAGGTGTTTCCCGCCTTAAAGAGTTTAAAAGGCAATCACATAATCTAACTCTGGCTACCTGTTCAGGACCCCTTCTGTGCTGCGGAAGCTTTGTACTTTTACTCTGCTCAATAAAGCCTACAGCTTTTTCTCTCCTCAGTCTGTGTCTCTATCACTCGCCGTGGTCAGCCACCACACCAATTCTTTGGTGTGGCTATGCAAGAATCTTAGGCGTTACAATATTACCAGAATTGTTTTACTGGTTCCTTCTCATTAGTGTAGACTATGTCAGAGGGAAGATCTGGGATTCAAGGGCTGCTGTTCAGATTCTTTTGCCCCATGGTGTGCTCCCTTGATGTGGTGTTTCTCCCCCTTCTAGGAATGGGGCTTCCTGAGAGCCGAACTGTAGTGATTGTTTCTGCTCTTCTGGATCTAGCCACCCAGTGGAGCTACTGGGCTCTGGGCTGGTACTGGGGAGTGTCTTCAGAGTCCTGTGATGTGATCTGTCTTCAGGTCTTGCAGCCACGGATAGTAGCACCTGCTCCAGCGGAGGTAGCAGAGGAGTGAAGTGGATACTGTGAGGTCCTTGGTTGTATTTTTTTTAGTGCACTGGTGTTGTGTTGGTTGACCTCCAGCCAGGAGGTTGTGCTTGCAAGAATGCATCAGCTGTGGTCCTATAGGGAGACCCTAGGGACACCTGGTTAAGTATTCAGGTTTCTCAGGTCGTGGGCAGGGCCACAGAACTCCAGAGAAATTATAACCTTTGTCTTCAGCTATTAGGGCAGGTAGAGAAAGATCACCAGGTGGGGGCAGGGATAGGTATGTCTGAGCTCAGCCTCTCCTATGGCAGGGCTTGCTGCAGCTGCTGTGGACTTTAGGGTTGTGGTTCCCAGTTCAATGGAGTTACATTCTCAGGGAGATTATGGCTGCCTCTGTGGAGTCATACAGGTTGCCAGGGAAATGGGGGAAAGCAGGCAGTCACAGGACTACCCTGCTTCCATGCTGCCCACAGTTCAAAAGGCTGGCCTCACTCCCACTGTGCTTCCTCCCACAACTGCACTGAGTCTATTTCCAGGCAGCTGTTGACCAGGGCTGAGAATTTTTCCCAGACCATGGGCCTCCCCATTGCAAAAGCAAGCAGACTCACAGTTTTCTGGCATCTCAGGGAGCCTGCAGGGGCCATCTAGTTCCTTTGAAAGGTCTGTGGATTCTCTCAGCTTTCCTGGTATATTCCTGTGGTAGTTCTTGGAGCAAAAGTTCATGATGTGAGTCTCCACACACTGCTCTGTCTGTCAGAGCAGGAGGGGCAAGCTAGTCCTGCCTCCTATCTGCCATCTTAATCTAACCTCTATTGATTCTTATATGTTAAACCACCCCTACATCATTTGAATGAGACTCACTCAATAATGGTATAGTATCCTTCTGATATGCTATTTGATTTTGTTAGCTAGTATTTTGTTGAGGGTTTTTGCATGTATGTTTATCAGGGATATTAGTCTGTAGGTTTTTTGTTGTTGTTATATTCTTCCCTGGTTTTGGTATCAGGGTGACACTGACTTCATAGAATGAGTTAGGGAGGACTCTCTTTCTCAATCTTTTGGAATGGTTTCAATAGGGTAGGTATCAATTCTTCTTCGGATGTCTGGTAGAATTCAGCTGTGCATATGTGTGGTCCTAAACATTTTTTGTTGGGAATTTTTCTTTCTTACTAATTCAGTCTCACTGATTTTTATTGGTCTATGTAGGGTTTCTATTTCTGCCAAATTTAATCTAGGAGGGCTGTAGGCTTCCAGCATTTATTATTTTTTTCTAGATATTCTAATTCCTGTGCAAAGAGGTGTTCATAGTAATTTCAAATGAACTTTTGTATTTTTGTGGTGTCAATTGTAATATCTTCAGTTTCATTTCTAATCAGGCTTATTTGAATCCTCTCTTCTTGATTAATTTAGCTAATAGTCTATCAACTTTGTCTTTTCCAATGTCTAATTTTTGTTTCATTGATCTTTTGTAATTTTTGTTTCAAATTCATTTAGTTCTGCTATGATCTTTGTTATTTTCTTCTGCTAGTTTTGGGCTTAGTGTGTTCTTGTTTCCCTAGTTCCTTGAGGTGTGACATTAGGTCATCAATTTGTGATCTTTCAGACTTTTTGATGTAGGTATTGAACACTATACAGTTTTTAGTTGTTGAGAAATCTAGTGGCCTTATAGTTACTGATATGTTGCATATAATCTTTTGTTTGTGGCTCAGAAATCTTTAGAATCTTCTTTTTGATCTTTGCATTCTGAAATTTCATAATAGCACATCTTACTGTAATCTTTCTTTCATTTAATATGTTGGGTTTTCAGTAGCTGTTTTATTCTTAAAGAATATGTCTCAGTAATGAAACATTTTCATGAAAAAAGAAATATATATATATATGTTTATATATCTTCTCTGTTTCTGGAATTCTTATTTGAGTTGTATAATAGGCCTCTCAACTTGAGCCTTTACTTTTTTTATTTAGCTTCCATCAAGAGATGGAAGCTTCCTGGGAGATTTCTTGAAGTTTGTCTTCCAACACTCTATTGATTATTATGGTTTGCTCTCATAACTTTCAGTTTTAGTTCTTCCTTCTTACTTGTGTCCCTTAAAAATAGTATATTCTTTTTAATTTAAAGATATCTATCTGGAACTATATTGGTTGATTTTGGAAGTTATCTCCACCTTTCTATATTTTGTGTTTCTTTCTTATTCGTTTTCCTGTTTGCTTCAGCTTTCATCTTTTAGGTTAGTGGCTTTCTTGAAGAATTTAGAAAATATCTATTTATAGTTAAGATTGAACTGCTAAAAATTGTTAAAAGGTGATTGTAATATCTTTATACTTTGACTATGCTTCTTGACATGTAGGCTTCACAGTGAATAAATGGGTGGAGACTTGTTTATTGCATCACTTCTAAATATATCTGTAGGTATTTTTACTTGACAGAAGTCCTCCAATTTTCTACCTGGGATTAAGAAACATATTAAAAAGCTGGCAGCCTGAGATTCAAGACTAGAATGGGGGAAGTGGTTTAGCATCACTAGTTATTATTCAGAGTTTCAATGAATGCCTCTGTTTTCAATAAGGTATTGTCTCTGTTGCTTTCCATGATACCTGGCATTACCTAGTCCCTAGTCTGTCTGATCATAACCTTGGAGAGAATTAACTCTGTTTTTCACCCAGGGTGGCAGAGGAGATCTGTATTCCAACAACTTCTTATTTTCAACATATTCTGTTTACAATCTCATAATATTTACTTGCATTGAAATATGACTGAACCCTTCAATTCCTGGATTTTTCTGTACTTAGCAGAAAAAAAAATATTTCGTGGTAGCTTTCTACCTTCTTGCACACAGCAGATTCAAGAAAAGGTAAATGCTAACTATGCTTTTTTTTTCTTTCAAACTTGTGTTGAATATTGCACTCTGCTACCTTATCCTCTTCTGCTGTTTTTACTATTACAGAGTTATATCATTGCTTTATCTTTAGTTTAATTTTAGTGGAGTTTAGAAGAAAACAAAGATAAGATCTTGGGTTTAGTTTACTATATTTGTACTGAAGTTCTTCATAAGCATTTTTCCCCCAGGAAATATGTTTTACTTTGTTAATTATGACAATAATAAATGTGAAGATTTACAATCTGTTACACTACTTATAACACCTAGTGCTACCTGGAAGATGTCTGTGAAGATGTAAATAAAGACATAGCTAATCTCTGAACATGGCCTCTGTAATGACCAATTATTTTCTCCATCATGACTGCCCTTTCCTTTTCCACTGGCTCACTGATTGGACCCCACCCTTTCTTCGTCTCTCCAACCAAAACAGTTAGTTATCCTTGAATTTCTGAGCAGGTCTACTCTACCTGTGCCATTCCTAACTTTCTATTGTTGCTAAACCTCAATTATTGCTGCCTACCTATGCACTCCCTTTTATAACTTTTCTTATGCCCATGTCAGTTTCTTTCCCACTTCCCATAACGATCATTGCCTTTGCACTGAAATAGGATTTCTGTAGTAGTGAAATGTCCACTGGGGTAGCATTATAGGAGGCTGATAAGTACAGGATCAATAAGGAAAGTCCATTTTTCATTATGTTATATCATAGGAACACTCATGTATCATTAAATAATAGATGTGTTCAAGAAAGCAGCATAAATACACAACCAAAACTGTGTATTACTTAAGTGTTCATCTGTGCTACTTGTTATGATGTGGTTTTATTTGTATATATTTGCATAAAAATTAGGAAGACTTCTTGTTCATCCACTTTCATTAGGTATAGACTTGTTAGAAATAAATTTGTTTTATTAAGATATTTATTTTGCCCAACATTGAGATACTATACTTTCAATGAGCTCAGCTGAACATACTTTAGACTTATTTTTAAGGATACCAAACACAAAAATATCTTCGTATCAGCTTAGGTTTAATAATGAAAAGAAAATTTACTCTAGGCATTTCAAGTAAAAATTGGCTGTTAAAAGTTGTTGCTATGTCTATGAAGGAAAAGGGAAAGTTCCCACCAGAGTTTAGGAAATTAGATAATTTCAGGAATCAATGGCAAATTCCAATAGATATTTCACCTGCCAACAATATTGAACAGGATGATACATAGAAGGATGCCTGGAAGGCAATGCAAAACTTCACACAAGTAAAGTCTACATACATACTAGTTTGTCAAAAGAACAATTCCTTCTGTTTCCAGATTCCTCTCATTGGTGTAACCTGTAACTCCACAGTGTTACATGTATTTATTCAGGGAATTCCCTATTGGATGGGGTTTGGAATTTAGGCTTCATGTTTAAAAGTTGTTCATATCAGAGTTCCAGAGGTGGTCTCCCTCTGGGATAGTGGCTTGTGATAACAATATTCTCAAGAGTCTGATTTATTAATCAGAATGACAGACTCTTAAATTTCAATAAGAACTGTAGCTTCTCAAGGGAATAGATAATAGTACCAGTCTGAGCTTCACCTTTATTCTCCATGTGCAAGCTACTCAGGAAGCCAAATTATCAGAAGGTTGCTGTTTGAGCATGAAATCAACAAGGGGAATTAATTATAGGATTTGAATGTTTAACAACAGAAGGCTGTGATAGCCAGATATATCTACGGAAACAGTAAGGATGTAGACATGTTCTTTCCAGAAAGACCTAATAATCAAATTGGCTGATTTGAATAGTGCCTTTAAGAAACTCCACCAACCTTAAGTGTCATGGAGACCTTAAAAGTGTCATCAAACCTCTTTCTGATTGACATAATCTTTTGTATGTTAATCCATTAAGTAAGGTTGATGTTAAATTTTCCTGGTCCTAAAATGTGTCTGTGAGAATGTCTTTGAGTCAATCATTTTATTTAATTCTTACTTCCTTTCTTTATTAATTAAAAGGGGAAATCCTTGCTATCACCCTCGTCTACAACAAATACTAAAAGTAAAGCTTTTTTTAAATCATGTATCCCGTATACACTTTCATCATGACTTTTATTGCGCATTTTTACTTTTAGTTATTTATAGGCCTCTCTTTACTTGATTGAATATTTTGAAGAGGGAACCATGCCTTATACATTTTCATTAGCACGTAAAGGTGTTAATGTTGGCTGAATGAAAAAGTGAGTGGCTTAGGTAATATCTAAAATAAACAGTGGCTGCCTGCCAATGTGTTTATACCTTTGCCTTGGAAATTTTTTAAATAGAGATTGGATGAACACTTGTTAGAGATGCTACGAAGTTCAATGCCTGTGTTTATGTTTCAATTTTATAAATATTCTAACATTTCTCAATTATGTTAATTTTTAATGGTGCGTTTATGTGGGGACAGTGGCTGAAAAGAAATGGTAACATAGGAAATAGTTAATAGGAGAGAAGGAGGTGGCTAACACTCCCAAACACTAAGTAACTCCTTCTTGAATCATTTCTTGGGTTTCAAAAATAATAAGGTTAAGAATAACCTCATGGATTCTGCCCTCATATTACAGCTGACATGTAAAAGTCCTTTTTGGGAACTTTTCAACTCTTCCTCCTTACTCCCTTCAGAAATGAGATATCTAGTTAGTATCTTTATTTAATTTTTATCTGATGTAACTTTGAGAAGGGACATAACACAAGTTTAACTTTGAGAAGGGACATAACACTCTACAATTCAAGGCTTGACTTCCACACTCATAATCCAACAGATATAAATTTTAAAGTGATGACTGAAACACAAGGCCATAAATTTGAAAAAAGAAAGATTTCAAATCAATAATGTAAGCATATATCTTAAGAAACTAGAAAAAGCAGAGCAATTTAAACCAAAAGGAAGCAAAAAAAAATTGAAATAATAAAGAGCAGATTCAATTAAATTGGAAACAAAACAATAGTGAAAAATCAATATAATCAATGGGTATTTTTGGTAGAGATCAATTATATTAAACTCTAACTAGGTCAAGATAAAAGAGAAGTTACAAATAATCAATGTTAGGAATGAAGATGAGACATCACTAGAGATGCTACAGATATAAAAAGCCTAATAAAAGAATTAACAGTGTTAGGCCAATATGTTAGATAGTTTATATGAAAGAAATACGTTCTTTAAAAGGCTACAACTATCAAAGCTCATTCAATGAGATTCAGATAGCCAGAACAGACCTGTATCTATTAAAGAAATTGAATTCATAATTTAAAACATTCCTATAAATTAACTTCTACATATAGATGCCTTCATTGGTGAATCCAAACAAATATTTAAAGAAGAAAAACTTCTGATTTTACACAAACTAGTCTAGTAAACAGAAAAAGAGGAAACACTGTACAACTAATTTTAAGAGTTCATCATTATTCTAATACCAAAACTAGGCAAATATATGAGAAAAAAAACTAAAGAATATTCTTCATGAACATAGACACAAAATCCATTTCAAAATCTTAGCAAATAAAATGTATCAACATGTAAAAAAATACTAAATTATGACCAAGTAGGGCTTATCTCAGGAATGGAAGGTTGGTTCAACATTTGGAAATCAATTAATATAACTTACTATGTAAACAGACATGAAAAAAATTTGAATAGATGCAGAAAAATATCCACCATGTTAAAAACACTCAATAAATGAGGAAAAGAGCAAAACTTCCTCAACCTGATATATAGCATCTATAAAATACAACTAACACTAATATCATAGTTAGTAGAGAAAGAGTGAATGCTTTCCCTGTTAGATCAGGAACAAAGCAAGGATGTCCATTCCTGAGACTTCCATTTAACAATGTACTAGCAGTATTATCAAGCAGAAAAAATAAAATAAATATTGGAAAGACAAAAACTTGATCTTTCTTTTCAAACAATATAATTGTCTATCGATAAAATCCCAACTATTTTACAAAAAGATGTTAAGACTGATATTTAAGTTTAACAGGTCACAGGATACATGGTCTATACATAAAAGTCCACTGAATTTCCATAATAGAAATTAACAATTGGAAATTTGATAAAATAGTAGTACAGTTTGGACAGTTGTCCACTCCAAGTCTTATGTAGAAATACAATCCCTAATGTTTGATGTGGGGCCTAGTTGGCGATATGAGGACCATGAGGGCAAATCCCTCATAAATGTCTTGATGCCCTCTCCACAGTATTAAATGAGTTCTTACTCCCATATTCATGTGAGACTTGGTTGTTAAGAAGAGTCTGGCACCTCCTCCTCCTCTCTCTCTCTGTCCCTCTCTCACCTGGAGACACATGGATCCCCTTCCACTTCTGCTATAATTGAAAGTTCCCCAAGGCCCTCACCAGAAGCAGATGCTGGTACTAGGCTTCTTGTATAGCCTGCAGGGTGTGATGCAAATAATCTTTATTTCTTATAAATTACCCAAAATGCAAAATGGACTAACACAAATACTATTTGCAATGGTATCAAAAAATATAAACTAGAAATAAATCTTTTAAAATACGTGTTAGATTTGAATGCTGAAAAGTACAAACAATGCTGATATAATTTAAAGATGACTTAAACAAAGAAAAATGTTTATATTTATCCAATATTTTAAGATATTAATTATTCTCAAATTGACCTATAGATCCAATGCTATGCCAATAAAAATCCCAGAAGACACATTAGAGAAACTGACAAGCTTATTTTAAAGATTAAATTGAGTATGAAATGACCTAGAATAACCAAAATTATTTTTTAAAAAGATGACAAAGTTGGGGAGCTCATATGAACTGATTATAAGACATACTACAAGGCCATAGTAATCAAGACAGCATTTTATTGGCAAATGAATAGATACATTAATCAATGGAACAGAAAAAGAAATTCAGAAATATTCACTCGTGATTAATTGATTTCTGACAGACATTTTCTGGCAAGGCAATTCAGTGAAAAAAAAAGATAATTTCTTCTACAAATGGTGATAGGATAATTGGACAGTCACATGTAAAAAATGAACCTCAACCTGTATTTTCTCCTATGCACAAAATTTTATTAGAAATGGATCACAGATCCAAATATAAAACTTAAAACTATGAAACTTCTAGAACATTGCATAGAACTAAATTTGACTTCATTAAAATTATAAATTTTTTTTGTTTAGAGACAAGGTTAAGTAAATCAAATTCTAATCTTAGATTGAAAGAAAATATTTGCAGATTGCATGCCTGATGAAGGACTTCTACCTAAAATATATAAACAATTCTTACTCCTCTATACTTTGAAAATAGATACCAATTTAAAAGAAGAGCAAGATATTGAAACAGATATTTTACCACAGCAAACATACAGATGGTAAATAAATATATGAAAATATGCTCAATTTCATTGGTCATTAGAAAATGTGTATTCAACCATGAGACACCACTACACATGTATCAAAATGGCAAAAACAGCTGGGCATGATGGCTCATGCCTGTAATCCCAGCACTTTGGGAGGCCTAGTGGAGCAGATCACCTGAGGTCAGGAGTTTGAGACCAGCCTGGCCAACATGGTGAAACCCTGTCTCTACTAAAAATACAAAAAATTACTCAGGCTTGGTGGCACCTGCCTGTAGTTCCAGCTACTCAGGAGGCTGAGGCAGGAGAATCACTTGAACCAGGCAGGCAGAGGTAGCAGTGAACTGACATCGCACCATTGTGCTCCAACCTGGGCAATAAGAGTGAAACTCCATCTCAAAAAAAAAAAAAAAAAAAAAAGGCAAAAACAATTAAATAAAATAAAACCCTGACAATATCACATGTTGACAAGGATGCAGAACAACTGAAATTTTCATACATTACAAATGGAAAATGGTATAGCTACTTTGAAAAGCTTTTGGCAGTTTTCTGTAAAGTTTAGGATACGCTTACCATGCAATTCAGTGATCCCACTCCTAAGTATTTACCTGACAGAAAGGAAAATATCTGTCTACAATAAGACCTTTATTTGTTGATAGCCAATTTATTTGTAATCACCCCAAACTGGAAACAACTCGAACACCCATGCACTGGCCAATAAATGAACATATTATGGTGCATCCATACAGTGAAACATTAATAATGAAAGTCAACGAACTTGAAAGTCAACTTTACTGATATGTAAAACAACATAGATGAATCTCAGAGAATTATACCATGTGAACTAAATCAGTTACAAAAGGCTACATACTGTATAATTCTATAAATGTGAAAGTCTGGGAATGCAAAACTATAGAGACAGGCCCGGCACGGTGGCTCACGCCTGTAATCCCAGCACTTTGGGAGGCCGAGGCGGGCTGATCACCTGAGGTCAGGAGTTCGAGACCAGCCTGGCCCACATGGTGAAACCCCGTCTCTACTAAAAATACAAAAATTAGCTGGGCGTGGTGGCAGACGCCTGTAATCCCAGCTACTTGGGAGGCTGAGGCAAGAGAATTGCTTGAACCCCGGAGGCAGAGGTTGCACTGAGCCCAGATCAAGCCATTCAACTCCAGCCTGGGGGACAAGAGTGAGACTTCGTCTCAAAAAACAAACAAACAACCAAAAATCTGTAGAGACAGAAATAAGATCAGGGATTTGTAGGGCCTGGGTTTTGAATTTGAAGTTGTGTTTCTCCAAGTTTATAGGCCAATGTGAACTAAAAGGGAGACAAAATAAATCAGAACTTTTTTCTGCTTTAGTTCTCTTTCGCATCCACATTTACATTATGTAATAAATTTCAATTTAGCCATGGAATTATTTGCTGCTTGGGAGAAAATGAGAGCATTCAGAGGCCCTGAAGTTCTGCGAGTCCTAAGAAATATGTAGAGCTCAGATTTCACAGCTTCAGAGTGGGAACTCAAGCACTTTCTCTCTACCAGCTTTCATTCACATTCTTCTCTAAAAATGCAGAACAAAAACAAAAGTAAATGTTTCTGTTAATGAAGATTGTAATTGCCATGAATGATTGTTCTGAAAAATGTGACAATCACTTCTATGATTTTGCTGGAGGCCTTAAAAGATACTACTGGATTTTTCTATATCCCAGTTAATATTAGCAGCAATCTAATATAGCCATTCCACATGTGTCAATTACACAGAATCTGGGCTGGTATTGTTTATGTTAATTCTCATTACACAAAGTGGCAACTTTTGTTGACTATACATTTCTTCTATTACCTCCCTTTCCTTTGTTTTCTGTCTTCCTTTCTCTTCTCTAATGAATTGGATATTTGTTTTCCCTACACCTCCAAAATCCTATGTTGAAATCCTAATTCCCACTGTGATGGTATTAGAAAGTGGAGCTTTGGGAGGTAATTAGGTCATAAGAATGAAGCCCTCATGATGGGATTAATGCTGTTATAAAAGGAAAAGACACCAGCACTTAGTTCCAATTTGTCAGATGATATCTAACAACAAGGAATCATAAAGTTCTTTCTGTATACATTCTCTCTGAATCAAGGGTTCCAGGCAAAAACAATAGAGTAGAACTCAAGCTTTTGTATTCCAGTATGACTCCACTGCCATTTCTCTAATACTAAATTAATTTAAGAAATCCAGCAACTTTTCCAAGACTCTTGCTTCTCTTCATTTTCCAAGAGTTATTTTCATGATTGGTTGGATTGCAACAAGACATTGTACCACAAATCTCTTAAATAACCCTCCTGAACATCCTTATTTGAATATTCTTCACAGTGTATATCAGATAATCTTCAAAGGAGAGTATTAAACTTGGGGTTCAAGATATGAAATAGAAAGCCTGTAGTAACAGCCTGTACTTAGTAAGTTATGGATTAATTTTTCTCCTGTAGAGTCATAGATTTTATGGGTCCTTGGGCATATAGCTCAACTCTTCATTATACAGAAGAAGAAATTATTAGTAGAAAAGTGTCTTGCCCAATACTTTACAACTATTAAATATTTTTAAATACATTTCCAGGTAGCAATGGTAATTAGCAGTACTAAGAATGGTATCATCAGTTGATTGCTATTTTCCAGAGTCCCATGCTTAACTAGCCTGAAAATTTAAAAGGCACGATGATGTTAGGGTCAAAAATGATCCCCAAATCTCAGTGGCATAAAACAATAAACATTTATTTCTTATTGTAGCTACCCATCCAGCAGGGTCAGCAAAGAACTCTATGCATCGTAGTCACTCAGAAGCACAGGCTGATAGAAAGCCACCATTGCAAGTTGACATGGGAAATGGAAAGTCATTGTACTCCTAGAACTTCTACCCAGAAGTAACACACAGTGCATCTAATACGGGGCAAGCCATATGGACATAACTAAGTTTGGGGTATGTGTAGAGAGGTCCAGTTTCATCTGGAAGAGAAGTCTTGAGATATTTGGTAAAATAGTCCAGAGTGCCATTTGCTCACCAAGTATGTGGCTCATTGTCCCTTATACATATTGAATTGCTTAGCCTTTTCCTAAAGGAGAAATGCTATCACGAATTTTCATGTGTATCCTCTCCAGACACAGCTGGACCTGATACAAGGGTGGGCCCTTGTATAGCACAATTCTTATCATTCAGAGTTGATGAAAATGAGAGTCACATGGTAGTCACTAGGGCTTAGTAACTTTGAAATATTGTTTCTCATAAATAACTGAGGTTGCAAGGGTAGTATTAAATCTTGTACAATTACATAATTTACTATTTATTTTAATAAATAATAATTTAATTATGTAATTAAAAATTAATACTGTGGTTTCTTTGCCTGTAAAATACTCTTAGATTTTTTGGAAGGCTTCTTATGTATCTAATTCCCATGTGTGAACTGCCACAGCCACAACTCTTTTCTAGACATACTTTTTAGATATGCAGATCCTTCTTCTCTGCCTTTCTTCCTGTGTGTCTGTTTGTATCACTCTCTCTGTCTCCCTCTTTCTCTCCCTCTAATTACAGAAATTTGGGGCTGCCAGCCTTGATAGGAAAATCTCACACTTGGTTTCTTTTACCTGAATCTTTGTGTTCTGTTGAAAAGTGACTTTAATCTAGTGTTCTCAAAGTATGGTTCTAAGTCTAGCAGCATCAATATCTTCATACCTCTCTACACACACCCCAAAGTTAGAAATGCAAATTATCAGACCCCATCCTAGACTACTGAATTAGAAACCCTGGTGAGGCCCAGCAATCTGTGTTTTAAAAAGTCTTCCAGGTAGTTCTGATTGAGCTAAAGTTTGGGAGCCATACACCGTTTCAGTCAGAATGCCACTGTGATGAGGGAGGAAGAAGAAAGTAATAGAATATTTGTTAGAGAAGTAACAGAAACAGGGAAATGAGCTGGAGGGTTAGGGATCAGATCCTGTAGGGGTTATTTTAAGGTTATTGTAAGAAGTGGAAACCAATAGACCTTGTTTGATAAGACCCTCTGAGTCATAGACATGAATACTTTCATACTCACATGGGCATATTCACTACTCACTAGAGTCTCTGAAAATTTGAACTTCCTAGTTTACAAAGGTTGGCTTTATTTATTTTTTAATTTCTTTACTTTGCCTTGGCCTTCTAAACAGCTATTATTGGCATATGCTAAATGCTGGTGTTCAGACCCCTTAGGTATAGTAGCATCATTCACTTACATATTGTCAATGGCTACTTTCTGCAACAGAGTTCAGTAGTTATGACAAAGACTCCTGAACTAAACCAAAATAAAGATTTCAGTTCTTGTCCTCCAGGCGAGGGCACTAGCACTACAAATGGATATAAAAGCAAGAAGTGGGTTGAGTTAGTACTGAATGTCTGAAATGAGATGGGGCTGGCATCATTACACAGATAAGTGTCATAAACATAATTTATGTGAGAATATGCCTAGGGAGATGGTGATGTTCCAAAGAGATAATAAGACGTTAGAGTGGTTCAGGAAAATTCTTAGATGGAGTGTACATACTATAAGAGTGGTGCTGAAGGAAGAAGGTTAGGAAAAACAGGGACTTTGGGGGAGACCCTGAGGTCCTAAGATTTAGAAAGCATTTGGGAGCCTTTGGAAGGCATATTTTCATGCTTACACAGAGAAAGGACTAATAAAGAAGGGCTAAAAAGAGGCTGGAGGAGATGGTGGAAAATGCGTGGTCTACATACTGGAATCATGGTGCTGAAACTTAGTAGCTGTGAAACCCTGGTAACTCATTTAACCTCTATGGATATCAATGTATTCATTTGTAAAATGGATGTAATCACATATACTTCAGAGGAGTATGATGAGAAAAATTGATATATAAAAGATCAATGGCTTTGTTCCTGCCATCATCCCCCTTTATCCTTCACCACTCTTCTCTCCTGCACCTATACTTTCTGAAGCATAGACACCAAAGAGATGCGGGATACTTTGCAAAATGAGGATGCAGAGGGGGAGAGCAAGAAACAGAGGTGCAGGCTGATTCAGGGCCATGTTGGAGGGGAGCAGTGGCTGCAGAGCCTAGCTCTGGGCATTTCCTCACTTCTCCGAGGCTCTGCAGCTCTTCCTAATTGACATCCTGCAGACCCTGTTTTGTCTTGTTGCTAATTACTATCTATTTGTTCCCCGTTACTAGCCTCATGTTTTATTCCTTGATATTGTTTGCAAGTTTCTTTACAGCAATTGACTAGCTCTGTTTTAGATTACTTCACCGCAGGTATGTCAACGACCATCATTCCCCAAGCTAAATCTTGTTATTGTAAGGTTTGCTGAGGATAAAATGTACATTCAGTTCTTTCTTAGGTAAATGGTTTGGTTTCTCCTGCAAGATAGTATTTGGGCCTGGGAGAGTATTTCAAATAAACACTCTTGCTCTTTTTTCTGAATTTGGACAAAATTCAGATAGAAAACTTTGTCATTAAAATATAAAGAAACCAAAGAAGGTACCTGGATCCTTGCTTTGTCTTTTGGCAGTTGCTGTCACATCTGCTAAGTGTGGTGGGTCTGGCATAGTTGCAAAACTCCACTAGGATTTTGATGAGAATGGAGACCAGTGGGTTATTTTTAGTGTCTAAAATTAATTTAGTAATTAAGTTATTACTGTTTTAAAAAACAATAGTTAGAGTTAAACTAGGAACAAGAAGGGAAAATACATCCTCACTGTGTATTTACACAAAGTCAAAAATATGTATATACAGAAGCAGCTCAATTTTTCAGTATGTTTATGGAAAAATTCAGCATCAGTCTTATTTTTCAGCTATTTACTATGGACTAACTTCAAAAACATGTTCTTTTCCCATGAAACTCACGGGGAGCTTTTTTATTGAGGTCCATGAAATAAAAGAATTGTATTGAGCAGCAAACGGAATCAGTCTTTCTCTTTAACATATTTTACTTTGTTCATTACCAGATTATAAGGATGACTAATTCGCCCATTGAGTCAACTTTATTTTTAAGTTCCTACTGTGAGCAAGACAAGGTAGACAGAGATCTCACTTTCAATACTCTTGATATTTGGCATAGTACACAGTTTATAGCCTGAGTATAACTAATATAATAGCATTAACAAGGGGCCTATTTTTCTATTTTTTCTGGTTGAAAGATTTCTCTGAGGAAATAATATTTAAGAAAAACCTGAAGGACACACAATTGGTGATTAGGACATTTGCTGGGAAGTAACTTTCTAAGCCTGGAGGAGGGTAACATGTTCACAGGTCCACTGAAGGCTTATGTCTAGTTGGGGAAGGGAAGGCAGGAGCAAGGGAAGAGGCCAAAAAGTCAAGGAAAAGCCTTCGAGACTATGCAAATAATTTGAATATTTGTCATTTTGCCATTACTTTTCATCTCTGGAGTATTTCACCATTTTCAAAGTACATTCACAAATAAAATGTCACTTAATTCACCTGGATCTTGTGAGTTTGTTTGAATAATCAGTGGAGAGACTAGAGGGCTGTCCATATTTGCAACATCCATCCATCCATCTCTAGTTACTTACAAAACTTCTATTTTTGTCAAATTGCTTTTAATATTAAGAGCATATTGTTAGAGAAATATATGGAACCTGATTTAGGTCCTAATTTAGTACTCTATTCTCTATAATAATAGCTAACATTTATGTCTAAGTACTTTATGTGTATTAATGCATTAAACCCTATTATCCTTACAAGGAAAGTACTATTATTATTCAACATTTTACTGAACAGAAAAGGAAGAGATATGCCCAAGAGTACAACTGGTACATAACAGAGGTGTAATTTGAATACAGACGTCTAGCCCATACAGCCTTGCCCACATTTTTCCTCTTGTCTAAACTCTGATGCTTTGCTTTTTGGTAGAAACATTATCTTTATGTCTTCATATAAGCAAAACATTATTCTAGGCACTCTTATAAGGTCTCAGGTTTTATTTTTTTTTGTATATAGCTTTCAGTTAACCCAAAGGAGAAATTAACGTATAATGAATAAATGTATACAGACATTCATATTAGTGTCAAGATGAATTATAATTGATTTACTTGTTACTTAAAGAGGGAATATATTTTTGTAAATTCCCTAGGTTATTGGACTTATAAATTAGAGGTCCATATTTAGAAATTTAAAAAATTTCGTATTTTTATTCTGAATTTTTCTTTTATTATGGAAAGATAATATTCTCTTTTTTGTCCAGGTGTTTCTGTGCGTCAAAGGTAAATCAAATATGTCATGGATTTTCTATTTTGAGACACATCAGAACATCCTTCTGAATATGTAAACATCCCTCTCCACATTCCAGTAACTCTTTCTAAACCTGTCAATTTATGTATGTATATGGATCAGCAGAGAAGATGGATTTTGTTAAAAATTTACCAGATTAGAAAGAGGATGTAATTGAAATTCGGTGTTATTATCAGTTTCTGGATCTATATAATGTATGTTTATGTCTATATAGTCAATAATCATTAGGTCAGTAGATATTTATTAAACAGCTACTACATTGAAATTACTGTAAAGGCATTGTATAACTAATAATGATCAAAAAAGTATAGTCTATTGCTTCATGGAGATTCAATTCAGTAGAAGAATCAGACAGCAAATAAGAAATCCTAAGAGTAATAACTATTTAGAAGTACATGAGAGCATAAAATACATCGATTCAATTTCAAAGTCTCTTTGGCCTCTAAAATTTTATCATTCTAACCTTAGTTTTACATAAGTTAGGAGTTACATCTTCTCATCTTGGATTTGTTACTATTTGTGTGATCTGAGAAAACCCAGAGAATCACAATATTCAAGACATAAGGATTGTAGTTATTTTCTGTATTTTATTTTCCCCATTTAAAAAATGCAGACAGAGAGTGTGGGAGATGGCCTAGTTTAATGGTTCTCAAACATGAGTGTACATTAGAGTCACTTGGAAGATTGTTAAAACACAGGTTGATGGATCTCCTTACCTTCTGCACAGAGTTTCTTATTGAGTAGCTCTAGGCCTGCTGAGTATTTGCTTTTCTAAAATGATTCCAGGTGAGTCTGATGATTCTGGCTTTGAGATCACACTTGGTGAACTTCTGGCCTAGAGGACCTTGAGGAACTATGAAGTACTATGTACTGCAAGAAATAGGACTATCTGAAGAAGCTTCCAGAATTTAGTATTTTCATAACTATCTTCTTCTATGTGGTGACTTTATTGTGGATTTTTTAAAAGTTCTGGTTATCTTATAATTCCAACCTTATTCTAAGCTAGTAGGAATGATTTTTCAAGCCATGGAACTCAATGCCAACAATATGTATTCCCCAAATCCTTGAACCAATAAGGTCTTGAAAAAGTATTTTGGTGGTAATCCAGCTGGAGTAGGGTCAATGTAGATAAATTCGTGAGTTATTTTTAGTCATAATTGTTAATTATATATATTGAATTTATATACCCAATTATAATGAACAAATACCCAATGTCTGTCAGCCCCAAGGAGAGCAGCTGACTTAAGAAGAAACATTTCCAAATTAATATAAAAAATCATTTTCAAATCTCTGAGTCAAAGTATTTCTTCTGTCTCAACATAATTTTTTAGTCTTCCTTAAGATATATATAATACATTATTAAAAATTATGAAGTTCTTATAATGCAAAACATACAATGTAACTAAGGTAGTAAAAAGGGAGTTGTACATTTACATAGACTTATGATCAGATATCTCTGGTAGGTTCTAACTATAAGAAGTTAGTAATTAATACGTGTTTATCAGAAGCATACTATGGTAAAACAGGTAATACGGTAAATCACTCCTTGAGACGTAATTTTCTATTCTAAAAAGAAGAAATGTAGAATTGATGACTTCTAATGTCCTTTCTGGCTTTAAATTTCTGCTACACTTTGTGATAGACAAAATAGTATTAATAGTTATTTACTATGTTCTGTCATATTTGATGATAAGGCTGCTGGGCCAACAGCCTTTGAATAAAATGTGTCTGGCTTGGATACAGGTAACATGTACAAATTATTATAAATTTCCTTTTCCTGCTGAGATAAATGCATTATCTCTGCTCTTGTTTTCCTCTCCTTGAACTGTCTTCTCCTTGTTTCTAGTTAGCTGTTAGATCACCCAAAAATTATGTAGAAGATACTAACATCCAAAGCAGATTTTGGCTTGAGTATTTTGTTAGCAGGACTATGATGAAATCACAGTTGTAAAAAGAAATTCACACAAAACAAAAGTTCCTGTTTTTTTTTTTTTAAATAATTTCAAAAGAATAGCATGGACCTTCTGATCTTCCTTTCCATTTTGGGATATAGAATTACCTGAAATAGATGCATATTTATGCTATTTCATAGGGTGGCAAAATGTAAGTTAGAGTAAATGTAGGACTTTGGCATAGATAAGGGGGACGATCATAGAACGTCAGAGTTGTAAGGACGTTAAAGATCATCACAGTCAGAGCCCTCATTATGAAAATGAGGCAGTTGAGATTCATAAAGTCTTATTATCTTTCTAGAATCGTAATTAGATGTTTTATTGGGTTAACATGCTTCACCTGTGAGTCTAGATACGGAGCATAACTGTAATGCTCTAAAATACACTATGCAAAAGAAAGATGGGGTACGTAAACTAAAGGACAACAGCCTTTAAAGTAAAAACATTATTTGGAAGGATTGTATCACTGGGAAACACCATCAATTTTAAATGATATGCACCAAGTAATGTAGTTTCCAAATATAGAAAGCAAAAATTGACAGGTATATAAAGATAAAATAAATCTACCATTTGTTTTCTAATATTGGGATATTTAAGCATAGCTCTCTCAGGTGATGGATAGATAAAGTAGATAGAATCATTCATAAGTGTAAAGAAAATTAGATCAAAAAACTTTAAAAGATGTAGAAAAAACATTTAACCCAAGAATATTTCACACATTTTTCTTAAATATAACAAAAAACTATATGTCATGTTCTGTGCCATAAAGCTTGCTTTATGGAAACAAAGTGTAGGAAACAAAAATATTGGTGTGATATTTGTATTTTCTGACCCTAAAGCCATTAAGTTATACATCAATAATGAAAAAGATTGCACAAAAGCATATATTTTGATATTTTTAAAAGTTAATTTTAACATGAACAGAAGTGTTCTACTAAACTTTAAGAAAAAAAAAAATCTCAGTGTAATGTAAATACTTTTAGTGAATAAAAATATGTGAACACTCCTTATTGTTTTTTATCAGACTCATAAAATCTTCAGGGCAGAACTAAACAAGTAGAGTGCAAGTAAGAAAAATACAGTTCAAACTCACTCAACAAGCATAGATGTAAAATCCTAAAAAAAGTAAAAATATATTGAAATTGGGTTTATACAAGGAGTGGGTAATAGACTGAATGTTTGTGTTCCCCCCAAATTTGTATGTTAAAATTCTAACCCCAATGTGATGGTGTTAAGAGAAGGGGCCTTTGGAAGGTAATTAGGTCATAAGGGTGGAATCCTTATGGATGAGATTAGGATTCTGGAGAACTCTCTCACCTTCTTTCCAACTTGTGATAATACTAGAAGTTGGTAGTCTGCAACCCAGAAGGGGAGCCCTCATTGGAACCCTACCATGCTGGTACCTTAATCATTACTTCCAGACTCCAGAATTGTGAGAAATAAATTTCTGTTGTTTATAAGCCACCCATCTATGGTATTTTGTTATAGCAGCCCAAACCAAATAAGACAGAATACAGAAATATTATTAATGTAAGAAAATTTAGTATTTTAACTTTCTACCTTAACATTATCTTATTTTAATACATATATAAAAACAATCATTTCAAAATCTATTAATAATAAAAGTCTTAACAAATCTGGGTTAGAAGGAAATATCCTTAACCTGATAATGAGTATTTAACATAGTCTATAGCAATGGTCATTTTCAATGGTGAAACATAAGAAGCATTTTCTTTAAAATCAGAAAATGGCCTGCTATTACCATTACTATTAATGGTAATGAAGTAGTTAGGCATTGCAGTTAGACAAGAAAAATAAAAACACAGAACTGAAAGGAAGATACAGTTCAGACACAGTGGAATGTGTAGACAAACTTCAGAAATAGAGTTCAGCAATGTTTCTGGCATAAACTCATTATACAAATATCAATGGCAATCCTATATGCCACTAATAATAAATAATAGGAAAAATCCCATTTATAATAACAGAAAGGCTATGGAGTTAAAGAATTTCTATAACAAGGCACTGGGACTTATTTTGGAGAAAGAAAGAAAATAATACCACGGGCATTGAAGAAAACAGAAAAAAAAGAAAAGATAAATGATCCATGGATGAAAATACTTGATAAATGAGAAGAGAACAATTATCCAAATTCTACATTCAATGCAATCAAAACCTCAACAAGCATTATTTTTGTGGACCTAGAGAAACTGATGCCAAAATCAGTATAGATGAGTAAAAGGTCAAGAATAAGACTTATTTAAGAAAAACAGGGAAGGGAAATTTGTCTTCTCAGACATCATACTTATTAGGAATTTTAGAATTTAAGCAATGAGGTACTTTCATGTATATTCACAGATGCACAAATTTATCAAATTCTTTCAAATAAATTTTTTTTTAAAAATTATAATTGTTTTAAAAATATTTTAAATTATTGTTTTAAAATTACATCAATAATGTATCGTCTTCCTGCCTCCTGCTAGGAAAAGCTGCACCCATTGTTCTATTTTTTGGTACACTTAAACCATAGGATTTACATGAATGAAATCTTGGTATAAAATCAAAGAAAGCATTATACCCTTGTGGAATAAGACTATTAGTATCGAGAATACATAAGAAACTCCAATAAAAATGACAAAGAATTCGGTAAAAATAAGCAGAGGATGTGAGCAGACAAATTACAGAAAATTACAGAAAATTGAAGTGGAATAACTAATAAATATATGAAATGCTACTCCACTAATAATTAAGGGCATATACATGAAAAGGAAAACAAGATATTTTAAAACTATCAAACTGCCTGAATTTAAAATTTAACAATACTAAGTTTTAGTTGAATATGAGGGAATGAGAACTCTCAGAGAGCACTGGTAGGCCAGGCTGCATTGCATGACTCCAGAGTATAAATTGGTATATCCACTTTGAGAAGCATTTTAATAACATCTGGGAAAGGTAAAAATGTGCCTGCTCTATGACCTATTAATTTCACTCTGAGAAATATACCTTAGAGCTGCTTTTCTGTTAAAACTTTTAAAAAATCACAACACACAGTAAAAAAAATTACATTACATCAAAGAAGACATACTTGGACATAACGTAGTTCACCAAGTATTGTGTCATGTGAAAAATTTTGGCTAATGAGTTACAAACGAGTGATGTGTTTCATTTTTGTGCTAAAGCATTTAATTGCCAGTGCAAGATTTTCTGTATTTTTTTTCTCTCTGCCAAGGCAACTAGAAGCTTTTAAGATGGTGCTTACTTTCTCCACCTGTACACTGGAGTGAGGTGTTTGTTGTAGAACAGAGCACATAGTCAATTCAGAATGGACATATAGACTGATTGATAAATAGGCTTTCAATTTTACAAACCACTAAGATTTAGGAATTTTTTATTCTGCAGAATTGCATAGCCCATACTGACTGTTACAATGTTCCTACTTTTATTATGTGTAAGAGTTAATGCAACCACCTAAAACTTCACAGATTAAAATAAAAAACATTTATTTGTTAATGATTCTGTATTCTAGGCTGGCCTCAGAAGGAAGTTTATTTCTTGGCCTTCTAGGTCACTCATGGAAAAGCATTATATGGAAGTTGGTTGGGCTGGATGATCAAAGTTGGCTTTGGTCCTATGTCCAGCACCTCAATTGAAATGGCTGGAATAGATGGGACTCTCTCTCTTCAGTGGGCTCTTCAGAAGAGTTAGATGGATTTCTTTTCATCATGGTCTTGATATGGTAAATTGACTTGATAACACTCCAATAGGTTTAATGCACAGTTGGATAAATGCAAATATAGAAAAGTCAGCACATATGGAGCGTAGGTACAGAAGAGTGCTATAATATCCATTGAAGCATTGTTTGTAAGAATAAAATTTGGAAACTTCTTCAGTAACTCTCAGTAGATGAATAGGTACAGGATATATTATTTAGTCATATGATAGAATAGTGTCCATTGATTTGAACAAATGATTAATAGATAATAGATAGATGTCTTGATAGATTGATGGACAGTTATTGAAGACATAATGTTAAATTAAAACATCACATTTTAGAATAAAACATAATGTATATTATCTTATTAAAAACATTGAAAGTAATGCTACATGTTTTTATTTACAAATATGCATGCATACATGTAACAGATTACCTCTCTTAATGAAAGCAATTGCCTTTGGAGAGGATAGGAGTAGAATGGAAATGAGTAGAGAAATAGAGGAAACTTCAATTTTTTTCTTCTATGTTTTAAATTGGAAATAAAAAAAGTCAACATTTAAAAAATTTTGGATGTTTAGTAATTTATTCATGTTGTTTTTAGTATTTTAAAGAACTCAATTAATGGCAAAACATGATACAGAACAATGTTATAAAAATATAAGCTTATTAGTGGAGATACTACCTTTTTCAGGTAATTGTTTTCATTAAATATATTTTGACTCATCCTAGAGAGGGCAGAAAGTCTGATTAGAGCACTGACCCTTGTTAAAAATTTAAGAGCTTACTCTGGTAGGTTTTTACCCAAAAAGGTCAGTTGCAGAAAGAACTAGAAACAGGCTAAGTTTCAAGTTCTTACAGAGACATAGGGTCAAAAGCAAGGAAATCAAGGTCAGCTGTCAATCTGTAGAATGAGTAAGGTGTCAGAAATGGGAGACAAAGCAGTTACAAGCTTCGAAGCTAGGTGACATGCATTGGAGTTCAGAGTCAGAACGAAAGCAGCAGAAAGGTACAGCTTCCAAGACTATTCTTGAGAGCAGTTCGCAGCAGCAGTGTGGGTTTGTGAAGAGGTAGGCCTGGTTTAAAGATAGTGATGTGGAGCAGGCAGAAGCACCTAAGACAATGCTTTTCATCCCAAGTCAAGTGGTTTCTGACAGAGCTTCTCAGGAATACTTTGTTCACTGATCAGCTTGCCATTCTCATGGGAATAATTAAGATAAGTGCTGAGGGATTCCCACATGTTTAGATTTCTAAGTAAAAGAACATGGTGATGTAATTTTCTGTCCAGATAAGACACAGGCTACTTGTTCCCATCAGAAAAAAAATTGGCCACAGCAAGTCAGGGCAATTGTATGATTTTGTCAACTGGGTCTCGTGAACTCTGAGACTCCACTAGTCTGCTTGTGTTGGCCTATCCTTCCCTGACATGTTTAGTCTTCTTATCCCAAGGTAAGAGTGAGGTCAGTTAGTTAGCAGAATCTTAGCAAAGGCTGGAGGCATGAGGAAGTTGTCTATTTTCTCTCTCTTTCTCTCAAGATTTCTGAGAATTATGTTGATCCCAAGAGGTGTGCCCAAGGGAACATGAATTACTGCAGAATTACCAATCAAGGTGAAGACAGAGAAAATGTCAGGTAAATGTTAACAGTGTGTTGTTTACTTAGACTTCTCCCTGAGGGAAGAGGGCTAAATCATTGGAATTGAGTGAGTGGTTTTGCAGGTCTGTAATTCTTCTCAGCTGACAACTGTCATTTTAACCTTGTATTTGACGTTTAAAAAGCACAGTGCTGGAGAAACAGAGTGAAAGTTCTAGAATGACTAGTGCTTCCTTGCTCTATTGAGTGCCTTTACCTGAATTTATTATTAATGCACATTGTCTTCTTTTCTGCTGTGATCCAAGTTTTTCCCAGTTTAGAAATTTTCTCCTATGATTTCTCACTAACAGATCCTATTGTTATTTTATTATGACATGTAGCCTCAAGCATATTTTGTGAAGCAAAGCCACCTAGTTCTTGATATCATTTTGGTGGTAGTAGGGAGTGTAAATACCCTGTCAACTGCATACCCTTTCTGATGGGTTGAGAAAAATTAATGGCTTAAATATCTATCAGAAAAAGTTTTGTTATCTATTTTTGGGTTTATATAAATTAGTTGTAGTTCACTAATGGAATAATTTATTTGAACATTCATTCAAGATTTATTGAACACCTATTACAAGTGAAAATTTCATTATAGTATGTATAGACAGCTGGGTTTCTATAAAGATAAGCACATAAAGATATTGCATTATTTTATATAAGTCATGAAATCTGTGCAGAAAAAGTGCTTAATAACTTTAATTTGTAAGCATTTTCATAGGAGAAAAGTGCTTCCCTAAAGAACAGATGCCCAGGCTGTGCTGAAACCTAGGAGAGTTTTACATGGCATCTCCAGATCTGTAGCTTTTCTCATGGTGACTATCATTGTGAAATTAAAAAAAAAAAAAAATTCAAGAGAAGGGAAACTTCAGCTTCTAGGAAGATGGGTTAGATGTCCTTTTCTCTTTTTCTCCTGCTAAGTATAGCTGAAATCCCTGAACATTACGTATAAACAAACAAAAAACTCTAAAAGGTGGTGAAAAGAAGGCAGACCAGCCAGGGACATTGGGACCCAAGAGACAACGTGGTGGTATGTTCTCTAGGCTTTCTTTTGGTATCCTGTATGTTAATCTTAGAGCTCAAAAAAGCAAAATCCAGAAACTCCAATGGGTGCAGACATGCAAAAAGCCCAACAAAAGTCTGATTTTTCTAGCTGAAGGACCAGAAAGGGAAATAAAACTTTTAGACAATAACTGTTCTACTGCTGCTAAACACCACAGAGAAAACTTTGGCCCCACTCTACATGCACCAGCAAAGATGAAATGAAGAACGTAGAAATCCACTCTTGCCAGGCTGTAACACCATAGCTAAGAAAAAAAAATTACATGAGTCTTCCTCATCTTTAATCCAGTTGTATCCTCAAACCCTTTCTCAACACAATGCTGCCATGTGGTACTAAACTCCCTCCCCAAGGATGTAAGTGTGGAGAGCATGTGGGGAGGCTGGCAAAGTGAGTAGTTTCTCTCTCGGCCTGCTGGAGTACTGTCAGGAAAGGGCTAGGGGAGAGTCAGGGTTTTCACCATGGCCCCATGGTAAAGGTACATCTGTGGAAATTACATGGAAAACAGTTAGAGGACACTCCTACCACTGACCCAGGGAGGTATCAGTGGTGTCCTAACGGGGAGATGGAACGCCCGTTGCAGTCCAGCCTGTTGTACCAATGTCAGTTTCCTGGTTTTGCTCCTGTACTATAATTATATAGTCTGTAACCATTAAGGAAAACATGGATGAAATATTCATGGGACCGACCTCTACTATTTTTTCAACTTCGTATGAATGTGCAATTATTTCAAAAGCAAAATTTAAAGTAGAGAAATACATTTATAACAAATTTAAATTTTTGCTCTCAAGTTGACTGCCAATAAATTATTTCCCCTTTTAAATGTGAAATAAAGGTAGACTCTATAAAAAAATTCAAGACAAATATATGTGTCTTCTTTTAAATCTGTTTTCTTTATGACCCCTAACCTATATGAAAAGACTGGTGGGAAATACACACAGATAAGCAACAGCAACCCATCAGTGGCTATTTCCTAGTTGAGGTTCTATAGGGTGATTGACTTCTGTGGCAGTCTGGCTAATTGTTTCTGTAGTCCCTATTTCCTATCCTTCTGGGTAATACAGCTAGACTACATTTCTTATCCTCTCTTGTAATTGTGTGTGGTCATTGGACTGAAGTCTTAGCAAATGAAATTCTATTGGAAGTGATATATGTTCCTCGTTGACTTGGTCCTTGAAAACCATCTAAGTGATCCTTCACCTCTTCTCCATCTGGAACTGGATGAGAGCATTCCAGGTGCCTAGAGGAAGGCTAAACAAGATAAAAGAGCCTGCATACCTTAATAACTCCAAGGAGCAGAACATCCTTATTCCCCTGCAACCAACTGAACTTTAAGCAAATGAATAATTATTTCCATTTCTAAAAACCATTTCGTCCTTGAGGTTTATCTGTTACTTCACTTTTCATGATGTGGGAAGGAGTGGTAGTGGTGTATGTGGTTTCTTGTCAAGAGATGACAATGGTTTGAGATTCCCAATTATTTTTCACACTTGGTGTCTGAAATCTCCCTGGAATTCACTAGGAAGTGAAGGCAGGGGACCAGGTTCTAGTCTAATGTATATTACTTCATATTCAAAGGGAGATAATTGCACAAGGCAATCTTTCAATTCCAATTTTAACAGTCTTGAATACATTAATTTATATGAAGTACAGCACATACTTGGTACTCTTGTACTTCCTTCTTTACTCACAAGAGATACTGCAAAATAATTAGTTGGATCTTTCCCTCTGATTCCAGATGTAGCTTCAAACTCCTTCTCAATACAATGCTCCAGGCCACTGTTGCTAATATACTTGTATTGACCTAAGTGCTGAAACCTATAGGTTATTGCTACTCTATATATTGATCTAATGACAGCTATGGGTGTTAGCACCTTGGCTAGCAGGCCTTATAGGTAGGTTCATCCAGTCTCTTCTAGCACCTCCATGATGCATTCTCCATGCTCCACTCTGTCTATCTCTCACACCTAGTTTCCTTTGAAGTGATGATATTTGTGGGATAAGTTATGTTTTTCAGGGACTCTTCTCTATTTTGAAATATGAGGCTTGAGAACTAATGTCCTAGAGGAAATGAAGGAAAAACAATATTTAGAAAACATTAGAAGTGAGTCAACCCTTTTTTTACTTACACAAATATTGTTCTTAAGTGCAAGAAGGCTGTGATATGCCTCCCATAATACAAAAAGATAGTTTATATTTTACTTTTTATAATGGTAACTTAGAAAGAAATATAATTATGCATTTATTACAAAATGTGTTGAGAGGCCCATATTTCTTGATTACTCACTAACCTTTTTTGGGTTTGTGAAACCTACCCTAGGCTGTTTCCTTTGTGGGGTGAACAGTGCTAGTGCCTACAATATTTATTTTTCCCTCTTGTTCCAAACCAACAGAAATCAAATGTTTGAGATGGTAATGAATGAGTCAAATAAAAATCCTTGCTATTCCAGTCTTCTTTGGATTCAGAGGGGTGGTTAAGAGCTATAATTGTTTTCAGTGAAATGTAGATGGGATTAAACTGGTTTTCTGAGAAGACTGATTTTCCTGATGCAGATATTGTCCCCTTTTCTTTCCCTCCTTTCCTTTCTTGCCTTGAATGCACTCATGATAGCCTCACCTGCTGCAGTCATCTAGAAATCATAAGAGGAAGGCCAAGAGAATCACAGATACATTTGTCCTAATTTAATGAGATTTATTGCACCAATGTCAGTAGCCACTTTCCTCTAGATTTTAGTTTTATGAAAAAAATAAACATATATATTTTAAAGCTAATATAGTCATGTTTTCTGCAGTTTACAGCCAGATAATAGACTAGGCTTGATCATAAATATCTGCAGGATATTATGTATTTCACCAAGAGAAAGGACATCTTACCTCAATAATTGGGAAAAACTTTCAAAAAGGGAAGTTTCAGCATATAATTATGGAATATGAAGTGAGATCTAAAATAACTCTAAGTCAGAATTTAGTAGATTTTAAGAACCATTGTAGGAATTTTTACTGTATACCACTGGAAATAGCTGATAATGTATTCCATATTAAACCTATAAAATTAACATGTATTGAGTGCTTACTATTTTTAAGCACAATGTTGAGTATTGTATCTGCTTCTTTATTATCTCAGTTAATCCTCACATCAGACTTATGCAGTAGAAATATTTTTTACTCCCACTTAATAGATGAAAAAACATTGAGACTTGAAGGGATTAAATAACTGGCCCCTGAGCCTCAAATACTACCGTTTTTGTCTTATTCATGTGGTATCCCTAACGCCTAGAATGGTACCTGATAAAGAGTAGGTAGTATGTAAGTATTTTCAGTGAATAATAAATGCATACTCCTTCTGTATGTGTTACACTGTTTTATTGAGTATCTGCTATGCCATGGTCTCAGGCTGAGGTCTCAGAACATAAAATATTTATAGGAAAACTTCTTTGTCCCTAAGGAGATAAGATGTGTGCATAATCTTCTTGTAAAGAGCAAATTTCAATGCTGTAAGTTACTCTTTTGTTTCCCCCTAAGGTAATCAAAAAAATGAATTCACAGAGTTGGTGGACTTTGAGCTATAAGCAAATAAAGGCCTATGAAAAAACAAGGATGGATAAAGAAGAATGTAAGTGTGGTTAATATGTAAAATATAAGGAGAGTGGAGGCAGAAGATGAGTTATGTTTAGACTAAGTTGTGCAGGTGCTACACAGTGAACCGAAAGTTTGAACTTCAGGGTTTTATTCTATGGTCAATGAGGAGTTCACAGGAATAGCTAAGCATTGAAGCAGTATGCTCAGATTTGCTTTTAGCAAGATAACTCTGGAATCAGTTTGGAAGAAGGACTAACTTCAAAAATGACAAGAAACTGAAGATTGCTATATTCATCTAGGCACAGAGGCTGAGGGCACATGGCTTGAGATCCAGACAGGCTGAATATGGAAGAGTCCTGAGGAGGGATAGTAGATGAAATTCTATGAAGAGTAAAAGGAAACAAAATAATGTTATTGGAGCACAGAGATATGCAATCACTTTACTCATAATATAGTCAATTCTTACTTGCAGATTCTGTATTTGTAAACTCATCTACTTATGAAATTTATTGTAATACCGTAATCAATACTAATGGCACTTACGAGTCATTCACAGACACGCACAGACTGGCAAAAAATTTGAGTTTCTGGAGTGCATATTTCCAGCTGAAATGGAACACAGCAGAGCTCTGTCTATTTCAGCTCTCGTATTATACATGAGTGTCCTTTTTACCGTCTATTTAGTGCTACATTTCTCACATTTTGTGCTTTTTGTTGATTTCACTGTTTAAAATGGTGCTCAAGCGTAGTGCTGAAGCACTGACTAGTGTTCTAAGGTGCAAGAAGGTTGCAATATGCCTCACAGAGAAAATATGTATGTTGGAGAAGCTTTGTTCAGGCATGAGTTTTAGTGCTGTTGACCATGAGTTCAATGCTAATGAATTAATACCGTCTATTACGTATGGTGTCTTCAGAGACACAAATAAAATAATGTTGTATATTGATAGCTTGACAACAATGTCATAAACACACACTTGTAGGGACCCATCCCTATTTTTCCTTTGAAGAAATGATTTGGTATTTGGTAATTCAGTGTTCAGGGCAACGTTGTAGAACATAACTACTGAGAATAATGAAACTTGAGTGTATATATCATAGAATAGTAGACCTGGATGAAGCATTAGTAATAATCAATTCAATGTCATTATCATACAGAAAAAACAAGTTCAAATATATAAAGTGAAATAAACAATGTCACATTCTTATTTATCACTGAGCCTGGACCAGAATTAGAAGTCTTAATTTGTTCTTCAGTAGTTTTCCCTACTCCATAGAAATATAAACCTTTAAATAGAATACTGGCCTGGACAAAATATTTAAGCTAAAGTATTAGGTGATTAGATTTTCTTTTTTAAATTGGAAGGAGGGTCTCTGATGGGCACACATGATGAGTCATTCATGTGATGCATGGTTGCCTCTCTGATTCCTTGTCCTTATCAAGGCTGATCTTAGTCTTGTATCACTCGAGTCTAAACCCAGATAGACTCATAGCTTAAGAGTCTTTCAAAGGTTACCAGAAGGATCTCTCTCATATGATCACCTGTGCTAAGGGAATACTGCTGTTTTCATAACAACCAGCAGCCTTCTGACAGATCATAATGTAGCACAGGGTCAACAGCCTGTGGCCTGCAAGTCAAATTTGTCTCACTGCCTGTTTTGCCTAAATTATTTTATTTATTGTATATTATTGGAACTCAGCCATGCTAATTTTATTATGTATTTGTAAATGGCTACTTTCATGCTACCATTGCAAAACTGAGTAGTTGTGACAAAGACTAAATGGCTGTTTATATTTACTATCTTGCCTTTTAGAGGAAATGTTTGCTGATTTCTGGTGTAGTATAGCATGAAATTTGGTGTCATTTCTCCATGTAAATGGTCTATGATGACAGTCTTTGAAAACATTTTATCAGTTGTTCTGCTTTTATCTCGTGGTTTAAGATATTGCATTGAAGAGCTTTATCAAGGTGTCTAGATGACATGAGAGGATTATATTTTGCTATTTTGTGTCATCCAAAAATCTGAACCAATTTAACAAAAGTGTGCCATAACTCACTTTAGCACTTACTGAATTACACATCAGTCACCTGAGTTTCCTAACTCAAGGACTACAGTGGTAAGAATCTGAATCTGCAATGCATTTCTTGATCTAGCCTGTCCTCACCAGCTGTCAACATTACCTGAACCAATTGTTATTGTGGCTGTCAGAGCTGACATTCAAAATCAGTAACGGGACAGAATTAACTTCCCGAGTGTCTTTCCTATTGCACAAGCATATATAAGAGATGCTTTTATTTAGCTTAGTGACATTTGCCACCCAAGTACTGACAAAACAGTGTGTCTAAACAAATGTTGATTGCACAGATTAATCTCTTCATGATAATGAATGCTAAATGCATAGAGGTAATTACATAATAATCTCGCAACCACACACAGTGACTTTTGCTTAATGGAATTACTTGGGAGACAGTGTTTTAATGTTGTAACCTGACACTTCAATGAAAAGAAGACTGTGATAAACAGTTTAGCAGAGCTTCTTCTATATTCTTATTGTTGAACTGAACATTGTCTTTACAGAGGCATCCTGAATTTTTAAAAATTTCTTTTCTTAATTAGCAAATTATGGCTGAATTAACACATTGCTTCAGTACCTTGTTAGTCTCCTAGGCATCTTTATAAAAAAGGTTTACAGCCCAAGATGAGGATTTTATGAGAATAAAAACTTTTATTAAGTATCTACCTCTCAGAATCTTGTAAGTGTATGAGAGAGAAGTATTAGGGATTGGGGGAATCAGATAAACCATGAATAATTGTACACCCCCTTCAAGATATAGGTCAGAGAATATTTTTTATAGGCTCTTTCTAGGAACTGTAAGTATGATAAAACATAAAGAAAACCATAATCATAGAGTGAAGAATGTAGCAAGATAAGCTATCTTGGGTTGAAATGCTATGTGGAGGAAGGAATAACAAGGGCATGGATCCAGAATGAGTGTGAATATATACATAGGGATTATTTTATATAATAATATATATATGTACATTTTATATATAATAATATGGTATACAATAATGATCATTTTAAAAAGGTGACATATATGTAAGTAGTAGAAGAAAGATTATGTAAGAATGCTAAAGATTCCTTGGGACTGGGCAGAATAGGCTATTTGAGAGGAAACACAAAACATGAAGATAGGAATATTTAACCCTACACATGTAGCTTTGGCATCTTTATATTGGGTCAATTGACTACAGGTTGTAGTTGCAAATAACCTTCCAGCAAAAATCACTATAAAATGCTTAAAGGTATGTGTAGTGATGATCAGGAATGCCTGTACACCCAGGGTTGTTTTTGGTTTTCAGTCACAGCTGCCCTTGGCTGCTCACCTATTGATCTATTGATCTTTTCATAGGCCATTTGTGAAAGCAGTAGCAATCTTGATAGTCTGTGACTTAGGGCTCATTAATATCATGTATTTGTCCATCCAAACCAACAAGCTAAGCATGCAAAGCAGCAGAGTGCTGATATTCTGAAGATCCATTGCTCAGACCAAAACAGAATAGACTTTAAAGTGAAAAAGATGTAATTTTATTATATACACAGCTTAGCCATTTATCAAGACTGTAAGTTTGGGCATTTGATTTAACCCCTTCCAAACTGTAACACTTTATGTTAGGATGGCAATAATAATTCATAGGATTAGTATTTTGATTAAATGAAAAACCAATAAAGTAGCTGACATATATAGTAGGAATCAATAAAAAAAATAGATTATTATATAAACAAAGAATTTCATCCTTTGAGTGTGAACATGGCCTCTTTGAATGTTGTATAAGAAAATAACTGTGCTAGGCAAAGAAGAGCAGGGCAGCTAGAATCTGTCAAAGTATTGTTTGAAGACCTAAATTAACAAAACATTTATTTTTTAGACTCTAATATTAATTTGCCTGACTTTGGAAGAGACATATTGTTTATATACCATATCATTTCACCAGATACAGTTTTTAAATCTGTGGGAGGACCCAAATGGTGGCTTTGCAAGATGTGTATCACACACAATTCTTATCTCTGCTCTAATGCTTTACAAACAGAAGCAGGCAGCAGCCCCTGACATAGTATTCCGCTCAAGTGAGCCCTAAAGCCCGTGTTCATCACCCCCTAGAAGAGCTACCTGATACACCAATAAAGAAAATTTTATGCCTGCTCCATTTGAGAAGACAAAGTCTGTAGATTAAAGTTCAGCTGGAAGGTTGTGATTTAATCTTACACTTGGAATTAAGTGTGATGTCTATGAAGTAGCTCCTTAAAAGAAAATAAATAAAAAGAGTTTACAGTCTACTAAAGCCATCAGGTTCCTAGGGAATTATAAGTGTGCCTAGATTCTAAAGTGTTTAACTTGTTGTTGTTGGAAAATTCTTATATCTACAACAAGTAAAAATGACTTCTACTTTAGCAGTCCTTTGTTTGGCTTAGTCTTTAGGACTTCTTAATAATGCAGCCTTCCTTCTGTTTCCTTAAGAAGATTCTTCTCCAAACCTTCATGGCTTGAAAAAATAATGATTTTATATTATTTTTTAGAAAAAATAAATTCTATGGTTTTAGGAGAATATCTTCTCAAGCCTCTCTTATGGTAGAGATTCACCTGCACTGGAATTTTATTTTTTGTTGTTGTTGTTTGTTTTTTGTTTGTTTGTTTGTTTTGAGATGGAGTCTCGCTCTGTGGCCCAGGCTGGAGTGCAGTGGCATGATCTGGGCTCAATGCAAGCTCTGCCTCCTGGGTTCATGCCATTCTCCTGCCTCAGCCTCCCAAGTAGCCGGGACTACAGGCGCCCGCCACCACGCCCAGCTAATTTTCTTTTATTTTTCTTTTGTATTTTTAGTAGAGACAGGGTTTCACCATGTTAGCCAGATGGTCTCGATCTCCTGACTTCGTGATCCACCTGCCTCGGCCTCCCAAAATGCTGGGATTACAGGTGTGAGCCACCGCGCCGGGCCTGGAATTTTCTTAATTGACCAGTGTAGCACTCGAAGTGCTCCTTAATATGCTTTGTGAGGGGAAAAAAAAGTTGTATCATAGGTTTCAGTTAGAGACTAAGTTGGAGACACGCATATAATCTCATAAAATTTATAAGAATTTCTTCATGAAGTAACTTGTTTGCCATTGTTTAACCTGATGTTTCCCAAACATATTTATATAACTTAATTCTCCACACTCTCACACCAATATAATGTCACCCTATGGAACTATCCTTCAGTGGAATGCACTTTGGGAAACATTGATATATAATGAATGACAAATGGCTACAGGAATATGAGAATGAATGTTTATATTTACCTCATTACTTGTAGTAGAGTCACACCTTTAATTGATAATTTTATAGCTACTTTTTCAATCATTGAAGTTCTTCTCTCTGTGATGGGTAATGTGTGCTGCATTTTCTATTTGTGACCCTATGAAAGTCATTGTTTGTTTGTGCCACTGCTTCTCATAATAATCCTTCTTGCCCTGAACTCAGGGGTGGGTTCTCCCTTTGGGTTATCTCTAGACATTAGTTCATAACCCTTCCACCCCCTTAAGATTTCCCTTTAGCCTTTCTTTTTCTCCCATGATTTCTCCAGGTTTTTTAAAGCAGGTGCTATAGCAAAGAACTCTTGTTCTCTATTTTTCCAGTATCTAGACCCATCTAGGTTATTTTGCATATTGTTTCTAATTCTGTATTTAGATGGCTGTTTTTCATTCCCAGACTATATCATCTTATACTACCAGCTATTGACTATTAACAAGTTTGAATAGATAATTACTCTCTCAAGTCTGCTTTGCATTTAGTTTCATTCTTTTACAGTTTAATTACTTTTCTGAAATTCTCACTATCTGCAAACTTAATGAAGGCATACTTTATTGATAACACTGATAAAATTTTCAAGCAACACAAATACCAGATGGTCTCTGCCTCCATTTATCCTTCTAAAAATTCTTTTCAAAGTAGCCCTATTCATTCAATAACCAATCTTTAGAGTCAATCCAAGTTTTGAGGTTCTTGTGTGGGGATTGTGAATATTGTCCTATTTGCACCTAAAATCCATGCACAGTGCCTGTATATGACACCTTTTCAATGAATGTCTGTATAAAAGGAACATCAGACCATTCAACAAATCATGTCAGAATAGCATGGTCTGGACTACATCTGCACAGATTACTGCTGAAAATATCATTTGAGAAGTAAACAAATGCTTGATGAAATCCCACAAATTGTGTCTATTCTTGCTTCCTTATTTAGAGAGTTTATTTTTTTAATGATAATAACTAATTAAATTAGTCTGCTACATCCTTTTCCTAAGGTCATGTTATCTCCATGCTAATTATGTACTCAGCTAGTTGGCTGCTAACTCACAAGTTTTATACAATTTATTTGTTTTTTCATATTTTAACCTTTATGAAGTCAGGGTAAATTTTATAATTGATGACATCCCATCATTGTGCCATAGCTTAACTGGCAGAGTTTTTCTTTCTTAGTAACGAATATAATAACGGTGAATCATAGTCCATGAAGATTTGATGAAATATAGTTTTTTAATGCTCTCAGTATGCAGAGTATGATGCTCTGAGACTGGGAATAGTGAGATTCTTACAGGAGAATAATGTTAACATATCAATTGTATCAAGTTTATAAAGGACTCTTCAGTACATTATGGCACTTGATTAGCATAATAGCAGTGGAGTTATTATTAGCTTTAGTTTACACCTAAAATAAAAACACGATTAAGCGACTTCCTCAAGGACATATAGGTTTTCAAAGACAGTACATGTTTATTTTAATTATGGAGAATAATATAGCGCTTGGCACATAGCATGAACTCAATATATATTTGTAGAATAAATAAGATAATAAAGTTTTACTCAAATTTAACTTATTCTCATTTAAATCCTCTTCCCTTCTTATTATGACATTGATCCATCTCCCTCATCTCTTTCCAGCATTTCATTGTCACTCATTAGATGGTCAACTCTTTAAGGTGTAAGATCAAAATAAAAACACATTGAAAAATATATTAGAACTTTTAGAATTGGAATGGGCTTTAGAGGCCACATAGTACTGTCTGCTTTATTTTAAAGGAAAGTAAACTATGGACCAGAAAGTCCGAATGATTGATTTAAGTTTACATGGTTAGTAAATGGCAGAAGCTGGCCTTGAAATTGAACATGCTGCATTTTGGATTACTCTACTAACATTTCTCTTAAATGATTGTTCTGGTGGTTAAAGTCAGCTAACTTGTCTTCAGAATTAATCTGAACGTCTAACTCGTGTTCAAATTGCTAGAAATTTCCACTTGAATGCCTCATGAGAGTGTCAACCTCAAATTGTGCAAAACAGAAAAGCTTGCTCTACCTCCCGTCTTTAAATCTTGGGTAAGGACAGCCACATTTTCCCAGTCAATCTGGGGTAGACACTTTTTTTCTTCTCTCTCTCACCCTTCACCTCAAAGTAATGCCCCATCCCATTTCTCATATCTGTCTCCTACCCATCTGTCACTCCCCTATTTCAGGACATCGCCATCTCTCTCTGTACTATTCTAGTGTCCTACTTTGTTCCCTCTGCCTTTGATTTTGTCTCCTGAAATCTATTCTATAAACTATAGTTAAAGTAAAAATAAATTTAAACATTAATCTAATTGTGATCCTTTTCTGTTTAAAATATTTTATTGGTGATTTACCTTCAAATTTAAATCCAAGCCTTTAGTAAGTACTACACGTTTTTGCAAAATCTGGCTTCTGCCCAATTTTACCCTTGTATTTCCCAATTCAAACATACTCTGCAGACATACCAGACATTCAAGCACAGCGATCTAGAGCTCTAGCTCTGGAGTTTCATGTATAGAACCACATCCTAGCTCTAGTTTACTAAGTAAGTGTTTAAGTTTACTTTAAGGGACCTAATTTCCCTAAGCCTCAGTTTCTTCATTTGAAAAATGAGTTTAATATATTATCCTATTCATTTATAAAGTACTCATTTTATGCCTGACATATACATTGTAAAAATGCAATAAATATTAGCTATTACTATATTTCATAGTTCCGTGACTTTATTCATGTAAATTAGCTTTTTCGGAACGTAATTTCTTTTTGTTTCAGCTTGGGTCAGTCTTCCTCATCATTGAAGACTCAGTTCAGTCTTCATGTGACCTGAAAGATTTTCTTAACATGCGTTTCCCCAGACAGGGCTCCCTAGCACTCTGTGCAATTCTTTATTGTAGCACTGTTTATGCTTTACTTCCTGAATTGCATGCCTTTCCAACTAGACTGTGAGTTCCTTAAAGGCAGCAACTGTGAGTTTTAACTGTGTGTCCTGAGACTCTAGCATGGTATCTGACACAGAGAAGGCACTTGAAAATATCGGCTGAAATCATCTAAGGACCATGAGGATATCACTGCTGTATCCCCAGTTATGACTTGCATGTAGTAGGCCAGTTGATAATGATCTGTTGAAAGAATGAATTTGTGAATTTGAAGATGGATACTCCCTTTGCCAGGTTTCTTCTTCTATAATGTCCCAAAAATTATCACTCTATCAATATCTGACTATCAACATTCTCCACTTCAATGAAAGTTTGTTGTAAAATTGGTTTCTGGCATTGCTGATTGCTTTTATTTTAGGAAGTGGCTGACACTTCTGCCTGTGATGTTAAGGCAAGAACCTGTGCCTGATCATAAGGATGAGAAACACTGTATCAGAGCAGTTCCTGTGGTTGTTGCAGCTGTGCTTCCTCCTATACATTTGTGTTTTCCTTGTGACCTCATCAGATAAGCAATCCACCTATGAGATACTTCGGAGTTTACTAACTTCTGGTGCTCAACCAGATGTTGCTTTTGGGGTTACCTTATGCATTGAAGTTGGCTCCATCTGTCAGAATTTCTTCTGCAAGAAACTTCAGGTTACATTACTCACATGAAAATATGCTAGAGTTACAACTGGAACATTCATATCAAAGAATAATGTGGTGATGGAAATCCAGGACAGATGACCTTCTCTGGCCCTTCAGGAATGTATGTTTTTCTCTTCTTTTCTTAAATCATTAGGTTTCTTCATACCTGCATGGTTTTGGCAGCCTATGGTTTCAGACCATTTGTACTTTTGTTCTTTATTTTCTTCTTTCACTGGCTCTATCTGAGACTCTCTCCCTCTGCTTTTCACACAGGATCATTGACATCTGGCTTTATGTGCCATTTATGGTGTCACATGTGCAGTCTTGCCACTTTTATTCAGATTCAGAGTCTTTTATAAATGCAAATACAGGGTTAGGACTAAAACTGTAGAGTCACTAGGAACTTTGGATGTTAGGTTATTTTGGAATACATGTCAAAACAGTAAATTTTCAAAATTTTTTTTTTGTTCTGTAAGCCTATGATTGTATATTTTTCCCTCCATTTGAGAACTTGCTAAATTCTGTCTTGAAATATGAAAAAAAAAAGAACAGCATAAGAAACTACTGAGTATCAGGCATGGGCTACACAGCTCATGAACATAAGAAATTTTTCATTGATACTTGCAGATGACTGGTTTTATGAACTAACACCAAACAGAGCATTCTACCTTTCCCAACACCTTGACTTCTTTCAGTTCCTCAAACACCAAGCTCTTCACTACCCCGCACCCTTTGTATGTGCTGTTACTCCCTTTCAGGAATGTTCTCCCCTCCAGCCTCCTCAGGAGTAATCCTTTACCTTTTAGATTATTTTCCCTTTAGGGAAGATTTCCCCGACCACTCTATCTTAACAAATTTCCTTTTATCTCTCTCTATCACAGCTCCTTTTCTTCTTCCCTTCATAAGCCCTATTGTAACATTCAGTTATTTTCTTTGCCTTTCTGATTGGAGTTTTAGGTCTGTCCCTTTGAATAGAATATAAGCTTCATATATTCTATTGAGAGAAGTACTGTATCTCTAGTTTTTTCCATTGTATTCTTAGTGTCCAGCCATTGTCAAAAATCAATAAATAATATGTGATGTGCCAAACACTGTTTCAAGTTTTTTGCATGTATTAAGTAATTTATTCTCATGACAAAACTATCAGGAGGATGTTACTATCTTTGTGTTGCAGCTGTGAAAATGAGAAACAGAAAGATCAAAATCTTCGTCCAGGATCACACAGCTAATATGTGAATATGTTAGAATTCAACCCTGGGAAATCTGGGTCTGGAATCCATGTTCTTAATGAATACAGTCAGAAAGTTATATATAAGAAGTTAAATTACCAAAAATATGCTCTAATGTAAAAGCAGGTGATGCATTGGAGTAATGGTGCAATATCCCCAAATAACTTTAAAACATGAATAATAATGTCCTCTGAGCGTCCTCTGAAAGGGAAGATTTCCAGGCCAGCTAAACTAGACTGTTGTAAGCATTAAGGTATTAACATATCTAAAGAAAGAATGTGTCAATCATAAGGGAGATTATTCTGTAATAGAAATAAATAACACAAAAAATGAAGGATATGTTACTAGGCTAAGAAAAACCATCTCCCTTCCCCCCTTTTTCCTCAGTGTAGGAAGGAAAGTGATAACTTGCAACAACACCTTGTAAGTTTGTGTGTGTGTGTGTGTGTGTGTGTGTGTGTCTGTGGTAAAATGTATATAACATAAAGCCTATAATTGTACCCATTTTTGAGCGTTCATTTTCAATGCTTCAGGTGAGTTTTTTGTATAGCTAATGAGCAGCCATTAGGACATATATGCCTTAGTCACATGCTTATTTCTTAATTTATTGTTATGTACAGCAAGGATTACTTAAAAGATGAGGTGGAGCAAGGATTGGATGGAGAAGTGGAAGAAAAGAAAGAAATATTATTTCTGCTCTGTGTTGCTCTGCATGATTTTCTTAAAAGCTAACTCTGATGTTGGCAGGGTGGTCTTGCAAATAACCAAAGAGATAGTAAAATGTTTATCTTCTTAATATAATGAATATTTTTCTTTGGGAGGGGCTACATATGTCCTATGTGTGGAATAAATGTAGTTTCTCTGTGCTGAATAAATGACAGAGGGTGAGGGAACATACGGACTGTGATTCATTTATTGTAACCCTTGCTTTGTTTCTTCCTAGTCAATAAAACAAGGTTCTCTGGTTGAATTTCTCTCTGTGTTATTATGATTCACCATTCTTAGGAACTTTCTACTTCTTGTATATTAGAAATATTGTATGTCCAGACTTGTATGTTGTATTTACTCAGAGAAATTTCCTGAACTGTGGAAGCCCTTAAATACCTATTTTCTGACATTTACACATACAAACCAGAGAAATATGTTGTTTCCTAACTAAGCTCCTGTAATTTTTTTTAATGTCATGGAATATTACTATATGGATTCAGTCTGATTTTTTCCCATGGTCTACGTTAGTGACATTTTTATCAAACTAAGTGTTCTAGATTTTGAACGTGAGCTGGAAAGCTTCATTGATGTTAACCAAAGGAAATGTTATCTTACCACTCTGTCAAGCCAGTCTATTTGCTCTGGTTCTATAAACTATTGGAGTTGCCAATTGGTAAGACTCACATACGGGGCTTCCTGCTATAAGCCCCGTACTCCTGCCACTGTGTCCATTTGAAATAGAATACAAGAATATAAGAATCAGCAGCCTAGAACCTAACTCTTAGCTTGAAAATGAGTCATTGTTGATTTTGGACAATTTATTTTCTTAAGAGAATTTATAAGTCACAATGAAGGTAAATCTCTGTGATATAAGCTTTTCTATGAATTATATTTCTAAATTCAAACAAATAAAACATTAAAATATTATGTCAATGCTATTTGAACACCCGGTATTAAATTTGCTTGTGATGTTTGTGGACAGAATAACATAGCAATTCTACTGTACTGAAGTTATTTGTATATCTTAGTTATTGTTTATGTATTGATGCGTTCAAGTTAACTGCACTTCCAATATCTTGTCAGCAGGCAGAAAAGGGTCATTTAATCATTAGAATGTATTGTCAATTTAGATTTCTTGAAAAATTAGACTCTTTAAAATCATTTTGTAAGATGTTCTGTATATAATTTTTCAAAGGTAAGTGGAAGACACAACTTGTGAAGTTATATTGCTCCATGCTTACCTATATATGAAATATTTGTGGCAAGTATATAAATATCTGTATATTAGTGCTATGAAGTCCTTGAGGTGGGAAAAAGGCATAAAAAGACAATGCGTTTAGTCTAATTATGAAGATCTATTTTTAGAAGGTAATATATATAGCCTGTGTCATACACTCCTATTTTGAATGAAGAAGATCTTGAAATGAGGTAAAATAATGTGGTTTATGGTGCATTCTGATAAATGAGGTGTAAATGAGAAGGCCATAGAAACACGTTAGAATAACTGGGCTCCTATACAAGGGAGTCTAAGTACAAAAATGTCTCATTACACCATATCTTGTGCTACAGATGTTTATGCACCTGCCTTATCTTTCTTATCAAGAGATTTTAGGGAAAACTAGTTCTGCTTCACTTCTGTATCTCCCATCAAGTATTGTGCAGTGCCTTGCATAGAGTTGATTTGAGATGTATAAATGTATAAATGAAATTATGGAATTATAAAGAATATTATTAATATGTTGGTGGCATCGTTAAGGTCCAGCTGGAGACTAGACTGAGGGTATATTTTTATAGCAAGGTTGAAGCTACTTTGAAATAGAATACATGCAGTTATTAGTTATAATTAAACACAGGGAGTTATTTTTACATTCAACATGTTACCACAACTGAATACCCATAAGATTGGTTTTTCAAAAGAGAAAAACTCATTTGGATGACATACAATGTATCTACATAGACACTTGAATGAACATTTATTATGAAATAAATCTCAAAATTATTGGTTTTATAATCAAAGAGATTTATTTAGGTTTAAATATTAGACTGAACTTTCAAATTAGTGACCTTCAAAAGTTATTCAACCTTCCTGATATGGTTTCTTTTCCCTTCCCTTCCCTTGTTACTTTTCTTTTGTTTTCTTTTCTTTTTCTTTTTTCAGAGACAGGGTCTCACTATGTTACACAGGCTGATCTCGAACTCAAGGGCTCAAGGGATCCTCCTGCTTTGGCCTCCCAAAGTGCTGAGATTACAGGTGTGAGGGACAACACCTGGCCTAACATGTTTCCTTTTACTAGTAAAATTGGAACTTCTTTGGGTAAAGATTAAATGAGAACAATTGATTCATCCATTGAATAATTTTACATACTTACTCTGCCATACAGGGCGTTAGAAAAAAAAGAGAAACAAGGAAAATCTCTGCCCTCATGGCCTTCACATTTTAGTGAGATAAACAGAAATAAACAGATTTTCTATAATATTATGTTAGATAGTGATGTGTTATAAAGAAAAATAAAGCCCAATAATGGACCAGAAAGTGATAGGAATTGCTGTTTAAGACGGAGTGGCCAGGGAGGGCATCTCTGGGAAATGACATTGAAGCAGTCACCTGCATTGTGAAGAAAGAGAAATAAGAATAACATGTGAGAAAAGAGAAGTTCAAGCAGAGTGAGGGCCCTGGGTTTGGAACCTGAAGGACTCCAAGCTAGGAAGCCAGTAGGACAGAATATAGTGACAAGTGGAGAAGGGACAAAAGAAGGAAGAGGGGATGCATCTTTTGAGTGTCATATACCATTACAAGGGTCATGGATTTTATTTCAAGTGCAATTAGAAGGCATTAGAGGGTTATGATTAGGGAAGGGGACCTAATCAGACTTAAATATTAAAGGATTACTCTGGCTACTCTATCATGAATAGACTGTAGAAGGACAAGAGTCAAAGCCAGGAAAGAGCAGAGGCTGTTGCGTTAATCCGGAAACCAGATGATGTCTTGGAATGGAAGACACTGTGGCACATGGTTAAATTCTGATTATATTTTAATTAGAGCTTACACTGTTTTCTGATGGATGGCATATAGAGTTGAAGAGAAAGCAGAAAGTCTACAATGAGTTCTGTAAAGTGCTTAGCATGTACATGCTAGTTTTCTTCTTCAGGAGCCCTTTCATAATTTATGCAACTTGAAAAGTGTCAAAAAATGAGCCTGAAAGTAAAAAATAAGTTGATAATATGTACGTTTTTTAAAAAAGGATTTTCGGGGCCTTCTCTTATCTAATCTGTAAAATCCATTTCTGCTAGTTCCACAAAATAAGTCTGAATGTACCCAGACGGCATTTATAAATGTTCATGGATGAATCCTCTCAACTACCTATCATGTCCTCTTCTCTCATTTAACTGTAGAACAGTCCCTGCATTACCTTTGATGGCAATTTGAAGAACAATGTCCTCTTTTGATTTAGTTCAGCTCCAATGCCTGGGTGCCCAGATTTCACTCAAGTCAAAGGAATCTCTTTAGTATCTCAAGCAAGTGCATTCTTGGTAGCATTTCCTTATCCCTTCTTGGGAAATGTCCAGGGATGTCAAGGCTAATTAAAGAAGAGATTTAATATAGAACTTTCTATATTTTATAAACATTTTTTCTTTCAAAAAATGTATTAGATAACTACTGGATAGCAGAACTGTTAATAGAACCTGGTTATACAAAGGGAAATATAGCTTCGGCCTTAAAGGAATTTACAGTATAGTGGGAGAAATATGTAGACATATTAACAGTTTAAGTTTTGTTTCATAAGTTCTATTATAAATATATTCAAATTGTTTAGGTGCATATTATGTCCTGGATATAAAACGGTACTGAGCTCTCTCTCCAGTTTCTTATAGTAGCTATTTTATTTCAATTATATCTATTATCTACCTCAATACTGACTCTGAGCAGGCAGTTTAATAATTCCTAAAAATAAAACAGAAAACTCAAGTCAGGAAATCCTGCAATTTTATGTTGCCCCTCCCTGTCTTTGCTTCTATTCCCTGCCTTGACCATCTTCACTCCCATCTTAGGATGTTTTCTTGCTCTAGGATAATCCTTTTCCTTCAATTTGAGACTTCTTCTCTTATCTCCTGAAGCCTTTGTTCCATCCAATCTTTTTTTTTTCTTTCAGCTTCAGCCTCTTGCTATCCATTATCTTTCTGCTATAAGCATTGCATCATGATTTTGACTCTAAAAGTACATCTCCCTCTTACTCAATTTCTTTCTCTGTCTACTACAAGCTTGTAAAAAGCATAGGAAAATTCAGATTATACCACAATTAAATACTACTTCTTAATCATCAAAATGGCTACAATTATAATGAAAAATAATACCAAGCATTGATTAGTATGTGAGCAAAGGGACTCTCATATACTTTTGGTGGTATGATTACATTATTATTATTATTATTATTATTATTATTATTATTATTATTTGAGACGGAGTCTTGCTCTGTCACCCAGGCTGGAGGGCAGTGGTGCGATCTCAGCTCACTGCAACCTCTGCATCTCAGGTTCAAGTGATTCCCCTGACTCAGCCCTCTGAGTAGCTGGGATTACAGGCACCCATCACCATGCCCGGCTAATTTTGTATTTTTAGTAGAGATGGGGTTTTCACATATTGGCTAAGCTGGTCTCAAACTCCTGACCTTAAGTGATCCACCCACTTCAGCCTCCCAAAATGCTGGGATTACAGGCATGGGCCAGCATGCCCAGCTCTTTTGAAAAAGAATTTAGCTTTGTCTAATACATTAAAGATAGGTACACCCTATGGCAATGTAATTCCATTTCTGGGAATGACCGTACCTGCAGAAGCATATATACCGTGTTCATGGAAAGACATGAAAAGTAATGTATGGAAGCATTATTTATCATAACCACAAAACCAAAAAAGTTAAAATTGCTATCAATAGTAGAATATATATAAACAAATAGTGATCTATTCATATGGTAGAATATCATACAGTACTATGAATAAATACTACTCTCTATAGACCATGATATCTGAAAACAAAACTATTGATTTATATCATCCCCTCTTCCTCGCACAAGAAATTTTACTTTCCCTCCAATTTTCCCTGTCTCATTAAATCGTACCGTGCTCCACCTAATGGCTTAAGTCAAAAATTTGAACCACTCTTGATTTTTCTTTTTTCTTCATCTGCCTCATCCAATTCTTCACTGAGTCCTTCTTGCTCTACTTTCAAAATATATTCCAAAGAAGCACATAGAAAACAAACATTGAAATATTTTGTTCCATTTCCAATAAAGGGCCAGATAGTACATTTTTTTAGCATTCTTGGCATATGATCTCTGTCACAATAATTTAAACCTACTCTTGAGGCACAAAAGCAGTCATAGATAAAACATAAACAAATAGGCATGGTTATGTTCCAAGCCTTACTTATAAAAACAGGCAGTAGTTTGCCTCTCTCTGTCATAACAATGCGTGGTGTCAAATTACATCCTCTATTCACTTACCTGCTTTGTGGTGCATTGTGCATAATTGGTGCTCAGTGAAAATTTCTGAATGAATGACTTAAATTATTGTAACCCATTAATTTCAATTAGACTCCCTATGATGCAAGGAGGAGACAAATATTATTTCAGGACAATTTTCTAACTGATGAGTCTCAATTTTTTTCTTTCTCAAACTCTCAAATATTTTTCTTTCTAATGAATATTTCCTGAGTCTAAGCCTGAAAGGACAAAACTCTGATATTTTTTATTTGAAGTGAATAGAAATTGTTGTGCCTCTACTCTGTGTCATAAATTGTAGATGTAGCTATTTTCAAGACTGTGGATAATACCAAGGAAGAGAGACAACTCTTTTGGCCACATCTCTGTTCCATCTGGAAGCAATATCATTTTTCTCCAAGGGAAAAATCTGTTCTTAGCCAACCAGCAGTTGAAAGTACTGTTGTTCTGCCATAAACTAGTAGTGATTTAATTATTCTATTTGTATTATTATGTGACAGATTCATGCACTTGATATATTGGTGTATTGGCGTGTGTGTGTGCGTGTGTGTGCGTGTGCTGGTTGGAGTTGGGAGTGGCAGTAATTGTTCATAATATAAGCCTGAGCTAGATACCTAATAGACATCTAATGAATCAATAGATTTGCTTTACTGATTAAAACAAAAACAACCCTAATTCTTTCGTCTTTGAAATGTTTTATCTCTTAACTAAGCCAAATTTAACACTTTCGTTGATGCTTTGGTTTAAGTTCCGTGGTTGTTTCATGGGTAAAAAGTTTTCTTTATTCAGTGTTGTTTTCTAATATTACATTTTCGTCATTTCCTCTTATTCTTCATCTTCCTGTTAATTACTCAAAACACTCTAGTGTGATTGCTGTCTTTACCTGTTCATTGGAATTTCTTAACCACATTTACACACAGATGCAATAATAGGTAGGAGTGTATACATATGTAACAAACCTGCACGTTGTGCACATGTATCCTAAAACTTAAAGTATAATAATAACAATAAAATAAAATAAAATAAAATAAAATAAAATAAAATAAAATACACTAGGTAAGAATTTAGTGAGAGATTAATATTGGAGAAAAATTCTACTTCCTGGAAAGCTGGTTTAGGACTGTTTGGGGTTGCTCACAGGGGTAGGTGAAGAAGGAATAATTCAATTTTGAGTCCAGAGACACTTGGGAGAAGAGAAAAATGGAATATTTAAGACATTGTGTTACATGATGTTCTGTGCCAAATGCTTCTTTCTCTCCCCATACACTCTCTCTTTAATAAAATCTAGTAGCTCATTGTTTTTAGGGTTATGGACTCTTTCTGGACAGTGGGAGCTTCAGTGGGCCTTGCTTTAAGACTGGGTTAGGGAACGACAAAAACACCAGCTGGAACTGCTTGTGTCTGAGAGAGACAAAAAACAGCATTTTTCAATAAGATGGGCATAGCTTAAACTCTAGTCATATTAAAATATACTTATCTAATTATTACTTTTCTTAGGAATGAGATTCATATTAATAGGTTCATATTATTAGAACATAAAATATAAACAAACCCACAATCTAAGTGGAACCGTTTTGACCTGAGAAATGAGGAAACTTTTGCCTATATCTCGTGTATTATTTTTTAGTCCATCTTGGACTATACTGTTAAGTGTGGTTGTTACTAGTTAGACCCTGTTTCCCTTATTTTTTTTCTTAGAGGCAGCAGAGAGTGATGTTTACAAGTAAGTTCTAGGGTCAGAAAGCCTTGCTTTGAAATATGGCTCCCCTGCTTATTGTGTAAAGTAGGACTTTGACCTATTAAAGTTCGTAAAATGGGTACACAGTATTCTCTTCTTCATAGAATCATTTGAGAATTAAAAGAGTTGACACATAATAAGTGATGAGAACAGTGCCCAGCACTGCTGCCATGTTTTACGATTCTGAACGGCACTATTTACATTATAAATTATCACTGTGAATGGTGAGGAATGTGGTGGGGCCCCTGAGCCAACTATTATTTTCATTTATTGCCATGTGTGCTTTCAATTCCTGTATTCATTTATACTCCTAATTGAAAATGAAACAGATTCCTATTTATATTTTTCAGGCTGTTGTCCTCTGAAGTAGAAGATAGTTATGCCGATAGAGATTGGATGACTGATAAGATCATCTTCAGCATGCCATCCATTCTTAGCTTGAAACACACACACAAAATATATAAACATTCTTCAGCGAGATTGAGTCTTCTTTTTTTTTATTATTATACTGTAAGTTTTAGGGTACATGTGCACAATGTGCAGGTTAGTTACATATGTATACATGTGCCATGCTGGTGCGCTGCACCCACTAACTCCTCATCTAGCATTAGGTATATCTCCCAATGCTATCCCTCCCCCGTCCCCCCACCCCACCACAGTCCCCAGAGTGTGATGTTCCCCTTCCTGTGTCCATATGTTCTCATTGTTCCATTCCCACCTATGAGTGAGAATATGCGGTGTTTGGTTTTTTGTTCTTGTAATAGTTTACTGAGATTGATGATTTCCAATTTCATCCATGTCCCTACAAAAGACATGAACTCATCATTTTTTGTGGCTGCATAGTATTCCATGGTGTATATGTGCCACATTTTCTTAATCCAGTCTATCATTGATGGGCATTTGGCTTGGTTCCAAGTCTTTGCTATTGTGAATAATGCCGCAATAAACATACATGTGCATGTGTCTTTATAGCAGCATGATTTATATTCCCTTGGGTATATACCCAGTAATGGGATGGCTGGGTCAAATGGTATTTCTAGTTCTAGATCCCTGAGGAATCGCCGCACTGACTTCCACAATGGTTGAACTAGTTTACAGTCCCACCAACAGTGTAAAAGTGTTCCTATTTCTCCACATCCTCTCCAGCACCTGTTGTTCTCTGACTTTTTAATGATTGCCATTCTAATTGGTGTGAGATGGTATCTCATTGTGGTTTTGATTTGCATTTCTCTGATGGCCAGTGATGATGAACATTTTTTCATGTGTTTTTTGGCTGCATAAATGTCTTCTTTTGAGAAGTGTCTGTTCATGTCCTTCGCCCACTTTTTGATGGGGTTGTTTGTTTTTTTCTTGTAAATTTGTTTGAGTTCATTGTAGATTCTGGATATTAGCCCTTTGTCAGATGAGTAGGTTGCGAAAATTTTCTCCCATTTTGTAAGTTGCCTGTTCACTCTGATGGTAGTTTCTTTTGATGTGCAGAAGCACTTTAGTTTAATGAGATCCCATTTGTCAATTTTGGCTTTTGTTGCCATTGCTTTTGGTGTTTTAGACATGAAGTCCTTGCCCATGCCTATGTCCTGAATGGTAATGCCTAGGTTTTCTTCTAGGGTTTTGATGGTTTTAGGTCTAACGTTTAAGTCTTTAATCCATCTTGAATTGACATTTGTATAAGGTGTAAGGAAGGGATCCAGTTTCAGCTTTCTACATATGGCTAGCCAGTTTTCCCAGCACCATTTATTAAATAGGGAATCCTTTCCCCATTGCTTGTTTTTCTCAGGTTTGTCAAAGATCAGATAGTTGTAGATATGCGGCGTTATTTCTGAGGGCTCTGTTCTGTTCCATTGATCTATATCTCTGTTTTGGTACCAGTACCATGCTGTTTTGGTTACTGTAGCCTTGTAGTATAGTTTGAAGTCAGGTAATGTGATGCCTCCAGCTTTGTTCTTTTGGCTTAGGATTGACTTGGCGATGCGGGCTCTTTTTTGGTTCCATATGAACTTTAAAGTAGTTTTTTCCAATACTGTGAAGAAAGTCATTGGTAGCTTGATGGGGATGGCATTGAATCTATAAATTACCTTGGGCAGTATGGCCATTTTAATGATATTGATTCTTCCTACCCATGAGCATGGAATGTTCTTCCATTTGTTTGTATCCTCTTTTATGTCATTGAGCAGTGGTTTGTAGTTCTCCTTGAAGAGGTCCTTCATGTCCCTTGTAAGTTGGATTCCTAGGTATTTTATTCTCTTTGAAGCAATTGTGAATGGGAGTTCACTCATGATTTGGCTCTCTGTCTGTTATTGGTGTATAAGAATGCTTGTGATTTTTGTACATTGAGTTTGTATCCTGAGACTTTGCTGAAGTTGTTTATCAGCTTAAGGAGATTTTGGGCTGAGACAATGGGGTTTTCTAGATATACAATCATGTCGTCTGCAAACAGGGACAATTTGACTTCCTCTTTTCCTAATTGAATACCTTTTATTTCCTTCTCCTGCCTAACTGCCCTGGCCAGAACTTCCAACACTATGTTGAGTAGGAGTGGTGAGAGAGGGCATCCCTGTCTTGTGCCAGTTTTCAAAGGGAATGCTTCCAGTTTTTGCCCATTCAGTATGATATTGGCTGTGGGTTTGTCATAGATAGCTCTTATTATTTTGAGATATGTCCCATCAATACCTAATTTATTGAGAGTTTTTAGCATGAAGGGTTGTTGAATTTTGTCAAAGGCCTTTTCTGCATCTATTGAGATAATCATGTGGTTTTTGTCTTTGGTTCTGTTTATATGCTGGATTACATTTATTGATTTGCATATATTGAACCAGCCTTGCATCCCAGGGATGAAGCCCACTTGATCATGGTGGATAAGCTTTTTGATGTGCTGCTGGATTCGGTTTGCCAGTATTTTATTGAGGATTTTTGCATCAATGTTCATCAAGGATATTTGTCTAAAATTCTCTTTTTTGGTTGTGTCTCTGCCTGGCTTTGGTATCAGGATGATGCTGGCCTCATAAAATGAGTTAGGGAGGATTCCCTCTTTTTCTATTGATTGGAATAGTTTCAGAAGGAATGGTACCAGTTCCTCCTTGTACCTCTGGTAGAATTCAGCTGTGAATCCATCTGGTCCTGGACTCTTTTTGGTTGGTAAGCTATTGATTATTGCCACAATTTCAGCTCCTGTTATTGGTCTATTCAGAGATTCAACTTCTTCCTGGTTTAGTCTTGGGAGAGTGTATGTGTCGAGGAATTTATCCATTTCTTCTAGATTTTCTAGTTTATTTGTGTAGAGGTGTTTGTAGTAATCTCTGATGGTAGTTTGTATTTCTGTGGGATCGGTGGTGATATCCCCTTCATCATTTTTTATTGTGTCTATTTGATTCTTCTCTCTTTTTTTCTTTATTAGTTTTGCTAGTGATCTATCAATTTTGTTGATCCTTTCAAAAAATCAGCTCCTGGATTCATTAATTTTTTGAAGGGTTTACACATTCAAAAGCTAGCAGAGATTGAGTCTTCTTACAAGCTTATGCTCAACTGGTTTAATCACTAGCAAAATGGAAAAAAAATGATCTGATTCTCCTTTTGACCTGAGACTTCCTGCCACATTGGCTGAAATAGGGCATTCCTCAGAAAGATGCTTCTGTGGTGTGCTGTGTCTTGTCACTACTTCCTTTCTCTTCCTAATGTGACTGATCACCAATCACCCATAAGCTTGAGCTAAGTCTCTTAGGAAGATTTAAAAGTAGTTTTCCCCAGGAGAGTTTTATACCAAAGACATAATTACACATTGATCTTGTCACAAATCCTTATGCCAGTACTGATTTCCATCTCAGCTTCTTTCAAAACACAAGAGAATATTACAGAGTTACGAAAAACAATGTCGATTTCTATTGGAAATTTGTCATAGATTGGAGAATGTTATCATTTGAAATGCCTAATTTTAGAGTTGTTTTAAATTCTTTGATGTTTTGAAAGGTTTATATATCTCTGTATACAGTATGTCTTTTGATAATTTCCTTTGTAATACTCCAAAATATAGCACTGTGGCTAAGAAGGCAGGTTTAAGAATCCTGGGTTTGAATTCTGGCTCTGCTACTTACTAAGCATGTGACTTGTCTTTTTTCTATATCAATTTTCTCATCTACAGAATGGGGGTGGTAATATTATTTACCTAATAGATTAATTCTGTAAATAAAATTATTTACAGGGCCTAGAATAGCCTTTGATTTGTAAACATATGCTACATTATTCCTGTTTTATGGATGAGGATACTAAAGTATAGACTGCAAACTCTGCATCTCTGTTACACAGTCTCTCTTGCCAGCTATTCATAGATCTTAATGATAATTTTAACAAAAATTTCACTTTCTTGTCCTAGTCATGGCATTATGAGAAAAGTGGTCTTTCACAAAAGCTGGGGATAGATTTTAGCAATTTCTAGCAGTATATAAAGTGTGACAAAATGCTACCACATTAAGAAGTAACTTATCCTCTCCATTTCATGTGTTTGCAAAAAACTAAAGAATAAAAATAAATACATAAAAAACTAAAGGAGTAACAAAAATGTTTGAAGAAACTAATGTTTGAAGGTACAATACCTTTAAAATGCTATATTTAGGAAAATTGAACTTAAATGTCAGGGAAGTTTATTTTAATAATGTTTGTAAGGTCACTAAAAACTTTTGAGATGTCTTTTGTCATGATGTTTTTACAAAAATTATGTTTTCTGAGATTTATTACCATGATATATGGAATTCTGGTTAGAATTTCTATTTAGGACTCTAGGCAAAACACATATTGTAATAATTCACCATTCCTTGCTGATTGTTGTTTAGGATCTTATTCTTATGTCTTGAAGACACCCTACAGCTGTGTCCTATTTCTACTTTTCTCTCTGGTGCCTGACGTTTACTGGGAATGAATTCGAAGGACCACTTGAACTACTGCCTTTCTCTCTTCCCCCATGATAAGCAAGTAACCAGACCTGAGTGCCCTGGAAGAAAATTTTCTCTTTCACTTACATTGTGATATTTCTATGATGATTAGCATTTTGAAAGATAATCCTGAGATTCTTAGTACTTATTCTTCTTAACTTTAACTTGCTGGCAATTTGTGTTAAGTAAAGCTCCCTGATCTCTTAATGAGGCTGTATCAGAAAAATAATATATAAATAAACCCATTTTACTTTTCAGTTTGGCAAGTCTTTTCTATTGTGATCAGGTGCTATTGACATATTAATAATAACCAACTCACTGTGTATTATCGGTCTGGGTTTTCTTAAGAAGTAGAACTAGTAGAATATAGATAAATATAGAAGAGGAAATTTATTATGGGAATTAGCTCATGTGATTATGGAGGCCTAGAAGTCCCATGATATACTGTCTAGAAGCTGGAGAACCAAGAAAGCTGGTGGTGTAATTCATTCTGAAGCCAAAAGTTGAAAGAAGAAGGAGTATGTATGGGTAGGCTGCAGATACAATTCCCAGAGTCTGAAGGCCAGAGAACCAAGAACTCTGATGTCTGAGGATGGGAGAAGATGGAGGCCCTAGCTCAAGAAAGGGGAGAATTTACCCTTTCTTCACCTTTTATTCTATTAAGGCCCTCAATGGATTGGATTGGATGATGCCTGCTCACATTGATGAGGGCGATAGTCTTTACTCAGTCTACTGACTCAAATACTAATTTATTCTAGAAACACACTCACAGACATGCCCAGAAATGATTTACCAGCTACCTGGGTATCCCTTAGCCCAGTCAAGTTGACATACAAAACTAACCATTTAATATGCTCTTGTAATTTTACCTAATTAAATTGTCTTTACCAGTATTTGGCACAAGCTACAAAATGTGCCAAGTGCTTGAAGCTCATTTAATTCTCACAATGCATCTATGAGATAAGCATTATCATCCTCATCATTGTCATCATTGCTATCTATAAGTGAGTAAACAGCAACAAGAGTGATTAAATAACTGAGGACTTTCAGTTAATAAGCCCAGTGCAATGAGCTGAACTCTGTCTCTGACTCTGAAGCCTATGCTTTCACTCACCGGACTCAGTTCTCCAACTCTGCATCCCTTTAAACCCCCATTTATTTTCATAACCCAGGCAACATTATACATTACGAGCCCATGTGTCTGACATAAGAATCTTGTGATAGAGTTAGGTATGTGCCTTCTATGAAATTTTCCTATTTATATCTATAAATAACCTTGGAACAAACTCTTTATGAATAAAACATTTCATGAATAATTGATATAATATGTAGGTAAATCCCTGTGCTACCTATGGGGGTCAGAGTATTTTAGTTATTTTTGAGAGTCTGAGAATGATTACATTTTCAATGAAAATTTCTTGATACCAACACATGTCCTAGTCATTATGTGGTCTTGGAAACACATGCTTATTCTGGCAATTGACCTCGTTTATTTGGTATTATCATTTGCCTGATCTGAAGATTAAACAACTGGTACAACACACATGAACGTAATTCCAGTGGGTGCCATCGAACATTCCTTTATATCTGAAAGTCGTCAGTGTCAGTGCTCACTTTACAGGCTTGGCAATTCTTCATTCTCTGGCATCCTCTGCAGACAATATTCAGAGCTAGTAGGAATGAGCTAGGGGTTCATGAGAGGCAGGCACTGATAGCTTGACAGGTGTTGTTGTTGTTGTTGTTTGTGTGTGTGTGTGTGTGTGTGTGTGTGTGTGTAATTTTTATCATATGGTCCAAGGACTTTGGAAATGACCTGTTCGCTTATATTATAGAGGCCCTTTAAAAATCCAGTCAGTATTGTAGCTTATCAGGGACTCGTGGTATCTAGCTTTATACCTTCTGAATAAAAGAGAAAAAGAATGCTTTTTACTCAAATGAGGCACTGAATTTCCAAAAGGATTTTAGAGCATAGGTTCTGCATAATATTAATTGTCTTCTATTGCAATGTTATATGTCACAAAATATACCAAGTAACAGACGTAGAGACGATTCAGGGAAACAGTTTTGTAAATAAGATATATACGTATTTATTTGCTCACTTATTTATTTATTTATTTATTTATTTTATTATTTAATAATATATGGCACTGAAATTAGGTAACAATGTTCTAGGTACTATTGATTAAAAGATAAATAGCATAAGATACTAGACTTTGAAGAGACTGTGGTTTCATGAAAGAGACAGACATGTAAAGAACAAATCGTAAGAAGTGCCATTTGTTGCAATGCCTGCCTATACAAAATACATGTGGCAACATTTTCCATGTCAGTATGAATGTTTCAGAAGCATCATTTTCAATGGTGGCATAATACCATTATAAGTCAATATTTCTATCTTAATATTATATTATGATAAATGATGCTCTAGTGAATATTTTAATGTTTTATTCTGCATTTTCTGTTGGCATAAATAATTGGAAAGGTTATTTCCAAGTCAATAGATATTAAAATTGTAAGACTCATGGTATATGTATTAGTCCATTTTCATGCTGCTGATAAAGATATACCTGAGACTGGGAAGAAAAAGAGGTTTAATTGGCCTTACAGTTCCACATGGCTGGGGAGGCCTCAGAATCATGGCAGGAAGTGAAAGGCACTTCTTACTTGGCGGCTGCAAGAGAAAAATGAGGAAGAAGCAAAAGCAGAAATCCCTGTTAAACCCATCAGATCTTGTGAGACTTATTCACAATCATGAGAATAACACAGGAAAGACTGGCCCCCATTATTCCATTACTTCCTCCTGGGTCCCTCCCACAACATGTGGGAATTCTGGGAGATAAAATTCAAGTTGAGATTTGGGTGGGGACACAGCCAAACTGCATCATTCCACCCCTGGCCTCTCTGAATCTCATGTCCCCACATTTCAAAAACAATCATGCCTCCCAACAATCTCCCAAAGTCAACTCATTCAGCAACAATCCAAAAGTCAAAAGTCCAAAGTCTCATCTGAGACAAAGCAAGTCCCTTCTGCCTATGAGCCTGTAAAATCAAAAGCAAGCTAGTTACTTCCTAGATACAATGGGGATACAGGTGTTGGGTAAATACAGTTGTTCCAAATGAGAGAAATTGGCCAAAACAAAGGGGTTACAGGGCCCATGCAAGTCCGAAATCCAGAGGGGCAGTCAAGTTTTAAAGCTCCAAAATGATCTCCTTTGACTCCAGGTTTCACATCCAGGTCATGCTGATGCAAGAGGTGCGTCCCCATGGTTTTGGGCAGCTCTGTCCCTCTGGCTTTGCAGGGTACAGCTTCCCTCCTGGCTGCTTTCCTGAGCTGGCATTGAATGTCTGTGGCTTTTCCAGGTGCACAGTGCAAGCTGCTAATGGATGTACCTTTCTGGGATCTGGAGGATGATGGCCTTCATCTCAAACCTCCACTAAGCAGTGCCCCAGTAGGGATTCTGTGTGGGGGGTCTGACCCCACATTTCCCTTTGGCACTGCCCTAGCAGAGGTTCTCCATGAGGGCTCCCCCCTTGCAGCAAACTTTTGCCTGGGAATCCAGGTGTTTCCATACATATTTTGAAATCTAGGAGGAGGTTCCCAAACCTCAATTCTTGACTTCCATGCACCTCTGCAGGCTCAACACCATGTGGAAGTTGCCAACGCTTGGGGCCTCCACCCTCTGAAGCCACAGTCTGAGCTCTATGTTGGTCCCTTTCAGTCACAGCTGGAGTGGCTGGGACATAGGACACCATGTCCCTAGGCTGCAAACAGCATGGGGACCTTGGGCCCAGCTCATGAAACCACTTTTTCCTCTTGGGCCTCTGGGTCTGTGATGGGAGGGGCTGCCATGGAGGTCTCTGACATGGCCTAGAGACATTTTCCTCATGATCGTGGGAATTAATATTAGGCTCCTTGCTACTTATGCAAATTTCTGCAGCTGGCTTGAATTCCTCCTCAAAAAATGGGTTTTTCTTTTCTACTGCATCATCAGGCTGCAAAGTTTCTGAACTTTGATGTCCTGCTTCCCTTTTAAAATGTAACGCTTTTAACAAGCACCCAAGTCACCTTATGAATGCTTTGCTACTTAGAAATTTATTCCGCCAGATACCCTAAATCATCTCTCTCAAGTTCAAATTTCCACAAATCTCTAGGGCAGGGGCAAAATTCTGCCAGTCTTTTTGCTAAAACAACAAGAGTCACCTTTGATCCAGTTCCCACCAAGTTCCTCATCACCATCTGAGACCACCTCAGCTTGGACCTTATTGTTCATATCATTATCAGCATTTTTGTCAAAGCCATTCAACAAGTCTCTAGGAGGTTCCAAACTTTCCCACATTTTTCTGTCTTCTTCTGAGCCCTCCAAACTGTTCCAACCTCTGCCTGTTGCCCAGCTCCAAAGTCACTTCCACATTTTTGGGAATCTTTTCAGCAACGCCCCACCCTACTGGTACCTATTTACTGTATAAGCCCATTTTCATGCTGCTGATAAAGATATACCCAAGACTGAGAAGAAAAAGAGGTTTAATTGGGCTTACAGTTGCACATGGCTGGGGATGCCTCAGAATCATGGTGGAAGGTGAAAGGCACTCTTACATGGCAGCTGCAAGAGAAAAATGAGGAAAAAGCAAAAGTTGAAACACTGATAAACCCATCAGATCTCGTGAGACTTATTCACTATCATGAGAATAGCAGAGGAAAGACTTGCCCCCATGATTCAATTACCCCCCCTCCCCCGCCCCAACCATGGGTCCCTCCCACAGGATGTGGGAGTTCTCGGAGATACAATTGAAGATGAGAGTTGGTTAGGGACACAGCCAGACTATATGAATATATATTAGAAATTTTGTCTTAAATATTATAAATGTATGCCCCTGTAAAATATATGAAACTGCTACTTTCTCTTAATCCTTGACCAATATTATATTGTATATTATAAATGCTATATATTATGAGTTGGAAAATTTTTGCAAATTTGAAAGTAAAAAAGGTTTTCATGTTATTTTCTATTTCTTTTATTATTGACATTTTCCCATTTTTTTATTCAGTTATATTTCTTTATTGGTGAAGTGCCCGTGTTTGTCCTTTGCTATATTATTTATTGAAGTATTGGTAATTTTCTTATTGATTTCATAAATTCTTTACCCATTAACAAAATTAAACTGACTATTATATATCCTTTAAATACATTTTTTTTCTAAAATCTCCCATAAACAAAACCACACAAAGCAAAATATGTATGTTATCGCTAAAATTTGGCAAGAACACAAAGAAGAATAAGGTGTGTACCAACACATAGTCTTGTTGGGGTAAGACAGAATACATTACTAACCACACTAAAATGTGAAATGTATTGATGAGAAAATTATGCATACATTGTTCTGATGGAACAAAAAGAATCACATTGCAATGTGCTAAGAATATGGTTTTGTACTCAACATTCATTTAAAGTTGGCTCAAATACTCCACCATATCTGAATGATGTTCTTTGTGTGGGTAAGTGTGAGAAATTAAGTTGAGTTCTTCATGTTTGAATGAGGCTCATTTTATTGTCTTCCCAGGACAAGAACTGTCTTCTGTGTTTGGATAATTTTCTATCATTAAGTTGAGGCGCTGGATGGAGAAGGAAGTGTATACTTCCCAATAAATAACCTCCCACCAGATTTACAGCTCCTGTGGACTCTGACCTAGGCTTGGCCCCTTTGTGGGGCTCCATCTTCCAAGAAATTGGGCCAGTGGAGAAGCCTCTTGCAGTGGGAGCGGCAGCACCCGCAGCACTCTCAGAGTCAGCAGCACTGTTCTGCCCCCACTGAAGGCGCACAGTCATACAAGCCATGGAATTCCAGGGTCAGTAGTAGCAGCAGGTTCTGTGGCATTATTTGAGCTGTGGTTCATCTGTCATAGTCTTTTCTTTCTTTCTGTTTTTTGCCCATTTTCTTATTTAGGTCTTCTCGGCCTGTTGGTGACTTACTCTGTCAGGTGCCCAAAGCATTCACTTAAATTTCTTTTTCTTTTTTTCAACTCAAATCATTAAGTGTTAATTTTTATTGCTTGCAGTTAAGCATCTAACTAGTGCGTCTAGTGCAGGTATTGTTGCTAGATAAATATACATATGAAGCAGATATGATTCAGAAAAACTTGCCCAATTTAGAGGTTCATGGGTTTGCTCATATATGTTTTTGGGAGATGGGAAGTGAGATCTTGAGAGGACAAGCTAGTAACTCAAAGCTCTCCTACAGCTGTTTAGTGGCAAATCTAGGGCTGGAACCTGTGCCTCTTAATGATCGATATTCTTCTGTTTACAGTTTTCCTCAATCCTGGCACATTGACTTTTGTGGTTCTCTGACTTCTCTGTGTTTGACTAGGTTACATAATTCACATGCTGTACTTTTTAGGGACAGTTACTTTGTCCTCTCCTAACCCCTGTAGAAAAGGAAAAATATCTTGTCTTTTACATTCCTAGGTTCCCTGACTGAGACTGTATAAATTAGTTTAACAAAAGATGGGTGAATAAAAGGAAAACATACAAATTTATTTAATATAATTTTTACATGACACTGGAGTCTTCATAAGGAAATGAAGACTAAAAGAAACAATTAAGTCCAAGCGTTTTTATACTAGATTTGATGAAAAGTGGAAAGTTGCAGGAAAATGTGACAGGAAAAAAGGGTATAAGCTAAGAGCAATAAATTGGGGAAAACTTAGCAAGGCCTGTATGTTCAGATTCCTCTTGATGGGTGTCTATTTTTGGAAATAAGGACGTTCCTTTTCTACAGGTATAGAAAGGGCACCTCTCACAAGAGAGTCTCATGACCTGCTTCAGGGGAGGAGTGGGGAGGCCAGAGAGTCATTCCTGCACCTGCTACTTCCCAAATTCCTTTAGCATAAAATAGTCAACATGTCAAGGCACCATATTTTGGAGTAATGTGCTTTTTATGAAGTCACCCTTCTTTTCCCCACCACAGCATGGTCCAGCACAGGATCAGGAACACAGAGGTTACCTGACTAATCACATTGGACTGAAGTGAAGCTCAATGGAGTATGTGAAAATGAGCATAATCAAAGGGAAATCAATTTAATTCAGTTAATCAAACATTATATTATACTAAGTAGACCTTGGAAGATGCAATCATGAGTAAGATATGGTTCCTACTATTCAAGGATATACATACATATATATATACATATATATATATATGTATGTATATCAATATGTAGATATAGATATATATCTTATATATCTTAGCCCATTCAGGCTGCTATAACAAATACTAGCCTCAATGGTATACTAGGTAGCTCATAAATAACATAAATTTATTTCTTGTAGTTCTAGAGGCCTGGTGATCTGAAATAAAGGTACTGGCTGACTCAATGTTTGGCTAGGGCCCATTTTGTCATACATAACACCTTCTTATCGTCTCCTCCCATAGTGGAAGGTAGCTAGCTAGCTCTCTGTGACCTCTTTTGAAAGGGCACTAATCGCAATTATAAGTGCTCCACCATCATGACTTAATAATTTCCCCAATTCATTACTTAATTATTTCCCCAAAGCCCCACCTCCTATTCTCCTAACACAATCTCCATGGGGATTAGGATTCCAACATAGAAATTTTGGGGAGACACAAACATTCAGACAATAGTAGTGTGTATATGTATACACACACACACATACATACATATATGTGTGGGTGTGTACAATCATGGTATCACAAGATTATAGTACTGTATTTTGAAAAAAATTGTTATTATTATGTTTTTAGAGATAGGGTCTTTTGTTTGTTGCCCAGGCTGGTGGGTGGAGTGCAGTTGCATGATCATAGCTCACTGCAGCCTCAACCTCCTAGCATCAAACCTGTAAATTTAAATTCCTTATAGATACTGCATATTAGACCTTCATCAGATGCATAGTTTACAAATACTTTATCCTCTTCTGTACACTGTCAGTGTAACCTTTGATAGTTTCTTCTGCTGTTAAAAAGCTCTTTAGTTTAATTAGATCCCATTTGTCAATTTTTGCTTTCGTTGTGATTGCTTTTGGCATCTTCATGAAATCTTTGCCAGTTCCTTTGCCGAAAATGGCATTGCGTAGGTGGTGGTCTTCCAAGGTTCTTACACTTTTGGGTTTCACATTTAAGTCTTTAATCCATCTTGAATTGATTTTTGTATATGGTGTAAGGGGGGGGTCCAGTTTCAATCTTCTGCATGTGACCAGCCACTTATCCAGCACCATTTATTGAACAGGGAGTCTTTTCCCTGTTTCTTCTTTTGGTCAGCTTTGTTGAAGATCAGATGGTTATAGGTCTGGGGCCATATGTCTGGGCTCTTAATTTCATTCCACTGGTCTATGTGTCTGTTTTTGTATCAGCACCATGCAGTTTTGGTTACTGTAGCCCTGTAGTACAGGTGGACATTGGGTAATGTGTTATCTCCAGCTTTGCTCTTTTTGCTTAAGATTTCCTTTGCTATTAAGGCTCTTTTTTGGTTCCATATGAATTTTAAAACAGTTTTTTTTTTCTAGTATGTGAATAATGTCATTGGTAGTTTGGCAGTAATAGCAGTGACTCTGTACATTGCTTTGGGCAGTCTGGCCCTTGTAATGATATTGATTCTTTCTATCCACGAACATGGAATGTTGTTCCATTTGTTTGTGTCATCTCGGACTTCTTTGAGCAGTGTTTTGTAATTCTCATTGTATAAATCTTTCATCTCCCTGGTTAGCTGTATTCCTAGGTATTTTATTCCTTCTGTGGCTATTGTGAATGGGATTGTGTTTCTACTTTGGCTCTTGGCCTTGCTGTTGTTGGTATATAGGAATGCCAGTGTTTTTTGTACATTGATTTTGTATCCTGAAACTTTGCTAAAGTTGTTTGTCAGTTACAGGATCTTTTGGGCTGAGATCATGGAGTTTGTTAGATATAGAACAACGCCATCTGCAAACAGGGATAGTTTGACTTCCTCTCTTTCTATTAGGATGCTCTTTATGTCTTTCTCTTGACTGATTGCTCTGGCCAAGTCACCCAATGGTATGTTGAATAGGAGTGGCGAGAGAGGGCATTCTTGTCTTCTCTTGGTTTTCAAAGGAAATGCTTCCAGCTTTTGCCCATTCAGTTGATGTTGGCTGTGGTTTTGTCATAGATGGCTCTTATTATTTTCAAGTAAGTTCCATCAATTCCTAGTTTACTGAGTTTTTACCATGAAAAGATGTTGAATTTTATTGAATGTCTTTTTTGTATCTATTGAGATAATCAAGTGGGTTTTTTTTCTCTCCAGTTCTGTTTATGTGATGAATTACATTTATTGATTTGCATATGTTGAACCAACCTTGCATCCCATGGAAAAAAGCCGACTTGATTGTGGTGAATTCGCTTTTTGATGCACTGCTGGATTTGGTTTGCAAGTATTTTGTTGAGGATTTTTTGCATCAGTGTTCATCAGGATATTGGCCTAAAGTTTTCTGTTTTGGCTGTCTTTCTGCAAGGTTTTGGTATCAGGATGATGCTTGTCTCATAGAGTGAGTTAGGAAGGAATCCCTTCTCCTCAGTTTTTGGAATAATTTCAATAGGAATATTATCCACTATTCTTTGTACATCTAGTGGAATTTGGCTGTGACTCCATTTGTTTCTGGTTTTTCTTCGGTTGGTTGGCTATTTATTACTGATTCTATTTTGGAGCTCGTTATTGGTCTCTTTAAGTATTCAATATCTTCCTGGTTCAGCCTTGGGAGAGTGTATGTGTCTAGAAATTTATCCATTTCTTCTAGATTTTCTAGTTTATGTGCATAAAGCTGTTTATGGTAGTCTCTGACGGTTTTGTTGTTGTTGTTCTTAATTTATGCTACACTGTTTGTGGGGGTCAGAGTTAACAGCCCCTTTGTTGTTTATAACTCTGTTTATTTGAATCTTCTCTTTTTTTCTGCTTTACTAGTCTAGCTAATGGCCTATATATCTTATTAATGTTTTCAAAAAACAACTCTTGGATTCATTGATCTTTGCAATGGCTTTTCGTGTCTCAATCTCCTTTAGTTCAGCTCTGAATTTGTTTGTTTCCTGTCTTCTGCTAGCTTTGGGGTTGGTATCCTCTTGCTTATCTATTTTTTTTTTTTTTTTTTTTTTTTTAGCTGTGATGTTAGGTTGTTAATTTGAGGTCTTTAAAACTTTTCGTTGTAGGCATTTAGAGCTATAAATTTCCCTTTTAACACTGTTTTAGCTGTGTCCCAGAGACTCTGGTATGTTGTGTCTTTGTTCTCATTAGTTTCAAAGTATTTCTTGATTTCTGCCTTAATTTCATTATTTACTCAAGACTCATTCAGGAGTAGGTTGCTTAATTTCCGTATAATTGTATGGTTTTGAGTAATTGTTTTTAGTCTCGATTTCTATTTTTATTGTGCTGTGGTCTGAGAATGTGTTTGGTGTATATATATATATGTGTGTGTGTGTGTATATATATTTATTTTTTAATTTGCTGAGGATGTTTTTATGTCTGATTGTGTGGTTGATCTTAAAGTATGTGCCATGTGGTGATTAGAAGAATGTATTTTCTGTTATTTTAAAGTAGAGAGTTCTGTAGAGGTCATTTCCATTTGGTCCAACGTTGAGTTCAAGTCCTGAATATCTTTGTTAGTTTTCTGCCTTAATGGTCTGTTTAACACTATTAGTGGAGTGTTGAAGTCTTCCACAATTATTATGTGGAAGTCTAAGTCTCTTTGTAGGTCTCTAAGAACTTGCTTTATCAATCTGCGTGCTCCTGTGTTGGACGCATGTATATTTAGGATAGTTACATCTTCTTGTTGAATTAAAACCTTTACAATTATGTCACACCCTTCTTTGTCTTTTTTGAACTTTGTTATTTTAAAGTCTGTTTTGTCTGAAATTAGGATTGCCACCTCTACTTTTTTTGTGATTTCCATATGCTTGATAAATTTTCCAACATACCTTTATTTTGAGCCTATGGGTGTCATTGTGTGTGAGATGGGTCTCTTGAAGACAGCTTACCATTCAGTCTTGCTTTTTTATCCAGCTTGCCACTCTGTGCCTTTTAAATGGGGCCTTTAACCCATTTACATTCAAGGATAGTATTGATATGTGTGGATTTGATCCTGTCATTGTATTGTTAGCTGGTTATTATGCAAACTTATTTATGTGTCTGCTTTATAGTGTCACTGGTCTGGGTAATTAAGTGTATTTTTGTATTGGCTGGTAATGCTTTTTCCTTTCTGTATTTAGTGCTCCTTTTAAGATATTTTGTAAGGCACTCTGATGGTAATGAATTCTCTCAGAATTTGCTTATCTGAAAAGGATCTTATTTCTCCTTCACTGAGGAAGCTTAGTTTGGCCAGATATGACGTTCTTGGTTGAAGATTTTTTTCTTGAAAAATGTTGAATATAGGCCCACAATTTTTTCTGGCTTCTGGGTTTGCTGCTGAGACGTCCGTTGTTAGACTGACAGGATTCTCTTTGTCGGTGACCTGCCCTTTCTCTCTAGCTGCCTTTAACATTCTTTTTTCATTTTGACCTTGAAATACCCAATGATTATGTGATTTGGAGATGATCGTCTTTTGTAGAATACATCAAGGGTTCACTCTATTTCCTGAATTTGACTATTGGTCTCTAGTGAGGTTGAGGAAGTTTTCATGGAGGATATCCTAAAATATGTTGTTCAATTTGTTTGCTTTCTCTCTGTTCCTTTCAGGGATGCCAGTGTTTTGTAGATTTGGCCTTGTTACATAATCCCATATTTCTCAAAGTTTTTAAAAATTCCTTTTTATTTGTTTTTCTTTATCTTTGTCTAGCTGTCAATTTCAGAGAACTAGTCTTCACGCTCTGAGACACTTTCCTCAGCTTGGTCTCTTCTGCTGTTAATACTTGTGATTACACTGTGAAATATTTTTTCAGCTCTATTAGATCAGTTAGGTTCTTTTTCATACTGGCTATTTTATCTGTCAGCTCCTGTATCATTTTATTGTGGTTCTTAGTTTCCTCGGATTGGATTTTGCTGTTCTGAACCTCAATGATTTTTGTTCCTATCCATATTCTGAAATCTATTTCTCTCATTTCAGCTAACTTAGCCTGGTTAAGAAACCTGTTGTTGAACTGATGTTGTTTGAAGGACATAAGACACTCTGCCCATTTGAGTTGCTGGCATTCTGGTGTTGGTTCTTTCTCATCTCTGCATGTGAGCGTTCTTTTAACTGCTGGGCTCACTCTGATTGAAGTGTTCAGGTGGGAGCAGGGTGGTTGTGCTTCAGTCTCAGGTCAGGTGGCCCTGACCAATGAGGAGAAATGGGGAAAGGGAACTGTGCGGAGAACAGACTGGTCACTTTTCCATGAGGTGGGCCTGTGCTGGGAGTCTGGACAAGTCCCTGGTCCCCTTGGATTCTCCAGAGTCAAGACAGCAAGGGCAAAGGCTGTAAGACAGCAAAGATGGAAACCCGCCCCTCCTACTGTGAGCTCTGTCTCAGGGAGTTGCAGAGATGTTACTGGCTCCATAGCCATGGTGAGTGTGGCTGCAGACCCAGGCTGGGAGGACCTGCCAATAAGGAGATATGAGATTGGGGACCCACATAACAAAGAGTTTGGCCACTTTTCTGTAGGACTGTTCAGTATGCTGGGAGTCTGCTCCAGTCTCTAGTCACCTTGAATTCTCCAGCACCTGTGCAGTGAAGGCTGTAAAACAGCAACAATGTCGGCCTGCCCTTCCCTCTGACAGCTCCATCCCAGGGAGGTACAGACCTGTTGCCAGCCTGAACACACCAATAGGGGTAGTTTCAGACCTTGGTTGGGAGATGTCACCCAGTGAAGTAAAATGGAATCAAGGACTTGTGTGAAAAAGCTGTCTGGCCACTTCTCCATAGAGCTGCTGTGCCAGGGGACTGCTTCAGTCCCTAGTCTCTTTGGAATCCCTAGAGCATGAAGGTAACAATAGCTAAGGCTGTGAATCAGCAAAGATGGTGGCCAGTCCCTCCCCCTGGGACCTCTGTCCCAAGGAGGCTCAGAACCATTGCCAGCTGGAAAACACTGGTGAGGGTAGTTGGTGACCCAAGTTGGGAGGTCCCAGCCAGTGAGGAGAAGCAGGGTCAGGAACCCACATAAAAAAGAAGTCTGGACACTTTTCCATAGGGTAGCTTCACTGAAGGCAACAATAGCTAAGGCTGCAAAACCACAGAGATAGCAGCTCACCTCTTCCTCTGGGTGCTCCATCTCAGGGAGGTGTAATGCTGCTACTGGTGGCTGGCTGGAGTTCCAAGCCAGGGGGTCTTATCCTGAGCAGTGCCGTAGAAGCAGGGCCTGCAGACTGTAAGCACTCAGCCTCCTGGATTCAGCCCCTTTGGTGTCTAACCTCCCACTTTGCCAGAGCTGTGACTGCTTTTGCCAGGAAGTTTGGGTATCTATAGCTCCCAGGGCTGTGCTTGTGCCTGAGTGGCTGCTCTGCCAAGACACCATGTATGTCTTTGTGTCAGGCTGCAGGCCCTAGTGGATTGGGTTCATGTGGGGATCTCCTGACCTGAGGGTTGCAAAGATCAATGGGAGAAGCATGGGTCCCCAGGGTCACTTGGTCACTCACTCATTGCTTCCCTGGGTAGGGAAGCCCCCCTGGCTCTGTGTCTCTCTCACGTGGGCAGTCATCCTGCCTTGCTTTTCTCCATTCTCCTTGGGTTGGATTGTGTTCTTGATGAATCCCAGTGTGTGTACCTGGATGTTTCAGTTGAAGCTGCTGTATTTACTTACCCCTTCTATTTCTTTCTGTGAGAGCAGCACACACTGGCTTCTTCTAATGGGCCATCTTGGCCAGTCTCCCCCGTCTATGATTAGACAAACAAATACCATTGTGTTACAGTTGCCTGCAGGATTCAGTATAGTAATATGCTATATAGATTTGCAGCCTAAGGGCCATAGGCCATACCGTATAGCCTTGGTGTGTTGTAAGTTATAGCATGTAGGTTTGTGCATTTCTCAGAAGATACCTTCATTGTTACGAGACACATGACCTTGTCTAAACACAAACACACACACACACTCATATATATGTATGCAGAAAGAAGTAAGCTTTATATATAAAGCAGATGATAAATGAAATCATTTGACTTTTTTTTCCTCTGATCTAATAATTTTTATACTAGTTAGTTCATCAGAATGTAGTGAGTTTGGCAAATTCCTTTATATTACCCTTTAAAAAATTCATTAATCAGAAAATGATTTGTAATGCCTTTAAGAAAAGAATAGATTTTTAGTCATGCTATAGGATTGATATATTCAACATTTCTGGTTAAAATAACATTAGCTCAATCTGGCTAACCATTTGGGTAATAAGTCAAATGGAGAGAAGGAGTACTAAGGTTAATTACATACTTTTTCTGCAGTTCTGTAATTGCTTCCTTCATTTTAATTTTGCATCCCTAGGCAAGCTTCTGGTGTTTTGAGTCCCATGGTCCAATCTACAGAGTGTCAAAAATTGCCCATACTTCTTTCACTCCCCCTAGAGAAGTCAGCCCTGGCTTCCAGCCCACTAGGCACAGCAGGACACCATGAGTACTTACTAGATTAATACTAAAGGGAAATGCATTTGAGAATGTCTTTTTCTGATAGGAGTTCATTCTGGAGATATGTCCTTTTGTGGCTATCAGTATGTATAGAAAATTTTTATTACAGATTTCAATATTGTTGTCATATGAAAACATCAAATATGACTTAATGATTCATTTAGAGTACAGTGGTGTCCACTTACCAATGGGGCATTTATTCCAAGAGCCCAGTGGATGTCTGAAACCACAGATAGTAGAAAACCCTATATATATATTATATATATTTATATATATATATAAATATATATAATATATATATAGTGTTTTTTCCTATCCATACATACCTATAAAATGTTTAATTTATAAATTATAAATTAGGCATGGTAAGAGATCAACATTAAATAATGTAAAATAGAACAATTATAATAATATACTATAATACAAGTTATGAGAATGTGGTCACTTTCAAAATATCTTGTACTCTACTGCAAGTAATAGAAATCACTGAAAGTAAAACCACTGATAAGGTAGGGCTTATACATTTTTTAAACTCAGAAATCTAAAATTGTTTTATTATTTTTTTTTACCTTTTGTGACTTTAATATATGAGCATTACACAGAATTATAATATGTATGTCCTAAAATCTTCTTTACATTTATCCTAAAATATACAGTCTAAATATTTATTGGTCTAAGTTCCAAATTAGATGGGAATTTATTTGAAGGAGCTAAGTGTTGCTTCCTGGTGTGAAATTTCAGTGTACAGGAGAAATACAAGGAGAGTGTTACTTATTAATGGCTGCTAATGCCTCCTAAGTGCACACAGTCTTTAGCGGAACAATTACTGTCTTGTTTTGAAGTGTCAACAGAGGATAATCTTTTCACATGTAAATTGGTATTTTCTGCTTGGTCATAGGTAGTCTTCAATTTGTGACATTCTACAGTTTTCATTCTTCCCAGGTCACACATGATGACTCAGTAGGCTAGCAGGCAGTGGGCAAATGAACTAACCTCAGGCCTATTATTTTCTGACTTTGCATGTGAGGTTCCTTCCCCCCTGCTCAGCCCATACATCCACGGACTAGCGGTGAAAAGCCAGCAGCAACAGCAGATTACCTCTACCCATGGTGCTTTCACTCTTATATATTATGTGAGACCTGGTGGGTTACTTAACCACTCTATGCCACAGTTTCCTTAATATGCAGCATGAATAGTTATTATACATAATACATAACTCATAAGCTGGTTGTAAAAATTAACGAGTTAAAACGTATAAGTGTTCTGAAAAATACCTGGTTAATAAGTGCTGGTTATTATTATCATTATTGCATATAATGGAAAGGAGAAGTAAGAAAGAACTCCAAATCATCAGTCTGCACAAAAGACCCTGTATATACCCAGGAGACATTATGCAGCTAGTAAAATAACCCTGAAGGTCATTTCTCTTTTGATTTGTTTGTTTGTTTTAGATATGGTGTCTCTCTATTTTGCTCAGGCTGGACTTCGACTCCTGGCCTCAAGCAGTCCTCCCATCTCAGCCTCCAGAGGAGCTGGGACTACAGGTACTTGCCACGCCACCCAGCTCCCTGAGGGTCATTTCTAAAGAGATATTTTAAACTTATTTTGAACAATGGTAGCATAATGAGATAAACACATAGCTCTTAAAAATGACTCCTGCCAAAGGGTCAGAACTTACCTGGTTGTATGAATTGAGCACAGGGTTATGAGTGCAGGCTATGACGTTTAACTACTTGGGATGGAATCCTGGCTTTAATACTTCCTTTCTGTGTGACCTGGTGGGTTACTTAACCACTCTATGCCACAGTTTCCTTAATATGCAGCACGAATAGTTATTATACATAATACATAACTCATAAGCTGGTTGTAAAAATTAACGAGTTAAAACGTATAAGTGTTCTGAAAAAGACCTGGTTAATAAGTGCTGGTTATTATTATTATTGCATATAATATTTAAAAATCTTAACTTACAGTAACCATATACATTTCTTCATAGTCTTTCAGAATAATTGGTAAGCTGAAATAAAAAACAAACAAATCAAGTGATAGAAAAAAACAGCTTTATGATTAGGTTTAGTTCGGTTTTATATATTTCCTTCTCTGTGTGGTATATTGGTAAGAGAATGTAACTTGGGTTTGAATTTTGGTATCTTTGCCTACTTACCAGCTGTGTGAACTTGACTAATTTACTGGAGTTCTCTTAGCATTAATTTCCTCATTTTAATGTAGGTGTAATCCTCCACTTCTCAGAATATTGATGTGAAGTCTGACTGTGATAGCATATGAAATGATCATGGGCTAGTACCTAAGCACAGAATAGCTACTTAAGAGACGTTTGTTCTTTTCTCCCTGTATCAAAATCAATACAATTTCACTTCAGGCACAAAAAAATCAAAGTTTTGCATCTTTCAAAAGAAGTTTTACATCATATTTACTAAATAAAAATACTCAATTATATGATCAATGTAAGCACAAATGTGAGAGGAGTATGGAGATGTAAAAATTACCTAACATTCTAGTATTCAAACTAGATCACTTCTAACATATCTTTCCCAGTTATTGCCCTATCCATCTATAAACATTTAGATTCATGAGTAGATTGTTATATAAATAGGTTCAAAAAATACATATTATTCTGTACTTTGATTTTTTCCTTGTGATGAATATATTGTGGATATCTTTCTGATTCCCTGTATGCAGACATGTAACATTATTTTTACTATATTGTATGCCATTTAAATTTCTTACATAGTTTATTTACATAATTAGCATCAAAATGAAACATAATTTGGTAATCTTTCCAATATGGTACTATTAAAGCAGTGCTACAACAGCACATGTACATGTAACATACATGCACATATACCTTTTTGTACTTGAGCAAATTTCTACATGTAAGTCCTGCATAGTAGAATCGCTGCAGGAAGGTAGACACACAGTTTGCATTTTGATGCAGTTTCTTATCCTAATTACTAATGCTTATTAGATAACTAGTCAGAACAAGCATCATATTTTTTTGCCTTTTTTCTTACAGTGATACAGCCACTTATAGCACCCAATACTCTCTCTTAATAAATTCCAAATATTATAATTACATTAATTTGCATTTTATTTTATTTATACCTATTTATTTATTTGTAAAACTTTTGTGTTATAGGAATAGCAGAGTTAATTAAATGTGAAAATTTTAGTTCTTTCGATTGGAATTTGTCTATAGGGCTTTTATATGCAGTATAACTATTTCTGTGCGATATTTTGAGGAAAAGCATATTCAACTGAAATCATTAGAACTTGTTTCTCATTTTTCAAATGTAGTCTATTTATATAAAAGGGTAATGGAAATTACATCTCTGTGTGTATATATCTGTATATATCTATTTATATATAAATATGTATATGCTTGTATATACTCATGATGTATACACAGACATATATATATATATATAATATTACTTAAGAAAAACCCTATCTTACATTTTCATTTGACAGAACTGAAACTCCTTGTCAAAGAGTTGACTTTGTTCCTTATTGAAGCATTAAGCTTTAGCTACGTGATATTAACTCTTATAATTGTCCTTATTCTATCAAAACATGTGCAATCTACAGTGTGTAGAATTAGAAATCCAAAATGAAGTATTCAGAAAAATAAATTTATATAAGCCATCTGTGAGCAATTTAAAAATCAGTTGGATTTGTATATAAGCAAATATTGAACTGATATCCAATCATCATATTTATTTTTTGTCATGGTTTGATGACCCTATCACTTATTATCACTTGTGAACAGTCATATGGGAGGCAATAGAGTGAAGCAGTTAAAGCTGTGAGCTCTGGAGCTAGACTTTCTGAGTTCAGATCCTAGTCCTGCAAAAGGCTCATGGGGTAAATTACTTCACCTTTCCATGCCCTATGTTATCTTGAAAAATGCTGATAATAAGAGTGATCACTTGATAGGGTTACTGAGAAGATAAATGAGTTAATACAGTAAAAGTCTTAGAACAATGCCTGGCCCAAAGCGCCAGTAAACACCACATAGTCTCCTTAAAAGATACTTTTTCAAATTTCCTCCCCTCTACACCCTGTTAACCTTCAACACTTGGTCTGTGAAACATTTTCACAATAAGAGTTAAATTTTCCCTTCTGTGTACCAGTGGAGATGTATTAATCTTATTGCAATTAAATATTTTTATGATAGCTACAAAAGTACAACATAACATAGAGCAAAGTAGAGCTCCAGAATCAGAAATAGTTGGGTTCGAATTCTGTTTGGCCATTTACTTATTCTGTTACCTCGGGGGAGATACTAAGCATAGTATCCAATAAAACGAAGATATGCAATATCTAGGGATAGCGACTAAAACATGGTAGATGATCACAACCAACATTTTTTCCCCTAATAAATGTGAAATTATAAATGGCAAGACTATATCTTACTTGTCTATAAGCTTGATTGGAGCTTAGCTAAAGACTACATGTGTCCAATTTTACTTATATCATGATTTAAGTCAAATTGACACATTCACCCAGGTTATCTGGCATTAGGCATTGCTGGATGCTGGGAGTTAAATAATGTCATTGATACAGTGCCCTGCTTTATTTCCCTCTGGATGGTCCTATTTTCAGGAAGCCACTCCTTTCTTTTTAGAAAGACAATTACCAGCAAATCCAGGCTTCTATGTTTTCCTGTCAGCAATGACAATGAAAATAAAATGCTTCTTTTTCAAAAATCCCAGCCAATGTTACAGAATTGAGTACCACTGGCTTTGGTTGCTGAGACCTGCACCCCCCAGAGCCAGAAAGTTCAGACCCACAGTGAAGATGCAGTTCATTTGTAGGAAAATGATAGTGTTCTGCCCAGAAAAAGTGTGAGAAGATGTCCAAAGGTCATCTTTGGATGAAGGTGCTAAAGGCCCCTATGTGAACACAGACATCTGCCATGTAATTGACTGTCTCTTCTGCTAGTGTCATTATACATGCCATATATCACCTTAATGTCATCAGAGAATATCTCCCTCACCAACTCTCAGCCACTGACCTTTACTCTGAAAAGACCACATTACATGGCCAAAGCCCCATTTGTGCTGTAGAGAGGCATGAGCAGCAAGTCAAGGAAGATATTGGGGGTGTTGTTGTCTGAATGTTTGTCCCCTCATCCCCATTCTTACATTGAAATCTTATCCCCCAAGGTGATGGTATCTGGAGGTGATGCCTTAGCGCCCTTATAAAAGAAACCCCAGCCACCTGGCTAGCCTATTTCACCATGTGAGGACACAGCAATATGACACCATCTATGAAGCCAAAAGCAGGCCCTCACCAGACACTGAATCTGCCAGCACTTTGATCTTAGACTTCCCAGCCTCCAGAACGCTGAGAAACAAATTTATTTTGTTTATAAGCTAACCAGTCTATGGTATTTTGTAATAGCAGCCTAATGGTTCAAGACAGAGGAATGACTGCTGAAGCTGGAGTTGGGGTGAAGTTCAAAGGACATTTTAGGTATGCCACTCTCACACAGGCTGATAGCAGTCAAAGAAAAAGGTGGTTAAAAAGAGTTAGAAGAAACATATCTTCATATTATAGGCTGTTATAATTAATGGATAATAGAAAGGGTTATATTAATTCAACAAAAATTTGCATACCTGTCATCTGTTGGACTCTGTCCCTTTTTTGTTGACGAGATGAACAACTAGTTCTAGTGTTACCTGTCTGTGCTACTAATTTCTGTTCTTTTCTTCAAAGCACTTTTGACAATATTTTGCTATATTTTTTTGTTTATTTAAGATCTATTTTAAATAAATTTCTTAAGGGAAAATAACATATCTGCTTATTATTCAGCCTATACCAGGATTTCTCAACCTTAGCACTACTGACATTTAGGGCCAAGTAAGTCTTTGCTGTATGGGCTCATCTTCTGCACTGTAGGATGTTTAGCAGGATCCCTGATCTTACCAATTAGATGTCAGTAGCATCCCACCCTCCACTACCCATAGCTAGGGCAAGCAAAAAGTTCTTCAGACATTCCCAAATGCCCCCAGAAAGAAAAAAAATTGCTCCTAGTTGAAACCACTAGTCTATACCCATCACTCAGCATGGAGCATGGCACATAATAAGCATAGAGTATTATTTATTTAAAGAAGTAATCCATGCTTCCAATTCAAACACCATTCTATTAGACAGCCTACTTAATTGCTCTTCTACCCCAACAAAGGCAGACATCCAAGGATGCAATACAAGAGTTGGCATGATAGGGTGAAACTATGGACAAAGTGTCCTTTGTAGCATTTTATTTTACTTTTTGTTGGTTATGTTCGCTTCTGTTTTTCATGCGAATTGTTACATTTTTTGACTATATTTTATATTTTGCTCTAGTCAATCATCTTATTGTTTTGCTCATGTGCAGTGTGTCTCCAATTTTAATTTTCTCTAAAACAGAGCTCCAAATCTTTGAGAATTTTACATGAACTTTTTTATTTCTGTAACTTAGTAGAAATTCATTCTTATTCTTTATGTTAGAGTAGGGTGGTTTGGACACACATATAGATGGGAAATAAAATGAACATTGTCTTAATCAACCATAGCTCTTTTGCATTTTATATTTAATGTAATAGATCAGTAGCAGTCACCAGAGCTCTGGTGCTGAGCCGGTGCTGAACTTGCTGGCTTCAAAGTCCTGGAAAACATTGAAACATACAGATTTCTGGGTCCTAGTTTCAGAGATTTTATTCAGTTGTTCTGAAGTGGGACCCGGAAATCTGTGTCTTCAAAAAAGTACTCAAGGGACTAAGATATGTAGCGCATTGGGGAAACATTTTGTAGTAGAAAGACTCTTCACATATGAAATTAATTCTTATTTGAGGTGTCCCAGTAAGAAAATATTTTATTTATTTATTTTTTTGAGATGGAGTCTCACTCTGTCGCCCAGGTTGGAGTGCAGTGGCGCGATCTCAGCTCACTGAAAGCTCTGCCTCCTGGGTTCATGCCATTCTCCTGCCTCAGCCTCCCAAGTAGCTGGGACTACAGGCACCCGTCACCACACCCAGCTAATTTTTTGTATTTTTAGTGGAGACAGGGTTTCACCGTGTTAGCCAGGATGGTCTCGATCTCCTGACCTCATGATCTACCTGCCTCGGCCTCCCAAAGAGCTGGGATTACAAGCGTGAGCCACCGCGCCTGGCCAAAAGTATTTTAATCTCTTATGCAAACTTCTGTCGGTTAGTGGTCAAAGTAGTGCTGCCAATTCTTGCCTACTAGGAACAAAGGAAGTGCTAAAAGGTATTTGTGGCCTATTGAAGAATCTCTTTTTCTCTTTGTTTGCAGTTGCACTGCATGTTTAATTTTGTTTTATGATAATGGCAGTTCATGACTCTTGCTTTCTTTAAAGACTGCAGAAAATGAATTGTAGTTTTGTTGTGCTCCTAGTTGGATAATGAACAGAACAATTAGCTGCTTGCTGACTTAATTTCCCAGTGACCTCTTGGACCATCTTTAGAACAGCTTCTGAGCCCATGGTCATGGGTGTTTTCAGGTATAAATTGCTAGTGCATGGAAGGAAAAGCCTCTTTCAAAATTTAACTTCCATACGTTCATTTCATGGAGACCCAGCCTGAGCTATGAAGACAAAATGCCATCATCATTTCTTCTAGGATTTCGTCTGAATCACAATTGTAAAGCTATTTGTCTTCCCAGAATATTTCTCTAGCTTCATTCAGATTCTGGCCTCAAAATTTGGACTTATGACATTACCAAAAGAGAATACTGATTTTCACATTTGCCTGAGTAACTGTAATTTCTCGAAGGTATTTTGATCTTCCAGTTCATCTAGAAAAGGTTTCCTATTCCTTTAGACACTATGACTCATTTCTCACTACTTTTCTCATCAACTATAACTTTATATTAGAACAATTTTGATAATTAATCTGCCTATAATTTTTTTTTTCTTTTTCGGAAAATCTTATGGAGAAAAGATGATTACACTCTATATCCTTACCATGAACCTACTTTTTCTCTTGCTCAGTCTGATGCAATGTAATATCTAGTGACTTTGAAGTCAACACACCTGGCGATGACTGTCTAGGAATGTTCTAGGAATAACAGTTGATGTAAATGCTCACTTCAGGATCACTTATGTCAGTGTTAATACACTAGGGGACCTGTCTGCTTGAGGAAGGTTAATGACTGTTCATGTCGCATATGCAGTTTATAGTTGCAGTCCATCACTTTGGATCATCTAGATAATTTTACAATAACTGTGATTGACTTTTTGTCTAAAGTGATCCAAACTCTTTCCTTGCTAAATTTATCTAATGTATGTTCCCTACATCAGGAAATTTTTACATTTACTAAGACTTGTTGTATTTTATGTAGATGTTTGTATACCTTACCAATCCCATATAATGGAATCAGAGGGTCTCTTCACTGCAAGTTACCCTTAGAAAGTATTAATTCTATTCCTTTTTTTGATATTCATAAAAAATTAACACCCAGAAAAGTTAACTTAACTCAGGTCAAAGTACCCAAGGGTGTTGGATCCAGATCTCTTTTAACCTCCTGGTCCAGTCTTACTTGGCTGATCATTAAAATATAGCCATCATTTATTCAGTGTGGGCTATGTGCCACCAGGAGCTGCTTTAAAGTCCAATGATCATGCTTCCTTTCTTCCTCCAATGTAGTGGAAGCTTTACTGTAAATTTTATGAATCTGGAGTTTTAGCCTCTGGAATTCTGACTTACAGAGGTATGTATTTTCTCTGAACTAAGCCCTGGGAATGCTGAAATTCACAGAAACACAGTTTCTGCAGTTAAGATATTTTATGTACTGAAAGAGATTGATGCATGAGGACCTATACCTAATGCATAACTATTATTCAGTATGGTCAATGGTATTTAGAAAATGGTTTGGGAATATAGTTTATGAGAGAAAATTAATTTGACCTTCCCTGGGTGGAGGGTACACAACACTAAAGGTAAGATATGAACTTGATCCTTGAAGGTGGAGAGGGATGAATAGATACATCTGCCAGGTTGACAAAGTAGGCACCGCAGAGAGCTAAAATACTTCAGATACAGGGCATAGCACCAATGAAGCATTGAGAATGAGAGCTTAAGGTTTCCTTTGAAGGTAGATTTTGTCTGAGGCTGCCTTGTTTCCTCCATAGTACTTAGCACAATGGTAAAAACAAGCTACGCACTCAGTAATGCTTATTAGATGAAGGAAATGCCATTTTCTACTAAGCGTCCAAATTTAAAGAGGCAAGGAAGCCATTTTTCCAAATTGGCTTTTAAATAAAGATGAAGATCTACAATTAGGAGGTTAAAGGGGCATTTATTAGTAAATGAGTAAATCCATTGATTATAGGGAAGCAATTATTAACCCAGGATGCCAAGCCAAGAAAGCAAAAGGTTGTGCCAAATTAACAAATTTACTACCTAATAAAGCTAAAATAAGATTAACCAAGCACATTCAATAAAAGCCAGTAAACTGCCACATAATTAGACTCAAAAGTTAACAAATGCCAGTAGGCACTTTACCAAAGCAAATGAAGAAACTCTTTATAAACTAAGACTTATAGGGCTCAAGCATTTTTATGAACCAAGTGAATGGTGGGGTAAGAAGCTGGTTTGCAAATACAGAAAAGGGTAAAAGGAGAAGAAAATAATGCAATAACAGGAGAGAGAGAAAAAACAGTAAAAGATAAATAACAGAAGAAACCTTTAGAGGATGTTTTAGGAACCAGGAGCCCAGTGCAATGGCACCAGAGTGGTAGGAATTGCTCGAAGAGTTTACTATTGCCTCCTTGAGGTTGGATGTTGCCTTTCAGGTTTGAGAATACAACCAGTGGATGGTCTTTTTGAATGCCTCAAGAGAATCAGTGGAAAATTTAATAATTGGCAGGAACTGACCTTTGCATACATGTGTAGGGTTTCTACTAAGGATTTTGGGAATGATAATTGTATAAATGTGGTATTAAACAGACATACTGTTCGTGGTAACACACAAAATATTTGAGTATAAAGAAAGGTAAACTAATATTAATCTACAGTTCCTAGTTGGTTAGTAAGCATCAGGTGCTTAGCTTTGCCTAGCTTAAACCATAACTTAAAAAAAAAAAAAGGAGAGTTGGTTATAAAGAAATGTTTCAGATCCCACTCACTGGAATCTGCTATTTTGGTCCCCTGTACCCCGAACACTTTATTTTTTTCAATACAAATCACAGATCTCATAGCACAAAATAAGGTATTTGGGGGGTGACTACTAGATTATGTTTAACATAACTAGCAAGAAGAGCTTCATGGTTATCTACATGTAATCAAAGAATGTTTCCTCAAAGGACTTTGGACATTTTTTCAAAGTTTGCTTTTTCTGTTTTTTAGGTTAATTACTCCTTGAGTTAGACAGATTTAACTTGTAGGTCCTAGAATGATCATCTAACTTGCTTAACAGAAGGTATCTTATTACTTTAACCCAGCAGAGTTAAGATAACCCTTTAAAATAGTATAGAAGCTACAGATTTCAGTGATGAAGTATTGTGTTGTGTTAAAACTGCATAGGCATATCGAAGAAAGCAGACATAAATAATTTACAGAAATTTATTTTTCATAAATTTCCTTTGGCAACTTCTCAGAACTACTTTAGAGCTTAGCTAAGTCAGCTTCTTTTGATTTTTCTACCATTTCTGTGGGTCAGGTTGTTGATTCCTCACGCTACTGGGCCTGATGGACTCTAATCTTTGGGCTGGATATTTCGTCTCACACATGGTCTTAGCAGGAAATACTTTCAACACAAATTCCTGTGTTCAAATATAGAAGGCTGTTTTGGATTTCAGAACCAGATGGAGTATGTAAAAATGGCCATAAAAGATCTGGAGCTCAAGGTAAAAAAAATAATCTGAGCATAAATTCTTATCATAGTGCCTGTGGTCAACTAAAAAACATTAAGATAACCTGGTTGTTCTTAATGTCTGAACAAATAGAAACTTACACAAATGGCCTCTTAAACCAGGGAAGGATATTCTTTCTGTGCTTTCTTAATGTGACTCTATGAACTATGACACCTGTTATGAATCTCTGGTTTCTTTTAACGTAGGCCTATGAGAAAATAAAATCCACTTGGAAGGAAAAGCAAAACAAAACGTGAAATGACCCTTGAAGATATAGGAGATGTCTTAGAATACTTGCATTTTAATAGAAGACTACTAAGAACAAAAGTATTAATACATGGCACTTAAGTAGAAATGTTTATTTTAAATCATGTACGGTATCTACTTTAACAGGAGAATGCTAAGTATGAAGCTAATATTCCATAAACATTTAACAAGAAACAAAGTAAGCCCAAACTCACCTTTAAAATACATTGACGTAGAGTAACCTCATACCTTTATAGTTTCAAGTTTTATGGACTATGTAATGTAAATTATGAAAAAAAAAAGTCATTCTGACCACTGGAAACCTCTAACTTTAGTCAAGAACAAAATGGAAATCTATTGCATGACATAGGGGCTTTTACTGATAATAAAGTTTCATTAAAATATACAAATGAGGCTGGGTGTGGTGGCTCACTCCCGTAATCCCAGCATTTTGGGAGGCTGAAGCGGGCAGATCACAAGGTCCGGAGTTCGAGACCATTCTGGCTAACACGGTGAAACCCCATCTCTACTAAATATACAAAACAATTAGCCGGGCTTGGTGGCGGGCACCTGTAGTCCCAGCTACTTGGGAGGCTGAGGAAGGAGAATGGCATGAACCTGGGAGGCGGAGCTTGCAGGGAGCCGAGATTGTGCCACTGCACTCCAGCCTGGGCGACAGAGCGAGACTCCGTCTCAAAACAAACAAACAAACAAACAAACAAAAAAACAAAACAAATGAGCAGCAGAGCAATATGGCCGAATAGAAGTCTACACCATTCACCCCCCCACCCACCCTGCAGGAACACCAAATTTTAACAATTAAGTACAAAAAGCACCATCACAAGAACCAAAAATCAGGTGAGCAATCACAGTACCTGGTTTTAACTTAATATTGCTGAAAGAGACATTGAAGAGGGCTGGAAAGACAGTCTTGAATTGCAGATACCACCCCTCCCCCATGCCCTAGCAATAGCTGCACACTGTGGAGAATCTGTGTGCTTGGCAGAGGAAGAGTACAGTGATTGTGAGACTTTGCAATGAACTCAGTGCTGCCCTGTCACAGTGGAAAGCAGAACCAGGTTTTACTCAGTTAATGTCTGTCCATGCAGAGAGCATTTGAACCAGCCCTAGCCAGAGGGGAATTGCCCATCCCAGTGGTGAGAGCTTGAGTGCCAGCAAGCCTTACTACTGCAGGCTAGAGTGCTGTGGGGCCCTAAATGAACCTGAGGGGCAGTCTAGCCACAAGGACTGCAAGTCCTAGGCAGGTTCTAGTGCTGAGCTGGGCTCAGAGCCAGTGGGGTAGAAACTACCAAGACACCAGCCAGGGCAGCTAAGGGAGTGATTACATCACCTCTCCCCATCACCCCAGTAGTGGCTGTGCAGTGCAGAGAAATCATATGTTTGGGAGAGGGAGAGAGCAGTGACTAAGTGACGTTACATTGAACTCAGTCCTACCCTGTCACAGCAGAGACCTGGCAAGAATCATTATCTTCTGACGAAAGAATTTCCGGACCCTGAATAACCAAAAGCAATGCTCAGGTAATATGCTGTGGGTGTTAGGATCTGAGACATGCTGCCTTCAGATGAGACCCAGCACATTCCCAGCTGTAGTGGCTATGGTGAAAGATTCCTTCTGTTTGAAAAAAGCAGGGGGAAAAGTAAAGGGGACTCCATCTTGCATCTTAGGTATCAGCTTGCCAAAGTTGAGTGGCGCACCAAGCAGACTCATGGGGTCCTTGACTCGAGGCATAGGCTCTTGGTCAGCATTTCTGGTCCTGCCCTGGGCCAGTGGGGAGCCCACTGCCCCTGAAGGGTGAGTCCAGGCCTGGCAGCATTCCTCACAGCTGACTGAAGAGCCCTTGGCCTTTAAGTGATCAATGGTGGCAGCCTGGCACAGCCTCTTGTGAGTTGCTGGTGGTGGTTGACACAGGGACAGGCTCCTCTGCCTATGGAAAGGGGAGGAAGCATGGGGAAGAAATGTCTTGTGGTTTGAGTGCCAGTTTAGCCACAGTACAATAGAACTTTAATTAAACTTCTAAGGTTTTTTACTTCAATACCTGGCTCCCAGACAGCATCTCTGGGGGATCTGAGGGCCTGAGAGAGCTTGCCACCCTGAAGGAAAGGTGCCAAGAAAATACACTGGAAAAGTGACAGTCTCTTTAAGAAATGGTCTTGGAAAATCTGGCTAACTATATGCCAAAGAAAGAGACTAGATCCCTATCTCTCACTATGTACAATAATGAAACCAAAATGTATTAAAGACTTAAATCTAAGACCTCAAACTATGAAACTTCTACAAGAAAACACCAAGGAAGCTCTCCAGGACATTGGTCTGGGCAAAATTTTTTTGAGTAATACTCCACAAGCACAGGCAACCAAAGCAAAAATGGACAAATGGGATCACATAAAGTTGAAAAGCTTCTGCACAGTGAAGGAAACAATCAACAAAGTCAAGAAACAACACACAGAATGGGAGAACGTATCTGCAAACTACCCATCTGTCAAGGGATTAATAACCAGGATACATAAGGAGCTCAAGCAATTCTATAAAAAATTCTATATTAAGTCTTATTCATTCTTTCTAACAATATATTTTTGTACCCATTTCCTTGGTGTGATAAGTACTCATTGCCCATATCAAAGTATCTCATATACCACATAAATATTTTCACCTAGTATGTAGCCATGAAAATAAAAAAGGAATAAAAATAATAAAGATCAGTTTATTAACCAATTAATTTATTCAAAATTATTAATGATATTCTTTCTCTATATCAGGCTTTGCACTTGTGCAGGTATATTCCTGCACATAGGAAGACATAAAACATTCTAGTAATAAGCTTGTGTGTGTGTTTGTAAAATAATCACATGGGTTAAAACATTATCCTAAGTGTGAGAAATGATATTTCTAATCATTGAGAAATCATTTGAGAAAAAGTATTGTATTTCTAATGTATTTCACAACTATGCTTGAGCAATGATTATAAACCAAGAAAAATGCCAGCTCTTTAGCGTACAATGAAGAACAAGATAGGTAAACCCCATGCCTCCGCAAAGAATACAGCCTGATGGTGAAGAACAACAGTTAAACCAAGAGTTAAAATCACTTATTAGAGGGAGATCATAGGAAATCTCAATCTTGCGTAGAAGCTCATAATAGGAATACCTATCTAGTCCAGGGAATGTCAGGGAAAACTACAGAAAGTAGAGCATAACCTTCCAAATTAAGGAATTCTACATTAAATGCTTTCACATGATAATCTAGCCTATGAGGCCCTCGTATTGGTCTTTGTTGGTCTGTGCTATTAAATATGGCATCATAGATGGGAAAAAGCAGCTACTTTTTCTCTGTAAGGTGAACCATAAATTGAGAGTTAATATAGACAAGGAGAATCTGGTGTCAGTGAGGCAGTATCTCCAAGAGTCTGGTGGTCTGTAGTGTGCTCCATAGACTGACCGAGAAATAATAAAATAGTGAGGTTATGTAGTTTAGATTGTACTTGATATGTTATTATAAATAAATGATAACCTCAACATTCCACATTGATGTGAAACAGATGTCTGGCATCCAACGCTGTGCCCTGAACATGTAATGGTTAGTTGATGATGGAGAAGACAATGATGCTGTTGGTAAGGAGGTATAATATGCAGAGAAAGCTGCCGCAATCTACATGTGACTTTTATGAGCCGCAAATAATGTCTGAAGCATTATTTCAATGTAATAGTATTTTCAACTGATAAGAAAGGGTTTATTAAGCCAATTTACGTCTTTATCAGCTCAGTCTTTTTGCAGGCTTTAATGCAATTCCTGGAGCATTATAATTGAGAAAGAAGGATAGCTGTTCATTTTGGAAGTGTCTGGAATGTTGATTAGAATCATACTATATGCAAAACCAAGATTGTATTGACTGTCAATGTCCTTTAAAGAAGTCAAACCTGGCTCCTCATTTTGCAGAAGGTGACACCCTTGCTTCATTCTAAATTGGTTAAAGGAAACTAACATGTGTTGAGCATGTGGCAAATGCCAGTGGTATTTACTTGTTTCCACATTTATTCCTCAAAGATATTGCATGAGGTAAGTTGTCATTTTTATTTTACACACAAGTTAATTGGGTCACAGTGATGCTAAATCTTATGCCCAAGTTCATATTGCTAATGCCTGGATATGAAGCTAGGGAAACCTGCTTTCGATGTTCATTATCTTGCCTGATTTTGTGATAAAAGCTCTTTTCACATAGTGATTGTGAAGAGGACTGTCAGTCATGCTTGCATTACAAGACATAGCATAGTTGATAATATTTTATTTTATAATTTTTTATATTATGGATATAATAGGAGATTTCAAGTAATTCAAATTACGAGTGTGCATTTTAGGCCATTGAAGTAATTATGAATCCTTCACATATGTAAAATAAATCATCAGTTTTAATGGCATGCTACCAGATGATGTGCATGATTGCAAATTCAAACATTTTCCTGTGCAGTTTAATTTAATGCATGGTTGGATGCATATGAATACACCTGCAAGTTTACATATATAATTCAGTATTTTCTAATTATATTCTGATAGCTACAAGTTCTTTATATTCAGTTATTAGTGAATTGCCTTAAAAATAGTCTTAGTTATGGACAAATAACTGATAGATATATAGATGTATGAGTGGTTCTTATTGTGCCAGTTATGATACCCATCATTTGATTATAAATTTACACCATTGAAAATATTTCCAAGCCACATGATTGCTGGTATTATCTAACTGGATAGTTTCACTAAATTTCTCAGGCAATTATGACTATCTTCCATAGACATAAAGGGTATAATTTGAAAGGAGTGTGTAGGAAGTATTATATCCTCAGACATCCAGTTAATAATGAACAGGATTTCTGCCTGTGTTTTTAACTGCTACTTTGAGGTTCACTCTGTACTATCTTTCTCCTTCTATTATATGATTGCATTTAAATGTCTGATTTTGAAAGAACTTCAGAAACTGTAAATGCTGTTTGATTACTTGAGATAAAAAATATCTGTTTGACATTATCCCATTTTTCTCCCAGTAGATCTGTCTGCTCAAGATCAGCCATTGGAATTTGCAGTATAATTGTCCATAGCTCATCAAATGAAAGCCACATTTATGTTTAGTTCAATAATATTCCTGAGATGAGGTTAGTTATACAAACAGTGGACCTAAAAAAGAATAAAAGAATTCTTTTGAATATTTTTTTCAGAGTAAGTTATAAATACATGTTTCAAAAGGACACTATTTGCACGACTGAAAAACATGCATTTGGCAGAATATTTAAAGCTTGATTTCAGTTACAATGGCATCATGTTTATGACACTACATCTAATAGTAAAAACATGCATTTTGAACAGAAAGTTGATATATTGTTCCTCAATCCCTGTGACTTTATTTTTAATTCAATTGAAAATGAACAAGCCTCTTTGTGTTTTGGTATGAGGGAACAAAAATAGTTTGGAGTGGTTTTTAAAAGCTTTTCTTCTCTCTCCATTCTGGGAAGAAAAGATTGGTTTTCAAAACCCAAATTTTTCCAACAATTAGCATCTCATAATGACATTTTATTTGTTTTCTTTCTTTTTTTAAAAGAAAAAAACATACTTTGTGCTGCAGGAAGATTGCTCTTAAAATCACTACCCGTGTATCTGCAAAAGCAATTTATTTAACTTTGAGATTATACCAAAGCATCTGGGTTCTGGGGTTTATTTTGAATACAATTAAGAAAATAGAATGCATTCAAAATTTCCTTGGATTTACTTAATATGAGGTCTGTGTTTTAGATTTCTTACAAGAATAGTTCAGAGTTTTCAGTAGTTATTTGCTAAACCTCAGGTTCTCTGCATCAGAAAGGCTACCCTGATGACCATCCAGTGAGTTAGTAGAAGTCAGATGTGCAGATCTTGGTGGCCCTACAATGTTTGCCCATCCATATACTAATGCCTTTTGGTCACTTATTTTTTTTCCTTCCTTTTAACTTTTTCTTTAGTGCTACTAACTTCAATCTTAGAAGTGTACTAAAAGCTCAGGCACCAGATAGTCCTTTTGATGCAGGGTGGGTGAGCTCCAAAGTGGAGCTTAGCCTACGGGAGTTCTTGGCTTTGCCCAGGAAAGAACTCAAGTGTAAGCCAGAGGTAGAAGAAAACAGCTTTATTGAAGAGGCAGTTTTACAGCTCTGTGGCTGCTCCCATAAAGCAGGGATACCCTGTAGGCAGAGAGTAGCAGCTCAGGGCAGTTCAGCAGTCATATTTATACCCACTTGTAATTGCATGTGGATTAAGGGGCTGTTTATGCAGAAATTTCTAGGTAAGGGGTAGTAACTTTTGGGTCATTGGGTCATTGCTATGGAAAGGAGTGGTAACTCCCAGGTGTTGCCATGGCAATGGTAAATTGCCATGGCACACTGGTGGGCATGTCTGATTGAAAGCTGCTTTCACCCTGGCCTGGTTTTAGCTAGTCCTGGATCTTTTCCAGTGTCAGGGCCCTACCTCTGGAGTCAAGTCCCATCTACTACCTTACTCTCCTACCTGTTCTTGACTTTGTTTCTTGTCTACTCAGGAATATATATAGAGAAATATAGGTATTCTTCACATCCACCTTGTTCTCAAACTACTTCTTATTAAACATATTTATTTTTCACCATTCTTCTTAAATGGAAACTTCGCTGAATGTGTTATGGATCTGTATGTTGTATAAAAGACTCAGTGGTAAACTAGGTTAATCATAGAATTGGAATAACAACAAGAATGATAGTAGTAGCTAACATTGAGTATTTTCCATGTGCTACCACCAAAAATTGAAAGGGACTCTTATTAAATAAGGTGATCAGAAAGGGCCTATGAGGAATGAAATTTAAACTTGACACTTGAGTGATCAGAAGGAGCCAGGAATCAAAAAGACTAGGGGAAAATGTTATAAGCAGAGAAAACTAAATTTGCATTACCAGTGTGGTAGGTAAGAACTTAGAATATTATAAAAACTGTCAGAATGTTAATGTGAATTTTGCATAGTGAATAAGGGAAAAATAATATTAAATAAAGTGAGAAAGTCAGTCAGAACCCTGACTTTATTGGGCCTTATAACTAGGGTTGCTATAAAAAGTACTGGATGCTCAGTTAAATTTTAATTCCAGATAACAATTTGTATCTTTTTGTATAAGTATGTCTCAAATAATGCACAGAACATAATTATATTAAGAAAAATTTATTGTTAATCTTCAATTCAAATTAACTGAGTGTCCTCTATTATAATTTGCTAAATCTGGCAGCCTTATCTGTAATGCAGGTAAAATTTTAATATAAGTGATATAAAAAGATACTGCTTTCAAAAAACTTAAAAAGAAGGATGATATAATCATATTTACATTTTTAAAAGATCCTTTGGTTATTTGAAGAGAATAGATTAGAAGAAGATAAAAGACTGATGATTGTCATTTTGGAGACTATGGTAGTATTCCATGGGAAAGAGGATAGTGGCTTGGACTAGCATGATATAGGTAGTAATGGATTCAAAGTTTATTTTGGTATCTGAACCAACAGAACTTTCTGAAAGATTAGGTGCTGGGTTGAGGAAAAGACAAGGACTAAACATAATTCCTAGATTTCTATGGAGTAGGGCTACTTATTGAAATGCAAAAGACCAAGTTGGACAGAAGAGGTGAGTAGGAGAATTATGCTCTTTTGAGCACCTAATTAGACATTCAGGTAAGAATTTCAAGTAGACAGCTTGAAGAATGAATGAAAACACCTCACCCAAGAACATTTTCACTTAAGGAGATAAATAGAAAGGATGACGAATGCAATCTCTGTACCAGGAATTAGCAAGGGATACAGCAATGATTGGAAAATGTTACTTTGGGAGAAGAGCTTATAATTTAGCGAGAGAGACATATGTAAATAAGGACAGTAGAATCAGTTAATTATTAAAAAATAGGTATCTGCCAGGTGCTGTGTGTAGGAGTGGTGTGCAAGAAGAGAGGGAATTAATTTTGTTCAATAAAGAATTATATTTTGGCTAAGTCTTTAAGGAAAGTAGAATTTATACACAAACTACGGTCGGAAAAGAATGTAGTAGGGAAAAAAAAGCTTGTTTCGCAGTAGCTCTATGGAGAAATAAGGGAAGTCAGCGAGATGGGACAATGGGAGATGCCGTGTTTACTAGTGTGTAATATAATATAACTAATTTCTAACCATCCTATACAGTCGCTTCAAACTTCTGTTGGAACTAAGATATGAATGTGCAGGTAGCATGCTGTTTCTACCTTTGGCAGTTGAGCTGTCCTTCCTTCAGATATTCTTTCCTTAAAAATTTCTCCAAGTCATAGATTCTAACAGGCACCAACGGTGCAGAAGGAGTCAAGGACATAGATTATGCTGTGAATATGTCAGAGTTTTGAGTTTGCTTACAGGCAATATTGTGTTTCAGTTTATGAGACCACAAAAGGGTTGTGTTGTGAAATTAAATATCTTGTACATTTTGAGTAATCTTTAATAGTTATTAGATATTATTTATTAAAATGCCACCAATACATTTAGTGATTTTTTAAATTAAATATTGAACTTCTAACAAATTAAATATAAATAATTAATCTGACATTAATGGGAGTAGATTAAAGTGGGTACAAAACTTTCCAACTTTTTTTCTAACTAAAAGAGAATTAAAAAATAATACCAGTAAATGTTTACAACATGTGACTTGGTGGATTTTCCATGTAATCCAAATTTTCTATGTTTAATCTGTATTCCAGATAGAATCCCTGACTGCTATTTGATACCTTTATGCACGCTAAATTCTCTCCTGATGCAGGAATCAGTTCCTGCAGTAGATCTTCATTCTGATTGCCATATGCGCTCACGGTTACCTATTACTATCATAACTAAGTAATTCTTACTCTGATCAACTTTTTCACTTTGGCTTTTCCTTAGCAGAGGAAAAATAGTGTGTTGTTCTTGTTCTCTCATGTATGACTTGTGTGATCTCCTTTAGACAAATGAGGGGTCCAATCAGCTATCCATTTCTTTCCCAAAGTCAATGAGGACATAGTCTGTCTCTTCTTAAACCTGGACCCACTCAGCCTAAACTCACTGGTCTTAAATGATAGAAGTAGTGAGCTTACGCCATGATAGAATTACAATCTTACCAAACAAACAACATCTAGAACAGAACATGCATTGCACTCTGTGCTCTGCTCAGGGCTGTACGCAAACCATCCAGATAGAATCTGTCTTAATTACTCAAGTTGTTAAATACTTTCTTTTTCAACTTTATAATGTATGTATTCTCAGATGGATGCTAAGTCTTGTGTTAGAGTTCTTTTTGCATATGAGGAAGTTTAGTTCAGCCATGGTGATGTAAGGAGGAGCCACAGCCTGAATAGCCTTGTCTTATGACCCAGTCCCCAGCCCCCATTGCTCAGCATATCTTTTTGGTCATCCTCACCTCTCTCTATACCAAGAAACTGAGAAATCTAGTGCAGTCTTACTTCAAATGCTAAGAGAAACAATATTTTCATGGTGGGAAAACATGAATTTGAAAGTCAAGTGGACCTGGGTTCAGATTTTGCCTTTGCCCTTTTCTGGTTTTGACAGTGTATTTAAGTTTCTTAATTTCTCCAAGCTTTAGTTTCTCCATTAACTCTATACAGTGGGGTTAATAAAGCTTCTTTGGAGTTTTTCTGAATAGCCCTGATGATTGGAAATGGGTACAGGAGGAGATTGTGGGTTTGTGGCATGGTTATCAAATCTCTTTCAAGTCTCCTACATATAGGGTATCTCTAAAACCTTCAAAATATAAGCATATGGGGACATGGAAAAACCACTTACAGCCACGGCATCTCATGAGTTATCAGTAACTGTGTGCGCAGTAACAGGAGAAGGGCAAAGGGATCTGACAACACCAAAAGCCAGGGAATTCTCAAATTTCCCATACGTTCTCAGTGGAATATGTCTAGTTCAACCTGAAAACAGCAGCTGAGTCTGGGAAAGAAACTTGCCGGCTTAAACTTACTGGTGAGAGTGAGAGTTTGACAGCACTGGAGCAGTTTAGACCCTAAGAATAAGCCAAAGCAATTTTCCAGGATAAAACTGCAAAGTAAGGAGAAATGGCCAGAAATAGAGCCTAAATTGATAACAGAACATGAATGCTACAAGAGAAGAAAAGATAAGAATAAGATAAAAGAGATAAAAGTGGGAGAGGAAACAGCAGATGCAGATTTCAGAAGGGGCAAGGCCCTATTTCTGAACACTTAATGAACATAACAGGAGAGGGGCCTCTAGAGCTATGAAAAGAGAATGTGGCCCACACGCTCCTATTAAAAATAAAGGAAAACTCGTCTCACAAAGCCATCAGAATCAAAAGGGTGGCAGAAGAATCCCATATGTTAAGTTTTTAGAAAATGAAATAGCGTGACAGTGAGAACATGAGAGAGAGAAAGAAGTAGAATCAGCCTCTACAGACAATTAAGGCATTTCAGGAGTCAGGTCCACAAAACAGACAAATACTGTCAGACACAGTGAACTAATATGCTAAAACAAACTAAAACAAATTAAAAAGTAATAGAAACTGTACACAAGCAACATAAAAATAATAAATGGAATTACTCAGATATGAGGTGACTGGAGACAGAATTTCAGAACTCAGAAAGGAGGTAGAAATGAAAGAAAAAGCTGCTCCAGAGATGAAGCCTAAACTAATGGAAGAGCAAATAAATACTCAGAAAAATGTCTTATGAGAAGTAAAAGAGGGAAAGGAGAACATGTTTAAAATAATATTTATATAAAAGGAGAAAACTTTTTTAAAAAGAGATGAAATTATTTCAAGAGAGACTAATAGAGAAGATGAGCAAAGAAAACTCTTTATACATAAGGTAGCTGCCCCTAGAAGAGAAAAGCAAAGCAATGAGCGGACAAAAGCTAAATACTATAATCAAAAATACTTTTTTGAAATAAAGACATAAAATCATACTTTAATAAAATGGGACACAACACACCTGGAAAAAATCTAACTGGGGCAGGTAATGCCAAGACATGCCCTAGTAAAACTGGAAGGCTTAAAAAATAAATTAAAAAAAAAAGAAATCCCTTTGCATCTAGGAAAAAAAATAAAGTCGCTTATAAAGGGAAGAAATTTAATTGTCATCAAACCTTTCAACAGCAATATATTATGCCAAAATAGAAATATAAGCAAAGAAGGAAAATATGAGCTTAGAATTTTACAGTCATCCAAACTAAACTTTAAATTTAAAAGCTCCATAAAGTATGCTATGAGCATTTAATATCTTAGGAAATCATATTACTATAAGATTTTCCTGAGGCATCTACTAGAGAGCAAATAAAACAGACGGTGTTAAGAAAAAATATATAAGTCTTAGGTGTATGTGTGTATTTTCTTATGGAAATACACACCTCCTATGACACGCTGCTGAAAAAGAAATCAACCCAAAGTGATCAAGAATGTTGCTGAAAGTACTGATAAATGTGAAAAACATGGGAAAGATAAACATTGAATGACGGTATAGGGACTCAATAGCAAAATCCAGACTTTAAAACACTCCTAATAAGAATTCTTTTCTTGCTCCACCAAGTAAAGTAAGGGGAGGGGGGAAGTGTGTGTGTGTGTGTGTGTGTGTGTGTGTGTGTGTGTGTAGAGAGAAAGAGAGGCTGGCTGACAGGGAGGCAATCTCTAGGTAAAAAAGACACTTAAGAGACATGGCAAATAACTGCAATGCATGGATTTTGATTGCATCTTCAGTACCTGTAAAAATCATGAGACAATTTGGGATATTTGAAGTCATATTTGATATTTGATGACAGTGAGAAATTACTGTTAATCTTTTAAGACATGAAAATGGTATTATGCCTATGTTTAATATGATTTTTCATCTTCTGAGATACATATAAAATATTCATGAATAAAATGGTCTATATAATGTCTGCTACCATATTTGAACATCATATATTACATAATTATATCTCCATTAACACCACTCTGGTCCCAGGACCACCATCTTTCTCTTGGACTAATACAAGGGATTTCCTGTTGGTCTTCTGACTTCTACTCTGTGTCCCTTAAAGTTTATCCTCAACACAGTAGCCAGATAATCTTTTAAACATATAATTCAGAGGATAATCTTAGCAAACATTTATAAATGACACACTTTGTGTAAAGCACTGTTGTGAGTGTTTACATATATTATTCATTGATTATTAATAACAATCTCATTAATTTGGCCCTGTTCTCACTCCATTTTACAGAGAAGGTTAATATGTACTTTAAGTACAGGAGCCAAATTGAAACTCAAGCAGATGGGTGTTCTCAATGGGTATATTCTGTTGTTTCAATCACCTCCTCAAACTCTTCATCCACGTTCTCCAGTACCTATAATAAAAAGTCTCCCTCCTTTCCATATGGTATGTGGCGCAGTTTGAATATCCTCAGCCAGCTTGCTGCTACCCAAGTTCTGTCCCAGGAATTAGGGTTATAACAACAAAGTAGATGGAGTACCTTGTTTTAATTTTCCTGCCCATAGAGAACATTTTTTTCCAATTTATCTGCTCAGAGGAGGTACATTTTTCCAATTTGCACAAAGGTGCTAAATGTGTTAACACAACCCTGACAATGCCCCACCCAACTCTTACCTCATTAAGTACCAATATCTCCTTCAGCCATTTGGGCCAATCATACTGGCCTCTGTCAGTGGCTAGAATTTGCCAAGCTCTTTCCCACCAGAAGATGTTTGCTCTCTGCTGGAAACACTATTCCCTCATCTTTTAAATGGTGGTTTCTTTTCATCCTATAGTCTGTTAAGTGCTGTTTAGAGATAACTTTTATTTTTCATTTTTTCTCTGGCATTCTCTCTGACCTAACATTTTGTTTATGTAAAGTGTAAATCAGATTAGATCATTCTCATGCTGAAGTTCATTTTGCTCTTCAGCAAATCCCGGTGTGATCTAATGGTGAAAAATGACACTCCTTCCTCATTGTCTTTAGAACTGAGAGGTCTACACAACAGAGAGATGGAGATCCAAGTATCACCTTTAGTGGTGATGATAACTGGAGAACATGTCTGGGTTGTGAGGTGCCAGTGGACTTGTGACTTCTCATCCCTGAACTTATCCTCCAGAATTGCAGGCTTATCTCTTTTCAGACAAAGGCAACTGCATACATTTTTCTGCTTGCATGCACAGGTTCGCATGCTCTCTACTTGTGGTCACACAGATGTGAAAAAGAGAGTGCCTGGGAGGGTCACTACATTTCATGCCTGGTTCCTGTTCCCAGACACACCAATCATATTTTCTCGAGCAGGCAGAGAAAAGTTAGAATTGCTCCTGCATATGTTTATCCTATGAGAAGTCGGTTGAATATTTTCCTCTTGTCCCTTCAATGGAAAGTAGACAGGTAAAACCTGAAGAAAAATCTTTGAGTTTCCTCCAGACAAATACAATCCAGTGTCCTTACTCTACAAGATTGACTCATACCACTGTTACATTTTCAGAAATTTTGTGAGCCAGCTTTGAAACATTTGATAGCTTGAAATAATCCATGGTATAGATGACTTTTTACACTATGAACATTGAAATGGGTGAGCTCTAAAAATCTGGTGAGCAGGTTGTTAAACATGAGCCAGCACACCACTACGGGGGCCCTGTACGGTGGGGCACCGGCCTGCCCACCACTCTGACCTCTTCACAGGCTACTCTTTCCTTCTCACTGGGTTTAAGTAATATGCCTTCCTGGGCCCTAAAATGCTAAATTGATTTCTGCCTTTAGTTCTTTGCACTTGTTCCTCCCAGGAATGTTCTTCAGTCACACCCTCACATGGCTTATTCCTTCTCATTTAGGCCACGTGAAGTGCCACAGTCTGAGAGAGGTCTTCTCTAAGCATCCACACTAAAGGAGCCCCCAGTCACTCTGTGTTATATTACCCTGTTTCTGTTTCTTCCTAGCACTTTACCATCTAACTTTTTCTCAGTTGCTCTTTTTTTTTCCCCATAAGATGTAGATTCTATGAAGCAGTATCCTTATCTGTCTTGTTCACTGCTGTATTTGTAATCCCTAGAACCATGGCTAGCATGGTCAGTTGAATAAATTCAATAACCCTGGTTCAATCCTAACTACATGCTTCCATGGGTGAAAAAATGAAGCAGAGATCCGTCCAACTTCACATTTGGATAAGCGTTAACTTTTTCTTGTATCTTAAATGGTGCATGTTTTAATTTTTGAAAAATAAAAATACTACCATATAGGATGGATGTTTGCTCAGAGTATTTACAGCACACTTCATGCGTTATACTTAGAATTCTCCAAAAAAAATTGTTAGTAAAGTTTTTTATGTGAATTCTGGAATGTTTCTTGAAGTCCAAAGAGGGACTTCACAACCCAAACATGGTGCTCTCCTTTTAAGCACATTCCAGAACTATTTTCTATAAGAGCTAAAAATGTATCTTTCTTTTATAGAAATGCTAATTTTGAGTTTTTCCCCCATGTTTTGCTTTTAGTGAGTCTAGTGAATTTTGTTGTTGTTGTTGTTTTAGAAAGCTGTTGGCTCAGCACTGATCTCTGGTAAAGTCTGAAATAGGCTAGTTAGTTGGAATGCAAAAGTCTTTCATTATTAAGCTTGGCCTTTATTGTGAAAGTTGACACCTTAATTAGTTAACGTTAAGCTAGTTTCACACTTAGAGGAAATGTGTAACTCTTAAGAAACATCTATTTTCCTAGAAGCTGAGTGTATTCAGTGGAACATCTTAACTTTATAGAAGGACACATTGAACTTACATTAGGACAAACTTAAGCAGCTAATAACTTTACCAAGCTTGATAAAAAACAAACAAAACAAAAACTAAAAAGAAAATAAAAACACTCCTTTGCTTTATAGAGTACGAAATACAAGTCACAGTAAGAAGTCACAGACATAGCAGCAGGCCTAAATGCCCTGCTCAGGTAAATGGTGCACAGTTCTTCAAGATGGTGAAACCAGATGCACCGTTTGCTATGTCAGCAATGTCCCCATTGTTACTACATATCTTACTGGTGGCTCTGCCATGAGCTACTCTGTGAACTGATGCATAGTCTTGGCCAGAAGTGTTTGATTCTCTTTCTGTGAACTTGAGGCTGTTGGGCTGAGATCACTTCCTATGATTCTGTGACACTTGTTTTCTTCCCACAACAAGACAGCTTATTTTACAAATGTTGGGGATGTGATATTTACCTCAAATTGAGTTTGGGAAAGGACAATGAAGTTGCAGTTTTTAACATGAGAGATTTACACTAATGGGAAAGGAAAACCTCGTGAAGGTGAGCTGTGAGATGGCATTTGTTGGCTCACTGTTATTGATGCCCTGTAATGGTTTAGGTGATGCATGTGTGGCCCTGGGCAAACTTGTGCTTTTGTTTCCAGTGTTCTTTGCTGTCCCTCAGGACGACTAGGTTCCCTTCCATGCTAAGCAGTGGCTGGTATAACATTTCTCTCTGAGATGTTGGCTTCCATTCACCCTAACCCTTTTTCTTCTCTGCTCAGAATGCAGTATGACTGCTTTGGTTGTCTGCCTAAGCTACCTATTGAAAATGTTTACTGAAATGAGTTGCATTCATCATTAATGACAGAATAAAATCAATGAACTATCCCAAATATTCTTTTTATTTTAAAAAGGGACACAAGCACAGGTAATTACTTAACTAGATGATATTTGTTTTCATTCATGAAATGTCCAGGTTATAAAAATGACACTTGAAACTTTTTAAGATACTCCTCAAAGCCTATCGGTTTAGACAAGCACCAAAGGAATAAAGAGAAAATAAACTGATATTTACTAATAGCATGCAATGGAATGTCTTTTTTTTTTTTTTTTTTTTTTTTTTTGAGATGGAGTTTCTCTCTGTCGCCCAGGCTGGAGTGCAGTGGCGCGATCTTGACTCACTGCAAGCTCCGTCTCCTGGGTTCAAAACATTCTCCCGCCTCAGCCTCCCGAGTAGCTGGGACTACAGGCACCCGCCACCACGCCTGGCTAATTTTTTGTATATTTGGTAGAGACGGGGTTTCACTGTGCTAGCCAGGATGGTCTCGATCTCCTGACCTAGTGATCTGCCCGCCTCGGCCTCCCAAAGTGCTGGAATTACAGGCGTTAGCCACCGCACCCGGCCAGGAATGTCTTTTATATATTTCAGTCTTGGTTGAGATTTCCTCTGAAAGTGTAGTTTATTGTAAAGTAGATGAAATGGCCCTTTAGTGTCTCCTTTAATGTTTAGTTTTTGAAATTCCTGATTAACAATGTTATAATCTCAATTCTATGACACCATGAAACATCAATAAATAACAAACACAAGAATAAGATCCTCTTTCCCCAGTTATTGGTAAGTTAGAAAGGGTAGGAAGCTGTAACTCACCATCCAGCCGAATAACATAGGTATGGGGTAGGGTGGGGTTGAGGGAGCCTGTGTTATTTAAGTCCCATAGTAATGAGGCCAGAAATGATTCGATGCTATGTGGATAACAATATCAGGTACAATATCTCCACATTTTATACTAAAATATATCCACAGAGTCAGATGAAAACTTACAACTTAACTATTGCTTGCACAGTCAACTTATTGTTAGAATTTGAAATAAATGTCTACTTGCTACAAGAACTACGGGAATGGATTACAAATTTTAATTCATGAGCATAAAATGAGTCCACCTGCCTCAAAATATGTAGAAATATGTTTTGTTTCCTTTTCTATTTTCTTTTTCCTGAATACAATGGCAGATTCTGAGTTGAGTAACAACTTTATTGATTGGCAGCAATGCTTTGAGGGAGACAGAGTGCTGCTCTCTTCTCTGCAGCAATATCTCTTTTTTATGTTTTTTGGCTGTACTGGGGGAGTGTTGAGTCCTCATGGTTACCCATTCACCTTAAGAGGTATGGTTCCCATAACTAAAATATCAAGAGTCAAGATCAGAACATGGCCCTGTTAGCCTACAGATTTTATTTTCCATATATTTATTGTGTTCATAGTATGAAGGGGTACCTCATTTAACATTTATAAAGAAAAGAGGTTTAATTGCCTCATGGTTTCACATGCCTGGGGAAGCCTCAGGAAATTTAAAATCATGGTAGAAGGCACCTCTTCCCAGGGCAGCAGGAGAGAGAATGAGTGCCAGCAGGGGAAATGTCAGATGCTTATAAAACCATCAGATCTCATGAGAACTCATTCAGTATCATGAGAACAGCATGGGGGAAACTGCCCTCATGATTCAGTTACCTGCCACCAGGTTCCTCTCACAACACATGGGGATTATGGGGATTACTATTCAAGGTGAGAGTTGGGTGGGGACACAGAGCCAAACCATGTAATTCCACCCTTGGCCCCTCCCAAATCACATGTCCTCACATTTCAAAATACAATCGTGCCAACAAAGTCTTAACTCATTCCAGCGTTAACCCAAATGTCCAACTCCAAAGTGTCATCTGCAACAAGGCTAGTCCCCTCTGCCTATGAGCCTGTAAAATCAAAAGCAAACTAGTTACTTCCTAGATACAATGGGGATACAGGTATTGGGTAAAAACACCCATTCCAAATGGGAGAAATTGGCCACAACAAAGGGGCTACAGGTCCCACACAAGTCTGAAATCCAACAGGGCAGTCATTAAACCTTAAAGTTCCAAAATGTTCTCCTTTGACTCCATGCTTCACATCCAGGTCACGTTGATGCAAGAGATGTCTTCCACCATGTCTGAAGCCTCCCCAGCCACGCAGAAATGTGAGTCAATTAAACCTCTTCTCTTCATAAATTACCCAGTCTAGGGTATTTCTTCAGAGGAATGTGAGAACAGACTAATACAAAGGACTAAGCCATTTTAGTGCCACAGAGCCAAAGTCAATGAAAACCCATGAGATCTTGGTAATTTCACCAATAACTATTCAAATTGACTTGCCAAATAACTTATAATTCAAATCTGACACAGTGGGAAGCAAATGTGAGCTCTCTTTTGTTAGAATAGATTATTCCCACTTCACCCTCAGGGAAGAAAAAATAGTCTACAGGAAAATATTGAAAAACAAGAGAAAAGTACTATCATCCTAAACATTCAGAGTACGACAAGACCTTTGCAACTTACCTGAACCAGCAAAAATTCTTGAGAAACATATAGAGCTCTCAATAGGATATCGTAATATATGACTCATTTGAAAAATTTTCAGAAAATCATAAAGAGGAGACCATTGTGATTAGAAAACAGAAAAATAGATAAGATATTGAGGACTTATAAGAAAACCAAAAATGTAATAACAAAAATAACATTTTCAGTGGAGTCAAAGAAGATTTACCTTGGAAAACTGAATCAATGATGTGAAACATGAACTTGCCTAGAATTCAGGAGATGAAAAAAAAAAAAAGAAAATGATAATTAGAAGACATAAAACAAGTAAAACAGGATTCAACTTAAGAATTACATATTTTCCTCAGTTTATAATCAGAATAATCAGAAATAAATCAATTATGAAACATGAATAAAGAACACTTTCAGACTTGGAAAGATGTGTAATATGCAAATGTATACTCATTTTGTCAAACAAAGTCAACGTAAAGAAATCATATGTAGACTTATTTCACAAAGACTTTTGAAATATAATTACAAAGAAAACCTACAAAAGAGAAACCAGTACTAAAGAGAAAAATAAGAAGTTTAACTCAGATGTCTCTTGAAACATTAAATGTTAGAACAATGACAACAGAATTTGGAGATAGAGAAGAAACAGAGAACCCATAACTTCACACCAAGCCAATTTTTTTTTTTTATTTTGCTAAGAAAAGAGAGTCTCAGATTTTAAGGTCTGAAAAAATATAGCACTCAGTCCCTTCCTTGGTTCAGTGTAGGCCCCCATTGGGAAGGTGCATGGATTGTATACTCTAGGGTCTCCTTTCTGCTATCTTCTCTGCTCTCCTTACAGCAGGTCAATTACTTATTGTGCATGACCTTCACCTTTCAATGCAGGTGGAATCTGTTGTTGATAACATACAATTACTTAAATGTTTGCTTTCTTCCAGTACTTTGGAGGCACGTGATTATATCTCACTGCCTTTATCAATAACTCTTACTTGGTATTGCTTGGAGATTGAAAGCCCAGATACAGAGCCTGAAGGCCTGGATTTAAATTTTAGCTCTATTGCCAACCAGAGGTGTTACCATGAGCAAGTTACATAAACTCTCTGTCCCTTAGTTGGACCACTACATAATTAGGATTATAAGCATTATCTAAGATTAGGATATGAGGATAATAAGCATGTTCTAAGATTAAATGCATTAATGTATGCAAAGCAATAGAATAGTGGCTGACCCATGATAAGCATCGTGCAAGTGTTAGTTATTACATCAACTACTCTATAAGTTGATCACATTACCTAAGCAATAATCTGCAAGAATTATGTTTTTAACTCTCCATAAATTTGTGTTGAATAAAGCAACATAATGGCAGTTTTAATTCCAAGGAACTAAAGTAGGAATATTTGCTTTTTAAAAACTATTTTTGAGTATTCCTCATTTTAAACTGGAAATAATAAATGAGTGCAGTGTGCAGTTCTTTAGTTAAATAAAATTCAGCCTAGAGTCTATGAATTACAATATGTTATCTGTTCTTTGAAGTGTGCCTGTATAGTGCAAGTTCAATTTTTTCAAAAAATACCTAGTCCCTTCTGGGTGCTATTACAATGGTTATATTTCCTACTGTAAATTTTGTGCATACATATTTAATAATAAAAAAAGAATGTATTTTGATATATATGAAGTACAAAGAATAATATAAAGAAAGCACCTATACCTATGACTGAATTTAAGCAATAAAATAATCCTAATATAGTTGCAGATCCCATGTACTTACCCTCTCTATTTCTCTACCCAGACTCCCTGAAGCAACAACTGTTTTAAATTTTTAAAATTTGTAATGCTCTTGCTTTTCTTTGTAGTTTTATTCCACCTACTCAATATATTGACAGGTTTAAATGTTTATGAAATTAATATAAATGACATCATAACCACATATAATCTTCTGCAACTTGCTGTTTTCATTCTATATTATATTTTGTGAGATCCAAATCCATGAGAATAGCTGTAGGACATTTATTTTCACTACTCAAAAGTCTTACATTATATAAATAGAATGCATTATTCTTCAACTTCTTTTTTCTAGTTGTTTCCAGTTATGGGTTCACACAAACAAATGTTCTACAAACATTCTTGTAAATGTTCCAGGGTATAAGTCTGCAAGTTTCCTTACGGCAGTAGTTTTCACTGTTGACTTGAATCTGACCTCAGATATTCTGATTTATTTAGTCTGAGGATGGCTTGGGATTAGTACAGGAGGCATCTCCAGGTATGAGCTAGGAAGTCCAATTTCTTAGGTTAGAATCCTTCCTCATTTACTTACTAGCTATGAAAGTTTGTACAAATTGATACTTAATTTCTATGTGCTTCAGTCTCCTCATCGGAAAACTGGGGGTTGGTGGGGTGATAATGATCCTTACCTTATTGGATCAACAAAGTTAATCTATGTTTAAAATAGAGTAGGGCTTATTGAACGTTCAATAATTGCTCTTCAGTGGTTTTAAAAATTGCCCCCAAATGTATTTTTTAGGCATAATTTAGATAAATAAAAAGAACAGATAGGTTAGTACTGACAATTATAAAAACTATGTAAATACCACCACAATTTAAATATAAAAGTTCCATCCACCAGAAAGTTGTCTAGTCCTTCTTTTCAATTATGCCCTCTAAATCTGCCCACAACTGATCTGATTTTTATCATAATATATTATTTTATCTGTTTTTGTACTTGGTATAGATGGAAATATACAAAATGTATACCTTTATGTCTAGCTTAAGCTCAACTCTGTGTTTTCAAGTTTTACTCATCTTTTTGCATATTTCAGTAGTTTAGTGCCTTTTATTGCAGAGTAGTATTCTATTTTTTTATATACCACGATTTATTTAGTGATTCTCCTTTTGATGGAGATGGAATGCCATGAACATTAATGTATAAATCTTTTGCTGTGCATAGATTTCAGTTTTTCTTATGGAATAACTAGGACTGGATATTCATTTATCTTTTAATTGAAACAATTAGATTTTTTACTTCTACACCCAATTGCTACTTTTTCAAATAATCATGAATAATTTATAAATTTATAAATTTTATATTATTTTCTTTGGCTGACAATTTTAATTTTCTTTGTTATTTCTGAAATTATGTTGAAATATTCTTTTATATTCTGTATTCCAGTATTTTAATACTTGATGCATTTTCAATATTGAGGTAAATTTTATATACTTTCAGTATTTAAGTTTGGTTTGGCTTTTTTACTACTTTTGGATCTCATTTGTGTTGGCTTTTCCTACTGACTTAGTTGTGATTTTTGAAAATAAGATTATACTTGTGACATTACTGGTGCAAATCTGCTGAAGTCTTTCCTGTATAGAAGTTTTTAGAAATTATTTTTATGAGAGGCTTTGAGTTATTTCTGCCAAAACAAACTATTCTGAGACTATTTTTAATTACTTTATATGCTTGTGGTTTTTCAGACCATGAACATAGTGTGATTTTGAACCTTAAGTGTACTCAAATGCCAGTTGGTGTATTTGCAATCTTAGTATTTTCCTTATCCCAAAACTAGAACCAGATCAGATAAATTCCTTTGCTATCTATTTTTGTTCATTGGGATGGGGAGGAATGGGGAAGAATTGTTTTTTTCTAATCACTCTTTCACTGAGAGTATAATCATTCATAGATCCAAGCTTTGCATGTGGGTTACAGTTCCCTACCTTTTATGGGTCAAAGTCTTTCTTCTGAATTCCATTTGGCTCTATATATCCCAACTTGCTGAATTCCTGTCTGCCATTTCACTACTTTCTTACCACTATGGATACCAGGTCTTTATTCATTTTTGGTCTCTGAAGACACCTTTTCTTCCACAGCAACAATTCCTTGGAAAGTATATGCACCATATTTTATTCATAATTTAAATGTTTTGATAGAAAAAGAACATTGCTAGAAAATATTCATTAGGAATAAAGTTTATGTTAGTATTAAGTGGAAAATATATTTTACTTTCCAAAAAATGGACACAAAAGTCATAGCTGAAACATCGACTGTGTGTCAGAAACTATGGTAAGGGCTAATAGTGTGTTATGATAATCCCAGTGAGACAAGATAAGGGCAGAGTTAAGGAACTGGGCAAGGAGAGGAGGAGATGGAGTGGAGGAATTATACAAGGTAGAACCCACAGGATCTAGGAGTTGATTGAGTAGTGATGAGAGAAGATAGTGAGGATGGCTCTGGCTTTCTGACTTGGATTATGGTGTTGCCAAGAAAATTTAAAAATGAGCATGATTAATTCCTATGAAATGCCATTGTGTGCATGTGTGTATATATGTGTGTTTCTCCTATCTGGTATCCTTCATTCTTACCCGTCCTCCAAAGTGAATTGAAGAACACCTCTTTTTAAATTAGGACATCACTCAAATTTCCAGATGAAATTGCCCAATACATGTCTCTTGCAAGATTCACTGGTGAAGCTCTCAAGTTTCCTCCCTCTCCCACCACTCAGTCGTGTGAGGACCTGTTATTGACTGGTCATATCCCAGACTCCTAATTGGGCCGCAACTGTCCCTGTGTCCTCACATGCAGTCGGCTTTCTCCTTTTTCTCTCCCACTCATGCTCTGGGAGCTGAGATGATGCGGGGCCTGCTTCTGCTCATCCTTGTGGCATACTTCTCTCCTCAGTGTCTTTTCTTCCAAACACTGGCCTGAAAATGTAAGGATTAGGTTTAGATTTGTTAGAGAGTATAAACAGTTTGTGCTTCAAATCTAGACTGCCTGTCTCAATCCAGGCACACAATGAGTGTCACTGTGCTTTACATTGCATTATTTCTCATGTGTTTGTCTCCCTTGCATCCCTCTTAGGAAGGAAGGATGATTGGTAGAGCAGCATGTAGGCATTGTAACACATCAGAGTCCTCTTTCTGACGTGGGCCTGATCTTGGATCTCTCTCTTTGTCCTTGTAGAATCTAGGTCGAGCAAGAGTCTTGCTAAGTCATTGTGACTAAATCCCCTGCACTTATTATCTGACCATCCTCAATATTTTACTATCCTGACTGCCTGTCTTCAGCAAGAATTCTGTTGATTCAGTCTAACAAGAATCCCCTTTAATCCAACCTTTCCTTTTAGTAATTTTCCATTCACTGAATCCTACCCTACTCCTTGGTTATAAATCTCCACTTGTCGTTGTTGGAGTTACAGTTGTGCCCAATCTCTCCCTACTCTGCAAGACCCAATTGCAGTGGCCCCTACACCTAGCACAATAGTCCCCCCTACTGAATAAAGTATTTCTTACTGGTTTTGAAAGGAAAAAGTTTGGACAAATTACATTTAACAGAGATTAACTGAGGAAAGAAGAATGCATGAATCAGGCAGCCTTCCCCACCACAACCAGAACAAATTCAGAGCAACTGGGGCACTCCCATGTGGTTTGAGAGGATTTCTGGACAGAAAATAAAAGTGATGTACAGCCAACAGAAGTGAGGTGTAGAAACAGCAGAATTGGTTACAGCTCGGCATTTGAACATTTAACTGTCTTGAATTGGCTGAAATTCAGTAATTGGTGTAGGAATAGGTTAGTCTTTTCATACATCCAACTAGGTCATAGTTCACAATGTTTGGAGAAATCTTTAGTCTGAACTTAAAATATGTAAGGAGGCAAGTTAAAGCTAAACTTTACACTGTGTTTAGCAAATATCAACAATATTTTTCTTTAACAAGTATTAGCAATAATATTTATTAAATTCTTTATTATTGTTATGATTTATTATTATTCTCTGATTATTTATTTCTGTGAGTTGCCTTACTAAGATTGTAAACTCCAGAGGACAAAAGTTCTTCCATATACATATAGACTAGCCAGCCCCAAAGGCTTTGCTAAATAAATCATAATCCTTCAAGAAATCTTCACTGGGTTAGTTTCTATTGTGACCAATAACAGTAATGGAAACAGCAGTTCTACATGATTCCATTGTAAAACTTGTTACATTCTAAAACAATAGCTTTGTTTCTTTTCAGTAGTAATGTAAGGCTATTGGGAAAATGGTTACAAATGTGTGCTGTGTGACCAAGATGGAGGCAAAATAGCAAAGGCATAAGATTGTCATATTAGTATTATATCTAATATTTTGATCTAGACTTTAAAACATATAGTAAAATAAGTAAATAAACTTATCATTGTAAAATACTATATAATACCAGATCTTAGGTGTTCCTTTCTGCTATAATAGAAAATGCATAAGTTATTTTATTAAGGCACTTTAGTATTATGGGATATTCACTTTTCATCAAAGGGAGTGGAATTTTGTTTATAGCTACAATTACATTCACTTAATTGTAATTATAAAAAAACACAATTAAGTGAATGTAATTGTAATGAAAATGACACTTTTAGTTGTAGACATGTTAGTCCCTGGTGTTTTCAGCCAGCCATAGAGTAGCCATCATTAGTTTCAAATAAAGGTCCCAGGCACCGAGATGCATATGCGCTGGCAGTTGGAAGTCATCAGAACATTCAGAAATTATAGATTGTGAAGGATAATGCCAAGCACCAACACCATCTGCGCAGCATTGAGTTCCTCCATGTTCTGGTCCTTCCCATCTTTGTATAACGGGTCTTAGTTTACATACTTGAAAGTATTCTAGAATATTAAATTTTTCAGAAAAACTGTTAAAACCCTAAATACAATCCCTGGCATGTTTTAGGTGGCCAAAAAAGTTTTTTTTTTTTTCTGTCCTCAATTTAATTGCTATGTTTTCTATATTTTTTTCCCCTAACCACTTTGTTGACAACCACACTTCAGAACTATCAGCTTTGTACTTAAATGTATATTCTGCTTTAGAGCTCATCATTTGTACATGCTTTGTCTCCACTAGTAGATTTCAAATTCCTTAAGATCAGGATTTATATTTTCCATCTTTGTAATTTCGATAGCACCTGGCACATTTTCTTGCACCTAATTGTATTTACACAGTGTTCAATAAATATTATCAAATAGATCTGTGAATGAATGATGTGTCTGATTTAATGGCTCTTGAATTTATATAATTTTCAGATAATAGGCATCTTATTCACACTCAAAATAAAACATATAAAACATGACAGTAACAAAATTCAGTTGAGATGTACCCTTCATCCCCACTCCAAATCTACTTTTAGATTCAGTTAAGTGTAGGCAAAAATTCCCACCTAAAATGTTGTAATTCCTGTTTCTTACCCAGATAATTTCTAGATTTCCTGATTTAAAATGTTAAAATTGACATTTCACAGGCATCAGAACTCACAGAGAAATAATTTAATGGGAGGCGATTTGCAATGTGACGTTATATTTTCAACCCTGGAACAGATATAGATCGCATGCTTCCCATGACTAGCTGTGTGACTGAGGACACATAATTTGACTTCAATGTTGGGACCTCAGCCTACTTTCTCAATTAATTAAAACTAGTATATAATTCTTTTATTAAAGTCTCAAATGACTTGTGTTTAAAATGAGGGCAATAATGCTTGAGACAAAGTATTTCTGGTGATGCACTTATTGAACCCATTTTATATATTGATCACATAATAAGCTCTAATTAATTGACAGCCTTTTAAAAATAATTGCTTATTAAAAATAAGCTATAAGATGTAGATGCACTAGATAAATATATAAATAAAATAGTGCTTTAAGGTAACAATATCCTTTGGCTGACTTAAATGCCTGTGGTCGACTGTTATAAAAGACTAAAATGAAAATGTTCCCACTATTATTGTCAATCTTAACACAGAGCTTGTGCAGAAGGTCCCTATACATCTCCAGGTTCACGGTATGTTCTTTTAGTCCTGATAATGACTTCGTAAGAAGCATTGCACTTACAAGACTTGTTTGAGGAAACTTACTAGAGCTCCACTAACAGTCTCATAAGGAGGCAGCCATCACAGCATTAAATAGCATGTGAGGGTAAGAATGAGTTTTTAACTGCTTTGTAAGAAAATGGAAAAAGTCAATAAAGATATATTTCTTTAGAAAATGGGGATCTACTATATTTGTGTTGGTTTTATTTTCATGGCCAGTCTAAAGGTGGTTGTTTATTACATAGTAATAAATCATTATTATACAATGCTGGTTCTGGTAGTGTATTTTAAATTTTGTCAGAAATTTTAGATTGTGAATATTTTAAAAAAACAATAAGAAAAATTTCCAAAAATTCCCAAAATGAACCAGGTATCCCTTAGAAAATTATTCTATTGAGAAATCTATGGGGAGGATAGGAAAAAATAAATTCCTTCTAAACCACATTGCAACTGACCCGAAGAAGCAAACTTGGTAAATGTAATAGCATCTCTGAATTCAGGACTTCCGCAAGATGCCGAACAAAACAAATGAAAAGTATTTCCCTGGAGAAGTTTTAATTTCTAAATAAAATTTAAATCCTAACACTTTACTAACTTATAACTAAAATTTCTCCTCTTCCTACTTGATGCTCACAGAGGAAAAAAATGATGATGGTTCTTATTCCTAGCATCCAGAGTGACAGTGAACTAAAGCAAATTACCCTCCCACCCAATTCTATGGAAAGATTTCATGTATCCTTGTTTGTTTAAAATGTCACTGCTTCACCTTGATGTATCATATTATTTAAAAAAATATTCTTCTAGAAGAAAAAAATAAGCTATGAAAAGTGGGGAAATGTGGACCTTAGTGCAACAGTGGAAACTAAATCCCCTGGAAACAAAAGAATATACCTCCAATCAGCAGAAATAAGTACTTGTGGCAAATGAATAGCCATTGATATGAGGAAGTCTCCAAAGACCAGGAAAGACCAGAATTGATAAGGTTTTGAGAAATAATAATAATAGTAATAATACTATAGTATTGGTAATTTTTCAGTGATTTTTTTCAAAAAAGAAAGAGGAATCCCTCTCCAATGCCTTTGTTTTTTTAATCTAGATGGTTAAAATTCCAAATCCTTCAGCTATCTCTAACTATTCCTCTGAGTATGTCAGTAATTATTTCCTCATTTTGTCTGGTTTTTACCTATATTTGAAATGTTAGGTTTTCCTCCAAGGAAGATAAATAAAACTAAATTCATTGAAATCTGATCAGAAATTACATTTCTTAATGGAGAGTTGATCTTGCTTTAAAATGAACAACATGACTGTGCCTAGCTATACTTAAATCTTGGCCTTTGTCAAGAATTAGCATCATATAGGATTTTATCTGAGATGAACAGTTTATACTTTTTCCTTAATATATCATGGAGCATGGAATTTTAAGTCTGGAAAGGATATTAAAAATGATATATGTATTGTACCTATCTTTATACATTGCTACATCTATACATATTTTAAGTTTACTTACCTATTAGCTCTACTTAATATATATTTTAACTTATAATAACATACCATACAGCTGTAGGTTTTCATTGCTATACCTCAGTGAACCAGCTTGAATATGAAAAAAAAATGCAAGCAAATGCCAAGTTTTAAGAAAAGATAATACCCAGTGATGCTAATATGACAATGAAATAAACTACTAATATATTGCTGTTGAGAATATAAATTGGAATTACTTTTCTGAACATTAGTTATGTAAACTGTATCAAGCACTATAATAATGTTTTGTATTGGTCTAATATTATGTCTAGAAAGAATTCTTAAGAAAATATTCAGATATGGATACAGAGATTAATACACAGGAAAGTTTATCATAGCAAAATATAGAATTCTAAATGCCTAATGGAGGGAAAATAATTAAATATGTATTTCAGCAACATTATACAATAATGCAACAGTGAAAGACTCAGGCTTTCAAAAGTATTTAATGACATGATGGTACAAATAAAAAGCATTAAAATTTATATCAGAGATATGATCTTGATTTTGTTGTGTGTGTGTGTCTGTGTGTGCATTTGTACATGTTTACATGCTTATGTATTTGTCTATTTAGCTGAGTTACCAAAAGGACGATAATCAAATAATAGTGGACTAATACTCTTGTATTCCAAAATTAGGTGCCACTGCATCTGCGTAGTACTTTCACAGCGTCAATATTATGACCCTCATCCCAATATCTTCTTCACCATTATAAAATGATTAAAGTTAAAGAGGTTTAGAGGGGAAATCTATTTGAAGAAATTTGCTAGAGTGTGGTGGTGTTTTCCCTTCTCTCTCCCATACCCTGCAAAGTATCCCTTCTCATTTCAAATAAACTGAGAGGAACTTTGAGGAAACCATCAATGATATCCCTCCAAGTTTGTCTTCATTTTCCCTTGCATATCCTGCCTGTATTCCATAAGGATATTCTGATAGAAACATATACAAAAGATAGCCAGTATCTGATCATTTCTCCTCATCATGCTGCCTCCCCAAGACTGCCATTATCATCTCTCACCTGGGTTCCTGCAAAAGCCTCATCTGATTTTTCTGATTCCAAACTTACTCACATAATTTATATCAACACAAAAGCCAATTAGGCCCTTTTAAAACATGTCAGAATATGTCATTGTTTTGCTCAAAAACCATGTGCTTCTATCTCACTCAGAGCAGAAGCCAACAATCTACATATACCTATGAAGCCTTAAATATTTGCCTCTCTCTCTTGCCTCACTGATCCAAGCCCTTCCCTTGTTCACTTGAAGTTCCTTAGTCACTCTGCTTTCCTGCCCTTTGCCTTAAACATGGGAAGCACACACCCACAATGGACCCTTCATTTAATTCCTGCATGCTCTTATCTCTTTTATCCACATGGCTCACTCCCTTCCCTCCTAAGAGTGTTTGTTCAGATATTCCCTCTACAGTGAGACTTTCCCTGACTGCCATGTTTAAAATGACAAGCTCTATACTCATCCTGGCTCTTTCCATCTCTCTTAGCCTATAGTACAGTTAAAAATAACATTAATCACATGTCGTGTAATTTCCTGTCTGTAGGTGACCATGTGTTCTGGTTGGTTTATGCCTGATGTCATGATACAATTATAAAGAACATTCTCTTTCACTTTCACTTCACTTTTACTCTCAAAAATGTCCTGGTTTGATTAACCTATTTATAAGAACTAATATTTTTGTCTGTCTTGTTCATGGTTCAATAGCAATGGCTCCCAAATGGTAGATACTGAGCAAATATATGTTGAAAAAATAATCGATGAGCTCAATTGTTTTTTAATTTTATTTTTCTGTAAGTTATTGGAGTTCAGGTGGTATTTGGTTACATAAGTAAGTTCTTAAGTGGAAATTCGTGAGAAGCTGGTGCCCCATCACCCAAGCAGTATACACTGCACCATATTTGTTGTCATTTATCCATTGCCCCCCGCCCACTCTTCCCCCCAAGTCCCCAAAGTCCATTGTATCATTCTTAAGCCTTTGCATCCTCATGCAAAGGAGCTTAGCTTCCACATATCAGTGAGAATATACAATGTTTGGTTTTCCATTCCTGAGTTACTTCACTTAGAATCATAGTCTCCAATCTCATCCAGGTCACTGCCAATACTCTTAATTCATTCCTTTATATGGCTGAGTAGGGTAAAGAAACTTTTATCAGAGTTTCTTTATACACTCATTGATTGATGGGCATTGGGGTTGGTTCCACGATTTTGCAATTGTGAATTGTGCTGCTATAAACATGCATGTGCAAGTATCTTTTTCGATTACTGATTTTTTTTCCCTCTGGATAGATACCCAGTAGTGGGATTCACAGATCAAATGGTAGTTCTACTAATAGCTGAGACCTAGTTAAGCTAAAGAGCTTTTGCACGGCAAAAGGAAGAGTCAGCAGATTAAAGAGACAAGCCACAGAGTAGGAGAAAATCTTCATAGTCTATACATCTGACAAAGGACTAATATCCAGAATCTATAACAAACTCATGCAAATCAGTAAGAAAAAAACAAATCAATCCCATCAAAGAGTGGGCTAAGGACATGAATAGACAATCTCAAAAGAAGATATACAAATGACCAAGAAACATGAAAAAAATGCTCAACATCACTAATGATCAGGGAAATGCAAATCAATACCACAATGCAATACCACCTTATTCCTGTAAGAATGACCATAATCAAAGAATCAAAAAGTAGTAGATGTTGGTGTGGAACACTTCTACACTGCTAGTGGGAATGTAAACTAGGGCAGCCGCTATGGAAAACAGTGTGGAGACTCCTTAAAAAACTAAAAGTTGATCTCAATATTTGAACCAGGAAGCTTGGAGGAATATATGGGACTGGTGTTTGACTCATACATGAAAAACTCAGAAACAGTAGACGGTGCCTCAGCCTTGCGGCTGGTAGTGAAAGAAGAGTGGCGGTGCCTTGTAAGGCAGGTGTACTTCTTCTGAGGACCAGGCCCAGATTGCTGTATCTCATAGACCAGAGGCAATAAGGAAAGAGCTGGCTAAGTTTCAAGATTTGATGATTATACCATATTGAACATTTTGATTAATGGCATAAAACTATTGTTTGGACGAGAGGCATCCTGAGAAATGTTTAACATTTATGACTGGAAAGACTCAGATTAGTCTGAGATTTCATCCAGGAGTAAGAAAACAGCTTGCCTGTTGAAGAAGTTTAAAATAACAGCAAGAAAAAAGAAGAAAGATGGTTTATGCTTGTACATTTATATATAACTATTCATAAGGTAGAGTTTAAATATATGAACTAGAAGTATGACATATCTCTGTTTAAATCCCATTCCTGCATCTTAATAACTGTGGTACATTGATCAAGTTGCTTGTCCTTTCTATGCTTCAGATTACAAATGGGCCAATATATTTAAAAAGAGATATTTTTCTCATATAAATTTTATTCAAGACAGTCTCTTTGACTGAAGATTATATATATAAAACCTTCATATATACATACACACACACACATATATATATGAATGTTTTATCACATCTTGGCATTCTGTTAGTATCAATTTAATACTTCTATAGTTCAGAAGACCCATGCCCTATTTTTAATAGCCTATATACTTGAGAAGTCAACAGAGACGTGCAATAAACTTTACAACTATTAACTGGTTACAAATCGATTTGCCATTAAAGTGCTGATGGTGTGTAGAGGAGGACTGGTGGCTTCACTATCATGATTGTGTAATCATCATCATTAACCTCCTTTAGAAAAATCAAACACAGGGAAGATTATTACTATTTTATAAAAGTTTTCTTAAATACATGTTGTCAGACTCATAGAAACATCTTCGACTTAGTGATTCTATTCTCTGTAATAAAGATTGAAACAAAAGTATTTATCCTTATAATTAAAGCAAAATAAAACAAAATAAATAGCTTGCTGTGTTTTCAATTATCTATTTTTTTCTTGAAAAGGCCTTTTTATTAGGCTTAATTGCTTGAACTTATTTTTATGTGGTGTGTGTATGCAACCAAAAAAGTAAAAAGTAAAAAAGAGCATTTAAATGTCCAGAATATATCTGTTTTGAAGATTTAAAACATGCTTCAAAAATGTGTTTTTTCTAGCAGGTGTTACAGGTAAATTTTGGCAGGGGGTGTGAGGGGTTTCAAGGGATGGGGGTGTGTGTGGAGGGAACAATCACTTGGCAGCTATTATCTGTCCATTGAAAAGTAGCTTATTGTGCTTGGAAGCTAAAGTACTTAATTACATGCTTTCTTTATAAATAGCAATTCATTCTTCAGGTTACCACTTCAGGAGCAGCCTCTAGGTCTTTAGCACTCTGCTAGGCACAGTGGAAGCTAACTGGAATTTGGTTTGATGCCTATTTGCAAGTTGAAGAGATTGTGAATGATAGGAAGCCTCTGTCAGCATTCTCCCCTGTGCTCTAGTGCCCTCCTTGGTTTACTGCTCTACCTTAACCTCTGTCTTTGACTTTCAGCTCAGCTGGAGAACACGATAGGCAAGTTCAGCTAAGACAGCAGCTGGAAGCCTCTTAAACTTATACTTCTCATTTTTTTCTAACCAAATGTCCCAAATTATGTAGGAGAATGCCTGTATGATCTATTCCATCTTTTAACAAATTCATACAGATATTTTGGTTTTAATAAAAATGTATATCAATAACAACTGCTCAAATAATCTAATGCTTTCTTCCTGCCTTTTTGCCGTTCTTCAATTTTTTTTCATAAAGATTACTTCCCTGGCAGACAACTAGGTAGGTTGAGAAAGATAGGGCAGGAGAGTGGGATATATGGGTTCCTGAATGAGGCATTGCTTTTATTTTATTTTATTTTATTTTATTTTATTTTATTTTATTTTATTTTATTTTGTATGTTGGTTGAGAATTTTTGAAATTGAAAGATCAAATCATAAAGAAATGAGTCTTAAATAGGTTCTAGCCATTTTGACAAATGTTGTGGAAAGTATTTGGGGAAAAATAGTATTCCTGATAGAAATTTTTGAGTTGCACGTGAAGACGATAGATTTTTTAAAGTCAATAATAATAATAATAGTTACTACTTAGAGAGCCCTTACTATGTGTCAGGTAGCTGGTCATATCTCCTTTATAAGAATATTATGAGACTGTCTATGAAAATAGTGAAATCTCTGAAAGTATTGTCATTAGGCATAAAACTACAAAATGATATTCTTTGAAAGCATTGTTTTTAACAATTGAACATTCTTGTTATTTTTATGTAGCTTTAATATGCCTGTCTGTTGGACATTTAAGCTCTATGCAATTACAAAATAGGTAATATGTTATAAAGAACAACATTGTGTGACTAACACACAATGTGTGTTAATTCTTTGTAATATATTACTAGGCATAAAATTGCATTATAAAATACATAGATACTTTAAGGTTCCAAACATATGTTTCAAAACTTCTTTTAAGTATAGATATAAGATTTTATACTCCTGAAACTGGTAGATGAATATGTCCTATTCACCAATCCTCACTACTGCTGAGTGCTTTACTAAAAAATCAAGATAGTCTGGGCATGGTGTGTTCATACCTGTAATCCCAGCACTTTGGGAAGCAAAGGCAGGCGGATCACTTGAGGTCAGGAGTTTGGGACCAACCTGGCCAACATGGTGGAACCCCATCTCTACTAAAAATACAAAATAATGAGCTTGGTGTGGTGGCACACAGCTGTAATCCCAGCTACTCAGAAGGCTGAGGTGGGAGAATTGCTTGCACCCAGGAGGCAGAGATTGCAGTGAGCCAATATTGCGCCACTGCACTCCAGCCTGGGCAACAGAGTGAGAATCCATCTTAAAAAAAAAAAAAAAATTCAAGATAGAGTCGCCAATTATACATTGTCAAGAAACATGAATTTCAGGTATATTAAAAAGTAAAATATAAAAGATAAAATAGTGAAGAACTGAAAAAGTAAAAGAAACTATAAGCATATTTTTAACAGATCTAGTATTAACAGACATAGTATTACCAAAGAACTTTTGAGTGTAGAAGAAATAAAGTAGTTAATAAAATAAAACTTAGAATGACTTTGGAAGTATTTTATCTTCCTCAGTTTTTTGGAATAGTTTGAACAAGATTGATATTAATTATTCTTCAAATGTTTGTTAGAGTTTAGCAGTTCGGCCATCAAGTTCACAAGGTTTTTCTTGGAAAGGACATTTTTGTGACCTTTTCCTATCTCATTATTTGCTATAGGACCATTCAGGTTTTGGATTTCTTCATGGCTCAATCGTGGTAGATTTTATATGTCTAGGAATTAATCCATCTCTTCTATGTTTACCAAATTTATTGGCACATAGTTCCTCATAAGAATTTCTAATAATCCTTTGAATTTCTGTGGTATCAATTATGAGTCTCCTCTTTGATCTCTCACTACTTATGTGGGTCTTTCCTTCTTTCTTAATTTGGCTAAAGTTGGTCAATTTTATACTTTCAAAAAACTAACTTTTATTATCATCTTTTACTTTTGTTTTTAGTTTCCATTTTATTCATTTCTGCTCTGATCTTTACTGTTTCTTTTCTTCTACTAATTTTGGATCTGGTTTGCTCTTGCTTTTCTAGTTCTTTCAGATGCATTGCTAGGTTACTTATTTGAAATTTTTCTCCTTTTTAAATGTAGGCATGTATTGCTATATAAGCTTCCCTCTTAGTATTGTTTTTCCTATATCCCACAGGTTTTGATGTGTTATGTTTCCATTTTCATTTGTTTCAAGTTTTTTTTTTTTTTTTTTGAGAAGTACTCTTGCTCTATCGCCCAGGCTGGAGTGCAGTGGCATGATCTCAGCTCACTGCAAGCTCCGGCTCCTGGGGTCATGCCATTCTCCTGCCTCAGCCTCCCGAGTAGCTGGGACTACAGGTGCCCACCACCTTGCCTGGCTAATTTTTTGTATTTTTAGTAGAGACGGGGTTTCACTGTGTTAGCCAGGATGGTGTTTCAAGTATTTTTAAAAATTTCTTCTTAATTTCTTCATTGACCCAATGGTCATTTGGAGTATATCGTTTAATTTCCATGTGTTTGTATTCCAGAGTTCCTCTTGTTATTGACTTCTAGCTTTATTCCACTGTGATCAGTAAAGATATTTGATGTGACTTGGATTTTTTTGAATTTCTTGAGACTTGTTTTGTGGCCTAATATTTGGTTTATCTCTAAGACTGTTCCATGTATTGAGGAGAAAATTGTGTATTCTACAACTGCTAGATAAAATGTTCTCTAACATTTCATCTGATAATATAACATTAAATCTGATAATTCTTTGTTGATTTTCTGTCTAGAAGATCTTTCCAATAATAAAAATGGAGTGTTGAAATCCACAGCTATTATTGTAGCTGGGGTCTATCTCTCTCTTTAGCTCTAATAATATTTTCTTTATACATCTGAGTGCTCCAGTATTGGGTGTATATGTATTTACAATGGTTATATCCTCCTGCTGCAAAGATCCCTTTTTTATTATATAATAACCCTCTGCATCTCTTTCTATAGTTTTTGTCTTTAGATCTATTTTCTGAAACCAGACACAGACATAACCACAAAAACAAAAAACTATAGCTGAATATCTCTGATGAACTTAGCTGCAAAAATTCTCAACAAAATACTAGCAAACACAATTCAACAACACATTAAAAAGACCATTATCATAATCAAGTGGGATTTATCCCAGGGATGCAAGGATGATTCGACATACATGAATTAATAAACATGCTACTTCCCATCAACAGCATGAAGGATGAAAACCATATGATCATTTCAATGGACACTAGAAAAGCATTTGATAGAATCTCACATCTCTTCATTATTAAAGAAAAAAGAAATTATCCAAAAGCTAGGTATAGAAGGAACATACCTCAACATGATGAAGGCCATATATGACAAATCCACCACGAATATCATATAGAATGAAGAAAAGCTGAAAGCCTTTCCTCTAAGAACTGGAACATAAGCCGGGCACAGTGGCTCACACCTGTAATCCCATCACTTTGAGAGGCTGAGGTGGGCAGATCACCTGAGGTCAGGAGTTCAAGATCAGCCTGGCCAACATTGCAAAACTCCGTCTCTACTAAAAATACAAAAATTAGCCAGGTGTGGGGGTACGTGCCTATAATCTCACTTGAGAGGCTGAGGCAGGAGAATCGCTTGAACCTGGGAGGCCGAGGTTTCAGTGAGCCGAGATTGTGCCACTGCACTCCAGCCTGGGAAACAGAGTGAGACTCTGACTCAAAAAAAAAAAAAACAAAAAAAACACACACACACAAAACAAACAAACAAAAAAACAAGAACTGGAACATGAAAAGAATGCCCATTTTTATCACTGTTACTTAACATAGTACTGGAAATCCATAGCACTGGAAAGTCAAATTGTTCCTGTTTGTATCGTTCCTCTTTGTATTGTTGATCTTGTGTTTAGGAAATCCTAAAGATTTCACCTAAGAACTATTAGAACTGATAAATCCAGTAAAATTGCAGGATACAAAATCAACATACAAAAATCTCTAGCATTTCTAATGCCAACAATGAATCATCTGAAAAAGAAACGAAGAAAGTAATATCATTTACAAAGGCTACACGTAAAATAAAATACCTAGGCGTAAACCTAACCAAAGAAGTGAAAGATCTCTACAATGAAAATCTTAAAAGCTTAATTACAAATGTTGAAGGGGACTCAAAAAATAGAAAAATATTCCATGTTCATGGATTAGGAAAGTCAATATTGTTAAAATGTCCATACAACCCAAAGCAATCTACAGAGTCAATGCAATCCCTATCAAAATATCAATAACATATTTCACAGAAACAGAAAAAATAATTTTAAAACTCATGTGGAATCACAAAGGACTCCAAATAGGGAAAAAAAAATCTTGAGCAAAAAGAACAACACTGGAGGCATTGTATTACCTAACTTAAAATTATAATATAAAGCTATAATAACTAAAACAGTATTGTACTGACATAGAAACACATGCAAATGGAGTAGAATAAAGAACCAATACGTAATTCCACACATTTACAGTCAACTTAGTTTTGACAAAGGAGCCAAGAACCTACACTGGGAAAGGGACAAACTCTCCAATAGATGGTAGTGGGAAAACTGGATATCTATATGCAAAAGAATGAAACTAGGCCTAGTTCTTTCACTACATACAAAATTCAAATCAAAATGAATTAAATACTTAAATATAAGACCTGAAATTGTAAAATGAATAGGAAAAAGCTTTGATGGAACACTACAGGGCATCTTTCTTGGCAAGGATTTCTTTGGTAAGACTGCAAAAGCATAAGCAACCACAGCAAAAATAGACAATTGAGCTTACATCAAGCTAAAAAGCTCTACAGCAAAGGAAACAATCAACAAAGTCAAAAGATCACCCACAGATGGGAGAAAATATTTGCAAACTACTCATCTGACAAAGGATTAATAACCAGAAAATATGAGCAGCTCAAGCAACCCAATTTTTAAAAAATCAAATAATCTTGTTAAAAATAGGTAAATTATTTGAACTGACATTTCTTCAAAGAATACGTACAAATGAAAAACAAGTATACTAAAAAATACTCAATGTCACTAATCGTCAGATAAATACAAATGGAAACTACAATGAGATGTCATCTCTCCCCAGTTAAAATAACCTTTACCCCAAAGACAGGCAATAATTAATGCTGGTGAGGATGTAGAAAAAGAGGGACATTCACACATTGTTGGTGGGAGAGTAAATTAGTATGGCCGTGATGGAGAACAGTATACAGGTCTCTCAAAAAACTAAAAAGAGAACTACTACATGATGCAGCAATGCCATTGCTGGGTATTTATCAAAAAGAAAGAAAATGAGTATGTTGATGAGATGTCTACACTCCCATGTTTATTGCAGCACAATTCACAATAGCCAAGATTTGGAAGCAACCTAAGTGTCCATCAGTGGATGAATGGATTAAAAAAATGTGCTATTTATACATAATGGAATATTATTGAGCCCTGAAAAGAATGAAATCCGTCATTTGTGACAACACGGATGGAACTGGGGGAAATTATGTTAAATGAAATAAGCCTGGCACAGTAAGACGAATATGGCATGTTCTCACTAACATGTGGGAGTCAGAAGAAAAAAATGAACTCATGAAGATTGTAAAATGATGGTTACCAGGGGCTGGGAAGGGCGGTGGGGAGAGAGAAAAAACGAGGGGATGGTTAATGGTACAAAAATAACAGAAGAAATAAAATATAGCTTTTGGGTAGTACAATGAAACAACTATGGTTAACAATAACTTATTGTACATTTCAAAATAACTAGAAGAGTAGAATTGAAATGTTTCTAACACAGATCATAAATGCTTCAGGGACCCCAGTTACTCTGATTTGATCCTTACACATTGTATGCTTGTATCAAAATATCACATGTACCCCATAAATATGGGCAACTAGCATGTATTTGTAATAATTAAAAATTAAAAAAAGAAAATTTAGACATGCCTGTTTTCGAAGTAATAAGAAGAATGTTTTAAATGTGTATAAAAATATTATGTATGTATAATAATATAAACTTTATCATATTAAAATGTAAAGGTAATTGATAAGCCTGGAATACTCTTTGAAGCAAAATTATGTTCCAAGTATCAAGTCTGTACATGATAATTAATGAAAATACAAGAAACAAAAGGTTGATCCAGTTAGAAGAAATATCAATGGCCGGTAAACATAAACCTATGTTTAATTTTACTAGTAATCTAAAAATTAAATTTGGGGCAAATTTAAGATTATTTATTTATGTATATATCATCTTAAATTGGGGAAACTATCCCTTGCTGTTTCGATCTCAGTGAAAGGAATATTTGCATACTTTAGTAATAGAGGGTAAATTGGCAACATTCTGTTAATAGTTTGATAAATATATATAATATATACAGAGATTGGTAAATACTATATGTAGTATAAATATATATTACATATAATATATACTACTTAGTATATATTTATATATCCACATACAAAGACCCTTCAAAAGGCTCATGTTCTTTGTGTATATATACCACTTTTGTTTTTTCATTCATTCATCTGTTGATAGACACTTAGGTTGATTCTTTTGTCTTGGCTTTCTTAATAATGCTGCAGTGAACATGGAAGTGCAGGTATCTCTTCAATATACTGGTTGTACTCTTTCTTCACATTTTTTGCTATTCCTTGTTATCTTTAATCCTTAAAAAGGAAGGAAATCCTGCCATTTGCAACAACGTGGAGGACACTATGTTAAGTGAAAGAAGTCAGGTATGCACAGAAAGACAAATGCCACACGATCCCACTTACATTGGGATTCGAAAACAAGTCTAACTGGTAGAAGAAGAGAACAGAATGCTGGTTACCAGAGGCTGAGGCAAATGGAAAAGAGAGAATGGGGAAATATTACTCAAAGGGTACCTAGTTTCAGTTATACAGGAAGAATAGTTTTTGAGATACATTGCACAGCAGCAAGCATATAGTTAGTAATGATGTATTGCATACATCAAAATAACAGAGTAAATTTCAAACATCTCACTTCCGAAAACAACAGGTAACTGAAGTGATGGCCATGTTAATTAGTTGCATTTAATCATTCCATATTGTATACACTTATCAAAACATCATATTGTACCGCATAAATGTATACAATTATGATTTGTCAATTAAAAACAATAATTTTAAAAATTAAAATAATTTTATAAAACTTAAGTCCTTTTCCTTGAAAATCCACTCATGGGAAACTATCCAAAATAAATAATAAAAGGTACAGACAAATTTTCAGGAGAAAGACAACATTGATAGGGTTATTTATAGCAATATAATAATCAGACATAGTCTAAGTTGTATGCAGTAGGAGGATGGTTAACTAAATTCTAAATACCAAATATAATCCTCAGATTTATTCCTAATGGAATACTATGCACACGTAAAAATTTATCCTTTAAGTGATATTTAATGACTTAGGAAAAAGCTTATATCATTAAACATTGATCTAATCTATAAAAATATCTCTACCTTGTGGGATTACAAAGTAATTTTACCACTTCTTCTTTATGCTTTTTAATTGTGAATAATGAGATTACAATGAGAAAAAGTAATGTATATGCTTATAAGGAGAAATAATATATATGCTTTTGTTGGATACATTTTAAATCTGGGTTATTCAAATTATTTTGTGTTTATGGAGTAAACTTGACAGGGAAAGTTACTCAGAGATGCTTTTATCCTCAGGGCAAAGTTAATCAGCTTAGAAGAGGCAAGGTTAAAAGAGGGCCAAGTTTGATTACCAATGGTAATCACTGGGGGTTGATCCTCTTAAGTCTACCTGAAAATGTACCTTCTCATTCAGATGATTTCACATGACCTCCCAGATACTACAGGACTCTGCTGGATTATGCAACTATCATTTATGAAATGCAGCCATCAGATTTTCTGCCCACCATTGTTAGATGTCCCAGGCAGTTTTAGAAGAATGGAGTGGCTAGTCCTGGGATGTGAGAGGTGACATTCAAGGCTCCACCTTTTACATTAAGTGCTACGTCAGCTATGTGCAACTAAAATTGTGGCTTTGAAATTGTATCCTGGGACCGCTTTCCTTGGTAGCATCAGGTTGGTATTATAGCTTTGTTAGTGTGCTCAGCCTTGGGAGCAGTTAAGGATGGTCGACATTAATGTAGAGAAATTTTTTTGCATTACACAAATTCTGAAATTTCTGTAGATGTGTTCTATATAGTAAGCTTTGGGGACCTAGGTCACCCATTTATCTTTCTGTTGAAACAGATGCCAAATGGTTTCCTTAGGAAATTAATGTCTTTTCATTGAGTACTTTCTCAGACTATTTTTGGTCAAGTTCTTAGTTTCCATCCCCTTTCAGATATTCTCAATGCACACTAGAGAATCTGAAAAGCTGAAATAAAGGAATCCAATTAACTGTAGCTAGCCTGCTTTTTTAAAACTTACTTTTCACTAGACACACTTTTCTTGTAACAAGTATAAATATCCGGTAAAATTAGTATTCTGAGAAACACTTGAAAAAATGGTACTCTGAATCCAGTGTACTTTATTCTTCGTGAACTTGAGTCAGAGAGCTGCAATCTTGAACCTCATGGTGTTAGTAATGTGTAGATTTTTTTAAATGGACCTCACTTTGATGATATGCAAATAGCCTACACTGAGGAACATTATAAGGAGATGAAAAAATCCTTTGGCTTAGAGATGTTAAGTAACATACCACAAGATCACTGTTTTTCTATTGCTGCATATAACAATATTAACCACATGCTTAACAGCTGAAAACAACACACATTTATTAACTCACAACTTCTGTGACTCAAAAGTCAGGGCATAGCTTAGTGAATCCCCTCCTTCAGGGCCTCACTAGGCTGAAATAAAGGTGTTGGCTGGTGCTGCAGTCTCATCAGAGACTCAACTCTGGGATAATCCACTTCCAAGCTTATGTGGCTGATGTCAGCATTCAGCCCTTCATGGCTAGGTGAGCCGAGGATCTCATTTTCTTGCTGTTGGACAGCAGTCACCCTCACTTCCTCGCCATGTGGGCCTTTCTAACAAGACCACTTGCTTCTTCAAATCCTGGAAGGGAGAGGTATTCTCCTAGCAAGATGGGATACAATCTTAGTAATGCTCTCATGGAAGTACATCCCATCACCTTTATTATATTACCTTGATTAGAAGCAAGCCATTGTCCCCTCCCACATTAAAAGAGAGGGGATTATATATGCATGGATCCCAGGAAGTAGAAATCATGGTGTCAGTTCTCCATTGTCACACAGCTAGTAAGTCCCTTCCAGAGACTACATACCAATCCAAATTTGACTCCAGAAACATGTCTCTTACTATTACATCATTAGACTAAAGAACAAATAGGGAAACATTAGGTCCACATTTATTACTCTGACCTCGCTGACTTTCCAAAATTCCCACAGTCCTATTAACCCTGAATCTCAACTCTGGCCCCTTCTCATGCTCTGGACATATATCCCTTCCTTCCATCACCCCTGCCCCAAACTTCTGTCTGATATTTGTCCTCTCCTTAAGTCCCCATTCTCTAAGTTGAATAAAAGAATATATTCTAATATAATAAGTGCAAGTGTTACCTTATTGTATAATACATTTTTATACTTTGCATATTGTCTTAATTCAAAAAGAATAACTCTATAGATGAGACTTCACTGATATGACATCTCTGCTAGCTTATAGAAGCATATTTTTTAGGGTACATGTGAGAACCATAAACAATTTCTAACTTATTTCACTTCTTTACCCCTACACTCTCTTCGAATATTTCTCCTCTATAACTTTGGTCCAGGAGGGTTAAAAATGGAAGTAAAGTAAACATAGTAGCCAGTGTTTCTCAAATTCTGCTGTTCTCTCTGTAAGAATGGGACCAGCCAAGTCAAGCCCTCAATTGAAATTGCTCAGTGTTTCTCCCCAGTGCTTTTATCACACATTATTGGTCATTTGCTTCTGCAAGCCACCCTCAGTCAGGACTTACAAAACATAATTAGTACTGGAATCAAAGAACAACAATAAACTATAGACCGTATGAACCATGACATACAGACCCCTAAAATGTAGCTGTGCATGTTCAGAATGCAGTCAACGGGAACCGTTTACTATAATTTTATGAAAGTTAAATTCCATAAGTAAGTGAAATGCATAGAAAAAGAAAACAGAGAAGACTCCAGAAAGATTGAGCAATGAGCTGAATAGTATTTAATACCATAGAAGTTTGGGAATGGGAGAAGTCAATGTGTTTTCCAATAAATAAAATATAAGCCAATCTTGCAGACAAAACTTTGGCTTTGCTTTTTGGCTAAGAGAGAACATGTAATATTGTGATCATTGTATTTATCGAATTTTAAACTATAAATTTCATAAAAGGTGGTGCTTCTCTCCTTATTTCAATGGAAATAGGAATGGTTCATATTATAGATGCATTGCTGCATACAAGTGCATTTCTAAAGAAAGAAAAGGGTTTGGCAGTGGCAGTTTTCTTCTGTTATACAGTGTTACTTGGCTTATTGTGAACTTTCAAAAATCTTTACACATTTTATTTTTTGAATTCAACCCACGAAAGAGAAAATGTTTGCATTGACTAGAAAATCCATTAACCATAATCTGATGTCACTTTATGTTTCCAAACTCATCTGCTTCTATTTCATGCTTGCCACCCTACATTACAAACCCATACAAGTATCATCTGTTGCGTGAACCTGTCTTTTCTTTTCTGTACTACTAATCTCATTTTTAGCACAGTGCATGGAACATTGAAAGTATAAATATTTTGCTGAATGCTTCAAGGCCAGTTTATCTTTTGACTGCCTCAATACACGTATCTTCTCTGTTTAAATCTTACCTGTGCTCAAAGGCTAGACTCGAATGCGTTTTGCTTCTTGAAGCTGACCTCTCATTCAGGATAAGTTACTTTCTCTTCCATGCCCCACAGCTTATATCTCGATTATAGCAAGCATTTAATTTCCATTTGTGTTGCAGGAGCCCTCAACCAGATATGGGACTACACTGGAATTTATGATTAAGTAGTTGGTGTTTGAAGTTACATCTGGTTTGGTTAATATTTTATTCTCTAGTTTTTATTCTCTAGCCTTGTATCAGCTCTCTGTAATCCTGTATTTCATTATCTATTTATCAGAGCTATAACCCGCACTGTCTTTTATCTTAAAACATACTACCTTCACCTTTCCCCCATCAATATGTTGGAGTTTTTGTATATTTGCTATTCATTTGATCTGTTCATGTTGGACATGGAGAAAAAATCTTAAGCTATATTCTTGGAGCAAAAGCAGAATAAATCCTCTTTTATTTGTAAATGTTGCTCTGTTTATGGGCAGATGAACATAAGATACTGAGAACTCACAAGAAAAATATGACATCATAACCAGGCAAGGGTCTTCCCTTGCAATAGCCATGTGAGTAATAATGTAGTAGTATATTTGGAAGTACAGAGTTGGAAACAGACTGACCGGGTCTGAATCCCAGCTCCATTACTTATTAACTGGGCATCATGGTTTTATGCCATATAAGCTTAGCTAGCTTGGAATGATTTTTTTAAGTCCTTTGTTTAAATGTTTCTGGATTGGGATTGGCCAGTAGATAAATGCCTACCTTTCCCCAGGTGTGGCAGGCATTATGCCACCATCAAACCCTCCAGGGAATTTGGGACCTAGCATAGACTGTAACCATTCAGGACCTCAAGGGGCCAAAACTACAAAAACGATACGTGTGTTTTGGTAATAAACATTTTATCGTAATTGTATTTTTATATGTTTGCTTTCTCCAGTATATTATATGGTCCCTAAGGTCAGTAAACTCTTGTAGTTATTTTTCATCTTGTAATATCTATATTGCTAAGGGTAGTACTTTACACACAGTAGAAGTTCCACTATAAATGGTTGAATTAGAATAATATTGATGCAATATTTTTGATGGTGTATCAATTATGAAGGTTCAAGTTTCCTATCAAAGAAGTATGGAAGCTTATTTTTATCACACGGCAACAAATGTTGGTTGTCCAGGGCAGACATGTTTTTTCCATCTTCTTACTCTTTAATTTTTTTTTTCAATACCAGTTTCTCTCTCCTGCTCATCTCACCATTATAAGATGGAAGCTCTAGCTCCAGCCTTCCATTTGTGTTCCAGGCAGGAACCTAAAAAAAAGAGGAAAGTAAGAAAATATTTCCTGGACTAGCACAGGAAATCAGATATCTGCCTTCAAATGATGACACATAACGATTCTTCATTGAAAAGAAAAGGCTGAAAATGTAGTTTTAACCTGACTACATCAGTATCTTGAAGAAAATTTGCATCATGTTAGAAAGGCAGAAGAATAAAAGTAGAAATTGGTAAACAAATGGAAGGCAAAAGTCCTTCTTGAGAAGACTTGAGCCAAAGGAAGCACAAAATAGATTACTTTTGCTTTGAACTCTTTGAAAGAACCTAAAAAAATTTCTCTTTAAAGATCTCAAGTAATGCAAGTAATACTTTGTGTATACTTAGTATGCTGAAGAAAACTCAGTCCAGAGGGTAAGTAAGGTAGCAACCATCTGTAGGAATTGAGTAGAACACAAAGAACTAGGACCGTGGCTCTGCTCACCTGAGAATGAGAGTGGGAGACCATAATCATTGTTCAGTAATTCATCAGTCTGATAATGGAGCCATTGAAATCATTTCTAGCATTACCCTGGATTTTTTAAATTAGTAAGGCAAAGAAAATGTCTTGAATTGCCCAAATTTGGAGGGCATGAGTATAGTGTTTGTAAAGTTTAGTATAAGACTGAAATTATGCATTAGTCTTTTTAAGGACTTATTGCGTAGGTAACTACTTCTAGTAGTTATACTAGAAGTCAGTTCCCTTTGTCCTGAAAGAGGAGTTTTTACACGGTTGTAGATTTGATGGTTATTAAGCTCTTGCCTGTCTGCTCTAAGCTCACCCTTCCATACTTTGCTTTGTGATACTGGGAGTCTGCAGACTACTTTTCTTCTTGGTCAGGTTGCTCTCTATTGGGCTTCACTGGAGGGAACATCAAAAGGAGATTGGAAGAAAGGAGAGAGAGAAGAGACTTCTTTTTTGTTTGATTCCTATTCCTGTTTCCATTACTCCAACTATTGTTTTCCACCCTGGCTGCAGCTATTGGATTCAGTAGCAGCAGTTAGTTTTAATCTTCAGCTCAGCAGCCAGGCCTCAGGTCCTCCTCAGGAGACTGAGTCCCAGCTTGGGGAAAGGAGTGCTCCTCAGAACTCCTGAGTATCAAAAGTAGCAGTGATGTGGTCCCTTCTCAGGGATCTGAGACCCAGCTCAATAAAGGCTTCAAGCTTCTAAATTACAGTAACCTTCATCATTTCAACAGTCTTAAAGATAGTAGCAGTTTCCATAGTTACTATTTCTGTGTTAGCTTTATGTTCTCTCCCTTTCAATCCTTCAATACTTATTTAAACAATTCTCTGTATTACGACTTTCGTTATCATTAAAATAGCTGGGTTGGTCTCCATTTTTCTTAACTGGACACTCACTGATGCAATGAGTAAAACTAAAGTATGTTTTAGTGATATATGCTATTCTTAATAAACGGAGTGGGGGAAACAAGAGAATGAACCCGAATGAACCCTAGCCAGAGGGGAGAGTAAAGCCCTACTGTTTTTCAACATGCCAGGAAGGATGAGGTGTACACTGACAACAGACAAAAGGGGGATGAATTTGTTCTGGTAGCTTGCCAGTTCCTGAAGAGTATGTACTTTCTTGTGTATTCAGGCAAGGAACAACATTTCCTAGGAGGCTTTGGCAGAAATAATATAAGCCACATTGCCTAAATGTGTAATCTCTTGCCTCAGACTGTCCCTGAGAGATGGCTCCTAGGTGCTCTCTATTAGTGAGGACAGCTGAGTTCATACAGAGCCTCAGCTATCCGAGTACAAATAGCAGTTTAAAACCTATCATGCGTGTACATTTCAAACACAACAATAAATGCTAATATCAAACTACTGTGTTATAATTTCATTGCACACTCCAGACTATAAGTTTTAGTAATTTAGGAAAAATTTTTGTGTTCAAAGAAAGCCTCCTGTAAAGTGGGGGTCATCAAGCCCCTAATTGATGTTGTTTTAGAAATACTCACTATAACAGATGATACCTGGTTGATCATTATAAATTACTATAATCCTTTCTCCATTTAAGGCATTGTATTGCCATGTGTATTGAAAGGGACATGTTTAAAGTTTTAATATTATAATGAAACAGAGTTCAATAACTAAAAATAGGCAATGAAAATAAATTTGGTTATCAATAGGAAAAATGTTAAATGTCTCTTAGAAAAATTTTTCTCTGGTATTTTATTGAGTTGGAACAAGTATGTAATTGGGTTAGAGAGATACAGTAGTTTAACAAGAATTAAAAGAAATACTTTTCATAAACTTGAAACACAGCAAAGAAATTTCTGATTGTAAGAAGATCATATACATTGATCTCATCTTTTCCTAAGGGAAAACTAAAATGATTCTCTCTCTCTCTCTCTCTCTGTGTGTGTGTGTGTGTGCATGTGTATGTGTGTGTATTTTCGAGAACAAAGAGAAGATAGAAAATAGGGATAAATTAGAGATATCCATCAATTTGTGGAAGTTGCAACACAAAAAAGTTGAAGACAGCAAGATTAAGCTAGGGCTTAAACTGTGCCTAGTGAAATATACAAACAAGAGGAGAACATGGTGAAGGGTGAAGATGAGGTACTGGATGGAAACAACATGGGCACTGGGCAAAAGGCACAACCCTGAGCAGTGATGTGGCCCTGTCACCAGCAGCCAGGGCTCTTTTTTTACCCTTACCAAGCAGGAGTTTGGGAGCTGGGCCAGGAAGTAATTTTAAATGTCTGTCTTCCCCAGTTTGTGGACAGAACACATTGGTAGTAAATATAAATCCTCAGGCAAAACTAGGATTTACTTCTCTAGAGAAAGTAAACAGTGCTGGGGAAAATATCATCATATACAGCCATTTCCTTAGAAAATGGTCTGCTGGGGCTGGGCACGGTGGCTCACGCCTGTAATTCCAGCACTTTGGAAGGCTGAGGTAGGAGGATCACTTGAAGTCAGGAGTTTGAAAACAGCCTGGCCAATATGGTGAAACCCCATCTCTACTAAGAAGATGAAAAAAAAAAAATTAGTCAGACATAGTGGCACACACCTGTAATCCCAGCTACTCATAATGTTGAGGCATGAGAATCACTTGAACCTCAGAGGCAGAGCAGAGATTGTGTCACTGCACTGCAGCCTGGGCCACAGAGAGAGACTCCATTTCAAAATAAATAAATAAAATAAAACAGTAAAATAAGAATAAAATTGTCTGCTTCTTCCCAGGGCACCCTTAAGTTCACAAATAAAAACCTAGCTATAATAGATATACTAGGAGAGATAGAAGAAAATGTTGCATAAGTTAAAAAAAAAAAAAACAGAAAAGCACCTGCAAATTAAAAATAAATAGCTCTTGGAAATGAAGAGTACAATAGAAAATCAATGGAAGAATTGAAAGATGAGGGCAAATAAATCATTTACAATATAGACCCAAAGTGTAGTGTTGGAGAAAAGATGAGGCAAAGACAGGTAGACCCAGAAGATCTACCTAGAAAGTTCAGTATCTTATTAATGTGACATCTGGAAATAGAGAATAGAAGACAAAGAAAACAGAAATTCTGATGGAAAATTATCTTCAACCTAGGATTTCATACTCGAAAAAATCAGTCAAGTGTAATTATAGAATGAAATCATATTCATGTCAGATCACAAAAACTTTCATTTTCATTCACTTTTTAAATAAATGCTTCAGGAAACTAGCAAGTAAACTAGAGAATAAAGAAAGAGAAATTATGGTGTCTGAGAAACAAGTTATCCATCTCAGGAGGAAGTTAAGGAGAAGTCTTTGGAAGGCAGCTCACAGAAGGCCCAGGGACCAGTTGGGTATGATCTGGGAAAAGGTTTCCATGATGGAAAAGAAACACAATGAAAGATCTAATATAATGTAGTATTTGGTTGAAAAATGGAGTCAGAGGAGAGGTAAATGGTATCTGATGGAGTGTAGGAAAAAATTAAAGTTATTTATATAGATATTTAGCATTACTTTTCATTTCTGTGAATAATAATTTATATATTAGATATAGTTTATATATAATATATAATAATTTATATATAATATATAATGATTTATATACACAATATATATAATAATTTATATATATATCATCTTCATATAAACATTGACATTTCTAAAAACAGTCATCTAACTATACTAGATGTGCAGTGTATAACATAATTAAATCCTCATATTTACACAGGGGGTTGCTAATAATTTCTAAATTGACAAAAATCAAGAAATCAGTAGATTATTGAGAAAAGGGAAGATAAATATCAGAAGAGCCTGAGCAATTGAGTGCAATTTTCACTGGTGAGGGAGTTGGAGGTCTATCACTTGAACTGCTGCTTTTCATTATGAGCCTCTCAGGACAATTTGATTGTATAAATGAGAAAATGTATTATTTTGACCAGAATAAAAATGATAAAGGTTAAGAAAACAAACCAAAGCAACAACATCAATTACAACAAACACAACATTACTATAGCCAAGATGTAACCACAAAATATGTGAACTCTTTTTGTTTTTTGCTGACACATTGCATTAAATAAGTCAGTAAATAAATGTCCCTGGTGGAAAAGACATCTTTGCAATTGTAATGCGCATAAATATGGGGAGAAAAGTGGCCTCTTGAGGAAAGCTTAATTTTCTGGTCACCACCAGGAAAGTAATTTGAAAGGTTATCAGAGTATCTATAGGATAAGTGAGAGCCTCCAGAGTCTTCTCTACTGTGGGAGTAATGGAAATTCAAGAGTTAGAAATAATAAGTACATATTATTTACTTAATATCTTATTTAGAGACAGTAACTATCTCTAATAAGTAGAGATAATTTACCATTTTTTTGGAGACCAATTAATTATTTCACAAAAATTGTTAATAGTTCTATGAGTAACATATATTTAAAAATAGGTTTAGTATTATACTTCTGGAATATTCCTTCCCCTACCTCAAAAGTTTGAGAAAAGAGGAATAAGCAAAAGGGAAAACTTAGCCATATTTTTAAAACTCTTGTTTGTTATTTGCATTGGATTTTTTTTTTTTTTTTTTTTTTTTTGAGACAGTCTTGTTTTGTCGCCCATACTGGAGTATAGTGGCACAGTCTCGGCTCACTGCAAACTCCACCTCCCGGGCTCAAGTGATTTTCCTACCTCAGCCTCCCGGGTTGCTGGGATTACAGGTGCCCGCCCCCACACCCAGCTAATTTTCATGTTTTTAGTGAAGATGGGGTTTCATCATGTTGGCCGGGCTGGTCTCTAACTCCTAACCTCAAATGATCTGCCCGCCTCGGCCTCCCAAGGTACTGAGATTACAGGGGTGAGCCACAGCTCCCGGCCTCATTGAAATTGTTTTAAAGATAAAATATTTTGCATAGTCTCAATATACAAAATGGTTAAGAGTGGCTTTTCTAGATCAAGGTCTAAGTTTGGTAGCAGAAGGACCTAGCATTACCCTGGATCATCCCTTTTCCTGACTTCAAATAGTAAAGTATAAAATTGGCTAGTTTGAAGAATTACATCTAACTCTTCAACCTTCATTTTAGAACTTTTGGCGACATACACAGATTCGGTGAACAGAATACTAGCCTGGTTTTTTTTTTTTTTTAATTTCATGAGATTATATATACAGGTATATGAATTCAAGATATAAAATTATTTTAAAGGTATATTTTACTATTTTACTCATAGTATAAGAGAGAGGGTTTATTTTATTTTATTTTATTTTATTTTATTTTATTTTGTTGAGTCAGGATCTTGCTCCGTCACCTTGGATACAGTGCAGTGGTACAATCTTGCCCACTGCAGCCTCAAACTTTATGGTTCAAGAGACCCTCCTGCCTCCCAGCCTCCTAAGTTGCTGGGATTATAGGTGTGAGCCACCACACCCAACTCTAAAAAAATATTTTTAAACAAGTTTTCTGTCTAAGATGATATCTCATGAGAATTAAATTTCAGTTAATTTCAATTAAAATTTAGCATTGGGCTGAACAGTTTCAGTCTATATTTTTCTAATGTATTTGGAATATGAAAAACAGAAAGCAACTTTATAAAAGATAAGATTTTCTTTTTTTATTTCCTTCCTCCTTTCCTCCCACCCTTTTTCTTTGCTCTCTCTCTCTCTCACTCTGTTCTTCATCATCCTTCTCTTGTTCTCTTTCATCTTTTTCTTAAGCAAGTAAGAACAATGAATCAAGTCAGTTCCACTACCATTATTTTTCTGCATGATTGTAAGTGGTTTCTAATTATATCTTGACCTTGCTTGTTTATCTCTGGAGAGGGTGCAATGGTATTTTTGAAATTATTTTCCTGCTCTCATTGGAAATAGGCTATCAAGGACAGAAAGTGTCCCTGGACATAGTGCCCTAAGTTCTTTCAATTAGTCCCCTAGGTCAGATCCTCTGAGCACATTCTCTCTAGTTGGAATTCTATTTACTCCATCAGCATGTCCAAATGTCCTCTTATTTCTAGGTTAAAATCTATCCAGTCTGTCCAATAGTCCATTTATTCAATTATTATTTTAAAAATATTGAGTGCCTACTATACAACAGGTACTTTAGGAGGTGCTAGATTATAAGGGACCTGAAGAGTTTTAACTTTATCTTGAAATACGCAGTTTTTGTGGGATTTTAAGCAGAGAAATGGCAGATTAGACTTCTAAAACTAATTAAAGACCATTGCAGGAATCTATAAGAGCAATAATCAGAACATTATTACAATACTGGGTGTGCAAATGGAAAGGAGTGACTCCAAAAATATTAAACACATAGTATGCACAGGACTAAACGACTGATGAAATGCAATGGTGGCATGTGTGAGAGAGAGAGAAAGAGAGAGAGAGAGAGATTCATTATGACTGCCAGGACATTAGCTTGGTGGGTTTGATGGATGGTGTCATTGAGTTAGCTGGGTACTTGAAAAAAGAAACAAATTTGGGGCAAAATGTGCTGGATTCTATTTTGAGCATAATGGGACATAAAAGTAGAAAATATCAGAAGCCAGGTGGATATGCAAGTCTGGAGTGCAGCAAAAAAAAAATAAACTTTCATTAAGAAGTCTTTCTAGATGTGTCATCTGGAAAAAATCTTTCTTCCTTCACAACACCTCCCATAACAGTACATATGTGCTGTGACACTTACTATGATCTATATATTAGTCAGGGTTCTCTAGAGGGACTAAATTAATAGGATAGATGTATATATAAAAAGAAGTTTATTAAGGAGTATTAACTCATGATCACAAGGTGAGGTTCCACAATAGGCCATCTGCGAGCTGAGGAGCAAGGAAGCCAGTCCAACTCCCAAAGCTGAAAAACTTGGTGTTTGATGTTCGAGGACAGGAAGCATCCAGCATGGGAAAAAGATGTAGGCTCAGAGGCGAAACCAGTCTAGTGTTTTCACGTTCTTCTGCCTGCTTTCATTCTGGCCACACTAGCAGCTGATTAAATTGTGCCCACCCAGATTGATGGTGGGTCTGCCTTACCCAGTCCACTGACTCAAATGTTAATCTCCTTCAGCAACACCCTCAGAGACACATCCGGCAACAATACTTTGCATCCTTCAATCCAATTAAATTGACACCCAGTATTAACAATCACAAGTGCCCACCCAGATTGATGGTGGGTCTACCTTACCCAGTCCACTGACTCAAATGTTAATCTCCTTCAGCAACACCCTCAGAGACACACCCAGCAATAATACTTTGCATCCTTCAATCCAATTAAATTGACACCCAGTATTAACAATCACAAGTTCACTCCTTGTTCACTTGAACCCATACACATCTTCTGAAATCATACATAATCTTCAAATAAAGATAATAATAAGATCATAATTATCCCTAACATAATACAACTATCCTTTGCATAACTGGAAATGCACAAATTCCCAACCCAAATGCTATTACATAAAGTTAACAACACTTAAATGCTGATATGAAGTCAGTAAATCTTATGTCACATGATAAAGGAAAAAGGAAATCAAATGAAGATATTTTCTTAGTACAAGTGTATACATGCACAAACATATTCATAACAAAATAAGAAGGAAATAGTTATGACAATTACAGTCCTTTTTTCTGCAACTGATCACATGTTTGTAGCTGGTATTAATGACTACCTTCTTCTACTTTCTGCATTCCCTTTGCCTTCAATAAGTACCTCAGCAGGTCATGTTTTTTTTTAACTGATGGAGTGACCCAAACCTTCATTCCTGAAGGGTCTGGACCATTTGTAGTCCTGTCTGAATTGGACTGTTTTAGTTTCCCACTGCCCTTAATCACAGGGCATGGTAATATTAAGAGATTTCCTAATGGATCTCCTGTATTCCAAGCAACTCTCCTTGCCTACATTGTAGAGTAGTAGACTGATTTCATTTTGGTAGTCTGGGTCAATCAACTTAACCAACACTGTAACTCCCTTTTTAGCCTGTTGACTTAAAGGTAGGGGGAGACCAAAGTGTCCAGGTGGCAATCCTAACTTCCAGTTTAATGGAATCATTGTTGTGTCCCCCGGTGACAGCATTCCTCCCTCAAGAACTAAGACCTCTAGACCAGCAGAACATAATGTCCTGGGGACAGGAAACAAAAATTTTCGTAGTGGATCACTAGCAATTATGGTGAGTGGTACCGCTTCCACTTCTACTTTCACCCCTTGACTCCTGGACCCGTGAATCCTGGCTATAGGAGAAACAGTACCATATATTGGGTGCTAATTCAGAGCATACATAGCCTTCTGGAGAACTTTGCCTCAGCTCTGCAAAGTGTTGTCACCTAATTGGTGCTGTAACTATGACATCAAAAGGTCATTCCACTGTTCTATCATTCCAGCTGCTTCAGGATAACGGGGAACATGGTAAGACCAGTGAGTTCCATGAACATGAGCCCACTGCTGCACTTCTTTAGCCATTAAGTGAGTGCCTTCGTCAGAGGGAATGCTGTGTGGAATACAATAATGGAGGATAAGGCTTCCTATGGGTCCACGGATGGTAGTCTTGGCAGAAGCATTGCATAGAGGATAGGAAAACCCATATCCAGACTAATTGTCTGTCCCAGTGAGGACAAACAGCTGCCATTTCCATGATGGAAGAAGTCCAATATAATCAACCTGCCACCAGGTAGCTGTCTGATCACCCAGAGGAATGGTGTCACATTGAGGGCTCAGTGTTGCTCTCTGCTGCTGGCAAATTGGGCACTCAGCAGTGGCCATAGCCAGGTCAGCCTTAGTGAGTGGAAGTCCATGTTGCTGAGCCCATGTGTAACCTCCATGCCTGCCACCATGGCCACTGGGCCCATTGGGAGCTGACAGGGGTGGCTCGGGAAAGAGGCTGAGTGGTGTCCATAGAATGAATCATCCTATCAATTTGCTTATTAAAATCCTCCTCTGCTGAGGTTACCCACCGGTGAGCACTCACATGGGATATACATATCTTCACAGTTCTTAACCACTCAGAAAGGTCCATCCACATACGTCTTCCCAAAATTTCTTTGTCACCAATTTTCCAGTCATACTTCCTCCAAGTCTCTGACCATCCAGCCAAACCATTGGCAATAGCCCATTAATCAGTATATAATTGCACATCTGGCCATTTCTCCTTCCATGAAAAGCGTACAACCAGGCTCACTGCTGGAAGTTCTGCCCACTAGGAAGATTCCCCATTCACTGCTGTCCTTCAGAGGTGTTGTAGAAAGTGGCTGTAGTGCTGCAGCTATCCATTTTTGGGTGGTGCCTGCATATTGTGCAGAACCATCTGTGAACCAGGCCCCAGCCTTCTTTTTCTCTGTCAACTGATCATAGGGAAATCCCCATGAGGCCATTGGTACAGGCCTGGGGAGAGAAGGCAGGGTGGCAGGAGTGGAGACCATGAGCATTTGAGCCACTTCCTCAGGTAACTCACTTGTGCCTTCAGGACCTCCTCAAGCCCAGTCACGTATATACCACTTCCATTTGAGGCTGAAATGCTGCTGTGCACAGCCCCTTTATGGCTATATGGGTCAGAAAGCACCCAGTTCATGATAGGCAGTTCAGGTCACTGGTGACTTGATGATCCACAGTCAAATGTTCAGTTTCCACCAAAGCCCAGTAACAGGCCAAGAGCTGTCTCCCAAAAGGAGAGTAGTTATCTGCAGAAGATGGCAAGGCCTTGCTCCAAAATTCTAGAGTCCTCCACTGTAATTCACCTATGGGGGCCTGCCAAAGGCTCCAAACAGCATTCCCATCTGCCACTGACACCTCAAACACCATTGGATCTGATGGGTCATATGGCCCAAGTGGCAGAGCAGCTTGCACAGCAGTCTGGACCTGTTGCAGAGCCTTCTCCTGTTCTGGACTCCACTCAAAACTGGCACCTTTTTAGGTTACTCAATAAATGGGCTGGAGTAACACACCCAAATGAGAAATGTTTCGCCTCCAAAATCCAAATAGGGCCACTAGGCATTGTGCCTCTTTCTTGATTGTAGGAGGGGCCAAATGCAGCATCTTATCCTTCACCTTAGAAGGAATATTTTGACAGGCTGCATGCTACTGGACTCCTAGAAATTTTACTGAGGTAGAAGGTCCCTGAATTGTAGTTGAATTTACTTTCCATCCTCTGGCATGCAAAAGTCTCACCAATAAGTCCACTGTGTTTGCTACTTCTCACTCACTGGATCCAATCAGCATAATGTCATCAATGTAATGGACCAGTGCGATACCTTGTGGAAGCAAAACATGATCAAAGTCTCTTTGAACAAGATTATGACAAAAAGAGAGTTGATATACTCTGAGGTAGGACAGTAAAAGTATATTTCTGGCCTTGCCAGCTGAAGGCAAATTGCTCCTTGGGGAGGCCTTATGGACAGGAATGGAGAAAAAGGCATTTGCCAAATCAATGGCTGCATACCAGATACCAGGAGATGTGTTAATTTGCTGAAGCAATGAAACTACATCTGGTATAGCAGCTGCAATTGTAGTCACCACTTGGTTAAGCTTGCAATAATCTACTGTCATTCCTCAAGATCCTATGCCTTCTGCATAGGCAAAATAGGAGAGTTGAACAGGGATATGGTGGGTATCACCACCGCTGCATCTTTAAAATCCTCCATGGTGGCACTAATCTCCACAGTCCCTCCAGAGATGCCATATTGGTTTTTATTTACTATTTTTCTAGGTGGAGACAGCTCTAATGGTTTCCATTTGGCCTTTCCCACCGTAATAGCCCTCACCCTACCAGTCAGGGAGCCAATGTGGGGGTTCTGCCAGCTGCTAAGTATGTCTCTGCCAATCACACATTCTGACACTGGGGAAATGACCACAGGATGAGTCTGGGGACCCCCTGGACCCACTGTAAGTCAGGCCTGAGCTAAAACTCCATTAATTACCTGACCTCAACAAGACTTTAACTGGAGGACCACATTAGTGTTTTGGGTTCCCTGGAATCAACATCAGCTCAGAGCCAGTGTCCAGTAATCTCCAAAATGTCTGATCATTTCCCTTTCCCCAGTGCACAGTTACCCTGGTAAAATGCCAGAGGTCTCCTTGGGGAAGGATCAGAGAAAGATTAACAGGATAAATTGTCGGTAGTATAGTGTGGTTCTTTCTCAAGGGGACCCAGCCTCTCCTTCATTCCAGGGGTTCTGGGTCTGAAAACTGGCTCAAGTCTGGAAATTGATTGAGGGGCCATGATTCTCTGTTTTTATAATTCAAATAAGTCTTTTTTCCACTTGACCTGAAGTTTTCTGCTTATATAAATTAAGTAAGAATGCAGTAGTTTTCCTATCAATTTTACTTCTAGGAACACCGTGATTAATAAGCCAATGTCAGAGCTCTACAAGAGTCAGACTATTCTGATTGCTGCTTTGCCTCTGCTGCCCACCTTGCCTTTGAAGGCTGAGTGCTGCCACTTGGCCCCTACCACCTTGGGATCCAATTATTCCCACTGAATTTAAATTTTGTAGTTGAGTAACCACAGTTCCCTCTGTTAGATCTGGCATACAGAGAAGAGCAATCACAGAGCTCTTCAAAGATGCAGGTGCTCCCCTCACAAATCTATTTCGCAAAGCATTGGTCAAGGGTATGTCTTCTGGACCCTCCCAGCTGGGATGAATAAGTCTAAAGTGACTAATCCACTCCAGCACCGCAATCTCCCTAAGCCTTTGGATCCTTCCTCTACATTAAACAAAGGGAGATCAGGCATTTCCAGCTTTCTCACAGTGGGCCATCTTTTAATCCATGTTTCAGCTAACTAAGCAAATAAACGATTAGAACCTTTTTTTAACTCATCGAGCTACAATATTAAATGCAGAATCCCTGCTTGAGAAATTAATAAATTCAGCCCAAATCAATAAATTCAGACCAATCCAACTCTATGTTCCTTCCATTATTATCCCACACCCTTAATATCCATTCCCATGCCTGTTCTCCAGATTTCTGCTTATATAAATCAGAAAACACAAGCAATTCTTTTGGAGTGTAGCATACCTCCTCATGGATCACACTCTGAACCTCACCTCTAGGGGCCAGCTGGGACTTCAGTTATAGCTCTAGAAGCAAACAGCATTGTTGGGGGTGGCTCTTGAGGATAATCACCTTCCTCTTGCCTAGCAACTGCCTCAGGGGAGGCCATCACTGTTGCCTCAGGCAGCACAGGGTTTATCTTTTCAGACAAAGGTGGAAAGGTTGATAGCAGCATGGGTCAGGGAGGGGTGTGGGGAAGCTGTTTCTGCTTGGGATGGGGAAGGTGTTTCTTCTGACAAAAATGTCTCATCAGACATTATAAGCTCAGTGTCCCCAGCTTCATCAGGGTCATCCCATACATCCCCATTCCAAGTTGCAGGGTCCCATTCTGTTCTAATCAATGGCCTCACTTAAACAGTAGACACCTGGTGAGGCTGTGCATGCATGTTTCATTGCAGGTCAGCCACTCCCAAGATAAGAGCTTGTGTTCTATTTTCCACAATTTCAGCTCTTTCTCTATAGGAGATAAGAGTCTCACTCAGGATGATCTTAGAAGATTGAAGGCTCAGTATCTGCTTCTGAATCTGTGAATTAGAATCCCTGAGTTCATCATTTTCTTTCATCGCTTTGTCCAATGAACTTAGGAGCAACCAACCAGCTTCATCATATTCCTTGGTTCTCCATATATGGTCAAAGGTATTATGCATAGAGTCATTAAACTCCATTCCTCTCACAAGCGGTGAATAGGGAATATCAAATGCATTTATTTTGCATAACTCTCTAAACAGTTCACGCCAAGGATGGTCAGAGTTTTCCATACCATTAGAAGTAGAGTCCTTAGCATTTTGGGGTCCAGTCATATTAATCAGCCAACTCCAGAAACCCCAAAACCAATGAAAGAACTCCATCCTTAATATTCTATTTCTCTAGAACCACTCCTGGTACCAAAATTCGTATTAGTTAGGGTTCTCTAGAGGGACAGAATTAATAGGATAGAGGTATATATAAAGGGGAGTTTATTAAGGAGTATTAACTCACACAATCACAAGGTGAGTCTCCACAATTGTCCATCTGCAAGCTGAGGAGCAAGGAAGCCAGTCTGACTAGCAAAGCTGAAGAACTTGGAGTCTGATGTTTGAGGGCAGGAAGCATTCAGCCCAGGAGAAAGATGTAGGCTCAGAGGCCAAGCTGGTCTAGTCTTTTCACATTCTTCTGGCTGCTTTTATTCTGGCCGCACTGGCAGCTGATTAGATTGTGCCCACTCAGATTGATGGTGGGTCTGCCTTTCCCAGTTCATTCACTCAGATGTTAATCTCCTTCGACAACACCCTCACAGACAGACCCAGAAACAATTCCTGCATCCTTCAATCCAATTAAGTTGAACTCAATATTAACCATCACAATCTACTGTCTATTTAAATCATCTATGTATATGTCATGTTAGTCATATTATCCTGTAAGCTTCTTGAGTCAGGATCCACGACTGCTACATATATTTATTTACAAATGTGTTTGGCAAAAGACAAGCATTCAAAATCATGACTTAAATGGTGGACAGGCTTAGCCAGCTCACTGAAGATAGCCTCTGGAGATTAAACGTGAGTCACCTTCAGAGTTTATCCTGATTATTATTAATGTTTGCTTCATTTTATTCTGGCCACAGTACTTTTTTTATTATATTGGTGTTTTGCATTATAAGTAGATTGTCTGCCATGAACATTATTTGCAGAACCAGTTGTCTGCTTAGCTAAACTTTATCTGATACACAATTTATTCCACTGCTTATAAGGTGACATTATGCACAGATTCAGAGATTAGAGGCTCTTTATTCAGTCCAGCTATCCTGGCTGTAGGCACCATAACAGTTTATTTAATGTGTCAACTTGACTGGGTCAAGGGATACCCAGATATCTGGTTAACCATGAGTTCTGAGTATGTCTGTGATGGTGTTTCCAGACAAGATTAACATTTGAATCAGCGGGCTCAGAAAAGAACATTGCCCTCCCCAAGGTGGGTGAGCCTCACCCAATCCATTTAAGGCCTGAATAAAACAAACAAACAAACAAATAAACAAAGAACAGGCAGAGAAGGAGAAATGCACCTTTTTTTTCTTTCTGCCTGCCTACTTGAATTGGGACAACAGTCTTCTCCTACACTTAGATGTCAATTTATCCTGTTTCTCAGGCCTTCACACTTGGACAGAAATTCACCACTGGCTTTCGTTGGTCTCCAGCTTGCAGACAGCAGACTGGGGACTTGTCAGCCTTTGTAATTGTCAGCTAATACCTTATAATAAATCTCCTTTTAGATAGATTACATAGACAGACAGACAGATATAACCTATTAGTTCTGTTTCTCTGACAAATCCTAATACAGACAGTAACACATTAATGTTTTCATATCTTAGGAACAGCCTATTAAAATTATTCCTATTATAAATGATACTATGTAAGGGACATACCTATATATTTAAACAGATGTATTATATGTCTTTCGCTAGTAGTCATATCATGTGTACCTGAGTGGTAAATGTGTCAATAGTGGTACTCCAAGCCCAAAGGCAAGAGGGTTTTTAACTGATACAGCTTCTTGGATATATCTTAGCTGGCTAAAACCTTTCAAGTTTAGGATTCAGATGTGTCATTTATCTTGAGGGTTAACCTGTGGGTGCTGATGGCTTGATACATACAGATTTAACGGTATATTAAACTACATTTATCATTAACTGCTTACCTTGGCATACCTGAAAGTTTTAAGTGCCTCCTTTAGTCTGACCCAAGACTATCAACCTAGTATTCCATTTTTGACATTAGTACTATGGAATTTTCTGTGGGAAAGTTCCCTGCAGCATGCAAAATGATGTGGGGAACTTTGTATACCTGGTTCACCCTGTAAGACCCAGCCACTCTGCCAGTAATCCACTTATTTTTTTTCAGTCTGAGTCTGGCATGATTCTTTTGTGTTCCAATAGAGATTAGTAATTATCTTTATAACACTTGGTTTCCTGATCTTCAACACTGAATTCAAAGAGTCTCAAGGACTGGTAATTATCTTTCATTGTACTATCTCTAGAACTTAGAAAATACCAGTGCTACTACATGACTGTATTAGTCCATTCTCACACTGCTATAAATAACTACCTTAGACTGGGTAGTTTATGAAGAAAAGAGACATAATTGACCCACAATTCTGCATGCTGTACAAGAAGCATGACTAGGAGACCTCAGGAAACTTGTGATCATGGTGGAAGGTGAAGGGGAAGGAAGTATGTCTTCTCATCAAGATGAGAGAGACAGTGAAGGGGGAAGTACCAAACAGTTTTAAACCATCAGATCTTGTGAGAACTCACTCTCATGAGAACAGCTAGGGGAAAACCTCTCCCATTATCCAATCTCCTCCCAGAGGGCTCCTCCCTTGACAAATGAGGATTACAATTTGACATGAGATTTGGGTTGGGACACAGAGGCAAACCATATCAGTGGCACAGTACCAAGTAAATTAAATAATATAAACATTCAGATATTTAGAATTTATTTTTTCTCTCACATATTTTCTTAGAAACTACTATGGCATAAAACACCATCATTGGAAAATGATTGATGTGGTTGAGGGGGTGGGAAATCAGATCTTTTGTTGCTTATTCCTGTCTTCTTAAGCTCATGAGAATTGGATGGGGGCTCTCTTTTTTCATCCACTACCTATAATTTGTTTTACTGAGGAACCTGACTAGGGAAGACAACCTCTCCAGAAAGTAGGGAATGAAAAGCTAAAGGGTTTCTAGTGAATTTTTCAGACAGAGTTGAAGCTAAAATAGGAATTTTGTGTAAGAAGTAATTTTGGCCAAAGTAAACTACACCTAGACTATGGTAATCTCCTCTTAAACATCACACTAACAAAATTGCTTATCTCATTCTTCTATTATTCTAATGCAGAGTGCTGGCTAAGAGTTATTGTTCATGAAGGATGTGGGATGAACAAACCATTTAATAAGGCAATATTTTAAGTTGGAGAATTAGTTCTTTGTTGCCACAATTTCTACCATCATATATTTTTCTTTTTGTTTTATGACTTTATTTCTCAGCAAATTCTATGTAAAATTACTGACTATTTCTAACTGGTGTAAGAAAAATGAAAAGATTCTTTCACTTCTTACCCAGAAGAGCCACAGCAATTAAAGTATTGTGCTGTTTTTTGTTTTTGTTTTAAGATGTCTGTCTAGAAACATTTCAAGCATGCCTCACCCACATAGAAGAACCAAAGTAGTGTGTAGGCAATCCCACTTTGATTACATTACCTAAGAAGAAACAAGAAAGTTCAACAGAAAATAACAGGAAACACCCACAACTAGGAAGAAGAGGGAAAACAGGCAGCCTGCATGGCCAGGACAGGCCAGGAAGCAGGAGAAGTTGAGTGAATCTGAGTTCCACTTTCTTACTGGAGAATTGTAGAATTCAGGTCATGAGAGAGCACCTTGACCCTCCCAAGACCCGAATCTAACTTAGGGAGTAGATGGGAGACTGTGAAAATAAACTGTCCCAGAGAGGAAACATGCTGTGGGTCCCACTCCCATTCTAAAGTCTAAGTGGGTAGAGCAAGATGCCATTCTTGGTCCTAACTCTTAAATTGTAGACAGTCCTGGAAACTAGTAGCTTCAGACCTCAGCATAAGGGAAATGCAGGCTTCTTTGTGTAGAATTGAGGTGTGATTGGTGGATGGAGTCCTGCAATCAACATTGAGAAGCAAGCATGGTATGGGTTACAATCACTGTCCCTAGAAGTGGGCACTGCCCCTTGGACTTGAGCAAGATAAGAGTTGCCTGGGAAGCTTGGTCTTGAGCTGGGTGGGGGCTTCTGTGGCCTGGGGTTGAGTTGTAATCTAAGCATGAAGTGCAAGGTCTTACAGAAAAGCCAGGTTGGCTGCAATAGCAAGGACAATGGACTAAGCCCTGACCAGGACTTTGACATAAGTCCACCACCAGCCAGCCAACGATGTGGCTGCTAGGACTAGACCAACCTTCCCCATGGCAGGACCTCAACACTTACCCTAGCATTCTGCCAGTGGCTGAGGATCACATTGCTCTCACTCACCATAGCTGATGCATGCACTTACCATTGGGTGGCTTGAGCACAAGTATGGCTGGTACAACTCCATCTGGCTTTACTCCTTCTAAGTCATAGTATGACATCCTGGTTCCTGGGGATTCCACAACTCAATCCATCACCTGCGACACCCAAGCACTCCTCCTTAGGGAGAGAGGTTGGGTAGAATCACAATACTGCTAGCACTTCAGCAAGCTTTTACCTGTGAAAACCACTTACTGGCCTGCAGGCCAGCCCAAACAGCCCATTGCAACCTGTGCAAACATGAATGCACAGTGCTTGGAACCCAGAAGAGCATCTCATCACCATTGCTATTTCCATTTCCCATGCCATGCTAGCTGCCTAGGAACTTGAGCCCCCACTCACCTGTCCAGTACATTGTTATTAAAACTGACATATAAGAAAGCCATTGAGAGGCCTAAGGATCAACTTCCTAGATCATACCTGTATCAGCCAATACAGATGTCAACATACCCTGCCCTAGGGGACATGGATAAACATGCTTATCGCACCACTGCTATCACTAAAATCTGAAGACATGCACATCTGGCATTCCAGTCCCCAGCACTTCACCACAGGCTTCACCAATAACACACCAAGACAACCACAGACACCATTAATGATATGTAACTGAAGAAATCATACAGAGACTTCACTGCTTTGGTCATGCAGAAGCAAAGCCATAAGGCTCTACTCAACCAACATCATAGTCACAACTTCAGTAAAAAGCCTCCCATCCCCCCCAACCCCACCCCCAGTTTAAAGTAAATTCAAAAATAAGTGACTTTTTTTTTTAACCAGAGGCACAGAAGTCGACATTAAAAAACAGGAAATATAAAAAAACAAGGGACTATGACACCCCAAAGAAAACGATAATCCTCTAGCAATAGATTTTAACCCAAAAGAAATTCTCATAATCTAGATAAAGAATTCAAAATATAGATTTTAGAGAAGTTCAATGAGATGCAAGAGAAATATGAAAACCAATTCAAATAAATAAGAAAATCAATTTAGGACATAAATGAGAATTTTACCAAGGAGATGGATATCTTAAAATAAAAGACCAAACAAATTCTGGAACTGAAAAATTCACTGAATGAAATACAAAATGTTTGAAGGCTTCAACAATAGACCAGACCAAGCAGAAGGAAGAATTTCAGAACATAAAGGCAGGTCTTTTGAAAAATCTGGTCAGACAAAAATAAAGAAGAAATCATTAAAAAAATGAACAGAGCCTTCAAAGCCTTTGGGACTACATGAAGTGAACAATTTTACGGACTGTCAGTATACCTGAGGGTGAAGAGAGATAAAACGGCTTAAAAAGTGTACTTAACAAAATCAAAGATGAAAACTTCTCAAGTAAAGCAAGAGAATTAGACATCCAGATATAGGAGGTTCGGAGATTCCCAGAAAATACCATGCAAAAAAGATTTCCACACTCCATATCATAACCAGACAAAGAGTTCTTAAATCAGCAAGAGACGAGTGTTTAGTCACCTATAGAGGAAACCTCATCAGACTAACAGCAGACTTTCAGCAGAAACCATACAGGCTAGAAGAGAATGGGATAACATATTGAACATGATAAAATTACAAAAACAAAACAAAACAAAACAAACAAACAAAAAAAAACACATGCAAAAACTATCCAACAACAATTTTATATCCAGCAAGGTTAACCTTCATACATAAAGGAGAACTAAAGTATTTCCCAGACAAGCAAATGCTCAGAGAATTCGTCAACACTAAACAGGTTTGACAAGAAATGGTCAAGGAAATTCTAAACTTGGAAATGAAAGAATGGCATTCACAACTGTGAAAACACAGAACAGTATAAAACTCACTAATAAATAAATCACACAATGGAGAATGAGAAAGAAATCAAATGACATCACTTGACATCACTACAGAATTCCACTAAACCACAATAACAAACTGAAAAAAGAAAAAAACAAAGAAGATATAAACCAAATAAAAAAATTAACAATATGGCAATAACAAAAGCTCGCATATTAATGTTAACCCTGAATGCAAGTGTATTATATGCTACACTTAAAAGATTTAGATTGGCTGAATGGATAAAAAATGCTCCAACTATATACTGCTATAAAAAACTCACTTTACCAGTAAAGACATATAGACAGAAAGTCAAAGTGTGAAAAATGTATTCATGAAAATGGAAAAAAAAAAAGCAAGCAATAGCATGTATACTTATATTAGATAAAACAGACTTTAAGTCAAAAACAATTAAAAAAGACAAAAATGTCATTATATAATGATAAAGGGATTGGTCCAGCAAGAGGATATATAAATGCTAAATTTATATGCACCCACAATGGAGCATCCAGATTTATACAACTAATGGTATTAGACCTAAACGGAAATATAGACATAAATACCATAATAGGGGAGAGTGAACTCTAATAGCCCATTCAGACCATTAGAGATGTCACATAGAGAGAAAATCAACAAAAAATTGGACTTAAAATAGACTTTAGATCAAAAATTGATGCAACCAGCATTTATAGAACGATATATCTGACAACTGTAGAATACACAATCTTTTCATCAGTACTTGAAACATTCTCTAAGATAGACCATATGCCAGGCCACTAAACAAATATCAACAAATTTTAAAAATTGAAGCTATATGAAGCATATTCTTAGACCACAGTGGAATAAAACTTGAAATCAATACCAAGAGAAGCTTTGGAAACTATCTAAACAAATGAAATTTAAACAGCATGCTACTGAATGATCATTGGGCCACAAAAATTAAGACAAATATATCAATGTTTTTTAAAATGAATGAAAATGAAAAAAAAAATACCAAATCCAGTGGGACACAGCAAAAGAAGTGCTAAGAGGGATTTTTATAGCATTAAATGCCTATATAAAAAATGTAGAAAAATTACAAATTAGCAATATAATGATGCACCTAAGGAATTAGGAAAGCAAAAATAAACCAAACCTAAAAATAGCAGATGGAAGAATTAACAATGGTAAGAGCAGAACTAAATAAAATAGAGATTAAAAAACTAAATCAAAGACTAAATGAAATGAAAAGCTGATTCTTCATAAAAAATAAACAGACTTGATAAACCGCTAACTAGACTAACCACATAAAGAAAAGAGAAGATCCAAATAAACATACTAAAACATGAGAAAAGCGACATGAAAACTGATGCCACAGAAATACAAAAGCTCATCCGAAGTTTTTATAAACTACATGCTCACAAACTGAAAATCCAGAGAAAATGGATATATTCTTGGAAAAATACAACTTTTCAAGCTTGTGTGGGAAAGAAGTAGAAAATTAAACAGATCAATAATGAGCAGTGAGATTGAATCAGTAATAAAAATTCTCCAATAGAGAAAAGCCGAGGACCAGATGGATTCACAGCCAAATTCTACCAAACATGCAAAGAAGAACTAATACTAATCCACCTGAAACTGTTCCAAAAAATAAGAAGGAGGGTATTCTGCATCACTCACTCTGTAAGGCCATATCACCCCGATACCAAACCAAACAAGGACACATTAAAAAAGAAAACAAACAAAAATTGTGGACCATTAAAATGGCCATACTACCAAAACAATCACAGATTCAATATGATCTCTATAAAAATACCCCACATCATTTTTCACAGAATTAGAAAAAAAATCATCCTAAAATTCATATGCAACAAAAAAGACCCTGAATAACCCAAAAACATCTTAATCAATAAAAACAAAGCTACAGACATCACATTACTTGACTTCATATTATACTGCAGAGCTATAGTAACCAAAATACCATAGTAATAGTGTAAAAATAGACACATAGATTATTAGAACAGAATAGGGAACCCAGAATTAAAGCCACCTATTTATAGCCAACTGATCTTTGACACAGCCAACCAGAACTTGGGGACAGGACAGCCTTTTCAATGAATGGTACTGAGAAAATTTGATAGCCTATGGATGATAAATAAGAAAAATAAAACTGGACTCCTCATACTATGTACAAAAATCAACCCAGGATGGAATAAAGTCTGAGACATGAGACCTGAAACTGTAAAAATGCTAGAAAAATACCTAGGGAAAACTCTTCTGGACAATGGTCTAGGCAGTAAATTTACAACTAAGACCTGAAAAGCACAGGCAGCATAAATAAAAATAGACACGGGCAACTTAATTATTATAAAAGACTTCTGCATAGCAAAAGAAATAATCAATGAGTGAACAGACAACCTGTGGAATGGGAGAAAATATTTGTGGACAATGTATCTGACAGGAGATTGTCATCTAGAATATAAAACTTAAGTCAAACAACTTCATGATAAACACAAAACACAAAACAAATAATCCCATTAGAAAGTAGGCAAAGAACGTGAACAGATATTTTTCAAAAGAAGACATACAAGTGTCTAACAGGTATATAAAAAATGTTCAACATCACTAATAATCAGAGAAATGCAAATTAAAATCACAATGAGATACAACTTAACTCAGTCAGAATGACAATTATTAAAGAGACAAAAAAAAAAAAAAACCAGATTTTGGCAAGAATGAAGAGAAAAGGGAATGCTTATATACATTTGGTAGGAATGTAAATTAGGACAACCTCTACAGAGAATAGTATGGAGGTTTTCAAAGAACTAGAACTAGAACTATCATTTGATCCAGCAATCCCACTGCTGAGTATCTACCCAAGGAACAGAAATCAATACATCAAAAAGATAAGGGTGCTCATGATTGTTGGGGCACTATTCACAATAGCAAAGACATAGAATCAACCTAAGTGTTCATCAGCACTTAAATTGATAAAGAAACTGTTGTATATGCACACTATGAAATACTATTTGCTCATAAAAAAGAACGAAATTATGTCTTTTCCAGCAACATGGATGGAACTGGAAGTCAGTATTTTATGTGAAACCAATCAGATAAAGAAACTCAGTTATCTGGTATCATGCCTGTAATTCCAGGACTTTGGCAGGCCAAGGCAGGTGGATCACTTGAGGCCAAGAGTTCGAGAGCAGCCTGGCCAACCTGGTGAAACGCCATCTCCAGGAGTGGTGGTGCACGCTTGTAATTCCAGCTACTCAGGAGGCTGAGGCACAAGAATCGCTTGAACCTGGGAGGTGGAGGTTGCAGTGAGCTGAGACCGAGACACTGCATTCCAGTTTGGGCGACAGAGTGAGCCCAGCCCCACACCAAAAAAAGAGAAAGTCAATTATTACATGTTCTCATAAGTGGGTCCTAAAACATGTGTACAGTGGATGTAGAGAGTGGAATAATAGACAATGGAGACTTGGAAGGGTGAGAAGGTGACAGGAGGGTAGATAATAATAAATTAGTTAATGATTACAATGTACGTTATTCGAATGATTGATACCTTAAAAGATCTTATTTTGTAACTGCCCAAGGGGTTCACCTTGCCTGTTGCCTAGACAGAGCAGATTCATCACAACAGAAGAATTGCAATAGAGAAAGAGTAATTCAGGAAGAGTCAGTTATGCAGAAGACGGGAGTTTTATTATTGCTCGAATCAGTCACCCCAAGCATCCTGGAAGCACAATTTTTAAAAACAACTTGGTGAGTGAGGGGAAGCCAGTGAGCCAAGAGTGCTGATTGGTCAGGGATGAAATCATAGGGAGTTGAAGCTGTCTTCCTGCACTGAGTCAGTTCCTGCGTCTGGGAGCTCCAAGATCAGATGAGCCAGTTTATCAATCTAGGTGGTGCCAGCTGATCCATCAAGTGCAGGGTCTGCAAAATATCTCAAGCACTGATCTTAGGAACAGTTTAGGGAGGGTCAAAATCTTATAGCCTCCAGCTGCATGACTCCTAAAACATAATTTCTAATCTTGTGGTGAATGTTAGTCCTATAGAGGCAATCTAGTCTCCAGGCAAGAAGTAGGTCTGCTTTGGGAAAGGGCTGTTACAGTCTTTGTTTTAAACTGTAAACTGTGAACTAAATTTCTCCCAAAGTTAGTTCAGCCTACTCCCAGGAATGAACAAAGATAGCCTGGAGGTTAAAGGCAGACGAAGTCGATTAAGTTAGATCTCTTTCACTGTCTCCGTCATAATTTTGCAAAGGCAGTTTCAACTTGACCCCTATGATACCTATGCATGTAGGAAAATTGTACGTGTACCCCATAAATTGATATACATAAAAATAAAAGACAACAAAAGCACTGAGCTTAATTAGGTTTAGTGTTGGGTGACAATCAAATGGTTGAAATTGTGAATTTTACCTAGAGAAATAGGTGTATGTGGGTGTGTGGAAGTAGTGAGGTATAAATAAAGTAAATAGATATGAAAAGTCAAGAAGGGAGGGTTGGGAGAGTTGTGGTTGCAGATTACTTCTGATCTCTGGTGTTACCCTTTTAAATTTTGTCATTTATTGATTTGCCTAAAATAGGGATCACAAATTCCTAACAGATTGAGTTCAACCAGGGACTAGGCAGTTAGCATAAATGAGAGCAGCAGGCTAGTTGTAAGACAGTAGAAGAGGTGGGAACTTGGGAAAACTAGAAAGGACAGACACATTCTTTCTAAACACATTCCAGTTTGTTTTCTTTTTAGCTCTCTGCAGGAGAATTAATGCAAAACAAATGTTTATAGATAAACTCAGCTCATAGAACACAAGGTTCTCTGGTTAACATTTCTATACCCATTTGTATGCTTCATCTCTTCAGATAACACACTTAACATGACTGCTTGAGATAATATACTTTACTAGTAATGCAACTATAACCACAGTGTTCCCAATGTCTCCATAGGTAGTGCTGCTTGAGGAGTTCCCTTTTCTCTTTACAGCTCCATTCACAAAGATAACTAATAGCAGGTACCTAGAGCAGCTGAGATCTCATATCTGAGATTATTGTGGTGCTGCCTTCTAAACCTCTTCTCTTCTGACTAATCGTTTACCAAGCACATCTAGAAATCAATTACTGGAGGGTCCACCCTGCCCAACAAACAACAAACACTGCCACGTTTTTATTTCTCCAAAGTGTTTTTTTCAGCCTGCAATGAAGTTTTTAGATTACCAATAAGGGGGACATCTGCCAAGGGTGTCTTTTCTTATTGAAGTGAAAATTGGTGAGGGAAGTTTAAGCAAAAAAAAAAAAAAAATGTTTCCTTGCTCTGATTTCTCTAGCCGAAAAGAAAATAGGCTGCTGTCATAGAACTTTTAGAATTCTTAGAATTACTGTGATAAGTGGCTTCAAGAAGTTGTAACGGAGGACAAAGTTTGGACAAAACCCAGGACTTGGAATACAGGAACGATGGAATACAGGGACAATGCACAGAAAGTAAGCTTGAAGTGAAGATGCACATATTTACCAGACAGTGTGCTGGTACTTCAATGTTACTATCTACCCTCCCACTCTAAGATATTGGCAGGAAGTAGTTTGGGGAACATTCAGAACAAAAAGGCAGGTGCAGAAAGTCTTTCCTTTCTTTTTCTGTCTGCTTTATTCATTTCTTAGACAGTTTATGTGCAGAGCAGCTTCTACCAATTCTCTCTAGAGAGCAATATTCCCCTTATTTTAGGCATCCATTTTCTGAGTATGAGTTAGCTTGAAGAGAAAATACTGTTCGTTAGAATTTTTGGAGTTGTCTTCTGCCGGAAAAGCAATAAACCTGTGAAACATTGTACAAGGTCTTGAAACAGAGAACTTATAGCTGTAGGTTTCAAAAGAGTGAGAAACTGCCTTCAAGTCTTGATTTTCATCTTCCACTAGTTTTAGTATGCTGCACAGGAAACTAATACTGTCTGAGCTTTTATTTAGCATCTGTATAATGAGGAAGTTATTTTAACCCCCAAGAGCATGCCTTTCATGAATATTTTGTGGTTCTGTGCATTCTCTCTGATTTGATTCTGCTTGGCTTATCTTCTTGTGACATATGATCTTGATGCCAAAGTCATACATTCATTCATGAGCACTTATGTGTAAGACTATCATACTTTTTAGAAAAGACATAAGTCCTGGCGTGGTGGTTCACGCCTGTAATCCCAGCACTTTGGGAGGCCAAGGCAGGTGGATCACCTGAGGTCAGGAGTTTGAGATCAGCCTGGCCAACATGGTGAAACCTCATCTCTACTAAAAATACAAAAAGGTAGCTGGGCCTGGTAGCATGCATTTGTAATCCAGCTACTCGGGAGGCTAAGGCAGGAGAATCACTTGAACCCGGGAGGTGGCAGTTGAATTGAGCTGAGATTGCACCATTGCACTCCAGCCTGGGCAACAAGAGTGGAATTCCATCTCAAAAAATAAAATAAAATAAAATAAAATAAAATAAAATAAAAAGACATAAAGGACTCTACAGCAGAGTGGGATACAAATAGACCAGATATCCATGAGAGACAATACACATAATGAAGGTAAGTGAAAACAGAGGGGAATGAATTCCCAAGCTTGAATATCAAAGTCATTTTAATTTTTAGGTTAAGAGTTTTGCTTAATAACCCATGAGATTGTCTATTATCTTTTTTTTCAGTAGACACATATTTATTGACCCCCTTCTATGTAATACCACGTAACAGAGCACAAAATTGAACTTACAACAAGTTTACAAATGACTGGGAAAGACAAAACAAGTTCTCAATGATTATCATACATGGCAGAATAGCATGTTGCATTTATCCCCCTACCCAGTCATTGCTTCAGAGGTTTTCTTGCTCTTGAAATGAAGCAGTGAGATAATGTTAACATGAGTCCCTTCCTGATCAGACCTTTCCTGCACTACTGTGCTAATTTCTAGAAGTAGATATTTAGAAATGGCTTCCCCTTGGTGAAAACAAGAAATGATCAAGTTTGTCAGTAGAGACAAATCAAGTACTTAGTGTTCTCAGAGCAATATCTTGCTAAATCTACCACTTACCGAGTGGCTTGGCTCTACAGAGATAATCTGGAGAGTCAGTAATCTGTGGGAGGGCAAGGAACAAGGTGTCATTCAGTTTGGGGGCAACTGAGTCTGTGGGGTAGGATGTGGAGATTCCTAAACTGGAGATCAACAAAGCACCGCATTGAGGAGAGGACTCTCAGGTGTAGTACATATCTGCTTTCTCCTGCCCAGTTGCCTTCCCAAGTCTCCCAATAACAGACCCCTCCAAGCCCCAGAAGCCAGGGACAGGTCCAGGTGTGCTCTCATGAGGGTGAATCAGAGTCCTTTGGGGGAATTTCTCATCCTGCAGATGAGACTGCTATAGGTTTTTAGGAATAGTAGAAAATAAAACTAACACAGAGAACATATGGAGAAAAACAGTCCTGATGACCAAAGCATATCATGCTGAATGCTTTGGAATTTCCAGTTAGGTAAATATATGTGTATAAATGTAATCTGATACATTTGTTTGTCGATTGATTCCTTAAGCTATTTTCTTTATTTTTAGAAGTGGGAGTCTCACTGTGTTGCCTAGGCTAGTCTCAAATTCCCCAGCTCAAGCGATCCTCCTGCCTCAGCCTCCTGAGTAGCTTGGACTACAGGCACGCCCCACCATGCCCAGCCCTTAAACTAGTTTAGATTAGGTTTCTATTACTTGCAACCAAAAGGTCTGAATTAACAAAGGACCTCACTCTGGCTCTTCCTTGGTATATATTACTATGGGGATGGGATGACCAAGGTCCCATAGAAATCTCATCTGATCCACTCTTTCTATCTATTTTCTTTCCCAGGTCTCATGAAAAGTTGCCGTTTTCCCTCCTCAATTTGTTCCCTAAAACTTTACTCGGCCAGGTATGGTGGCTCATGTCTGTAATCCCCTTGGGAGCCTGAGGCAGGTGGATCACTTGAGACCAGGAGTTTGAGAACAGCCTGGCCAACATGGTGAAACCCTGTCTCTATTTTTTTTACCCACTTAAAGTATATTATATTTATTATACTTAAAGTATAATAAACAACAAATAAATAGGGTACATGTGCACAATGTGCAGGTTTCATACATAGGTATACATGTGCCATGTTGATTTGTTACACCCATCAACTCATCATTTACATTAGGTATTTCTCCTAATGCTATCCCTCCCCCATCCCCCACCCCCAGACAGACCCCATTTTGTGATGTTCCCTGCCCTGTGCCCAAGTGATCTCATTGTTCAATTCCCACCTATGAGTGAGAGCATGCGGTGTTTGGTTTTCTGTCCTTGTAATAGTTTTCTGAGAGTGATCATCTTCAGCTTCATCCATGTCCCTGCAAAGGACATGAACTCATCCTTTTTTATGGCTGCATAGTATTCCATTGTGTATATGTGTCACATTTTCTTAATCTAGTCTATCACTGATGGACATTTGGGTTGTTTCCAAGTCTTTGCTATTGGGAATGGTGCTGCAATAAACATACGTGTGCATGTGTCTTTATAGTAGCATGATTTATAATACTTCGGGTATATACCCAGTAATAGGATTGCTGGGTCAAATGGTAATTCTGGTTCTTTCTAGTTCTAGATCCTTGAGGAATCACTGCACTGTCTTCCACAATGTTTGAACCAATTTACACTCCCACCAACAGTGTAAAAGAGTTCTTATTTCTCCACATCTTCACCAGCATCTGTTGTTTCTCGCATTTTTACTGATCGCCATTCTAACTGGTGTGAGATGGTTTCTCATTGTGGTTTTGATTTGCATTTCTCTGATGACTAGTGATGATGAGCATTTTTTCCTGTGTGTGTTGGATACATAGATGTCTTCTTTTGAGAAGTGTCTGTTCATATCCTTTGCCCACTTTTTGATGGGGTTGTTTTTTTTTCTTGTAAATTTGTTTGAGTTCTTTGTAGATTCTGGACATTAGCTCTTTTTCAGATGGGTAGATTGCAAAAATTTTCTCCCATTCTGTAGGTTGCCTGTTCACTCTTATGGTAGTTTCTTTTGCCGTGCAGAAGCTCTTTAGTTTAATTAGATCCCATTTGTCTATTTTGGCTATTGTTGCCATTGCTTTTATGAAGTTTTAGTCGTGAAGTTTTTGCCCATCCCTATGTCCTGAATGGTATTGCCTAGGTTTTCTTCTAGGGTTTTTATGGTTTTAGGTCTAACATTTAAGTCTTTAATCCATCTTGAATTAATTTTTGTATAAGGTGTAAGGAAGGGATCCAGTTTCAGCTTTCTACATATGGCTAGCCAGTTTTCCCAGCACCATTTATTAAATAGGAAATCCTTTCCCTATTTCTTGTTTTTGTCACGTTTGTCAAAGATCAGATGGTTGTAGACGTGTGGTATTATTTCTGAGGGCTCTGTTCTGTTCCATTGGTCTATCTCTCTGTTTTGGTACTACTACCATGCTGTTTTGGTTACTGTAGCCTTGTAGTATAGTTTGAAGTCAGGTAGCATGTTGCCTGTTTTGTTATTTTTGCTTAGGATTGTCTTGGCAATGCGGGCTCTGTTTTGGTTCCATATGAACTTCAGAGTAGTTTTTCCAATTCTGTGAAGAAAGTCATTTGTAGCTTGATGGGGATGGCACTGAATTTATAAATTACTTTGGGCAGTATGGCCATTTTCATGATATTGATTCTTCCTATCCATAAGCATGGAACATTCTTCTATTTGTTTGTGTCTTCTTTTATTTCATTTAGCAGTGGTTTGTAGTTCTCCTTGAAGAGGTCCTTCACATCCCTTGTAAGTTGGATTCCTAGGTATTTTATTCTCTTTGTAGCAATTATGAATGGGAGTTCACTCATGATTTGGCTCTCTGTCCATTATTAGTGTATAGGAATGCTTGTGATTTTGCACACTGATTTTGTATCCTGAGACTGCTGAAGTTGCTTATCAGCTTAAGGAGATTTGGGGCTGAGATAATGAGTTTTCTAAATATACAATCATGTCATTTGCAAACAGGGGCAATTTGACTTCCTCATTTCATAATTGAATACCCTTTATTTCTTTCTCTTGCCTGATTGCCCTGACCAGAACTTCCAACACTACGTTGAATAGGAGTGGTGAGAGAGGGCGTCCTTGTCTTGTGCCAGTTTTCAAATGGAATGCTTCCAGTTTTGGCCCATTCAGTACACCATTGGCTGTGGGTTTGTCATAAATAGCTCTTATTATTTTGAGATATGTCCCATCAATACCTAGTTTATTGGGAGTTTTTAGCATGAAGGGCTGTTGAGTTTTGTCTAAGACCTTTCCTGCATCTATTGAGATAATCATGTGGTTTTTGTCATTGTTTCTGTTTATGTGATGGATTACATTTATTGATTTGTGTATGTTGAACCAGCCTTGCATCCCAGAGATGAAGCCAACTTGATTGAGGTGGATAAGCTTTTTGATGTGCTGCTGGATTCGGTTTGCCAGTATTTCATTGAGGATTTTTGCATCGATCTTCATCAGGGATATTGGTCTAAAATTCTCTTTTTTTGTTGTGTCTCTGCCAGGCTTTGGTATCAGGATGATTTTGGCCTCATAAAATGAGTTAGGGATGATTCCCTCTTTTTCTATTGATTGGAATAGTTTCAGAAGGAATGGTACCAGCTCCACTTTGTATCTCTGGTAGAATTCGGCTGTGAATCCATCTGGTCTTGAACTTTTTTTGGTTGGTAGGCTATTAATTATGCCTCAATTTCAGAGTCTGTTATTGGTCTATTCAGAGATTCAACCTCTTCCTGGTTTAGTCTTGGAAGAGTGTATGTGTCCAGGAATTTATCCATTTCTTCCAGATTTTCTAGTTTATTTGCATAGAGGTGTTTATAGTAGTCTCTGATGGTAGTTTGTATTTCTGTGGGATCGGTGGTGATATCCCCGTTATCATTTTTTATTGTGTCTATTTGATTCTTCTCTCTTTTGTTCTTTATTAGTCTTGCTAGTGGTCTATCAATTTTATTGATCTTTTCAGAAAACCATCTCCTGGATTCATTGATTTTTTTGAAGGGTTTTTTGTGTCTCTATCTCTTTCAGTTCTGCTCTGATCTTAGTTATTTTTTGCCTTCTTCTAGCTTTTGAATTTGTTTGCTTTTGCTTCTCTAGTTCTTTTTTTTTTATACTTTTAAGTTTTAGGGTACATGTGCATATTGTGCAGGTTAGTTACATATGTATACATGTGCCATGCTGGTGCGCTGCACCCACTAACTTGTCATTTAGCATTAGGTATATCTCCCGATGCTATCCCTCCCAACTCCCACCACCCCACAACAGTCCCCAGAGTGTGATATTCCCCTTCCTGTGTCCATGTGTTCTCATTGTTCAGTTCCTACCTATGAATGAGAATATGCGGTGTTTGGTTTTTTGTTCTTGCGATAGTTTACTGAGAATGATGATTTCCAATTTCATCCATGTCCCTACAAAGGACATGAACTCATCATTTTTTATGGCTGCATAGTATTCCATGGTGTATATGTGCCACATTTTCTTAATCCAGTCTATCATTGTTGGACATTTGGGTTGGTTCCAAGTCTTTGCTATTGTGAATAATGCCGCAATAAACATACGTGTGCATGTGTCTTTATAGCAGCATGATTTATAGTCCTTTGGGTATATACCCAGTAATGGGATGGCAGGGTCAAATGGTATTTCCAGTTCTAGATCCCTGAGGAGTCGCCACACTGACTTCCACAATGGTTGAACTAGTTTACAGTCCCACCAACAGTGTAAAAGTGTTCCTATTTCTCCACATCCTCTCCAGCAGCTGTTGTTTCCTGACTTTTTAATGATTGCCATTCTAACTGGTGTGAGATGGTATCTCATTGTGGTTTTGATTTGCATTTCTCTGATGGCCAGTGATGGTGAGCATTTTTTCATGTGTTTTTTGGCTGCATAAATGTCTTCTTTTGAGAAGTGTCTGTTCATGTCCTTCGCCCACTTTTTGATGGGGTTGTTTGTTTTTTTCTTGTAAATTTGTTTGAGTTCATTGTAGATTCTGGATATTAGCCCTTTGTCAGATGAGTAGGTTGTGAAAATTTTCTCCCATTTTTTAGGTTGCCTGTTCACTCTGATGGTAGTTTCTTTTGCTGTGCAGAAGCTCTTTAGTTTAATTAGATCCCATTTGTCAATTTTGTCTTTTGTTGCCATTGCTTTTGGTGTTTTAGACATGAAGTCCTTGCCCATGCCTATGTCCTGAATGGTAATGCCTAGGTTTTCTTCTAGGGTTTTTATGGTTTTAGGTCTAACGTTTAAGTCTTTAATCCATCTTGAATTGATTTTTGTATAAGGCAAGGAGAACTACAAACCACTGCTCGAGGAAATAAAAGAGGATACAAACAAATGGAAGAACATTACATGCTCATGGGTAGGAAGAATCAATATCGTGAAAATGGCCATACTGCCCAAGGTAATTTACAGATTCAATGCCATCCCCATCAAGCTGCCAATGACTTTCTTCACAGAATTGGAAAAACTACTTTAAAGTTCATATGGAACCAAAAAAGAGCCCGCATTGCCAAGTCAATCCTAAGCCAAAAGAACAAAGCTGGAGGCATCACACTACCTGACTTCAAAGTATACTACAAGGCTACAGTAACCAAAACAGCATGGTACTGGTACCAAAACAGAGATATAGATCAATGGAACAGAACAGAGCCCTCAGAAATAACGCCGCGTATCTACAACTATCTGATCTTTGACAAACCTGAGAAAAACAAGCAATGGGGAAAGCATTCCCTATTTAATAAATGGTGCTGGGAAAACTGGCTAGCCATATGTAGTTCTTTTAATTGTGATGTTAGGGTGCCGATTTTAGATCTTTCCTGCTTTCTCTTGTGGGCATTTAGTGCTATAAATTTCTCTCTACACACTGCTTTAAATGTGTCCTAGAGATTCTGGTACGTTGTGTCTTTGTTCTCATTGGTTTCAAAGAACATCTTTATTTCTGCCTTCATTTCGTTATTTACCCATTAGTCATTCAGGAGCATGTTGTACAGTTTCCATGTAGTTGTGCAGTGTTGAGTGAGTTTCTTAATCCTGAGTTCTAATTTGATTGCAGTGTGGTCTGAGAGACAGTTTGTTGTGATTTCTGTTCTTTTACATTTGCTGAGAAGTGCTTTACTTCCAATTATGTGGTCAATTTTAGAATAAGTGCAGTGTGGTGCTGAGAAGAATGTATATTCTGTTGATTTGAGGAGGAGAATTCTGTAGATGTCTATTAGGTCTACTTGTTGCAGAGCTGAGTTCAAGTCCTGAATATCCTTGTTAACCTTCTGTCTCGTTGATCTGTCTAATATTGACAGTGGGGTGTTAAAGTCTCCCATTATTATTGTGTGCTAGTCTAAGTCTTTTTGTAGGTCTCTAAGGATGTGCTTTATTAATCTGGGTGCTTCTGTATTGGGTGCATATATATTTAGCATAGTTAGCTCTTCTTGTTGCATTGATCCCTTTACCATTTTGTAATGGCCTTCTTTGTCTCTTTTGATCTTTGTTGGTTTAAAGTCTGTTTTATCAGAGGTGAGGATTGCAACCCCTGCTTTTTTTTTGCTTTCCATTTGCTTGGTAGATCTTCCTCCATCCCTTTATTTTGAGCCTGTGTGCATCTTTGCATGTGAGATGGGTCTCCTGAATACAGCACACTGATGGGTCTTGACTCTTTATCCAATTTGCCAGCCTTTATCTTTTAATTGGGGCATTTAGCCCATTTACATTTAACGTTAATATTGTTATGTGTGAATTTAATCCTGTCATTATGATGTTCACTGGTTATTTTGCCCATTAATTGATACAGTTTCTTCATAGCATTGATGGTCTTTACCATTTGGCATGTTTTAGCAGTGGGTGGTACCGGTTGTTTCTTTCCATGTTTAGTCCTTCCTTCAGGAGCTCTTGTAAAGCAGGCCTGGTGGTGACAAAATCTCTCAGAATTTGCTTGTAAAGGATTTTATTTCTCCTTCACTTATGAAGCTCAGTTTGGCTGGATATGAAATTCTGGGTTGAAAATTATTTTCTTTAGTATGTTGAATATTGGTGCCCACTCTCTTCTGGCTTGTAGGGTTCCTGCCAAGAGATCCGCTGTTAGTCTGACGGGCTTCCCTTTGTGGGTAACTCAACCTTTCTCTCTGGCTGCCCTTAACACTTTTTTCTTCATTTCAACCTTGGTGAATCTGACATATATGTGTTTTGGGGTTGCTTTTCTCGAGGAGTATCTTTGTGGTGTTCTCTGCATTTCCTGAATTTGAATGTTGGCCTGCCTTGCTAGGTTGGGGAATTTCTCCTGGATAATATCCTGAAGAGCATTTTCCATCTTGGTTCCATTCTCCCCATCACTTTCAGATACACCAATCGAATGTAGATTTGTTCTTTTCACATAGTCCCATATTTCTTGGAGGCTTTGTTCATTTATTTTTACTCTTTTTTCTCTAACCATGTCTTCTCACTATTTCATTAATTTGATCTTCAATCACTGATACCCTTTCTTCCACTTGATTGAATTGGCTATTGAAGCTTGTGTATGCATCATGAAGTTCTCATGCCATAGTTTTCAGCTCCATCAGGTCATTTAAAATCTTATCTACACTGTTTATTCTAGTTAGCCATTCATCTAATCTTTTTTCAAGGTTTTTAGCTTCCTTGCAATGGGTTTGAACATCCTCCTTTAGCTCTGAGAAGTTTGTTATTACCGACCTTCTGAAGCCTACTTCTGTCAACTTGTCAAAGTCATTCTCCACCCAGCTTTGTTCCATTGCTGGCAAGGAGCTGTGATCCTTTGGAGGAGAAGAAGCGCTCTGATTTTTAGGATTTTCGGCTTTTCTGCTCTGGTTTCTCCCCATCTTTGTGGTTTTATCTACCTTTGGTCTTTGATGTTGGTGACCTACAGATGGGGTTTTAGAGTAGATAAACTTTTTGTTGATGTTGATGCTATTCCTTTCTATTTGTTAGTTTTCCTTCTAACAGTCAGGTCCCTCAGCTGCAGGTCTGTTGGAGTTTGCTGGAGGTCCACTCCAGACCCTGTTTGCCTGGGTATCACCAGTGGAGGCTCAGTTGGAAATGGAGAAATCACCCATCTTCTGCATTGATCATGCTGGGAGTTGCAGACCAGAGCTGTTCCTATTCAGCCATCTTGGAATGCCACCCCCCTGCCCCCTGCCCCAACCCCATCTCTTATGTGGATGAGTTTCATCTTATTTTCAATGTCCTCATGTTGCAGAAGCTTCTGTTTAGTTCTGGGATTAAAGGGCAATTCGAGATTGTCTATTCTCTTTACACTTCAAAATGTAGACACAGGACTAGAAGTCACATTTGGGTTTCAGGAATATTTGCACAGAGACATTATTAGAAATGTCCTGCTTAACATTTTAGAAATCATCCAACTCTGTGACTTTCTCAGAGAACAGGATAAATCTATCATTAGTATTTTCTTATCTTGTCATTTTTATGCCGATATTATCACTGCAGAGTACTCATGGTAGCTGAGGTACTCCTGCATAATCACAGACCATGCATCTCTGCTCTGCATATTATCTTAATGCCAGGGACATCAAGGATCTAGTCTGTCATAATGCACTACAACTTGCTTATTAATTTACTTGCTGCAGTTCCGTTTACTTCCCCAGAGCCCTCTTTCAGTTAAGTCTTCTTGGAAGTATCAGGGACTCTTGCTCTTTAGTTCTTCTCAAATCCCTCTTTCAATTGTTTCTTTCTCTCCTCATCCATCATCGTTTTCCCTTTTACAGATAAGAACTGAAGTATTCTTATTATTTAGAAAACAGGCAAGGTTTTTCTGATTCAGTGAGAGATGAGGCCCTAGTAGTCACTTGTCTACAGTTGATCCATAACATCATACCATTGACATGAATTTCCACCTTTATAGATTTGATATCCAAAGTCAGAGGGGTTTGTCACATTTGCAATGTTTATACACAACCATCCACCTTCATATGGTTGGTGGGCTTCTCTGGGTGGCTGATGAACTGTTGCTTTAGGGTAGTATAGTAATTAACTTCTATTATTAAAACACAGATTATTGATTTCAAAGCTTAAGACTGTTTACCTTTTCTCTACTTTTCTATTCTTATTGGGAGAAAAGACAATATTGGCAATTGATGTAGGCTAGATATCAATATGTTTTCTTGGGACCATTGTGACTATGCTAAGGTTTGCTCATTCTGACTGCACTTTCCCCTTATGTATTACAGAGTAAGACTATTTCAAGCTTTAGGCATAATGGTTCCATTCTAGAAAACATAACATATTTTACATGTTCTCAACATAAATGTTTCCATGATCTCCATTTTAGAAAAATAATCTAGTATTAACTTGTCTAAAGTTTCTCTTGCATGCTAATTAGTATCCAGTAGATTTAAATAAAGGGTATTTTATTAGTGTAGAGTATAGGATATAAATGAATTTCACATATATAATATATAGAGAAGGTGATTTACACTAAAAGGCAATAAACAGATCAGTGGTTTGATATATCATCAAAGTGGTTCTTTCCTTTCTTTGTCTAGAGATAAATAGTTATAGATTGCAACTTTAATATAGAAGGGATGAAATACTCCTTGGTAAGTTGTAATTAAGATATTGTAAAACTAATTTAGACACTTTATTTATTCAACACCTATTTATTCTATATCTAATATATACCAAAGTCTTTGCTACAAAATGATGATGAAAGGTATTTAAGACATGATTTTTTCCTTGATGAGATTTATAGTTTAACAAAAAAATTACTACGGTTGCTGTGATAAAAGTGTCTAGAGGACAAAGAGGTAACCTAAATGAGGGGCTGGGTAAATTTGCTGAAGAGACCCAAAGAAGATTCCTGAGGTGCTTCGAGGAGAAGCTGATGCATTTTCTGAGTTTTACCAGCTTAGTAGACCATCAAGAAGCCATGGTATAACCGCATAGAATGAAAAGTGATCTTGATTAAATCTTAAATAAAGCAAACTACCCTGGAAGCACGAAATGTGTGCTACTGGACAAGAATATCCTTTACATTTAACAAACAAATTTAAATGTATTCACTTCTTCATTTGTCAAATTATCATGCACAACTTAAAATACCATTTAAATTGTCATATGGTGGAATAGGCTTTTGTGGTATACAGTTCAGCAAATTTGAACACGTGTTACATGTTAAACAATTAGTGTTGAACAATTAGTGTGATTACTAGCCTTGTAACTATACAGAAATATCCCATCATCCCCCACAAAACCACCCATAGTGTATTCATTCACCCAACCACTAACCTTAAGGCAATCCCTGATCTGTTCTCCATGTGTCCTCATTTCATGAACTCCTTTCTCTGTCATCTCCATTCTGTTATTGAATCCATTTAGTGATGTTAAAATTTCAATTGTTTTATATTTAGTTGTAAAATTTCCATTTTGTTCTTCTTTATTTTTTCTCCTCTTTCTCTTCCTCCTTCTTGTTCTTTTAATTTTTTTCTGATAATTTTATTTTTCTATTCATTTCATTAATGTTTATGATTGCTTATTGAGATAATTTTATAGGACCTACTTTGAAGTCTTTCTCTGATAACTTCAAGATCTATGTTATCTTGGTATTGATGTTTGTTGATTCTCTTTTTCCTTGAGAGTTGACATTCTTTGCTTAGAAGCTTTGAATCACATCCTAGTCATTATGAATATAATATTATGAGTGTATAAGTCTTGTTTAAATGTTATGGACAATGCTGATATGTTTGTTTTAGCAGGGAATCTACTTGGTTAGGTTCAGACTGCTAGTTCTAGTCCATTTTCTATCAGTTATTGTTTTATAATAAATTCAGTTTTTTAAAGCATTTATAGTGTTATTTGGATCTGTTTCCCACCTGGGATGTGGTCTCTCTCTTAATTCTTAAATTGTTTGATATTTTCACTAATGTCAGATCTACACATACACAGCTTCATAGTAACCCAGAAGTTAATACATACTTGCATAGTACTGCTTTCCTCAAATCCTCCCTCTTTGTGGTCTCCAGAAACTTCTGGTTCTCTGGGTCTCCCATTTTGAATCACATGGCCAGAAAGCTGGGCCTTTTTCATTCCTCTCTCCTGTGCCCTTTTACAAGTATACCTGCCTCTACGACAAAGCAGAGATAGGACAGAGTGAGGAAAAAAAGCAACATGTGATCACTGCAGCTTCTTCAGACCACAGTTTCAATGATGGTGAAGGAAAGCTCACCTATTTCATAGTTTTGGCTCCTGTGAGTTTCTGTTGCCACTGCTGAAGTTTTTACTAGGGGATAGAGTGCAAAAGAATAGCCCAAAAACCAGGGAAAAATACAAAAAAAGTGTTTTCTGTACTCCATTTGAACATTACATGTTTCTTTTATTAGTCCTTGAGTCAGAATTAGAGAGATGTCTTGTAGACATCTCCATCTGCACCCTGTGCCCACTTTAGATTTCAGAATTTCACTGCATCTAGGTTCAGGATATTGAAGGGTATCTGGGTTAAAACACCAAAACCAAAAAGGCATTCTCAGCACTAATTTGGCAGTATGCTGAATTCTGGTCTTTGTCTTCAATCTGCTTGCTATTACTTACTTTCCAGAGTCCTCAAAGAAGACTCAGAGATAAATATTGCATATATTTGAAATAGGATAATCAAACAATTTATTTTCTAATCTGAAAAAATATAAAATACTTTCCTGTCAGAAAATTAACTTCTGTTTAACTTGAATATCCTACATTCATTTGATATTATATTCAGAGTTCTGAAGAAGACTATTTTTGAAATTTATGCCAAAATCTTTTCACAGAGACACACAACTGATCTCTTAAAAAATCTGAGCTAAATTATGTGGCTAAATTGCTGACAGCAGCTCCTAATCTAGACAGCACATCTGCTGACCGAGAGAAAGGATGATTGGTTGAATTGACGTCTTCTTATTCTATATTAGGGTAAGGAGAATTTATAATAGTATGTGTGATCGAAACAAAAATTAGTGTTTTGGCTGATAGAATCATCATTTTAATGCTTTGCCTGAAAAGACTGATCTGGAAGCAATTTAGAGAGCTAATTTATAACCAACTTTAAAAAATAACACGTTTTCAAGACTTCCCAAATATGTACTGAATAGGGAGCTATCCAACCACTTGAATTTTCTTTAATCTCACAGTATAATCAAACATTCCCTAGTGAAACTTCACCCATGGGAGATCAGGGACACTCTTTGGAGGTCATTAGGTCAGAAATCAATGTGGAATTTTGCTGTGATCACCACATGTACCTCATGTTTGCAAGACATGTTTCAGTTTATGTGCCAGGTTGACCTTAATTGTTCCAGAACTGCAGACACCCCTAGAGAGTGAAAATCAGAAACTGCAAAAAAATATTACCAGGGGACACAGCATGTCTTGGCATGTCTGACAATAAAATGTAAAGTATTTCTCCAATAATCCTGGGATATCCAGAAACAAAAGAGATTCTTGAATATTAGGTCTTTGAATGTTAAGGTTACAGTGACAAAGTTAAGACTTAATAGACCGAGGTCTGAAACAGGGAAACCCAGTTCAAGTCCCACTATGTACCTATTGACACCAAAGCAACTGAAACCCTGTTATGAGCAATAAGACAAAGGACCTTCAAAGAGATCAGTGTTTTCAAAACATGTAGTTTGAGTTATAACTTGGTAAATTTTTGCTATATCTTTGTATAGGTTTTACCTTTTACATCTAATTTTTTTCTAAAAATGATTTTCTTTTTATTATTTTTGAATTAATAAGTCCAATTACAATACTACCATTAATTAACAAGCAGTGTTTTTATTGCTAGAGATGGTAACCATATGGAGAATTATTAAACTATATTAACTATATTAAACTATGTTGTTAAACAATGTTATAAGCTATAAAAGGAAATAAAGATAAAGAAATTCAAATGCTAATACATTTTATCTATTTATAAAATGTAATTCTAAATAAAAAAGAGAGGAATTCTGTGTCAGGGGAGATGAAGTAGATGTACTTTTTCCTATTCCTTCTGTTAACTACAACTAAAAATCCTGGACATTATACATAAAACAAACATGAGAAGAACCTGAAAATTGTTAGGATGAAAGAGCAGCTAGAAATCTCGGGACCCAGGTAATGACATATAGTGAGTTCCCTGGGTTTTCTTTTTGCCACTCATATTCCAGACTTGGAGTTGACAAAATTTGCGATGTGAAAACATCAACAAACACAAATGAACAAACAAACAAAAAGCCCAAACAAAAGCCTACTCTTTTTAGTAAAAGGATCAAGAAAAGGGCAACCTAGTAAGACAGAAAAGATCAGACAGCATCTTCTGTATTGTAGCCAAGCACTAGAGAACAACTCTGGCTCCATCTCAGCCATGTCAGCAAAGACAGTGGGGAGCCTCGACGTCTATCTACCCTTCTGAGGTTGTAACAAGATACTAGTTAATCTTGCCAGATGTTGTCAGAGGAGATCAAGTAGAGACACGGGACTTTCATCTTTTCCCACTCACTGGTAACAAGGTTCCTTTCTTCCACATTGTTAGTGGACTTCATGTGGACAGACTGGATTTGTACTCTTGCCTTGTAGTAATGAGGCATCGCTCCTCTTCCCTACTAGGTGGTATCAGAGGAGATCCAGTGGGAGTGAGAATTTTCACCATCATTCAGAGATAATGCAGCCACCCCTAGAATAATGTCAATATAAACCACATGGGAAACAAGGCCTACTCAGCCTGTCAGTAAAAGGACTCTCCCTTTCCTCAGATGTCAATGAGAGTCTTGGAATTCTACTTCGATCCTGCAGAAACAAGTTGATACTTACCCTTCTCCTGATTGAGCAGTATCAGAGAAAGTCAGATATCTAGTTATATCTAGAGTTTCATAACATAATACAAAAATGTTCAGGTTTCTATAAAAATCACTTGTTATAATAAGATCTATGACAATTTCAAATGGAATGATAAGACACAATAGAAGCCAATAGAGAAATGAAGTAACAGAGATGTTACAATTATCTGGCAAATAATTTAAAGCAGCCATGATAGAAATGCTTCAATGAACAGTTATAAACAAGATTAGAACAAATGGAAAATGGGAAAGCCTTAGGAAGGAACAGAAAATGTCAGCAAAGAAATAGAAGATATAAAGAAGAATAAGTGGAAATTTTAGAGCCAGAAAATAGAATGATCAAAATACAAAGCTCAGTGGATGGTCTCAACAGTGTAACCATGGAGTTAGAGAAAAGAATCAGTGCATTGGAAGATAGTTTGATCGGACCAACAGAGTGAAAATAGAGGAGAAGAAAATGAACAGAGTCACAGGGACTATAACAATAGATCTAATATCCATTTCCCCAGCAGCAAGAAGTAGAGAGAAAAAAGAAGGATAAGGATGAAAATCAAAATGGCCGAAAATCTCCCAAGTTTGACAAGACATACAAAGCTACAGATTCAAGAAACTGAGTGAGCCACAAAAATATAAATCAGAAGATATTTATGCTAAGACACATCATAATTAAACTGTAAAACCTGAAAACAAATAAATATCTTGTGTGCAGCCAGAGAAAAATAACATCTTGTTTGTAGGGTACAACAATTCAAAAGGCAGTGGATTTCTCCTCAGAAACTGGAGGCCAGAGAAAGTGGCATAATGTTTTTCAAGAACTGAAATAAAATAACTGTCAACTCAATTTTTGTATACAGTGAAAATATCCCTCAGGAATAAAGGGGAAATCAAGACATTTTCGGATGAAGAAAAACAAAGAATTTGTCATCGATAGTACTACTATAAAAGAATGGCTAAAGAAATATTCCCAACAGAAATGAATTTATAAAAGTATAAACCTTCAAACAACAGAAAAGAAAAAAGAAACTGGTACCACAAAAATAGGTACATACAATGAGCTTTCTCCTCTTTGAAGCAAAAATTATTACACAGTCCGATGTGGTTCTAAATTCATGCAGAGAAAATATCTAATAAAATAATAAATGGGGGAAAGAAAAAAAGACTTAAAGGAGTTAAAGTTATATTTCATTTGAACAGGTAAAATAATGACATAAGTGGGCCAATTATGCATATATGATGTATTACCACGAGATATACTCAAAAACACTATGGATCAAAATGGAATTGTAAAAATGTTCAGCTAACTCAGATGAAGGCAGGAAAAAGAAAACAAGAGAAACAAAAAGCAGAAAACAAACAGAAAACAAAAAATGCCAGGCTTAAGCCCAAATACATCAATAATTACGTTAAATATAAATTTTCTATGTAAACCGATTATAATCCAGAGACTGGAAGAGGGAGTTAAAAAAATAAACATAATACAACTATGTGCTGTCTTATAAAAAACTTGGCCAGACGCAGTGGCTCACACCTGTAATCCCAGCACTTTGGGAGGCTGAGGCAGGTGGATCACGAGGTCAAGAGATCCAGACCATCCTGGCTAACATGGTGAAACCTGATCTCTACTAAAAATACAAAAAATTAGCCGGGCGTGGTGGCGGGCGCCTGTAGTCTCAGCTACTCGGGAGGCTGAGGCAGGAGAATGGATGGCGTGGACCCGGGAGTCAGAGCTTGCAGTGAGCCAAGATCGTGCCACTGCACTCCAGCCTGGGCAACAGAGCGAGACATTGTCTCAAAAACAAACAAACAAACAAACAAACAAACAAACAAAAACTTCAAATATAAGGCTGTAAGTAGGCTGAAAATGAAAGAATGCATAAAGATGTATTATGAAAATTGTAACCAAAGGAAAGCAGCAATAGCTATATTAATATCATATAGACTTCAGAGAGAATATTTTCAATGAGAGAGGGGGAATTGTAGAAGATAAATGGGTTACTCAATGAAGTTATAGCAATACTGTGTATGCACCAATCAGCAGAGCTGAAACATAAATAAAAACAAATAGAGCTGAAAGGAGAAACAGATAAATCCACAGTTAGAATTGGAGACATCAAAACCCCTCTCTCAACAATTCATAGAACAGCTAGACAGAAAATCAGCAAGGATATAGAACTCAACATCAGCAAGAAGATTTCATAAAAATGTGTAGAACACTTCATCCAATAGCAACAGAATTCACAATTTTTGAGTGCTCATGAAACATATACCAAAATAGAGAGTTTCGTGGAATATAAAACACATGTATAATGATTGCCATCATAGGTATTGGTTAAAAAAGATAAATATTACAGTAGTCCCCCCTTATCTGCAGTTTTCTGTCTATAATTTGTTACCTGTGGTCAACCATGGTCCAAAAATATTAAGATACTTAGAGAGAAAGTGACAGAGGTCACATTACTTTTATGAAAGCATATTGTCATAATTGTATTATAATTATTCTATTTTATCATTATTGTTGCTCTCTTTCTATACTTAATTTACAAATTAAACTTTTTCACAGGTTTGGATGTATAGAAAAAAAGCATGATATTTATAGGGTTCACTACTGTCTGTGGTTTCAGGTATCCACTGAGGGTCTTAAACATATCCCATCCAGAAGGGGACTAATCTATGTTGTATTTTACACAATAATAAAAACAGAAACTCTACAATGCTAGTAAAACTGTAGTACTGCTTTAGGCTGATAAAGAGTATTTACAAAAATATTTGACATTTAAAAGTTAGGAAAGCGGTTGAACTTTGGGAGTCGTAAATGGAAGGGGTTAAGTGAACAGATTAAGGAGGGCTGCTTCTCACTTGGGTTCCTATAAATGTTTTCAGTTTATGAGAATTAATCAAACTGTACAAATATTATATGTAAACTTTTCTCGATGTATAATATGCTTCAATCATAAATAATAAATATAACAAATAAACTAAATCTTCTTTTCACAAAGTATACTTTCTGACTACCATAGATTCAAAGCACATCAGTAATAGAGAGATAACAGCTAAATCTCTAAATACTTGGAAACTAAACAGCACACTTGTTAATCATTCACAAGTCAAAGAGGGGGTCTCAAGGAAAATTTTTTAAAAATGTAATACATAGAATAAAAACAAAAGTGCAATTTTTCAAATTTGTGGGAGAAATCTAGAGCAGTGCTAAGAGGAAGTTTGTAGCACTGAATGCATATATTATAAAAAAAAGAAAATTCAAAATCAATAATCAATGCTATCCCTTTAGTACCTAGAAAAAGAAGAAGAAAATATCTGTAGCAAGAAGGAAGTGATAAAGATAAAAGTAGAATTCAGTAAAATTAAAAACAGAAAAACAACGCAGAAAATCAATTAAGCAAGAAGCCATTTTTTGCAAATATTAACAAAATTGACAAGCCTCTAATGAGAATGATGAAGACAAAAAGAAGACACAAATTTCTAACACTGAGAATGAAACATGGGATATCAGTATAAATGTGCAAATATCAGAAACATAACAAATAAATACTATGAGAAACTACACACATAAATGGTACAATTCCTAAAAAAACACAAAACACCAAAACTCAAACAATATAAAATAGATGGTTATGTCATTCGTTTATGAAAATGAATGTATTATTTTTGTACTTTCAAAAATGAAACCTCTAGGCCTACATGGTTTTCCTGAAAAAGTCTCTCAAGTGTTTAAAAAAGAATGATCAGTAATCCTACATATTTTCTTCTGGAAAATAGAAGAATGGACATTTTCCAGTTGATTTTATAAAACCTATCTTCATATCAAAGCCAGAAGAAGACAGTACAAAGTAAGAAAACTACAGAACAATATTAATTATAAATATAGGTGAAAAATGATTTAATAAAATATTAACAAATGAAATTTAGCACTCTCTCTCTCTCTCTCTCTCTCTCTCTCTATATATATATATATATATGTATAATTATAAATAGTGACCAATTGGAATTTATTCACTAATGAAAGCTGGTTCAATATTCAGAGTTAATTGAAGCCAGGCACAGTAGCTCATGCCTGTAATCCCAGCACTTTCAGAGGCCGAGGCAGCAGATCATTTGACGTCAGGAGTTCAAGACCAGCCTGGCCAACGTGGTGAAACCCGTCTCTACTACAAATACAAAAATTACTGGGCATGGTGGTGCATGCCTGTAGTCCCAGTTACTCAGGAGGCTGAGTCAGGAGAATTGCATGAATTCAGGAGGCAAATGTTGCAGTGAGCTGAGATTACACTATTGCACTCCAATCTGGGCAACACGGGGAGACTCAGCCTCAAAAAAAAAAAAAAAAAAAAAAAAAAAAAAAGAAGTTAATTGATAAAATTCACTATATTAAGAGGCTGAATAAAACTAATCACACAATTATGTGGAAATGTATATGAATATGTGAATGTATATGTAGAGAAATGTGTATGTGTATGTAAATGTAAATGTAGAGAATGTATGTAGAGTATGTAGAGGATGTAGAGAGTATCTAACAAAATTCACCACCTACTCATGATAAAAACTCTAAGAATTTTTAGAAATAGTAGAAATTGAAGGGAATCTCTCTCAAATTGATAAGGAATATGTTTTTACAAACTTTCACTAATGTTTTCCTTAATGATGAATGCTGTCCTTTTAAAATTGGGCATAAGACCTGGATGTTTGATCTCATTATTCTTATTCAATACAGTGCTGGATGTTCTAGTGAGTCCAATAATCAAAAAAGGAAACAGAGAAATACAGATAGATAAGGAAGAAATAAAACCATCTTGCATAGAAGACTTACTTGTCTATATAGGAAATCCCAAAGAATAAAAAACAAACAAACAAACAAAAACCCCTAGAACTAGTGAGTTCAGCAAAGTTGTAGGATACAAGATAAACATACAAAAATCAATCATATTTTTATATATTTGCAGTGATGCAATAAGCATGTGTTTACCATTTTTTTTCCCACCGAGATGGAGTCTTGCTCTGTCGCCCAGGCTGGAGTGCAGTGGCATGATTTCTGCTCACTGCAACATCTGCTTCCCAGGTTCAAATGATTCTCCTGCCTCAGCCTCCCAAGTAGCTGGGATTACAGATGCCCCCGTCACCCCTGGCTAATTTTTGTATTTTTAGTAGAGACGGGGTTTTACTCTTTTGGCCAGACTGGTCTCGAACTCCTGACCTCAAGTGATCTGCCTGCCTTGGCCTCCCAAAGTGCTGAGATTAGAGGCGTGAGCCACCACGCCCAGCTGTTTACCAATTTAAAAAATGTAATACAATTTAAAGTTGCCAAAAACAAGAAAGAATTATGGATAAATCTAAAAAAATACAGAATTTGTTGTTGAAAGTTACATAAAGTTGATGGAAGAATTAACAAAAGATATAAATTACACATTCCAAGATCATGGACTTGAAGGCTAAAGATAAGAAAGATGTGAAACATCAATTCTTCCCAAATTGATATGCAATTTTACCTCAATTCTTATCAAAATCTCTGCAAGATGTTTTGTACACAATACTATTCTAAAGTTTAAATGGAAAGTCAAAAAACTAAAATTAACGCAAGTTTGAGAAAGAATAAAGAAATCAGTCTTCTTAACCTGAATATTTATTAAATTTCCTACAGTAACTTAGACAGCATGGTCTGGTGGGGGGGTACACCCACATATATTTATAGAGCAGAATAGAGATCCCACACATATATGCCCAGTGAATTTTTGACAAAGATGAAAAATCAATTTAATAGAGGAAAGACATTCTTTCTAACAAATGATGCTGGAACAATTGGACATCCAGAGGGTAAAAGTAAACTTCACCTAAACATTATACCTGATCAAAATTAAATAAAACACCGACTTAAATGTAAAATATAAAACTGTGTCTTCAGGAAAAAAAAAGTAAATTTGGTCAATTTAGGTCTATGCAAACAGTTTTTAGCCTTGGCATCAAAAGCATAATTGATAAAAGAAAAAAAAATTGACAAGTAGAAGTAGACAAGCTACAGAGTGGGAGAAAATATTTTCAAGTCACTTATTCAACAAAGAATTACTCTCTAGGATATAAGTACTTTAAAAATTATTTTAAAGAATTACTCTCTAGGATATAAGTACTTTAACAACTCAACAATAATAAGTTTTAGAAAATAGGCTAAAGTCATGAAGTTTTAGAAAATACGCAAAAGTCATGAAGTGACATTTCACCAAAGAGAATATACAATGGTAGATAAGCACATGATGATGAGTTCAACATCATTAGCCAAAAATAACAAATTATAACCACAATGAGATATTACTACATGTGTGTCAGAATGACTAAAATAAGAAATGGTGGTTTAACTCTAGACTGATAATTTTCTTTGCACCCAGCTTCTGGTTCTGATCTCTTCTAGGTTTTCCTTTGATGGTGCATGCATTTCTTTGGTATATTGTTCTTGCATTTCAGTATTCTACTCTAGGTAGTTTTTTCCAGTGGTGAATGTTCACACTTATCTAGCTATAAATAGAAGTAGAAAGGTAATAGGAATCAAAATTTGGTGTTGAATAGAATGTGTACTATCCTGTGACTTGATAAAGGAATTTCTCCACTCCGCAGAGGATGAGCCATTTCAGCCTGTAGGCACATGGGGTACCCAGAGTGACATTGTCTTTCCAAATAACTAAACCCTAGCCCTCTTTGAGGTTAGAAAGACACATGAAAGCAGGCAAGAACAATGAATTCTCAAACATGACAAGTTTTACAAATGTTACAAGAATGACAATTGTTAAGAAAAATATTTTTCCTCTTTATAATGGGATTTTATTGGCCAGGAGGAGAGTTAGTCACCCTCTTGGAGTAGAGTTAACATGATTTTTGCCTAGGAATCCATTAGCATGGCTTCCCAAAAGAAGGTATGAATGGTCTTTGGTGAGCTTTGGAATTCTGGATTTCCTGTCAATGTCATGGAAACATTTGGCTGCAATCCCATCCATGGAATGGTGGGAATAATTTCAAGCTTTCAGCCTAACAGATGTTCCCCAAGGCAAGAAAATACATTGGCGGTCAGCAGACACTAAGGAAATTAAAGCATGAGCATGATACTTGCCCTTTCTCTCTCTAATATTATTGTGTTTCTTTGCAACTTCTGCCACTACTGTCATCATCTTTACCCCTGCCTCTGCTAGGGGTTGCAAGAAGCTTAAGTGTTGTCAGTGCATCTTGTTTTTCTTGAGAGGCCTCCAATTAAGCTAATAGAGGAAAAGTGGATATCAGAGAGCTAGACTTGGTGGAAAGGGTGAGCTCTTATAGACATGGATGGAGACTGTAATATAAGAAGAATTTGAAATGAAACATTCTGATTTCTAGCATCTTGACCCTCTGCCCCTCATTTAATTTTTACTTCTAAAGTGTTGATGTGTGCCTTCTGTTGGCAGTTCTGCTCTCTATCTCTGGCCCTATTTAGACAAAACTACTAATGATGTATGTGCTAGAAAAATTGAAAAAAAAAAAAAAACTACTGGAGAGCGATTGAGCTGCCAGGTGCATCTGGTCCTGCCACTGAGCACAGCTGTGTGCGACAATTACCTGTGATCACTAAGTTCAGCTGTCAGTCAGTTGGCTTAGTTTACATTAACAATCTGAATGTGTTAAGATTTCACTTTGATCCATAATCATTTCAGATGAACTTGAATCTTGCTTTTCATTTGCTATAAATTTTGACCCTTCAAATATTGCTACAGATACTGCTAACATTATATAGTGTTTATATAGTCCTTTAATTGACTTAGTTCTTACAACACCTGAATAAGGCAAAGTAGGCATTATCTCCATTTTTCATGGCATCATGGCAGGAAACTAATGTGACTATAACTGTGCCATTTTATTCAATGTCCAATGCTTGTTCCATTCTTTTATGCTGTTGTCTGCTACTGGTTGTATATGTGGATTAGTAGCTGTTTTGCTTTGAGGGTTAAATGCGAATCTTCATAAACCTAAGAAATAGGTATTATTGCCCCTCATGTGCTTTTTTTAAAGGCTAAAGTGCTTCAAAGATACCTCTTTAAACTCACTTATTCCAAAACAATTGTTTTTCTGGTATGGGACTCACAATTTGTTTTTCTTGTCTCTTTCTCATTAGGAGAAATTATGTGCTTGGGAGAAAAAATGCCCATGGATAATAAATCTGATAAAATTGAAGTACCAAAGGACTGACCTCATACTGAAACTCTGTTGGGCATAGTCTTATAGCCTTTGGAAATGTCACAACAAGGTTCTTGAAAAGTAACTCTTCATATGGCTGTGAACTCTGAGCTTGCTATATGTTTGAAGCCACATGAAGGTTCTTTGTGGGATGTGGTACCCTTCCAAGAGAAAGGGTAAATATTTTGGTCTGGGCCTGTATCCTGGCTCTATTATTTACTCACTGTGTGACTTTGGTGAAGTTATTGAATTTTCATGCCTGAGTTTCCTGATGTGCAGTGTGGAACTTGCAATAATAGCTAACATAGGGTTAAGAGGATTCAAGGAGATAGTACATTTCAGTTATTCAGAACAATGGCTAGACACTCAGTAAGCATTAGCTATATTGTTACCAATCTTTGGTTTCTGCTCACTGTTTGGAAAATAATTTTTTAGTTCATTTCCTAAGATTTTGGTAGTATCTATTGATTTTAAGATGATAATTTCTTTTTTAGAAATAATTAAATAACATTACAGAAAATCAGTGGACAAATAGTATAGCAGAAACAAAATTATGATCATGGCTTTGTGCAGAGATCACTGGATTTGAAGTCAGTCAAATTTTCTTTCACTTATCTATATGTTCTTGGCTATTTAAATAACTCGAGGCTCTAGCTTTATAAGATGGAGATAGTAACACCTTACCTCCTCTCTGGTTATTGTAGTGCTCTAAGACTCTGTTCAAGAAATGGCTTTGTAAGTGTCATATCACAATAAGAAGACTGTTTGTTATGATTCATATTAAGATAAAGCTGAAGGGAAAGATAGTTATTTGATGATGAAGTTTGTTCTGGATTCTGAAAAATGAGCCACATCCTTACCTATGTAAGTTCTGGCCTGGAGACTTTATTTCCTAGACTGTGTGAAACCCAAGAGTTCTCTAATGGCTCACTGAAATGCTACATTGATTTCTTGAGTGTAAAGGGAGACTTGAGTATATTAAGGCCAGGCTATCTATTTTAATGGTTGAAAATTAGAAGGTAGAGAGCAGACTAATTTAAAATGCTGTTTTCTGTTTTTGCTCTGCCTCTTGTGATGTGTGCAACACGTGACTTAAAAAGGCTGGTAGTCCATAGTTGCAGTCTCCCTTCTTTTGTCTTTTTTTCCCTTCTCTCCCTTTCTTTCTTCCTTCCATCCTTCCATCCTTTGTTCTTTCCAAGCTTTCTTTTAATGAGTAGTATGGAATGGAATGGAGGATGTTTATTTCATTTTGTGATTTTTCCAGACTGTTACCTATTTTAATATTTCTATTTGAAAAAATCAATTAATACATTAGCAAATTCTTACTGAATACCTACTATGCTAAGTATCAAGGGAATAAAATGGAAACACAAGATAGTCCTTATCCTCCAGAGCTTGATGTAACTAGCAACAAAGACTACCCACTAATGGTAGACTGAATTTGTAAAAAAGGTGGTACATATACACCATGGAATACTATGCAGCCATGAAAAAGAACGAGATCATGTCCTTCGCTGTAACATGGATGGAATTAGAGGTTATCATCCTTAGCAAACTAACACAGGAACAGAAGACAAAATACCACATAGTTTCACTTATAAGTGGGAGCTAAATAATGAGAACACATGGACAAACAAATAGAAAGGAACAACAGACACAGAAGCCTACTGGAGGGTGGAGGATGGAAAGGAGGGAGATGATCAGGAAAATTAACTAATTGGTACTAGACTTAATACCAGGGTGATGAAATCTGTACAACAAACCACCAGGACACGAGTTTACCTATATAACAAATATGCAAATATACCCCGAACTTAAAAACTAAAAAGGAGACTTTTTTTGTACAGATTACAGATCATTTTTAGTATTTATTTCCTTATAATCTTGGAATTACCTTTTTAATAATGATATTAGTAGCACAGCTTAAGACTCAGAGAATCAGGGAACACAGACATTTAATAATTAATGACAGCTGGGCATGGTGGCTCATGCCTGTAATCCCAGCACTTTGGAAGGCCACAGTGGGCAGATCACCTGAGGTCAGGAGTTCAAGACCAGCCTGGCCAACATGGTGAAACGCTGTCTCTACTAAAATTACAAAAATTAGCCAGGCGTGGTGGCACACACCTGTAATCCCAACTACTTGGTAGGCTAAGGCACGATAATTGCTTAAACTGGGGAGGCAGAAGTTGTAATAAGACAAGATCACTCCACTGCACTCCTGCCAGGGTAACAGAGTGAGACTCTGCCTCAAAAAAATAAATATATAAATAAAATAATTAATGACAAAAGTAAGTATTGTGATAAAGGAAAATATAGATTATGAGAAAGTATTATAGGTAGATCTGTCATAGTCTTGAGAGGAGCAGGACTTATGTGGTCATGAGAATATGGAAAGACTCCAGCAAGAATTGACTTCAAGATTTATAATTAAACCAGTGGGACCATATTAGATTGGGAGAACATTCCAGACAGAAGAAAGCCCATGTGCAAGGACCAGGAAGTGAGACAGCATTTGACTTTTTCAGGGAACAGAAAGAAGTCCATGACAGCTAGAGTACGGATAACAAGGGGAAGAGCAACAAAAAGTTATGCTGGTAAAATAGTCCTGGATCAGATCATGCAGAGCGTTGCAAATTGTGCAGATTTCTTTTAGATTTTACCTTAAGGGTAATGGGAAATCATTGAGAGGTTTGAGACAAAGGGGGACATGAGTTTAAAATACCATGTGACTATAAAATACTGTATTTGTGATAAAATGTTTGAGGGCCTGCTGGGTAGGGATCTGCTTACTTAGGATAGAATCTGATTATTTTGTTGGGAACATGGAGGAGACTAACACTAAGAATTGGTAGGATTTCTAATTTGATAATTTAGAGCAAAGGATTCTAAAGAGAAGAAATAATATGTGCCCAAGGAATAAGAAAAAACAGCATCAGTTCAATGCTACTACAAACGAATAGGGTGCAATGTGAGAGAAGGATTCATAGCAGATGCATTTGTTTCTGGGCTTGGCAGGTGACAATTCCCAGATGATCTGAATCATGAGGCAGAGGATCTTAATGCACCTCTTGATTTGTCAGCATCAGCATAGCAGTGTGGTGGGCTGGATCTTGAAGATGGGGGCTGTCCGTAACTTTGCTCTGGGAAACTAGGGAAAATGGTCTGGCACACTGGGGCAAAATAATAAGGCTTTGATAAGACAATAAAAGAGATCTGGGGATGGGGGAGATTTTAAGCCACAATCAAAATGTCATAACCACGAAGAATAGATTGATTAGGTGGACTACATTAAAATGACAAGTTTATGTCCATCAAGAGATATCATTAATGAGTGAAAAAGAAAGCCATACAATGGGAGAAGATACTTGCAACATGTAAACTGACAAAAGGCTTTCATTCAGAATACATACAGAATGCCTACAAATCAGTAAAGAAACAAACAACCCAATACAAAAATGGGCAAAAGACTGTATTCTTTTGCTACATTATCTTTATTCATTTTATTTATCTATAGTGTTCTGTTGCATGGACTCACCATAATTATTCTAATGTTGATGGACTTGTTGGTAATTTCTCACATTTGGCTATGAATCTTTCCATTAACATTCCAATGCATACCTCTTGGTGCATAAACACCTTTTTTGTGGCATGTATATCTGGGAGAAGCACTTAAAAATGGGTCCACTGAACATACGAAAAGTTACAAACTGTATTTGTAATATTGGAAATATAAATTAACTCATAATAAGTTCTTATTCTGTGTTGTAATTAAATACACCCATAATACCATGTATGAGTAAATATTTGATGTGAAGATAAATATCATATTCCATTTGTCAGAGTTTAAATGGGTATAATGATTTTGGAAAATAGTTTTACATTATCCACTAAAGTTGAGAGTACACATGCCTTCTGATCCTGGGTGAGGGAGTGATTGGAAGGGGCATAAATGAAGTACTAGAAATATTCTGTTTATTGATAATAGTTGGTGGTTACAAAGGCATTCCTTCTGTCTCAATGCACCAACATACATTTATGTTTGTTTAATTTCTGAATGTGTTATACTTAAAAAAATTTAAATATAACAATATCATGCCTTGTAAGATCATTTTCCAGAGTTATGTCACTTACTTGAGTTCCCAGATTATATTTTAATCTGGGAACTTCTAATTTTTGGACAGATGAGTTGGACAGATGGATCAGAAGTTCTGCAGCTGAGGTTTTCTATACATCAGGGTTCTCTTTGTAACAATTAATGAAGGATTTCAAAATACTAGCAATGCTTTAAAAAAACTTATTAGTAATTATATTTAAACATTTTTATACTACATAGTCTAACATAAAAATATTTCATTTATTCTTGCCTGATGTAATATTAGCTCAGTTTATATATACTGCACTTAATTATTTGTTTCAGAATTTTTTGACAAAAATCTGAAAAAATTATTAATGCACTGTTTGGTAGGCAGTATTCTCTTAGAAGTGACTTTCATAGATGAAAATAATGAAAGGTGTTCTTAATGGCAAAAGACTGCAAATTTTGGAACTGGGTGATCTCTATAGTTTCTATAGTGCTAAAAATTCTCAGTTACTTCTTAGGATAGGGATGGTGGGAAGTGAAGCAAAGAAATGTATTGTGATGTTATAGAGAAATAATAGAAAAACTGCTTTCAAGACACCTATTACAAAATGAAGCCAAAGAAAAATCATCAAATTTACAAGCAATTTTTCCATGCATATAAATGTTGTGAAACGACACGCATGTCAATTCATTTAGCAAATTATTTTTAAAGCTGTAAAATCTACACATTTTCTAAAATTAGTGTATTCTAAAAACTTTAATGAAAGTTGCACACATTTCAATAGCTGTTGCTTAATTAGCACAAAAAACTTCTCCAGGTTAGCACAATGGAAAAAAAAAAAGAGCACACTCAGTAAAATACAACTCAGAAGCAAAGAAAGTAGAAGAAAATGAAGAGTTAGACAAAACACTTCCATATTATGTACATTTCTATTGTTTTACTCACCTCTTCAATCACTTTCCCTTGAGGCATCTTAACTGGTGGCACTGCCTCTCTGTATTAATATTCATACTCAATGAATGCCTTCTTCATCTTCCCATAGTGTGAATGACAGTGAGTTTGAAAAAGAGAGAGAGCAAGAGTGAGAGCAAGAGCAAGAGAGCACAAAAGTGAAGAAAGAGTAACTGGGATTTAATGATTACAACAAATAACACATTTAAACAGTACATTTGTGAAGTATCTAAAAATTCCCCACCAACTGGATGTCAACTATGATCTGATAAAACAACACCCTTCCAATTTTTAGAAAAATAGTTCAACCTTAAGTTTGACTTAGGACTGAACAATGTGTGTGTGTGTGTGTGTGTGTGTGTGTGTGTGTGTGTTGGTATAAATGTTTATTTTATTAGAAGGTAAACTCCTGGAGATTGGAAATTCTTGCTCAATGTTTTATCTCCCACCACTTTTGCAACAGTGATTTGCCCATTGTTGATTCTCAGTGTTTGTACACTGAATTGAGTTGAGTCCAGATGAATACTGAATTCCAGTTGTTTGTTTCAGGAAAGGATAATTAATAGTTTAAACTTGATTCTGATTATACATTTATATGAACACCCTGTGCTTCAGTTGTATGTTCCAGACCAAAAGATAAAATGAAAAAAAAAAAGATGTATGCTGCATGTCTGGGTTTGTGCCAAATGAAATTCAAATAAACTTAGAAATCCAAACATTTTATTTTGCTGTTAGCCACTAGCAGAGTTAATCAGTGCATGGAATCTTAATGAAAATAAGAGTACCTATGCAAATAATGGAAACAGAGTTCTTAATGATTCTTGTTTGTCTGGAATATTAGAATTTAGAGCTGACATGGCCTGGCGTGGTGACTCACGCCTGTAATCTCAGCACTTTGGGAGGCTGAGGCAGGCGGATCACGAGGTCAGGAGATCGAGACCATCCTGGCTAACATGGTGAAACCCCGTCTCTACTAAAAATACAAAAAATTAGCCAGGCGTGATGGCAGGTGCCTGTAGTCCCAGCTACTCAGGAGGTTGAGGCAGGAGAATGGTGTGAACCCAGGAGGCGGAGGTTGCAGTGAGCTGAGATTGGGCCACTGCACACTCCAGCCTGGGTGACAGAGCAAGACTCCATCTCAAAAAAAAAAAAAAAAAAAAAAAAAAGAATTTAGGCTGATTCATACAATTTAAATACATACATAATGCATAGTATTCATAACTGTCTTTATGATATTTATTTTAATATTAATTAGGTTGAAAGCTATTATTTAAAACTAACAAAAACTCAAAAATATTATAAGTAACATTTATCAATAAGCTCAATAAGCCATTTTACATCACCTTCTATGTGAAACATACTGTACTAGGTACAACCCTTTAACATAAATCCTTAAGAAATATTAATAGTTCCATCCTTGAATAAGTTTGCAGTGTGGTGTGTTATATGCGCCAAAACAACAACAGCAATAACATAAAAATGACAGTATCATTATGACAAGTATAATGAATGGGAAATCTCCAGCTTTTTTCTCATGTGTTCTTAATATTACCCTGAAATTTTCAAAATATTACAGACTGTTAAGGATCTGCATGTTGTTTTTTGCCTACATTGTTTGTTGATGCTTGTTGACACAAAAATAATGATGAATAATATTAAAACTCAATCTCTTATTAAGATAAATTTGCAAAGTAAGACAAGTTGTTTATAAGGTGAGAAAAATAACATTTTACCCAGAAACCTCCAGTGAGCTATAATTGAAAAAGGAATTAAAGCTCAGGCCAGGCACAGTGGCTCATGCCTGTAATCCCAGCACTTGGGAGGCCGAGGTTGGTGGATCACCTGAGGTCAGGAGTTCGAGACCAGCCTGGTCAACATGGTGAAACCCCATCTCTACTAAAAATAGAAAAAATTAGCTGGACGTGGTAGCGGGCGCCTGTAATCCCAGCTACTTTGAGGCAGGAGAATTGCTTGAACGTGGGAGTTGGCGGTTGCAGTGAGCCGAGAGCACGCTACTGCACTCCAGTCTGGGCGACAGAGCAAAACTCTATCACAAACAAAGAAACAAAAAACCTCAAAGAAGGTGGCTAGTAAATATAAACAAATGATGTGTTTTACTTTCAGATAAGAAGTGTTGTAATTATACAGTTATGCTTTAAATAGTTTCATATATACATGCATTCATACACTTCATATTCTATTTACGAAATGTCTATAGTCTCATCTCACAAATAATGTACTTATTTTGTAATTTTCTTGATCCATAAAGATGTTGCAGATGTTTCAGTGAGTTAGAAAATAAGGTACAATATACCCCATTTACAAATAAATGCTTACAGTAGTTTTTTTTTAACCCAATAGTCATAAAACACAGCATTATAAGCTAATTGTTTTCATTTTCTATCCAGTTTACTGTTTAGTAGATAGTTTAATTCATTATTTCAAATAACAATGTGATTACCTAGTGTTCTAGAGTTATATTTAAAAGAAAATATTCCTTCCCTACTCATATGAATGGAGAAAGTAAAACTAAAATACCTACATTTCATCCAGATGAGGAGAAAGGAGTGTATTCCTAGCACAAGCAGACTTTATAGATATTATTGTTATTGACAAAGTACAGTGCATAGAGAAGGGATTGGCCATGGTTCTGCTAGTAAGATTGGTCACGTTATCTGTTCAAGGGAAAGACAGAAGTTTTACCAAACTTTTCTGGCACAACAGCAGCATAAAACAAAAGGTGTGCTTGATAACTTCAAAATATTCTCTGGACTATATAAAAAAATTTGATGCAGTCATAAATCTTTTTGTAACATTTAGAAGTTATGAATTTCCCCTCCTTAGCACATGTAATGGATCAATATTTCTAAAGCATATTCCTAACAACCAAATGTTTCCTAGAAATTAAAATATAGACATATACCTACATTCTAAAAATTGAACTATAATAAAAGTGTGCCATCTTAATTATTAATAATGGCCTAAAAGGCATCATCTAAGTAGGAGACTAATCTCCTATGCCAATCACTACTATACTTTGCTGTTTTCCTTTCGTTTCTTTGTATTTCCTCATAGTAAATAACCTGGAGCCAGTTCAAACCTGGTATCCAGTTACTATCGACTGAATTGCATTTATTGAAGACTCATTTTAGACAATTGCAAGATGAAGCTTTTGAGAAATGATGAAGAATCTCGGATACTCTAGTGTACTAAAGAGAAAGTATGCTCTTAAAATGTTCAACTTGTTTTGTCTTGTTTATATATCCGTAATTTCCCACTCACTTCCAAAGATATGTAACGTTAAATTTTTTTTGGTAACTGTTGACCAATGAAAGAAATTACTATTAAGAAAGGTATTTGGAAAAAGCATTTGAAAAAAATTAAACATCCCTTCATGATAAAAACCTTCAAAAAACTGGGCATATGGCAGGGCATGGTGGCTCACGCCTGTAATCCCAGCCCTCTGGGAGGCCAACGCGGGCGGATCACGAGGTCAGGAGATCGAGACCATCCTGGCTAACATGGTGAAACCCGGTCTCTACTAAAAATACAAAAAATTATACGAGCGTGGTGGTGGGTGCCAGTAGTCCCAGCTACTCGGGAGGCTGCGGCAGGAGAATGGCGTCAACCCAGGAGGAGGAGTTTGCAGTGAGCCAAGATCGCACCACTGCACTCCAGCCTGGGTGACAGAGGGAGACTCTGTCTCAAAAAAAAAAAAAAAAAAAAAGAAAAAAAGAAAAAAAACCCTGGGCATATAAGGAACATACCTCAACATAATAAAAGCCATGTACTACAGACCCACAGCTAGTATCATACTAAATGGGAAAGAACTGAAAACTTTTCCCCTAAGATCTGGAATGTGACAAGGTTGCCCACTTTCACCACTGTTATTCAACATACTACTGGAAGTTCTAGCTAGAGTAATCAGACAGGGGATAGACATAAAGCATCCAAATTGAAATCGAAGAAGTCAAATTATTCTTGTTTGCAGATGATATAATCTTATATTTGGGGAAACCTAAAGACTCCAACAGGAAAAGGTTATTTGTTTGGTAGTCCCTGTTCCACAAAAGTGGAAATACTCTCAGGATCTCTGTCAACTCATCTTGCTAAGGTATTATCTTTGATGTATTCCTGATGATCACATCTGTCAATATGCTGAGCCCAATTAAATCATTTCTAAATACATAAACTCCTATTTGTAACCTCCTCAATCTAATTATTCATATTTAACATTTAGAAGGCCTCCTTGATATCCCTGCAACATCTTGAATAATGCCTTACACAAAGCAGTAAGAAATAAGAAGCGTTTCTTGAACAATACTTTACTTCTTGCAAATAAAAGCAAATATATTTATATTCAGGGTATTAGACCTTCAACCATGATGCAGATTGGGACATCATCATCAAAGTAGACATTGTTACTTATCATGTATTTTTCCTTATTTTTCCTAGGATGCTCACCATCGACAGTTATATGAGTCAGTTTCTTCAAAAGATTTGTGATCCCTGAGAGATAATTCAGAAAACTATATAACTGAATATTCTTCAGTAGTTACTTTGTTTTTTTTTTCCTTCAATAACAAGAGTTTGTGTAAATTTATCATTTGGCACCTAAAATGATATAAATCTGTCTGTGATGAGAAGGGTGTGAAACATTTGGACATAAATGATTTATTCCTGTTGTGTTCTCTGTAATGGTGAGAACTTGTCATCAAAAGGTCTGAAGTGAAAATCACCAGTGGTGGCTGCAAGACTGCGGTGTGTTAAGTTTTATATTTGCATTTTTCGTGAGTTTTATGAAAGATGGAGTTTGCTATCTATGTGTTATGTTAGCTCATTATTATGTGACCTCAAACTCTCTAAGAGCTTTGCCTATTGTAGGGATCTCAATAAAATTCAGATGTTGCCAATTATTAAAACTCACTGGAGAATACATTTTTAAAGCATGTATATCAACATGTATTAATTAAAATCAGAATACTTTGTCATTATTATTTTATTCTCCTGATTTGCAATCATAAAGTTTGGTTTACTAGAAGTAATAGTATAGACACATGAGAGATGACATGGAAACTTACCTGGTGGGAAGATCTTGGGAATAAAATCCAGGACCCCAAAATCTCAGTTTTTTGAGCCAAGGTGTGATTTGGCTTTTGAATATGGCAATATTAGATATTATTCTTCTTTGGGGGCAAGAAAAACACATTTAGGGTGGGTATCTTAGTTCATTTTTTACTGCTGTAACTGAATACCACAGACTTGGTAATTAATAAAGATTTAAAATTTATTTTTTCATAGTTCTGGAGGCTGGGAAGCCCAAGATTAAGGCAGTAGCATCATGTGAGGACTTCTTCCTGTGCCATCGCATAGGGGAAAATGTGAAAGTGAGAGAGAGAAAGAAAGAAAGAGAGAAAAGGAGGCTGAACTCACCCTTTTATAAGGATTCCACTCTCACCAAAATGCCACTAATCTACTCATAAAGGAGGAGCTCTCATGGCCTAATCACCACTTCAAAGTCCACTCTTAATATTGTTAAAATGGCAATTAAATTTTAATATGAGTTTTGGAGAGAACAAACATTTCACCCATAGCAGTGGGTTTTCTTCATCTTTCCTTCTTCACCCACAAAATAGCAGGAATACTCTCATTTGATTTGAAACACAATTTCATGGGAGTAATCTCAAAGGAGCCCTGCAAATATTATGTCAGATGGTGCCACCTTCTTATTTATGGCATGGGCCTTGTAGTGTGGAATGTGCTTTCTGGCATCAGTGCATAACTATGTCCTGCTCCTGATGCCACTGAACTCTATCTTGCGTAGCCGCCATTAAGAGAGTAACTACAGACACTCTCATTTATCCCAAGTAGCAGATGGCATTATCAGGGTTATTACATCTTAAAATTGGGGTTTTTGGTTCATTAGCTCAAATGAAATAATTTGGCCTATAGGCCAAATTCCAGCAATGCCCCTACCTGGGTGCATTTTAATAAATTAAACCAAGCTACAACACTTGCACTTTCATACCTTGCCATGCTTCCTTACCCACTAACCTCAGTTGTCTCTCAGTGTTAAGGGACAACTGTTTATAAGCATTACCTCCTTGTTTTTCAGGTTTGAGGGAAAAGGCAAATTCATGCTATCAACCTCCTGCTCCCCTTATGCCCTGAAGACAGCTGAGGGTCCAAACAACCTAGCTAGACAGTTTTGCTGATGTCACATTCATTAACCAATAACTTACCTACATCATAACTCTAGGCCTTGACCAACTAAAATTTCTTGGTACATGCTACTAACTTTGGTAATGAACTGCTCACCTTAGCTTAAAGTGGTACAAACTGCATTTGTACATGTTTCCCTGCTGATCTATAAGGTATAGCCACCCCACCCAATTGTGGATATAGTAGGTTTATGAAATGAAATGGAACAAGTAGCTGCATAACAACCTGAGAGGTATAATAGAAATATCTTCAAACTGAGGGCCGTTCGAACAGGGTTGTATCTCCAAATAATGTTTTTGAGGAAAGGAATCACGGCTAATAAGAATAGCTAAGATTAACAACATACCAGGCGATGTACTAAGCACCTTTAGCACAATATTCCAATTAATCCTTACAAAAAATAAACCAATAAGTTTTTTGTTATCCCCATTTTATAAATAAAATACCTGAAACTCATGAAGTCAAATATTATGCTCAAAGTCATATGCTTTGCAAGTAGCAACTCTTGCCAGGACTTTGGCATTGGTCTTTTGACTTTTAAATTCCTATCTCTGTTACTTCTCAACTTTGCTGCTATACTTCCATTTCTTTGGATTTTCTCACAGTACCTGACCTGGAGTCAATTCAAATCTGGCATTCAGTTATTCTTAGTGAAATTTCATTTATTGAAAACTCAGTTCAAACAATTGCAACATGAAGCTTATGGGGAAATTATAAAGGATTTGGGATAATTTTTTTCATCTTCTGAAGAAAATGAGTCCTCTTAAAGTGTTCTCGTGTTTGTTTTGTCCTGTTTTTGTACATGCATAATTTCCTGATTTACTTCCAAAGAAATGTAACATATTAAGACATGATGGTAACTTCTTCCTCTTTCTAAGATGATTTCATGTCAATGGTTTCAAAACAGATATAGGTTTAATGCTCAGCTATCCTCCATTTCCAACACTGAGAGAACATTAGGAAATATACTTAAAACTATACCATGAGATATTTAGAACACATGTAAGAAAGGATTTTCTGAAAGTGGGAATGGTGAATAGTGCAAAACTAAGTGGTAGACTTAGGATGACAATGCAGTAGGTCTTTAATAACAGGAGCGATCCTTATGATTTCCATGTAATCAAGCAAAATGTGAGCATAGTAACACGGCATTTAAAGATTTCTGTTGGCTTCCTGGCTGTTAGATCCTGTCTGTCCACATCCCTCAGATGGGATCTTGAAGAAAATAACTTTCTAACTAACTAATATTCATTGCATACTAATTTTATACTAAGCATGTGTTCAGCAAAAGATAAGCCATGATGAGCAAAATAGACACAATTTCTGCCTTCACAAGGCTTGCAACAGTGGGGAATTTGGGCAAAAATCATACTTTTTAAAAATGTTGAGATAATTAAAGGTAAAGTTTTATTTTAAAAATCTTACTATATAATAAAGTAAGTCTTCATCATATTTTTAAATTATAGCCAGAATAAATTAAGCTCTTTATGACTAGACAATATCTTTCTCATAAACAGACTTTGGTGTCAGTCCACAAGAAACTTCAATAACACATTGCAGCATCAAATATCATATAATAAGTGTTTGGACATCCCTTCAGTTCTGACTTTATAAATGTAAAATGCTATCATATTGGCATGTGTAGAAAGGGGATAGTCCATGTCAAAGGAAACTTGCCCCTGGCATGTTTTTGTAAGGCAAAGGTTTATTGCATAAGGCCATATCATTGCAAAAGGCTGCCCTCTGTATAATGCAATCAATATAGTTTAATTAAATAATGATACTATTGATTCTAATTAACCAAAAATGCTTTCCTCATTAGTTTGTAGTTCATATTTGTTCCCAGAGACAAGGTGATTTAGTGATTGTAATCCTACTCTCAGTATATGGAATAGAGATGCTTATTTAAAAGATGCTAACTCTGGCACTCTGGTTTTGAGTTGCCTTTTCATTTGTGATGAATGAACATTTCTTTGTGTATAAATATAATTTTAAAATAATATATTATTTAAACATGCATCCTAAATGTGCAAACATGGGATTTTGGAGAACTGGATTTTAAATGCTTGGATTATTCTATTACTAAAAGTATTGGTACCACCATCAATGCTAGCCTCTAATGTATTTTTTATTTTAGAGAATCTGTCAAAAACCCTGTGTATAGTTCTATGGTCTGACGTTTCTTAAGCATAGGCTCTCAGAAGTTGATTGGATCTAATTTGTCTATTGCAGGTGTTATATTAAGATATAGAAATATGTTTAGGTAATAAATTAAAGGGTGTTGTTTGTTTTTATTCAGTCAGGTAAGGGCTGATGATCATGATTAAGTGCTGGTAGTAAAAGGCAATACAATATTTTTACTGATCATTTGAAAGTTGTATACATACAAAAGGCCTTCCTAAAATGATGGAAATGAAGGGAAAGGGAAGTATTAAAATGAGCTGAACATCTACTTTTTACCAGACGGTAGTCAGTATTTTGTGATTATGATCTCATTTAATACTCAAAAAACCTAGAAATATGAGGAGCATCTAGCCCCAGTTTGTGTGTATAAAAACAGAGCTTCAAATTTAGAGCTTAAGTAGCTCGACCAAAATTGTAGAGATACTAAATTTTGATTCGCAACCAGATCTAATTGATACTAGACAACCCCTTTCTTTTTTCTTTCAGAACACTGGCATTTAAAACAAGCTTAAAATCAAAGTACATAGTATTTCTGTATCTGGCCAAGAAGGAGAAAAGCAATGGGCACTAGAATATCCTCGTACATGGAAATACATGTAAGTCATTTTAACTAAAATAAGAAACTAGACAGGAATGCTTATCATTACTATTAATAGCTAACATTCATTAAGTACTAATATGCTAAGTGCTTTTCAAAATGTTTTATGTATTTTAATTCATTTATTCCTCATAGAGATGTTATAAAGTAGGTACTATTATCATCATTTTAAGAAAAAAAACTGAGACAGTAAAATGATCTATTTTTACTGACATATTTTATGCCTACAAAATCCAAGCAACTGTAGTTTAAAGCTGTTTGAAATAATAAACAAATTTCCAATGTGATTGCACATAAAAAGAATAACCAAAAATCAAAGGTGATTTTTTATTAAAGTAAAAACCAAGAAAAATAGACATGGAGAAAAATCTATTCAGAACAGTGACAAAGATAATATATATTTAACAATGAATGAAATGGGAAGGATAGATAAAAAATACATAATTTTATTAAAGCAACTAAAATATTTATGTTAATGGATAAGAATATTTAAATGTCTATTCAGTCAAAATTAATATACACATTTAGTTATCTGCCAATTAGAAAAGAGATTTTCTAGGGAAGAAATATTATCTTTGAAATATATCAAATTATTTTAAATGTATTTAAAATCACTTGAAGATTTGGAAGAACAAATGCTGAAGAACAACTAAGAAATGTATTCAAAGCAGAAGGGAGAAATGAAAGGGAACTTGTTTTTTTCAATATTGAAACACTTTATAAATACATTACAATCAAATTAATATTATATAGGCATGGGAATCAGCAGAAAACAACAGCAATAGCAGAAGAAACAAAACATGAAATAATGCAACACAATAGAGACTCCAGAAATTACTTTTATATATTTGAGTACTTAAAATATGATTGAGATAATATTTCAACTCAATGGGAAAATGATGACTTGTTTAATAAATGATCATCTATCAAAAGAAAATAAAATTATATGCCTATTTTAAATCATGCACCATTCTAAATTCTAGGTTTTGTAGATCTAGATAGATATGTTTGAAGAAAATCTAGATCACACACATCATATAACATGGAAGGGATTTTCTTGAACAAACAAGAAATTCAGAATCTGTAATAAAAAAATCCATATTTATGTGTATAAAATTAAAACTTTGGCAAAAGGTGCTATAAGCAAAATCAATAGAAAATTGAAAAGATTTGGAAAGCATTTTTACGACATAGATGCCACATAAAACAAACATCTATAACACAGATAAAGCTCTAGCAAATCAACAAGATAATAACTCAATATATAATATGTATGTATATATGTGTCTGTGTGTGTACGTATATTTTCATGTTCACACACTAGTATTCAAGAATATGCAAATTAATGCAAAAAAAGGACAACAGAAAATAATATTACTCTGATATCCATGGTTCATTCAAAATATACAACTTTACATTTTTTCTTTTTTTACCTTTAAAATAAAGTTTTTAAAATATTTTTGTTAATGTTATTTTAATTGACAAATCATAATTAAATACATTTATGGGTACAATGATGTTTGGATATATGCGTGTGTGTGTATATATATATATATATATATATATATATATATATATATATATGAAATGTGTAATAATTAAACCAAATAGTTAATATATCCATTATCTTGCTCCCCTATAATTTTTTATGGTAAGACATTTTCAATTTACTCTTAGTTGTTTTGAAATATACAATATATATTTATTAACTATAGTCACCTTGCTTTGCAGTAGATCTCAAAACTTATTCTTTTTATTTGAGACTTTGTACCCTTTGATCAACAACTCCACATTCCCTCCCTCCCTCCCCCTAATCCTCCAACCTCTGGTAACCATCATTCTACTCTGAACTCCTACGAGTTAAACTTTTTTTGATTTCACATATGAGATCATGTGGTAATTGTATTTCTGTGCCTGGCTTATTTCTCATATCATAATGGCCTCCAGGTTCATCTCTGTTATTGCAAATGACATAATTCTTTTCCTTTATTTAAAGCTGAATATTATAAGAACAAGTCGTTAATCCACTTTGTATTGAGTTTTTGTATGGTATAAGAATCCAATTTTATTATTTTGCATGTGGATGGACAATTTTCCCCAAACACTATTATTTATTGAAGAGACTATATTTTCTCATTGTGTAATATTGATATGTTTGTGAAAAATCAATTGGCCATAGATATGTGGGTTCATTTCTAGACTTTCTATCCTGTTCTATTGGTCAATGTGTCTGTTTTCATGCCACTACCTTGCAGTATTTATTGTAATTGCTTTAATATGTTTTGAAATCTGGCAGTGTGATTCTGTCAGCTTTGTTCTTTTTGCTCACGATTGTTGTGTCATTTGAGCTCTTTTGAGGTTCCGGACAAATTTAATAATTTTTAAAAAATTTTATGTGAAAAATAACATTGGAATTTTGATAGGGATTGCATTAAATCTTTAGATCTCTTTGAGTAGTATGGATATTTCACAATATGAATTATTTCAAACCATCAACATGGGATATCTTTCCATTTATTTATTATTTTAAAAATTATTTTATCAGAGTTTTATTGTTTTCAGCATACAAGTCTTTCACTTCCTTGGTTAAATTTATACTTAAGTATTTTATTATATTTATTTGTATTTGTAAATGAAATTATTTCCTTAATTTCCCTTTCAGATAGTTTATTTTTAGTACATAGAAACACTACTGATTTTTCTATGTTGATTTTGTATTCTGCAAATTTACTGAATGCCATTTCTAACAGTTTCTTGCTAGAGTCTTTAGGATTTTCTACATATCAGATCATGTCATCTGAAAATAGAGATAATTTTACTTTTCCCTTTCTTATTGTGATGCCTTTTATTTTATTTTATTTTATTTTATTTTATTTTATTTTATTTTATTTTTGCCTAATTTCCCTGCTAGAACTTTCAGTTATATGTCAAAAAGAAGTGGCAACAATGGGCAGCCTTGTCTCTTTCCTTGATCTAAGAGGAAACACTTTTAATTTTCCTGTTGAGAATGATTTTGGCTGCATGTTTGTTGTATATGGTTTTTATTGTATTGACATTCATTCCCTCTATACCTAATATGTTAAGTGTTTTGATCATGAAGAGATGCTGAATTTTGTCAAGTGCTTTTTCTGCATCTATTGAGATGATCATATAATTTTTCTCCTTTATTTTGTTAATGTGGTGTATCACATTTATTGATTTGTGTGTGTTGAACCATCTTTCTATCCCAAGGATAAACCCCTCATAATCATGGTGAATGATTCCTTCAAGATGTTCTTTAATTTGGCTCCCTAATTTTGTTGAAGATTTTTGTTCATGAAGAATTTCAAGCTGTAGTGGATTTTTGTTTTGTTTTGTATTGTTTGTTTGTTTGTTTGCTTTCTTGTAGTGCCCTTATCTGGCTTTGGTTTCAGAGTGATACACTGGGTTTGACAAACCTGACAAAAACAAGCAATGGGAAAAGGATTTGCTATTTAATAAATGGTGTTGGGGAAACTGGCTAGCCATATGCAGAAAACTGAAACTGGACCCCTTCCTTACAACCTCATACAAAAATTAACTCAAGATGGATTAAAGACTTAAATGCAAGACCTAAAACCATAAAAACCCTAGAAGAAAACCTAGGCAATACCATTCAGGACACAGGGATGGGCAAGAACTTCATGACTAAAACACCAAAAGCAATGGCAACAAAAACCGAAATTGACAAATGGCATCTAATTAAACTAAAGGGCTTCTGCACAGCAAAAGAAACAATCATCAGACAGAACAGGCAACCCACAGAATGGGAGAAAATTTTTACAATCTGTCCATCTGACAAAGGGCTAATATCCAGAATCTACAAGGAACTTAAACAAATGTAAAAGAAAAAACCAAACAACCCTATCAAAAAGTGGGTAAAGGATGTGAAAAGACCCTTCTCAAAAGAAGACATTTATGCGGCCAACAAACATATGAAAAAAAGCTCGTCATCACTGGTCATTAGAGAAATGGAAATCAAAACAACAATGAGATACCATCTCACGCCAGTAAGAATGGCGATCATTAAAAAGTCAGGAAATAACAGATGCTAGTGAGGATGTGGAGAAATAGGAACGCTTTTTCACTGTTGGTGGAAGTGTAAATTAGTTCAACCATTGTGGAAGACAGTGTGGTGATTCCTCAAGGATCTAGAATCAGAAATACCATTTGACCCAGCAATCCCATTCCTGGATATATACCCAAAAGGTTGTAAATCATCTACTATAAAGACACATGCACATGTATGTTTATTGCAGCACTATTCACAATAGCAGAGAGTTGGAACCAACCCAAATGCCCATCAATATTAGCCTGGATAAAGAAAATGTGGAACATATACACCATGGAATACTATGCAGCCATAAAAAGGGATGAGTTCATGGCCTTTGCAGGGACATGGGTGAAGCTGGAAACCATCATTCTTAGCAAATTAACACAGGAGCAGAAAACCAAACACTGCATGTTCTCACTCATAAGTGGGAGTTGAACAATGAAAACCCATGGACACTGGGAGGGGAACTTCACACACTGTGGCTTGTTGGGAGGTGAGGGGCTAGGGCAGTAATAGCATTAGGAGAAATACCTAATGTAGGTTACAGGTTGATGGGTGCAGCAAACCAACAGGGCACGTGTATACCTATGTATACAGGTATGTATACAAACCTGCAGGTTCTGCACATGTATCCCAGAACTTAAGTTATATATATATAGATAGATAGATAGATAGATAGATAGACAGACAGATAGATATAGATATGGAAAAAAAGAATAAAATGAAATAAAATAGTATTTTCCTCACTTTGATTTTATGAAAGAATTTGGGAAGAATCAGTATTAATTCTTTAAATTTTTAGTAGACTTTAGCAGTAAGCTATCTGGTGTAGGGCTTTTGTTAGATGGAAGATTTATTTTTGATTCAATCTCTTTACTCATTACTGGTCTGTTTCTATTTCCTGTTCATTTATAATTCAGTCTTTGTAGGCTGTATCTATGAATTTATCCATTTATTCTAGAGTTGTCAATTTGTTGGCATATAATTGTTCATAGTAGGTTCTTCTGATTTTTGTATTTTTGTGGTATCACATGTAATGTTTCCTCTTTCTTTCTTTTTCTTTTTTATTTTTTTGGAGGCGGAGGTCAAGGTCTTGCTCTGTCAGCCAGGCTGATGTGCGGTGGTATGGTCTTGGCTGACTGCAGTCTCGACCTCCTGGGCTCAAGCCATTCCCTCACTTCAGCCTGCTGAGTAACTGGAACCACAGCACATGCCATTACATGTGATTGATATTTTAATTTTTTGTAGAGATAGGGTCTCTCTATGTTGTCCAGGTTAGTTTCATATTCCTGGACTAAGGCGATCCTCCCACCTTGGCCTCCCAAAGTGCTGGGATTACAGACATGAGCCACCACGCCCAGCCTTTCATTTTGATATTATTTACTCGAGTCTTCTCTCTCTCTCTCTCTTTTTTTAAGTCTAGCTAAGAGTTATTCTGTTTACCTTTTTAACAAACCAATGCTTAGTTTCACCATTATTTTTTCTGTTCTTTTTCTAGTTTCTATTTCATTTATTTCTACTCTTATCTTTTGTTATTTCCTTTTTTCTGGTAACGTGGGCTCAGTATTTTTTTTTCTAGTTCCTTAAATTATAAAATTAGATTGTTTGAGGTCATTCTTTTTGATATAGGCATTTGTCACTATAAATTTCCCTTGTACGACTTCTTTCACTACATCCCATAAATCTAGGTATGTTGTGTTTCCAAATTCATTTGCCCAGGTATTTTTTAAAAATTTATTTTAAATGTATATGACACATTAGTTGTTAAGAAGCATGCTGTTTTAATTTTCACACATTTATGTATCCTTCAAGATTTCTTCCTTTATTTATTTCTAGTTTCATGCCATTGTGAATCAAAGATACTTGATATTTCAGTCTTTTTAAATTTGTTAAGACTTGTTTTGGTCTAACAGATGACCTAGCCTGAAGAATGTTCCAAGTGTGTGTGAAAAAAATGTTTATTCTACTGTTGCTTTCACTTTCACTGTCCCCCATCTTTTATAATTTTGATATCAAAATTTACATATTTTTGGCTAAGTTATATTTCTGAACAATTCTCTGTAGCTACAATCATTTTTAATAGCTATGTCTTTTATCTCTCATAGTAGGGATAATATTGCTTTATGTATCCCTATTTAAGAATTCACTATTTAAGAATTCAGTGTGATTATGTATTATTAATATCGTTGAGTTTTTTACTCTTATCTGATTTTTGTTATTAATTAGTAGCCTTTAATCATAGCTTAAATAATTTCACTTTAGCAATTCCTGAGATGCAGATATTGTGGCGATGAGCCCCATTAGCTTTTGTTTGTCTGGGAAAATATTTCCCCTCATTTCTGAAGTACAGCTTTGAAGGGTCAAGAATTCTTGGTTGGAAGTTCATTCTTTTCTTCAGCACTTTGAATATATCCTCCCTCTTCCCTGGACCGTGGGGTTTCTGCTTAGAAATTCACTGAAAGTCATACTGGGGCTCCCTTGAATGTGGTAAGTTTATCACTTGCTGCTTTCAGTAGTCTTTTTTGTCTTTGATTTTTAAAATAGTTTTATTATAATGCGTCTTGTTGAACCCCTCATTGAGTTGAATTTGATTAGAGGCCTCAGATCTTTCTGTTCCTGGATTTTGTTATCTTTCCCCAGGTTTGGAAAACTTTCAGCCATCATTTCCCTAAATAGGCTTTCTGGGTCTTTTCCTCTCTTTTTTCCTTCTTTAATTCCTACTATTTAAAGCTTAGCCAGCTTGATGGTATTCCATAATTTCCATAGTCCTTTTTAATTCTTTGTGTTCTCCCTTAAACTGCATAATTTCAAATATTCTATGCTTGAATTTACTGACTCTTTCTTCTGCTTGATAAAGTCTGCTGATAATACTTTCCAGTGAAGTTGCTGGTTTTTTACCTCTAGAACTTTTTGTTTCTATTTTTTTGTCAAATTTATTTTGTTCATCAATTATTTTGCAAATTTAATTTTGTAATCCATATTTTTCTGGATATTTCTAAACTTCTTTAAGAGAATAATTCTAAATTTTCCATCAGTCACTATAGATCTCCATTTCTTCTTGAGATCATTATTGAAGCTTTATTAGGGTCTTTTTGCTGGCGTCATATTTTCCTGATTTTTCAAAATCCTTGTATCCTTGTGTTGGTGTCTGCACGTTGGAGGAGACAGCCATCTTTTTTGGCCTTTTCAGATGTTCTTTGGTGGTAATAGACCTTCACCATTTTATCTAGCCAGGAATTCTGGATGGACCAGCTGGTAGTAACCTCAAACAGGCAGACCTTGGTGTTGATCTTGCCAGCTGGACTGGGTTGCTTCTTGTGCTCTCAAGTCAGATGCTACTTCTGGCTATGCGCCACAATCCAGTGACATCACTAGTTGGCCTCTACAGTCTGGCAGAGCTGCTGGCTTGGATCCATAATAATCTCTGATCAAGTAGGGTTCCAGGTAGTCTTCTCTTGCTAGCCAATACAGTTTGGAATCCTTCGTTGGGCAGAGACACCTGCTTGGTTTCAAGGCTGTGTGAGGTCTCTGGGGGTCAGTGCTTGGCTACATGAGGTAGACAGGACCAGAGGCCATGCTCCATGGACATGCCAAGCTCAAAGGCATGAATTTGAGCTTACCTCCTAACATATAATAGATTTTAAACAACACCAAGGCTTGATGTATTTGTCACTTAGCCACTGATGTTGGGTAGACCCAGATGTTACCTTCCTGGGTAAACTCTGATCTGCACTTGTCTTCAGGCCTGGGGAAGGCTCAATGAACTTACTAAGGCTTTGTTTTTTGGATCACCTCTTTTCTACAAGGATTAGGCAGGGCCAGATGCTCTGTTCATAGGTAAATAATGATCTGATATTTTTCCTGGTCAGAGGGAAGCTTAAAGAGAGTACTTCAGCTTATGGAAAAGCTGGCTAGTGACTTGAACCTGGCAGATCTATGGATCACTCTTCCTGCAGCATGAGGCTTTTCGCTAGTCTCTCTTATATGGCTTCTCTGTTAGTGGGAATGCAGAGCAACCATCAATATTAATGCTCTGGATACTATGAGCTCCATTCCCATTAGCTCCATTCCCATTATTTTTTTATAACTGATGTTATAGTCCTGCTGGTGCTCCCTATGTTTCCTGTAGAATGAGACAGCAGTGAGCCTCCTGTGAAGAGTTTCAGAATGATGGGGAAGCTGAATGTCTGCCTCCAACTTTCATTTCCCAGAGTAAAAAGTCTGAGCCCAGGGAAATCCTCTGTATGTGGCACTGTGCTGGCTTGTGGGATGGGTAATGCAGTCAAAGAGAAACAGTTCCTCTTACCTTTAGCATGCACCTTTTATCTGTTCTAAAATCCAAGATAATATCTCAGCCTTACTCCTGAGTTCTTGGGTATTCGTGAACATGTTCTCTCATGTGGATAACTGCTAGTTAGTTTTGCACGTAAATGGAGGGGAACAGGGAAGTCAAGGTAGAGAACTCCTATCTCATCTTGCTGATATCACTTGCAACTTTCTATTTTGAAAGAAGGATTTGAACTTTAGAATTGTAAATCCTAATCCTGTGCCTAAGCAAAAATACAGTATTAATTTTGTTATGCTTTTTTCCCTGTCTCATATTGATGAGAATGTTAGTATCTGATTACAGAAAAAAAAAGAACCATGATAGACTGAATTTTAGTATTTTGCTCTCTTGTTCAGAGTTAATATGAGAAATGGATGGTGTTGATACCAAGCCCCCCAAAAATAATATTTGTTTAAGCTGAGATGTGGCTGTCAATGTAATAACTTCTATGAAGAGCTGATAATAGGCTACAATGATTATTATGTGTAAAAAGTTACAATATTGACAAAAATAGAAAGCACAAAAATGATAAAATTTTATTGTACAGAGAGGTAAACTAAAAGTATAGTGTCTCTTAAATGCATATTCAAGATCAGATTGGATAATATTGGAATGAAGCCATCTTATTTTAACTTACTGATTACTTACTCAAAATCTAAAGAGAGCATAGGAGAAGTGGTAAATCCCAGTGTCACATTGACCATATTTGTTTGCAACTCAGATCCTTTGCAGAAGGAGTACTGTAGAAAAGAAGTGAATACAGTTATCAGGATGAGCATATACAGTTGCCTTCCTTAAACAGTTTGTGAATGTGACCTTGTATATTTGAGTCACTAAAAAGACAGATAATTAGGAAAACAATTGATTTTCATGGCACTTGTATCATCTTAATTCGTCTTAAATTTGTATTTATTTCTTCTAAATACATAAGAAGTCGGGAAATTGAAATCATTAATGAATATGCAACAAACCTGGTCGTTGAATATTGAAAATATATAAAATTAACTACTAAACATGGAATACAGTTGGTCTGGAGAAAGATAATGAATATGACTTAAACAGATCTGAAGATTTATGAACAGTCATTATAAGGAGTGTGGTTACCAGCTGTTCTACATGTCCAGAGAGATTAGAACAAGAAGTTCCTAACTGTAATGGTAATTAGACACAAGAAAAGGTTGCTGGAGAAAAGACTGTGGAACTTCCTTTTATGGAGAGATTTCTGAAACAAGATGGTTATCTTTTTTTGGGTTGCCTAGAAACAGGAGGATGATCTATATGACCTCTTTTAGATCTCCTCAAGTCCAATAAATTTATCTCTATGAATTTGTCTCTCCTTGAGTCCAAACTGAATTTATCTCTGTAAGTATAGCTTTAGAAAGCCACTGCTTCAGTAAATGTTTTCAGTTATGTAAATGCTGACTTAGGTAAAAACATTATTATAAAAATAACAGTGAAGAAATGTTTAGAAAGGCAGTTGGTACAGGTTAGCAAGTGCATAACAGTGCTGTTGTTTAAAATGAGGTTGAAATTCCAGGGTGTATAAATAAGAGAATTTTCTATAGAAACTGTGAGACAATTCTCTATACTTAGAAGCTATCAGGCACTTATTGTACTGTTATGACAGTTGAGGGTCTCACAACTGTAGTGTAATGCGGGAAGCTTGGAGTAGCTCCAACAGAATGTAGAAAAAAATGATAAGAGTGTTAGAAAAAGCTTATTTAAAAGTAAAAAGAAAAGGGGTAGTGCAATTCGAAATGGAGAGATAATTTTATTTTCTTTATATTGCCTTTGTTAGGTATATTTGTTGCTACTTTTATTTTTGAAGAAAGTTGTATAAAACTTAAAACTTAGGAGGTTTCTATAGATGTAAATTTTAAACAATGAATATTTAAAACCATGAGTACCATAGGATTGATTAAATTGTGTGTCATGTCTAATCGTTGATTTTTTCTATTTTTATGCACTATCTTATCTCTGCCTCTTTTTTCATTTGTCTTCTTCCTAGGAAATCACATCTTCTGGTAGGTTTTGATTCTCATTCATTATCTTTCTCCCCAAAGTGAAAGGGAAAATTCTAACATGCTGTCCAAGATTTCTTCCTCCTGATTTAAACACTGTGTGTAATCCCCTCCCCTTCAGCATGAGAATTACTTGTGAACAATGGGATATCACTTCTGCAACCATGTTACCTTGTATGGCAGAAGGGATGTAATTAAGTTCACTAATCAGTAGAGTTAGTCAAAAAAAGGTGATTATTGGTGAGGCTGACATAATTACAACTGTGAGAGAAGGGAGAGAGATTCAATGCAGCAGCAGACACGCTCCTGATGGCCTTGAAGAAGCAAACTGCTCTAGGAGCTGAGAGCATTCCCCAGTTGACAACAAGAGAACAGAGTCAGTCATATGGCTTCAAGAAAATGAATTGTACCAACAACATAAGGGAGCTTGTTGATGATTTTTTTTTCCTACTCAAGCCTCAAGATGGGGATACAGCTAGCCAACATCTTAATTTCAGCCTCGTGAGATTCTAAACAGAGAACGAAGCTAAAATATGACATACGCCTGACCTACAAAACTGTGAGGTAATAAACTTGTATTGTTTTCATCTAAATTGTGCTAATTTGTTACATAACAATAGAAAAACCAATATACCAAGTGTTCATCACCTTGCAGTCCTTCTGACTTGATGAAGTGTAGCTATCCACATAAGCCTATGAATCAGCTTTGACAGCGATCATAGACTCCTAGTTCCCCTCATTCCTCTATCTTATCAACCAGTAAGAACTGATTATTTTTACTCTTAAAAATCTCTAAGACGACTGTCCAGTATCTTCCATGTCAAGCTCCCTTACTTTTCTTGAATTACTTTGGAAGTTTCTTACTTGGTTTCTCTATCTCTAATTTTGCCTTCTTCAAATAATTTATCCTCATGGCCGTCAGGGTAAATTTTCTGAAATATTCATCTGTTCACAGCATGTTGTTGCATATATCCTTTATGATATGTTCATAGTTCAACCATAGTTCATAGTTTACCATAACATATGAGGCATTTTAGGATTTCATCCTGGGCTGTCTTTCTGACCTCAGCTATTCAAAACATTTTCATCACATTTTGATCTACTTTCTTTTCTCTGAGCAAGTATTTTAGTATTATATTCACACTTTTCCCACAGCCTGGAATTTTCATTCCATAAGAATTTGCATTGCTTGGCTTATTCCTACTCATTCTTCAACAGACCAGTTAAATGTCACCACTTTTGGAAATGTATTCCTGATTCCCAGACTCACTTATAGGCCCTTTTCTACACATGTTGCATAGCCTTTAATCTGATTTTGTTGATTTCTTTGTCTGTCTTCTTCATTTGATTGAGAAATCCTTGATGTCTGAAAGTTTAGCTCATCTTTGTATCTTATCATCTTGTATAGGGTTCAACATGTGCAAGGAGCCAATACAAGCTTATTTTATAAGTTGGAATCAGGTATCTTAATAATGAAAAAAATCAAATCACTTTGACCTAAATAAAATAAGGTTTTGTATTATTTTCATATAACTATTCAGAAGAAGGCAATGAGAAGAAAGTTGAAGGCATTTCCAATGGGCAAATTAGGAGATCCTTAGATTTCAGACTGGTTAAACATTCCCCAAAATGGTGATGTTTGACTTGTCTGTTCAAGAACAAGCCAAGCAAATAGAATTCTTATGGAAAAATAAATCTAAAATTTTGAGTTATATTTATCCCAGACATAAATCACTTACATTTTTATAAGATTCAAATTATCTGTAACTCATCCATCTTCTAAAAGTTAGCATCTAATGTTTTAGAGCCTTGGCTCAAATAAATAACATAATGTAAGTTAAGTAGTTATCTTACTCCATAGTGCACTATTTTAGTATATTTTTTAAGACAAAGCTCTAGTATGTCATCTAAGATACACCATAATGGTTTTGCCTTCTTTCCAAGTCTGGGATTTTTTTTTTTAATGGAATAACCATTCTCTCCAATTTATTTCTGATCTGAAACAAGAAAATTCATGTTCTGATAATGGAATAAAAGAGGAAAGATATTGAGCTGATATTTTACTTCTAGTGGTAGATTCTTTCTTTTTCTCTTCTTTAATTGCTATATTAGTCTGTTCTCATGCTGCTAATGAAGACATACTCAAGACTGGGTAATTTATAAAGAAAAGAGGTTATTTGACTCACAGTTCTGCATGGCTGGGAGACTACAGGAAATTTATAATCATTGAGGAAGGTGGAGAAGAAGCAAGGCACCTTCTTCACAAGGCAGCAGGAAGGAGAAGTGCAAGCAAGGGAAATGCCAGATGATTACAAAACCATCAGATGTTGTGAGACTCACTGATTATGAGAACAGCATACAGGAAACTGCCCCTATTGTTCTATTACCTTCACCTGGTCCCACCCTCAACATGGGGATTATGGGGATTAGAATTCAAGGTGAGATTTGGGTGGGACACAGAGACAAACCATATAATTCCACCTCTGGCCCCTCCCAAATTTCATGTCCTCACATTTAAAAACACGATCATGCCCTTCCAACAGTCCCCCACAGTCTTAACTGATTCCAGCATTAACCCAAAAATCCAAGTTCTAAGTTTCATTTAAGAAAAAACAAGTCCCTTCTGCCTATGAGCCTGTAAAATCAAAAGCAAGATAATTACTTCCTAGATACAATGGGGGTACAGGCATTGGGTAAATACACCCACATTCAGTGGGGAAAATTGGCCAAAACAAAGGGGCCACAGGCCCCTTGCAACTCCAAAATCCAAAAGAGCAGTCATCAAACCTAAAAGTTCCAAAATGATCTTCTTTGACTCCATGTCTCACATTCAGGTTATGCTAATGCAAGAGGTGTGCTCCCCTAAATTTGGGTAGCTCCACCCCTGTGGCTTTGCAGGGTACAGCTCCCTTTGAAGCTGCTTTCGTAGGCTGATGTTGAGTGTCTTCAGCTTTTACAGGCACACAGAGTAAGCTGTTGGTAGATCTACCATATTGGGGTCTGGAGGATGGTGGCCCTCTTCTCACAGCTCCACTAGGCAGTGTCCTAGTGGGGACTCTGTGTGGAAGATCCAACCCCACATTTTCCTTCCTCAAGCCCTACCAGAGATTCTCCATGAGGTCTCCACTCCTGCAGCAAACTTCTCTATACCCACAGGCTCAACACTGCCTGGAAGCTGCCAAGGCTTGGTTCTTGCAATCTCTGAAGCAATGGCCTGAGCATTGGCCCCTTTTAGCTACAGCTGGAGCTGAAGCAGCATCCAGGCAGGACACCATGTCCCCAGGCTGTACAGAGCAGAGGGACTCTGGGCCTGGCCCAGGAATCTATTTTTCTCTTCCAGACCTCCAGGCCTGTGATGGGAGGGGCTGCCGTGAAGGTCTCTGACATGCCATGGAGACATTTTCCCCATTGTCTTGGTGATTAACATTGGGATCCTAGTTACTTATGCAAATTTCTGCAGCTGGCTTGAATTTCTTCCCAGAAAATGGATTTTTCTTTTCCATTGCATCAGGCTAAAAATTTTCCCAACTTTTAAGCTATACTTCCTCTTGAATGCTTCACCGCTTAGACATTTCTTCCACCAGATATCCTAACTCATCTATCTCATGTTCAACCTTCCACAAATCTTTAGAGCAGGGGCAAAATGCCAGCAGTCTCTTTGTTAAAACATAGCAAGAGTGACTTTACAGTAGTTCCCAAGAAGTTTCTCATCTCTATCTGAGAGTACCTCAGCTTGGACCTTATTGTCCATATCACTATCAGCATTTTGGTCAAAGCCATTTAACAAGTCTCAAGGAAGTTCCAAACTTTCCCACATCTTCCTGTCTTCTGAGCTTTCCAAGTCTCTAGGAAGTTTCAAACTTTGCCACATTTTCTCGTGTTCTTCTGGGCCCTGCAAACTTTTCCAGCCTCTGCCTGTTACCCAGTTCCATAGTCACTTCCACATTTTCAGGTATCCTTATAGCAGCACCCCACTCCCAGTACCAATGTATTGTGTTAGTTCATTCTCACACTGCTGATAAAAACATACTTGAGACTAGGTCATTTATAAAGGAAAGAAGCTTAATTGACTCACCATTCAGTATGGCCAGCAAGAGCCCAGGAAATTTACAATCATGGTGAAAGGCAAAGGGGAAACAAGGTACCTTCTTCAAAAGGTGGCAGGAAGGACAAGTTTAAGCAGGGGAAATGCCAGACGCTTACAAAAACAATCAGATCTCATGAGAGTCACTCATTATCACGAGAACAGCATGAAGGAAAATGTCCCCATGATTCAACTACCTCCACCTGGTCCTGCCATTGACATGTGAGGATTATGGGGATTACAATTCAAGGTAAGATTTGGGTGAGGACACAGAGCCAAACCATATCAGTTGCACTGTATCTGAATCCTGGAAGGTTTCGTTCCACATTTTTCCATTCCTATTCATGATTTTCCCTTATATAGGAGAAATAATAAGTTTATAGGGTAGAACTCATGGGTAGAACTAGAGGCTAGTTGAATCACAGAAATTAAAGGAAGAGGTAGGCAAATTCTATAAGCAAACAAATGACTAAGATACATTGATTAGTTGGACTTATTTTCCCTTAATTACCAAGAAACTGGGGAGTTGATGTCCATGAATCAACTGCTATGCATTTCTCAGTAATTCTTTACATCTCCCCTTTCTTTAAATATATATTTATTCTATTATTTTATATTTTTCTTTTGTGACTTAAATTATTTTGTTTTATTCTAAACATAGTAAATTATACCTACAATTTATGTCATTAATACAGACTCCAATTAATAATCTTCTGTCTCCAACAAATTTGTGTATCTTTTTTTCTGTAGACAAAAACTCTTGAATTTCAAATAAATTCCTCCTAATAGGTAAGACTGGTCAGAGTTCTAATATGAAACAAGAAAAGTAACGGAATATTCTAATTTTATATTATAAGTTATAGAAAACAATTTGAGACTTCAAAAAATTTCTCTTTTTCTTGACAATCTTTAATTCTAACCATATCTAGTCTGGTCTTTCTAGTATAGTTTCAGATAAAGATATAAAAGGTGCTCATGACTTTAAAGCCAACCATTATACAGAAAGCACTTTTCAAAGCAAATCTGATAACTTAAATTCTTACATCTGTTCCACTACCAATGGCCAGAGTACTTGCCTTCTTTTCTGAGTGTTAGATAAGCAGAAATTTACCCATTTCCACTTCTGTAAATTGAGAAATTTTGGAGTATATAAGCAAAAGTCAAGTTTATTCAGTGAATTTTTAAGACTAAAAATAGTGTTCATTGTCACATAAATTAGAGAAAATTTCATTCATTCACATACAGCAATTTCTTAATTTACTCATTTATAGGAAAACACTCTCTTGATAATGCCACTTTATTGCTTGCTCCATCATAGTATACTGGAAGAAGAACACATTCAAGAGTCAGGCAATTAAATATTTGCATTTCATTTGTTTAATGTAATGGCTTGATGACCATGGGTCAATCACTTTAATTTCTGTGTGCATCTCTAAAATGGTGATGATACTTTCCTCCCAGAAATGTTGTGATGATTAAATGAGATGTCTCATGTAAAGTGGCTGGCATATATTATGCCAGTTTTCTTCCCCTTTTGAAGTTAATTTATCTCAACTGTCACTTTCTTAAATTTTCTGCCCCAGGATTTTCTCATACTTCTTTTTTGTTTTAGTATAAAACATATTTACTTATTCATTGTCTCAGATGAAAATGCTGTTCTAGTCTGCTTGTAAACACTATGTTATTTTCCTACCAAATTTACTATTCTCTTGAGAAAAGTTGACAGAACCAGGTATCTTCTTCAATATTCTTCATTATAGGGATGTGTAATTCAGATGAAGTGGATATTAACAATAAATAATTCTGAATTATCACCATCAGTCACACTTATGAGTATTATGTGCATATATCTACATAAATTGACCAACTTTACATTGCGCCAGAATGATGAAATTTGGCTTGGATAAAGAATTGTGAATCTTGTTCTGCCATCACCTATGTAATCTTTATACAAATATGGAGGCAGATTCCAGACTAAACACTCCCTACAACTTGAAGATATTTTTTAAAAGCTTGTGTGAGCTACATTGAATCAGATTAGAAGACTAGAAACCACCTTGTGCCTAGACTTCTTTCACCCCGAGTCTGCATCTATTTATGATTCCACTGCCTACTAAAAGTCTTACGAAATACAGAGAGAGAGAGAGAGAGAGAGAGACAGACGGACAGACAGACACACACACACACACACACAGAGAGAGAGACAGAGAGAGAGACAGAGAGAAAGAGAGAGAGAGAGATCCCTCAGATCTACTAAAAACATTATACCTGATCCCTTAATGTCTATTCCTTATATGTCAGGTGGAATTTTCCCAAAGCCCTCTCACTGCCAACCTTGAAAGAGAAAGGAAAGCAGTAGTTTCTCAATGTGGTCTAAAAGCAGCAAGTATCTTGATGTGTATTAAACACCTTATTACAGGATCACAATGGAAATGCCTACAGTGGTCAGCCACATACATGAATGTGTCAGGTATATGGGTAGATTAGGTTCTGGACAGTACTTGCACTTCCTAAAGTGAACAGCTGCCCTTGGAGCCTGCAATTATTGCCACATAAGAATGCAGACCAATGTGGTAAAATCTTCTGATTGTAAAAATATATTTAAAATTCAGATTTTTATGCAAAATCTCTTGATAGAGAATTGTTTGTAACTTATTCAAACAAACACTAATCTGGTCCAACAAAATACGTATCTGGATAATATACAATCTAGAGTGGCCCAGTGTTTGATACATATTTTAAATATTTGCCTGCTCTCACAGAAAGCAGAAAAGATATGAACTTGTTTAGGCAAAATGATAATGTTAGGGTGTTACAAAATCTGTTGGCTTTAACAACATCAATGATTTTAAGTTCATTCTAATATATTCTGTATGTAAACTTCTGCATATTTAATCTTAAAAAATCTATCATAATTCCAAAATACTTCAAACAGCTTACTAAGATTTTGGTTATTAGTATTAAGAAAAGCTTCATACTTTTAAAAACATTAAATATACCTATTTCCCCCCAAATTTTAAAATATTTGGAATTCTGTTTTTGTTATTTCAGTTGATTATTTAATTCAGGAATATTTCTTTAAAGACTGTCAACCTCCTTCTATGTTAGATGTATTGGGATAAAATTTGAAATTTGTATGTGTCTAGAAATTTCTCCATTTCTTCTATATTTTCCAATATATTGGCACATGGATACTATAGTAGCCCCTAATAATTATTTGTATTTTCACAGTATGAGCTGTAATGTCAGATTTTTCCTTTATGATTTTATTCATTTGTATCTTGTCTTTATTTTTTCTTAGTCTGGCTAAAGATTTGTAAATTTCATTTAATTTCTCAAAAAACCACCTTGTTTCATTGATCTTTTGTAGTGTTTTATTGATCTTTTGTAGCGTTTTCTTCATTTCAATTTTACTTATTTCTACTCTGATCCTTATTATTTCTTTTCTTCAGCTAATTTTGGGTTTGGTTTGTCTTGCTTTTCTCACTCTTTAAGATGTATTTGTTAGATTGTTTGTTCCAAGTTTTTCCTCTTTTTTGATGTAGGCACTTATGTCTGTAAACTTTCCTCTTAGTACTGCTTTTGCTGTATCCCATGGGTTTTGGTATGTTGTGTTTCCATTTTCATTTGTTTCAATTATTTTTTCAATTTTTTTCCTAATTTCTTCATTGACCCACTGGTCATTCAGGATCAAATAGTTTAATTTTCATGTACTTGTATAGTTTCAAAAATTCCTCTTTTAGTAATTTCTAGTTTTATTCCATTGTGTTCAGAGAAGATGCTTGATATTATCTCAACTCCTTGAATAAAACATTCAAGGAGTTTTGAGACTTGTTTGGTAACCCAACGTATGATCTATCCTTGAGAATGATCCATGAGCTGAGGAAGAGATTATGTATTCTGCAGCCATTGGATGAGATGTTCTGTAAACATCTATTAGATCCATTTGGTTTATAGTCTAAATTAATTCCAATGTTTCTTTGTTGATTTTCTGTCTGGAAAATCTGTCCAATGCTGAAAGTGAGGTGGTGAATTCTCCAGCTATGATTTTATTGGGGCCTACCTCTTGTTTTAGCTTAATAATATTTACTTTACATGTCTGGGTGCTCTAGTGTTGGCTGCATATATATTTAAAATTTGTATATCATCTTGCTGAATTGAGCCCTTTATCATTATATAATGACCTTCTTTGTGTCTTCTTACAGTTTTAGTCTTGAAACATATTCTGTCTAATATAAGTGTAGATACTTCTGCTCTTTTTTGGTTTCCATTGACACGGAATGTCTTTTTTCCATCCCTTTATTTTCAGTCTGTGTGTCTGTTTATGGGTGAAGTATGTTTCTTTTAGGCAACAGATCAATAGGTCTTGTTTTTTTAAAATCTATTCAGCCATTCTATGTCTTTTGATTGGAGAGTTTAGTCCATTTACATTTAATGTTATTATTGATAAGTAAGGACTTACTCTTGCCATTTTGCCACTTATTCTGGTTGTTTTGCAGCCTTATTTTCCTTCTTTGTTTCTTTCCTGTCTTTCTTTAGTGAAGGTGATTTTCTCTGGTGATATAATTTACCTACTTGCTTTTTACTTTTTGTATATCTGTTGTAGGTTTTTTGGTTTGAGATTACTATGAGGCTTGCAAACACTATTATGGAAGCCATTATTTTAGTGTAATAACAACCTAACATTGCATAAATGGACAAGCAAAAAGAAAGCTAATGAAAAATTACCCCTTAATTTTGTTCCCCTACTTTTTAACTTTTTGTTGTTTCTGTTTATATCTTATTGTACTATTGTGTATTGAAAAGTTGTTGTAGTTATTGTTTTTGATTGGTTTATCATACAGTCATTCTACTTAGGATAAAAGTAGTTTATACACCAAAATTACACTGTTATCATATTCTATGATTTTCTGTGTACTTACTATTACCAATGAGTTTTATACCTTCAGGAGATTATGTATTACTCATTAATGTCTTTTTATTTCTGATTGAAGTACTGTCTTTAGCATTTCTTGTAGGAAAAGTCTGGTATTAATGAAATCCCTCAGCTTTTGTTTGTCTGTGAAAGTTCTTATTTCTCCTTCATGTTTGAAGGATGTTTTCACCAGATTTATTATTCTAGGGTAAAGGTTTTTTTTTTCTTTTTTCTTCAGCACTTTAAAAATGTCATGCCATTCTCTCCTGACCTGTAAGCTTTCCCCTGAAAAGTCTGCTGCCAGACATATTGGAGCTCTGTTGTATGTTATTTGTTTTCTTTCTCTTGTTTCTCTTAGGATTCTTTCTATTATCTGTTATGTTTGAGAATTTGATTATTATATGCCATGAGGTAGTTTTCCTTGGGTTAAATCTGAATGGTGTTTTGTAACCTTCTTGTTCTTAGATATTTATCTAAGTCTCAGAGGCTCACCCAATGCCCTCAACATAGCACCTGGTATTGCTGCTGGTTATTCAGAGCACAAGGGCTCTTCAGTTAACAGGCAGTACATGCTGTTAGGACTAGGTCCTTTCCTTCAAGTCAGTGGTTTCTTTTCTGGCCCAGGATATGTCTAGAAATGTCATCCAGGACTAGCTCTTAAAAGAGGCGCCTCCCAAATCTGACTGGTGCCCCATCCTGCTGTGGCTGAGTTGGTATCTAAAATGCAAGACAAAGTCCTCCCCACTTTTCCTGCTCCACTCCTCAAGTGAAAGCAAAGGGTCTATTCTGAAGCCCTGAGCTGGGCCACCTGGGGTTCGAAGGTGTGTTTCCAGCATTCCCTTCGCCAACCCAGCTGGTATTTCAGGAGGTTGCATGCCCCGCACAGTCCACTGTCTCTTGTCCTAGTTTAGCAAGAGGACTCACCTAAGAGTTGCAGTCCTTATGACCTAGACTGCCTTACAATTTATTACTTAGAGACCCAGAGCAATTTAGCCCTCTGTGGTGAGGTTTGTGGTATGATTCCCCTCTTGCTAAGGCTGTTTTAAATGCTCCCTCTGCAGGTAGGAGTTAGCTGAGTTTGATCTGTTTTTTCTTTCTCTTCTAATAGGACAGCATTGAGTTTAATGCCTTACAATTGCTGTGCTCTCCCTCCCCCAGGGCCCTAAGATGTTCTCTGCACCTCCCTGGTTGCTGCTGCCAGGGAGTTGGGAAAGAGTGGTTTGGTGTTGGTGATTCAGGACTATTTTTACTATGTTTTCAATGCCTCTTTCAGCAATATGAAGTTAAAATCAGGTACTATGAGTGCTCTCCTGGTTTTTGGTTCTTATGAAGGTGTTTTTTCTGTGTAGATAGATGTTAAATTGGTGTCCTTGTTGGGGTATGATCAGTGGAGTCTTCTATTCTGCCATTTTGCTATACCTCCTCTCCACTCTCCAGTATTTATTTTTAAAAGAAAGATACCTGAATGAAAATGAGAACATATGGTTTAAACATATAATCAATGAAAATATGTAGCTGTTGGAGGTAGACATATCAACAGGTCACCTAGGAAATCAGATAATCCAAAGAATATATTCTATAAAAGAGCAGTCTCCATGATATAGAGTAGGAGGGATTTCTGAATTACAGGTGAAAACTGGTAGATATAAATTGTCTCACTGATAGAGGCATTGGCAAGATAATACCAAGTATGCAACTTTGAGAATAAAAATTCAAAAACATTGTATATTTTATTTAGGAATACGAACTGCGTATGCTTTACTGTTTAGTCTTTATCAAGAGTAATTTTATGGGAAAATGAATTGTTTTACTTTCCTGGTGAATAACATTTAAGTAATTTACTGAAGAAGATACAGTTTTTTTCTGAGTAACACTAGTAGAGAATGCTTCAAATATAATTGATTTGTATGTCAATTTCAGTTTTGTAGATTCTAAAATCAACAGCAGAAAGAGGGCAAAGGGACAAAATACTCATAACTCCTTAGATTATGTTTTTATTCCTCCATGGTAGCTTTGGTATTTCAGAGACTCCAGTGATTGAGTATAATAAGTAAATAAATGCTCAATTTTTAGCTGAAGTTAAAACCAGCAGAAAAAAATAATTGGCTGGGCACGGCAGCTCATGCCTGTAATCCCAGCACTTTTGGAGTCCGTGGCAGGCGGATCATGAGGTCAGGAGTTTGAGACCAGCCTGGCCAATATAATGAAACCCCGTCTCTACTAAAAATACAAAAAAATTAGCCGGGCATGGTGTTGCGCGCTTGTAGTCCCACCTGCTGGTGAGGCTGAGGCAGAAGAATGGCTTGAACCCGGGAGGTGGAGGCTGCAGTGATCCAGATCACGCCACTGTACTCCAATCTGGGCGACAGAATGAGACTCCGTCTCAAAAATAAATAAATAGCCAAGCGCGGTGGCTCACGCCTGTAATCCTGGCACTTTGGGAGGCCGAGGAGGGAGTATCAGGAGGTCAGAAGATCGAGACCATCCTGGCTTACACAGTGAAACCCCGTCTCTACTAAAAAATACAAAAAATTTGCTGGGTGGGGTGGCGGGCACCTGTAGTCCCAGCTACTCAGGAGGCTGAGGCAAGAGAATGGCATGAACCTGGGAGGTGGAGCTTGTAGTGAGCCAAGATCGCGCCACCACACTCCAGCCTGGGCGAGACTCCGTGTCAAAAAATAAAATAAAATAAATAAAAATTAAATAAATAAATAAATAAATAAATAAATAAAACTTTGATTTTGCCAGTTTATTATTTGATTTGAAAAGAACTAAATAGCACTGAAGGTGAATGATAGTTGCACAATCCTCAATAACAATTCGTATTACTCACTTTACCCTGCAACTCATTCCCTTTATGTTTCTTTTTTTTTTCTGATGCTCATTTCCTTAAATATTAAGAATATAAAATATCCTTAATATTTAAGGCAAGCATTTTTGTCTTCTGATAGGATGCAATGTTGGGTTAGCAAATATTTTAATTGCTTTTCTCGTATTGAGTAAAATGGATGCTTATTTCCAATAATAATGATCAGTTACTTCGACAGAACTGTCCCGTTTTATGGGACAAGAAGAATATGTGTGGCTTAGTGCTAAGCTCTTCATACAATCAGAGAATGTAGATCTCTGTGTAAAGGAGTAGATTCCTTAAGTTCATTGTGCCAATGCTCTCCTCAATACATCATAGACTTCTTGTTTCTGTGCATTGTCCTACTTATTTTCTTAATTTTAAGTGCTTCTGACACTACACTCCTACCTTGCCTCTCCTTTTGCGGGGGTCAGGTGAAATTTATTTAAACCATCAACTATGCAAATGATTTGTCTGGGGAAAGAAAAAATAAAATGTCTGAGAGATCTAAGGTAATCTAGTTATTAGAAAAGAAAAATAATTTGAATGGTCAGAAGTCAAAGGAGAAAATAAAGTTAACTATGGAAAATCCTAGGAATTAACAGCAGGACTTAATTAAATAGGCACGTGGTCAGTTTACATGCTATGGTCATAGTGGCAACATTAATACTGTACATACGTCCCAATTCTATATCCCCAGGCAAACTCTACACATACACACATAGATATAACAGTTGGAAATAAGTGGATAGAATAAGTATTTATTCTACTATAATGATTACAGAAGGGATTGTAGAATGTAATCGGTTAAGGTAGGAAGTTAGGGTATGAGTGGTGGGAGCATTAGGGAAAGTGGCTGGAAAGGGGATAGCTGATAAGTAGCTTTTGGAGTTTGGATAATATTAATGTGAATAGTGGCCAAGATGGAGTACAGGAAAAGTTTTTCAGCTAAGGTGTTTAAAAAAATGAGAGCTAGGGAAGAGAAAAATAAATATTAAATTTTGACCTTATAGAATCCGGGTTCTGGTCATCCAGGAATATTTTTAAGACATGTTCAAGGTTAAGTTTGACTCTGTAATTTTTCTTCTTAGAATAAGTTTTAGTTGCTACTAAGCTTCCCCATCTACCCAATTCCAATTTTCAATAGCTTCTCCTAGTCTAGGACTTGTGATCTAATGATTTTTTATTACTTTCTATAATTTCTTGTATTTGTGCTTTTTAAAATTATTTGGTTGCACTGTAAATTATTTTTAACAGAAAACCATTATTTACTTTTGGAATTAGGCAGATAATATGATAGTAATCAGCAATAAATAAACATTTTTAGAAAATACTGTACTGAAAAATAATTATTAACAGACAGTAATTTCTTTCCAATGCATAGTAACAATAGTAGTCATTGGATTTTGGTGACAGAACTTGTGAATTAATAAGATTGTGGTTATCAGAGTCCTGTGAAAAATCAATGATGGACTAAAAATTTGCTATGCTGTTTTATGCCAATTAACTGTATTTTGCTTGCTTTCTCTTTGTCTTCTGGCAATAGTTTCAATATATCACCCTTAGAAAAGTCACCAAAGCCAAATTTATTTTTCATTTGGGTCCCCACCAGAATTCTCAAAGTGACAGATTTTTATTACCTACTAACATTGCTCCTCGCTTCTCATATATTTTGTTCTAGTTTCCTTTATGTCTAATGTATTTATCTTCTCTCTTTTCTAGAGTTGTCTCCCCAGGATTCTGGGCATCCAATCTTGTCTCCTGTCTAGACTTTATTGTTTTACTTACACTTTTATCTAACTGTAATGGTCAAGTCCCTGCTTTAATGAGAGGTTACTTTCCTCACCTTTTTATACTTTGACCTTTGGTAAGTCCACTCAAGGGTCACCTTCTATTATATATCTTGGCAAAACTTTTTCTTTATCTTTTATATTACTTTGGTTCTTAGGAAATCTTACTCTTAGTCCTTGACTATCTCATTTCCTTCTTTAACTGGTCAATTGATAACCATTATCAATGTTAGTGAAAGATTCATTTAATATCCTCCATAGCATTTGCCAATTGCTCATTTCCTCCATTGTTTCAAGTCTAAGCAGCTTGATAAACTGTACTTAGTGCCCTCTAAGTGACATTGGATGAGTTGAGACCCATATCCTAAATGTAGCTCTTAACGTTTCCTACTTATATGGGTTTCTCTTCCCCGTGTGAAAATGCAGTTTGCTCCAAGGCAGTTATCATTGGGGTTCTTCACTGCTGCATTCCTTTGACATGAGAAGTGCTTGACACATAATAGGTCCCCAAGAAATATTTATCCAACAAATTAACAAATGATTAGGTGCTAGGGAAATAAAAAATACTTGACCCTGTCATCAATAATTTTACAATCTACTAAGGAATATACTTACAGCAATAGATGATATCAATATAACTTGGCAAATGTGATGTTAGATAAATAAATAGAAAATGTGCCATGAGGGCAGAAATAGTCTTATTTGTGTTATCTGGGAAGAATTGCAGGGGGTGGTTGCATCATTTATTCACTCAACAAATGCAGTTAAGCTCTTTCTGTATTCCAAGCACTCTTCTAGGTGCTGAGAGTAGAATAGTAAAAGTCATAACAAAGACTTCTTCTTAAAGAGTTTTTATTCCTCTAAAAAATGAATAAATAATTAAATACTAATGAAAAAATAAATAGTAAACGAGTAAATACATTGAACACAAACATTTCAGATAAGTCTCACTTAGAACCTAGAGTCATCTAAAATTCTTTGCTTTCCATTTTTTTTCAGTTTAAATCCACCAGTGATTCATGCTGGTGACATCTCCCAAGTATATCCTGAATCTACATTTTTCTACAATTTCATAATGACCACCTTAATCGAGATAAACTTAAGCTCTTTCTCTAGGTACTTTTTCTTGCTATTTACTTCCTTCTTCTTGGAATTTACTTCTGTTCTTCTCAGAGGTGCCTTCTCTGTCATCCTATTGAAAAAATATCTAACCTAGAACTGGTTAACACATTATACTATTTGGCTTAGTGTTTTTCATAGTTCCCATTTTGACTTCCGTAGAGTAATGCAATAACTTCAAAATGCATAACACCTGCTTCTTGATCTCCACTATTACCACCCTGGCTCAAGCTGCCATTTTCTTTCAGCTGCCAGACCACAATAAATTGTCCACACAGGAGCCAAGGTCAGCATTTAAGATATAAAATCAGATAACTGGACTCCAGGTACAATCAGGATTCTGAACCATATCAACTCTAGAAAGAAAAGCAAGAGACAGAAAATTGAAAAAACCTTTTAGAAAGAAAAAGCAACCAGGAATTACATAGACAAATGCTATTGTGAATTGGTATGTTTCTATGATGGAGAAAGGTGGATGGAGGGAGAGGCAGTGGCAATGCAGGTTGATGGAGAGAGTGATGCCACTGTCTTGGAACAGGAAACAGTCCAATTAGGCTAGGGGAGGGGAAATGTAGGCATTCTGCATTTGTTTCTCTCTACCATCCCTTCCCTCCATTTTCCTTTATAATAAACTATGTCTACATCTACACCTGCTTACACAGGTCTCTTGTCCATGTGTTCCCAAGAGAAAAATCAGGGTAGCTCAGAGCCCTGTGCTTGTGAGGAGCTGGGAAAAAACTGCTGGCAAATAACTGACCTGGTAATAATTTATTCTCTAACTCCCCCTTTCCAAATTCTTAAGACTGAAGAATTATAATTTAAATAGCACCTTCTCCTAATGATATTTTTTTCTACAGGGCAAAGAGTAAAGATTTGACCTAAGAAAATGTTTTATGAGGTGGAGAGTGATTAATTGTGGTTTTCTGATTTGGGGGTCTCTATACCCCAAAGCTTATTCCTCTGAGCTGATTATAATAGACATATTATTATTTTGAATTTGTAAGCCAAATTTTTATGTTTGAATATAATAGAATAGCCTCTTTACCCACACAAGCCACTGAATGTAAGAAAATTTGAACTAACAATATGAGGGCATAAAATATTTTAGGCATACAAGGTCTCAGAATTTTTTTGGACAAACATCTACATTAGAAATATTTTGGAATTAAATTCTTAAAAAGAAGATCAACTTAGTATATTTATGAAAAGACATATGAAGTAAAAGTGATCAAATACCTGAGTAAAAGGTAACATTGTCTTAAAACATATAGAGAGTCAAAGGAAAAGAAAAGAATATGTTAATATTGGTACAGAATAAAATGTACATGTAATACAAATATATATCAACATATTCTTTAAATACAAACATATATCAACATATTCTTTAAATATGAAGTATATAGAGATCAATTTAACAAAAGTTGTTTAAAATTTCTACAGAAAAACATATAAACTTTCCTTAAGAGATATTACAAGAGACTGAAATACATGGAGAGACATGCCATGTTCATTGAATGGAAGACAATATGATAAAGATGTTGGCTTTTCCCAAATTGATTTATAGATAAAATCTAATCAAAATCTCAATTGGGTTTTTTAAATGAAACTTGATGGTACTAAAATTTATAAGGATAATTAAGATCAAGACTACCTAGGACATTTCTGAGGAAGAAAAGCAAGAAGGGAGAACACGACATAACAGACATCAGTATTTATTATGAAATTATCTAAACATAATATGGTGTTAGCAGAAGGATAGAAAAAAGTGGACAAGAAACAGAAAGCCTAGAATCAAAGCCTCTTGCCATGAAATTTTTGTATAAAAGACAGGTAGCATGAAAAAGCAGTGTAGAAAGTATTGTTCAATAAATGAAACTGGCAAAAGTGATAATAAGTATAGAAGAAGACAAAATTAGATCTAATTCATCAACTATTTGAAAAGATAAACACCAGAAGAACAAATAACTTCAATATCACATAATACATTTTTAACACTTACAGAAAACATAGGTGGAGATAGTTTAAAACTTCAGATAAAAACAGATTAGAAGTAAGATCAGAAAGCATTGATGAGACTATTTAAATTAATCTACAGGTAACTTAAGAGTCGGAGAAAATGTGGACCTACAGGATTTCTCAAACATTGCTGTGAGAAGTATAAACTGGTGCAACCATATTGGAAAATAGTTTGGCATTACCTCTTAAAATTAAATATCATGTATCTTGTAACTCAGCAGTTTCACTGTTAGGTATAGGCTCAGGAGGAACTCCTGCACATAATTAACAGGAAATAGGAATATAAGGATGTATGTTGCAGAACTGTGCACAATAGTAAAATGCTTTAAGTACTCAAGTGACCCTCGAAAGGATAATGGATGTTATATTCACACAATGAAATATTATATAGCTATCAGAAAAAAATGATCTATAGTGACAAGGATGTCTTTTAAAAATCTGGTAATAAATTAAGATACAAGTTTCAAAGTATTTCAATCATGATATAACTTCTATATGGGTAAAAACAATGAATCTAAATGTATGCATACATTTTAGGAGTTCATAGAGATGGCAGAGGACAGGGAGTAGTTAAAAACACTGGATTCGTGATAGCGCGTATCTGCATAGGGGTTGAGAGTGTGGAACATAAATTGGTGGTGGAGTCCATAGTTTTGTCAAGATTTTAACTCCTATTTTGGATGGTTAATGTATGGTTATTTATAATATTATTACAAAGAAGTCATTAAATAACTAGATGAAAGTAGGTCATGCAGGTAACCAAGCAAGATTATGTTATGAATCAAAATAATAGTTAATCCAAACTAGGTTCAATCATTTTTAAATATCAGATCGTGTCTGAGTTCATGTCCTTTGTAGGGACATGGATAAAGCTGGAAACCATCATTCTGAGCAAACTATCACAAGGACAGAAAACCAAACACCACATGTTCTCACTCATAGGTGGGAATTGAACAACGAGAACACTTGGACACAGGGTGAATAACATCACACACCGGGGCCTGTCGTGGGGTCGGGGGAAGGGGGGGAAGGGATAGCATTAGGAGATATACTTAATGTAAATGATGAGTTAATGGGTGCAGCCACCAACATGGCACATGTATACAAATGTAACAAACCTGCACGTTGTGCACATGTACCCTAGAACTTAAAGTATAATAAGCAAACAGACAAACAAAAACAAAATATATATATATCAGATCATGTCACTAGTCTGCCTTTAATTGTCCATACTTCCTATGATTTATCAAAAAAAGTTTTAAGTAGTCATAGTGATAATGTGGCCAGCACTTTTGCTGCTTTGCATCACCTTTCCTTCAGCTTACCTCTGAATTCAGCATCAAGTTTGATGGAAAATTCTCAGATATGACACCAGCATATCTGAATAAGATTTTTGTTTCTCTGCCTTCCCCCGCCCCCGCCCCCCACCCCCCTGCCAGGGCTTTCTTAAAAACCAGGGAGGTCTTTCACCAGGATATAGGTAAAACAGGAGAATTAATATCCATAGGAAAACCCTCAACTTTTGATGGATGGAAGTTTGGAGATAAATGTCCAACCTTCTTTCTTGCAGACAAAAAATTTGTGAGGCTTATACTACACTATTTCTCTAGGAATCTCCAGAGGAATTAAATCCCATGCGCCCCAGATGATATCGACTCGGTAAAACACATTTGACAGCTTTTCTTTTTTCTCTATCTCCCCCTCCTTTTCCTTATTTATTTCTTCTCCTCCTCCCCCTCCTCCCCCTCTCCTTCCTCCCCTTCCTCCTCCTTCTTTCTTCTTTCTTCTTTCTTCCTCTTCCTCTTCCTCTTCCTCTCCTCCCTCCTCCTTCTCCTCTTTCTCCTCCTCCTCCTCCTTCTTTCTTCTTTCTTCCTTTTTTTCTTCTTTCTTCTTGAGATAGCTACTGGGTAAATTACCTGCATGCAAATCATTGTCTCAGTCTCAGTCTCTTTTTACAGGGAATTCAAACTTAGACAGTAACTGTAGTGATAGATATGGGAGTGGGGCTTATCATTGCTAGGTTAGTTATAGGAAATCTCTCCGATATTTCGATGGAAATACCAAGCCAAATGATGAGTGTTGGGGGAAAGAAACCATTTCCAGTCAGAAAGCATTTCCAGTCAGAGCACAGCAAATGCAAAAACCCTTCAGGGGGAGAGGGATTGAATATTTAAGGCACAGAAATGGCCAGAAAGGATGGTGCAACGTGAACTAGTGAGGATGATCAAGTTGGAGAAGTAGGCAAGGACTAGAATGTGTAGGGCTTTGTACACCACATCAATGAGTTTCAATTTAATTTCAGCTGTAATCTGAGGCAAACAAGTAATGTTGCTGGGACCAGTGATATGAAGTAGAATAACAGCAGTGAAGACCTTCAGAATAAAATGGAGCAAATGGGTTTGAGATACATTTTGGGGTAGATCTGATGCCATTTACTGGTGGATTACCTATGGTGGTTGAGAAAAAGGCAAAAATCAAAGCAAATACTTATGTTTTAGGCTTAAACAAGAGGTGTATATGGATGATACATACTAATATAGAACAGAATAGGAAAGAAATAGATTAAGGTGGTTGGTAAGAATCAAGAGCTATTTCTGAATATTTTACTTTTTTCAGTGTCTGTTATTGTCTTAAAGAAATGTGAATCCATTAGCCTGGAGCTGAGTGAAATAATCAGTGTTAGACATGTGTATCCTGGAGTTATTATCACTTGTATTAACCATAATTAGTTCCTGCAAACTAATGCTTTAAAATCTACAAAATGGTTACTAGCTCTTCTCAAGTAAACCCTGCTTCACCCGAAAACTTCTGGAGACATTAGACAGCCCTAAATTTGATGCTTTAACAGTCACGGTGACCATGAATTTCATGAGGGTACTACTTTCAAACATAGCTAACTAACCGTAAGCCCATTTACCCTGTCTTGGCCATTCCTTCCCCTGGAAATTATAATAAACGCACTTGCCCACGGTTCCACATTCTCCCTCTGCCACCTATCTGTCTCAGGTGCTCCCCTCAAGTAGTCTTACATTGAGTAATAACACTGGGCCTTTTGGTTTCTTCTGTTTTCTGTATGGCTTCATCATAGTTATCCTAAGGTAATATGGTTAAAACACATTTAACGCTAAATTCAGTTTTATCTGAATTACCCAATGCCCTTCTTGGGCAGAGGCAACTCATAGTGTGTGTGTGTTCTTCCTACGGTCTCTCCCTTTCCCTTTTGTGGGTGCCACTGTGGAAGGTGGCAGAAGGAGTAGATTGAAGAAGCATGGCTGCCAGGGAGGCTTTATGGAGGACTGCTGCCCCAAAATAATGCTTCTCAACAAGGGATGTTCCTCTTAGATGTGTGTAGGCTTAGCCATTATTAATCGGGGTTGTTTGTAATAACATTCAACATTTTCTCACCCTTATTAATTAAATAAATAATTTCCTCAGGGAAGTCTATCTGACCCCTTCTCCATACACACACAAGGCCTAATTTCTTGCCTATAAATTGTCATAAAAGTATTTACTTCTTTTTATAACAATTACCCTATTTTTCATTTATACACTTATTTGTGTGATTATGAAATTAATATTCATTTCTCCTACTGGACTGTAAGATCCATAATGGCAAGGCTATATCTGTTTTTCCTCATCCTTTATCCATTGTAAGCATGTAGTAAATATCCATTGAATAGAATATTTTAAATTAACTGACCACCTGGAATTATTATTCTGCATGAATTTGGACCTAGAAGATTCTGATACAGGCTCTGCTTACTGGATTGCACTTCCTTTCCATGAAGATGGATAAAAACTGCTGCTCCAACTGGGCTTTTCATCCAATAAGTGATGCCCAGCTACTCTTTAACAACAGGAATGGTTTCTGGGTGTTAAATTCAAATTTCACTCAGCCTTGGCCCCCACCTCATGCCATAAGCACTACTGAGGCAGAGCCCAACTCATGCCCAGGTCTTCCTTAATTATGAGAATTTTTTCAATGCCTGGGATTTCATTACCTAAAATACTACAAAGGCTGCTTTTGAGAACTTTGACCACATTGTTATCTGCAAGGTTAAAAAGTCTATAAATCTGAAGTTGTCTGCTTTAGCTTTTCTGTGTTTCTGTGTGTATGTGTGTGTGCATATTCTCATGTGAATGTATGCGTGTTCATTTAGATCCCACGAAAACTTCACTTTGAAGGGAAGTAAATAATGTCCTCGTGACTTTCTCTCAAGCATGAAAATGTGTAACACAGTTAATTTAGTTAGTTTTCCCATAATTACCGTTAGTGAACACTGAATTCCAATTTCACAATGTCAGCTGCAAACTATTAAACATGTTACAGCGTTTTTTCCTTTAAAATAGTATGGTGAATTATTTTCACTCTAAAATATTTATTATATAATATACATGTTTTATTAAGCACTTTGACTGCAAAGTTAATTTTTATCTGGTAACATTAACATCATTATTCCTGGAATTGAAACCCTTTAGCCTAGTGGTATTTTCAGTACTCATATTTTATGTAGATACTAGGCCTTGGCTGAAAAATCATGTAACTGCTTAAGTTTATAGTTTGTATTTTGTGATTTACAGTTTTCATGTGTGTTTTCTGTATATTTTCTTTTTCGATCTTTGCTGAAGAAAGACATATTATGACATTTTATGTATGTGGAAATTGAATTTTAGGGAAGTGATGTGACTTGAGCAAAGTCATGAAGCTTGTGAAATGCTGAGGCAAACTTGTTCTTAAAGACTAGTTTCCAAATATCTCAAAAGACTTAACCTTATTTTTTCCATAGAAGTCCCGGAATGAGGACTCTAAAGAGCTACCCTACACTCTCTATGCCTGAGTTTCTCGGGGCTCCAAGATCTCTGTTCCGATATTACGACCCCCATTTTGAGGTTATCCATGATGTTGGGACCAGCACCTCTATCTAATGCCAAGGCCACCAGTAGAGTTGATGAACTTCTCACCAAGTCACAGAGCTGCTCTTCCCATTGAATCAATCAGTAGTATTTTTAAAGTATCAATCAGTTTGGCATTGTGAAGGGCACATATAAGTAAATATGACCCAGAATCTGACGATTAAGAAGCAGATAATTAGAAATAAAATCAGTACATATGAAAAAATGAATAACATAGGCACCCTAAGACTTTTAGAATTTTAGACTGCATCAAAAAGCAGGAAAAATCAGATTGAGTCACAGATAAACAGATAAATTATCCAAAGGTGTACAGCAAGCAGGCTAGGACAGAGAGCCAAGTATCAACCCCCTGCCACACATATGCTCCGTCCACGCTCTGGAGATAAATGGTGTAGGAGTTCAGATAAATAGGCAGCTTCTCACAACGTCTCTTTGGGAAGCTGGGATAAGGTCTGCTTTAGAGAGAGGGACTGACTTTTATGTCACATGGAAAAATAAAAGTAAAAACACCAATGTGGAGATGGGCATGGAGCCTTCTCATGAGAGAGAGAAAAGCAAATCCATTTGTTAAGGGCCTGCGGTACAACAGACACTGAGATAAGCATTTTACAAACATTATTTCATGTTATCCTGACGACATATCTGAAAAAAGGGATATTGATGAGGTATTCTTCATGTTCATGCTTCTAGTGTACTGGATAGAACATTAAAGTCTGTTCAGAGTCCATTGTCACCTTGTGAATGTTCTTTAGTAGCAGCAATTAAATCAGAAGACTTTTTCTCTTCTGTTTTCTTCAATAAATATATATCAGGCAAATGACAAGCTGTTAAGAAAGAAAAATGAAAAAAAAACTTCACAGTCTTTACTTCAGAAAAAGTGTACTATAGCAGGGAAACAAAAATAACACAAATAACCATTATAGAATAAGAAAAGGGCCAGGAAACGGGTAATAATTTATGTAAGGTGAGCTCTTCGCTTACCTTGCAATAACCACCCAAGAAGTGTATTATTATGCCTATGTTAAGAAAGAGTAAATTAAATCTCATGGAAATTGAGAAAATTACCCATAACCAAAGAGCTTGCAGGAATAGTTAAACTTCATGTCCAAATCTGAATGACATAAAATCTATGTTTGTCATGGACTTGGTACGCAGTACCCAATAAATGGTAACAGTTATTATTTTATTGTTGTCTGGAATCATTGCTTACCTGTATATGCCATATAGACAGATGCGCACGCACACACACACACACACACACACACACACACCCCTAATAGCAAATCAATGAGAGCGCTATTCAGCCACACTAATTTAATTAATCTCTGCAATTTTCTTAAAACAAATAGTTTTGCATTACCTTTCCTCTAAGATTGTGATTTCTTGTCACAGGTTTGGTCTTTTTAAGTTTAAATAAAAAGGCAGAGCTGTTTTCAGTACTATGTAAGTCTAACAGTAGAAGAAGGCTAGGAAATAGCAGTGCTGACCTAAATTCTACAGGCTGGATCATACAGGATCTTTAAATGGCAGCTTTGTTGAAGGTAGGAACTCAACCTCAACTTGGGTACCTACTGCTTTTGTGCAGCTTTTCTGTGACTTAGGAGTGACTTCCTAGAGTTGAGGTATTAATAGAGCCTGTTTGTTCCTATTTGCCAAACGGGACTCGTTTCTATTAAAAAAAAAAAAAAACCTAGTAGTTACAGCTCATATATGTTTCCTTTTAAATAAAATCATCATCAAAACAAAGAAATTGATTTCATGCAAGATATGTACAATTAATCAGAAGAATGCAACTGCCTACATATCAACATAGCAGCTTATGTTCAAATGAATTTCTGAATAAAAAAATAAGAGGCACATATTTTGTGAGTATAGATACTCTGTCATAAATATATCCTTTTCTTGATCAGAAGGCATATGTGCCTTTTTACTAAGTGGATGATTTGCTGCACTCTTTTTGGCAGTTTTAAATGGGCTCTAATTTAATTTTCTGTTCCTGGGAACATCGGTGTGAGTACCACGCAGTGATAAAACTTCCTTTGGGTGGCAGTGTGGAGTGGTAAAAATAGAAATGGGTTGTTTTTTGACGTATTTGGGAAGAAAATCCTAGCATTGTTCGTCATTTTTTTGTGTGACTCTCATGAATGTATTAAGACTGTTTCTCACTTCACTCACATGTTAAATTATTTAGTTATAGGATTTATGTGTTTCTGAGTACATCACCCTTTGAGAAGTATACCTCATTAGTATTTCTTTTTTCTTCCTGTACTGTTTTCTGAATGCATGGGGGATTGCAGGAAGCAAAAGACAGAGCAACCCTAAAGAGAAAATTAAAGCAAAATCTCTGAGTTATAGCCTCTTAGTTACAAAGGTGAGTTTTCAAGGATTGTCTATTAATCTTATCAAAGATCTGAAAACTTATGCAATGTGTAAAAATATGCAGAAGTCAGAGGCTCTAGGCCTTTCAGGAGGTTGCAGACCCATATTCTAGAGACTGCACATTCTGAGACCCACATTCAGAGAGAACCACATTCTCAGAGAACATTCCACATGATCCCATTCAATTATGTAATCCATGTTGCTGCATTATTAACCTAATTCATATAATTTGCAAAGTCTTGTCAGCCACTTTTTTTTAGCCTCATTTCTATGGGTTAGGACTCAATTTAAGAGAAAATAGCCAAATAGCCACCTTTGTCTGTCTTCTGAGTACAAAGGAAACCTACTGCTACAGAAGCTGACATCTCAGGAGTGAAGGAATCTTGTAAAGTAAGCTGCTTGATTCCTGTAATTTAAGCATCTTATCAGAGTGCTACCCAGACCCAGCTCTACCTAATGTCAGTGATTAGAAGGGGCTAAGCATGCTCAAGGCAGCCGGGTACAGTGTTCTCAATCTGCACTTTCAAGCCTTCTGTACTGCTGATGGTGTGTAAGTTCTTTAAAGTTCTCAGAGAAAATGCCACAGTAGCCTGAAGAAATCTATTCCTGTATCTATTGACTATTGTTGTGTTGCCACACACATTCCCATTTACTTCTATCACAGTAGACACACATAACAGCTTTTTACATATTGTAATATCTGAGTTATTATTTTTGCATTTTCTTCTGTGACTTATTCTCCTATTATCATTTTCTCTGGTTTCTCTGCAACAAATTTTATAGCATTAGACAAAAATTCATTTATCAAATTAATTATTGCTGTGTAGCATAGATTTAAAAATCACAAAGCATAAGGGTAGAGCTGCATAAATGTTCACAAAATGAACACATCCATGTTACCAGAAAGCAGATGAGAAACAACTTTCCCAGCACCCCAGAAGTCTTCTCATCTCCCCATCCAAACACTTCTTTCCCCAGTGTTAACTGCTACTCTGACTTCTAACACAACAGATTAATTTTGTCTGTTTTTAAATTTTATATGAATGAAATCATGGAGAAGGTATTTTTTTGCTTCTAGCTCCTTTAGCTCAATGTTTCATTTGGAAGATTTACTCATGTACATACATCTTGTAGTTTGTTAATTCCATTGCTGTGAATATGCTATCATTTATTTGTCCATTTTACAGTTGGAGGGCATTTTTGTTATTTCCAGTGAGATTGTGATGAATAGTGCTTCTATAAACATTGTTGTACTTGTCTATTCCTAGAAAATTATACTCATTTCTCTTATATTATGAGCAGAAACCCTGGGTCGGAGGCTAAGTGTACATTCAGCTTTAGCAGATATTGTCAATGAGTTGTGCTAATTTCCACTTCTACCAATGTCAGTTTAACAAATTACTATTGGGAGTTTTACTTTAGGTTCAGTGATAACTGAAACCTAAACAATTTTGGACATTTTTAAAATAATAGAATATAAAGTTATAAAAATAATATTTGTATAGACAAAAGGAAGAAAGTCATTGAAAGGAAAACTCTCCTTTCTCTTTTACTTTCATTGTATACCTAAGCAGATATTATCCATTGAGCTGTATATTGTAGAGCTAGATCTCCAGCTCATTTGTCAGCACAATTTTCATATATTACTTGTCTTTATGTAGCCAATCCTTATTACAATGCTATACATGTAGTAGATAATCTTTTGCCTGGGTGATAAAATATGTTAAGATGACCAAAAACAGGTCCCTTCTATTAAAAATGTCATAATTTACTGTGATTTGCCATCATCATTCTTCAGTTATGAAGCCAACAATGATACAACAAATATGTACAGGAGGTAGTTATAATAAAAAATTTAGTGCTAGTGTACTTTCATCTAATCTATCCATCATTAGAAATTTATTTGTTTATTATCTATCTGTCATTTATCTATCTCTCATCTGTGTACCATACATCAAGTTTTATCCTATTTCCAAAAAGAATTTAATATGGATTATAAAGATTGGATAAAGAGACACACTTGACACTGCATTTGTTTAGAAGACATTGAGAGCAATGCTACATTTAGAGGGAAAATATAGACAAACTCTAGTTAAAGGAGCAAGAATTATGAGAATCAGAAAAGAAGACATACAAGAGCAGGTACAAAGTGACCAAAATCACAGTTCTGCAGATGTTTGTTCTGATGGAGGTCAGAGCTAAACAAAGGGCAATCAAATATATGTTAGGATTTCCTTAGGCAGCATTCTCTAATCCTCAATAGTGAAATATACTGTGGCTATTATAAGAGTATATTTTGAGGCTAGATAAATATCATTCCGGCTTCACCAATTATGGCAGATTATCATTGATAAAGTTGGACTTCACTTTTACATTCTGTTATATAAGGATGATATTACCTACCTTATAGGAGTGCAATATGGATTAAAAAATAATACAGGCAAACTACCCAGAACAACAACTTCCAATTCTGTATCTTCTGGTAGGGAAATGTGTTCTCCTTAAAGAAACAGTGATATTGATGCTGTATATTGAATTCTAAGCCTGAGAATCTTAAATCATACTGTTAAATATTAATCCTTAGACAATATACCTTGATTGGAAATTAATTTATTTGTTTTACTTTCAAACAAGATATTTTAAGATAATTTCCAAAATTGGTATTAATGTATTCTCCTCATTTTGTTCCCCTAATAAATTTTTAGCTACGATAGCACTTGATTTACTCACATTTGAATTCTACCTAGTTATTTACTTATCTGACTTCTTAAAGACAACTTTAATCATCTTTGTATTCTTCACCTTCCCTAGTAAGTGATTTATACACTTTTATTAAGTTATTAAATATTATGATTTAATTTCTTATATTAGAAAAAATCACTTAATCTATTAAGTTTGTTTTATTAATTAGCCTTGCTGCAATAACAATCTCAAAATCTTAGCAACTGAAAATCTAGTGTACGTTTATTTCTTTTCTTTCTTTCTTTCTTTTTCTCTTTTTTTTTTTTTTTTTCTTTGAGACAGGGTCTCACTCTTGTCACCCAGGCTGGAGTGCAGTGGCATGATCTTGGTTCACTGCAGCCTCGAATTCCTGGGCTCAAGGGATCCTCCTGCCTCAGCTTCCCAAGTAGCTCTGACTATAGGCATGAGCTACCATGTCTGGCTAATTGTTTTTATTTTTTGTAGAGACAGGGTTTCACCATGTTGCCCAGTCTGGTCTCAAATTCCTTATCTCAAACCATCTGCCTGCTTTGACCTCTTAAAGTCTTGGGACTAGAGGCATGAGCCCAGCTTACAGCTGTGGGTCTGCCCCCTTAGAAATGCTCCCTGTGTGATCTCATTCCTAACCTCAGTCTAAAGGAACATCTACCTGAGACAGAAGGTTTTCATGGCAGAGGGAGAAAAGAGACATAGCAAAAATGTGAGGTGCCTCTAAAAGCTTGTGTTTTGTTGGGGTGTATATCTGCCAAAATTCAGTTGGATAAAATCATGCCACATAGCCAAGCTCAACATTAATGAGGAGGTGGTAGAAGCGGAGGTGGTGGCGGGGCTGTGGATGTGGGTGGCTATGAAAGCTACACAGAAACAGGTAAGCATTGTGATCTTTTTTAAAAGAAGGAGAGTTAGAGAGTGGATAAATGCCGAATCTGAGGCTGGGTTATTGAGGGCCTTAGAGATCACTGAGACACTAACTTCACTTCACCTGACATTGTCTCATACTCTAGAAAACTACAATTTTATAACGGAATCATCAATGGATTGTGTTTCCAAGTGATTTACTGACTTTTATTCATCAGCTGAAAACTGGCTGCCTGACAAACTCAACAATTCTTTCAAAAATTTACTATCTTGAAAATGTGAAAATAAGTCTTTGCTATAGAACTTTAAGATATAAAACTTCAGAAATTACTTTCACGGTGTTTTAGTCATTTCAAATCTCGTATTAATTTGCTAGGTCTTACATATCAAAATAGCACAGACTAGGTGATTTAAACAACATTCCTCTGTGTGTACATCTCTAGGTACCTTTGTGTGTCAAGATCTTCTCTTTTTATAAGGACAGCAGTCAAATGGAATTAGGGCTTACCCTAATGACCTCATTTTAACTTAATTACCTCTTTGATGATCCTGTGTCAAAATATAGTCACATTCTGAGGTTCTGATGGTTAGGGTTTCAATGTATAAATTTAAGGGGAACACAATTCACCCTTCACAGACCTTAACACATTTTTCCTTTTAAAATTCAATTTTTAAAGAGCTACACAGAAAAAGAAAAATTATTTTTTATTTATACATGTTTGCTAAACAATTCCATCTATATATACATAATAGGTAAAATGTGATTTCAGTTTATACATTTTTGTTACCATTGTCCTCTTAAGACAAAGAATGTGCTTACAGGTTTTTAAGATAATGACTTACACTTAAAAACCTCCATGTAGATTGGGACCCTTTTTGAAAGCTATTTGGATGGTAACATGATTTGGCTGTGTCCCCACTCAAATCTCATCTTGAATTCCCACATGTTGTGGGAAGTACCCAGTTGGAGGTAATTGAATCATGGGGGCAAATCTTTCCCAGTACTGTTCTCATGATAGTGAATAAGTCTCATGAGATCTGATGGTATTATATGGGAGAATTTCCCTGCACAATCTTGCTTTCTTTGCCCCCCACCAGCCATATAAGATGTAGCTTGCTCCTCTTTGCCTGTCACCTTCCACCATGATTGTGAGGCTTCCCCAGCCACGTGGAACTGTAAGTCAAATAAACCTCTTTATTTTGTAAATTGCCCAGTATCAACTTATGTCTTTATAAGCAGTGTGAAAATGGACTAATACAGTAAATAGGTATCAGGACAAAGGTGCTGCTTAAAAGATAAAATAAAATGTGAAAGTGACTTTGGAACTGGGTAACAGGCAAAGGTTGGAACAGTTTGGAGGGCTCAGAAGAAGACAGGAAAATGTGGGAAAGTTTGGAACTACCTAGAAACTTATTGAATCACTTTGACCAAAATGCTGATAATGATATAAACAATGAAATCCAGACTGAGGTGGTCTCAGATGGAAATGACAAACTTGTTGGGAACTGGAGTAAAGGTGACTATTGTTATGTTTTAACAAAGAGACTGGTGGTATTCTGCCCCTGCCCTAGAGATTTGTGGAACTATGAACTTGAGAGAGATGATTTAGGGTATCTGGTGGAAGAAATTTCTAAGCAGCAAAGCATTCAAGAGGTGACTTGGGTGCTGTTAAAGGCATTCAGTTTTATAAGGGAAGCAAATCAAAAGTTCAGAAAATTTGCAGCCTGATAATCTGATATAAAAGAAAATCCCATTTTCTGAGCAGAAATTCAAACCAGCTGCAGAAATTTGCATACGTAAAGAGGAACTGAAGACTAATCCCCAAGACAATGGGGAAAATGTCTCCAGGTCATGTCAGAGGTCTTCACAGCAGCCCCTCCCATCACAGGCCTGGAGGCCTCAGAGGAAAAAGTGGTTTTGTGTGCCAAGCCCAGGGTCCCCATGCTGTGTGCAGCCTAGGTACTTGGTGTCCTGTGTCCCAACCACTCCAGCTGTGGCTGAAAGGGGCCAACATAGAGCTCAGGTCATGGCTTGAGAGGGTGCAAGTCCATAACCTTGGAAGCTTCCATGTGGTATTGAGCCTGCAAGTGCACAGAAGTCAAGAATTGAGGTTTGGGATCCCCTGCCTGGATTTCAGAGGATGTATGGAAATGCCTGGATGCCTAGGCAGATGTTTGCTGTAGGGGCAGGGCCCTCATGGGGAACCTCTGCTAGGTCAGTGCAGAAGGGAAATGTGGGGTTGGAGCCCCCACACAGAGTCCCTACTGGGGCATCAACTAGTGGAACTGTGAGAAAAGGGCCATCATCCTCCAGAACCCAGAATGGTAGATCCACTGGAAAAGCTGCTGACACTCAATCCCAGGAAGTGAAAGCAGCCAGGAGGGAGGATGTACCCTGCAATGTCACAGGGACAGAACTGCACAAGACCATGGGAACCCATCTCTTGGATCAGCATGACCTGGATATCAAACATGGAGTCAAAGGAGATCATTTTGGAGCTTTAAGATTTGACTGCCTTGCTGCATTTCAGACTTGCATGGGGCCGGTAGCCCCTTTATTTTGGCCAATTGCTCCCATTTGGAATGGCTATATTTACCCAATGTTTTTACCCCCATTGTATCTATGAAGTAACTAATTTGTTTTGATTTTACAGGCTCGCAGGTAGAAGGGACTTGCCTTGTCACAGATAAGACTTTGGACTGTGGACTTTTGAGTTAATGCTGAAATGAGCTAAGACTTTGGGGGACTGTTGGGAAGGCATGATTTGTTTTGAAATATGAGGACATGAGATTTGGTAGGGGCCGGGGTGGAATGATATGGTTTGGCCGTGTCCCCACCCAAATCTCATCTTGAATTCCCACCTGTTGTGGGAGGGACTTGGTGGGGGGTAACTGAATCATGGGGACAAGTGTTTCCCAGCATTGTACTCATGATAGCAAATAAGTCTCATGAGATATGATGGTATTATAGGGGGAATTTCCCTGCAAAATCTCTCTCTCTTTGCCTGCCACCATCCATGTAAAATGTGACTAGCTCCTCCTTGCCTTTCACCTTCTGCCATGATTGTGAGGCCTCCCCAGCCATGTGGAACTATAAGTCCAATAGACCTCTTTTTTTGTAAATTGCCCAGTCTCAGGTATGTCTTTATGAGCAGCATAAAAATGGACTAATACACACAGCATATATAAACTTTGAAATGTATTTAATTAACTAGAAATTCTATTTAATTAACTAGAAATTCTAATTTTAAGAATATAGCATGTAGAAATAGATTAATGTAAGCATAGAGTTTTATATGATAAAAATTACATAATTTTTAAAAATTGAAATTATGAAGTACCAAAGCTTAATGGCATTCACCCTAGGAGGAACTTAGCAATTTCTGTTTCAGCTTGTAACTGAATACATTTCAGCCTTTGGAAAGAATGAAGGAAGCCATGTAAATTGACATGAGGAGAAGTTGATGGCCTACTGATACACGAACAAACAAAAATTAAGTTGTGCAAAATAATATATTATTTGCATTTTAACTTGTATGAAAATCAGAAAGAAATTTATAACAGTTTTTCACTGGTATCACAGGTATTTGGGAAAACAGAATTGCAGATTTCTACCTTTTTATACAATTTTCTATTTTTCATTTTTATGTAATAATCATTACTTTTATATTATGTATTAAAGATTAAAATTGAAAAGTGGCATGCTGTAGTAATCATGTTCCTAAGTACTTGCCTACTTGCCTGACTGATTTGAAAACTTAAACTTCACTGGAAGTACTTATAGCTGTTTTATTTATTATCACCAAAAACTGCAAACAACTAAGGTGTCCTTCAATAAGAGAAATGAATAAATAAACTGTGCTGCATTCATACAATGAAATATTATTCAGTGTTTTAGACATGAAGTCCTTGCCCATGCCTATGTCCTGAATGGTATTGCCTAGGTTTTCTTCTAGGGTTTTTATGGTTTTAGGTCTAACATTTAAGTCTTTAATCCATCTTGAATTAATTTTTATATAAGGTGTAAGGAAGGGATCCAGTTTCAGCTTTCTACATACGGCTAGCCAGTTTTCCCAGCACCATTTATTAAATAGGGAATCCTTTCCCCATTTCTTGTTTTTGTCAGGTTTGTCAAAGATCAGATAGTTGTAGATATGTGGCATTATTTCTGAGGGCTCTCTTCTGTTCCATTGATCTATATCTCTGTTTTGGTACCACTACCATGCTGTTTTGGTTACTGTGCCTTGTAGTATAGTTTGAAGTCAGGTAGTGTGATGCCTCCAGCTTTGTTCAGCAATGGCAACAAAAGCCAAAATTGACAAATGGGATCTAATTAACCTAAAGAGCTTCTGTACAGCAAAAGAAACTACCATCAGAGTGAACAGGCAACCTACAGAATGGGAGAAAATTTTTGCAATCGACTCATCTGACAAAGGGCTAATATCCAGAATCTACAATGAACTCAAACAAATTTACAAGAAAAAAACAAACAACCCCATCAAAAAGTGGGTGAAGGATATGAACAGACACTTCTCAAAAGAAGACATTTATGCAGCCAAAAGACACATGAAAAAATGCTCATCATCACTGACCATCAGAGAAATGCAAATCAAAACTACAATGAGATACCATCTCACCCTAGTTAGAATGGCAATCATTAAAAAGTCAGGAAACAACAGGTGCTGGAGAGGGTGTGGAGAAAAAGGAACACTTTTACACTGTTGGTGGGACTGTAAACTAGTTCAACCATTGTGGAAGTCAGTATGGTGATTCCTCAGGAATCTAGAACTAGAAATGCCATTAGACCCAGCCATCCCATTACTGGGTATATACCCAAAGGATTATAAAACATGCTGCTATAAAGACACATGGACACGTATGTTTATTGCGGCATTATTCACAATAGCAAAGACTTGGAACCAACCCAAATGTCCAACAAGGATAGATTGGATTAAGAAAATATGGCACATATACACCATGGAATACTATACAGCCATAAAAAATGTTGAGTTCATGTCCTTTGTAGGGACATGGATGAAGCTGGAAACCATCATTCTCAGCAAACTATCGCAAGGACAAAGAACCAAACACTGCATGTTCTCACTCATAGGTGGGAATTGAACAATGAGAACACTTGGACACAGGAAGGGGAACATCACACACCAGGGCCTGTTGTGGGGTGGGGGGTGGGGGGAGGGATAGCTTAGGAGTTATACCTAATGTTAAATGACAAGTTAATGGGTGCAGCACACCAGCATGGCACATGTATACATATGTAACAAACCTGCACATTGTGCACATGTACCCTAAAACTTAAAGTATAATTAAAAAAATGTATTATTCAGTGATAAAAATGAATGAGCTATCAAGCCATTAAAAGATATGGTTGGAAATAAGAAAGTTCTGGGAAGAAAATGTTAACAATTATGGGGTGTGTCAGCGGGACACAGGGGCCAACTGAAAGAGCTTTTAACCCATTTATGCTGGAGGTTGTAATTTTTTGAATTTTTGCGTGAGTGAAAAATCAGACTTTGGTGATGACCTTGAGCAGTAGGATACAAATAACTCCCACATGCTTAGCGTTCCAATAATGGAACACTAGGCATAAGTGAGTTAAAGACCAAAGTGGAAATAACTTGAACAACAAAACAAATTAATATTGGATTGTAATCCAGAATATAAAATAAATATGCATGACTTCATATTTGTATTAATACATGGTTGAATAAATAACTAAATAAAGAAGAAGAGATGAATCTGTGCATGAGTCCAAATAATGTATGTCCATATTCTGACCATAAGCAGATAAATCAAAATTTCCCACATTATAAGTGTAGCTTGGCCATAGTGATTCTTTCTACAGAATCTAGCATGAAAAGTAGGAAAAGCAACAAATAAACAAAAGGAGTAGCTTTACATAGGAGTTACCTGACAAACACTACCTGAGCCAGATAATCAGGGCCAAAACCAAGAGTGATAAATCATGTTGATAGTTGATACAGTTTATATAATTTGATGAAAGTGGCACATTACCCCTGTGGTCTAACTCTAAAAACCCAAAGCCCCAATCTAATAATGAGAAAACCAATCACATAAGCTCCACTTCATGGGCATCCTACAAAATACCAACCAGTACTCCTCGAAATTGTCAAGGACATCAAAACCAAGGGAAGTCCGAGAAACCGTTAGAACCAAGAGTAGCCCGAGGAGACATAATAACTAAATGTAATATGTAATCCTGGATGGGATTCTGCAACAGTAAGAGGTTACTGGGTTAAAATTAAGAAAATCTGTTAAATGTAATATTTCAAAAGGACCAGACTACACTCAAAAGTTAGAATACATGTAGTCTCAAAAGATATTTTATTAAACTTTTTGCTTGAAGAGGCAATGGAGTTATTAGTGAGACAGTCAGTCCCTCTTCTCCCAGGTCTCAGATACCATCTATCTATCTGTTTTACAGTTCACGCTGATATGTCAAGAGAGTATCAAGTCATTTTCTCTTGACAGTAGCTCTGCTCAAGATTTTAGTTCATGGAAAAGCAATCTTTACTTTTTGATAAATTGATCATATGTAAAGGGAGCTATCTTCTCCCATGACCCAAAGCAGATATTCTTTGTATTTTTCTTCGTCCTCCTCATAATTATCCCCTTCTTCTTTATCATCATAGCTATATATATTTATACATAGTTCTCATATATGTATACATAGTTTTTTATTCTTTATAAAGTGTTTTCACCTACTTTTTTTTGGAAGATGCTGGCCTTTTTGAAATAATAGGAGTATAAGAAGTTACAAAAGCCAGTAAGATTTTGTGTATGTGCATATATGTGCACATCTATACTCACACATTAAACATGATTAAATACACCCATATATGCATGCAAATATATCTACATTTATAAATAATACATGCTTATACACACTCATATTTAATATGTTATCAATAAGTGTCTCTTGTACTGTCTTCCATTCTTTGGTCCAGTTTATGTCTCCTCTATTAACATGTGAAGACTTTAATTTCAAAACGACACAGATAAGCATATTAATTTGAGCCAATGTGTGTTAATATTATTTTAGAAACTGATGTTAGTGTATTACTGACATAGTATTAATAAACAAAACACCAGAAATGACTAACGTCTTATGTAGTGAATGCTGCTTCTAAATGCACCAGTTGACGACAATTAAACCTGCTGTTTAGAATGGTTTGATAAAAGACCTGAATTGGAAATTATTCTACCCAATTAATTTTAATAAAATTATTTCAATGAGTAAAATTTAAATAATTGTAAGATAAATAGAATATTTTCCTCAGAAACGCAAACGGATATCAAGTAGCATAACATTTTTTTCTTCGATTTCTGTTTATTTTCTTCTTTATTAACTACACAGAGGTAAGGTATAGTAAAGAGATGGATGGAGTAAAGGATTAGCTGCAAACAAATGTAGAATCATAAAATATTGAGGGTCATTGACTGAAGATCCAGCTAAATATCAGATTTTAGCTAAGAAAATAAGACTTCAAATTTAGTTTTCAATTCACAGAAATAAAGATAAATTAGAATATGAATTACAAGGAAAATAAACCCAATAAAATTTGCTGAAATGTGGGTGGAGGGAAATTTTAATTATTACGTGAAATTGACAAGCAATCTCATTAACATGAAGAACAAGTAACAATGTGTAACTGGGTCTTATGAGATTGGAAATAGATTGTCAGGAACTCATCTTTCTCAGGTTATCTATCTTTCTCTTACACATATGCATGCACACGTTCACACACCCCCCCACACATACCGTGGTCTCCCTTCCTTCCTTCCTTCCTTCCTTCCTTCCTTCCTTCCTTCCTTCCTTCCTTCCTTCCTTCCTCCCTCCCTCCCTTCCTCCCTCTCTCCCTCCCTCCCTCCGTGCCTCCCTTTTTGATCACCTTGTTTATTGCGTTCTCCTTTTTGGAAACCAGCTTCTCTGCTCACTCTTTGTATCATCTTTCCTAAAACTATATATTGAATATGGTTATGATTTGTCTTAACGTAAACTCTGGTCTCAAAACTGCATGGATTTTTATCAATAAAGAATCATTCCACTATGGGGTTAATACCTTTGTCTTCCATTTAAACTTCCCAAGTGGAAAAATCTACAGTGTCCATGGATTGTATATTCCAGCCCTGTTCAGTGAAAATGTGTGGTCATGTGTGCTGCCCTTTCTGGGAGCTATGTGGGGCAAACAATTGACCCTCATGATCTGGTACATTGCAGGCAGCCAATCCAAATCATTTAGCAATATACTGTCTACTTCATGTACTAGTCATCATCTGTAATTTGAATTTATAAATTAAGTTTAGTCAATTACAAGTAGTTTCTGAGCACTTGTTATGGATCATCAATTACCATTGTGTTAGACTGTGGAGATTACAAAGCAAACATATGATATATTACTAGGTTTAAGGGAGTTTGGAAAATAATTGGTGATGAAACCAACAATACATTTGAGATAATCAGTAAACAATTAAATAGTTAATTTTGCAAAATAGAATGTAAGTATGGTAATCAAGTGATAGTAAAATTATGGTTGAATGTAGTCTGAGAAAATTTTATAGATTGGATAGGAATTAATATGTGTCTAGAATAATGGGTAGGACTTTATGAATTTAAGAGAAAATACAGTCAATATAATTGAAAGTCACACATGATTTAATCCTTTCTAAAGAGGATATTTAATATAAAATGAAGGAGAATACGGAAAAGAAGGAAATAAAGTTAGGGCAAGATTACAGAGGACCGTGAGAGTTTAACAGAGGAGCCTATTCTATAATAAAAACATAATAAAATAACACGAAAATAATATTGAAGCAGAGCCTGAAGTTAGGCAGACCATCTAGAAGTTTAAAAATGAGATAAGATCACTTATTTTGGTTTATGGTGATAGCTGTGAGTATTGAAAGACCCCGACCGTACGAACTGTCATGTCACGAGCAGTTCTTGGACCAGGAGATTTATTTGGATTATAGCCCTGGCTCTTGTCTGCTCTGGAAGTATGTCCTAGAGCAAACCATTTGCTTTCTCTAGGATTTAGCTCATCTTCACAATGATGTCTTCATCATCAAATTCTCTGAGGTTTCTTCTAGCTTGAGACTGGTAAAGTTGATATAACCCATACTGAAGAAAGTCCTTACTTTTAGACTTTGTGACAGAAAGGATAAAAGAATAGAAGGGAGTAAAAACCCAGAGATCCCACTAATACCTCTAGCCTGCTTTTATGAATTTAGAATCCAAAATTTATTGTAAAAACTTTATGGGTTGTGTGGGATAGGTGCAGTATTAAAAATTAAATCCTAGAGCTGAAATATGTGTTTAGTTTGTTTAAGAAAGGTAATTTGCTTATCACACTTTTCATATATTGGGTTTATATGTATTTTTGCAGCGAAGCTGTAGTGAAAAAGTAGTGTTTTTTTGTTTTTTGTGGTGCATTAGAAAATGTGGTTATATGGCATTTTGGACAAAGTAGTTCTTTTATACTCTGGAAATTAGTTGTGAATTTCAGCAAAGCTGATTCTCTGCTGTGTGAAATGGGAAACCTGAAGAAGAAGAAAGATCTGTCAAGAGAATAAGTGATCTCAATGCTTTGATTAACAGGCGGCCAGGTGTTAAATTTAATTGCCTCTAGAAAAAAAAGGAAATTTTTCTTTTCAGTCTCACACTTCCTAATCATGGTGAACTTTTGCAGGAGGAAGAAAGGATATGGTATACATGTTGAAAACATATTTTAAAGAAACATGTTCATGGTAGAGATTTAAATTATCATTTTTTCTCTTTTAATATATTTTATTATGAAATATATAAAACACAGAATAGAGAGTAATAAGCCAAATAATCACACTTATCCTATTCAATTTTTAAAATATTAACATTTATAAGGTTTACTTCAGATTAATTTCTTAAGAAGCGAAATACTACAGATCAAAGTGAAACACGCAAGATACTCACCTTGATATTATTCCTGTTTTTCTCTGAGAAATTTAGTACCTTATATTCATTTTGTTCATCACAGAGAGGGAGAGGCAATGCTTATGGCAACATATAACTTCTACGTATTTACATATAAAAATATACAATATGACATTTTACATTGCATGTTGATAATTTCTTTTGAATGAATGTTTATATAATTTATAAAACTGATATTAGACTTTCATTTTAAATAATGTTGATGGAAATTATCTGTACAGATACAGATAACTCCATTTTATTGCAGGTATGAATATGACATCATTTATTCATTTTCTTTCTAATGAGCATTCGAGTTTTTTCTATTTTTTATTATCAATTATATGAACAGTTCTGTTTATATTTCCACGAAGATGTGTTAGAACTTCTTCACACTTCTACAGGTAGAGAGGCTACTCTAAGAACACATATTCTTCTATTTTATCTTTTACTCACCAATTGCTTCCAAAGAGATTTTATTATTATCCCAACAGGGTGTTATATGATTTCTTACTTTTTCATATCTCCATTAATTGAATGTTCCAATATTTAAATTTTGTCAATCTGTCATGTATTTCTTTCGAAAATCTCACTTTGCTTAATTTGCATTTTCTGGTTAGAGTGAAATTAAAATATTTTAATCCATTTCTTGGCTATTCTTGTTTCCTTTTATATAAATTGCATTTTTATAGTCCTCGCCAATATTTCACTAAATTATATACCTTTTCATAATTAGTACTACCAGTATTTTAAAATAATTATTGATGCTTACTCTTCCTTTGTAATTTTCTTTCCAAATATGTTTTATGACTTGATTTTGAAAACTTTTAAATTGTTTTTTTGCACACAGAAAGTTAAATGCACTCATATTTATCATTATTTCTTTTATATAACATGCTTTTCATAAATTCTTTAAGACATATTTTTCCGTCTTGAGGTCATAAAAATGTTGTCTTATATTTACTTGTTAAAATTTAAAGTATTAAAATTTAAATATTAAATATTTAAGCCCATCTGACATACATTATTTTCAGTGTATGGCTAATATTTTACACAGTGCTAACCAATACCATTGGCTGAGTAACCTAGGATTTCCTACTAATTCTTAATGCTACTATCCTAAATCACATTTATATATAAATATATCTCTCTTTCTGAGTCATTATTCTGATTTAGTAAGGTAAATCCTACTATCTTGTTCTTCTTCCAAATTATATATATAATATATATATTGTATATTATATATAATATTATATAATATATATAATATCCATAATATATAATATATATAATTATATATGTATATTACATATATTATATATATTACATATATAACATATATATTACATACATATATAATACATAACATAATATATGTTATATATTACATATATTAAATATAGCATAATATATTACATATATAATATATAATATATAATATATTATATGTACATATATGTACATATAATATATGATATATATTACATATATTATATATAATATATATGTATATTATATATAATATATGTAATATATAATATATGTAATATAATATATATTACATATAAATTTATGTAATATATATTATATATTATAAATATGACATATATAATATATATAATATATGTAATATATAATTACATATATATATCTCCCCAATTTCTAAATAAGTTTATGGTGGGGTCTATAACAAAAAAATGGAAAACATTAAAATGTTGATTATAATTGCATTAATTTTATAGGTTAGTTTAGAAATAATTTTGTCTTTGTGACACTAAATTATTTTTTCCACAAACATAATCTGTATCTTCATTTTGTCAGGTATTTTTCTGTTCTTGAATAATGCCTTTATATCTTTTATTAGACTTACAACTGGTAAATACGAAAATTTTATTATTATAACATTTTCTAATTACCTATTGCTGAATTATAAAAATGCTATCATTATTTGAAGGTTGAACTTGTACCAGAAAAACTGCTGAATGCACTAAATTTTATTGTCTTATCCTGACATTTTTATAGAAATTGTATTTTGTGCACATAGGGATCATATTTACCTCTTTATTTTCAAGTATTATACATTTCATTTATCTTTATTTGTCTTAAAACCCTGGCTAGAATTTATTGTAACATTTTGTGATCTTTTTTGTAGATTGCTTGGGATTTTCTACATAGATACATCAACTGCAGATAGGGAATGTTTTATTTCTTTCTTTCTGATCTCTAAGCCTTTTATTTCTTTTTCATGCATTATGACGCTCATCAGAACTTCTATTAGTATGTTAAATAGCACTAGTGAGAGTAGACATCTTTGCATTTTTCTTGATCTTGGGGAGGAAATATTCAGACTTTCACAATTATATATGATTTTAGTTGTAGGATTTTTGAGGATGCTTCTTATGTCTTAGAAGAATTTCCCCTGTATTTCTAGTATTCTGAAAGTTTTTATATTATGATTAAGTTTTCAATTTTTTCAAATGCATTTTCTGAAAAAATGTGAAATGTTCATGTATTTTTTATTTCTCTTGTTAATATGGTGAATAACATTAATTGATTTTAAAATATTAAACCATCTTCACATACCTGGAATAATACCAAAATGTTCAACATCTGTTGGAGAAAAATACTACGTTTTCTAGATTGTTGCTTTATAAGCATCTTTGTATAAAAAAAAAAAAAAAAAAAGAAAGAAAGAGAGAATCCCTCTTCACCAATACAGAATAAATTCAATCAACTATTGTATTCCTTTGGGCTAGTAGGCTTATCTTTATACATTTCACATCCTTGCAACTTTCTTTCAAGAGTGATTTCATAGCGCTATTGTGTCAATGATCTTTTTACCCATATAAATCTATTTCTTTTTACTTAAATAATTTGTCCTGTCTTCTAGGATATCCTGAATCTCGACTTCTCTGAAGAAGCTAAAGAAGTTTTCACCATGTCTGTACCCTGATATGTTCATAATTATGCAATTAGGCAAATTGAGATTTAGCGTTTGTTATCTTGTCATTTTATGTACTTAAGTTTTGCCTTCTGCTTTGGTTCCATATTTTGGTTCCAAAAATATGGCTGTATTACTCAATGTTGTTTAAAGCATTCTAGTTGATACCAATATGCAGACAAGTCTTAGAACCAAAGCTGTCCCAAAGCAGTGGTTCTCAAATTTCAGCATGTGAAGGAATCATCAGGAGGGCTAGATAAAATGCAAATTTCTGGGCTCAATCTCCAGAGTTTCAGATTTGGTAGAAATTTAGACGTGCAGAACCCAATTGTTTGCATTTATAACTAGTTTCCAGGTGTTCCTGATGCTGCTGGTCTGGGGACCATACTTCAGTACAGTGGTCCCAGATAATCTTCATCTAGTATTAGCGTTCCACTAGAGAGTATTGAAAAGAAAGTATTGCACAGTAAGAGTGAATGGAAGATGTCTTATTATAACAATTACACCATAAGAGCAATGAACTTTTCTTTGGTGTTTTGCTTTTAACAAAGCACTCATTTGGTGTAAAAGTGATCTTGTGAGTTAGATACTAATTCTACATTTATTTTTTCAAAACTGAAAGTTGGAACTCATAAAGCTGACTGCATTCTCCAAAGTTGCCCTGTAAATAAGCTGCAGATTGGGTCTTGAATCTAGGCCTTCTCACCACACATTTCTGTACTTCATTTAATATACTAAAGCAAATGTTTATATATATATAATTGTATTTTATCCCCACCAGTAAGCTCATAAGATGAGAAAGTATTAATTTCTTCTTTATATAGATGTAGAAATTGATGCACAGAAAAATAATAACCCTGACATGAATGGTCTCCAGCCTTGGCTTCAACTGTTGTGACATTTTGGGTTACCATGTTTCAGTAGCATGCCAAGGTAGAGGGCAGTGGGAGTGACCCACACTTAGTACTAGCAAAAAATGAATATATTGTGTTAAATATTCAAAGCAACTTAGTTAATCTGCTTTTTATTATCACCACCTGTTGGAAATTCTGTGCAATGTCAATGATAAAATTCTTCTGCTTAGAGTGGAATGCTCAGACTATACCCATGTCCTATATACCACTACTGTGTTTCATAAGAAATATTATTTTCCAGTAAGAATATGGGCAGGCCTCCCTTTGCATGCTTCCAGAATGCATAAATTATAGGTACAGAATTAGCTAAATAATCAGTGCCCCCAATAACATGGCTCAAATTTCAATTAGAACAGTGTATTATTATAAATGTGAGTAACTGAATAATTGCCAGGTGTCCAGTTTACAGGTCACTATCTATATACCAGTTGTACACATACCCAGTGACCAATCACATCACCCTTTTTCTGGGTCAGCCAGTAACTGGTCACAACACATTGGTTATGCAGTTCACACACAGACAGCAAAGCATACAGTTGTACTGCCTCCTTGACTCTCAGTGGCAAACCCACATGAAATTTTACAAAAATACACAATTGAAAGAGGAAATTGGTCAACAAAGATGAAAGTGCAGCAAAGAAATAAAAAGTCATAATGCTGGAAGTGAAATTCAAATGGAATATAAATGAAGTTATAGAATAAGTAGCTGACTGGTGATATTTATACTGCTGCTATTCAGAAAGTTTACATATGCTTCAAGAGGAACTGAGTAAAGATGAATTTATCAACAAAAATGATGAATATGATAGTTACAATAAGGGTGAAGATTTCTCAGAACGTGACACTGACAAAAACGTCACATTAAGGGAATTCTAGGAGATTTTTTTTTTACATTGAAAATGTGAAAGATCACATGTTGGAGGCTGATACAAACTTAGAAAAAAGTATGACAGTTCACCAAGGTGTAGAAAAGATGTTTATCCCATATTGTTAAGTTATTCTCTAAGAAGAAGGCAAGCACTGTTCAAATAAATTTGATCAGATTTTCACAAAGAAATAAATATATTAATTCTCAATGTTTTAATAGCTTAAACTAGAACGTGCTAAATATATTTTTAGGTTAAAAATCTTTATATATTTGTAATCAACAGTAAGAGAGTTTTAAATGTTTTGCAAAACTTTAAAAGGTTGAGGAACAACATATTTAAATGATAACTTTTCTCATTGATTGTTAAGATCCATTCACATGGTTTCAGCTTTCAGGTGTTCTTTATGATCTCTCACTATTGTTCAAAGTAAGAACTTTCTAACGTGTAGTAATTATTATCAAAAAAAGTCTTTATTCTCTGTAAAGGGAACTGACTGTATTCATGACAGTCATTAATCTCTATTGGTAGGAAGAGGAAAGAGGGGGTTTAATTTCTTATTGAAGCCATCCTATTTTGATTTTATGAGTAATGTTTTGGATTCCTGGCAAAATTTCATTAGCTAAGAAGTTCAACTTTATAATTTATTAGTGGGAGCAATTTTTTAAATGAAATACTTCAAACCCACATAAAACTATGGAAAAAATTAACAAAAATCAATTTCAATGTTAACATTGTGCCATATTTGCTTTATATTATTACCTTTAAGAAATAAAACTCTATACTTATTGTAGCTGAAACTTTATACTCTTCCTTTTCCACTGAGAGGTAGTAACTACCCTAAGTTTGGTGTGCATTGAAAGGAGTAATGTTTGTGAAAAATATGATGTTTGAAAGGATCATTAGCTTCGGAATGAGACAGGCTATGTTTACATATGGGATCTACCACGTCATAGCTGGAGGCAAGTCATTTAACTTCTTTGAGCTCCAGTTTTCTCATGTACAAAATGGGAAAAATCCTATCTCACAGAGTTGTGTGAGAATCAGAAATAATTGATATAAAGCTTTTCACACTTAAGAAATTCAATATATGATGGTTATTAATGCTGCTGTTATTGTTTTGTCTACTGTCCACTTAGGAACATTTAAAATAGAGAGATAGATGTAAGGTTTCCTGACATAGATTGTTCTTTCTCTTAAACTAACCCACAGCTCTTCCCCTAATCACATGGAGTTATTCCTCACTTTTATGTTATCTTCCAGTTTTGAAAGCAGCTGCTGTGGCTAAGCGGCTCACTGCAGTCTCAGAAACAGTTCTGCCCTGAAGCTGACAGTAGCCTTACAGCAAATAATAATATAAAGTGAAGTTCTGGGTTGGGAATTTTGCGTTAAAGAGAAAATAATTCTGTATAATCATTGAAGGTTGGATCCCTTGTCAGCTTCTATACCTGTCAGGCAATTTGCCATCTGCGGCATTATTCCCCCTGCCTCCAAAGTTGTGAGACAGAGTTTGCTGAATGCATTTATTTGTTTGGTATCAAGTATTATTTGCCCTCTTCTTGTCACAACCCTATAGTCTTGCTTAAATAGAAAAAAAAGGGAGACATCCCAAAACATCCCTGGCATTGGAAGATGTGTTTCAGCACCAACACAGCTAGAGGGGCATTTTTAACATCTTTCTCAAAGCAGACATACTTTGTTTCCTCCTATAGACTTCATTGGCAGTCTGGGTCCATTCCAACTAATCAATAAATAAAGCTCAGTTAAGCCACATTTATTTCCAGAAGCAAATAGCAATCAGTGCATTACTGTGGGAGCTCAGGCCCTGTCCATCAGCTGAATCATAAACAATGAAGGTTGGGGCTTTGAGACTTCAATGGGAGGGGAAACTGCTGCCTCAAAGGCTGAAATGGACCAGATCACATAGATTTCTGTATCATTCTGCTTAACTATCCAGAGAAAAAGTTCAACTCTGCATTTTACTTAAAATGAATAGGTACCTACTTCTTTGATCTTTTACCAAGACTGTTTTTTGTTTTATTTTTTAATGGTTTTGTAGAAGTTAACAACTTTAAAAAACATTTGATAATTATCTACGATTTTAGGTGCTTTTACATATTTTATCTCATTTAACTGATAACGATACTAAATAAAAAAGAGCCCAAGTTTACAGTGGTGACAAGCTGTGTGTTAATTACTCAATTACAAGTTTATTAAAACAATTTATTTGCTTGATTTATCTTTTGAACTACATTTTAATCTCCTGAAAGGCATAGAGCAAGTCTTATTCAACTCGTAGCCTTCATAGAATTTTCCTTGGTAGTTGCTCAGGAAATATTTATTTATGGAGTGAACAGACTAAAGAGTTAAGATTAATTTAGAGATTCTCAGAAGTAGTTATCTGATTTTCACACTCTTGCTCTCTAAAAGTAAACGCACCTGATTTTCATTTTATTGTGGTAGAATCAAGAGACACTGCTACATAATAGCTCAGTGAGCTTTGGCAAGCCATTTCACTTATTTTGGCTTCATTTACTTCATGAAAGGGGAGGAAAAGATAATTAGAATTGGAATGTCTCTTCTAGTTCTAAAATTTTAGATAATTTCCTTTGGAAAGTGCTGGAACAAAGTTCGCTTTCTTCAGAATGTAACTCTTAAGCATTTTTTGTTCTGATGGTACCATGTGACGTATCACTGTGGGTCAAATGCAGAGATACAAGGTATAATAAGGCTAAGAAAGAGCTAATTATAACATTCTTTTTTGAAAGCCCAGAATCCTTGGTACCACCTAAGCATCAACAACAAATACAATAATGACCATGCCATGATTTCTTATGCAGCAATTACATTAGCAGAGTACCGCTGAGAATCAGGATTTCAATAAAAGAGGGCCTTTCTTAACTGTTGTAATTTAAGAAGTTGTATATAGAATTATTTGTTTATAATTAACCTGTCATCCTAGATTGCACATCCCATGAGGGCAAGAATAAATCTCTCTTGTTTCCCACAGGATGGTTTCTGTAACATTTAATGCACTCACTGTGTGTACATATTATGATATGAATATACTCTAAAATTCAAACATTGGTTTACCTGCTATATTTGGTAGATTTTGATCCATTCAAATATTTTAACTTATATTCACAGACATACAATGTAAGTGGAATTGCTGAGCAGAGCCATAAACCTGCTGCTTCACACCCTAGAGTTGTGTATTCACAAGTCAATATGTAGCATTAGTTCAATAGCAAATCAATGCTCCAAGCTGCCGTGGAGAATGACTGTTTATATTTTAAGCCCTCAGGGGCTTCCTAACAATGAGTTCTGTATATCTCATGAAGCCTATTTTTTCAAGTCAGAGTATCAGAACACTTATTTTTAAAATATAGTGAAAATCAATCTAGCTCTTGTTTTTTTCACTCGAAGAAAAACATACACACAAAAATGTCATATATGTATGTTTGTGTCAGTAACTGCATCATGGGAAAATGGCAGTGAGATGCTAGCATAGGAGTTGCTCATTTCAAACATCATTTTGGCTTCAGTATGTTGAATAATTTGGCAAGGAGCAAATCAAAATGCAGAGGGACCAGAGAGAATGCATAAGCAATAAGTAGTTCGTGCAAGAGCTGACTACAGTGGTGGCAGTTAGTGGCTCATAACTTTGAAGTGGAAAGAAGCAGGTACATTTGAAAGATGTCTGGGTTGTAGAAGTCATTTTGCTTGGTGGTTGATAGGGTGTAGGGTATAAGGAAGGTTTAAAATATGACTTCAGTATATCTGACTTGAGGTTTATAAAGGTCAGTTGAAGTCATTTACATATAAAGTTTAATGTATTATCTATTAATTTAAACTTACTAGCCTGAATATTCAAATTTTTTATTATCACTTATTTTTTGTCTACTTCTTTGGACAAAATCAAGATGTATTCAAGACTCTGTTTCTTTTTTCTTTGTTATTTAGGGAGCAATATTTCATTTTGTAACTTTCATTTATTATAAATAATACTCTGATTTTTACCAAATTTTCTAAATTGTTAAAAATCAATGCTTTTTTTTCTCTTTTCCCCTATTTGCAAAAGAAAAAGATGTGCTAGGTATTTCTTTGATGCATTATTGTTTTTATCATTTATTATGAGAATCTTTGTCATTTACCAATAACATTTTAAAGAAATATATTTTGGTTTTAACACGTTTTATTTTACTTTAGTTAAATATTTGTACTCTTCATATTTTTCTATAATTTTTAATAAAAAGCATGCTTTTTTATATTTTCACAGGGATTTTTGAACTTATCAAGAGTTTTCTTTGTTTTCAAAACATTGTTGAATCTATATTCTCTGATTGTCAAAATAAGAAAATAATATATATATTCTTATTCTTCCTCAAAGATGAGAAATTAATATATTCTACACTGGTGATGGCAAACATAGGCTGATTAGTAATATCACCTCAGAAGCTTTTAAAAATCCTCACGCCCTGGCCATACCCCCTATCAATTAAATCACACATTTGAGAGTGGAAGCCAGGAATCCACATTAAAAAAAAAAAAAAAGAGAGAGAGAGAGAGAGAGAGAATTAGATCATCATGGCAGACCGGAGGCAGGACTAGATTGCAGCTCCTGACAGGGCAGTATCATGCGGAGGTTCTCATTGTGATTTTTATCTCCAGATTGACTGCAAGAACAAACCAGCAATCCCGAAAGGACCCACAAACCCTCTGAAGGAATTGGATGGCTCCTGGAGGACCTAGAAGACATCTCAAATACTGTGAGTGCACTATCTACAGAGGTGGGTAAGGGAGAGCCTCCTCTCCCGAACACACACCCTTATTGGAGAAACTGAAGGTTTGTTTGTGGGAGAAGTTTCCTACCTTACCTAAGAGCTGAGTCAATTTAGAAAGCCAAGTGAATTCAGGGGTAGAGGAAGGAGCAGAAAGAGGAAGGAGCTTGCTGGGTTCCCAAGCAGGCCATTTCTGCCTGGCACCACAGGAATCTATCGAGGAGCAGAGGGCTGGGGCGGGGGTGGGGTAAAACTCCACAGGGAGAAGGAATTCTCTAGCTGAACTGTGTGACAATTTGAAAGGGATGAGAAACCTCCTGGCCAGAACTTGCGGGAAGGCGCGCAAATCTGGTATGCAGACTCCACAGGTTGGGGAAGAACCAAGCCCTTTTCTTTCACAGCTGGGAGGTGGCTAGCCTGGAGCAGGTTTTCAAGCCCCATTCACCCACCATCTGGAAACAGGCTCAGGGCTGTTAGGAGGGGGCTTGGTGGGAGTGAGACCAGCCCTTTGGATTGCATGGGAGCTGGGTGAGGCCTGTGACTGTCAGCTTTCCCCCACTTCCCTGACAACCTGCATGACTCAGCAGAGGCAGCTATAATCCTCCGAGGTACACAACTCTAGTGACCTGGGAACCTCACCCACATCCCCCACAGCAGCCCTAGTAAGACCCGCCCAAGAAGAGTGTGAGCTCAGACACACCTAGCCCTGCCTCAACCTGATGGTCCTTCCCTACTTACCCTGAGTAGGGAACATAATCTTCGAAGTTCTAGGACCCCACCTACCAGTGGTTCCTTTTCATACTACCACAGCTGATGCTCTCTGGATAGCACCACCTCCTGGCAGGAGGCCAATCAGCACAAAAATAGAGTATTAAACCACCAAAGCTAAGATCTCTCATAGAGTTTATTGCACCCCCCTGCCACCTCCACTGGAACAGGTGCTGGCATCCACAGCTGAGAGACCCATAGATGGTTCACGTCATAGGACCCTGTGCAGACAACCCCCAATACCAGCTCAGAGCTGGGTAGACCTGCTGGGTGGGTAGACCCAGAAGAGAAATAGCAATTACTCCAGTTCATCTCATAGAAAGCCACATCCATAGGAAAAGGAGGAGAGTACTACATCAAGGGAATGTTGATATGAGTTCTAAATTTCTTTTCAAAGGATCAATATGTCAGTATGTTCAATTTTTTGCCTTCTACTTTTAAACTTAACTCCCTTATAAAGCAACCTTTTTCGATTACCTGCTCCAGCCTGACTCATTTTGATTACCTGCTCCACCCTGACTCATTCTGATTGCCTGCTCTACCCTGACTCATTCCAATTACCTGCTCTATCATAACAATTTTTCCTGCCAAACCACTCACCCCATTACTCTCTTTAAATTTAGCCAATCAGAATTCATTTAGCCTGTGTGGTCTAACCCTAGCCAATAGGGGAATGACACAGCAGGAGGGGCCACATGTGTTAGGGATAAGAACCCCTTCCCCTCCCTTGTCTAAGTGTGCACTCACCATTGCTCCATCTGTAAGGATGTACCCTTCTATAGAAGTAACTTGCCTTGCTGATAATTAAAAATAAAATTTTATATTCAAGTGCTATTTCTTTTGTGGCACCAAAACTTTATTTTATAACAGGAACACCCTGTGGGACAAAAGAATCCGAACAACAGCCTTCAGCCTCAGACCTTCCCTCTGACAGGGCCTAACCAAATGAGAAGGAACCAGAAAACCAACCCTGGTAATATGACAAAACAGGGCTCTTCAACACCCCCCCAAAATCACACTACTTCGCCAGCAATAGCTCCAAACTAAGAAGAAATCCCTGATTTACCTGAAAAAAAAAATTCAGGAGGTTAGTTATTAAGTTAATCAGGGAGGCACCAGAGATATGTGAAGCCCAACACAAGGAAATCCAAAAAACGCCACAAGAAGTGAAGGGAGAAATATTCAAGGAAATAAATAGCTTAAAGAAAAAATAACATAAAATTCAGGAAACGTTGAACACACTTATAGAAATGCAAAATGCTCTGGAAAGTCCCAGCAATAGAATTGAACAAGTAGAAAAAAGAAATTCAGAGCTCAATGACAAGGTCTTCGAACTAACCCAATCCAACAAAGACAAAAGAAAAAGAATAAGAAAATATGAACAAAGCATCCAAGAAGTCTGAGATTATGTTAAACGACCAAACCTAAGAATAATCGGTGTTCGTGAGGAAGAAGAGAATTCTAAAAGTTTGGAAAACATATCTGGGGGGATAATCGAGAAGAACTTCTCTGGCTTTGCTAGAGACATAGACATCCAAATACAAGAATCACAAAGAGCACCTAGGAAATTCTTTGCAAAAATATCATCGCCTAAACACATTTTCATCAGGTTATCCAAAGTTAAGATGAAGGAAAGAATCTTAAGAGCTGCAAGACCAGGGAGCCTATAAAGGAAATCCTATCAGATTAGCAGCAGATATCTCAGCAGAAACCCTACAAGCTAGAAGGGATTGAGGCCCTATCTTAAGGCTTCTCAAGCAAAACAATTATCAGCCAAGAAATTTGTATCCAGAAAAACTAAGCATCATATATGAAGGAAAGATACAGTCTTTTTGAGATAAACAAATGCTGAGAGAATTCACCACTACCAAGCCACCACTACAAGAACTGCTAAAAGGAGCTCTAAATCTTGAAACAAATCCTGGAAACACATCAAAACAGAACCTCTTTAAAGGATAAATCACGCAGGACTTATAAAACAAAAATTCAATTTAAAAAGCAAGAACATAAAACAAAACCAAAGTACACAGGCAACAAATAGCATGGTGAATGCAACAGTGCCTCACATTTTAATACTAACATTGAATGTAAAGGCCTAAATGCTCCACTTAAAAGATACAGAAACACAGAATGGATAAAAATTCACCAACTGACTATCTGCTGCCTTCAGGAGACTCACCTATCACATAAAGACTCACATAAAGTAAAGGGGTGAAAAAAGGCATTTCATGGAAATGGACACCAAAAGCGAGTGGGAGTAGCTATTCTTGTATCAGACAAAAAAAACTTCAAAGCAACATCAGTTAAAAGAGACAAAGAGGGACATTATGCAATGGTAAAAGGTCTTGTCCAACAGGAAAATATCACAATCCTAAACATAAATGCACCTAACACTGGAGCTCCCAAATTTATAAAACAATTACTAATAGACCTAAGAAATGAGATAGACAACAACCCAATAATAGTGGGGGACTTCAAGGATTTAAACTATGCCTTGCAACAAATGGACTTAACAGATATATACAGAACATTTTATCCAACAACCACAGAATACACATTCCATTCAACATCACATGGAACTTTCTCCAAGACAAACCATATAATAGACCATAAATGAGCCTCAGGGAATTTAAGAAAATTGAAATTAAATCAAGCACTCTCTCAGACCGCAGCAGAATGAAACTGGAAATCAACTCCAAAAGGAGGAACCTTCAAAATCCTGCAAATACATGGAAATTAAGCAACCTGCTCCTGAATGAGCATTGGGTCAAAAACAAAATCAAGATGGAAATTAAAAAATTATTTGAAGTGAGTAACAATAATGATAAAACCTACCAAAACCTCTGGGATACAGCAAAGGTGGTGCTAAGAGGAAAATTCATAGCCCTAAATGCCTACATCAAAAAGGCTGAAAGAGCACAAACTGACATTCGAAGGCCACACCTCAAAGAACTAGTAAAACAAGAACAAATCAAACCCAAACACAGCAGAATGTAGGATTAACCAACATCAGAGAAGAACTAAATGAAACTGAAACAAAAAGCTCAATAAAAAACTGAAATAAAAGGCTGGTCCTTTGAAAAGATAAATAAAATTGATAGACCGTTAGCAAGATTAACCAAGAAAAAAAGAGAGAAAATCCAAATAACCTCACTAAGAAATGAAACAGGAGATGTTATAACTGACACCACAAAAGATCATTCCAGACTACTATGAACACCGTTATGCATATAAATAAAAAAGCCTAGAAGAAATGGATAAATTCTGGAAAAATACAACCCTTCTAGCTTGAATCAGGAAGAATTAGATACCCTGAACAGACCAACAACTAGCAGCAAGATTGAAATGATAATTTAAAAATTACCAATTGGCCGGGTGCAGTGGCTCACGCCTGTAATCCCAGCACTTTGGGAGGCCGAGGCGGGCAGATCACGAGGTCAGGAGATCAAAACCATCCTGGCTAACATGGTGAAACCTTGTCTTTATTGAAAATACAAAAAATTAGCCGGGCGCAGTAGCGGGCACCTGCAGTCCCAGCTACTCGGGAGGCTGAGGCAGGAGAATGGCGCGAACATCCGAATGGAAGGCAGAGCTTGCAGTGAGCTGAGATCATGCCACTGCACTCCAGCCTGGCGGACAGAGCCAGGCTCCATCTCAAAAAAAAAAAAAAAAATTACCAACAAAAACATGTTCAGAACCAGACAGATTCACAGCAGAATTCTACCAGACATTCAAAGAATTGATACCCATCCTTTCTGACACTATTCCACAAGATAGAGAAAGAAGAAACCCTCCCTAATTAATTCTATGAAGCCAGCATCACCCTACTACCAAAACTAGGAAGAACATAACCAAAAAAGAAAACTACAGACTGATATCCTTGATGAACATTGATGCTAAAATCCTTAATGGAATACTAGCTAACCAAATCCAACAACATCAAAAAGATAATCCACCATGATCAAGTGGGTTTCATACCAGGGAAGCAGGGATGTTGTAACATCCACAAGTCAATAAATGTGATACACCACATAAAAAGAATAAAAAACAAAAATCGCATGATCATCTCAATACATGCAGAAGGAGCATTAGACAAAATCCAGCATCACTTTATGATTTAAACTCTCAGCAAAATCAGTATACAAGGGACATAATGTGATAAAAGCCATCTATGGCAAACCCACAGACAACCTAATACTGAATGGGGAAAACTTGAAAGCATTCCCTCTGAGAACTGGAACAAGACAAGGATACCCACTCTCACAACTCCTCTAGCCAGAGCAGTCAGACAATAGAAAGACATAAAGGTCATCCACATTGGTTAAAAGGACGTCAAACTGTCACTGTTTGTTGTCGATATGGTTGTTTACATTGAAAACCCTAAAGGCTCCTCCAGAAAGCTCCTAGAACTGATAAAAGAGTTCAGCAAAGTTTCTGGATACAAGATTAATGTAAACAAATCAGTAGCTCTTCCATACACCAACAGCGACCAAGCAGAGAATCAAATCAAGAACTCAACCCCGGCCAGGCACAGTGGCTCATCCCAGCACTTTGGGAGGCCAAGGTGAGCGGATCATGAGGTCAGGAAATCAAGACCATCCTGGCTAACACGGTGAAACCCTGTCTCTAATAAAAATACAAAAAAATTAGCCAGGCATGGTGGTGAGTGCCTGTAGTCCCAGCTACTTGGGAGGCTGAGGCAGGAGAATGGCGTGAACCTGGGAGGCGGAGCTTGCAGTGAGCTGAGATTGTGCCACTGCACTCCAGCCTGGGTGACAGAGCAAAACTCCATCTCAAAAAAAAAAAAAAAAAGAAAAAATACTTAGGAATATAGCTAACCAAGGAGTCAAAAGACCCCTACAAAGAAAACTACAAAACACTGCTGAAAGAAATCATAGATGACAAAAACAAATGAAAACACATCCCATGCTCATGGATAGGTAGAATCAATATTGTGAAAATGACCATACTGCCAAAAGCAATCTACTAATTCGATGCAATTCCCATCAAAATATTCACCATCATTCTTCACAGAATTAGAAAAAAACAATTCTAAAATTCATATGGAACCAAAAAAGAGCCCACCTAGCCAAAGCAAGACTAAGCAAAAAGAACAAATCTGGAGGCATCATGCTACCTGATATCACACTATGCTATAAGGCCCTAGTCACCAAAACAGCATGGTACTGGCATAAAAATAGACATATAGACCAATGGAACAGGATAGAGAACCCAGAAATAAACCCAAATAGGTATAGCCAACTGATCTTCAACAAAGCAAACAAAAACATAAAGTGAGGAAAGGACATCCTTTTCAACAAATGGTGCTGGGATAATTGGCTAGCTACATGTAGGAGAATGAAACTGGATAATCATTTGTCATCTTATACAAAAGTCAACTCAAGATGGATTAAGGACTTAAACCTAAGACCTGAAACTATAAAAATCCTAGAAGATAACGTTGGAAAAACCCTTCTAGACATTGGCTTAAGCAAGAATTTCATGACCAAGAACCCAAAAGCAAATGCAATAAAAACAAAGATAAATATCTGGGACCTAATTAAACTAAAGAGCTTTTGCATGGCAAAAGGAACAGTCATCAGAGTAAACAGGCAACCCACAGAGTGGGAGAATATTTTCACAATCTATACATCTGACAAAGGATTAATATCCAGAAACTAAAATGAACTCAAACAAATCAGTAAGAAAAAAAACAAACAATCCTATCAAAATGTGGGCTGAGGACATGAATAGACAATTCTCAAAAGAGAAGATATACAAATGGCCAACCAACATATGAACAAATGCTCAACATCACTAACGATCAGGGAAATGCAAATCAAAACCATAATGCGATATGACTTTACTCCTGCAAGAATGGCCATAATCAAAAAATCAAAAATCAGTAGATGTTGGCATGGATGTGGTGATCAGGGAACATTTCTATACTGCTGGTGGGAACATAAACTAGTATATCCACTATGGAAAACAGTGTACAGATTGCTTAAATAACTAAAAGTAGAACTACCATTTGATCCGGCAATCTCACTACTGGGTATCTACCCAGAGGAAAAGAAGTCATTATATGAAAAAGATACTTGCATATGCTTGTTTATAGCAGCATAATTCACAATTGCACAATTGTGGAGAGCCAACCCAAATGCCCATCAATCAACGAGTGGATAAAGAAACTATGGTATATATATATATATATGATGGAATACTACTCAGCCATAGAAAGGAATGAATTAACAGCATTTGCAGTGACCTGGATTAGACTAGAGACTATTATTCTAAGAGAAGTAACTCAGGAATGGAAAAAAAAATTGTATGTTCTCACTGATATGTGAGAGCTAAGCTTTATAGCTTAAGATGCAAAGGCTTAAGAATGACACAGTGGACTTTGGGGACTTGGGGGGAAGAGTGAGAGGGGGCGAGGGATAAAAGACTACAAATATGGTGTAGTGTATACTGCTTGGGTGACGGGTGCACCAAATTCTCACAAATCACCACTAAAGTACATACCCATGTAACCAAATACCACCTGTACCCCAATAACTTATTGAAAAAAATTAAAAATTTAAAAAAATAAGAAAAATAAATTCCTCAAGTGATTTCAATATTCTGCTATGAGAAGCATCAATTCCTCTTCTCTCTCAGGTTTCCTGCAGTCCTTTTCAAGGCATCTCACAAATCCAGTCTAAGTATTTTGTTTCAAATCTACTACAATAAGCTACTCCAAAATTTGGTATCTTAAATTGGTAATCATTTTATTCTATCTCAGTGTGCCATGGGTTAGGAATTTGGACCGTATTCAAGGGGGTGAATTTTTCATTACATGTAACATCGCAGACATGACATGGGGTTATTCTGCTGGCCATTGGCTGGTCTGGAGGATCCAGATGGCTTTACTCACACATCAGGGTGCTTGGCAGAAATGACTAAAAGGCTAGAGTCAACGGAAATTATATAACAGGGTATCTAATTGTGGCTTGTCTAGTGTATTTTTGTTATGTTTGTTTGGTATAAAACTGTAGAATATTCTTTACTGGAGACATTAAAATATTTTGCTATAATTTTAACAGACAAAAGCATAATTTTTATTTTTTATAGAAAATGCCCATTGAAATGAAATAGTTTTCACTTTTATACTCAGCTATTTTTGTTCTTATTTTCTAATTCTGGAATTTTTTTAAGTATGTCTTTTTTGCTACTTCTATGTGAAATATTCTGATTTCCCTCACATAAAGCCTTTTATTTTTAAAAATAAAACTTTAATTAAAATAAAACATACATAGGGTCACATGAATTATAAGCACACTGCAAGTTGAATTTTCAGAATGTGAATTACCCAAGAAAAAACGAAATATACATCCATACAAAGATGTGTACACACATGTTCATACCAGCTTTTTATTTTAAGTAATAGACCAAACTGGAAACTCTCCAAAGGTTTATCAGCAGATGAAAGTATAAACCACTGTGGTCCATACATACATACTATTATATTAATATAGTACTAATATACAAAATGCTAGTATATAATGTACCTAGTATACCTTGTACTATTTAGCAATAAAACTGAGGGGAGAGAGAGACCCTCTCATATTGTTTTATATTGTTTTATACTCAGTACCTGTTTTAGAAAAAACAACAAGGAAGTAAAACCAAAGACAGGCAGCCCGGTGCCAGGCCTGAATCCAGGCCTGGGCCTGCCTGGCCTAAACCCAGTAGTTAAAAATCAACTCATAACTTAGAAACTGATGTTATTCATAGATTCCAGACATTGTATAGAAGAACATTGTGAAACTCCCTGCCCTGTTCTGTTTCTCTCTGACCACCAGTACATGCAGCCCCTGTCACGTACCACCTGCTTGCTCAAATCAATCACGACCCCTTCATGTGAAATCTTTAGTGTTGTGAGCCCTTAAAAAGGACAGAAATTGTGCATTCGGGGAGCTCAGATTTTTAAGGCAGTAGCTTGCCAATGCTCCCAGCTGAATAAAGCCCCTCCTTCTACAACTCAGTGTCTGAGAGGTTTTGTCTGTGGCTCCTCCTGCTACAAAACAATAAAGTATTGATGCATGCAACAACATAGGTAAATCTTAATTATACTGAAGATAAGAATCTAGTCAGAAAAGAATACATACTCAATGATTACATTTACATAAAACTTTACAAAATGCAAATGATTCTCTATAGTGATGGAAAGAAAATCAGTAAATGCTTATCTTTAAAATGGAGGGGAAAAGTAGGAGAGAAGAGTACATTCACTAACTTGAGTGTAGTGATAGTCTCATTGGTCTGTACATATGTCAAAACTTATTAAGTGGTATGATTTAAATATTTACATTTGTTATAAGCTAGTTACACACCAATAAGTTTTGTTTTGAAATGTATGGATCTGTGTAATGTGCATCCAGATGAAGAAACAGAATGTTACCTATACCAGAGAAGTCCCCTTCATGTCTCCTCCCAGTCACTATCTTCCTGCAAATCACCAAGGTAACAGTATCTGGATTTCTAACCCCATAGATTAGTTACATCTATTTTTAAACTTTGTATAAATTTAATTATACAATATGTGCATTTTTCTGGTTTAATTTGAACAGCATTATGTTTGCGAGATTTATCTATGTGTTGGATTTGTTAATTCTTTTGACTGTTTTATTCAACCTTATTGGATTTTATTAAGAAAATTTATATGTCAGTTATCCTGTTGACATATGGCTATTATGAATCATGCTGCTATGAACATTCTTACACATGAATTTTGACGATTTTTCTCTTATATACATGTTGAGAAGTGAAATTGACGAGTGATAGTGTGTATATCACGTCAGATATGTATTTAAATATTTTAAAAGTACCAAATTGTTTTTCAAAGTGCTTATATTATTTTTATCCCAATCAATGGAGTTTGAGAGTTGAAGTTCCTCTATATCCTTACCAATACATGATCTGGTCAGTCTTTTTCACTTAAATTATTTTTGTGTTAGTCTTTGAATGCATTTTCATTCATCTTTTTTTTTCCTTTCTATTTTTTAAGCTTATTTTAGGTTTAACGATACATGAGTAGGTTTGTTATATAGATAAATTATACATCATGGGGGTTTGATATATTGATTATTTCATCACTCAGGTAATAAGCATATCAACTAATAGGTAGTTTTTCAGTCCTCACCCTCCACCCTTCACCCTCAAGTAGGCCCCAGTGTCTACCACTTCTTTCTTTGTGAACGTGTGTCCTCAATGTTTAGCTCTCACTTAAAAGTGAGAACATACAGTATTCTCTTTTATGGCTGTGTAGTATTCCATGGTGTACATATACCACATTTTCTTTATCCAGTCCACTACTGATGGGCATTTAGGTTGATTGCATGTCTTTGTTACTGTGAATAGTGCTTTGATAAACATATGCGTGCACGTCTTTATGGTAGAACAATTTCTATTTCTTTGACGATGTACAAATAATAGAATTACTGGATCAAATGGTAGCAGTTTAAGCCAAACTGCTTTGAACACTGGCTAATTCAGATTTCTACCAGCAGATATAAATATTCCCTTTTCTTTACAACTTCACCAGCACCTGTTATTTTTTGACTTTTTAATAATAACCATTCTGACTGCTGTGAGATGGCATCTCATTCTGTTTTTGATTTACGTTTCTCTTATGATCAGTGATGTTGAGCATTTTTTTGTAGGCTTGCCGGCCATGTGTATGTTTTCTTTTTAAAACTGTTTGTTTATGTCCTTTGCCCACTTTTTAATGGAGTTGTTTAATTCTTGCTTGGTTAATTTGTTTAAATTCCTTACAGATTCTGGATATTAGACCTTTTTTGGATGCAGAGTTTGCAAATATTTTCTCCTATTCTAAATATTATCTGTTTACTTTGTTAATAGTTTCTTTTGCTGGCAGAAGCTCGTTAATTTAATTAATCCCATTTGTTGATTTTTGTTCATATAGCAATTTCTTTTGAATCTTTGTCATGAAATCTTTGCTAGAGCCTATATCAGGAATATTTGTAGGTTTTCTTCTAGCATTTTTATAGTTATATGGTTCCATATGAATGTTAGATTTTTTTTCTAATTAAGTGAAAAATATCACTGATAGTTTGATAGGAATAGCATTGAATCTGTAAGTTGCTTTGGGAAGTATGGCCATTTTAAACATATTGATTCTTCCTATCCATTAGCATGGATTTTTTTTCCCATTTATTTCTGTCATCTCTTATTTTTTTCAACAGTGTCTTGTAATTTTCATTGTAAAAAATTTTCACCATCCTGATTAGCTGTATTTCTAGTTATTTTCATATGATTATTGTGGATGGGACTACATTCTTCATTTGTCTATCAGATTGGATGTTGTAGTGTATAGAAATTCTAATTTTTGTACATTGATTTTTGTATCCTGAAACTTTGCTGAAGTTGTTTATTAGATCTAGGAGCCTTTAGGCAAAGACTATGGGGTTTTCCAGGTATAAACTCATGTCATCTGCAAACAGAGATAGTTTGACTTCCTCTCTTCCTGTTTGAATGCCTTTTATTTATTTATCTTGCCTGATTGGTCTGGCTAGGACTTCCAGTAATATGTTGAATAGGAGTGGTGAGAGTGAGCATCCTTATCTTGTTCCAATTCTCAGGGGGAATGCTTCCAGCTGTTACTCATTCAGTATGATGCTGGCAGTGGGTTTGTTATAGATGGCTCATTATTTGAGGCATGTTCCTCAAAATGCCTAGTTTGTTGAGGTTTCTTTAACATAAAGGAATGTTGAATTTTATTGAAAGCATTTTCTATATCTATTGAGATGACCTTCTTTTGTTGTTGTTAGTTCTGCCTATGTGATAAATCACACTTATTGATTTGCATATGTTGAACCAACCTTGCATCCCAGGGATAAGGACTACAAGATCATGATGGATTCACTTTTAATGTGATTCTGGATTCAGTTTGCTAGTATTTTGTTGGGGATTTTTGTATCAACGTTCTTCAAGGATATTGCCCTAAGGTTTTAATTTTCTGTAGTGTCTCTGCCAGGTTTTGGTATCTAAATGATGCTAACCTTGTAGAATGAGTTAGGGAGGAGTCCCTCCTCCTCCATTTTTTGAATAGTATCAGTAGGATTGGTATCAACTTTTCTTTATACATCTGGTAGAATTTGTCTGTGAATCCATCTGGCACTGGACATTTTTCTGTCTGGTAGGCTGTTTATTATTAATTCAGTTTTGGAACTTGTTATTGATATGTTCAGAATTTCAGTTTCTTCCTGTTTTAATCTTGGGAGATTGTATGCTTCCAAGAATTTATCCAATTCTTACAGGTTTTCTAGTTTATGTGCATAGAGGTGTTCTAATAGTCTCTGAGGATTCTTTTGCATTTCTCTGGAGTCAGTGATGATGTTCCCTTTGTCATTTCTAATTGTGTTTATTTGGATCTTCTGTCTTTTTCTTTATTAGTCTAGCTAGCTGTCATAAATCTTATCTATTCTTTCAAAAAACCAAAGTCTGGTTTTGTTGATCTTCTGTATGTTTTTTTTTTGGCATCTCAATTTTACTCAATTCAGCTCTGATTTTGGTTATATCTTGTCTTCTAGCTTTGTAGTTGGTTTACAATTATTTTCCTAGTTTCTCTAGTGATGATGTTAGGTTGTTAATGTGAATCTTTCTTTTTTATATGAGTGTTTAGAACTATTAATATAAAGTTTTCTCTTAAGATTGTTTTAGCTGTATCCCAGAGATTCTGGTATGTTGTATCTTTGTTTTCATTAATTTCAAAAAAATTATTGATTTCTCCCTTAATTTTAATTTTATTGTTTATTAAAATGCCACTCAGGAGTAGGTTGTTTAATTTCCTTGTAATTTTACTGTTCTGAGTGATCTTCTTAGTATCGATTTCTATTTTTATAGTGCTGTAGTCCAAGGATGGGTCAGTATGATTTCTCTTTTTTTTTGTTAGTTTGCTGAGCATTGTTTAATGGCCAATTGCGTGGCAGACTTTAGAGTATGTGCCATGTACAGATGAGAAGAATATATAATCTGTTGTTTGAAGTAGAGAGTTCTGTAGATACCTGTTAGACAAATTTGTTCCAATGTCAAGTTCAGGTCTCAAATATCTCGTTAGTCTTCATCTAATACTGTCAGTGGGGTGTTGAAGTGTCCTACTATTATTGTGTGATTATCCAAGTCTCTTCAGAAGTCTCTAAGAACTTGTTTTATGAATCTGAGTGCTTTTGTGTTGTGTACATATATATTCAGGACAGTTAGGTCATCTGGTTGAATTGATTCCTTTACCATTATGTAACACCCTTCTTTGTCTTTTGTGGTCCTTGTTGGTTTAAAGTCTGTTTTGCTTGAAATTGAAATAGCAACCTCTACTTTTTTCTATTTTCCATTTGCTTCATAGATTTCTTTTTATCCCTTGACCCTGAGCCTATGGATGTTATTGCATATGACATGGATCGTTTGAAGACAGTATACCATTGGGTCTTCTTTTTTTTATCCAGCTTGTCACTCTGCCTTTTAAGTGGGGCATTTAGCCCATTTACATTCAAAGATAATATTGATATGTGCGGATTTTATCCTGTCATTGTGTTGTTAGTTGGTTATTATGCAGACTTGATTGAGTAGTTGCTTTGTAATGCCGATAGTCTATGTACTTAAGTTTGTTTTTGTAGTGGCTGGTAATAGTCTTTCCTTTCTGTGTTTAGCACTTTCCTAATGAACTTTTTTAAGGCAGGTAATTGATTTCATTAGCATTCGCTTGTCTGAAAAGGATCTTATTTCTTATTCACTCATAACGCTTAGTTTGGCAGAATATGAAATTTTAGATGGGAATTTCTTTTCATTAATAATGCTTTATAATAATGCTCCCAATCTCTTCTGGCTTGTAGAGTTTTTGCTGAAATGTCTGACATTAGCCTGGTGAATTTCCCTTTGTAGGTGAGCTGACCCTTTTCTCTAGCTGCCTTTAATATATTTTTTCTTTCATTTTGACCTTGGAAAATCTGACGACTATGTGTCTTGGGGGTGATCTTCTTGTATAGTATCTTGCAGGTGTCCTCTGCATTTCCTGAATTTGAATGTTATCTTCTTTAGCAGGGTTAGGGAAATTTTCATGGCTAATATGTTCAGTTATGTTTTCCAAGTTTCTTGCTTTGTAACCCTCCCTTTCAGGGACACCAATGAGTCATACATTTAGTCTCTTTGCATAATCCCATATTTCTCTGAGGTTTTTTTTTCATTCTTTTTTCTTTATTTTTTTCTTACTGAGTTCTTTCAGAGAACAAGTTTTTGAGCTCTGAGATTCCTTCCTCTGCTTGATTGATTCTGCTCTTAATATTTGCAATTTGTATTATAGAGTTTTTGAAGTGATTTTTCAGCTGTATTAGATCAGTTTTGTTCTTTCCTAAAATTGCCATTTTGCCTATCAACTCCTGTATTATTTTAATTGTATTCCTTAGATTACTGGAATTGAGTTTTGGCTTTCTCCTGAATCTCGACAATCTTTATCTGTATCCAGATTCTGAATTCTATGTCTGTCTTTTCAGCCACTTTAGCCTGATTAAGCACTATTGCCAGGGAAATAGTGTGGTCATTTGGAGGTAAGAAGGAGTTCAGGCTTTTTGAGTTGCCAGAGTTCTTGCACTGGTTCTTTCTCATCTATATGGGCTAATTTTCCTTTAATTTTTGAAGTTTATGCCTCCTGAGTAGAGTTTTTTCCTTTTCTATTCTTTGACCCTTTTTAGGATTTGATTGTGGTGTAAGTTGGGTCCAGTTAACTGGCTTCATTTCTGGAAGATTTCAGAGGGGCAAGGCTCAACTCAGCACTCTTGGGCTGGATGCTTTAACTCTGCAGGACTTGTACTAGATACTCAGCTTTGTTCTCTGGCCCCCCAGGGTTAGAAACCTGCTGTGCTGGAGGGGCTGGGGTGTTCGCAGTCCACAGGCAACAACACTTTGATGAGGCGTGCTGGTCAAAGTGCTTCATCAGGGCAGTGGCAGTGGAATTGGTGCTCGCTCATGTGTACCAGCATCAGTGGTAGTGTGGCAGAGAGGCTGTGCATTGTTGGGGAAAGTGGGAAAGGGTGCTGGTGACACCGAGGTGGGAGTGGCCATGCATATAGTCTCACATCAGCAGCAGGCATGTGTGCCAGCAGGGGAGAGGAGGCAAGATCCTCCAAGGTATATATGCTGGCAAACCAGTATGGGGGGCACTCTGGGTGAGTGCATGTGAGAGAAGGCTGTGTTGGGAAGGGGTTGCACGTGGATGGGTACATGTTAGTGGAGACTGGTTTTGTGGTGCTCTCTGATAGTTAGGTGTCGTCAGCTGGTGAAGGACCTCGGATGATGGCCCCCAAGAACAACCAGACTGGGGCCTCAGGGAAATCCAGCAGACAGGGGAACACTCAGATCAGATTGGCCCATTTTCATGAGCAAGATCACACAGTCACCAAAGACCAAAACCACCAAGAGGGGCATGGTGAGCTTTAGGGGATGGGTGGCCCTGGCCATCCTCCATGCAACCATTCCCACACCCTTTGGGCTCTACACAGGCTCAGGCTGGAATCCTGCCCCTGACACCTTTCACTCTTTCACCAGAAGCCACTGGGGGCCAGGAATGAGTCCCAGTGCTCAGCAGCCCCTTGCAAGGTTTTTAGCTTCCTCCTCTTTGAGCCCAGAGTCTACATCTTCCTCCCGTCCACTCTCAATACCTTTCCTTCGAAGATCTGCTCATAATGTGTCAGTCTTCTGGAAGCCCTGGTTAATTGGTGGGAGATAATCTTCCTGACTGCATCTAGTTTGCCATCTTGGCTCCCTCTAATTTTAGGTATTATGATAGTTTTTCAGTATTTCTTCGTTTTTGTTTTAATTTGAATTTCCCTTATCACTAAAGTTGTTCAGTTTATTTTCACATGCATATTGGCAATCTGTATAACTTTAGTAAAGTGTCTACTCAAATCTTTTGCTCATCTTTTATAGAGTTGTGTGTTTCCTTACTAAGTTTTGATAATTTATTAAATATTCATAACTATTTTATTAGACATGTGATTTGTAAATGTGTAATTTACCAGTTTGCCACTTGTCTTTTTATTCTCTTAACAGTGTCTGCAAAGAAAAGTAGTTTCTGAGTTTGATGAAGGTCAATTTATATATTTTTTCTTTATAGATCACACTTTCAATGTCATGTCCAAGAAACCATTAGCTAGCCCATGATTACATTTTTCTCTTATGTTTTACTTTTGAAGTATTTGAACTACAGGATTTACATTTAGGACTCCAATACATTTTGATTTTTTTTTGTATTTGTAAGGTATAGATTGATGTTTATTGTTTTGCTTATGGATATCCAATAATTCTGAAACCACATTTAAAAGACTATTCTTCAGAGAATTGTCTTTGTACATTTGTCAAAATCAATTGAGTGTGTGTGTGTGTGTGTGTGTGTGTGTGTATGTATGTATTCCTCTGTATTTTATTCTGTTCTGTTGATCCTTTTTTCTGTCTTACATGCCAATACCACACTGTTTGAATTTTGGATTTCAGAAGCTCTATGTAAGTTTTTTAGTTAAGTAGTGTAAATCCTCTATCATTATTTCTCTGTTACTAAGTTGTTTTTGCTTTTGTTGGTCCTTTCAATACCCATATGAGTTTTAGAAGAGTCTGTCAATTTCTGCCAAAAAAAAAAATCTACTGGGATTTTGACTGAGAATCCATTGTGTTTATAAAGTAATTAAGGGAAAAATTATATCTTAACAGGACCTTAAAAATATTAAGTCTCTCAATCCAGGAACACTATATATCCTTCAACCTCTTTAAGTCCTCTTTAATTTCCCCCAGCAATGTTTTGAGATTTCCAGTGTACTAGTCTGAATACCTTGTGTCTCATTTATCCTTAAGTATTTTATATTTTTGATGCTCTTATAAATAATATTTTCAAAATGTCAACTTTTTTTCTTCATTATTAGTAATAGAAATATAGGTGACTTTTGTAGGTCAATCTTGCATCCTACAACTTTGATCAACTCACTTATTAAGTTTACAGGCTTATTGAAATATTTCTTAAGATTCTCTACAGAGAAAATAAACTTTGAATAGAGTTTGACTTTTTTTTACAATGTAGATTTAAAAATTTCTTTTTCTTACATTATTGCACTGATTATAGCCAGAGAAAGTAGAAAAAAACCATATAAGTCTCCTGTTGAATTAAAGTGGTAAGAGTAGAGACACTTGCTTTGTTCCTCATGTAGGGAGAAAGCATTGAATTTTCTTACATGTGCTATTAACTATATGCTTTTCATAGATCTCCTTCATCAAGTAGAGGAAATTCTACTTACAATGATTCTGGGTAACAAATTACAGCAAATTTCCAGGGTTGAAACTGTAAACATTCATAATTTCATAGTCACTATGGGTTAGGGATCTGGGAAAAGTTTATTTGGGCAGTTCTAGGTCAAGATCTTGCATAAAATTGCAGTCAAGCTGTTTGCTAGGGATACAGTTATTTTAAAAAACATTATTTGAATATATTTATATAATTTACATAATTTACTATCTGGACACCCTGTGGCACGCCTATAGTACCAGCTACTTGGGAGGCTGAGGTAGGATTGCTTGAACTCAGGAGGCAGAGGTTTCAGTGAGCCGAGATTGCACCACAGCACTCCAGCCTGGGTGACAGAGCCAGACCTTGTCTAAGAAACAAAAATAAAACAAAACAAAAACCTACTAGTGTCTGTCGTAGTTACTATTGCATCTTTATGGGTAAAAACAAACCCTGAGAATTAGAACTTTTAGATACAATGCCTTAGAAGACAACGTAAGCAATACCATTCTAGACATTGGAATGAGCAAAAATTTTGTGATGAAGATGCCAAAATCATTCGCAATAAAAGCAAAAATTGACAAGTGGGATCTAATTAAACTAAAGAGCTTCTGCTCAGCAAAAGAAACTATCAACAGATTAAACAGACAGTGTACAGAATGGGAAAATATTTTTGCAACTATACATCAGACAAAGGTCTAATACTCAGCATCTACAAGGAACTTAAACAAATGTACAAGCCAAAAAACAAACAACACTATTAAAATGTGGGCAAAGGACATGAACAGACACTTTTCAAAAGAAGACATGCATGTGTAATCTTATGAAAAAAAGCTCAACATCACTGATCATTAGAGAAATGCAAATCAAAATCACAATGAGATGCTATCTTATACCAGTCAGAATGACTATTATTAAAAAGTCAAAAAATAATAGTTGCTGGTGAGGTTGCAGAGAAAAGGAACGCTTATACACAGGTAGTTGGCATGTAAATTAGTTCAACCATTGTGAAAAACAGTGTGGCAATTTTTCAAAGACCTAAAAACAGAAATACCATTCAACCCAGCAATCCAATTACTGGCATATACCCATAGGAATATAAATCATTCTACCGTAAAGACACATGCATGTGAATATTTATGGCAGCACTATTTACAATATCAAAGACATGGAATCAACATAAATATCCAACAGTAGTAGACTGCATGAAGAAAAACGTTATACAAATACACCATGTAACACTATGCATCCATAAAAAAGAATAAGATCATATCCTTTGCAGGAACATGAATGGAGCTGGAGGCCATCATCCTTAGCAAATTAACACAGGAACAGAAAACCAAATACTACATGTTCTTACTTGTAAGTAGGAGAACACATGAATGCAAAGAAGGGGACAACAGACACTGGGACCTACTTGAGGGTGGAGGTTAGGAGGAGGGAGAGGCTCAGGAAAATAAATAATTGCTACTAGGCTTAACACCTGGGTGATGAAATAATCTGTACAACAAACCCCCATGACATGAGTTCACCTATAATATAACAAACCTGCACATGTACCCCTGACCTTAAAATAATAGTAAAAAACAGATTATAAAATGTCAGAAAATGAGACTGCATATATATGGTTAATTATTTTTCAACAAGATATCAAGGTAATTCAATGTTGAAGAGTATCTGCAACAAATGGTGCCAGATCAATGGGTTATCCATATGGAGAAAATGTAATTTCAACTCTTAATTCACATGTACACTAAAATTAAAATGAAAATGAATCATAGGACCTAAGAGTAAACTTTTAGAGAGTAAAATTTCTATGTTAAAACTAAAACATTTCTATCACAAAAATATAGAACTTATTTTTTCTACTTTGGGTTAGAAAATAACTCAAAATATATGTGGGCAGACTGAGACCTACTGCCTGGAAGTAGCTCTTTAGAGTGCTTCTATCAGACTGCTCTATAATATATTTCAGCCCACTGCTTCTATGCAGGTGGTGGGAGTTCAGTACCTTTAAAAAATCATATTACACTTGCTCAGAAGTTACCTTAAATCACATCACGGTTTGGGTATAAGTGTTCATCTGGCTATAGATTACAGAAGCATAATCACAAACCCCATAATACATTATCTTATTTGTAGGAAAAGGCAAGAACTAGGGTCATTTTTCTTTTGAGGAATATAAGGCAAGAGATGTGGCAGAGAGGGACATGTGCTTTATCCTGTTTTGTCTTCAAAGCATCCATTCGGAGAGCAGCACATTGTCACACAGTCAGGGGCTTATGAATTTGTGCTGGCAAGCAGAAATTAGCAAATGTGACTTCTTATGTTTGATACTTTGTCTCACAGTAGAAATCAAAATCAAATCTCACTGGTGTACTAATACACAAGTAGTAGAATAGACTATAGCAAGTATTAACAAGAATGTGGTAGGAATATAAAATGGTACAATGCCTTTTGGAAAGACTTTGACTGTTCCTTAAGCATTGAAGTATATACTTACAAAATGACCCAAGAATTACGTTGGTGGAAACCTCCAAATTTGTGAATAAGCCTGAATCACCTACATAGTTCACAAAACCACATGGAAAGGGCAAAACAAACAGCTTCATTATGACAACCTTCCCCCTTCCCCCTCCGAGTCAGCATCATGCCACACAGAGGATTCCCCAGGGATGATGATTTCTGCCAAGGGAAAAGAGAACCAGAGGCAAACATTCAATTTTTTTAGTATTCCAAGATGCTTTCCATGGAGCCCACTCTGGTCTCACCAAACGAGCCATGCTAAGAGAAATGGCATGTCTAGTTCACCTGGAATCAGGTGGAAAGATAGCCCATAATGGCCAGTAGACAGATCTTCATGGTAGCTCTATGTACCTGTGAGCAGTAACACTCAATCAGAGGTATCAGTTAATAGCATAGCTCACCTGCAAAACTGAGCTGGTCACTCCTAGAAGTGGTGGAAGTTCTACTGGGCTTTAATCCCCAGGCAGCCAGCCTTTAGGACTAGCCTCAGACTCTACCCCAAGGACCCAACCATGGAAGGAAATGACAACTACAGCAAATTTAGTTAAAGGGTGGAAGCTAGTTACACCACACTTAGGAGTCTAACTGCCTCTGCTTGGCCGCAAAGCCCAGCCCAAGGCCTTCCCAGGAAGATAAATGACCAATGCAGGAAATTTCAAAGAACAGGAGATAGATCTACCACCCCCAAGAAACAGTAATTACTTTAGCTTTAATGTCCACCCAAAGGCACCACCTAGGCAGGAAGACAAAAATTAACCATGCATTTCTACTGAGCATAGCAACTGGTCTCATTCATCTCAATCAACAACTCTACCTAACCTCAGGGCCCCTCCCAAAATCCTGTTAAACTTTTGAACTAAAATAACAATAAAATCTGGCCAGGGAGTGTATTTTGTTGCCCAACCCATTCAGAGGCAATTGGAGTGCCCATCCAGCGGCTCAGTCTAATTGCAGAGTTTAGCCAGCCTCCCCACCAGAACTTAGAGCAAAGGCAATGAACCAGTATCTAGAGAAACCTAAAGCAAGCTCTGTCTGACTAGGGTGGTTAACAGCTGGCTCATGCAGAGTCACAGGGTAAATAGTAAAGGTCTATCTCTGCCAAAGAATACCTGTAAAAGACAGAAAAAGTAATGTCTCCTCAAATATATAGACATCAAGAAGGAGACAAGGATTACAATGTCTCGGGAAATCACAACACTTCCAAAAGGAACTAACAATAATCCAACAATGGACCCTAAAGAAAGGGAGATCTGTGAAATGATAGACAAAGAATTCAAAATAATCCTCTCGAAGTTCACTGAACTATGAAAACATATGGATAAAAATTAAATAAAATTTGGAAAAGAATAAACAAAATAAAAAGTTTGACAAAGAAATACAAATAATTAAAAAAAAAAACAAATTGAAATCCTAAAGATGAGGAATATAATGACTGAACTGCCTCCATCCTGGCATCCTTCAATAACCTTCAAATCCATGAGTGGAAGCTGGGTAGTTTTACTATTGGCATTAGTGCATCTTCCATTATTTCCCGCATGGAACAAACCTGAGGCTTCACTAGGTGACTTCCATGGCAACTAAAATCCTAGTGGCAAAGCTATTTGTAGTCTCTCACCAGCTTTCATGATATGTACTTATTATAATAAAATACCCATGATACAGTTCAGGGTAAACTATTTACAGATTTTAATCAAGAATAAATACTTTCTACTAGTGATTTTATTGGCTTGAGAATCTCAGATTAATCTAATTTCTTATCTGTAAGTATTACTGCTGCATAATCTTTTAAGTACTGAGTACAACAGCTTGTAACAATAACTCATCTTTTCTTCTTTTAGAGAAACTATAGTGACTTATCAGTAAAATGACTTGTCTGAAAAAGGACTATTCCCAGCAATTATTTGAGGTTCTTTTCTTTATTTTTAGCACATTGCATCTTTATTTCTCATTTCTTGCATCAGGCAGCATAGACAAAATAGTTTAGACTTTGAGTCAGATCTGGTTATGAATCCCATTTTTATACATTGAGTAAATTACTTATTTTATTTTATTTTGTAGATAAAGTGTTTTGTCATGTTGCCCAGGCTAGTCTCAAACTTCTGGGCGTAAGTGATCCACCTGCCTCAGTCTCCCAAAGTGCTGGGATTATGGGTGTGAGCCATTGTGCCCACACAAATTACTTAATCTTTATAACCTTAATATGTCATCTGTAAAATAGAGATCCTAACTACCCAGTTGACAGGGTTGTGATAATAATTGAAGAGATAATAAATGAAAGAAGTCAGAACAGTGTCTGAGTGTCTCCCACATAGTAATAGCTTGAAACAATGTCACTAAATAAAATTTTAAACAGACTTAGGAAAAAAATGGATCTAAAGAGGGTTCTTGAGAATTTGGTTATTTATTCTGTACCTAAGATATGTCTAATATACAAGTAAGTAGTAATATTATTTTTTTTAAATCTTCGAATTTCTAAATCCTGCAATGTATTATATGAAGATTGTAATTCTCATGGTCTAAAATCTTAATATACATAAGCAAAAATTCATGATGCATTATTCATTTGGCTTAATGTATTTGAGATTTTGATAAACGTGGTAATTTATCTACTTCTGCAGTTAGGTTATTTTAAATATCAACAATGTACAAATCTGAGCATTTGTACATTCCTGAGATACATTAGCTATTCACTGAGATATGTCATAAAGAAACAATATTTAACTGTTTTAGAAAAATAATTTCCTAGATCAATAGAAGTTTAAACCATCAATCCAGCAGAAGCTTCTCTTAATTTCCTAGCATAATCAAAGCTCCACCTTGCACTCCTAAAGAAACTGGGTTAACAGGACACATACAAATATTTTAAAGTCAAGTAACACAGCTGTTCACTATGAGCAGTGTTTCTTTCAAAACTATTATTGTATGATGTATTTTTTAAGTGAGTTCATTCTTGCTTTACTCTGTAGTCACTTGAAGATCATAACTCTACTTTCTGGGAAGGATTAAAATATGGAGGGCCCTTGAGTCTCATGAATTATCATAGTGAATCAATAGAAAGTTCTTTTTTGGCCCAGGTGTTTCCATAATTGTGAACCACGGAGGGGGTAAAATGTCTATTTGTTTGGTTGCCTTTACAGCACCTTTTCTACTAAGCAGTATCAAGATTGCATATACAGTTCTAAATAAAAATAGCACTTTTACCAAAAGTGACTTGGATTTAATTCACAGGGCATACAATTAAACTTTGAAATTGGGGTTTGTAGCTGTTGATCTCACTAAAGATAACAAGTCTAATTCCCAAATATTTGGCGAACAATTGTACTAAAAAGTATATGGCCAGTATAAGTTAATCATAAAGCATAGAGAACATAAAAATGCAAATAGCTAGCCGGGCATGGTGGCTCACGTCTGTAATCCCAGCACTTTGGGAGGCTGAGGTGGGCGGATCACAAGGTCAGGAGATCGAGACCATCCTGGCTAACACGGTGAAACCCCGTCTCTACTAAAATTACAAAAAATTACCCGGGCATGGTGGCGGGCACCTGTAGTCCCAGCTACTCCGGAGGCTGAGGCAGGAGAATGGCGTTAACCCGGGAGGCGGAACTGGCAGTGAGCCTAGATTGTGCCACTGAACTCTAGCCTGGGCGACAAAGTGAGATCACTCCGTCTCAAAAAAAAAAAAAAAAAAAAAAAAATACAAATAGCTGAATGCTTTGCAAACTGCCTTTATAAATCTCATGTAAAATTCACAGTGTTGCTGTGGACTAGGTGAGTATCTTAAGTAATAAAATAATTTATTCAGAAAAGTAAGATGACTTCCCTAAGGACACTCAGGTAATAAGTGGCAAGGTGGCTGAGACTCAAAACTGGATTACTTTATTTTAAGGCCACTACTCTTTCCACTACCACATAAATTCTGACCACATATTACCAGAAGGCATGTTTTATTTTTATTGCTATAACAATATTCTGGTTATATAGGTTTCTTTGCTGGTATTGATGTTTCTTAAAACATGAGCACAATTTAGAATGCCAAACATGGTAGAATGAGATAAAAGCAACATAAAAGATATTTTTATAAATATTGGATGTAGAATTACCTTATTTATACTAGAAATATGGTTTCAAGGAGTTTCAAATTCATTATATTTTTGTAAATCAAATTCTATTTTAAATGCTTCTAGAGATCTAAAAATATATTTAAAAATACTTAAAATCCTTTGTAAAGCAAGTACCTCTTTTCCAAATTTTAAATTAAATACCACAAAATGTTTTTTCCAAGTAGTTTATTAGGTATAACAGTTTAAAAGTCAGGTCTTTTTGGTATATCTACAAATATACCTAAAACTATAACTGGCAATCTTAATCAATGGATCAATATTCCCTGCCAGGGCACTGACAAAAGTTCAGTGACGTTTCTTTTTGTTTCTTAGCTTTTAGTTTAATTTTTTGCTAAGGTCTTAAAGAAACCACCATAGCCTAGAAAGGTTTATCTAACTTTGCTCATCCTTTAGGGCTTAAATACAGAGACACCTTCCTGGAATACTCAGAAAAATCTAAGGTTCTTCTATTACATTCTCTTGAGGTATTCTCTTTTCTTCCTTTGTTCCAATTACCAGAAATGCAATAATACACTGTTTATGTAATTTTAAAATTATTTTTAACTGTTAGTTTTTGTTGATAAGTTTTATGAGAGTAGTTTCTATCAACCCATCATTGATTGTATTCCTAGCACTTAGCACAATGCCTGAAACAGAATAGAAGGAAAATAAATACTTATCCAATGAAGAATAAAAAGCTTAAAATGCACATTATTGTACTGTATTTGTGGGCAAAATAGGTCTATAACTACATCTGTATATTTAGAAAAAGATATACCAGCATTGTTAGATAGACTATCATAGGTCTTATAAGATTACAGAAAAATTGATTCTGTTCTTTAACTGTTTTTTTCAGATATTTTTATGATTAACATATTGCTTTAGTTTTTATGTGCTGCTATAAGAATATACCACAAACTAGGTAACTTACAAAGAACAAAAATGTGTTTCTTACAGTTCTGAAGGCTGAGAAATCCAACATCAAGGGACTGGCATTAGGCGTCCAGAGAGGTCTTCTTGCGACATCCTCTCATGGCAGTAGGGGCAAATACTATGTTCTTACATGGCAGAAGAGCAGAAGGGAGTAAACCCACTCCCTCATGTTGTTTTAAAGAGTCTCAGTCTCAACCATGAGAGCTCAGCCCTCATGATTTAATCACCCCCTAAAGGCCACACCTCTTAATGACCTTAAATTGGCATTTAAGTTTCAACATATGAATTTTATGAAACACATTCAAACTGTAGCATATATAAGAGGACACAGTTATAAAATGTGTCTCTAAATTACAAAAGTATCGTCTTAAGAGAGTAGAAAAAGAAGCAGTCAGTGAAAAAAATGAGAAAAATTAAATTAGATCCTCATATTACATAATACATAAAAATAAATTGCCCTCTTAATATAAAATTATATGTATAAAAATAAATGAATAAACCAGTTGAAGATTCAAGTGAAAGAATTTTAGATATAAAAAGACATTAAAAACATCAATCAATTTATAGAAATTCTAAGGAAATGTTGATAGATTTGGGTTCATTAGAAATGATAGGATCTCTGTATTAAAATGTATCGTAAAATCAATTGAAGACAAACTCTAGAATATTTTTTATATTTAAAGAATTATTACAAGAGAAAAAGACAAACACAAATCCTCACTAGTTGCCTATAGGAGCTCTTTGCATAAGAGGAAAATCAAATGGTTAATAAGTACACAAGAATATTGACACTCACTAGGAGTCAAATTCAAATTAAAACATCAATGAGATACCATTTTTATATTAGCAAACTGGCAGAGATTTTAAAAATACACTTAATGTGGCCAGGCATCATGACTCACACCTTTAATCCCAGCACTTTGGGAGGCTGAGGCAGGCGGATCATGAGGTCAGGAGATCAAGACCATCCTGGCCAATGTGGTGAAATCCCCTCTCTACCAAAAGTACAAAAATTAGCCAGGGGTGGTGGTGCGCACCTGTAGTCCCAGCTACTTGGGAGGCTGACACAGGAGAATCGCTTGAACCCAGAGGTTGCAGTGAGCCGAGATCGCGCCACTGCACTCCAGCCTGGTGACAGAGCAAGACTCTGTCTCAAAAAAAAAAACACACACAGAAAAACCAAAACAAAACCATATGTATTTAATGCAGGCAGGCAAAGTTATAGTGAGACAGGAACTTCTGTTTATATCATAAATCAGATGAAGTTTTCTTGAGAGTAATTCAGTATGTGTTAGGAAATCTAACTCAGTAATTCTCCTTGTAGCAATTTATCCCAAGGAAGTAAGAGATGGAGACAAGGATATGTGTGCAAGGAGTATCACTGAAGATTTACCTTAATAGTGAACCATTGAACAACTTAAATGCTCAATAACAAAGTGATGCTTAAGCAATGTATTGTGCTTCTTGATTATTGACCACTACACAGGTGTGAAAATGTTGATTTATATAATGATATAAGGAGTTTATATTTTAATAAAATTAATTTAAAAAGAAATTTATATGTTATTCATAGTGAATAGCCCACATTATGTTAAAGCATATGAGATATAGAAATATGATGAAAAATACAACAAAAGGGTAATGGTTTATTGAACTTGCTTGAAGATTTAAATGATATTGCTGAAGCAGAGATAACTACTAACACTATGCTCTATCTGAAAGCCACCTACTTACTGTATTAAGCAGTGAGTAATATTATTTGCATCATCTCTTCCAATTCTTATAACAATCCTATTAAGCAAGTTCTATTATTCTCTTCATATTATAGATGAGAGTTAAAAACATTAACTGACTTAGCCAGGGTTACACAGCTAGTAAGGAGTGAAACAAGAGCAGACATGTTTGTGGAAATAAAAATACTTTGTATTGGAATAGTTCTCACTTACATGTAGAATCTTAAAAAGAAAAGGTCAACTTCATAGAAACAGAGAACCGAAAAGTGATCACCAGGGGCAGGGTAGGGAAGGAAATGGGGAGATGGAGGTTAAACTTGTAGTTTTGTAGAATAATTAAGTCTTTAGATCTAATGTATAGGAGGAGGACTACAGTCACTAATACTGTATTCTATGTCACAAATTTGCTGAGAGTAGATTTTAAGTGTTCTTAGCACACACATACACACACATGCACATACACACACAAACCCTAACTATGGAAAGTGATGGATATGTTACATTACTTACCTGTAGTAATCATTTCAGTATGCATATCAAAGCATCATGTTGTATACTTTCAATTTACACATTAAAAACTAAGTTGTTTCAATGTAAATTTCAATAAAATAAATCATATTTTATAACACATGTACTTAAGTTTTAATCATTATGTGAGTGTTTTTTGATAAGTTTTAAAGACAAGTTTCTAAAATGATATTTAGTAAACAATATTAGGAAAATATGACAATCATGAAAAAATATATCCAATTAAATCTAATATAATGCTTTTCAATATATTCTGAATACATTACAGATTTAAATATTTTACAAACAATAAAACACTAGAATAATATAAAATTTATACTTATCCCAATTGCAGTAAGAAAATGACATTTTATATTTCAAGGGTGAAGAAGAAATAGTCATTGACCATTGACATAATAAAACATGTGTATCGCTCATTACATATAAAAATTAAATATTATATGTATATAACGTAATAATTATAAAAGAAAGATAATGGGATATACTCTTCTCAAAGTTATAACAAACACGTTTAATTTTGAAAATATGTGGGGGTTAGATTTGGATCAAATTTATAAAACACTACTCTAGTTGATAAATGGTCAAAGAACTACTCATTTGTTTTTCAATCATTCTACAAACACTCATTATCACTTTCTATATGCCAGGCACTGATAGACAGTACAATGAGCTGTGAACACTAAAAGAGTACATTTTTAAAAGTCAACTCACCAACAAATTAGTAAAATGCTAAAGGACACAATTAGGAGATATTATGTCAGCCCTGTTATATAAGAAAAAATATTTTTAATTGACAGAAACTTAATATGAACATGGTTGTTGGGAGCAAGTAGATTTATACACAACTGATGGCACTGTAAGTTAGTGCAATAGTTTGGAAGAGCAAGTTGATAACTCATGACATAAGTAATAAAAATGATCTTCTTTTACCTAATACTACTATTATTTTCAGAAACTATCCTATGGGAAAAATCTAAGGGTGAAGAAAAGCCTATTTGTGCAAAAATGCTTATAGCTACATTATATATTTTTACTGAAAACTAAAAAAAGGTCCAAATAAACAATTCTGACAAAATTGTTATGTAGACAGTCCTATGTTAAATTAAAGGAATATTATATTGACATTAGAATGACATGCAAAAGCTATGCACAAATTGAGAATGAATGATATAGCTGAAATAAATATATATTTTGGAAGGCAGTATACATATTGAGTGCAATTATAAAAATTAAATTACATGATAATAAGAGGCATAATATACACTACAGAATTTGTTTATAGAGGTAGAAATTTATTTTTTCATAAATTTTTTTTCTGATATGATTGTTCTAGAGACAGTCTAACATAGTAGAAGCTGATATAAGAAAGCAGTAAGAATGCATAGTTGGAATCTGGCAGTCTTTTCTTCAAATGCAAACTCTCATTACATTTGATTTGTTTACAGAAAGACCCATCATCTTCTTCTGATTAATAAGACTGCATTAAGAGGCTACTGGGGGCTGGGTGTGGTGGCTCACGCCTGTAATCCCAGCACTTTGGGAAGTCGAGGTGGGTGGGTCACCTGAGGTTAGGAGTTTGAGACCCGCCTGGCCAACATGGTGAAATCCCATCTCTACTAAAAGCACAAAAATTAGCCGGGCATGGTAGTGGGCGCCTGTAATCCCAGATACTCAGGAGGCTGAGGTGGGAGAATAGCTTGAACCCGGGAGGCAGAAGTTGCAGTGAGCAGAGATCACGCCTTTGGACTTCAGCCTGGGTGACAAGAGCAAAACTCCAAGTCAAAAAACAAACAAAAAAATGGCTATTGGTCACTTTCATTTCCTCACTGAGAGTTAACAGTGAATTTACCAATGGAGGAAATGCAATTGCCCCATGATAACTGAAGTGGCAGTGCTATTTAAACAGATGGTCTATTTTTATTCTTTAAAATGATAAGGGAATCATAATCAGTTCTACGAAATGAATTATAGTTGTAGGATTCATCATGACTGAAAATGAGTGCAACAAGAATAAGATAAAAAGAGAAAGGAAAAAGTAAATTATACTTTCCTCAGTTGAGCTTCCTAGAATTTGGTCATTTCCACTCTCAGCTATCTAAATGAACAGAACTCTCTGGATGACATTTTTGGTAATCAAATAGCCAAAACCCTTTAAATAAATTGCTCTATTTCTGTATTATTCTTGCTTAAATTTTTTCTTATTCTCTCAACTTTATTTTACTATTCTTACGCTCACTAGCACCAGTAGTATTAGCTACTACTGTAAAGCACTATTGATTTTAAACCCCACTATTATGGTTTTATGTTGGCTTATTTCCTTACAAGATAATTAACTCTATGAGTCCAGTAGTATACTTACCAACCTTTGATGTCTCTAGCATCTAGCACAGTGGCCCACAGAAGCTATGCTTAATTGAGGTTTGTGGAGCCACCTGAGAATTCTAGAAGTCACACAGAAATTTACTTGGTTCTCATTAACCAAGAAAGGTGTATTCCTGTTTTTCAGAGGAAGTAAGACTTTTCTTGTATGTGCCTAGCCTGAACACAGGCTGTTTGGAGGCCATTCCAATAAGCCCTTATTAAAGAGGGGGTTCTTTCAGGTGGCAGTAGACTTCAATCTCTACAAGAGGTTGCCTAAGAAAAAAGCAGGCAGAAATGATTCAATTGAAGAGGTAATGACTAAAGTATCTACTATAAGCAAAGCCTAATGCTAGTCCTGAAAAATTTATTTAGACATGCAGAAGTCAGTACATTTCCTTATTCCATAATTCGATTTGTTATCTCAAATAAATTAAAAGAAAGTACGGGAATGAATAATTTATCTTCTATTTGAACTGTCATATTGAAAATAGCAAACTGCAAGTAGAAAATTATTGTAATAATATATATAAATCAAGCCAAAACTGAAGTTTCCTTTGTTTATTTCACCATTTCTAGTGATTTTCTTTTTCAGTTTTAGTTAAGTCAACACTTTATTCCAGTGTTTTCATTATGCAGAGTCTGAGTTATATTTTTCCCAGTTATGGGCACCTAATACAAACACCCACAAAACATGTTATGTAGATTGCATGAAATAGGAGTGCCCAGCTAACTTTGTATTTTTAGTAGAGATGGGGGTTTCACCATGTTGGCCAGGTTGGTCTCGAACTCCTGACCTAAGGTGATCCGCCCCCCTCGGCCTCCCAAAGTGCTGAAATTACAGGCATGAGCCACTGCACCTGCCCAATAAAAATAATTTTAAAATCAAAATATTTACAGAGGATGTCTCCAGGTTTATATTATGAAAATAACATTTTTGAAGATTGACACACTAGCATTAGAATTATTTTATGTATCTTTATCTTAAATTCTTATGTCATGAAACTTGGTACATCTCACAAACTAAATCCCACTAAGTTCTTTCTTAAAGACTGTTCCCTAAAGGATATAAGTGGTGAATTTCCTAGTTACTATAGTTCATGCAGAAATTGATCTTGAGCACTGCTATTATATACTTCGTTTATATATTTTGTTTCTCAGATGGCAGATTTTCTTTGTCTATGAAGAACCACTTGCTGAGTGATTCAGACATTTCATGAGACTTTTCATGAGTCACCAAGATGTTTTTATGAGTCAACAAAAAATGAAATAGCCTTGAAGATCATTAGCAAATAGCTTTATGTTTTATTCTGGTAAAAATATGAGTGAATGACAAATAAAAATGTTGAATAATTTATTTTATTTATATAAATATATATTTGTTACATACATATATATATGTGTGTGTATGTATGCAGTTATTGTTGACCATTTAACCACAGAAAACCATCAACATCAAAGCAAGATGGCCTAAGGTCAGGCATAAGTAGCTTGTGAAGGATAATCAGACGGGACATTGATATGGTGTGGCTGTGTCCCCACCCAAATCTCATCTTGAATTGTAGCTCCCACAATTCCCATGTGTCTTGGGAGAGACCCAGTGGGAAGTAGTTGAATCATGGGGGCGGGTCTTTCCCATGCTGTTCTCATGATAGTGAATAAGTCTCACAAGATTTGATGGTTTTGTAGAGGGAAGATTCCTTGCACAAGCTTTCTCTCTTCCCTGCTGCCATGTAAGACGTGCCTTTTGCCTTCTGCCATAATTGAGAGGTCTCCCCAGTTCCTCATGTGGAGCTGTGAGTCCATTAAACCTAATTTTCTTTATAAATTACCCAGTTTCAGGTGTGTCTTTATCAGCAGCATAAGAACAGACTAATTCAGACTTTAAGAAGTTTGCAATCTAGTTAGAGACAATATGATATAGCAACAGATATATCTGCATCTATTATCTGTACCTCTATGTTTATATCTGTATGTCTAAATGTCTATTTCTATATATACAGCTCTATCTCTGAGATAAATACTAGAAACCAGTGAACTGTATGGTTTATTATAAATTACGTTATTTTAAGTTCTTTAGAAATGCACTGGAGATAATGATTATTGTAGATACATGTTGTTGGAGAAAATCACAAACAAGATTGAGCTGAAGAAGGAGTTAGCTCAATTACAATAGCAGAGAGGTGAATGAGAACTCTAAGAATGACGTAATAAGCAAAAACATAGACATGGGATATTTCCTAAAGCAGAGTAATCTGATAGAAATTACTTCTATTGATCCTTGATATGTCACTCCAGGTGTTAGCATGATAGCAGAGAGATAAGGCCATAGAGTTGGTTGCACCTGGGTTACTGAGCAGAAATCATATACCGTAATGTGGATAAGTAATAAGATCTGACAGGTTGGTGCTGCACAAATATAAACATATAACTTATTTGCCACAAGTTCTGGGATAACTTATATTGTCATACCTTCTAAGTTTTAAAAATTTAGAGAAAATAATAATTGTGGTAAGGGAAAGAAGATGTACACACCCAATCACCAAATGATCATCTATGCCTTTTCTGTGAATGCAGAGGAGTGCTGCATTCTTTCACTCCTCTGCACCTTTGAATAGGTAGTATTCTTTGTTTAGACCATTCTTTCCTGTCCTTTTCTAGTTGACTTCAATTGGTTCTTGTTATGTCACTCCAGTAATATATCACTTGATATATAACTCCAATCATGTTAGCATGATTTAATTTATCCTGTGCTCCAGTAGCACTCTCTGCTGATATTTATTATAATAGTTATTATTCTGTATTATAATTTCTTATTAAACTGTTTTATTCATTAAGTCTAAATTTTCTAAAGGCATGTTGTCTTCTCCACCACCCCCAGTCCAGGTAGCTCCATCACATAGTTTTAATGCATATGTATTAGTTTATTAGTGCTGCTATAACAAAGTAGCTAAACTTGGTGACTTGAAAAACAAAATTTATAATCTCACTATTCCGGAGGATAGATGTTTCAGATCAAGGTCTTTGGAGGGTTGGCTCCTTCTGAGGACTGTGAGAGAAGAATCTGTTCCAGGATTGCTGCTTTGCTCACAAATGATGTATAAGGACATCAACCATATTGGATTAGGGGCAACCTTAATACACTCACCTTAACATGATGACCACTGTAAAGACCATATCTTCAAATAAGGTCATATTCTGAGGTACTTAGAACTTCAGGGTATTAAATATGATGGGTTATAATTCAACTCATAGCAAATAATAGGTATTTGTGAAACCATGGAGTGCATAAATGATTTATAGCACTTATTAAATGTGTTTTCATTGTCCTCCTTATAAGACAATTTGTTTAAATTTCCCTTGAAAACTGGGAGCTCCTTCAGGGAAAATTTGTATCTCATTCATGCTTGACTCCATAGTGCTTAGCACAAAGACCAATACATTGTTGGTGTACAAAATGTTTTGTTCAATGACTGATAAATAGCAAATAATAAAGAAGTATTTTGTGTAAAATACCTTTGGAAGAATGTTTTCTATGAATTGTGGCTAATGCTCTGTTCAATGATTTTTGCTGATCACTTCAGATTGTGCAGTCCCGAAGTTTTAATGCCTTAGGCAATGTGAGACGATACTATATGTCAATCAGAGCCTGGAAGTCTAAACATTTCCATGACCTTGATATCTTGTTGTCTTATTAGAGATCAGCTCTCATCTATGCTTTTGTGACTTCTTTCCATATAGTATTTGTTATTTGTTTTTTCCCCGATGTATCAAAATACAATGCTAAAATTAAAATGCAAACTGGCTTTTTATGGAGCCTGTCACAGAAATATAAAAGTGTCTTCAAGATGTAAACAGAAAAAAACTAATGAAAAATGGAAAGACTTCATGTGGGAATGTGGATCAGAGGATGAAATTTAAAGGTTAGTGTTGTTGTCTGGTTCAGTATGGCCACCTCAATTATAGTTTGATTAATAAGGGGAGTAGAATGTTAATTAGCTTCACAGTTTCCTTATGTTAGGATGTATAATCAGCCCCAATAATAATAAAACAAGTAGAGACAAAGCTGTTCTCTGAAGAAATTCATGAACCTAAAGTAATCTAATAAGATGAACATGGGCTAATTAAAATTGTATTTATTGGAAGGAAGACAATCAGACTGGGTAATAGCCAGAGTGACCTAAGTAAGGTATGGTAAGTGATGCCTCATTTGTATCTCAAACTAACAAATTTCATTAATGTTTTATCCACAAAATATTTTTTTCAGATGATTTTTAGTCACATGGAATGGAGCAATCTCACATTAAATTGTTTTCTGAGTAGCTCAGAATTCTAAAGTCGGAAAAAAACACAAAGATGTGTTAAAAAGAAGAATCCAAATTAACAAGGGATTATGAAGTTTAGTTTGAAAATATTTAAATCATAAGATAAATGGTTTTTATATTTACCCAATATTTATCCAGATTTCTATCTGGTATCACTTTCCTTCTGCTTGGAAGTCTCCTTTTTTTTTTTTTTTTTTTTTTGTAGTGCAAGTTTGCTGGTGATTAAATTTTTAAGCTTCCATATTTACAAAAAAGTCCTCCTTTTAAGTTTGCTTTTAAGATCTTATCTGGTTTTATATAATTTGGCTATAGTATGCCTTTGTATAGTTTTATTCATATTTATTGTTTGTGTTGATTGAGCTTCTTGAATCTGTCACTTTATAATTTTCATCAAATCTGGAAATTTATGTATTATTTCTTTATATATTTTCCCATCCCCTTTTCCCCTTTTCTCCTTTTCTCTTTCAGGGACTCGATTAGTTCATTGATAGGATGTTTAAACTTGTTCTACAGATAACTGATCATTTTTTCTTACTCTCTTTTTCATCTCTTTGTTTCCTTTTAGACAATTTTTATTGCTATACCTTTTTGTTTACTAATGTTTTATTTTGTAATATATAATCTGCCATTAATCCCACCCAGTAAATTTTTCATTTAAACATTTAGTTTCACTTCTTGAAGTTTGATTTGGATTTTTTCTTAATATTTTCCATGTCTTGCCTTAATGTACTCAATCTGTCATTTAGCTTCTTGAACAAATGGAGTACAGTTATAATAACTATTTTAATGTTTTTCTTTCTTCTGATCCTTTTATCTGTTTCATTTGTGGGTAGATTTCAAGTGGTTGATTTTTCTCCTAATTATAGGTCCTATTTTCATGCTTCCTTGCATAAATAGTAATTTTAATTTATAATAAATATTACAAATGTTAAATTGTTGGGCACTAGGCCTTTTTTCATCTCAATAAACATTAAACTTTTTATCTGGGATACAATTTAGTTACATGAAAACTTGATCTTTTTTGTTCTTGCCTTTTAAGATTTTTTTAGGGAGAATTGCAGAAACATTTTAGTCTAGGACTAAATTTGCCCCACTACTGAGACAGAACTTTTTTAAACACTATATGCAATGCCTTATAATTATGTAACTTTTTCCAGTATGGCTGACTGGAATAGGCACCATTCCTCATATGTGAGACCTGGCAATTGTTTCCCCTAATCCTTTCAAATAGTTCTTTCTTGGGTAGTTTTCTCACATGAATACATTGATAAATCCTCAGCTAAAGACTCTAGGGATAACTTCTTCAAGTCTCCAGAGTTCTCTCTCTGTACACCTTATCCTTTCTGTTACTCTGCCCAACATACTTGGTCTCCCTGGACTCCTAGTTCAATCTCCTGAACTCAGGGAAATTGACTACTGGCTCCAACTGGGCTCTTCTGTTCTCTGCCATTTCTTGCAAACCTTCTCTAGGTGGCAAGTTAGGGCAATCTTAGGGCTTAACTTGTCAGGGCTTCTCCTGTCTCTCAAGGATCACTGTCCCTACTTACCTGGTATTCAATGACTTAAAATCTATTGTTTCATACATTTAGTCTTGTTTTTCACTTGTTTCTGGTAGGAGGGTAAACCAGATCCTTATAATTCCACCATGGCCAGAAGAAAAAAAAAAGTCAGACTAAAGTTTTACATAGCTATGCAGTAGTGATGTGCTAGATAAGTAAAATTTTTATAAAAAGACTAAAAAATGACATAAATCTATGTAATAAAAATATACACTGTTAGAAAAACTCCTATGTTTGAGGCTTCTATATGTCAAATAGTGTATGTTAACACTGAAGTTAACATATTGTAGCATAAAAGTTGTCTCAGTGACCCCAAAATAAATTTGAATTTTCCAATTTAAATTTCTGTTCTTTCCTATTCCCCTTCCAACAGAAGAAGAATTTCTTTCCCAAATTGACTCCAAAGGCTGCTACAATATAAAATTAGAAGAATGTATTCTTCATTTATTTATTCAACAAATATTTGTTAAGTACCTATTCCATGGCTAGACACCATTCTGAGCTTGTAAGATGTATCAAGTGAACAAAAGAGAAACCATTTCCTCATGAAGTTTTTCTTCAACAGAGATATCAACATTAATCAATTAACATAGAAAATAAGCAAATTTAATAATATGGTAGAAAGAAATGTATAGATCAGGGAAAAAAAATAAAAGTCAGAGAAGTAAAATCAACGTCCATAAGAAAGAGTTGGGAGAAAAGGAGGGAAGAGAAAAATAACCTGGGAGAGTTTTGGAGATTTATTATGAGGGAAGCTCCAAGCCATTTGCTATATGTAAGCGAATTGTGGAAGAGAAAAAAGGGGCTGGTAGGAAGAGTTCCTGAATATTATTAAGTGGATTGCCTTCAGTTTTCTCTAAGAGATTAAAATAGAGATTGCATTACAGCCTTTCCTCAGTATGTGTCAGGGAAATCATTCCGGGACCCCCAGTGGATACCAAATTCTGCAGACTCTTAAGTTCCTTATACAGAACGTATTTGCATATAACCTACACATGTCCTCCTGTACACTTTAAATCATCTCTAGATTACTTATAATGCCTAACACAATTTAAACTATATATAAGTTGTTGTTAGGCTGTGTTGCTTTTTATACTTGTATTATTTTCTATTACTGTATTGTTATTTTTTATTTTTATTTTTTCCAAATATATTTGATCTGTGTTTGGTCGAATCTACAGAGGCAGAATCCACAGATATAGAAGGCTGACAGTATTTTATGACTTTAGAAATGCTGGAATAATTTTTCTTAAAAGTTACCTCAAGTTGATTCCAAAAAATGCAGGTCCTTAGTTCATATACAAGCCGTTTATGTATTGACATGATTCTTACCCCTTAAGAAATATATTTTATTTTTGTTTTATAGATAAGATAAATGAAAGGTCAAAGATTTTAAGAACTTGCCCAACTAGTAAGTGATAATCAGAACTGGAGTACAAGTTGGCTTGTTTAAAAAGTCAGTGCTTTTACTGTTACACAAAACTATCCTTTAATTTCACTTATGGCATAACAGAGGCACGTTACAATAGAGGGTATGTAAAGAAGTGCTCAGATAATGTTTCCATGACTTTTCGTCTAATTTTGTCTCAGAAGATTTTCTAGACAACTTTTCTGGCTACAGTGATTTTTAAAAATCTGCAAGAAGTGTTTTGGTTTTACAGCTTACTCAGAATTTCCATGTGGTGAGATGTATTTTTGTATGAAAGAGAATATGAAATAGAGCCGGGTACAGTTAACTATAGCCAAAGGGTCAAATCTAGCCCACCACATTATTTTGTAAGTAAAGTCTTATTGGGATACAGCCACAACCATGTGTTTCCTTAGGTTTATTGCTACTTCAGTCTGCAATGGCAAAGATAAGTAGTTGCAACAGAGACCCCATGGCCTGTAAGCCTAAAATATTTACTGGTTGTCTCTTTAGAGAACAAATTGCCAGTCTCTGTATAGAGACTCTTACTTTTATAGCATCTTAGTGGGTCTCAAGGGCAGATTCTTGAGTCTGGGGGATTAATTAGGTAATTTCCTTACTGTGACATTTTGAGGAATAAGAATCCTTAGCAGCCCATCCCCAGTGACAGTTGCCACCAGCAGGAAATGCCCTCTAGCTTTTTTCGTTGACAAAGTTCTGGTCAGCCAACTGGCCAGTTTCTACCCATTTTCCTCTATCCCACTGAGAGAAGGTTAGAGAGGCAAAGTCCTGAAAGCCATTGCTACTGTTCTTTTTCTCACCTTCTAGAATATTTCATATCAAATAAAATAACTGTAAAAATGACAATTCCATGTTTTTTGAAATATCAGTGTGAAACTAGATTTTTAGTAATATCTGAAGTTTAAAAAAACAAATTCACAAATCTATTTTATGTTGCATTGCTGAAATAGATCTCCTCTCGAGAGCACATTCTTGTAAATCAAGCATTTGTACAGAGTAAAATAAAACTATAATTTTTATCCATTAAAAAGTAATTTAAACTGACTTTAGAAAAAGATGTTATAATAATACTGAGAAATGCTCATTCTGAAAAAATATATTTTGCCATTTTTTTTAAATTAACTTTTTTTAATTTTTATTATACTTTAAGTTTTAGGGTACATGTGCACAACGTGCAGGTTTGTTACATATGTATACATGTGCCGTGTTGGTGTGCTGCACCCATTAACTCATCATTTACATTAGGTATATCTCCTAATGCTATCCCTCCCCCCTTCACCCACCCCATAAAGGCCCCGGTGTGTGATGTTCCCCTTCCTGTGTCCATGTGTTCTCATTGTTCAATTCCCACGTATGAGTGAGAACATGCGGTGTTTGGTTTTTTGTCCTAAATGAATTTTAGACTTATGCAAAAGTGACAACATCATAGAGTTCTTATATATCCTCATCCAAATTCTTATGATGTTAAGATCTAATACAGCCATCATACAACTATCAAGACCAAGAAATTATTATCTGTATAGTGCTATGAACTACATAATTTACTCTGATTTTTCATTGGTGTTTTGATTAAAATATTTTTTCTGTTCCAAGATCCCATCTTGCATTTAATCTCCTCCAATCTGTGACAGTCCCTCAGGCTTTCCACACCTTTTATGACTTTAACATTTTTGAAGAGCACTAGTCAGTTATTTTGACATAGATGTATTTTCTATCTTTTGCAAGTGACAAAATAAAATGATAGAAACCTGATGTTCCTCCTACTAGGCAAAGAAATAACCTGCAGGTCTTTGGTGAGCTCCAAAAGCAAATCAAATCACTAAGATCTTAAGTCAACAGGCTACCTATGTCTGGAGGCTCTTCTTCCAGAGTGAAGCAGAAATGAGAGGAAATTTGGAAAGCTGATGTCCTTTCTAAAATTTACAATAGTGCCTTCTTCAGAATACTCAGGTGGATGGATGGTCAGAAAGTTAGTTATTTTTTGCATCTGAATTCAACAACTCTACATTGACCTGAAAAAAGAAAGGATAATATTCCCCTGATATGTAATAATTAATTTGATCAGAGAAAGCCTTTATTTTAAAAGAAATCACTATCTTTTTAAGAAGAATATGACTTGAGAAATAGCAATTATGCTATGCTGAAGTATAAAAAGTCTTCATTAAAGCACTATAATCATAGTACTATTGAGATAAAAAGTGATGGTTGTGAAAAATAAATAATAGCTATAGAGTTTTAAAACAACAACATGGAGAAAGGCTTTTATTATAAAAATCATGGTATTAGAATAGCATTTGAAGACACTTTCCCCAATGATTTTGTACAGTAAATTATTCTACCTTTGTTCAGTATCTATTTTTAAAAGTCAAAATAGGTTTTTTTTTCTAGGTTGGTGTAAAATAAGCTATTGCTTGAGAGGGTTTGTTTGCTTGGTAACAAACAGCTTTACATTTTGTGTAATTAATCTTAATCTGTCAAGTGGCCAAATTAATTAGCCATTTTCCTACTGGAGTGGTGAACTTTTAGATGAAGAGAGAAATGCCAGGATGATGTCACATCTGTCTTATTAATTTGAATTTCAGGTTGTCTGAAGAGGGGTGCGATGTAAGAAAAGCATAAAAGAGGTGTGTCATGAAGAGAAAAGTTATTATTTTATCTCATCCTCCCCAGTGTTGGTCAGAGACAGTAAAGCCTTTTTAGGCTTTTTTTGAGCCCCTGTTTCTTAGAGGCAATTGACAAATATGGTCCTTTTTCTCCTCATGAGGGCAACTACCGACTTCAAATAGGTGTGATGAAATCTAAAAAAGGAGACTAATAGCATGCCAAAGAAGCACACTTTGTAGTGTAAGGAAAACTGGTGAGTTTTAGTCAGATGCTGATGAAAAAAATATCCGAGGGTTATTCTGCCCAGAATAAGTGAGGAGATGGTAATGCGGATATGGTCAGAGGACAAGGCAAAGGGAGAAGTTTCTGTGATAAACATGCATACATGTTTGTAGAATTACTACAATTTTCTTATCACAAATGTTTAATTCAATAATCAAAATATTCCAGTGCCATGTTAACACACTATGAGTGAGATATGAAAAAGATTAAGCTAAAATGCCTTTATTGACAGTAGCAGAATAGAATAAAACTGGATGGTAAATTTTTTAAAAAAATCCTAAATCTTTACCCAAATAAGAAATCAAAAACATTAAGAAGTCTGTGAAAAAGTAAAATATGTATTTTAAACTACGTTAAAATTTAGCTTTGTGTGCAGGATTTATGATATTAGGATTTTTTAAATTGATTATTCAGGAAATATTTTAAAATAACCAGAATTAAAGTAACTATCTTAGTAGTGGGAAAATCTAAATTGCAGGAAAAAAAATGTTTTGGGTCACAATGCCATTTTAGAATCTGGAGGCCAAAATACAGAGCAGAAATATTTGAATATTTTTATAAATTGACAAACAGGTCCAGGAAAACTCTTAATTTTCTGAAGTTTCAAACAGGGGCTATTTTAATGACTTTCTTGTTGACATGACTAAACTCTGATAGGTAGGTTCATTTGGCCTTTATTTATGACCCTTCTTGTCCATCACTAACATACTTGAATACTTCCAGAGCGATTGATGATGTTTTTAGTCTCTTAACTAAAGAAATTCAATGGTCTCTTTAATAGGTAATCATAGACATCTGCCTATAATCGGTTTATCAGTTAATAAAATTGTTTTTTCTTGAGATATTAAGCTGATAATATGTCTGTTTCACCAGGTGTTACCAGTAGAAGGCAGGTTGCAAAGCTGACAAGCACAATTCTCACTTAGGCAGTGCTCTTTATGTGGGATATCATCTTATATAAAATGAGTTATTTAACTGACATTCATAAAATAGCTTTGTGGATAAACAAAAGCAGTGATGTTATCAGGCTTCATTTCTTTCTAGCTTTTCTAAAATTATGTTGCCCATAGTCAAGAAAGGCCATAAAGTCATTTCCTGATTAAATATCGGAACCTTTTGTCTCATACATAGAACATAACTGGACCATCTCTGAAATGTGCAGATCTTCTGTTTCCTACCATTGAAATGATTTTTCCCCAGGAATGTTTAAAAAACATTGTAAAATTTTTTTAAAAAAATAGATCAGCTAAGTTTTTTGAGTTTCTAACATATGCCAGAAACACACTCCCAGGGGCAGAGCTGGGAATATTAGAAAAAATAATGAAAGCTTGCCTAGCAGATACTCTGCTCACAAATGTAACTTGTATACCTGCAGCACTGGAGACTAGGTAAACTGTTTCACTAACTCAATGTTATATAACAAAGGAGGTGCTCTAATGTTAATTACTTCATTAGTAACTATCAACTATCATGCAATCTAAAGGTGTTGTAGCAGACTTCTTTGTTATGTAATTATTATTTTAAGAAGCATATTGCATGATCTTTGATATGAAAGGGTCATAGATTAAAACATATATCTATGTAATTATTATAATCAGTGGCACAATGGGAATATCAATCTAAAAGAAATGAAAATGGATAGAGAAAACTATGCTTCTGTAATTTCAATGGGCATTAAAGCTAAGTGCATAGAAATTAAAGCCAAGTTGAAATTATTCTTAATGTGACACATTCATGAAGTTGAGTATCATTTCAACTTTAAAATTTGGTCCATACCTCTTTGTTTCCATTAACGTCTTTCACACTGGAAAAAAAATATAATGACTATAAAATCTTGCCAGAATTCTCTCATTTTCCCATTTTCCAAACTTCGAGTATGCTAAAATATAAATATATCATGTCGCTGGCTAGATTCTGGTGAAATACAATCTTTTTTATTTATTTATTTTTTTTTTTTAGACAGAGTCTCACTCTGTCTCCCAGGCTGGAGTGCAGGGGCGCGATCTCAGCTCACTGCAAGCTCCGCCTCCCGGGTTCACGCCATTCTCCTGCCTCAGCCTCCCCAGTAGCTGGGACTACAGGCGCCCGCCACCGCGCCCGGCTAATTTTTTCTATTTTTAGTAGAGATGGGGTTTCACCATGTTAGCCAGGATGATCTCGATTTCCTGACCTCATGATCCGCCCGCCTCGGCCTCCCAAAGTGCTGGGAGAAATTAACTCTTTACCATTTTCTTTATATTTCCTTTAACATTTTAGGGTTCAGGGTGCATATGCAGGTTTGTTTTATAGGACAACTTGTGTCATGGAGGTTTGGAGTACAGTTTATTTTGTCATCTAGGTACAAAGTATAGTGTCCAATAGATACGTTTTCTGATCCTCTCCCTCCTTCCACCCTCCAACCTCAAGTAAGCCCCGTTGTCTGTTCTACCCCTCTTTGTGTCCATGTGTTCTCATCATTAGATCCCATTTATGAGTGAGAACTCGTGGTATTCGGTCTTCTGTTTCTACATTAGTTTGCTAAGGATAATGATCTCCAGCTCCATCTATATTGCAGCAAAGGATATGATCTTGTTCTTTTTTTAATGATTGCATAGAATCTATGGCATATATGTACCACATTTTCTTTATCCAGTTTACTGTTGATGGGTATTTAAGTTGATTTCATGTCTTGGCTGTTGTGAATAGTGCTGAAATGAATATACAAGTGCATGTGTCTTTATGATAGAATAATTTATATACCTTTGGGTATATACCCAATAAAGAGATTGCTGAGTCTAATGGTATTTCTGTTTTTAGTTCTTTGAGGAATAGCCACACTGCTTTCCACAATGGTTGATCTAATTTACACTCCCACCAGCAGTGTATAAGCATTCTCTATCTTCCACAATATTGCTAGCATCTGTTATTTTTTATTTTCTTAATAATAGCAATTCTGACTGTTGTAAGATGGTATCTCATTGTGGTTTTGATTTTTCTAATGATCAGAGATGTTGAGTAATTTTCACATGATTGTTGGCTGCATGTATGTCTTCTTTTGAAAAGAATCTTTTCATCTGCTTCGCCTTTTTTTTTTTTTTTTTTTTTGAGATGAAGTTTTACTCTTGTTGCCCAGCCTGGAGTGCAATGGCACAATTTCGGCTCACTGCAACCTCCACCTCCCAGGTACAAGTGATTCTCCTGCCTCAGCCTCTGGAGTAGCTTGGATTACAGGCATGCACCACCATGCCTGGCTAATTTTTTATGTTTAGTAGAGATAGGGTTTCTCCATGTTGGTCAGGCTGGTCTCAAACTCCTGACCTCAGGTGATCTGCCTACCTCAGCCTCCCAAAGTGCTGGGATTACAAGCATGAGATACCACGCCTGGCCACTTTGCCCACTTTTTAATGGGTGTCTTTTTGCTTGTACATTTGTTTAAGTTTTTTATAGATGCTGGATATTAGACCATTGTCAGAAGCATAATTTGCAAAAATTTTCTCCATTCTGTAGGTTGCCTGTTTACTCTGTTGATAGTTTCTTTTGCTGTGCAGAAGCTCTTTAGTTTAATTAGATCCCATTTGTTAATTTTTGCTTATGTTGTAATTGTTTTTAGCATCTTTGTCATGAAATATTTGTCAGTTCCTATGTCCAAAATGGTATATCCTAGGTTATCTTCCAGGGTTTTTTATAGTTTTAGGTTTTGCATTTATGTCTTTAATCCATCTTAAATTGATCTTTGGATATGTGATGGAAGGAAGGGACCAGTTTCAATCCTCTGCATAGGGCTAGCCAGTTATCCCAGCACCATTTCTTGAATAGGAAGTCTTTCTCCATGGCTTTTTTTTGTCAGCTTTGTCGAAGATCAGATGGTTGTTGGTGTGTGGCCTATTTCTGTGCTCTCTGTTTGATTGGTCTATGTGTTTATTCTCTTTGATCGGTCTACGTATCTGTTTTTGTACCAGTACCATGCTGGTTTGGCTATGGTAGCCCTGTATTATAGTTTGAAATCAGGTAACATGATGCCTCCAGCTTTGTTCTTTTTGCTTAGGATTGCCTTGGCTATTAGGGCACATTTTTTGCTTTCATATGAATTTTAAAATAGTTTTTTTTTTAATTGCCTGGTGGTGAGCATGGGGAGTGGGTGGAACTCATGGGAGACAAACTTACCTCCTCTCCTTAGGGCAATTGCAGCTTGCTGGAGGTGTAGATAAAGCACTCAGGATCTTTGCTCCTTCCTCAGTCCAAGGACAGAAACGGCAGTTCCACTGCAGAGGCAGCGTCAGAGGGCTTTTTGTCGCCCCTGGGAGCGCTACTTCCAATAAATTAGGAGCCACTGCTACTGGGCGTGTTCAGCCAGGGGACAGGGCAGCTCTACTGCTGGCTCAAGCTAGGGGTTCTGCTTGTTGGGAAGCAGGGGTTAAGGGCTCACAGAGAGGAGAGACTGGGATCCTGTTGGTAGGTGGCTGTGGCATGCTGTTCGCTTGGATGAAGCCCTCCGGTGCCTTGTTTCTTTCCCAGGCTGAGTGCATCAGGGGCAGAACCACTCCTGTGGCAGTGGCTGAGGGGCTGTTTATTGCCTCTGGGAGCCTCTCTCCAGGGAAACTCAGAGCCTCTACCAGTTGTTGTGTTCATCCGTGGGTGGGGCAGCTGTTCTGTGGTCCTGAGCTTGTTGCCCTGCCTGGTGACGAGTTGGGGGGTGGGGGTTCCAGGGAAGAGGAGTTGGATTCCTCTCCATTTGGTGGCTGCTGCATGGGGGTGCCAGGATAGTGACTAGGCCTTTTGTTCTTTCCCAGCCCAAGGGCAGTTAGGGTGGTACAAGTGCAGCTACAAAGGCAGAAGCATTGTCAATTGATTCTGGGATTTCCTCCCCTGAGAAATGTCTTGCTGCCTCTGATTGAAATATTAACCAGGGGCGTGTTAGTCATGCTGAAGTCCCAGGTCAGGAGGTTTTGCCTAGGAGGAGAAGTGAGGACAGGGACCTGCATGGAGAACAGTCTGGCCACTCTTCTGTGGGGCAGCTGCACTGTGCTGGGGGTCAGCACTAGTCCCTAGTCCCTGGGGACTCTCCAAAGCCAGTGCAGAGATGCAGCCAGCCCAAAAACCCAAGCGGAGGTTGGATGGAGTACCAGGTATGGAGGTGCTGACCACCCAGTGAGGAGAAATGGGATCAGGGACCCATGTTAAAAACAGCCTGGCCACTTTTTCATGGGGTAGCTGTACTGTGCTGGAGGTTTGTACCTGTCCCTTGTCACCTCAGACTCTCCAGAGCCTAAAGATAGCAGTGGTGAAGACTGCAAGATAGGAAAGTTGGTGGCTCACCCCTCCCTCTGGGAGCTCTGTCCAAGGGAGGTGTAGAGCTGCTACTGGCCTGAGAGCCCCAGGGAGGGATGGCTGGAGCCCCAGGGAGGGATGGCTGGAGTCCCAGGGCAGTGGGACTTTTCTTGCAAGGTGCAGTGGACAGGAGGTCTACAGACCATCTCTGCTCAGTCCCCTGGATTCAGCCCCTTTCTTGGTGGCATATAAGAAATCCTAGCCTCCCCCTTTGCCAGAGCTGCAGCCACTAATGCTGGGATGCCCAGGGATCCAAGGCTCCTGGGACTCCATCTGTGCCTGAGCAGTGGTTCTGCCAGACTCCACATAGGGCTCCACATAGGACACTCACAATGTGTCCACCTGCATGTTTCTGTTGAAAATATACTATTTAATCACCAATTTTTCTTCTCACTGTGACAGCAGTGTGCACTAGCTGCTTCTAGTCAGCCATCTTGGCCCTCCCCACCATTTTCTTTCTTCATTATTTTATATACAAATGGTGCCTTTATGAGTGGCTCTGAACTGTCTTGCTTGTGTGAACTTTTACCATCCTTACAGTAATTTATAACAGAGTACATTTAAATCATTTCAGTGAGGATGCTTTAATTAAAACTAGTTATGGAAATAACCTTGTGCAGTAGTATTCTAAGCATTAAGTTTAACATATCTAGTCCCTTTGTAAAAGAGAAATACAGTATTATAACCATATATTCATGAAATGTAGAAATTTGCTAACAAAATAATTATTTGGGTATCAACGTTGTGTCTGTGTGTGTAAGTTTACAAACATGTGCATGCACAAGTTTATGTAATATAGAGGATGTACATGATAGTGGACGTGGATCTAGGGAAATATGACTTCTTGTCTATTCTATTAGTAGAATCTTGGAGAATAAAAATAGACACAAAATAACTATATGAAAGGAGAACATAATCACTAAAATTTTAAGAAAAATTACCTTGGAGTCGTATGCAAGCCACTGGTCAAGAAAGCAGAATTGTAGGAAATGTAGAAAGCAGTGATAGCCTAGGGAAAAATAGTTTTCATCTTTTTACTCTCCCCTATTATTCCTAGATTTTCAAGTAATAATGAGAAAGTAGCATATAATAACTGAGAAGCCATTGTGCTATTGTGAAGTTATAGATTTGGAGTCAGGGAAACCCAAGGTCAAATTTACCTCTGCCTCTGACTCTTTGTGTAACTGGGTTGTGATGTTTTCTTCATCGTCTCCCATGAACATATGTCCTGATATCTAGATCCTTGAGTAATCCCTGCTTACATTAACTCTGTGCTTGGCTTTGTGACTTGGTTTGTTCACTGGAATGTTAGCAAGTGGGACACCAGCAGAGTCTTCATAAGCCCTTGAATACTGGGGGTGGTAGTCCATAAAATCCACCCTCTCTTCAAAGAAGCTCAAGTCTATTTAGTTATATTGGAAAACCATGAGGATATTGAAGCCCCAGTTGACATCTGGCTGTAACTACATGAGACCCCAAATGAGAATAGCAGGACGACCCAGCTGAGCTTTTCCCAATATACAGAAGCATGAACATTGATAAATCATTATCATTCTAAGGCATAAGATTTGGAGTTAGTGTGACATACAGCAATAAGTGACTAAACTGTAGGTTTGTTCAAATGACTTAACTTCTATAAGTGAGTCAAGATTACCACTTAACTTTCAAAATATTAGAGAGAAAACAACCCATATCTCAATTTTTTAATTCTTAAATTATATTACTGTTTTGTCAGGCATCTTCTTTAACTAATTGGAGAAGTAGAAATGAGAAAAGCCACTTTTATCAGAATTTGACTTAAGGCCACCTTTTTTTTCTAATAGTTTTCTTGGGCCATCTTTACTAACATATTGATATCTGAGATGGAAGTATCAAAAAATGATAACCAACTCAATATTTTTTGATGAAGATGTCAAGCATGACTTCCACTCTTATGGGAAATTGTAATCTGATATAGTTTTGCTATGTGTCTCCACCCAAATCTCATCTTGAATTGTAATCCCCACATGTTGAGGGAGGGACCTGGTGGGATGTGACTGGATCATGGGGATGGTTCCCCCTTGCTCTTCTTATGACAGTGAGTGAGTTCTCATGAGATCTGATGGTTTAAAAGTGGTACTTCCCCCTTTACTCTCTCTTTCTCCTGCCACTATGTGAAGAAGGTGCTTGCTTCTCCTTCACTTTCCACCATGATTGTAAGTTACAAGAGGCCTCCCCAGCCATGTGGAACTGTGAGTCAATTAAACCTTTTTTTTTTTAATAAATTACAGAGTCTCAGGTAGTTCTTTATAGCAGTGTGAGAATGAACTAATACAGAAAATCAGTGCCGGGATAGTGGGGTACTAATATAAAGATAATCTGAAAATGTGGAAGCTACTTTGGAACTGGGTAATGGGCAGAGGTTGGAACAGTTTGGAAGGCTCAGGAGAAGACAGGAAGATATGAGAAAGTTTGGAACTTCCTAGAGACTTGTTGAATGGTTTTTACCAAAATGCTGATAGTGGTATGGACAATGAAGTCCAAGCTGAGGTTGTCTCAGATGGAGACGAGGAACTTATCAGGAACTGAAACAAAAGCCACTCTTGCCATGCTTTAGCAAAGGACTGGTGGCATTGTGTCCTTGCCCTAGAGATCTGTGGAACTTTTAACTTCAAAGAGATGATTTAGGGTATCTGGCAGAAGAAATTTCTAAGCAGCAAAGCATTCAAGATGTAACCTGGCTTTTTCTGAAAGCATATAGTCATATGCATTCACAAAGTGATGATCTGAAATTGGAACTTATGTGTAAAAGTGAACTAGGGCATAAAAGTGTGGAAAATTTGCAGACTGACAATGCAGTAGAAAGGAAAAAATCCATTTTATGGTGAGAAATTCAAGGCAGCTGCAGAAAATTGCATAAGTGACAGGGAGCTAAATGTTAATAGCCAAGACAATGAGGAAAATATCTCCAGGGCATTTCGGAGATCTTCATGGCAGCCCCTCCCATCACAGGCCCAGAGACCTTAGAGGAAAAAGTGATTTTGTGAACCAGGACCAGGACTCCCACTGCTCTGTGCAGCCTCGGGGCATGGCGTTCAGTGTCCTAGACACTCTAGTTCCAGATATGGCTAATCGAGGCCAAGGTACACCTCAGGCCATGACTTCAGAGGGTGTAAGCCCCAAGTCTTGGCAGCTTCCATATGGTGTTGGGCCTTCAGGCTTGCAGGAAGACAAGAGTTGAGGTTTGGGAACCTCTGCCTAGATTTCATAGGATGTATGAAGATGCCTGGATGTCAAGAAAGAAGTCTGCTGCAGGAACAGAGCTCTCATGGAGCACCTCTACTAGAGTAATGAAGAAGGGAAATGTGGGGTTGGAGCCCCCCACAGAGTCTCCACTGGGGCATTGCCTAGTGGAGCTGTAAAAAGAGGCCTATCATCCTTCAGATACCAGAATGGTAGATCTACCAACAGCTTGAACCATGTGCTTGGAAAAGCCTTAGTCACTCAAAGCCAGACCATGAAAGTGGTCACCCCATGGGGACTGTACCCTGAAGAGCCACAGCGGTGAAGCTGCCCAAGCCTTGGGAGCCCACACCTTGCATCAGCGTCTCCTGGATGTGAGACATGGAATCAAAGGAGATTATTTTGGAGCTTTACAATTTATTGAGTGCCCTGCTGAGTTTCAGAGTTGCATGGGCCTGTAGCTCCTTTGTTTTGGTCAATTTCTCCCATTTGGAATAGAAACATTTACCCAATTCCTGTATCCCCATTGATATGGTTTTGCTCTGTGTCCCCACCCAAATCTTATCTTGTAGCTCCCATAATTCCCATGTGTTGTGGGAATGACCTGGTGGGAGATGATTGAATTATGGAGGTGGGCATTTCCCGTTCTGTTCTCATGATAGTGAATAGGTCTCACAAGATCTGATGATCTTAAAAACGAGAGTTTTTCTGCACAATCTCTCTCTTTGCCTGCCACCATCCACGTAAGACGTGACTTGCTCCTCCTTGCCTTCCAACATGATTGTGAGGCCTCCCCAGGCACATGGAACTGTAAGTCCAGTTGAACCACTTTCTTTTACAAATTGCCCAGTCTCAAGTATGTCTTTATCAGAAGCATAAAAACGGACTAATACATCCATTGTATGTTGGAATTAACTAACTTGTTTTTTATTTTACAGACTAATAGGCAGAAGAACCTTGCCAGGTCTCAGATGAGACTTTGGACTTGGACTTTTGAGTTAATGCTAGAATGAATTAAGACTTTGGGGAATTATTGGAAAGGCAGGATTGTGTTTTGAAATGTGAGAAGAACATAAGATTTTGGAGGGACCAGAAGTAGAGTGATATGGTTTGGCTCATCTCAAATTGTAATCCCCATATGTCAAGGGAGGATGCTAGTGAGATGTGATTGGATCATGGGGGAAGTTTCCTCACTGGTGTTCTCAGTTCTCATGATAGTGAGTTCTCACGAGATCTGATGCTTTAAAAGTGGCACTTACTGTCTCTCTCTCTCTCTCTCTCGCCACCTTGTGAAGAAGGTGCTGGCTTCTCCTTCACCTTCTACCATGATTGTAAGTTTCCTGAGGCCGCTCTAACCATGTGAAACTGAGTAAATTAAACTTTTTTAAAAAAATAAATTTCCCAGTTTCAGGCAGTTTTTTTATAGCAGTGTTAGAATGAACTAATACATAATCTAACAAGACAGGTGAATATTAAAGAAAAATACTCAGGAATATATGTAACAGCTTATTAAATGGACAGAACTTGGTTTGGCATAACTAAGATAAAGTTTTATTCTTCTCCTGCTCCTGACTTTAAACATACTCTGTTGAATTCCCTTCTCCAGTCATTAAGAGTGTCTCAGGCAGATGCATAAGTTTCAGGGTTTTTTAAGGAAGAGGAATCATCTCATTTTTGACATTGAAAAATCTAGTCCCAGCAAAATCTCACATCCATTTAAAAATCTTACGTTCAACAGCATATACAACACAATATTTCCCCCATCTTTGCTCATCTATATATCTTTTTCAGTTTACTCTCTTGCTTCTGGATCCTCCATTGTCTAGCTATGAGAGAGGCATTATGAAGAGTGAATGTGTTCAGTGACTAGAGATGTTGTAATTGAGCCATTGGTTTCCTCTGTTGTGGGATGCTTTTCTCCAAAGATTTTGTTGGCTTCTTCCAGGAAGGAACAATTAATACAGTACCACTTGAACATCCTGCTCTATTCCTCTGTAGAAGTGTAAGGTTTCACTCACTTGTGTTTCTGAGGTTCCAAGGCTAATTTTCTAGGACTAGAATTCATATAGAAGCACAGACTTTCACTTTGGCTTTCTAATAACCACCCTATAACTCTGATTTAAGCTCATACTCTTCTTGGTATTTTAAAAAATGTATTCACCATTAAAATTTGTTTCTTAAAGCATAGTAATATATTTAAATTGTTATATTTTTTAGTTGCATTGCAGTGGTCAGTGCCTTCAGAGTAACTATTTGTATTAATCTTAGATGTGATTAAATGGTCTTTTAACCCTTCATTTTACTTAAAGTGAGGTGAGGGCAAAATTTCTGCTTCTTTGTAAACAAAGAAAGGAATATCTGCTCAGTGAATTTTAAAATATTTTTTCTTTCTTTTATTTATTTTCTTCTCTTTTTTTTTTCCAGTAGTGTTTCGTGATAAGAGTTGATGATTGAAAAATTAGTATGAGCACCTTTTGATAAGTACTGCAACTCTCCTTAGAAGAGATGATTCAGTTCTATCTTCAGCTTTAGTCTTGAGCTTAAATTTCAAGATATTCAACTTAATTTTATATTGTATTTAAGTGTCATAAAGGTTCTATGCCAGGTTGGCCCCTGGCAAGGCATGAAAAGCATCCCACTATGATCTCTAGTAAGTATAATAAATGATGCTCCTTTGATTCTAGGTTATGACTCCATCAGAAATAATGGAGCCCTACTGTCCAGAAAAAAAAATAACAAACTTTGTTCAACTATTACTGATAGCACTACTATTAGTACAAGGGTACCTTCATTCTAAAAGTGGTCTCTTTAAAGAGATACTGTGCCTTAAATAATGTAAATAAATCATAATTTACATTTACACTATGATGAGAGAGATTTAATTTATATTTTCAGACCAGCAAAAGGTCTTTTTGGAGATGCAAGATTTGATCTGAGAAAGGAAAGGTGACTTGGAGGTATCCAGGGTAAGAATGAAAAAAAAAAGAGGTTTACTGTCCGGAGGAGTTTTAATGTGGGGAAGAGTGGAAGTGTTATAAATTATACTTTATAAAAAAAATTTCAGGATGCAAAATTAAGAAGGAATTGAAGCATTATGTCCAAATGGGAGCCTTTTGCAATCTCTCAGACTAGAAGTGTAACAATGTAGGTGCAAGGGAAATGAAGAAAACTGGTTATATTAAAAAACATGAATTGCTTGTAGAAGAGACATGTGGAATGGATGTGAGATATAATGAGGAGAATATGTTAGGAAATAACATTGTTTTCAGAATTTGGCAAATGGATTGATGAAGTTGCCACTTACTGAGATGATCAAAATAGGAGGAAAACAATAGAGGAAGGCTTGTGGGAGACTAAGAATTCAGTTTGAGACAGCTGTGAATCATACAAATGATGGATTTACAAGGATGGAGGAAATAGCCAGGATTACAGATGAGAATTTGAGTCCATGAACACATCCTGAGTGATTCTGGTTTATTATTTGTGTTGAAAAGAACTGGCAATGTCAGCTGAACATTAACTGTTAGAAGGATTGAAGGAAAACAAGGAGAATGGCATGGTGCTAAGTGTGCAAAAGAAGGTCAGAAAGGTGTCAATTGGCTTGGCAACATGGAGGTCAGGAGCAGACTTATAGGGAGTCAATTAGAGGGGTTTGGAGAAGAAAGCAAGTGTCTTCATATTTGGAGATCTGTTCAGTGTTATGGCATGGAAATTTCCTTCTGACTCTTTCAATCAGGAAACGTGAATTTGAAGGGAAAATTAGACCCTTCATAAACCTTACAGAATGGATTTGCTGACTGAAATAAAAGGCCCTGTAGGATCAAGGACTATCCCTGTTGCATGTTCTCCTGATTTCCCTTTAAATCCGTGTGTATTTGGCAATACACACGTGCTTGTTTTTGTTTCTCTTTGCATGTAGGGTGTTAGTGGTAGAGCTGGGAAGGTGGCATAGCTTACTAAATGTCTATTAAATCCCCATAAAATGTAAACTAAATTTTCTAGTTCTGTTGTCCATGATGTTCCATTGCTTCAGCTACTGTTCAACCATAGAGAAAAGCGTATGCCTCATTTTCTCCTTTTATTTGCTCAAGAGGAGGAGTGCAAGTGCTGTAGTGGCTATCGTTTTCCAAGCTAATGAAGCATGCTATATGACTTCAAGAATAATGATCCACTGACCTGCCCTCTAAACTAGGAAATAGCTCCAGAGCACTTGTAGTTTAGTGGATTGCCATTGCTTTGAAAGCATGACAAGTTTATAACAATTTTAGCCACAAAACCAAAAAAAGAAAAAGTTAAAATAATTTTATAGAACCCTTTGGTTAATGGACAAAACTAGATCAGAAAGAGCATCATGCTGTCCCAAAATACTGGTCAAGAATTGAGATTTAAGTTGTAAAAAACCCGGGGTATATTTCATAGCAACAATTCCTTTGTTTTCATGGTTCTGAAGAGATAGTTTCATGTTTATCTTATTATTTCCTGTTTGACAGAATATCCATGGTTGTTTCATGTTGCCGAATACTTCATTTTGTTGTTTGGTGGTCTATACATATCATCGGTCTGTTAAAAAGTAAGTTACACTAGGCTGGGTGCGGTGGCTCACACCTGTAATCCCAACACTTTCGGAGGCCAAGGTGGGTGGATCACCTGAGGTCTGGAGTTCGAGACCAGCCTGGCCAACAAGGTGAAACCCCAGCTCTACTAAAAATATAAAAAATTAGCCAGGCATGGCAGTGGTGCCTGTAATCCCAGCTACTCGGGAAGCTGAGGCAGGAGAATGGCTTGAACCCGGGAGGCAGAGGTTGCAGTGAGCTGAGATCACACCATTGCACTCCAGCCTGGGCAACAGGAGCAAAACTCTGTCTCAAAAAAAAAAAAAAAAAAAAAAAGGAAGTTACATTAAACAATTGATACATCAATTGTAATCAGAATTATTTCCTAGCTACTTAATTTTATACAATTACCATTTAACCATATCTGGTTGGCATAGCCTGAGGGATCCAATTCTTTTGCGAAGCCCCCTCTTTTTAAGGAGGTCTCACGTGGGACTTGGTCTATTCAAGTGTGCATATACAAAGGCTTTGGCAGCGGCTGGACCTTGGTCTTCCACTCTACTGGCTAAGGGATCTCAGTCAAGTTACTTAATTTCTCAGAACTTTTTTATTTCTTTATCTGTGAAGTGAAGACCATAATAGTTATAGATATCTCAAGCAGTTGGGAAAGTTTAATTAGTTATGTAGAAGCAGTTTATAAACCACCAAGGAATAAGAATCCTTAGTAATTGTTATTAAAAGAAATATTTCTCATGGTAAATAGTGTAGCATGTGATGGAGGACATGAGCTAGGTGATCAGTCTGACCAGTGTTTTGAACCCTGCCTCCACCAATTACAAGTCATGTGGACCATGGCAGGCTACTCAATGTCTTTGGGACTTCTTTTCCTAACTTGTTATTTGGAATACTATTATCTGCCCGTGGGACTACTGAGATGTTTAAATGAGATTATGTATGAAAAATGTTTAATTCCACTCATTCTATGCACATATTAGATACTGGATTAAATTAATACACTTTGGCCCCCTTTTGTAAGTTGTCCCCTGGCAAGGCATGAAAAGTATCCCATGACCTCTATTATATTAAATGATGATCCTTTGATTCTAGGGTATGACTTCATCAGAAATAATGGATCCCTACTGTCCAGAAAAAAAAAATAACAAACTTTGTTCAACTATTACTGACACTACTACTATTAGTACAAGGGTACCTTCATTCTAAAGGAGTTCTCTTTAAAAAGGTACTGTGACTTAAATAATGTAAATAAATCATAAACATTCTGTAGGAAATCAATCAGTGAGATATATTTCAAAAGGATAATTTTGCCAAGTTCCTCAAATAGCATGTGGTACTTACTTCTGTACAAAAGTAATCATCTCATATACACAAGTAAGTATGCATCAGCCTGTCTTTTCACACATTTTATTTTTTCTTCTACAGCTGGAAAAGTGATGGGGAGATCTTGAGCAAATATTCTTGTTAGACATGGAAGTTATCCCTTCACACAGACACACACACACACACACACACACACACACAGACACCCCAGTAAAGAAAAAAGAGATTTCTTTTTTTTTTTTTTCCACCAGAGAAGGATTCTTCTTCAAGGTGCTCAAGTTCCCTGCAGCAAGGGGCAATATTAAATTTTTCTGTTTGAGGGTCAGACGGAAGAGATGGATTAACTCGGAAAATAATTTAAGACTTTCTTGGAGGAAGATGTAGAGCCATCTGTTGCTTGAGTGTAAATGGAATCACTCCTCTTAATCTACTGGTGCTGATAAGGAAAGCAGTCAACTGTATCCTGGTTGAGTTGCTAGACTCTGAGAAAGTGGAAAATTATGTAAGCCCTTAAAGGACACACAGGCAACTAATCTGACCCGTAAGGAGAATGGCTGTATGTTTCAGATGCGAGAGGGCACTAAATATCAGGGTCTGGGGAATACAGCGGGGACAGCTGGGTGAACACACATTCAAAAAGCACAATTTCCACCAAATAGCCTTCTGTAAAAGACAATGCCTATGTGCCTCGGGAACCAGGCCAGAGAGGCTTGCCTGCAGCTCGTATCAATCAGCAGGTCAGATGGTGGAGGACTAGTATTCAATAGTGACACCCTGTGGCAATGGACCTTCTCTCTATTTGACAAGTGAACTCTCTAGACCATATTAATTTAGCTTGAAGTAAACTAAGGAATTACAGGGTATTTGTACCTTAAAGCTGTAAAACAGTTCTTATCCATTTCTAAGATGTTCCAGCTATTTATGAAAAAGTCTTAATTGTTTGGAGGTTCTACTTTACCAATCATAAAATTATCTCATGCCAAGAAACTTCATTATCACTCTAAGTAGCTAAAACTGGCTTCTACATTTATGTACTTTTTATTTGAAATACGGAGTTTAGGTTGACCTAAACTGTGTTGTTCAGAGGGCAAGTACATATTTAATTAAAATATGAATAAGATATTTTTATTTAACTTCAATACAGGGAGTATTTTCTAAAAATACAGAGTATCTGCACAAATTGGTGTTGGTCAATATTTCAAATATTGGCAAGTACATTTTAGGAAAGAAGACTAGAAATAATCATATCAGATGCCTGAAGGGAGTCAATACAGGAAAAGGTATTGAAAACAAGTTCATCCTTCAGCCATTTTAATAAACAAAGGGAAAAAATTTACAGAGACAAATTTCTGTGCTTCTCTACCAACAATCTCATGCTACTGAATGATGAAGTTAATTTGCATATATAAATCAGCCCCACTAGAGCTTACTTTTGAAATTTATTTTTAATTGACACATAATAACTGTACATATTTATGGCATATATAAATATCTTTTCTTCTAGCTTTTTGAAAATATAGGAGATTATTAATTATAGTCATCTTATAGTGTTATAAACCTTTTTAAAAGTAGTGTCAAATGCTGTTTATGTCATAGGAAAGGGACTTGCTGAGAATCTTCTCACATAGCAAATTGGATAGACCTATCTTTATTCAAAGAAAAATAAACGGGTAAATAAAGTGGGGTTACTTTTTTCAAAAAAGCTGCAACATTAAATATATATATTCAAAATATGTTAGGCATGTTTTTAACTATTTTGCTAACTAGAAATGTTTGTGAAAGCAATTTCAATTTTCAAAAAAATTAAAATAAAATAACACATCCACGTTCATAACAGCACTATTCATAACAGGCCCAGGGTAGAAGTAAATGAAATGTCCATCAATGGATGAATAGTAAACAAATTTGGCATAAACATACAATAGAATATTATTTAGCCTTAAAGGAAAGAAATTCTAACACATGCTACAGCATAGACAAACCTTGAGGACATTATATTAAGTAAAATAGGCCAGTCACAAAAAGACAAATACTATATAATTCCATTTATATGGGCTATCCAGATTAGTCAAATTCATAGAAATAGTAGAATCGTGGTTGCTATGGGCTGAGTGCTATAGTTTGGATATTTGACCCTTCAGACTTCATGTTGGAAGTTGATTCCCAATGTTGGAAGGTAGGACCTAGTGGGAGGTGTTTGTCTCATGGGGGTGGATTCCTCATGAACATCTTGGTGCCATACTCACAGAAATGAGTGAGCTCTTGCTCTGTTAGTTTCCTCAAGGGGTGGTTGTTAAGAAGGGCTTGGCATCTTCTCTCTCTCTCCCTCCCTCCCTTTCTCTTACTTCCCCTTTCACCATGTTATTTCTGCTCATGCTGATTCCCCTTTGCTTTCTACCATGAGTGGAAGCAGCCTGCACTTCTCACCACAAGCTAAACAGTTGCTGATGACAAGATTCTTGTACCTGCAGAGAACTAAGGGGTAAATCAACCTCTTTTCTGTATAATTTACCCAGCCTCAAGTACTCTTTCATAGCAACACAAATGAACTCAGACACTAGGAGAAGGGATAAATGGAGAATTGTCATTAATTGGATATAGAGTTTCAGTTGTGCAAGATGAAAAATTTCGGAGGGGCAAAGATGTCTGATTAGAAGCAACTGTAGTCTGTAGCACTCACAGAGAGGTATGAAAACGGTGAGGAATTTGGCACTTTCAACTGAACTATCCAGATTCTCACATTGGGGCTAACTAGGCAATGGACTCAACCCATGGAGAACAAAGGAAAGCAGGGTGCGGCACGGAGCCAAAGGAACACTCACACCCAGCCAAAGGAATTGCTGAGTGATGGTGCAGCCCTGCCAGGAAACCACACTTCTCCCATTGATCTTTGCAACCCGAAGATCAGGAGATCCCCATACCACCAGGACTTTTACATTTTCTGGTCCCAGGAATCCCATCACGACAAGAATTCCATCCGTACAGTCCCCTGGGAAGGAATCCAGGGAGCCAAGCAATGTTGTTCTGTGGGACTCACTTCCATGGCACCTCACAAGTTAAGACCCCCTGGCTTGGAATTCCAGCCGGCCAGTTCAGTAGGCTGGAGATAGCCTGAGACAGATGAGTTTCCTGGGGTGGGGGCAGCTGCCATTTCTGTGGTTAGGTTGACTCAGCCATTCTAGCCAGCTAGCTCCAGGGAGTTCAGGCTGTCCAAATGAGGAGGAGTCCCCCACAATGTGGCACAACTGCTGTGCCACATTGTGACAAGACTGCTTCTTTAAGTGGGACTCCCATTTATCCCTCCTCTCTGGGCAGGGCCTCCGTGTGGGAACTTCAACAATTCTAGCCAGGGTTATATTGACAGAACTCTAATCTCTTCCTGAGACAGAGACCATGGTGGGAGGGGCAGCTACCAACCCTGTGGTTCAGTCAACTCAGCCCTTCCAGCCTGCTGGCTCTGGAGAGTCCAGGCAGTCTGGACAAGGAAGGTTTCTCCCCAGCCCAGCACATCTGCTCTACCAAAAAGCAACCAGACTGCTTCTTTAAGCGTGTTCCTGATCCTGTCCCTCCTGACTGGGTGAGCCCCCCCAACAGGGGTCTTCAGGCACCACTTACAGGAGCATGTGGGCCAGCAAAACGTCAGTGCCCTCTGGGACAGAGTGCCCAGAGGAAGGAGCAGGCTGTCATCTTTGCTGTTTTGCAACCTTCACTGGTGATACCTCCAGGTAAGGGAAAACCAAGGCAACAGTTCTGGAGTGATCTCCCAGCATACTGCAGCAGCCCTACAGAAGAGTGACATGACTGTTACAATAAAAACAAACAATTAGAAAGAAGCAACAACAACATCAACAAAGAAGACCCCAAAAAAACCCCATTCAAAGGTCAGCAACCTCAAAAATCATAGGTAGATAAGCCCCAAAAGATGAAAAAGAATCAATGTGAAAACACTGAAAACTCAAGAAGCCAGAGTGCCTCTTCTTCTCCAAATTACTGTAATACCTCTCCAACAAGGGCACAGAACTGGGTGGAGGCTGAGATGGCTGAAGTGACAGAAGTAGGCTTCAGAAGGTGGGTAACAACAAACTTCTCTGAGCTAAAGGATCATGTTGTAAGCCAATGCAAAGAAGCTGAAAATCATGATAAAACAATACAAGAGCTAATAACCAAAATAGCCAATTAGAAAGGAGCATAACTTACCTGATGGAGCTGAAAAACCCAACACAAGAAATTCACAATACAATCACAAGTATCAATAGTAGAATAGACCAAGTGGAGAAAATAATCTCAAAGCTTGAAGACTATTTTTCTGAAATAAGACAGTCAGACAATAATAGAGAAGAAAAATGAAAAGGAATGAACACAACCTCCAAGAAATTTAGGACTATGAAAAAAGACCAAACTTACAACTGATTTGGTTACCTAAAAAACACAGGGAGAATGGAACCACATTGGAAAACATACTGCAGGATATCATGGAGGAGAATATCTCCACCTAGTAAGACAGGCCAACATTCAAATTCAGGAAATGCAGAAAACCCAGTAAGATACTCTACAAGATTATAAACCCCAAGACACATAATCCTCAGATTCTCCAAGGTTGAAATGAAAGAAAAAATCCTAAGGGCACACAGTAAGAAAAGCCAGGTCACCTAGAAAGGTAAACCCATCAGACTAACAGCAGACCTCTCAGTAGAAACTCTAAAAGCCAGAACTGATTGGGAGCCAATATTCAACAGTCTTAAAGAAAATAATTTCCAACCCAGAATTTTATATTAGGCCAAATAAAACTTCATAAGTGAAGGAGAAATAAGATTCTTTTCAGACAAACAAATGCTGAGGGAATTTGTCACCACCAGGCCTGCCTTACAAGAACTCCCAGAGGAAGGACTAAATATGAAAAGAAAAAACTGTTACTAACCACTACAAAAACACATTGAAGTACACAGACCAGTGACACTATGAAGCAACCACATAAACAAGTCTGCAAAATGACCAGCCAGCGTCATGATCACAGGATCAAATTCACACATAAGAATATTAACCTTAAATGTAAATGGACTAAATGCCCAACTAAAAGACACAGAATGGCAAGCTGGATAAAGAGTGAAGCCCCGTCAGTATGCTGTCTTCAAGAAACCCATCTCATGTGCAAAGATACACATAGGCTCAAAATAAAGATATGGAAGAAAATTTACCAAGTAAATGGAAAACAGAAAAAAGTAGGGGTTGCAGTCCTGGTTTCTTACAAAACAGATTTTAAACTAACAAAGATTACAAAAAGATGAAAAAGGACATTATGTAATGGTAAAGGGTTCAAATCAACAAGAAGTTGAATATATATGCACCCAATACAGGAACACTGAGGTTCATAAAGCAAATTCTTAGAGACCTACAAAAATATTTTGACTTCCACACAACAATAGTGGAGTATTTTAACACCCTACTGATAATACTATACAGATCTTTGAGACAGAAAATTTACAAAGATATTCCAGACTTGAACTCAGTGCTGGATCAAGCATCCATAATAGATATCTACAGAACTCTCTACCTCAAAACAGCAGAATATACATTCTTCTTTGCACCATATGTCACTTACTCTAAAATTGATCACATAATCAGAAGTAAAACATTCCTCAGCAAATGCAGAAGAACAGAAGTCATAGCAAACAGTCTCTCAGACCACAACACAATCAAATTAGAACTCAAGACTAAGAAATTCACTCAAAACCACACAACTACATGGAAATTGAACAACCTGCTCCTGAATGACTCCTAGGTAAATTACGAAATTAAGACAGAAATCAAGAACTTCTTTCAAACTAATGAGAACAAATTGACAACCTACCAGAATCACTGGGATGCAGCTAATGCAGTGTTAAGAGGGAAATTTAATAGCACTAAATGCCCACATCTAAAAGCTAGAAAGATATCAAATTAACAACCTATCAACATACATAAAAGAACTAGAGAACCAAGAGCAAACAAACCCCAAAGCTAACAGAAGACAATAAATAACCAAGATCAGAGTGGAACTGAAAGAGATAGAAACACAAAAAAATCCTTCAAAAACTCAATAAATCCAGGAGCTGTTTTTCTTTTTTAAAAAATAATAAAATAGACTACTAGCTAACTAATAAGAGAAGAATAATATACACACAATTAGAAATGAAAAGGAGGATATTATCACTAGCCCCACAAAAATACAAACAACCTTCAAAGAATACTATAAACACCTCTATGCACAAACTAGAAAATCTAGAAGAAACTGATACATTCTTAGAAACATACACCTTCCTGAGACTAAACCAGGAAGAAATTGAATGCCTCAGTAGACCAGTAATGAGTTCTGCAGTTGAGGCAGTAATAAATAGCTTCCTAAACAAAAAAGTCAAAGTCCAGACAGATTTATAGTTAAATTCTACCAGAGGTATCAAGAAGAGCTGGTACCATTCCTACTAAAACCAGTCCAAAAAAAAACCAAAAAGAAAGAACTCCTCCCAAATTTATTTTATGAGGCAAGCATCATCCCAATACCAAAACCTGGCAGAGATACAACGACAACAACAACAAAAACTTCAGGCCAATATTCCTGATGAACATTGATGCGAAAATCCTTAATAAAACACAAATGAATCAAATCCAGCAGCACATCATAAAGCTTATCCATTATGATCAAGTTGGCTTCATCACCAGGATGCATGGCTGGTTCAACACACACAAATCAAGAAATGTGATTCATTACATAAACAGAACCAGAGACAAAAACCACATGATCATCTCAATAGATGCAGAAAGGACCTTTGATAAAATTCAACATCCTTCATGTTAAAAACTCTCAATAAACTAGATATTGAAGGAATATACATAAAAATAATAAGAGCCATATATGACTAATCCACAGCAATATGATACTGAATTGAGGAAAAGCTGAAAGCATTCCCATTGAAAAGCGGAACAAGACAAGGATGCCCTCTCTCACCACTCCTATTCAACATCGTATTAGAAGTTCTGACCAGGGCAATCAGACAAGAGAAAGAAAGAAAGGTATTCACATAGGGAGAGAGGAAACCAAATTATCTTTGTTTGCAGATGACAAGTTCCTATATTCTAGAAAATCCCATTGCCTCAGCCCAAAATCTTCTTAATCTGATAAGCAACTTCAGCAAAGTCTCAGGATACAAAATTAATGTGCAAAAATTGCTATCATTCCTATAAACCAGCAACAGGCAAGTAGAAAGCCAAATCATGAATGAGCTCCCATTCACAATTACTACAAAAAGAATAAAATATCTAGGAATACAGCTAACAAGGGAAGTGAAGAACCTCTTCAAGGAGAACTATATCCACTGTTCAAGGAAATCAGAGAGGATACAAACAAATGGAAAAACATTCCATGCTCATGGATAGGAAGAATCGATGTCTTTAAAATGGCTATACTGCTCAAAATAATTTATAGACACAACGCTATTCTAATTAAAATACCACTGACATTCTTCATGGAATTAGAAAAAACTATTTTAAAATTCATATGGAACCAAAAAAAAAGCCCAAATAGCCAAGACAATCCCAAGCAAAAAGTACAAAGCTGGAGGCATCACACTACCCAACTTCAAACTATACTACAAGGGGATAGTAACCAAAACAGCATGGTACTCATAGAAAAACACACACATACAACAGTGGAACAGAGTAGATAAATCAGAAATAAAACCACACTCTTAAAACCATCTGATATTTAACAAAGCTGACAAAAACCAGCAATGAGGAAAGGATTCCCTATTCAATAAATAGTGGTGAGAAAGCTGGCTAACCATATGCAGAAAATTAAAACTGGATCCCTTCCTTATATTTTATATAAAAATTAACTCAAGATGGTTTCAAGATTTAAATGTAAAACCCCAAATTATAAAAACCCCGGAAGAAAATCTAGGCAGTGCCATTCAGGACAGAGGCACGGACAAAGATTTCATGACAAAAACACCAAAAGCATTGCAACAAAAGAAAAAATTTAAAAATGAGATCTAATTAAACTAAAGAGCTTCTGCACAGCAAAAGAAACTATCATCACAGTGAAAAGACGACCTACAGCATGGGAGAAAAATTTTGCAATCTATCCATCTGACAGAGGTCTAATATACAGAGTCTACATGGAATTTAAACAAATTTACAAAAAAAAAAACACTAAATTATTCCCATCAAAGAATGGGCAAAGTACATGAAGAGACACTTCTCAAAAGAAGACATTCATGTGGCCAACAAACATGAAAAAAAGCTCAACATCGCTAATCATTAGAAAAGTACAAATCACAACAATATACTGTCTTATGCCAGTCAGAATGGTGATTATTAAGAAGTCCAGAAAGAACAGATGCTTGCAAGGTTGTGGAGAAAAAGAAATGCTTTTACTCTGTTGCTAAGAGTATAAATTAGCCCAACCATTGTGGAAGTCAATGTGGATTCTTCAAAGATCTAGACACAGAAATACCATTTGACCTAGCAATCCCATTACTGGGTATATACCCAAAGAATATAAATTATTCTATCATAAAGATACATGCACACATATGTTCACTGCAGCGCTATTCACAATGGCAAAGACATGGAAGCAACCCAAATGCCCATCAGTGATAGACTGGATAAAAAAGTGTGATACATATACACCCTAGAATGCTATGCAGCCATAAAAAGGAATGAGATCACGTCCTTTGCAGAGACATGGATGGAGCTGTATACTGTTATCCTCGGCAAACTAACGTGGGAACAGAGAACCAAATACCACATATTGTCACATATAAGTGCGAGCTGAATCGTGAGAACACATGGCTACATGGAGGGGAACAACATACACTGGGACCTGACAGAGGTTGGGGTTCGGGGAGGGAAAGCATCAAGAAGAATAGCTAAGGGATGCTGGGCTTAATACTTAGATGGTGGGTTAATCTGTGCAGCAAATAACCATGGCACACATATACCTATGTAGCAAGGCTACATGTCCTGCATATGTACCCCAGAGCTTAAAATAAAAGTTGAAGAAAAAAAAAAAAGAAATATTTCTGGAGCTGTGTTGTACAACAATGTGAATATACTTATGGTACTAAATCTACACTTAGAAATGGTTAAGAGGATAATGTTATGTTGTGTGTTTTTTTATAATTAAAAATAAATATTTAAAATGTAATAAAAATTGGATGTTAATAACATATTGCATGAGCTAATTATCAATTTAAGAAGAAAATTTTAAGAAATGGTGTCACAACAGAATTGAAAATATGAGTAGAATCTAGACTACATAAAGCCAATCAACAATATTTAGAAAAAAACTTTCGGATATTTAAAACATGATTTAAAAATTCTCTCAGAATTCAGAGGACAAAGACAATGATAGTGATGAAAGGGAACTCTTCTAGATAACTGACACCCAACTTGCAACCAAGAAGTAAACAGAACAAAAGTATACTAATAGAAAAGATTAGCTGAACTGAAGGACCTGAATCTGTAGATCAGACTCATGTGATGTTTATAAAACAACAAACACCCAGATATGCAAAGCTGGCATTGACGAATTTCAGGTGTTAAAAATCAAAAAGAATTTTGCAAGCATTCATCCAAGATAAAAAGAAACTAAGCAACAATCCAACAAAAACAAAAGCTTTCTTACCTATCAAAGGCGAAGACTTTGTCTCCTCAGAATTAAACTACTACAGAAAAAACAAAATCATTTTGAAGCTAAGATGTATGATCTAAAATCTATATGTCTAGCCATGCTGAATGTGAATCAACATCCAAGACATATTTTCAAAATATATATGCATTTAAATATGCTTTTAAACTTAGTTATCCTAGGCTAATAATGATGAAATGTATGAATTTGTGTTAGGTGTAGTAATACAGTAGCAGAGAAAATAATTTATTTCAAAAGAAATTCTCAAAATCATAGAATAAATTAACACTGTGCTTCTGCTCTCAAAAAGAAGTAAATTAAGGATGCTACTTGCATAAAAAATACCATATTTATTACTACCAGATAAAACTTATTTTTAAAAATTTGGGTAACATTTTAGTTACCTCTGAGCCCTCAAATAATAAATTGGTTCTTCTAATCCCGAGTGAGATGACAGATTCAGAAATTCTGTGTATAATATTCAACGTGAGATAATAAGTATAAATGCTTAAAATATACTGGGCTGAAAAGAGTGTTATAAAATAATCTCCTAAATGTGAGGCATCTGTTTATACTACTGTTTGTTGATGTGATTTTACCATTCCTGACGCACTTTTAAGAGTAAAGTTCTCCTGAAGCCAATCAGGAAAACTGGATAAAGGCCAGGAAAGAATAATGAATACATTTAGAGAAGGTATGCTTCACAGATTATGGCAAATGAGCCAAATAAGTATTACCATGTAAAAGAAAGAGATTTTTGGAATCTCCAAGATAAAACCATGAGAAGCAAAATGAAGAAAAACAATGCAATTTGTCTTTATCAGAAGACAACCCTAGAGAGGATGTTGGAGGAATGCACAGGTGGAGAGAGGTAATTCTTCAAACAATAAAATATCTAGAACAACAACAAAACCCAGAAAGCACTGAGGAAAGCAGATGGCCATTTAGTCAGGTTCGGCAGTCTAAAGTGTTTCATTTTATTTTCTGTCGGTCACTGTTAATTTTTTTATGAGAGCTTCAAAGTTTCCTAACTCTTAACAATTGAGGCTATTCAAAAAAAGAATGAGTGAGTCTACTTCTTAGTGTAAATTGTTCATCAGGGTTAGTGGTTGTTTGAGTGGAGGGTGGTGAGGGATAAAGAGCAGGAAGGGTCAAAGAGAATGGCCTGAAAAGGAAGCAAGATACCCCACTGCACCATGACAGCATGTTTTCCCCACATTTCCTCCAGATTCAGAAAGCCTTGCCTACTGCCAAAGGCAGGTCATTGTTGAAAATCTATCAAGAGTTTAATCCCATATGTCATCTCCTGTGCCCATAAATTTGGAAACTTGAGATGAAGTTGGCTTTGGATAAGAAATTGAAAAATCCTGGGTCATAAAACTACTGTCAGTACACTCTCCAAGAATAGAGGATGCAATTATAAGTTTGAGAAGAGGGGGTGGGGTGGAAGAGATAGGAAGTCAAAGTTGATATTTTAATCTGCTCCCCTCCGACTTGAAAAAAGAATAATTCTAAAAGCTGGCTTCTTTCACTAGGAAGGGCATGTACTGAGGAAGAGGGACAAAGGGAAAGAAAAGAAATTCACAGCAAAGATGTATGGTGGAATGATCAGAGGCCATGGGCTGTCACTGTTCACAGAACCTAAAAAACTTATCTTTAAAAGGAAACTCTAACTAATGGGCTGAACGGATCATGGTGTCATTCTCCAACCCCTAATTAGCACAGGGGAATATGATGACAGCTACTAAGGGTCAGCTCAGGTCCTGTCTCCTTTAATATAGTTCTCTTACTTGTACATGTTACCCTTCACAGACAAGAAATACCCCAATTGACTTCATTATTTAGCTAGGAAGACAAACAAGTACAGCGAAACAAGTAAGCAACTTAAAGTAGTAAATAGTTAACAAACTAAAATATAGGATACATATATTAATGGGTGTTCTAAAGAAGCCTAAATATATAAAAATGTGTATTTGCAAAAAAGTACTTTCTCTTTAAAAACAGTCACTTTAAGAGACAATGTGCTTATTCTCAGCAAAAGAAACTATCATCTAAGTGAACAGGCAATCTACAGAATGGGAGAAAATTTTTGCAATCTACACATCTGACAAAGGTCTAATACCCAGAATGTACAAGGAACTTAAACAAATTTACAATAAAAAAACAATCCCATCAAAAAGTGGGCAAAGGATATGAACAGACACTTCTAAAAAGAAGACATTTATGCGACCAACAAACATGAAAATAGAAAAAAAAAGCTCAACGTCACCCATCATCAGAGAAATGCAAATCAAAACCACAATGAGATAGCATCTCACGTGTCAGAATGGCGATATAATAATTAATAATTGCCATTATTAAAAAGTCAGGAAACAATAGATGCTGGCAAGGCTGTGGAGAAATAGGAATGCTTTTTCCCTGTTGGTGGGAATGTAAATTAATTCAACCATTGTGGAAGAGAGTATGGTGATTCCTCAAGGATCTAAAACCAGAAATAGCATTTGACCCAGCAGTATATACCCAAAGGAATATAAATCATTCTACTGTAAAGACACATGCACACATATGTTTATTGCAGCAGTATTTACAATAGCAAAGACATGGAACCAACCCAAATGCCCATCAATGATAGACTGGATAAAGGAAATGTGGTACATATGCACCATGGAACACTATGCACCCATAAAAAGGATGAGATCATGTCCTTTGCAGGGACATAGATGAAGCTGGAAGCCATCATCCTTAGCAAACTAACACAGGAACAGAAAACCAAACACTGCACGTTCTCACTCATAAGTGAGAGTTGAACAATGAGAACACATGGGAACAGGGGAACAACACACACCAGGGCCTGTGGGGAGTGGGGGGTGAGGGGAGGGAACTTAGAGGATGGGTCAATAGGTGCAGCAAATCACCATGGCACGCATATGCTTATGTAACAAACCTGCATATTCTGCACATGTATCCCATGTTTGTTTGTTTGTTTGTTTTTTAGAAGAAATAAAAAGGAAATGCCAATCAAAATTGAAAAAAAGAGAGACAATATGCTTATTCTAATTAGGCTTTCACTGTTTCAAATATAGTTGTAAAATTCAAATTTAGAAGTATATTCAGAGCCTAAGCTAAAATCTTTTAAGTTTGTGTTATGTATTTCACATCTACTAATCCTTTAAAATTCACATTTTATCTCGATGGGGATGGAGAACTTCTCTCCCAAACCCTCCCACAAAATTCTCTCAAGTATTTCACATGCTTTTAAATGCCTCACTTTTTGCTCTATTTGCCTATATATCCCCAAGGGCAGTCTTGATTTGCCTTTGAACCCCCAGTGTCTAGAATAATCTCTGTTACATAAGAGATGCTTAATAAATGTCTCTTGATTGAATAAACATTTGATGTTGTAATTAAAAATGAGCAACCATTGTTCAAAGTTAACATATCAAACTACTTTGTCATTTAACTTGAATAATACCATTATTATAACCAAGTGAAGTCAAGTTGGAAAAAAGAATTTCTTCTGTGACTTGTAGAGGCAATTCCAAATATAAACTCCAAAAATATTTTGAGCATCGTTAGTTGTGGCATGTTGGGATCCCTAGAAGCAGATGCTAAGTCAAAGTTTGAGATTTAAGGTGCTTAGTAACAGTCAACAACTATAACCAAAAAATAGGTGGGGAGAGATTGGGAGCCAGGATTGGGCAGATGAAGAAAACAAACTGAGATCAGGCCTCACAGTCTTGACCAACTAGGTTGGGGCTCTGGAGAGACAATTGTCCATCAGAGTGTCGCATCTAGGGCTTAAAGAATCAATACACTTACCTTGCTCAGTTACTGAATGTAGGCTACCTTGGTAGTGTGTGATTTTGGGCTGTTTGCATCTGAGATCAACCTGAAAGAGATGACAGCTGGAGATTGTCTGCCGATCTCACTCCCTACAACTGGGGCAGCTGGTCCTTGATTGAAGGGAAATCTGAGTTACTCATTTCCATGTCTCTCACATTAAATTTTGTGGACTGTGAGAATTAAGGAAGTATATATAATAACTCAGCATAGCATCTAGCATAGTAAGCATTCGCAATTCTAGCTATTATTATCATCAAAATCTGTGGTTTGCTTAAAATAGATTATTTTCACTACTTTATGCTTTGAATTGAGTACCATTTCACAAACCATTTAAAGATCTTCAGAACTGTTCGGAGAACCTCCACTATCAGTGACAATAGTGTCCCTCACCTACTAGATAACAGAGCACAGAATGTAGAGTCAGTGACAGAGACCTACTTCAGTTCTGCCACTTAATGAGGTAAGAACTTGAAAAAGTTATTTTTTCCAGACATGGGTCACTTCTTCCATAAAAGGTGTTTAACAATACCTATCCCTTAGGGGTATCATGAAGATGAGGAAATGCGCCTTAAATACCTACCGTGGGGCCAGGCAGACCACTAAGTGCCAGAGAATGAAAACTGTCTTAAAATTTTTCGTTCTTATTTCAACTCGTACCCCATACTCACTTACTTCTGTTAAAAATCTTGGTGACAGAAGCCAGAAACACTAGGAGGCCTGTCTTGCACTTTGTTCTGCCCAGCATCCAACAGGATGCCCCTAACTGTAACTCACCATGGCATCTCCTCTTCCTCTAAGTTACCAAATATATTTAAATGTTTTTCTTAAATAAAAGTACACTCTTATTTTATTATACTCATATGTATTAACATTGTAATAAACATGCCAAACTGTTTTCATCTTTCTAATTTTTGCAACAAATATATCAGAGATAATAACACTGAATATTTTCCTTGGAGTGGCTTGGATCTGAGTCAATTTAACCCTTGCTGTTTGGAATCCAAGCCCAGAGTTTCTTGCACTATGCCCTGAGAGCTCTTGGAAGATTTTTACCATCAGCAATACCTTGAAAAGTAAAATTTAGATCTGCCAGGGCTTTGCAAGCCCTGGTTGCATGTTGGTTCTCATGTTTCAGCCTTCACAAGCAAATGAGAAACTATGGTCTGCTGGGAACCCCATGTCACTGGCTTCTAATGGATTTTAATGATCCTGTTGCTCAGACCGTGGAACATAGACAGACATGTACTCTGAGCTCTAAAATGATGCCACTGGGAATCATCCTGGAGCTCGGTGCTTCCAGCAGAGGAAGCAAAACAGCTGTTGCAACACCTGCTGCTTGGGGCACTGAAAGAAAAGAAGTTATAAGAGCCATCAGTGGCAGACACATGAGCTCTGCATTAATGGCCTTGCTTCCACACTGTGCCTCCTGATCTTGGGAGGCTTTATAATGACGATGATTCTATTTCTAGTGAGCCCAAATAGCATAAAGGAGATTACTGTACAGGGCACTAAGGGTATACGGGACTTATCTCTCAGAGGACCATTTCAAAGATTTTGAATTTTAACCTTTCTGATGCTTTAAAAATAATTCAGGGATTTAGAAAGTTTGAAAACAGAGGTGTGCCCAAGATAACAGTATGACACACCATGTCCTCAATTCATCACAAGAGGCGCAAAGAGGTCAGGGCATATTTTTACCCCCAAAATATAGACTTAGATCTACCAAAGATTGTTTCTGACTGGGGTTTTTGAAGTATCTAGTGTCACAGAATCATTATATTTTTAAAATTAAATGAGAGAGAAAACTTTTAAGAAGAAACTTGAACTTCTATAGGATGGTCAATGACAATTGAATATTTTGTGGAAAGTAATATTCAGTAAAGTAAATATATAGTAGTTTTCAGTAAAAATAATTGTAATAAGCAAAAAATCATATTAAGAAAAAAATAATGGCAAAGTATTCATGCAGTGAGTGTGAGCGAATTGCTGAGGGATAGCAGTCAATGTAATTTTTATGCAGTTAATAATCATCAACACATTCCATCCATTGTGGTACTGTTTTCACTGTTGCTTTTATATGTGACTCTTGATGGCATTTGAGAATCAATGTACAAAAATATGGCAAAAGAGTGTAAGTTGTACATATATATATATGTAAAAAGAAAAGGGGAGTAATATTCTGATACTTAAAAATTCACTTGCTCCTTTATTTACAAAAATTATTTTTAAAATACCTACATACTATTTTCATTAGTAAAATACCACCATGCCTCCAAAACACAATTCTAAAAAACCTGGTTATAGGTGCATGCAATAATTACAAAATGCATAATAATTAAGAAACTCTTTACATATCACATATCAAAATATTACAGCTATGAAGAAAAAAAAATTCCCCAAGAAATAGACTTGTGGAAAAAATCACTGAGAAGCATTTACATTCCAGAAGTGATAGAACATTTTTTAAAGAGATTTGAAAAATCTCTTTTTCAGATTTTCACATATCTAGTGTATTCTCACATATCTAGTAGATATCAATTGAGAACCTACATTTTTGTCTTTTAAAAGAATATTACTTGGCTGGGCATGGTGGCTCACGCCTGTAATCCCAGCACTTTGAGAGGCCGAGGAGGGCAGATCACGAGGTCAGGAGATGGAGACCATCCTGGCTAACACAGTGAAACCCCATCTCTACAAAAAAAAAAAAAAAAAAAAAAAAAAAATTGCTTAAGCTTTGCTGTATTTGATATATTTTAATGTTTAAATTTTGCAATGAAACAAAACTTAAACAAAAAGAAAGCCAGAGAAAAGAGATAAGGGAAAAGAAAAAGAATCAAATTGGTTGAATCCCAACACCCAAAGGCAACCTCTGTAAATGAACAATGTATATCATCAGTTTAACTTCTGTACCTATCATATAGATATCACAAATTTAATTAACCACATTCCTAAAATTAAAATTGAATTGGTTTGCAACACTGTGTTGCATCAACACCATAAAAAACATACTTGTAAATATATATATATTTAACTTCATATCCAATTTTTTATTTTTCATTTTTATTTTGAAAACATTTATTATACAGTGTCAGGATTGAATATAATAGTTCAATGAACAGCAGTATGTATATTATTTGCTTAGTTTTGCTAATCATTAACAAATTACTTGTTTTATATCTCTCATTCACTTTACCATTCATTCATATAGGTTTAGACTATTATTTTGGAACCACTTTAGAGAATGTTGAAGACATCATAACACTTCCCCCTAAATATTTCAGTATGTATCTCCTAAGGACAAGGATTATTCTCCTACATGATCACAATAAAAATATTACATTCAGAAAGGCAATTAAAAAAAAACCAGTTGGCCAAATAAGATCCTTAATGGCTTAAAGAAAACCCAGATGCAACAGGAACACTATTCTAATTATTCTTATCTTTCTTTAGCAGCAATACTATAAAGACAGAGGTGTCCTTCTCAGTCCAATGCATACATAATATCAGTTTCTCCCATAAATGGAAACATCAATTTGATCTTTTAATTAAGGTGGTATCTGCTACATGCTTTTCCTATTTTAAAAGTAACTTTTTCCATTTATAGCTAAAAAATGATCTGTCATACTTTGAGTAGTGTGAATTTCTGCTGGCCAGCAATTTCCCATTCTGTGTTTTGGTATCTACTGATTAGTTAAGGAATTTGATTACTTTAGAGCAAACGTGTATATTCTCTATAGACACTGTCACTTCAATAGGAGTGAATAATAGTTTGCACTCCCAGCAACAATTATGAGACAAACCTTACCAAGAGGCTATATTTTCAAGGTTTTTTGTATTTGAAAATCTGATTAGTAAGAAATGATATTAATGTAATTTGTTTCCAACTATCAGCTTTATTGCTTGTGAAATTTGACTAGGCTACATGTCTTAGATATGTGTCTGTCACCAGGGGTATGCTGGAGCTGCTGATTTGCAAGAGCAAAATCCAATTATGCACATCTCTTTCCAACTTTGCATGCGTTGACATCACTGTGGTAGTTTGAAATCTACCACGGTAAGAATACTTACCCTTTGAATATTAAAAAAGGATAAAATTACAATGTATTGCCCCTTCCCATCCTCTGTCCCGGCCAGAAAGGCAGAAAGGCAGTTATTAAACATTAACTAGCCCATAGCTCTTTGTGACCAAAATGGGCTTCCTCATACTCCCCAACTTTTACTTTCAACTTCAAATCTGGGATCTGCCTGTAGGGAGAATTAGGTGAGCACTGAGCTGAGAGGAGGACTGACCTGAGGCATATGTAGATGAGGGCAGACAGCCCTTCAGAGAAAGCTTCCCTTTGTGAGTGACCTTGGGCATATGCCTTTTTTCCTCGGTAGAGAAATATGAATGACTGTCAATCTCTTGCCATTTTAGCAAACAGATAAATAATTTCTACTCCTGTGGGTAGAAGGTGTAAAAATGGGAGAGGGGGTGGTTAGTAGTTTATGCTGATTATGCCTAAGAAAATCGAAGTTTCTGTTTTATTGGCTGGTAAGATCACAGATAGAGGCAGTGTATGGTTTTTCCTCTACTCACTAATTTTTTGATTACATTGTCTTTTCCAATTTAATACACAGAGAATTTGAGGCTCAGAAGAATTAGTTACTATACTGAAAGCAAATGAAAGACCAGTCTAGAATTTTTAGCTCTTGTATCTTAGCATGACAGAGGTGAAAGAGAGTGTAGAGCTCATTTGTTCAAACCCATCATGTTATAACTAAAGCTAAGTATACTACCAAGATTCCATTTCTCTTGCCCAAGAACAAATAGCAAGTAGGTGACAGAGCCAGAATTACAAACATAGGTCTTCTGGGTTCCAGCCCAGAAAGTCTCAGTGGTCCCATAGAAATCACATCCTTAAACTTTTGATATTTGTGCTCTTGGCTTCCAGACATGGACTCATGGACTTTGTGGTTCCAATCTAGATTTCATGAAGGAGAATGAAATGGTAGCAACTCCCCATTGAATTCTTGTGAAAATCAAGAAATCAGAGTTAATATAAAAACAAAATACTAATGCCCAAGCACACCTCTAGACCAATTAAATTGGAATAACTATCTGGAGGACAGATTCTATCATTGATTTATTTCCTATTATAATATATTTAATTTCTTATTTTAAAAGAGTAAAATGTATATTTTGGGGGGTACAGTTCTATGGTTTTAACAAATTTATCCAATGGTTGTAACTGCTACCACAAATCCTTGTGGTGTGCCCTTGAGTTAATCCCTTTCCCAAACCTCAGCCTCTGGCAACGACAGATCTATTTCCTTTTGCCATAAATTTACTTTTACAGGTAGTATACAAAGGGAATCATGCAACATGTAGCCTTTTTATTCTAGCTTATTTTACTTATAGAACATCCATATTTTGCATTTATCAGTAGCTTCTTTTCTATTGATGAATATGTATGACTGTGCTACATTTGATTTATTCATTCATAGCTGAAGTATACTTGGGTCATTTTCACTTTGGGGTGATTATGAGTAAAGCTATGACAAACATTCATGTACAGGTCATTTTTCTTAGGCAAAGATCTAGAATGGGATTACTGTATCATAGGTAAAGTTTTAGAGTTTTAAAAGAATGACAAACTGGTTTTTAAAATTATTATTTTGATAGTTTTTGGAGGACTGGTGGTGTTTGGTGACATGGATAAGTTCTTTAGTGGTGATTTCTCAGATTTTAGTGCACCCATCACCCAAGCAGTGTACACTGCACCCAATGTGCAGCCTTTTATCCATCACACCACTCCGACCCTTTCCCCCAAGACCCCAGAGTCCATTATATTATCATAATGCATTTGTGTTATCATAGCTTAGCTCCCACTTATAAGTGAGAACATACAATATTTGGCTTTCCATACTTGAGTTACTTCTCTTAGAATAATGGTCTTCAACTCTATCCAGGCTGCTGCAAATGCCATTATTTCATTCCTTTTTAGGCTGAGTAGTATTTTATGGTATATAGATATACATATTTTGTGATATGTATTATATATTGTGATATATATATTTTTGTGATATATACATTGTCTTTATCCACTCGGCTCCTTGGATGATGGACAATTAGGCTGGTTCCATGATTTTGCAATTGCAAATTGTGCTGCCATAAATGTGTCTGTGCAAGCATATTTTTCATAAAATGACTTCTTTTCCTCTGGGTGGATAACCAGCAGTGGGATTGCTGGATCAAATGGCAGTTCTACTTTTAGTTCTTTAAGGAATCTCCATGGTGTTTTCCATTGTGGTTGTACTAGTTTACATTCCCAACAGCAGTGTAAAAGTGTTCCCTTTCACCACATCCATGCCAACATTTATTAGTTTTTGATTTTTTGATTATGGCCATTCCTGCAGGAGTAAGGCGGTATCACATTGTGGTTTTAATTTGCATTTCTCTGATGATTAGTAATTTTGAGCATTTTTTTATGTTTGTTTGTCATTTGTATATCTTCTTTAAAGAATTGTCCATTCATGTCCTTAGCCCACTTTTTGATGGAAATGTTCGGGTTTTGCTTGCTGATTTGTTTGGATTCCTTGTAGATTCTGGATATTAGTCCTTTGTTGGATGCACAGTTTGTGAATATTTTCTCCCACTCTGCAAGTTTTCTGTTTATTCTGATAATTATTTCTTTTGCCATGCAGAAACTTTTACGTTTAAGTCCCACTTATTTATCTTTGCTTATGTTGCATTTGATTTTGGGTTATTGGCCATGAATTGTTTTCCTAGGACTATGTCTAGATGCTATCTTCTAGAATTTGTATAGTTTCAGGTCTTAGATTTAAATCTTTCATCCATGTTGAGTTGATTTTTCTGTAAGGTGAGAGATGAGGATCCAGTTTCATTCTTCTACATGTGGCTTGCCAATTATCCTAGCACCATCTGTTGAATAGGGTGTCCTTTCCCCACTGTATGTTTTTGTTTGCTTTGTCAAAGATCAGTTGGCTATAAGTGTTTGGCTTTATTTCTAGGTTCTCTATTCTGTTCCATTGGTCTACATGCCTGTTTTTATACCAGTACCATGCTCTTTTGTTAACTATAGCCTTATAGTATAGTTTGAAGTTGGGTAATGTCATGCCCCCAGATTTGTCCTTTTTGCTTAGTCTTGGTTTGGTTAATCAGGCTCTTTTTTGGTTCCATATGAATTTTAGGATTTTTGTTTCTCATGCTGTGAAGGATGGTGATGGTATTTTGATGGGAATTGCATGAATTTACAGATTGCTTTTGGCAGTATGATCATTTTCACAATATTGATTCCATCTATCCATGAGCACAGAATGTTTTCCATTTGTTTGTGTTGTCTATGATTTCTGTCAGCAGTGTTTTGTAGTTTTCCTTGTACAGATCTTTCACCTCTTTGGTTAGGTATATTTCTAAATATTTTTTTTGCAACTGTTTTAAAAGAGGTTGTATTCTTGATTTGTTTCTCAGCTTGGTGGCTGTTGGTGTATAACAGTGCTACTGAGTTGTTTACATTGATTCTGTATCCTGAAACTTCAATGAATTCATTTATCAGATCTAGGAGCTTTTTAGATGAGTCTTTAGTATTTTGAAGGTATACAATCATATCATTCACAAACAGCAACAGTTTGACTTCCACTTTATCAATTTGGAAGCCCTTTATTTCTTTCTTTTGTCTGATTGCTTTGGCTAGGACTTCCAGTACTATACTGAATAGAAATGTTAAAAGTGGGCATGCTAGTCTCGTTCCAGTTCTCAGGGGAAATACTTTCAACTTTTCCCCATTCAGTGTAATGTTTTCTGTGGGTTTGTCATAGATGGCTCTTATTATCTTAAGGTATGTCCCATCTCTGCCTATTTTGCTGAGGGTTTTAATTATAAAGAGATGCTGGATTTTGTCAAATGCTTCTACTGCATCTATTGAAATGATCATATAGTTTTTGTTTTTACCTCTGTTTATGTGGTGTATAATATTTATTGACTTGTGTATGTTAAACCATCCCTGCATTCCTGGTATGAAACCCACTTGGTTATGGTGGATTATCTTTTTGATATGCTGTTGGATTTGATTAGCTAGTAGTTTGTTGATTTTTGCATCTATGTTTACCAGGGATATTGTTCTGTAGTTTTCTTTTTTATGTTCTTTCCTGGTTTTGGTATTAGGGTAATACTGGTTTCATAAAATTATTTAGGGAAGATTCCCTCTTTCTCTATCTTTTGGAATAGTTTCAGTAGGATGAGACCAATTCTTCTTTGAATGTCTGATAGAATTCAATTCTGAATCCATCTGGTTCTGGACTTTTTTATTTTGGCATTTTTTTATTACTGTTTTAATTTTGCCACTTGTTATTGGTCTGTTCAGAGTTTCTATTTCTTCCTGATTTAACCTATGAGGGTTGTATATTTCCAGGAATTTTTCCATCTCCTGTAGGTTTTCTAGTTAATGCACATAAAGGTGTTCACAGTAGCCTTGAATTATCTTTTGTATTCCTGTGGTATCGGTTGCAATATCTCCCGTTTTATTTTAAATTGAGCTTATTTGTATCTTTCTCTTCTTTTCTTGGTTAATCTTGCTGAAGGTCTATCGATTTTGCTTATCATTTCAAAGAACCAGCTTTTTGTTTTATTTATTTTTTATATATTTGTTTGTTCCAATTTCATTTAGTTCTGCTCTGATCTTTGTTATTTCTTTTCTTCTGCTGGGTTTTGGTTTGTTTTGTTTCTCTAGTTCTGTGAGGTGTGACCTTAGATTGTCTATTTGTACTCTTTCAGACTTTTGGTTGTAGGTGTTTAATGCTATGAACTTTCCTCTTAGCACCTTAATGTGGTTAGGCTTTGTGTCCCCACCCAAATCTCATACTGAATTGTAGTTCTCATAATCCCCATATGTCGTGGGAGGGGCCAGGTGAAAGGCAATTGAATCATGGGGGCGGGTCTTTTCCTTGCTCTTCTTGTGATGGTGAATAAGTCTCTTGAGATCTGATGGTTTAATAAATGGGAGCTCCCCTGCACAGCTCTCTTGCTTGACATCATGCAAGATGTCCCTTTGCTCTTCCTTTGTCTTCCACCATGATTGTGAGGCCTCCCAAGCCATGTGGAACTGTGAGTTTATTAAACCTCGTTCTTTTATAAATTATCCAGTCTTGGGTATGTCTTTATTAGCAGCGTGAGACAGACTAATACACACCTATTTGGCTGTATCCAAGAGATTTTGATCGGTTGTGTCACCATTATCTTTCAGTTCAAATATTTTTTTAATTTCTATCTTGAGTTCATTTCTGCCCCAAGGATAATTCTGGAGCAGATTATTTAATTTCCATGTGTTTGTATAGTTTTGAGGGCTCCTTTTGGAGAAACCAAAAGAGAGCAGGAGTTGCTACTCTTATATCAGACAAAACAGACTCTAAAGCAACAACAGTTAAAAAAGACAGAGAGGGGCCAGGTGCAGTTGCTCACGCCTGTAATCCCAGCACTTTGGGAGGCCGAGGTGGGCAGATCACGAGGTCAGGAGATCCAGACCATCTTGGCTAACACGGTGAAACCCCGTCTCTACTAAAAAAAAATACAAAAAATTAGCCGGGAGTGGTGGTGGGTGCCTGTAGTCCCAGCTACTCAAGAGGCTGAGGCAGGAGAATGGCGTGAATCCGGGAGGTGGAGCTTGCAGTGAGCCGAGATTGAGGCACTGCACTCCAGCCACTGGGCGAGAGGGAGACTCCGTCTCAAAAAAAAGACAGAGAGGAACATTATATAATGATATAAGGATTAGTCCAACAGGACAAACTATTTTCTTATGTGCCTGTAGCATTTTGCATTTGCACCAGTAGGGGAGATTCCTTCCTAGCACTTAGTTTTGTCGAGTTATTTTTTTCTTTAATATTATTCATTCTAATAGGTTTTATTGGCATATCCTTATGGATGTACAATCACGCACAGCATAACAACATTTCAGTCAATGATGAACCACTTACATAATGGTGATGCCATATGTAAGTGAAATCACTTACCGGTGGTAAATGGCATTATAAGATTGTAATACCACATATTTACTGCACCTTTTTATTTTTAGATACACAAACACTATTGTATTACCATTGCTTATAATATTCAGTATAATGATATGCTGTACAGGTTTGTAGCCTAGAAGCAATAGAGTATACCACGTTGCATAGGTTTGTAGTAGGCTACACCATCTAGGTTTGTGTAATCATAGTCTATGATGTTTACAAAATGACAAAATCATTCAACAGGGCATTTCTTAGAACATAACACTGTCATTAAGTGACGCATGTCTGTAATTTGCTTTTCTTTAATGACTATATTGAATGTCTTTTTATGTGTTTATTTGCCATCCATATATTTTCTTTGATGTTTATGTTCAAATCTTTATCTTTAAATTTGTTTTCTTTTTATTATTGAGTTTTAAGTACTTTTTGTATATTCTGGTAAAAAGTCCTTTGTCCGATGTATGTTTTACAAATATTTTCTCATATTTTGTGGCCTTCCCTTTCCGTTTTCATTCTCTTAACTATGATTTTATGAAGTACTTTTTAATTTTGATGAAGTCCAATTTATATACTTTTTTTCTCTTATGGATTATGATTTTGGTGTTATATCTAAGAAATATTTGTTCTACATGAAGTCACAGATATTTTATCTTATATTTTATTTGAGACATTAGAAATTTTTAGGTTTTACACATAGATCTATAATCAATTTGGGGTTAAATTTTTGTGTAAGGTAGGAAGTATGGATTTTTCTAGTTTTTTTTCTTCTTCTCCTTCTTTTGCATGTTGCCGTCAAATTGCTCCAGTACAATTTGATGAAAAGACTCTTCTTTCGGCCCGGTGCGGTGGCTCACGCCTGTAATCCCAGCACTTTGGGAGGCCGAGGCGGGTGGATCACGAGGTCAGGAGATCGAGACCATCCTGGTTAACACAGTGAAACCCCGTTTCTACTAAAAATACATAAAATTAGCTGGGTGAGGTAGCGGGCGCCTGTAGTCCAAGCTACTCCGGGGGCTGAGGCAGGGGAATGGCGTGAACCCCAGGGGGCGGAGCCTGCAGTGAGCCGAGATCGCACCACTGCACTCCAGCCTGGGCGACAGCGAGACTCCGTCTCAAAAAAAAAAAAAAAGAAAGATTCTTCTTTCTCCATTGAATTGCTTTTGCTCCTTTATTAAAACTCAATGACTTGCATTTATGTGGTTCTATTGGTGAACTCTATTATGACTCATTGAAATATGTATTTATCCTTTTGCAAATACTACATTGTCCAAATTAATATGTAGATTTACATTAAATCTTTAGATGATGTAACATATCCTCCAAAATAACTTTGTTTTCAAACTTATTTTGAGTAATGTAGGTTCTTTGATCCCATGTAAATTTTACAACAATCTTGTGATTTAAAAAGCTACTGGGAAAATGATTAAGATTGTATTAAATCTGTAGAGTAGTTTGGGAGACATGATAGTTTATTTTATATGTCAATTGGATGGGTTATGGGACCCAGATGTTTGGTATATCATTATTCTGAAAGTTTCTTTGAAGCTGTTTTTAGGTAAGATTAACATTTAAATTAGTGGACTTTCAATGAAGCAGATTGTTTTACATAATGTGTGTAGGCCTCATTCAATCAGTTGAAGGCCTGAATAGCATAAAAGTATAATCTCTACAAAGGAAGAAGGAAGTCTGCCAGCAGATAACCTAAGGGCTTGAACCACAACAATCTCTCTTCCCTGCTGGCCCACCATGGAGGTTTTGGACTTGCCAGCTTCCATAATTGCATGAACTAATTCCTTAACATCACTCTCTCTCTGCCTCTCTGCCTCGCTCTCTCTCATATATATATATATATATGTATGTGTGTGTATGTATATATATGTGTGTGTATATATGTATAGGTATATATATGTGTGGGTGTATACACACATGTGTGTATATATGTATGTGTGTTTATGTGTGTCTCTGTGTGTATTTTATTAGTCTTGTTTCTCTGAAGAAGCCAAGAGATTTTTCTTTTTTTCTTTTTATTTTTTTGTGACAGAATGTCACTCTCTCCCCTAGGCTGGAATGCAGTGGTGCAATCTTGGTTCACTGCAACTTCTGCTTCCCAGGTTCAAGTGATTCTTGTGTCTCAGCCTCCCGAGTAGCTGGGATTACAGGCAGGCACCACCAGCCCTGGATAATTTTTGCACTTTTAGTAGAGACAGGGTTTCACCATGTTGGCCAGGCTGGTCTCAAACTCCTGACCTCAAGTGATTCTCCCTCCTTGGCCTCCCAAAGTGCTGAGATTACAGGTTTGAGCCTCCACACCTGGACCCCCAAGAGATTAACATCTTTAAAATATTGGGTCTTCCAAATTGTGGACACAATAATTCTTTCAGTTTACTCAGATCTTGATTCTTTTTTATCCTTGCTTTGTAATTTTCAGTATTCATATCCTGCACCTATTTTGTTGGATTTATGTCTTAGTAGTTAATGCTTTTGATGCTGCTTTAAATAGTAGGCTTTCCATATTTCAGTTTCCAATTGTTTATTATAGTATATAGGAAAATAGTTTTTCTATATTGATCATGTATCTTGCAACTTAGGTATACTAATTCTATGAGTATTTTCAGTAGATTCCATGGGATTTTCTGTGTAGATAGACATGTCTTCTACAAATAAAGAGAGTTTTATTTATTTCTGTCTAGCCTCTATGAATTTTAATTCTTTTTCTTGTCATGTTGAGTAGGAGCTGTGAAAAATTATATTCTTGCCTTTTCTCAGTCTTAAGGGAATAACATTCAGCATTTAACTATTAAATGTCATGCTAGCTATAACCTGTTGTATTTTATGAGATATGTTTTATAAGATTAAAGAAATTCTCTTCATTCTTAGTTTACTGAGTGGTTTTTAAATCATGAATGAATGTTGAATTTTGTTAAATCATATTTATGCATAATGAGATGATCATATATATATTTAATTGGTTCATATAGTAAATTACATTGATAGGTTTTGAATTTTTAAACAGCCTTTTCTTCCTGAGAAAACTTCATTTGATCCAAACATTAACCTTTTTATATTGCTAGATTGATTTACTAATATTAACTTGAGAAGATATATGTTTATACTCATGAAGGATGTGGATCTGTCATTGCTGTCCTTTTCTTGTAATGTATTTGACATTAGTGGAAAGAAAATACTGGATTTATAAAATAGGTTGGAAATTATATGATCCTTTTCTATTTTCCGGAATAGTGTAGGCATAATTGGTGTTATTTCTTACTTAAAAATTTGGTAGAATTTACAAATAAAATAATCTGGGCCTGGAGTTTTCTTTGATAAAATATTTTAAGTATGGATGTAATTTATTTAATAAGTACAAGATTATCCAGACTATTAATTTTTGAGTGAATTTTCATAGCTTGTATCTTTCAAGAAATTGGTCCATGTCATCTATATTAAATTTATGGACATAGAATTTATGGGCATAAAATTCCTCTATCATCTTTGTCATGTCTGTAAGGTCTGTACTGATATCCTCTATTTTGTTCCTAAAATTTGTAATTGGTGTCCTCTCTTTTTTTCTTTGCTGGTTAGAGGTTTATGAATTTTATAAATCTTAAAATAAACTGTTTTGTTTCATTGATTTTCTCTATAATTTTTTTAGTTTCAAATTTAATTGATTTCTGTTCCTTATTTCTCTCTCTCTGCTTTATTCGAGTTACTTGTCTGCTAGCTTTTAAGCCTAGATTGTTGATTTGAGACTTTTCTTTTTTTACTAACATAAGCAGTTAATGCTGTAAATATTCCTTTAAGTACTGTTTGAGCTTCACCTCATAAATGTTGATATGTTCTATTATCATTCAGTTCAAAATATTTTCTAATATCATTTGAAAAACCCTCTGACACATGAGATTTTTAGAAGCGTGTGTTTTAATGTTCAAATATTGGAAAATCCTTAGATATCTTTATTTTATTGATTTCTAATTAAATTATATCATAGTCAGAGAAGATATTTTCCATAATTTAAATGTATTTAAATTTGCTAAGGTTTGTTTTATGACCCAGAATGTTGTCTATGTTGGTCAATATTCCAGATGCATTTGAGAAAAAAGTATATTCTGTGGATGGATTGTTCTACAAATATTAATTAAGTCAAGGTGGCTGGAAGTTCTGTTCATGTGTTTTTATCTTTGTTGATGTTCTTTCTACATGAACTGTCTGTTACTAAAAGGAGTGATGAAGCCTTCAACTATGTGTATTTGTCTGTTTCTCCTTTGAGTTCTACTGTTTTCTTGTATCACAAATTCTGAAGTTCTGATGCTAGATATATACACACTTATGACTGGTAGGTCTTCTTGTTGAATTTAATCTGTTATTATTATACAACATAACTCTCTTTCTGGTAATCATCTTTCTTATGAAGTCTACTTTATCTGATAATAATTTAGCCACTTCAACTGTCTTTGGATTATTGTTTTCATGTTATATTTTTTCATTCTTTTAATTTACCCCTATATTAAAATAGGTTTATAGATAGATATATATTAATTTAATCCAACCTACCATCTCTATTTTAATTGTTTTACTTAAAATATTTAATTTAATTATTGATATAATTAAAATTTTTATTTTTTTATTCCCCTCCTCTGATTTTAGTTGTTCTGCTTTAATGACTTGTTAGATTATTTGAATATTTGTAGTACTAACATTAGGTTTTGGACTTTTTTATTTCTTTTATCATTGATGTAAGGATTACAATATGTATATTCATATTTCTACATTCTATTTAGAGATAATACTTTATCAATGTTATCAGTAAAATATAGTTTAACTTAGAATCCTACAGGCCTCTTTATACATTTTCTGCCTCCTATGCTAAAAATTATCATATGTATTGCATTTACATACCTTGAAAATGTTACCAGAAAATGTTACCATGTATACATTCTGAATTCATGTACATTTTAAATAAGAAGAGAAAGAGAGACCTTGATATTTTTTCAGATATTTAGCATGTTTCTTGCTCTTCTTTTTTTCTTGGTATTCCATGTTTTCTCTTGTATCATTTTTCTTCATCATGAAAAAGCTTTTTCAGCATTTTTTCTAGAACAAGACTGCTGACTACATATTTTCTTAATTTTCTTTTGTCTAAAGATGTCTTCATTTTTCCTTCATTCTGAAAGAATATTTTCTCTAGATATAGAATTCTGGGTTGACACTTTCTTTTTTTATATATAAGCCCTTTGAAGATACTATTGTTCTGAAACTTTTGGATTTTGTGTGAAAAATACATAGTACTAAAATTGTTTTCCCAATATGTAGCGTGTCAGTTTTCTGTAGTGCTTTACTTTGATTTTATTTTGATTTTATTTTGATTTTATTTTGTTTTGTATGTTTTGAGCTTCTTAAAATTTTAAATCTCAGTAAGTTTGAGAAGCTTTCAACCATTTTTTTTTCAAAATTTTATATTATACCAAATTTTTCTCTCACTCTGAGACATTAATGACAAAAATGTCACAATTCTTTAGCTTTATTTATTCATTTTAAATTTTTTTCATATTCTTTAGTTTGGGAAAATCTCGATCTACTTTCAATTTGACAGATTTTTTTGTCATTTCTATTTTATCATTTAAACTTTGCCTGTGAGTTTTTAAATTTTATAAATTATACTTTTTAACATGTTTTCCCAATTATTTCCAGCATGTTTACCTTTACTTCATGATGCATAGTCTTTATAGCTGTTTTAAGGCTTTTGCTTGATTATTATAGACTGAACTGTCTCCCCATAAACTTCATATGTTGAAATCCTAACCCCCTTTTTGACTGTATTTGGAGATAAGGCCTTTAGGGAAGCAATTAAGGAGGAAAATAAATGGTTATAATTGTGGGTCCCTAGTCTAAAATGACTAGTGTCTTTATGAGAAAAGGAGGAGCCATCAGAGATATCTATCTCTCTGTGTGCACACAGAAGAAAGGCCATGTTTGTGATAGAGGCAGGAGGCAGACAAACCCTATGCAGACAGGGATGAGTCCCCAGTGAAACCATACCTTCATATCAAAGACAGTTTAAGGCCTGAAAATCAAGCTACAAATCTCACATAAATCCATTGATCAGATTGAGAACCTCTCTTCCTGTTTGGCACACTTTCCTCTGATTGATCCCCACCCTTCACCTATTTTATACATACTTATCCTTCCCTAATTGTTTTTTTACACTGTTGTGCCCATCTTTGAGTGGTATGTTTTTTAGCCTTTTTTGCATACTCAAAAACCAATTAGCATGCACTCCCTCATTCTGAGCACATAAAAGCCCCTATTTCAGCTACATTTTGAGAGCTACTTAACTTTGGGTAGTGGGTTATCCCCTATGGGTCTCCTCTCCACTAAGAGCTGTCACTCAATAGAACTCTCCACCCTGCTCACCCTTCGGTTGTCAGTAACCTCATTCTCCTTGGACGTGGGACAAGTACTCAGGACCCACAGAACTCAGGTACAAAAAAGGCTGTAACACTGTAGCTCTCCACCCTCCGCTGGTGCCAGGCAGCTGCCCCATGGGACAGGAAGTAGCAGTGAGGCTGAGCCAGCACTGGAGCCATTGGCCAGAGCAGGGCAGAGGGAATGAATGCACTGTAAAACAAATGGGCTGAAACATGGCCCCCATCCCCCATTCACCATTCTGCTAGTGGCAGGAAAAAGAAGGGAGCTTTGAACCTTCTGGGGTCGTAGACCTCAGGGCTCCCCAAACTAAAGCTATATCATCCTGTAGCACCCATTTTGGGCTTTGGGATCACTGGTATCTCTGAGTTTTTCAGGCACCATCGCATTCACCTTGTCCAGCCACTGGTGCCGAAGGCAGAAGCAGGACATGACATGACCAGCCCAGCTGCAGGCTGAGCATGGATCCTGCAGCAAGCATGAGATATGGGCCAGAGTGCAAGCCAAGTGGAGTGATTCAGGCTAAGTGGGCAGAGTGCTTCCAGCTGGGGGCCCAGAGCTGAGCAAGGCCCAGGCAAGGGCATTGCTGGCCACCTAGGTCTCCAGCTGGCAAAACAGCACCAAAAAATCCTGTGTCATGAGGACATAGCAAAAAGGCAGCCACCTATAAGATAGCAAGAGAAGCCTCACTATTCAACAACTTTGATTCTTTGGTCTTAGATTTCTAGCCTCCAGAACTTTAAAAAAATATATCATGTTATTTATAACACCCAGTCTTTAGTATTTTCCTATGGCATCCCTAATAGACTAATACATTGATAATTCACCATTAACATTTTCTCAAGGCTACCATCTGTTGATTGCATTTTAGCTTGAGGTGTTTCTGGTTCTTTGTATGTAAAAATTTTTGTAATGTATTCTGGACATTTTGAATATTATGTTATGTAGACTCTAAATCTGCTCAAAATGCTCTAGGAAAATTTTATTGTTCAATAACATCTTCAGAATTTCATGTAGAATGTGTTTATGTTTGATAATTATGTTGGAATGGCACACCTAAGATATTTGTCTTGATGTCAAGTTTGCATATTAGGAACAATATTTTGACCTGTATTGAATAATTTCACCTGATATAAATAAAGTTGATTTAGAAAACAAAATTTCTTTTTCTATACAAATCCAGTCTTCCTACCATTACTGGAATCTGGTAGATTGGGGCAAAAAAAAAATTTCTGTGATTTGAGATAAATCCACTCCATCATGATTTGCAAAATCTGTTTGACTAACAGCTTAGTGATTTTAATTCACTTTCTTTAAGTCATAAGTAGAACTATATGTTTATATACAATTTAGAGATAACTCTCCTTTTACGTAAATAACACAAATGCATTCCCCCCAAAATATATTTAATTCTGTCATATGTAGCATTGCAGTATTTTGTATATATAACATAATATTTTTCTATATAACTTAACATATTTTTAATCCTGTAGGTTTGGAAAGTCATTTTTACTATCCACATAACAGGTAAGTAATATATTTGCTAGTTGATGTTCATTTTATATGCTGCTAAACTATTTAGAAAATAAGCTCATTTATGTTCATAAATAAGCTTCTGTCTGGGATACATGTTATTTAAAAATATGACTGTGGCTAGTAATAACAAGTGGACACTAATATAATTTTGTGCTGAACTAGGTTTTTCTTCTGTGAACCAAAAATTTAACACTCTACTTATGTAGTTTCTATCACTTAAACGTACCAAAATCTCAGCATCAGCCACAGAGTTATGAGATTAAAGTCCAGTAAGCTCCAGTGAATTCCTTTGCTTGTAGTTAATATAAATTAATAATGAATAGGGAAGAATGTTTTAACAGTTACACAAATTCCCTGCCATGCCAAATTACACTACATTAACAGAACATCAAATGGCAAATGCTAATTTACAATAGTTTAAAAGTGAAATTTTCTACAGTCTACAGAATTTATGCTATTGAAACCCAGAAAAAGGAAAGCTTGTTTATATGTTGAAAAAAATGGCCTAGAAATTACTGTGGGGTGTGTGTGTAGGATAAAATAGGCAAGCTAATTCCATAAAATTCAATGAGCTTTTGGAATGCAAATTTCAACTGTCAAATCTTAATTAAAAAGTACCAGTCAGCACTATTTAAAAATTGGAAGAGAACTAAGTGGTGGGTTGTTGGAAAAATGTGCAACTTGCTTTCTAAATAGAGTAGGTAGGCTGACAGGTATATAATTAACATCAGATCAAGTGAAGGACAGGAAGCCAACTGCAGTTCCTTGAAGGGAGGAGCTTCAGCAATTTTCAAGACAGAGAAAAAGGTTCTTCAATCATAGGTAATTTATGATGCCTTTTATTTCTAAAACACAATCTACTTTTTTTGTGTGTTGAACTTTCCTGAACCTTAGAAAGCAGTGACATTTGCAGAGCTGAGGTTTTATGCTAAGAGGTTAATATTAACATAAACGTTTAGGCACCTTGTGTCAATTAGAGCACTTTATCAGTTTTGTTGGACTTCTGGTATCTTTGGGTCATTGCTCTCTTCAACTCAACCTTTTTTTTATTGGTGAGGGGGAGTGCTGTATTGTTTCACTTATATATAAAAATAGAAATTAGGCAGCTGCCATTTGGAAGTGTTCCCTGCTTAGTGTTCTCTGCTATGGAAATATCTTTGAACACTTAGAATTCACAAGATCTACAACATATTTTGGACAGTGATATGATTTTTAAAAAAGTGTAACACTCCTAGGCCCAAAGTGGTTTGCAGAGGACAGTAGAAAATTGCCTTATTCATGGTTTCCCTTACAATTGAGCACTTTTGTAAGATTTTTCAAATGAGGATATTCATGAGCAAAATCTCTTTGGATAGACCACAACAAGCAAAATTAAAATTAATTTCTAAAAGAAGTCTCACAACAGTTATGTCATGAACACAACCTTTTAAGAAAGGATTGGGAGCAGTGATTCACTTAAGAAAGTGAGTGAGTTAGGTATGGGATCTTGATAGGAAATGAGACTTGAAATGCAGGAATTTTGCAGACACAGAAAATGGAGATGGATATGCACAGTTTTTAAACACCAGTCATACTGAATTCTAGTGGGCACACTGAGAATTTAGAGTTCTTATAAATTAGAAAGATCCATATACATCTAAGATAATGCTTTTGCGATGTGACTTGATTTTGCCTTTATTTTCAGCCAGCATATACAGAGAATTTTGAGAACTAACAACTTAGATACAGAAAGTGTCCACTTCTGATGTCAATCTATGACAGAAGAAGGCAAATCTCTCAGTTTGCTATGGTACATAGTCTGCCAGTTCAGCACATTATGATGATGGTATCTATTCAGTTATCCACCAATATAGAATTCCTCTCATGTGATAATGCAAATCTTTATTAAACCAGGAATTTTAAAAATTAAAGTAAAACAAAAGTTAAAACAAACACAACTGAGGCACTTTATTTTCCTATGTGTTTAGTATTTATTAAAATTAAAGCTCTAAAATGGAGCAAATAATGAATGATGGTTGCTTATTTTAAGCACTTACTGTGGACAATGATAGAGGAAAAAATCAGTGTTCTACCTCCAGCTGCTAATTCCTAAACACTTCATTAATTACTCAGAATTCAGAGAAGCAGGGTATTTAATTAGTTTCTCAAATGAGATAAATAACAGTTAGCCATCATGCAAATGCACATCGTAGTTTTAGCATGGATATTTTTGACAGCAACTCTGTAGACAGTAAAATGTCAAGTAAAGCAAAAACCTTCACAAAATAAAACCAATGTATGTAACTGCCGATGCACCTAAACTTACAAAACCCTTCCACAACAAGGAGCTATGTTTAGTTACATATGATTTAATTTGGGGGATCCATTTGGAGTCACTGGTGCTAACAGTAGGAGGGTAAGTACCATGATTCACTTTACCTAGAAGTCCATCACTGCTGTCTTTGGAAGCACCATGCATTTCCCATGGTCTTTCTAGAACAGAAATTTTCAATGAGGTGTGGAATGAATAGTACATTTGGGCAACGTTTTCAAAATGTTCATGTTCACTGTCTCTCAGGAAATTAATTATGTTCTAGACAGCAAGATATTTTTCAAAGATCAAGTTAGAGCCCGAGGAAAAATAGGAATTAACCATTCCAGGTAGAAGAGAGAGGAGAGTGGTCCAGGCAGTGGAAAAAGCATTTCTAATGATCTGAATGTGAAAGAAAAGATGACATACTTGAATCAGTATACACACACACACACACATATATATACACACACATATACATATATACATACATATGTGTGTACATGTGTATATATACAGTATGTATGTCACTATATATGTGACATACCGCATATATATACATAGACATATATACGTATATATGTGTGTGTGTATATATATATATACACACACACACACATACATAGATGTATATATATATACAGTATGTCACAATATATTTATATAATTCCTCTTGGCCTTTGTCAGGTGGATAGATTGCAAAAATTTTCTCCCATTCTGTAGGTTGCCTGTTCACTGATGATAGTTTCTTTTGCTGAGCAGAAGTGTTTTAGTCATGAAGTCTTTGCGCATATCTATGTCCTGAATGGTATTGCCTAGGTTTTCTTCTAGGTTTTCATAGTTTTAAGTTTCACATTTAGTATTTAATCCATCTTGAGTTGATTTTTGTGTAAGGTGTAAGGAAGGTGTCCAGTTTCTGTTTTCTGCATATAGCTAGCCAGTTTTCCCAGCACCATTAATTAAACAGGGAATCCTTTCTCCACTGCTTGTTTTTGTCAGGTTTTTTGAAGATCAGATGGTTGCAGATGTGTGGTATTATTTCTGAGGCCTCTGTTCTTTTCCATTGGTCTGTATATCTGTTTTGGTACCAGTACCATGCTGTTTTGGTTACTGTAGCCTTGTAGTATAGTTTGAAGTTAGGTAGCATCATGCTTCCAGCTTTGTTCTTTTTGCTTAGGATAATCTTGGCTATACAGGCTCTTTTTTTGGTTCTATATGAAATTTATACTATTTTTTTCTAATTCTGCAAAGAAAGTCACTCGTAGCTTATGGGAAGAGCATTGAATCTATAAATTACTTTGGGTAGTATAGCCATTTTCACAATATTGATTCATCCTATCCAGGAGCAAGGAATTTTTTTCCATTTGTTTCTGTCCTCTCTTACTTTCTTGAGCAGTGGTTTGTAGTTCTCCCTGAAGAGGTCATTCACGTCTCTTGTAAGTTGTATTCCTAGGTATTTTATTTTCTTTGTAGCAATTGTGAATGGGAGTTCACTCATGATTTGTCTCTCTGCTTGTCTATTATTAGTGCATAGGAAGGTCTAATATCCAGAGTCTACAAGGAACTTAAGCAAATTTACAAAAAAAAAAACCCATCAAAAAGTGGGCAAAGGATATGGATGGACACTTCCCAAAAGAAGACATTTATGTGACCAACAAACATATGAAGGAAAGTTCATCATCACTGGTCATTAGAGAAATGCAAACGAAAAACACAATGAGATACCATCTCACACCAGTTAGAATGACAATTATTAAAAAGTCTGGAAACAAGAGATCCTGGTGAGGATATGGAGAAATGGGAATGATTTTACACTGTTGGTGGGAGTGTAAATTAGTTCATTCGTGGTGGAAGACAGTGTGGCGATTCCTCAAGGATCTAGAACCAGAAATACCATTTGACCCAGCACTCCCATTACTGGATGTATACCCAAAGGATTATAAATCATTCTACTATAAAGACACATGCACACATATGTTTATTGCAGCACTATTCACAATAGCAAAGAGTTGGAACCAACCCAAATGCCCATCAATGATAGACTGGATAAAGAAAATGTGGTACGTATACACCATGGAATACTATGCACCCGTAAAAAAGAATGAGTTCCTGTCCTTTGCAGGGGCATGGATGAAGCCTGAAGCCATGATCCTCAGCAAACTGACACAGGAACAGAAAACCAGACACCGCATTTTCTCACTCATAATTGAGAGTCGAACAATGAGAACACATGGACGCAGGGAGAGGAACATCACACACCAGGGCCTCTTGGGATGTGTGGGTCTGGGGGAGGGATAGCATTAGGACAAATATCTAAGACATTCAGGGCTTAAAACCTAGATGGCGAGTTGATAGGTGCAGCAAACCACCATGGCACATGTATAACTGTGTAACAAACCTGCACGTTCAGCACGTGTATCCCAGAACTTAAAGTAAAATAAAATTTAAAAAAAGGCAGCTGACGTTCCGGGTCATAAACTTGGAACAAAGGGGAATTTAATTTGAAGGTTTATATACTGTGTAATAAATTATATTCCCCCAAAAGCACTTAATAAAAGTCCTATCTTAAGTGGTGCTGCTGGAGAAAAAAAAACAAAAAACATATTCCTCTTGGCCCATTTCTTTGACCTTAGTCCATCTTTCCTTTCTTTCCTTTACAGAGTGTTTACCTCCTTCTCTTGCCCACTTAACGTTAGACTTTCTGGACTTCTATTCCTTGTACCTAGATCAGTGAGCCAAGTAAAGCAAGTGTAAACTTCTGATAAACTGGGACAGAAAAAATAGGAATGCCTACAAGTAAGACACTCTAAACTTACCCACCCTGTTAACGGACTCTCACCATCTGGGGAAATAAACTGACTTACAGCCATATCATATTGAATGCCTATTAAGAGTTGATTGTATTTAGTTCCAAACTTTTATGATACTTGTAATTGTAATGACATAATTTAATGAGAGAAGAAAAAATTTTTTTTTGTCCCAAGCATATGAATAAGAACTAGCAAGTGATCATTGAATATACTTATAAAATAGTGTTCTATGGCCAGGCACTGTGGCTCACACCTGTAATCCCAGCACCTTGGGAGGCCCAGGTGGGCTGATCATGAGGTCAGGAGCTCGAGGCCAGCCTGGCCAACATGGTGAAACCCTGTCTCTGCTAAAAATACAAAAATTAGCCTGGCATGGTAGCGCATGCCTGCAATCCCAGGTACTCAGGAGGCTGAGGCAGGAGAGTCACTTGAACCCAGGAGGCGGAGGTTGCAGTGAGCAGAGATAGCACCATTGCACTCCAGCCTGGGGGACAGAGCGAGAATCTGTCTCAAAAAAAAAAAAATGTTCTATTTGTGATAGGGGAATGAAAATCAGACTGTATTAAGTTTATGCATAAATGGCAGACAAGAAAGGAAGTAGAAACTGTAAGGATAAAAACTCAATAAAATGGTCTGTGAAAAGGAAAGAGGAGGTTAAATAGTGTTTAGAGATGACATGGGGTCAAGGGACTATCTTTTGTCACTAAATGAGAGGCAATTAAGCATGTATAATATATAAGGACCGTCTAGTGACAGAAAAGGTGGCAGATCGGGGGAAAAGATTCATTAGAATATAAAAGTGAGAAGGTTTGGATTAAAGATTATAATGTTTGGAATCATATATATTTTAATTTTTTTGAGCTCTGCAACTAAGACCTGTGGCTAAATTATTTAACTTCTCACCACTTTGCTTTAGACTTTACAATGTAATATGTATTTTGATTGATTTGTACATGGAAAAATAACTGCTAAATTACCCCACATTAAAACACAAGCACAGACAAAAGTATCTGTAAAGTTATCCAACCGCTGCTAAAATACAAGAAAATCAATACAATCGCATATTATAGCTTTAAGATATATATTTCATTTTTATAAGCCAAGCACTTTAGACAATTAGAGAATTTAGACAATTAATAGAATTTACACTTAGTGAAAATGTTGTAATTGCTTACATAAAAACAATAGAGGATTTTTTTAACTTTCTTGAGCTCTTAGTGAGAAATAAATATGCTGGCTGAAAAAAAAAGAGGTTATGCATAAATTCAAAGGAATTATTCAAAGACACATAGATGCAGTTAAGCGTAAAGATCTCTAAGGATATTAGAGAGTCCTTGGTCCTCAGATATGCTAAGTTTCCTCCCATGGGTAAGAATGTAATGTATGTACAGAGTTAGTATATTTTCATACTCAGCCACTAAAGCTGTGATTAGCTTGATGACAGGTTTATACTTATGAAAATTAAGAAAATCATTTAATCATGTGGCTATGTTTCTCAATTGAGTGTTCTTTATCTTTTTTGGCTTCTGGATGACTTGCTGCCACCCTTTGCAATCTGGTAGAGCCTATGGAAAAAGGCTCCACATCACCATATCCTGTGGTCACAGGCTTCCAGCATCTAGCATGTTGCCTGTCAGATATTTACAAATATTTGGTCATCCAGTCACTTCTATTTCCTGAAGCTGCAAACCTTAACTTTTATGATGCTGTTTTATCTTGATTCTTCTTTCACCTTCTCTACATTTAAAGAGTATCTTTTCCTATTATCTCCAAAAGTGATATTCAGTTCTAACTCCTTTGGAAATTTGAGCCTTCTATAGTATCACCAGAAATGAATTTATTATGAAATTTAAACTTCTGCACCTCTCAATTTTATGAGCCACTTCCAAGATCCCAAACCAAATATTTGTCATATCGCTTTATTTTTCTTAAAGATGGCCTCTCAAATGTATATGCTTTGGATCCCACAAATGAATATGTCCATAATTTATATATATATAATTTATAAATTTATAATATAATTACATGCATAATAGTGTATAAGCATATATATGCATACACACACTAATATGTAATTTTTAAATTTCTGTATTTGATTTATATGACATAATAGAATTCACTAACTTCTCATATTTAATATGATTAAAACCACCTGTTCTTCCTTTAAACTAACTTCACCTCCTAACTTACCTATTTCCATTAAGGGCAACACCATACTGTCAGTTATGCTGACTCAAAACCTAAGAATAGTGATTAAATTTTCCCTTATCTTCACTCGTATTTACAGTTACTAAGACCTATCAATCTTCACTCGGTTTAGACATTTCTATATCTATTTATTCCATTCCCATCCGGGTCTTTCTTACCACTTATCCTTTGCACTGCTAACACCATAGACCAAGTCACTTTGATATTTCAACCTTTTATTATTGCAATAGGTATCCTGGCTTTTAACTTGTGTGCCCCCTTTCTTAGATTCTATTTTAAAGATATAAATCATAATTATTTGTTGAAAACATAATTATTTATTTAAGACTAAAATAACATCGTGTCACTCCTCTGCTCAAACCCTGTGCTAGCTCATTGCTCTCAGGGCAAAAGACAGTTTATAGAGTGTCCTGAAAAACCTTAACTGATCCCAAAACCCATTCCCTCCAATTCCACTTCCTATTTCTCTTTATTCACTTTACTCCAGCTGCACTGACTTTTAGATACTGTCTTGAATGTGCTGGACACAGGTGTAACATAAGGTCTTTTCCTAGCTCTTTTCTCTGCCTGGAACACGTTTTTCCCAGATATTCATGTCACTTACTCACTCAAGATTTCCCTCAGATGTCACCTTCACGATGAGGCCCACTGTGACTGCCTTATTGAAAATTGTAACTGTGCCCATGTTCCTGATCCTCTCTCACTGTTTATTTTTTCCAAATCACTTAACACCTCCCACTGCATTGTACAGTTTAATTATTATTGTTTTGTTTATAGTCTGTCTCCTACTGCTCCAATGTAAGTTCCATGAGATCAGGGATTGTGTTCTCTTTTGTTTACTTTGTGTTCTGATCACCTTGAAGTGTGTTGGGCAGATAGAAGCTCAGTAAATATTTGTTTAGTATATTAATTACTTCTGCCGTGGCCTTTTGCGATATTCATTTAACAAGTTTCCCTGCCTTAAATCTGTTCCTTTTGCCGTCAAGCCTCCATGCTGTGGCAGATAAATCATTCTGTAGTCCAACTCTGTGTATAGAATTTTGCTTAAGTCCTTCAATAGCGTCACAGTCTCTATCACAAAAAGTCCAACTTCTCTGCATGCTACCTAAATGCTTCATGTTTGAACTTTAAGCTTTACTTTCAGTCATGGCTACCATGACTCACCTTCAATAACCTCTGCCTGACTTTTCATCCCCAAATCTTTCTATTTCCTGGTAATTCATTGCAGGAAACTAACACTGACCACAGAAGTATTCTTTTTACTTTGACGAGACTTCACTGAGATATCATTGCCTAAAAACCAAATAAAAACCTTTCTATCAGCTCAACATTAGTGTTATTTCAAGTATGAAGGTATATTTATGAAAACTTAATTATACAAGTAGTCAACTATTTAGTAAACTTTTTCATGTCATGATGACTTTGGTTTTCCCTTGCAATTTTGTAACTGTTGGGAACTGAATGATGACTAATTAGGTAACTAATACCCCTACTTCCAGCATGCTAGTGGTTTTAGCCTATGAAAAAAATGAAGAGAATGTATTAAAACACTCACGTACAACAGTATATATATAGTAAATATTCTAACTGCTAGTCTGTTAGCTAAAATGACAGATTTTTAAAATTCTCAATTACCTGGAAAAATCTAGTTACATTCCAACAAGCAGTAGGGACGTCCAATACATATATTTATAGTATAACAAGGTGTTTCTACAGTGCTCTGGGGACATATAAAGTATTCACTCTAGTATTCTTTAGGTGATTAATTTATTTAAAACTGCATTAAATTTCACAGATGATACAACATTCAAATTCTTTCAATCTCTACCAAAATTGTTAAATATATGCTGCCAATGAGAATTTGAAAAGCTATTTATCAATAATTATGTTTTCCTTAAAGCAGATATTTTAGGCATTTTACAAAATAGTCTGATGAAATAGTTTGAGTGTTTACATAAAATGACTAGAGGTTTCAAATATTTTCTAAGACTGGATTTGATCTCATTTTTTCCTTTATATATATATAAAATACATTATATAATATATATTACACATATATATTATATAATGTATTATATATATATATAATAGTAAAATTTTACTCTGATGTTGAAATATGTAAAACAAACAAACAAAAAAAGCTAAAAAAAAAATTAAACCAAAATCCCAGCTATTAAAGTGTTTTCTATGGCAAACTGATTTTTTAATCAGATTTGCAGGGTAAAAGTTCAAATTGAATTTTGACTTATATAAATTTACAGACTATACTATTTATAAGAAGTAACAGACTTTAAAAATAAAAGTTAATCTAACGTTTTAAGTTTTAATCGCCAAATCAGACTAATTGTCCAAATGATTATATCAATTATGCAATAATTCTTCAACAAAGGATATGAACGGGGGGAAAAAGTAAAAGCAACCCAAATCTACTTAATCCCATGGTTACATTTAAAGTTAAACTCAGAGAATATTAATATCAGAATAGTCTATCTCACAATCACTTAGGAGCAGGAAAAGTGGGCCGACATTTGTTAAACTACTTAGAGGAATATTTGAAATATCATTAAGGATTGGAATTATGCCAGACATTGAGAAAAAGCAGACAGGTTGCAAAACTTCAAACAGAAGAGAGTTGTTGGAGTTATGTGATATGTGTGATGTCAGTATTTACTTTTTTTCTTTAAGTCCCAGATATTGAAAGGGAATCTATAAACACCCAGAGAACAATGGACTCCTTAATATGGCTACATGGGCTTATAAAATAGTAAATGATGCCAAACATGTATCTGTTTGCAGGAGGACAAAGCTAGTAACTTTGGAAATGCGGTCTGTGTTTTATTTGGGGAATAGTTGAAGCATTTAATGCTGTGTCTCAGAAAAGTTAGTATTCTAACCTGTTTCAGGTTGGCTTGGACATGAACACTGTCACATCATTTGGCAGCCTGGCTGAGCCAGTGCAGAGGAAGGTGATGATAAATGGGAGCGCGTCCAGTTGTGAGGAAGTGGCTAGCAGGGGGGCTGCGGGAGCTTTGGCATGAGGTCAGGTTTTATTTTCCATCTTTATTAATCATCTCCAGGGGGGAATAAATTGCCTGCTAATGAAATTTGCAGATAGCACTAAATTTTGAGGTGTTGCCAACACAGTTAACAAAGGAGAAATAAATATAAATGGACTTAAGCATGCTATTTATCATTTATTTGGATTTAATCAAAATTGTTCCCAGGATGCATTTATAAACGATTCCCACAAAGTAAACTGGGGGGATGGGGGGAATCTCCATCACACAGCAAGACAAATAGGCTGATAGTAGAGTCGCCCTCTATAGTCTACTAGGTTAGAAAGAAAAGGATATTCCGCAGCAAAAATGTACTGGTTAGAATGCACTCTTTCTGCTTCCGTGGAGTGCCAATTTAGAGAATGGTAAAATTTCCAAGTCTAGAAAGTTTTCAGTTTTCAGAACTCAAAGCACAGGGCTTACAGGTAGCATATATATTTCCTTCATCTTTTTCTAACTTTGCTGTGCCCAGAACACATTGCTTTCCCTGCAGTCCTCTTGAGAGAAAGGTGCTTGTTTGTTTGTCTTTTCTCACTTCCCGTATGAACAGAGGGTCAGAGGTGAGGTAGGGCTTCATATTGCTTCCTGTTGCTATGTCTAGGCCATTGTTAATTAACCTTTCTATAAAAACAGAGAGATACATGTATATGTAAAATATTGGCTCTTTTGAAGTTGATGATATTAGATATTTTAGTTACCTATGACCCTCATAGTCACGCCCTCACTCATAAGAGATTTCGACACTTCACTTGAGGCTGTTCCTTCTTCATTGTATCTATTATGATCTTACCATCCACTAATCCAACACTTCAGCTTCTCAGCTCCTTCATATTCAGTTTCTTATTATCTCTTTGTTTATCCCACCCAGCCACCTACTCCATGGTCATTCCCTGGCTCTTATTATTAAAAATACCACTGCCAAAAATCTTGATATGCTAGCTCCCCACCCACTGTCTCTACCACCTATCTTTCCAGTTCTCCAATTTTAATGATTATTTAACTTGCAACTTGACCTGAAATCAATTAGCCCCTTCCACTTTTTCACTCTCTAGTCCCTCAGGTTCTTTTTCTCTTTTCATATAGATTAAACTCTGTTCGTCTGCCACCATATCTACTCCCTAGATTAAACCTCAACTCACGCCCTATCTCCTTTTTTGGTTCTCCCTTTGTAAAATCCCACCGTAGTTAAATCTAATTATACTCGAAATCAGCAGAGCACAGCTGAATATGGATGCCCACTGACTGATGCCACTTTACATTTATGACCATAAAAGTGAAGTATGCCCTGGCCTTCATTAGGAATACTGCTATATTTCACCAGCCAATTCATTATCTACCTCCTGAGAAGGCCATTTTATACTTTCTTTTGTCTTCTCTAATTTTGTTCATTTTTAAAAAAGTCTTAACTGTAATCCTGTCCTCTCACTTTTTATTTCATGAAAAAATATAATCAGAAAATAATCTCCTTACCTTCTTACCACCAAATATGCTGACCTACTTACTTACAACTGTTCCCATAAACTCTGCTTTCCCTTCTATAGAACAAATGAACTGTTCCTATCTTAGTTCAAACTGTTCCCTTGTACAGTGGGCCTTGGTGAAGTGGATGCTTTTTTCTAGTTGTCTCCTTCTATCCTGCATTATCAGTGTTCTGTCTCTATTTGGTCATTGTCATCATTAAAAAGAAGTTTAGGAGTATAAATAATTCTACTATAAAGACACATACACACATATATTTATTGCAGCACTATTTACAATAGCAAAGACTTGGAACCAACCAAAATGCCCACCAATGATAGACTGGATAAAGAAAATGTGGCACATATACACCATGGAGTACTATGCAGCCATAAAAAAGAATGAGTTCATGTTCTTTGCTGGGACATAGATGAAGCTGGAAGCCATCATTCTAAGCAAACTAACACAGGAAAAGGAAACCAAATACCGCATGTTCTCACTCATAAGTGGGAGTTGAACAATGAGAACACATGGACACAGGGAGGGGAACGTTACACACCAGGGCCTGTTGGGGAGTAGAGGGCAAAGGGAAGGAGACCATTAGGACAAATACCTAATGCACGCAGGGCTTAAAACCTAGATGATGGGTTGATAGGTGCAGCAAACCACCATGGCACATATATACCTATGTAACAAACCTGCACGTTCAGCACATGTATCCCAGAACTTAAAATAAATTAAAAAAAAAAGTTTAAATAACACCCAACTTAAAAACAAAGCAAAACATAATGTTTCCTTAATTCCTCATATCCTACCTGTATTATGGAATTGTGCTCTCCCAAAATCTATATGTTGAAGCCCTAACCACCAATGTGAGCTCATTTGGAGATAGGGCCTTTAGTGAGCTTGTTAAGGTTAATTGAGGTCAAAAGGGTAGGACTGGTATTCTTCTAAGAAGAGGAAGAAATGCCAGAGATCTCTTTATTTTTATGAGTGCACAGGGGAGGTTATGTGAGGACACAGTGAAAAAGAAGCCAGGTCCAAGCTAGAAAGAGAGGACACACCAGAAACCAACCTGACAGCACTTTGTTTCTGGACTCATAGCCTGCAGAATTCTGAGAAAACAAATGTCTGTTGTTTAAGCCACTCAGTCTGTGGCGTTCTGTTCTAATAGCCCAAGCGGACTGTCACTGATTCATGTCTGTTTTCTCCTACATAATAAATCTCCCCCAAATATTATCTTTTTTTCTGTTTTCTATTTTCTCTATTTCCATATTTTCTTTCTTGGATGCACACCAATTAGTCCTTCAACTCCACTACTTTCCTGAAACCTCACTTGTCAAGGTCACCATGAAATGTAATACTGCCAAATCTAGTTGTTAATCTCAATCTTTATTTTACTCAATCTCTCAGTAACGTTTAGATCAGTCCCTTATCTGGGGGAAAATTTTTCTTCTCTTGGTTTCCAAGTTGTTATCCTCTTCTGTTTTTTCTCCTCTTGACCATTCAATCTTTCTCATTAGGAACTTTTGTTCCTCCCCCTGTTTCTAAACTTTTCAGTGCTATTGTTCCCTAGAACTTGGTTCTCAGCTACTTCTCATCTGCCTCTAAAACTCTGCTTAAATTGTCTCACTTAGTCCTGTGTCTTCAAATACCACCCATACAGCTATATGCTGAATATTCAAATACTTATTTTTCCTTGAAAGATGCCTTATCTGCAGTACTTCTAATCTCAGTAAACATACAATTATTCATACAACTTTTAGGTTCCCAATTTTTTTTATTTCTTTAATCACACATCTAATCTATTAACAAGTGCCAGCAAATCTACACTCTAAATACATTTTATTTTATTTTTAATTTTTTATTTCCATAGGTTTTTGGGGAATAGGTGGTATTTGGTTACATGATTAAGTTTTTTAGTGGTGATTTGTGAGATTTTGGTTCACTCATCACCTGAGAAGCATACACTGAACCCAATTTGTAGCCTTTTATCCCTCACACACCTCCCACCTTTTCCCCTTGAGTCCCCAAAATCCATTGTATCATTCTTTTGCCTCTGCATCTTCATAGCTTAACTCCCACTTATGAGTGAGATGATACAATGTTTGGTTTTCCATTCTGAGTTGTTTGAATTAAAATAGTAGTCTCCAGTTCCATCCAGATTGCAAATGCCATTAATTCATTTCTTGTTATGGCTGAGTAGTATTTCATCATATATACCACAATTTCTTTGTCCACTGATTGATTGATGGGCATTTGGGCTGGTTCCCGATTTTGCAATTGCAAATTGTGCTTCTATAAACATGTGTGTGCAGGTAACTTTGTCATATAATGACTTCTTTTCCTCTAGGTAGATAGTAGTGGAATTGCCAGATCAAACTGTAGTTCCATTTTTAGTTCTTTAAGTAATCTCTATACTGTTTTATATAATGGTTGTACTAGTTTACATTTCCATCAGCAGTGTAGAAGTTTTCCCTTTTCACTGCATCCACGCCAACATCTATTTTTGGTGGTTGTTGTTTATTTTTTGATTATGGTCATTCTTGCAGGAGTAAGGTGGTTTTGCGTTGTGGTTTTATTTTGCATTTCCCTGATCGTTAGTGATGTTGAGCATTTATTCATATGTCTGTTGGACATTTGTATATCTTCTTTTGAGAATTGTCTATTCATGTCCTTAGCCCGCTTTTTGATGGGATTGTTTGTTTTTTTCTTGCTAATTGTTTGAATTACTTGTAGATTCTGGATATTAGTCGTTTGTCAGATGTGTTTTTACTTTTTATTTTAATATAATTTTGACTTGTGGAATTATTACAGGAATAGTACACATATATTCTTCGCTCAGATTCTGTGACTGCTAATATCATATGTTGTATTATATATACACACATATAATATGAATAATTGTCTTCTCTATTAATTGGGAATAAATTGAAGACAAAATTTTATTTTATCCTTAATTGCTTCAGTATATATTTTCTATAAACAGAGACAATGATGTTCGTATGTCTAATTGCTGGTTGGTTAATTTGAGTTTTGTTGGTATCTGCCAGGTTACTCCACTTTAAAGCTACTATTTTCCACCGTATAATTAAAGTATGCTGAGAGGAGATACCTTAGTATCCTGTTCCTTCGGCAACTTGCTCCCACTAGTTTAAGCATTCACTGATGATTCTTGCCTGAATAAACTATTCTTATGATGGCTCTTGTGATAGACAAAATCATGCTCTCTGCAACTGATGTCCATGTTCTAATCCCTAGAACCTATGAATATGTTAGTTAACATGATAAAGATGAATTAAAGTTGAAGATGTTATTAAGGTTGCTAATCTGCTGACCATAAAATAGAATTATCCTGGATTGTGTGAGTAAAACCAGTGTAACCAGAAAGGTCATTCAAAGTGGAAGAGGGGGGCAGAAGAGAGAGTCAGTCAGAAGGAGATGTGACAATAGAAGAACATCAGGATTATGTGATAAGTAATAGATTTGCTTTCACTGGTTTTGAAAATGGAGGAAGTGGCCATGAACTGAAGAATGTGGGCTCCATCTGAAATCTGGAAAAGGCAAGAAGACAGATTTTTCTCTACAGCCTCCAGAAAAGAACCCATCCATCCTAACACCTGGCTTTTAGCCCAGTGATATCCCTGTCAAACCTCAGATTTACAAGTCTGCAGGATTATAAATTCATATAGTTTTAAGCCATTAAGTTTGTTGTAACTTTTTATAGCAACAAAAAAATAAATAAATAACAATTACCAAAAGGCAAATCTATCATTTCTTATATGTATTAGTTGCTTTTTAAAAAAATTGTAAAGCAATATTGTTATTTTATTTAGAAAATCAAACCTGGCTTCCCCAGGTATATTGCTAAATAAAATTAAGAGGATACTATATGTAATTTGGTTAGCCACAGGAGCTGAAGAAAATCATAATAAATTAAATAAGCAATGATTTTTTTTTCACCCAGAAAAATTCTACACTCCTAATTTTGCTATTGTATTTATGTAGACTTAATTTTCATTATGGTCACATAAAATATTTAATTTGATACTGTACATACTTATTGGTCTGTTTACTCTAATTACTTGCATTGTTATGTTTCTTTATATTTCTATTTTCAACTAGGGGGTGTAGGAAAAGAATGATTTCATCAGATACCTTGGCTAGAAAAATTAATACAAAATATATATGACCAAGAGAATTTGGGACTTCTTGAAACTTATGTAAGTTTTGGCAGACATCATAAAAGGGAATCTTAGAAAAATGCATATGGCCTTATTTTTTATCACAACTATTTCCTAGAGCTATTTTGGGGAAGAATATAAATATTTTTGTCATAACAACAGTGTTTTCATAGTGTTCTTGTATAAATGAGTAGTTGCTGTTCTGAATTAAAAAGTTTGCCTCATTCCTTTAGTAGACAAGGATGTGTCAGATTATAAGATGATTAATTATTGAGAGATGATTGGGGTAATCATTTTACCTTTACAAAATCAATTACAAAAATTGCTCTCTTTAATTCATCCAGTATTTTGTTTTTGTAATTTTTTATGGTTCTATCAGCAAGAACTTTATTTAAAAAATTAAAGCTACCTGGCTGGTATCATAAAAGCAGTAATTTTTGACAAAGGAAGAGAATGTAAAGCTACAATGAAGTAAGTATTCAAACATGTGTTCCGGTCAATGTTACTTTATCCTTTATTCACAGTCAAAAACTTGCTAATTTTTGGTTTTCTGCTTTAGAATCCAAGTTGACTGGGGGAATTTTTTTTGAGCCAGGAGCAGTTTATATTCAAGTTTTCTTCAGAAGACTCACAAGAAATTGAAAGAGAAAAGGAAGGTATACATTTGCCAGAAAATTAGAATGAGAGAGATGGGGAAGGAAAAGGAAATATGGTCTTACAAAAGTAAGTACATGCCTTCTCTTATACCTAAAAATATAAATCATTCTTTTTTTAACATTTTTTCCTTTTTAAAGATTTTTTTCCTTTTCAGAATTGTGAAATTAAGCAAATATTTTGCCTAAGAAAAAAATTATGAAATACAGTGTTTCTGTATTCATATATTTTAACTTTACTGTCTTCCTCTCTTTATTTAGGTTTGTCTGTCCAGAGTGGCCTCTCACTGTGTTTTTCACTTCATTAATCAAAACTTGTTCTCTGAAGTCAAGTTGACAAATTCATTCACACAAAGGCAAGAATAACAAATATTACCATAACAATTGTTATCCATTTCCAGACATTATCATCAATCTTGATACTTTTTATAACTCATAGTATTTGTGTCCTCAAAATCCCTTCCAACTGAATATTTCAGGCAAAACCTATCACTTGACCATAGTTGGTCAGAGGAGGAAATTATTTTTTAATCTTTCACTAAAATAAAAAATAAATTCAAAAGCTAGATGATATTTTCTTGCTGAAGTATTTTGAATTTTTATTGAAAAAAATCTTCAGTTCCTTATAGATGATTATCAGTTCATAAAGAGGCAATAAGAACATATTTGCAAGGCAAGGAGCTCATTGCTCTTCCTAAGTATTGAATGGCAACGCTCCTGGTGCTAGATTCTCTATCACTCATGATCTATAATATGTTCCCTTGAAATTCTCATATGTTTCTCTGTTTAGGTTACACAGGTAAGTCTGGTTTTCTTCTTTAGTTTGGAAGCTCTTTAAGGATAGAACCATGGTTGCTAATCTCTTTATCCTCTTTGGCCCCAAATCCTGGGACAAGTATTATAAAAGTATTTTCCCTTTGACATTATCCCATATTTAACTGAATCCAGGGAATAAAGACCTAAGGTTGAATAGCTGGACAGCATTTTAACATAAGTATGGTAAAAGGAAAGACAGGAAGATTAGTTTATATTTTTGGCTAGAAAGTGACAGAAACCCAATTAAACATGAAAAAAATTTACTACCATAACTAGTTCACAAAACTGTTCATGGAGCTTTCCGGAATCAAGCATAATTATTCTGTATGTTCAAAAAAGTTATCAGTTCTCACCCTTTCTTTCCATCTTGACTCTATTGTTTTGTTATCTTTTATTTTATTTTACAGACTGTGTCCCCATGGCAATGTGGCAGCAAAAACGAACCCCAAGACCTCCAGACATTGTGTCATTCTTGCATCAGTGATCATATCCAATGGGAAATGGTTTGCCAATTGGCTGGCCAGAGATACCTGGTCAAATTCTGAAAGGAGCAGAATTAAGGCATGTAATTAATAGTTTTAAAAGATGGAAAATATACAAATGCTAAAAGAAAAGAGAAATTCTTCTGTTAGGAGAAGAGCAAAGAATGTGTTTTATAAAACAACATAGAGAATTATTGTTGAGAGATTCTTCATCTAGTTCTTTCTGTTTGTTATATAATAATGTATACTGCCTTAAGAACAGAAAATCAGAATAGACATGGAATTTACTTAGTGTAAATTCAGACTCCCTAGTTAGACCACAACGAGCTGGTCTTCTTTGAAGTCTACTCTATTAGGAATGACTATTCTTCTCACTTAATAGATGTAAATGGTAGACATAAGACAGCACTATATGTGACTATTGGGATAGAACATGTTCTTTTGGATATCTTCCTGGCTGTAGCTATAATTTGTCAGATGGAAGGAGCTCAGCATATAAGAAACAGGAACGTTTATGACCTAGATTTAGTAAGTTTGAGTTAGGAAATGCCGTTATGCAAATACCATTTAGGGCTTTCGGTAATCTGTGAGACTGTGATTATTCATTTCAAAAACAGAAAGAAGTCAGAAAATCTGAGTTACTAGTGTTATAACTCAAATAAGACAGACATAGGCACTGCTTTTGCAGAGCTTAAATTATGGGGGTGGATTTAAACAAGCAGAGAAGCTGATCCAATAGTGAAATAAGAGCTACCATGAGAGAAATGTCAGGTATCATAGGAGATAGTGTTAACCTGAATATACAATGAGTTATTCAAGATGAAAGAATAGATAACATTTGGAAAGGGGTGAGGACAATGTGTGAGGGAGTAAGTCATTTTTTGGATAAATATTTTGAAGGCATTCTTAGTGACTTGTATATTTGATATACAATAATTTCTATTAAATGGATGAGTGTCAGTGTTTTGGAAGCAATTTGTTTTCTAAGGATATTTTCCTCACCAAGTGCCTCTGCCATCTATGAAGCTCATAATAGAAGAAGAAAGTATTTACTGGCCTGTTATATGGATCTCATTGGGATCTGCATTAAGACTTCAATGATGATGGATGCAAGCAGGAAAGTAGTCAGTATAGTGAAAAAGAAGCTGTTCCAAGCCTGGTGATGCATAGTACAAAGTTTTTGGAATAACCTGGAATAAGGTTAGGCCCTAGTTATGAAAGAAGTGAAGAGACCAGTCCAATGCCTGATCTCTCGAGCATCTCACCTGCAGAGGTAAAGTGAGGGGTAAGCAGTAAAACAGTTACCTCTAGGGAGTCAAGGTGATTAGTGTTCAAGTGTTGCCTAATTCTTTTCTCCTCTGACTTCTCTTTTCCCTTTGGGCAGCCCATTGCTACACCCGAAATATTCAAAGGGTCCCTATTGCCTAGTGAATCAAGTACAAATTCCTGAAGGTTTTACATAACATGGCTCTAGTCAATGTTTTAAAACAGACATGGGGAGGCAACAAGTACAATGAAAAGAGTCTGGCTTTGCAGCTAGGCGGACCTGGTAACAATTACCAGTAACATTGTATAAAAGAATGGCACTTTCTTCCCTGAGATTCAATTTCTTCATCTGAAAAAAAGATAGCATCCACATTGCAGGCTTTAGACAATAAGGGCTAAGCATCTGATATATAGTAGGTGCTCAATAATAGCAGCTAAGTCCTTGATTGTTAATAGATAGTAATAGTTTTGAGATTTAGTAGTACTTATCAGCATCCTCTCTTTGTGCAATGTTTCACAATGTGAAAATAAATAAGAAACAGAAGTAGACAACATTTGGAAAGGGGTGAGAATGATGTGTGAGGGAGTAAATCATTTTTACTAGAAATATTTTGAAAAGCATTTTTAGTTACTTGGAAATTTGATATATAACAAGTTCACTTTCAAATATAGGTCAGGCTTAATAGTTAAATTTTTTCACATTTATTTTCTTATTCTTCAAATATCCCCTATAAGGTAAATACTATTCTGTTGATTTTGAAATGAATAAATGAGATCCCACTTGAGGAAAAATGGAGAGTCAGTGTGGCATAGTGGGGGTAAAGAGATCTGTATTTGAAAAATAGCTCCAGGGATCAATAGCCACATGACCTCCTAAAGCACTTAGCACAGGGCTAGGAACATCCCTTACTTTAAGTCGATTTATCTCATTAAGCATGTGTGGATACTTAGGTATTAAATGAGAAACACAAAGTTGTTTAAGCAAAAGACATGGAGTATAATTGAGGCCTTATAGTTATTAATTATCCTCTGCTTATCTTACATTTTAGGTAGAACCTAGCCCAAGATTATTTTGGAAAAACTTAAGTGGAATTTGGATAATGAGTATAATCTAGAGAGTTCAGTACCTAAATTTGACTGGTGAAGAAAACTTACACAAATCTTTAGCCTAAGTTTACTGTATAATTGATCAGCCTTCTACTTCATTTCTTCTTCCTTAAAATGGCTTAGCTTAGAACATCTGGCTACATAACTGAGGCTGTGGAAGAAACAGAACAGAGCTTACTTTGCTATTAGCTTTCCTGATAGTTGTCAAGAGCATTCAGGAAAGGTAATATGTAGAGAATGTTCTATCGGGGTTGGTTCATGGTTTCAACAGTGACTCTGAGGTTTTTGTGGATGTATTTCAACTCAGGCAGCACTGAAGAGCATAAAAAAGCCAGACTGTACTGTAGTTAGTTGATAGGTGCACTCCAACATGTGTGTGTGTACGTAAGTACACATAGACACTGTATTAGGTCTCAATTATTGGCAACATCTTATTTATCTCTGAGGTGGCATCATAGCATTCATATTCAAAGCCTTGAATTCTTGCATGCTCCACAGATCTAAAATCATTAATGGATTCTGCCATCTAGAAAAGAAATATTTGTTTTCTCTAGGAAACAAATAACCTAACATTAATACTTATAATAATAGCAGTAGTTTAATGGGTGATTTTTATGTGCCCATCAGTATATTAAATTATCATATAACTCTCACAAACTCCATTCTACAGATAAATAAATTGGGATTGAGAAAGGGTTACATAAATTGCTTAGAATTCGTTACACAGCAACGAAGTGAATAAACAGGAATTCAAATATATTCTGCCTGAGTCCAATGCCTGGTCTCTTGAGCATCTCACCTGCAGAGGTAAAGTGAGGGGTAAGCAGTAAGACAGTTACCTCTAGGGGAGTCAAGGTGATTAGTGTTCAGGTGTTGCCTAATTCTTTTCTCCTCTGACTTCTCTCTTCCCTTTGGTCAGCCCATTGCTATATCCGAGATATTCAAAGGGTCCCTATTGCCTAGTGAATCAAGTACAAATTCCTGAAGGTTTTACATAACATGGCTCCAGTCAATATTTCAGAAAGCTTCCAGTACTCCCTTGCCTACAATAGTCAACTTGGATAATTTATTATTCTCAGAACCTAACATGGATATTTCCCATATTTCTTTTTGCTTGTGATATTCTCTCTGCCTGATTGACACCCTTCTACCAACTATACTCTTAGACATTTTTCTTAAAGAATCCTGTTAAATTCCCCTTTTTCTAGGAAGCCTTGCCTGAACCCTGGAATCAATTGTTATTTCACTCTCATATCTCATGCTCATGTAATACCCATGACCTTTTGATTATAATCATCTTTTGGCTTTTAACATTTGCTTTATATTATGGGGATTTGTGCAGAGGTAATCTAATATAGGGGGAAGTTGGAGTCTGGCAAATCTTTGATATTTCATTGACCATTTGCTCATTAGGCAAATTATTAGTTTTTTTCTGAGCCTCCATGTATTTTAACACATAGAGGGTGTTTATAGAGGTAAAATTCTTTTTTTTTCTTTCTTTTTTTTTTTTTTCTTTTACAGGATCTATTAGCCTCTTCTTCAGTTCTCAAACAGGGGGCACTACTACCTCCATAGGGGACAGGTAGAAATGTGTAGGGGTCTTAACATACCATAACAACTAGGAGACACTATTTGTGTTGGTGACAGGAAGCTAGATGCTGTCATGTGTGTGGCAGTCCCATACAAAGAAGGATTGCTGCACCCAAAGTACTGAATGTTCCCAGATAAGAAACACCAGGAAGTAAACAAGAAAAGTCATCGTTAGGTAGCAATTTTTTTGTTTCGAGGGGATCAAAAAAGTCAATTTTCTTAACTATGCAAATAGAAGACTCTTGGAAAGAATATTCAACTTTATATTGTATAACTTGATAAAGTGTTGCTTCTCTAAAAATCAATTGTTATGCAGAACTGATCAGTCAGGGAGAGGTAGGTAATCTTCTTAGAAGTCACTAATTTTTAGAGCACAACTTTATAGATAGAGGCACACATGTAAAATTTGATCTAAAACATAAAGCACGAGAAGAAGCCAACTACTTAAGGAGATAGAAGAGAGTACTCTAGTAAAAGGGATCAACCACTGTGAGATCCCTAAAGCAGAGAAAAGCTAGGTGGTATATTTCTGCAATATAAGACCTGCATGCCTGAAGCATCATAAAAGAGAGAGGAGGGGTAGCATGACATGAAACCAGAGACAGTGGAGTAGACCATGGATATTTTTCTCTCATTTCAATAAATAATGATTTGAAGAACATAAAAACATTGGAATGACATAAGCTAATTTTTGGATGTATATATTCACTCATGCTCTTGTGTGGAGAGTGGACTGGAGAAAAGATAGCAGCAATAAAGCAGTTAGCAATCCGTTGCAGTAATTCAGATAAAAGGTGTTGTTACCTAGACCAGCAGGATGTCTGTGGAGATGAGGAGAAGCATGTGATTCTGGACATAAAATATCTTGGATGTAGGCAAAAAAGAACATGGCAGTGCGTGAATGGTATGTGGGAAGTACAAGAAAAGGATGAATTAAGGATGACTCCTAATAGATTGTCATCTAATAAGATTGGGAGTATGCAGCAAAAGTTTCAGTGAAAATATGTATAACTAAATTGCTTAGAATTTATTTATACATATATAAATATGGGTATAAATTTGATGGTTGGTGAGTTGGATCTAAGAAGGAGGACAGGGCTAGATACAATATTCGTGAGTTAGCTTATTCAAATCACCTAAAAAGAGTACAGACAAATAAAAAGAAAAGGTCCAGGAATGAGTCCTGGAACCATTCAGCATTCAGAAGTGGGAAAGATAAAAAAGTCAGCAAAAGATACTGAGAAAGGCCAGCCAGAGTGAAGTGAAAGAAAAACAAAGAGAAGGGATATCACAAAGGCTTAGAGATGAAAGTGTCTCAAGAAGGAGAGCATGGTCATTTCTGTCTACTCAGTAGAATGTTACTCAGTGGCCAGATGAGCGAAGAAAATGACCATAGCATCAATCAACCCGAGACTGTAGGGGTATAACGGTGTAATACCTTTTCTCACTCATTGCAAGGGGCACTGCCGGCATTTCTATAACATGTTAAGAAAAGAAAAGTATAACAAATTTATTTAGTCACAGTTTTAGGTGACATGGTGATACAGGAACTAGAAAGAAATTATTTAGGCAGATAGTGAGGGTAAAAGAGTGCTTAGCAGAGCTTCCCCTTTAACACAAAGCAGCCCACAAAATTATTTTTTTTCTAACAAAGAGAAACTTGAAAAATTGAGCTGCAAACATAGATAAGCAAGATGGAAGCTTGCATAGGGAAATGCCAGCATCTGTGCTAATAGAAAAGGGGTACCTGGGGGCCAGGCATGCCCATCATGGAGACTCCATCTTCCCTTTTTTTGTTACCACATGGACAGTAAAGAAATGGGCAACATGGTGCCAGCCAGGCAGAGAACACATCTGCATATAAAAGTTTAAGGTGGGGGTGGCCAGTTTTTTGCACCCTATGCAAATGGCACACCTAATCCTAAACAGTTTTTCACACCTTATGCAAATGGCAGACCTGGTACAACCAATCTTTTGTTCTTTATGTCAATCAGACACTGCCTTTTCGAGCTCATCTCTAAAAAGCTTGTGTTTCACCTCGGAAATGGCAACCTGTTTGGGACCCCTCTCTGCAGCAGAGAGAGCTGTTTTCTTTCTTTTGCCTATTAAAGTCCCGCTGTCAGCCTCACTCTTTGTGTGTCTGTGTCTTAGTTTTCCATGGCTGTGAGACAAGGAACTTCAGGTATCACCCCAAGCGAACGACTTCGTTTCAGTGGGAGCCTTCAAAAAGGAAGACACAAAGATCCAGGAGAAAACTGTCCATTTTTATGCTTAGATTCAATGAGGAGGGAACAGCTGCGTAGAACTGTAATTTGACAAAAGAGAATGTTCTAATAATAGTAGACTGAGTGGGGAAACCTAGCAACACCTGTATATTTTGATTAGTCTTGATGCCTTTGTGTGGCATTCCTTTCTCCTGTGTATATTACAGGACACCTCTGAAATAAGGTTTTTATAAACTACTATGGGACAAGGGTAGATCCGATAATTTTTTATGACCACTTCTTACATAAAAGGCAGGCGAAGGATAAATTAATATTTCTAGGTTTATGGCTAGCTTTGTGGGGGAGGGTTTCTGGTTCCTATGACCTGCCTTGTGAAAGAGGGATTCTAGTTTCTATGGCCTGTGGTGGGAGAAGAAAGGAAGCAGAAGAACCAGCAATCCCATTACTGGGTACACACCCAAAGGATTAGAAATCATTCTACTATAAAGACACATTCACACGTATGTTTATTGTGCCACTATTTACAATAGCAAAGACTTGGAACCAATCCAAATGCCCATCAATGATAGACTGGATAAAGAAAATGTGGCACATAGACACCATGGAATACTATGCAGCCACAAAAAATGAATTCATTTCCTTTGCAGGGACATAGATGAAGCTGGAAACCATCATCCTCAGCAAACTAACACAGGAACAGAAAACCACACAACGCATGTTCTCATTCATAAGTGGGAGCCGAACAATGAGAACACATGGGCACAGTGAGGGGAACATCACACACCGGGGCCTGTAGGGGGGCTTGAGGGAAAGGGGAGGGAGAGCATTAGGACAGATACCCAATGCATGCAGAGCTTAAAACCTAGATGACAGGCTGATAGGTACAGTAAACCACCATGGCACATGTATACCTATGTAACAAAGCTGCACGTTCAGCACATGTATCCCAGAACTTAAAGTAAAATAAAAAAAAAAATTAAAAAGAAAGCTCAAAAAAAAGAAAGATCAGAGAATTTTAGGAATAAACTTTGCTTCTGAGGCCCTTCCAATGTCCTTCAATGCAAAGTACTCAGCACACCAAAACACCACCCTGTGTGTGGTGTAGTTTTCTAAGCATCATCAGTACTCTTCACAGAAGTATTTTCTGTAGAATGACTGGGACAGAGGCCACAATGGAATTGGTTAAAGAGGGACTGGGCCTTGTAGATCTGAAAAGATGATGAATCAAGGTAATACACAGCTTTTCTTTGAAAAACATTTAAAATGACTAATTTCCTAAAAGTTATATTTTATAGCATTAATTATAAAGCATCATTGATCTTCAAACAAAGGACAAAAGTCACCAATTGCCAGTAATGTACTGAGAACTGAAACACGGGGTGGTCAGTGCAGGAATTGATTCTGAGCTGGCCCTGTGGGAGGCTGTCATTGCCAGTACATTGAATTTAAAAGTTAGGAAAATGTATTTGGGCCTCCAACTTGGTGAGCTAATATTAAAACACTTGCATAAATCTAGAATCTATGAAGGATTATATCTCAGTGAAAGGATCAAGTAGAAATGGCAGACACACATGCACAGGAAAATGATAAGAAAGTCAGTTTATCACCACATATTATGGTGTAAGGAAAAAAACACAAAAACAACAACTTTCCCAGAGAAATCAAAATCAAAGTCTGATATTTCACATGGGTTTTACTTTACCCGTATGGAGTGGTCCAGATAAACATAAATACAGTAGTGCCCCCAACTGATCCACAAGGTATATGTTTGGAGACCCCAGCTGGATGTCTAAAACCTTGGATAATACTAAACTCTATACATATGATGCTTTTTCCTGTACATAAATACCTGTGATAAAGTTTAATTTTTAAATTAGGCACTGTAAGAGATGAACAATAACTACTAATAAAATAGAACAATTATAACAATATGCCATTGTTACTACTCTTAAGCTTTGGGGCCATTATGGTGGGCCCTCACAGTATATTTTGGAGATTGGTTTCAGGACCTCTACAGATACCAAAATCTGCAGATGCTAAAGTCCCTGTTAGAAAATGGTGTTGTATTTTGGATATAACCTATGGACTTCCCGCCATATACTTTAAATCATATCTTAATTATATAATGAAATGTAAATGTAAATATTGTAAAAATAGTTGTTATCCTGTATTGTTTTTATTTATATTGCTTTTATTTTTGTATTGCTATTTTTATTGTACTTTTTTGTTCAAATATTTTTGATCTGTAATTGGTTGAATGCACAGAGGTGGAACCTGCAGAAACATAGGGCCAGGGCCAACTGCATTATGTAAAATAAGAGTTACTTACTGATTACCAGGCAGGTAGTGTATACAATATAGATACCTTGGACACAGGGATGATTCATGTCTTGGATGGGACAGAGTGGGACAGTGTAAGATTTTATCATGCTGTTTGGAATGTTTCACAATTTAAAACGTATGAATTGTTTATTTCTGAATTTTCCATTCAATATATTCAGACCACAGTTGACTGCAAGTAACTACAGCTGCAGAAAGCAAAGCCACGGTTAAGGGAAGATTACTATATTAACATTAGCATCAAAGATATCCTTTCAGTGTCTGGAAACAGTAAATAGTAAAGACACACACTGGAAATCCAGCCTGCAAGAAAATTTATTAGTGGAGAGGACCTACAAAGGTAAGTTAATACTTTTTTTGAAAGGGGGCTATAGCCTTGTTAACTTCCAACAATAGGGTAGCATATAATGAATACACCAAATCGAGGTTACACAATGTGTACATTTAAGACCACTTTGGTGGGGGAAGGGAGACCATCAGGACAAATAGTTAATGTATGTGAGGCTTAAAACCTAGGTGACGTATTGACAGGTGCAGCAAACCACCATGGCACATGTATACCTATGTGACAAACCTGTACATTCTGCACATGTACCCAGAATTTAAAGTAAAATGTAAAAAAAAAATTAAAATTAAATCTTTAATATTGTTTCTTTTCAGAAATATGAGAGGCTACATTATCTGAAAATTCCTCAGACTGCAGAATTCGTTCACGCTTCTTGTAAAAAGAAATTCAAAGGTCTTTTAAAACATGTAGCTGTCTTTGAAACAAAGAAATGGAAGTTTTCAGGGATGCACACAGAAAAAGACAGCTAATACCAGAGTGTCAAATCAATATTGAAGCTCTACTACTGTGGGGAGTTTAAAAATGCCAAGATTTTTTTTGCCCCCATTTTATTGTAAAAGTTTTAATACTTTCAAAATAGAAAGATTTTTGCCCCATTTTATTGTGAAAGTTTTGAAACTTTCAAGATAGAAATGGCACACCAAAATCTTAGAGGATACACTTATAGTCCTGTCACCTATATTCCTCCATTAACATTTACAGTACTTGCTTTTTTCACATATCTATCTGATATGGTTAGGCTTTGTGTCCCCACCCAAATCTCATCTTGAATTGTAATTCTCATACTCCTCATAACCCCCATGGGTCAAGGGAGAGACCAAGTCAAGGTAATTGAATTATGGGGGTGGTTTCCCCCATGCTGTTCTCGTAATAGTGAGTGAGTTCTCCTGATATCTGATAGTTTTATAAGGGGCTCCTCCCCTTTGTTCAGTACTTCTCCTTCCTGCCGCCTTGTAAAGAAAGTGCCTTGCTTCCTCTTCGCCTTCCACCATGACTGTAAGTTACCCAAGGTCTCCCCAGCCATGCTGAGCTATGATTCAATTAAACCCCTTTCCTGTATAAATTACTCAGTCTCAGACAGTTCTTTAGAGCAGTTTGAAAACAGACTAATAGACCATCCATCTATTCATTCTTCTACCTTTGGGTACAAACACCTTTTGTTTTTTGATGCATGTCAAAGTAAATTCCAGACATCAGTATACTTCATCCTAAATATGTCAGAATAAATATTAATCAGAATTCAATTTTTGACTTTTTAAATTTTGATGTAAAATGTACACACAATAAAATGCATCATTTTTAAACTGAGTTTTGACAAATGAATACAACTGTGAAACCCAGCTCCCAACAGGATATAGAATATTAACTGTACCATCAGGTCAGGAAGTTTGTTTATGACTCTTCCCAATAAATACCCATCTCCGCTTCCCCAGTGGTAACAACCTTCTTGATTTTTTCCCACCATAGAATATTTAATATAAATAGAATCACACTTTATGTACTTTGTTGTACAAGATTTCTTCCTCTCACCATCAATATATTTGAGATTCATCCATTGTTACATGTATCCACCATTTGTTCCTTTTTATTCTGAGTATGATTTGATATGAATATACTGTATTTTGTCTATCCATTTTATTTTTAACCAAAGAGTTTCATAGGTCAATGCTATCAAAATTTCAAAGAATATGACCCTTTATTTGATATAAAGTATTTCACAGAATAGAAAAGTAAAAGAAGGAACCTTTCATCAATGTGCTACCATACCTAGATAAAGGTAATTGAAAAAAAAGAAAAAGCACAAGTCATCTCATTTATTAATGTTAATGCAGAAATCTCTCTTAAAATTTTAGAAAATCTAAGCCAACAGCCTGTAACAGAAGAAAGTTAATAGTTCAACCGCTCAAACACACACAAATACCCTTCAGTACCAACTTGATCTTAACACAGAAATATGAGGACTATTTAACTTTGGGAAATTCGTGTTAGAGCAATTAATTTCATTTGTAACTGAAGGGAAAAAAATACTACATTATTATCCTTACAAGTGACCAAAAAAGCACTTGAAAAATTTATGGTTATATGAATAAAACAACAACAAAAAAGATACCTCTCAGCAAACCAGGCATAATTCAATCTAGCTATGTATAGAAGTGACTACAATCATGAAGTTGATGTCTATCATTCTTAGGCTTGTTTTTATACTTTCATTATATTAACATGTCTTTATATATAGAAAATAATATTTTATAACAAATTTTTACATGCAAAGCAATATTTTACTTATTTATTTGAAATTTGTTTTTTCCCCACTCAATATTATGAATTTACCCAGGCTAGCATCATTGGTAGTATAGTTCATGTTTTAATTCATTTATAATATTCCATTCTATAAATCAAACATATGGTATATATTAATTCTTTTGAGAAAGAGATAATTTTTTATTTGTTACAGAGAGATAGAGTGAGCATCCTTGTGTGTATCTTTTCATGCTCAATTTTCATTGAAGCACAACAATTAGGTCGATGGTTTGTGGGTATTTTCTGCTTCACATGTTGTAAATTTGCTCTACAACGTGTAGCAACTACCATCAGCAGTGACTGAGCAACCCTTTTCCCAGTTCCTCACTAAAATTTGGTGACATCAGTTTTATTAATTAAAAAACTAACTGGAAATGGTATTATTTTCTATTAATGTTCAAACTTGAATATTTGTGAAATTACTAATAATACCTGTGTTAAAATGACAAATTGGGTTCTTTACAGAATGCTTATTCACAAGCTTTGCCCATTTTTTAAAAACTGTGATATTCATCTATTTATTATTTATGTGAAAAACTCTTCACTTATGTTGTATTCAATCTTTGGTTGGCTATGCAGTTTACCATATCTGTAGCTTGATGTTTTATTTCACTTCTGGTGTCATTTGTAAAACACAATATTTTTTATTCAAATGATCAAATGTAGCAGTCTTTACTATTATGATTTGTGATTTTTATATTTTTTAAAGAAATATATTCCTATCTTGGGATCTAAGATTTTGCTTTGTAAATACCTACAAAAATGATGCAAATATAACCCTTTGACCCAGGAATTACTTTCCTGAGTGATAAGGGTACTGAAATGTCTTGAGATAACATGACTTGCTTTCCATTTCCCAGCTAAACAAGGGCAGCTTTGAAACTGAATTCCGTAACTTCTGTTTGTAAGGCTGGGTTGATTTTCACTGTATAAAACCATGGGTGATTTAACATGTTTTCTTCTTAGCAATACTTGCAAGGCTGCACTTCTTAGCAATTCAGTATCTAATATCAATATAATGCAGCTTTAATGCCGAATATCTGACATGTTTTGACAGTCTTACAGAGATGCTACTTTGAAGTAGATGGGAAAGAGACAAGAGGTAAGAAGGAAATTTTGAGCTTTCTTTGCACTGGAACCCACTGTCTATAGGTTATAATGACAGTTGATTTTATAGTGCAATCTGTATGTACCACACACTTTCCATGCTTAATTTATCTAATTTTAGCTCATAAGAATCCTAAGATAGGTATTAATAGTTTCACTAACCTCAGTGAATAAGCAACTGAGACACAGAAAGATGAAGTAAAATGAACCAAGTCAAAAAGCAAAGCTGGGATTCAAATTTAGGTAGCATGGCCTCAGAAGTCATACTCATAACCACTGCATGGGACTGATTCTTCATATTCTAGGTCATATCCTAGGTTCGGCTTACTTAGAAGTATTTTCCTTAAAAATAAATAAGTGAATATGTAAATACATAAATTTACACCATTAATCCATGTTTATAATAAAAAATGAGGGAAAAAAGATACAAATGAGAACGAAACTCCTTTCTATCCCATTACATCAGGGATGATCATGTTAATATGCTTTGTATATCCAACCTGAAGTTTTTCTCACAATATATTATTTTTCATATTTTAAAATTGAGAATTTAACATTATTTTCTCACAATATAATATTTTTCATATTTTAAAATTTGAAAATTTAACAAGTGAATATCGAACATTTTACAGTGATAGTAACAAGCTAATAGACACTATTTAGGATGTATATTACAATGTATCCATGACAAATTCGTGTGTTGGTATTTTCAGTTCTAGGTGGCTTCATGTAAAACGTATCAGTTGTGATTAAATTTGATTACATCAGAAAAACTAAAATTCCAGAGGCTTATGCATGACAGCATTCTTAACAGTATCTATCTCATGTTTTAGTAAAGATTAGATAGATAATTATTATAACAAGCTTAGCCTAGTGCTTGGCATATAGCATCGCTATTATCATTGTTGTCAGTATTATAATTATTACTCTAAAATCACCTGATATTATTGCTGGATTAGATGCATTAGTTATTGGGCTGTCAACCTTTGCATAAGAGCATCCTTCTGAGTATTGCAAATAAATATTAAACTCAAAGATAAATAGAGTTATTTCTGTATTAGTCCATTCTCATGCTGCTAAGAAGAACTGTCTGAGACTGGGTAATTTATAAAGGAAAGAGGTTTAATTGACTCAGTTCTGTATGGCTGGGAAGGCCTCAGGAAACTTACAATCATGGCAAAAGGTGAAGCAAACATGTCCTTGTTCACAGGGTGGCATGAGAGGGAAGTGTCCAGCAGAGGGGGAAAATCTTCGTATAAGACCATCAGATTCACTTACTATCACTAGAACAACATGGGGGAAACCGCCCCCATGATTAAACTACCTACCAACAGGTTCCTCCCACGACACGTGGGGATTATGGAAACTACAATTCAAGGTGAGATATCATATCAGTCTAGAAAACTAAATGCTGCCCTTGAAATGAAAGAAAAATGGACATAAAACATATTAGCCTGGTAAAAGCATGTAGAAGGATCTCCACTCTTTTTTCCTTGATTTTTTTTCTGAGATTTTCCTAGGTTTCAAATATTCGCTCCTAATTTTGCTTGCTGCACCTGTAAATTCAATAGGCTCTAAAATGAGCAATACTTGAGAGACTGGGTCTCTTAAAAGAAGGCACAGTTATCTCACCCATTGCTTTTTCTCTCCCATCCCTTTTCCAATAAAACTAAGAAAGCCTGGGATGGATAAAGCCCTGAATTTTGATAAAAATATTAAACTTGAAAGGCTGTCAGATTTTCTAAGTGTAATTAAGTAGGATGAGGTACTAGAATGGGTGATGGCACAGGCTAGTCAAAAAAATTATTATATGTTTAAAGACTCCCTTCATAATGATTGTAGCAGGAATAAAAACAGACCAATCTGGATAAAAGAAAATACTCAGAAAATTATCAAAGAAAAGAAATCAGTGTCTCAGATGTCTGAGATTTCAGGATAAGAATAACCTGGAGATATTAATAGTCATTTGAGAAGAAGAGCTTATGAAAAGAGAAACTATCCTAAATAATAATACAGTACTTTTCACGCTAGAGAATGTGGTAAATGGATATGAAAACTGCTTTGATCACATCAGTCTAGCAGCAGAATTCATCGGGCTTTTAACCATTTTAAACTACTATACAAAGGACATCTAAATGCTGAAAGTACAGGTAAAGTGTAACAAAGCTACTTTTTAAAAAATATTCAGATTTGACTACATAATCTCGGAGGTATTTCCTATCTCTTAAATTCATGATTTTGACATGCATCTTGTGGAACTTTTTGGATTTTCTTGTCATGGTTTCCACTTAAGGCAATATATCTAAAGAAATTGTAAATAATACGGTTCAATATAAATGTGAGCTGTTATGAATTTAGTCCAAGACTTATTTGGACACTCTTATTGTAGAAAGCATAAACAATACTTACATATATTGTATTACCTAAGAACTTGTGAAAAAATTAGGATCAGCATTTGTAAGTTGAATAAACAAAAGGTCTGTAACTCCTTGTTTATAACTTTGGCACTGATAAAATTGAATTCCAATTATTTTTGAGTGCCAATCTTTCCTTGAGGGTAGAGGTAAGGTCTCCTGTGCAGGAAGAACCCTGCAATTGTAAGCCCTTATTACAGGTGAGTTGAAAGCCTCTATGATTTTTTATGTAAACCCTCCTGCAGGGGAATGATTGGGGAACAGGGTAGGTTGCCTATTATATGATCAGACATAGAACACTAAACTAAGAATTAACCTCATAACCTACCCCCTGAAAGTGATTCCCTTCTATTACTTTTGCCTAAATGAATCCTTCTTAAGAAACCTTTTGAATATCTCATGAAAGCTATGTAATCTCTCCCCAGGGCTGGGGAGGAGACAAGCATTCAAAATCTTGCATTCAATTTTAGAGGCTTCCTAGAGCTATTGAAAACCACTGATGTATCCTCTGAGAGATCCATGAACATCACATTGGGAACCCTTAATCCAATCCTTTGGTAGGAAACAAGAAGTTAATTTTCCTCTAGTCAATTTATCTAATTACATGTAAGTCACAACAATTTTATATATTTCTTTTCTATTTCATTTTTTCTCATATATATATATATATATATACTAAGACATAAAGCAAACCTGATCCAAACATCAGCAAGAATATATATATATATATATATATATATATATATATATATATATATATATATATATATAATTTCCATTGAAGGTTCAAGTTAATTAAAATTTGTCATGTAGGCATCAAAGCAGTCTATTCACTAACATGTGTCAAGTTCTATTTTATCTGTTCAAATATTTGGAAGGGCTATTTTATCAAATGGCAGGTAGTCACACAAATCATGTACTGATTTCTTGGGGCATGTGGGGGGGAAACTATATATTATGTGTGTGTGTTAGATATGTATTATTTTATTATTATTTATTGTTATATGCTTACAATTATTTATTGTTTACTACCTGTTTCCTCTGCTTTGAGGGCCATATTTTTGTCTGTTTTATTCTTTGTTGTATGACCAATGCCTGGAACATAGCATCTGGCACATAGAAGTCACTCAAAATGCATTTGTAGAATAAATGACTTAACAAAGTAAGTTATTGAGAATGGAAGGAAATTTTATTATATACTTCAGTACATGGCTTCAGAATGTGCACCTGCTACATTCATATTAGTATAGAGTTTTCATAGTTTCTCATGATAGGTAACATTTGCTTCAATCTAAGAACATTTATCTTTATTGAATACTACCACATGCCAGGTATTGTGCCAGCTGCTTTATCAAATTATCTCATTAATCCTTGTAGTAACTTTCCAAGTGTGTATCGTAATACTTATTTTACAAATGAATCCTCTGAAACCAGAGAGTTTAAACAGTCAAGGTCACATACCTGGTAGGTTGTAGGACTAATACTTGAAATCACACATCTCTGTTGTTATGTAATACATTAAAATAAGACTATACCTATTCATAGATTTGAATTCTAATCTCTCACCATTAGGGCCAAACTTCTAGAAAAAAACATAAGGTATGATATCTGCCATCAAATAGTGAACAGGGATAAATGTGCCATAAGATTTATCTTCATTTCACCAATACAAGATTGTAGCCATTTTTTAACTAAAAAAACTTTTAAGATCTATTTTCAGAGGCTATTGGTTATATGAAACAAAAAGACAACCATATTTAGGAGCAAGACATAATATGTTTAGACAAATTCACTATTTATCATTATCAAATCAACATATGAGAACAGGTGATAGATTTCATTGCTGGTCCCAGCTCCTCAACCCTCCCTTTATCCATGCTCTTTGCCATGAGTCTTTGTAGTTTCTCGCACTGAAGGAGCAGAGAATGAATCTCCCTATTCCTTGACTTTGGGTTTCCCCATGTACCTTGCTTGAGCTAATACAATAAGGTAAAAGTAACAGTGTTACACCTTTGAGCCCAGATCTTAAGAAACCTCATGTTCCTGCTTTCCATTTGCTTTTCATCTTGAAAAGTGCTTGAAAAATCTGAAGATTTGCCCCTCCTCATTCTGGGCCCACATGGCCAGACATGAAGCATACCTGAACTGAAACCTCAGCAAGAAGCCAAGTTCATCCAGATCCATAGCTAGAGGCAGAGCCATTCAGGTGAAGCCAGCCTATATCAACCAATTCACCCAAACCTGCAGACATATTAATAATAATAATAAATAGTTGTTATTTAAAGTCTCCAAATTGTAGGGTGATTTTCTTATGCCACCATAGCTACCTGTCCCAGAGCATAAGCTGACATTTCTGTTTCAGTCTTCAGTGTCACAAAATTGAAGTAACTCCAGTGGTAATACAAAAATATGTGTGTGTGTACAGCACACACACACACACACACACACACACACATACACACAACTTAAAATCCTTTAGGCTTCTATAATCCTCCTATTCTTAGATTTGCCATACAAGAGAGGCCAAGTTTCAAGAACAGAACTTTACTTTTCACTTGCATAGTAGTGAACTACAATATGTATCTGATGGATCAAATATGTAAAATTATGGTTACTGCATACAGCCACAACCAGCTGTGAATTAAAGTGCTAAAAGAAAATTAAGTAACTTCCAAACCTATACTTCATAATTTTGTTGACACAAATGCTGTAAGAAAAGTGATGGAAGGCAGAACTAATCAACATCCCAGAAATGTCTGAATGTATTAGGAAAAACAGAATGCAATACAATCACCATGATGTAATTGGGAGAGAATCCTCACTAATTAATTTCAACTGATGACTTGCAGAGGCCATAGTATAATATAGTAAGAAGCTCTATAGGACATTAAAGTTAGGACTGTCACAGGCTTTGACAGAGTAGATTCTCCTAAGGCTTTTTATATAAACATGCACATGCACACACATACAGAGAAATAATGTATTTCCCCTTGAGGGTTTATTTAAGTTAACTAAAAATTGATGTTGATTGTCATGTAAGTTACTGAAGCAGTCTATTCATTAATGTGTTCCAAATTCTATTTTATCTGTTCCAATATTTTGAAGGACTACTTCATCAAAACATGGCAGGTAACCATGGAAATCATAGAGCAATTCAGTGAAGAGAAAAAATTGATTAGTTTAGCGTAAGAGCAAGGTGAGTATGTGGCACTGGACAAATAGGCTAGCTTCTAGGTGAGAACCCAGGAGGGAAGAACTAGCCTCTAGATCAGAACGGGGGCATATTAGGAAGCCTGTCCTTTCAATTTTCTTTAACCTAAGGTATTTTTTTTTTCTACACAGAAGATGGAAATAAAGTACAAAAATAATATTTAATTTTCAATTTTGTCTTGATAATATATAAGCTATGTAGATTTAGATAATTGTTAAGTTATTGTGGCTTATGTACACATTTTATGCTAGTAGTTTTTGTTTATAAGATATGTGTGCATTGCATGGAGTATAGCCCTCATACAATCCTATAAGGCAAGTAATAGTAGCCCCATCATACATATGAAGTGCAAAGAGATAAGGGACTTGCCTGAAGTCACCAGGGTGGGGCTGTGAGTCTGGGACTTGAATGAAAGTCTATCCAAGTTAAAGTCAAGAGTTAATTCCATAGTACCATCGCTAGATAATGTTACTCAGCTGGAAACTAGAGGGTTTCTAGGGAAGCACTTGATTTAAAGTCGGCAAAAAGAGGCTTAAAGGGCATTGTTCTTTATAGAAAAAAAGGTATTTGCTTCTTTTAACTAATCTACCCATGCTGAATACCACTATGTACAAGAAACTACAGTAGCGTGAACCCGGGAAGCGGAGCTTGCAGTGAGCCGAGATTGCGCCACTGCAGTCCGCAGTCCGGCCTGGGCGACAAAGCGAGACTCTGTCTCAAAAAAAAAAAAAAAAAAAAAAAAAAAGAAAAGAAACTGCAGTAGAATCAAAGTGAATAGGATCTAGTCCTTACCTGCCAAAGCCTTCTAGCCAAATGGTGAAAGAGGTTGCCAGTCATCAGTCATCACATTCACAATTAAAATATGTTAGAAATTATGTTGTGATGCAGGCATTAAAGTGATGAAATGAAGTTATTCTGAAGACTCAAAAGAGGAAAGTATCCTATTTTTTGATAGGAAATTGGGAAATGTTTAAAAAGCAGGGTACTTTTTCAGACAGGGCTTTGAAAAATAAAGAGGATTGCAGCAGAGTTATTGTTACCGGTGGTTGGAAGAGAGGTGTGATAAGGAAATCTTTTAAAGAGGGAACAGTGTAAGAAAAATATGTGACATGAGATATTATAATGCATATTTTAAAAGTAGTAAGATTTGTGGTTTTACTGAGACTTAGAAAATGTGCAATTGGGTTTATAAAATAAAGCTGGCATGTGGGTTGATATCGTGTCTTGGAGACACGATATCAATCCATAAAAATAGCATTTTTAGGGATTTCGATTATTCAATGGTCTAGGAGTTTCCAGCATCAGAGTCACCTCAACGGCTTGTTGAAACACATATTTCTGGTCCGCACTCATGAGTTTCTTATTCAGTAAAAAAGAAGTGGGGCCTGAGAATTTTAATTTCTAACAGGTGATGCCAATGCTGTTCTCAGGTGATGCCAATGCTGCTGGTCCAGAACAGTAGTTTGTGAACCAATGCAATAAACAAAGGTCATCTAGAAAGGACTTATGAGCAAGAAAATGACTGGATCATGGTGATGCGGCACAAAATCAATATTTTTTTGTAGGATAGATCAGAGCAACGAAGGTAATATGGTTTGGCTCTGTGTCCCCACCCCAATCTCATCTCTAATTGTAAGCCCAACAATCCCCACATGTTGAGGGAGACACCGGGAGGGAGGTGATTGGATCATGGGGGTGGTTTCCCCCATGCTGTTCTCGTGATAGTGAGTGAGTTCTCATAAGATCAGATGGTTTTATATGGCGGTTTTCCTTGCTTTTGCATACACTCTTTCTCTTGCAGCCCTGTGAAGACGGTGCTTGCTTCTCCTTCCATTATGACTATAAGTTTACTGAGGCCTCCCCAGCAATGCGAAACTGTGAGTCAATTAAACCTCTTTCCTCTATAAATTATCCAGTCTCACATATTTCTTTATAGCAGTGTGAAAATGAACTAATATAGAAGGTCACTGTAGTTTAGGAGGCTATTACAATAATATAGGACGGAGTGGATAGACGTTCTAAGAAAACCAATACAAAGAGGAAAGTAAAATACCCAGAAGCTGTCAGTTTTATCCCCATGTATTCTCACTTCAGCCCTCACCTACCCATATAAGAATCTGAAAGGTCAAAAAACTAATATAGTTCAAAGAAAGTAAACTATAAAAACAAATATCAGTTATTATATGTGAGTCACTTTAAAAATTATATATGCTTAGCCAGAGTAACGTTTAGCTATAATGAAACTAAAGGAATGTAGTTACAGCCCTCACGGAGCTCATATGAAGGGGAGCCACAGAGTCATAGATTTGCAGGCTCTCTACACCCCGACCAGGGAGAGGTCCTGGCTGCCGGGCAGGTATTTCTCCAAAGTGGAAATAGATGGATGTTTTCCACAAGTTGCATTTTTTCTCATATTAAATGAATAAATTAACATTTGAGTTTACGATTTTCTCTCTTGAGCCATGGCCGCAATAAATAGGCAGGACCAGAGGAGAAAACCAAACCAGTGACAGAGAAAGGAATGTGGACTTTAGAGAAGAACTGAGCAGTGAACTACACACTTTAAGCAAGGTCTATGTTGTCAGAGGTAAACAGGCATTGTAATTGGGGACTTGTGGTGCTAGGTTAGATTTTGGACTTTCAGGACAATGAGAGGTTTGCATTACCTAATCTGTATGCATAGGCAAATTTCTGTTCTTTATTGTTTGTGATTGGGTTAACAAATTCAACCCAAGGAAAATTAATTTAGTGGCATTAGGTAAAACAGCAAAGAAACAAAATGGACGAGGGAAGTAGGCTAGATGGGAAATCGATGCCAGGAACATTGCACATTAAATTTAGTTCTCCTCTGCATTTTTCAGAGGAAGCAGGGAAGAAGTACGGTCTGTCCTGTGCTAGCTAATGAAGGCTCACCACATTGCTATATTTGAATTTGTTTAGCATACCGATTTGCACAATAAATTTAGAATTTAGAGGGAAGCACAGATTCCAAGCTGTCCATACTCAGGTTTGGGAGTTACAGTGTAACAAGGACATTCTCCAGAGAAGAAAATCAAGGAGCCAAGCAACCCATCCCAAACCGGATTTTGTGAGATCAGCAGAATGAAATGTGTATGAAGAGGTCAGGGACTTATAAATCCTGGGATTAGATTTTAAAGTGAACACAGCTCAGCGCCTAGCCAAGAAAGAGACAGGGGAGTTGGTAGTTATGGTGATATGCCGAATCATTTGCCAAACATCAGGAGAGTGAAAAAAGAACAGGGAAATGTAATCCTGTTGTGTCTATTCTGAGAGCTTGAGAATATAAATCATTTGAAAGTTATTCTCGCGAAATGCAATATAAAGCCCTAATCACCTGAAATTCCTGTCACCAGGTTCAAGAGGAAGCTTAGCCTTTAGTACCTCCAAAGAGCTGGTTCTAATTGCATAGATGGTTTCTTCAAAACACCCAAAAGTAGGGGAAGGGGTAGAGAACAAAGATCTATATTGGATTTTACTCCACAAGATGTAGTACTCATGGGTGGCCAAGAAATCTTAGTTCAGTTAATTATTTAGCATGTAATTTTGTGCTATGTATTTTACTAGATATTGACTTGCTGTGGTACATTTTTTTAAAGTGTAGGAAGAGACAGAATGTTGGATACTCACATAATAACAGTTATAATGGGTGCTATGAAAAAAACAGGTTTCAATAAAAATGTTAAACAGAGCAACATAATCTAGTTTTAGAAGCTAAAGGAATCTACAGAAAACAACACAAAGTTTGTCCTTGAAGAATGAACAGTGACCAGTTAGATAAATGTGTTTGTAAAAAGCATTCTGAGAACACATAATATGTAAAGTCTCTAAAGTAAAAAGTAGCTGAGTATGCCCAAGAAACTGAAAGAAAGTTGTTGTAGTTACAAATACTGAGTGAAATAGAAAGGATGTAAAATGAGTGAGATAAAGTTGCAATTTATAAGGGACCATAGAGCAACTAAAGATTGTGTGTGTGTATGCATGCACACACGTGAATGTATGTCTGATAAAGTATCTAACAAAAGGTATATATATATATATATATATATTTTTTTTTTTTTTGAGACAGGGTCTCACTTTGTCACCCAGGCTAGAGTACAGTGGCGTGGTCTCAGCCTACTGTATCCTCAACCTCCAGGGTTCAAACAATGCTCCTGCCTCAGCCCCTCAAGTAGCTGGGACTACAAGCATGTGCCACCACACCTGTCTATTTTTTTTTTTTTTTGGTAGAGATGGGGTTTCGCCATGTTTCCCAGGCTGGTCTCAAACTCCTGAGCTCTAGTGATATACCCACTTTGGCCTCCTAAAGTGCTGGGATTATAGGCATGGCCTAGTCAGGAGGTAGAAATACATATATTTTATATATATATATATATATATATATGCGCACATATATATGTGCCGAATATTTTATATTATCATAGCCAAGGCTATTGGTTATGATTATCACCTTTATATTGTCCCTCTTGTCATCTGTACAAGGGATATTGTCCCTCTTGTCATCTGTACAACTTTTAACAGGAGTGGTATTGATACTAAGCATGCCTTCCAGATATTCATTAGGGATGTTCACAATACTAGAGTTTCCTTCCACTCATATGTATAACTGAACCTCCATGGAACTTTGATATTAGGTGAATCCACATGACTTGCTTTAGCCTATGCAATGTGAGCAGCACTGTGGCTGTTACACATGCAGAAGCATGAAGAGTCATTGTGCAACATGCCCTGTCCTCTGCCTATGCTGCGGGAACCATGAAAGCCCGTGTGGAGGTGGGTCCTCTGTTCATCACCTGGGATTCTAGTTAGACGTATAACCATGTAGAAGTTGCTTATTGTCTCAATGTTTTCATTTACTAAATAGTAACAACTCTACCAACTTGCTTTCCACACAGGAAGTTCAGTGTGTAATACAGGATAACAGCAACATTCTATACACATAACAATTATTGCTGAGTAAATAATCCGTTGGTATAAATATAATCAGGAAATAAAAAGCAAAGTGAAAATGCATCTTCAAACTTTTCTAATTGTGAATAGAAAATAATGCAATAAAGACCTTGCATTATTAAGATAAGCAAAATCCTCTGCTGAGCTGGAGCAAATTTTATGCTTATTACATCAAGAGGGATTTTTGATCAAAAACTGCTTAAATTTGATTATCATTGTATTCCCCTATAATCTAACATGGACCTTCAGACTATTCTTATCACTGGATAACTGGCTTTCAAATAATCACTCAAAAAAAAAAAAAAAAAGGAATGCCAAGAATGGCAAAGTAAGGAAAGTAATGCGTGGCCTTCCAGATGGCAGAAATTAGCACCTCCTTCCAACTCATGACATAAATACATGTCTCTTGCTGATACTTTCTAGACCAGTGGTTTTCAAAACAGGTGCAGTGAGACATTGCAATGTTGAAGTCACTTGTAAGGTAAGTCATAAGTAATTTGTTAGGAATACAGTACTACAGTTTATGAATTGTTGGCTGAAAATAATTAGAATTGATTCAACATCATTCTTGCATTCTGTTACGCTTCTTGGGGTGGGAACAAAGGATGCGTAGGAATGTGGTATGTGTGCAGCTTAGCCTATGCATTATCAAGAACACCAAGTTCCCAGGTGAACACCTGGGATTCTAGTTAGACGTATAACCATGTAGAAGTTGCTTATTGTCTCAATGGTTTCATTTACTAAATAGTAACAACTCTACCAACTTGCTTTCCACACAGGAAGTTCAGTGTGTAATACAGGATAACAGCAACATTCTATACACATAACAATTATTGCTGAGTAAATAATCCATTGGTACTAAATATAATCAGGAAATAAAAAGCAAAGTGAAAATGCATCTTCAAACTTTTCTAATTGTGAATTTAAGCTGTGCACATGTTAAGAAATATCTAATTAACTGAGACAACAGTTGCTAGGTTGTATGTAACTGGAAATGTAGCCACTCCAGAATTCCAAGGCAGGCAAGAGAATTGTGAATTAAGGAGCTGAAAAAATTTCCACCAAGGAGAAATTATGGAAACTGGGTCTTAATTGCTAGGAGGATTCAGAAGCAACGAGAAAACTGAACATGACGTTTTGAGATGTTTGAAACTGAATTCTTACTCTGGACCACATTGGCCTAGTTGATAGGAAGCTTCACATATCACACAGAACGTTGCTCTGAAATTAGTAGTGCAATTATTGCAGTCCTACTCTATGTAAAAATTAGAAACAACAGTGGTAGCTGCAAGGCACATTTGAGTATCTACAAGGATGGAGGCAAGGAAAAGTGAAAATTGTAAGGGAGAGGCAAAACAGAAGTGCTATTTTTTTCAGTGCCAATTCAGGACCAAACACTAGTAGGCATTTTACCTTTGCATCATCTAGTGCTCACAAAGCTTTGTTTACTGAATATTATTTCCTTCTAATTTAGAGATGAAAAAACTGAGGCTTAGAAAGCTTATATAACATTTTCAAGATTTTACATCGTAAAAGTGGTGGAGAGGAGATATTTACCCAGACCTATTCAACTTCTAAGCCTATATGTATTTATCATGCCAATTTGTTTTCCCAAAGATTTTACAATCTAGTGATGGTGGCAGTTAGGATGGAGGGGGGTAGAAGTTATAAATAAAAAGATGTAAGACAGCATATGATAAGTGCCAAATGACTAATATTTAAATTAGAATAGAAAGTCTAGCTGAAATGGACACAAATTGTAAGGAGACACATTATCTTTGATAGGGTGAGGTCCAGGACAGATATATCAAGTAGCCTATTTATGTCATTAAATACCCTGTTTATTTTAATCTTTAGTATATCACAATGAGTTGTGATCTTAATATCTCAAAATGGAGTCACTCATATCAAGAGGCATTAGGCCCACAGTGAAGTTGTTTACCCTTCATAGCAGTAAACACATATGTAATGCACCAAAATGAGAAGATAACATCTGCTGTTGCCCAGTCCCACAGAAGACCTGAAACAACCGATAGAAAGTAAATCCAGAAAAGTGGCTAAGATAATGAGAATATACACAACTGCAGAGAATCCTAAAAGCAGCAAGGAGGAACTGATCCTGTCTGAGACCCCTTTGGAGTCTCTGACCCTGAGAACTTTGAAATCTTCTCCCAACTTGGCATCTGCCACCAGAGGTTCTGGAAGAAATGACTCCCCTGTCGATCGGTGTCTGAAGAATTTCTTGTCACACTTGACGCTTCTGTTGGCATGCTGGTCCCCTGAGCCATCACTGTAGTTTGTTAGCCCCTTTTTTATTACCGACTGTGTGTTCAATATTAATTGATGATTTGTGGTGTGTGAAGGCTTTGCAAAAATCTGTGAATTTGAGCGTATAATAATTGGCTACTGATTCACTATGAATCCTCTTGACATCAGTCAGTGAGCACACCTAGGCCAGATGAACCGAATTAACACAAACATCTTTGTGCAATGTCCTCAGAGTTATCTTTATTCTCAGGCTAAGAGCAAGATGGTCCCAAGTTTGATGGCTAGACCACCATCTAGAAAAATAAGGACTTATTTCTTCATATGATTCTATGTTAGAAGCAAAGGAAATTTCCTTACAGGTTTCAGAAAATGGGTCGTGTGGTCACTTTTGATTCATGTGTAAGTAGGGGGAATGGGTTACCCTAAATAACATTAGCACTCAAATCATCTCACCATATGTTAAAGACCAAAAGTATAAAACTCCTAGAAGAAAACACAGGGGAAATCTTTACTATATTGGTATTAGCAATAGCTTCAGGGATATGACACTGAAAACACAGGCAACAAAAACAAAAATAAATGTCTCTATCAAACTAAAAAGCTCTGCACAGCAAGGGAAACATTCAACAGAATAAAAAGGTAACCTACAAATGGAAGCAAATATTTACAAACTACCTATTTTATAAGGGATTAATCTGAGTGAAACATATAAGGAGCTTCTACAACTAAATAGTAAATAAAATTAATGATGAATAAAAAAAATGGGCTAAGGGCTTGAATAGACGTTTCTCCAAAAAAGACATACAAATGGCCAAACAGTAAACAAAATTTTTGCTCAATGTCAGTAATGAAATGCAAGTTAAAACCACAATGAGATATTACTTCAAGCCTGTCTGGATGGCTATTATCAAAAAAAAAAAAACAAACAAAAAAACAAAAAACAAATGTTGGCAAGGATGTGAAGAATTTGGAATCATTGAACATGTCTGGTGGAAGTGTAAAATGGTGTAGTTACTATGGAACACAGTATATAGGTCCCTTTAAAAATTAAAAATAGAACTCCATGTGATCCAGCAATCCTATCTCTGGATATTTATGCAACAGAATTAAATCAGGATCTCGAAAAAGATCCTTATGTTTATTGCAGCATTCCAATGTTGACTGCAGCATACTCACAATAATCAAGATGTGTAAACAACCTAAATGTCCCTCGACAGATGAATGGATAAAGATTGTGAATACTATTTGTGACAACATGAATGAAACTTGAAGACATTTTAAGTAAAATAGGCTGGTCATAGAAAGACAAAGATGGTGTAATTCCACTTATATGAGGTATCTAAGATAGTCAAAAATCATAGAATCAAAAAGTGAAATGATGGTTATCAGGGTCAGGAAAAGGACTAAATGGGCATGACTAATCAGCAGGCATATATTTTTAAGCAACAGTGAGCAAGCTCCAGAGATCACCCTGTACAATATAGTACTTACAGTCAATAATAATGTGTCATGCACTTACAAATGTAAGAAGGTAGATCTCATGTTCAGTTTGTTTTATTTACCCTTAAACCACTGCTGGAGGTGAGAGTAAGGTCTATATCCCTGAGACTCATAACTATAAGTAAAAGAGGTGAAGTATTACCAGAAAAAAAGGTGACATATCCTATCTAAGAATTCTTGCAGATGCAATAATTGCTTGTTTCTCCCTGGGATAGTTGATGAAGACATTATGGAGGAGAATGCATGGGACTTCTTTTTGATAATAAGGCAGGATTTCTTCTCACCTTCCACCTATTAGAAAAATATGTGAATAAATATAGATGAAATATGTTTTTCTCAGATATATTTTATATATACAAAGAACAAGCAGCTCCATTTTATTAAGCAATTATATACTATTGTGCTAACAGATTTATATGAATTTATTTAATTTCTGCAACAATCATATACAGTTATTTGCACTTTTACAATGCCCATTTTGCAAATGAGAAAACTTAGAGCTTGGAGATGTTAGGGCCTAAGACACACCACTAGAAAGCAGTAGAACCTTTGGGTATATACCTAGTAATGGGATGGCTGGGTCAAATGGTATTTCTAATTCTAGATCCCTGAGGAATCGCCACACTGACTTCCACAATGGTTGAACTAGTTTACAGTCCCACCAACAGTGTAAAAGTGTTCCTATTTCTCCACATCCTCTCCAGCACCTGTTGTTTCCTGACTTTTTAATGATGGCCACACCAGGGACTGTTGTGGGGTGGGCGGGAGGGATAGTATTAGGAGATATACCTAATGTTAAATGACGAGTTAATCGGTGCAGCACACCAATATGGCACATGTATACATATGTAACAAACCTGTACGTTGTGCACATGTACCCTAAAACTTAAAGTACAATAATAATAAAATTAAAAAAAATTTTAAAAAGGCCAGGCACGGTGGCTCACGCCTGTAATCCCAGCACTTTGGGAGGCCAAGATGGGTGGATCAGAAGGTCAGGAGATCGAGACCATCCTGGCTAACGCAGTGAAACCCCGTCTCTACTAAAAATACAAAAATTAGCAGGGCGTGGTGGCGGGCGCCTGTGGTCCCAGCTACTTGGGAGGCTGAGGCAGGAGAATGGCATGAACCCTGGAAGTGGAGCTTGCAGTGAACCGCGATCGCGCCACTGCACTCCACCATGGGTGACAGAGCGAGACTCCATCTCAAAAAAAATAAAAAATAAAAATAAATAAAAAATAAAAGAATAAAAAAATTTTTACTTGGAAAAAAAAGAAAGTAGTAGAACCACTATTCAAACTCAGTCTGACTCTAAAAGCCAGCTCTTACACAGTACTACATTAGATTTTATATATGAAATATTAATACATATTAGAACACGAGAAAGGAAATCCCCTCAATTCATTACAAGCAGCAATCCTGTATCAGTCCATGATGGGTGATAGGGTCTCTCTCTGTCATCCATTTCAGCAGACATTCATGTAAATCCATTTTAAAACTCCTGACCTACTGACAATCAATAAAAGTGAATTTGAAAATCTGTCTTTTCCATGCAGCTATATAATCCATACTAAATAATTTGCTTATCTGTTTCTGAATAAAGTTATACAAAAGAAGAGAAATCAAGACTTTGATGAAACACTAGGTGTCTTTCCTTTCTCCAATCTCTAACTATTGCCAGACAGAGCCTAATGTTGCGGAGGACTCTGAACCTTTTGTGCATCCTCTTTGGTTATATTTACAAGGAATGAGGTGGCCTTGAACGGCTGTAGGAGTAGGCCATGCTAGTCCACAGATTGGTTGTCAACAGATTTTAGGTAATTGTGGCAGGTAAGCTGACTGGCGTCATCACAGACAGACATTTATTTGTGGACCAATAAATATTTTTGTAACTTTGGTGCTACTTTTGATGAGACCAAAATCCATAAAAATCTTTGGGCACCATATGCTAACTGCTTTCAAAGAAAAAAATTGACAATCTCTTTGCAATTCCAACTGTCACTTTCACAGTAGCAGATAAAGGAGGGTCTGTGTTACTCAGAACTTAACTTTAGTGGACATTCCTCTAATTTTAAATGGCAAATTAATACAAATGATGGTAATGATGTGGCCATTAGAGCTGATCTCTAGATTAAAGAACCAGTTTTACAACTGCTAGAATTTTTTGAATAGTCAACTTCAATTTTTTTAATGGTTACTTAATTAAAGGGAATTAGAACTTTAGCAATATGGCAATTTAATTTAAAAAAATGAGAAAGAAGTGTCACAGCTACATCTTTCATTCATTTTAATTTGAGAAAATGTATTATCTTCTCAGAGAATATATAAAAGGAGCTGAGAAGCATTTTTCCCAAAAGAAAATGGGTTATAATAATACGAATCACAAAGTTGCCTCATATTCAGTTGTCATTTAGTCAATGTTATTAACTTGGTTTTATAATAGCTTAAGAATAGATTCTCATAGAGTAATTCAATCGGTGAGAGCAAGTTTCTTAACCCCTGTTACAGAAAATCTCTTCTATTGATTTATAGGGCGTGTGACAAATGATGAGAAATGCAAAGCAATCATAATGCTGTATGGAATACCAGGCCTTACAAGCAGTTGAAGCTAAGAGATCATGTTTGTGCATTCATCGTTACTTGAGCTTTCTGATCTATCTATTTCAAGAATCATTAGGTTACTTAAGAAGAACTTCTAAATGCCACACACAATTTTTATTATAATATCTTTTCATTTTGGAAAGAACACTATATGTTGCAGGTCCAGTTTCCCAGCTGCCTTGACATAGATAACTGCAGCCCTTTGAATGGTGTGCATCTAGGGACATGCACTGATTCTAGGGCTCAAAAAGTTGCTATTCACTTTGTTTAAAATATATGTTCGCTTTTAAATCAGAATGTTGCTTATATTAGAATACCCAAAACCCCAAGAATATGCAATGTCCATTTTTCAGGACATTAACCTGGTTCCTTGAATGGGAGCCATTGTTATTTTGCAGGCAAAAATGTGTCACCTTTTCTATTCCTAACCACGTCAGTACTGAAAATCTGGTTAGTGATTAGGTGCCTTTTAAAAGAAGCAGCAACATCACTCCTTGGAGCTGAAGGACAATGAAAAACAGAAAGAAAGAAACAAGGAGCAAAATAGAACTAGGGTCTCTGGGAATCTGCTTTCAAATCCTGTGTACCTTATTTGGAAAAAAATAAGTGCTATCAATTTCATTTAAACTTATTTAAATGTCAGTTTCTCTGCCTTTCAAAAGACGTAAAATGTAAATATTAGAAGCAGAATGCCCTCCTGATGTGACCAGTTTTGAATGAACAAATAGTAAATAATGCCAGGTAAAATTAAAGGTTGTCCTCAAAAGTCAAATTCTGATTTGAGCAAAGCCTATTTATAGCATAGTTCTTTGTCCCAGACAGAGAAACCTTTCAAACATTATTACCCAGAGTTCATCATTGTTAAGAAACAATCATTCCTTCTTATTCCTTCTTATTTGATGATATAATAGCATTTGGCATATTTTTAAATCCACATATTAATTCAATTAATATGTATGTAGCACCTGCAATGTATGCAGTTCCAGACCATGGGGTGGCTAGAAAAACGGATTAATCTAGGTGCTGTTAAGTAAATACAAAATAATTGCTTGATACAACGTTTGTTTTGGAAAGACAACTGAGACAGGGCACTGAGGAGGTGATTTTGGAATAAAGGTCAGAATCAAGTGGAATCAACAATACACTAAGAGAAGAGCGTTTAAGAAAGGAAAGCATGAAAAAGATGAATCCGTGGGTAATTGTTTGAAGATAAACGAGGAGACCAGAGTGGCTGGAGGAGGGAGAATCAGTGAAGGAGTGTGAGAGAGAAGGTGAGAAAGGAAGTCAAGGGCCAGATTATACAACGCCTAGTAAGAACGTGGGATTTCCTTTTTATCCTAACACAAAGTTATCAGAGAGTTTTGAGCAAGTAGATGATAGCATCTAATATTTAATATTCTAGAATTTTTATGCATTTTATATGAAAATATTCAAACATGCACAGAAGTGGAGAGAATAGTATGATAAACACACATATACCCATCACACACATTTAATAATTATTAAAAATTTACCATGCTCACAATTTATCCATCCCAGGTTTTGTGTTATTTTTATATATTTATTTTTTATTGTTTTCATTTTTTAATATATTATTATTATTTCGAGACAGGGTCTTGCTTTATCACCCAGGCTGGAGTGCAGTGATGTGACCATGGCTCACTATAACCTCGACCTCCTGGGCTCAAACAATCCTCCTACCTCAGCCTCCCAAGTAGCAGGGACTACAGGCATGTACCACTAAACCCGGCTAATTTTTGTGATTTTTGCAGAGACAGGGTTTCGCTATGTTGCCCAGGCTGGTCTTGAACTTCTGGGCTCAAGTGATCCACCTGCCTTGGCCTCCCAAAGTGCCGGGATTCCAGGTGTGAGCCACCGCACCCTACCTTGTTTTTGTTGAAATGAAAATCCCAGATCTCATATCACTACTACTTGCTGAAACTGTAACTTCAAAAATTATAGACATTTTCTTACATAGACACAGTCATTATTCCACTCAACACAATGAATCTTTCCTTAGCGTTACATACTACTTGGTCCATATTCAGATTTCTCTTTTAAACACAGTATGTTACCACATTGAACTGAAGTTTCAAACTTGTTACACACACTGTATTCAATTATTATTTCTTTTACGTATCTTTTAGTTTGAAAGTGTCTTTCTCCCCTCCACCATCATATCTTCAACATGTCGTTGATTTTTTAAATGCATCTTGTCCCATATGCAGGATTTTTCTGTTTACTTTTGGTGATATCCCTTGAATTGTTGCTTCTTTGTCTGTATTTGTGTATACTAGAAATTAGCTAGGAGGTCTTGATTAGATGTTTTTCAAAAGAAAAAGGCTTTATAGTACAGATTAAATCACAGTAGGAGACACAGAGTGTCTGGTTGCCCAATATTAGTGAGCCTATGATTGGTCTGTGTGTTCTAGGGTGACAGTCTGATTTCTTCATTGTAAAATCCTCCATCGACAGCTCATCTTATTCATTGATAATTTTTGCCCGAATCAATTATTTCCTTAGGATTTACTAAATGGCAATTTTCGAATCCTGTCATTCTTTCCGTATTTATCAGCAGGAATTATGTGTAAAATAATTTTCTCTAAATATCAAGTGTTATTTTTCTCTTAAATACGCTTTGCATGAGAAAGACAAGATAAATACTGAAGCCTTTTTCTTGAATGAGAATTTTCAGAGGAAGAAATTTGTTTCCTATTTACTAGCAATGATATTTCTCTCTTTCTCTCTGTCTCTCTCTCTCTCTCTATACACACACACACACACACACACACACACACACACACATACATACATATAAAACAAATATATGTATCTGTCTCTTTGGAATATTAATATGAATTCGTCGATTTTATATATTCAGTATGCTTCAATCTATTGTATTCATTACTGTTTTTGGTGTTCAAAATGTTCGCTTTTGTCTGGGAATCCCTTTAGTTTGACTCTTGTCTTTTTAACATAACCTTACTTATCTTTGAGCTTGTTTACTTTCTAGCACAACAAAGTGCTTCTTCGCATCTTATACATTTCCTACCCCATCTAGGAATTAGTCAACTCTCCCAACAAGCTGAGTTCTATTACTGAGAAATGGTAGAAACCACTGTCAAGACAGCAGATATATTCATTGCTGTGGCTTCATTTTTGCTTATTGGTATTTTCAGTAGCTAGAATTAGAGAATACATCTTTGGAGAGAAAAAAATCAGAATTCATACTGTTGTATCAAAATAAAGGTAAAATAGTTTATTTCTACCTTACTTATTTTAGACTTACAACTCTTTCCTCTTAACTAGAAATTAATTTTTCTAAATTATATAAATACTGTCTACTTTTCTTTATCCTATAATGTTTAAAATAGTTATAAAAATTCTAATATTAATACTCCAAATGAGACCACTGAGTTAAACTTGAGATTTCCTTCCATCTCTGTTTGTCCTTTGGATATACTTCACTTTGCAAGTATATCCAAAATACTGTGTATAGACAAAGTACTGTGTTTTGAGGTCACTTGGAAAATTATTTTTTATGTAATTGTGTCACCAATTTGATAGTTAGGTTCATTGATTTCTATTTTCTCTCCTACAGATTGCTTTTTAAAATCTTTGATCCAATTTTAATTTTGAAATTGTGCAACATTTAGATTTTTCCGAAGTCAAATAAATATAACAAAGTATATTTAGAGCAATTTTGTTTCTATCTATCTCTGATATTTCCATCCTGATCTCTGGTCTTTCTTTGGGTAACTTTTTGTTCATTTATACATCAATTGTTCTTTTTGAAATTGAAGCAAGCACATACAAATATCCATGCCACCTTCATAATACTATAAATACTGGTCTGTACTTTACTTTTCTCACTTAACCCTATATCTTGGAAATTATTTCTTTTCAGTATATAGAGATATTTTCATTCCTTTTTAATGCTTCATGGTATCCCTTAGTATGGAATTAGTGAGGGTATTAATTTCTAATTTGATGGGATCTTTATTTAATTGATAATATAGTGCAGGGAAGCAAGGGAAAAAGCAAAAAGACCAGAAAACTATGGCAATAGGTTATAAAAAAGGTAGATTGGACTAGGGCAATAGTGGTAAAAGCATGCAAAGTAATCAAAATAAGGAAATATTTTGAAGGTAAAGCTATTTGGAGTAACTGATGACTTGAATATAGGATGAGAGAGGAAAGTGACAAATCCACATTTTCCACCTCAACAATGGGGGGATTGGAATGTTATTCACCAGAGGAGGAGCTGATGTGAATGTGGTAATGGCAAGGGTTCACTTTGGGACATATTATTTTGAGATGTATTTTAAATATCCAAGTGGAAATGATGAGTCAATATGTAAATCTGAAATTCTGGGGAGAAGTCTGGGATGGAGCTCTAAATTTGGGCATTAATAATTTAGTTTTATTATCTCATTTGCCATTTAGCATCATCATTAAATTTTGTAGCTTCTTTCGTGTCAGTTTTTGGTTTAGATCTTGACTCTGGTGCTAACAGTGGAATCTTGGGAAAATCACTATATGATTTTAAAGTATTTTTAACTTATAAAAAGGTGATAATAATAGTATTATTTCAAACATTTATTTAATGTTTGACACAACATATGTAAACTACTTACAATAGTGGTTATTTTGAAATTTTAAATTAATGTTAGTGTTTTTTTTTATTTAAACTACAGGACAACCCCTAGATGTGTATAAGTAATTCAGAAAATGTTATTTTGCCTCCATATATATTGCCTAATATTCATCTATGATCTTCTGGGTTATGATAATATAAATATATAGGAGGCATAGCCCCTAACTTTGAGGACCTCATGGTATCATTATCCTAATATTACAATTGGAGAATTACAATTGGAGAATTCAGCTCAAAGGAAGACTTGCACATGTTTAAATAGTGAATTTTTAGAATATTATTTATTCAGACATGCTTTGAACAAATTGTACCAAGTAACAGTAGGTAAAGTCTAGAAACAAATTCAAATAAAAACTACATGTGACTATATGTTCATTTTGCCCTAAAAAATCCATATGTAACTTTTTATTTGGGATACTAAACTAAGATGTTGATTTATAGAATGCAACGAAGGTGTACAAAGTTCTTGCCCTGATGATCTTATTTCAGTGTAACGGCAGCATGTGTGATAAATTAGTTGGTAGTTCAAATAGATAGGAGGATCAAACATAAATGGTGAGCAAGTGGAACCTAGAAGACCATCGGCCAAAGAAAGCGTTCCTCAAAAATTTGTCTGCATACATAAGGAAAGGCTGGGTGAAGTACTGAAAAGGAGAGAAGTTTATTACTGCAACTATACAAAAGGGAAACTAAGGTCACGTAGTGAAAAGATAGAGAACATTTGTAGGTAGGGAAAAGTATTTCTTTGTGCTTGAATTTATGTATATCTGTGTGTGTGTGTGTGTGTGTGTGTGTGTGTGTTCTCTCATAATAATAACCATGACAATTCCGTGGAGATTCATACTTTATAAATGAGAAACAGGGTTTAGAGGAGATGAATAACTTGCCCAAATTCAATCAGCTAAGGAAAGAGTCCAGATTCCCAATCTTTGCCCATGGACTCTTGCTCTGCCACTCACACTGCAGTATTAGTGCACAGAAGACTTGGCTCTGCATGATTTCTCACTTTGGGGCTCCTATATTCCAGGGGAGCTGTTCATTGCATTTGGTCCTGGAGGAAGAACTCTATCTTTGGATGAATACCACTATATATTGAAACCTTAATACATATTTCCCTGATTAATATTAATCAACTCAAAGTAGAAAGAATCACTCTTTTTAAAATGAGGAAATCATGGTGTAGAGATTAAGTAGTTTTTCAAAATATTCACAGGTTGTACAGTAATTAAGTGATCTGGAATTCCATCTCTTTGAATCCAAACCTTGTACTTCCTCTCATCCAACAGAAAACTTGTGTTATATCCCAAATGAATCTTAGTAAATCACCTTTTTCTGACTTCCTCTCTGCTTCTTATTTTATCTTTAATGACTGTACTAAAGTCATAATTTATGTGAAGTCTCATAAAAGTGATCTGGGCAAAGTTATCTGTTTCCCCAATGTGCTCCTAAAGCAACTTGTCTATGATAGCCATTCGATTTCCTCTCCATATTCTGTGTAATGATTTGTTTTGCATAATAGATTTGAACTCCTTAAGGCCAAAACTGTTGTTTCACTTATCTCTGGAAGTTGAATGCACTAAATGAATTTCTCTGTAGAAAGGAAACACTAGTGTTATTTGGCAAGTTGTATTTCTTCCTGTTTTTGCCACTTTTTTAAAAACCTCTTTTGAGTATGATGAATGAAGAAGGAGATAACTGGATACATTTAGGTTAAAGAGATGTAAAACAATTTAAATTACATTTGCAGAATAGAATAATGGAATCCGTGGACAAAATTGGAAAATAGTTAAAAATACAGCCTCACATTTTACAAACCAATGATTTATTTGGGGTCAGGTAATACCGATGCTTTAAGGAGCTTTAGGGCTGACTGGAAAGTAGAGATAAGAACGATAATTAAGTAACCTAAGGTGTTAATACATATTTTTAAATTAAGAGCATAGAGCTGTTTATAAAGCTAAGAAGAGGAGAAAGAAACTGATATAAATGGTTCTTTTACACTGTGGGGGGATAGTTGAATGGGTCCACAAGGCATGCCCCAAAGATCTGATGCCACAGATCAAAAGAGATAAAAGGTTTACTGGTGGAAACATTCGCATGTGTGATACTAACTTCAGAGACCTCAGCAGGGGAGATTAGAGAGAAGGGAACATGGAGGAGCCCTGAGTAACTAATCTCTTCTGAAAGAATGTTGACTTGGAAAGACTTAAAGGCTTAGAAAGGAATTCCTAGGAGGGTACATGCTGCCAAAGGAAGCACACAAGAGACTAGGATAGGTGTGATGTAGTAACATTTTACTCGAGGGCGGGCTTAGTGTAGTGGGGAGAATATAGTCTTAGGAGTCACCCTGACCTGATAGAAATGGCTGTTTCATCTCTTACTACTTTTTAACTTCTCAGAAGCCTACTTTCTGAGAGGCAGCAAGAACAAGTTGATGAAAATGACACCTACTCTGTGGTTCTTTTGGAAGTAAAGGTGATGTAACACATGTAAAGAATATAATTTAATATCTGGCAAATGTCAGGTTATTCCTTTCTCTTACCTTCCACACTTCTGCATTTCAGATCTTTTTTATGTATTATTAAAGCCTTTCCTCTCATCCACTTAGCATGAATTAAATAATAGAAGCAAATGTTGGAATTTAAAGGAGTAATACAAGACAGATGAGATAAAGAGAAAAAATGATGCAATAAAATATCAGTGGAAAAATATAGAGAGTCTGAAAGAAAATTCCAAAGCAAAGATTTTTTAGAATGATTCCATTGGTAAAGGAAGAATAGAACAAACCTGGGATTTAGGTTCTAACAGTAAGTCCTTGGTACACAAATGACTAAACCCTTCTGTTTTTTAGTTTTTTATTTATGTAAAATTAGTACAATAACAACTGGACATCAATGTAAACCCGGGGGAAAGTAGGAATGTATGTTTAAGTCCATTGAAGAAGCTTAAATTCACAATTGGCTTTCATAAAATTAGATCTGACCTGGCTAGGTATAACCATGAGAACTCTGTTCCGTTGATTTTCTATCCTATACATTCAGATTGCTGCACACTTACAGGTGAGTTAATTTACTAGGTGTATAATAAAACATTTAAATACTTATCCTATTATTAATGAGTGGGAAGCTGGAGATAATGCCTGAGTAGAACTAATTTAGATGCTTTCAAATGAAACAAATTATTTATTAAAGCATCACAATGGTTATTAATCAAACACTGTCATAGAAATTAAATGACACTTAAATCAACAATTTAAAAAATTCATATATTGGTACCTATTATTGTTATAGTTGCTTTCAATATTTATGTTAAGCCTTTTTTCATTATGTGCCATATCTGATAGTCTCAACAACTCTGAACATTGGTAATGTTACTTCACTATTGTGATAAAATGAATGAAAAAGAAATAATGATTAAAGTAGATTATTGGCTCTGAAGGGTTATGAAAACACAAAACCAGGACTTGGACCAATTCTTGAGATGTCAGATCTCTTATTCTACTAGCCAAACTGTGCTTTAAATATATCTGGAGACTTTTGTGTATCATAGTGTGAAAATATCACTGGTAAGATTTAGCCTTGGATTTTCTACTTTTAGAACCTATATACCTAAGTTTCTTCCAAGCCACTGTTTCCAGTTGAGTACCTGTATTGGTTTACAATGGCTGCTAAAACAAAGTATCATAGACTGGGTGGCTTCAACAACCGAATTTCATGTTTTCACATTTCTGGATGTTTGATATCAAGGTGTCAACCAGGTTGGTTTCTACTGAGGACTCCCTTCTTGGCTTATAGATGGTCATTCCTTTCTGTTGTCTTCATATAGGTATCTTTGAGTCTGTGACCAAACTCCCCTTCTTATAAGGACACTAGTCACATTGGATTATAGCCTACTCATATGACCTCATTTTACCATAATTATCTCTTAAAGGTCCTATCTCCAAAGACAGTCACATTCTGAGGTATTGGGGGCTAGGACTCCAGCATATGAATCTGGGGGGACACAATCATCCTTTAATGGTCTCTCTCTCTTTCCCGTTTATTTGAGTAAGGCTTATCTATTCACTGCCATGTAATTGCTCAGGTCTTGGTTGTGCAATGGGAAATCTCTTCATAGAGAAGGGGGTCAAAGATAAACTGAACCAAAGCTAAAGAGATATTTGGTCCAGAGAAGTTCAGCACTGATAGCACAGACATAAGAACAAATTTAGATTCTGGCTCCAAACAAAGGAGGTTGGTAGAATCTGAGAGTATTTGGTTGCAAGGAAGATAAGTCTAATTAATCTAATTTAACCAAACACAGGGAATTATGGGAACTATTTCTTCTTTTATTCAATTACCTGTTTATTCATTTAAAATAATATTTCAAATCGTTAAGGTGTATTACAGGCACTATTCTCAGCTGCAGGGAATACAAAAGTAGACAAAACATACTAAAAGCTCTACTTTTGTGGAAACTACAATAACAGAATGGGATAGGCAAATAAATATTTGGTACACAAAATGGTGAAATGTGCTACTGAAAAAAAGAAAAAAGTGAAAGTGGATAGCTGATGGATGGATGAATGAGGGTGAGTGCTATTAAAGTGACCAACTCTCATGGTTTGCCTGGAACCGAGGTTGTTACTGGGGTGTGAAACTTTTAATCCTAAAATTGGGATACTCTGAGGCAAATCGGAATGGTTGGCAAATCTACTTCTAATTTAGGAAGCATTGACAGGAAGTAGTCTCTGAGAAAAGACATTTGACCAAAATTCTGTAGGAGGTGAGGAGGTCACCCAGGTAGATATATAGGGGAAGGCAAGTCTAGTCAGAGAGAAAAGCAAATTTAATAAACATGAGGCAGGTGAATTCCTGATAGGATCCAGAAGCAGCAGCAGTGCTGTAGCATGGTTGGAGCTGAATACCTCGGAGAGTGAGTGGTAGGGAATGAGGTCAAAGAAGTGACAAGATCTGGGTCACAAAAAAGCTTGTAGGTTAATAGAAGTACATTGAATTTTACTGTGAGCACAGTGAAGAAATACTGGAGGGTTTTAAGACAAATATTGCCATCATCTGACTTATATTTTAAAAGTATCACTCTTAAGGCTGCTGAGAATAAACTTCAGAGGGCAAAGGCATAAGCAGAGGGACAAATCAGAAAGGTATTTCAGTAATTCTGGCAAGAAATGATGGCAGTTCAGAGCAATGGAAACTAGAGAACTGCTGGCATTCTGTTTGTTTTGATTTGTAAAAGATTTTGCTAATAAAGTGAATGTAGACTACAAAAGAAAGAGAGGTATAAAAGAGAACTTTATTTTATGGCAAGAAATAGGAGATATTGAGTAGGGAAGATAGATATGTGATTCTGGAATTCAAGGCAGAAGAATGGATGGAGAAAGAACTTCATATAAATGTACACTAACCCAAGCCATTAGACCTTGATTTTTGAGCAGACATGGGATACATTACACAAATGAAACCTGTATCTTAAAAAGAATTGCAGAAATTACATCTGTCTTGATAAGAAGAACACATGCACAGTTGTGAGAGGTGGGAGTGGGAGTTTATGGAAATTGTTTTGCAATTTTTTCTTATTTTTTTCAGGTTGTGAAATTATTCTGTAATTGTTTATTTTGTTTTTTTCCAGTTGTGAAAATCAGAATCATTATATGAGAGTGAGAATGAGAAATGGGAGAATGAAGACCAGAAACTTCAGAAGACAAAGGTATGAAATTATCATATTAAAGTTGCAAGAGCGAATGGCCCAGGGAAATGTAATTAGATCATCAGGCAGCATTAAGGCCCACTTGATAGCAGAGATCACTATATTTAAATAGGTTCATATAGAATATCTCCGAGTTTTTATCTAGCCACTTTTATCTGCATGATATAAACATGGAATAGCTAAATAATTGGATTTAAATAGGGCTTAAGTTTCAGCAAAATTTGTTTGGCAAAGTTAGAGAAAGGCAAAGTTGGAGAGGTGAAAGACCCTGTGAGAAATAAGCCAGGAGTTCACTTTTAATGATTGACCTTGAAATTTATGCAGAACAGAGAGTGAAATGAGAGGAAACCAAGATAGTTGAGAGGTAATAAAAAGGTGGTAGGATGAAGAGATTAGAGGCCTGGTGTGGTGGAATGGTTACTTAAATGGGGAACAAAAGGAAATATACATATGGGCTAAAGCACAGGTTCCAAGAGAAAGACGAATCTCCCATATGCCTGAAGACAGCACCCCAATGGTTACCTCCTCTGTGTTTTTGAGAGTACATGGTTTCTTATCTCTGCTTCTCTTTGCATGTCTGCTTCATTCTTTTCCTTGTCTCAAGAGGTTACTTTCTCCCCTTTGGTGGACATATGGTTATCCTTGACACAATATTACATGGAATCCCTGTTTTAAACCCCTTAAGAATCCAGGACAAAGAGAATCTGTTTTGTTTGGCTTGGCCCCAACTGTGTTCTAATCAGTCAATACCAGGGGTATAGAGTAATGAATCTTAGTACCCCTCAGCAGGAATAATGAAAATTGACTTCTAATAAGAGGACATGAGCAGATTTTTTAGTAAGAGGGTGTAGAGATTAGAAAGAAATAATTGTTAGAGGAAGTGGTTGGCATTTTATGAAATTGACTGAAGCATCAAGTTAATTGTCATTATGAACTAGTTTCAAATTAGAATTACTGACAGAAAGGAGAGCTATCATTTTAAAACCAGGTTGAGAGTTCAGGCTAGCAGTTGTTTGCCTTGCCTTGAACAGAACGGAGCCCTCAGAAATAACGCCACATATCTACAACTATCTGATCTTTGACAAACCTGAGAAAAACAAGCAATGGGGAAAGGATTCCCTATTTAATAAATGGTGCTGGGAAAACTGTCCAGCCATATGTAGAAAGCTGAAACTGGATCCCTTCCTTACACCTTATACAAAAATTAATTCAAGATGGATAAAAGACTTAAACATTAGACCTAAAACCATAAAAACCCTAGAAGAAAACCTAGGCATTACCATTCAGGACATAGGCATGGGCAAGGACTTCATGTCTAAAACACCAAAAGCAATGGCAACAAAAGCCAAAATTGACAAATGGGATGTCATTAAACTAAAGAGCTTCTGCACAGCAAAAGAAACTACCATCAGAGTGAACAGGCAACCTACAAAATGGGAGAAAATTTTCGCAACCTACTCATCTGACAAAGGGCTAATATCTAGAATCTACAATGAACTCAAACAAATTTACAAGAAAAAACAACCCCATCAAAAAGTGGGTGAAGAACATGAACAGACACTTCTCAAAAGAAGATATTTATGCAGCCAAAAAACACATGAAAAAATACTCACCATCACTGGCCATCAGGGAAATGCAAATCAAAACCACAATGAGATACCATCTCACACCAGTTAGAATGGCGATCATTAAAAAGTCAGGAAACAACAGGTGTTGGAGAGGATGTGGAGAAATAGGAACACTTTTACACTGTTGGTGGGACTGTAAACTAGTTCAACCATTGTGGAAGTCAGTGTGGCGATTCCTCAGAGATCTAGAACTAGAAATACCATTTGACCCAGCCATCCCATTACTGGGTATATACCCAAAGGACTATAAATCATGCTGCTATAAAGACACACACACACATATGTTTATTGCGCCACTATTCACAATAGCAAAGACTTGGAACCAACCCAAATGTCCAACAATGATAGACTGGATTAAGAAAATGTGGCACATATGCACCATGGAATACTATGCAACCATAAAAAATGATGAGTTCATGTCCTTTGTAGGGACATGGATGAAATTGGAAATCATCATTTTCAGTAAACTGTCGCAAGGACAAAAAACCAAACACCGCATGTTCTCACTCATAGGTGGGAATTGAACAATGAGAACACATGAACATAGGAAGGGGAACATCACACTCTGGGGACTGTTGTGGGGTGGGGGGAGTGGGGAGGGATAGCATTAGGAGATATACCTAATGTTAAATGACGAGTTAATGGGTGCAGCACACCAGCATGGCACATGTACACATATGTAACTAACCTGCACATTGTGCACATGTACCCTAAAACTTAAAGTTTAATAATAATAAAATAAATAAAAAAATTAAAAAAAAAGAAAATTGGCTGGCAAATCATTTCCTCTGGATTTTCCAGCCAAAACGCATTCTTCTCTCAGTCTTTCTTTCTCTATAGCTTTTAAAGTTTGCCTCAAGTTCCAACTTTAAATTTAACTTCCCCAACCTTTCCTATTCATGATTTTCTATGCCTGTGTAATATATAACATCTCTAACATTTCATGAATCATAATCATAGGCAACTTAGTGTTATACTTTATTCTTCCTTGCTTCTCATACGCTCCTCTTGTTCAGGTAGATAGTGGAAAGGAAATTTAAGGAAAGGTAGTATATTTATTTTTTTCCACCGTCTAGAAGCCAATGACTAGTAACAGATAGTAAACATCTTCTATATTCCCATACCCATCTTGCATTTAAACCTGTTTAAATCAGCCGGGCATGGTGGCTTACATCTGTAATCTCAGCACTTTGGGAGGCCAAGGCAGACAGATCACGAGGTCAGGAGATCGAGACCATCCTGGCTAACACGGTGAAACCCCATCTCTACTAAAAATACAAAAAAAAAATTAGCCGGGTGTGGTGGCGGGCACCTGTAGTCCCAGCTACTCAGGAGGCTGAGGCAGGAGAATGGTGTGAACCCAGGAGGCGGAGCTTGCAGTGAGCCGAGATCACGCCACTGCACTCCAGCTTGGGTGACAGAGCGAGACTCCGTCTCAAAAAATAAATAAATAAATAAATAAAATTAAAAAACTGTTTAAATTAAATCAATAAGTAACCATTTATATTTTTTAAAAAAGTATATGTATAAGACAATATGATAACTGGAATAGAATGCATAAAAGTGAAGCAGATGCCCTACAAGACCTTTCATCCAATAGAGCCTCAAGTGACTTAAGATGAAGAATGCCTATTTGTAAGGAACCATGGTCAACAGGGAAAGTCCTGAAGTCTGGCATTGAACATTTAACTAGGGATGAGAGGGACTTCAAAATGGGATAAGACTGATGGCCAAAGCTTTTGCAGAAACATGTTCAGGCACTAGATTATGAAGATTCTTTAATGCAATGCAAGATTCGAGGCTTTCTTCCCTAAACGTTTGGTAACTACCAGTGGATTTTGAGGAATAGGGTATTGAATTGTGCATAGAAGGAGTTAAAAATGATAATCTAGTAATTTTAAGATTAAAAGTATGAATAAGTGGGTGAATAACTGAATGACAAGACTTGATGTCATCAGTCCCTCCATGGTAAGTGCTAAGGAAAATCAGATACATTAACAGAATGGGTAATATAGGTGATATTTTACTTAAGATCTTGATCTTAGAAATACATTTCTACATGGCATTGGCATAAATAAACTGAAAAAATACAATTAAGAAATGCAGCTGCTCAACTTTTGCTTTTGGGCATACAACACAATGTGGAAGGTCTAAATAAGTGACTACAGGTAAATCTATCTCATTTTTCTCTCCGGCTCCATTCTGGCAGCATTGAGTGGGTGAGTATTTGGAAGGAGTCGAGAATCATGAGTTGTAAGCCTCAAATAGAACCTGAGAGAATTCTAGCTTCTATGTTACCAGTGTAAAAGTGCATTTTTTTTCTAGCTGTAGTATGAAAATTTGAGCATTATTTTTGTGAGGAGTTGGAGGGAAATGTCCTTTAACATCAAGGAGATCAAGAGGTTAAGTTTGCATTTTACAGGCTGGTATCAGGCAAATAAATGGGTTCTGCAGTGTGTGTGTCAGCCAATGACTTGACTACTTTCTGAGAAGACCTTCTGGTTTCTCCATGTAAGGGCTGTTTATGCTGAAAACATTTCATCCTTATGCCTTGACAATCCAAATTAAGAATTTAAATATTATTATTACTATTTAGTATCACACTATTAACTCTCTAATGCCAAGTGTCTCAGTGTAGTTAAAGTTGCTAGATGTTTGTAGAGGTGGTTGATATGATCATTGTGATTTAATCATAGGCTGTGTATACTTATGTAACAAACCTGCACATTATGCACATACATCCCAAACTTAAAGTATAAAAATAATAGTAATAATAGGCTGTACTATTTATTGAGTGAGTGAATGAATGAATTATAACTACAACCTATGAATTATTTATATTCAGTACAAACTAATTTTTAATCTATGACTTAGATGTTTGTATTGCTAAGCAAAAATATTATCTAATTATTTTCTTTTTTCTTATTTTTGGCTTATTATGCAAAAAAAGATACAATAGAAAAAAATATTGGTGAAAGTCTTGGGTTTAAATTTTGGTGCCACTCTTTGTCAATTGTGAAGCTGGTCAAGTTATTTCATCCATATAACCATAACCTTCCCATCTGGAGAAACTTGCTTGGGTTCCATTTTCAGCTGTGTTATTTACTAGCTATAATATTGAAAGGGTTTTTAACCTTTTTGCTTCTGTTTCCTTACTATTAACATAAAAATTAAAATAGCACTTACCTCATGAATTTAGCATAAGGATTAAGTGTGTTAACATGTAAATTATTTAGAGTAAGACTGATATATGAAAAACAACAAGTATTATCTATTATAATCTATGCTTTTGAATAAAAGTTTTATAGGGATGTTGAAAAAGGCTAAGAGTTGTCTGAGATACAGTGGATGCCCGATAAACATTAATTTTTTAAAATCTTATTTAAATATTTTTATTTCAGTGGCTTTTGGGATACAAGTAGCTTTTGGATACATGGATAAATTATATAGTGGTGAATTATGAGGTTTAGTGCACCTGTCACCTGAGTAGTGTACATTGTTTGTAATATGCAGTTTTTAAATCCCACACTCCCCTTCTCTCCTCTCCCCCTGTTGAATCTCAAAGTCCCTTACATCAATCTGTATGTCTTTGTGTGCACATAGCTTATCTCCCACTTATATGTGAGAACATATGGTATTTGGTTTTCCTTTCCCGAGTTATTTCACTTAAAACAATGACCTCCAGCTCCATCCAAGTTGCTGCAAAATATAGTATTTTGTTCCTTTTATTATTACATCACATTTCCTTTATCCACTCACTGGTCGATGGGCAGTTAGGTTGGTTCTACATCTTTGCAATTGTAAATTGTGCCGCAATAAACATATGTGTGAATGTGTCTTTGTTATATAATGTTATATAGCATTATATAATGACTTCTTTTCCTTTGGGAAGATAGCCAGCACTGAAATTGCTGGATGAAATGGTATATCTACTGTTAGTTCTTTAAGGAATCTCCATACTGTTTTCCAGAGAGGTAGTAGTAATTTACTTTCCAATCAGCAGTATATAAGCATTCCCTTTTCATCACATCTATGCCAACATATATTGGGTTTTGACTTTTTAACAATGGCCACTCTAGCAGGAATAAAGTGGAATCTCATTGTAGTTTTAATTTGCATTCCCTGATGATTAGTGATGTTGAGAATGTTTTCACACATTTGTTGGTCATTTGTATATTTTCTTTGGAGAAATGACTGGTCGTGTAATTTGCCCACTTTTTCATGGGATGATGTGTTTTTTTTGTTTTTTTTTCTTGTTGGTTTGTTTGAGTTCCTTGTAGTTTCTGGATACTAGTCTTTTGTTGGATGCAGGATATGCAAATATATTCTCCCATTCTGTAAGATGTTTATTTACTCAGATGATTTTTTTTTTTTTTTTTTTTTTTTTACTGTGCAGAAGCTTTTTAGCTTAGTTAGGTCCCATTTATCTACTTTTGTTTTTGTTGCATTAGCTTTTGAGGTCTTCATGATGAATTGCTTTTCTGGACATGTCCAGAAGAGTGTTTTCCAAGGCTACTTATATAATTTTTATGGTTTCAGATACTAGATTTAAGTATTTGGTACATCTTGAGTTGTTTTTATTAGATGAGAGGAATCCAGTTTCCTTCTTCTACATGTGGCTAGCCAGTTTTCCCACCACCATTTGCTAAATAGGGTGTCTTTCCCCAATTTATATTCTTGCATGCTTTATTGAAGATCAGTGGGCTGTAAGTATTTGGCTTTATTTCTGGGTTCTCCATTCTGTTACAGTTGTCTATATGCCTATTTTTATACCAGTATCATGCTGTTTTGGTAATTTTAGCCTTGAAGTATAATATGAAGTCTGGTAACATTATGTCTCTAGGTTTGTTCTTTATGCTTAGGATTGCTTTGGCTATTCTGGCTCTTTTTTTGATTCCATATGTATTTTAGGATATTATCCCTAATTCTGTGAAGAATGATGTTGGTATTTTGATGGAATTGCATTCAATCTGTATATTGCTTTGGGCAGCATGGTCATTTTCACAATATTGATTCTTCCCATCCATGGGCATGGAATGTGTTTCCATTTGTTTGTGCCATCTGTGATTTCTCTCATAGTGTTTTTTAGTTCTCCTTGTACAGACCTTTTAACTCCTTGGTTAAGTAAATTTCTAGGTATTTTATTTTATTTTATTTTTGCAGCCATTGCAAAAAGAGATTGAGTTCTTAATTTGATTCTCAGTTTGGCCATTTCTGGTGTATAGCAGATTTGGGTACCTTGATTTTGTAACCTGAGACTTCACTAAATTTATTTGTCAAATCTTGGAGTTTTTGGAAATGTCATTAGGGTTTTCTAGGTAAAAAATCACATCATCCATGAGCAGTGATAGTTTGACTTCCTCTTTTCCAATTTGGATTCTCTTTTTTACCTTCTCTTGCTTGATTACTCTGGCTAGAACTTCTAGCACTATGTTGAATAGAGGGGTGCAAGTGAGCCTCCTTATCTTGTTCCAGTTCTCAGGGAGAATGTTTTCAACTTTTCCCCATTCAGTATGATGTTGGCAGTGGGTTTCTTATATACAGATTTTATTATTTTGAGGTATGTCACTTCTATGCCTAGTTTTTTTAGGGCTTTTATTTTAAATGGATGCTGGATTTTTTCAAATGCTTTTTCTGCATCTATTGAGATGATCATATGGTTTTTGTTTTTAATTCTATTTATGTGATGTATCACATTTATTGACTTGCATATGTTAAGCCATCCCTGCATCCCTGGGATGAAACCCACCTGATCATGATGTATTATTATTATTATTTTTGATGTGCTATTGGATTGGGTTAGCTGGTATTTTGTTGAAGATATCTGCATCTATGTTCATCCAAGGTATTGGCCTGTAGTTTTCCTTCTTTGATATGTTCTTTCCTGGTTTGTGTATCAGGGTGATACTGGTTTCAAGTAATGACTTAGGGAGGATTACCTCTTTCTCAATCTTTTGGAATAGTTTCAGTAGAATTGGTACTAATTCTTCTTTGAATGTCTAGTAGGATTCACCTGTGAATCCATCTGGGCCTCTGTTCTTTTTTCGATGGCAAATTTTTTATTACTGATTCAATCTTACTGCTTGTTACTGGTTTACTCAGGATTTATATTTCTTCCTGACTTAATCTAGGAGGGTTGTATGTTTCCATGAATTTGTCCATTTCTTCTAGGTGTTCTACTTTGTGTGCATAGAGATGTTCATGGTAGTCACAAACCATCTTTATTATTTATGTGGTATTGGTGGTAATGTCTACAAGTTCATTTCTAATTGAGCTTATTTGAATGATTTCTTGGTTAATATAGCTAATGGCTTATCAATTATTTCTATCTCTTCAAAGAACCATCTTTCTGTTTCATTGATCTTTTGTGTGTTTTCTGTTTTAATTTCACTTATTTCTGCTCTGATATTTGTTATTTGTTTTCTTTTGCTAGCTTTGGGTTTAGTTTGTCCTTGTTTCTCTGAAGTACAGTATTAGGTTGTCAATTTGTGATCCTTTAGACTTTTTAATGTAGGCATTTAGCACTGTAAACTTTCTTCTTAGCACTGCTTTTGCTGGGTCCCAGAGGATTTGATAACTTGTGACACTATTATTATTCATTTCAAAGAATTTTTAAATTTTCATCTTGATTTCATGATTAACCATGAAATAATTCAGGAGCAGATCGTTTAATTTTTACATGTTTGTTTTGTCTTGGAGGTTCCTTTTAAAGTAGATATCTAGATTAATCTCTTTATGTACTTGATATGATTTCAATTTTTAAAATTCATTGAGAGTTGTTTTGTGGCCTATCATATGGTCTAGTTAAGAGAATGTTCTGTGTCATGATAAGAACAATGTATATTCTGCTGTTCTTAGGTAGAATGTTATGTAAACATCTGTCAAGTTCATTTATTTTAGAGTGTACATTAGGCTATTGTTTCTTTGTTGACATTTTTTGCTGATGATCTGACTAGCACTATCAGTAGTATATTGAAGTCCTCCACTATTATTGTGTTGCTGTCGATCTCATTTCTTAGGTCTAGTAGTAATCATTTTATAAATCTGGAAGCTCCAATGTTAGGTGCATATGAATTTAGATTTGTAATGTCATCTTGTTGGACTGATTCTTCCATCAATATAAAATGACATTCTTTGTCTTTTTTTTCTGTTGCTGCTTTAAGGCCTGTTTCATCTGATATAAGAATAGCTATTCCTGCTTGCGTTTGGTGTTCATTTGCATGGAATCTGTTTTTCTACCCCTGTACCTTGAGTTTATATGAATCTTTCTTTGTTAGATGAGTCTCTTGAAGACAGCATATATTTGGTTTGTCATTTTTTAATCCATTCTAACAATCTATATTACATAAGTGGAGCATTTAGGCCAATTATATTCAACAAAGTTATTAAGATGTGTGGTACTCTTCAATTAATCCTGTTCATTGTTACCTATATACTTATTTGTTTTCATTGTGTAATTGTTTTATAGGCCCTCTGAGTTTTGTGCCTTTGAAAAGTTCTGTTTTGGTGCATATAAGACGTTTATGTCAAGATTTATAACTTCTTAGAATTTTTTGTAAGGGTACTGTGGTAGTGACAAATTCTCTCAGCATTTATCTGTAAATAATTTTATTTCTCCTTCATTTATGAAACTTAATTTTTCTGGATACAAAGTTATTCACTGACAGTTATTCTGTATGAAGGAGGCTAAGGATAATACCCCAATTTCTTCTGGCTTCTACGGTTTGTGCTGAGAAGACTGCTGTTAGTCTGATAGGTTTTCCTTTATGAGTTATCTGATGCTTTTGTCTAATTGCTATTAGAATTTTTCCTTTATATTGACTTTACATAGCTTGATAACTATACACCTTGGTGATGACTTTTTTGCAACTAATCTCCCAGGAATTCTGTGCACTTCTTGTATTTGGATATCTAAATCTCTAGCAAGGCCAGGGAAGTTTATCTCGATCATTTCCTCAAATAAATTTTCCAAACATTTTGCTTTCTCGTCTCCCTCAGGAATACCGATTATTCTTAGGGTTGGCCATCTTACAGATTCTTGGAGACTTTGTTCATTTCTTTTGATTCATTTTGCTTTATTTTTATCTGATTGGGTTAATTAAAAAGCCCTGTCTTTGAGCACTGACATTCTTTCTTTTACTTGTTCTACTTTATTATTAACACTTCCAATACATCTTGTAATTCATTTCATTTCCAGCAGTTCTGATTGGTTTTTCCTTATGACATCTATCTTTTTAGAAAAATTTTCATTCATTTTTGATTTTTTAAATTTTTTTATATAGGCTTTCATCTTTCTCTGGTATCTTCTTGAGCAGCTTAATAATTAACCATTTGAATTCTTTATCTGGTATTTCAATGACTTAATCTTGGTTTGGATTGACTGCTGGAGGGCTAAGGGTGATCTTTTGGGAGTGCTACAGATCTGTCATATTATGAAAATTATGTTTCTGGTTCCTTCTCATTTGCATAGACTTCTTATTTTTGAAATTATTTTTTATTTGACGGTATTTTTTATCATTCCTTTTTCCCCTTAATGATGTGACTTTTATGTTTATAGTTTATTATAGCCTCATTCAGCTCTTGGTGCTTTAAGGGTTGAAGACTTTACATAAGTTCTTTTGAAGCTTATCTCATTCTCCCATGGTATGTATTTTTTATATATTTATATTTCCCCTAGTATTTTATTTACTGGATTGAATAGTTCAGGATTCAAGCCTAAACATCTGGAGATGTCTTCAAGTAGAAACTGGTTATGGCTAAACCCAGTGGGTGAATGCAATATCCAATGATGGGCAGAAGTCCCAGCTTTGACAGAGGTGGTTAGAGAAGCTGTCAGTGAAATGCACTGAAGTCTTAACAGAGGGGAGAGTAGGAGCCACCTCAGTTCCCTTGCCAGGTCAGCAGGAAACCTATCCACTTCCCAGAAACACTCCTGACCCAGTATTCCAGCTATTCAGATCAGACAGCCACCTCTTTTCATCTGCTGGATATTTATGTTCCAAGCAGAGAGGAATTGTGACATTTCCCCTTGTGCAAGCCTGAACCTGGAGGGTGCACCTGTGATGGGGATGTAATCACCACAGTCCAGAAAGGCTGTCTATATATGCACCCATTCTTCCTGTAAGATATATATATATATATATATATATATATATATATATATATATATGCTTATATATATTTATATCTATATATGCTTATATATATGCTTATATATATTTATATCTGTATATGCATATATATGCTTATCTATCTATCTGCTTCCTGTGAGAGAAGCCCCAGCTGTGTCTGTAGTGGTGGATGAAAGGCAAAATAAGTCACCTTCTCCAAGACCCTTGACAAGCACCAGCGCTGCCTGACTCTTGCGGTAGAGCTGCAGATTCTCCTTGCTGAACTCTGTACTACACCTGTGCCTCTGTTGAAAGAAACTTCCCACCAGCTGAAAGATTTGGGACTCAAGGACTGCCATCTGGATTCTTTCATCCTATAGGGTGTTCTCTTGATGTGGTGCACTCTCCTTCCTCTAGGAGTAGGGATCCCTGAGAACCAAGCTACTGTGAATACTGCTGCTCCTCTGGGTCTAGCTGCCCAGTGGGGTTACCACACTCCAGGTTGGTGCTGGGGAATGTCTGCAAGGGATCCACTGATGTAGATTGTCACCAAGTCTCCCAGCAGCAGCTCTGATGGGTGTGGCAGGGGAGTGATACAGACTCTGAGATTCCTTAATTAGGGATAGCTTTGGTGTGTTGGCTTTCTCAAATGCTGGTTGTGATAGTAATGAACTAGTCGTGTGGACAGACTTCAGACCTTCTCATTAGCCAGGGTAGGGTGGGCAATGGTAATAACCAAGGCCATACACAATTTTTATCCTTCCTGAGTGCTACGTTATTTTACCTGGAGATGCTGTAATGGACTGTGTCGGTTGACCTCTAGCCAAGAGGTGGTACTTGCACCTTCCTACTGCAGCTGGAAAAATACCAGCTGCAGTAGTAATGGTAGGATACATACTTGCCTTATGTTATCCAGGGGAGATACTCTTGTTTCTCAGGTGATGGGCAGGGCCATAAAGCTCCCAAAAGTTTCTGTCCTTTGTGTTGAGCTACTAGGGGAGGCAGAGGAACAAACCCAGGTGGGGGCTGGGTGAGGCAGATCTGTCCTCTGGCTCCCAACATGTGGGTCAAGCAGTGTCCCCTCTGGGAGTTGAGAGGTGTTTCTCTGGCTTCTGCTGCAGAGAAAATGTTGCAGAGGGAGTGGAAAGTAGCAGGTGCCGGTAACCCCCAACCAGCTCCCAGATACTTGGTAAGGCAGATCTCACATCTGCAGTATTCTGCTAGCAGCAGTGAGTTAAGTTCCAGGTCATTTTCGATTAGAACTCAAAACTGCCTCAGGCCATAAGCCTTCCTCAGGGAAGTAGCTATCCCAGCTTTCAGGCCACACCCCTCCCAGTCTAACCACAAAGCTGGGGCACCCCAGCTCTTGCACTCATGGCTGCAGCACACTTCCACTCACACTACCCCTGATTCAGTTCTGGCCAAGGGACTTCATCCCCCCTTGAGGTCATATTGCAAAATTCAGGTGGGAGTTTCTTTTAACCTATGACCACTGCCTGAGTTAGTTGGTAGAATTCTGTGAAGTCCCCTGTGACACAGAATAAGAAATGGCTTCCCTTGATCCATGCTGGAGACTGGGAATGCACACAAGGCTCTTCTCACTGCTGTTTCTCCTTTTATATTCCTCACCACTGCCTATATCATTGCCAGCACTGGGTAAGATTAAGGGCCTTCCCCTGTGACTTGGATTTCTAGGTTCCCCAATGGAGAGGTGTATATCCTGGAGGCAGTCTCTCCCAACTCACACTCTGAGGACTTACAGTTTTTTGCCTGGCTCATGGTGTAGGCTGCTGCCCACTGCTTCTTTCAAAGGGTCTTTGGATTCTTTCAGCTTTCCTGTTAAATCCCTGCATTGCTTCTTTAAAAAAAAAAAAAAAAAAAGCAGTGTGAATCTCTACACGCTATTTTGTCTTTTTAAATGAGAGAGGCATGCTAATACTGCTTCCAATCTGCCATCTTAGGAAAAAATAAACAATTTGAATTTGAATCTCGATGAAACTCATTTTCCTTCTTCTCTCCTGGATAAGCATGATCAGGCTCTGGATTGGCGTTGAAGTCCCAGAGGTCTTACCTGGGGTAAGAATTAACTGAAATGTGTCCCTGGAAAAGTGGTGTGAAGCTGAGGCAGGAGAGAAAATAAAAAGTAAGTGAGAGACAGAGACCAAGAGAGTTAATATCTTGATATCAGATAAAGGGAGAGATTCCAAAATCAGTAGAGCAAGAAAGAAGATTCTGATTGTTAGAGAGACAGGAAAGATTCCATAGTTTACCAGACACATAACTATATAACAGTCTGCACTTTAAGGCACTGGAATGAGGCAGACACCATTGACCAAAGAGTTGACCAGTGCCTGTCCAGTAGACTGTTCAGTTGTTGGGGAAAAGGAGGGACCCCCTGATTAACATACAGTTTTTTCCAAGGAAGTAGATGGATGTGAGAATTTCCTTCCTCACCACCAAGAAGGAAATAGTATTGGAAGACACCTCCAGTCTTCTTCTATTTTCATTAAATTTCTCCCATTCATGAAGGAAGAATGATATTTCTGATTGATGAAATTGGAGCAGAGGTAAACTGTGTCCTGGCCTTTCAGATCTTGCTATTTCTGTCTTGGATCTATTGGCACTGATTTGGAGTAAATTCATTTTTCCTATTCCTGCTTATTACAGTTGGCCATCAGTATCCCTACCCACCTTGCACCAGACACAGACTGTATTAGAGAAGTTTCACTTCTGCAGTTGTACTGCATTTGATTAGATGGATAGATTGATAGATTCAATTCAGTGAGGAAGGAATTGCAGTATTATCCAATACAGCTTTATTAGGAAACCTGAACTTTAGATTATAAGGTGGATATCACATTGTAATCCCTATTTGCTGAATTCTGTTGATCCACACTTTATATCACATGACTCCATAGGTTGGGTTTGGAGTATTAGTAGTCTAATTTCATTACCACTACCACTCCCCACTAATCTAATCTACTAGAAATGAGTCATAGATGGGAGGGCAGAGTGGGACTGGAAGGTTTTCTGATGCCGTTCAAAGTATGCACAGGTCATTCTTTTCCATGGGAGAAAAAAAATGGGTCACAAAGAATTAGGATAAATGTCTTTTCTCAAAAAGAACCAATTTTAAATTATGTTCCTGGATGTCACATACAGCTAAAACCTTAAATTCCCATCCAATCTCATATTTCTAAAATATTGATGGTAAAATACAAATTATCTACTAAATGCACTAAAACTAATATGATTTGAGAGGACTGGAGACAGGCTGGGAATTAATTTTGAAATTTTCAAAAGATGCCTATTCATCTTTCTATGTACTAATCAATAGAGACATTTTCTATGCTCCTATTTTCTAAAAATAAAGTCATTTTCATAGAGAGATGTCAGAGAGCAAATTGATCAAAGACTAACAATAAAAAGAATATAAATGTACCTTGTTGGGGTGAGTGGGTTGGTGTCATGAGACTTGTATTAGATCCAACTTAATTAGCAGCTTGACTTTCTCTTAGAATAGTGTAAATAGTACAGGAAATTTGTAAATTAGGCCAACTTGAGAGATTTAGCACATTCTAAGAAAAATAGATAAATTGATCAGAAAAGGAAGTGGGAAAATTACTACAGAACAAATATATTAAATATTCAATGTACAGCATAGACTATAAGAGCAATTATTTTAACAGACTTAGAGTTTTACTCTAAAACAGAATCATCGAAGATTACTCTTTATGGCAAATGTGGCCTTTAACCTATGAACATTTTACAAAATTCTACATGACTAAAGCTTTCTCATTCTAATAGTTTTTTTAACAGATTAATTTAGATATAACTCACATTCTATAAAATTTTCTCAGTGTACAAATTGGTTTCTAGCATATTTACAAAATTATAAAACCATTGCTACAATCTACTTTTACACTATTTCCATCACCCCTAAAAGAAACCCTGGAAACCATTACTCCATTTTCTGTTTCTGTGGATTTGCCTATTTGGAACATTTCACATAAATGAAATCACACGATATTTAATGTTTTGTGGTTGGTTTATTTCACTTAGCGTAATGTTCTCAAGGTTCATCCATGTTGTGGCATGTTACCCATGTTTTATTCCATTTTATTGAGAAGTAAGTTTTTGCTTTATTAATATACCAAATATTATTTTATCCATTATCAGCCGATGAACAATTGGATAGTTTCTATGTTTTTGCTATTATAAGTAGGCTGCTGTAAATATTTGTGCACAAGTTTTTGGGTGGATACATGCTGTGATTTGGATATATGCTTAAGAGTAGAATTGCTGCATCATGTGGCAACTCCATGACAACATTTGAAGAACTGCCAAACTGGTTTCTAAAATAGCAGCACAATATTATATTTTCAATAGCAATGCATGGGACGTCCAATTTCTCCACATCCTCATCCACACTTTTTATTGCCTTTTTTATTATAACCATCCTAGTGGTTATGAAGAAGTTCTCTTAATGTGGTTTTGACTTGCCTTTCTCTGATGACTACTGATGTTCAGCACGTTTTCCTGTCTTTGTTTGCCATTTGTATATATTTTGGGGGAAATTTTTATTTATATCCTCTTTGTTCACTTTTTATTATGGAGTTGTAATGGGTCCTTATATCCCTGACCCAAACCTCTTATCAGGTGACTTGAAAATGCTTTCTCCCATTATGTGGACTGTCTGTTCACTTGTTTGATGGTATTGTTTGCAGGTCAAAAGTTTTACATTTTAAAGTACAACACAACTAATTTTTTTTTGTTCCTTGTCCTTTTGGTGTCACTTTAGGAACCAACATGCCTAACATCAGGTCACAAAGATTTACACCTACATTTTCTTCATAGAGTTTTATAGTTTAGCCCACACTTTTAGATCTTAGATCAATTTTGAGTTTTTTGTTTGTTTGTTTATTTGTTTGAGACGGAGTCTCGCTCAGTCACCCAGGCTGGAGTGCAGTGGCGTGATCTCGGCTCACCGCAAGCCCCGCCTCCCGGGTTCACGCCATTCTCCTGCCTCAGCCTCCTGAGTAGCTGGGACTACAGGCGCCTGCCACCATGCCCGGCTAATTTTTTTTTTTTGTATTTTTAGTAGAGACGGGGTTTCACCGTGTTAGCCAGGATGGTCTCGATTTCCCGACCTCATGATCCTTCCGCGTCGGCCTCCCAAAGTGCTGGGATTACAGGCGTGAGCCACTGCGCCCAGCCTTGAGTTTCTTTTTCGCTTGGCATGGGTTGGAGTCCAACTTACTCTTTATCAGGTGTTTACCCTGTTGTTCGAGTACAGTTTGTTGAATATATTTTTCTCATTGAATTGCCTTAGTACCCTTGTCAAAAGTCAATTGACCATAAATGTAAAGCGTTATTTCTGGGCTTGCAATTCTATCTCATTTCTCTCTCTCTCCCTTTATAAATATATAAATTATTGATATATTTGTGTATATATGTATTATGTATATAATATATGCATGTATATATATGTATCTCAATGGGATGGAATATACCACTGAGATAACAAGCATAACAAAGGTAATGGGTAAGAATGGGATTTTAAAAATGCATGTATTTATTCTTATGCCAGTACCACACTGTATTGATTACTGTAGCTTTTTCTAAGTTTTGAAATCAGAAAATGAGAATGTCCAATTTTCTTCTCCCTTTTCTAGATGCATACAACTATTCTGAGTCCCTTACATTTTTATATATTTGGGAATTAGATTGTCAATATTAGAAAAATAAAAAGAAAACTGTGATTTTTATGGGATTGTGTTGAATTTGCAGATAAATATGTGGCGGAATGCCATCTTAACAATTTATAATCTTCCAATTTATGGACACAGCATGTTTTTAATTCATTTAAATGTTCTTTAGAACCTTTCAACAATGTTTTATAGTTTCAATGTACAAATCTTGAAATTTTTGGTTAGGTATATCCCTAAATATTTTATCCTTTTTTATACTTTTAAAAACAGAACTATTTTTTATTTCATTTTAGACTGTTCATTGACACTTGCATTTTGATCTTGATCTTGTATCCTACACTATTTCTAAATTTGCTTTTTAAGTCAAAAGTCTTTCTGTGGGTTTCTTAGAATTTTCTAAATATACAATCAAGTCATCTCCAAATACTTTTACATTTTAATTTTCAATTTAGATGCTTTTTATTAGTTTTTCTTGCCAAATCGTCCTGTGTACTGAGTTGAACAGTTCATCACTACCCAAAAGAAAAAAAATATGTCCACCCCACTCTCTCATAATTGATCTTAATTGGAAATAAGGTCTTTGCAAATGTAATTAGTTAAGTAAGATGAAGTCATACTTCATTAGGACGAATGCTAGATCTAATGACTAGTATTCTTATTAAGAGGCTGTGTGAAGAAACACAAACACTCACAGAGGAAATATGACCATGTGAAGATGGGGGCAGAAATTTGAATCATGCAGGTATAAGCCAAGGAAGCCAAGGATTTCCGGCAACCACCAGAAGATAGGAGAGAAAAGGAAGGAACCTCCCTTAGAGTTTTCAGAGAAAGTATGGCCTTACCAACACCTTGATTTCTGACTTCTTATTTCTGGGACTGGAGCAGAATACACTTGTTATTTTGGCCACTCAGTTTGTGAAACTCTGTTACAACAGTTTGAGAAACTAATATAGATTTTGATACTGAGAAGCAGGAGCTGCTGTATCAACTACCTAAAAATGTGAAATGGCTTTAGAATTGGGCAGAGGCTAAAGTACTTGATAGAAAAAGCCCAGATTCCTTAGATAAATGGCTGGTAGATATTGTTAAAGATGATTAAAAATGTTTAAAGATGTTAAATATGATTCTGATGAGAACTGAGATAGCTGTGAGGAGCACATTAGAAGAATTTTCTATCACTTTAGAGGATACATGTACCACGAACAGAAAGTTGGTGGAAATATGAACATCAAAGATGCTTCTGGTGAGGTCACACAAGAAAATGAGCAATGAGAAACATGATATTGGAAACTGGAAACTGGAGTAAAGGCAATGATGTTATAAAGTGGCAAAAATGTTGGCTTAATTGTGTTATACTGTTGAATGGAAAGTCAGACTTATAAGTGAGGAATCTGGATATTTATCTGAGGAGATTTCCAAGCCAATTAGGGAGGGTGTTGTCTGGTTTCTCTTTGCTACTTACAGTAAAATGTGAGAGAAAAGAGATAAATTTAGGTAGGGTATGTCACAGGGAAGAAAAGGTTTGATGATTTGGAAAATCTTCAGCCTATCCATATTGTAAAAGTTGCACACTTTCTGGAGATAACACTAAGTGTATGGCTGTACAATATTTTCCTGAAGACATTAGGCATGTGATTATAGAGTCAATGACCAATACCAGTAAAAGTCAGGAATAGAGATGGGGCTACATAGAAAGGATCTCTGGAGAGCCCTCATGTGTAATGGTGTGGATCACTTTTACATTCCCAGAAGGCTGGAAAGGATTTTGAGAATAACGGCAGAAACAAACCTACCTTGAAGATAACAGATTGGAAATAGGGAAATATGAAGGAGGATTATCAGACTTTCAGGATCTGCAAACATAGAATGGGCTATTCAGAAGGCAGGGTTGCCACTGCCTTGCAAGTCTTAGAGGGTAAAACTGCCACCTCAGTGATAGAAGGTGGGACTGCTGCCCTGGTCCCCAGGACAGATCATGAAGCCACAGAGATTGTTCTTAGGTCTTGAAACCTAATGAAAATTTTCTTGCTGGGTTTTGGACTTACTTTAATACTAGTGACTCCTTTATTCCTTTTATTTTCTTGCTTTTATTATGTAAATGGCATCCATGTCTCTTCCACCACTGTATTTTGGAAATAGAGAACTTGTTTTTCAATTTCACAGGTCCACAGGTAGAGAAAAATTTTATCCCAGGGTAGATCAGACCCAGGGTTTCATCCCTACATGTGTTGGATGACTTAGATGAGATTTTGAAACTCTGAGTTGATAATTGAGATTTTGGACTTAGAGTTAATGTTTTAGTGGGTTTAACTGAGTATGTTGGGATGGGATTAATGTATTTTACAGATGGGATGTGGATGAATTGATGGGGTGCAGAGGGTATACTGTCTGGATTGAATAGCATCTCCCCAAAATTCATGATCACAGAGATCCTTGGAAAATGACAACTTCAAAAACATGTAAATTAAAATATTATTAAACATTTTTGTTTCAATTCTCATTATTAAGTGAAACTATGTGCTATAGGAGCTTGAAAAATCCTCAAGTCAGATACCCTGTTGAGAAAAATATCATAGACAGTTAACATATCAGTTTACTTCCTTAAAATGTTATGGCTGAATTTAGATTATTCTCCTTGATTATGAATAGCTCCCTACTTTGGATAAAGAAATATAATTTGGACTGTCTCTGTAGGGACAAGTCCTACCCTTACTAAATATCCATCCCATTACATATCCAATTCTCTGGTTAGCCCACCACACTCTTCCCACCATTCTGGGTTTATAAAAATGACATCTCTCTACTCATGAACAGAGTTCATTCTACAACATCAGTTGAAACTGCAGAATGTCTCTGACCATCCCAGAATGGTACATACCCCAAATTATAAAAGGATAGGCTGTGCTGCTAATGGCTGCTTATATTCTCCTGTCAAAATTGTAGTTCTTAGGATGAACAGCTAGGTGAGATGAGATAGAACAAGCTTTTAAAAGCTTTTAACAGATGAGTTCTTTGCCTGTTTGTAGCCTATATAGGATCAATAAAAACTTCTCATACACATGCATGCTCAGGCACGTACATACACACGCACACCCCCTCACACACACACCCCCTCACACACACATACACACAATCATGCTCAAGGTAATGAGCACTGACTTATATGATTTTATTTGTACCTTTGCAAATGGTTCTGGTTAGAGGTCAGTGTTGGTGGAGCAAATGCTTGCTTCCGGTATTTACTTTCTAATAGAGGTTATTGGAAAGCTCACTATAGTGGGATTATGAAAAGCTGGTTTAAAATGCTGTAATTCTGTAATTCCCTCCCACTGCTGCTCATCAGACACACACCACACACACACACACACACACACACACACACCCTACATGTTCTCTCTCTCTGTCTTTTTTTCTCAAACATTTTATCATAAAACTCCTGCACTTCTAAAGAACAGGTTAAAAAAAAAAGATTCTGAAGTAAGACAAATCTGAATGTTTACTCTCCTGTTGTGTGACCTCTCAAACTCCACTTTTCTTGTCTATAACATTGAAATAAATAATAATCTTGTAGACTTTTGCTAATTCTTTGTTACAAGTCTGTCTCCTCCCTTAAACTCTTTGTGAAGTTCTATGTCTTATTTCTATTTCTTCAGCATGTAGCATAGTACTGTGTACATACTAAATACTAAAACTTGTTGAATGGAGGCTGGATGATGTTTACATCACATTTGCTTCTTATATAATCTGTCATTTCAAAAATCAAGTTATTTGACTTAGACACTGTTTCCATAATATAAGAACTATAATAAATAATATATAAAATAATATCTTAAGCCCCTGGCATTGTTAATATTCATGATGTCACTGGTTTTTCATGGTAGGGGAAACAAAGATGGTGTTTCCATATGATACTTCCTTTAATTAAATGAATTAAATTTAGATTTAATTTAACAGCCATCGGAAGCTTTTCCCAGTGCTTGCTTATTTGTATCTGAAGTCATTGTACCCAGCTGAGTAAAATTGAATCCAGCAGTATATGCACTACTTATAAAAACTTTAGATTTTGATCTGAAATGTCATGCTAGAGTATAAGAAAGTCAGGCGTGAGGAATACATCATCACTCATGGTTTTTTCGTGATCTACATAGGTATTATTCCCTGATGTTTTTCACCATAATTGCAAGATAATCACTTTTTTTTTTTTTTTTTTTTTTTTTGCATTTTGGGAGAAAATCAGAGTGAGACAAAGTGATACTGGCCTTGACCAAAACACATGCTTTGTATTTACCAAAGTTTACAGCAATACCCTCATGCTCTCTACTGATGATTCATTTTAAAGCTATTCCTGGTTCTATTCATTTCTGCTTTTTATCCAAAATATCTTCAGCACACCACATTGGACTACCTGATTCCTTCCATCTTGGGTTGGAGGAATTAGGAAATAACAGTTCTCATATGTCTTTTTTTTTTTTCTTTTCCCACTTTGGAAATTAATTCCAAGTTTATCTAAGGGAAAGCAAAAAAAGAAGATATGCATATCTATCCCCCCACAGGCTAACAAAGATGCAGGCTTTTTCGCTAATTGAGGATTCAGAGAGAAGACTCGGTGGTGTCATGAGGTGTCATACATACAGGAAACACAAGTGGCAGCTGGTTGCTATTGAGGTAGCTAAATGTGAAAACTCACTAATTAGAGAAATGCAAATTGCAAAGACATATTTTGCTACACCCTGGAGCTATGTTGAAGCAATCAGCAAAGGAGGATCCTGAAAGTGCCCACCTTTTGGAGGAATCTTGGAGCCAACATGGTGTTCATTGACAGTTATTGAATACACACTGAAGTAGCAGCTACTGCTCTAGATACAGAGAGGTTTAAATTGTGAGCAAAGATAGAACTCTGTTAGTCCATTAACGTGAGTGATTTATTTGTGAAACCATTTGATGTCACAGAATCTCCTGTGTTACTGTTCTCTGTCCTGCCTTTGATTCAGTCTCTAGTAGTTCAAGAAGTATAGTGTACTGGGTAAGATAGGGCAGGAAACAGGTTAAATATAAGTGTAGTCGTTTAACTTCTGACCAATTGACTATGAGGAAAATGAAGAAAAAGGGATAAAACTATGGCTAGAGACATGAACAAATTTAAATGTTGATTTTTTTTAACCAAATAAACTGTAGATCTTTTTCCCTCACTGAATTAACTGATTTTTAATGAAATTAAATTAATTGGCTTATGGTTTTAACATCATGCTGCCTAAATGTCTGCCTTCTTGTTCTGAGGACCTAGCTTAGATTCATTGATTATCAGACTATAGGTCAGTGGCTCCTAATTTCAAGTTTGTGTAGTCCATGGATATATTTAAGTTGACAGAGGAAAATCTATAAATACTTCAGGACTCTAGGAAATAGTGTTTGTTAAAATGCATGTGTACAGTTTTCTAAAGAAAAGTTGTATGTCTTCCAATATATATATTTTTATAAGGTCCCTATCCTAGCCTCCAAATTTAAGAAGAGTGCTATTACAGTCTTATCACTAATATAGTTTAGGCAGTCCTTAATAAATGTGTATATCCATTTCTACCCAACTGTACTTACATTTATTTCTGATATAGGGTTTGGTGGAGGTCACCTTACTTTCAATATATCAGAAGAATAGATATCAGACTTCTTGATCTTTACATAGCCCTTAATGCTTTAACCCATATTTCCCTCTAGTATAGAAGTTTCAGGTCTCTGCTATCAATACTGCATCCTGCAGGCTTATTCTCTTTGCCCTAGGAGGCAGAATTTGTGGGATCGTCTTAGCTGTCCAAGCACAGACACATGAGAGAATTTAATGAAGGCCTGCCATTGCCCTGGGGTAGGAAAATATTGCTCCCTCCCAGAGGTATTTATCTTGTTTTTGTTTCTTTTTCTCCATATTTGAACTGCACCGAATCCCAGAGTAGTAAGTGATTTTTTAATTAGCGTAAGTGGCCACAATCCTGAATCTAGAACTTTAAAGGCAGCTTCTATCTAGTGGCTCTACCACTTCCTGACTCTGTGACTGTGACCCATTATTTATCCTGCTGTATCTGAAAAATGAGGGTAATAACTATGTCTTATTTTTACATGGTTATTGAGAAGATTAAATTAGACATATCCAAAAACTGTTGTGAAAAGTAAGTGTTCTAAAAATATGTTTGATTTTATTTATTTTAAAATAGACTGTTGCCTGTTACAAAAACAAAAACAAAAACAAAACAAAACAAAACAAAAGACATTAGAGAACAATTATTTTGGGTCCTTGATTTTTATTAATGAAATGACTCCTGAACCTATTTGGAAACTTGATTTTCTCTGTACCTCTGCTTAAATAAAAATGCCTACCGAGTAATGGGAGAGTGGGTATAGGCATTCAATATTAGTGTTTGAGGAGCAAGGAAAGAAAGTTTTCTGATTTTACTTAAAAATTTTGTATATGTTGTGAAGTTTGTATTATGGACAAAGAAGTGTTACTTCCTAAATTGATATGTTTCTGATTCTACTTCTTATGGATTTCAGGAGAGATTAATCCTATAGCTTTGGCCTCCAGAAAATGACTTTTTAAAAGCTATCTATTTTAAGAATTGGGAGAGCATCACAAGCCCCGTTCATTGAATCCACCTTACAAAATACCATACTCTAATTTGGAATAGCCTCTGAGAGAGGCCGTTGTTGAGGGAAGAGGAAGTTTTCCACAACAGTGAGTGGGGAGCAAATGGAAGCCACCTTACAAAAGATCAGTGCGAGATTCCAACTCGCTAGTTGGAAAAATGGGATTGGTGGTTGGTGCCTACTCAACAACTTTCACTGGGCATAGTATAAGGATCTAAGAAAGCAAAGAAAGTTTCTTTTTAAATAAAATACTTGCATCTTTGTCATATAACCAGAAAATATTGAAAGAAATTTACTGTCTTTATTAGTTAAGAAGAAAGCAATAATTTAATGACCTCTCTTCTTCAGAGTGTTACCTCAGTCTTTACCTTTATAAAACACAGACATCTAAACCTAATTAATTCAGAGGCTACTAATATATAATTTGCAATTTTGGGCCCAATCTGTTGTGAAAGTTACCTATACATTAAATATGAGGAAAATATATACTTCAGCATTTTATATGGTATAATAATGAAGCAAACCTTGCATAGCATTTTATGCATTTCAAAAACGAGATTGTATAAACTGCTTCTTTCCAGATAAGGATTAGTAACACCAGGCGACGTGTCCTATAAATTAAAAGAGTCCAGACTGGAGTTTAACTTATCAATAGTTTACTTTCAATATGTGGAGTAGCAAGAAAATTACATTTCTTAAAAAAAATGTGTTTCATTTTTTTACTTGTTAGACTGTGTTCCCTCCCCAAATTTTATTAATTGGCAAACTTTGAATAAAGATGTTTTATAAAGGAGATAGACACAGGTAGAGAATAATTTAGTAAGTTTTATAAAAAGCTCATATCAAGATAATGCTAAACAAAATTAAGCCTTAAATAATGACACAACACTTACCTCTTGAACCACTCTGCGTGTGTTTGTTTAAAGTAGAGCAACTCCAACATATAGCTACATACACTGCTTCTCTATTTATAAGCAAATTTTCATACTTTCTTTCTCATAATCTTACCAATAGCCTGATTTAAAAAGTAGGGAAGGGGAGGAAATGAACAGTCAGAGGTTACATGAATTGGTCAAGTCATATAGTCTCAAATTTGCTAAGGATGATGCTCTAAATAAATTGTACCAATAGTGAATAACTTCAGTAGTTTTAAGGGCATCAGTTTTTGGAGTCAAACATCTGTATTTAAATCTGTTCTACTTCTTTGTAGTGGTATAATCTTAGAGGAATCATTTCTTCTCTCTGTGCCTCTGCTTTCTTGTCTGTAAAAGAAGTTATTAATAATAAGCTGATAAAAGTTGGGTGTATTAACAAAATAACATAAGAATGTTCCAAGCAGTGTGATGTAGTGGAAAAAGCGTCAATATACTTTGGATTTGACTGATATACTTTGGATCTGACTTTCAGTCTGGCCTTTGTTGATTTTTTTGTTTGTACCCTTAGGCAGATTTCTTCAGCTCTCTGTAACCCACCTGTAAGGTGCATAATTATATGGGCAAAATAACTTATACAAAGTGATATACAATATTTGGCATATGATAAGTAGTGCATAAATATAGGTCTTATGCCAACAAGTTTGTCTACACTTCCTTACCTGCAGTTTGTGATGGTGATATTCCATTATAAGTTGGTACAGAGAAGTGACATGGTACTCTTGCATTTTAATATAATGTTTACAGAAATAATTGTAATTATTAAAAATACAAACAATACATTCAAAAAAATTTACAAGAAAAACAATCCTATCAAAAACTGGGCTAAGGACAAGAATAGACAGTTCTCAAAAGATACACAAATGGCCAAGAAACATATGAAAAATTGCTCAGCATCACTGATGATCAGAAACTACAAATCAAAACCGCAATGTGATACCACCTTACTCCTGAAAGAATGGCCATAATCAAAAAATTTAGAAAAAATAGATGTTGGCTTGGATGTGGTGAACAGGGAACACTTCTACACTGCTGGTGGGAATGTAAACTAGTACAATCACTATGGAAAACAGTGTGGAGATTCCTTAAAGACCTAAAGTAGAACTACCATTTGATCCCACAATCCCACTACTGGGTATCTACCTGGAGGAAAATAAGTCATATGCGCAAACAAGAACAGATCCAGTCTGCAGCTCCCAGTGTGAATGACGCAGAAGACCAGTGATTTCTGCATTTCCAATTTAGGTACCTGGTTCATCTCACTGGGACTGGTTGGACAGTGGGTGCAGCCCATGGAGTGTGAGCTGAAGCAGGGTGGGGCATCGCCTCACCTGGGAAGCACATGGGGTCAGAGGATTTCCCTTTCCTAGCCAAGGGAAGCCATGACAGACTATAACTGGACAATTGGGACACTCCTGCCCAAATACTGCAGTTTTCCAACTGTCTTAGCAAATGGGACACCAGGAGATTATATCCTGCACCTGGCTCAGTTGGTCCCATGCCCACAGAGCCTTGCTCAATGCTAGCACAGCAGTCTGAGATCGACCTGTGAGACAGCAGCCCGGCAGGGGGAGGGGCATCCACCACTGCTGAGGCTTAAGTAGGTAAACAAAGTGGCCAGGGAAGCTCAAACTGGGTTGAGCCCACTGCAGCTCTGCAAGACCTGCTGCCTTTGTAGACCGCACCTCTGGGGGCAGGGTATAGCTGAACAAAAGGCAGCAGAAACTTCTGCAGACTTAAATGTCCCTGTCTGACAGCTCTGAAGAAAACAGTGTTTCTCCCAGCATGGTGTTTGAGCTCTGAGTACAGACAGACTGCCTACTCAAGTGGGTCCCTGAGCCCCATGTAGACTAACTGGGAGACACTTCCCAGTAGGGGCTGACTGACACCTCATACAGGTGGGTGCCCCTCTGGGACAATGCTTCCAGAGGAAGGATCAGACAGTAATATTTGCTGTTCTGCAATATTTGCTGTTCTGCAGCCTCCACTGGTGATACCCAAGCAAACAGGGTCTGCCTGGAGTGGACCTCTAGCAAACTCCAACAGATCTGTAGCTGAGGGTCCTGACTGTTAGAAGGAAAACTGACAAACAGAAAGGACATCCACACCAAAACCCCACCTGTACATCACCATCATCAAAGGCCAAAGGTAGATAAAACCACAAAGATGGGGAAAAAAGAGAACAGAAAAGCTGAAAATGCTAAAAATCAGAGTGCCTCTCCCCCTCCAAAGGAATGCAGCTCCTTGAAAGCAACAGAACAAAGCTGGATGGAGAATGACTTTGACAATTTGAGAGAAGAAGGCTTCAGATGATCAAACTTCTCCGAGCTAAAGGAGGAAGTTTGAACCCATCGCAAAGAAGTTAAAGACCTTGAAAAAAGATTAGACGAATGGCTAACTAGAATAACCAGTGTAGAGAAGTCCTTAAATGACCTGATGGAGCTCAAAGCCATGGCACAAGAACTGCATGACGAATGCACAAGCTTCAGTAGCTGATTCGATCAACTGGAAGAAAAGGTATCAGTGATTGAACATCAAATGAATGAAATGAAGTGAGAAGAGAAGTTTAGAGAAAAAAGAGTAAAAAGAAATGAACAAAGCCTCCAAGAAATATGAGACTATGTGAAAAGACCAAATCTACGTCTGATTGGTGTACCTGAAAGTGATGGGGAGAATGGAACCAAGTTGGGAAACACTCTGCAGGATATTATCCAGGAGAACTTCCCCAACCTAGCATGTCAGACCAACATTCAAAGTCAGGAAATACAGAGAACACCACAAAGATACTCCTTGAGAAGAGCAACTCCAAGACACATAATTGTCAGATTCACCAAAGTTGAAATGAAGGAAAAAATATTAAGGGCAGCCAGAGAGAAAGGTCGGGTTACACACAAAGGGAAGCCCATCAGACTAACAGCGGATCTGTTGGCAGGAACTCTAGAAGCCAGAAGAGAGTGGGGACCAATATTCAACATTCTTAAAGAAAAGAATTTTCAACCCATAATTTCATATCCAGCCAAACTAAGCTTCATAAGTGAAGGAAAAATAAAATACTTTACAGACAAACAATTGCTAAGAGATTTTGTCACCACCAGGCCTGCCTTACAAGAGCTCCTGAAGGAAGCACTAAACATGAAAAGGAACAACCAGTACCAGTCACTGCAAAAACATGCCAAATTGTAAAGACCATCGAGGCTAGGAAGAAACTGCATCAACTAATGGGCAAAATAACCAGCTAACATCATAATGACAGGATCAAATTCACATGTAACAGTATTAATCTAAAATGTAAATGGGCTGAATGCCCCAATTAAAAGACACAGACTGGCAAATTGGATAAAGAGACAAGACCCATCAGTGTACTGTATTCAGGAGACCCATCTCACGTGCAGAGACACACATAGGCTCAAAATAAAGGGATGGAGGAAGTTCTACCAAGCAAATGGAAAGCAAAACAAAACAAAAAAAAAAGCAGGGGTTGCAATCCTTGTCTCTGATAAAACAGACTTTAAACCAACAAAGATCAAAAGAGAAAAAAGAAGGCCATTACATAATGGTAAAGGGATCAATTCAACAAGAAGAGCTAACTATCCTAAATATATATGTACCCAATACAGGAGCACCTAGATTCATAAAGCAAGTCGAGAGACCTACAAAGAGACTTAGACTCCCACACAATAATAATGGGAGACTTTAACACCCCACTGTCAATATTAGACAGATTAAGGAGACAGAAGTTTAACAAGGATACCCAGGACTTGAAGTCAGCTCTGCACCAAGCAGACCTAATAGACATCTACAGAACTCTCCACCCCAAACCAACAGAACATACATTCTTCTCAGCACCACATTGCACTTATTCCAAAATTGACCACATAGTTGGAAGTAAAGCACTCCTCAGCAAATATAAAAGAACAGAAATCACAATACACTGCCTCTCAGACCACAGTGCAATCAAATTAGAACTCAGGATAAAGAAACTCACTCAAAGCCACACAACTACATGGAAAGTGAACAACCTGTTTCTGAATGACTACTGGGTACATAATGAAATGAAGGCAGAAATAAAGATGTTGTTTGAAACCAATGAGAAAAAAGACACAACATAGCAGAATCTCTGGGAAACTTTTAAAGCAGTGTGTAGAGGGAAATTTATAGCACTAAATGCTCACAAGAGAAAGCAGAAAAGAACTAAAATTGACACCCTAACATCACAGTTAAAAGAACTAGAGAAGCAAGAGCAAACACATTCAAAAGCTAGTAGAAGGCAAGAAATAACTAAAATCAGAGCAGAATTGAAAGAGATAGAGAAACAAAAAAACCTTCAAAAAATCAATGAATCCAGGAGCTGTTTTTTGAAAAGATCAACAAAATTGATAGACCAGTAGCAAGAATAATAAAGAAGAAAAGAGAGAAGAATCAAATAGATGCAATAAAAAATGATAAAAGGGATATCACCACCGATCACACAGAAATACAAACTACCATCAGAGAATACTATAAACAGCTCTACACAAATAAACTAGAAAATCTTGAAGAAATGGATAAATTCCTCTACACATACACCCTCCCAAGACTAAACCAGGAAGAAGTTGAATCTCTGAATAGACCAATAACAGGCTCTGAAATTGAGGCAATAATTAATAGCCTACCAATGAAAAAATAGTCCAGAACCAGATGGATTCACAGCCGGATTCTACCAGAGGTATAAAGAGGAGCTGGTACCATTCCTTCTGAAACTATTCCAATCAATAGAAAAAGAGGGAATCCTCTCTAACTCATTTTATGAGGCCAGCATCATCCTGATACTAAAGTCTGGCAGAGACACAACAAAAAAGAGAATTTTAGACCAATATCCCTGATGAATATTGATGCAGAAATCCTTAATAAAATACCGGCAAACCAAATCCAGCAGCACATCAAAAAGTTTATCCACCACGATCAAGTTGGCTTCATCCCTGGGATGCAAGGCTGGTTCAACATATACAAATCAATAAACATAATCCATCACATACACATAACCAAAGAAAAAAAACCCCATGATTATCTCAATAGATGCAGAAAAGGCCTTTGACAAAATTCAATAGCGCTTCATGCTGACAACTCTCAATAATCTAGGTATTGATGGAATGTATCTCAAAATAATAAGAGCTATTTATGACAAACCCACAGCCAATAACATACTGAATGGGCAAAAACTGGAAGCATTCTCTTTGAAAACTGGCACAAGACAGGGATGACCACTCTCACCACTCCTATTCAACATAGTGTTGGAAGTTCTAGCCAGATAAGTCAGGCAAGAGAAAGAAATATAGGGTATTCAATTAGGAAAAGAGGAAGTCAAATTGTCCCTGTTTGCAGATGACATGATTGTATAATTAGAAAACCCCATAGTCTCAGCCCAAAATCTCCTTAAGCTGATAAGCAACTTCAGCGAAAGTCTCAGGATACAAAATCAATGTACAAAATCACAAGCATTCCTATACACCATTAACAGAGAGCCAAATCATGAGTGAACTCCCATTCACAATTGCTACAAAGAGAATAAAATACCTAGGAATCAAACTTACAAGGGATGTGAAGGACCTCTTCAAGGAGAACTACAAACCACTGCTCAATGAAATAAAATATGATACAAAGAAATGGAAGGATATTCCATGCTCATAAATAGGATGAATCAATATTGTGAAAATGGCCATACTTCCCAAAGTAATTTATAGATTCAATGCCATCCCCATCAAGCTATCAATGACTTTCTTCACAGAATTTGAAAAAACTACTTTAAAGTTCATACGGAACCAAAAAAAAAAAAAAACAAGCCCGCATTGCCAAGATAATCCTAAGCAAAAAAAAAAAGCTGGAGGCATCATGCTACCTGACTTCAAACTATACTACAAGGCACAGTAACCAAAACAGCATGGTACTGGTACCAAAACAGAGATATAGACCAATGGAACAGGATAGAGGCCTCAGAAATAACACCACACATCTACAACCATCTGATCTTTGACAAACCTGACAAAAACAAGAAATGGGGAAAGGATTCCCTATTTAGTAAATGGTGCTGGGAAAACTGGCTAGCCATATGTAGAAAGCTGAAACTGGATCCCTTCCTTACACCTTATACAAAAATTCAAGATGGATTAAAGACTTAAATGTTAGACCTCAAACCATAAAAACCCTGGAAGAAAACCTAGGCAATACCATTCAGGCCATAGGCATAGGCAAGGACTTCATGACTAAAACACCAAAAGCAATGGCAACAAAAGCTAGAATTGACAAATTGGATCTAAATAAACTAAAGAGCTTCTGCACAGCAAAAAAAAAAAACTACCATCAGAGTGAACAGGCAACCTACAGAATGGGAGAAAATTTTTGCAATCTGACAAAGGGCTAATGTCCAGAATCTACAAAGAACTTAAACAAATTTACAAGAAAGAAACAACCCATCAAAGAGTGGGCAAAGGATGTGAACAGACACTTCTCAAAAGAAGACATTTATGCAGCCCACAGACACATGAAAAAATGCTCATCATCACTGGTCATCAGAGAAATGCAAATCAAAACCACAATGAGATACCATCTTACACTAGTTAGAATGGTGATCATTAAAAAGGCAGGAAACAACAGATGCTGGAGATGATGTGGAGAAATAGGAATGCTTTTACACTGCTGGTGAGAGTGTAAACTAGTTCAGCCATTGTGGAAAAGAGTGTGGAGATCCCTCAAGGATCTAGAACTAGAAATACCATTTGACCCAGCCATCCCATTACTGGATATACACCTAAAGGATTACAAATCATGCTACTATAAAGAAACATGCACACATATGTTTATTGCAGCACTATTCACAATAGCAAAGACTTGGAACCAACCCAAATGTCCATCAAGGATAGACTGGATTAAGAAAATGTGGCACATATATACCATGCAATACTATGCATCTATAAAAAAGGATGAGTTCATGTCCTTTGCAGTGACATGGATGAAGCTGGAAACCATCTTTCTGAGCAAACTATCACAAGGACAGAAAACCAAACACCGTATGTTCTCACTCATAGGTGTGAACTGAACAATGAGAACACTTGGACACACGGCGGGGAACATCACACACAGGGGCCTGTCGTGGGGTGGGGGGCAGGGGGAGGGATAGCATTAGGAGAAAAACCTAATGTAAATGATGAGTTAATGGGTGCAGCAAACCAACACGGCACATGTATACAAATGTAACAAACCTGCATATTGTGCACATAGGACTTAAAGTATAATAAAAAATAAAAAGTTAAAAGATTAAAAAGTCATTGACAAATGCACATGCATGCATGTTTATAGCAGCACAATTTGCAATTGTAAAAATGTAGAACCAGCCCAAATGACCAAATGCTCATCAACAAGTGGATAAAGAATCCGTGGTATGTATGTATGTATGTATCTCTGTGTGTGTGTGTGTGTGTGTATATATATATATACACACACATACATATATATATGATGGAATACTACTCAGTCATAAATAGGAATGAATTAATGGCATTCATAGCCCTGGATAAGATTGGAGACTATTATTCTAAATGAAGTAATTCAGGAATGGAAAACCAAATATTTTATGTTCTCACTCATAAGTGGGAGCTAAGCTATGAGGATGAAAAGGAATAAGAATGACACAGTGGACTTTGGGGACTCAGGAAGAAATGGTGGGAAGGGAGTGAGGGATAAAAGAGTACAAATTTGGTGCAGTGTATACTGCCCGGGTGATGGGTGCACCAAAATCTCACAAATCACCACTACAGAATTTCCTCATGTAACCAAACACCACCTGTTTTCCAATAAACTATTGGGGAAATAAGGAACTTGTAAAAAAAAATACAAAGCAGCAATTTAGATGACTATGTTAGGTGAAATCTGGGAATTAATTTCTTGTATTTTATCCAGAATTCAGTATTCTTTCATCTTATTTATAATTTTTATTTGCCTTGAACTTAGAACTTGAATTTAGCTCATATGGGGTTTGCACCAGAGATGTATATGGTGATTTCAGCCAGAATCAGAACTCATAGTCTCCAGCATTTCAATTTTGTTTCCCCAGGTTGGCTATAAGTTCTACAGAGTCCAGGGATTATAGAACGCCAATGGCATTTTGGCCACAATAAATCTAATACTGACTGCAACATCACTGTCACCACATTCCTGAGAAGATTACTTCTTTTTGGAGATATCTGTAAGTAATCTATTGTAATGTCATAAACATGTGGGAGCCCTTGCCTACTTCATCATTACATCATGCCAGTTCTTTCTCTGAAATATGTTAAGGTAGATCACTTCTCTCCATTTAATTTCTACCTCAACACCTGAATTTTACATTCCTTATAACTTTTTTTGTGTTAAGCTTCTAGTTTTTGTTCTAATAAGATATTCTATATTCAGCAATAAATAGAGTCTAGTTTAGGCACAGTGTAGAATATCACTTCAAAATTTTGCTCAGAAACTTATGGCAAGTCTAAGTGAACTCTCAATAAGCATTTAATAATTTCATAAGAAATCCCATTCTTATCCTTACTCTCCTGCTAGGAGTTTTATTGTTCATGCAATCATTCTGGTACATTCTAAACAATCTGTCATCCTGTGGTTTGTCTGAGTTACTTTTGGCATGACAGAAGAGCAAAATTCTTTTTTTTTTTTAACCATGTTTCTTATAGGCCTGTGTGTGTCAACACACATTCAGCGAGCACCTACCAGATGCCTGTCTTTAAGCTAAATTCTGGGCATTCAAAAATGGCCAAGGCATTATCTGCTCTTCAAGTGCCCTCAGTCTAATGGGGAAGTGCAGACAGACTGACAAACTGGACACACTATGAAGAGCGATGTGCTGGCAGCACAGGCAGGGTAAAGTAGTTGGTGGTTGGGAAATGTAGGCAGATCTAGCAGTAGGCAGATCTGTCAACCCAGAAGAACTGGTGTCAATCCTCTTTCTTTAATGGATAAAGATATCTATTCTGGAGCCAGACTAAAGAATAGCATGTCCTCAAACCTACATATGTGTCTATTATATAATAATTATTATTAATCTTAGTCTGTGCTGCTATAAGAAAATAGCTGGGACTAAGCAACTTATAAAGAACAGAAATGTATTTCTCACAGTTCTGGAAGCTGAGATATCTAAGATCAAGTTGCCAGCAAATTTGATGTCTGTTGAATGCTCTCTGCTCCCAAGATGACATTTTCTTGCTGCATTCTCACATGACAGAAGAGTACAAAGAGGGACAAATGCTGTGTCCTGACCTGGTAGAGGAGGTGGAAGGGCCAGGTGGTTCTCGGAAGCCTCTTTTATAAGGGCATTAATCTCATTTATGAGGGTGGAGCCCTCATGATTTAATCACATACTAAAATGCCCCACCTCTTAATACCACCATAATAGGGGTTAAATTTTGGAGGGACACAAACATTCAGATCAGAGCTTTCTGCCTCATTTTAGAAAACAGTTAAAACAGTCTCTGGCATTCAGGTGCCCTCAGTCTAATAGCAAGACACATAGGCAAGCTAATGAACTGGACACACTCTAATGAGTGACATGATGGAGGTACATGCAGGTAGAGTGGGAGCTGGTAGTGGGGAAATGCAGGCAGATCGGTAGTACCGGAAGAGCTGCTGTCAGTTCCTCTTTCTCTAATGGATAAGGATATAAATTCTAGAGCTACACCTACAAAAAGCATATTTAAACTACATATGTTTAAATAGCATATTTACACTCTATGTGTTTATTATTACTATCATTGTTAATCCACATTTCTTCTGTTTTTGAAATATATTTTACACTCTTGTTTTAAACATTTTAGATAAATTGGTGGCTTTCGAGTGTTCTAATTATGATACAATTTGACAAATACAATTTATATTAAGTCCAGCCTATGCAGTCATATATATGTATAGGTATGTACATACATGAATATAATACATATATGTGTGAAGCACTCTAATACTTTCTATTCCATTTCATTCTATTTTTATTCCATTCTGTTAATTATAACCAGAAGAATGACTGTCACAACCTACTGCTTTTAATTTAATGATCTAACAATGGGTTGAGACTTGTAGTCTGAACACACTAATGAGAATAATATGACCAAGTAAATAAGAAATTACATAGTATTATAAGTGCCACCATAGGATGTAATACGTAAAGATGCTAAGAAAGGGTAGAGGAGGGAGTCCTGACAAGCACACTGAGGGCAAGAACCGGGTCCTGGTCATTTTTACTCTATGGTATTTGGCATTTAGTTGGTTCTTCACGCATGTTTTTAAATTAATAAAGCTGGATGAAGTAAGCATCATTACTTGTAAATAATGCTCTAGCATGGCCATTTCTTCTTTCAGTTCCAACGAAGAAGACAAGACTAGGGCATATTTGCCACCACATGTGCCTGCTCTTGGCAGACGTTGTAATGACACCCCTTTTTCTCAAACCTCAGATTCTTTTCCAGTGTAACGATGCAGACATCTGCTACAAATCCACTGGACTAGCATGGGTGATGAAATCTGTTTTTAGGATATTTTGTTATAAATTTATTTTTTGTATGCTACTGGCAGGTTGAACAGAGCCAGGTTCACTCTAAGTCTTTCTTTGAATTGTCCATTTCTCAAAAGCCAAAACAATTGTCTCTTAATTAATTTCCACTCAAAAGAGTGCTTAATATGATGTCTGGCACACAGTGGGTTCACATATTGAGATGGTATAAATTTGTTGTAAATTCAACTCCACTTTCTCATCAAATTGAGACTGTTAAATTGTGAACATATTTTTGGTTTCCTGCTTCATAAAATATGAGCACTCTAATCCCAGATGGCACATCCTCCAGAAACATATGGACAAGACAATTTATAAGGAGTGCTCTTTCAGGAGTCGGCTCCACTTAACAGAGGAGGCTGTATGATTTTGCCAGGACCTTTCAAGCTACTCATCGAGGAGGAAGGTGAACAGGTCTTAGTCATGTAGCCAAGGGATTAAAAAAAAAAAGTTTGCCATAGATCTTGTTTCTTGAAGCATATGTCTTTTCATAATTAGGGATGGAGTCAGGTAGGGTGGGGATTTTTTGTCCCTACAAGTGTAGGGCACACATTTTGTAGATGAATATATAATATGGTCCTTTTTGTAGTGAATATATAATATGGGCCTGTGTGTGTTTTTGTTGTTGTTTGTTGTTGTTGCTGTTGTTGTTACCTATAACCAAAGTAGGCTATACTGGTCATTCCAGTTCATGCTCAGGGAGGACACCTGCAAAGAAAGAAAAGGTACTATTATTTATAGCTCCCCTACTAGATAACACTATCCAAACACTGTTGCATACATTACATCATGTGTTCTAATGCTGTGTCCTAGTGTGTCTCTCATGTTATGTTGAAATATGATCAGATAGTCAGAAATATGACCAGAAATATTATAACTAAAGAGGATGGCTTGGTAGAGATTAAGAAGCCCTAATTGGAAGAATCTTTCTCTGTGTAACATCTCCTTCTACCTGAGAAACAGTGATGATTAAGTTTATGTGTCTACTTGGCTGGGCTAAGAGATGACCACATAGCTGCTAAAACAATATCTCTAGGTGTGTCTTTGAGGCTGTTTCCAGAAGACATTAACATTTGAATCAGTGGACTCAGTAAAGATCTTCCTCACCAATTTGGGGAGGCATCATCTAATTTGTTGAGGACTTGAATAAAACAAAAAAGGCAGAGGCAGGGCAAATTTACCCTCTTTCCTCCCTTTTCTTGAGCTGGGACAACCATCTCATATTCTCCTATCCCTGGACATAAATGGTCCTGGACTATGGTCCTGGATCAACTTACAACGCAAGCCACCCCTACCCACCACCACCCCAGACTGCAGATTGTGAGACGTCTCAGTCTCCATAATTTTGTAGACAGTCTCTAATAATTAATGCCTTTTTTGTATATCTATATATTTCTATTGGTTCTGTTTCTCTGGGGAACCCTGACTAATACAGAAAGTTAGTTTTTTAAGCCAAAAGGTCATTTCAATCCTTTGAGCTTCAGTTGTTGCATCTGTGAAATGGAAAATGATACCAAATTCACTGGATTACTGTAGGGGCTGGAGATTCAGCATGTAACATGCTTAGTAAATCACATGGCACATTATTAATGGTTCAACAAGTATGGATAAGTATACAAAGGTACATAATAGCTGGTTGTTTAGTAAGGATGATAATTAGAGTAGTTATTTCTAAAACCCAAATAACAAAAAGAAAATCTTTGCCTACTATATAGTTCTACACAAAATGATTTGGAAGCCCAGAATAGGGAATATTGAATTTGGGGAAGACTAGACAATTTTCGTGGAGGAAAAGTAGAAATTAACTTTGGTTTTGAAGTGTGACAGTTGTCTTCTAGTCAGGAAAAAAGCAAGGTAGAGTTATGTCACTGCAGATAGGGTGAACAACAGAAGTAAAGAGATAGTAAAAGAAAACATGGTACATTCTGGGGAAAATGGAATTTTTTATGTATTAGACAGGTTATATTCATGGTATATAGTGGTTGCAGAAAATACAATATACATTGATGGCTGTCAAATAATAAGAAACCCTATACACTATGCTAAGGGTTCACACTTTGCCCTGGCAATGGGAGTAGTAGGGTCAGGTCTATGTTTCTATTTACTAACATACAGTTTACAGGGTTAAAAATCTGGTCTTTTCTTGTTGTGTCAACAGAGGTAAAAAAAAAAAAAAAAGCCTCAAGTCTGTTCTTAGGAGCACAATGTTTCAATGCCTGCCAGATATAAATAAAATGAGTTACATAAAAATATGCCTGACTTATCTGTAAACAATCCATTATTAATATAGTGAGAACAAATTCCATTTTTGGCTTTCCAATATAACTTTTGTATATAATTCCCAGTGACAGAGCTGGGATGTCTTTCTTATGTATTTTACTCTAGTGCCTGTAATATTTACAGTAAGCTATGCTACCTTCTATTGTGAACATCCTCTACAATGCTTGGTGCACACTAGGTGATCAGTAAGTGATGCTGCATAAACATTGGAGGACTTCAATGGACTCTTTCAATACATCCCTTCACCCCCATTGTGTCTGCACTCCCAGGAAGCTTCCTTGATGTTGCTTTTCCTTTTAGGCCGATGGTAGCTGGAGCTGGGGCAGCTATTTATAATTCTTAAATTGCGTGGGACACTGTCTCTTAGAACGATAGTGAGGACAGTGTCCCAGACATTTTGCTATATGCCAGATCAGACAGTCTGCTAAGATGTTTTTCCAGGTCCCTGTAATCCCATGACTAGTATTTGTAGGAGATTTAAATCATGTTTGCATGGTTTAGCAAGATGGAATCAGAGAAATAATGTTTAAGCTTTGAGCATTTCAGTGGTTCACAAACACATCACAGCTTCTATTTACTTTCCATTTAAAACACAAGTTGAAGAAGTCCACATAGTTAAAAATCCTCACAGAGGCAACAGGCAGAGAGAGTTACCTAGTACTTGTTATACTTTCAGCACTGTACTAAGTACATCATCCATTAGTTTTTTGAATCCTTACAATTACCATGAGATGTAGATATTAATTGTTCCATGTTTCTGATGGTGAAACAGAAATATAGAGATGTTAAATAACTTGTCTGCAGTCTTGCAGCTATCATTCAGGACATAGGCATGGGCAAGGACTTCATGTCTAAAACACCAAAAGCAATGACAACAAAAGCCAAAATTGACAAATGGGATCTCATTAAAGAGCTTCTACACAGCAAAAGAAACTACCATCAGAGTGAACAGGCAACATACAAAATGGGAGAAAATTTTCGCAACCTACTCATCTGACAAAGGGCTAATATCCAGAAGCTACAATGAACTCAAACAAATTTACAAGAAAAAAACAAACAACCCCATCAAAAAGTGGGCGAAGGACATGAACAGACACTTCTCAAAAGAAGACATTTATGCAGCCAAAAGACACATGAAAAAATGCTCATCATCACTGGCCATCAGAGAAATGCAAATCAAAACCACAATGAGATACCATCTCACACCAGTTAGAATGGCAATCATTAAAAAGTCAGGAAACAACAGGTGCTGGAGAGGATGTGGAGAAATAGGAACACTTTTACACTGTTGGTGGGACTGTAAACTAGTTCAACCATTGTGGAAGTCAGTGTGGCGATTCCTCAGGGATCTAGAACTAGAAATACCATTTGACCCAGCCAACCCATCACTGGGTATATACCCAAAGGACTATAAATCATGCTGCTATAAAGACACATGCACATGTATGTTTATTGTGGCACTATTCACAATAGCAAAGACTTGGAACCAACCCAAATGTCCAACAATGATAGACTGGATTAAGAAAATGTGGCACATATACACCATGGAATACTATGCAGCCATAAAAAATGATGAGTTCATGTCCTTCGTAGGGACATGAATGAAATTGGAAATCATCATTCTCAGTAAACTATCGCAAGGACAAAAAACCAAACACTGCATGTTCTCACTCATAGATGGGAATTGAACAGTGAGAACGCATGGACACAGGAAGGGGAACATCACACTCTGGGGACTGCTGTGGGGTGGGGGGAGGGGGGAGGGATAGCATTAGGAGATATACCTAATGCTAAATGACGAGTTAATGGGTGCAGCACACCAGCATGGCACATGTATACATATGTAACTAACCTGCACATTGTGCACATGTACCCTAAAACTTAAAGTATAATAATAATAATAATAAAATAAAAATAAGAGGAAGAGCAGGGATTTGAATGTATATCTGCCTGCCTCCAAAATCCTGTATGGGCACAGCCTTTTATTTAAAACCCAGACACTGAAAAAAAAAATCCTGTTTATTCTTCTGTAAATTTCTACCATCTGCTGAGAAGCTGGAGCATCACCTAGCCTGAACACTGTCTTATTACCAGCAAATAAATGTCAGCGTAAAGACCGTAGAAATCATCTGTTACCTCAGTCTTCAAGAAGTGCATCCACCCGCACCTGACAGCACTTTCCAGCAATGCTGGGAAACATAAATAGATTAGTGAGTCTGGAGTCTTAGGGGGTGCGTAACCTTATGTTTCTGAACATTTAACTTATTAAAATTCACAAAGAAAGACCTTATGGTGCCATCATTTTATCCAACTAACATCATCAGTATGGCTCAAGGGCTATGGCTTTCTACACTCACCCTAGCAGCAGTGAACATATGGTTTTACTTCTCTCTAAAGCCTCAGGGCATCTGACAGTACCTTTCATGGATAATGGATAAAGGCTGCCATACCGGTAGGTAACTTCTGTTCCATCAGTACTGCCTTAGTGCCAAGAATGCTGAACAAATTCCAGGAGGTTTTGAACTGACCTAGGTCTAGTCTGTCAACAGTAACAACCTTAGGAGCAGCAGGGGCAAATGCTTCCTGTTTAACTGCGCTTTGGAGTTCTTCTATGTTTGCTTGAGCTCCTTAAAGAAGGAGCCACACAGTTAAGCCACAGGTTGTAGTTGCCACATTTTTTATTATTGCTTTGACTGTGTTACTTTGTTCTTTTTGATATCTGCCTTACTGCTCCTGGGTTAGAAATTACAACTTTTTGTTACAGTAGCCTCAAGGAACTATGGAAAATATGCTTTGACAGTGCATTCAAAGAAAGTAAGGTAGTTGAAAATGGTTTTGCACATTGTTTCCCACATTCCCTACAGCAGCTGAGCTATAAATAGCATTACTATGTTTTAGTGTCAGTATCTTCCTAGTAATTAAATATAGTTTTATCTAATCTGCAATCCATTGTCAGTTGTTCAAGAGGGTCAGCGTCTCCTTTCCACTTTCCCCAGGAATTCTCATATTGAGATGTAGTGCAGTAGATTTATCAAAGTCCTGGAAAGCAACTAAGCTAAGCAGTGAATTTTCAGTTATTTTGGAGAGGAAACACATGAGTAATTTTCTCATCTTTGGAATTTACTATAGGATACTGAACACAAAGAGGATAGGCTTTGGAATCTGATTTAACCAGGTCCAAGTCCAACCTCCACTAGTTCTGGGTCATCTTCAGCAATACTTAATTTGCTAATTACTAGTACTCCTACTTATTTTCCTCCTACTTTCCTTCCCCTTATGCATATGAATAACTATTACCATAACTCACAACTTGTCTAGGAACCCACATCAGTACTCACCATTGACTTATTTATGACACATCTAATTCTTATCCCTGTGCTTCATAATTTGTGTTCAATATCTATCCTGGACTTTACCTTTCCTCATAAGCTCCATAGAGAAAAACTCTAGTAAAAGGCATTAATTTTTTTCACCTGGGCCACAGCCTGTACATGGTCTCCTCCATTTCATTCATGTACCCTTTACAGTCTATTGTCCACAAAATTTATCTCCATAGTCCTCCACAGCCAGAGTGAACCTCTTAAAATTAGATCACATAATTCCTTTGCCGAAAGCCATCCCTTGGCTCAAATTAAAATTCCATACCCTTTATGATTGCCTACAAGACACTGGCCCTGGCCTATCTTTCTCTCCTCATTTCTTTCTACTTTTGATCTGACCACTCTGTTCCCAGCAACTTAGCATTGTTGATGCATCATGAAGACACAGAATTCACTCTCATTTCAGGACATTTGCCTCTGCTGTTTGCCCTATCTGGAATTCCCTTCCCCATGATATTTATGCTAGATCCTTCACATCATTAAGGTTTAACATCGCCCTTGAGCATCATATTTAAATGGAATTTGTCCCCATCCTAACTCTGTCCTCTAATTCTGGTGGTGGCTCGGCATTTGATTGTGACTGTCCCTAGTTTGTGTGTTTATTTATTTATGACATTAATGATTTTTATTTCTTTTGCTTAGTGTTGAAACTCTAGTATTCACAGAAGGATCTGCAAATAACAGCATTACATATTTGTTGAATAAATATGTTGATAAATGAATGAATAAGATCCACTTTTAGAGAAATAATTCCTCCCTTGAAGGATTGCTGTAAGGATAAGAATGAAAATATAAGGCAATTACTAACCATGTTGGGAATGAAGCTCTCACAAACTGTTGTTGTTACTGTTACTACTGTTGTTTCACAAAAATTTTGATAGACATTACAATTCTTGGACACATAATAAAAATGTAACATACTTAGGTCTATTTTTAATGTATTATTATTTATTATTATTGATGACTAAATGTGACCATCACCAGGCTGAGACTTGGGTGTGATTTACAGTATCTGTAACTGCCATTATCTGTTGATGTGTGCTTATGTAATTATCTAATTGTGACTTTTTCAGTATTATTTGCTTTGGTAATACCACCCTCAGATTAATTTTAACTTAAATTTTTATCTATAATTATTGTTTAATGTATCTTCCAATATATTACACCAACAATGGTGTATTAAAATGATTTTGTATGCAGAAATTCTGTGAAGCAGACATACACAGACACAGTCATATGTTTTACTGTTCTACTTCATTTCCCAAATATTTTCATGTGCTTATTAGTGGGGCTTCATTGTGAGGCTCAGCTTGCCCCCTCACTGTATCCATCCCTTAAGAGACTTACAGGTATCAATCTAATGTCCTGTCCATTTGGCAGCTACAGGGTAGGAATGGATACAGGACAGAGAAAGATAACTGGAAAATCTTTGCAGGATTCTAGCCCAATTGCTTCAGTCATGGTAGCCAGACTCACTTTTGAAGTTTAGTCCGTCAGAGACTACAGCTGCATTGAAGTCTTCCCTGATGCCCAAGGGCAACTTGCTGAGCTTGTTTGAATTGCCCATAGTCATTTGCTCAGTCACATCTATGGAAGGGCTGGCCCTCCTCTGCAAAGCTGAGGAAGTTTTCATGCCTATTTAACTACTTCCTTCTAATACATTCTCCTGTGACCTCTATAACAGAGGACTTTGTTCAGGATCACCTGCTCCTCTTCATTAGACCTCCCTGGCTACACTATGGGAGATGAGGTGTTAAGTGCTAACGTGCCTCTCTCTAGTGATAAGAGCTAAGGATCCTCGGGGGAGGGGAATATTGCAGGAAAGCCTTCATTATGCCAAGAGTTCCACTGCAAGCTGTCCTTTGGATTGTGAGTCTATTCACCTAACAGCTGCATAACTAAGAGTAGCTCTGCAAATGACTCACTTCAAGCATTAACATCCACATCAAGCCCTCCTAATAATTTAAAAAGAAAACAGGGGTAGGGGGAATGCCGCCTAGTTATGCCCCATTATTGTTTGATTAGTTTACAATAATAAACCACCACTAGAAACAAAATTTATTGTATTTATTGTGGCATTTTCTGTATCCTGAAAAGGTATTCTTGAATTGAAGGTATATCTTAAAATCACTGATATTTTAGAATTTAGAAAATACACATGTACACAGAGCAAAAGTGAAGCTATTATCACCTGGCATTATAGTACCAAACTTGACATAAATCTTATGCTAGAAATTCCCTTTCCCTTTGTAAGGTATTTTCAAGTTATCCAAAGTCAGTTTGATACATTTCAACCTCAAAGCACAAAACCTATTCTTGCTTCTTTGATGTGAGTAAACACTAATCTAAAGCTTACTACACATTATTTGCCCTAAGACCATCTAGGATCTACCCATTGCAGACTTACCAGGCAAGGCAGCCTATTGTTCAGAGTCTAGCTACAATTTAGGAAAATAAAATGTTTCATAAGGAAAAAGAAAGCTAGATGTCTTTGACTTGTGCAGCGAGTCAAAGATAAAGAGACTTTTACCCTGTGATCTTTATTACCAAATAATACTGTACCCAATACAAACCCCAAAATTCACCTAACCGAGATTAGACCTTTTCTTAGGAAATCTCATGACATGCCCTTTATGTGAGTCAGAGAAGTGAAACTGTTGAGCTGTTTTCCAATAGGCTGTCAATAACTAAAAGAGATGTCAAAATAATGGGATTTGTTTACTCCAGATACGTTATTGGAAGAATAGAATAAGCTGAATTTTTCCTGCAAAGTCCCAATTGTGTAAGGTTTTATTTTATTAACAAAATTAAGTCAATAAGTGTATAACTTCATGTAGTTCTTCATTTATGTTTTTTGGAAAAAATTCTCATGTTGCTAGGACACTTTTTGTAAACAATCAACAATAACAGACATATTTGTTTTCATTAGTAAAGCTTTAAGCAAGATTTAATTCTTCATTTAAGAACCACTTGAATGACTCCTCCTAGTTACAAAAATGTAAGTAGCCACCCATTCAACATATTCATCTTTTGTGATTTGATGAAGGCTAACTTTTTAATAATTTTCATAAGAATCTCTGCACTACTTGGCATAAGAATCTCTAGGAAGAAAGGGAATGAATCTCTTGTCTCTTCTCCAGATTTGAAGTTAGGAAAACCTGTCAGGGAAGATAAGGAGATTATGAAGAAAACCTTCTATTAAATAAGATATATCAAGTTTATACTTCAAAGTCTTCAAAGGTCACATAAAATTATCTAAATAATTGCTTCAAAGGATTGTTGTGAAGATTAAATGAGGCATATAAAGGACATAGAAAAGCACCTAAAAACCCCGATATTTGCTGAGATACACAACCCACATCCTTTTCAAGAAATATAGAATGGATTCAGTCATTGCCATGTAAACATTGCTCAGTGAATGTTAATGTTGTTATCATTTTACTAGTCATCAAACTTCTATGTACAGTAAATGTTATGATAAAAGAAATCTCATCTGTATTTTTTCTACAGTGAGATTAATGAGTCATTTTATATTTATTAAAAGAAGTGAATGCCAACATGATATGCCATATTTGAAAATGACTAACAAATCAATTTCCAGTCTCCGCACTAGGTTCAGTTTATTCTTTTTCTTACTGGAATTTAAAGGAAGTGATTAGGGACAGGTTTGAATCTGAGATTTTCCAATGGGAAAATTATTATCCTATGAAGAAACTTTAAAACGACACTATTTTCCAATTCCTGAGCTACAGAAGAGCAATTGCTACTCAAAACCTGACATTAGCTACACTTAGGTTGTTATCTGTCTAAAACCAAACTTAGATTATCTGTCTGTCCCTACAAACTCTCCAAATGCCTGTTTGTTTACTGGCTGTAGCATCCAAGAAGTTGAGAAGAGAAGTGTCCATTTATTATTGCCATGGGCATAAGGTTTTCTTTTCTTTAAACAATGCTAAAATCCCTTGGTCATTGCCATGTAGATTTTTTAGATTGGAAAATATCAGTTCACTGAATATAAAATATGATTTGGCCACATGCAATTTCTAGGAGTAACACTTGTTAAGCATAACCACTTCATGAAACTCCCTCCCCTCTGGTGGTACAATGATCAAGGAAACGAGCAAACTGACACATGACACTTCTAATAGAAAGGACATAAATTAGCTCACTGCCACAGGTTTTTTGTTTGTTTGTTTTCCTGATTGTAGATTCAGTGTTGCTTTCCTCTTGTGGATTTTCTTGACAAAATAATTTGGTATTTTACCTAAGTCTCTCCAAACTCACCAAATGCCTGTATGTTTGCTGGCTTCTGAGAGTCACTTACAAAAGTGTTTAAAAGAAGCAAAATCAACGGCCTTCTCACTTGACATGAAGAACCCACTTGTAGAAGACATGGCTCAAAAGTCTCTTCTCAACACAGCTGTGCTAACAGATTGCTGATCAGTGAGTGACCTTTTTCATCAGAGCAGTTCAAAGCTGCCTTTCCAACTTTGTTTTTAATTTAATTATCATTTGAAGGGAGGAAAATCCTTTTATGCATCACTGAGAAAGAGACTGTATCTTGGGACTACAGTGACGATGATCTTGCCTATTGCAAGGCCTGAGAACTGTCTGGTAAAAGCAAAACTTTGTTCCAGATCAGAGAAGCATTTAGGTTAAAAATAATTGGGTTGCTCTTCAAATAATACAGAACTTAAGTAGATTGAAAATAGGAAAAGCAAATATTCTCTATAAATCTCAGACCCTACTTGGGACAATAAAAGTCTTTGAGCTGATGGTTGCCTTGTTTTATTCCATTATTTCGGGGGATAATCTTTGTTTTAATTCTAGTGTGAACCTTTGTATATTGCTTTCCCATGTAAACCAGGGCAGAAAGCATCTCATGGCTTTATTTATCCAAACACTATCAAAATAGCATGTATGAAAAAATGAATAACTTAGGCAAGGCTAAGTTATTTCTGATCAAGAGATTAATAAACGTGCTATATTTACTAACTTTGAATAGAGGTCCCAAATTCATAAGGGTTTCCTCTCATTCCTACTTTGCCATGGTCACCCATTGTGTAGTGGATGACTGGTTTTGTTCTCTCCATGTAAATGAGCCTATAGTCCATAGGCCGATATCCATTACAGGTTAACTCCTGACCCTGACTTTGTTCTCAGCTTGTGTGTTGAAAAATTGTACCTGCCCTGCCCTCTGCTTTTCAATCTGCCTTTGCTATCTTCACTTCTGACCTCTTGCCTCCTTTCTTTTGCATAGCTTACAAGGTCTTGATAATCCCTTAGGAGATACTTTCTAGGTAGGCACCAAACATAATGTTAACCATTAAGAACACAAGAATAAGGTATATCCTCTTTCATTTATATGTTTTGTCTCACAGTAAAGATAGGCAGAAAGATCATTTCAGTAAAGTGGGATATTAGCAGGTGGTCTTCCATAGGTCGATTTAGGTCCTAACGCTTCTTTCCTCCTGCAGACCTCTCATCCCCAAGGACCTTTATGTTCTTGGCTTCCATCTGGTGGACAGAGAAAAAAAGAGGGTGAAGACTTTGTAAGGAATTATGGGGCCAGATTTGTTGTTAGGTATATTCATTTCACTCCTGTCCATTGTCAGATCTTGTTCATATGGCCCTCCACAATGTTGGCTAGGCGTGTTAATTTTCTATTGCCATTGTAACAAATCACCACAAATTTAGTGGCTTAAAAGAGTACAAATTAATTTTCTTACCATTTCAGAAGTTAGAAGTCTGAAATCAGTTTCACTGGGCAAAATCAAGACTTGAAGAGGAGAATCCATTCTCTTGCCTTTTTCAGCTTCTAGAGGGTGCCTGAATTCCTTCGCTCATGATTTCTTTGTGGCATCACTGCAAACTCTTGCTTCCAAGGTCATATCTTCTATTACTTGTTATTCTCCTTCCTCATTTTTATAAGAGCCTATCTGAGTACAGTGGCCCCAAGTTAATCACAAAGGCTAATCTCTCCAATGTAAGATCCTTAATTTAACCACATATATCAAGTCCCTTTTACCGTGTAACATAACATCTTTACAGAGTCTTGAGTTAGGATATGAACATCTTTCAGAGCCATCATTCAGCCTATCATAGGAAGAAAATAGTCTTGTTCTGTGCTCTGGGGGAGAAGGAAACTGATTTGGTGAACAGTTTGCCAGTATGTATAATAATAAAAAAGTCTATTACATATTGCATATTTACTTTTTTTGATGTGTATCGTATCTGGTATATCAACATACATATAAATACCAGATAAATATTTTATTTGCATTGTCTTACTCACCAAGTCTGTGCATAAAGTATGATTATTTCTAATTTACAAAGGCATAAAAATAAGGCTTAGAGGATTTAAGTACTTGCCCAAAGTATCAAGGTTAGTGGTGGAGTTGGATTTAAAACAAGGTGTGGCTGACTGTAGAACCTGTCCCTCTTTATCACTATAAGGCACTGTCAACATAGACTGAAACACAGGATACTATTTTATTAGACCACAAAAAAAGGAGACTTTAGCCCAAAGCAGAGCTGCGGGGTTAACTTCACTGACATATTAGATACAAGGATTGGTACTAATTTTCAGTTGATGACTCTTACTTCCCAGGGGCTACAATCTCTCATTGCCTCTTGATTTGTGTCTCCCTCCAGCTCTTCCTGCAAACCTACTAGTTGAAATAGTTGGCTCCTTGTCATCTCCACCAATCTCAGAATCTGTGACTAAAATAATTCTCTACATTCTGTCACTCTAGACCTAAACTGACCTGAGCCATGGTGAGGTATTGAGATGGGGAAGGGAATGATAATAAAATTCAGGTAAGGAAGAATTCAAAAGACAGAAATGTGGGGCAAGGATCAGGGCAGGCTCAGAGAGGCTCAGAGAGGCCAAAGGCCTGGGTGACCGCTACTTGGACAGTGGGGTTCAGTAGAGAGAAATGTCTTCCAGCCTTCAGAACAGCAGACCTCCAGGTTTTCTGCCTCATATTTCACATATCAAGATTGCATGCCAGAATCTCTCTATCAAAAAGATTTTGATTTGTATCTACTCAAAAGAAATTACAGATTCTGTATGGACTCTTTCTTTGGCAGAAATTAAGTTAATATGCCAGCACATGGTGACCCAAGTGACCCTTTTTCAAAAAAAAACATGAAAGTGAGTCATTGTGGTTTGTGCTGACAAGCACTGAGAAATGGTAACCATTCTTTCTCTTTTTCGCAGTGACATCTGTTGACTTTCTCATAATGTCTATATAATGGACAGTAGAAGATATTATGGTACAATTTAGTAAGTCTTTGCTGCAGAAACTTCCTCACTCTCACTAAATGAGGATGACCCACTAATTTAAAACCAACAAACATATTTGAAACTCCTGATTGTTTGAATTCATGATAAGATACTTCTGTTACCTAGTTAGCCAAACCTGAAGTCATCAGCTCTTTTAAATGAAGTATTCCAGAGGACACCACTTTCGCGTACAAAGCCATTTTAACACAGTGGGATGTGAAGTGGACAGAGTGCTCTAACTTATAACCAACTTTTCAGTAAATGTGGTCAACATACATTCAGCAGGGACCTACTCTTTTCCAGGCACCAGGCTAGATGGTGCAGGGAATCTAGGTTCATGTCTTGTCTTTGTTAATAATTAGCATTGTGAACTTGAGGAAAAGTACCATTTTCTAAGCCACAGTTTCCTTATCTCTAAAGTGAATATAATGATACTTGACCAATCAGCCTTAGAGAGTTGTTGGGGATTTCAAAGAAGGTAATATATTTCACAACTCTTTTGTAAATGATAATAAAGATTATACAAGCATTTACTCTTCATATAAATGGGTTGTGCTTGGCATTCAATTCAAACATAACATACTGGGTTCATTTAGTTTTCAATTCTGTTGAAAGGGAACTCACTTTCTTAAAGATTATTTGAAAATAATCATCTGTCCACTCCCCCACACTGAATTGCATAAGGTTACTCTATAAATTTCTTGATAACCTGTAGGCTAATTCCTTAAAATCTTAATCGTCTTTCTGGGCTCCCATGCATTATGTACAATACCATTGTTGCCAACACAGGAATGCAATACTCATGAATATATAATGTGTAACTATTCACCTCTGACATATTTAAGTATATGCATGTTATGTCTCCTGGCAAAATTACAGAGTACAAATTATTTCAATTAATAATAATGCTTTTCATGAAATTAATTACACATTACATTGAGATTTTGAAATTGCATGGTGAAATATAGTTGCAAACACAGCTATTAAAACTGTATTAGGGGCCGGGCGCGGTGGCTCACGCCTGTAATCCCAGCACTTTGGGAGGCCGAGGCGGGTGGATCATGAGGTCAGGAGATCGAGACCATCCTGGCTAACAAGGTGAAACCCCGTCTCTACTAAAAATACAAAAAATTAGCCGGGCGCGGTGGCGGGCGCCTGTAGTCCCAGCTACTCGGGAGGCTGAGGCAGGAGAATGGCGTGAACCCGGGAAGCGGAGCTTGCAGTGAGCCGAGATTGCGCCACTGCAGTCCGCAGTCCGGCCTGGGCGACAGAGCGAGACTCCGTCTCAAAAAAAAAAAAAAAAAAAAAAAAAAACTGTATTAGGAAATCTCATTCTACCCAAATCTCTCTCCTCAACCCATGTTTCAAACTTTGTAATAAAGAATCAGCTAACTTGTGTTTCTTTAACTGATAGTGCTCTTTATAAGAACAGTGGACTTTTTATGTACATTATTTCAAATCTTCTAGATAGGATACTAGATGATCTTATGATGCATATTTTTACTGGCAAAGGCATTGGGGAAAAAATAAGAAATAAAAAAATACATAAATGTGTGTCTAAATAACTGTGTTATACACTTAGTTCCACAAAATCACAGGACTGGGAGGGAGTTAATGTAGTCTGAACTTCCTGTAGGTGATTGATTCCTTCCTTACAAGTACCTAGCAAAGGGCTGACCAATCCAGCATTTTATCTTCCAGTATGGAAGAGGTCATGACTACTCAAGGAAGCACATTCCATTGTGGATAAATTTTTATATTGAATAGTTTTCTTTTAATTTTTAAAAATTAATTATTTAGCTGACACATGGTAGACTCAAGGATAAAGAGAACAAGAAATAAATAGTCCATATCTTCTAGCAGTTTAGAATCTAGATTAAAATATGAAAAAAAGAATGTTGAACTTCTCTATCAAATACATTAACTCTCTGTAGTCACAAGTGTGAAAATGACTATACCAAGGTAAAATTATTTGCTGATTTATAATTTATACTATGTCTTATTCCAAGGTATATTGGAAATTACTTAGAACACAGTTCTTATTTCCTAATTAGAGGTTACATACAAGTTAATGTGAACAACTTACAGTTTTCCTGAAATGGTAATACAAAATAAACTTGCTGACCACATTTTTGTATAAGAAATATTAAATAGCATTTAAGTGATATCATCATATATGATTTGAAAAAGAAAACCTCCCTTGATTGTTCCATTAGTCTGTAGTAATTAGATTAATTTTAGATATCAGAGCAACTACGTATAGTATTCAGAATAGTTTATCACGTTCACCTCCCAGCATATAGATACATTACTTTCTATGATACGTACCTTCTCTCTATGACATTTGAACAACTTAATACACTGGAATTTGTTTGAGAGAACAACTTTTTAAGTTAAATTATTGGAACCCAACTTAAGTCCCCTTAAGATTATCCTCTTATAACAGAGACTTACACATGAAATATGCTTCAAGTTCACCTGCCTATGGCTAAGTTCTGAATTGAAACAAGGTAACTTAAAACAATTTTTAATTTAGTAATTATTTAAAATAACCAAAAAGAGAATAAAAGGATATAATATTTTAGTAGGAATGATAAGAATTTATAATACCCTGAGTGAATGTGAAATAATAGATATTCCATTCTGCTGATTGTAGGTCATTAAAACTAGTCTTAACATGTGCTCTTGTTTTAGATTTTCATTTGTTTAACCTAATTCATTGTGACTCTTCTTAAAAGTAGCATTATTGAGATACAATTCACATTCCATACAATTCCTCTATTTAAAGTGTACAGTTGAATTCAGTAGATTTTATTGCATACACAGTTATGTAGCTATTAATCACATTCTATTTTTTCTGCATTTTCATCACACCAAAATGAAACCCCGTACCCATTAGCAGTCATGCCCCCGCTCCCCTCTGAGCTGAAGAACAAATAATCTGTTTTCTATATTTATAGATTTGCTCATTCTGGACAGTTTTTTGTAAATAAAATTATATAATGTGTGATTTTTTTATAAGTGGCATTTTTCACCTATAATAATGTTTTCAAGATGCATCCATATTGTAGCATGTATCTCTATTCCACATCTTGTTGTTGATGGACATTTAATTTTTTTCCACTTTTGGGCTGTTAATAATCCATAGATGTTCATGTTTACATTTTTGTGTGGACATTATGTTTACATTTATCTTGGGTATATACCTAGGGTTGGAATGCTGAGTCATATAACTATGTGGTTAACATGTGGAGAAATGGCCAAATCTATTTTCACAGGATTGCAACATTTTATATTCTCACCAGCAGTAGTTTGAGGGCTCCAATTTCTCCTCATCCTCCCCAATGTGTTATAATTGCCTTTTATACATTAGTTTTTATTTTAAAAACATGACAGATAAAATTATATGTACTTATGCACACGATGATGAAACACATTTTGAATAGGTAAATCTGGGTAATTAACATATGTATTAGTTCACAGTTACCATTTTGTAGTGAAAACATTTAAAATTTACTCAGCATTTTTAAAGAATATATTATTAACTATAGTCACTATGTCGTACAATAGATTTGTTTAACTTATTTATTTTGTTGACCTAAAATTTTGTGTCCTTTGACCAACATCTCACCCACATATCCCCCACCTCTAATGCTCCAGCCCCTGATGACCACCATTCTAGTCTCCACTTCTATGAGATCAACCCTTTTGATTCATCATGTGCTATTTGTCTTTCTCTTCATGGCTTATTTGTCTATCTTTTATTTCCATGATCTTAGTGGGTATAAAATATTATTGTAGTTTGACCCTGCATTTACCTAATGACTTATGATGCTCAGCATCTTTATATTTTTATTACTGACTTGCAAGAGATACTTACATATTCTTGACACAAACCCTATGTCAGATATGTGACATAATCTTTTTCTTAATCTGTGGGTTGGCTTATAGCTTTATTAATAGAATCATTTCAGAATAAAACTTTTTAATTTTTGTGAAGTCCTAATTTTAATTTTTTTTCTTTTGTCGCTTGTGTTTTTGTTGTCAAGTCAATGAAGCCTTTGCCTAATCCAAGATTGTAAAGATTTCCTCCTGTGTGTTCTGTGTTAGGCTGTTCTTGTGTCACTATAAAGAAATATCTGATGCTGAAAAATTTATAAAGAAAAGAGATTTAATTGATGCATGGTTCTGCAGACTGTACAAGCATGTTTCTGGCATCTGCTCAGCTTCTGGGGAGGCCCCAGCAACTTTTACTCACAATGAAAGTGAAGTGGGAGCAGACACATCATATGGCCACAGAAGGAGCAAGAGAGAGAGGAGTGGGGGTTACCACACAGCTTTAAACAACCAGATCTCATGTGAACTCACTCATCAACAAGGGGATGGAGCTAAGCCATTTATGAGGGAATGAACTTCCATGATCCAAACACCTCCCACCAGGCCCCTCCTCCAATATCGGCGATTATAATTCAATATGAGGTTTGGCAGGGACATATAGTCAAACTAGATCATGTCCTTTTAAGAGTTTTATAATTTATCTTATATTTAAGCCACTGATTGTTTGAGTTAATTTTTGTGTGTGATGTAAGAAAGGGATCCAGTTTCATTTGTTGTTGTTGCATGTAGATATTTAGTTTTTCCAGGGAAATTTATTGTAAAGACAATTATTTTCCCACTAAATTGTCTCAAAACCCTTGAAAATCAATTGTCTATTTATAGATATAAAAGTTTATGTAGGAGTCCATATTTAGTTAATCTACATGTCTCTTCTTTTTCTAGTACCACATTGTTTTGATTAATATAGCTTTATAGTAAGTTGTAGAAAGTAGAATTCTGAGTCTTCCAATTTTCTCATTTTTGAGATTATTTGGACTTCAATGTTTGCTAGAACTTCTATACGAATTTTAGAATATAATTGTTAATTTTAGCCAAAACAAAAGCAGCTGGTATTTGGCAGGGATTGTGTTGAATCTGTAAATAAATTTGGACAATATTGCTATCTAATCCATGAAAATGGAATGCAGCTACATCTATTAAGGTCTTCTGTGATTTCTTTGAATAATATTTTCAAGTTTTGAATGTAAAAGTTTAACATTTTTTGTTAAATTTATTACTCCAATTCTTTTTGATATCATTGTCAACAAGATAATTTTCTCAATTTGTCATATTCTTTTTGTGAGTTCATAGAAATACAATTATTTTTGTAAAATTATATTATAAGCTTACCAAACTCATTTATTAGTTATCACAGATTTCCCCCCTTCTCACCCTAGCAGTGGATTCTTCACCCCTACATATGAGATCTTGTCATTTGCAAATACGTATAGTTTTACCTCATCTTTTCCAGTCTGCATGACTTTTATTTCTGTTCCTTGCCTAATTGCCCAGGCTAGAACTTTCAGTACACTATCTAATAAAAATAGCGAAACAGGCATTCTTGTATTGTTCAAGATTTGAGACTAAAAGGGTTTAGTCTTTCACAATTAATATGGTATTAGATGGTGTTTGTCAATATTATTAATGCCTTTTTAAAATATACTTTTTGCCTTATTTATTTTCTCTACAGTTTTAGTATTCTCTATCTCACCATTTTCCATTGTAATGTCTATTCTTTTTTCTTTTAACTGATTTTACAATGTTAAACTTTCCAAAATGTCCTTTCATTATTGATTTTTAATTTAATTCCATTGTGGTGAGCAAACTTTGTATTACTTCAATCGTTTTAAAATTTTGAGGCTTGTTTTATAGACTAGTGTTTGGTCTAAACTGGAGATGTTACATCATGTGCATACACTTGAGAAGACTGTGTCTTCCATGGTTGGGTGGAAATTCTGTAGATGTCTGTTAGGTCCTCATTGGTTTATCATAGATTTTAAGATTTCTATTTCATTTATCTTCTGCATAGGTGTTCTGTCTATTATTGGAAGGGGGCATATTAAGGTCTCCAAATCTTATTGTTGATGTGTCTATTTCTTCCTTCAATTTTGTCCCCCTATTACTTCTTATATTTGGGGGTTCTGTTAGGTGCACATATATCTATACTTTTTAATGTTTTTTGATGAATGGACTCTTTTTCATAATAAAATGTCCTACTTTATTTCGAAGAAAACTTTGTTTCAAAGTCTATTTTGTCAGGCATCGATATAGCCACTCCAGCTATTTTATGGTTATTGTTTACATGATATATCTTTATTCCTTACTTTAACCTCTTTGTATCTTTAAGCCTGAAATGTGTCTTCTGTAGATATCATATGTTGGGTGCTACTTATATTATTTTAAAATATGATTTTACAATCTCTTCCTTTTCTTTGTTTTGCCTCTATTGTTTAGTTCATTCACTTTTGATGTTATTGATATGGTTGTATTTACATCTGCCATTTTGCAAGGTTTTTTTCTATCTATTTTGTATCTTTTTCTGTAGATATTTTCTGTTTTTTTTTTTGCAGAAAATGACTATTTTCTTAGCTGACATTTTACTTTTTAATGATTTCTGAATATTTTTGAGTGTTTTCTTAGTGGTTGCTCTACAGTTTACAGTATAAATTATTACTTATAAGAATCTTCAAATTTATGTTAATTTCTGTGAGGTATAAAAAATTTATTTCTGTATAGTTATCTTCCCTCTCCCCTTTTCTGATGCTGTAATTGTTATATAGTCTATATATTTCACAAACCCAGTATGATTGGCATCTTTCGCCTGGCATAGATCTTCCACTTTATATATAATTGCAGGCTCATTGGGGGAAGTGAAACTCAGACTTCTTGGCTGCATTTGCCTAAAACAGGGTTTTTGGTAAGAGGAAGCTGGTGGAAGGAAGCAGGAGAGTAAGAAATGCTGGCAGTCTGTTTCTTCCAGGAAACAACAACAACAACAAAAACAAGAACAAAAACTTGAGCATTATGCTGGGAACTTAGGGAGGTAGAACCTGGTCTTATTGGTACACCAGGCAAGAGCAGAGCTTCTGCCACACTGGGCTAGGTGTGTGGAGTAAGTGGCTAGTAGCTGATATGCCACAGACTTGCTGTTTTTAGCTAGATTTTGTAGATATTCTTCAAAAAATGTTTCTCCACTTTATATATGCTCTTAGGAAAATTTCTAGAGATTTTATGTTTTTCTAACATAAATTGTTGTAATCATATCATGCTTTTCTTTCACTTATTCATACTATAAAATTGCCTCTCCTCCTTTCTTCCCACAATTCAGAAAGGTTATTTTCAGCTAGTAGTTAAGATTAAATTGATCTGATTTAGAGAGAGGGTCTACTGGACTCCTCAATCACCGTTCCAGAAGTCTTACCTCAGATAATTATTTCTTATATCTAATTGATAAGATTTGTTTGCAATTATTGTCTTTAAAGCTTTCCTCTTTTCATGGGCAGATCTCCTGTGCCATTTCTTCCTAATGTATGCTCCATAAAGTATGCTCAGTGGTCCGTTTTTCCTGGAGAGATACTCCTGTTGTATGAGTTAATGGTGGATGAAGATATAATTCCTTACATTTGCCTTATTGAATATCTCTTCTTAAACACAGTAAATCCCTCTGTCTTCCTTTGTCATGACTTCATTTCTCCATACTATATAATGTACTTTTCTTTAACTGTTTCTTGTATAACATGGTCTTTACTTTCCTCACGATAGAAAAAGTCTACTAAAAACAACGTCCTATTTGTTGGTGTCTGTCTTCAGGTGTGGTGCCAAAAGCTCTCATCACAACCAAAGCTTAAGATGAAAAGCAAGGCAGAAAGTTTTCTTAATACCTCATTTTTTTTTTTGTTATAAAGCATATTTGCAATATTTTTCTGTGAACTTCTTTTTACAAACTTGACACATAATACCACATAGTTAGCTAAAACACAATGTTCCTTTTTGTTTGCAATATTCTTAACTATGTCTTCCTCTAATTTTATAAGTATTGTTAGAAAATATCCTGATTATCTACTGCAGCAAAATTCATGGTGGTGGTAGTGAATTCTTTGGGTCATACCATTTGCCTTCCTTGTTAGGGCAAACTAAGAGTAAAAATAAGTGCTTCTTTGTCGAAGCAGTGGTGCCCTTTTTTCCCTAGCTTAGTTGCCTCTTTCTTTAACACTTGGAGAAACATTTAAAAGGCCATACAAGTTTTTTCTTTTATTACATGTGTTGCTGTTCTTCTTATCTACACAGGGTTCTCATCTGTTCCACTAACAGAATGCTGTCCTCTACAGGATATTAACCAGGTCTCATGCATCTCTCACTGTTTCATGCCATAAAATTGCCTCTCCTCATTTTCTGCTACATCTCAGATACAAACGTAATAGTTAAGACTAAAATGATCCAATTCAATGAATTCATACTCGCATGTGAATAATTCATACTAGCATGTGAATGAATAACAAATTCATCTTCTTCCAAATGGTGTGTGTTTGTTTATTTCTAAGTAGATAGCAAATGAATAGTAAGAATTCAGAGACTATTAGGGCAATTTATCTTATCATTGTGTCTTCAAGGTGTCTTTAAACTGTATCACATAGATGACAGGTTACTTCACTTGTATATAATTATGGTACTAACAATAATGACACTGATGATGATAATTACTATTTTTCTAACACTTTATATTTTGCAAAGCACATTTATCATTATTATTTCATTTGATCTTTAAAAATATCTTGTGAGATAGGTATCATTATCATCACTTCCATTTTACAAGTATATTTATCTGAAAATGACTATGTGTCAAATTAAAATGGTAGCATTGTCCCTGTTTTATTATAGCCACAAGGTAGGGAACACTGAATGAACTGAATGAAATCTGTGCTTAGCCCAGATTTTCTATATTTAATAGTTATTTTTATTATGGAAGATTTTGAAAATCTGATTTTAAAATGTTGTTGCAGTGAGAACATATAGACACAGGGAGGGGAACAACACATACTGGGGCCTGTGGACGACGGGAAGCAGCACAACAGAAAAAATAGCTAATGCATGCTGGGCTTAATACTTAGGTGATGGGTCGATAGGTGCAGCAAACCACCATGACACATGTTTACCTATGTAACAAACCTGCACACCCTGCACATGTACCCTTCCCATAAAATAAAATGAAATAAATTAATATTGTTGCTATGCTATATGAGAAAGTGAGCGAATTAATAACTTATTAGTAGCCAAATGATGCAGTACTGCTAGTGACGTTCTTTTGTTTGTTTTTTATTTTCTAATTTTGGGAGAAATTACTAAGTGCCCAGTTGACCAATGACAGGAAATTGAATTAGCTGGTTGATAAAGTTTCAGGCTCACACTCTCCCTCTTCTGATAGTTTCTGGAAAAACCACTGAATTTTTAATGGCCTGATTCCTAATTGCTTCTTCAGCTCTGCAAATGCAGTGTGAGGGTGAGAGGTAGAAAAAGAAAATGATGTGAGATGTAAAAAAAAAAAAAAAAATGTTTGGCTAGTGTTATAAAACAGTACACATTGCTTAAAAGTAGACAGTAATAAAGGTGGCAATAAAGTATTTTCTGTCTCCTGAAAGTTTTCCATTTAAAATGTTTTGCTGGGCAGTTTTTATTCAGTCATCACTATTTTAGGCTGGAGATACAGATATTTATATATGATTTGGCCATTCTCAATTCACAGTTAAGTGGTGGAAAAATGTAACCAGAGAATTTTATTGAGTGTTAACCTGAGGCTTTAGTTAAAATTATTCAATCCATCATTTGTGTTGGTCCAAAAGGTAATATACACATAGAGATACAATAAATGGGCTTTAGAAAAAAAGTGAATCTATATATATTTTATACTATCAAAACTCTACAATGAAGGCAATAAGCTATTGGTTAGCTTTTTGCACTTGAAATAAGTATAATACCAATTTTTTTTCCTTTTTTACTTGCAAATGCTTTGATTAATATGATTGATAGCCCATTTCTGCAAACAGGATTGAGATTTTAGGGAGGTGTGAATGTACACATAAAGTGATCCTTGTCTAAGAGAGCTTGGAAATAAAAGTGAAAATGATGCTCTCTAAGATTAAGACAATTAATTCAGTTTATTATGAATAAGAATAAACATATACATTTTCTTATTGAAGGTAGACAATGCCTCTGATACCCATAACACTTTATCTAAAGCTGATTAAAGTTATAAGCCCATCTGAAGTAAAACAAACAAATAAAAAAACTTAATTAGAAGAGAGATTGCTCAATAATGACAACGTAGATAAAGGAAAGCCTGAGAACTAGATGTTGCCAGTGTCTACTAAAACATTGTTCCATGTAAAAATTGACCAAATAGGATATAGTATATTTTAGAAAGATTAATATTCATATCCTATGTTCAGTCTGGAAAATGAGTATCAATTAAATTTTAATACATTCTATGACTTCATGAAGTGTTCTACTTTTATAATTATAGCTGCTTAAATTAACTATAACTTTTTATAACTTCATTTTTCAATTTCTATGCAACAATCTTGTTTGCTTTATTTTTAAAAATAATGTCCAACATTTCTTGATCCTCTGCTGTACCTCTCACATACCTACTCAGCTTACTCTCCCCTCCATAACCAAGTTGCACTACCTAAGGAGATTTAATGATATAAGACTATAAGACAATGAGTTTTGCCAAGCCCTAAACCAATGAAAAGGATAACAATAAGCTACAGTTGTCCCTGAATTTACAAAATGCTGAACAGTCTGCTAAGCATTTTATGTAAATTACTTCATTTAATTTTCATCACATTATGATAAAGGCATTATTATTTTCATTCTGCGGTGAGGTTAGCTAATTTGCCCAAGAGCGAGTTATCCAGTTGCAAAATTGAATTTAAATTTAGATCTGTCAGACTCCAATGTCCAGGATTTTAACCCAATAATATATGGACTTGGAGTCTGCTTATAATTTAAAATTTATTAAACTATTCACAAGATGATGAGAAAAATGTGAACTGAATTACATGTTTATTAGAGATATTATTGTACCTAGCTCAAACTATAGTAATGGAGCCAGAAAAGAATACAGTGCTTGTTATCCTACAGGCAAGATTTTGGGGGCATAGGTTCACCTTTTTATGTTAGCTGTTAAAATGCAAATGAAGATGTTTCTTATGATGAGAGAGATTACAAATTGTGTTATTTGAGTGCATTTAGTAGACCTATGTCTAAGCATGTCCTTGAGTAAAATTTTACTATAAGCAAAAATTGCTTTATACCTTCCCCCTTGATTTAGTTATTTTGATGTAGGAATTGGAGACAAAATAATACTATATCTAGTTTATTCTGTCATTGTTAGAGTCTCTTTTATGCATATGTTGATGATATATACGTATACATAATTACCATTTAATTGTGATTTTTAAATATTCCATATTCTTGCTGCTTGTTTGTCTATTAGCAATTAATGAAGGTTTTATAATATTTCCATCATAACTGTGAATTTGTCTGTTTCTCATTTTAATTTTTTTATACATATTGAATCTGTGTGATTGTGCATACCTACCTAGAATTATGACACATTTCTATTGGATTGTCACCCTTATTGTAATGAAATATCACTATTTTTGTCTTAGAAATTAGTTTTGCATTATTCTACTTTGATATTAGTATATATACATATATATATTAGTACATCTTATAAGCAGAAGATAAATTTTTGGTAGCTTGTTTTTATTTGTTCTATTTGTAAATCTAGTCTGAAAATATTAGTTTTTAACTTGAAATATTTAGTCCATTTATATTTAATGTAAATATCAATCTAGTTGGATTTTTATTTATTGATTTCATTTGACCTAGGTGTTTCATAATTCTTTTTCTTTATTATTTACTTCCCTTAGATTAATAAAATATTTTTACTTCACATTTTTTCCCCAGTGCATATGTAACCAATTTGTACAGGTACAGTTTTCAATGCTTACATTGAGATTAAATATGTATCCTTGACTCATTCAAGTACAATATAAATTATTATTTTAAAGTTTCCCTAGTAATACAGGAAACTTAGAATACTTTAACTGCATTTACCTATATCCCTTATGTGTTAATGTTGTCACATATTTTTATTTTTTATATATTTTCATCCCATAAGGCATTACAATTATAGTTTTGTGTAGTCAAAATTTATTGGAATGTTCATTTATATTTTCCCATGTATTTCCCTTTTCTTTGCTTCTCACATCTTCCTTTAACTCAGTGTTTTTCCCTGTGATCATATTCTTAGCACATGAAAAATTTTCTGTAATGTGTTTTTTAGTACATGACTTATTGGTCACCAATCCCCTCATTGTTTTGTTGGGTCAGAAAACATCTTAATTCTACATTTGTCTCTGCAGAGTATTTTCACTGGGCACAGCGTTCTAGACTGGAAGCTATTTTCTTCTGGGACTTTACAGCTATCATTACATATTTTACAGTTTTTATAATTCCTGTTGAAGAATCCACTGAACAGGCTTTTTGCTTTGTTGGAGATAAAATACCTATTTTTTCTCTATAATTTTTAAACCTTTTTATTGAAATATAACACATATAAAGAAAAGTGCATAATTTGTGTTGCATTTAAAAATTTCTCTTTGGTTCATAGCAATTTACCATAATGAACATAAGTGTAGTTTTATTTTCATTTATTTTGCGTGGGATTTGTAGAGCTTTTTGAATCAATAGGTTGATTTTTTCATCAGTTTTAAAAGTACTCCTTGGCCTCATTGTCTCTCCTTTTTACTTTTGGAATTAAAAAGTAAACTTATGTTTGACCTTTATGTATTATTTATGTATCTCTGATGCTATTTATTGTATTTTACATTTGTTTTACTCTTAAATTTCAGTTTGGAAATTTTCTTTGACTTGTCTTCTAGTTCATAAATTATTGCATTTTTTAAAAATATGTCCTCTTAATCCCATATAATATGTTCTCAATTTCAGATATTTCTCATTTGTAGACTTCACATTTTATTATATTACATAGATTTTAATTATTTGGTGAAACTCTATATAGTCTCATCAATTTTTTCATCTTTTTTTTGTATTCTCCCATTTACTTTACTATAAACATTTCAGTTAGTCTTTGTTATCTAATATCAATATCTAGATCATCTCTGATTCTTCAACTATTTTCTGTTTTTTTTTATTATTTTAAATCACATGACATTTTTTGGTATATTTAAGTTTTGATTGCAGGGCAGACATCGTTAAAAAAATTACATAGGCTTCTAATGATGTTTTTATTATCCTGAGAGGGTGTGTCTTACCTTAAAAAGGCCAATAGAATGATAGGTGCTCATCTTAATCTAGTCAGATACTGTACTGGGCTGGGGCTTGGCTTCAGGTTTCTTAAGACACCAGTATATCTCTGGCTGTCTTCCAGCTTTATAGCTAAGAATGTGCTGTGCTCTCCATGGCTATTCCTCCTCCCCTTGCCAGTGGACTCCACATTCTAACCTTTGGTGTTCAATACTGTCAAAACTTTTGCCCTGCTTAATAAAGATTTTCCACTAGTTTTAAAGTCTTCCACATACGTTATCACAAAATATTACAAATGACCTAGAGGCAAATCAGGTTGTAGGTAGGAGAATTCCTAAGTTTCTATCAAAATAATTATTGTGCATCTGAAGCCTTCTGAAAGCATAAACTAGAGATTGCCAACCTCTTTCTGTAAAAGACCAAATGGTAAATATGTTGGGCTTTGTGGGCTTACAGTCACGGTTATAACTACTGAACTGTATAGTTGTAGCCTGAACACAGCCATAGACAATGTTTAAACGTGTTATTAGCTGGTTATATTCTAACAAAACTTTATTGAAAGATACTGAAATCTGAATTTCATAGAATTTTCATGAAGTATTCTTCCTTCATGTTTTTTTCAACCACCCAACAATGTAAAGAAACATTTTTAATTTGTAGGCCATAGAAAATATGCAGTCAGCCTCATTTAGTTCACAGATCATAGTTTGCCACTTCTGATGTGTGACATGGATTCAGAATCTCTTACTTGATTCCAGAATTAGCACATGATCTCCAACTACCAGTGGCTATAGCTTACCTCTCCTAGTTTCTTTCCCTCATTTGCATATTATCTTGCTCGTGTTGTAGTAGAGGCTTTTTTGGTAACCTTAAGCAGATAATTTCCATTTTACATAATTTTTCTGGTTGTTCTTAGAGGAACACTAGTCTGTCACTATCTATTGAATCTCACATGAAAGTGGATGTACTAAAACTTTGTTTTTTTTTTGTTCTAGATAAAGATATATAATCTTCACACGAGCCAATATAATGTTATTTTGGTTGAATTAATAATGTTTAAATTGCTATATGTCTAACATTGTGCTTTGTAGTCCATGCATATAGATACACTGGATATTGTCGCTACACTCAAATTTCTTATAAATAATATCTAACATTTAAATATATAGATTAATAAATTCAGTATAACATAATCGTTTGTGAGGTGCACACATTTATGTGGAAGTAAAGGAACACAAATCTAAGCACATAGTACCGTCAGAAGTTTTAAGAAATAAACATGCAATGCAACAATAAGACCTCTAAATTTAACATTCTAGGCACAGATAAAGTGTAAAAAAAAGAAGGGAGGTAAAAACAGCAGCTGGGTGCAGTGTCTTCTATCAGTAATCCTGGCACTTTGGGAGGCTGACACAGGAGGATCACTTAAACCCAAGAGCTCGAGACCAGCCTGAGAAACATGGTCAAACTTCATCTCTACAAAAAAGTAAAAAATCAGCTGGGCATGGTGGTGCATGCCTGTAGTCCCAGCTACTTAGGAGGCTAAGGTAAGATGATTTCTGGAGCCCAGAAGGTCAAGGCTGCAGTGAGCCGTGTTCGTGCCACTGCATTAGAGCCTAGGCGACAGAGCAGGACCCTGTCTGACAACAAACAAACCAACAAAAACAGCATGCTGTTTGCAGAAACTTGAGGACTTTTTTTTATCATTGAAGATGATAAGTTGAGTGAGACATGGCCAGAGACATAGAAAGAGAAGCAGACAGGTCATAGAATTCTTTTATGGCAGGCCTAACAACTTGGACTTTTTTTATCCAAAGAGAATTTGACATATTTTCAAATGAAATATTTTGTGCATAGAGACAGTTTTAAAGAAATTATTATAAATGTCCAGAGGCTCAGAGAATTTGATCCACATGCCTAAGATCATAAGGCCATTCAGTGGTGGTCCAACTGAAATGACTTGTTTTGGAAAAAGTAGAGTAATAAGCTTTCCCAATATGGAGAAGAAAGAACTGAGAATAATTTCGAGTAACTTAGTATAGTCAAAAACGTTTTTAAAATGCTAGAATCAGAGGACTTGAGTTTGAGTAGTTATTTTACTGTCTAATAAGATATGTATGGAAAATTATATGGATGAGTAGGAGATATTAACCTACCTGTAATAATGATGGTATTGCTTTTTTATTTTTAGGGTCTAATAAAAGATGAAATTTTCAAATAGAGGATATGCCATGGCTTTGGATTTAGATAAATATTGGTCTGAATTCTAGTTTTACTATGTTCAGATATATGAGTCAAAAATTCATTCAAACTTTCTAATCCTCTCATTCATTCATTAATTCATTTAATTGCTGTTGCCAATATGTGTTCATGCTTTTATTCAACAAATATTTACTGATTAACTTTCATGTACAACAAATATTGCTAGGAACTTGTATTAATCAATGTTCTCCAGAGAAACAGACTGATAGGATGTGTGTGTGTGTGTCTATCTATCTATCTGTCTATCTATATATCTATATCTATATCTATATATATCTCCATATATGTATGTATAGATAGATGTATGTATAAATATATATGTGTATACATAGATAGATCTCTCTATCTCTGTCTTTCTATGTATATCTACATTACATATAATCTCTCTATATATCTATCTTAGAAATATATATATAGAAAGAAAGATTTATTTTAAATAATTGGCTAACATGATTGTAGGGACTGGCAATGCTGAAATCTTCAGGGCAGGTTGGCAGACTGGAATTTCATAAAATCTGATGTTGCAGCCTGAGTCTGAAGACAGTCTGAAGGCAGATTTGTTTTTTTTTTTTTTTCCGGGCACCTCAGTCCTTTCTCTTAAGGCCTTCAACTGATTGGATGAGGACTATTCTTATTACGGAGAGTATGATCTGCTTTACTCAAAGTCTACTGGTTTCAATGTTAATCTCATGTAAAAATATCTTAAGCAACAACAATACAGCAACATCAAGACTGGTGTTTGACCAAACAACTAGGCACCATGCCTAGTCAAGATGACACATAAGATTAACCATCATAAAGTTAGTTACAAGACAGACTCAGTAGCTGCTATCATGAAACTTACAATCTAGTGGGCATAATTGCACCTGCCTAGACAGTTTTATTTATTTATTTTTTTGTGAGAGTTAATTGAACTATTCTACATAAAATTAGTAGCATCGTAATTGGTACAGAGAAAACCTACAGCAAATGTCAGTTTCCACCCTTTTATCTTACTGCCCAATTTTTGTAGTTAAATTAGGGTGAGGAACAAGGTTAATACTGCTGCTAAGAGGGGTTTCTAAAAATTCATAAAATGATAATAGTACAAATGGTAATAAAAATATATGTTATTTATAAAGTGCTCTCAGTGTACCAGTTACTGTTCTAATTGCTTCATATAAATTAACACATTTAATTTTCAAAATGACCCTCTGAACTCATCTTCATTTGAAAGTTTTAAAAACTGAGGCAAAATGAAGTTAAGTCACTGGCCCAATTTCACACAGCTAGTAAGAGATAGAGTTGGGATTTGAACTACAACGTCCAGCTTCTCTGGTTTATGGTGAAGGATTCAGAGGGAAAGATGTGGCCTAGATGAAGCTGTTGTTTCTTTTGGCAACTTCGATGGCTTAGTACTTTCCATCCTTCAAGTCTCAACTTATTTTCACTTCTTTTGTTTTCCCCTTAATACTCTTACTACCAATTTGAATGACGTTGCTTATTTATTTTAACTTCTTATCTATTTTCTGCTCAATGATACAAGTTCCATAAAGGCAGATAACTTATTCACCTTATTCATCATTTTAAACCCAGCATCTAGTACATTGCATGGGACACAGTAGATATGCATTAAATATTTAGTAATGAATAAACTAAAAATGAATTATCAAGAGAAAAGGAAAATTTGTACAATATATAAATAATAAGCCACTGAAAATTTAGGTTCTGCTTTACAAATTTTCATGCCATGTTCACAAATTTTAGGACAACAAAATGGAGTTGTGCCGCTTAGCAACTTTCCTGTTCTGTGCAGTTCCTGTAAGTGTAATTAAAGATCAATGAAGCAAGTGCTTAAAATGCAGCCAACTTAATTGCCACAATTGTATGATTTAGATTAATAATAAATTTGCTAATGATAGTATAGCATTAAATATTCAACATGGTTATCAAAAGTCAATTAAGAAATAATTGTAAGTCAGTAAGCCACAAGTAATGAGAAGAATCCTCCCTTTTTTGAAAAGTTGTTGGCAGGAAAAAGGAATGAGAATATTCTTTCTTTTCAGCATTCAATTTGATAATATAAAAATGTGTAAAAAATATTTAATTTAGTTAGGTTGTCTTAGTCCAGTCAAACCACTATAACAAAATACCTTAGAATGAATGGGTTATAAACTTCAAGAAATTTATTTCCTATGGTTCTGGAGGCTGAGAAGTTCAAGGTCCAGGCATCAGCAGATTTGGTGTCTGGTGAGTGCCTATTTCTTTTTTCATAGATAGCCACTTCTAGCTGTGTCCTCAAACAGTGGAAGAGGCAAGCCAGCTGTCTGCGGCCCCTGTACAGGGTCACTAATCCCACTGATGACAGCCCTACCCTAATTCCCTAATCAGTCCCCAAAGGCTCTACCTCCTAATTCCATAACATTGGTGATTAAAATTAGCATAGAAACTTTAGGGGGGCATGAACATTCAGACCATAGTATAGGTTGTATAGCAGATGGCCATGTTCTCAAAATTAGTAGTGCCTTGTAGTTGGAAAGGAAATTATATAATTCCAAAGGTTACTTACACCTAGTCTTGCTGGTTTGAGGAATAGGTGTCAAGGATGACTCTTTCCCTCCTGCTTCTTTCTTGGCAAGACCATTTTCAAGTGGAGTCTTTCTTTCTATTCCTCTGTTTGTACCATCTTTTTAATTTCTGGATTCTGGTAGAGAATTTTCATTGTGTACCAGCTTTAAACAGAGTTAGGAAATGCTACTGTAGCTTTTGTGACCTATGGAATAAATATGAGTGAAATGGTTAAAAATTCTACACAGCAGAACAACTGACCTTAGCATTCCAGGTGAAAGTTTTGCTTTTATGTCTCAGAAAAAAAACAACAAAAAAAACCCCTGTTTTTATTGTAATGTTTTAATCAAGTAACATAACAGCTTTAATCAGGAAATTATAAGTCAATTTAGTATACCAAAATGAAGGATTATTCTAGTTGGATAAACTCTGTGAATAAAATTCAGAATATGTGATTTTGGATTCCATTGGAAGTTTGGCATCAGACTGAAGAGTGGTACAATCCAAAATTTTATCTTAGTGTTCAGAAGCCCTGAACATGTTTTCCCTTCAAAGAAAACATAACAACAAGAGAAAACCACGATAACAGAATCTCATTAGCTTGACACTTAGCTAAGCAACTTCACTTAGGTCACCAGTATCTCCTGTAGAATTTTCAGCTAATAAAAAGCAAATTGGCCCTCTAACAAAGAATTTGAAACCTGGGTGAGATGTGAATTAAAACAAAACAAAACAAAACATTTTTTTTCCTTAGTGTGACAAAGCACATTTCTTCTAGATACAAATCCTGCTCTACTCTCAATAGAATCTATTAAAAGGCACTGCAGACTACTTTTATATCTCCAGTAAGGTTTTAAGGTTTCAATTTCTTAAAATATCATAGTAACAAGGTTTTATTACATCAAATATTTGTATAATTTTAATGTGAAAAAAGTTTACATACATTTGGTATCAAAGTCTCATTGAAATCTGAAAGATGACTGAGAGAGAAATAAAAGTCTGAGAGGTGGATAATACAAGCTAGTGGTTCAGACAACAGAATTTGCCCTACCAATTCTTGATTCTCACAGTAACATACTTTGTATTGAAAGAGGTAAATGAAACATGCTTTTACCTTGAAAGGGATGGTTGCTCAGATACATCCAGGGCCACATAAAATGGAATTAGATCGCTAATTGGGCAAATAAGTTTTCAACTTGTATATGTTTAAATGGAAAGCCTTGGGTTGGTAGGATCAGATCCTAATTACCTATACCTAGTGACCATAATCAAAGATTATTTGGGTACATTCAATGTGAAGTAAAAAAGTTCCACATCTTAAGTCATAATAGAGGTTCAAACACAGAATTATGGTTTTAGCTTTGCTTCTTGTTAAATAGGATATTTTGGGGAAAAATAAAAAGCAAGTTTTGAGACTCAGTAATATGTATTTTGGCAAGATAGCAATTAAAATCTGAAAAGCATAAGCTAAATGTCCAAATATAAAGGACATCAAATAAATATCTAGACATATTTATATATCAGGGAAAAGCCTATCTACAAGGTATGTTTTCTTTTTTCATCATTCTTTGGTGAATTAACTATTGTCCAGGCTTTGCCCCACCTTGCAGACCCAAAAACTAGATTTATGCAATATGTGAGGCACTCTGTCTCAACAAGGGCTGGTACACTATTCAGGCTCCCAGATACATGTGTATAAAGCAAGAATGGAATTGAGTTTATTTATTATATAACTCTCTGATCTTCAAGTTAAAGATCTGAAGTCTCAATCACTCTCATACATTTGTTATAAAATTTAGATGTAGTGTCAAACTCAGACTTATCTGTGGATGGTGCGTTTTCACTCTGGGATTCTGTTGGCTTTGGTGCTGATGGATGACTGATCCTTCTTGGTCATCATTCTGTTTGTCATATTCAAGGAATTCACAATTGCAGCCTTGTAGTAATGTGCCCTGATGCAATTTTGGTGTAGTACATTAAGTGACCTGGGTGGTACCCTGGGCTTAAATTTTACCTGTATTACATACTATGTGATTCAGAACAAATCAAAATTTCCAAACCTGTTTTCTAATCTTTCAATTTAGTTTTATAACATCTAGTTTTATGAATTTTGTGTGTACCATGTGATTTTTTTTTTCAGACAGTGTCTTGCTCTGTTGCCCAGGCTGGAGTGCAGTGGCACATTCTTGGCTCACTACAACCTCTGCCTCCCAGGCTGAAATGATCCTCCTGCCTCAGCCTCCCAAGTAGCTGGGATGACAGGCACACACCACCACACCCAGCCATTTTTTGTGTGTTTTTTGTAGAGACAGAGTTTCACCATGTTGCCCAGGCTAATCTCCAACTGCTGAGCTCAAGGGATCTGCCTGCTTAAGCCTCCCAACTGCGCCCTGCCCCATGTGATAATTTTAAAAAAGTAAAATCTAACATCTGACACACAGCTGGACCATAGTAAGCATTGAGTATTAATTATTTGCAGATTTTTGCATAAATACATTGTGAATTGTTTTAGTTTTACTCACATAGGGCAATTTTAATTTTTTCCTATTTGAATAACACTTCACAATAGCATTGAACTACTGACATTACTTCTTTGTAATCTTGAACAAAGTAATGATTTATTTATATTCCAGAGAAATTAGATATGACCTTGTATTGGATAAATCTTATGCCTCTCCTCAAATTCTCTTTGTCAAACTGCCTTCCATGTCAAACTGCCTTCCATACTCTTTACTTGGTCACTTACTCCCCCTGCAAAGCTCTATTGATCCCAAGATGGCCCATGAGGTGTGTATCTCACAGTCCACCAGCCCCATTCCTGGAACTTGAGGTTTCTTCCTGCACTTTCAGAAATGACATGGGATCTGACTTTCTTAGATGCTGCCAAAAACTTAGACAATTTGGAAGTGTGTGTTGTCAGGGGAAGGAAACTTTGTAGGATTACCTCTCTGAGAACAAACTTTGAGTAAGGAGAGAAACGAGACAGACACACAGTCAGATAAAATCCTTCTTTCTCCCTTATTTCTTCCAATATATTGTTCTGAAGAGCTGTTCCTCTATGTGATTTGCATAAGACATCCCAAGTGGCTGAATGATGTATTTTTTTATTAATTCATTTTTGAAGCTTGTGGAAGAGGAATAGCCAACATAGGTATTACCTTGCATTGCTTCCCATGCCTCAGTTCTCTTTTCTTCTTGTTGCTCTGAAATTGCATTGACATTTTCCCCTTGCCTTAGGCTTTGTTTCTTGGGATCACAAGCAAAGACATACACTCCATGAAACATAAAAAGTAGCAGAAGTCTTCTCACTAACTGTCATTTACTTATCCATTCTGCCACAAAATCTATTACTTACATTATTGAAATCATTATGATACGTACAGTAGAAGATACAAACGTGACAGAAACATGTTATTTGGCTTTATAGAGATTACAATCCAATAGTGGTGATTCTACAAGAATCTATATTAAAACTGTATTATTTGAGGATAGATGTGGATAAAAGTCATTCACTGGGAGAAATTTTACCTGGGATATCATGGGAATCATATACTCTGCTGGCAGCATTGTTTTGGGTCTTTTAGTCCAGGCAAATGTGACTGGACATTGATAGCATAAATGTCCTAGAAGCTCTTCTGACTCATTGAAATAATTCGCTACATCAGAAGGTTTGAGAAGTCAAAAGCATTGTTGCTTATAATATTATCAAAACTATGATATTTATTTGAAATATGTAAATAAAATTTTTATATTCTCTTGCATAAGCATATAATTATTTTAGAAAATATAAATAAGTAAATAAAAATAACACAACAGAAATTGAGAATGTTAACCCTTTGAATTAACATGAACATTTCAGATATTTTTTGTATGGATCCCTTTGCAGTTTTTTAAATTATCAGGTTAGATGTAAAATTTTCCTTTTAGTTTTTTTTGTAAATATTTTTCCATGTCAGTAATGTGACAGCAGGTTTTTAAGTACTGCATACTTTCTTTATATGCTCTTCATTCTATTAATGTACCATTGTTTTTTAATTCAAAGATTTGATATTATGTTGCAGTGAGCATTTCAAGTTAGTGAAATATTTCTGCATAAATTTGAATATTTCCTTAGGTAAAATTCTTAGAAGTAAGAATCTTGGAAGTAAGACAGCATTGTCATAATTTTTCTCACTTGTCCAATTGGCAATCAAAATACGATCTTAATTGATAAGTTTAGCAGCACTATAAAATGCCAATTTTCCTGCACAGAAAAAAAGATTTTGTAATTTAAAATATATATTTCATTTTGGTGGGAATAAATTCATATCTCATCTATAAGCTAAAGACAACTACTTCATAATATTTTTACAAAATTAAAAAGTCAGTAAATATGTGATTATTAATCTTATTAAGAAAAGAAAGCAAAAATAGAAAAGATTAGATGGAAAATATAGATAAAGGAGAGGATTAAAATTTTATGAAAATACATTTACAACTCTAAGACATTTTATTTTAAGATGTAGATAAATGAATGATTTCCAAGAAAAATATAAATTATAAAATTTAAATTATAAATATAAATATTTATAAATTATAAATTTATATATTATTTAAATTATAAATATAAATATAAATATAAATATAAATTATAAAAATGAATACAAAAGAAGTAGAAATGTACAATAGAAAATTTATAGATAAGAATCTAAAGTGATTAAACCGTATTGTTAAAAAGACAATAGGATTAGGGCCAGGAGCAGTGGCTCACGCCTGTAATCCCAGCAATTTGGGAGTGTCTAGGCGGGCGGATCATGAGGTCAGGAGATCCAGACCAGCCAAGCTAACACAGAGAAACCCCATCTCTACCAAAAATACAAAAAAAAAAATTAGCCGGGCATGGTGGTGGGTGCCTGTAGTCCCAGCTACTTGGGAGGCTGAGGCAGGAGAATGGTGTGAACCCAGGAGGTGGAGCTTGCAGCGAGCCGAGATGGTGCAGCTGCACTCCAGCCTGGGCAACAGAGTGAGACTCCATGTCAAAAAAAAAAAAAAATACAATAGGATTAGAAGAGTTTACTACAAAGTTTTTGGTCACCTTTAAAGAGCAGATGACATTCATATTGTGAAAACATTTTTAAGCTGTAAAAGCAAATGGGAAATTTTCAAGATCACCTTAAAATGTCAGAATACCTTTAGAAATAAAATCTGACAAATAGCACACAAAAAGACAAACCTAAAGAACAATGCTTTACATGTATATAGATAACCAATTTAAGTAAAGTATCATAAAATAGATAAGGTATCATAAAATACAATTCATTCCCATCTTAATAAGAATAATATGCTGTGGAAATGTGGGGTTATTGCAGGAAACATAATTCAATACCAGGAATCTGTCTTCATCATTATAACAACCAATTAAAGAAGAAAACAATTTGGTTGTATGAGTAGATACTGCAAATGAATTTTATATTATTTAGCTGTTATTTTAAATAATACTTTAAGTAAAATATAAATGGAAGTAACTACTACAGTCTTATAATTACTACTTTTCAAACTCCATGCCATTCATTGAACAATGGTGAAACACTGAATCTATATCAATAAAACTATAAAGAGCTCACCTGCTGTCACCATTATTATTTAACATTGCCTTATGAATGTAATGAGTCAAAAGTGTAAAAGCTATTATAAAAATTGAAAAAGGAATGTAACATATAATGTCTACTTTTGGCAATGATGTTATTGCATGACTAAAACACTGAGGAAGTTGTAGCATGCTACTAGGATTAATTTTTAAAAATCTGTAAGGGGGCTACATACAAGTTAAATATTTGTACAAAAGTTCTGTTGACAAGAATAAACAAAATTTTAAAACTTTTAGAAATAAGAATTGTACAGAAATTTTATAAAAATAAACCATGAGTTATTATTAAATAAGACAACATACAAATGATCATAAGCATATACCATCTTCTTGGACAGGATGACTTCATATGATAAATACATCATTTTTATATAAAGAGCATATACATTTACTACAGCTCCAATTAGAATATTAACTTTTATAAGAAAGAAAAATTGATGAAATTAGTCAAGAAAAATTTAAAGAACAGTAGTACCGCTCTAATAATCAATAGAAATAGAAGAGGGAATTCAGAAATAGATCATAATACATAATGCCCATTTTAAGTTTGTTTCCTTTCCCTTTTTAGTTTGTGTGTTTTCTTTTATAATTGATAGTTGTATTTTCTCTTCTGTTAACTTTCCAAAATTGAGTTTTAGTTATTGTCTTGAGTTTCAAGAATTTCTTACATTACTTTTAACTGCCTTTATGTTTTTTTTTTCTTTTAGTTGATTTTTTCTTTTTTTTTATTATCCTTAAGTTTTAGGGTACATGTGCACAACATGCAGGTTAGTTACATATGTATACATGTGCCATGTTGGTGTGCTGCACCCATTAACTCATCATTTACATTAGGTATATCTCCCAATGCTATCCCTCCCCACTCCCCCCACCCCACAACAGGCCCCGGTGTGTGATGTTCCCCTTCCTGTGTCCATGTGTTCTCATTGTTCAATTCCCACCTATGAGTGAGAACATGCAGTGTTTGGTTTTTTGTCCTTGAGATAGTTTGATGAGAATATTTTTTTCAAATCTATTATAAAAGTATATTAAAATACTGTTTTATACTAAATACACTGACACAAATTTAAAAGTGTTCTAATACCTACTGGCAGGATGCAGAGAAAAGGATACTCATATACTTCTTCTGGAAATGTGAATTGCTTCAATTTATTAGAAGGTAAACAAGGAACATCTAATAAAATTATAAATAAATATCTTCCTCAAGTGTTAATTCTCATCAGACTATATCTCATACAATAAGTCATGATAGATATATAAATATAAACTTATGCCACATTACATGTCAAAGAAAACAAAAACCTAAAAAATAAAATATAAATGGAAACATAGTAAGTACCTCTTATCTACTGAATATCTGAGTTAAGCAACACAACATGGAAAATTGCAGAATCATTAGAAACGATGAACTAGAACTCTCCCAGTACATTTGTATGAAGTGTTATTGAATTCTTTTAGCCAAAAAGCAGGAAAAATAAATATAATTGTGTCTATTTTTATAAAAAACAATGGTAAGTAAACTTTTTATAGATGCAAATGTATATATTATTATATGAGTATGTGAACCTACAGGAAAACATGAAAATGTGTAAATTATGTTGTTAAGACTTTTGAAGAATGAGGAAAAATAGGGAGGAAGCAAATAATAATGATACAGACTAAATAAATTATTTATGAAGACATATATATGTATGTATGTCTGAAAAATTAAAAATAAACTAGAAAGGCTTTTCTTGAAACATCCAAGCCCCTCTCATAAAGGATGAACCCTTTATAATTGCTCAGTAAATATCAAACCCCTAATTTTTTTTTGCTCTATTTTACTTGCTTGCCCAAACTAAAAATTTGCTAAACTAATATAAATGGCATAAGCAGAGGTTGGCAAACTATAGTCTGCTGGCACCATCTGTTTTTCTTCCTTCCATTCCCTCTTTCTTTCTTCTGAAGGTTCACCAGCAAAGACTGGCTTTTATATTTTTAAATAGTTGTATATTATTGGTTATATACGTACCTATGCACAATATGTTTAATTTTGCTTTTTGGCTCATAAGGCCTAAAATATTTACTGTCTAGACTTTTAGGAAAAAGTTTTCCAATTCCTGATATAAAAATCAGAGAGCAAGGCAAGGCATTTTCGGTGAAAAAAGTATATATATGGTCAAATGGTGAAAGAAAATATATCACAAGTTGTGGCAATTTAAATATAAATTACAAATAGAAGTAAGAAAATTGACCTATGAAATACAGACCATTAATTGGCCAATAACTGTGAAAGTAATTCAATACTGTATTAAAAATGATTCTCTATTTTCATTGAAAGTTTTTAATTAATGCAAGTTTTAGGCAAGTTCAGCCAAGACTTCAAGAAATGGATGCTTTCTTTACTATTTTAACCATTTCAGAACATATAAGTAATGGAAGGTTACTATAGCACAAACATAATTTTGACACCAAAAGTTGACAAAAATTGCATAGAAAAAATAAATTTGAAGGACTATATAAATGTAGTGTTAACTGAAAAATTAGGTCCATATTTCTATCAGCATTTTTGTCTCAAGCATTTAACCAGTACTTAAGAAGTTCAAAACTTTCCATCGTTCCATTGTCTTCCTGTCATCTTCTGAGACCTCAGACTCTTTCAACCTCTTCTTGTTACACAGTTCCAAAGCTTCTTCCACATGTTTAGGTATCTTTATAGCAACACCCCACTCCACATTACCAATTTTCCTTGTTACTTGATTTGTGTTGCTATGAAGGAATGCCTGAGGCTGGGTAACTTATTTTTAAAAAGGTTTATTTTGGCTCACAGTTCTTCAGGCTATATGAGAAGCACGTTATTGGCATCTGCTCCTGGTAAGGCCTCAGGAAACTTACAATCCTGATGGAAGCCAAAGGGGGAGCAGTTTTGTTACATGGAGAAAGAGGGAGGAAGAGAGAAAGGGAGGGAGTGCCAGGCTCTTTTAAACAACCAAATCTCACATGGAATCATTACTTTGGGAAGGGCCATCGAGCCATTCATGAAGAATCCACCCCCATGATCCAAACACCTCCTACCAGGCCCCACCTTCAACACTGGGAATCACATTTCAAGATAAGATTTGGAGGTGACAAATACCCAAAACATATCATGGTCTTTTTCATCTATTGTATTGATTTATTTTAAAACAAATTTATTTCTAGTAAATAGGACTTATTAATGCAAAACTAGAATATTGGTAAACTTAAAAGGTTGAGAAACAATTATAGAGAAAACATGAACTATTATTTTCCGTGATAGAAAACATGTCATTTCTCTGTTCTACCTCTGGTTGTGCTTTGCTAAATCAAATTTCACTTATTCTTTTATGATGGCATAAGTTTACTGCTGTATTCCTTCTCTTTCTTTTCCTAGACAGGTTTTTTTTAACCTATTTGATTCTTATTTGTGTAATTACCATGTCTTAATAAAACCTTCTTGGCTAAATTATAGGGTAACTATGAGATTTTTTTTCTAAATGATTTGTCTAAGATTTTTATGTAGATTGGTGAAAGCTCTGGATAACTAAGGTGTATTATATTTGATAACTGTACTTGTCTTCATTTTGAGTGGAGGGTGCAAACTTTGAATGTTACTTTTTAAAAAGTCCCCATTTAAGTGTGTGTGTGTGTGTGTGTGTGTGATAAATCTTTGGTAATAATTTGATGAAATTACTTTGATAGTCTATTAATTGTGACATTTCTAGAGCAAAGCTAGGTTATAAAAGAGTGGGGAATTCCCTTCTCATGGAAGATTCTGGGAAAACAGGTGCACACATGGCATGTGAAACAATACCCTTGAAAAATAAGATTCTAATGTACTCACTTATTCAAATTCAAAGATTTATTCTCTTAGATCAAAGCACTTTCATCTCTTAGAAGGCACTCCTGGTGCCAGCTGGTTATAATTTTTAGTCACAAAGATTTTAGAAGAAGCTATATTCCTTGAATATAGTGTAGTTTCTTTCCAGATAACAAATATCCAGGACTTTTCCTCCATGTCACTTCCATTTTACAGTAAATGTTTTGTCTGTGTCACTTTAGACTTTTGGCTAAACTTCACAGGAGTTGGCACAAGGAATCACATTAATTGTCCATTTAATCTAATAGCCGTCTCTGGCAGAAGCCCATTTATGCTGTTTCAGAGGCAGACAAAACATGAACCATAATGCATCCAATCAATTGGAGATTACAAGATTAAATTTTCTGAGAAAGGAACAGTGGATTGAGAACTTTGATCAGCCATTAAAAAGGATTAATTGGTTTTACTGGCATTTAAAGGCATGCACACAGCTATCACAGCAACTTTGAGTGTCTGCATATAGCCAGCTTAAAAGTAGCATGAACATATAATTTTCTCAAGGAATTAAACCTATAAAAATACACCTTTATTTCCATTTGTGATAGATTTAAATAAGTTGTTTTAGGCATGTGAGTCTAGTACCAGTGTGTACAGTATTATTCTAATCATTTACAGAATGATCCTACCAGGCCCATGCCTTATATTAGTCAAGAACCTTGAGACTCAAAGTGTGGGTTGTGAACCAGATGCATCAACATTATCTGGAAGCTCGTTACAAACTTAGAACACTAGGTTTCACCTTTGACATACAGAATCAGAATTGGCACTGACATTTTAATAAGCTACCTGAGTGTTTTGTATGCCCATCAATGTTCCAAAAGCACTGTTCCATGGGATATACCAAAAATAACACTTAAGAATAGTTGCTGGTTCCCTGCATTTTCAAAGAACTGAATAGATGTATAATTGGCAGAATCCTCTCAAACTAGAAACCTTTTTTCATAGACATTTGATATGTACTACGTTATCTTAGTCAAGTCTTTTATTTTAGTGATGGCCAGATCCCCTGATATCTAAGTAAAATAAAAGTATTCATCCTGTATTCTGCTCAAAGTGACTGAAAGAATAAAATGAGTATTCTGTCTTTTCAGGCTTCTTTAATCTGAAGTAGTTCCCCTGTCTTTTCTTGAATTTCAGCATTTTAATACTTTGGGATGTTGTAGACCAACTATTTTGTGAGACGTCTTTCAGTTTACATTTGTCTGATATGCCCTCATTATTAAATTCAGGTTATTCATCTTTAGCGAAAATATTAAAGTAGTGATGCCATCTCTTATTGCATTCTCTGAAGTGGTTCACGATTTCAACTTGTCTCATTACCCGTGATGTTCCCTTTGATCACTTAAGGCAGTATCTGCCAGACTTCTCCTATGTGAAATTAATCTGGTTTTCTTTGTAAATAATAAGCATTTTGAATAGAGATATTTGAGACTATCATCATATCCTTTTCTCCATTAACTTTATTTATTTATGCATACAGATATTTTTATTCAATAAATAATCGTTCATTACTTTTATTATTTATTTTAATACCCCAATTTTCCCATATTTACCCACTGGGAGCTCAGTAGAAAGAAAGTGGCTTCTATATTCTTTTCAAATTTGCCTATCATTCTTTGAGAACTTCCTTATTTGTTGGCATAATAAGATATTACAGGCTCATCTCATACTTACCCTGCCCCAGTCCTGGAGGTGCTATTTCCTCCAGGAGCTGCAGATTTGTGGGTGGAGAGTGATATTTGACTCCAAAATCTGGGATCTGAGTGTGCTCATTGCTACTGAGATACTGAAATATTGCTGCTCCCAGGCCAAATGTGTAGATGAAATTAGGGAAAATATATATTATGCACACACACACACGCACACCTATATGTATGTGTGCGTGTGTATATGTGTGCGTGTGTGTATATATATACACATACATATATACACACATATATATACACACACATATATACACACACACACACACGCACACATACATATACATTAACATACACACAAAAATTTCTTTATTTGGCCACTACTTCCACCGTCCTTCACAGAGACATACTCTTCTTTCCGCTGAGGATTCTGGGCATCTCATAACAGAACACTGCCCTATCTGCCTGTCCTTTATAGATGTCCTTTTCATCCCAAGTAGGCCTCCCTTCCCACAGCCACTTTCTACATAGATGCCTCATCACTCTGCTCAGGCTCTGATACCACACTGTTAATCACTGCTTCTGCCATTCTCCTATAAGGATGCCCTTTGGGGCTCTGATACCTCATACTACACTATTATAGCTCCCAATCCTGCGTCACTGTGTAGATATCTATCTTATTCAAATCCAACCAAAACATTCTGTACCCAATACAGCTTGAACATCCTTAATCCAAAAATTCAAAATCTGAGCTACTTGAAAAGCACTATTCCCTGGGAAACTTTTTGAGGACCAAATGGAAAATTTATACCTGATCTCATGTCATGGGTTACAGTCACATTGTGTCCGGAATTGGTGGGTTCTTGGTCTCACTGACTTCAAGAATGAAGCCACGGACCCTCGCGGTGAGTGTTACAGCTCTTAAGGTGGCGTGTCTGGAGTTTGTTCCTTCTGATGTTCGGATGTGTTCGGAGTTTCTTCCTTCTGGTGGGTTCGTGGTCTCGCTGGCTCAGGACTGAAGCTGCAGACCTTGGCAATGAGTGTTACAGCTCTTAAGGCAGCACGTCTGGAGTTGTTCGTTCCTCCCGGTGGGTTCGTGGTCTCGCTGGCTTCAGGAGTGAAGCTGCAGATCCTTGGCTGAGTGTTACAGCTCATAAAAGCAGTGTGGACCCAAAGAGTGAGCAGTAGCAAGATTTATTACAAAGAGCAAAAGAACAAAGCTTCCACAGTGTGGAAGGGGACTCCAGCGGGTTGCCACTGCTAGCTGGGGCAGCCTGCTTTTATTCTCTTATCGGCCCCACCCACAACCTGCTGATTGGTAGAGCCGAGTGGCCTGTTTTGACAGGGCACTGATTGGTGCGTTTACAATCCCTGAGCTAGACACAAAGGTTCTCCACGTCCCCATCAGATTAGATACAGAGTATCTACACACAGATTCTCCAAGACCCCACCAGAGCAGCTAGATACAGAGTGTCGATTGGTGTACTCACAAACCCTGAGCTAGACACAGGGTGCTGATTGGCGTGTTTACAAACCTTGAGCTAGATACAGAGTGCTGATTGGTGTATTTACAATCCCTGAGCTAGACATAAAGGTTCTCCAAGGCCCCACCAGAGCAGCTGGATACAGAGTGTCCATTGGTGTATTCACAATCCCTGAGCTAGACATAAAGGTTCTCCACGTCCCCACCAGACTCAGGAGCCCAGCTGGCTTCACCCAGTGGATCCTGCACCGGGGCTGCAGGTGGAGCTGCCTGCCAGGCCCGCGCCCTGCGCCCGCACTCCTCAGCCCTTGGGTGGTCGATGGGACTGGGCGCCATGGAGCAGGGGGCAGCACTCATAGGGGAGGCTCGGCCGCACAGGAGCCCACGGAGGGGGTGGGAGGCTCAGGCATCGCGGGCTGCAGGTCCTGAGCCCTGCCCTGCGGGAAGGCAGCTAAGGCCCCGTGAGAAATCGAGCACAGCGTCGGGGGGCTGGCACTGCTGGGGGACCCAGTACATCCTCTGCAGCCACTGGCCCGGGTGCTAAGCCCCTCATTGCCGGGGGCCGGCAGGGCGGGCCGGCTGTTCCGAGTGCGGGGCCCGCCAAGCCCACGCCCACCCGGAACTCCAGCTGGCCCGCAAGCGCCGCGCGCAGCCCCGATTCCTGCTCCTGACTCTCCCTCCACACCTCCCTGCAAGCTGAGGGAGTGGGCTTGGGCCTTGGCCAGCTCAGAAAGGGGCTCCCACAGTGCAGCGGTGGGATGAAGGGCTCCTCGAGTGCCACCAAAGTAGGAGCCCAGGCAGAGGAGGCGCTGAGAGAGAGCCAGGGCTGTGAGGACTGCCAGCATGCTGTCACCTCTCAACATGATGGGTCACAGTCACATGGGTCACAGTCAAAACTTAGTCAAGACTGTTTTATGTATAAATTATTTCAAATATTGCATAAAATTACCTGCAGGCTATGTATAAAAGGTATATAAAAATAAATGCATTTTGTTCTTAGACTTGGTTCCCAAACCCAAGATATCTCATTATGTATAAGAAACATTCTAAAATTCAAAAGAAATCTGAAATCTGAATCACCTTTGATAATAAACATTTAGGATAAGGGGTACTTAACCTATATTTTACTAAGGGAAGAGAAAGAATGGAAGTATAGGGAAGGGAAGTGTAATGCCCATTTTCATGTGTTAACTAGAGGGGGCTACAGTTCCCAACTATTCAATCAAACACTAATCTAGGTGATGCTGTGAATAATTTTGTGATGTGATAAAAGTTCATAATCAGCTTACTTCAAGCAAGAGCGATTATACTAGATTTTCTTGGTGGACCTGATTTAATCAGTTGAAAGACCTTAAGAGCAGGGCTGAGGTTTCCCTGAAAATAAAAGATTTTTCCTGTGAACAGCAGCTTCAGCTCCTGCCCCAAAGCTCCAGCCTGCCCTCTTGATGGCCTGCCTTATATGCTTACACTTCCCTAAACAGCCCCACAATCACATGCACCCATTTCTTGCAAAAAAATCTCTTAGTATATATCTCCTGCTCCTTCTGCCCCTCTAGTTGAACACGGATTGATACTGGAAAGAAAGAGGAGAGGAAAAGAAAGAGAAAGTATATAATTATCATTTTTAAGGAAGCTCACTGAGAAATATATAACTCTAATTTTCTCTTTTTACATAGGATGACAAAAAGAAAGCAGAAAAATATAACATATGAGGGGCTTAAGTATAAGGAAGGATTTCCTTAAAGATTAAAAAACAAAAGAATGGTTGATGGTTAATTTCCGGTGTCATCTTGACTGGATTATGGAATACATAGATAGCTGGAAAAGGATTATTTATTCTCAATCCTTCAGTAGGTACTGAGCCCAACCCTTTTCTGCTGAAAGGGAAACCCAGGGGCTTTTGCATTTATTAAAATGATTGGACTACCTCAAGTGCATCTTTGAGGATGCTTCCAGAAGAAATTGGCATTTGAGTCAGGGGTCTTAGTGGGGAACACTGGCCCTCAGTGTGGGCAGACACCATCCAATCAGCTGGATTCTCAGATAGGAAAAGAAAAAAAAAAGGCAGAGAAAGGGCAAATTCTTGCTCTCACTTTCAGAGCTGAATTGCCTACTTTCTTCTGCCCTTGGACATCAGAACTCCAGGTTCTCTGGCCTTTGGACTCAGGGGCTCATACCAGCAGTCCCTTCAGGATCTTGGGCCTTTGGCCTGGAATGAAAGTTACACCATTGGTTTCCATGGTTGAAACGCCTTAGGCTTAGGCTGATCCACACTAGCAGCTTTCCTGCTTCCTCTGCTTGTAGATGGCCTATTGATATAATCTGGATGGCTGTCCCCTCCAAATCTCATGTTGAAATGTGATCCCCAATTTTGGAAGTGGGGCCTGGTGGAAGGTGTTTGGATTATGGGGCAGATCCCCATACTCTTGATGATGAGTGAGTTCTTGTTCTGGTAGTTCACACAAAATCTGGTTGTTTAAAGGAGCATGTCACCTCCTCCCCTCTCTTTTGCTCCTGCTGTCCACATGTGACATGCTGGTTCTCCTTTGCCTTCCCTCATGATTGCAAGGTTCCTGAGGCCCTCACCAGAAGCAGATGTTGGCACTATGCTTTATGTACCTCCTGCAGAATGGTGAGCCAATTAAACATCTTTTTTTAAATAAATTACCCAGACTCAGGTATTCCTTTATAGCAATGAAAGAACAGTACACCTGTCATGGGACTTCACAGCCTTCATAATCAAGTGAGACAATTTCCATAATACATTGCTGCTGCTGCTTCCTTCTTCTTCTTCTTCTTCTTCTTCTTCTTCTTCTTCTTCTTCTTCTTCTTCTTCTTCTTCTTCTTCTTCTTCTTCTTTCTTCTTCTTCCTCTTCTTCCTCTTCTTCTTCCTTCTCTCTCTCTCTCTTCCTCCCTGCCTCCCTCCCTCCCTCCCCCTTATCTCTCACCACCTCTCTGCCTTCCCTCTCTAGTATATACTCATATATGTGTACATATATATATATATATACTCATATATGTGTATATATATATATACTCATATGTACATATATATGAGGATCTAAGATTAGCTATCTGCACATTAGATTCCATACAATTTCAAGTTGCTAAATGGAAAAATTCAGATACAAATTATTCAAATACAATCTTATTGTTTTACTTTCAGTAAGCTTTATTTCTAAATGGCAACAGTCCTACATTTTATCTTATCTGAGTAGATGCTGTGGTTTCTCTTTCATCTGTCATCACATATTTAGTTACAGTAAAGTTTATTCATTTGACCACAAACAGCATAATAAATGGGTAAATATGGGATTGACTGATCCCATAGTTTTGTTGTGGAAGAACCAGAGCAGTATTGCAAACATGTAATGAGTCAGAAAAAAGGAGAAAAAAGTCCTACTCAATGGGCTTGGGTATATGATAAGCAGAGAGAAGATCACCACCTGTGTAAAGGAGGCACAGGACTCCGAATATCAGACCTTCCTGAATGACTGACAAAATAAGCCCCATTTCTCATATTGATCTTAGGATCAAACCAGGTTTTCTTGCTACTGGAGAATACAGTGACATCAGTGAAATATGTATTTTTATATGCTATGAAAACTATTAATAATCATATGTGTGCATGAAGAAATTATATATACAAATACATATGTTGATGTATTTATGTGACTATAAAGATGTTGGAAGTTTTGAATTATGATTTGGCTCATTTATAGAGGCAAGTAAGAAATATGGGTTCAACCCATTTTATTCAATGTAGATAGCAAAGATTATGTTATAATGATCATTATCTGCCAGTTATAGTAATTTTCAATAACATTTATTTCATTTTTATGCCATAATAATAATCATAGTTATTTTTCTCAGATTTAAGATAAGTAAATATATTTATATATTTATTGCTCTTTTGGCAAGTTATTTAGTTGCATGCTTTGTAAATGTTTGTCACTATAATATTATTTGTCAAAATCTATGTAAAATAACATGGCCAGGCCAATGAGCTTAAAAAGCCTTTCATCCCCCCAGGCATTAACAAATATTTCCCTCCTCTCATGAAAAAACACAACTATTGTATAAATCACATTGTTTGCCATTATAGCGCTTTGCTGATGAGAGCAAATAATATTAACATATGTCTATAGATGGTGAGAGAGATATGGGTTTATAAGTACCTAAATATAATGTATCATTACCACAACCAATTGAATGAGTGAATGCCTTATTTTCCATGCAGGTGCTCTGAGTTTTTGGTGAATAGAGTTGTGTTATTTGACTTTTTTTTTTGTATGATCTGATAAATTGCTAGTGATGCAATAACAAAATGCACTGCTATTCTAAGATTAATGATTATGTTGAGTGTTGAGATTATTTATTTTCTTAAAAAAATCAGTAAAAGGACACCATTCACCTTGGCTTTCATCTTAAAAGAAAAAAACATTAACATAACTTTTGATTTCAAACATGTTTATAGCGGCAGTAAATGATCAGTCAAATGTCTGGATATTTTTGTTTTACAGATTACTCAATTTGTATTTGAACATTTAGGATTATGCACACATACTTTACACAATGGAAAGGAGGGTGCTTTTATAATAACTTAGACTCCTTGTTTTTATATATTATTGTATTAATAAATGGATGTTTTAAAGCATATGGGATTCCAGAAATGGTTTTGTTGCCTTCCAGAATGTTTCATTTTTGTATGTAAGTCACAGGCCTAAATAACAAAAATGTTGACAGTCTGCCCAAACTTACTTTAGTAAATAAAAAGCCGACAGAGCTTTTTTATTTTTGTGGGAATTTAAGTGGGCAAAGGTCCATATGTTATACACAAACACACACAGACACGCACACATATTTTGTCTGGACAGCCTGTAATGTCTTATACCTTTGTATATGTTTTTGTTTTTTCTCTTATGACATCAAAACTCTAACACCCCAACTCTTCGCATTCTGCACGTAAATCATCACTGAAAATGAACATCATAGCTTATATTTCATGGCTTTATCTCTCAGAAGATTCAGCTGTGTGGAAACCAACTTTGATATTGAGCATTTCCCATATTCAATTTAGAGTAAATAAATTTTGCATAGGTTTAGTCGAAACATAAAAATATTGAAGCATATAATTTAAAATTTGAGAACAGGAGATATTAAGGTGTTTAGCATTTGAAAGCATGGTCAGCTCCAGATATATTTAGAACTTGCATTATAGACTCTTCTAGGAATGTCAGGAAACAGATGTGAGGTGCATGTTCTGGTTCAAATGGAAAGGCAGAAATTATAAAAGACACTGAAACTAAAGAAAGACCATGAATATCTGTATAAAATTGGATGGAAGGAATCTTTGGAAGAATACTTCCCCGGAGTCCTGTGTTATCACCATGGGATAGAGATCTTTTGCACTCATTGCCATTCACTCTCTTTATTTTAGTTGATCTGTGAATTAGTGATGAACGTGTCTTGAATGTACACATGATGACAAGGGAATCATATATTTTGTAATTGGCTCTGAAAATTTGCTGAAGCATGCACAATTTAAACTAGCCAGCCAGCCGTTCTCTCCTGCTGATTCGATGGTATCAAGGACACAGCATCTAACCCTCACATTTTACTTGGCTGCAAACCTCCCTCTGAACAGGGTCCACGGAGCATGGATCGTGGTCTTATGAAACAAATCTTTCCTCCTTAAATGTCAGTGTCTCATTAGACCTTTGCTTTGGTTCATTTTAGTAGTGTTTCTCCCTGCTCTCTAGTGAAATGAAGTGACGTGGTTAACAGTCTCTGCAGTCTTAAATGTACAAGGCTGTAATTTGACTCTAGGTAGACTGTGACTCTTTGGAACAAAGCATGTTTGAACATACATTTCTATCACGGCAGGATTTAAAGATCACAATAAAACTTCATGAAGACACAGTGTATATGAGAGTAATGGTAGTTTCCATGTTCTATAATGCTCAATTAAGAGGTTCCAACTGACCTCTAAAAGCCCCTGCCTGAATTATGGTGATGCTCAATTGTTAAAGAGAGTCTACCCCTTGTATTTCTTGAGGGTTGCTACATTTGGTAATGTGTACTATAGGGACATACATTATCCATAATGTTAGCAGAAGGTTCCTACCACTGAACTTTCTGTGTTTTGAGCAAAAACACAATTCTGGTTTCATAAAACAATTTTATAATACATAGACTTAGAAAGATAAAGGAAAGCTTTATCTTTATTTATTTATTACTGCTAACAATTATAATTATGATAATAACAATAATAAAGGGATTCCCTTTTATTATCACCTCTCATAATATCCTTCCTTTCTGGGGACTGACCTGGAAGTTAACCCAGGAAGATTGATCACCTCAAGTTAAGCAAGAGTACATTTTTATGCTAGATAAATATCTAGAATTCTATTGTCTTCTTATCATTACAACATCATTTTTTGTTAAATTCATTTTTATGCCACTATAACCGTGTTAAAACTATTACAAAACCACGGGGTATTGTAATGATAGTCCCTTTTTCCTATCTGGTCTTCTTGGAGGTAGTAATTTACCTTTTTCCACTTTCATAGTATGCTATCCACACACTCTTATTTTTGTTTCTAGTGCTGTATTATTCTGTTAAATCTGCATTTTTAATGGAGACTTCTTTTTCGTAATTTTTTCTTGAGAAAACTGTTTTGCTTTCTGAAGCAGTTTTTTGCACCTAATGAAGAGTGCAAAAAGCTATATCTGAGTCCTGTCATGGAAAAAAAATAAGAAAATATTCTACCATCACGTTGTGGGGGGTATTTTGACTTCATATAATATTTAAGATTGGAGATCATTTGCCTTCAGAATTTTAAAGACCATTAATTTCTGTAATCCATAGTTGTTACTGATATATCTGAAGCTGTTATAGTTTTTATCTTATGTATGTGGCATTCTCTCCCTCTCTTTAGAAGACTTTAAAATCTCCTTATCACCAATGTTTGAAAATTTCATGACAACTGGCCTTTTTCATTGATTGTATCAGGCAGTTGGTAGACTCATGTTCTTTAGTTCAATGAAATTTTCTTCGATAATTTGTTTTCTTTTATTTTCTCCATCTGTGCTTTCTGGGACTTCTAAAGTCAGAAATTGTCCTTCCTAGATTCGATTTTCTAAGTAAATTTTGTTTCATATTTTCTAGCGTTATGTTTTTTTGTTCCACTTTCTAAAAGATATTCTCAAATTTATCTTTAAAACTTTAAGTTGGATATTTTTGCAATATTTTAAATTTGAAGGGATTTTTTCTGATTTTTGTTTCCATGGCATTTTTGATTTTTACATGAATTAACTCCTCGTTGTGGAGAGTAATTATTTAAAGTTTTTAATTTTATTGCTTTCCAGAGTTCTCTTTCCTCAAGACTGAAATATTACTTTTTATCTATTTTTTCTGCCTTTAATTTTGACGTTTCTTTTCAAGTATCAGTAAACTTTAATTGTCCCTTTAAAAGGAGGCTTTAAAATTATCAGTTTGGAAGTCCTTTGTGTACTAATGGGCTGAAGAATAGGAGGCCAGATCCACTAACTGGGTGGACAGCTAGCTTTTTGTTAGGGCACTCTCTTCTAAAATATTAATAGGCAGATGTTATTTTTTTGAAGATCTTCAGTTTATCTAGAGATGATGTTTCCAAAAACCTTCCCAGGGAAGTATCTGGCAGCCACTGTTGTTACTTAGGCTCTCAGCAGGAGGCGCAAGTCTCACCATTCAGTTTCCAAAGGTTCATTTTACTTCCTTGTTTTAAACTGCGTGCATCATCTTCACTTTCCCTCTTATCTGCGATTTTGAATCTTGCTCTTGTAAATAAGTATCTCCAAAAAAGGGCTTAGAAATTCTGCGTGTGGAGTGGACATTTGACTGCAGATATTCCTTACACTGGGTGGGGAAAGGGCGGGGTCAAATATTCAGTATGGAGATTTTCAAATGATCTCTGATTTTAGTGCCACTCTTCACCACAGCCTTTCCCTGATTCTTATAACTTCCTGGGAATTCTCAGAAAAAATTAATTCAAAACCACTTTCCCCAAACTGGTGCCCTGTCTTATTACTCTTTGTAGAGTCAGTGACCACTCTTTGATTGGTTTCTACCTTTTAATTTAATGTATTATTTTTTTTTTTTTTTGCCACCAGTCACCACATTATGTCCTACCTCCTCTGGTTTATATCATTTTTGTTCCTTTACTGTTGTTTTGTTATGGACTCTGGAGGAGATAGAGATAATAAAATGGCCAGTTGACCATCTCTTGAGAGAAGTGAAGATCCCATTCATTAAAAAATGGTCTCAATAATGGTAGCAATAATGGAAGCAGCAATCATTGTTTTAGTGGAAATGGTTGTAGTCATTACAGCAGCAACACCATCAGTATCTACTACCATTACATGGTTACTACCAGTGCCATCACACCACATAATTTATAAAGATTCACATAATTTATAGTGATTCACACTTTTAGGAACATTAACCTCACTTAATTCTTACAACAACCCTATATAAGTAGTTGGGTGTGTATCACTAATCATTTTTTAAGTATTTCACTTTACAGACATGAAATCTAAGAAACAGAGAGGATAAATAATTTACTCAACTTTGTTCAACTAGTAGTTGTTATAGAAAAGTCTCTTCAGTCATTCTAATCCTACCTTTCCCAATACTCACCACCCATGCTGGGAAATTTGCAGAGGCAGTTTGGAACACTAGGTGTGAGTGCAGGCTTAAACGTTTCCCAGGCTCTTGCTAGTCTTGTGGTTCTTGCTGCAGTAATAGAACATGGATCTTCTCTTTAAGAATTAATTGTTTGGGAAATAACAGTAGCTCAGACATTTTATTATTACCATAAATTCTGAAACAGAGACGACTTTTGCTCGTGAAAAAGCTTTACCATTAATTGGCTATCTCTAATAGTCCTCAGACACAACATGATTAAAATCGAACAAAATAACCTTTTTCTGTTCCTGGCTTCCAATTTTTCCAGGCATCCAATTTCAGAACCACAGGATATTCTCTGATTCCATATTTCTCACTTACCCAAATTCCCAAGTTCTATGGATTTTCTGTCTCCTTCATTGGATTCCTAATATTTCCACTATAGCTTAGATTCTTAACTGTTTCTCACCCACACTTCTGATAACTTCCCACTAGTTAACTGTAAGCCTATGTAAGGTTCACTTCACCTAAAGCACAGCTCTGATCAAGCCACTGCCTGCTTTCTAAACTTTAGTTTGACCATTATGGTGCAACTTGTATAACACCCAATTCTTTCTGCTACCCACATCATATTCTTTGAACGATTTCCAAATATCTTTCTGCATTTTCCCATCCTTGAGTATTTTCTCTAGTCTGTCTAACTATCCATCTTCATTTCCCTTTCCCCAAATACCTTCCAATATCTCTTCTTGTTGAATTTCTATCATTATTCAGGAGTCATCTCAAAAGTAACCCCCTGTGAACAGTCCTTCTTCACTAAATTTCGCCCCCTGTGAACAGTCCTTCTTCACTAAATTTCACCAATTGCACATGGTATTTTTTATCTGAAATTTCCTTGCAGTCTGTTTTCTTCTAGTACTACTTAAGATATACTATATTCTCTGGTGTACAGCAAATTGCTGTAAGAAGTAGTAATAAATTGGAATTATTTCTATTAGTTACAGAGGAGGTGTTTTATTGAGCTGTATTAGTGAAACATATTTTTAAATAGTAAAGTCATAATGTCAGTAACCAGTCTTTGTTCATGCATATCAGTGCTTCAAGTTATTTATTGCGTTAGCTTGACTCACAATAAAAGGAAGAGTTTGAAGAATAGAAAAGTAACACAAAGAGGAAAGATTGGAATAGATAATAAAGGCCTAAAGAAAAGAGAAATTGTGAGCATTAAATGCAATATAGAAGTGATTAGAAAAAATGGTTAAATATTTGCCAACTCCATTCTGGATTGTAAAAGAACCTCAAAGGCAAAGACATATATATATATCTATATATAGATATATAGATATATATATATATGTATGTATATCTATATATGTATATATATATCTATATATATGTATGTATGTATATACATACGGTATAAATGTATAAAAAGGTATATATATATATATATATATATATGCCTTTTTCAAATATTTGCTGCTTAAATACTGGCAGAAATAAGACTGATTTACCATATCAAGTTAGAAAGATTTCTTACCTTTTTTGCATACTCTGATCACAGTAACTTGACTGATATAATTGCTTTCCTGACCCTGCTATCCTTCAGAATAGAAATGTTGTTTTTAATCTGTATCTTTATGAAGTCAACCAAAGGCTATTCTTGTAAAAGGGCCAAAACTACAGAGTGAAAACCATAAATTGCTTCCAGTATAGTCAGTGAAAACATGCTTGTATAACACGAACAATAAATGTTTTTATAGTGAGTTCAGAGTATAAGTTTCCAATTCTTTCTCAATATAAAAATGGTTAGCCAATGTGATTTAGAGAATATTCTCTGTTTATTTCTGGTCTTTATATTCTCTTCCTTTAGTTTCTGCTAAATCTCTTGCACATTCTTAAACTGTGGTTACCTCATGGAGTTCTATGCTACGATACCACTCTTTTATCAGACACCATATGATTATTTCTATTGAATTTCTCAAGCTTTTATTAGTTGTTTGGTAAAAAGAAATCTGCTCCTCTCCAATGGGCATTGCAAAATGCCTTCTATAAATTATTTTCTGTATCTAAAAATTGTTCTCTCATCCCATTTATGAGATGCTGTGGCTTATGGTCACTCTCTGTGCTCTCCATTCTTTTATGTTTTCTTTATGTTCTGCTCCAGCTGTGATTCAGAGGAAAAAAGTATTTTGCTATTCTTTCATTAAAGATATGATAGAATTTCTGACTAGAGTCTGGCCTTAAAATGTCTTTCCTATGGGAAGATGACATGACACTTTCAGTGTGACACCATTAAACACTTTCCTTTGATCAACAGCTCAAGAGTTTATTTAAACTGTTTCATACCCGTTCCCATTCAACCTACATACAAATAATGAACATTTGGTACGTTATTTTTAAAAGGTTACAGTGAATAAATCTGGGGCTTTTGGCTAATAGCCTCTACCAGCATGTGTCCATAATGTACCAAATAGCTATTTCTAAAAAAAGAGTATTCTTGAAAGAGAAACTCAGACATTATTTATGCTTGGCTCAGCATTCACCCTACAATAACATATTCTTCATCTTTTTATTAGAAAAAAATTAATTTTAAGTTTCCTATCTGTAGTAGATCTTGATCTTAAACAAAATTTCCCTTACAGCACTCCCACCAAAAAATTGAAGAACATGTTACCAAGTATTGAAACCAGACTATCTAATTTTATTTCTTTTCTGTTCTTCTTCCATGAAAAGAATACATTTGGTCTGACTTAATGTCTCAGAGATGTGTCTCATCCCAAAATCCTTGGCTGTTATCCAGACAAGTTTCTTGCAGTCCTGTGTGATTTCAGAGTTTAAATGTTCTCCCTGTCTGTAGGGAAATTTCATGGTCAAAAATCAAATAGTTTTCAATTTTTTATGAGAAGACAGACTTCTCTCCAAGTCTGTTTCAGTTCATACCTACACCCCCTACTACAAACACACATATCCACATATCTCCTGGGACATATCATTCTTTCCTCAGGGTGTTGACGAGAGAGTTGGATTGCCTAGCACAGTGAAGAGTAAATAGATGAAGTACTAAGGTAATACATAACACAAGAACATCTAATGATAATTTATTTTTATTTAAACTAGGATATGCTAGTTTCCAAGAGTTGAGTTTTCTTTTTTTTTTTTTTAAGATTGGGGTCCTTTTATATATATATATATATATGTGTGTGTGTGTGTGTGTGTGTGTGTGTATTATATATATTTATTATACTTTAAGTTCTAGGGTACATGTGCACAACGTGCAGGTTTGTTACATATGTATACATGTGCCATGTTGGTGTGCTGCACCCATTAACTGGTCATTTACATTAGGTATATCTCCTAATGCTATCCCTCCCCCCTCCTCCCACCCCACATCAGGCCCCAGTGTGTGATGTTCCCCTTCCTGTGTCCAAGTGTTCTCATTTTTCAATTCGCACCTATGAGTGAGAACATGCAGTGTTTCGTTTTTTGTCCTTGTGATAAATTGCTGAGAATGATGGTTTCCAGCTTCATCCATGTCCCTACAAAGGACATGAACTCATCATTTTTTATGGCTGCATAGTATTCCATGGTGAATATGTGCCACATTTTCTTAATCCAGTCTATCATTGTTGAACATTTGGGTTGGTTCCAAGTCTTTGCTCTTGTGAGTAGTGCTGCAATAAACATACGTGTGCATGTGTCTTTATAGCAGCAGGATTTATATTCCTTTGGGTATATACACAGTAATGGGTTGGCTGGGTCAAATGGTATTTCCAGTTCTAGATCCCTGAGGAATCACCACACTGTCTTCCACAATGGTTGAACTAGTTTACAGTCCCACCAACAGTGTAAAAGTGTTCCTATTTCTCCACATCCTCTCCAGCACCTGTTGTTTCCTGACTTTTTAATGATCGCCATTCTAACTGGTGTGAGATGGTATCTCATTGTGGTTTTGATTTGCATTTCTCTGATGGCCAGTGATGATGAGCATTTTTTCATGTGTTTTTTGGCTGCATAAATGTCTTCTTTTGAGAAGTGTTTGTTCATATCCTTCGCCCACTTTTTGATGAGGTTGTTTTTTTCTTGCAAATTTTTTGGAGTTCTTTGTCAGATGAGTAGATTGCAAAAATTTTCTCCCATTCTGTAGGTTGCGTGTTCACTCTGAAGGTAGTTTCTTTTGCTGTGCAGAAGCTCTTTAGCTTAATTAGATCCCATTTGTCAATTTTGGCTTTTGTTGCCATTGCTTTTGGTGTTTTAGACATGAAGTCTTTGCCCATGCCTATGTCCTGAATGGTATTGCCTAGGTTTTCTTCTAGGGTTTTATGGTTTTAGGATTTAAGTCTTTAATCCATCTTGAATTAATTTTTGTATAAGGTGCAAGAAAGGGATCCAGTTTCAGCTTTCTACATATGGCTAGCCAGTTTTCCCAGCACCATTTGTTAAATAGGGAATCCTTTCCCCATTTCTTGTTTTTGTCAGGTTTGTCAAAGATCAGATAGTTGTAGATGTGTGGTATTATTTCTGAGGGCTCTGTTCTGTCCCATTGATCTATATCTCTGTTTTGGTACCAGTACCATGCTGTTTTGGTTACTGTAGCCTTGTAGTATAGTTTGAAGTCAGGTAGTGTGATGTGCCTCCAGCTTTGTTCTTTTGGCTTGGGATTGACTTGGCAATGCGGGCTCTTTTTTGGTTCCATATGAACTTTAAAGTAGTTTTTTTCCAATTCTGTGAAGAAAGTCATTGGTAGCTTGATGGGGATGGCATTGAATCTATAAATTACCTCGGGCAGTATGGCCATTTTCATGATATTGATTCTTCTTATCCATGAGCATGGAATGTTCTTCCATTTGTTTGTGTCCTCTTTTATTTCATTGAGCAGTGGTTTGTAGTTCTCCTTGAAGAGGTCCTTCACATCCCTTGTAAGCTGGATTCCTAGGTATTTTATTATCTTTGAAGCAATTGTGAATGGGAGTTCACTCAAGATTTGGCTCTCTGTCAATGGTGTATAAGAATGCTTGTGATTTTGCACATTGATTTTGTATCTTGAGACTTTGCTGAGGTTGCTTATCAGCTTAAGGAGATTTTGGGCTGAGATGATGGGGTTTTCTAGATATACAATCATGTCATCTGCAAACAGGGACAATTTGATTTCCTCTTTTCCTAACTGAATACCCTTTATTTCTTTCTCCTGCCTGATTGCCCTGGCCAGAACTTCCCACACTATGTAGAATAGGAGTGGTGAGAGAGAGCATCCCTGTCAAAGGTCTAATATCCAGAGTTGAGTTTTTAATAGCAAAATTTTCATTAAATGTAATGAAAGAGCCAACTAAGTTATATGTATTTTATGCTTCTTAAAGTAGAAAAGGCTAAAATTTGTGACATGGTAATCGTCAAGAATTTTGCCACATCAGAAGCAGAGAGCACATTTAAAAAATCTATCTAGTTTTGTCCCTAAATCTATCATTGAGCAGCATGTCCTTCATGTTTTAGTTGATGTCATGCTATGTAGCAGTGACATGATCCTCCCATGAACATGACAAAGTGCTAGAAGAACCTCCCCAGACAACTTTCCTAGACTTCAGAGCAAATGTAAGTGTCTCTGGTGTCAGTTTGAACCCCAACTCTAATAGGCATGTCACCCTTGGACAAATTAAAGGGCTACAGATATGCAACTATATACAAAGTTGGAATAAAAATGCAACATTCACAAAGATCTATGGATAAGGATATATATATATACATATATATGTATATATATTCTAAAATAGTCTTTAAATAAATATTCTCATCATGTTCCCTTTCTTTTCTTCCAGTTTATTCCCCTCTCCTCTCTTCTGATTTAAGTGGAGAAGAATTTCAGAGATGGTTGTAGTTTCCAAACAGCCTGTGATTCCAGAATTTTTTTTTTTTTTTTTTTACTACTGAATTAAGTTAAATGTATGTGCTCCATGTAAGAACAAACAACTTCCTTGAGGAAAGATGCACCTCTTTGCACAGGGTTGTGCCATCTGGTCCTTGGCAGACCAGTGTGCAAAGATAGGGAGGAACATTAAGTTAAGCACAGCCAGAAAATGATGCACACAGTCCATATGGCTTTATGGTCTGCTCCCCGTATTTCTCTAGGCAGTGGTGACCAAAAAGAAAGCCGGGGAATAAGTTAATCTCGATTCTTTCTTCTAAACTATAAATTTTAAGAGGTTGGGTACTCTTCTTGTTTATTGTATTTACTCCTGAATGAGGTCTTATGATTGGATTGGGAGAGAATAAGTCCTTCACAATTGATTTTTATGGACCTCTTCTATTTGCCACTCTGAGGGTAAACATTTAAAGTTTCTGACAAGAAGAATTATTGTTTAATGGATGCAGAGTTTATTTTGCAAGATAAAAAAGTTCTGGAGATAGAGAGTGATGATGGTTGCACAAAAGGGTGAATGTACTTAATGTCACTGAACTGTTCACTTAAAAGTGGCTTAAATGCTGGGCGTGGCAGTGTGCGCCTGTAATGCCAGCTACCCAGGAGGCTGAGGCAGGAGAATAGCTGGATGAAACCCAGGATGCAGAGGCTGCAGTGAGCCGAGATCAAGCCATTGAACTCCAGCCTGGGCCACAGAGCAAGTCTTCGTCTCAAAAAAAAAAAAAAAAAAAAAAAAAAAAAAAAGGCTTAAATGTTGTATTTCATGTTATGTATACTTTACCACAATTAATTTTTTTAAGTTTCTGATCAGTAGGACTTAAGGGAACAAGAGTAAACAAATTCAAAAGCTAGCAGAAGACAAGAAATAATTAAGATCAGAGCAGAACTGCAGGAGATAGAGACACAAAAACACCCTTCAAAAAATCAGTGAATCCAGGAGCAATTTTTTTGAAAAGATTAACAAAATAGATAGACCACTAGCCAGACTAATAAAGAAGAAAAGAGAAAAGAATCAAATAGACACAATAGAAAATGATAAAGGGGATATCACCACTGATACCATAGAAATACAAACTACAATCAGAGATTACTATAAACACCTCTACGCAAATAAATCAGACAACCTAGAAGAAGTGAATAAATTCCTGGACACATACACCCTCCCAAGACTAAAGCAGGAAGAAGTCGAATCCCTGAATAAACCAATAACAAGTTCTGAAATTGAAGCAGTAATTAATAGCCTACCAACCAAAAAAAGCCCAGGACCAGATGGATTCACAGCCGAATTCTACCAGAGGTAGAAAGAGGAGTCAGTACCATTCCTTCTGAAACTATCCCAAACAACAGAAAAAGAGAGAATCCTCCCTAACTCACTCTATGAGGCCAGCATCATCCTGATACCAAAACCTGGCCGAGACACAACAAAAAAAGAAAATTTCAGGCATTGGCCTGTTCATCCCTGATGAACATTGATGTGATAATCCTCAATAAAATACTGGCAAACTGAATCCAGCAGCATATCCAAAAGCTTATCCACCACGATCAAGTCAGCTTCATCCTTGGGATGCAAGGCTGGTTCAACATATGCAAATCAACAAACATAAACAATCACATAAACATAACCAAAGACAAAAACTGCATGATTATCTCAATAGATGCAGAAAAGACCTTCAGTAAAATTCAACACAACTTCATGCTAAAAACTCTCAATAAACTAGGTATTGATGGAACATATCTAAAAATAATAAGAGCTATTTATGACAAACCCACAGCCAATATCATATTGAACGGGCAAAAGCTAGCAGCATTCTCTTTGAAAATCAGCACAAGACAAGGATACCCTCTCTCACTACTACTATTCAACATAGTATTGGAAGTTCTGGCCAGGGCAATCAGGCAAGAGAAAAAAATAAAGGGTATTCAAATAGGAAGAAAGGAAGTCAAATTGTATCTGTTAGCAGATGACATGATTGCATATTTAGAAAACCCCATCAGCTCAGCCCAAAACTCCTTAAGCTGATAAGCAACTTCAGGAAAGTCTCAGGATACTAAATCAATGTGCAAATATCACAAGAATTCCTATACACCAAGAATAGAAAAGCAGAGAGCCAAATCATGAGTGAACTCCCATTCACAATTGATACAAAGAGAATAAAATACCTAGGAATACAATTTACAAGGGATGTGAAGGACCTCTTCAAGGATAACAACAAACCACTGCTCAAAAAATAAGAGAGGACACAAACAAATAGAAAAACATTCCATGCTCATGGAAAGGAAGAACCAATATCGTGAAAATGACCACACTGCCCAAAGTAATCTATAGATTCAATGCTATCCCCATCAACCTACCATTGACTTTCTTCACAGAGCTGAAAAGATTGCTTTAAATTTCACATAAAAAATACCCCATATAGCCAACACAATCCTAAGCAAAAAGTAAAAAGCTGGAAGCATCATGCTACCTGACTTGAAACTATGCTACAAGCTTACAGCAAACAAAACAGCATGGTACTGGTACCAAAACAGACATATTGACCAATGGAACAGAACAGAGGCCTCCGAAATAATACTACACATCTACAATCATCTGATCTTTGACAAACTTGACAAAAACAAGCAATGGGGGAAGAATTGCCTATTTAATAAGTGGTGCTCGGGAAACTGGCTAGCCATATGGAGAAAACCGAAATTGGACTCCTTCCTTACATCTTATACAAAAATTAACTCAAGATGGATTAAGGGCTTAAACATAAAACCTAAAACCATAAAAACCCTACAAGAAAACCTAGTTAATACCACTCAGGGCATAGGCATAGGCAAAGACTTCATGACTAGAACATTACAAGCAATGGCAACAAAAGCCAAAACTGGCAAATGGGATCTGATTAAACTAAAGAGTTTCTGCACAGCAAAGGAACTATCATCAGATTGAACAGGCAACCTACAAAACGTGAGGAGATTTTTTCAATCTATCCATCTGACAAAGGTCAAATATCCAGAATCTGCAAGGAACTTAAACAAATTTAGAAGAAAAAAACAACTCCATCAAAAAGTGGGCAAATGATATAAACAGACACTTCTCAAAAGAAGACATTTATGTGGCCAACCAACATATGAAAAATAGCTCAACATCACTGGTCATTAGAGCAATGCAAAAAAAAAAAAAACACACACACAACTAGATACCATCTCACGCCAGTTAGAATGATGATCATTAAGAAGTCAGGAAACAACAGATGCTGGAGAGGATACGGAGAAATAGGAATGCTTTTGCACTATTTGTGGGAGTATAAATTAGTTCAACCGTTGTGGAAGACTGTGGCAATTCCTCAGGATCTAGAACCAGAAACACAATTTGATCCAGCAATCTAATTACTGGGTATATACCTAAAGGATTATAAATCATTCTACTATAAAGACATATGCACACATATGTTTATTGCAGTGCTATTCACAATAGCAAAGACTTGGAACCAACCCTAATATCCATCAATCATAGACTGGATAAAGAAAATGGGGCACATATACACCATGGAATACTATGCATTCATAAAAATAAAATGAGTTCATGTCCTTTGCAGGGACATGGATGAATCTGGAAACCATCATTTTCAGCAAACTAACACAGGAACAGAAAACCAAACACCGCATGTTCTCACTCATAAGTGGGAGCTGAACAATGAGAACACATGGACACAGGGAGGGGAACATCACATACCAGGGCCTGTCAGGGGGTTGGGGGTAAGGGGAGGGAGAGCATTAGGACAAATACCTAATGCATGTGAGGCTTAAAACCTAGATGGTGGGTTGATGGGTACAGCAAACCACCATGGCACATGTATACCTACTTAACAAACCTGCATAGTTCTGCACATGTATACTGGAACTTAAAGTTTAATAAATAATAATAAAAAGTAGTAGAAATTTAGGTGTGATGAGAAAATAACAATATTATCTAAAATAAAATGGGGAATGTGTGGTAGACAGGAGAGACCATGTTGGTAAAGTACATTAAGATTGGAAAAACACATCAGAATATTCACATTTTAAAACTGTATTATAAGAATATATATTTTTAATATACATCATGTATATTATAGGAATAGTCTATTACAAGAATAAAATTCTACTGTAAGGGAAAGAATATACAGAGATTTTCCTAGGATGGCATATAAACATAATCACAGAATGTTAGACTGGAGAAAATTATGATAAAGATATAAGCCATATATTGCAATCTCATTTTTACATATGAAGCAACAGGCTTAGAGAGATTCAATGACTTCTCCAAGTTCTTACGTTTTGTGAATGGCAGTCATGGTTAGTATTCACAAACTTTATAGTATATTCTTCCTAAGAAAGACCATACCTTCTATAGAAAGAAACAATAGAATCTCCTTCTATGACTAACTTAAAAAAAATTAGAAAAATCAACTCTCTTGTACATCTTAATAGTCAGAGTCTAAACATTTTGATTTATTTTAAAATCAGCAATAAACTAATCATGTATGAATCCATAAATAGCTTTTAATACTCTGAAATGTTTTTTATCTTATTAATGCTCATTTAATTGTATAGAAATGACATAAAAGACAAATACCTACAAAACTTGTGCATACAATGATAATTGCTGTGTAGCATAAGATCTTTAAATTAGAATCATTAACAGCTGGTTTAAAATATAGGAGAATAAATTGGATTCCATTACATGATCCATTTTCACATATAACTTGACTTCATAGTTAGGATGCTTTAATTCTTTCACCCTTTTCCAGTTTTATTCCCGAACAACGTTAATCTTGTTTTTACACCCAGTATGAAAGTGGTCACTGCTTACAATTCTCCTGTTCTTCTACTCCAGATTCTCTGGTTCTTTCATTGTTTGTCCCAGGAACTTTGCACTTGTTTTTGTTCATACCTAGAATTTTTTCTTGAGACTCCTGCAAAGCTGCCTCTCTCTTATTATTGATCTTCCACCTCAACTCTCACTTTATTAGAAAAGTTATACCTTTCTCACTTTATTTCAGTTTCTGCTTTCTGCATATTTTCTATTGCATCCCTTTTTTCACTTTACATACTACTTTTAACTATCTGAAATTTTTAATTTGATCATTATATGACTTCCCTCTAAGACTAAATTAAACATATGTTCTTTCAGTTTTTGGTTTTACTTGATTTCATTTCCCTACCTTCTCTAGGACATTTAGACTCTTTATCGTGGCATTGTGGGGCTGCTATTTCCTAAGGTAGACATTGCACTCACTAATACTGCCCAAGACACTTTCTTAGCATATCATCTCATTGGCTCATGTGAAGCCTGTATGCATTAAGGTTTTCATGCAAGTTGCTATAAAGACTCTTCTCCCAAATTCTATAGATATTTAATTAACTTTTAAGCAAATTTAAGTGAAGGACTTTATAATTAAGTGCCATAAGAATTTCAAAATATAAGCCAAATCCTTTAGCCATGTCCTTTAGAAAGTCTCTGTAGCGCTCATCTATCGAGAAAGCAGACAAGAAATCCAACATATAGCCCTGTTTAGTTTGCATTCCTTTTTACTTACTGAGCATACCTCATCACTTTAACTCCCCTGTGAAATTATGTTTCATGCATCTAGGAACTCTATATAATACCCATACAAAGGCTGCATTTTGAGTGGCTTGGGGAAATATTTTCAGAATCTTGTTTTGAAAGCAAAAAATATAATAGTGGTGACTCTAGGTGGAATGGCAAATTGCTTGTGTTATGTGTAAGGGAAGCTGTTGGCATGACTGGTGGAATGCTCTTTAGCTATTTGTGAATAAGAGATGCTGTTAATATATTAGATATGGTTCATCTTCCAACTCAACCCATGCCTAATTACACTGTATTGGAAGTTAAGTAGACACTGAAGTTAGGGATGTGGAATCACAGGCAGTGTATCCCCATTGTGATTTCTCCCTAGCACCACACAGTTGTGTTTTTTTAATACTGTAGGGAACTTCATAATTATACATTTTCTGCCTCTGAGAGATCCAGTGTATAATTACACAGTTCAAATACAACAGTGCTGGTTACTGTCAAATGCATGTAGCTACATGGGATTAAAATGTATTTAACCCTAATTGCATAGAAATTAGGTGTTTCTATGCAATGATGGGACCTATTACTTATTTTATTGTGAATGTGAAATGTGCAGGTATAATCTACTCCATTTATATGTGAAGGCAGTGTCTATCTCTGTATGTGACATTGTACAAGAATCCAGTTAGTGTAATGCTTTTGATATTTTAACACATACTTTATAAACATTATACAAGAAAATGAATAAAATCTGCAGTGGGATGTATCTTGGGTACATAGTGCATATTTATCACTTATATATTTTGGAGTTATTTTGCTGTTTTTTCTTTTTCTTTTTCTTTTTCTTTTCATTTAACAAGAACTGTCAGCTAATCTCATCGGTAAACACCAGATGGCGCTGCATTGAATATCATTGCCTTGGCAATTTTCCGTGAATGCTATAAACATTCTGGAGGTGAAGTGCATGTAAGAAATAATCTTGTCCAACTCTCATTTCTCAAATGAAAATACTCAAACTCATAGAGGTTACGTAATTTTTACAAAATTATGTTAAGTGTAAAAGTCTGACACTGCATTCACACCTTGCTGGGTTTTGCATATCCTATCCTATATTACTTGGGACCATGGTTTAGTTGCACTAAAGAAAAAGTAGCACAAGGATAATGGTCAAATTTTAAATCTATGATGTTTCATTTACTAGCTGTATGACAAGTGGGAAAGCCATTTAGCCATCTTCACCTTTAGTTTCCTCATTTGTGGAAAAAACGAAGGATTCAAAACATACTTACTTTATAGTTTTATGTTGATTAAATGTAAACTCTGTATTAAATAGCACAAAATATGCTACACAGGAGATGCTGTAGATATGATTCCCTAGATGAATTTAAGGCACCATACATATTTCCTCATTTTCATAATCCCAAAGCCTTTATTACATACTTAATTTTACTTTACGCTGTATTTAAGATAATTTACCTTTTGCTTTTTAGGAGCTTACACCACAACATAGATATTCTGATGTAGATATGTAGACGAACAGCAGAGTTCAAGTACTCCAAGGAAATAATAAGTAGAAAGATATTAGGCAGTGATGTGTGAAAGGGATATGGTGTTTCAGCTTGACCAGTGCAGGCAAGGGACAATGCAAATTAATTCTCAAGTGGGTTACTTAAAAGCAACTTCACAGGATTGGACTCTCAGACTGTCCACTGATTGGCTCTTTTAATCTCCACTTCAGCTGTGTTCAGCCCATGCATTCTACTCACATTCTTCACTATTACCGCATGCTGCAAACTCTCCATTAGAGCTTCTCCTTTGGATTTTGGTGTCATCTGCATTCTGAATCTAGTCTTTGACAATAGTTAGATTTATGTGCCTAGCCTGGCACTTTTCTATTGTGGCTCCAATTTATTTACATGTAAAATGAAAGGCTGAACTAGATAGATGGTGTCTCTCTGAAATTATGTAGTTCTATTTTTCTCCCGCTCTAGTCTCCAATGACAAACCTTCTCCCCTCCACACACACATGCAAACGTAAGCCTAGTCCAAATGTACTTTCTGGTGGGTCTCAAAGCTCTCTAAAGTGCCAGTATTGTATCTCTTGTCTTCTAGACATTGTTTAATCCTCTCCCACAGTCACAGTACTTTTTCATGTGACTCGTTGTGGCCAGTGAGATGTTAACAAAAGTGATGCAAGCAGAGACTTAATAAACACTTTTTTAATTGACTTGTCTTTTGGAAAACTCGTTTGCAAGCATGAGATCACCATGCAGGACTCATGCCAGAATTGTGGATAAATAGCAAGGGACCTAGACAATAAACAATTACAATAAACAAAATAAATAACAGACATATGGCTCACCCAGCTGTCCTATCCAGCCCCAGCCATTGAAGCCACCTCCAAATGACACCCTAGACCTTGTGATGCCCCCACCCTCATGTCCAGCCCTGTAGTGCTGCCCCATGGTGCCTCTACTCGTTCCAGTCCAATCTGTGGTAGAATCCAGAGATCCTGCAAATCTCTGACTGGTAGAATATAGAGCAAATAGAATGATGGATGTTTTCAAGCTATTAAATTTCTGAGTGGTTGTCACACTTCAGTTGATAACCAAAACAATGTGTAACCTTGTTGACTAGTTTTGGCTTAGCCTCTCTAAGCCTCAATTCCCTCATGTGCGAATGAGGGATAATAATGGTACCAATGTCACAAGATTAGGGTTATTAAGTGAGAATTCATGTTATTAATATGTAACAAATAGTGATTAAGGCAGTGATAGGAATAGAGAAAAATCTCAGTATATAATACTGGTTATTATTAAAGGAAAACACTGTCATGATTTGATAGATTTTGTCCCAAAAAAATCTCATTCAAGTAAAATTAAGGATTGGTTATTAGAAGGTTAATGAAATAACTGTAGTTAATCTGCACAGCTGGCAATTAGAAATTCCAGTGTGGCCTTTGTGACCCAAATATTTCCCAGTTCCAACTGCTGTTTAGTGTACCTGCTGATATTTTTTAGCTGTACCTTAAAAATGAATGGGAAGGACTTGGAGTTTTCTAAATGTTTGGGACTTCCAAAACTTCCCAGTTAATTGACACCTGTTTCTCTCACTCTATTGAAAGACACTAGGTCAAGAGATTAGTAGATTACTGGTGACATGAGGACCCACATTTTACTTCCTTGTTTCCCTTCTTTTTTTTTTTTTTTTACCTATTCCCTCCCTTCTAATTTCTTTATCCCAATCACATTTTCACCAGGTATAAAAACTTTTGCCTGCCTCCATTTGAGAACCAGGTTTGGGTGAAAGAAATGATGGGCTATTGCAAAGCATGTTTAGGTTATGTTATCATGGTGCTTTATTGCATTATAATTCTTTGTTATTATTACCATAATAATATGCTAACTATTTTACACATTTTGTGTATTAGAATACAGATGTAATAAAATGTATACATTATTACTATACACATATTATATATTAAAAACTGCATATCAATAATGTTAAATCACATGCCTGAAATAGCATAATGAATAAGATTTGAACTGGAACAGACAATCATCTATCACTGATGGCATTTTCCCCATGTATATAATTGGGACAATTGTACCTACTACTACAGTCATTGTGAAGATTTTTGGTAATAATACATGTAAATAGCCTATGATAGTGCCCAGTATAGAACTGTTACAGATCTACCTTCTTCCACTCTGGAAAATATTCCTCATCAAATATCCAGGACCTCGTTAGTGGTACTTTGTGTACATGAGATGATCCCATCATCAAAGACCATGAAAAGACCTCACATGAGTCCTTATGACAACTTAGCACTCTATAATGCACACCTGAATTACCTAATATATAAGTGATAAGATGAACATTTGCATTTTTATTTTTGGAGTTTGTTGTTAAATTACTGACCTGGATATCTCTTCTGCTGCAAGCACCATGCTCTGGAGTTTGTTAAGTCTCCTGTGCATTGTCGCTACTTCTATAGATCATTTCTGAGTTACTTTTTATTTCTACAGTAAATTAGATTGAAAGACTGCTAGTGCTGCTCAGTGCACCCAGGAGACAGCTGTAACTTGATCAGGGTCATGCAGCCAATCAGTAATGGAGGGAAGCAGAGGTAGGAGACCTCAGAGGAGAGTATTATTAGGCCAATGATAAGCTGTTATTTGGTCCTCTGGGGAAGCAGGTCATTAGGTAGGTATCAAGGCGAGTAACATGATGCACTTGCCTGAATCATATCACTGAGTGTCTCTTGGGAACCAAAGCATCATGCACCATGGCGTTCTCTCATTCTAAAACTGAGGCTGCTCTGTCGAAGGCAACTAACATTCTGTCCTTTCCCTGGTTTCCCTACTTCTTGGTAGCCATTCTTAGGTTCACTTAGATCAAGCGAAGGAGCCAGGACAAAGCCCTGACAGGCTAGCCTGGATACTTTCCTATATTTTATGTGTGTTTTCATAGTATCATAGAATCAAAAATTTTGAGGCCAGAGTTTAATATCATCTGACATGGCCATTTCACAATACTTAAATTCTCTCTGTAATAATTCTTTTGGTAAACATTTAGTCTTCTACTTCAACACATTTCTTGTAGGGAAATTCATTACCAGGTAAGTAGTCCATTCATTTCTTCAGATTTTTCTAATTCAATAAATATCTTGCTTTCCTTAAATTTTACTTATTTGTTTCTCTATTATCTTTTTGTCATTAATAAATCATCAGATATCTGAAGTACACAATCAAGACTTTTTCTCATTTTCACCACTCTTCATGCTTTCCAATGCCAAGGAAAAAAAAATCTACAGTTCTAGTAATTCTTTATTTCTCATGTATTATGGTTTTGAATTTCCTCATCAGTGTTATTTCACACACACAAAAAAAATATATATATATAGCCTTTGGAGTCAGATCCGGCTCCATTTCTAGCCATAGCAGTAGATTTGCGATTCAGTACAAGTTACTTAAATTTCATGCCCTTATTTCCTCTTCTGAAAAATGAGATGAAAATATTTTATAATTTGATGTTTCAGGCATTTATCCAACTGACTAGTTTCTTTGTTGGAGGAGCCATATCATATGGTTGATTGATTAGGAACTTATATCAACTAAATACCCTAGATTTCCTTTCCATTTTTTTTTTTTTGTCCTTAACTCTGACCTCCTCACCTCATACTTACATAATTGGTGTTCTAACTTAACACAGTTATTTTTACTTTTCTCAAGTTTTAACTCAAAAGATTCATCCAGGAATACAGAGATTTAAGAATTGTTTCGCTATTTCTGACTAGATAGCCATATGATTGGCATTGGCTCATATTTTTATTAGGGAGTATGTGGTAGGTTAGCTTGATTGCTTAATGAAGACTACAGAAACTAAGTGCAATCCTTGGGTGGGTAACTGTTGCAGTCAGAGACTAAGCAGGATCCCTGGCTAGCCTTCTTGCAATTGCACAACAATGGTGTCATAGTGATATATTGTGCCTGGATTCAAGACTGCAGCTCATAAATGAGTTAGGGTATATTTCATGTTTATGTGTGAAGAGCAAATGTTTCTTCAACAGTAGGGTCCTCATTTGAATTAGCATAGGATTTTCATTAAAATGGACATTTTACTGTTAATCTCATAATTCGTTTATTTTTTGGAACTGGTGATATGACCCCTGAGACTCCTTAAATTTATAAAACAGCAGCTTATTGCCACCCCTACTCCAATAACAAACAGGTGGGAGTTACCAGGACTGCTAGTAAGAGTGATATATGTATATGACTTTGCTTTATTTACTCATTCAAATGTACTTGCAAATTACTTTACTTGAGTTTCATTAAGAAATTTGAAGTGACCAACACATTCCACGGTGAATTTCTAAGTAAGTTTCTGGATATTCACCTGACCCATTTTAGGCTCTTTGTGGATAAGCCTGAGTTATATTGTTTGATTTTGGCTTTCTGCATTCCTTGGCAGGGTAGCTATTAATACAAACATCCCCCTTAGTTCATTTAAATAAATGTGTGGTGGTGCATTTTTGACATATTATCTGATGTTGCAATCTTCTAAAACTGTATAAGCTGTTTCACTATTACGTCTTGCTTCTGGCCTTATCGTATTTATAGTTTTCCTTTACCATCACCACTGTCTTTGAAAAATGTTTTATATGTTATCAAAACCTTTGTATGTCCTTAAAACCTTGTTTTCTTTCTGTAAGTCTCAACAGTTTATTTAATTCCAATATCTTGGAGACTAGCCATCTTATAAATTTTCCTAGATGAAATTTATGACATCCAAAAAGTGAGTTGAGTGTTGAATTGCCTGAAGGATGTGATGTTTTAAGGACTTCTTTTGTGGATATGAAGTCATGACTGGAATAGCAAAATCTTTATTTTGTGTCGAATCTAAGTTTGCTTCCATTAATAGGAAATTTGCTAGATAAACTGCATTTATCGTTAATATTTTTATGTAAAAAAGGCTTTCAATGTTTAGACACAATCTGTTTTCAATGCTTAGCAGTGTGTAATTGAATACCAGATGTTAAATACTTGCAAAGTAAATTTTTAATGCCTATTTCTCTATAGATCTGTGTACACTTAAAAATGTTAGTCACATATATTAACTCATTTACCATAATAACTCTGTAAGTGGTTATTATCACTTCAATTTATAGACGAGTATAACTAAGTCTAGAGAGGTCAAAGGATGGGCCTCAGGTCATTCAACTATTAAAGCAACTGAGCTGAGAGTCAAATTTTAGTTTTTTTGACTGTCAACAAAATGTTATTTCAATTCTGCTGGCTGTATATTTAGGAAAAGGTCTTATTCTTGGCCCTTAAGGGACAAAAGACTTGTATATAAATAAGACAATCCCCAAAATACCAGAGGTATAAGATAGAAAAAATAAATAAATGCTGAAAGATTGTTGCAAAATCAAATATAAAGAAAAAACTGTCCTCTCTTTACGATAACATTTATAAAAACAGATTTAATTTTGTGTCAATGTCCCTGCATCTCCTGGAAGATTATTAGCTCCCTACGTTCTCAAACCTCTTCTGCCCTTCTCACAGTTGTAGTCCCAGTGACTAGCGCTGTGCTTGGCACACAGTATGCAATTAATAAAGTTTGCCATATGAATGTGAAATGCGTGCTATGAAGGCACATAGGAATTTTCTCTTTCCTGAATTTGCAGATGAGAACCCCACAAAGATTATAAAATCTTAAGGAGCAAGGAGAAAATAGCCCATGATCTATGCTCAGCCCTAGGTTCCGATTTTGCCATCTTCCTTATTCCTTGAGTGAACATGAGCAATCCTAACCCAGAGACTTGCTGGTTTAATGAGGGTAATCATTTGAAAGTAAAAAATGCAATGTTCTCCTTTAAATTTTGTAATACACATTCTTTATCCTTCTCAGGTCTTGGCTTACATCTAACTAAGGAGAGTTTAGAAATGCAAAAATAAGGAATACAAATAAAACAAACAAAAACATATTTGTGACTTGTATTTAAAATTATAATTCAATAAAACAATTCTCCAAGTTTTATACAAAATAAGATTTTTCAAAATTCCCAAATTGCATTTTAAATATCAAATATTGAAGTTCTCAGATTATTGCATTAGCCAGAATGGAAGAAAAAGTAATTATATAGAAATGAATCAACCTTTCTGGCCAAATAGATTATGGAAAGGAAGACAGAGATCTAGAGAGTTAAATGCATCTCTATTTTGTTTCCTTATACTGGCTTAGACTCAGGGAATATGAAGATGCTAAGGATAAACGACAGCAGTACTATTGCAGAAGTATTTTTAGCCGCTGTCACTAGATTACGATTCTGGAAACAAATTATTTCTCTAGCAGCTATAACACCAAACTGGGATACAGCCATCTAAATTTGGCATTTCAGAGCTTTTTTCAGTTCCCAGTGACATGAAAACTGACATGAAAGCCAAGAAGATTCCATGGATTCTGCCCTGGTGGGAAGAGGCACCACTACCCCAGAGACCAGTGGGCCCACAGGTTTGATAAAGTAAAGAAGCTATGCAAGGATTTGCAGCCAGCAGGAACTAAAGTAAGACCTTCAAATGAAGTATCACCATTCTCTGATGAAACAACATTAGAAAGACTATGGGATGTAAACCCCAAATTTCAAGCATGGAGATCATTAATGCTCTCAGTGACCAGAAAAATACAGAATACAGTAAAAGGATATCAGAAGAATCTGAAGATCTTGTCCCTCTCAACTATAAAATAAGCCATAAAATTTCATAAACCACAACTCTTTCATAAAAAGCTAGATGTCTTTTTTTTTTTTTTTTTTTTTGAGACAGAGTCTTGCCCTGTCACCCAGGCTGGAGTGCAGTGGCATGATCTTGGTTCACTGCAACCTCCACCTCCCAGATTCAAGTGGATTCAAGTGCTTCTCCTGCCTCAGCCTCCTGAGTAGTTGGGATTAGAGGGACGGGGTTTCACCGCGTTGGTCAGGCTGGTGTTGAACTCCTGACCTTAGGTGATTTGCTTGCCTTGGCCTCCCAAAGTGCTGGGATTATAGGAGTGAGCCACTGCACCTGGCCTACATGTCATCTTAATGAAAGCATCAGGGTCCTAGAGAAAGAACTGATAAATTTTAATCATATAATAATATTACCTAGAGGGATTATTTAAACTACTTAGCAGGCTAAGTTTATCAAATGGGATTAAATGAAATTTCTTAATTTTCTTTTCTTTCTTTTTTTTTTTTTTTTGAGACAGAGTCTTGCTCTGTCCAGGCTGGACTGCAGTGGTGTGATCTTGGCTCACTGCAACCTCTGCCTCCTGGGTTCAATTGATTCTCATGTCTCAGCCTCCTTAGTAGCTGGGATTACAGGCATGCACCACCACGCCCAGCTAATTTACATATTTTTAGTAGAGACAGGGTTTCACCATGTTGCCAAGGCTGGTCTCGAACTCCTGACTTCAGATGATCTGCCCACCTTGGCCTCCCAAAGTGTTGGGATACAGGCGTGAGCCACGGTGCCTGGCCCCAAATTTCTTAATTCTCTAATTAAATAGAAAGTGGCATTTTAAGTAAGAATAGGTTCATAACAGACTGAAAGTACTATTTTTATTTTTTTCCCATAGGTTCCAATTGTAGTGCAATTGAGTTTTGAGACTCATTACATTAATAAAATATGGATTTTTTTTGAGTTCTGTTTTCTCAACATCGGCAATAGGACAGCTGAAGTTAGACAATCTGCATTTTGTGTATGTTTGTTATTGTCATAAGAGCAATAGGTTTTTCCAGTGTTCTTATCCCTTTGCTAGTTGATAGAAGAAACACAGGTGATAGCACTGCTCGGGGTTCAGATGGCAAAAACAATTCAATCAAAAATTGGTAGCCTGGGGTTTCCAGTTTCAGGTCCAACATCTAAAGAACTGTCCATCACTACCACCCTTACAACAAGAAAAACCTGAGCAAAAATCTTACCTTGAAATTACCCAGGAACTGCAGTTACAAGGCAAACTGCATCTCCCAAAATCTGGAGAAAGAAGCACTTACAGAGAGAGACAGCTGAGGCTTGCTCACCTGGAACAAAAGCTGTTAAATCTCTTAGATGGTTAGAGGCAGCTAAGTGCTAGTTTTGATGATGTGCTGAAGGTTGAGCGCAGACTATCATGAGAATGAGAAACACCTGGGGATCTTAGTCATAAGGTAAACCACATATTTTCACAGGCTTTCACTCCAGGAAACCCTCGAGGTTCCCACTGTGAGGAACTGAGAAAGATCACCTCCTGGCCCTGGCAGGAATAGGGAAAAAAAATGCTCTCATGAAACCCATCCAGTGTCTTCTCTTAACAAAGACCTAGCATCCTGAGGAAGGAATTTTCCAGAGCATATGCTGAAACTTGATTCAAGCTAGGGGAAGGAGATTCCTTCACACTCCAGCCCTCTCCTAACTTCCACCTCACCTAACAGGGTAAAGGCGAGGGTAGACAACAGGGGAAAAGGCTTCAAGACAGTAGATTAGTGTACTGCAACCAGAAGAGACAGTAGGGAAAAGCAAGCAAAACAAGCAAACAAAAAATGACCTTGGAAGATAGACTAGAATACTTTTGATGGCCATATCCCTGAAACATTGGTCCGCTGAGACTAACACTTCATTAGAAGATTATAGAAATATGCCTCTTATTCGCATGCTTCCATGACAACAGAAAGCTTCAAATATAATAATAATAGTAATAATAATGAATTATGGCTGAAAGAGCTGCAAGTCTCAGATCTTCTTTAAGCATCATTACAAAGGGAAACTCAAAGTCAAGGAGTACAAACGCAAGAACAGGAGAGGAGTTTGAAGCCTCGGGTACTTCTGTGAGACATTAAACAGAGCTCAACTAGCCACATTAACATAAATCCTCACATTGAAGGCCTATTTACTTCACTTCTGTAGCATGCTTGGCTTTCAACAAAAAAATTATCCATACCAAAAGACGAGAAAAAAACACAGTCTAAAGAGACAAAGCCAGTATCAGAATCAGTCTCAGATATAACAAAAATATTGAAATTATCAGATAGATAGGATATTTAAAATAATTGTGGTTAAGATCAAACAACTTTTAATAGGAAAACACACACACATACAACGTACAAGACCAGATGGACACTGTAATCAGAAAAAGAGGAATGATGGAAAAAAAAAGGAAATGTTGTAAATTACAAAAATAATCACAGAAATGAAGAATACATTCAACAGGATTATCATTAGATTCCACACATCTGGGGAATTACTCAATGAACTTAAATATAGGCCAACAGAAATTTTGCAAATTAAAAAGCACAGATTAAAAAGAGTGAAACAAAAAAAGACAAGAAAAAATAGATCAGAATATGTAAGAACTGCAGGATAAAAGGTGTGATACAGGTAACCGGAATACCAGAAAGAGAAGAAAGAGAGAATGAAGCAGAAGAAATATTTAAAGTAGTAATGACTGAAAGCTTCCTCCAATTATTGAAAATACCAAATCATAGATTCAGAAAATTCAGATTATATCAAACTGATTCATCTACTTACCATTCCGCTACCCTCTCCTTCCACAAGAAAACACCTAAGCAAATTATATTCAAACTGAAGTAAACAAAGGCAACAAATATTGAAATCAGCCAGAAGAAGAAAAAAATAGTTTAAGTATAGAGTAACAAGATTAACTATTACTCTCATCAGAAAACAAACAGCAGGAAAATAGGGAAATAAACTATTTAATGTATGAAAGACAAAAAAACACCAAACTCAAATTTCAGATCCAGCGAAATTATCCTTCAAAAGTGAAGAAGAAATAGAGAACTCTCAGATGAACAAGAACCCAGGGGCTTCATTGCCTGCAGATCTTCTGTACAAGAAATATTAAAGTAAGTTATTTATGAATGAAAAGAAGATATTAAAAACTTGCATATACACAAAAAAGAGCATCAGAAAGAAAATAAATGAAGGTAAAATAAAGCATTTTATCTTTTAAACGTTCTTAATTTATCTAAAAGAAAACAATGTTTTAATCAGCTCGGGTATCATAACAAAATAACTGAGATTGGCTTACACAACAGAAATTTTATTTTCTCACCATTTTGGAAGCTGGCTGCGTTCTTCCCCGAAAGAAACCATAAAGCCAGTCTAACAATAAGAAAAATGTGACAAATGAATCTGAAGTATATTCTACAAAATATTTTATCTGTATTCCTCAAAAAAACAAAAAAAACAGAGAAAACATCTTAGTCTAAAGCAGTCTAAGGAGAAAAGACAAATATAATATGAAATCCTAATAGAATGCTGGAATAACAAAAAATATTAGGTAACAACGAAGGAAATCTGAATAATATATTGATTTTAGTGAATAACTATCAATGTTGGTTTATCAGTTTTGACAGATGTGCCATGGTAAAGTATGATGTTAGTAATGATGTCAACTGGGTTTAAGATATACGGGTACTCTCCGTGCTATTCTTACAATGTTTCTGTAAATTTAAAGCTATCCTAGAGTAAATAATTTAAAATATTTCATGTTGCCTCATGGTCAGAATAATAAATATGAACTCTCATTCAAAATTTGGGATGACTGTTAGTCTCCATTTTTACCTACACAGCAATTGAAAACTAGAGACAAATTTGAATTTAAGTGCCTATTTGAGACACACACCCTCCACTTTGCCCTTGTCCCAGTCACCTATTTCCTTGAGTATGCTCTACTTCATACATTTTTGTTACGTACCTATCTTCTTTAGGCATGTGAGTTTCAATCACTGATATAAAATCTATAACAGCCTAGAAATAATTTTGTACTGATAAATAAAATTTGATCATAAAAAATGTTTTAATCTGAAACATTCTCATGTCCTGACTCCCTAGATAAGATTAAGCAGTTGAAACAGACGTAGAACTGCCTCCCCATGCCCACTCCACCAGCACTACACAATACCCATGATGTGAGGGAGCTCAGAAGGTTTGAAAGGGAGGGACAAATGTGAATCAGTCTTGTTTGGTAAGGGGAGTGGATCTAATGAACAGTGAATTTATAAGATGGCCTAGCTCTTGCCAGGACAGTGGGCTTCACCCTTGATTGTTTATAATTATGCTCTCAGTCCCTATTGGAACTCTCTGATTCTTACTTAGAACAAACAACATCAGTTAAAATGGAAGACCTAGAATTAACTAAGTCTTAGTTTAAGATGAGTAATTTGGTGTCAAAACTATTTCAGCCACATTTATTTTAAGAGAAATAAATAAGTCTAGTTAAAATTCTTGGTGTTAAAGAAAACATAAACCACTTGAGCTGTAAGGGTAGACAATGAATTGAGCAATACTCCTATACTTTAACCCACCAAAGCCATCATCAATATATAATATGGCATATTGATGATATAATTTGGCTGATGATATGTGCAAAAGACTTAGAATGTACTAGCAGGTAGAACATATTAAAAACGTACAGATTGGCTTTCATTCTGATGTGTAGTAAATATGCAGGATGGAAGAATGGAGAGTTGGGGAAAGGAAGAACAGAGCCTATGGAAGAAATACCAAAGGAAATAGAAAGTACAGGGTGTATTTGACAGGGATAGGAAGTTTTAAAGCTCAGCTAGAGAAGTTTCAGGAAATATTCATGATGTATTTCTTAAATTTTGTTTTCACCTAAAAAAAGTGGCAACCACAAAAACAGAAGTTTCATAAAACATTTAACTGGATTAACTTTGAGGACAGATCCAACTAGAATAATTTAGGGGTATCATCACACATTCCATTTTCATCCAAGAAACTAGCAGTGTGCCTTAAATGTCGTAAGTACTGAATTACTAATTATTTAATTTATCCCTTTTGTTTTATATATATAACATATGTTATACATATCATGTTTTATATATGTTATATATGATATATATGTTATGATATATATCATAGATAATATATATCATATATGTTGTATATAGTGTTATATATATCATATATAACATATATGTTATATATCATGTTATATAATATATGATATATATCATAATACATATAACATATATAACTATATATGTTATATATATAACATATATATACACATATATATGTTCTTGTATGGTCCTCTTCACATAAAAAGAAAAGACTTTCTGGAACTCACTTGCCTTTGATATTTCTCTCTATTTGATTAGACTTCATTATGCAAATCAAAACCACAATGAGATACTATCTCACACCAGTTAGAATGGCAATCATTAAAAAGTCAGGAAACAACAGGTGCTGGAGAGGATGTGGAGAAACAGGAACACTTTTACACTGTTGGTGGGACTGTAAACTAGTTCAACCATTGTGGAAGTCAGTGTGGCGATTCCTCAGGGATCTAGAACTAGAAATACCATTTGACCCAGCCATCCCATTACTGGGTATATACCCAAAGGACTATAAATCATGCTGCTATAAAGACACATGCACATGTATGTTTATTGCAGCACTATTCACAATAGCAAAGACTTGGAACCAACCCAAATGTCCAACAATGATAGACTGGATTAAGAAAATGTGGCACATATACACCATGGAATACTATGCAGCCATAAAAAATGATGAGTTCATGTCCTTTGTGGGGACATGGATGAAATTGGAAATCATCATTCTCAGTAAACTATCGCAAGAACAAAAAACCAAACACCGCATATTCTCACTCATAGGTGGGAATTGAACAATGAGAACACATGGACACAGGAAGGGGAACATCACACACTGGGGCCTGTTGTGGGGTGGGGGGAGTGGGGAGGGATAGCATTAGGTGATATACCTAATGCTAAATGACGAGTTAATGGGTGCAGCACACCAGCATGGCACATGTATACATATGTAACTAACCTGCACATTGTGCACATGTACCCTAAAACTTAAAGTATAATAATAATAATAATAATAATAAAAGAAAAAAATAAAAAATAAAAAGCTAAGCCAAATTGGCCAGGCACAATGGCTCAGGCCTGTAATCCCAGCACTTTGGGAGGCCGAGGCAGGCAGATCATTTGAGGTCAGGAGTTCGAGACCAGCCTGGCCAACATGGCGAAAACCCACCTCTACTAAAATATATAAAAATTAGCATCACTTAAAAAAAAAATATTAGAGACTATACATAAATGAATAACAAAATGTACTGCATACTGATGAAGATTTGAAAGAAACATATTTAATTTCTTAACTTAGTCCATATATTTTTCTTATAAAATAAATTTTTCTTATAAATCTGAAAATTATTACCTATAAGAATATTTGTTTTTTGTTCAGATTCTACTCATAAACCATGCCCTGGACTCTTCTCAATGGTTCGAAAGAGATTGCTGTTTTTTTGTTTCTTTGGTAAATGTAATATAAGCAGCAAAGAAGCAAAGGAAAGAAGAACTCTCTACATATTTGAGTCAGGAATTAAACTTTATTCAAAATCCTTTCCAATAGTACCTTCCCTCTTCCAAGTCCTTCAGAGTGTCGAGAGAAAAAAATTCAATCAAGATCCCATTTCACTTTATGACAGACCAAAGCTATTTCTTCTTCTCCTTCTTCTTTTCCGGAATTTCTGCATTTAAAAATTATTTTGTAATTTTTAATTTAAAAATTGTATGGAATTTTCCAGTTTTAATATGAACTGAATTTCCTTTTCCCTGAGACCTAGGAGAAGCAAGAAAGAAAATAAAATTGTTGATAAATAAAATGTTTCTCTGAGGAAGACAATTATACATGCAACTAATTACAATTACAAAGGGATGAAATACATTCTCTAACACTACTGTATGGGAGCCCAGAAAAAGAAATGATTAATTACAATAGGTGAATGGATTAAATACAAAGAAAAACTCCATGGGAAAAAAAATAAAACATTGAAATTGGCTCAGAATCATAAACAAGAGTGGCCATGCTGGAAGTCAGAGGGGTGATATCCCAGGCTCAGAGAAAAACTTGACCAAAATACAAAGCTGAAATCACATCTGATTGAGTTGGAATAGAAACCAATTCAATATGGTTAGAATGTAGTTTATTTGAAAGTGTATAATAGGAGCCAAGGCAGGCCAGGAACATGGCTAAATAGGTTAGAGGCTTGGTTAAATAATTTAGTTTTTATAGGTAAAAATTAACTGCTGAAACTTCTGAAAAGGAGAGTGCTAGAACCTATTCTATAAACTAAGTCAACCAATTGCTTCCTTTTTATTCAATGTCAAGACATACAGGCTAAAATGTTGAATAATACTCCATTCTTACAGTGAGAAATTTTATGAAATGAATTATGCCCCCACAACCTTCATGTTGAAGCCCTAACTGCTTATGTGATTGTATTTAGAAATAGGGCCTTTAAAGAAGTAATTTTGGTTAAATAAGGCCCTGAAGGTGAAGTCATAATCTAGTATGACTTATTGTCCTTATAAGGAGCCTGGTCTGTAAAGTTTCCTCTACCACCTTATCCCCTTTTCGTGATTGTTATGGTTTCGCTCTGTCCCTGCCCAGCCCAAATCTCACCTTGAATTGTAATAATCCCCACGTGTCAAGGGTGGGACCAGGTGGAGATAATTGAATCATGGGCGTGGTTTCCTCCATACTATTCTTGTGGTGGTGAATAAGTCTCACAAGATCTGATGGTTTTATAAAAGGGAGCTCCCTTACCAAGCTCTCTTGCCTTGTGTTATGCGACATGTGACTTTGTTCTTCATTTGCCTTCCACCGTGATTGTGAGGCCTCCGCAGCCATGTGGAACTGTGAGTCAATTAAATTTCTTTCTTTTATAAATTAAGTCTCGGGTATGTCTTTATCAGCAGCGCGAGAACAGACTAAACACTGATTTATTTTTCTCCATAGTTTTTATCACCAGCTGATATTCTACATATTTTATTTCTTGATTTGTCTCACTTTCTCAACTACAATGTGTTCAATAAGGAATTGGGGGGCTTGTTTGTTTTGTTTTTTTCCCTACTGTAGCCGCAAAACAGCCATACAACAGTGTGGGGCACATATTAAGAAATGAACAGGTATTTGCTGAATACTGAGTGCATGTACATAAAAAAAGAAAGAATATAGACAAAAAGGAAGACTTAAAAATAATTTAAATAGCTTACATTTATGAAATATGATTATTCTATACGAAGAACACAAAAATTATGAAAAGTTGCTGGTTTGAGGAAAAATTAATAGTTAGCTTCATATATATAGGTCTATATATAAGTCTGTAGGAAGCAGTGACATCTGTGTTTTAGATAGTGGGAAAAATGGGTCTAGAGTCCTAAGAAAAGATTAGACGTATAAAAATAGCCCCAAGAGATCTTCAACAATTAAAAGAGCACTTTTTATGAGAAATGTGGCCCTTAATGTCAGAAATCATTTTAAATTTAACTATATTTTCAATGATTATTTTACTAACCCCTATCTGCTTGTTAGTAACATCAGACATCATATATACACAAGATTGTTGGCATTCAATTTTTTAAATATGTTTTCCAAATGTGGGATTAATTAGTCCTCTTTGACAAGGCACTTGGGTCAGTGGCTTAGGTGTCTGTTAATAGTTTTAAAGAGTGTGAATTGTCCTTTCCATTACTTAACAAAAAGGGTCTATTCTCAGTAGACCTCTGCAGGTCTGGAAGGAGAGAGCCACTAACAGTCTCTGGGTTTTGTCAACATACTTAAAAGTAACATTTTCAAATGTAATTGTGATTATGCAGAGGCACTGGTGCTCTTCCTTCACCTTCCCTCTTTGGGTACTCTGGGTGTGACACCAGGATTTCCCTTTAATTTATCTGAAGCTATGTCAACTCTCTAACATGCAAAATGAAATGGGATAATGGGAGCGTATTTCACAATATTTTTCACTTCAAATTCAATAATTTTAACTCTAGATTAATTTTCAGCCAATTTTATCCAAATAAATGGTAGTGAGCCAGTTCTCTATTATATTAGAAAGTTAAATTATTTTAAAAAGGCAACAAATGCTACTATGTTTTATAAAGAAATGATTAGTATGCACTTATATTTTCCTAACAAAAATATTGAAGGAGTCAAATGGACAGAGGTAGAGGGGTAATGTGATAAGAGTAATCAGAAACATGTGCTTTAGAATGAGAGGATAATGAGCAAAAGAACCAAGTCTCAGCTGTTTGACCGTAAGTGAGACAAGAGTCTCATTTGCTACAGATTCTTCTTCTGTGAAATGGGGATCATCACACTCATGTAATACCGTTGATTAGATGAGTTAATGTAGGTCGATTTTTGGCAACATTTTCTGTAGTTTGGAAGAACTCAATAAATGGCAGCTATTAATAGAAAATAGGCAGAGATAATAGAGCTTTGAAAAGTGGAATTTCCTAAACTATGCCTAGTGTTCCATTACTGGAATGCTTAGCACGCGGGAGTTATTTATAGCCCACTGCTCAGGGTCATCACCAAGGTCTGATAGCAAATATTCAAAAAAATTGTAACCTCAGGCATAAGTGGGTTAAAATGATTCAAACTAAAAGGTATAATTTATTAGGCCAAATGAGTGGTTTTGAAGGTTAGTTTAAGAAAGAACTGCATAACAAATACAAGTTCTCATGTTTCTTTTTTTTTTTTTATCTTCAAAGGATTATGTTAACACACAGAACTCCTTGAGAGCTGCAACTGAGATCATTGTAGCTTCAAAATGTCATTGACATAGAAAAAAAAGTCCCATCAACTTATTTCAGGAAATAACTTAAGGATTGTGGAACGTGAGAGAAAGGCATAATTATCTTAGATAGTCTATGCATTTTTTGGAGGAAAAGAATTCAGAGGATCTGTGTAAGTCTTTCATAATCTGAAGACAGCTCATTTTGAAGTGCACTTAATGAGCTGGTCCTACAAAAGAACTTAAAAGTAAACACATTGCAGACCTAAGAGAAAGAACAATGTACTGGTACAGCACTCTTTTCATCTAGGTGGTTCTCCTGTTACCTGAGAGAGCTTTTACTAACCTCAGCCAATAGGATGGACTGGATCAGTGGCCTGGAGCTAAAGTGCAGTAACAACATCTCATAAAGGCAGCAAACCATATAGGTTTACATTGGCTTTGAAGTAAGAGTGTCAGGGTTCTAAAGTCTCCATTATTGGTTAGCAGTGACACTAAGGTCAAGTTACTTAATTTCTCCAAGTCTCACATTCTTCATTTGTATAATTGGGATAATGATAGTACCTATTTCATAGGATTTATCAGAAATTAAATAAGGTAATTCATTTAAAGCATAGCATACCACCTGGCACACAGTAGCGGATCACTAAACGGATTACTGGCTGTTATGATGCAAATAAAAAACATTTAATTCTTTTATTTACAAAAGGTAAAGAAAACTCAGAGCTGGGCATCAAACATTCATCTTTGTATTTCCAATTACATTTCAAGAAGGACTGCTTTAATGCTTACATATTTTTAATAACATTTTCTTCTGCACCAAAGAGTTTTCTATACAGATAAAATTTTAGGGAGAAGGAGATATTATGGGAGATTGTATAATCTAAGATTGTTTGTGAAATTATTTCAAAGTCTCTCATATTTCTTGCAGTGAAGAGGGGTAGAAATACAACCTTAGGAAAATAATCAAGTCACCCACCCCACGGGCCCCTCTAGCCTAAGTGAACACACAGAGGAGAATTGGAAGTGCGTGGAGCATGGTGCTGGGAATGTAGTCTCAGCAGACCTCACCACAAGACAGCATTTTCTTGAATCTTGATTACTTTAATGAAGCATTTCAGGTCACCGGCCTCAAATTTTACAAATATGAATTTACGTTAGTTTCTTCAGTCTCTTAAAAACACTTTCTGTAGCTCTGTACCTGATTTTAAAATAACACTTATATCTGTTATTTACAAGCCAAATTTCCATGGAAAATAAACATATCTTTGGAAATTGCTGAACTCTTGGACAATTCTAGTGAGTCTTTTCCTCTCTTTAAATTTATTTGAAGACATGGAGTCTCTTTTACTCTCTATTCTCTCTATTTATTTTTTATTCATTTTGTAACATAAAAGATAACCTCTGATAACCTACTATTCCTTATGTGGTTTATATTATCCAACCTTAATACTCCCTTTTATTGGTACAAGTATTAATGGACTTTTTTTCTTGTTTTTACCAGTTTTGCTGTTTCTGAGATAAATATTATTGACTATAAAAGTAAGAATGCATCATTCAAAAGCATCTGTGTTTTTTTTTCCAACACATGACAAATTATGTGTGAATAACTTACTGTCTGACAAAGGCTACTGTGACAGTGAAAAGCTCTGAAAAAAACTAGAAGGAAAACAAAATTAACTTAAGAAAAATCTTAATTTTAAGGTAAATTTCTTCCTTTGCCCAATTTTGTTATAGTAAATTGAGGTTACATTTTAATATAGGGTTCAGACACAAAGATTACTCATCTTAGATTGGTAACTATATATATATATGTACGTGTATATAAATATATGTATAAATATATATAAATATATATATATATATAAAATCTCCACACATATCCACACACACACACACACACGTATATATACACATATCTTGTTAATATTAAATGTATATGGTTTCTCAGGATACCATTTACACAATTTCTTCACTAATCACCTTCCCTTTTATTTGATGCTTTTTTTAGTTCTAATTCCTCATCTTAATTTTGAATCCAGAAAATATTAATATTTAATGGTAATTTTCTTAGCCCTTTCACATAAATTATGTTTTAATTTTAGCCACCTTAAAAGGGCATATGAAAGAAATGCTATCATATTTATCACCATCTTGCAGATAGAGAAACTTAGGAAATTGCCTTTTGCTAGAAGTCAGCAAAATAATAAAAAGTCGAGCTAGCTCCCTATTTTCTAGTGTTTCCATATTTGGCACTAGCTGCAATATTAAGCAAAAGCATTGACTTATAGAATGCAGTATATGGTGTTAGGTGGCACATGGGAAACATAATGTCTGAGATGTGTCAGACAAGTCTGAAGTCTGGCTGCTGCCCAGAGGCCCCACTTTTCTTTCCCATAAGAGCCACCATTTTGCTTGAAATGCTATTTTCTACCATGCCTACCTGGTTGGCTCCAACTCCTCCTGCAGGACATAGAGGAGATGCTCCCTTTCCTGGAATATCTTTCTTTTCTGACCCCTCTATCTCTAATGAAAAGTTCTTTCATCTGATGCTATAATGTGCTGGGTTATCTCATTCATTGATTGAGCAATTATAGAACACTGTACTCTTAGAAATTAGAAAGGAATCACATTGTAATCACCTTCTTTGTTCAAATACCAACTCCTCGCTGAAACCTAGGAAACTATTTCTGGGCTGGCAAAATCTACCTATAGACAAATAAGCATTTGTTGACACATAATTTTTTTTTATTTTTGTTTTTGTTTATTTCTGTGCCTATATCCACCAAAAGATTATCATCAATTTGGAGGTTTAAATTTGCACTTGTAAGTTTTACATTCTCAGAGATCAGAACATCTCCTGAATTTTATAAAAGAAATTAAGAGAGAAAAGGATAGCTAAAGAATGCATGCTTTAAGTGCTTGACCAAGTAGACATTTAATAATCTTTCAGGCTGTGTGACAAAGATAACTCTTCATATATCATCAGCTACACTAATCCTGTTCTCAGTACAACTCTGTAGACCCAGGCCTGATTATTAGGGAAAACAATATATTGTTTCTATGATATGTTGATTGTTAATAATTGTGGTCAACTAAACCATATTACACATATTAAAATCTATTCCCTAGTAGTCATCATTTTCTTCAGTTCTACTGGCTCCAGACAGTCTGGCATTGAATCAATTCTTTGTTCTGTGGAAGAAAAAAGAAGTATATTTAGAACAGGAATGATTAAAAATAAACTAATATCATTCCACCTGGAGTTTATTTGTAAGAAACCATCTGGCCATGCTTGGATCAATACTATCAGGAAGCTTGAAAAATTAAGCTAGTATGATAACTTTCCTTGGTGACTGGTTATTAAAAGAAAATAAGGTGGTACTTATTTTGAGGGGCTTCTTTTAATAAAAGCTTGTGCTTCCCTGAATCTTAAATATAAAATGTAGATTTCCATGGGAGGACTGGAGACCTTAGAAATGATTCAAGTCAGGTGTTAGATAATGTCACAACATTATGTGATATATTAGAGAATGCCACAGGATGTTGAAATGTAGTATACATAGTTTTTTAACTATAGAGAAACCATTTGTAAAAGCAGAAGGAAATCAAAATATGAGAATGTTTATTAATTGTGATGATTTATTCAGTAATAGTTATGGAGACTATATTTTGTGTCAAACACTATGCTGAGCATCAGAAAGATTTAGGAGAGATGAAATTATCTCCTCAAGAGATTACAGTGTAGTGTGGCAAGGGGAAAAATCAATAGGTAAAAAATTATTATAAAGTATGAGATAATAGTAGAGTTGAGGTGTGTATAAGGTGGACTGGGATGCAAAGGAAGGCCATACAACTTGCAGTAGTATAAGGAGTTCTTAGAAAACTCTATAGAGTAGGAAATGCTCGCCCTGAGCCTTAAAAAATAAAATAAATGGACATATCTTCAAAGTAGATAAAGGATTCCAGTAGGAGAAACCAGATGGGCTAAGACAAGATCAAAGCATAATAATTTGGCAGAATGAGTAGTAATTTGGTACAGCTAAAGAATAGGGTTTCTTAAAGCTGGTATCAGTTTTGCAAATGTGGAGTTAAATTTAATCTTAAGAGTATACCCCAATTAAGTAAGCTAAACATTTTTCAGCAATTAACTTCACATACATAAATATGAAGCAAAACCCACAGAGATTCTTAAGCATATGCAAATGAGAGAAACTTTATTTGGGGTACCTGGGAATGTTATATCATCCTTGTGGTGTTCATAGGTTAAGTGATTAGACAATTGAGAGCATTGACTTTGGAGGCAGAAAAAGCTATTGTCACATCCTCACTTTGCCACTTATTACCTGGGTGACTTTGGGAACATTACATAAACTGCTTAATGTTAGTTTACTTGGCACACAAGATAATGTAAATAATAAACTCTTCTTGCAGAGGTATGCCTGGAACCTAGTAGGTCTTCAGGGAATAACAGCTATTATCTTTGTCATGCTGCTAATTACAATATTTTCAATTTGGTCTAGAAGAAGTATTACTATAACAAATAAGACATTGCACTTAGATAATATACAACATATTTTCTTTTTTTTATTATACTTAAAGTTCTAGGGTACATATGCACAATGTGCAGGTTTGTTACATATGTATACATGTGCCATGTTGGTGTGCTGCACCTGCTGCACCCATTAACTCGTCATTTACATTAGGTATATCTCCTAATGCTATCCCTCCCCGCTCCCCCCAACCCATGACAGGCCCCAGTGTGTGATGTTCCCTTTCCTGTGTCCAAATGCTCTCATTGTTCAATTCCCACCTATGAGTGAGAACACGCGGTGTTTGAATTTTTGTCCTTGCGATAGTTTGCTGAGAATGATGGTTTCCAGCTTCATCCATGTCCCTGCAAAGGACATGAACTCATCCTTTTTTATGGCTGCATAGTATTCCATGGTGTATATGTGCCACATTTTCTTAATCCAGTCTATCATTGATGGACATTTGGGTTGGTTCCAAGTCTTTGCTATTGTGAATAGTGCTGCAATAAACATACGTGTGCATGTGTCTTTATAGCAGCATGATTTATAATCCTTTGGGTATATACCCAGTAATGGGATGGCTGGGTCAAATGGTATTTCTAGTTCTAGATCCCTGAGGAATCGCCACACTGACTTCCACAATGGTTGAACTAGTATACAATCCCACCCAACAACAGTTTAAAAGTTTTCCTATTTCTCCACATCTTCTCCAGGACCTGTTGTTTCCTGACTTTTTAATGATTGCCATTCTAACTGCTGTGAGATGGTATCTCATTGTGGTTTTGATTTGCATTTCTCTGATGGCCAGTGATGATGAGCATTTTTTCATGTGTCTGTTGGCTGCATAAATGTCTTCTTTTGAGAAGTGTCTGTTCATACCATTTGCCCACTTTTTTATGGGGTTGTTTTTTTCTTGTACATTTGTTTAAGTTCTTTGTAGATTCTGGATATTAGCCCTTTGTCAGATGAGTAGATTGCAAATATTTTCTCCCATTCTGTACGTTGCCTGTTCACTCTGATGGTAGTTTCTTTTGCTGTGCAGAAGCTCTTTAGCTTAATTAGATCCCATTTGTCAATTTTGGCTTTTGTTGCCATTGCTTTTGGTGTTTTAGACATGAAGTCCTTGCCCATGCCTATGTCCTGAATGGTATTGCCTAGGTTTTCTTCTAGGGTTCTTATGGTTTTAAGTCTAACATTTAAGTCTTTAATCCATCTTGAATTTTTGTATAGGGTGTAAGGAAGGGATCCAGTTTCAGCTTTCTACATATGGCTGGCCAGTTTTCCCAGCACCATTTATTAAATAGGGAATCCTTTCCCCATTTCTTGTTTTTGTCAGGTTTGTCAAAGATCTGATGGTTGTAGATGTGTGGTATTATTTCTGAGGCTTCTGTTCTGTTCCATTGGTCTATATCTCTGTTTCGGTACCAGTACCATGCTGTTTTGGTTACTGTAGCCTTGTAGTATAGTTTGAAGTCAGGTAGTGTGATGCCTCCAGCTTTGTTCTTCTGGCTTAGGATTGACTTCGAAATGCGTGCTCTTTTTTGGTTCCATATGAACTTTAAAGTAGTTTTTTCCAATTCTGTGAAGAAAGTCATTGGTAGCTTGTTGGGGATGGCATTGAATCTGCAAATTTCCTTGGGCGGTATGGCCATTTTCACAATATTGATTCTTCCTATCCATGAGCATGGAATGTTCTTCCATTTGTTTGTGTCCTCTTTTATTTTATTGAGCAGTGGTTTGTAGTTCTCCTTGAAGACCTCCTTCACATCCGTTCTAAGTTGGATTCCTAGGTATTTTATTCTCTTTGAAGCAATTGTGAATGGGAGTTCACTCCTGATTTTGCTCTCTGTCTGTTACTGGTGTATAAGAATGCTTGTTGGTTTTTGCACATTGATTTTGTATCCTGAGACTGCTGAAGTTGCTTATCAGCTTAAGGAGATTTTGAGATGAGATGATGGGGTTTTCTAAATATACAATCATGTCATCTGCAAACAGGGACAAGACAGGGATGCCCTCTCTCACCACTCCTATTCAACATAGTGTTCGAAGTTCTGGCCAGGGCAATCAGGCAGGAGAAAGAAATAAAGGGTATTCAATTAGGAAAAGAGGAACACAACATATTTTCTAATCAGTCAAACTTACGGGCAGGGCGTCTTCATCCCATGTGGGGCTATCCTTTTTACTAAAAATGTCTCAAGCCAGTCAGAAACTACAAGAGCAGAATTGTTATAACGTGAGTATAACTTTTGAGTCCTTTTCCACTACTGACTTCGTATTTCATGTCCCGTTCAAGCTTTGCTGTTTTCTTCGTAGAAATAGGCAACATAAACACAGATATGGCCACAAAGTGAAGTGGTGATACAATTTTTTTCAGTGTAATGATCAATTGTTAAATATATAAAATTTAATAAACAGCTTTCCAAGCTTTTGAACAATGATTACTAATTGATTAGTTAAATTATCTTATGTGATTTAGACCACAATTTCAAACCAGTATATCTTATTCCTCTAACTACTTTTAAGATAGAATATATATAAATACCATAATTTCAAAACTATTCCTAGAGTTATAATAAAGCCTGAGACATCAACACTGATTTTAATTCATATTTCTCTTTTAGATCTTATGTTTTTCAAATGTTATACTTATTTTGAGAGCTTATTAGGGTTTTTTTATTTTGATGCTTTCCTAGGGTTTCTGTAATCCCATTAATTAAAAGTCTCATAATATAATACGTAAAACTTTGCTGTAGGAAAATAAAGGACTCCATTTAATGTTCCTACAAACAGGTCTAATATCTCAACCAATAAATAAATCAAGTGATGTTGTTCTTATTGTTATTGCTCTGTTATATATTGAAGGGTTAACCTGTCACAGGCACTATGCTAATGGCTGTAAAAAATGTGTCCTTATTAATTTTCAGGACATCCTTGTGAGTTAGCTACTGTAATAATCTGCATTTTAGAGGTAGGAAAATTGAGGCTTAAAGTGGTTAAGTTTGATCTCACCCAAGGTCAAACATTTACTAAGTGGTAGATCTAGAACCTGAATCCAGCCTATATTCTAACTCTCATAAAACTAACGACTTTGTTCAGGATAAAATTATATTATTGTAAATATAGAATATTTTATACAATTCTAAAAAGGGCAGGAAATAAATGTCTCTATTTGCAATGTCTTTTTCGTGGCCTTGTTCTAATGTGTAGAAGTCTTGAAGGAGCAGACTGCAAACACGGTACATCCCCTAGCCTTTATACATCATATTATTCTTCCCTCTGATCATATATTAAGAAATATTTATTGAACGGCTACTTTGAATTAGGAACCGGGGTTTCTGTGATGCTCAAAGCATGTTTGCTACCTTTTCAGCTCTATAGAATGTACAATAATAAGAAAAATAGGGTTAAGCAATGCTTATAATACATTATGACAAGTGGTACATAACAATATTGGAAGGCATGAATAACTCTGCCTAGGTTGGAATTAACAAATTTCTTTTTTGATAAACTGTATTATAATAGGATAGTGCTATAGTGACAAATATAATTGATTTTTTTTTAGCTGGGCCATGAAAGAGTGCTTGTAAGGTTAACTAATAGCCACGTACATTTCTGACAGAATTACTCTATAAGGCATATTTATGGATTCATTTTAACTATAAATCAAAAAGCAAATGCCTGGGCTGCCTCCAATTTTGAGCAAGTGCCAACAACTCTAGAGTCTCCCTTACAGTTCCTTCTAAGTCTCCCTCCTATTTATTTCTTTCTCAAAATTCAGTGTTTTATCCTGTTTGGGAGTCAGCCAGACTTGCAAGATTATAGGTCACTTACCTTAGAAGAGGTTCAAGAGGGACTGTTACATGCGCTATATTCAAGGACAAGCCAGGATTCCTGTTGCCCAGCAGGTATTGGTCTGACTCTCTTAGGTGGAGAATAACCTGAAATCTTGCATACCTTCCTGAAAAATGTGACACTTGATGGAAGTGTCCAGTCACTATGATAGGATGGGATACTTTAGTACATATGATAGCAAAATTTATTAAAATAATCCTTTATATTTTGTTTATATTGCTATTGAAATAAGGCTATAAAAATTACTAAAAATAATGGTCAGTTTTGACTCCCTTCCCTTCCTGACTGCAACCAGTGATGTTTTGAAAAAAGCAATATTATTTTTGTTTTTTTGTTTTTTTTTTGAGACAAGATCTTGGTCTGTTGCCCAGGCTGGAGTACAGTGATGAGATCAAAACTCACTGCAGCCGCAACCTCCAGGGCTCAAGCAATTATTCTACCTCAGCCTCCCAAGTAGCTGGGACTTCAGATGAACAGCACCATGCCCAGCTAATTTTTGTATTTTTTGTAGAGATGGGGTTTTGCCATGTTGCCCAAGCTGGTCTTGAACTCCTGGACTCAAGAGAAATGCAATACTTTAAAGAGCTGACATTGACTTTGTTCCAGAGTAAAAACATATTTATGTGGAAAAGAGCAGAATTGTTTTAGTGGAGGAATAACACGTGGGATAGAATCAAGGAAATGAACATTGGTTATAGGACTTGGAAAATGAGGAAGAAGTGGCCCATATTGGCAGTGTGTTTTAGAATGAAGCCTGTTAATTCTTAGAACAGTGAGCTGCTTAGCAGAAAATGAATCAGTGGTATACCTACAGATGCTGAATCTTGTTCACTGGGACTTCTGTCCTAATAAAAGTCTCCAACATGCAGATTCAGATTTTCAAGGATACAGTTACTTTTCAGGGCATAATGCAGCTTAAAAAATGAATATGTAAAGGTCACCAGGACAGACCCAGGCCAGAGGAGATGTCCTAGATATTTGCACTAAATAAAACCTTCTAGACTTCTTTATGTTTCTGGAAAAGAGGCAGTCCATCTCTGGCTAATATATAATTTCTCTAGCACAGTAGAGGAGAGCTGCAGATGAAGTATGAGCTTTTAAGAAATGAATTCAATCTTCCTTATATATTCTCTGAGGGCTCCAATTAATATTTACCACGGAAGTAAAGCCTAAAGGCCATTTAGGCTATGATCCCTTGGGAAAGCTAGAATGGAGACCAAAAGAGAAATTCACAAGCTTTAGGGAAAGGATTAAAAAAATGATTAATCCGTGGCATCAGTAGCCCTATTGATTAACTATGTTGACTGAATTCATTTGACTAAGCAGGCACATTTCTGCTTCCTCCCTTTCTGCTTTATATGCATCTTTTCTGTAGAAGCTCACACTTTCAGATAAAGAAATAAATTTTACTTTATATAGGGAGATCAAGTATTTTTAGAATCTAAGACAATTCTGACTCTAAATCCTTCTATTACCCACACAACAGACTCTGAGATATAATTTTCTCTGCGCATGAGAATCACCATATGCAAGCACAAAATCTTAGTTAACTTCACTGCTTGTACTGAGGATAGCGATAGCAAGATTAAAATGAACATCAGATAACTTCTAAATCATTTATGTTTAAGCACCAGAATACATTTTATAATTTCCTTACTAAATCCTCACTCTTACCTTATTTTGTGGGAGATAAATTTAAAATGGAATGTCCATTTATATTTGCAATCTCAGAATCCATCTGTGGTAGGCAGTCTTTAAAATGGCTTTCAATGATTTCTGCCTCCTAGTGTCCACAGCCTGTGTAACCCTCTCCCCTTGAGTGTAAGCTGGACTTAGTGCCTCATTTTTAACAAACACAGCATGGCAAAAATGTTATCATGCCATTTATTATATCCTTTTCTCTATTCTATCTTCATATTCTATCTTCTCTATCTCTCACTCCTGTGATTCTATGGAACCAAACCACCATGTTGTCACTAGCCATATAAAAAGTCCACATAGCAAAGTACTGGAGTCTCTGCTCAACATCCAGTGAAGGCCTGAAGACTACCAGTAGCTACTTGAGTGAGCTTGGAAGTGAATACTTCCCCCATCTGAGCCATGAGGTGACTGTAGCCATTTATGACAGCACACAGCCTTGTGAAATTTCCTGAGTCAGAGACACCAGCCAAGCCATGCCCAGATTCCTGACTCAGAGAAAATGTGAGATAATAAATATTAGTTATTTCAAGCTACTGTGTTTTAGGATAATTGTTATGCATTATTAGTTAACTAATATACCGCTGAATGGTGAGAGAAGGGCAAGAATGAGTATAGGCTAATGGATGCAGAGTGGAGAAACCACTGGTGAGAGGCAAGCTTGACATAGTCATCTGATCTAGGCTGAATAATCCTACCTGAATACTTACTTCTCTATATAATCAGAGAAAAGACAAGGTACAACTATTGCATCTACAGAAGACACATTCCAAGGAATACAGCTTTCTCAAAGCACATCACATGAGCCCTGGGCTCAGCTAACAAGAAATCCCCATGAACATAAACAGATGTTTTCATGTGCAGCTTCTGTCAGCTAATCTTGTAAATGGTGCCACATTTGCTTTCTACAATGAACTTGTAATAGTATTTCCTTAATATATAAGCAATTATGTTCCTGAAACTCATATTTGTTGAACATTACAATTGTACATTGATTTACCAGTTCTGAAAATCAGTTCTTGACTGCTCTTTGTAAATTTGAGTGAGATTCCAGAATAGACAATTCCTTTATTTGAGAATGAAGTATGTTTATATGGTATCCTCTTATCATGAAACCCTCACTATGGCCTTGAGTTTAATGTTGTGTGTGCGTGTGTGTGTAATATAAACAGGAATCAAAGAGTTCTGGTAGTGCTACAAAAGAGAGATACATTGAACAAAATTCTGTTCTCAGAAAAGACAAGTGAATGTTAGGAATAAGTGACATGTTGATTTCTTGAGGCAAGATATGGGGTTACCATGGTGATAATTGCATAACATCTATATTTCTATAAAACCATCTGGGAGGGAGTAGAACATTCTTTTTTAAAAAGACATTATATCCTTGGCATATTATTTGTAGTTGGTTAAAAATAGCCCAGGCATGTGGGCGTTTGCTATTCTTGTCATAAGCTTAGGCTTAGAAGAAATGCATACCAAACATCTCTCTCCCACCTCACACTCAGTAATTGACACATTACTTTCTACTCTTCTGTCCAGTAATTCTATAGTTTCCTCTCCAGTCTGCAAGGAAAACTTAAGACTACAATTTGGAGTCAATTTCGTACTACTTTTAGTGAGAATCTCTCTACCTTAAGACTAATGCCTTCAGTTACACAACAGGTAAATACCTTATACTGTCCTTCTCCAGGTTAGATTTTTCCCTAACTGGATGACACAGTCTTGCCTGAAGATGGTCAGTCCCCACAACACTTAGACAGATAGCTTTTCATAACTACACTTAAAGTATTGAAAAGAAGTATAAAGAGGTTTTGAGTGGCTGTGGCATCAGTGATGGGGGAGCCACAGCTGTTTTAGAAGAAAGTTTTCTTGTTAGCAAGTGAGTTTTCTAAGGATAGAGGTTGTATCACATTCTTCTCTAAATGAAGTACCTAGCAAAATGAGGCAAACAAAATGTGTTGCGAACATTTTGGCTGAATATGGTTCATCAAAATATTGGTTACCAGTTGATATTCAAAGTGTCACCTTTTTCACAAGTTGAATTGTTCATTCTGAAAGTATTAACCCTCTCAAGCTGTACTGAGTCATGTGATAAACTGTTTCTTCTCAATAATCTTACTAATTAGGATAAGAACAATTTATCTAAAGCAAGAAGTGCAGCTTAAATATATATAACTATTGATCTCATTTGTTTAGGATTTTCTGCCCTAATCACGTTCACCTGCTATTTATAGTGTGTTGTCTTAATAGGCAGGCAAGCTTTTAGCTTGATACAAATGAATATATGTGACATTCTTTTGGATGACATATTATGAAGCTGAATTTTGTATATATTTTGATCTTATTATTTTCACTTTTTATTAAACTCTTAGAGTTATTAACAGGTGAATTAGTAATAGGTGATTTATGAATCAAATTTTTTTATTTGTCTCTTACCTGCCTAAAATTGTTTTCAAAAAGGACTTAGTCTCTTCAGATCCAACTTTCATTTTAGATAAAGTAAGAAGCTGCTGACAAGGATGTGATATAGGAAATATCAGGAAAGCCCCTTGACCCAGTTATCTCCTATTTCTTCCAGCTTGTATCTTTAAATTCCAGTTTTCTCTGGCTTAAAAGCTTGAAGACCCTGTTTAAAGGGCAAGTACTACCTGGACTAGATAGAGCATTTATTTAAAGTCTATTATTTTAAACTACCACACAATTACACTGTTGGTGAGGCATCCTATCAGAGAGCAGGGCACAAAGATGATAGTTTAAGCAACAGACAACTTTGGAGTAGAACATTAACGTTTTTCTGGAAATGGGGACCATCTCTGAATACTCCATGAAATTTGAGGACTGTGGGATGGGGTACCTAAAAGGAAGTGAAGAGATACTGACTATAATTATTAATGGTGTCGCAGTTTTACTTAGGCCCTTATGAGGTGCTGTGCGGAATCATTACATTTTTTGTTCCTGTCAGTAAATCATTCATATGTATAAGAGACAATGAAATAGGGAAATTGATAAACCACAGCAATGAAACATATGCATTCTAAAAATCTGAACTAGAAGTGTTAGTAGACATAATTTTGTCTTATCCTATTTTTCATCTTATATTACTCTCTTTTAAACTTTCAGGTTTAGATTGCTATCATTTATCCAATAATCACTTATTGAATCAAAAAGAAATGTGCTGAGAAGTCACTGTGCTTACTGTCTAACATAGCAACTGCTAACACAGCAAGCTAATACAGAAAGTTTCAGATATTATGAAAACCCAAAATAGAACCTGTCAATTACTGCTGATAGATTGAGTACCTACTCTGCTCTAAGTATTCCTACTAAGATCAGGTCATGAATATGTTGTGATTACAGTGTGTTTGATTAAGTTAACATTTGTCAACCCCAGGAGTCCTGCACTAACAGAATCAGATATTTTATTCCTTTCCCCTTTAGTTAAAAACAAAAAGGGCTATCAGAAGTTTCTAGTATTCCATCACCAAGCAGAAAACCTGGTAAATGCCTACATTCAACAACACCAACACAGCACCAAACAAAAAATAAAGCAATTACTTTTAGAGGAAGAAGCTCTGGTTTCATAGGAACCTCAGCCTGCTCCTGGCCTCTCTTAGATTGTACTGAGTTATTTGGGTCTGACTCAAATCAGTAATAAATTTGGGAAAAAACAGCAGTTTTGGCTTAGCTTCCTCCACTTCCCTCTTTCAAGTGAACTGTGCAGAAGTTGCATTTCCCTTTGCTGCTTCTTGTTGAGTGTCTTATAGAGCAGGGGTCCCCAACCCCCAGACCATGGACCAGTACCAATCCATGGCCTTTTAGGACCTGGGCTGCACAGTAGGAGGTGAGCAGCTGGAGAAAGAGCATTACCCCCTGACCTCTGCCTCCTGTCAGATCAGCGGCATCAGACCCTCATAGGAGCGCAAATCCTGTTGTGAATTGCACATGTGAAGGATCTAGGTTGTGTGCTCCTTATGAGAATCTAATGATAAATGTAATGTGCTTGAATCATCCCCTAACCATCCCTCTGCCCCGCCCTCATCCATGGAAACAGTGTCTTCCATAAAACCTGTCCTTGCTGCCAAAAAGACTGGGGCCACTGTATAGAGAGATGCTTACCCAAGTTTGACAGTGCCGTAACTTGGAAAACAGCTTGTCTTCTTTCTGGACTTCATTACTAGTGGGCCTACTTGCACAAGACATAAACCACATCCTCTAACCTGAGTGCTACCATTAAGAAAAATGTTCTTTATGCTTCAATATTTACTTTAAAAAAATATTTTCAGAATTCAGAGATGGAAGGCAATACCATACACTCTGAGATCCTTAACAGGCACAACCGCAACCACATTTAAGGATAAATAGTAAGAGCTAATATTTGTTACATGCCTAATGAACATCAGACACTGTTTTATGTGCTTTACAAATATCTACTCCTTTAATCCTCATATAAAATTTTAGCATATGGATGTATGAAATGGTTACTATATATAGGAAACAGCTATTCTCTTAAATATCTTGAGATTATTGCCTCCCTGCAAAAAGTGCAACAGATGGCTTTACATGCCCACCAATAATGTGTAAGAACATTCATGGCTTTACCTTTTTCCAAAAGGCATTTTGTAAGACTTCAATTTTTGAGATTATGTTAACAATAAAATTTATTTTGATCAGTTTTAATTTGCAAATCCATTATTATTAAAGTTAAGTAACTCTTTGTTTATCCCATTATAATTTCTTGTTGTGTCAAATGCATGTTGCCTATTTTTATTTTGTGCTGTTTTTTTCTTACCTATTCTTAGTATATTTGATATATTATGCATAGTAGTCCTTTGTTCCTTCCTATGTTAAAAATATCACATCCCACTCTTTGACTTGTGTTTTTACTGCCTATAGAGTTTTATAATAAAGGTAATTTAAATATTATCAATCTTTCCTTCCTTTCTTTGTTAAGCATCTTTATTGAGATACAATTTAATATCATAGAGTTCCTCCACATCTTCACTAGCATTTCATGTTGTTGGTATTTTTCATTTAAGTCATTAGGATAGGTATTTAGTAACATCTTATTATGGTTTTATTTAGCACTTTCTTGATGACTAATGATGCTGAATATCTTTTCAGGGGATTATTTGTCATCTATGTATTCTCTTCTGTAAAGTATCTATTCATATCTTCTATCCATTTAATACATGGATTTTTTTTCTTTTACAATTGATTTTGTGTGCTGATTATGTATTTTGGATTCTAGTCCCTTATCACATAGATGTTTTGCAAGTAGTTAAATAGTTTGCTCCAGTTCTGTTTTTTTTTTTTAAGTAGGGTTTTGCACAAAGTAAATGTTTTTAATTTTGATGAAATCCAATTTACCAAATTTTCTCTTCTGCATTGTGCTTTTTGTGCCAAGGCTAAGACCTCTTTGCCATTCCAAGGATGTCTATCACTTTTCAAAAGGCTTTTTGGTTTTTACTTTATGCTAAAATCCATGATCCATTTTAGGTTAATTTTTATATAAGGTGTGAATTTAGAAAGCCTTTTTTTTTGGCATATGGATATAAAATTGCACCAGCACCATTTGTTTAAAAGATATGTTCCTTCATTGAATTGTTTTTGCATCTTTTTCAAAAATTAATTAGGCAATTTTTATGAGTCTTTTATGAGAGGTTCTGTATTTTACTCCACTGATCTGGAGATCATGTCAATTTATTCATTAATACCACAAAGATTTGATTACCATTGGTACAGGATACATCTTAAAATCAGGTAGACTTATTCTTCCCATTTCATTCTTCTTCAAAATGGGTTTAGATATTCTATATCATTTGCCTTTTTATATAAAGTTTATGATAATGTTGTCTATAGGTAAACAAAATACCTTACAGAAATTTTTATATGAACTGCATTACATTGGAATACGTATTTGGGGGGAATTTGTTTTCACTCTGCTGAATCATTAAATCTATCAGCATTGCATCTATCCTTATTTATATATTATTTATATATATTATATATTATATATACATGTGTATATATATATACACACACATATATACACACACATATATATAGTGTGTGTATGATTGCTGTTGTCAGTAGATTATAGATACATATTTATTATAATGTAAGTTTTTGTTTCTACTGGTACTGTCATATTACTAGCTAAAATGAGACATATATGTATATATACATACACATCTATTTGAATTTATTATTTATATTTATCTTATTTCTTGCACCTTTGTTGAATTTCCATTTTGGTTCTTGATTTTGTTGTAGATTCCTTGGAATTTCCTATGTAAGTAACCATGTCAACTATAAATAAGAACAGATATCCTTCTTCCCTCCTTCCCTCCCTCACTTCCTCCCTCCTTCCTACCCATCCATTCATTAAATAAATAAATTAAATTCATTTTATTATTTCTTTTGAGATTTCCTAAGTTATGCATTATTTAAATATATACATATTTGATTTGCAAGTATTTGAAGGTTTTTCTGTTAACTTTTTATTAGTGATTTCTATTTTGCTTCTATTGTAGTCAAAGAACATAGTCTGTGTTCTCTTAATTCATTTAATTTTTTTAGGCTCAATTAATAAATCAGCATATAATCCATCCTAGTTAATATTTTGTAGGCCCTTGAATAGTATGTATATTCTGCTGTTGTGGGTTTGAATAGTCTATGAATCATTAGAAGTTCATGTAGGTGACTTTTTTTTACTTTTCTATTATATCTCTGTTAATACATGTGGCTGCTCTAACAATAGTTAAAAGAAGGACATAGACATCTCCAACCATAATTTTGGATTTGTCTTTTTATTATTTAAAGTCTATCATTTTTTGATTCACATGTTTTCAGCTCTGTTGTTTGGTACATACACAGGCATCTCTTCTTTGTGAATTGACTCATCTGTAATTATATAATGTCCTCATTCACCGGTAATTTTCTTTGCCATTCACTTTGGTTTATATTAATACAGGTACTTATTCCTTCTTATGGTTGATATCTGTATGCTTTATATTTTTCCATACTTTTATTTTTACTTTGCCTATAGCATTATATTTGGAGTATGTTTCTTATAGACGGCATATAGTTGGATCATGTTTTATTCACTCTTTCAATCTGTCTTTTCATTGATGTATTTAAATCATTTACATTTAATATACCTATTGATATGTTAGGGGTTAAGTTGGCCATTTTTTTTCTGTTTTCCATATGCTGTCTGTTTTTACTTTCTATGTTTTCTTTGTCCTGCCTTACACTGGGATACATGAATATTTTTAGAATGTCACTCTTATTTATCTCTATAATTTTTGAATGCATATTTTTGTATAGATTTTTGTGTGATTGCTGTTGGCAGTAGATTACAGATACATGATTTATTGCAATATAAATTTTTCATTTCTATTGGTACTGGCATATTATCAGTTAAAATGAGAAATATAAATATTATCCCCATTTTATCTCTACTTTCACTAATTTATAGTTTAATTGTGTTAATTTCTCTTCCTACCTTTGGAACTATATCAGATAATGTTATAATTTTTGCTTCATATATCAACTATACTTTAGGAAACTCAAGAGGTGAGAAAAATTCTATTGTATTTGCCTATATAGATGCTTCTCAACTAATGGAGTTACCTCCTGAAGAACCTATCATAAATTGAAAATATCATAAGGCAAAATGTATTTAATACACCTTAACTACCAAACATCATGGCCCAGCCTAGCTTATCTTAAATGTACTTAAAGCATTTACATTAGCCTACAGGTCGGAAAAATCACCTGACATAAACACTATTTTATAATAAGGTATAGAATATCTCATGTAATTTATTGAGTACTGTACTGACGTAGTTTCTACTGAATGCAATTCACATCATTGTAGAGTTGAAAAATGGTAAAGCAAACCACTATAAGTCAGAGATTATCTTTGCTTACTGTTTCTTCTTCTTTCTAGATACCTCAAGAAACTCTCTTGTATTATTTCCTTTCAGTTTAGAGAAATTCATGCAGTTATTGGAAAATAAGGGAATATCTGCTTATGAAAAGCTTTTCTGCTCCTGATTTCTTAACTTAAAATGTCAAGAATTATCTTCATTTCTCTATCATTCCTGAGGCATAGTTTCACTAGATGTAGTAAGCAAAGTATAGCCTGAGTAACATGCTTTAATACTAAAAAAACTTCCATTTTAAGATAGGTCTGCTACAAGCTTTTTATCTCAGTTTGTATTTATCTGGGAATATTTATATTTCACCAGGGCCTTTGAAACATATTTTTTTCTGGTTGTAACATCGTTGGTGGGCAGTTGTTGTTGTTATGGGTTTTTTTGTTTGTTCATTTTCTTTTAGCACTTTGAATATGTCAATTTTCTTCCTTCTGGCCTCCAGTGTTTCAAGTGATGAATTAGTATATTATCTTATTAAATTTCTGTTGTCTGTGAGGAGTCATTTTTCTCTTCCTACTTGGAACATTTTCTCTTTGCCTTTGGGTTTCAATTTTGTTTGTACTGTGTTTGGTTGTGGATTATTTTATGTTTCTCCTACTTGGTGTCCCTTGAGCTTCTTTAATGTGAATATTAGTATATATCATCCATTTTGAGAAATTTCCTTTCATCATTTATTTAAATAATTTTTCATCTTCCTTTTTTCTCTTTGCTCCCATATAATGGGTACTCCCATTATATGTATCTAGGTGCAATTAATGGTGTCCGGATTTGTCAAAGGTTCCATTCACTTTTCTTTTTTTCCTCTGTTTCTCAGATTGTTTAATCTCTGTCCATCTGTCTTCAAATTTGCCGATTATTTTTATGATAACTCAATTCTACCGTTGAATTATATAGTAATCTTTAATTTTATATGTTTACTTTTAAGATTTAAATTTATATGACATGTAAATATAAATTTTGTTTGTATTTATAATAGCTGATTTGATGTGTGTTTCTACCTCTGCCAGTATATGCTTACTCTCACAGTCAGTTTGGTTTCTCTTAGACAAGGGTTTAATATCCAAATCTGTAAGGAACTTAAGAAATTCGACAAGCAAAAACCAAATAACCCCAGTAATAAGTGAACAAAATACATGGACAGATGCTTCTCAAAATAATACATACAAACAGCCAACAAACATATGAAAAAATTCTCAACATCATTAATCATAAGAGAAATGCATCAAAATCACAATGAGGTACCGTCTCTCACCAGTCAGAATGGCTATTACCAAAAAGTTAAAAAAAAAAAAAAACATATTCTGGTGAGTCTGGAAAAAAGGGAACATTTATACACTATTGATGGAAATGTAAATTAGTTCAGCAACTGTGGAAGAAGTTTGGAGCTTTCTCAAAGAACTTAGCACTACCATTTGACCCAACAATCTCATTACTCGTTATCTATCCAAAAGAAAATAAATTGTTCTACCAAAATGATGCATGTACTTGAATTTTCATCACAGCATTATTTAAAATATCAAAGACATGGAATCAAACCAAGTGCTCATTAATGGTGAATTGGATGAGGAAATGTGGTACATATACCCCATAGAATGCTACACAACCATAGAAAAGAGTCACATTGTCCTTTGTAGCAACATGGACGCAGCCGAAGGCCATTATCCTAAGTAAATTATTTCAGGAACAGAAAACCAAATACCTCATGTTCTCACTTATGAGAACTAAACATAGGGTATTCATGAACATAAAGATGGCAACAATGTACATTGGGGACTACTAGACAGGGGAGAAGAAGGGAAGCAAGGGTTGAAAAACTAAGTATTGTGTTCTATGCTAGCTACTTGGATAACAGGATCAACCATACACCAAACCTCAGCATCACACAATATACTCAACAACAAATCTGCACATGTATCCCTTGAACCTAAAATAAAAGTTGAAATCATAAAAAAAAAGGAAGAGAAACAAAAAAACTACATCACACCACACATACACACACACACACACACACACACACAAAATAAAAAGCCTGAAAAAATTACAGTTACAATTAAAAAATCTTTCCCTACACTCAGGTTTTAAAAGTATTCACTTTTGTTATTTGAAATCTTAATTGTTTTGGCCTTTTGGTATGGTTTGAGGTCTAATATTTAAGTCTTTAATCCATCTTGAGTTAATTTTTGTATAAGGTGTAAGGAAGGGGTCCAGTTTCTGTTTTCTGCATACGTCTAGCCAGTTGTCCCAGCACCATTTATTAAATAGGCAATCCTTTCCCCATTGCTTGTTTTTGTCAGGGTTGTCAAACATCAGATGATTGTAGATGTATGGTGTTATTTCTGAGGTCTCTGTTCTGTTCTCTTGGACTATATATCTGTTTTGGTAACAGTACCATGCTCTTTTGGTTACTGTAGCCTTGCAGTATAGTTCGAAGTCAGGTAATGAGATGCCTCCAGCTTTGTTCTTTTCACTTAGAATATTCTTGGCTATTCGGATTCTTTTTTGGTTCCATATGAAATTTAAAGTATTTTTTTTCTAATTCTGCAAAGAAAGTCACTGGTAGCTTGATGGGAATAGCATTGAATTCATAAATTACTTTGGGCGGTATGGCCATTTTCACGATATTGATTCTTTCTACCCATGAGCATGGGATGTTTCTCCATTTGTTTGTGTCCTCTCTTATTTCCCTGAGCAGTGTTTTGTAGTTCTCCTTGAAGAGGTCCTTCACATCCCTTGTAAGTCGTATTCCTAGGTATTTTTTTTCTCTTTGTAGCAATTGTGAATGGGAGTTCACTCATGATTTGGCTCTCTGCTTTTCAATTCTTGGTGTATAGGAATGCTTGTGATTTTTGCACATTGATTTAGTATCCTGAGACTTTCCTGAAGTTGCTTATCAGCTTGAGGAGTTTTGGGCTGAGATGATGGGGTTTTCTAAATATAAAATGTCATCTGCTTTGCTTTTTTGTCTTGTTATTATGTAGTATTTATTATGATGATATTTGTATATTTATTTTTGTCTCTGATTTTAGCCTTTTATCAGTGAGCTTGTTTCATCCATTGTAATAAATTCCTGCATGTTATGTTCTCAAATACTTCATGTCTCTATTCTCTATTTCACATATGTCTCATGACCAAATTATTTATACACACACAAACACACACACACACACACACACACACACACACAGAGTACTCTTATCTAGACAGGATATCTCTTAAATTATTCTACTTTTCATATCTTTTAGTCTGTTTGCATTCCACTCTGGTTGCATTCTTATCTCTTTTTCATTTTTAAGAAATAACTCACTCTTTTCCTAAACTATTTTAAAGCCACTGTTAAATCCATGTATTGAGTTAAATCTCAGTTATTATATTTTTTAGTAAAAATTGTGTTTAGGACTTTAAATGGATTGTTGATAATTTTTGTGTAAGATTTATTTAAAGAATTTCCAATTTTTTTAATATACAGTAAGCATCATTATATTCTGTGCCTGGTCCTTCTGGATCTGAATATTAGCATATTAATTTCTCCTCTTTATTTTTTTGGGTGGTTCTTGCTCACAGTCCTTTGTTTCATAATTTTTTGAGAATGATTGCTCATACTCTTTAGAAAATTAATTTTTATAGTCATTTACAAAATGGATGAATCATTTACAAAAAGAATGAAAGTATGTTTCTCTAGAGTTAGTCAGCTTTGTTTCTATAAAGTGCTTATGAAAACATTATTAGAACAATTCAATTCAAATGAATTTAAGGCTTAAGGTAGTTTTTTGTTTAGCTCTGTTTCTTTTCATTCATTGGAATGAAGAATCACATTTGTTCCCAAGTGACATTACAACATTTTTTCTTTCTCTGGAAAGTGGCAAAGAAATATTTATTATAGTTTTATTTTAATAAATTATTTCTAGTTTATCACCAAATGTATGCATTTTGGGCATCAGTTTCATTCAACATTCAGGGCAGAATGTTGACCTGCTGAGATTCCCCAGCATCAGTAAGCCCTATATTTTTTTTTTCTTCTTCCCATAGCCCTCTGACATAGGTGAACTAGAGTTTCAATTATCCAGGATTGGCAAATTACCTAACAACATGGTTTTACTGTTGTCATTTCTTTCTGGAGTCCTACCTTCACTTAGATTTGATATGATAATTCTTCACTATCTATGAGGCTTTTAACATTTTTATTATTTTTTCTGGTGTTTTCATTTTCAGCAAGGAGTTTGGTTTGACCATGTAGGAAGCCATATTTCCAGAAATGGATGTCTATTCCCATCTTTATAGATACACTTTTACAGAAGGAATTTTGGATTGTAGTGCTATTTCCTCACACCCAAATTTTGCTGTAGAACCTCATTGCCACTCCAACTGAATATTTGATAAATCGTATGTTTATACGTTTTCTGAAATATGTTCTTCCCTTTTCAATGTACATATTTTACCCTCAACTGGTCTTCTTATCTCTTTTAAAAACAGACAAAAAACACAGGCAAGAACAGAAAGCTAAGATTGCTCTGCATTTTAATCAGCAATCTAAGCAAAATTAACATGAAGACACTGGGATGCATATTTAGTTCAATTAAGAATATATATCTAAAAATATCAATCTATGTAAAGGTGTAAGTCTGGTATAAGGACCCTTTCGTAAAATGATCTGATTCTATAATCATAAAATGTAGGTTCATCTCTTTTACTAGGTGAGTAATCTCCATATTTAAAGATATGAGCCACCATTCCATAATGCCCTACCAGAGTTTAATTAGTAATGTTTATTGCTTTTTATGAAAATGAAAGGCATTATGTGCATGCACACAGTTTACAAAGCAAGGGATTTTCTCTAGTGTTTGGTTTACCTGATTTGTATTTACATGAAACAAATGAGATCACTGGCAAATTGCCATTTCTGTTGATATGTGAATAAAAGCTCAAGTAAAATAGTACTCTGAAGAAACTATAGACAGAAAAAAATGAGTCATTGGGCTCTAATTCTCTCAGATGTATATAACTTATTGGATGTTCTCACATTGCCTTATACATCTTTTCTCTAGGTTTATCTCTCTAGGGAGGTCAGATTTTGCAAGGAATCTTGTGTATGACTTAAATATATTATAGATTACTATAATTTTGAAGTTACTCAAAGGCAGTTCCTAATTATTATTTTTACCCATGCTTTTTTGATTAATATAAAAACCTTAAACTGATGCACATAAAGTTTTGACCCCCGTTTAATGTTACTTAATAGTGCATGAAACCAAAATAAAACAATAATTTCGAATATATATTTTTAAATGATAAATGCTTCTCCTGAATTTCTGATACTACTTTTTGAGTATCACATCCCTTTTCACACTGTAAGACTAATCATAGTGTATCTTCAGCTAATGGAACTTCCTGAGGTATTAGCTAAAATAGTGACCTTGCTCATATATTTACAATTTTGGTTTTAAAATTATTCTATTAAAGAATTGAATAAATGTCAGGCTTAATGACTCTACTGAGATTCTGTCCTCCTTCATGTGTGGTATAGTGTCTTGCCTTTCCATACATCTATTATCAATTAAATAAGATGAAGGACATGAAAATAGAAAATAGTTAACAAAATTAAATATTAAAAGTGATTTAAAAATCTGGCCAGTATATTTGGAATAATTCCTTCAAATAGGTTTCATTTGAATAACACTTTTCTATTTTGACACCTAACAGGAACTTTACTATCTCTGTATGAAAGATGGAATTTTGTCATAAATTAGACTTCAACACGAACGTCTCCTGTTAGACTTAATCACTCTATATCAGCTGTGACAAAAAGAGTATAGCATATATTAGTATGTAATTTTCCTCCTCCTTCCTTCAAACTGGATAAAGTTCCACGTTATCATTTTTTCAAAGTACCATCATTCTCAATTCCACTAATATTTTCATCTGGCATATAAGAAACCCAACTCAGAACTGCAGAGAAAAATAACAGTTCTTATTTCTGGAGGGCTGAACAGAAACTGGAATATAAAAACTGGAGTGCCTGAGTGGAAGAAATTCTGTCCTTGAAACTTGGGAAACCAATTTTATGCAAAACAAAGAGCAATTTAAGGCCAGGAATAGGATATATTTGTGCTAGAGTAATAGTGAATACCTAAGTATCTATAAAATAAATAGATTCATGCTTTTTGGCATATTGCTAGAATAATATCATGTACCAGTCTATTTGTTTTTAGACATAGTCCATTTTTGCTTGAGAGGTCTCATTACTGGCCTATTCACAGTCCATATTGGATGTTAGACACAATTGGATTATATTCTTTTTGTGAGTTTTGCCAAGTTCTATGTGTTGGCATCATTAACAGTCTCATCCTCAACTCCAGTCCACTTGAAACTCCCTGTAACTGTTGCATGCACAAGTTATTTCCTGACTGCCTGACTTTGCTTTGGTCTGGCTTACAGTAAAGTCCAAGAGAGAACATCCAGGAAAGTAGGAGCATAGGCTGCATAGCCCTTCTAAGTATTCAGTCTTGTATAGTACTGTGGTGATTTCTCCATAAGGTCTACCTAGCATGGAATTCAAAATGATGTGGTGTGAATTTTATAATGACAAAATCAAAATTTAAACAAACCATAAAATTAGAAGGATGAAGAAGTGTAGCTTTATGAGAGCTCAACAACCAACACTTACTTTCTTCAGTCATTATAATTAAATCCAAAAGCATTTCTGTGGACTTAAATGCCCTATGTGAATCTGGCCCTTGCTGACCTATGAGGACCTATCATCACATTCCACTCTTTCCTTCAATCACTGTATACCAGAAAATCAATCTCTCCATTTCTCTTAACTCCTGAGCTCTCTTCTCCATAAGGTCTTTGCTGCTCTATCTTCCTTAGGTTTTCCTTAGATTTCCATCTACATGATTCCTTAAGATATCGGCTCAACTACTCATTAGAATAACCTTCTCTCACTACCTGCTCTACATTAGCTCTGCCAGTCACTCCTATCACATTAGATATGGATACAGTAGATTACAAATTACATTTCCATTAAAACTGTCAAAGAAAGAAATGAATAACAAAATGATAATCCTCTGAAAAGTTTCCTGTGAGTGTTTTGACCTTTTTTTATATTAAAATCCATAAACAAAGGAACATAAGCAAACTTACAAAAAGTATTTTATCAAAATGTCAAATAATTTTGGATTAATTTATTATACAGTTTTGTAGTCTATATGAATACATATGTATATAATATAGGTGCTTCCAAATATGAACTATGTAAATATATTCATAAATATACCTCGGTTTTACACATTAAAACAAATCTATTCTTAGTCACAGTAATATATTCAAGATGTTAAAATTCTAATACAAAACATATTGAGTATGATTTAAAATGAACAATTACAGTGCATGGATGAGTGAGTAACACAATAAAGGAAATTATCACGTGTCAAAAATATAAGAAAAGTGTAAACCTGAGAAGTAAGCAAGCCCCAAAGCAGATGGCTGCCTAAAGGCATCTGATAATCTCCAGTGTTCTCAGACTTCGGCTGTAAAAAGATGCGATTCACTGTATGAGAAGTTAGTTTGGAGACCCCTGTATAAAATCAAGAACTTGAATGGGAATAACTCCAAGTGAAATTCTGGACTAGTAAAACAGTAAGCAAGAAATGAGGAAGAGCAAGGAAATATTCCTGTCTCCAACAATTAAAACAAATGTAAAAGAAAACAACAAAGGTTTGGAACATGGATTCAAACTACTCACATGGCCAGAGGGGAAAAAAGACTAGAAATTTAAAGTAGACTTGGATGATAAGGGCCCTAGGTACCTAGTAGAAACTAAAATAAATCTTCTCTGTCAAATACCCCACAACCAAGACCTCAGAGAAATCCCATAAAGTTTTAATGAGTATAATCTTAAACTCAAAAACAACACAAACGCATAATAAAACAAAAAAATTAGAAACTCTAAAGTGAAAATACAAACGTGTGATTTTGGAATTACTGTATGAAAAAATGAGAATATGTTATATGTTTAGAGAAATAAAAAGTAAATGAAATTATGAGTAATATCAAAGCCTATCACAAGAGTAATTTGAAAATTATAGTTAGATATTATATATCTGAATACAATATTTCAGTGAAAAATATTCTAATTAAAATCAAAAGCTCAATGAAAGGATTAAAAGGAAGATTAGACATAGATTAAGAATTACTGTACCAGAAGCTGAACTAAAAGTAAAAAGTCATCAAGAATTCAGCCTGAATTACTAAAAAAAAAAACAGTTGCAGAGAAATGTTGAACAAAGAAAGCATATAAGTTAATGGCATAGTTAATTCAGTTTATTATGTTATTTGGGAAAATAGTAAATATACTAAATACTCATAAACTTTGTTCATTGAATGTACATTATGTAACTAGGAAAATCACTGTACATAAATGTCACATATAATATCTATATTTTGAAACTTTGTGTGGTGAAGGAGAATTGAAGGTAAAAACATGTACAAATAAACAAACTTGAAACCTAAATCTATCCAAAACAAAGCAGAAAATCCTTTATCCTTTTATTTTTATTTTTAGAGATAGGGTCTTGCTCTATTGCCCAGGCTGGAGTGTAGTGGTGCAATTATGGCTCACTGTAATGTCAACTTCGTGGGCTCAAGTGATACTGCCACCTCAGCCTCCCTAGCAGCTGGGACTACAGGTGTGCACCACCATGCTCAACTTCTTTTAAAAATACTCTGTGGAGACAGGGTATTGCTCTGTTGCTCAGGCTGGTCCTGAACTTCTGGCTTCATGCCATTCCTCCTTGGCCTCCCAAAATGGTGGGATTACGGGCATGAGCCACCATACCCAACTAGGAACAGTTTGCTAATACATAAAGTAAATTCAAATTAAAAAGAAAACCAGTTATATTGAAATGCTCTATTATCTACCAACTCGCTATGGGTCTGTCATGCTCCAGTTAAGAATTCCTATAAATCTCAGCCAGTGAACTATAGCAAGAAAAATAATAAAAAGATAAAATGATTTGAAAAGAAGAAAGAAAGTATCTACAAGTGATAAATAAGAATACCTAGGAAAAATGTATTTGCATTGGTAGGATTTAACAAGGATGCTAGATTTAAAAAATTAATACCTAGATTTAAAATATTAATATACAAACAAAGCTTGCACTTTAATACTATAGCATCATGTAGTCAATACATTGCAGACAGGTACTATTTATAATAGGAACAATCATATCATGTATAGAAAAAGCATAATAGAAAGCATGCAAGGCTGTTATGGAAATGTTTATAACATGTTAAATGTATGCAAAAAGTCTAGAGACACCTATACCATTTTTAATTAAAATATAATATTTTAAAAATATAAATTATCCTGATAATGACTCATAATTTTGATTGTTTTCTAATCAAATACCAGCAGATGTATTTTCTGGATGTTGATGCATTAATTCTAAAATATATGTGGAAGAGGAAAGAACCAGAAAAAGCCAAGACAAGCCTCAAAAACACCATGATTGCAGAGCACCATGGGACGTGTGAGAATGAGTGTGTGTGTGAGTGCGCACGTGCATGTGTGTGTATGAGAGAGAGAGAGATCCTTACAGAATTCCAGACCTATTAAAAAGTTAGACTAATTGAGTCTATGTTTTATAGCTGTGGAGAAAGACAACAAATTAGCCCAAAATTAGAGAACAAAGTTTCCAAACACTGTCTCATGGATATAAGAAAACTGACATGAGACAGAGATGGCATTGGCATTGAAGGTCAGTAGGGAAAGATGAAACTATTGAGTAAGCAATTGTTGATGCAATTAATCCAATTATCTATAAGGAAAAGTATAAAACTGACTATCTACATTATTCTATATTAAAAAATCAATTCCAGGTAGAGTAAAGATAAATGTCAAAGACAAAATTTGAATTAAAAGAAAGGAAATGTAGAAAATAGTCTCTTTTATTAGGGGTTAGACAAGGATTTCTTCAGCAAGACACACTTAGAGTCTATTAAAATAATAATTGAAAAATTATCAATCAATAAAACTAAGAACTTTCATTTATCAAAAGATAATATTAAAAAGGAATATGGAGCCAAAAACTATAGAAAAGATAGTTGTAATATGTTTAATTGAAAAAAAAGAAATATCTAGAATATATAGAGATAAGATATAGATAGCTGTATTTTAAGACTCTGTGTGTGTGTATATATATGTATATATAATTATATATATGTGTGTGTATATATAATTATATATATGTGTGTATATATATATATAAATATATCAAAGAAGAACAGCTCAGTAAAAAATGGGTCAAAGATATGAACAGAGTTTTATGGAATATGAAAGATAACCAATAAATATGTAAATATGCTCAACCTAATTAGTAATAGGGGAATTGCTAACTAAAACCACAGTGAAATTTTACTACACATCCAAAAGGATTAGGAAAAAAAGTCTTGAAATCTCAAGAATGTCGAATATCATGGATGTTCATAGGCTACTCTGGAAAGCTTCCCTGGTATTGTTGACTGTGCACACACTGATGATGCAGAATTACCAGTCCCAGGAATAGACTTTTGGCAGGTTCAGGAAAGATTTATATAAAAACATGTTTAAAGGCATCTTTAAGAAAAAAAAAGTTACAGAAATTAATGCTATGCCTAATAAGAAAAAATTGAGAATAGTGGTCACTCTGATGGTAGTTTCTTTTGCTGTGCAAAAGCTCTTTAGTTTAATTAGATCCCATTTGTCAGTTTTGGCTTTTGTTGCCATTGCTGTTGGTGTTTCAGTCATGAAGTCCTTGCCCATGCCTATGGCCTGAATGGTATTGCCTAGGTTTTCTACTAGGGTTTTTATGGTTTGAGGTCTAACATTTAAGTCTTTAATCCATCTTGAATTAATTTTTGTATAAGGTGTAAGGAAGGGATCCAGTTTCAGCTTTCTGCATATGGCTAGCCAGTTTTCCCAGCACCATTTATTAAATAGGGAATACTTTCCCCATTTCTTGTTTTTGTCAGGTTTGTCAAAGATCAGATGGTTGTAGATGTGTGGTATTATTTCTAAGAGCTCTGTTCTGTTCCACTGGTCTATATCTCTGTTTTGGTGCCAGTACCATGCATGCTGTTTTGGTTACTGTAGCCTTGTAGTATAGTTTGAAGTCAGGTAGCGTGATGCCTCCAGCTTTGTTCTTTTGGCTTAAGATTGTCTTGGCTGGAAACCATCATTCTGAGCAAACTATCGCAAGGACAAAAAACCAAACACCACGTGTTCTCACTCATAGGTGGGAATTGAACAATGAGAACACTTGGACACAGGGTGGGGAACATCACACACTGGGGCCTGTTGTGGGGTGGGGAGAGGGGGGAGGGATAGCATTAGGAGATATACCTAACGTAAATGACCAGTTAATGGGTGCAGCACACCAACATGGCATGTGTATACATATGTAACAAACCTGCACGTTGTGCACATGAACCCTAGAACTTAAAGTATAATAAAAAATAAGTAAATAATGATGAATAGTGGTATATTCACATAATAAAATATATAGCAGATAAAATTAATAAACTGTGGATACACACTAAACATGGATGAATTTTCCTAAAATTTTGGGGTGTGAAAAACAATTTCAGAGTTTTTACTACATTATTTTGTTTATATAAAGTTCAAATTCAAACATATATACATAGATACATAAACATACATTTCTTATATGCACATATACACAAACATACGCACACAGACACACTTAACTAAAACCATGAAAAACGCAAAAAATTAGCTATCATAATGTTTAGGATAATGGTTATGTTTGCTGGGAAGGGAGGAGAATGCATCCCAGAGACAATCACAAAGATAAACACAGGGCCTTCGAGTATTGATGTTTTATTTGTAAAGTGGAGGTGTAGTTATATAGTCAATACAATTTATTATTCTTTCAATATTTTGTATATCTCAATGAGACTCTTTTGTATGTATGAAAATAGAACTGAAAAATAAACACATACAGCAGAAGAAGGCTGTAGCCAGTGCAACTCTAACATTAGAAATAATATAGTACACAGCCTGAGCAGCCTGTGGGTATGGAACTTTACATGTGCAGAATAATTCTATTTTCTGTCAAATTTTTAAACTAATTAGCTGAAATAATGAGAATATGCTTTAAGAAATGTTGCAACTAATTTAAATTTGTTTTCTAAACCGCCTTCATCTTCCTTTAGCACAGAGCAAATGTTAAGGATTATGCTAACGGTTTCCTGCAGAAAATGGGTGAACCAAAAACATTGTCTGGTCTCATCTTATTGTTTTGTTAGCTATGTAACAGGCTCTATCAGGCCCTGAGCAAATTATTCATTCATTCATTTTTATTCACCTGCAAATTGAAAATAAACTGTTGATATGTACTCTGCTGCAGGCACCGTGCCAGTGACTATGGGTACAAAGACGGATAAAGCATGAATTTGCCTGGACATAACTCACAGCTTACCAGAGCAGGAAAACCTTGGTACCATCGGTAAGTGGTATCTGAGATTTTACTTGCTTCCTTAGCCTTGGTTTACTTTTTAATTTCAGTGTGTTTCTGAAATCTAACCTATATCTTTAACTCTCAATATCCTTATCGGCATCCTGAAAACCTGATTTTCAAGAGATGTTTGTCACTGCCTCATCTGGAAATGAGGAGCATCAGAGAAGATCTTTTCCAAACATACTCCCACAATCCCTAAATGTTTCTGTGCCCAGGACTTCCTGCTGTTATGCCCTCACCTTTCCTTTGGTGGTCTCTGGGATACAGCTAGAGATATTCTGTATTGGCCTAACAGTTGGGATTTCCCTCTAAAGTCAGGCCATTTTGATTTGCAGGGTCCTTTTTGGTTTTTGCTTCATTTCCTTCAAAGTCTAAAACCCTGAAAAGCTAGCATGCCTCAAGATTAAACCCCCAGGGTTTCTAACATTGTCTTCCTCTTAAGTACTGCAGCTAGCAAAATGCCAGTGAGAAAATAGCCTGTGGGCAGTCCCTGAATTAGCTTAGCTTTGGGATGCTCTTGGACCCTGTGTGAAATCTTCTGCAGAGGAATCTCTGGGGAATATTCCTCAGCCTGTGGTTACTTGAAGTTTCATTTTAAAAGAAAATGATTCTCAGCTGAACAAACAGAATAGAAGGCAGCTGACTTGACTAAGGGAAGCTGAGATAACTGATTTTGACCATTTGGGCTTTTTTCTTCGGGAGCCAGAAAACACCTACATACCATATTGTGAGGCTGGAGACTTCTGGGTTCTGTGGTTAAACTGCTAGCCTGGCATTATTAAGATCCAGAATTCATGTGTTCCTCCCTTTAACAGCTGAATTAAAGGGGAAAAAAATTTCCCTAGGGAGAAAGTGGACAGTTCTTACAGGAAATTATAGTGAAAGGTTATCTCCATCATATATATAGGTTGTGCCAAAATTTCCCTTGGGAGAAGAACTGGAGAATGACTAGATTTAATAATAAAATAAACAAAATCCAAAAATGAGGGATTCATCACAATATTATTTAATAATATTTTTAGTAAAATATAACTTTTAAAAAATAAGCAGCTGTATTTTCAAAAGGGAATATCTGAAATCACAAATATAAATTTCCTCTTCGCACATATTTGTAAGCTTTTGTGTCTTTGAGGCCTTCAGTTAGATGCTATGGAGCATACAGTGATAAATCAGAAATGGGTTCTGCCCTCAAAAGAATGGCATTGAAGGAGAATAGATAACATGTACAAAAATATCTAAAATATAATGCATAAAAGGGTAAGTACTCTAATAGAGGTGTTAACAAAATTTTCTGAGCTGATGATGAAGTTTTCACTCACAGCTATCTAAGCAAGAAAATAAAGTAAACATCATCCAAAAAATTAAAGAATATGGGGTTTGAGAAATAGTACATAGTACAGGTTTGTTAGGATAATAGTGATAATTATCACTTAGGGACTGAAATCTGAGACTGCTATGAATAGACTTCATGTGATAAGTGGATAGAGTTGAAGGTTTTTGATTGTATATGTTGTTTGGTTGGGGATATGTCATAATTATAACTTCTTTCTTGAAAAATTAACTGGCTGTGGCATCCATATTAGAAATGGTAGGGAAAATGAAGTTGGAGACCATGAAAAAAAATATTAAATAGAGATATGAGGAGGTCAGAAAATATAAATGTATCTATGAAATGGAGCAATAGGAATAAATATAAATGATACATTAGCCAAAGACTGTACCACACTTGACAAAATAATAAATATGAGAAGATTAAAAGTGAATTAAATTCAATTTAGCAAATATTTTGAGCGCTTGTTATTTCAGAATATATTGAGTTCTGAGTTCTTTGATTAAAGAATTTATAATTTAACTATAATAATGATAGTATCACCACTAATAATAGATAAAATTGTCTTTGAAGGTAATCGATATAGCACAAATTGAGCTTGACATGGTAGAGACATTAAGAAAATCAAGTCAAAAGGTATTTGTAAATTTGGAGGGGTAGGTGGAGAACACAAAAGAGAAATTAAAAATGTGGGTGGAAATTCATAACCAAAAAGTGAGATATGAAACTGTAGAGAATAGTTGAAAAAATAGAGAAAAGAAAGCTTTCCCTATATCATTATCAACATTGAATGTTGTTAAAGGTAAAAAAAGATGTTAATAAGAGAGATGAGAAGACTTAGAGGAGAACTGATGAAATAAAAGGTATTTCAATGTCTTGGTGACTAAGAAAAGGCAGAATTTCAAGAGGTAGGTGTGATAAAGCCAAAATTGCATAGCTCATTACATTAATTGGCCTATGGGAGAGGGCAATAATGCAGTTATTAACACTTGATAATATGAGTTTGAATATAAGGCAGGAGAAATAAAAATGCAATAGTTTAGTGATACAATCATGACACAAAAGAATAGATGACATGGACAGGATTTTCAAAAAGCTTTAAAGTAAAAGAACAGATTATACTATGATGGTTGGTCCAAGGGAAATAGCTTCTAGTGACTTTTTTTCTATAATTTGTTCCCGTATAAAGAAGACATATATGTATAAGGACATATATAGAGAGAAAGAAATAGAGCCAACTACAGTAGTTATTTGTTGTCTTTTAGACATTTAATATTGTTTTACAAACTCATAACCCAATTTCTATTTGAAATATTAACCCTCTCTTCTTGGTCTATGTGACCATGGTGCAATTGACTTCGTACTCCCTTGCTCACTCACCTTCCTTAATTCTAGGCTTCCTGAATTCAGATCTGATCAATTTAAGCACTTCCTTCAACTGGAGAGAGAGATTGACTTAGAAACGTTATATGACTGAGACTTGTATCAGAGATATTGAGAGACTATTTCAGAGTTTTTGTTTTGTTTTGTTTTTTGTGCCAACAAGGGAATAGATTCTTATTCTTCCCATAGATCTGATGATGGATTGAAGTGATACTGAAGTTTCTTATTACCTGTATCTGGAAACTGAGAATTAAGTCAGTGCAGCAGAATGCACAAGAGGAAAGTGGGGGAAAACACAGTCCCCATGGTAGCATTTGATCCTTTTATCTAGCCATTCCTAAAGCCAATTTTACTTGTGGGATTTTTCACTTAAATGTATCTATACATTCTTGTAATTTTAATTTGAGTTTCTAACCACTTGACACTGAAAGGGTCTTAGATGGTATGCTGGTTTCATTGGAGGGTGAGGGAAGTGGATTAAATTGGAGTATGGATTTTGAGAGACTGGGGGAAAAATTTTATCTAGATCAGAAGAAAAATAAGAGAATTTATAATTTATATCTGTCTATCTATCATCTAGAAAAAGAGAGATTGAAGATGGTAGCTTTAGAAGTCTTGCCTTGATAGATTATGAGACAATGACTACTATTGAGGATAAAGGAGGTGCAAATTTGACTTGGAGTTTGCAATGTATGGAAAAGTTTTGAGTCAGTTACTGTGTAAACAAGAGAGCTAACAAAAAATAATAAATAATTACTCAGTTACAGTAAAGCACAGTTGAAGCGGCTCTTTAATTTGGTACAAATTAGATCAATAAAAATACTTGGAAGCTCAGAATTAAGGGTTAAACAGCAGGCAGTGAGGCTTTTTTAAAGCATCAAGACTGGTAGATTTTTTGGATAGATAAATATGGTATTTTGAGATGTACATCAATAACATGACTGATCATGAAATTCAAGTGTATAAGGAAGAATAGAAAGCCAAAGAGTGGTAAATATTCACTATAAGAAAAGTGAGAAAGGACAAGTAATCAGAGTATAAGAGGAAGTTCTCACTAGAAGAAAGAATTTGAAGAAGATACAGTATAAGAACTGGTTTTCAGAGTAGAGGATTTTAAGATTCCAAAACTTGAAAACTGAATAAGACTGCATGATGATTTGAGTTGAAGCTCTCTACTGGGTAGCTAAAATAGAGATGAAGTTTCTAAGATGGGAACTTAGAAAGAAATGTCAACAGACTTAAAAAGAATACTAAGTAGGCGATGGAATTTGTCAAGGAAAATAGTGGAAGATTAGTGTAAGCAAGGTGTGTAAACCATAGGTTATTGAAGAAGCTAGGACAAGGCTGTCAACATTGGCAGCTACTGGATTTATCTTAGGTTGGAGACAAGGTGTTATAAGATGATAGAATGAATTTCAAAACAAGGGAATACTTTTGGAGCAATGGTTATCTGAATGAGACAGTGATGAACAAGCATATTTTAATTTCTGCATTAAAATGTACCCAGCATTTCTTTTAAGCAAGTAAGACATGCACACATAAAAATGATTGTCATAAAGGAAGAAGTTTATACTGACAGACCCCTAGAAGCAGGGGTCACATAATTATATAATCACATAATTATATCAATTTAATTGAAGATATAATTTCTCATACATATAAGAACTAAAGACAAATTGGGGGTAGTACTGTGTATGCTAAGCCACAAATCAGTAGAATAGGAGTTGATAATATATCCATTAAGGCATTACCTGCTGGTAGCCATGACTGGGATTAATTGGATTTCATATGTGCCTTCTTGTTAAAGAGCTGAACTGGGGTCCACTCACCGGGCACAGTAGAACCAGATATGTACAGCAAGGTTTGCAGCTGTAGAAAGGAAGGTGTTGGTCTGCAGGGCCCAAGCAAGGAGGATCAGGCAGCAAATGCTTAAATTTAGAAGACCCCTTCTAGGGGTCACATGCTTCATGTGACCATGAAGGGTCACAGGGGAAGGAAGAGGGTCATTCAGGAGACAAAGGAGCAAAAGGGGAGAACATGGCCCAGAACCTTTATTGGGGCTTTTACAGGAAGAAATGACAAGGCAGGGTTGATATGCTAAAGTTTAAAATTAGGCTGTTTGAATAATTTCAGAGGGTTGTAAGTTATAAGGGTGGTTCTGACTTTTCTGGTATCTGGCCCAAGGGTGACTTGGGCAGGGGAAATACTGGCTTGATATGTGAAAGTGTGATAAAGGAGAGGGCTGGCGGGGTAGGGGAGGGGGGCCGGTGCGGGTTTGATTGGTTGGTTTGTAATTCATAGCAGCCCTTGCAGGGTAGTTCTTTGCTAATTCTAGGAATTAGCTAGCCCTGGCGGTGGGGGTAGTTTCTCTGGGAATCATAGCACCAAATGTTAGAGCATCAAGAATACGGAAAATGGGAAAATACAGTGAATATACCTTCTCTTCCAAGTAACTATGGAGAATAGAGGAAGTGACTAATTACATATTTCCTTTCATTAGCTAATTTAACTCTGAATGTAAATTTATTAACATTAAGATTTGATTACTTTTTCTTGAAACAAATACTAAAATGAAGAAAAAGTTCATGACTTTAATGATAAAATTACTCATTATTTTGAATACTTACCAGCTACTATGCTAAAAACTTTTCACACTTTATATACTATACAATCACTGATTACACTATATAATCATCAGGAAAACCATAATGAGATAACTACTATTAATATGTATGTTTACACCTAAGGAAACTGAGGCTTAGATAGTTTAAGTAACTTGTCCACGTTCACTGGGATATAAATCTAGGTCTGTCTAGATTCAAAAACCTAGGCTTTCTGTAGCAATATCTACCTATTTTTCATGCAATGTGTTCTTAATTCAGGAAATCACCCATTCAATTCCATATCATTCATTGGAGGCACAAGTTATGATAAAATAAAAAAAGTATAGAAGCTGGTGTCTACCTTAGTGGTTTCTGATTTGCTTAGGATTTAACTGAATTTCATTAGTTTTTCACTCTGAATAAAAGTAATCCTTACAATGATACATGGCATGCAGTCTATCTTAAGTTTTATTTTGAACATGGCAGTGGCATGTAATTTAAAAAAAAAAAATCAGCCTAACACTAAGTGTATGAGGCAATAAATCTCAAGTCTCCAGAGCAACATTTTTCTGCCACCCCCTTCCTTCAGACATAAAGAGATGTGGGACTGCTGCCAGAGAAATATAATAAAATGTAATAACAGTTATAAATGAAATACAATCAGAGGCCAACGATCTGCTTCTTTGCTAGCTGTCTTTATTCCTTCCTTGAGGATTCTATTTCTTCCTCTCCTTCACCATGATATTCCATTTCCCTTGCTTTCATTTTCCTACGTTTGCCACTATTTATAACATTTGCCCTTTCTCATTTATTCTCTTTTATGTGTTTTCTTTTTTCTTGAAGAAAAAAGATATCCTATGACTTCATTCCTATGTGTACTCAGGATCAGGGTTAGCTTTTTCTTTTGCCTTTTATTACTTTTTTTATACTGGATATTAATTTTTTCCCTCCTGTGTCTTTTTCCTGCATTTAGTTGGTATTAATACTGTGATCTTACTTCTGGGTTGGATGGAGAAGTTTCCTATGGACTATCATGTTTAGAGATTTTTTTTTCTCTTACCAAAGCCAGTCATAACTTTGCTTATGGGATCAGACATCAGAGTCCCTGAGTCTAAAGAACAGTGCCAAAGTATGTTGAAGGGGTTTACTCTTTCACTCTTTTACTTAGGTAGGTGAAGATATATTTATTCATTTACCCTTTCTTTCATCTCTGTATCCGTCCTTCCACCCTTTAACCAAGTATTTATTGAACACCTTATACTCATTTATTGACCCAGTTAATGATCATTTATAGAGCACCTATGATGTGCCAGGAGTCAGTGGCAAATGTGAGAATAGGTGGAAGCAAAAGATAAGATATGCATTGTCATGAGGTAATTTAAAAGGAATATTGAAGTCAATTGTCAGTCTTTTTTTTATCATCCTCACGTATCCAGATTTCTAAACGATGCTAGTGATAATCCTTCCCATGGAGGCTGTTCACTTCCACCACTTTCCATCTCCCCGTTGGTGTGGAACTTTCTAGTACAGAGCACAACAGATAAAAATTCCTGGCCTCTTGAAGGTTACATTCTAGAAGAAGTGGGTATATGTGTGTGTGCACATATATAACTATATTGATAATTTTATCAATTTAATTGAAGATATAATTTTTCATACATATAAGAACTAAAGACAAATTGGGGGTAGTACTGTGTATGCTAAGCCACAAATCAGTAGAATAGAAGTTGATAATATATCCATTAAGGCATTACCTGCTGGTAGCCATGACTGGGATTAATTGGATTTCATATGTGCCTTCTTATTAAAGAGCTGAACTGGGGTCCACTCACCTGGCACAGTAGAACCAGATATGTAAAGGAAGGTTTGCAGCTGTAGAAAGGAAGGTGTTGGTATGCAGTGCCCAAGCAAGGAGGATCAGGCAGCAAATGCTTAAGTCCCAAACTCGCCGATGCCTTGTAGGTAAGGGTTTCTAAAAGCAGGGGTAAATTGGGGAAAAAAAAAAAAAAAAAAAGTTACAGGCAAAACTGTAAATCAATGTATGGAGGTTACATATTGGTTTTGGCTTAAAAGGCCAGGGTATCTGAAAGCAGAGGCTTATAGGTCATAGGTAGATTCAAAGATTTTCTGATTTGCAATTGGTTAAGGAAGAGAAGCTTTGCTTAAAAATTTGGGGTCAGTAGAAAAGAACGTTAGCTCTAGCTCATGGTATGACTTTCTTCAGGCTTCTTAGGAAGAAATTTAGAACAAGGAATGGCAGCCAAAGTTCAATCCTCAGTTTCCCCTTATCTGAGGTCTATGTGACAGCAGGTCAAGTCTGTGGGTGTCTGGGTTTCTGAAAAACAACTGAGAGCTACATGTTAAGACGTTATCTTTACTTTCTTTAGAAGAACCAAGCATCCCCGTGATTTCAGCTTCCTTGGCTATTGTTTTTTTACTACTGTTACCTTCTGACTTATCAAGGTCCTTATTTGCTTCTTAAGATGAGCTAAGTTTCTGGAATTTCCTTTGAAGGAACTAAATATTTTTCTTTATTTTCATATTTGGGGGACCTGGCAGGCCCCTGAAGGGGTCTTTTGTCTCATTCTGTCAGTGTTGTTACATGCACTTGGGCATCATAATCACCTAGGGGTGTTCTTACAAATAGAGGTGTCCTAGCCCCATTCAGAGAAATTTTAATTTCATTGCTCTGTTGTATGACCCAAGTGTGTATATTTTATAAATTCCTCAGATAATTTGGGCAATCAGTGCTGAGAAACATATACTACATGACCCAAAAAGATCATGAAAAGGAAGTTAAACTAGTTGTTGTAGGTTTGTGTCTTCAAAAATATAATATTCCTGTGCCTCAGTATGTCAAAATATGACCTTATTTAAAAGTAGAATCATTATAGATATAATTAGTTAAGCTAAAATTGGATCTCCTGGTGTAGGCTGGACCCTTAATTCAATATGACTGATGTCCTTATAAGATGATGTGGAGACATACAGAGAGAATGCCAGGTGACGATGGAGACAAAGATTGCAGTGATGCAGCTGCAAGCAGTGAACACCTGCCACCATCAGAAGCTAGGAAAAGGCTAGAAAGACTTCTACCCATAGCATCAGAGAGAGCAGGGCCCTGATAACACCTGGATTTTAGAGTTCTCCGTAACTGCAAGATAATAAATTTCTGTTGTTTTACAGTACCATATTTGTGTTACTTTTTCACAGCAGCTCTAGACAATGAATATAGTAGATTTTGTCATCTGATGTTTATTGTGAATTTATGGTGATGAAGCTAGGAAATATCTTTGCTTTGAGCAATATTTGTATCTGTGTCACCTATATTTAGCCCTGTTGCAGGAGAACAATACACAGTGTTGGACCATCAGGAGAAAAATGTCAAGGAAAATGATTCTAAAGAAAACACATCTTGACCTCTCCACCCATATGAACTTTATTTCTATGCAAACACTGAAGGTTCCTCTAATGTTGCCAGCCAGTTACTAAATTGTTGGTAGCTTAAAATCAACCTTGATAACAGTATATAAGCTATGGAGATCTGCAAATGCAAAAAGTCAGGCTTTTGTTGTTGTTGTTGTTTTTCCAGAGAGTGTTCATCAGCATACTACTACAGGGCCTGGTGAGTCATATAAATGTGAGATATTAAATGTAGAAAAAAAGATGGGAAAGTTAATGGGTTTTCTTGGGCATGATAGGATAATAGGAAAGCATGAAGTGTAAACATCTTCCCTGTAAACAGAGGAAATCATAATGCTACACAGCATCTCAAAGAAAAGTGAATATGGGTTCAAGTTTGACTAAGTGGTTGAACTAGCATGGCTGCTGGCTTCCACTCCCAAGTTCAGCTTCGGAGGAATCAGTAGGGAAAAGGGAGAAAACTGACAAACCCCTGGGAGATGAGGTTTTAAATTGGTGTGTAGGAAGAAGTAGCTTTGACCTGTGACAGGAGGCAATCAAGCACTGCTGAGGTTTAAGTACAGTGAGGATTATTGGAGTTATGCTCTTATTTTTTCCAGGACATTTCCTGGAGACGAATAATGCCTGTGCCACACAGCTGGGTCCAGGTGTATTAGGAATAACTATCAAAGAATCCCTAGGGCTTACTGACTTCAGTCAATTGCTTCTCCATTTCCCATCTTTTCCCTTTCAAAACTCTAAACATTAGGAACTATATTCCAAGTATTTAATGAATACTTCTTGGGCTGAGAAGGAAAAATAATTGATAAAAGTGTTTGTTTTATAAGAAAAGGAATGATTGAATCTGGTTTTCTTAGACGGCTCTACCCATGGGCTTTTCTACTCCACATCTTCTGGATTTATCAGTCTGACAAATACTGGGGTTTTGGTCTTCCTTAACTCTCATTGCCTGAAGAAGAAAAAAAAAGCTAATATTCCTGAGGAAAATGAGTTCACAGATCAAAATAACAAGATATTTAGGTGAAAAAAAAAGAATTTCAAACTGTCACTTCAATATGAGAACATGATAAAAATCATATTAGAAATGTACAGTATCAGAAGTATTGTAACTGAGAAACTCATTAAATTTTTGCATGTAATACTTAAATCAGGAGTGGAAGTGAGAAAGACCAAGACATGTAAAACGATGCTGATTTCTATTTTATTAAAAGAGGTATACAGTTATCAATTTAAAAAAGAAATAATTAAAATAGACATTGCAAAAATAGGATATAATACAAAAATAAGACAGTAACAGTTCTAAATAAATCAATAGTTACAATAAATAAATATGGACAACCTTAACAGTTCAAAGACAAATTCTGACAGACTGAGAATAACATTCAAAATTTTGCTATATACTGATTACAAAAGACACTTAAAACATGAGGATAAACAAAAATTCAAAGAGAAGAGATAAAGACATTTAACACATGTTTTTCATTTCATTTCATATACTAGCACAAGGAAATTGCCATACTGATATTAGATAAATTACAGTTAAGATAATGATATAGGGTAGTGTCACTATCTAATGATGCAATTTCAATTTACCAAGAATTTATAGGTATTAGTAATGAAGTAATTTTGAAATATATGATGCATAAGCTGAGAGAAATACAAAAATAATTTCATAAATCCAAAATTTTATCAGTAGGTTGAACACACATCTGTCGTTTACTAACAGTTAAAAATGTAAATGAAAAGGGGTATATAAATATTTACAACAAAATCAGTAAACTTGCCCATAATCAATAAATTCATGGAATATATATATATATATATTCTACGTGTAACAATTAATGAAAGACATTTTTCACAGACACTTGCAAAGCCTTAGAAAATTTCAAAGGCAGGTATCATAAAGATTATAATCTTTGATCACAATATAAATTAGAAGTTAATGACAAAAATATAAATGTTTAAAATATCACACATTTGAATAATATAAAAACATTGCTAAATAACTCATGGTATAAAGAAGAAATTATACTAAGGAATGACTAGAACTGAATTTTAATGAAAACATTATATATCAAAGCTAGTAGGATACAACAAACCAATGCTTTACGAAACACATGTATAGCCTACTTAGTTTTTTTAGAAAATTAGAAAACTTCTAAATACATAAGCTAAATGCCCATCATAATAAAGTAGAAAAATAAAAATAAAACTTAAAGAAATTAGCAAGTGAAGTAAAAATCTAGCAAAATTCATTAAAATATAAACCAATACTACTGAGATCACCAAAGCCTAAGTAGTTGTTTGAAAAAAGAATTAAAGGGAGACAAACTTTTGTCAACAGTAATTAAGAGAAAAAGATATACATATAGAATGATAGGAATAAAAGTTGTAACACTAGAAGTAATATGCCAACACTTTTGCCAATAATTTTGAATACTTTTGATTAAATTGAAATTTGCAGAAAATATATCTTACTAGAATTAAACCAAGGAGAAAAAAACAGCATGGATAATATAAGCATTCAAGTAATTGACACAGTGCTTAAAATAATCCCACAAGCAAACACTAGGCTCAGAAGGTTTTAAAGATGAGTTCTTGTAAGTGTTCAAGCACATGATACCAAGTTTATTTAGTCTCTGACATGAAATTTTAAAGGAGGAATATTTTCCAATGTACTCTATGAGGCCTCATCAACCTGGTAAAAAATCTAGAGAAAACTATGTAAGAAAGAACAATTGCATGTCTATTTCACTTATGATGATAGATGCAAAAAAAAATTAACATATTAAGAAATCAAACACAACAATGTACAGAAAAAATATTGCACCACAACCATATTGGTGTTATTCCAGGTATGAAAAGACAATATAGTATTAGACAATCCAGAAATTCAATCCAACAAATTGATTAATTTAAAGGGAAAATAATATAATATTCTCTATACATGCAGTTTAAAAAATTAAAACCCATTTACAAGGAAGATTATTACCAAATTAATAATATAAGACCATTTTCTTAATATAATAAGGGTATAAAAAACCATGAGTAGCCGTCCTAAATTAGAGACATCTTCTTTTAAGACAAAAATGTCTATTATATTAGCTACTTATTCCATGCCCCACATCCTTTTGGCTCTCCTTTTACTCAAGTCATATTCATGGCATTCAGCTTCATTAAGGTGTAAACTGATAGCACTTTGCTTCGGTTACACCTCGCATTTTCGCTTTCGGCCTTGGATGTTTCTAAAAGCATGACTTAAGAGACAAGGGAAATCTAACTGATTTTTATGCATATGTGGTCTGGGAAGGTGAATGAATACCTCATGGACAATTCTTGACCAGGGTGAGACAGGAGCCAGTGAATAAATTCTCCCCTCTTTCTTTTCTCAAGTGAATAGTTGCGAAGTTCAGTCTACACAGTATCTTATATAACCTTGATGATGCAAATGGCCTCATTTATCATGGAGAGCAATCAAAAATCGGAAGTACCCTCTGTATTGCCTTCCTCTCCTTACATATTTTACTCTCATTAGCTTTCTGCCTATCTTCCCTGAAATTTTTTCCGCAATTAAAATCCTTGTTTTGTTCTGGATTAACCCTGGTTAAGACAGATGTTATCACTATTCTAGTCAACATTGTGTGAGCAGTCCTAGACTATGATTAAAAACATAAGTATTAGAAGGAAACAGAAGCTTATGTAGCTATAGATGTTATGACCTCTCAATTAGAAAATTTAAAAGAATCCATACGTATATTATTAAATGTAATAAGAGCATTTAGCAAGCTGGCTGGATATAAGATTAAAATATAAAAATGATACATTTTTATACAGTAACAGCATATTTTTTACACCAACTGCTGAATATTAAAGAAAAAATATTTTGTACAGTAGTAACATAATATCCAAAAACATATTTAATAAACTATAAGACTTCTGCAGGAAGAAATAAAACATTTTATGATGAGATATTAAAGAAAACAAATAGGGACATGTACCATCGTGGATAACAGGAATTAATATTTTACAGATATTAATCATCAAAAGACCAACTTTTAAATTTAATAAAATTCCAAACAAATTTTAACAATTTTTATTTTGGGAACTTGATAAATTGCTTCTTTAATTTTATGAAAAATTACTGCACTAAGTATATTCGAGGCGTTACTGAAGGCAAAGTCAGGAGGAGAGGGATATTACTTGATTATATGTTAGAATTAAGTTTGAAGCTAGAGAATTACTTAAAAAAGAAGCAGGGAAAAGGAAGGAATGCACAAAAATCCATCTTGGACTTGTGCAATGGTAAAGGCGGTGATAAGTCTGGAATTTACATTAAAGATCATATTAGAGAATATCTTAAATTCCATAACATAAGGAATTTGTTTCCCGTAAAGCAGGGGGAGAAGTTTGGAACATGTCTAATGTGCTGGAATTTTAGCACATGTTGTGTAGCATACATTGAGAAGAAAGAAGACTTGAAAGAAGCCAGGATGAGAAGTTTTTAAGTTGTCAGGAAGTGAATAAGTAATTGGTTAATGTTTTTGGATATTCTTAAGAACCTCTGACTTAACATATTTAGATATTAAGATACCTCCTTTTGGATACACTTAAATTACCTCCAATTCAATGTATTTAAATTGACTCCTATCATTTGTGTCTATTGATTTTATGATGCATAAGTACATTACTCTAATGATTAGCTAGGTATGATTTTTTTATATAAATATTCTAGCCAATAATCATAAAACATTCAATGATAATAAACCCAGGGCTGCAAATTTACAATGATTGACATAACTTGCATTTATTTGTGTGTGTTTAGTTAACATAGTTAAAATTAATTTTATTATTTTGAAACTATATATTGCATATTTATGACATGAATTTAATATATGAAATAAAAATGTTTATGAGAATTCTTTAGACTTGAATCTCTCATAGGAAAAAGCTTTGATTAGTATTTTATAATTTCCACAGTTATAATATATGTGACTTTTTCCAGAGCTTGATCTTTGGACTCTTTAACATTATTTCTGAAAAGAACAAAATTGTTCCATGCGTATGTAATAAAATATATGAATGATGAATTATTAAATAAAATTCAGGCCAGGCGCGGTGGCTCACGCCTGTAATCCCAGCACGTTGGGAGGCTGAGATGGGTGGATCACAAGGTCAGGAGACCGAGACCATCCTGGCCAACACAGTGAAACCCCGTCTCTACTAAAAATACAAAAAATAGCTGGGCGTGGTGGTGGGAGTCTGTAGTCCCAGCAACTCGGGAGGCTGAGGCAGGAGAATGGCATGAACCCAGGAGGCAGAGGTTGCAGTGAGCCGAGATTGTGCCACTGCACTCCAGCCTGGGTGACAGAGTGAGACTCCATCTCAAAAAAAAAAAATAATAATAATAATAAATAAATAAAATTCAATTAATATTTTACTAATAACCTTGAAGATCTGGTAGCACAACAAATTTCAGAATTGAAATAGCTGTTATAGATTGGTTTTCTTTTGGCTGTTATTGTTGTAATTATCAGGATATATGGGATTAAATAGACTCTCCAAACAGAATATAAACATTTTATCCTTTGCAGATATTTTTGGCCTCAGTTATAGATGACTAGTAAAAATTTACTGGTCTTTTTCTTTAGAAATTTTGAGAGATGGGTATATATATTTTCTTTTTTCTCTTATTTTGCATTGCATTGGGATGACAAATGAAATAATGATTTTACTGACTATAAATTCTTTTTTCTATTTTCAAATATCACAGATTTAAAGTGGAATTATTTATCTCAAAGGATTTACTGAATGGCCAAAATAATAAGAACAAAAATGAAGTTTCTCTAGTTAGGTTGTAGTAAACTTCACCAAGGACTCAGACAAATCTATTAAACAGCAATTATTTGACTGGGCACTCAGTGCAAAGGATGTTATAGACCAGGGGTCCCCAACCCCTGGGCTGTGGATGGGTACTGGTCCGTGGCCAGTTAGGAACCGGGCTGTACAGCAGGAGGTGTGCGGCAGGCAAAGGAGCATTACAACTGAGCTCCACCTCCTGTCAGATCAGTGGTGGCATTTGATTCTCATAGGAGCATGAACCCTATTTTGAACTCACATGTAAGGGATCTAGGTCAAGTGCTCTTTATGAGAACTAATGCCTGATGATCTGAGATAGAAGAGTTTTATCCAGAAACAACCCCCTCTGCCTTCCCTCCTTGGAAAAATTGTCTTCCATGAAACCAGTCCCTGGTGCCAAAAGGCTGGAGACCACTGCTGTAGACAATAAGATGAGAGAAGGCCTGGGCCATGCAATTCAGAGAATTTTTATCTTTACAAACTATGAAAACATTGACAATTAATAGTGCAACAGAAATAGTCAAGATGTAACTACAGCTAAGAGATATAGTTGTGATGCAGGAGAACATTATCATTGTTTCTAGTGGAAAGAGATCATCTTTCAGTGGATGTAAACCCTTTTCAGAGAAAAGGGTTTAAGAGGTATTTTCAAGTTTAGCAACTTTTAGATAAATGGAGAAAGACAGTGAATAGGTGGTTGTAAGATAGATAAATATTTATTTACGGAAAACTTATGAGAAATTAGGACAGGAATGTACGTTGAGATAATGTATCTCAGGACTTGAATGCCAAACTAAAGATTTTGGGCTGTTTTCTAGAAAATGGAGAAGAAAAAAGCAGTTAAATAACTAGATGAAAGTAGTGGTTTCGGGAGATAAATGTAATCATAGATGATTTTATATAGATGTGTGTGTGTGTGTGTGTGTGTGTGTGTGTATGTAGAGTACAAAAGTTACTACAAATTTACTACAAGAAGAAATACTGAGGGTAAAAAGAACAACTGGGAATAAAGACTGGTACAGAGACATAGTACTTTTTTACAATAATAAATGTGTATTTTTCTATACTTTGAATTACATAGTGGCCCCTCCTCCCCATTCCAATAATAGCTAAGGCATTTTTATCTTTATTGTTCAGCAAGGAGACAACACAGCAGTAAGGCAGAATACTTAGAATACTTGGGGTTTTATTTTTTAAGATAGCCATTTATAATTTATATTAGAGACAGCTTTGAGGGAAATAAACAAAAATTATGAGTTTCAAAACTCTGAACTTTTAAATGTCCTCTGCCATAAAGAAATTGCATAATACATGTATGCCATTAAGAAAAAGTAGTTTTAGAGTATAACCCATGGATCAGGTAACATCAGAATCCAGGAAGTAACATTGAGAAAGGGAACCTTCCCCACCCAAGGAAGTGGTGGGTAAACGTGTGACCCCGGGAAACCACGCTTCTCCCACGGACCTTTGCATCCCTTGGGTCATAAGATCCCCTCATGAACCCACTCCATAAGGGCTTCTAGTCTGACACACAGAGCTGTGTGCAGTCACACAGAGCAGCTGCTCAAGCACATGTAGAGACCCAGGAGCTTTAGATACTCTGGCTTTTTGGGCTTCCAAGAAAAGGTAATAGCAACTCCAGCAAAGTGGGAGGTTAGACCTCCATACATACCCCGAGGAAAGAGGCTGAATCCAGGTGGGCAAGCAGCAATGTTCTGCAGGCCCCGCTTCCATGTGACATAGGTCTGTCTCACAGGACACGACCCACTGGCTTGGAGTTGCAGCCAGCCACCAGTAGCAGTGTTGCCCCTACCTGGGACAGAGCTCAGTCACTGTTTGGGCAACTTAGCCATTCTAGCCTATAGGCTTTGGAGAGTCTAAACCGATCAGGAGTGGAAAGGATCCTCCAGCACAGCATAGCTGCTCTACCAAAATGTGGCTAGCTTGCTCTTTAAAGTAGGCCCCACATCTATTCCTCCTCACTGGGCAGGACCTCCCCACTGGGACCTCCAGCCACTTCTGCTGGTGTTCTCCTGCTGATAGATATTTGAAAAGTCCCAGGGACAGCACTCCCAGAGAGAGGGGCATGCCACCATCTTTGCTGTTTGGGAGAGTTAGCTCTTCCAGCCTCCAGGCTCTGGAGAGCCCAAGCCAACCAGGGGCAGAGCAGTACCCCAGCATAGCACAGCTGCTCTATGAAAGCATGACCACACCACTTATTTAAGCAGGTCCCTGATCCCATTTCTCCTCACTGGAAGAAACCTGCAAACCTGGGCCTCCAGCCACCCCCAAAGATGTTCTCTGGCCTACAAAGATTTAAAAACTCCCTGGGCAGAAATCCCAGAGGGAGGGGTGGGCCACCATCTCTGCTGTTTGGGCAACTTAGCAGTTCCACCCTCTGGGATTTGGAGAGTCTAAGCCAACTGGGGGTGAAAACAGTACCCCAGCACAGCACAGAAACCTGATGAAGCTATCCAAATTGTTTTTATAAGTGAGTCCCCAACCCCATTCCACATCACTGCGTGGAGCCTCCCAACCAGGGTCTCTGGCTACCTCTACTGGTGTTCTCTGACTGACAAAGGTTTTAGGCCACCCGGAGATGAAGGGGTAGGCAGAGGGTGATACCTCCAAGTGGACCCCCAGCATACCACAGCAACCCTGTGAAAAAGTAGCCAGACTGTTTAAAAAAAAAAAAAAAAAAGACCCATTCAAAGGTCAGCAACCTCAAAGATTGAAGATGGGTAAGCCCCTAAGGATAGAAAGAATCAGCTCAAGGAAACTGAAAACTCAAAAAGCCCAGAGTATCCTCTTTCCTCCATATGACCATGTCATCTCTCCAGCAAGGGTTCAGAACCAGGCTGAGGCTGAGATGGCTGAAATGACAGATGTAGAATTCAGAATATGAATAGGAAGAAAATTCACTGAGATAAAGAAGTACATTGTAATGGAATGCAAGGAAGCTAAAAATCATGATAAAACATTGCAGAAGATGGCAGACAAAAGAGACAGTATAGAGAATAATGTAGCTGACCTGATAGAACAGAAAAACATATTACAAGAACTTCACAATGCAATCACAAAAGTATTAATAGAAGAGTAGATCAAGTGGAGGAAAGAATATCAGTGCTCAAAGACTGGCTTTCTAAAGTAAGTCAGGCAGACACCGAACAAAGAAAAAAGAATGAAAACCTCTGAGAAACATGGGATTATGTAAAGAGGCTGAATCTATGACTGATTGGTGTACTTGAAAGAGATGGGGAGAATGGAAGCAACTTGGGAAACATATTCCAGGATATCATCCGTTAGAACTTTTCCAACCTAGCTAGAGAGGCCAACATTCAAATTCAGGAAATTCAGAGAACCCTAGTAAAATACTCCATGAGAAGATCATCCCCAAGACATATAATTATAATATTCTCCAAGTTCAAAATGAAAGAATGATAAAGGCAGCTAGAGATAAAGGCCAAGTCACCTACAAAGGCAAGCTCATCAGACTAACAATGGACCTCTCTGCTGAAACCCTATAACCCCAAAGAGAGTGGGTTATCAATATTCAATATTATTTTAAAAAGGAAGTTCAAACCTGAAATTTTGTATCTGGCCAAACTAAGCTTTATAAGCGAAGGAGAAATAAGATTCTTTCACACAAGCAAATGCTGAGGGAATTTGTTACCACCAGACCTGCCTTGCAAGAGTTTCTGAAGGAAGCACTAAAATGAAAAGACAAGACCATTACCAGACACAACAAAAACACAATGAAGTACACAGACAGGTGACACTGTAAAGCAACCACATAAACAAGTGTGCAAAATAATCAGCTAACATCATGATGACAGGATCAAATTTTCACATATTAATATTAACCTTAAATGTAAATGGGCTAAATACCCCCGAATAAAAGACACCGAATGGCGAGTTGGATAAAGAACTAAGACCAATTGGTATGCTGTCTTCAAGAGACCTATCTCACATGGAATGACACATATAGGCTCAAAACAAAAGGATGGAGGAAAATCTACCAAGCAAAAGAAAAACAGGAAAAAAGAAGAGTTTCCAATCCTAGTTTCTGACAAAATAGAGTTTAAACCAACAAAGACAAAGAAGGTACACCCAATACAGTAGCACAAAGATTCATAAGGCAAGTTCTTACAAATCTTCAAACAGAGTTAGACTCTCACACAATAATAATGGGAGACTTTCACTCCCCACTGACAATATTAGAAAAATCATCAAGAGAGAAAATTAACAAAGATATTTAAGACTTGAACCCAGAACTGAATCAAATGGACCTCATAGATATCTATAGAATTCTCCACCCAAAAACAAGGGAATATACATTTTTCTCATTGCTACATGGCACTTACTCTAAAGTCAAGTGCATAATCAGAAGAAAACACTCCTCAGCAAATGCAAAAGAATTCAAATCATAACAAACAGTCTCTTGGACCACAGCACATTCAAATTCAAAATCAAGAGTAAGAAATTCACTCAAAATCATACAATTACATAAAAACTAACCTGCTTCTGAGTGACTTTTGGGTGAATAATGAAATTAAGTCAGAAATAAATGCTATTGTGGAGTAAGTAAAGGGAATAGAGTTTTGACAAAGAAGTTTTAATATTGATAAATGTTTTCTGAGGTCCTGAAAAGATTATCTGAAGGCACTCTTCTCACAAAGAATATTAAATTGCTGGACCTAGCCCTAGAAAAAGAAAAGGAACTATGAGAACACACTGTCATTCTTCACCTGTTTTTTTCTCTTTTATAATTAGTATGTTATATGGTCAGTGTATAAATAATAACTAACTTCAGTGGAACAATATTGTCTAGACCAAGACCAAGGAAATGTAGTAGTTAACTGTCAACAATAAACAGAGAAGCAGAGGAAGACAATAAGTCAGCTACAGTCACAGAAAGTTAGTTGGAGAATGAAGGAGAGTGGCAGCAGCAAATTTAGGATGAGGTTTGGGTACAGTTACTAGGAAAGCAAAGGACAGATTCAATTTCTGAAATGGTAAAGTAAGAGAAAAGATACTGTATCAGTTAAACATTTCAGAAACCAGTGATTCATGAACATAGAGGTGCTGGGTTTTGACTTCGAAAGCATATGTGCTAGGGTGCTTTCAGATGCCAATAATTGAAATTCTAAATTAAACTGGTTTACAAATAAAGAAACATACTGTCAATAAACCCAGCAATCTGGTGGTCTTCAGGTATTGGTATGGTCAGGATACTGACTCCATTTCTTTGTGATTCTTTGTGCTCTGCCTGTCTATGTGTGTTTACTTGATCCTCAGAACAGTTTGCCTTCTGGTTGCAAAATGGCTAGCTAGCTACAACTGGAGCAATAGAATTCCTAGCTCACATTCAACTGATGTGTCACTCCTCCTCCAATCAAAAACTAGTCTCCCTTTAAGTTGATTGATTCAGTTTAGTCTAAGCCATTCCCCAAATCAGTAGGAGTTTCCAGAGAAATGTTTTACATTCACTAGATTAAGCCTCAATCCCTGGAAAGAGAGATTAAATCATCATAGTTAACATAAAATGAAAAAAATCAGCTTTTCCTGAGTCATAGGGATGCATAATTTAAGTTTTTGGAACAAAACTGAAGTTCTGTTAGGAAGAAAGAAAAGTTAATGTCTTCACTAGCCTTTATAGAATAGATTTTGTAAAATGCAGGATTTTCTTGATTCCAGGAGACATTTTTCTCCCCACAGGTTTTAATACCTCTAAAGTTGGGATGTAACTTACAATCAATGTCATCTTAAAGTTGAGTTGGCAATGATCTATTTTCTCTGTTTTAGAGTGACATAGGACACAGTGTTGCATATTAAAATTTTATACCATTATAGATCTTAGGTAACATGATATTTCCTTCAAAGATTAAAACTTTGCAAAAACTAGGACTTTCTTTATATAATGTGACTAGTCCTTTCATTTCTGCAAATACTTACTGAATCAATTCATTTAGGTATGTGAAGGAAATAATCTTGTCAATAACATGTAATAAACATATTTGAATTCTGTCAACTTCTTATTATGTATTCTACAATTTTAGCCCAAGCTACTGACACTTCTCTTATTGATTGTTTCAGTAGTCTCCTAACATCTTTCAGTATTCACTACTGGTCCCCTTTGAAATCTACCACATCACAGTTAGATGGGATTATTTGGAAGTTTAAATCTGCAATTCTGCTACAGGTAATTGTAGAACAGCTTGCATCAGACTTACTTGCAGATAAGTATGACAAAAACTACAAACAAAATATTAAAAATGACTTTCAAAATGGTGGACTTTCAAAACAGAAAAAAGCCAAAAGCAACCAACCACTGAAAGAAGTACCTGCACTCAATAAGATATCTGTTTATTGACATTTTAAATTGGAACACACCCTAAAACAAGTTCTTTGCTAGAACTCAAGTCAAAAGAGCAAGTGGGGTGCTAGGACAAACAGGGGTGCTAGAATTCAACTAATACCAATCAGGGACCGTGGCTCAAGTAGTCAGACAACAGAGTTTGGGGCTTCTTGAGAATCCAGAAAGAGACAGAATGCAAAAAGAAAGGAGCCACAGAGTGGGCAGCCTCATCATAAGCTATGTATATTCTCCAGCTAGATATTTGGATAACCCTCCAACTAAATACATGTATGGTCCCAAAGTGCATTCACAGAAAAACTCCCAGGAGCCTGGTAGAAAGTAACATCTAGGGAGACAGAGTATAAAGTTTGAGTCCAGCCAAGTCAACAGCTCACTAAGAGGATGGCATCAGCAAAAACAACATTCTTCAGATAAAGATGAAAGATTCCAGACATCCTAGGATGTATTACAGCATTGTCCAGGATAAAAAAATAAAATAGCAATTATTTGCAGTAACCAGAAAAGTAGCCTCTCATCAAAAGAAAATCATTCAATAGAAACAAAAACTTAGCTCATATTTTGAAAACATAATGATAAAGTTTCAGATTTAAAAAGTACAATATCTAAAATTTAAAAGATTGCCAGCTAGGCTTAACAGAAAATCTGAAATGGCAGAAGAAAGGACTAGGTAACTTGAAGACAGTTCCATAAAAATTACCAATATGAAATGCAGATACATGTATTGAAAAGATAAAGAGTCTCAGTAATTGGGAGAAAAAAACCCCTAGATATTGTATGTAGTTATACTTACTCATAGCTGTAATTGAAGTAAAAGAAAAAATATTAGGTCAGGAACAAATATTTGAAGAAATAATTTGGGAAGTTTTCTCGAATTTCATTTAAACACTCTTCCTTCCTCCCCATATACACTTAGGGGTTCAAGAATTTCAGCAAATCTTAAAGAAGATAAATACAACAAAATGCAGGATAAAAGACAACACATATATTATAGTTAAAAAGAAATACCTAGAAAGCAACCAGAGAAGCAATATACGTAGAGAGGAATAATGACACAATGAGAGCTGACTCATCAGTAACCATGTAGGCCAGAGCATGACATAAGAGCATCTTTAAAGTGCCAAAATAAATCCAAAGATCTGTCAACCTAGAATTTTCTATCCAGTACTATTATATTTCATAAACATAAGCAAGAAAAAGATAATTTCAACTGACATAAACTATGGGAATTAGTCACCAGCAGATCTGCACTACAAAGAAAGCATTACAATATTCCTTAGAATGAAAAGATAGATCTACAGAAAGGAGTTAAATGGTAAGTCTTTGGACAAATATAAAAGAATATATTAAGTTTCAAATAATTTTTATTTATAGACAAAATTTTTATTTATAGAAAAAATTATTTATAGACAAAATAACCAAATAGTCATCATCATCCAATACCCAGAGAGCCCACCACCATGTGTCTCCTAACATAAAACACCAAGAAGGAAACATCAATTTTGTCAAATTTGATTGCCTAAATCTAAGCATGAGAAAACATGGAGCAAACCCAAATTGAAGGACATTCTAAAAAATAACTGGTCTATGCTTTTCAAAAATATCATTGGCAAAAAAGGAAAGAAATGCTGAGGAATTGTTCCAAATTAAAATATAATATAAAGATATGGCTAGTAAGAGCAATGTCTGCTCCTGGGTTGGATAATAATCAAAAATAACATTTCTGAAAAAATATTACAACAGTTTGAATACAAACTGTTTATTAGTAATAATAATGTATGACTGCTTAATTTTCTCATAGTGATTTCTAAAAGGTATAGATGTGTTCAAGTCTCTTCCCTATTTGACGTTGTATCAAGGCTTACTGTTGGTTTCAAAGAAATCCAAAGTTAACATTAACAAGATCTAGATGGTTCCAAGCATTCTGGCTTCTGATTACCTAGCATCTTTCATCTCAGCTCCTTGTATGCTAACTTTGTTCAAAGCACACAAACATACATTTTGTGCACTCTGTATCTCTCTTTATTATCTCTCTTTTATTTTTCATGATTTTGGTATTCCACCTGTTCTTTCTTATATGTATTTCAACAGTTCTTTCTTTCAACTGTTCTTGCTTATATAGGGTTTTTGCTCCTATCTGGTTCTGTTAAAAAATGTTACTACCTAAGCCCTACTCACTCTTCAGAACTCTCCTTAAAAATTTCTTCCATAGAAAAATATTTTTTTCACATGCCTCATAATCTTTCTTTTATACACCACCCTAACATTATGTATATCTTCTTTATAAAATGTAGGATAATTGTAAGCCAGTAATCTACTATGTTATTAGTTATATATTTATCAGTTCTTCCAGGTAGAATGTAAGCTTAATAAGGATAAGGAATGGATCATTACTCTTTAGTACTATAGCTCCAGCAATCAGCTCAGTGCTTGGCAAATAGACACCGCTGAATACATTTTGTTGAATGAATAAACAAGAAAGAGTGTGAGTATGGAGAGGAACAGTTATAGGTAAGTGTTGTTTGTGTAGAGAAAAAGACTGAAGAGACTCTTAAGTGTCTACTGCACTCCTAATTTCCTTTTGAAGAAAGTGGCTGCAGTTGTTGACACCTAAGAAAAGTTGTTCTCATTTTGCATCATATAACTATGGTTCACTGGCCACAGCTTATTGGCCTATGGATCACTCTAACCAACGGCATCCATCTAGAGGTTAGAAAAGAAATGAAAGTTTCTAATCTTTGAGATGACTCCAAATGTGAGTGCTGTACATTAGTTCTGTACTAGGTTTTGTATTGAATGGTGATTGATTGTGGTAATAAGTTTCTCACTTGGGTTAGGAGTTACAATTAAGAGACAAAGATATAAAGATTATTTAAAAAGAATGGTCAGCATTGTAGAAGATATCAAACATAAAAGATAAAATTAAAATAGATTGAATAGCAGAATCCTAAGAATGCCAGTCCTGAGAATGAAAATCTCTAGAATAAAAGAAAGTAGATAAATTTTATTAGGAGTAACAGGATGGCACTACCATGGACTCCCCTTTTCTTTCTATTATATATTAAAAGAAAAGAATCTGAAAGAATTAAACATATGCCACCCCATCATATGCCAGTCTGGCATATGGACTATTTTGAGTTAAAGGTACTTAAAAACCAGCAGGTACAAGAAGATCACTGTGACCTTTGAGCTATTTCTTAAAAGCAGGAGATGAAATTCCCATATGAAAATGTCTTCTTTCTACCAGAAGGAAAGTATCATTCTAGTATCATTCTCATCTTCCAGGACATAAAGTTGGGGCTGAGGGAAATCTGTATAAACCTTGTTAAATTAAGCCTTATCTTTCTTGCCACATCTATACCCAATTAATTATCTTAGCCAAATCCCTTTTGCCTTGTCACATTTTCATAGTTTACTACTATTTCTCCAATTCAGTAGATAAGCTTTCAACTCTAACTGCATCTTTGGTTCTTCATTTACTTGAGGAAGACCGCTATGTCACATAAAATTTACTTTAAATAAATTTGTAGGCTTTTTTCCTGTTCATCTTTCTCTTGTCAATTCAATTATCAGATCCAGCCGAAACACCTCGAAGATATAGGTAAAATGTTGTCTCTCCTACAGATTCATCCTACTTTTCTATTTAAGACCTAGCTTTGTGTTTGCTGATATGGTTTCTTCTGTTTCGTTGCTCAACCCTAACTACCTCTGGTAACTTGATCATGTGCCTGTTACATATGACACATCTTTCTGTTCTTCTAACACACCTTTTAAGAAAGAAAAATTGTAAACCATATCTTAGTTATATTGTCAGCCAGGAAGCATAATAATAATCATAAATTAGGCCGGGCGCGGTGGCTCACGCCTGTAATCCCAGCACTTTGGGAGGCCGAGGCGGGCGGATCACGAGGTCAGGAGATCGAGACCATCCCGGCTAAAACGGTGAAACCCCGTCTCTACTAAAAATACAAAAAATTAGCCGGGCGTAGTGGCGGGCGCCTGTAGTCCCAGCTACTTGGGAGGCTGAGGCAGGAGAATGGCGTGAACCCGGGAGGCGGAGCTTGCAGTGAGCCGAGATCCCGCCACTGCACTCCAGCCTGGGCGACAGAGCGAGACTCCGTCTCAAAAAAAAAAAAAAAAATAAAATAAATAATAATAATAATAATAATCATAAATTAGGGTATTTTTGAGATTTCTATTACACTGTTTTGTCATTTATTTTGAGTAATATTTCCTTCAGTGAAAATCAGTTTTACTCATAAATAAGTACAAATAAGTGCTACTTTCCATGTATACCTTAGAATTTTATCAGTTAGCAAGTTCACTACAGGTGTCCAGCTTAGAGCGTTAATATAACTTAAAGACAATGATTAGTCTACACAAAATTACAAACAGAATGGTATACATTAAACAGATTTTCAAGGGCATTAAATGACTTGTGTAACTAGTTGCTGTATAATCAAATCATGTTATAATAAATTACATAGAATAATGAAAATTCTCATAGGCATGCGCACAGGCAAGCATGCATCACAATTACACATGATGCTAGAAGTTAGACTGAGGCAATCACACTAAATTTATTCAGATGTTATTCATCCTAAATCATTTGAAATCTAGAACAAAGCTTATCAAATCTGAGATCAATAATATCTTACAAGGACTCTATATTATTTAATGAAGGACTTTTAAGGTCTTTTATTTTTCATAATGTATTTTTGGAAGTGCTGAATAGACATTAATGTAACTGCACTTTAATAATTTCAATTAAATACATTTGTCAAAACAATGTCACTTGTTAATGTTCCTCTACAGATATTTTCATGGAGGAAACCATATTAATGCTAAAGTCAGAGTCACTGCCTTTAAAAGCCCTTAAATGTTATTTGTGTAAAATGTGTGACTGGGAACATATACAACCAGTGAAATAGCAGGTTCCAGTATAGGAGATTATAACCCACCACAAATAACCTTGATAAAAGGCCAGTAACTTTCAAAAAAATCTTATCCAGTCTGCAGAGCCCACAAAATAAATTTTATAAGTGGCCCAGTAAAGAAGGTCAAATATTTTACACTGACAAAATTTTATTAAAGTGGCCCAGATCCTCAAAAGAATTACTGACAGAAGATATCTGAATCAAATAATGGCTTCTCTTATTTGCCCTATTGTATTTTCTTATTCCCTTTGGGCAACACCTCTCTTCAAATTGCCAAGGCTCCTCAGAGTCTCACACTGATATTTGCCATCTGTGTGTACGTATGCTGATCCAGCTGTCACTGCCTAGTTACCTGATATATAGACTGGGTTTTGATTCTATCTGTTTTCTTCTAGTGTTTGAGCCTTGTGTATATACAAGTTGATTCTTTTCTCTATATCTGATGCAGTTTGGATATTTGTCCCTGGCTAAATCTCATATTGAGATGTAACTACCAGTGTTGGAGGTGGGGACTGGTAGAAGGTGTTTGGATCGTGGGGGTGGATCCCTCTTGAATGGCTTCAGTCATCTCCTTGGTGATAAGTGAGCTCTTGCTCTGAGTTAATAAGAGATCTGGTTGTTCAAAAGTGTGTAGTAGCTTCCCTCCCACTCTTTTGCTATTGCTTCTGTACTACCCATGTGAGGTTCCTTTTCCCCTTTTGCTTTCTGCCATGATCAGAAGTGCCTTGAGGCCTCCCCAGAAGCAGATGGAGCTATGCTTCCTGTACAGCCTGCAGAACCATGAGCCAATTAAATCTCTTTTCTTATAAAATACTCAGTGTCAGGTATTTCTTCAGAGCAGTGCAAGAATGACCTAATACAATATCATTGCTTAGTATTTCTCACTGTAGGGTCAGCAAGTGGTTTGATGAGTAATGTCAAAGGAAAACAATGAGGAAAACATTTTTAAGTATATTTCAAAATTTTGAGATACTAAGTTAATTATGATTTTAGTATACATCCCATAGTATTCTTAATGATTTTTACATTTCTAAAGGTTTTTTTAAAGAAAGAAATTGATCATTTAATATTATTTGATATTAAATAGCTTTTAATGTAATTTTCCAATGTCTTTAGCATGTGGTGGTTTATATTTATCAAACATGAATGTTTCAATAGAAATGATTTTTATATTCCCAAAAAATAAAAATAAAAAGAATAGCTTAAAAGTGGTTAATTAACATATCATCACATTATCATTGTACTAGAAAATAAAGCCTAAAAAATGTAATAATAGTAAATAATTAAGAGGACATTTGGATGAATTTCTTTTTCTGGGGATAATGAAATTTAAAAGTGTCATGATTTTAAATAATTAGAAAGGTATGTATAGGAAATGTTACGATGATCATTTGAAAAAACAGATTTTTGGGGAACATCAATTCATTCTTCTCTAGTCCCCAGTGTGTTGTAAAATAGTGGCATGTAGCCATCAAGTGCTTTAATTTCTCCCCCAAAACAAAGTTAATTATTTTATAAAAATAATTGTTTTTCCCCCAGAGACAGTACAAAATAAAGCTCTCCATTATGAAACTGATTATTAATGTGGTTAAGACCACAAAAACCTCATTCAAATTTTATAATCTCAAAGACTGAGAGCAGAATGAGCTTTTGGCAAAATTTTTCAAATGATACTTTTCAGTGTCCTGGAAGATGAAGTCCAACAGCATGGAAGAGTAAAACTACCAAATTTACATATTTACATTCTGGGTGATTTTTTTTTTTTTTTAACAAAGGAAGTGGGAAATACATTACCAGACAGCTTTATTTTCTTCCGAAAGTATCTTGTGAACATTACAGATAATAGTTTAAATAACACAGAGGTGGTATAAGCTATAAGGCTGAAAGAATAATTAAGTGAAGAGAGGAGAAAAGATGCATGATTTAGAAAAGCATAGAATAAGCTGAAATTTGTAAAAAAAAAAAAAATTAAAGTGGCATGTCTACTACAATTTGAAAACTAGCTTAAGCCTTCATTTGCCCTTTCATTTTGTGAAGGCACAGCATTTGTTCCCCCTGGAGGATGTAGCAAAAAGGAATCATCTTGGAAGCAGAGACGGGCCTCTCACCAGATACCAAACCTGCTAGCATCTTGATCTTGAATTTCACAGCACCCAGAACTGTGATACATAAATTTCTATTTTTTATAAATTCCCAAGAATGTGTCAATTTGTTATAGCAACAAAAATAAACTAAGACAACAGATAGATAGATAGTTTTATATCTATTTTATTGATTTTTTTCCAAAAACCATCTCCCAGATTTGTTGATTTTTAGAAGGGTTTTTCATGTCTCTATCTCCTTCATTTCCACTCTGTGCTTGGTTATTTCTTGTCTTCTGCTAGCTGTGGGGTTTGTTTGTTCTTGGTTCTCTAGTTTTTTTAGTTGTGATGTTAGGGTGTTGATTTGAGACCTTTCTAGCTTTTTGAAGCTGGCATTTAGTGCTATAAAGCTCCTCTTAACACTGCTTTAGCTGCGTCCCAGAGATTGTGGTACATTGTCTCATTGTTCTCATTGGTTTCAAAGAATGTCTTGATTTCTGCCTCGATTTCATTATTTACCCAGAAGTCATTCAGGAGCAGGTTGTTCAATTTCCATGTAGTTGTGTGGTTTTGAGTGGATTTCTCATCTTGAGTTCTAATTTGATTGTGCTGTGGTCTGAGAAGACTGACACGATTTCAGTTCTTCTGCATTTGCTGAGGCGTGTTTTACTTCCAATTATGTGATCAGTTTTGGAGTAAGTGCCATGTGGCCCCAAGAAAAATGTATATTCTCTTGTTTTGGGGTGGAGAGTCCTGTAGATATCTATCAGGTCCACATGGTCCAGAGCTGAGTTCAAGTCCTGAATATCTTTGTTAAATTTCTGCCTCAATGATCTGTCTAATACTGACAGTGTGATATTAAAATCTCCCACTATTATTGTGTGGGAGTCTAAGTCTGTTTCTAGGTCTTTAAGAACTTGTTTTACGGATCTTGGTGTTCCTGTATTGGGTGAATATATATGTAGGATAGTGAACCCTTCTTGTTGAATTGATCCTTTTACCATTATGTAATGCCCTTCTTTGTCATTTTGATCTTTGTTGGCTTAAAGTCTATTTTGTCAGAAAATAGGATTTCAACCCCTGCTTTTTTCTGCTTTCCATTTGCTTTGTAAAGTTGCCTCCATCCCTTTATTTTGAGCTTATGTGTGTCTTTGCATATATGATATGTCTCTTGAATACAGCACAATAATGGGTCCTTTGTTTGTTTGTTTGTTTTTAAGAAGAAGTCTCCCTCTGTTCCTCAGGCTGGAGTGAAGTGGCATGATTTTCGCTCACTGCAATCTCTGCCTCCTGGGTTCAAGTGATTCTCCTGCCTCAGCCTCCAGTGTAGCTGGGACTACAGGCACATGCCACCATGCCTGGCTAATTTTTGTATTTTTAGTAGAGATGGGATTTCACCATATTGACCAGGCTGGTTTCAAGCTCCTGACCTGGTGATCCACCCGCCTCGGCCTCCCAAAGTGCTGGTATTACAGGTATGAGCCACTGTGCCCGGCTGGTCTTGTCTTTTTATCCAGCTTGCCATTTTGTCTTTTAATTGGGACATTTAGCCTATTTACATTTAGTGTTAATATTGTTATGTGTGAATTTCATTTTGTTGTCATGATGCTAGCTGGTTAATTTTTCAGACTTGTTAATGTAGTTGCTTCATAGTCTCATTAGTCTGTGTACTTCAGTGTCTTTTTGTATTGGTTGGTAATGGTTTTTCCTTTCCATGTTTACTGCTTCCTTCAGGAGCACTTACAAGGCAGGCCTAGTGATGATGAAATCCCTCAGCATTTTCTTGCCTAAGAAGGATTTTATTTCTTCTTTGTTTATGAAGCTTAGTTTGGCCAGATAGGAAATTCTGGGTTGGAAATTCTTTTTTTTTAAGTATGTTAAATATTGGCCCCCAATCTCTTCTGGCTTGTAGGGTCTCTGTTGAGAAGTCTGCTGTTAGTCTGATGTGCTTTTCTTTGTAGGTGACCTGGCTTTTCTGTCTGACTTAGCATTTTTTCCTTCATTTTGACCTTGGAGAATCTGATAATTATATGTCTTGGGGTAGATCTTCTCATGGAGTATCCTATTGGAGTTCTCTGGATATCCTGAACTTGAATGTTGGTCTGTCTTGCTAGTTTGGAGAAGTTCTCCTGGATGATAACCTGAAGTGTGTTTTACAACTTGGTTCCATTCTCCTTATCTCTTTCAGGTATTCCAATCAGTCGTAGATCCAGTCTTTTTACATAGTCCCATAGTTCTTGGAGGTTTTGTTCATTCCTTTTTGTTCTTTTTTTCTCTAATCTTGTCTGCCTGCCTTTTCTCATTTGCTTGTTTGATACGCCTATTGATAGTTGTGTTTGCATTGTGAAGTTCTTGTGCTGCGTTTTTCAGCTCCATTGGGGTGTTCAGGTTTCTCTCAAAACTGGTTATTCTAGTTATCAGCTCCTATAATCTTTTATCATGGTTCTTAGCTTTTTTGAGTTGGGTTAGAACATAATCCTTAAGCTCAGTGAAGTTCGTTATTACCCACTTTCTGAAACCTACTTCTGTCATTTCATCCATCTCAATTTCAGTACCATTCTGAGCCCTTGCTGGAGAAGTGTAGCAATCATTTGGAGGAGAAGAGACATCCTTGCTTTTGGAATTTTTAGTGTTTTTGTATTGTTTTTTTCTCATCTTTGTGGATTTATCTACCTTTGATCTTTGAGGCTGTTGACTTGACCTTTGGATGGGGTTTTTGTGGGGTCTTTATTGTTGATGTTGTTGTTTCTGCTTTCTGTTTGTTTTTCTTCTAACAGTCAGGCCCCTCTTCTGCAGGTCTGCTGCAGTTTGCTGAGGGTCCACTCCAGACCCTGTTCATGTGGGTATCACAAGTGGAGGCTGTGGAACAGCAGATTGCTGCCTGCTCCTTCCTCCAGAAACTTCATGCCAGAGGCACACTTATCTGATGCCATCCACAACTCTCCTGTATGAGGTTTCTGGCAACCCCTTTTGGGAGGTCTCACCTATTCAGAAGACACGCTATCAGGGACCCGTTTAAGGAAGCAGTCTGACTGTTTCTTAGTAAAGCTGTTGCACTGTGCTATGGAATCTTCCTCGTCCAGATTGCCCAGGCTCTTTAGAGCCAGCAAGCGGGAAATATTAAGACCACTGAAACTGAATGGGTTTATGGAGTTTCTCATGCTGACATATTAGAATTCAAACTCCCCTAGTCTTTTTTTGCTGATTGTCAGTTCAGAAAATCAAACCCTTTCATCTTCTGTTGTCTAATTTCCGACATATGCTTATAGCAAATATATTTTCTGGTACACCTGCTATATTTTAATGCTTCTATAAAAACATTATGTATTATTATAAACTTTGATTTATTCTCCCTACTATATTTCCAATCATCTTTAAGAATTTCAAAGCACTGCTACATTGGTTATCCATGCATATACTCCATTAACCACTTTGCATGACTCTGAAAACATAGGTTAAACATGTTTTCTAAGTAAATTGTAGGTGGGTCATAGTTAATTGTAAGCTTTCTTCCATCATGAACTTCAGATTCTAATAAACAATATGACATTGAAGAAGAATATGTTGTTATCAAAAAAGAAAACATCTCCTACAACTCTTTCTGTCTACTTTACTCTTAAGCTCTTAATTAGTGATGGAAGGGAGGGCAAACAAGCCTTTAAAGACAACAGAGAAGTAATTGAAGGTGGTGTTTAGTGACAAGAAAAGGCTATCTATTATATATACCAAATGGTGTTTATTGGAACACTTTCTGCAAAGTCTGTAAGTGGCAGTGTCAATCCCCTGGAAAGATCTGCAACAATGTGGCTTAAAAGAGAGACCAAACCCTTAACCAGGAATGCCTGAAATCTTGACAGAATAAGTGAACCTTAAGCCTTCCAGCACTCTGAATATATGCTATATATTTCTGTTGACTTGGAGTTATTTCCCTAAGTGCCCTCTTTTGGGGTACTATCACTGAAATAGCATCAGGTGTAACATTCCTATTTTTCTCATCATATGATGAGGTGACTGTAGAAGAAAAAGAGATTAGTAGAAAAGCCTTTTTATTCAATTCACAATTACATAGATGCATATGCATGTAAATATGTAATAGTTTCCATAGATTAGCATAGATCATAATTATTGACTGAAAAGTAAAATTAGGTATAGTGCTTACTGTTATATTTTTAAAGATTCTAGCACTAATTATGCTGTGGTAATTTCACATTTCAAGTGTTTCTGTCTTTTTTTTTTCTGAATCTTTTACCTCCTCCCTTGCTCTATATTCTCTGGCAGCAGCATCCTTCTCTCAACTTCTTCCAGTTTTACTATAATAATTTCTTATAAATACAGATCATCTGAAATAATACAAGGTTTAGCACCACATTTTACAACCAATTTGAGATATGGGCTGTTGTCACTGTTGTGAGAACATGGAAGAGTCTATGAATTAATCAACAAAAGGTAGTAAACATAAATAAATGAGACAGTATTTTCCACTTGTAGTTTAAAGTACATTGAGTCTGATAACCTTTATTAAACCTTGTGTTCACTTGCGAGGAAATCACTATACCTGGTGGAGGTGACTCTGAGCCCTGGTGTCCAATTTGCTGAATTCAAATCCCAATTTTACAACTTATGAGCTATTTGAGTTAAGGAACTTATTCAAATGTTTATATCTTAATTTTCCCAATGATTAAATTTGGGTTAAAAACAATATCTACTTTAAAATTATACATGGATTAAATAAATTCATATGAAAGTGCTGAGTATAATGCCTGGTACATGGTGAATACTCAATAAACATTAGTTATTAATATAGTCATTCAATATACTGAAGCTAGTATTGCCGTTATCTTACCATCTCTTTTCCATTTTTTAACTGAATTTATTCAATGAATGCTTCCTATTTTATGCTTTTTTTAAAGTTCAAACATCGTATGTAGATATGTCTTATATCTCAATATAGCAGAGAATATACTTCCAGTCTGTATAAAAGATCTGTTTCTATAGCTAAATATTCTCACTCAGCAGGCTTTTTTATTGTACTAACTCCCTGTCACAGTTTAGGCTTTCAAATTTTTTTGAACTCATAAATGACTTCATGATATGATTAACCACTGAATTGCAATATCATTTTTCCCATTTTATTTTTTAATCTAATAAATTTGGCTTGATGTTTCCTAACTGTGCTTATTATCCAACTAAATTATAACTCTTTGAGAATAAGAACTCTGTTTTATGCTTCCCCATATTATCTGAAAGATGTGTTGATTTAATGAAAATAGATTACATAAGTAACAATATAGCTGAGTTCTATAAAACTCACCAGTGACTAAATCAGGGCTCATAACATAATGAAATTGGGGTTCCTTAATGAAGCCTCACTTAGATTGGTTTGGTTGCTTCTTCCTGTTTCCTAAGTCACATGTAAAGACTTGTGATCCTCCAGTTTGAACTTGGTACAAAATGGTATTCTTGGAGAGTACTAAGTCTTTCTTGATGTAAGAGACACAGATTGTATTCCTGTAACAGTGAAAGAGATATTTTTATTTTGGATTTTGCTTGCATTAGCACTTTCTTCATTATTCAGTTTAGGTCCCAAGCTAATATAGCACAAAGAAATAACTCTTCATACTTAAACATATTAGAATAATTATGTGGTCTGAAAAAAATATGGACTTTCTGGCAGAAATGCAGTACAGAATAAACACAGACCAATGAGTCAATAAAGATATATTAAAATGATTAAGTATGATAGCTATACCATTACCTCCAGGATCTACATTTGGATAGACTTCATTGATTTTACTTGCAGTCCCATCCAAATTTCCTTTACACTGTATTCTTTCTTGCAGTGACTCGTTAATATTTTGAGTTCCACTTTGCAGAGACTGTATTTGCCTGAGTTGGAGACCTGTATATAGAAAAACATTTTACAAGTGAAAGTAAAGACTACCTTAGAATTTTATTTAGCTGGAACTTATCATATTACTTACTCTTTTTGTAAAATAAGATTTTATTTAATCCAAGGGAACTTTAGAGGTTATTTAAACTTATTTGGGTAGTATAAGGGGTAAAAAGGACTTAACATTTTTACTAATAAAAGATATCAATATCTTACTTTATGGAAACTTAATCACTTGGACTTCATTATAAGAAAGATAATACTGCCTTATTTAATTCTGACAACACTCTCTTGTAGGAAATACTATATTAACTATTTTACAAATATAGATCAAGGTCTCAAAGTGAATGCCTAGCTCACAATGATCAACCTGATCTGTGATACAACACCATATGTATCTAAATTCAGATATTTTAACCTTTTAAAATTCATCACCCTGCTTTCATACTTTATTCTCTGTACAATAAAATGTCACATTTATATGAGCATGCTAATTTATCTGGCCCTCAAAATATACAGAATCTAATCATAATGACAATATTGTAATTGCATTTTATAAATTCCATATTATCTTTGATTAATACTAGTAAAGAATCCATAATATTTGCTTCAATAAGATATTTTTTGAAAGGGGATACAGATGTGAAATCATTTGACTTACATGTAATTTGCATATTCTGAATGACAATTTTGCCCTGAAATCCTCAGTGACAGTTGAATTTTAAGTTGGACCATACGTCATCAAATAAATAATTTGCCTTGGAATTTGACTTGTAATAATGCCTAAGCCTTCAACTTTGACCTTATTGTCATTAGATATTAATGATCTATACCAAAGAATAGCAAAGTTTATGCTAGCTTTTATTGAGATTTTATTTACAAGGACATACAGTCACTAAAATTCATTAGGTTCATAAGTGGAACTTTGTATCCTGAATGTATTCATGCCTTAAATGAATTGCTTTAAGATATGAAATTGAATTCATATTATACAGTTAATGAGAATATATTACATAGATTTTTCTGTTACTTTCTTCACACTTTTCTCTCCTACTTAGATATTAGAGTAATTTGGAGTTTGAGGGTAAAAATCCATATTTTAAAAGGGCACCGTTTAAAATATAAAACCAGTTATTGGAAGATAAACCAGTCTTATATATGACACTTGAATTTATACTCAGTAGAATTAACAAATCTATACAAAAGCCTCTTCAAAAATAAAAGTGACCATGATCACCAGTAATTTATTCCACCATGTTTTACACCATATAGTCCATGTTTATGAGCTAACATTGAATATTCCTTACATCTCCCTGTTCAGAATACGGTGCAGGGAAAGGTATCTGTATGCAACACTGAGCAGTATCAAAAGGCAGTGGTCATGCCTAAAATACACTATAAAGGTCACTACTGGAAAAGGAATAAATGTTGTATCCCAAGGCATACTTTCTTCATTATCTCCCGAAATGCTCTCAAATGCGGTATCTCTGTAAGAATTATAGCATACGTAACACCATCTTTCATGGGGCAAAGTTCATTTTGCTAAAGCATTCAGCATTTCATGATTCTTGCTTGGAAATTTGGCTTGCAACAAGAAGTCCAAGGGTAATCTGAAATAATCCACGGAGGCTTCAAAAATTTCACTGTGCATTCTATAAAATACACTTTATAGTAATAATTTCATTGAGAATACCTAATTAGGCACTACATATTGACGCTATGCATCAGAGATGGGAGTTATATCAATTGACCATTTCATTTATTGAGTTTGACAATCTAAATTCTCAATTAAAATGACAAATGACTTTCTTGTAGCCAAATGATACTTCACCTTGCAATTTTCCTTTCCCTTTTCAATCTTATTCTAGCATAAAGACAGAGACTATTGTTCATAAATATTGTAAACATCTACCATTTGCTTTGTTCAGCCTCAACGGTTATTTTTATGCAATTAGCATCTTGTATCTATTATTACTGGCAATTATCATACGATATTTAAAACATACAATTTAAGACAATAAACACTAGAATGCCTTAGACTCTACCACCCTCTAATGTGTTTCTGAGAAGAAGCCGCAGCCTTTGTCATTGTTTCTTTCAGCAAATATTTACTGCAATGCTTTTTTGTGCTGTGCACTTTACTGGGTGCTTTAATTGATGACTCAGCTCTGCTTGTTTGATACAAGAAATGTATCTCCGTTCATCTTTTTTGCTTCTCTCTCTGTTCATTGTTACTTAAAATCTAGCTTAAGAACTCCACAGATGTGATTTGGGAGTTTCAGGGAAGTTCCTTATAAACAAAGATCATGATTATTTGAAAAGAATGACTAGAACATGCTATTTTTCATGTGATATATTTTCATCTGCAAAGCACATCTGGACAGAACACTTCTGGCAATAAATAATAAAACAGCAACATAGTAGATAAGGGAAAGTCTGATCCAAAAGAAAACCAGTCAAGGCTATACATATCGGCCAGCAGGCAAATAAAAGCAAGGGAAATCACTGTTTACAGTGAGCAGGTGGTGATAGAAGCTGATAAAAGAATGAAAAAGGAAGAAAATAGGATTCATGCTCTGAAGATTTTGAAGTCAATGCTACAGCTGGCCTGGTGACCCAAAACACAACAGTGCCCACCCCACAGGCACAACATATCTGGCTCAAGGCTGAAGTCACAAATACAGTACTGAGTAACCCTCTGTCTGGGAACTTTAAAGCCAAACAAGGTCATGGAAAAGTCAGACTGTTCTTTTTCTTGACAGCCAGTGCATAGAGCAGGGTACAAACTTAATTTTTGCACAGCTGTGGAATCCACTGAATGTTCCTGCACAGAACAATCTGCCTGTGATGGAGATGATCTGCTGGAAGCCCTACAAAGCAAGAATTACAGACATCAGGCAGGTTTGTTCGTGAAAGCAAGGCTTACTACAATTATGTCCAAATAAGCAGTACAAAGTACATGTTCTCTAATGGTGTGGGGGGAGGTACCAAATTCATGCTATTTCAACTATGTAATTGTCAAGTAAGACTGAGTCACTGCCAAAAAGCAATTCCACATTTGTGAGATTGTTGCACTGCCCTCCTATAAATCATTCAGCAAGACAGGTGCTTAGCCTTCAATTGTGCTTTCTCTATCTGGGAAGTGTCTGGAATTTTGGAAGAAGCAAATGGGAGACAGAAGAATGAATAATGAACAAGTTTCTTTGGATTTACAATTTTACTGTTAGAAGTTCTTCACTTCACTATAAGAACATAAATTATAGTAGTAAATTTATATATAAAGCATATTATGTGCTAGATGTGGTTTTAAAAACCTTACAAATAATAACCGCTTTAATTTTTGTTAACAACCCTAGGAGGTCAATACCAATAAGGAAATTAGTAATGAAGAAATCAGTGAATGTGGGATTTGAACCCTTGGAATTTGGCTCCATGCTTTGTGGTCTTTAACCCTATTCTGTACTGACACTCTAGGAATAGAAAGATAAATAGAAATAGATGAGTGATAGTAGTATGGGAGAATTAGGTCTCTTAATTGCAAGCAACAGAAAGAAACTGGCTAAGAGAAAGGGTGGTTATGAAAGGGTGAACACAGAATCAACAGGAGGCAGGGGTACAGGAGAACATTGAAAGGACAAAAGTTAGCAAGTGGGGAACATGAAGATTGTTTCACAGCTAATGAACTTGGTCTGTCTGCAGGCACTATTTCTGCCTCTGAGATAATTAACCAACTTTAAACCTACAATGTGCACCCCTACCTCAAGACATAAAATCCTGAAACCGTCGGAGTTTAGGCCATGTACCTGCCTTCTGTCTGATGGGCCTTGAAGAGGACCTATATCCTTTTTTATTTCATTTGAGAAGTAGATTTTGGAATTATATTTCTCCTAAAATTAATGGGACAGAGAGCTTTCTGAAATAGAAAACAGAAAGTTGTAACATATTCACCCATACTGCTGTCACTTGCCCTGCACAATGGACAAGTAAACACACCTGCAGCTTCACTCTCTTTAAGAACTGTGCACAAAGATGGCTGGTGTATTGGAGCTGCTCGGCATGGAGTAATTGTGGAAAAAGAACGAATTTTCAAGTCAAGCACACTCAATGGATGAGGTATTTATCTATCTGAACTTGGTTTTCTCATTTATTAAACAGAGTTAGTAATTATTCCTATTGCATAGGGTTGTTGTGGGGATAAATTAAACAATGTGTGTGTGATGTTCCCCTTCCTGTGTCCATGTGTTCTCATTGTTCATTTCCCACCTATGAGTGAGAACATGCAGTGTTTGGTTTTTTGTCCTTGCGATAGTTTGCTGAGAATGATGATTTCCAGCTTCATCCATGTCCCTACAAAGGACATGAACTCATCATTTTTTACGGCTGCATAGTATTCCATGCTGTATATGTGCCATATTTTCTTAATCCAGTCTATCATTGTTGGACATTTGGGTTGGTTCCAAGTCTTTGCTATTGTGAATAGGGCCACAATAAACATACGTGTGCATGTGTCTTTATAGCACCATGATTTATAATCCTTTGGGTATATACCCAGTAATGGGATGGCTGGGTCAAATGGTATTTCTAGTTCTAGATCCCTGAGGAATCGCCACACTGTCTTCCACAGTGGTTGAACTAGTTTACAGTCCCACCAACAGTGTAAAAGTGTTCCTATTTCTCCACATCCTCTCCAGCACCTGTTGTTTCCTGACTTTTTAATGATCGCCATTCTAACTGGTGTGAGATGCTATCTCATTGTGGTTTTGATTTGCATTTCTCTGATGGCCAGTGATGATGAGCATTTTTTCATGTGTTTTTTGGTTGCATAAATGTCTGGTGGGGGGAGTGGGGAGGGATAGCATTAGAAGATATACCTAATGCTAAATGATGAGTTAATGGGTGCAGCACACCAACATGGCACATGTATACATATGTAACAAACCTGCACCTTGTGCACATGTACCCTAAAACTAAAGTATAATAATAATAATAATAAAACAATGTGTGAAGCATCTATGTTAGTAGGCTCTCAGTAAATGTTATTCCCTTTCTTCCTAGATTCAATTACTGAGTCCTCATACACTAACAGAATTTAATAAAAATTGCTACCTTTTATTGTATATTCTTTATGCTCTCTGCACTTCTGCTAAGCTTTTCAAATACTGTTTCTTGCTTTAATGTTGCAAAAATCCTGTAAACATGGGTTCTATCATCTTCATTTACAGATGAAAATGCCAAAGCTTAAAAAGGTTAGTTGATTTATCCAGTTTCACACTGCTTGTAAGTAACAATGCTGAAATTCAAACCTAAATCTATCTTTACAATCTTTCTTCTTAGACTTTCTTCTTAGACTTCTTCTTAGACTTTACCATCCTAGACTTTTAAAAAAAAGTATAGTTTGTGATATTGTATCACAAGGATATTTTTGCATTTATTTGCTCTATTTCTCAAATACCTGTATAACTTTTATTATTTCACTTAAAATATTATTTATTTTTTACTATAATCAATGAAATTGAAAAACTTAATAAATTTTAAATTCAAGAAATATAAACATAAAACTCAATTTATAGTACATATGAAAACAGATTATGTTTTAAAGTAATTAGCAGACAAAATTAATATTTTTCAATAATATTAACACAAAAATGAAGAAAATTTAACCAGAAAGTATTTAAATGAAATATTCCCATTAATTTATTCTTAAAGAGGAATTGTTTTGAGGTACAGAAATACTTTGAACATTTTTTTTAGCTGCTGAAAGCTATTTCTGATTTTAAACCAATCTGCTAAATTGAGTTATGACCTAACTTCAAATATTTCCCTCTGACTCCATCTTAAAATAATGACCCATCCGTGTTGGAACTTGAAAATAAAAATAAAGTGAGACAATGGGATACAACAGGCATTGCAGACATAGGTGAGTTTTCTCTGTTCCCTCTCAGTTTCAGGCTGACTTAATGGGAAGTGGCTACAGGATGGAAATATGAAAAGAAATTCCTGAATGCCCAAAGTGTTTGCTGAGAAATCACTAACTCTTGTGGTCTTGGTGGCAGGTATGAGGGCAATGTTAAGTACAGAGAGATTATTAGGGGTCAGTTATGTCCTGTTTTAGGTTAGTCACAAAGAGTAAAGAGGGTTGGGCCCAGCCGTATAAAAACTGTGTCCTCACTTGCACCTTTTAGGCCATAATAGAGAGAGACAGATTTTGTCCTGAGGTCGATGAATGTTTTCCATATCTTAGGAGACCTGGTCATCTGACTCTTCTTTGTACTCCCAGGCAAAGGGCCTCTCTACATCTAATGAGCTAAACTCTTGACCAATTCCCATTGTCACAGCCCGCATCCAGAGTTAACTGCATTTTAGGGGAGGAGGACAGAACAACAGAATCACAGTGATAGATGCCTGAGTCAGAATCGAGAGGCCATTTTTGTCTTCCTGACCAAGAGTAGGAGTCCTGGGTCAGGACTTGGAAGAATTTGACCTCCATTCCTAATTTATTACTGAAATGTTAGTACTTCTTCAATAAATAATGGGTATATTGTGAATTTTTTAATATGCACTATATACAGTTATGCACCACATAAGGATATTTCAGTCAAGACCATACAACAGCAGTCTTATAATAATATAAGAGCTGAAAATTCCTGTCACCTAGTGACATCATAGCTGTTGTAGCATCATAGCACAAGGCCTTACTCACATGCCTGCAGTGATACTGATATAAATAAACCAACTGTGCTGCTAGTTGTATGAAGTATGGCACATACAATTATGTAGACTATGTAATACATGATAATGATAATAAATGACTGTTACTGGTTTATATATTTACTATACTATGTTTGTGTTGTTATATTAGAGTGTACTCCTTCTACTTATAAAAAAAAGTCAAGTGCAAAATAGACTTAGGTGGGTTCTTCAGGGGATATTCCAGAAGAAGACACTGTTATCATAGGAGAAAACAGTTCCATGTGTGTTATTGCCCCTGAAGACCTTCCAGTGAGGCAAGATGTGGAGGTGGAAGATAGCGATATTGATGACCCTGACCAGTTGTAGGCCTAGGCCAGTGTGTGTGTGTGTCTTAGTTTTTAACAAAGAAGTTTAAAAAGTAAAAGAGAAGATAAAAATATTAAAAAGAAAAAAGCTTATATGTTAAGAATAAAAGAAAGAAAATATTTTTTTGGAGAGCTGTACATAAGAAGTATTATAAAAGAGTCAAACAAATATAAAAGTTTATGAAGGAGTTCGTAAACCTTAGTTTATGAAGCTAAGGTTAATTTATCATTGAAGAAATAAAAATGTTTTAAGTAAATTTAGTGTAGGTTCAGTGTACAATGTTTCTAAATTCTACAATACTATAATGTCCTAGGGCTTCGCATTCATTCAGTACTCACTCAGTGACTCATCCAGTGTCACTTCCAGTCCTGCAAGCTGCATTCATGGTAAATGATCTATACCAGTATATCATTGTTCAAATCTTTTATATCATTACTTAACCATGCATTTTCTATGTTTAGATGTATTTAAATGTACAAGTATTATTGTGTCCCAATTGCCTACAGTATTCAGTACAGTAATGTGCTGTACAGGTTTATAGGGTTTATAGCCTAAGGGCCATATACCATATAGCATATGTGTGTAGTAGGCTATCCCATCTAGGTTTGTGCGACCACATTCTGTGATGTTCACACAATGACAAAATCACCTAACAATGCATTACTCAGAATGTATCCCCACTGTAAGGGACACATGACTGAATTAGAAACACTATTGTAATTACTAATTACTTTGATTTATGATGATACCTTCAATTCAACCTCCCCAAATGAATAAAGAATTAATAACAAACATATAGAATATACACAGTAGTGTTAGATGCATTTCTAAGTAAGTGCATAAATCTAAAATCTCTTCCTTAAATATAGATTCTCTTTTGTTTTTCACTAATACAAGGGTTCTTTGGTAACTTGAAATCTGGAAACAATTTAATAAAACAGCTTTCCTTTACCAGGTATGGTCATGGCTATTCTGGACTTGTATTCTGAATCTTAACATTTTTGAAGAGAACACTAAGATTTCTATGTTATTTATGTTAGAATAGACTCAACAACTAGTCAGCTGAGGCAAAGGTTCAACTTGCATAAGTGATTGAAAGTGCTGATTTCAGCCTAAACCTTTAGAAATAAATGCTGAGTTTCTACTTGCTTTATATGGTTGTTACCTGTCACCCTGTAAGCCAAGTGCAACTGAGTTGAAACTGACAATCACTCTAATAACTGTTATGATGTTGCCTTATTGTTAAACTGATAGTGATGGGTCAGGCAGAAGAGGACACATTCCATCTGCCACAGAGGAACCATGCTGTGCAGCCCAAATCCCTCATCACCTTTGCAGCTGCTTCTCTCATGCATTTGCCAATTTTATATAGGCCCCAAAAAATAAAGAGCAGAACGTTCTATATCATTCGTACCTTTGTTTTGGGAAGCAAGGATAGTAGTAGGGCCACAGGAAGTCGAAAATTAGATGCATTATTTTTCAAGAAAATATTTTGCCACAATAACTTTGTTAAGGCTTTAAAATGACAAGCCAATTATTGGTTCAGAAATTGAGAGAATAAACATATTTTGATCATAAAGAAAACTTCTTAAACAGTTTCTTAAACATTGAAAACCTCCCACAATTCCTGGTTAAAAGTTAGACATATAAAATATTTCCTTCTTTTTCTTTTAGAATCACATCTTCCAGAAGAAACATTCTCATGTCTATTAATTTAGAATTTAGAATTTAAGTTTAAAATTCCATGGAATATAGGATAAATCAAGGGATGATCATGAGGTCACTCCTTTGTACAGTAGGTAATTACATAGCCATTTGTGAAAACTTGAATTAATCAGCTTTTTAACTAAAGTATCAGCATGGAGATTGGAATGCATGTGTTTTCACTTCTAATAGGGAAGCTTTCACAATATTAACTTTTCAAGAAAGACCTACATTTTCAGGATGGCTGATAACTTCCATTATATGAAAATGTTTTCAGTTGGTTGTGTTGGTGGTATTATAAGTGAATATATGGTTATAATACCATGAGCTACAGTCAGGATAGCTACCTACTGGATATGTGTGTTAATAAACAGACCTTGCTTTAGTAATATGTTTATGTAGTGTGTTTGCGTATGTTTGTGTGTGTGTGTGTGTTTGTACATTAAAATGTTCTGGTTAATTAGATTTTATAAAATAAATGATAACCTGTAAGGCAGCCAGATACAGAATGACAAATAGTTTGCTTAGGAAACTGAGAACCTATAATTTACACATGATTTTTTTTTTGACATTGGCCTTATATGCAGTTTTAGGCAAGACACCTACTTTCAGGAACTTGATTTCTTAATTTCCTAATATTTAAAATGTAAGTAACAATACAACCTTCCAGAACTCCTTAAGCCCTTTTCCAGTGTTCATTTGTCACAATTATCACTGCTCAATATGTTTTCACTTGAGTCTGTTTTTGTCCTCTGCCTAAAAAAATCTAAGTTCCATGAGAGCAGAGATAAGTGCTCTGTTCACTGCAGTTTTGCCAGCACCTAAAGAGTGCCAGTCACAGAGTAGGCATTTAATAAATACATATTAAATTAGTTTCTTACTAGACATTTTATGAAGCAACTTTGCACATCCAAAATTATGTAGCACAGGTTAACATTGAGTCAGATTTCAGCCCATCTACCGAGGAATAAACAACTGAAAACTGCTCACCCTTTCAAGCTCTGCCATCAACATCTGAATTGTTTAATGTGCCTGCATATCAAAAGTTTCAGCAAATCTGAATTGATTTACTTTATTGGTATAAAATAATGGAAGTCATTTCTTATGTATAATCTCCAGATTTTACCACATACAAATAAAAAATTCTTTATTTTGTTGTGTAAATCATTATCTCCAGGGTTTACTGTATAATCAGACTCTAAGACTTACTGGAATACTACTGTAGGTATATGTCTGTGTCCAATGAAGAGAAGTATGAATGGGACTGGAATTCTACCCTAGGTATATGTCTGTGTCCAATGACGAGAAGTATGAATGGGCTTTAAAAAAAATGGTCTTCTTTTACATAGTAAATATCTTGGAAGAGGATTACAATTTTAAGTTGTTCATGTGCAGGGTTAAACTTTGCATTCAGTTTTCAGTTTTCTTAACTATGTCACTATAGGATATAACAATGTGTTAGTACAATCATTGAAACTCCCTACACTTTAATTTTAATGTACTGTGCATTTAAGAATATGTGTGTTATTCCTTCTAAGCTGTCTAGATACCACTAAAAATAGATACAACTCACCTCTCACCGACTACCGCCACAGCGCTTATTTTTCTCATGCCCTTTAAGAATTATTTTCTTCTGAAGTTTTCACTTCACCGAGCACTTATTTCTGGTGTCCACGATTGATCATTTTACTCTTCTGCCATTGCACACACAGGGATGACTCACTTAGAGCTAGCTCAACTTCCGCAGCTTTCTTCCAAATAACCAATCTCAGACTTGATCATTTTCCTGAAATTTGGTTCTTCTGGTACTGACACTGATGTCTTTTAGTCATTATTTCTGGTCTACTGAGCGAGTTCTTGGCAGCTTAAAGAGTTTCTTTTTATAACTTAAACAGAAAGTAGTTGTATGAAATATTATCAGGTACCTCGTGGAATGAATTAGATGGTTGATGAATTGGTTTAGGCAGAGACTAAGGGGACCCCAGTATTGTCATATGAATATTCACCTTAGAATACTAACATAGCACTATCTACAGCTTTCAACATAGCATTTGGTGCAATGGTGCTGAACCTGGGTCAGATCACCATGTCACTAGATTTTCAATGTGCCCTAGATGTCATTAGAAATAATCCTCTGTAGAACCCTATGTCTTTGTGTCAAATTCTCAAATTTAAAATTTTAGAGGGAATATCTAATTGACCATATATTTTAACTGCCAGGGGTTTGGGAGAGGTGTTACTCTCCTTAGTAGCCTTTTGTAAACAAAGAGATAAAGCTTTGGTTTTCCCCTGTCTTTGGGAAGATTACTTTGCAAATAATGAGAAACCCTTGTGATAAAATCTAATACAATTGTTCTGGTAAATGCCAAAGCTGAGTTTCAAAGTGGTCAAAATATTTAATCACAGTAAACAGATAAGGTGTAACAGGAAAATACTAGCATCAAGATTTTCTGATTCTTAAAGCAATGGTAATTTTACAAAATTAAGCTATCTTTGAAGTTTGGCTGAATTAACCAAACTTTAGTAATGGCTAATAGACTTTCCCACAAAGCATGTACAAAAGGCTACTTCCTACAACTGTGATCATGCTTTAAAATGCAAATAGTCTTAACTCTCTGAGACTTAGTTTCTCTATCTCTAACATACAAATCGAAGGGCCTAGTTGCCAACTTAGCAAGTTGTTTAAAACATATGGCATATTACTCTGTATCAATACATACAATATTTTTAGCATTTGTGCAGTAATGTTAATGGAAATGATTATGTGGAGACATTTAGTCAATATTCAGTTTGGCTGTGTTTATTTTTTAAATATTGAAATGTCTTGATATTTAAACTGCCTTCAAGCCCCTTATGTGCTTCCCTGCTTCCTCCTCAACATTCCCCAGAATAATTCATCATTGTAAGGAGAAAGAGTTAGTGAGCAGGGGTCCTGTATAATCCTTCTTCTGTGCTATTATCAGTTTTTGTTTTAATTGGTATATATCCAGTGAACTTGTGAAATATTTTAAATATTACCCCTATTTATTCTGCCATACACACACACACACACACACGTATGCACACATATACACCTATGTATGACCATATATCATATTACATTTATACTATATAATATACATATACATATAACATATAGTACTTTTAATGGCAAAAATCACAATTACTTTTGCACCAACTATATATATATATATACATAATTATATATTATTTATCATTGTAAACTCATAGATAATGGTACATGAAAATCTCATTGTATTTGAGGAGCAATTGGCTTAAAAATTCTGTTTATTTTTGGATGAATTATATGGTGTTGACTATTTGTATTGATCCAGACAGTTATATAATTGCTCCTGTTGTTTCCATTCTCCCAGGATAAAAACTAGCATTGAACTACAAGCTTTGAGGAGAAATATGAAGATTTTTAGCTTGCAAGAAGTAATCATCCATAAACAACATTATTTTAATTCACAGTTATATCTTCCTATTTTAAGATTAATTTTCTAAAGTTAATCATGGCAAATTAAAGAACACTTTCCATTAGTGGCCACAGATTTTTTTGTTATAAGTAGTAAACGGCATCACTGATTACACTCGTGACAACATACTAGCTTAATCTGAGAGGGCAGAAGTAGAAGGAGAACCCCTTGCTTATCCTGAGACTTTCGTTTGTATTTATGATGCAGACGAATCTCTACAGCTGGTTGTCTCCAGTTTCCTTGAACAAATTTACCAATAAGAGAAATAGGCAGCTACCCTTATTGCTTTGTTTTATGGAAAGGGATAACACATACACCTTTCCATTTGGTAATAAAATCTAAATTTCCAGCTAGATTACCAAAACATTTGCTGTTAAAATATAGTTAGTTATCTTTCAAAAGAAAACAAGTATCTTTTCTGAACACTCCAGTCCTTGGAAATTTTAAGGAAGATGTCAGTAGCAATCATTTGTCACCACTTGAATTGTATTCTTAATAAAATCAAAACTCATGTTAGGTAAGTTTTCATTATGGACCTTGGCCGATATGGCAATCTACTGGGAAGCAAATACTCAATAGATCAGTTACTCTAGTCCTGATACTAAATGTTTGTAACTTCCTTACATTTCATGTAACAATTACTTGGTATATGTTTCTTATGGTGCTAGACATTCTGGATACAGGTATTAAAAAGATGGCCAACTAGAAACCTCTAAGCTCTTCTTTTCTTCAAAGAAACAAGAAACAATTACAGACTGGCTGATATAACTTTTTAGAAGTTCTGGAAATCAATCAGTGATTTCAGTGGCCAGGTGAAAATCCAATCAAGAAAGGGTCACACTCTGAATGGTGGGAAATCACGTGGCATTTTGCTCATTCATACCTCCCTCCCTCCTTATGTGTCATGGAGTGGATTAAAAGCACTGGGCTGGTCCTTAAATTCCTTTCATAAGCCTTACAGAGCAAAGTGAACCTAATTTACAGTGTTCTAACTTGTTTGTGTGATTTTTTGATTAGTTCTCTGTGTCTTAAAATTCTTAATTTACAAGGGATTTTTGTTGTTTGTTTTCTTTTATTTTGCTTAAGAACTTTAAATATATAATTCTACTCCCTTTTGACTTGCAGGTTTTCAGCTAGACGTTACTGATAATCTTTTTGTGGGCTTTTCTTTGTAATGAGTCATTTTTCTCTTGCTGCTTTTAACAGTTTTTCATTCAGACTGATGAGGTTTCAGATGGATATGAGGAATTTATTGGGAACACTGAATTTCACAGTGATGGTTGAGGGTATCTGGTGGAAGAAATTTCCATGCAGCAAATTGTTCAATTGTTGACCTGGCTGCTTCTAACAACATATGCTTATATGCATGAGCAAAGAAATGATCTGAAAATGGAACTTGTATTTAAAAGGCAAGCAGAACATAAAGTTTGGAAAATCTGCACCCTGACCATGTGGTAGAGAAGAAAAACCCATTTTTTGGGAAGAATTCAAGCCTGCTGCAGAAATTTGCATAAGTAAAGAGGAGCTGAAAGTTAATAGCTAATACGATGGGGGAAATTTCTCGAAGACATTTTAGAGTGCCTTGTGGCAGCCCATCCCATGACAGACCCAGAGGCCTATGGAGGGAAGAATGGTTTCATGGGCAGGGCCCAGGTCTCTGCTACTGCCCTGTGAAACCCAGGGACACTGCTCCTTGCATCCTAGTGGCTCCAGCTCTTGCTGTGGCTAAAAGGGTTCCAGATATGTCTCAGGTCATTGCTCCAGAGGGCTCAGGCTGTAAGCCTTGGCATCCTCCCTGTGGTGTTAAGTCTGCAGGTGTGCAGAGGGCAAAAGTTGAGGCTTTGGATCCTCCACCTAGATTCAGAGCATGTATTGAAAAGCCTGAATGTCCAGGTAGAAGTCTGCTGCAGGAGTGGAGCCCTCATGGAAAACCTGTACTAGGGCAGAATAGAGGAAAAATATGGGGTTGGAGTCCCCACACACAGTCCCCTCTGGGGCGCCTACTGGAGGTATGAGAAGAAAGCCACTATCCTCCAGACCCCAGAATGGTATATCCACTGACAACTTGCACTGTGTTACTAGAAAAGCCACAGGCACTCAACACTAGCCTGTGAAAGCAGCTACAAGGGCTGTACTCTGCAGAGCCACAGGAGTGAATCTGCCAAAGGCCTTGGGAGCCCACTCCTTGCATCAGTGTTGCCTGGATGTGTGCTACGGAGTCAAAGGAGATACTTTTGGAAGTTTAATATTTATGACTACCCTGCTGTGTTTCAAAATTGCATAGGGACTACATCCCCTCTCTTTTGGATGATTTCTCCTCTTTGGAACAGGCCTATTTACCTAACACCTGTGCTCCCATTGTATATTGGAAGTAAACTAATTTGTTTTTGATTTTACAGGCTCATAGGCAGAAAGGACTTGCTTGTCTCAGATGAGAATTTAGACTGTGGGATTTTAAGTGAATGCTGAAATGATTTAAGACTTGGGGGACTGTTGAGAAGGGGTGAATGTATTTTGCAAAATGAGAAGGATGTGATATTAGGTAGGGGCTGGGGAGGGAGGAATGATATGGTTTGGATTTTTGTCCTTGCCCAAATCTCATACAGAATTATAATCCCCAATGTTGGATGAGGGGCCGGGTGGGAGGTAATTAGATCATGGGTGCAGTTTTTCTCCTAGCTATTCTCATGATAGTGAGTGAGTTCTCACAAGATCTCATTGTTTAAAAGTGTATAGCACCTCCCCCTTTACTCTATTCCTTCTGCTCTAGACATCTAAGATCTGCCTGCTTATCTTTCCATTATGACTGAAAGTTTCCTGTATAGTCATGCTTCCTATACAGCCTGAAGAACTGTGAACTAATTAAACCTCTTTATAAATTACCCATTCTCAGGTATTTCTTCATAACAATAAGAGAATGAACTAATACAATCCTCATGGCAAAGGCAAAGGAATATTTGTAGAATACATACAAGAGGAAAAGAGAAATGAATCCAAATATGTCCATACAATAAATCAACTAAATACAAAGAAAGTCAATAAAAGCAAAAATGAAAGACAAAAATGCTATAAGACAAACAAAACCCAATTAAAAATAGCAAAGTGAAATATTTCCCTGTCAGTAACTATTTAAATATAAATAGATTAAATTCCACATTTAAAAAAATATATTGGCAGAATATATTTTTGAAAAACAAGATCCAACTATATCTGTAGAAACTCATTTTGTATCTAAAAACACACAGTGGAAAATGAAAATCTGGAAACCGACATCTCATACTAATTAATAATTAAAAGAAGACAAGGTTTGTGGACTGACGTTATCTGACTTCAAGAATTATTGTAAATATACGTGATCAAATTAGGGTAAAACTGGTGAAAGAGTAGACAAACAGATAAATGAAACAGTGGAGAAAGTAGAAATGAGACACCTAACTGTAGTCAACTATTGACAAAGAAGCAAAGGAAATTCAACTAAGACATAGTCATTGCAATATGTGGTGCTGGACCAACTGGACAGTACATGCAAAGAAAAAAATAATCTAGACACTGACCTTATATACCTGATCAAAATTAATATAAAAGGAATCATAGACTTCAATGTAAAACACACAAATATGAAATTACTAGAAAGTGATATAGAAGAAAATTTAGATGATCTTGAGTTTGGTGATGACTTTTTAAATATAACACTAAAGGCACAATGAATTAAAAAAGTTTGATAAACTGGACTTTATTAAACTTATATTTTTTGCAGAAGACTTTATCAAGAGAATGAAATGACAAGCCACAGTCATATCTGATAATGACTGATATCCAAACTATACGTAGAGCACTTAAAACTTAATAAGAGAACAAATGACACAATTTAAACATGATATATGGCTGGATGCAGTGGCTCACGCCTGTAGTCCCAGCACTTTGGGAGGCCGAGGTGGGCGGATCATGACATCAGGAGTTTGAGACCAGCCTGACCAACATGATGAAACCCCATCTCTACTAAAAATACAAGGAAAAATTAGCCGGGTGTGGTGGTGGACACCTGTAATCCCAGCTATCCGGGAGGCTAAGGCAGGAGAATCACTAGAACCCAGGAGGTGGAGGTTGCAGTGAGCTGAGATTGAGCCACTGCACTCCAGCCCGGGCAACAGAGTGAGACTCCGTCTCAAAAAAATAAAAAAAATAAATAAATACTTTAACAGACACCTCATCAAAGAAGATACAGAATAGCAAATGAAAAGCCCATATCCTATATAATTAGAGAAATGCAAATTAAGATAGCAATGACATACCACTATACTCCTATTAGAATGACAGAAATCCAAAACACTGACAATATAAAATGCTGGCAAGAATGTGGAGCAACTCAAACTCAGAATGCTACAGACACTTTGGAAGACAATTTTGCAGTTTCTTGTAAAACTAAACATGCTCTTACCATATGACCCAGCAATTGTACCTTTTAATATCAACCCAAAGTATTTAAAAACTAATGTGCACACACACAAAAAACAAACAAACAAACAAAACTGCATATGGATGTTAATAGTAGCTTTATTCATAATTTCCAAAACTTAGAAGTAATCTAGATGTCCACCTATAGATGAATGGATAAATAAACGGTGATACATCTAGACAATGAAATATTTTTCAGTGCTAAATAAATGAGCAATCAAGCCATGAAATGTCATGGAAGAAACTTAAGTGCATATTACTGAGTGAAAGAAGCCCATCTTAAGGGTTGCAAACTATATGTTTCCAGCTACGTAACCACTGTAAAACCAACAGTGGTTGCCAGAAGCTAGGAAGGAAGGAGGAATTAACAGGCAGAGTGCAGAGTGTTTGTAGGGTGGAGAAATTATTCTGTATGATGTTACAATAATGGATATACCATTAGGCGCTCAAATATAGAATGCTTTTTGTAGAATCCTTTTTAAAATATAATTTGATATGAAGAAACTTCAGAGCAATAGGGTTAGCACATCATCTATCTAGATGTGGAATAGAAAATATTCAAAGTCCTTTAAAAAAGTCATAATCTGCTAGAAAGATTAGAAATATTTGAGCAAGAGTCAAAGCAGAGAGAAAGAATGAGAAATAAAACCCCCTACATTTGGTCAACTCATTTGCTTCTTTATGTTCTAATCGTGGAAGACATTCTGAGTGTCGAGTATCATAACTGCTGTAGGGCTGCTATAGAAATGAATATTGTGCCATTATTGCAGATGCTGGAAGGTGAGCAACTTAGCCAAATGCTGGGTAAAGATGCATGGCTTAGGCCAGTGCTTGTTAAAATAAGGTCACATAATCAGTACTGAAACACAAGCAGTGAATGACAGAAATTGAAAATAAATGTTTAGAAACTAGTATTTTGAAATTGATGTGACATTTGAGTATTGTCATTTTTCTGGTCATTCATTTCCATTGCATTTCACAAAATTAATCAGGTACAAAATAGAATTTAAAAAAGCCCACATGCTTCATCACAGATTGTTTGAAACCTTCTGGATTAGACTACAATCTGCACCCCTGGAGATAGCCAGGTGACTTGAGGTAGGTGGGGGAAGGAGGGAGACTCAGATGTGAATGGCAGATGCTAGCATAGGGTACATGGCCAAGTGTAGCAAAAGGTGGATCTGCAGAACCTTGGAAGGTCTTAGAAGGCAACTCAGGAAACAGATGCTAGGACTCCTCCTCCAATAATCATGAAGTGATATGAATAGTAGATTGTTGTGGTCTTCTCAGTATGTTTAGAAACACAAAAAAATAAAGGTTAGTGTGGCCTTTAGTTATCTGGCTTCTGTGTGGATAGAACTTCCCTAGAGCAACATCTCTGCGATCTCTCAACCTCTTCACTTTCTCTACTCCAGTTAGGAAGGAGAGACATCTTTTTGGGTTTGAAAGAAGGAACTGGGCATGCCACTTCATTTCTGTTTGGAATTGCACACAATTTCCTTTTGCTGTGACTTCAAAGGTACCATTTCTTAAAGGGGAAACTTGTGATTTGTACTCCATCTAGTTGAATGAGTAAGTCTATCTTATGGATAAAGTGTTGTCAAGTCAACTTAGGCAAAACATCAAAGTCACATTTTCCAGTACTATCAGTGTTATCAATAATAAAGGTGATTATTTGTATCTCAATTTGTAAGACTCTTAAATTTATCTTTCAACTGATCCTAAAGAAAAGTCTATAAGTAGTTCATAGAACACAAAGTTTGGAAACCACTACCTTAAAATGAATCATAAATGTCTATGGCTCCTTTCAATTCACTTAGGTTTCTACTGTTCAGAAAGATGTATCTAATTTTCATAACTTTGTTCTTTTGCAAATGGTTAATCTTATATACTGTATTTGCCCACCTAATTAACTGTCAAACAGAACTAATCAAATTCCAGTTTTACAAAATTTCAATTTTGTGGCTAAAAATAGGACTGTGTCAGCAAAAAGAAAAAAGTACTCTGAAGTAAGAAAGTTAGTCACATGTAATAAATTCCTGAATTTATACATTCATTTTTTAGCAGGATGAGGATTGAAACCATGCATTCATAGCATAACTAAACGATTTGCTCAATTGCCAATGATAAATCGACATTTTTTGTTGTTTGTAAACTCAATGAGATGTTATATCTTTATGTGTTGTACACTTTCACAAATTTATTTTGCAAAATTTTATATTTTTTCCAATATTTCACAAAAATTGCAAATGTATTTTTCCCAAGATATATGTAGGTTTTAAAAACAAATTTTAATTTTTTATGCTCTGCCATTGACTTAGATGTTTTTAAAATCTTATATGTAATGTGTTTCTCTTAAATACCACGATGTAGCTATCTATAGAAATAGTTGCATTATTAGGAAAAACATCGAGTTGAACTCAAGAAGTTATTTCCTAAAAATCTTTTATAATTTTTTTCCACTACATTACAAATTGAGGAATGGTAAGTGTTGTTCTACGAGGATAGAGGGGTTTTATGCTTTTATTTAATTACTGGTAAAGAGAATATGCTCACAAAGACCTACAGAAAATCAGGAGACAGCCTTATTATATCAGAATAGTAGGAAACCTATAATATAAGTTAAAGGGCAAGTACTCTCTAAGACTTCATTACATATTTGAGAGAAGTTTGGTATATTTAATATTAGTTGGACCGTATTATTCATCCATTCAGGACTCACTGAGTACTTACTCTGTGACCAGCACTGGAAATACATCATGGTCTTTGACTTGGAAAAATATATGATAAATTAAAAAAAGGTATATGTGGGTATATATACATATATACATGTATATATACATATATGTATGTATATGTGTATATATACATATATGTATGTATATGTGTGTATATACATATATGTATGTATATATGTGTGTGTATATGTATATAGATGTATACGTGTGTATATGTGTATATATGTGTGTATACATATATGTATATAGATGTATATATGCGTATATACACCTATATGTATATATAGGTCTATATATAGATGCGTATATATATGTATATATACGCATATATACATCTATGTATATAGATGTATATATGCGTATATATACATATATGTTTATATATACACACATACAACTGAGATATGCAACAAATATTATAAATAGAGAAAGAGGACACTGTGGAAACACAGAAGAGGCAGGACTTAAGTTTCCTTGAGTTTATGAAGTAAGGTAATATTTGATTAGGGTCTGGAAGAATGAATATAAATTTCTTAGAAAATTACTTTCTGTAAGTGGTGTTTTTTAAATAAATAAATGTATCATTTCAAAAGTCATATTGTATTATGGAAGCCATAAACTCATCTTATGGTACTAGAGATAAGGGAAGGAGTGATATTTCAAGGTGAACTTGGAGAAAATATTTGGTACCAGTTGGGATGAACTTATATTCCATCAGGACTTAGGGTCTGGGTGGAGCTTAATAATTTTAAATGCAGGCACATAAAATGGTCACACCTCTTTTAAAGACAAATTTGGCAAAAGATCAAATAGAGGAAAATGAGTATGGGTATACTATTGGAAATTCTGAAATAAAGTCGTTAAAAAATCTAATTGAGAAATGAAGAAATTAAGAAATAACCAGGTCATTGACCATGACAGCAAGAAACTGGTCTTCAAAAATTCATTGAGGATTGTATAAATATGATGTATCCCAAAGTAAAATAAATTATTGAGAGGTCTGAAAATAATGTCATACAGAGTCTGTGAAAGTGTTTTTCTTTGAGAAGACCAAAGATTTATTTTTTAGATCACATGAAGTTATGTACATTTTGTGGTCCTCATAATATAAAAAAATAAAGTTACAAAGTTGCAACCAGGAAAGATTTGTAATAGTCTTATACAAGAAATCTGAATGTGTATATGCCTTCACAATGCAGTATTTATTTAGCTTGAATCAATACGTGGCTCACAAAAAAGAAAGAATATAAAACCTGAATCACAGGCAGAACACACAGGAGGCTGCTTAAACACAACTATGAAGAGTAGAGCTGGGATGTATTATAACTGATATGAGAAACTCTTTCTTAGAAGTAAATGAATAGAAGGAAATATCTTTCAGTGTATTTTAAAGGGAAGTAAACATTGCTCAGTAATATAGATGATATATATTGAACCTAAAATGAATTTTGAGCAATTGCTAATAGATACACTTTTCAAGAAAGTCATAAAGCCCTGAAATACATAATATCTTACCCTAGATTACAGTTGGACTCAGGAAAGATAATAGTAAAAATGTGGTGAAAAAAATGAATGAGACATATTGAATTCTCTTAGCTGTTCCTGGCTGAGAATTACAACAATCCACATGAAAAAAGAGTCAGAAAATTGAAGGGCTGGAAATATGCAGTATTGGTCAAAATGTGAGAAAATTACCAACTGGAATCTTTTAATGAGTACATAAATTGGCTCTTGTTGACCATGCAGTTTGGAATTATATCACAATTTTTTTTTTTTAAAAAAAGCATGTTATCAACTGAATTGCATTGGTCAAATTTCACATGTTAAAGCCCTAACCCCTGGTTCCTCAAAATGTAACTATATTTGGAGACAAGATCTTTAAAGAAGTAATTATACTGGAATGAGGCACTTGGGGTGGGCCCTACTGCAATATGATTGGTGTTGTTAAAAGAAAGGAGATTAGAATATACAGAGAGAAAGAGAGACCATACAGATAGAGACTATGTGAGGACTTTGTATGATGGTAGCTGTCTACGAACCAAGGAGAGCTTAGATGACACTAGACCTGCCAATACTTTGATTGCAGGCTTCTAATCTCCAGAATTGTGAGACCATATGTTTTTGTTGTTCAAGCCACCCAGTTTGTGGTATGTTGTTATGGCAGTGATGATAGAAAAAACAAATTCTGCCAAAATATATTTAAAGAGGTTTATTCTGAGCCAATATGAGTGACTGGCCCAGGGTGACAATCTCAAAAGGTCCTGAGTAAGTGTGCCTGATGTGGTTGTGTTACAGTTTGGTATTATATATTTCAGGGATATAGGAATTTCAAGTAAAATCATATATCAATGATATAGTTTGGTTGTGTCCCCACCTAAATCTCTCTTTGAATTGCTTTAATCCCCATGTGTCCAGGGTGAGGCCAGGTGGAGATAATTGAATAATGGGGGCTGTTTCCCCATACTGTCCTCGTGGTAGTGAATAAGTCTCATGAGATCTGATGGTTTTATAAATGGGAGTTCCCCTTCACAAGCTCTCTTTCCTGCCACCATGTAAGATGTGACTCTGTTCCTCCTTTCCTTCTGCCACAATTATGAGGCCTCCCCAGCCATGTGAAGTCAATTAAACATCTTCCCTTTATAAATTACTCAATTTTGCGTACATCTGTATTAGCAGCGTGAGAACAGACTAATGCAATCAATAAATCAATATGTGGAAGATATACATTGGTTATGGTGGAAAAGGCAGGATTTCTCCAAATGTGGGGGAACTGGTAGGGGTTCTTACAAATCATAGGTGGGTTTTAGGGATTCTTTAGTTGACAGTTGATTGAGAGAGTAAAGCTATTGTTTAGAGACTTAATGTCAGTAGAAAGGAATGCCTGAGTTAAGATAAAGGGGTCGTGAAGGCCAAGGTTCTTGTTATGGCTATGAAGTCTCATAAATAGCAGCCCTCAGAGAGTATAGATGGTAAAAGTGTCTTTTCAGACTTTAAGGTGTTTGTTAATCTCTCCTTTATCAGGTGTCTTAGTTAATCTCTCCTATATCCAGGAAAGGCATAGAAAGAGAAGGCTTGGCTGCATTAATGGTGATTCTCTGCAGATGCAAATATCCCCTACAAAACAGGGCTTTGCCATGACATTTCAATCTGTTGGCCCTGTGGCAGCAATTTCAAAATATGTAGAAGGTATATATTTTGGGTTAAAATATTTTCATTTCCTTCAGGACCTGTTCTCTGTCATGTGATGCTATACCAGAGTCCATTTAGAAAATAAACCACATTATACAAGGTTAATAAAAATCCATCTAATGAGATGTTATAGTTTGCAGGGTGTGACTCCACAGGCCCTTTAGTTAGGAATTTGGGCAAGAGAAAAATAAAGGTCAGACTTTAGTCTCCAGCAGCCATAGCTGATTTATATAGCACATGATTTACTATGGTGTGTCTACTTTTAGATATCTATCCTCTAGAAATAATTGCACATGGTCCCCGAAATCATAAATAGACATTGTTTATCATTAAAAATTGGAGACAACCTGAATGTCCATTAGTGAAGGAATAATTAAGCTATGTTACATTCATACTATGATACTCTGTAATAGTTTATAGGAGAATAACAGTCAGGGTCCAACCCAGAGACAAGACAAAAACTGCATAGTAACTTGAAAAGGGAATATTTAATATAAAGATTGTGAAGTATAAAAGACATTGGAGTAATGAGGATTAACTAGTAAGAAGTAAAGTGAATGTTAAAGAATCCAGAGATAGTCAAACATAACAAGCAACCTCTAGTGCTATGGTAAAACCTGCAAGGAAAAAGTCATCCTCCCATTTGCAATGAGATCCATTCCTTGCAGAAAACAGCAGGACTTTGGCTTCCTGGATGACAATAAAGCCCCTGACATGTTGTGCTGTTGGAATTTTCTGGAAATATGCCCTACAGAATGATGGGGAAGCTGTCTAAAAGCAATGTCATTCAGAAAAAGGCCCTAATTCTCTTCAATTCTGTGAAGACTGAGAAAGGTGAGGAAGCCCAGAAGGAAAGTTTGAAGCTAGCAGAGATTGATTCATGAAGTTTAAGGAAAGAAGCCATCTTCATAATATAAAAATGTAAGGTGAAGCAGCAAGTGCTAATCTAGAAGATGTAGCAAGTTATCCAGAAGATTTAGCTAAGATAATTGACAAAGATGGCTACACTAAACAACAGATTTTAAATGTAGATGAAACAGTATTATATTAGGAAAAGATACCATCTAGGACTTTCATAAATTCTATGCCTAGCTTCAGAGCTTGAAAGGACAGGCTGACTCTCTTGTAGGGGTAATGAAGCTGGTGGTGTTAAGTTAAAACCAATGCTCATTTATTATCCCAACAATCTTAAGGCCCTGAAGAGTTATTCAAAATTTACTCTGTCAGTGCTCTGCAAATAGAACAACGAAGACTGGAAACAACAAATCTGTTGATGGAAACATCAAATCTGTTTATAGCATGGTTTACTGAATATTTTAAATCCACTGTTGAGATCTATTCTATAAAAAGTTTTCTTTCAAAATATTATTGCTTGTTGACAATGTGCCTGGTTACTCAAGAGCTCTGATGGAGATATGTAAGAAAATTAATGTTGTTTTCATGCCTTTTAACACAATATCCATTCTGTAATCCATGGATCAAGCAGTAATTATGGTTTTCAAATCTTATTTCAGAAATACATCTCATAAGGCTATAGCTGCCACAGACAGTGATTCCCCTAATGGATCTAATCAAAGTAAACTGAAAACGATTTTGAAAGGATTTACTCTTTTAGATGCCATTAAGAATATTCATGATTCATGTGAGAATGTTAAAATATTGAACTAGCAGTAGTTTGGAAGAAACTGATCCAACCTTCCTGGGTGACTTCGAACAGTTCAAGATTTCAGTGGTGGAAGTAACTGAAGATATGGTAGAAATAGCAAGAGAACTACAAATGGAGTCTGAAAATGTTATGGAATTGCTTTAATCTCATAATAATGCAAATGAGGAGTTGATTCTTATAAATAGGCAAAGGCAGTGGTTTTATGAGATGGAACCTACTTCTGTGTAAGGTGCTATAAATATTGTTGGAATGAAATCTAAAAATTTAGAATATTAGATAAACTTAGTGATAAAGCAGCAGCATGATTTAAGAGAACTAACTCCAATTTTGAAAGAAGTTACATTGTGGGTAAAATGGCACCAATCAGCATTGCATGCTACAGATAAATCTTTCACGAAAGAAAAAGTCAACCAATGCAATAAACTTCATTGTCTTTAGAAATTGCAACAGCCACCCCAATCTTTAACAACCGCTACTCTGATCAGTCAGCAGCCATCAACATCAAGGCAAGACCTTCCACCAGTGAAAAGGCTACATCTAGCTGAAGGCTCAGATGATAGTTAGCACTTTTTAATAATAAAGTAGTTTTAAATTAAGGTACATGCATTTTTAGACACAATGGTATTGCACAATAAATACACTGCAGTAAGATATAAACATAATTTTATAGGCACTGATAAATCAAAAAAATCGTGTGACCCACTATTGTGATATGTGTTTTGTTGCAGTGGTCTGAAACTGAGCTCACAATATCTCTGAGGTATGCGTGTACATTAGTAATTTACAGAAAGATTAAAAAAATCTAATCATATGAACATAAGAGATTTTAATATATTCAATAGAGATCCATCTATGTTAACTATTATGTATGTGAATACATAGAGAACAAGATATGAGAACAAATAGATGGTCTGATAACACTGGTAATAACTGCTGAAAGAAAATGACTCAAAGAAAATTACTCAAAATGTCAAATAAATTTTTAAAAAATTTAATTTATATTATCTATAATTAGAATAGATAACTTTTAAATGCATATATTTTTCATTGTATGATGCAGATGTTAATTTTCATCTAAAATACAAAATTATTACAATTACATAATGCATTATACACATATTAGAACTGAATGATATATTACTTAATTTTAGTAGTCAAGATTCAAATATGTTTAAGAGATAACAGTAACCTGACGTTGGGATCTGGTGGTGCTAGGCATAAATATATGCTTTCTTTCCTCTCTCATCTTATGCTTTGTTAGATTTCTTTCTTTCTTTCTTTCTTTTCTGTCCTTCCATCCTTCTGTCCGTCTTTCCTTCTTTCCTTCCTTCCTTCCTTCCCTCTTCCCTTCTTTGTTTCTTTCCTTTTTTTCTTTGTTTGACACTTCCATTGTTTCTACCTTCTCTTCTATCATAGCATCTTTCTGTTGAAATATCCTGGCTGCTTCTTCCACTTTTAAGGGTTCATGTGATTACATTGTTCCCATCTGGATAATCTACAGTAATTTTCATATTTTAAGGTCAATTGAAAAGCAAACTTAATTCCATTTGCAAAATTAATTTCCTTTTGCCATGTAATGGAAAATATTTATAGGCATAACACCAGGGGGTAAAGAGAAAGGGTCAAAATTCTGCCTACCGTAAGAACCAAGTTCATTTTTTAGCATATATGAGTCCCATTGTCTAGCACAATTTTTCAAAAAGACTATCTGTTTATCATTAAATTACCTTTGAATCTTGTTGAAAATTAATGGACCATGTATGTCTGGGTCTACGTCTGGACTCTCTTCTCTTCTGTTGGTTTATATGTATGCATTCACCCATAACATAATGTACTGAATATTGTAGCTTTATAAAAAGTCTTGAAATTAAGTAGTGTGATTCTTCTGATTTTGCTCTTCTGCTTTCTGTTACTTTTCCTAAATTTAGAACCAGCTTGTCAATTTCTTAAAAAAAAAAAAAAAGAATCCTGGTATGATATTGATTGGGATTACACTGTGTCTATAAATCAGTTCAGGAAGTTAGAGGTAGTCGCATCTTAACAAGTATGAATTTTCAAATGTATGAACATGGTGTATATCTTTATTTAAAAAAAATTATTTGTCAATGTTTTATTGCTTTCTCAATACAGACTTTTGTAATAGTTCTATACGTATTGCATTTTTGCAATATGTTTTTATTTTTATTTTAAATTATTTTTTAATTTTAATTTTAAACTGTCTATTAATAATATATTGAGATATTATTGAATATTTATATAGATCTTTTATCATCTTGCTTAATTCACTTATTGATTTCAACAGTGTTTTTTTTTTTAATATTCCCTGGCTTTATTTCTTCCTTTCCAATCTTGATATTTTTTCTTGCTTTATTATATTGGCTACAATACTTATTATGATGTTGAATATGAATAATAAGGCTAGATATATTTCCCTTGTCTTTAGTCATTGGGGAAAAACATTGAACCTTTCACCACTAAGTACAATACTATCTCTAGGTCTTTTTTGTACACCTTTTATTAGGTTGAAGAAGTTCCTTTCTTTCTTAATCTATTTAGAGATTTATTTATCTGTAATCTATTTTATTATTTATTTATCTATAATCTAATTAGAGATTTATTAAGAATGGATGTTGAATTTAGCCAAATCATTTTACTGTATTTAGTTGATTATATTGTTTTTATTCTTCAGTCTCTCTATGAGTAACATTTCTTCAAGTGTAATTTATTTTAAATGCTGAACCAGTGTTGTATTACCAGAATAAAATTTATTTGATCATGTTATTTTAAATATTTTATATATTGCTAAATTAGATTTTCAAGTAATAGTTGAAAACTCTAACAGGTATATTTATTAGGAATACCGGCTTTTAGCTTTTTTTTTTTACTTCTTGTATGTTAGCCTATTATTGGTAAAAGGGTAATGATGACTTCAATAAATTAGGTAGGACATTGTCTTCTTTTGAATTTTAGAAGATTTTGGATAGTATTGCTATTTTTTCTTTCTTACGTGTTTGGAAAAACAGTGAAGATATATGAACCTGTAGATTACTTTGATAAAAGGTTTGTATGAATGTATTTATATCACTTGATGTAAGATCCTTCTGGTTATCTATTTCTATGGCAGTGACTTTTGGTAGTTGTTCCACTCAAGAACTGTCTTTATTTCATCAAAGTTGTCAAATATATGTATACATAATTGACATAATTCCTGTTCTTTTTTTTTTCTTTTCTTTTTTTTTTTTTTTTTTTCCTGAGACAGAGTCTCGCACTGTATCCCAGGCTGGAGTGCAGTGGCGCGATCTTGGCTCACTGCAACCTCTGCCTCCTGGGTTCAAGCGATTCTCCTGCCTTAGCCTCCCGAGTAGCTGGGACTACAGGTGTCTGCCACCACGCCCAGCTAATTTTTTGTATTTTTAATAGAGACAGGGTTTCACTGTGTTGGCCAGGATGGTCTTGATCTCCTGACCTCATGATCCGCCCACCTCGGCCTCCCAAAGTGCTGGGATTACAGGTGTGAGCCATGGCGCCTGGCCTAACATAAGTTTTTAATATCTTTCTGTTGCCTTAGTAACTTTATGATTACCCCAAACCTTATTACCAGTATTGGAAAATATTTATTTTTACCTGAATGGCAAGAAATATATCACTGTTTCAAAGAAAAACTTTTTTTGTTGTATTGATGTTCTCTATTGTGTTTTCTAAATTCTATTTCATTGATTTCTACTAAGTATTTTTAACTCTTGTATCCTTTTCATTTAATTTGCTATTATCTTTACTGTCTTGTAAAGTAGAAGTTTAGGTAATTGTTTCAATACTTTTCTTCAAATAGAAGTAGTGCTGTAAATTTCATCCTAAGCACTATTTCATCAGCAAGCGGTAAATATTGATATATCTTAATTTTATTTCCATACAATACAAAATAGGTTCAATTATCCCTCATGAGTTCCTCTTTGAATCACAGGCCATTTTAGGCATATTGTTTAATTTCCAGTATATAGGGGATTTTAAAGATGTATGTTTTGTTAACTTCTGGTCTAATTCCATTATAGTTATACACTGTGTAATTTTAAATCTGTTTTACTTAAGGATTGTTTTATGGGCCAGAGTGTGGTCTCTTTTGGTGAATATTCCTGAAAATAATGTGTATTCTATCATTGTTGGTAGGTTTTTCTACAAATATTAATTAAATCAAGATGTTTATCAGTGTTGTCCAGGACTTATATATTCTTACTGATTTTATTTCCACAAATCAAATTTTAAAATAGGCAAAACTTCCTTTATGGTGATAAAATTCAAAACATTAGATGACTAGCAAAGGGCCTAAGAAAGTTTCTTAGGTGACTGTTCTGTCTTTATCTGAGTCATTTGAGTGAATATATATGTAAAAATGTATCAAACTGTAAACAAGTTTTGTACACTATAATTATATATGTTTTAACTCATAGAGTATGATAAATAACAAAACAACAAAATAACCAAATTTACCTATTCTCTTAAGAACTGCAATACATCTAAGCCCCATATATATAAATTAAGATTAAAGTATATTATATGTTTTCTTCCTTGATATAATTCCAGCATATCCATTTACATAATTAGAATATATATGTTATATCTTCTGAATCTTTCCAAATATGAAAATTTCAATGCATGTTCTCCCACTTTTTTCGGACACATATCTTAATTTTAATATTCAACTGACATTGTGATTTGGCAGTCTACAAGTTTCAATCATTATTCTTGCTCCCATAGTCTTGTGGCTACAAAGTATAAAAGTTCTTTCAGTCACAATTTTAAATGTTTGTTATTCTCTAGTTGTTACATAAGCCAAAAAATTACTTAGTATTTTCCTAAATTTCTTGTCTCCCTAAGCTTTTCAAAGTAATTAGAGCCATACAGCTTATTACATAATGCTAGAATTCCCCATTTCATTTACTCTGTTCTATGGAAATTTATTGCCCTCACAGCCAATATTCAACTCCAATATTCATTCTGAATGACAACAGGTAATATATTTTTTTCTTAATCACTAACAATTTTTATTTCATACTTAAAGAGCCCTTTTAGGCTTATTTAGGTATAGTTTGTTTTAGAATGAACTATTTCTTTTAAATGGTTTCCTTTTTTCAAAAACATTGTGAAAATAATACAGAAAGTACCTATATAACCCACACTACATTTCCACTATTACTGATATTTTAGCTCCAACTTTGCCAGTCTCCATCTAAGATTTCCATTACCTTGGCAGTCTATTGTTTTTGATAATTTGCAGTTAACAATATATCAGCCAAGGACGTGCCTTGTGGCAAAATCAATCATTCAGTCATTCTAGCTAGTTTAAGCAAGTAAGTTCAGATTCGCTCAGGATATTATTAAAGTCATATAATTATTGATATTATGAAAGGATCATTCCCGAAGTCTTTACGTCTAGTAATACTGGCCAAATCATCTTACAGGGCTTCCCAAAAGAAGACCCAGTACCATATTTGCCTGCAGAGATATGGCAGTTCTCTCTTCCGAGTGTACACTGCTTTCCTGAATCTCCACCAGTGATCCTCCAAATATTCAGATATGTACACTCTCATCTCACAGTAAATATGGTCCTCATAGCACTTGAGTGTTCGCATGAATCATTTCCTGATTTGGGGATGTGTATAATTGGCCAGCCTTTATCACATGCCTACTTGTAGTATGAAGGAAGTCCAGTAAGTTGTGACATTTACTGTAAGGAGACACCAATAAAAAACAGGACATTCCCCAAACATATGAATAGTGCCTCAAAGATACCAGGCTGTCAGAAAATATGGCAAATATTTTAAGTGTGATGCCACTGGTTTAAGAAATAAATGGTAAAGACCTAACCTATGCAATCACCAGGTGATGGGAGAATAGATTACATAATCGAAGGATCACGTTTCACGGTAAGAGTTGGCAGGAAATGTGATGAAGTTTGTATGTTTTGAGGGTTTGTGAAAAACAATTAGGGAAATGCTATCCCAAGCTATTTTTGAGGGGGACGGGGCTATGTGCAGGGATTGGGTCTTGCTCTGTCACCCAGGATAGAGTGCAGTTACACAGTCTCAGCTCACTCCAACCTCCTGGGCTCTAGTGATCCTCCCACCACAGCCTCCAGAGTAGTGGGGATTACAGGCATGCACCACCACACCCGGCTAATTTTTGTATTTTAGTAGAGATGGGGTTTTACCATGTTGACCAGACTGGTCTCGAACTCCTGACCTCAAACGATCCACCCAGTTCAGCTTCCCAAAGTGCTGAGATTACAGGCATGAGCCACTGTGCCTGACGCCTATACCCAGCTTTAAACTGATTTTAGCACCATGAGCGTGATGAGCATTGCATCTTTATATCCACAGTTTGCCTAATTTCAACTGTTACTCATCTGTTGTGCCCAAATAAATCTTAGGTGCTTCTTCCATTATGCTTCCATTACAATTTGTTCAAACTCCTATGTAGGTAGACATGTCTTTTATGTATTTTTCTTGCCTAAGCGTCATTTTCTCTCCTTCTCTAGAAACAGCACCACAATTTTTCATGAGTTACTACCCTTCTCCACTTTCAATAACAGAAAGGAAAACAAGACTGGCAAATCAGAACATTCTCTCCCTCTTACATCAGTGATTGGTTTTTGCTGTGATGCACTAACCAAACAAATCAAATTAAACTTAATTATGGAGATTATTTTTTAAGCTATAGAGAAGAGAAAATTTATCTATGTATTTTTCTGAGATAGTTTACAGACTTGAAACTGAGGGCAGCAGTCTTACCTAAGCGTGGATCTATCATAGAGGAAGAGAAAACCGAGAAGTGATGAGAGTTAAACTGTCTTTATGGCATATATTCATCTAAATCCAGCCATTGATATGTCATTAGACTTATAAATTTTTAGGAACAAGTAATTATCTCCATTGTTTAAGCTACTTTGTGTTGGACTTCTGTCTCTCCCTACTGAAGAAATCCTTAAAAATACATTTTTTGCGACCACATAATTATGCTATTATAATTTTGTATTTGGGTAATTTTCTGATTAAAAACTCCCCAAATCTAGAGACCATGTCTTTTCCCATTTTTTTTTATATTCTCTAACACATTCCCTAGCAAATATCTGTCCCTTATTTCAAGAATGAATGAATGACATATAAGATAGATAAGTAACTAAAGTCATGTAATTCATACCAAAAGTAGGGAGCCTAACCCAAGACACCTGCTTCTCCTACTTATATTCTTTCTATTATGTTTTATCATAGAGGTAAGAAACGAAGTTACATTTCCAGAAGCATTTTTTTTTTACCATAGAACCATGAGGTAGACCATTTTCATCACATGTTCTTATCTGCCCTCCTAGCAAAGTTTCACTACATGAAAAAACAAAGTGAATTAAGATACCTTAAGCCTTTTCTGAAGGGGTGTGTGTGAATGTGTGTGTGTGTGTGTGTGTATCAGAAGTATCTTTTATCTTTTATATATATATATATACAGATTCATACTCTATTGACAAAGAAATATACTCTTAGGAAAACCTCAAACATTTCTTCTCCTGGGAAACAACTGCCCTGTAATACAAGAGAATGACCTAAATGTCTCATTACAGAAAATCCCTAGATCAGTGTATTGATGATATTTTTTATCATTAGGATTCAAAACATAGCTTTCCTCAAGGGTCACTACTGGGCAGCTTAGTCTGTACTTTTACATAGTTTTTTTTAAAATTTGTCAAAGAGGTGACCCAAAAGGAGTAAAATCTTTGTTGCTTCTATATGAGCATTAATTTGCTACCAATGACAGATGGTTCTCTAATCCACTTTCCTTTGTTTGGGAGTTGGGATAATTACACTGAAGAATTTGAGAGAAGACAAAGTTTTCTTGCTTACCTTTCTTCTCTTGTTCCAGTCCAGTAAGAGGCAAGTAAATTAAGCCTTAATATGACAATTACACTAGTGCTTAAAAGTGGTTGATATATAATGTGTAAAATATATACTTGATTTTCATTTCATTTATGCTTGGCAGGTACATATTAGAATCTGTAGTTTTTGAAATCTATAATTAAAAAATGTAACATGTAGACTACTCAAAAAATTTTGAATAGTGTTCCCTTTTCTGTGTTTGTATGGATGATTGATATCATAAATCACATATGCACATGAACAGTGTTTCTTTTTGCATATATTTAGTAGCTTCTCTTTCTCCTTCTTAAGCTAAAGAAAGTAAAAGTGACTGCAACTTGATAGGAAGATAATACATATTTCATATAATGAAAAATTACTTTCATAGACATTTTAAATGTTAGCATTTTTTAAATGGAGGTTTCTGATTCTTATTTAAACACAACTGGGGATATTTGAGGAGTACATATTTCTCCTCTGAAGTATCATATTGTATAAATACTTGATAACTTAAAGTGGCATTCTCTAGCTAAGCAAGTGGTTCCAAAACTGGGCCGTATCATCAATAGAACATTAAAAATATATTTATGGGCTCTACTCCAAGTCAGTTGAGCCTAGATTCAGGAAAACTAGGATCCACAAATCAGAAACATAAACTACAGCCACAGGATTCAGGGTATCCAAATTTAGAAATCACTGTAGCAAGTAATTCCTGTTTTAAAAATAAATTTCTCTTTTTGTCCTAAACTTAACTTACTGATTTCACAAAATCTTCACTTCTTTTTCAGAAGCAGCAGCACTGGCAGTTGAAACAAGAAATATATTTTAGTATGAGGATGTTAGTTGTAAATTAGGTGATTGCCCTCCCTTTGCTCAGATTAGGGTTAAGAAATGTTTAATAATAGAGGTTTGCTGATCCAACAAATATGTATGAAGTCTCTACTACATGCCAGGTTCTGTCCTAGTTATTGGAGATAGACCAGTAAAAATAAAACAGAAAAAACCTTTTTCCTTTAAAGGACCAGGAATTCTTGGAATCTGTCCTGGATAGGGTTTTCCCAGAAGCTTACCCTGAGACAAGGATTTGAGTAAAGTAGTTTATTTGGGAAATGATCTCAGAAAGCAACTGAAGGAGATTGAGGAATGAGGCAGAGAAAGTAAGTTAGTCATGGGTGCAGGTTATCAAGTAGGAAGCTGAAACCTGATTCCATGGGGGAAATTTGGGAGATAGTATAGAATACAATTAAGTGTTATCCCACTCAAAAGTGCCAGGGTATTCACTCTCCAGCTCTACCAACTCCCAGTACTGCTGGTCTCGTGAGGTTGAAAATAAACCTCAGACAAGGAACTGCGGGTGTTTTAATAGGATGGCGTAGGCATGGGCAAGAACAAGGAGTGCTGAGGAAATATGGGCAATGTTCTAACACCATCTACTACTGTAGCATATAGGCAGAAATAAAAGTAGAATACTTGGAAGGTTGTGTTGTGATCAGTAGTATGAGCAATATAAAGCATGCAATAGCAATATGGAATGTATTCATATGTAGAATGGCCAATGTGGAAAACAAAAAGATGGTTAAAATGGCCTCATGGAGAAGGTGATTCTAGAGAAAGCCTGAAGCAGATAAGCGAGCAAGGTATGTGACTATCTGGGATAGAGAGAACCATAAGTTCAAAGGCTCTGAAGTTAGGTTGGACATTGCATGTTGGATTAACAACAACATATTTTAAATGCTCTGTAGATGATTCTGATATATAATCAAGTTTGAGAACCAGTTGCTTAGTTAGAGGGTGTGACTGTTGATAATTATACATTTATGATGTGTGGCTGGAGCTGAGTGGATTAGGAGCTGAGAGCTGAAAGTGTAAAGGGGCTTTATCAGGCAGGTCTTTGGCAATTCAGGGCTTTTAAAGAAGTGAGGGGGGGAACCCTCAAAGGACTCTGAACAGATGTGTTCTGATTTATGCTGAAACAGGATCATTCTGGCGGCTGTGCAGAGAAAAAGTAAAAGGAGAAATTGTGAGAAAAGAGAGATCAATTTAGAGGGTTGTTATAATTCAGTACAGAGATAGTAACTAGGAACAAGGTAGAAGCAGGAAAGGTGATAAAACATAATCACATTGGATATATTTGGAAGGCAAAATTAATGGTATTTGTTGATTAACTGAATATAAAGTTAAGTGAAAAAGTTTAATGAGGGGGATAGAGGATAACTAAGAATTTTGACTTAAAAATTAGACAAATTGAATTGTTATTACCTAACGTAGGAAGCTTTGGTGGAAGGAAGGGCAGATTTAGCAGCTTGTGTTGGGGCATGAGGTCAGAAGTATAGTTTTGAACATGTTAATTCTCTCTATATATTACAATACAAATAGATTCCTCAATTGTCTTTACAAATCTCAACTTCCAGCCAAGAGCTGAGCTAGGAATTATCAGCCTAGAGGTGATATTTAAAGGTAGAAGACCAGATAAGAACACCAAATCAGAATGTGCAAATAAAGATGAGAATACATTCGTGGTTTGAGTCTGGACACGTAATGATTAGAGGTTGGAGAGATTAAAGTACGCTGGAAAAAAAGACTAAGAAGGAATGCAATGAGGTAGGAGAAAAACCAGTAGAATGTGGTGCTTTGGAAGCCAAGTAAAGAAAATATCTCGAGAAAGTGGGAGATGCCATTAAATCAAATGCGTTTTTTAGGTTAAATAAGATTGGACCACGTGGAATTTCTGTTATTGTAGGTCTAACATGGTCAAAATCAGCAGTTTCTCATGGTTCAATCTAAGTAAGATGAGGACAGAGAACTAGTCATTAGTTTTAAAAATAGGAAGCTTGAAAAGAGCAGTTTGGAGTGGATATTTGGAACTAAAGCTTTATTTGAATGGATTTAAGAAAGAATATGAGAAGGGGATTGGAAAGTGTGAATAACACCATTTTTATTATTATACTTTAAGTTTTAGGGTACATGTACACAACGTGCAGGTTTGTTACATATGTATACATGTACCATGTTGGTGTGCTGCACCCTTGAGCTCTGTTCTAAGGAAATATGGTAAAATAGGTTGGGTCCTACTGGTACCAGTCCAGGACTGGGATGTGCCAGTTTCAGACATCTGAAAACTCAGCGTTTGCTTGGATTTCTATTTGTTTTCTCCCCTGACACAAGTTGATGAGTGGATTTATTTATTTATTTTTCCAAACATGAGACCAATATCTTTTATAGGCTACAAAAGAGCAACATCAATCAGGTGAGTGGCACAAAGAATTAGAATCTTAGTCATACAAAGAGAGTCCCATTTCCCTGCAAAGACTCCTGTCAGCTGCAACATTTTGAAGCATATTAATATCAAGCCCTGAATATGTGTCTTGTTTTAAATACTGTAGTATAGGGCAATTCATCAGCCCTTTTGTAAATAATGATGCAGATTTGAAGTCAGGCATATTTTAAAGAAGAGGTGCTCTTCAGTTTTTTGTTTTTTGTTTTTTTTTTTTTTAGAATTTTTGCTTCCTAAGAACAAGGGACTGATAGTCAATACAAATCACCCAGATTCAGAAGTGGGGCAATAAGCATAGTGTACAGGATGGTGTGTATTAGGTCTGATTATGCCTCTTAACTATATTCTGATATTCTCATAACTTCTCTGCAACTGAGCAGTAGCATTCATGCTGCTGTTTTATTTCTCATAGTGTCCAAAAAAAAAAAAAGAAATCCACCAAAAAGAAAAAACCAAACAGATCTTTAAATAAAGAGAATAAAGAGGAGAGTTTTATCCAGTCTTTGATTTTTAAAATTTCAAATAGCAAAAGATCTGTTACATTATAATATCATATCCCAAATAGAAATTTAGATAATTTTAGCCGGGTAAAAGAGATTTTGAATGTTTTATATTCTTTCTTATTTGTAGTATCAACAGGTCAAAAGGTAAGTGTACTCTAAAGCCAAATTTAAAGATCTAAAATTATTCATTGTTTCTTTTTGCTGCTTATTATTCCTAATAAATAATAACTAACAAGGATATGGTAATTTTGATTTTGCTGAGAAAGACAAGCTGTCTTATGACAATGAAAATATGCTTGTAATAGTAACTAAAATAAAAATCCTAATATTCCTTAATCTACACTATTGAAAAATAAAATAATAAAATTAAAATAAAAGATCCTAAAACTATCAGGGACCTTAGAAATAGTTTTACTAAACCATCTCTCTTCAAAAATTAGAAAAATGAAATTTGAGGATAGTAACAAACATATCAAGGTAACACTGGTATGACTCGCCAAAAGTGGCTAGAGAACTCTGCTTTCCTATTCACTAGCCCTGTGTCTCTTTGCTTATGAAATGCAGGCTTTCGTCAGTATTATGAAGGTAAGAGGCTAGTACACTGGCTTCTCTGGCTTCTTAAATAGTGCAATATATGAGGGATATAAAGAAATCTAACACATTCTTTACTGGAACTAGATAGAAACCTCTTGTGAACCCTTAAGTGGAATGAGTGAAATAAGCAATTATCCTAGCTGTTGCAGCAGAAGGAAGAAAGAATGAAATTGACCTTAGTTATCTATTTAAAAAGGGAAGAAAAACTGGAATGAGAAGAAACCTAGCATCATGGTTCAACCAAGAGTTAATATTTGTATCATTTCAGAAAAATGTAATCATTATCTGTTGTGGATGACTTTTTGCTTCATGTGACGGTTCTTACATTGCGGTCAATAAATAAAAGTGCTGACAGAAAGCTCGTGTGGTAGATCATGTAATTTACAAGAGACTGAAATATATCATAATACTCATCTAGTACTTAACCAAGAGCTTCAACAACACATAAATCTTACCTTACTTTGAAACAGTCATAGAGTCTTGTTTCATACTAGGCTTTTCAATTGCAGCTGAGCATTCAAGATTGCTCTTGTAATAAGTACCATTTTTCTCCCCCATTTCTCCCTTTGCCCAAAGAAATGGAATCTGGAAAGTGCTAAAACAATTGAAGCCTCCAGGAAATTGTCCTGAAACCAGAAACCAGCAGGAAATTGTTCTGAATACCCTATAGGCAACATCCAAAGTATTGTTTAAAACATATTCCTTTGTAATAACTGTCACTATTTTTTAATAAGTGCAATAGTATTCATATTCGAGCTACTGAACTCTGTGCATAGATGTTGGGTTGTAGTGTAATATCATCAGAAAAGCTCCAGCACAGGGAGAATTGAACTTTTTATGGGATAAGGAATTTATCTTCACAGCATGTTTAGGATCATCATTGAATATTGCAACTGTCATTAAAAGCCTGTTTAGTGTCTGTACCGGAAAAAAATTCTACTGAAATCCTGATTCCTTTAAAAATTATCTAAAGATATTTTTGAGGAAATGCTTTTTGCTCTATTTATTTCCCACTCCATTAAGTTTTTGCACTGATTATAATTTGTTTTTCTAACAAGCATCTTTAGCACTGCTCCTTACTACAATAGCCTCTTGTAGAGTTGCTGAAACTGCTCTTTAGAGTTTGAAATTTTTTTCTCACATAAATAAAGAGATAAACAGTATTCATCAAGCCCTTTTGAAAATATAACATGCTACCCTCATTTTATTTGATTCTGTAGTTAAATTGGTTAAGCTCATATGTAGTCTTCTCTTTCCAAGTCTTACATTTTACAGTAGGCTGAGCTCATGGGATTGCCCTTTCTACAGCATCTTCAGGTTGCCATTCTCCAGATGGAATTTTCTCTCCAGTCTTTTAAACAGCACACCATAATCACACGTTTTGCTCTTTTATGTAGCTTTGCTCTGCATCTGCAATCTGGTGCCTACTTTGCCTCTCTTTACAACACCTAAGGGTGAATGTGCCTTTGAGCAATAACTCCCAATGTACTTTATTCCAGGATACTACATAAATGAAAGGAAATATAAATGCATGAAGAACAGGAAAGAAAATAATATATCTACCTCAAGTATAAAAGACAGGCATGTTTTATATAACCATTTCCATATTGCTATTACCATTTCTACATTATGGAAATGTATATTTACATTATCCATGGGGCAAACTGAGAACATGAAAATTAGTGTTTTTCCCCGGTGCCTCCTGTTTTTAAATGAAATAATAAATGAAATCGTGTTTTCAGAGCCTGTTTTCTCGTTCTATTCAAAATATCACTCTTTTTCATAGTGCATATAATGTCAGTATTTTAAAAATTGTTCTTTATGTAATTGTAGTTTTTATATTTAATATTTTTCAGGTTTTTAAGAGAGATATATATGTATTATAAAACTTAGAAAATATAGGGAAGACAATAAAACTCATCTGTAATCTTGGACCATTTTTACTTTTATATAATACTCAAGATGAATACATTTAATAAAATTCTGAGGCTATTAGGTACATTGTTTTGTAATCTATTGTTTTCCCATAGCATATCATAAGTTCTTTCCTACATTATTATTTTTTCTTTTTTTTAATATCTATCCATGGGGCTTTATACAACTAACAGTAAATCTTGGTATCCATTAAGACAAGCATCCTCGCTTTTTTCTTTTTATTATTATTATTATTATACTTTAAGTTCTAGGGTACATGTGCACATGCAGGTTTGTTACATATGTATACATGTGCCATGTTGGTGTGCTGCACCCATTAACTCGTCATTTACATTAGGTATATCTCCTAATGCTGTTCCTCCCTCCTCCCCCGACCCCACGTCAGGCCCTGGTGTGTGACGTTCCCCACCCTCTGTCCAAATGTTCTCATTGTTTAATTCCCACCTACGAGTGAGAACATGTGGTGTTTATTTTTCTGTAGTCTTCCATCATGTTCGGGTTTGTTTTCAATTTGTTACTAATACAAATAATTTTGTGTTAAAAGTCACGTGCTTAAAAAAATTCCAGTGCTTAAATTTTTGTGTAAATCTGTTTCTTTAAGTTTGTTGATAAATTGTAAACTTAAAAAACTTTATTATCAAGTCTATTTTTTTCATTCTAATTTTGTCTTTGTTTTACTACATTGTGTCAAAATATAAAAATGTAGGAAAACAGGAAATGCTTGATATCTATAAAAAACTTTCCTCTTATGGAGAGTAATGTCTATCTAGTTCAACTCCTCATTGATTGCTTAGAACTAGGGGTATTGGGAATTCAACAGACTATGCTGAAGTAACATTAGATGGTCACCAATCACCTTGTAAGAGGGTTCGGTTACTGACAGAAATTTGAGGTTTCTTGAATGCCTAGAAAAGTAGGGAAGCTAATTTGGATTACAGAGTAATTGCTCTGGAGAATAGAGGAGTCAGTGAATCTTGTGGCCAAATAAGAAAGGGAAAAAAGAGAGAGAGAGAGAGACCTAGGGTGCTAGAAGGATGAATTGCTATAAATAAGATTACTGACACTGAGTGCAGGTATAGAGGCGGAGAGGAAACAGCAAAGAAAAGAATGTGGAAAGTTAAAATGTGCCTAAAACAGTAAAAGAAATACTCCTTAAAGTAAGGTATCTTGAACCTTAAGGTAAAGGCATCTTGAAAAACAGACATATATTTTGATGATGATGATCAGAAGAACTCTGGACTAGAGGCTGAAGTCCTCCTATGCTTGGCAAGTTTCTGAGAGGCAGACGAGCCCTGTCTACACAGAAGAAACATACGTTAAGTAATTATAATATCAAAGGATGAAATCCAGAGAAGATAAAATATGTGGTAAAACACCAAAATCTTCCTCATACTTACAGATCTACATATATATTTTCCCTTTGCTTTATAGTTATGAAAAATGTTGCTACAAAGCAGAGGAAAATTTAAATAAATGTTAATAAGTGTAAATCATCAATTGCAGCTCTGAATGGAGAACACAAAAGCAAACATAACAACTTGAGTGAAGAGACCATCCGACATTCTAATGTGAGAACCTGACAGGAAATGAAGGTGAATCAGAAACTGAGAAAACAAATAAGAAATAAAAGGGAAAAAAGCCTTCTTAGAAACAAAGATGAAATATAAGGATTTCAATGGAAAATAAGCACAACAGAAAACATGGTAGGGAGATAGAGATTGCATACGAAATGAACAAATGAAGGGAAATAGAATTACAAAAAAGCAAAATAAAAAAACGAGAAAACAGTAGCCATTGGAGATATGATATCTGTAATATTGGAGTAGTCCAGAAGAAAAAACTAGAAAAATAAATTATAGTCATTTTTAAAATTATAAAACTGAACTTAAATAACTGAAAGGAAATGGTATTTTCCAGGGAGAGTTGTTGTACACACAACCCACATAATTAATACAAGAATACAAAGTAGGCTGGTCTCAGATATATCCACAGAAATATTCAATTAAATCCAGAATATTTAGTAAAAACACGTTACAAATACGTACACGGTAAGTCAGTGAAGACGGTGTAGTAGGAAGTATCAGGAATCTGTATTTCCACCTGGCCAATAACTATATTAGCAGAACTTTTCTGAAGTGACTATTTTGGAACTCTGGAACTTATTTGAACACTTGCAGCTTCCAGGGGAAAGCATTGCTTATATGTTGCTGTTAATTTCAGTCCATTTCTACCATTAGCATGATTGCTATCCATCCTTCATCCTTTACCCCCTTGGAAGGCAGCTGTGGGGATGGCAATCACATATTTGCCATGGATTGATGGAGCCAGGGTGAGAAATACAGATGTTGTCCTCCAAATCTCAGGGTCCCAAGTTCTGCTTGTGAATTGATGCTTCTAATTGCTGATGTCAAGCAGATTGACTGCCATGTGACTAAAAATGGATCCAAGACCTAAACTTTAGAGCTGAAACTATATTTATGAATATGACACCAAAAAGCACAGGCAAAGCAACAAATTCAAAAATAGACAAATTAGACTTTATCAAAAATAAAAACTTTTGTGCATCAAAATACACTATCATAAAAATGAAGACTACCTACCTACAGACTAAATGTGAGAAAATATTTGCAAATTATTTATTTGATAAGCGTTTAACACCCAGAATATATAACCATCTCCTACAACTCAACAACAAAAACAGAACAAATGACCCAGTCAAAATGGACAAAGATTGCTACCACAAACATACAAAATATCATGAGGCTAAAATGAACAATTATAGCAACAAACTGGATAACCTAGAGGAAAATGATATATTCCTAGAAACGTATAACGTACCAAGACTGAATCATGAGGCTGGGTTGCAGTGGCTCACGCCTGTGATCCCAGCACTTTGGGAGGCCAAGGTGGGCAGATCACTTGAGGTCAGGAGTTTGAGACCAGCCTGGCCAACGTGGTGAAACCCAACTCTACTAAAAATACGAAAAATTAGCTAGGTGTGGCAGCTACTCGGGAGGCTGAGGTGAGAGAATCATTTGAACCTGAGAGGCAGAGGTTGCAGTGAGCCGAGATTGGGCCACTGCAATCCAGCCTGGGCAATCCAGCCTGTCTAAAAAAAAAAAAAAAAAAAAAAACTGAATCATGAAGATGTATAAACAGTAATTAAAAAGTCTGTTATCAAAGCAAAGTTCAGGACCAGATGATATCATGACTAAATTCTACCAAATATTTAAAATTCTACCAAATTCTAAATGCTACCAGATATTTAAAAAATACAAGTACCTATCAAACTCTTCTAAAGATTCAAGAAAATAGAATACTTCCAAATTCATTTTACAAGGACAGCATTACCCTGACATCAAAATGAGGCAAAGACACTGCAAGAAAAGAAAATTACAGGCCAACGTCCCTAATAAACATACATGCAAAAATCCTCAACAAAATACTAGAAAAATTAATTCAATAGCACATAAAAAATTCACAATGATATAATAGGATTTATCCCTGGAATGCAAAAATGACTGAACAACTGTTAAATTAAGTTTAGCCTAAAGCTGCTTCCTTACATATACATTTGGCCAAAGGGCTTCTTCATACATATTTAACTATAACCTAACTGGGTGTGTAAACAGACTTCAAACTATTCTTGTAACAAGGAGCGGAATCTCAGCTAATCACAGCAGCTGAGTTTCAGACAGTCACAGGTGGCCACTGTGCCTCATTTCCATTTTTGGTACATCACTTTCCCTTTGTGTTCATAAATGTTACTAAACCATGTGGCAGCCCCAGAACTGCTCTGGAACTATTCTACTTCTGGTGGCTCCCTGATTTGCAAATCTCTCTTTGCTCAATTACTCTTAATTTAATTAGTCTATTTTTTTAAGTAATACATAAGCCTATAAATGTTACACAACACATTAATAGAACTGAAGACTAAAACTATGTGTTTGTTCTAATAGATGCAAATTAAACATTTGACAAAATTCAACACCCTTTCGTGGTATAACTCAAAACAAGTATATCAACACCATAAAGCCTACATATGACAAATCCACAGCTAACATTATATTCTACAGTGAAAACCTGAAAGATTTTCATCCAAAGTCTGAGACAAGACAAGGATGCCCACATGTTCCACCCTAATTCAACATTGTAGTGGAAGTTATAGTCAGAGCGATTAGGCAAAAAAAGAAAGAAAATCATCAAGAATAAAAAAGGAACTTGTCTTCCTTTAGCTGACAGCATGATCTAATATATAGAAAACACCAAAGACGCCACGAAAAAACTATTTAGAATTGATTAATTCAGTAAAGTTGCAGGATACAAAATCATACAAAATTCAGTAGTGCTTCTATATACTAACAATAAACTATCTGAAAAAAATTAGGAAAGTGATTCCATTTATAATAGCATCAAAAATAATAAAGTGCTTAGAAAGAAATATAACCAATGAAGTGAAAGACCTATATATTTGAAAACTATACAATATTGATAAAAAGAAATTAAAGAGAACACAAATAAGTGGAAAAATATACTGTGTTCATGGATTCAAAGTATTAATATCATCAAAATATTCATACTACCCAAAGTGATATACAGATTTAATGGAATATCTATCAAGTTTCTATGACACTTTTCACAGAAATGGAAAAACAATCTTAAAATTTACAACTGCAAAAGGCCCTATACACAATCTAGAGCAAAAAGAAGAAAGTTGGAGGCATCACAGTACCTGAGGTCAAAATATAAGACAAAGGTATAATAATCAAAACAGCATGATATTGATATAAAAACAAATAGACTGGTGTAACAGATTCTAGAAATAAACCTATGCATTTGTAGATAATACATTTTTTGACATAACTATAAATAACACAAAGAAGAGATAGACGGTCTTTTCAATAATGTTAGAGAAATTGGATATCCACATGCAAAAAATGAAATTGGATCCTTATGTGACACCACATGCTAAAATAAACTGAAAATGAATTAAATACTTAGTAAGACCTGAAAACATACAACTAGTGGGAGAAAACATAGGGAAAATGCTCTATGACATTAGTCTAGGCAATTTTTTTTATGTAACATTAAAATCATAGAAACAGAAGCAAACTCAACAAATGGGATTACATCAAACTAAAAATGCTTTAGCACAGCAATGGAAGCAATTAAGAGTGAAGAAAAAGACCTCTAAATTGGAAGAATATATTTGACAACCATATATCTGATGAGGGCCTAATATCCAAAAAAATAAACAATAAACTAAATTAAGAAACTCAATAGCAAGAAAAGAAATAAACTGATTAAAAAGTGGGAAAAGAACTTGAATAGACATATTTCAAAAGGAGACATTCAAATGATTGACAGAAACATAAAAAATTCTCTACATCACAAAGTATCAGGAAATTACAAATTAAAAGAATAATGTAGTATCATCTCACATCTGTTAGAATGGCTATTACCAAAAAGACAACACATAAGTGTTGAAAATGTGGAAAAAAGGAAACCTTGTACATTGTTGATGGCAATGTAAATTAGTACAGCCATTATGAAAAACAATACAGAGATTTGTTCAAAAAACAGAAAATAATATTAACATTTGACCGAGCAATTCAAAAAATTGAAATCTGCATGTTGAAGAGATATCTGCACTGCTATGTGTATTACAACGTAATTCATAAGGGCTGAGCATGGTGGCTCACACCTGTAATCCCAGCACTTTGGGAGGCCGAGGCAGGCGGATTACCTGAAGTCAGGAGTTTGAGACTAGCCTGGCCAACATGGTGAAACCCTGTCTCTACTAAAAATACAAAATTAGCCAGGCGTGGTGGCACATGCCTCTAATCCCAGCTACTTGGGAGGCTGAGGCAGGAGAATCGCTTGAACCCAGGAGGCGAAGGTTGTGGTGAGCTGAGATCACGCCATTTGCACTCCAGCCTGGGCAACAAGAGCAAAATTCCATCTAAAAAAAAAAGTATAATTCATAATAGTCAAGATATAGAATCAATCTACGTGTTCATCAACAAACGAGTGAATAAAATGTTGTATCTATACACAATGGAATAGTATTCAGCCTTAAAAAAGAAGGAAATTTTGTGATTTGGAACAATATGAATGAACCTGGAGGACATTATGCTAATTGAAATAAACTGAGCATGGAATGACAAATACTGCATGATCTCACTTACATGTGTAATCTAAAAAATTTTGAACTTATAGAGGTAAAGACCAGAATGATCATTACCAGAGGATGGAGGTGAAGAGTGGGGAATGGAGAGATATGGATGAAAGGATGAAAGGATGAAAGTATATTTTCAGTGATATAGAAGGAGTAGGTATTTGAGATCTATTGAACAGCATGGTGGCTTTAGTTCATAATAATGTCATGTGTGTTTCAAAATTGATAAGAGAGTAGTCGATTTTAAATTGTCACTCCATGCCATTAAAAAAAAGTGTGTGACTTGATGGCTATGTTTATAGCTTGACTTAATCATTCCATAACGTATACAGGTTCTGAAACATTACATTGCGCTCCATAAATACATAAAGTTATTATTTATCAATTAAAGTAAAATTAAACAAATAAGCAAAGGACTTTAACATTTTCCCAAAGATATACAAATGGCCAATAAATGAAAAAGAAATTAGCTCAGCACCATTAGTCATTAGGGAAATCCAAATTAAAGTCATAGTGAGATAACACTTCACACCTATTATGAAAATTATAATTTTGAAAAATGAAAAATAACAAGTGTTGGCAAGGATGTGAAGAAATTAGAATACTCATGTTTTCCTGAGGAGAACTTGAAATGGTACCACAACAATAGAAAGCAGTTTGGTGGTTTCTCTAAAGATTAAATACAGAATTACACATATTCCTGCAATTCCAGTTCAACATATCTATCTAAAAGTATTGAAAGAAGGGGCTCAAACATATTTGTATTCCCAAGTTCATACTAGCATTCTTAACAATAGTCAAAAAGTAGAAATCACTCAAGAGTCCAGCAATATATTAATGGATAAACAAAATGTATGTATATACATACAATGGAATATTTTTGAGCCACAAAAATGAATAAAATTTTGATATATGCAACAACATGGATATACTTTGAAAACATTATGCTTAGTGGAATAATCCAGACAAAAATAACAAATATTGTATGAATCTTCTTGTATGACTTACCTAGAGTAGTCAAAATCATAGTGACAGAAAGTAGAATAGTCATTAGGAAAGCAGAGAGAAAGTGATTGTTTAATGGTTACAAAGATTTTGTGGGGAATGATGAAAACCTGTTGGGTATAAATAGTGAAGATTACACAGCATTGTGAAGATATTTAATGAACAGAATTTTATACTTACAAATGGTTAAAGTGATGAATATTTTGGCACATATATTATATTAAAATATGCAAAAAATTATTAGGCCAGATATAAAAACAATATAATAGAATTTAAATCAAGCATATCTGTCATACAAAACATGTAAATAGAATTAATTTACTTTTTATGAAATAATTTGCAAATTTTCTCCCAAAGTAAACTCAAGAAACATGACTAAAATTTCTTATTTGTCAAACATTACCTGCACATGTGCACACATACATACAGAGCAAAAGGAATCCAAGCAAATGAACATATTAAAAAAATCAGGGAGATAATATCATTAAAAGAATTTTTTCAAAATTGTTAGGATAAACATTTTAAGAACTCTGGGAGTTAACCAAAGGCTTCCAGCAATTAAGGAAGTATTTAATTAAGAAAAATGCTGCAACTTGGTAAGAAAAGTGAGTTTTACGGCATTTAACTTGAAATACTCTCATTCTCCTATCTCCAGCTCCACTGTAGCCTTGAAAATCAACAGCCCACCATCATAGTGAGAATTGCAAACCAGTAGAATGGCAGCCTCCAGAGACTGTAAAAGGGGGCTGGAAATCTTTTAATGTCTCACTCTTAGATAATTGTCGTTCTCTGACATTTTTTATAGTTCTCCACAAAATTCCACTTAAAAGGCTGTCTTTATTTGATCTATCATCTCACATACCACAAAAATCCTTTTTAGTCAGGAATATATTTCAAAAATAATGAGAATAAATTGTTTACATTTCTGGTTTCCTGGGACAATAGATAATAGTTGGGGACAACAACAGGCTATTCAAAACACTTGCTGGTGAAAGTTGGGAAATAACATGTTCATATTGTCTTTGAGCAAGCTCAGAGATATTCCTGGAAACAAGCCCATATGTATTTGTATGACTGCGTGCATGCCCAGGACTTTCTGCATATGAAGAAGTAACAGAGAAGGCACTAAGTTCTCACTTTTGGCTTACTTTGAGACTTGGTGCAAGCAGAAGGTGAAGAATAAAGGACACTTCTCAATTGCCTGGTTGGGTCTTGAAGTCATGCCCAACACAGAGTCCCTTAGCAAAAGATTGGGAAACTTATTGGTTCTAGGCATTCAAGAAAATGTCGTTTCAATCATTAGCTGACCACTAAGCTAACCCAGCAGAGGCTTTCATGGCTACACCATCCAAAGAAACCCTCCCCTAACCCCAAACAAATGACTGTTAAGTATACTAAATAATTTGAAATGGTTGCTAAATATAAGCTCAGTATATAAAAAATTAATTGTGCATAGTGTATTTCTTTGCACTAGCAATGACTGATTTAAAAATAAAAACTATAAAACAATGTTACAGTAGAATCAAAGTAAATAAAATACTTAGAAATAAATTTAACGAAAGTGCAAGATATGTACAATGTAAACTACAAAACATATTGAAAGAAATTAAAGATGGCAATTATCCCCAAATTAATTATCTAATTAATCACAGTCGTTACCAAAAATTCACCTTATTTTTAAAATTAATGTGATTCCTTTATAACTGACAGATAATTGCACGTATTAGGGAGGGAGAGTGTGATGTTTCCATTCAGTTATACATTTTATAATGATTAAATCAGCATAATTTTACTCATTACTTTGTAAATGTATCATTTCTCTGTGATGATAACATTCAAAATCTTCTAGCTATCTTGATATATATACAACACTGTTATTAGCTGTAGTTACCTTACTGTGCAATGTAGAACATCAAAACGTATTCTTCCTATTCAACTGTAACTGTGCCTGTTGACCCCACTCTCCTGGTTCCCTCACCCTTCCACAGACTCTGATAACTACTATTCTACTCTCTACTTCTATGACACTAACTTTTTTAGTCTCCACGTATGAGTGAGATTGTCTTTCTGTGCCTGACTTTGACTTTTTTCACTTAACATAATGTCCTCTAGCTTTATCTACATTTTTGCAAATGACCTGATTTTCTTCCCTTTAATGAATGAACAGTATTAAATTCAGTATTCACATTGTGTGTGTGTGTATGTATGTATACATGTATTACATTTTCTTTATTCATCTATAGATGGGCATTTAGATTGATTCCATATCTTGGCTATTGTGAATTGCATTGTAGTAAACTTGGGAGTTCAGATACATCTTCCACATACTGATTTCATTTCCTTTGGATATATATGGAGTAATGGATTGCTAGATCATATGGTAGTTCCATTTTCAATTTTTTGGGGGAAGCTCCATACTGTTTTTCATAATGGCTGTATTTATTTACATTCCCATCAACTGTGCATAAGAAATCCTCCTAACTTTTTTAAAAAAGATTGACAAGCTTATTCTCAAATTCATATGAAAATGCAAAGAAACCAAAGTGACTATAATAATCTTGAAAAAGAACAAATTTGGAAGACTTCTTTCCAATTTCAAAACTTACTACAAAACTAGAGTAACCCAAATGCAGTATTGAAATTAGAATATACATGGATAGCAATGTTTCCATTTTTGAAACATTTTATAGAAATAAACCAATAGATTTATAGTCAATTGATTTTTTATGTGTGCCAAGAAATTCAATGGGCAACCAATATTACAACAAATCTACATTCATAGGAGACAGCTATTTTACCTAGTAGTAGGAATAAGTAGACTTCAAGAGATGTGTTGTTGGAGTAGCAAGAGGTTATAAATTGATGCAAAGAGGGAAAGCCAGATCAATAATAGAGCAATGGCAATAGGGTATTAAACAGTCTCTCTCCTTATCATCATGAGCTCAGAAAAGGAGAGGTACAGAGTCATTTATGCTTAAGAAATACAACTTGAGCTTGTGTCTCTGTATTTTCAGAACAGATAAGGAGAGACATAGGTTTGCATAAGTAGATTAGAGCCTGATTTGGAAGGCTATTCATACTGTGTAGGTATTTCATGTCAATATTAGAGAGGGGAACAGAAAAAGACAAAACAAGTCACCTATAATTCCAATTTCAACTGAAAGGCAAGTTATATTTGTATCTGAAAACTATTTATCACTAAATAACCTATAATTTTCTCACCCTATGCTTTTGTACATGCTATTCTCTAAGACTAGAACATATATTATTTTCCTGCTTTGCCATTCTCTTCAACTCTACCTCCCATTATCTTTCACTACGCCAGTTTATATAGGTCTGGGTTAAAATGCTGCCTTCTCTGTGAACCCTTTTCTGACTTCATGCAGTTAATTTCCCCTTTGCTGTGTGCCCACACAGAATGTGTACAGTTTTTCACTTTCACACATATCACCTTGAATTGTAATCTATCTGATTTTTCCTCTAGAAATTCATCTTCTTGAAACAGAGATGACTAGGTCTTAATTACCTCTATATCTTACTGCCTACACTGCCTCTGACATATGAGAGATATTCAACAAGTTTTAGTTGAAAATGTACGAATAAGTATCCCCAGTTAATTGATTCATTGGTTAAGACTATCAGCTACTGCTCAATCTGTGCATAATATGAAGAGAAAAACTTTAATACTGTTACTTCCATGCAACACTAACATAAACAATTGATTATTTTACTTTCATTTAACTTCCTCTACAACTGTTCCAGCCTTCTGTGATCCAGTCATGCCAGCTCTGCATATCATCTGTTTACATGTATCTGATCAAAATATTATTTTTCAGAAATCATTTCCTGGGCATGATTTCTAATATAAGCACTGTGTGGTCTGTGTCTTCTGAAATAAATGGTTGAGGACATTGGCAAGCTTTTGCTGTCAATCTTACAGCTGAAAAAAGATTGGTAAGCTCACCAAAATTTGCACTATAGCTGAGGTAGACTGATTCCATACAATAGGTGGAAGAAAAGTAGCATCAGGTCCAATTGGTTGAGTGTCAAATTTAAGTCCAGGACTTACTTGTTAGGTTTCTGCTTTGATGCTGTCTAACACTGTCAGTAGAGTCTTGAAGCCTGTTACTATTATTTTGTGGCTGTCTAGTTCTCCAGAACAATCAGGCAAGATAAATAAATAAAAGATATCCAAATATGAAAAGTCAAACTATCTCTTTTCGCCGGTGATATGATTCTATACTATATCTAGAAAATCCTAAAAACTCTGCAGAAATGCTTCTAGAACTAATAAACATATTCAGCAAAGTTTCAGGATACAAAACCAATGTACAAAATGAGTTGAATTGCTATATACCAATAATATTCTAGCTAAGAGCCAAATGAAGAACACAGCCCTATTTACAATAGAGAGAAAAAAAAAATGAAGTACTTAGAAATACAGCTAACCAAGGAGGTTAAAGATCGCTACAAGGAGATCTACAAAATTCCACTGAAAGAAATTAAAAAAAGATACAAATGTAAGAAGAAACACCCAAGCTCCTGTGTATCAGGACTGAGGCAGATCCAGAAGAATCTATCCAGTGCTTTGGGGATAAGCCAGTTTGATGGAATTCATCGGCATCATAAAATTCATCTTCACTAGCGGAGTAAGAGAACTCTGGGACTGTATTTGGAGACAAGTTCACATGGCTTGGAGAAGTTAGACTGCTATTCGGTGGTGAATGGCCACTGCCTGTACTATTTGGTGTAAGAGTCTTATGCTGTCCCAAGGTAGCCAACACAGGTCCAACTGGTAGGGAAGATGGATGCTGCTGTTTTGACTTACACAACTGAACAGGTTCTGGAAGTAACAATCTGGGAAGGCGTGCTGATCACAGGTTCCAAAGGACTAGGTTGATAGATTGCATCTACAGGATTAATAGTACTTATTCCATCTGCGTGCTTTTCTGCATTACCCTTTAGCAATGTGCAGCAACACAATGCAGTGTTTAGCTGATTCTACTATGCTATTTGTTGTTTCTTTGAGAGTTTCCATTTTCTTTCTCTGTTCATCTTCTTTGTAGTTTTGAAGCTTGTCATCAAAAGACTTTAATTGTTCAATCAAGATTTGTAGGTAATTACATCAGCAGCAGCTCAGGAAATAGTCTAAAACATCCAGATACTAGAGAATCACTTAATTCTTCCATGTCCAATGGAACAAGTGATGCTGACCTTTTTGATTCATATGACAGTAGAGATGATGATGTGTAGGCGGGGTCCGCAGGGAGCACAAGAGCGTTATCATGCATCTCTTGTCACAGGTTAGGCTTGGGATGGATCTTACTAAGGTAGTTCTTCCAAGGTTTATTCTTGAAAGAACATCTCTTTTAGAAATGTAGGCAGACTTTTTGCACACTGGGACCTGTTTGTGTCCATTAGTGACTAGAAGGATCACAAGGATAGAATGGTTCTGGTTGTGAAATCATACCTCTCAGCCTTTCATGCAAGAAGGAAAGGGTCAGTTGCCAAAAAGCCATACAGTCCCATTTTGGGCAAGATTTTTCAGTGTCACTGGACACTACCAAATGATACTGAAGAGAACACAAAACTAGTTTCAGAAAGACCAGTTCCCTGGGTTTCCAAAAATACTGTAACATTCGTGGCTGACCAGATTTCCCATCATCCACCCATTTCAGCCTTTTATGTTGAGTATTTTAACAAGAAGATACAATTCACTGCTCATGTCTGGGCCAAATCAAAATTCCTTGGGATGTCAATTGGTGTTCACAACATAGGGCAGGGCTGTGTCTCATGTCTAGACTATGATGAACATTACATTCTCACATTCCTCAATGGCTATGGAAGGTCTATCCTCACATGGTCCTGGGTGAAATTAGGTGGAGAATGTTGTATTAATTGTTCCAAACAGGCTAGAGTGCAAATATCATCTTCCATACTAAACCCTTCTATGTGGGCAAGAAGCACAAAATTACTGCTGAGATTTTTTTCTCCAAGTGACAAGAAGTCTTTTTGCTCAACTGAAGGGGAATGGAATGGTTTGATGTATGCAAAATATGCAACATGGGAAAATACATCCTTTGCAGATACCAAGAAGTTGCCTGTAATCAAGAAGAAAGTGATGAAGCTAGAAGATCAGAACAAGTAAGAATCCCGCAGCCTTTGGAAGGATGTCACTTTCAACTTAAAAATCAGCAACTGAAGCAAAGCACAGGCTTGAATAAAAGAGCAGAACCCCAAGAAAGGAAAGAGGGAAAGAGAAAGAAATTCAGTGGGAGACAAGGTTATTTCATAAAGATGGAGAATATTGGGTTTATGATGAACCATTACTGAAATATCTTGGTGCTGCCAAGCATTAAGTTTGAAGATGCAAAGTATATACCTGATGATCAGGGCAGTAGACATAATTCAGCAACAAACAATCTTCCTTTGGGAGAAACCTGTTCACTACCTTCTTATTAGAGTGGTTCCTATCTCAGGGATACTGGACTTTTGGACTCAGATGAACAATTAAAGTGCAAAAAACTTCCCTTTTCCCTCTGTGGCAGTTATGATTTTGACTTCAGTCCTGAGAAAAACTTCAGGTTTTGAAAACGAGATGTCTGCTCCTTTTCCAAACCCCACACGTTGAAAATCATTTATAAATCCAAACCTGAAACTCTTTACTCTAGTACTGCTATTAAGATATACAACCTGTTTCTTAGTACATATAATCTTGAGATACGTACATGCACACACACACACACACACACATATATATACACACCACATACACACACGTGTATATATGTATATATATGTGCATATATATGTGCGTGTATATATATGTGTGTGTATGTGTATATATATATGTGTGTATATATATATAATATATATGTGTGTGTATATATATATATAATATATATATGTGTGTATATATATATAATATATATATGTGTGTATATATATATAATATATATATGTGTGTATATATATAATATATATATATGTGTGTATATATATATATTATATATATACACACACACACACACCTGGTGCCAGATTTTTTCATAAATACTCTGCCTAATGTAAATATGGGTTCCTCTGAGTTGTTTTAGAAAATTACCGTAATGTATTAAAATCAAGTGTTAGGAAATGTCATGGTCTTACCTATAATAACTTTTATTTTAGAATTGGACTATTATTAGACTCTATCTAATCCTGGAAAAAAAGGAACAGCCCATACTCATAGATCAGAAGAATAAAAGTTGTTAAAATGGCCATACAGTCCAAAAGCAATTTATAGATTCAATGCTATTTCTATGAAACTGCCAACATCATTCTTCATTGAATTAGAAAAAAAAAAATTATAAAATTCCTATGGAACAAAAAATAGCCCAAATAGCCAAAGCAATTCTAAACAAAAAGAACAAAGCCAGGGGTAGGCATCACATTACCTGACTTCAAATTATACTGGAAGTCTACAGTAACCAAAACAGCTGGGTACTGGTACAAAAACATTGGCATAGACCAATGGAACAAAATAGAGAACCCAGACATAAAGCCACATACCTTCAACCATCTTATCTTTGACAAAGTTGACAAAATTAACCAATGGGTAAGAATTCCATATTCAATCAATTGTGCTGGGATAACTGGCTAATGCAGAAAGATAAAACTAGACCCTTACCTTTCATGGTTTACAGAAATTAACTTGAGATGGATTAAAGATTTAAATGTAAGATTTCAAACTATAAAATTCTGGAAGAAAACCAAGAAAATACCCTTCTTGACATCAGCCTTGGCTAATGTCAAGAATTCCTAAGAAGTTATGGCTAAGTCCCCAAAAACAATTGCCACAAAAACAAAATTGACAAGTGGGACCTAAGTAAACTAAAGAGCTTCTGCAAAACAAAACAAAACAAAAATCAATAGAGTAAACAGACAACCTACAGGGTGGGAGATAATATTTGCAAACAGTACATCTGACAAAGGTCTAATATTCAGAATCTATAAGGAACTTAAACAATTCTGCAAGTATAAAACAAATTACCTCTTTAAAAAATGGTCAAAGGTCATAAATAGATACTTCTCAAAAGAAGACATACAAGCATCCAACAAATATATGAAAAAAATGCTCATAAACACTAATCATCAGAGAAATGCAAATAAAAACCACAATGGGATGTCATCTCACACCAGTCAGAATGGCTATTATTAAAAAGTCAAAAAACAACAGATGCTGGCGAGGCTGCAGAGAAAAGGAAATGCTTATTTACTGTTGATGGGAATGCAAATTAGTTCAGCCACTTTAGAAAGCAACTTGAAGATTTCTCAAAATACTTAAAACGGAACCACCATTCAACCCAGCCATCCCATTAGTAGATATATATGCAAAGGAAAATAAGTTAGTCTACCAAAAAGACAACATGTACTCAGATGCACTATTCAGGATAGCAAAGACATAGAATCAACCTAGGTGTGTGTCAATGGTAGGCTGAATTTAAAATGGTATATATACACCATGGAATACCATGCAGCCATAAAAAAGTGGAATCATGTCCTTTGCAGCAACATGGATGCAGCTGGAGGCCATTATCTCAAGTGAAATAACGCAGTAACAGAAAACCAAATACTGCATGTTCTCACTTATAAGTGGGAGCTAAACACTGAGTACATTTGGATATTCAGATAAGAAAAATAGACACTGGGGGACTACCGGATGTGGGAAGAAAGAAAAGGTGTGTGGGCTGAAAAACTACCTGTTATGTATTATGGTCACTACTTGGGCTATGGGATCATCTGAATCCCAAACCTCAGCATCACACAATATATCCATGCAACAAACCTGCATATGTACCCTCTGAATCGAAAATAAAAGTTGAAATGTTTTTAACAATTAATTTCTTAAAACATGAAATAAGGAGTAGAATCAGCCAGTAGGGTTTATGCGGCACCACCCAGCATCAGCCGACACATTGACACCTGAAAAATGATGACCCTTGATGTGAATATCTATCCCAGGACCTAAGATTCTCTTTCTCTCCTGTTCATTATCACCTGTTGAGCTTTTGCTTTTCAACAGCTATTACTGATCCCAATCATTGTCTTCCTCTATAGGCTTTATTTAAGGGAAAAATATATTTGAGTTACAATAATTTTCATAGAATAGACAACTCACATTATATTGTTGCAACAGATATGGCTAGGAGATGAAAAATGTCCAAACAGTAGAGGGTTTCAAATGCAGTTTGGACACTTTGCCTGCTAGGGGAGGGAAAGTGTTGGGATGTGATGGAAGAATTTTGAGCAGGGGATGGTGATGTGATTAGGTTTATGCATCAGAAAAGCTAATCTGAAATTATATGCAGGCCATATCACACATGATAAAAACTGGAGGCAGGAACACTAGCGAGGAAGCTAGTCCAGACAAATGAGAGGCAATGAGTGCAGAAATTAGGACAATGGAAGGGAGACTGACATTTCTGAGGGCTGACTGGAACATATGCTCTGTATATCTGTCAATAAACTCTTAAATTTGAGATACTCTCCATCCCCAAACAACAAAGTTCAAAAAATTAAAAGCTCCTTCATCTCCATCCCCAAGGTACTCATTATTCCCATCGCTGGCATCATCTCCTTCACTTTTCTCAACTCATCAGTCACTCACTCCTGTTGATTTTATTTCCCAAACACTTCTTAAATCCTTTAACCATTCTGTTTATATTGCCTATGGAGAAGAAGAAGGAAACATTATTTAGTGAGCATAGTTAACCAGATAACATGATCCAGTCCTACCCACAGTGATTAAATTAATTTTAAATGATCTTTGGTGAGCCACTTAATCTTGCTGCATTTTCCCCCTTATCTGTCAAGAATATAATAATCATATAAACCCAATATAAACTATGAAAATCAATATTTTACATTTGGCAACTTTATATTTTTATACTTTCACAGAATCTGGAGACTATTTCAGTAGTTTTCAACTTTAGCTTATGTTGGAATCATTTGAAGGGCTTAAAATACATTTTCAGGTACCATCACCCCAAGAGTTTCTGGAGTGGGCTTTAGAATTTGCATTTCCAACATGTTTTCAGTGTTGACAGTCATGCTGCTCATCTAGAGACCACACTTTAAGAGCATTGACTTATTTGAGTTCCCCTTGAAAACTAAAATGGACTTAAAGTGAGTTTGATTTTATTCTAGTTCCAACACTAACTAAGCAAGAGTATCACCATAGGTATATTCTTTGACTTTATAAGCTATAGTTTTCTAACCTGTAATGAAGTAATTGAGTCTCCAAAGCCTATATTTGTTGCTATGTCCCTATTATGCTTCTGAAGTATGCACATATCTTGCATCTTTATGAAGTATGCAAATAAAATAAAAAGATCATTGTTTCTGAAGGAAAATGTAAGAACCTTTAGTTTGGGTATAAAGATCATTGTAACATTGGTGAAGAAATTATTGTATTTAAGTCTACCTCTCTTAAATTCTCTATTCAGGTGATTCCTGTACCCAGAAATTCTTTCACTTTATCCTGCTTAAGCAATGTTTTAGAGTTTTGGAATATTAATAAATGTTCATAATAAGAAATAATGGAGTGGAGCTGAAATTTAGAAAAATAGTGAAGTGGAGCTGAAATTTAAAATTTTGGTACAAAATTTTAAAAATTTTAAAAATTTTGTGCCAAAATCACAGTAATTCCTTGTGACTTGAGGCGTGTAAGGCTGGCTAATAGTAGTGTAGTAGCAGAGTAAGATGGATCAACAGATGCATTTCCTATCTTATTTCAGTGACTCTTGGCTTGAAAACTTCAAGTTTTCCTTTGACTCTGCTCGAATGTATCCCAAATAGGCTAAGGCATTATGCAATGTAAAGGGAAATACCCAACATAGATCGGTGCATTTGAGAATCACTTAGCTTAAGCTGTTTTTGACTGAGTGCAGTAGCTCTAGAATGAAATTTCACTGGTCAATTTCTCTGCCACTATCCAGTGAAGTGTTATCTGCTTCTATTTTCTCAACTAACTAATGTAATAACACATGAATGATCTTTAGGAAATGGCCGTTGGTGTCAGAAACTTGGAAATTGAAAGGATTATGATTTATAATATAATTAAGAAGTTAATTCTAGATGGCACATTTTCCCTTTCACTTATGTTTAATGTACACATGGGATGTAGTACAAAAAAGTATCTCATGATATGTTCTGAAGGATGCAAGTGACACTAAGCTTTTCCTGTCACTCCAATCGAAGAATGGTCATGTTCCAAATTTAACAAATGATAAATTTGAAATGTTTTAATTGATATAATGGTCCCAATAATACATTTTTGTTAAATATTTGGAGCATGCTCCTGCCTACCTACATTAGAATCTGTCATACAAAGATATTCATTTAAACTCAAATATATTTTATCTCTTATTTTAGAGTCAAATAGGGTTAGGTCTAATATGTGTCATAATATTCCACTCATGGTATATTATTTCTCTAAGTGCTCTGTTGCTTGAACATGTCTAAAACCACTATATTTTAAAGATAAAGAAGGGTAAAAATTGACTATTAAAATTTCACGAACAATTGAATTAATGAACTTAGTTCAGAAAGTATGAAAATCATTATTTCCTTCTGTGTCTGGTATAGTTGTCTCTTGAGTTTTGTATCAGGGAAAAAAAATCAAGCTGTTAATGAAATTGGAACTTCAAGAGCATTGTTTCTAACATACAGTAGGGTGAAAATAAAGGTTGATTTCCTTTCCAATGGCAGTGGTGGTGACTGCGTATACTGGATTCAAGAGATATTTGAAAATAATAGATACAATGAAGTAAGCAACAGATTTAACTTCAGAGTGAGGGAGAGGAATCAGTCTATAAGGACTCCCAGATGTCTAGCTTAAGCCAACAACCACAACAACAACAAAAAAGAAGTTTGGATGGTTAATTTTTTGTGTCAACTTGATTGGGCCATGGAATGCCGAGATACTTAGTCAAACTTTATTCTAAGTGTTTCTGTGAGGGTGTTTTTGATGAGCTTGATATTTGAATGGATTGAGTAAAGTAGGTTGCCCTCCCTAATGAGTGTGGACCTCATCCAGTCAGTTGAACATCTGAATAAAACAAATAGGCTAAATAAGAAGGAATTACTTCTGCTTGACTACTTTGAACTAGGACAGTGATCTTTCCTTGCCTTCTGATTCAAACTGAAAAATTTGGCTCATCTTGGGTCTCAAGCTTGCAGACATTCATACGGGAACTACCTTCTCTTGGATCTCCAGCTTACAGATCTTGGAAATTCTCAGCCTTCACAGTTGCATTAGCCAATGTCTTATAACAAATCTATTTCTCATTCTTTCTCTCTCTCTCTCTCTCTCCATATATATATATATATATATATATATACACACACACACACACACACACACACACACTTGTTTATATAATGAAAGTTTTATATATATATATATATATATATATATACACACACATATAATGAAAGTTGTTTATATACACACATATAGTGATGTGCTTCATAACAACTTTCAGTCAGTGATGAGCTGCACATATGATGGTGGTCCCACAAGATTATAGTACCATATTTTTACTCTACCTTTTCTATGTTTAGATATGTTCAAACGCACAAATACTTACCATTGTGTGACAATGGACTACAGTATTCAGTACAGTGACATACTGTATGTGTTTGTAGCTTAGGAGTAATAGGCTATCCCATATAGTCTGGATGTATAGTAGGCTATACCATCTAGGTTTGTGTAAGTGCACTCTATGATGTCTATACAAAAAAAATTACTTAATTACGCATTTTTCAGAATATATCCTCACTGTTAAACAATATATATACACACACATCTGTACACACACGTGTGTATATATATATATATATAGATATACACACATATACATGTATACAGAGTATATATATGTGTGTGTGTATATATATGTATGTATATGTATATATATATATATACACACCCATACACTTATTGGCTCTCTTGAGAACATACACTTATTGGCTCTCTTGAGAACCCTGACTAATACAGTTAGTTTCAGTATATTCCTATGACAAAAGTAGAAGAAAGTGGCAATCATTCCCTCTCCCATAAATTCTGCCCTTTCCTTACTCTATATTTTTATTTTCAAAGAAAGATATTGTCAATGTGATAGCTTGAAGCTCAAGACATTAATTGGGTCAAACAGGTAATGGATGATGTTATTGTGACTTAAATGTTGACCGAGTGCAGGGCTCTAACATTTTCCAAGAGGTAAGCAGTTCAAGACAAGAGCTTTTCTTTTACTTATACCATCTCCTTTCTTGCAATTGGTTGGATGGACTTAAGACTTGATCTGCAGTTTGTGAGGAGAGTGTGAGATGGTGAGCTGGAGGAACAGGAAGCCCTGCTGAGCTCCAAGTTACATTTTTAATTCCTCAATTATAAATCTCTACATAGGGGGCTATTGACTGCCAGTTTTAACTATTAATAATGCAGTCACTTTTTTCTTACTTGGCCACACTTACTTGCCTTAGGGAGAAAGTTATATTAACTCCCTACTTGAGGAAACTCACATGGAGAAAATGTGAGTGTTAAGTCCGAATCTGTATATTTCTGAACCTTTAGGGTAATACCATAACAACCTCATGTCTACATTTAAACATAGCTGTTAAGTTACTCAGACACCTTTGAAATTGCTCAAAATAAAGATTTGAAGAGAAAGAAATATCAATATAATAATCAAACAGAACTAGAAGGTTAGAACTGGTTTGACTCTCACCCAATACTAGCTATGCATCTTAAGATTCTCTGGGACTCTACCTCCTCATTTGTAAATTTAAAAAAATAGATAATATGCATCATATAAATAACTACAATGAGTCTTTTCAATAGCCTCCTGCCTATTCAATTCCATTTCTATATTCAATTTAACTTGTTTGTTTTTTACTTCATATCTGGATTTAAGTTTGTAAAACATAAGTCTGATTACCTTACTTTCCCACTGAAGAAAAGGTTTACTGTATTCCCCTTACTCTTAGGAACATATAAACATGACAAACTGATATTTTTGAGGCTCTCCCCAACTTTGACTCATCTGATTCATTTAGTTTTATCATCTCGCTCAGACTTTCGTATCTACATAAAAACCAAATTATTTATTATTCTATGAATGCCCTACACTTAATTCTGCATTTTTGAAAAAAAAATCTACTGGGAATTTGAAAAAAAAATCATTCTACTGTGAATGTTCTTCATCATTGCTGAAATCCTCTAAGACCCAGCTGATAGATCATCATCTTTGCCATGCCTTCCCCAGTAAACTCAGCTGGAGGTCACTGCTCTCTCCTGCAGAACTATTTTACTTTTTCCAAGTACATAAAATAATTTATAAGTGTTTTTGACTTCCCATTAGATTTTTAGCTTCAATGAAGGCAGCAGACCTCCACAGGGACAAATACATTGTCTTGTATGTGGGAAGTGCTCAATGAATGCTGAGGTGAGGTAAACAGTGAATCCATATATACATTCTTTTAAATAAAGATCATTTTATTATTAACATTACTTACAACATTTATGTAGAAAATTATATACTGCTCACATATATCTGTTTTCTTTTTATCAATCCTCTGAACAGCATTGCTAATTTATGTTCCTAGTAGACTAATTAGTGTAGAGCAGACCTACTTTGAGTACCCTGAAATAAGTACAGAATGTTTTATATGAGAAGTATGCAAAATATAGCAATGCAAAAATATACACATCTATGAATAATGTGAGTATATATACATATACATATATATTACATTTTTGACTCTCTTTTCTGAGCTATGAATTGCTAAAAACAATAATCATGAAAGGGCACCATCTGCTATACAAAGGATGGAATGCTACAAAATTTTGAACAGAAATCATATGTAGACTTTAAATTAATTCCACTATTTACTAGGTATGTACATTCATGGAATAGGAAACATAGTTTACTAGCTCTGTACAGGCCACATAACAATATTTGGACAACAATGGACCATATATATAACAGTGTATTATGAAATTGTAATTTTTTTTTTACTATACCTTTTCTATGTTTAGATATGCTTAGATACACAGATACTACTGTGTTACAGTTACCTCCAGTATTCAGTACAGTAACATGCTGCACAGGTCTATAGCCTAGGAGCCATAGGCTATACCATATAGCCTTGGTGTGTAGTAGGCTATACTACCTAGGTTTGTGTAAGTTCATTCTGTGATGTTTGCACAATGACAAAATCATCTAATGGTACATTTCTCAGGACATTTCCCTGTCGTTAAGTGGCACATGACTCTACTTAAGAAAGTTACTTAAATTATTCTTAGCTCTAGTTCCATCAACTGTAAAATGAGAATGTTAACATTGATCTCATAAGATAGATATGACAGCTATCTCTCTCTCTCTCTCTCTCTCTCTCTTTCTCTCTCTCACACACACACATACACACCACACCACACATATTTTCAGCCCTGTATCTGGTAAATCATATATGATAAATAATGATTACTTATTATATTAATAAGAACAATGATTAGTATTTTACACTTAGCATAGAATGAGGGTTGGAATTTTTAATGATTTTTTGGAACCCATTCTTCAAACAAATAATTTTGCAGTACTTTAATTACTAACTTATCTATCTTATAAATTCTAGTTATGTATGGATTTTCTTAAACTTTTAAAACCATCTCCTGTAAATAACAGTAAACATATTTACAAAGATCTGAACTTATATCAAAACCAGTCCTGTAAAGTTCTAAGACTGTGTTATTTTTCCTCTAACACAAAATAGTAACAATTACTTTTCTTAAACTATTTCCTGCCTTCTCTAATTTAAATTGGAGACCACAAATAAGTGGACACTTCATATCAGCTTATTTCATTCTTTGTGGCCAGGAAACATCTCAGGTATTTACCTGGTGAGCCATAGCAGCTGTTATTGTACTTAAGATAAAATTCTTATAACACAATAATATTGAAATTAACTTAACATATATGGTATGCTGATATAGTTTAAAAATATCTCTGATGATAGTGTCATGATTTTTCTAAAGAAAGGGTAAATCCCCTTCCCTTTCCCAATAAATATTACCAATACGCACATGAGGATTCCAGTTGAGTCTTACGAGAGCATTTTATTAGACAAAGCCCCTGCATTCAAGGATTTAAAGTTAGAGAAGTTGAAGTTAAAATTGCTATAAATTGAAATTGTTTTAAGCCTCTTATTTGTTATTTTGTTACATATATTATATATATGTTAAATATATATTATATTTGTTACGCAGTAATAGAAAACTAATATAGATAAGTTTTAGGTTTCTTTACTCTGTAGTCACTATGCCTTCCTCAACTTTAATTAGTTTTTCTGTCTGTCCATCTGCATTAAAACAAACAGAAACACACTAATTTAAATATTTGCTCGTAGTGCAATTATTTTTAAATCACTGATCTTTGTCCTTGGCTTTCTACAGATCTGTTCCTTCATAGTCATATAATCAGATCCAGTATCTCATAATTTTTTTTTTATGGAGAGAAAAAAATGTGCTTACAGTGTAAATGTATTTAATGTTGCAAGATTTTGTTCATAGCAGCACAATGAGTCACTATCTTCAGGCAACCGTCTGCCTTAGTAGATAAATTCCAAATGTAATGACCTTCTCTTGGGCCTCATCCTCATCAATATTATGAGGCATTTGGCTCTGCCAACATGCTCACTAGATTTTATGGAATATCAACTCTGCCTGTGCTTCAAGCCTTATATCTTTTCTTCCTCTGATTTTGTGGCCATTTCTTACCCATTAAAATGTTTTTGAAAATCAGTGTTTCTCTATTTGCTTTCTTGCTTTGCTTTTGCTATATGTTTTGATTCACGGGTTTTATCTATTTATTTCAACTATCACCTCTTTGCAGCACCTAACACAGGACCTGGCAGGCAGCAAGACCTTTATACACACGTGCAATTTAGTAACTAACAACACCTAACTTTATAGTTCTAATCCTTGTTCTTCTTAAAACCGTTGGAGCTAATTTCCCAACTACCAATCAGACATATTCACTTTGAACTAGGGTTGCCAGAAAAAATACAGGACTTGTTAAATATAAACATTTGATAAATATTGCACAGGATGTACTTATACTAAAAAATACTCATTGTTTATCTGAAATTCAAATTAAATTGGATATCATGTATTTTTATTTGCTAAATTGGAAATTCTGGTTTGATGCGCACTGAAATCTTAAAGTCAAGATGTGCAAAACAAATTTATGCTATCCTACTCAAAGCAGCACCTGTGATGCCCTTCTTTGTTGGATTTATTTAGCCACTAGGCCTGGTTCCTTAGGGTCAAGAAGTAGTATACGCTGAATAATTTATTAAGCACAGTTTCTAGACCCCTAATTCATATTGTCCAGGGCTACCTCTGAGTTCTATCACTTATTAGCTGCATAGTCTAGAGCAACATACTACATTTGTCAAGCGGTCTGTTTCTTGGTCCATTTTGTGTTGCTATAACAGAATACCCAAGACTGGGTGACTAATAAAGAAAAGAAGCTTACGTGACTTATGATGCTGGGGACTGGAAAGTCCAAGAGCATGGTATTGGCAACTGCTCAACTTCTGATGAAGGCCCATACTGTGTCACAACATGACAGAGAAGCAGAAAGGTGAGCAAATGTATGCAAAGAAACACACACTATAAACTGGGTACACTTTATAGCGATCAACTCTCATGACAACTAATTCATTCCCATGAGAACAAGAACTCAATAGACATGGCATAGATCTATTCTTGAGGGATCCAACCCCATAACCAGACACCTCCTACTAGGCCCCAGCTTCCAACATTTGTGCACTGTAAACCAGGCCTCAACTTGAGTCTTGGAGGTGACAAACCACATCCAAAACACAGGACTCCGTTTCCTTTTAAGTAACACGAAGAAGATAACAGTAAGCCCTATCAAAGGGGTTTCATAAAGATTAAAGTATCAAACAATGTAAAGCACTTAGCAAGGCACTTAGAAAACTCCTTAATAAATGTTTAAAAAGTATTATACATTTTGACTCCCTTACTCTGCTATCCTTATGTGACAAGATACAGAGTCTGAGTTGAAATGTCTCTGAAGGTTGATCTCTAATTTTCATTACTGACACTTCCAGTATAGATGTGAATTACTCTCTTGTGGGCTGCTGCAACATGTGATGTGGTATCCCTGCTCCTGTGTCCTGACATGAATATTTGTCTCGCAAATGTATTATTGGGTTCAAAACGTATGCTCCTTCCCTAACTGCATCAAATTAAGTACAACGTACAACTCCTCACATTCAAAAGCCTCCACAAATTATGCTCTAAATTTACTTTCCAATTTATAGTTTTGTGCAAGTTCTTCTTTTCAGCAAGAATTGATCAGTGAAGTGTCTATTGATCTTTTAATTGGATGCAATTTCAATCTATCCTGTCTTTTATGATGTGAAGCTTTTAGACATAATTTATTTAATATACTGTTTTGTGACTGTGTTCTTGTGTTTGCTACATCTTAATTTCTAAAAATTGTCTTTGCCCTATAAAAATGGTTTATAATTATTAATAAATTATAATAGAGTATAAAGAAAAAATTCTATTTATAGCTCCATTTCTCAAACATAGTATTAGCTAACATATATTAGATCTTTATTGTATACACTCCTCTATATCATTTACATAATGAACAATTTTGGTTCCCTCAAAACATATAAGGCTATTTATTCTCATTTGAAAAAGATCTATGGAGAGGTAAAGTAATAAATCCAAGGTTTGACCACTAGTAAATAGACAACCTAGACACCAAGCTTTAAACCTAATATTGATCCCTGGCAAACATTCTACAATGCATCTTTACAAAGGTAATTAATTGATAAACATTGGCCAGGAACAGTGGCTCCTGCCTGTTTCACAGTACTTGAGGAGGTCAAAGTGGGAGAATTGCTTAAGTAAATGAGTTTGAAACCAGCCTGGACAAAATAGTCAGACCCCATCTCTACAAAAATTAAAAAATTAGCTGGACATGGATATGCACACCTGTGCCCCAGCTACTTGGGAGGCTGAGGCAAGAGGATTGCCTTAGCCCAGGAGGTCAAGGCTGCAGTGAGCCATGATTGCACCACTGCACTCCAGTCTGGGTGATAGAGATCCTGTCTCAAAAAAAAAAAAAAAAGCAACAAACAACAAATTGTTAAACATTTGTGAACTCCAGGTGACAGTGTAGGTTGATTAATGAGAAAGTGTTTCATACAAATCTCCTGGGCTTTATTGTTTATATCTAATAATATAATGATTTATTCAACGGGTGACATGCACCATGATTTCAGTGAGACATTTGCTAATAACCTTAGAATATATTTTGAGCAAGTATGGGAACATGTGGAATAATGAAGATGCTAAATGTAGAGGTACTTGCAACAGTTTAGAGCAGCGGTCCCCAACCATTTTGGCACCAGGGGCCAGTTTTGTGGAAGACAATTTTTCCATAGACAGAGCAAGGGGATGATTTCAGGATGACTCAAGCATATTACATTATTGTGCACTATATTTCTATTACATGGTAAAGTATAATGAAAATATCATACAGCTCACCATGATGTAGAATCAGTGGAAGCCCTGAGCTTGTTTTCCTACAACTAGATGTAGATGGTCCCATCTGGGGCTGAAGGGAGAGAGTGACAGATTGTTAGGCATTAGATTCATATGGAGTGTGCAACCTAGATCCCATGCATACACAGTTCACAATAGGGTTTGCACTCCTATGAGAATCTAATGCCACTGCTGATCTGACAGGAGGCAGAGCTCACATAATAACACAAGTGAAGGGGAATGGCTATAAATATAAATGAAGCTTTGCTCCTTTGCCCGCTGCTCACCTCCTGCTGTGTGGCCTGATTCCTAATATTGGTCCATGGCCTGTGGGTTGGGGACCACTCGTTTAGAGAGTACACAAAAGGAGAAGTTCTAGGGGAAATGCTGGGAGTGGCACATTTGAGATGTCTATAACAGAAAATTGAATGGCCAACATTAGTGTCAATATATTTTATAAACATAAAGCAAGACAAAAAGATGAAACTCACTTTTTTATGTTGAAATAAAAAAATCAAAAATAACTTTAAGGGGCTGAGATGATGGTTTAAATGAAGTAAATAAGTTAAATAAGTAGTAATACTGCATTTAAGTTAAAAATCAGTTATATACGTTGAACAAGTAAGGCTTAAAATTTATAGAAATCTTGGGATTTCAATGTGATACTAGTGTTAAAATGTTAATGCAAATTAAGTATGAATTTATAGCATTTTGCAGTTCAGCAAAGGAACAGAGAGTCCCACTGTGATATGCTTTAGTCATACCATGTTTGGAGTACTATGTTCTGCTCTGGGCTTCACATTTTTACAATTTCATCGTCACTCTGGAATGCATAGAGACTAATGTGGAATCTAGGAACCATGTTATATTGGTGATCATTGAAGAACCTGAGAAATTTAAAGATTAGAAGAAATACGGTAACATTGCATCCTTCTTCAAGTATTCAAAGAGCTTTTATATAGGATAGAATGAGAGTTAGTCAGAAATACTATTTCTGTGCCAGGCATTACACACGTTCATATGCACAACTTCCTTTTTTTTTTAAATTATTAACCAAACTATGAGGTGGGCTTTGTTTTGTCATCTTTTTTTTTTTTTTTTTTTTTGAGATGGAGTCTTGCTCTGTCACCCAGACTGGAGTGCAGTGGTGCCATCTTGGCTCACTGCAACCTCCGCTTCCCAGGTTCAAATGATTCTCCTGCCTCAGCCTCCTGAGTAGCTGGGACTACAGGCACATGCCACTATGCCCAGCAAATTTTTGTATTTTTAGTAGATACAGGGTTTCATCATGTTGGCCAGGATGGTCTCGATCTCTTGACCTCATGATCTGCCTGCCTCGGCCTCCCAAAGTGCTGGGATTACAGGCGTGAGCCACCATACCCGGCCCTGTTTTGCCACTTTTATACATAAGAAAAAATTTTACTTAGATAAAGTAAAATTTATCTAAGTAACTACTTTTTCTAAGGTTATCCACTTACTTACTTTATCTTGTTACTTAGCTAAGAGAAAAGCTTGAAATAAATATCAGGTGTTTCTATTTCCAGAGTTTATGCTCTTTTTTTATTGTGATTTGTTAAAGACTGCAGACCTATGGCTAATGATGGTTAAAAGAATTATGGAGCCAGATCCCGTATCAAAAGAGAGAATGATTATAAAATTGTACTTCACTTTTAATTTTTTTCTCACTAAAAGAGTTCTGGAAAAGCATTAGTGATACTAATTAGTAATGCATCTGAATTAGATGAAAACTGAAGGACTCCTAAAATAATAAATTTAGTATTAAATTAATACTTATTGATAACCAGCAAAACTCTCATAGTTCCTAACTTTGAAACAACATTATTTCAGACAATCCATGCTTTTAAGAACACAAAATACAGAAAATGGGCTCCTATGAGCTTTGAAGCAATGTTAAGGTTCCTGCGTCATTAAGATGTAGGAAGAGAGTTGGCCCCACGAAAGTAGGTTCTGGCCCTATTGATAAAGACCTTTTTAATCATTTGATACCTGTGCTTCTAAGGCTTTTGATAGAATTTGCCGTAGATCAGAAAACATATAATTTATATTCTTAAGAACAGATCCCTGTGCCTGATTTTATCCTCAACCCTTCAGTATAAAAGAAGTGTGCATAGCACCTCCATTGCAGTCATCATATTTTATTGGGCAACTAATTTTGAGCAAGAATAACATAAGGGAATTTAAGTTCTAACTGCTTAGCAAAACATATTTTATATGCTTCTCTTGGTAGAGAATCTTGCTAAAGACAACTGACATTAAGTTTTCAAAGTGAATTAAAGCAGAAAAAGTTCAGTTAACAAGTTTCACACTTCTTAGTGTTACATTTTGCATGTATTAATTTCAGATATTACAGAGGTATTTAGAGTTGTGGAAAGGCAGATATGTAATCATGCAGCAATGTATAAAATTGCACTTACTTTTAGGTGGCTTAGAGGCATTAGAAAATTTTATACAATAAGCATGTATGTTAGCAGACTATGTCATGAAAGGAAAATCAATATTTATTGAGCACCTATACCTCACGGACTTTCCTGAAATGGACAAGGGAGTATATTAGTGAATTCTAAGAGTATAAGCCAGCCTTTCACTTCCTAATTTTAGGTTGAAAAAGTAGTTCAACATCTTGAAACCTCAGTTTCCTCTTTTATACATTGTACATAATAATATCTTATTACTCATGGAAATTAAATTTGATAATGTGTGAAATGTTTAACGCAGTGCTCAGCACAATATCAGCATTCTATAAATTTCTCTTTGAACGTTTCAGCTGGTTTTCTACTTTGTTCACTTTTCTTGTATGCCTTCTTGCTTTCTTCGTCAAGTGGCTTGCTGTCAGTTCTATCCCTTCCCCACTTATTACTTATGGAAAATAGAGTAGGTGTAGTATAGGGTGATACTAGATAGCGGTACTAACTCAGGGATGTTTGTGAAGTGTGAGGAGGTAGTGAATATCTTTATTTCATGACTTTAAAATATTAATATAAAATATATTTATTTGGTAGCATTCTAAATCACAACTAACACTGTTTATAAAAATCACATTATTTTTTCATACGTATGTGTCTGTAAATACTATCCTATGCTGTATTTCTCTCACAACATTTATTTTTCCGGTATAAGAGGGGCTTCCATGTTGGGAAGAGGAGCATGGGTGAAAATTTGGGCTGACTGTGGTTGTGTATTTCCTGACACGGGTCAAATATTTGACAGTGAGGGGATGAAAAAAATTACACTTTGGGAAGAAGTTCAGTAATACCCAATATTTCTTCTTAAAGAGGGAGTTTGACTTGAAATGGTTAAAATGGGTCTGCAGTATCCCAAATTGCATTATTGGAATAATTCAATGTTGAAATATATTAGATATTTGCCTACTTTTAAATACTTAATTTGTCATTAGTAATTGAACCTTAAGTCATTTGATTGTTTACTGTGTATGAATGTAAATGTTAGATAATATGTGACACTCGGAATTGCTCATTAAGGGAGAACTACCATGGAATCTATACCTTAAAGTGAATAGACAGAAATAACAGCTAGGATAAACTGGAGAAGAGATGTGAAATGCTAAAAGCTAGTGATAATTCAATGGTAATAAATCTAAGTCTGTTTATAATAGTGTCAATAAAGAGGAGAGTAATACAGGTTATAATCCAGATCATAATCTGAGATACAGCAGTGATAGCAGTTTAGTGAAGAGTCCTCCAGGCAGTAGATCACGATGTGCTAGAGTGGAACAGAAGTAGAAAATAAGGAATTCTTTCAAAAACCTTTTTATAAACACATTAGATACCTTTGTTATTTGAAGTATCTATGAAGTTAAACGTAATGATACACATCAGCCAGAGAAAAGAAGCTGAAATATTTGACATAATGCTAAATGAACTGCTTATATAAGGATTGGAAATATTAGCAGTCCTAAGTAATTTCCAAGAGAGTTATTTGACAAAAACCTCTTGACCTGGAGTGTGATATGTCACTCAAATGATTCTAGCAATATGAATCTGCAAAGAATGAATCAGACCATGGGATATCATCAGGTCATAGGTCAGTCTGTTCTTTGAAAGGGCCTATCTGTGATTAAAAAAAAATTAACAGATTGGACTCTGCAGTCGGTCAAAGCTTGAATCTGGCTGATACCACTCACCACTGCCTGGTGCTCTAATAACTAATGTCAGTCAGTGCATTCCTAGGGTTATCTTCAAATCTGAAATTGGGGCCTGGCATTTGAACACTAAAGAAAGTGTTCCTTTTTTCCCTCTTAGCACACATGTCTATTTTTTGCATTTACGATGAAAATGTATTAAGTATTTCAAAAGCTATATAATAGGGTTGAGCTATTAAGAGGAATGAATGGAAAAATGCTTTTTGTCTATTTTTAGTTATATTGGCAAAGTTTGTTTTGTTTAGTTTTAAAATGTTTTCCTTGATTTAGAAGTCTTTAGAGAGAGATGTCAATTACATTTGTGGATCTAAAAGACTTACCCCAGTAAAAACAAAGCCCTGTGATACAGAAAAGCTGGTTGACCTCAAGGCACCCAAATGATCAGGGTACCAAACAGAATGCCAGAGGTCAAAGAGTTGAGTTCAGAGGTGACAAGGAAGCAAAGCATATGACAAAAGCAATTATTTAATGATCAGCACAGTTGCAGAAATTCAGAAGATTGAAAATGTGCAGAAATCTCATCTCTATGTATAATTATCAGAATTACTCACTCTGATATTATTTTATATAAAAATATTCCTACACTACCATGATTACATTATTACTTGAAATTTCTGGCTTTGTAAGGGTCATGAGATACTCTAATGCCCTTTACCTTTGACCATGCTTGTGTTTCTATACCCTAGTCTGTACCCCACACTCAAAAAGCAAGAAAGCAAGAAAAGCAAGAAAGCAAGAAAACAAGAAGGGGAGAGAGAGGGAGAGGGAGAGGAAGGGAGGGGAGGGGAGGAGAGAGGAGGAAAGAAAGAAGAAATAAAGAAGGGAAAGAAAGAGAGAACATAGGCATCGAATATCAGGATTGTTCTAAATCAACGATAGGTTGACCAAAAATATGTGATTGCTTTGTTTTTATATTTAATTCTATCAGGAAAAGCGGTATTCTATACAACGTTTTAATTATCTGGCTTTTTTTATTATACTTTAAGTTCTAGGGTACATGTGTACAACGTGCTGGTTTGTTACATATGTATACATGTGCCATGTTGGTGTGCTGCACCCATTAACTCGTCATTTACATTAGGTATATCTCCTAATGCTATCCCTCCCCTCTCCCCTCACCCCACGACAGGCCCCAGTGTGTGATGTTCCCCTTCCTGTGTCCAAGTGTTCTCATTGTTCAATTCCCACCTATGACTGAGAACATGCGGTGTTTGGTTTTCTGTCCTTGTGATAGTTTGCTGAGAATGATGGTTTCCACTTTCATCCATGTCCCTACAAAGGACATGAAGTCATCATTTTTATGGCTGCATAGTATTCCATGGTGTATATGTGCCACATTTTCTTAATCCAGTCTATCATTGATTGACATTTGGGTTGGTTCCATGTCTTTGTTATTGTGAATAGTGCCGCAAGAAACATACATGTGCATGTGTCTTTATAGCAGCATGATTTATAAACCTTTGGGTATATACCTAGTAACGGGATGGCTGGGTCTAATGGTATTTCTAGTTCTAGATCCTTGAGGAATCACCACACTGTCTTCCACATTGGTTGAACTAGTTTACAGTCCCACCAACACTGTAAAAGTGTTCCTATTTCTCCACATCCTCTCCAGCACCTGTTGTTTCCTGATTTTTTAATGAATGTCATTCTAACTGGGGTGAGATGGTATCTCATTGTTGTTTTCATTTGCATTTCTTTGATGGCCAGTGATGATGAGCATTTTTTCATGTGTCTGTTGGCTGCATAAATGTCTTCTTTTGAGAAGTGTCTGTTCATATCCTTTGCCCACTTTTTGATGGGGTTGTTTGTTTTTTTCTTGTAAATTTGTTTGAGTTCTTTGTCGATTCTGGATATTAGCCCTTTGTCAGATGAGTAGATTGCAAGAATTTTCTCTCATTCTGTAGGTTTCCTGTTCACTCTGATGGTAGTTTCTTTTGCTGTGCAGAAGCTCTTTCGTTTAATTAGATCCCATTTGTCAATTTTGGTTTTTGTTGCCATTGCTTTTGGTGTTTTAGACATGAAGTCCTTGCCCATGCCTATGTCCTGAATGGTAATGCCTAGGTTTTCTTCTAGGGTTTTTATGGTTTTAGGTCTAACATTTAAGTCTTTAATCCATCTTGAATTAATTTTTGTATAAGGTGTAAGGAAGGGATCCAGTTTCAGCTTTCTCCATATGGCTAGCCAGTTTTCCCAGCACCATTTATTAAATAGGGAATCCTTTCCCCATTTCTCGTTTTTGTCAGGTTAGTCAAAAATCAGATGGTTGTAGATTTATTTCGAAAAATTGAGATTGTCAAATTGCTTTCTCTTTAATTCTAGGTTGTGTTTGAAATTTATAAATATATAAATATAAAAAGGATTCATATATAAAGAACTTGAGAGAATTGACTTATTAAGCAGTTTTTTAGCACAATACATTTTAACTGTAGCGCAAGTTAACATTTATGCATTAAATTGACCTTGATGATTCTCAGCCTCCTTTGGAAAATATAAACTTTACTTCAACAGAAATTTAGTAAATTTTGTTAGAATAAGGCAAATAAATAACTTTATTAAAGTCATGGACAGAATTATTATACTTCAGTAATCTGCTAAATTTGAATTCCTTGAGTCTGAATGGAGCAAGGGCTTCTAGGTTCAAAATAAATAGTTTTTGATCCTAAGGTTAATATATATGTATATTGTATTTTGCCAACTACACTGCTGAAGTGCAAACCTACTATAGAGTTAATCATTATGAATGGGAAATCAGTCTTAAATAGACAAAGTAATAGTCAGTGATTCATATATATATATGTAATTTGTGTAGCACTTTGCACATTTAAGGAATATAAGTTCAAATATTAAATAAATCCTATAAATAAGCATTGAACAGGTTAAGGAGGCAGATCCAACTTGCTTTGGTACGTTACTGGTATCTGAGGGAGAAGAGGGTAACTCAGTGATGATTCTGAAGTTTCAAGTAGAAGGTAACAGGAAGGCCATACTATGGAATTTGGCAACATAGAAGGGTGTGTGTGTGTGTGTGTGTGTGTGTGTGTGTGTGTGTGTGTGTTTGGGTATACTTAGATAGTAGTGGGATTGTTGCAATTTATGGTAATTTTGTGATCCTTGGTGTCAAGCTCTTAGAAGTATTCAAGATCAACTGGAAAATATTTACAGCTTCTACATACAGTGCAGGAATATAAAAATATGCTGATTACCACAAAGTTTGACCTAGTATGACTGTGAGAGCAAAAACTTTTTAATTAAAAATAAAAATTACATTTGAAGTCTCACTTTTTTCACCTGTCTTGGCATTTCTTCCATACTCGAAACTGATTTGAGGTCATTACATAGATGAGATGACTCTGAGCTGGGAATGAATGATGCAACAGGTAAGAAAGTACAGTTGAAAAAATGTAAATTGGGCTCGAGATACTCACTTGCTATAGTCAAGATGCCAGTGGGAATCTTGCTGCCAACAGTTACAATTTTCTATAGTCTGTACCGGCTTCTTGCTTGTAGACACTGCTCTGGCATTCAAGGAAGGGCATGGATTCTAAGTAAGGCTTTCCTAGTAGCAATGATAGCAAGCACTAATAACTTTGGTTGAGTAGAAAGCAAGAACTGATTTAGACCATAAAGCACTAAACTGAGGTATTTCAGATGTAACTCACCAATAAATGGTGAACAATTGGCCGTTATGTGCTTTTAGAAAAGAAATCCAGTGGGTGAGGTAGTATTTAAGGAAGTGTTGTCTGGCATCATGGTTAAAGGCTAAATGAAATAAGAAAGACTACCAATAAAACTACCCTTCTTTTACAAGAAATGTGAATTGGAAACTTCTTACATTCATAGGTTGTGTCTCCCAATGTCATAAGTGTACACTTCCCACCTTGGTGATGACAAAATGCTGTGATTTAATAAATGAATCAATTGGTAAAATTCTGCTGACTTGGTTGAATCATCTGTCTTCTTTGATAAAGCAACAGTTTCTTATGAGGTAAATGGTTCTCTATTTATTTATGCATGTTCTAAATATTTTACTTCCTATTTCTGTAACCTTTTCATAGCCACCCATTTGGGTATAAGGGAGCATATTAATTAAAAATGAAGGCAATCCTGACCATTTACTCAGGATTATTACAGACAGATCTCCACTGGATACAATCTAGTTTGAATTGACAAGTTCTGACTTTAAAACAACTTTCTGGCCGGGCGCGCGTGGCTCACACCTGGGAGGCCGAGACGGGCGGATCACGAGGTCAGGAGATCAAGACCATTTTGGCTAACACGGTGAAACCCCATCTCTACTAAAAATACAAAAAATTAGCCGGGCATGGTGGCGGGCGCCTGTAGTCCCAGCTACTCGGGAGGGTGAGGCAGGAGAATGGTGTGAACCCAGGAGGCGGAGCTTGCAGCGAGCCAAGATCGCGCCACTGCACTCCAGCCTGGGCGACAGAGCGAGACTCCGTCTCAAAAAAAAAAAAAAAAAAAAAATCCTAATGATATGCAATCGGCAGAAACTTAGTTGCATCTTAATCTCCTGTTATTTCATTCTTATGTATCTATTAATGAGGCCTCAATGAGCTAATACAATATTTGCAAAAGAGGGTAATACGATAAAATAACTGAGGAGGCACACCTTGCAGCAAAGAAGACTTGAAGATATTATGCCTGAAAAGAAAGGCTGAAGGGGGATACAAAATAGTTTCATTTATCTGACATCCTCTTATGTGGAAGCAAAAATAGCATGATCTGATGAGTATATGTTAAAAGGAAATTTAGATACAAAGAGAAAAAGACATTTCTAACTGTTCTGCCTAAGGGTAAAGTGGGCTATTTCAGTTTAAAGACAAAACAAAACAAAACACAATAAAATGAATGACTACCTGTTAAATTAATGTGTTTATTGGTCCAGAGACTGGGGAAGATAATGCATAGAATTATTTTCAAATGCAGCCTTTTCTTAGCTGTACATTATTTTAGCTACCAAATCTACAAAGAAAGAAACTTTGTTTCTGTAATTGCTGAAGTTTAAACTTTCTCAACAAATGAATAGGAAAACTGAAATTATCTTGAAATTGCTAAATCAGAGGTAGCTAATTTTATATTGATGTTACATTGTACTCTAGGTTGAAATCTTGTATATTACCAAACTCTGTAAGCTTTCCTACTGTGAATATTTAAGAAACAGAATCAGAATATCTAACAAAAGCAAGAATAACCAAAAATGTACAAGATGATAAAGTATTAGTCATAGAGAATAGAAATTGATTTCTTCAAGCTAAGCATAATATCTGGTATCTCCTGCTGTATTACAAAATTGAGAACACAGTATCCACCACAAAACTGTACCCAATAGGATACTAAAGTTGAAGAAATAAGTTAAAAATATTATTTATATATATTTATATATTTATATATGTACTCATTATTCAAATGCCATAGTTTAATTATGTAAACACAAGAGAAAATGATGAGCTTCATTTGTATGAAACTACAAAAATATGCTGATTTGACAGAAAAGAACATGATGCATTATGGATGAATTTTAGTCTATATTATAGTTTTCCTGAGTGTGTAATTTATTAAATGCAGCACAATAAAAATAGACATTACTGTATATTACTGAATAGACTGTAAATTGATAGACTACTTAAAGGGATTTTGACAATATTTCAGACATTTTAATTATTTGACAATTCATGGCTGGCCACTTTTTAAGATAAATCATGAGACAAAAAATCTGAATATGGGCTGGGTGCAGTGGCTCACACCTGTAATCTCAGCACTTTGGGAGGCCGAGGCTGGTGGATCACAGGGTCAGGAGATCGAGACCATCCTGGCTAACACGGTGAAACCCTGTCTCTACTAAAAAAAAAAATACAAAAAATTAGCCAGGCTTGGTGGCGGGTGCCTGTAGTCCCAGCTACTCAGGAGGCTGAGGCAGGAGAATGGTGTGAACCTGGGAGGCGGAGCTTGCAGTGAGCCGAGATCCCACCACTGCACTCCAGCCTGGGTGACAGAGCAAGACACCATCTCAAAAAAAAGTAAAAAAAAAATTTGAATGTGGTCCAGGATGTTGATAAAAGGCTACTCATTGCAGCAAAATTTAAAGATTGAAAAATAAAATCTACATTATCCAACATTAGGGTACCATTTAAAAATTTACCCTTTCAGATAATGCAGTAGACTATAATCAACATATTTATTACAGAGCAACGTTTAATGACATGGAAAACTATTTACAATGATTATTACAAGTATATTACAATTGTTACAAAACAGACTTTAAAAGTTGATCTAATTTTGACTAAAGACTAATACAACATAATGTTTTCACTGATATAGCTATATGCCAATGTTACCTAAATTTTCTATATTGTCTCCAATTGCTTATCTTTTTGTAAATTTCCAGTATTTAGGAGATCTAACTTAATTATGAAAACATATTTCTAAATTAATTTTTACCTGTTTGCTAACAATTGTTTGCTGTTAAACTAATTTTATGATCACATAAATAAATAAATTTATGTAAATCTGATCACATAATAAATTCTGATGACTTATTATCTGGTAGTTGTAGTGTGTAGAAATGTGAATTTGGTAACAGATGGATTAAAAAAAAAAAACAGATTAGACTTCTTGCCTCGAGGAAACTGCCCAAAAGGTTCTAAGTTAAAATGATAACTGATTACTTCTTGAATTTGTTCTTACTTTCTAAATTGCAGTATGCATGTTATGTTTACTTATTCTTAAATACAATCAACATCCATATAGTAAAATATACACACAAACACACATATATACAATATGTTGATTGTCTCTGAGTCAGAAAAAACATAAATGTTGTGGGCTAAATTTTAAACCTCAATGAGATTAAAAAATTAGCCAAATTTGTAGATTATAATAAAATATATTATCTTCCAAATCTTGAAAAAAAGATTTACTACTAATGAAGTAAAACAAATATTATTTCAACTTTTGATACTCCTGGTTCATTCCTATCATTATTCACATTTGTAAAACGGACTTAAGGTAAAACAGCAATAAAAATAATCCTAATGTTTAAATTCAATAACAACTTTATATGTAACTTTCCAATACACTGGCTTACTCAAGAGGTCCATAATTTGCTTCCTGAACATATGGGTTGGAAAATTAAAATATTCACTGTGTATCATATGTGTTCACATATGACACAGTTTTTTTAAAGATCATTCATCCAGGTGAATTCTCTTCTTCTACATGGCTAGCTATTTATATTTTCTTTGTAAGGGCGTAATTGTACAATCATTGGGACATGGGATTCCTATTACAATTAATAAAACGCATCGAGATCAGAAGAATCAAACTCCATCTTCTGCATTCCCTAGTTTATAACTTTTAGGGGCCTGTGTCTTGCAAATGAAATTATACATCATTGTGGGCTTAGTGAGATTTAGCAAAATGTATTTCCAGAATGAAAGAAGTAGTGAAAACAACCCTGCAATTTGAGATTAGAAAATACAAAATTGTTCACTTGACAGAAAGGCATTTCCTTAGTATTTTCCCATGAGTATATAATCAGAAAGAAAAATACTTTAATAAGGGGAAAATAAACTTGACAAAATAAAGCACTTAGAATAAGAAGTTATGTTAAAATGCATCAGTTCCATGCAACCATTTAATGTCAAGTGTGTTATTGAAGTGGAATCATTGAATGTGAAAATATTATGAAAAGCACTCAGTGAAAATAGGCAGAGTCATTTTAAAATATTTGTAAACTGCTCTTCATAAAACTTTGCTCAACATATCAAATAAGAAAACTTTATGCCAAGAAGTGTTTATATTTTAGGAAATCTTCCTAGTCCAAAATCTAAAAGATGTACTTAGATTGTCATCAACAAGAATTTATTTGCATACCTAATATATGGGTAGGACCTAAAAATATGAATATTGCCATCCTAAAAGAAGTAAAGTATTCCACTTGGTACTTCTAATATACTATATTTATGTCAAATGTCCTGGTTGTTCTGTAGTAGAAGTGGCTTAGAAATAGGTTATTTTGTTTTCATAAGAGCTAAGCTTTGGGGTAAATTGTTTCCCCAATTCTTATAGATTCTAGATGAACATCAGCACTAAACGGAAATCTACTTAAAATTAATGTTATATGGAAAAAAGTACCACAATTTTACAAAGATACGATGAGTGATTCCCTTGGTTTTTTGTTCTTACCTTATAAGTATCTCCTTTCAGGTTTATTTTTATCATCTCTTTTCTTAGAATCTATTTTGAATCGGTCTTTTAGTTAACATATCCCAAACAGAGCTCTTACACCCCTCATTCTCTTCACTTACTCCTCATTTCAGCAAGTCCCACAATCATTCACCCAGGTGCCCAACCCAAACCAGAATATGATCCTTGATTTATCTTTTCTCTCATCCCTTCCCTCCCTTAAGCAGCAGGCCTATCAATTCCACCTCCAAAATATGGTTTTCATATATCCACTTCTCTCTATCTGCACCACACTATTCTTGTTCATATCGTTAATAATGTCAACCCTCTAACAGGTCTCCCTCTTCCCTGCACTCCATTCTGTACTTGAGTACCTTAAGTGATCTTATTTAAAGTATCTGTTAACTCATTCCATAGGCCTGCCTAAAACACTTGAACGTTTTTGTCATGTATTAGAATCAAAACCTAAACATCTACATTAGTTTGCTAGGCCTACCATAACAAAATGCCACAAACTAGGGGGCTTAAGCAATAGAATTTTAATTTCTAACTGTTCTGGATCCTGGATTTTCAAAATCAAGGAACCAGCAGGGTGTGTTTCTTCTAAGTCGTCTCCCTCTGGCTTGCAGATGACAGCTTTCCCACTTATGTCCTTGCAGGAACCTTCTGTGCTCATGTGCCCTGATGTCTCTTCCTCTTGTTGTGACACCAGTCATGTTGGATTATAAGGCCCCACGCTTCTGACTTCATTTAACTTTTCATCTTTAAAGTCCCTATCTCCCAATACAGTTACACTGGGGTAAGGCTTTCACTTATGAATTAGAGTGGACATAGTTCAATCCATAACAACCCCTTACCAGAATTTCACTGGGCCTGGGAGATCTAGTCTCTCCTTACTTCTTTAATGTCACCTTAGACCACTCACTTACTCTCTGTACCTCATCAACATTGGTCCTTTGATCTTCCTCAAATATCACCTCCTCAGGGACCTCCTCTATTTCCCGAATAATACGTTTCAAATTCGCAGCCCCATTATTCTATTATAGCATTCCATTTTATTTTCTTTCAAATATTTTCCTTTACCAGATTAAAAAAATATTTAATTGCTCACTTGTTTCAGGCTCTGTTTCCCAGTCTAGAATTTTAGCTTTATTTTATTTACTGCTTTATCCTCTAGAATCATATGCAGACAATATAAGTGCTATCTATCATCTGTATAATGCTCTCTATATATATGAAAATAAGTGCTCACTTTCTCTCTCTACATATATGTATAAAAGTTATACATATGACTGTGTCTGACCCCATAGAGGCAAATATTTTAAGAAGAACTGTTTGATTTCTTTCTTTATAAAGCTTAACGCTTAATTTCTGAATTAACTTTAGACAGTAAAATTTTCAATATCATTTATATAGCCAACAGTGAACAAACTAAAAACAAAATCAGGAAGCAATTCCACTTACAATAGCTACAAAAAATATCTAGGAATAGAATCACCAAATAATTGACATATCTGTAAAATGAAAACCATAAAACACTGATGAAAGCAATTGAAGAGGACACACATCAAAAATGGAAAGATATCCCATGCCCACAGATTGGAAAATTAGTATCGTTAAAATGTTCATATTACCCAAAGTGATCTACAGACTCAGTGGAATCCCTATCAAAATACCAATGACATTCTTCACAGAAATAGAAAAAAAATCCTAAAATTTGTATGGAACCATAAAATAGTGCTGGGAAAACTGAATATCTATATGCAGAAAAATGAAACAAGATTTCTATCTTTTGCTGTATCTTATAACATTTATTTTTTACAAATTTTGAAATTCATATCCATTCAAAATTTTGCTGTTTCTCTGTGACTTGAAATTCTCTGTAGATACAGCAACATCTTTTCCTTTCCATTTGTCTTTCAAATATTTTCAATTTTTAAATTAGCCTTCTTATTGGCCTCTCTTTAATGCTGCACAATTTAAACTATTCTTGCCACCTATCCACACGTGTATCTATGCATATGCTTTGCAGTTATGAGCATTTGATTTATGCAGTTATGAGCATTTGCTGGCATTAAGAGCATTTCTCTCTTAACCCCAGCATCAAAAGTCACAGACCTAACTTCTATCATGTAGGAGATGTTTTAAGTAAACACTTATATTTTACACTGCTTTCCTATTGCTAGTATGAAGTTAACTGGAGAATTGTGATAAGAGTAAAAACTATTATAAAACATCTATCAACAAATCTCAATTTGTGTCACTTGATTGTGTTGTGCATATGAGGCTGCATTGCCTTCCTGGAATATATTTTGATGTCAAGCCTAAGCACACTCTCTGATAGCACAGTGTCTGACCTATTGGATATTTCATGTTCAAAGTCTGAAAATCTCATGTTCCTAGCAGTATTCCACGTATCTACAATGTTAGCTATTATCATATGGCACATGTTAAATAAACTTCAAAGATTATGTAATGGTAACAGATTGATATGCACTCAATGCTTATCACAACTCTGAAAATCCCAGAAAAGTAAAGTATTGGGTTAGACATATAGTGAAACTCAGTTTACTCAGATTTGATGTTGTAAAAAATATATAGATCCTCTTCCTATAAATCTCTCCTGTTTTTAGACTCATGAAACCAGATGCTGTCTTTTATTTTTTCTTTTATTGCTGAGTTCTCACGACCAGGTGTGATCTCAGCAGTGTCCTGGACAAGCTTACATACAGTGGGTTAAAATGACAGTGTTTCAGCCTTTCTTCCAACTTTCTAACCACTCTGCTTTTTGTTTGGAACATTTTGGACAGTTTAATAATGAAACTCCTTCCTCTGTATTTCTAAACAAGTCTATAAGAGCCAAAAGGCTGACTAATCGAAGTTCCTTTCTCAAAGTAGGGTGTGGACATAAAGATGCATAATTTATTCACTTCAACATAGGTTTGTTAAGTGCACACATTTTCTTTAAGCACAAGTTTAATTATGAGATTCTTACAGTGTGCTAGAAAGGTATGACATCTGATTTTTCAAAGCAGTGGTTGCTGGAGATGATAATCAGTTAATCTGATGAGTGTTATGAGAAATGAAGATAGTAATAAAAAGGGTCCTTGTGGTGGCTTTGTAATACACCACAAGGTGAATAATTTTCAGATCATGAAATTCTGGTGGCAATAAAATATAATGAGTTTTAAAATATTAGAATAATTTTATTGTAGTTTATATTTCTAAAATTTTATATTCATATGTAATCTTTATAACAATATTGGAGTAGATATCATTATCTCCATTTTGATGATGAGAAAGCACACTGCTATAAAGAAATACCTAAGACTGAGTAATTTATAAAGAAAAGAGGTTTAATTGATTCACAGTTCCACAGGCTGTACAGGAAGCACAGCTGGGGAGGCCTTAGGAAACTTACAGCAGGCAAAGGGGATGCAGGCACGTCTTACATGGCCAGAGCAGGAGGAAGAGAGAGAAGGGGGAGGTGCTACACACTTTTAAACAAGCATATCTCATGAGAATTCACTCAGTATTATGAGAACAGCAAGGGGGAAATCTGCCCCCATGATCCAATCACCTTCCACCTGGCCCCTCTTCCAGAATTGGGAATTACAACTGGACATGAGATTTGGATGGGGATGCAAATCCAAACCATATCAGAAAGATTAAGCCAACAGTTGTTAAATGATTTACCATCACTCAGCTTATAAAACAGAACCAAGGAATCAAACCCTAGGTTTAGAGTCTTAGTCCCATGGTTCCACAGTTATTGAGTATATTTTTAGTACATGAAGCAAATTGATTGCATTTTCTTTTGTGCATTAGAATTCTATCCTATCTATCCATCTATCTATCTATCTATCTATCTATCTATCTATCTATCTATCTATCTATCGATCATCTATCTATCTGTTTTAGTCTGTTTTCACACTGCTGGTAAGACAAACCCAAGACTGGGAAGAAAAAGAGGTTTAATTGGACTTACAGTTCCACATGGCTGGGGAGGCCTCAGAATCATGGCGAGAGGTAAAAACACTTCTTACATGGTGGTGGCAAGAGAAAAATGAGGGCGATGCAAAGGCAGAACCCCTGATAAAACCACCAGATCTCGTGAGACTCACTACCATGAGAACAGTACGGGGAAAACAACCCTTATGATTCAAATTATCTCCCACCGGGTCCCTCCCACAACATGTGGGAATTATGTGAGTACAATTCAAGATGAGATTTGGGTGGTGACACAGAGCCAAACCATATCATTCTGCCCTTTGCCCCTCCAAATCTCATGTCCACATATTTCAAAACCAATCATGCCTTCCCAGCAATCCCCCAAAGTCTTAACTCATTTCAGCTTTAACCCAAAAGTTCACTGTTTAAAGTCTCATCTGAGACAAGTCAAGTCCCTTCTGCCTATGAGGCTGTAAAATCAAAAAAACAGAAAATTGCTTCTGAGATACAATGGGGGTACAGGTTTTCAGTAAATACAGCTCTTCCAAATGGGAGAAATTGGCCAAAACAAATGAATTACAGGATCCATGCAAGTCTGAAATCCAGTGGGGCAGTCAAATTTTAAAGCTCCAAAATGATGTCCTTTGACTCCAGGTCTCACATACAGGCTATGCTGATGCAAGAGATGGGTTCCCATGGTCTTGGGTCGCTCCACCCCTATGGCTATACAGGATACTGCCTCACTCCCAGCTGCTTTCATGGGCTGGCATTGAGTGTCTGTGGCTTTTCCATGCACATGGTGCAAGCTGTAGGTGGCTCTACCATTCTGGGGTCTGGAGGACGGTAGCCCTCTTCTCATAGTTCCACTAGGTGGTGCCCCAGTAGGGACTCTGTGTTGGTGCTCCAGCCCCACATTTCCTTTCTGCACTGCCCTAGCAGAAGTTCTCCATGAGAGCCCCACCCCTGCAGCTAACTTCTGCCTGGGCATCCAGGCATTTTCCTACATCTTCTGAAACCTTGGCAGACGTTCCCAAACCCCAATTCTTGACTTCTGTGTACCCGCACGGTCAACACCACATGGAAGCTGCCAAGGCTAGGGGCTTGCACCCTCTGAAGCCACAGCATAACCTCTACGTTGGCCCTTTTCAGCCATGGCTGGAGCTGGTAGGATGAAAACACCAAGTCCCTAGACTGCACGCGGCATGGGGACCCTGGGCTAGGAAGGAAACCCTATTTTCCTCGTAGACCTCCAGATCTTTGCTGCTGCAAAGGTCTCTGACATGCCCTGGAGACATTTTTTTCCATTGTCTTGAGGATTAAGATTCAGCTCCTCGTTACTTATGCAAATATTTGCAGCCGGCTTGAATTTCTTCTCAGGAAATGGGATTTTCTTTTCTATTGCATTGTCAGGCTGCAAATTTTCCACTTTTATGTTCTGTTTCCCTTTTAAAACTGAATGCCTTTAATCGCACCAAGTCACCTCTTGAATGCTTTGCTGCTTAGAAATTTCTTCTGCCAGATACCCTAAATTATCTTCCTCAAGTTCAAAGTTCCACAAATCTGTAGGGCAGGGGGGAGGTGCCGCCAGTCTCTTTGCCAAAACATAACCAGAGTCACCTTTGCTGCAGTTCCCAACAAGTTCCTCATTTCTGTCTGAGACAACCTAAGCCTGGACTTTATTGTCCATATTGCTATCAGAATTTTGGGCAAAGCCATTCAACAAGTCTCTAGGAAGTTCCAGACTTTCCCACATTTTACTGTCTTTTTCTGAGCCCTGCAAACTGTTCCAGCCTCTACCTGTTACCCAGTTCCAAAGTCATTTCCACATTTTCAGGGTTATTTTCAGCAGCATCCCTCTCTACTGGTACAAATTTACTGCATTAGTCTGTTTTCATGCTGCTGATAATTACATACCCAACGCTAGGAAGAAAAAGAGGTTTAATTGGACTTGCAGTCCCACATGGATGGGAGGCCTCAGAATCATGGCGGGAGGCAGAAGTCATTTCTTACATGGTGCTGGCAAGAGAAAAATGAGGAAGAAGGAAAAGCAGAAATCCCCAATAAAACCAGCAGATCTCTTGAGACTTATTTAGTAACACAAGAACAATATGGGGACAACTGCCCTCATGATTCTAATTATCTCCCACTGGGTCCCTCCCACAACACGTGGGGACTATGTGAGTACAGTTCAAAATGGGATTTGGGTGGGGACACGGAGCCAAACTATATTACTATCTATGCTTATCTCACTATAGTTTATAATCTATTATCTATGTATTTATGTACAGCCAATTTTCATGTACATTTTCTTTGACCATAGGACTACACACATTTTTCTCTCATGCATTGGTTTAAATGGTAAGCAGTATACAATTTTTGACTGAATTTTATTTTATAGGAGATATTTATTGTCTCATCCTAAATGATAGCCAGATAAAAGCTGAAAGTATATAAGAAAATGCTAGCTTTTTATGTTTAGATATGACTTATGAGACTCAACTTTATATATAGAATTTATGATGGGAAGACCCAGATGTTTATTCACTTTAGACATGGTCTAGATCATCATTAAAAGTAAAAAAAATTTCTGTTTTCAGGAACGCCAATTATGTTCTTGTTCCAGCAATGTCTAAGGTTTATTCCAATAAGTTTTTAAAACAAAGTTTTAAACACAAAGGGCAATCCCTATATCAATGACCTCATCCTTAATTTCAAATATGATGTTATTAGGACATTGTATCTAGAATATAGAAAACCATGGTTTGAATTTAATTTTTTTTTTAAACTGAAAGAAGCCTGGAAAAATTTAGCTTGCTTTTCCTCTAAATTAAGAGTCTTCACTCTTTTCTGCCCTAGAACTACCACGGTTATCACAATCATCCAAAGAAAAAAATTAAACAATATTGGTGCAATGGATCTTTTTTCCCTTAAAGGATAATATATAATTCTTATGGCCAAAGTGTTATTTGTGAATCTTTTTTTTTTCCAGGAAAGGGAGTTTTCAGCTCCTCTATTATGATTTCTGATTGTATGAATCAGAGTACCCTCAAAAGAAACCAGCAAACAAATACCGATTTATGTGTTAATTATTATTTTTTTTAAGATACGGAAACAAGAAAACACAGCAAAACCTATAAGCTTCTTTTTCTCAGTCTAATGAATAGGAATTGCAACATACCATGATCCCATGCTGACTCACTAATTTGCAGTCTGGGGACTTGAGAGAAGATGACAGCTGCAGACAGTGTGGAGGGAAAGCCACCTTGCAACACATCTTGTCAAGTTGCAGCCTCTGGCTTTGACCTAGGGCCAGTATTCCTGGACACATGATGAAGTGTGAAAAGTACTGGCAGGCATTTCAGACCAAAAAAGAAAAAAAAGTTAGGCAGTAAGGGAAAATGAGGACCAGAAAAGATTAATATTTGTGAGGTTTACAGCAGAAAAGGCAAAGCAATAGGAAGTAAAGAAATCCCTAAAGAGAATTTCTTACAACAGCAGCAGATTAGAAACAGGATGGGCCTGAATGGGAAGCTTATTTTTCCAGCTGGAACCTTCTCTACAAATCTGAGGTTGTTTTGGGAATGATAGACAAATGCCAAACAAATGTATAATCAAGAAATAATGATAGAATTTACAGTCAGTAGGAAAGGCCGAGAATGGAGGCGCAGAGAGAGAGAGGAATAAACTGTTATACAATTGAATGCACTGGTACACTAAACTTTAAACATTTTGCACAAAGATAAAAACATTCTTGCTAATAAGTGAAGATTTTAAAGTTATAAGGAAAGTTTGAAATGACCTAGTCTAGATATTTTCAAATTTTGTAGCCACAGGAAATGTATTTCAAACAAATTCGTATGCAGAATCCCCACATGAATATAGAAGAGCTGATCTGATTTAAGAAGTTGCAAAGGGTAGGGTGGGGGGCAGTGGGGCTCCTATGCCCTCCTGTCAACTCATGCCTGGAAATTGACTCCTGGGCACTTAAGAAATCTTTAAAGCTTTTCAAAACGATTTGAAAGCAACCTAGCCTAACTTAACCCTTTATTTATTGCCTAAGGAAACAGAGTCCAGTGTCTCAGGGCCTGCAGAGTTACATTTTGAAGGCTTACCAGCAATGAGGCTCTGTGTCTGTTCCCTGAGACACTGGGTTCTGGACACTGGTAGACTTTCAGGACCCCTGTGATGGAAATCTACTGCCTCCAACCTGTTTTATCACGTTGTGGGTAATTGTTATTCTTCCTTCTTAATGATGGATATAAGAATATATTTATAAACTCCAATTTCACTCCGATAAACAGAAAATAATCTTTTTCTCCTTCAGAAATGACGGGATGAAGGATAGTGCTGGGATGGTGAATGGGGCAGAGTTGGCAGTTTAAGAGTAATCTTCCTTTACATGAAACTCCATCTGCTTTCTGTGGCGTGTTCTGCCATAGGTAGCTTTTCCCAACAGTTTTCGTCAGTTTCTCCTGTTTGTGATTACTCCTTTTAAGATCATTTCCATCAATTATCCAATCAACGTCAGCTTTCAGCAATGGCGGCTTATGTTGACTTTAACTGCTGCAGATGTTCACTGAGTCTGCAGTTACTACTGGTTGCTATGATAGGTTAATGGTGTCCCAGCATCACTCTGCAGCTGCCCAAGAGTTCTTCCACCCTGATTAGCACCTCTACAGTGTTTTTCTTAGAAGCAATTCCGGGAAAGTTTTTAACCACAGCTACCTTGCAATACACCCTTTCAAGGTGTATATTCAAATAACCAACTACTTTCATTGGGAAAGCACATCTTTGTATGTACATATTTTGATACATTTATGTTGTTTTTTCCCATTAACCACTGCTTAAAACTGAATTCTGAACTGTGGACAGAAGCATGAGGTATGAATGTTGTCTCCTCTACTTTCTAAAAGTGTGATCTCAAGAAAACTATAAAATCTCAAAGAATTTAATGTCCTTTATCTGTTCAAATGGAGACACATCCTAATGACATTCACAGTAACCGGAAGACTTAAATAAAATCAAATGGATGTGAAAATATTTTCAAAACTACAAACTATTATGTGAATATAAGGATTTGTGTGACCAGAATCACGATAGTATCAATCTGTTTCCTCTCCCTTGCCTACCTTTCTCTCAAGGATCTCACTGTAACAAAAAACTCACTGAGGAAGGAAATTCAAGCTGAGATATACAGTTTCCCAATATCTAAAATTTGACAATAGGGTAATTGGCAAAAATCTCTCAATTCCTCTTCAACTAACATGCAGAGAGGCAATTATGTTTTAATAATGAGTAACAAGAACAGTCCCCTAGGTATTTCATAGTTTCCTGTGCAAAATATAAACAAGCTCACACTTCTTAGAAACTAAAGTCAGCCCAATGCTTTTTATTTGTCAATGAAATAATTCAGTGATCTGAATTTAATGCTTTCAGTGTTCAGTTTGTCATTTATTCTCTGTAAAGGAATCTGTTGATTATTACATGCAATTTCACAAATAAGCTCTTCATTCATTTTCTGCTGTATTTTATTAGCAAATAAAAATACAAGCCACCCAGTTAAATTTGAATTTCAGATAAACAACAAATAATATTTTAGCATTAGTATGTTTTATATGATATTTGCAGCCCTACTTACCTGTCTCCTCTGCTCCGCCTCTCTGCAAACGGTGTTCCTGTTCCGGTCTTTCATAGTTTAAGTCAGAATCCAACCCCTTATACCTGGACTCATGCCACTTACATTTTACGAATCACAGAAGGCTCCTGATTGTATCCTTTTTATGTGTCTCAGATTTATCTATTTCTTTTGACTCCCATTGGCATTTCTCTACTAGAGGTCACCATTAGCTCTGACTTTGATGACAACAACAGCATCCAAATTAGTATTCCTCTCTTAGTCTTGCCTCCAGTCACCCTCTAGTAATCTAAATGTTATTTAAAATGCAGTCATGTAAACCAGAAATGTCATCCAGCTAGTAAGCTTCATGAGGTCAGGATTGGGTCTTTCTTTCTCACTCTAGCATCTCTAGTGATTTACACATTAATTAATTCATTCAAAAAAACATGTATTAAGTGTCTACTGTATAATAAGTAATGTTCCAAGCAGTGGAAATTCAATATAGAACAAGACAGACAAGATCTCTGCCCTCAAGAAGCTATTATTATAGTGAAAGAAGACAAAGCACACAAAAAAGTAAGAAAGTATAAGATAATGATAAGTGCTACAACACAAATGAAACATGTGGTATAACAAAGAGTGTCAGTGGATGGCTACAGGGAAGGGTGTCAAGGAAAACTTCTGCAATGAAGTGATGTAAATGAATGGTTGTCACTTTCCTCATAATTTTTCTGAGGGTCATTTGTGGGCATTCATATAATTGACAACAACATGATTTTTTTTTCTGGTCCTATCTCATTTTGCAAGGCTAATCTTTAGCTACTTTTGAGCATTCTATATATTCTTGCCAATTTGAATTCTAGTTCCTCTACACACACTTCTCATACTTCAGCTGGCATCAAAATCACCTGGAGGGCTTGTCAAAATACAGGTTTCTGGGCCCCTCCCCCAGGATTTCTAATTCGTTAGACCAGGAATGGGGCTAGAGGATTTGCAAATCTAGCATGTTTCCAGGTGCAGTAAAGTTTAGAGAGGAAATCTTTCGGACCATCTAATTACTCATCTTCTCAATTTCCTTTTCCACAAATGACAACGAATTTATTGTCATCATCTAAGTTCATAAGAAACCACAGACTAAAATTCATCTTTGGCTAAAACTGAACTTGTCAGTAGGGAAGCGAAAGAGGAAGAAAGAAAGAGGAAGGGTTAGATTTTTAAAGAGGAAAATTGCTTCTCAGAGATGATATGCATTTAGTGGAGCGTAAAATGAATTTGATCTGAGTTGGGAATTCAGAACGCAGAAGCTTTATGGGATTGCCAAAATCCCAGTCCCTACATTTAACAAATCTATTTTCCACCTTGGAGAGTTAGAAAATAAAAACTACATGTCAGTAGAGGACTGGGGATAGGGCTTTTTGGCTTCTGGAAAGTTTTAAATAAGTCACTTAGTGTCATATGAGAAATAGGTGTTATTCCTACAAAATCCATCATACTATAAAAGCAAAGCACTGTAAAAGACCTTTAACAGACAAACTATCCCACTGCCTGCACACATGCCAATTTAAAAATTATTCCCGACCAATTTTATAAGCCTTCAAAAACTATTTCCTTATTCTGTTTGTAATCTGGTATAGTACGTAACCATTTTAATACTTAAAATTCTTCCTTATATATTAATTAAATCTATTCTTTTTGAGTTTCAAGTCACTTTTTACTTCTCCTGTCTTTCTTCCCTTTTAAAAAAAATTCAAACCTAAGTGCTGATAAATAGTAGCTGGTACTTGTAATTTTCATATGTCTTCACCTTTTATATCATTGGGAAATAATAATTTCTCTCTAGTTAAATAATCTCAGTTGCTTTGACCTTTTTGCCAAGCCTAATTTTTTTTCTTATTCTGATCTTAGTTTCTACTCTCTCCTCCATTTATATTGTATCAAAGTTTCTGTTTATTTATGTGTTCAGTGAACGAGGTAAAGCAGAACGCAGTTTCATACAGGGTTGACTGAAATAATGTAGGCATCTTAACTATCTCTTACTTTCAGTGTGTAAGATAATCAGTGTTGAAAAATTAGAAAATCCAGAAAAGTAAAAGTGGGGCAATTTGTTAACCCAAATAACCCTACTCAGTGGCTACAATTGTCAATATTTTGTCTTATTTTTTCTAGACTGATTACTTGTAAATAATTTATGCTTTATATAATATATCATGATTATTTTATATCGATGAAATTATATCTTAGGAGTAGCTACTATGCGTTGCAGAGTAATTTCTCAAGTCAGTCGGAATGGAGTAAAATTGTAGACATATAAACACACAAACAAATATAGTACAGGGTATCAAGTATCATAATAAAGATATGGTAAAATTCAAGAGGAACAAAACTAGACCACTTTCTTAAAAGTTTTCTGAGAGAAACAGTGAGGTCTGTATAGAAGATGACATTTTAGTGACTATTGGAGGATGAACAGCTGTTTCTCTAACAAATGGAAGAGAATACATACAGAAAAAATGAATCATATAGCTACTAAAGTATAATAGAATTATAGTCTGAGTCTATACAGCTGTTATAGGAATACAGAAGCCTATTATTTAAGCTGTTTCCATAGGATGAATTATTCTTCCTCACCTATTCTACTGGATCTGTAAGGCAGTTCACATCTTCCACAGTCAAGCTAGGCTTAGACCTCAGAGGACAGCTTTAGTCTCTTCATTTGCTATGTGAAGTACTGTAGGATTCCTTGTGGACATGAAGAAGATAATGGGACTACCAGGGAGAATGCTGAGTGGTAAAATTAATGTTACTTTTCTTTTTATAGTTAACCTTTTGTTATGGACTAAGTTCAAAGAAAAGTAAACCAAAAGGCATTACTTGAATTCCAGGCTTCTCTAATTATTATAGCTATGTTGCTTGATATAAAATTACTAAAATTCTTTGAGCCTCAACATCCCATTTATTAAATAGGGGTAATAATAACACCTACTTATATAGTGGCTATGAAAATTAAGATGTTCATAGTGATTATATGAGGAAGTAGTCAAACTCATTCCTTTTGATGCCATATTAGTTAAGGATCAAGATTGTCTTTTCTTTCTCCCACCCTCACACGTTGTGTCTAGTACTTTACTCCCTCATCCAAGAATTTACAAGCATCCATGGTTTTTAGTAAGGCAACATTGTACTCAGGTGTGTTATAAAGAGTTTTAGCAAGTTTTGCTTTTAACAAAATGTTTGGAAATCTCATTGATAACGTATTTTTAATTTGGATAATTTCATGAGGACTAATCCAACTGTAAATTCTTAATGCATGGGGAATAGATGTACAGCATCTTTAAGCAGGACAGTTTCATTTTCCCCAATTGTTTTGCTACTTGGGTCTTCAGGTGCTGTAACCTAAGTTTTCTCTTCAAATGTTCTTACAGATTGTGCTCTTCTCAGAGCCTCCATCTGACTCGAGAGAATATGCTTGTCAGTTACCTGCTAAAACCCTACTGAAACAAAACTTTAGAACTGTAGACAAAGTGTTGTTTATATGTCTCCCAAATGCCTTCTCAAAGGATGTCTTATTGCCACCTACTTTCACATTGTCATATGTATCTAACAGAAAAGAATCGGCCCATTCATGGTACTGGATATATAACGGAGTGAAATATATGCTTCTCTCTAGGAAAGCCACAATAGAAAGATTGCCCTATCTTCTGGAAATTTCAAAGCAAAAGGTGCAAATGGATGGCATAGGCCAACATTCAATGAGTACCTATTTTGAACCTGCATTGTACCAGCTTTTAAATATAAAAATTCAGAGATGTGGAACATATTGTATCCCAAAAGTTGAGAAATGACCTAACATTAAACAAGATAAATCAGAACTGATATGGCAAAATTAATATTTCTGGTTTCTTTCCATAAGGTGACTCCTTAAGAAAAGGAAACATATATTACCACATAAAGAGACACTGAGAGTTAAAGGGGAAGGGCATGGTGCTTCTCCAAATAACTCTCTGTAACATTATAAAGCTCTCTACCAATCCCATTAAGTAAGACCTGCTTGCCCAGGCTAGAAGCTTCCGTATACCTGACCTGCATCTTTGGAGCATTAACTCTCTTAGAAAACACAATAATCATTTTAAGGTCAATTTTCCATGTGTGTTTTCAGATATGTGAAGTTACTGGCAATTAGGCTCAGAGTCAAGCAGAAAGTGAATACCAGGATAAATGTGAAGTGTGTCTAAAGATAAACTACTATTTGGGTTACAGGGCTCTCTGGTGTCTGGCTCACTGCTATATTTGAAAAGTCACTTTGCTGGTCTCTCATCTAAGTTGCTACTTGACACTTTAAGCTGGAAAAATTGGCATGAACTTTCTATTCTCATGTTCGGAACAAAGAATTGTAGGCTTTTTATTATCATAATGTCTGGTAAATATCAATCTCACTGATACTGTAGCAGAGGAGGCCAATATCTCCCTGTGATTCAGATGTGTTTGCTTTAGTAAGTGAAAAAATTACTCTTCCAACACAGAATTGCCTGAGACTTGAACTCATGATGTGTAAACGTCCTTCATCATGTTTAAAGATGTCTAGTGGAAGCTAATAAAACAGTGCACCTTATTCATCTTCTTTTTTTTTTTTTAACAAGTGTGAACTACACCATAATATGACAAGGTTATTCATGCCTTAGTTACTTTTCAGAGGAATTTATTTTCAAATGAAAACTACATCACAGTGTCTATTAAGTTTTGAAATTTTATAATGTATGCCTTGCAGTTTGCTATTGGACTTATAACAGGCCCTAACCTAGCCATGTGGAAAAGACAATTATGAACACAACATTAAAAATGAGGTTTCAGGATATCTGATCTCTGGAAAAACTTAAAGTGCCCTACATGATGAAAACTAATACAGCTGCATTCTAACTTACCTTCTCACTCAGTGTCCTTGAAAATATTAATGCTACTATAATAATACAATAACAGTAGAAATAAATTTTTTTAAAAAATGCAACGTTTGTTCAATTCAAAAGGTATTTTGAATTGAATTATAAAATGGGTTCAAATTTTTAAAAAATTGAATTACGAAATGAGTAAAATCACAGAGGGAAGGTGACTGTTGAACAATCTTTCCTGCATTTCTCATATTATCCATCTAAATTCCTTTACCTTAGAGGGGTGCCTATATGTATACTATATCCATATGCATGTATGTACTCATATCCGTATGCATATCTATAGTCATACCTATATAAATATTTCCTCCTAAACACTTTTGACTAGTTGAATTTCCATGAGTGTAAAATTCTAGATGGAAGAAAATTTTTGTTTGCTTGTTTGTCGGTGTTTCTTTTGGGGATTTCCCTAAAGCACCTACTCTAATAATTGGGAAAGAGACATTTGTTTCTTCTGTACTTACACATTGTTATGATGTGAAATGTGTGTCTTTTATTTCTATATAGAAAAACTGTATGGAATTACTTATTCCATAATGTATGGAAGCCATATATCATGTTAATAGCAAAATGGGAAATCAATATATCTTTTGACCGCATGGTCTGAAATTTTATTTTGTTTCATTTTGTGGTGCTGTATGAACTGTGTGATACTGGTGTCATTGATATGGTATCTGAAGCAATTAATGAAAATAAACTTTTGCATGATATTTAAATAACCTCCTGCCCGAAACAAACTCACCTCATGCACACTTCACAATAGCATGAAGAAGTTTCCCCAGCTAGCCCATTATCCCTATCATAATAACTTGATCCCCATAATAATCAGTGGGTTCTATCACCATAAAAGGTAAAAATAATTCATTTTTATATTTATTCTAAAGGCATTATCCAGTGATCTTATTTTTATACAGTGGAGAATGAATGTTCTGTTTCCATTTTCTTTCCTGACAAAAAACCAAACCCAGTCATCTCTGGAAACATGTCTCCCTGTAACCGTCCAATGTCCAGTTCTTGAAGTTGTAAGAAACTTTTCTTCAAGTGTGTGGTTCTTATGGAGTTTATTTTTATTGTTCTTGATGTTACAGGGAAGGATAACTATTTAATAAATGGTGCTGGGAAAACTGGCTAGCCATATGTAGAAAGCCGAAACTGGATCCCTTCCTTACACTTTATACAAAAATTAATTCAAGATGGATTTTTATTTTTATTTTTATTATTTTTATTTTTTATTTTATTATTATTATACTTTAAGTTTTAGGGCACATGTGCACAATGTGCAGGTTTGTTACATATGTATACATGTGCCATGTTGGTGTGCTGCACCCATTAACTCGTCATTTACATTAGGTATATCTCCTAATGCTATCCCTCCCCCCTCCCCCCACCCCACAACAGTCCCTGGAGTGTGATGTTCCCCTTCCTGTGTCCATGTGTTCTCGTTGTTCAATTCCCACCTATGAGTGAGAGCATGCGGTGTTTGGTTTTTTCTCCTTGCGATAGTTTGCTGAGAATGATGGTTTCCAGTTTCATCCATGTCCCTACAAAGGACATGAACTCTTCATTTTTTATGGCTGCATAGTATTCCATGGTGTATATGTGCCACATTTTCTTAATCCAGTCTATCATTGTTGGACATTTGGGTTGGTTCCAAGTCTTTGCTATTGTGAATAGTGCTGCAATAAACATACGTGTGTGTGTGTCTTTATAGCAGCATGATTTATAATCCTTTGGGTATATACCCAGTAACGGGATGACTAGGTCAAATGGTATTTCTAGTTCTAGATCCCTGAGGAATCGCCACACTGACTTCCACAATGGTTGAACTACTTTACAGTCCCACCAACAGTGTAAAATTGTTCCTATTTCTCCACATCCTCTCCAGCGCCTGTTGTTTCCTGACTTTTTAATGATCGCCATTCTAACTGGTAGGATTAAATAGGGAATCCTTTCCCCATTGCTTGTTTTTGTCAGGTTTGTCAAAGATCAGATGGTTGTAGATATGCGGCATTGTTTCTGAGAGCTCTGTTCTGTTCCATTGATCTATATCTCTGTTTCAGTAGCAGTACCATGCTGTTTTGGTTACTGTAGCCTTGTAGTATAGTTTGAAGTCAGGTAGCGTGAGGCCTCCGGCTTTGTTCTTTTGGCTTAGGATTGACTTGGTGATGCGGGCTCTTTTTCGGTTCCATATGAACTTTAAAGTAGTTTTTTCCAATTCTGTGAAGAAAGTCATTGGTAGCTTGCTGGGGATGGCATTGAATCTGTAAATTACCTTGGGCAGTATGGCCATTTTCACAATTTTGATTCTTCCTACCCATAAGCATGGAATGTTCTTCCATTTGTAAAACATGGCAATTTCTAAAACACCCATTTTAGTGACTGTTTTGGCTTCCTTGATAGCCAGTCTTGATTAATCAGTCTTGAAATCTTGGGAATAAGGCCTTAGTAAATGTAGATAAATGATCAATCATGCTCTCTGGGAAAATACTTGATAATTATTCTCTCTTCAGAAATATAGAAGATAGATAGATAGCTAGATAGATAGATAGATAGTGTGTATCTCTGTGTGTGTGTATCTCATCCACTTTGCTCCTCCACATCCCCTACCGCTATTTCATACTTCTCATTTGATACTGGTTGAATTCTTACCATATGAGTAGGGCAGTTATTGTCCTTCACAGGTCTCAAATGAGTAGCCTAAAATTCAGAGAGTTTAGGTACTTAGGCAAAAATCCCTCAGTGAATGACAAATCCAGGCTTTAAAACCAAGTTTACCAGCTTTGTGTCCACTGTTCTTTTGGTTTATCAAACTTTGAAATGAATATACTTGCATGAAACAAGTATATTCCTTTTAGACCATTTGTATAAATAGCTGTGAAAGAAGGGCATAGGAATACAATGTCATAGGGAGGAAATTAGTCAATGAAAGTATTTAATAATTCTGACAATTATAATTCAAATGAGAAAACAAAGCTTTTCCAAATAAAGTGCTCATGGGCTTTTGGGGAGGGAGTGCTGAAGAAGAAAATTAGGGAATAGAGTTTTACCACAGTTTCTGAGAAATTAGAGCTATGAGTGTGATTCTTTAAGAAATAAGAATGTAAACAAAGCAGAAGACAAAGCTAAATGAGGCAAGCCAGGGCTGTGGATAGTTGCAGTGATAGATAACACAGTCTTCCATGCATGAGTGGGCTCCTTAATTTACCAGAAAATTAAAATCAAGATACGACTATACATGCATATTTAAATTGCTTCTTTAGGTTTCATATACCCTGCCTCTGAATATATACATTTTTATTTAATTTTACATATGTACAGTTTTTTTTAAAACATTGTTATTTTTGAATACATATAGTTAGGAATCCAGTTGTCCTATCTGCCATTTTCAGGTATAGAATGAGCTTGTACAGAAATTAGTCTGAACTTATTTTAGAAAAGATTAGAAAATAGATTTTGTCTTTTCATTTCTTTGAAGCAGCATTTAATTTTAAAAAATAGTTTAAATCCACTGCTTAGAGGAAAATCAAATCATTTTGAATCACAGAGACTAAGATGGGATAGAAATTACTGGGTATCTCTTAGTTGTATCATTTATATCAAAGCAGTGCTATGACAGAAATTTCAAAGAATTTTAGATTGAAAATTACAGTTGTGGAAAAATAGCTTAGACAAAAACGAAGGGTAAAAAAGGGGAAAAATAATGTGATATTTACATCTACAATATAATCTTGTTGGGTCACTTAAGTGTTTAGAAATCTGATTCCCAGTTTTCTCTCGTGGTTTTAAAATGAAGCCATTGAAAGCTGTGCTCAGCAAGCACTCCCTTGGTCCCACTACTCTTTTTGTTTCCTTTTTCTCTCGACAGATACATTCTGTTGCATTTTTCCAGTCACTTCCCTCCAATGCCAGGCCTTCCTCAAAGAATATTTTTTTATGATACTGAAAGTGAATTTTTCTTTTTTTTTTACAAAGGACATGGGGATAATTTGACCTATCCAGGGACTATTTAAACAATTTTTGGGATTGAAAAGAAAACATTTGGGGATTTGTGGGTTCATCTGTAAGAATTTGAGAAAGAATGATCAGCAGGAGTCCATTAATATGTTTTCAAATAATAATCTCAAGTGTTTTATGACAAATGTTCAAGTTGATAGTACAAAATGGCAGCATTTTGGAAGGAACTTAATTGTACCTAGGTGCAAAGATTCTTATGCTAAGGAGGCCATCTATCTTGCTTACTCCAACTTATTAATTTAACTGGACTTGAAAATAAGGTGAAAGAGGTAGAATATAATGATTTTGCTCTGTTTTTACTGCAAAACAAATTGCCTGTATATTTTAACTCTGTGGCCTGAGTATATGGTGAATATTTATGATGTATTGATTTAAGCAAATTTCTGTTATAAGAAAGGTAGTGAGTGTGGTAGGGTGGGAAGTGTATGGATTATCTCTGTCTCTTGTGTTGAATTCAGCAAGTTGTTTAATTACCTCATAAAATGACATTTTAATATTGCTGTTTCAGTTACATGAACTTGAATCCAAATATTCCTCCTATTTCATCTTCTGACATCTAAAATATTCTGAATAACAGAGAAAGGTCTACGATTATGTGCAAAATGGTTGGTGATGATGAGATGGAAACACATTTGTCTGTGCATTCGGCGATCTTCAAATTGAATGCACTATTTTTTTTAATCCTGAGTAGATAATACATTACCAGAGGTCCAACAGACTAGCAAAAGCAAGGAAAAGCAGGAAATTAATAAGAAAAGCGATAGGTGAGGGGCCATTAAGGAAAGCAAAATAAAATAGAGAGGACTCAGGCTGAAGGGAGAGCAAAACATCAGTCATTGAAATAATGAGTAAATGAGTTCAGCAGTCAAAATACACTTATTCATGTGTTCAGGAATGTATTCAACACGTATTTTTTATAATTTCCTCTGTGCCAGGCTCATTTCTAGGGGACACAAGAGGAAACAAAAAAGGCAAAAATTCCTACCTTTGTAGAGCATTCATTCTAGTTAGGGAGAGAGTAAAGAAGTGATAAAGGGTTAAAAATAAAGAAAAAAGGGACAGAGAGGAGAAGCATAAGAAAGCGACATTTAAATAAATTACTGAAAGAAAGGAGGGAGCCTTATGAGAAGAGCATGTCAGGAAAAGAAACAGAGGATGCAAAGAACCTGAAGCAAAGGTGCCTTGGTGAGAAAAGTTGCTTCCATGAGGAGGCTGATGTGGCTGCAGTGGACTGATGCAGTGAGAGTAGCAGGAAATGAGATTTAAGAAGTCAGCAGGCCCGTGATTTCGAGGGCATTGTTTTACTTTGAAGTGAAAAGTCACTGAAGGATTTTGAGAAGTGAAATACATAAGATAAAGTTAGGGAAGTAAGACCAGTGAAAGTCCTTGACATGGGCAAAGTCAAGAAAAGAGGTAGAACATAAGGCAGGGGATAAAAAGAAATGTGGGAAACACATCTCTTAATGGCAGAACATGGGTTGTAATACCCAGGACATCAGCTCTTCCACCAGCACCTCCATTTTCAGTTTGTTGATTTCTTTGAATGCTGTGAAAGTTCTGACTGTGCTTGGTGAGCAGCTGAGTTATGGAGTCAGGGAAAGAAGTAAAGCAGATTATTTACCAATGAACAAAATGAACAAATAACTTTCCCATGGCTTTCCATTGTCTTCAAATCTTTAAAAGACAATAGGTACCATTTTTATCTTGTCATCCATCTTTACTTATTAGTCATCTTGTCATATGTCATCTTGTAATTCATTTCTACTGCTGATACATGGACTAGAGAATGCTGTAGGTAAGTTGGGGCTGGTGGTGGTGTGAAAAGCAGTACTTTTTCTCAGAGGGCATTAGGCTTATTCCAGGCTGAAGATCTAATTTATTTTACCTCAATTTATAAAATATAATGCTATAAGGTGTTGTTTGCTTATTTTTATGAAAAAATATAAACATTTTTGAAATTCATATAATACTATTTATGAGCACCAAGTGGAGGTATTGTTTTAAATAATAAATATGCATTATCCTGCTTCATTATAACATTATTAGATATATTTTATACGTATCTGTTTGGTAAAACATTGTCATTTTGTGGTCACAGTATATTTTAAATATCTTTCAATATTTTGTTAATTTTTCCCAACATGAATCATAATTTCCCAGCATAAAATCCAAAAGTTTCCTTTCCTAGCCTTTTTTAGAGTATATTACCTACATTTCTGCAATTAGATGCACTCTCAGAGCAATAGAAAGAAGAAGGAAGGGGTTGTATTGAACACATTTTTGTGGGAAAAGATGTAGAGCAGCAGTCCCTAATCTTTTTGGCATCAGGGACCAGTTTCATAGAAGATGACTCTTTAATTTTTCCTCTAATGTGGTGGGGTAGTGGTTTTGGGTTGAAACTGTTCCACTTTAGATCATCAGGCATTAGATCCTCATAAGGAGCATGCACCCTAGATCCCTAGCATGCTCAGTTCACAGTAGGATTTGTGATCCTATGAGAATCTGATGCCGCTGCTGATCTGATAAGAGACAGAGGTCAGTCAATAATGCTAACACTAATGCTAGTTCACCAGCAGCTCACCCACTCCTTGTGGCCCAGTTCCTAACAGGTTGGAGAATGACACCCGTCTGTGGCCCAGGGGCTGGGGACCCCTGATGTAGAGTACAATAAAGAGATCACATGTTAGTGGATGGGGTTCTAATAGTAGTGCTCAGTGTCCAAGATGCAAGCTGTGGTTTCTGTGGGTAGGGGTGGTAGGATCTTGCTAGTAAACCTGTGAGTGAGTGGTGATTGCTATTAAAACTGGCTTCATAGCTATGATCCTGCATCTGTAGCTCAGAAATCTTCAAGACTCTTTGAGGTACATAATACCATTTAATATGGAGGTTGATAATGCCTGATTTTGAAAATAAAGTTTTATTGAATGTCCATGCTAAGTATTTGCAACAGAGACCATCTGTCCCATAAAGTCTAAAATTTTAAGTCTCTGACCCAAATAAAAAAAGTTTTCTAGTTTCTACCTTAATAAATACTTTACTGCTTTAGCTAGATGGGTTATAAATTGCAACTAAGGTTTTAATTGATGAAAACTATTTTAAAGGTAAGGATAGGGCACAAAAAGGGTTTAAATAACGTTCTCATGTTCATATATATTTAATAAACATAGAAAACATAAAACTAGGATATAAACTCGAAGGACTCAGCTCTAGAGTTCAAATTTTTAAATACATGTTACATTTCTTCTGTTAAATTTTATGCTGGCTTTAGAGTTAATAAAGATTTGGACTCTTGACTAAGTATTTCAGCTTTCATTTAGATGTATGCATTAGTAGAATCTTGACAAATTTAGTAACTATGTAAGTTTAGCTTCATCGATTTAGGGGCCAGGCTCAGATAGAGGTTTTTTTGTCAATGTAGTTTTTACCAGTTTTAGGTTAGAACTTGATCTGCTAATCTTCTTGTAGAAATATTATGCTACTTATATTTAAGTATTTTTATAATCCTGCACATTTACATAGGCTATTTTCTTTCCGGTTACCCTTAGTGATGCTAGTATTCTTCCAAAAGCCTATTCAATGTCAAATCTTAATGGATTAGTTCACTGCCAGGTTGAAGTAGGATCCTCTGCCTCCGGGAGCAAATTATGGCTGTAACAAAAGTAATTGGTTTAAGAAGCATAAACAAAATCAAATCACCAGGTGATAATGATGTCACATGTGGTCTTTCCGTGGATACAAAATGACTTTTATGAGATCGTAAAACACAAAAGTCCTGAGGTCTGGTTCGTGTGAGAGGACTTTGCCTTGCAAAGTAAGAATTTGAGAAATGGAATTTTAAAAGTAAAAACAAAAATTGCATGGACTCTAAGTTTTGGACCAGATTCCTCACCATCTGTAGCCAATCTGCATTGCCTGTAAATTTAATCAGACATCTTGCCCATCTGTAAATTTCAGTCTTTTCACACTGATTTTGCCCTAATGAATGGAATTTTCTGTCATAATTTTCTTTGTTCATTTGTTAAACTTGGTCTCACAAGCCCAATAGGGCAACTGGGGAAAGATATGGATTCTTTATAAATGAAATGTGTGTCTTTAACACTATGACTCTTGAGTAAATAAAAATAAAGAATGAGAATTGTTGTCACTACCAAGTAGTAAAAGTAATAGAATATTTCATTTCTGTTTACTCCATTGTAACACTGTTTACACAGGAACAATGAAAGTTTTCATTATAAAATTTAGCAGACTGACAAAAACAGTATATCATGGACACATTCTCAGACTCTGAGGAAGGAAGAAAATAAAAGGATTTTGGCTGTTGATGAGTACCAGCTCTGATTTAAAAAAAAAACAATAAAATTAAAGCAATGTTTAGTAGTTGAATTTTTATTTAATTATCTAAATTCTGATGATGGGCTTAAAGTCATTTATGGGCTAAAAGAAAATAACACTCTATATAGATACGTATCTGTAAGTGGGACATTGTACCACAGATTTTGGGACACATAAACATTCAATAATCATTATATATATATATATATATATATATATATATATATATAATCTATCTATATAAATATATATATTTATATAAAGTTAAATAACATACTTACTTTGGCTCAGGTGTTTGAAATGTTCGTCTGACAAGGTGTTTCTTCACTATTTGATAGTTGGCTTTCCCCTGCCAATGGGACTTAATATGCGCAAGATTAAACGCATCACTTGGTACCACAGAGTAGGTAAAATGGCTCTTTTATATAAGCAAAGCAGAGCAAAGAGTTCATACTTCAGTCACTTAGCATGATCGCTTTTAAAAAAATTGATAATTTTTAAAAAAGGGATTTTTTTGTGTCTTGCCGGTACTGTGAGGCCATCGTTCATGTTATTAAAATGTGCATATAATGATGCAGGATGTGACTGAATGTCACTCATTTCGATCCCATTGATCACATAGTGTCTGTTGGTCCCAACTTAATTTGTCATGGCAAGGCACTCTAGTTTAGAGGTGGAAGCAAATGAGTTCAGTCATCTCACAATTCCCAAGGACAGAATCTGCTTTTAATTTTCTATACATGTTACTGCTTTGTGTAATTATTGAACTGAGACCTCAATTAGCAACCTGCTGGGCTTTTTGTGATATTTGAAGTGTCCGTGTGACATAGCCATGAAAGAACCCCAATTTGTACCACCATATAATAAAAATAAACTATTAGCTAGATTTAGTTGTTTTAATACATGTTTTGTTAGGCATTTTAAAAATATATAGATCTGTCTTCATTGCTAGTTACCGATATGACACAATATATGCACTTTTTCTTGGTAAAGTTTTATTTAGGAACAGATGGTTGGTTGAGGTGGGAAATAAGAGACACAGAGCATGATGACCAAGATCTTAAGAGGATAACAGCTTGAATCACAATTACAGGGCATTCTATCCAGCAGAAACGTGTTGGTTTTCTTTTTAAGGTTTCTGCTAACTTTGAGTGTAAGGAGGATTTCTTTCCAATTTACTGTCAAAGCCAGAGAGGAAAGGATTCTGCTGGGAAGTGGCTATTTTAGAACAGTAAATTGGGATGTCTTAGGAATCTTCTTAGATGCATGCTTCAGGAACATGATGCAGGATTCTAGTGGGTTTGGAGTGAGAATCCTTTAATTGATAGTAAGCTCTTTAGGTGCTGAGACTGAAAGTAGGGCCAATGACACTTTGCTCTTAAAAAAGCTCAAAGTGGAGTTATGACGTTTTCAAATACAGTGACTGATCCCAGTGAAATCTTTGGGCTACCAAGTGAGCTTCACACTCAACACTTAATAAACACTGGTGATCAAATGCATTAAAATTTGAGGAATTGTAAGTCTAAGTTACTGATGTTGAGCTCTCATCCATTTTGAAGGAGGCTAAGCAAAGGTGTACTTGATGAATATCTCGATGAGTATTTTAGCAAGTGTAAAAGGAAACAGGTTAGAAAAAAATAGTAAAAAAAAAAAAAGTAAAACTCCAGAATTTTCTTTTTATTTATTTATTTATTTATTTATTTATTTATTTATTTATTTTTTTATTGATCATTCTTGGGTGTTTCTCGCAGAGGGGGATTTGGCAGGGTCACAGGACAACAGTGGAGGGAAGGTCAGCAGATAAACAAGTGAACAAAGGTCTCTGGTTTTCCTAGGCAGAGGACCCTGCAGCCCTCCGCAGTGTTTGTGTCCCTGGGTACTTGAGATTAGGGAGTGGTGATGACTCTTAACGAGCATGCTGCCTTCAAGCATCTGTTTAACAAAGCACATCTTGCACCACCCTTAATCCATTCAACCCTGAGTGGACACAGCACATGTTTCAGAGAGCACAGGGTTGGGGGCAAGGTCACAGATCAACAGGATCCCAAGGCAGAAGAATTTTTCTTAGTACAGAACAAAATGAAAAGTCTCCCATGTCTACCTCTTTCTACACAGACACGGCAACCATCCGATTTCTCAAACTTTTCCCCACCTTTCCCCCCTTTCTATTCCACAAAACTGCCATTGTCATCATGGCCCGTTCTCAATGAGCTGTTGGGTAAACCTCCCAGACGGGGTGGTGGCCGGGCAGAGGGGCTCCTCACTTCCCAGTAGGGGCGGCAGGGCAGAGGCTCCCCTCACCTCCCAGATGGGGCGGCTGGCCGGGCGGGGGGCTGACCCCCCCCCACCTCCCTCCCGGACGGGGCGGCTGGCCGGGCAGAGGGGCTCCTCACTTCCCAGTAGGGGCGGCCAGGCAGAGGCGCCCCTCGCCTCCCGGACGGGGCGGCTGGCCAGGCGGGGGGCTGATCCCCCCACCTCCCTCCCGGACGGGGCGGCTGGCCAGGTGGGGGGCTGAACCCCCCATCTCCCTCCCGGACGGGGTGGCTGCCGGGCGGAGACGCTCCTCACTTCCCAGACGGGGTGGCTGCCGGGCGGAGGGGCTCCTCACTTCTCAGATGGGGCGGCTGCTGGGCAGAGGGGCTCCTCACTTCTCAGACAGGGCGGTTGCCAGGCACAGAGGGTCTCCTCACTTCTCAGACGGGGCGGCCGGGCAGAGACGCTCCTCACATCCCGGATGGGGCGACAGGGCAGAGGCGCTCCCCACATCTCAGACGATGGGCGGCAGGGCAGAGACGCTCCTCACTTCCTAGATGGGATGGCGGCTGGGCAGAGACGCTCCTCACTTTCCAGACTGGGCAGCCAGGCAGAGGGGCTCCTCACATCCCAGACGATGGGCGGCCAGGCAGAGACGCTCCTCACTTCCCAGACAGGGTGGCGGCCGGGCAGAGGCTGCAATCTCGGCACTTTGGGAGGCCAAGGCAGGCTGCTGGGAGGTGGATGTTGTAGCGAGCCGAGATCACGCCACTGCACTCCAGCCTGGGCACCATTGAGCACTGAGTGAAGGAGACTCCGTCTGCAATCCCGGCACCTCGGGAGGCCGAGGCTGGCGGATCACTCGCGGTTAGGAGCTGGAGACCAGCCTGGCCAACACAGCGAAACCCCGTCTCCACCCAAAAAATACGAAAACCAGTCAGGCGTGGCGGTGCGCGCCTGCAATCGCAGGCACTCGGCAGGCTGAGGCCGGAGAATCAGGCAGGGAGGTTGCAGTGAGCCGAGATGGCAGCAGTACAGTCCAGCTTCCGCTCGGCATCAGAGGGAGACCGTGGAAAGAGGGAGAGGGAGAGGGAGAGGGAGAGCCAGAATTTTCTTTACATATTTTATTTTGGTATTGAATCTACTTTAATCCATACTATTAAAGATAACCTTTTAGTTTATTTTTCAAGTAATATAGGCATATTAAATATAACTGTCTATATAAAAAAAAACACTTTATTTTTTTGGCTCATTTCCTTTTTTTTTAGGAGAAAACTCCACAAGTAAAATTGTTGGATGAAACCAGCATTAACTTGAAAACTTTTGAAATGGCATAATTGACCTTTGGAAAGATTGTAACACTCCCAGCAGACTTACTTTTAAGTTTTGAATTGTTCCTAAATTTTGACATATTTCAATTTTTAATTTCTCTTTAAGCTTCTTAAATGAACATTCATTTATTCATTAATTCATTAATTCCCCTAATCACTTTTTTATTCACTGATAGCTCCTAATGTTTGCCCCAAATCATTATAAGCATGGGAGGGAGATGATGATAAGAAGAAAGGGTTATTATGCATATTTATAAAAATGAGATAGTTTGTAAGCAGCATGGCATGTAAACTCACAAGATCTTCATTTCAAAACTAACTTCTGTGTATTATTGTATGTCACTTGACATTTTTTAGGGTGTAGTTGATCATCTGAAAAAATCAAAAAGACAATAACACTGTCAAATAAGCATATATGTAAGTGTTTTGAAAACCAAAAATCTACTAACAAATTGCGGCTGTGAGTTGCTTGACAAATGCAAGATGCAAATCTTTATACCCTCTATCATTTATTTTCTAATTTCTCCTTCCTTTTCTTATACTGCTTTCATCTTTTAGATTTTATATATGAGTTTAATAGACAAAACATTACTTAAAAGGTATATTATTCTGGTGTTTAAAAAATTTAGAAAACATGAGGCAAAAAAAAAAAAAAAGAAAATATGAGACAATATACTGTGAAAATTCTCCTCCTTACTGTAGGGCCCAGCCATTCTGTGTTACTTTTTGAAGGCTCGGATTTTCTAGTTTCTTATGTATTCTTGCATAGTCTCTAATGTAGTCTCTCTTTCTCTCTCCATATACATACATATGTATCCCACTTTACTCAAAAGGATTGAGTATTACATTCACCATTTCACACTTTTGTTTATTCACTTAAAGTCATTTAAAATACATGTTAAAGATTGTCCCATGTGGGCTTATAACTTTGTTTTTACAGCTGTACATTAGTCCATTGTGTATATACCATAAATTATTTAAACAGCTTGCTATTGATGGATTACTGTTGCTTTTGAAATTTGTTTTTAAAATTTTAGAGCAATGCTCCATGTCATTTCACACATGTGATTAGAAGTATAGTACACATTTCTATAATTGGAATTGGCTGTTCAAAGAGTGGATGCATCTATAACTTATAATTCCTCTTGAATTTCACTTTATAGATGTTATACTAGTTTATATACTATGAGAAAACATGAGAGTACATGAATTTTCTCATAATCACTCTCATGATATTTTAACAGATCATTCCAAATTAGGTAAATAAAAATAAATGAATAAAAGGTATCTCACAGTGTTTTAAATTTGACTTTATTCTACTGTGAGAATCGTTGAACCACTTTCCAACTGGTTAAGGAAATAGTCTTTTTCTGTTTATCATCGTCTTCCTATATTATTACCTGTTTTTGCTGATTTCATTTTTACGTGGATAGTTTAATGGATATTTCCTCATACGTGAATTTACATGTATTCTTTTTCATGTAATAAATTGCAAATATTCCTCAACTTTGTGATTCGATGTTTTAACTTGTTTTTTCTCATACTTTTATCATTATGAACACTGTACATTTTCTTACTTTTTAAAATTTTACTTCAAGTTCTGGCATACCTGTGCAGAACCTGCAGGTTTGTTACATTGACATACATGTGCCATGGTGGTTTGCTGCACCCATCAACCTATCCTCTAAATTCCCTCCCCTAGTTCCTCACCTCCCAGTCCCTGGTCTGTGTTGTTCTCCTCTCTGTGTCCATGTGTGTTCTCATTATTCAACTCCCACTTATGAGTGAGAACATGAGGTGTTTGGTTTTCTGCTCCTGTGTTAGTTTGCTGAGGATGATAGCTTCCAGCTTCATCCATGTCCCTGAAAAGGACATGATCTCATTCCTTTTTATGACTGCATAGTATTCCATGGTATATATGTACCACATTTTCTTTATCAAGTCTATCATTGATGCACATTTGGGTTGGTTCCATGTCTTTGCTAAATAGTGCTGCAATAAACATATGTGTACATGTGTCTTTATAGTAGAATCATTTATATTCCTTTGGGTGTATACCCAGTAATGGCATTACTGAGTCAAATTGTATTTCTGGTTCTAGATCCTTGAGGAATCGCCATACTATCTTCCACAATGGTTGAACTAATTGACATTCCCACCAACAGTGTAACAGCATTTCTATTTCTCCGGAGCCTCACCAGCATCTATTGTCTCCTGACTTTTTAATAGTCACCATTCTGACTGGAGTGAGATGGTATCTCATTGTCGTTTCAATTTGCCTTTCTCCAATGATCAGTGATGTTGAACTTTTTTTGCATATGTTTGTTGGCCGCATAAATGTCTTCTTTTGAGAAATGTCTGTTCATATCCTTGGCCCACTTTGTGATGGAGTTGTTTGTTTTTTTCTTGTAAATTTGTTTAAGTTCCTTGTAACTTCTGGATATTAGACTTTTGTAGATGGGTAGAGTGCAAGAATTGTCTCCTATTTTGTAGGTTGCCTATTCACTCTGATGATAGTTTCTCTTGCTGTACAGAAGCTCTTTGGTTTCATTAGATTACACTTGTCAATATTGGCCTTTGTTGCAATTGCTTTTTGTGTTTTCATCATGATGTCTTTGCCAATGCCTATGTCCTAAATAGTATCACCTAGGTTTTCTTCTAGGATTTCTATGGTTTGGGGTTTTATATTTAAGTCTTTAGTCCTTCTTGAGTTAATTTTAGTATAGGGAGTATGGAAAGGGTCGAGTTTCTGTTTTCTGCATATGGCTAGCCAGTTTCTCCAGCACGATTTATTGAATAGGAGATCTTTTCGTCATTGCTTGCTTGTTTTTGTCAGGTTTGTTGAAGATCAGATGTTTGTAGATGTATGGTGTTATTTCTGAGGTCTCTGTTCTGTTCCATTGATCTCTATGTCTGTTTTGGTACGAGTACTCTGCTGTTTTGGTTACTGCAACCTTGTAGTATAGTTTGAAGTCATGTAGCATGATTCCTGTAGCTTTGTTCTTTTTGCTTAGGATTGTCTTGGCTATGCAGGGTATTCTTTGATTCCATATGAAATTTAAAGTAGTTTTTTTTCTAATTCTGTGAAGAAAGTCAATGGTACCTTGATGGGGGTAGCATTGACTCTATAATTTACTTTGGGCAGTATGGCCATTTTCAAGATATTGATTCTTCCTATCCATGAGGATGGAATGCTTTTCCATTTGTTTGTGTCCTCTCTTATTTCCTTGAGAGGTGGTTTGTAGTTCTCCTTGAAGAGGTCCTTCACATCCCTTGTTAGCTGTATTCCTAGATATTTTATTCTCTTTGAAGCAATTGTGAATGGGAGTTCACTCATGATTTGGCTTTTTGTTTGTCTCTTATTTGTGTATAGGAATGCTTGTGATTCTTGCACATTAATTTTGTATACTTAGACTTTGCTGAAGTTGCTTATCAGCTTAAGATTTTGGGCTGAGACAATGGGATTTTCTAAATATGCAATCATGTCATCTGCAAACAAAGACAATTTGACTTCCTCTCTTCCTATGTGAATACCCTTTATTTCCTTCTCTTGCCTGATTGTCCTGGCCAGAATTTCCAGTACTATGTTGAATAGGAGTGGTAAGAGAGGGTGTCCTTGCCTTGCACCGGTTTTCAGAAGGAATACTTCCAGCTTTTTTCCATTCAATGTGATATTGGTTGTGGGTTTGTCATAAGTAGCTCTTATTATTTTGAGATATGGTTCATCAATACCTAGTTTATTGAGAGTTTTTAACATGAAGGGATGTTGAATTTTTTCAAAGGCGTTTTCTGCAATTTTTTGAGATAATCATGAGGTTTCTGTCTTTGGTTATTTTTATGTGATGGATTACGTTTATTGATTTGCATATGTTGACCCAGCCTCACATCCCAGAGAGGAAGCTGACTTGATCACAGTGATAAGTTTTTTATGTGCTGCTGGATTTGGTTTGCCAATATTTTATTGTGGATTTTCACATCAACATTCATTAGGGATATTGACCTGAAGCTTTTGTTGTTGTTATGTCTCTGCCAGGTTTTGGCATCGGGATGATGCTGGCTTCATACAATTAGTTAGGGAGGAGTCCTTCCTGTTCACTTGTTTGGAATAGTTTCAATAGGAATGGTACCAGCTCCTTTTTCTACCTCTGATAGAATTTAGCGGTGAATCCATCTGGTCCTGGACTTTTTTTGGTTGGTAGGCTGTTAGTTACTGCCTCAATTTCAGAACTTATTAGTCTGTTCAGGATTCGACTTCTTCCTGGTTTAGTCTTGGGAGGGTATATGTGTCCATTTCTTCTAGATTTTCTAGTTTATTTGCATATAGGTGTTTATAGTATTCTCTGATGGTAGTTTGTATTTCTGTTGTGTCAGTGGAGGATTCCCCCTTATCATTTCCAATTGTGCTTATTTGAATCTTCTCTCTTTTCTTCTTTATTCGTCTAGATAGCAGTCTATCTATTTTGTTAATTTAGAAAAAACAGCTCCTGGATTCATTGATTTTTTGGAGGGTTTTTCATGTTTCTATGTCCTTCAATTCTGCTCTGATCTTAGTTATTTTTTGTCTTCTGCTTGCTTTAGTATAGTTTGCTCTTGTTTCTCTATCTCTTTTAATTGTGATGTTATGGTGTCACCTCCATACAAAGGGCGTGACCATTGCCAGGTCATCTACAATGGAAGCCCATCAGACTGACAGCAGACCTGTCAGCAGAAACCCTACAAGAAGAAGAGACTGGGGGCCAATATTCAACATGCTTAAAGAAAAGAATTTTCAACTCAGAATTTCACATCCAGCCAAACTAAGCTTCATAAGTGAAGGAGAAATAAAATCCTTTCCAGACAAGCAAATGCTGAGGGATTTCATCATCACCAGGCCTGCCTTGCAAGAGCTTGTGAAGAAAGAACTAAACATGGAAAGGAAAAACTGGTATCAGCCACTGAAAAACACACCAAAATATAAAGACCATAACACTCTGAAGAAACTGCATCAACTAGTGTGCAAAATAACCAGATAGAATCATGAAGACTGGATCAAATTCGCACATAAAAATACTAACCTTAAATGTAAATGGGCTAAATGCCCCTTTTAAAAGACACAGACTGGCAAATTGGAGAAAAAGTCAAGACCCATCAGTGTGCTGTATTCAGGAGACCCATCTCACTTCAAAGACACACATAGGCCCAAAATAAAGGAATGGAGGAAAATTTACCAAGCAAATGGAAAGCAAAAAAAGCAGGGATTGTAATCCTACTCTCCAAAAAAACAGACTTTATACCAACAAAGATCAAAAGAGACAAAGAAGGGTAAAGAAATCAATTCAACAAGAAAAGGTAACTATCCTAAATGTATGCACCCAATACAGGGGCACCCAGATTCATGAAGCAAGTTCACAGAGACCTACAAAGAGACTTAGACTCCTATATAATAGTAGTGGGAGACTTTAACACCCCATTGTCAATATTAGACAGATGAATGAGAGAGGAAATTAACAAGGATATTCAAGACTTGAACTCAGCTCTGGGCCAAGTGGACCTAATAAACATCTACAGAACTCTCCACCCCAAATCAACAGAATATACATTTTTCTCAGTGCCTCATGGCACTAATTCTGAAATAGACCACATAATTGGAAGTAAAACCCTCCTTAGCAAATGCAAAAAAACAAACAAACAAAAAAACCTGAAATCATAACAATAGTCTCTCAGACCACAGTGCAATCAAATTAGAAATCAGGATTAAGAAATTCAGTCAAAACCACACAGTTACATGGAAATTGAACAACTTGCTCTTGAATGACCCTGGGTAAATAATGAATTTAAGGCAGAAATCAAGAATTTCTTTGAAACCAATGAAAATAAAAAGACCAAATACCAGAATTTCTGGGACACAGCTAAAGCAGTGTCAAGAGGAATATTTTAGCACTAAATGCCCACTCAGAAAGCTAGAAAGATCTCAAATGGACACTCGAACTCTATACATTTTCTAACTATTTCTGGGTTTCATATCACATTAAATAGAACATCGTCAGCTGGAGATCTTTAAAGTATATTATTATTTTACTAGTACTATGAAGTTTAAGTGTATATTTCATCATAAACTTATTTTTATGTATTTTTTATCTATTACTCTGTTTACTTATTTTTGACAGCTTTCTAATTATGCAAATATTCTATTAGTAATATGCATTTTACCGAATTACCTACTATATAATCTTTTTCATACAATAATTCTGTAATACATTTTAGCCTATCTCTGGACTTTCCATTCTGTTGTATTGATCTGTCTATCCAACCTCATCCTTTTAACTAACTATGTTAACTTTAAAATAGTTAAAATAGTTTAAAATAGTTAAAATAGTGTAACTATGTTAAAATAGTGTAACTATTTTAAAATAGTTAAAATAGTGTAACTATGTTAAAATAGTGTAACTATTTTAAAATAGTTAAAATAGTGTAGCTATTTTAAAATAGTCAAACTATTTTAAAATAGTTTTTAAATATTTAAATTTAAATATTTTAAAATAGCTAAATAATAGTTTTAAAATAGTTATAATAGTTTAACTATTTTAACTTTAAAATTATATTTATATAATTTATATAATTATATTTAAATATATATTATACACAGTTCCCCCTTATTATTGTTCCCTTTCATAATTATTCTGACTTCTATTATGTATTAATGATGCCATATGCCTGTAGAAGCAGCTAATATCATTCTCCCACAAAAGTCCCTATTGATATTTTTGCTGGGCCATAGAGTGTTATAAGTTAATTCAGGTAGATTTTGAGTACTTATAAAATTGTGTCTTCCTTTACAAGAGTATGGTAACATTTTCCCTCTTTTAATGGTCCTATTGTGACTCTCATTAGCATTAAAGACATTTATATTTATGGATATCTGGAACATTTTTATTCATAGGCATTACGGGATATTACATATTACATTTTTTGTTAGTTTATAAACTATAACTTGTTATGGTTTGTATTATAAAATCTATTAATTTCTGTGCCTTACTGAGTTGTCATTACTAACAGTTTTTCAGAGAATCCTCTTAATTTATGTGAAGCATATAATTATATACAGCATTTTTATGTGTACAATCATATACTTTGCCAATACACAAATAATTATATTTCTTTCTTTCTTGTTTACATTTTCTTTATTTTCTCTTGTCCAGTTGTATGTCAGTAATTTCATACATTGATAAAATAATTCTGTTAATGTATGGTCTTTTTTAACAATAACATAAATATTACTGGTGAAGCTTACTTAAGCATATAGTTAACTTTGTTTTCCTAATTTTAAATTTTAGTTTTTATGAGTACATAATAGGTATATATATTTATGCGGTACATGAGATATTTTGATATGGGCATCCTGTGTGTAATAATCACATCAGAGTAAATGAGGTATCCTTTACTGCAAACATTTGTCATTTATTTGTGTTACAAACATTCCAATTATAGTCTCTTAGTTATTTAAAAATGTACATAAATTGTTGTTCACTGTAGTCACCCTCTTGTGCTATCAAATACTAGATTCCTTTTTGTCTAACTATATTTTTGTCCCCATTCCTTAAGCATCTAGTCAACTTTGGATTAATGTCAATATAATTTTAATCAAAGGAAATATCCATTTACTTCTTGGTCCCCCACAATAATTACTATTTCGTTTTATAAATACCTTTGGAAAAGTTATTTATGAAGCTGATCATCTTGATTTCTTCTCTGATTTACTGAAGTGGAGAATAATATGAATAGACATGCTAAGATGTAATAATTGCACCATTCCTAATGTAAACATCATGTCATGTTTTTGTATTGTTAAAATTTGCTCTTGATTGTTTGCTAATATTCCTAGATAAAATCTGACTCCAGTTTTATTTTTGACATTCTTGATTGTGTTTTGAATTTAATATTAGGTAGATGATACAAATAATTGAGAATGTTTATTTTGTATGATTTAGAATACTTTAAAATGCATTAAGATCTTTCTGTCCTTTAAATGGTTGGTAAAATTCTTATGTGAACTTGTCTGGGCCTGGCATTTTCTTAGGAAAAAGTTAATTTATTTGATTACTTTGAGCAATTTGTACAGATTTTCAGCTTTTCTGGAGGCAGTTTTGGTCATTTGTGTTTTTCAACTTTTACTTGAAAATTTTACTTTTCTGTGTAAATTATTTTTTTAAATCTAGGTTTTAAACTTTATTTGCATAACACTTAACAATAAGGCCTATATTATTATCATTGACATCAGAATCTATTATTTTCCCTAAAAATTTGCAATGATAAAATGTATCATATGTACGATACTATGTAAAATAATTTTAAGTAATATAATATATCTGATATATAATATATAAGATATTTTAAATATTTTAAAAATGTCAAACAAAACCCATGTTAACCCGGCTAAGACTGAAAACATTGGTATCATTTGTGCATCTCCTAGTAGACATGTGCAAGTGTGTGTACTATTGAGAATTAAAATGCTGATCATAGTGTATGAATATTTTCAAATGTACTAGGTATTTACAGACAAAGTATACATAAAAGTATATAATTAAATTTCTGACTGGTCATCTCCGATAGCTCTCAAGACTTTAAATCCATACCAATAATTCAAACATACCTAATTGTTAATTTTTGCCAATATTTGAGTTATTAAATGATATTTCAAGGTGGCTTCAACTGGTTTTTTCCTGATTAGTAGAAAAAGTTGAGTTCCTATTAATATTTTTGCATGTGGATTTATCATTCGATGAAGTATCTGATTAGAGGTTTTCTGCATTTTTCTTAAAAGTTTGAGGAAGTTCTTCATTTATGCTAGAGACTAGTTGTTTGTCAGTATGTATTCCAAATCATACCTCTTACTATATGACGTTTTCACTCTCTTTATAGTGGTTTTTGATGAGTGGAAATGCTTAATCTAAGTGAAGTAGAATGTACTGTTAAGAATGTGGTTAGTATTTTATGCATTTTATTTAGGAATATATTCCCTAACTGAGAATTCAAAGATATTTTACTAATATCCTTAAAGTCTTCATAAATTTGCCCTCAAAATTTCAGGCCACAATCCCTCAGGAACTGATTTTGTATAAAATATGAGGTTAAACTTCATTTTTATCTCAAATGAATACCTAATTTATCAGCATCGCTGAGAATAATAATAAATCTTGTCCTTTTCTCATTGATTTAAAGAGGTATGTCACATGTCAAGCATCCATATATGTGTGCCTTAAGTTCTTGGTTCTGTATTCTGATATATTGGCATTTTTGTCCGCATTTGGAAAATCAATTATTTATTTTAATCACTCTAGTAATAACTCTTGATATCAGGTACAGGGGCTTCCTACTTGTTCTTTTTCAACAGGTTCCTGACCCTTACACACACACACACACACACACACACACACACACACACACACACACACATGAAAACCCTGCTGAGATTTTAATTAGAATTGCATTGAATGTACATAAAATATAGTGTGATTTACAATCTTTCCAATGTATCAGTTCATCTATAATACAGGATATTTGTTTCTATAAATCTCTGTTCTGTGCAAAATCACTTAACCAAAGGGCTGGGGGAATATGGTGTTTTGGGGAAAAAAAACACTTAAAAATTATTCATACATAAAGATATAGATATCTAATAAAATAGTGGCAAATTTTTACATGTTATGTGTTTAAAATACATATAGACTACAATAAATATGACACTTTATCTTGAAAGACACCTGATGTTTACTTGTGAAAGTAGACATTGGAATGGTTGCAACTTGTGAGGTATTATGAAGTGATGAGAGGAGGATTATTTGAAATCAGATAGTTGTAACACCAGGTGTAGATTAGTGTGTCTTATAACAAACATGGTAAACTGAGATAGCCAGTACAGGTTTGAGATGTGTGTATGAGTTTTCTGTGTTCCTATGTGGTTCTGTTCATCTGGGTGCAGTTTCGCAGTCACCTATTGTTTTTAACTTTTGAAATTGAACAAAAGCAAACAGAAAATATGCCTTAGTCTCTAATATATCAATTGCATTGAAGAATAAAATTTTAGCACAAATTTTGTTACATAATTGTATTAGTCCATTTTCACACTGCTGATAAAGACATCCAAGACAGGGCAATTTACAAAAGAAAGAAGTTTATTGGACTTATACATGGCTAGGGAGGCCTCACAATCATGGCAGAAGGTTAAAGGTAAACTCACATGGTGGCAGACAAGAGAGAAGAGAGCTTGTAGAGGGAAACTCTCCTTTTTAAAACCATTAGATCTTGTGAGACTCAATCACTATCACAAGAACAGCACAGGAAAGACCCATCACCATAATTCAATCACCTCCCACCGGGTTCCTCCTATGACATGTGGGAATCATGGTAGTTAGAATTCAAGATGAGATTTGAGTGGGGACACAGCCAAACCATATCAATAATTGATTGTATTGAGTTTTACAATCTATGACTATAGTATAATTGTCCATTAATTTAGGAATTCTTTATTGTCTTTGAATGAAGCTTATTTATTCTTTCTTTTCATTTGCTCCCTAAGAGATTATGCATATCAATTGTTATACTTGTCTATTTGATTTTTATTCTTTGTAAAATATATAAATCTTATTAATATTTTTTAAATTTTTGACAAATTTTTAGTGCCAGTCTATAGAGACACAATTAATTTATTGATGTTGGCTTTTAAAATCTGCCAGTCTGCTAAACTCTCCTAACAATTCTAATAACTTAGAACTGATTATCTCTTATATGAAATATATACAATTATATTACTTGCAAATAATAACAGCACTCCATTTATGGTCCTTATAGTTTTTCTAATTGCTTTATTGCACAAATAAGGAATTCCAGAACAATATTTTAGAATATTGACTGTTGCAATTCTAAACAATTCAATGTATTGTAAATTCAATCTATTGATTGTTGTATTCTAAAATATTGTAAAGCAATATTTTAGAATATTGTCATGTTGCTGGTCATACATGGAGAGCTTTTACTATATGTTTAATTAATGTTATATTTAGAGGACTTTTGCAGTAGATACCCTTAATCAGATTAAATATATTATTTTAAGAGCTTGATAAGAATTTTTATAAAATATTTTTATAGTTTTTGCTCACCTATTTAAATGTACAAATTATCTGTCCCTAATAAGTTGTAATTACAAGCCATCCCTTGTAATATTTAAAGGGATCATGACTGAGGATTTTCAAGTGATGAAAGATATCAATGTACAGATTTAAGAATACAAGCATGTTAAATAAAAATAACAACAAACAAAACAAATCCATGCCTAGAATGAGATTTCATATGAACAAGAGGAAACAAAAAGCAAAGAAAGATCTTAATATGAGACCCTTTTAGCATTTGATGTAAGGGAAAATGTCTCAGCTGTCTCAGTTTTAGCTTTAAGTAAGGGTGTGTAATGTTTTGGTGCTCCAGTTTACAAGGAAAGCTTTTCTTATTAGATTCCTCATTTTGAACAGGCCCCCAACTTTTTTATCTGTATCTTTCAAGGCTATTAAATCTAAAGCTCAGCTTTTCCAAGTTTGAGAACTGCCCTGAGACAAAGTAGCTCTGGTGCTTTGCTTTCCTCTACGAATTGCCGTTTTTAATTATAATTAGCCTGATGATGTAATCGCTTATTCTATAATAATTTTAAGAAGATTTAAAAAAATATTGTAAATAGAATGTCACTTAATGATGGATGGGGTCTTTATACTTATACCCATTCAGTTATTTCATCTCCTCTTTTCTTATTTTAGGTATTTGTTCTTTCCTCTTTTTTTAATGGACAGGAAATAAATCCTAATGGTTATTGATCATTTTATTTCATTTTATTTTTATTATTTTAATTGATAGATGATATTGTATATATTCTTGGTATATAACAGGATATTTTGATACATGTATACATTGCAAAATGACTATATCAATTTCATTAACATTTCCATCATATTACATACTTATTTTTTTGTGGTGTGAACATTTATAATCTATTCTCTTAGCAATTTGCAAGTACATAATATAGTATTACTAACTGTAGCCACCAAGCCATACAATAGATGCCCAGAACTTATTCCTCGAGTTTAACTGAAACTCTGTACCCTTTAAATAACATGCCCCCGTTTCCTGACATCCTTGCCCCTGGCCCCAGCCTCTGGTAACCATCACTGTATTTTCTGTTTTCATAAGTTGGCTTTGTAAAATCCCAAGTATAAGTGACATCATACAGTATTTATCTTTCTGTGCCTGTCTTATTTCACTTAATATAATGTCTTCCAGTTTCATCCAGGTTGTTGCAAATAATGGGATTTCATTATTTTATAAGACTGAATGGTATTCCATTTTGTATGTATACTACATTTTGTTTATCCATTTTTCTATCCATGGACACTGAGGTTGATGCCATATCTTAGCTACTGTAAATAATGCTACAGCGAACATAGGAGTGCACATATCTCTTTGACATAATGTTTTTATTGCCTGTGCATATACACTGAAAAATAGAATTACTGGATTATATGGTAATTATATTTTTAATTTTTTGAGGAATCTCTATACTGTTTTTCATAATAGCTATGCTAACTTACATTCCCACCAACAATAGTCAAGGGTTTTCTTTTCTACACATCCTCACCATAATCTGTATTTCATCTTTTTAATAATTGCCTTCTAACAGGTATGAAGTGGCATCTCATTGTGGTTTTAATTTGCATTTCTCCAATGAGTAATGATGTTTAATATCTTTTCATATACCTGTTGACCATTTGCAAATCTTGTTTTGAAAAATGTCTCTTCAGATCTTTTGCCCATTGTTTAATTAGGTTATTTGTTTTCTTCCTATTGAGTTGAGTTCTTTATATATTTTGAATATTAGCCATTTATCAAAAATATGGTATGCAAATATTTTCTCCTTTTTCTTACATTGTTTTTTCACCATGTTTATTGTTTTCTTTGCTGTGCAGAAGCATTTTAGTTTGATACAATCCCATTTGTCTATTTTGTTGTTGTTGTCTGTTCTTTGAGGGTCATATCCAAAAAATCCTTTCCAAGACCAACATCATGAATTTTTTCCCTATGCATTCTTCCGGTAGCTTTTCAGTTTCAAGTAATACATTTAATTGTTTAATAAATTTTGATTGACAAATTTTAGAATTGTTTTTCTCTTTCTGTGAAAAATATAATTGTAATTATGATTGAGATTGCATTGAATTTATAGATTGTTTTGGGTAGTAGTGACATTTATAACAATATTAATTCTTCCAATCCATGAACATGGGTATCTTTCCATTTATTTGTGTCTTCTTTGATTTCTTTAATCAGTGTGTTACAATTTTCAGTGTAGAGATCTTTAATCTCCTTGATTAAATTTACTCCTCAGTATTATTTCTTTGTAATTACTGATAATGGGAGTCACTTCTTAATTTCTTTTTCAAATGGTTTATTGTTAGTATATACAAACGCTACTATTTTCGATGTTGAAAATTCTTTAATATTGGATAACTCATCATGTTATCGGTGGAAGGTATCCAACTTACCAGCAGCAAATCTGGGGTCTGCAGCAACCTCAATTATTGCCTCCTCAGAAGAAGAAATTCAATTGAGGGGCATACGGCAAAAAAAGAAGCCCAAGTTTCAGAGTAGGAGTGGAAATTTATTTAAAAAGGCTTTAGAACAGGAGAGAAAGTACAGTACAGTTGAAAGAGACCCTAGCACATGACTTGAAGGACAATTGCAATTTTTAACCATGATCCTGGGACTTTATAGGCTGGCCTCTTTCCCATGATTTTTCCCTTAGGGTGGGCCGCCCACATGTGCAGTGTCCTCCTTACTCTTGGGAGGTGAGCACGCACACTGTGTTTAGGAAGTGTAGGCATGCCCATCTGAGGCTTTCTTCCTTTGCTGTGGTGTGCCTCCAGAAGGTCATACTCTGCCATTTTGTCTCTTCATGTGTAGGCCCAGGAATTTGCTTTTCCTTGGTGTCTGCATGCAATTAACACTTTAGTACCACAGGTGTGCACCATCAGGAATTGGCCCCTCCCTGGCTCAGGCTGCCAATTTATCACTTTTATAGATAATATGATAATTGCCAAACAGTCACCTGACATTCCCAGTGGGTCAAGGGAGAGCCCTCCCCTGTCCCGCTCATGCCTGTTTAAATAATTGTGACAATCATATGTCATTTCTATCAATATCATCATTCAGCTTAATTCACTTTGTCTTTGGGATATTCAAAATCATGTCATAACACCACTTAAAAGCAGCCAAGTTATGTTTGGGGGTGATATGGTTTTGATATTTGTTCCCTCCAAATCTCATGTTGAAATGTGACCACCAATGTTGGAAGCGGAACCTAGAAGGAGGTTTTGGATCATGGGGGTGGATCCATCATCACTGGCTTGGTGCTGTCTTCATGGTAACATGTGAGTTCTCACTCTGTAAGTAATTTTGAGGACTGTTATTTAAGAGTCTGGCATCTCTCTGCACCATCTCTTGCCATGTGACATGATGGCTCCCCCTTGCTTTCAATCATGATTTTAAGCTACCTAAGGCCCTCACCAGAAGCAGCTGACAGGACCACACTTCCTGTATAGCCTACAAATCTGTGAGCCAAAATAAATTACCCATGCTCTGGTATTCCTTTATTACAATGAAAAATGCCTGACGCTGGGAGTAAGATATTCTTTTGCTGAAAATCTAAATTTCATAACATAGAAAACAATTATCTTTAAATTGATATTTTAAACTTGAAGGATTTCTTTTGTAAAAGAGAGCTAATGCCTATATTTGAGATTTTATTTCTTAATATAAGAAACATAATAAGGTCTTTGTACCTTTTAAAGAATACAGTTAGATGACAGAAGAAGAAAACAAAACAAAACAATGAGCTATACCTGAGGCTCTGACTCTAGCACTTGGAGTTTAAATCGAAGAGGCAGCCTGAAATGAGAAGCCCGGACAGCTCTGTGCCTTGTCTTACAGCATCAGCCTGACCTCAATGTAAATTGTCTTTAGATAGTGGGGTCAAATGAGAAAATTTTTAGAGAAGTAAAGAAAACACAACTTTAACTAGAAGACGGCTGCCCCTGGGGATTCATTTGAATCTTTTGAAAGCTTTACTTGTCTACTGTTGAGAAAGCATGAAAAGAGATATGCCTCAACCATTCATGTCTCTGTTCTCAATAGATACTACTCTGCGAAAGAAAGAACATATTTTTGTATTCTGGCTTTAAGAAGGTCAAATTTGATTTCATTGTAATGTCACTATTACATGCATTGCCCGGCAGAGGAGAAAGGAAAATGTTTAAATGAGGACAAAGTCCTAGGGTACTCCCCTCGTTATGGAATAAGTCTGTTGCTCACAGGATTGAAAAATGTATTGGGACTCACTTACAAATAGAGTATAGTACAGGTTATATTTTAGTTGAATAATCACATCAAAATTAAAATAAATATCCAGATAGGGACAGGACAATAAAAAAAATAGTTGGCAAATATTGTTAAGGACTTAGAAAAATATCCAAGACTGTCAACATTATGCACCAACAATATTTAGAGAATTTGTATGTATTTTCATTACTGATTTGTCAACACTGATACAGGATTTGACCTGACATTACTAATGTCATCATTAAGATTCATAATCTTTCAACTTGCAAATAACAGCAATATGAAAAGGACTGCTAAAAAAAAGTGCTGGCTCTTTCTAGAAGTAAAAAAAAAAAGTATAAAAATCTAAGAAAAGCATGAGATCCTGAAAATGACCAAATAAGAAATGAGACTAGGCTCCTAACCCTGATTTTGGTCTAACACGTGGCCTTGGGCCATTAACCTCACCTCATGGAACTTCAATTTTATATAAAATTGAGGAGAGAAAAGTTTATATGTTCAATACTGTTTTACATGCATTACCTTCTTTCTAAGGAAAGTATGATTTTTTCTATTTTATAATTATTAGGAATAAGGTTCAGAAAGTTCACATGCCTAGGAAAGTATACCCAGTGAGTCGCAAAGTTAGGTTTCTAACCCAGTTACATTAGACAACAGAAGACACATTACTTACATTATATTAAAGATACTTACTAAGGAAGTGAGTTTTTTCCTGAATATTTATGCAACATAGATAATACGTAACATATGCATGATTCTGGTAGCCAAGTAGTAAACATAACAGGCGTATTTGACTGCAATTTCATATTATTGATGGGAAAACAAGCACCCATTAGAGGACTTCCGAGAGCCCGAGTAATTGTCCACATCCTAACATCTCCATAAAATCACTATAAATCAACGTGAAGAACAAATAAAATAATGAAAATCCACACTTTCAAGGAAATAATGCAAAATGAATTATCTGAGAACATAAAGAGTGAGAACAATCAGGCATATTCAAAAAAGAATTAACTTAGAAGAGGAACGAAGCAAAGGTTGTTCCCTCACTTTTTCTGGCTTTTATTCTAAGGGCAAACCATAGACACAACTTTTTGGACTTCTGAATTCCCAATGGAAAAACCATGGTATTTAAGCCTTAAGACTTCAAAATCAAAACGCGGAGTATCCACAATGGCTTGAAAGTGAAAGGAAAGTTCCAAAAGGGAACTTTTCATTCTCACTGTTATTCTGAGGTTTCAACAGATTTTACACATTTTATAATTTTTGCAAATTATGCGTGCCTGAGACAGACCAAAAACAGCCCAGCTAAGAATGAAAGAGATGAACTGAAGTCTGAACAGACATCCAAATGAGAGGTTAGATTTGAGTTTAAGCAACTTAATTGCCTACCAAAACAAATTAGAGAAAAATAAAACTTTGGTAGATTTATAATAGAATCCACAGTGTACAGGATACGATCAAAATTATTCAACATATTAAGAATATACTTAACTAAGGTGAACCAGATATTGAAGTTAGCAGCAAGTATTTTAAAGCAGCCACAATAATCATGCAATACTATAAAAGAAAATGTGTTCTCCATGTATTAAAAAATAGGAAACTGCAAATAGAAAAATAAAAATTATTTAAAAAGAATAAAAAGATTTTACAAGTAAAAATATCTATAATGAAATTTAAATATCTGAAAAGAGTTACAACATAGAAAATATGGGAGAGGAAAAAACCAATGATCTTGAAGGCAGAGCAATAGAAGTTACTCAATTTGAGCCAGAAAGAGAAGAAGAAAGAAAATGAAATGCAGAATCTGTGGAAAAATTTCAAGAGTTTAATATGTATGCAACTGACAATCCAGAAGAGAAGAGACACAATAGGATTAAAATTAATAAAAATAATTAAAGAAACATCATAGAACATTAGCCAAATTTTAGTGAAATACATAAATTTATTCATGAAGCTCATCATACACCAACAGTATATATAAAGAAAGAACAGTATACACTGAGAAACAAAGATAAAACAAATTGTTCAACAACAAGAGAATAATAACACCTTACAACAAATTGGCAAAAATTAAAAATCTTGATTTTGTTAGTAATGCTTTGGGGAATCAGGTACTCTAATATTGTCTTTGTGAGGCTGCAAAGTAGCTGAATTTTTATAGAGGCAAATTTGCCAATATTTGAAATGTACACGTGTATTTACCTTTGGTCTACTAGCAATTCTACTTCAAAGACTTTATCCTGAATACACACCTCCAGAAAATATACAATGTTATTATCTGCAGAATTATTTGTGATAGTAAATTATTGAAACAAAAATTCATTTGCCCATCTAAAAAATAGTTGAATATATTAGAGAAATGTGCACCTGTAAAAAATAAGAATGATCTTTGTGAATTACTGTGAAGCTTTCAAAATATAATTTTTAGTGAAAAGTTAAATTATGAAAAATAGAGACATGATAGATGAAGATACTTATCTATACATCTATATGCATAGTATATCCATAAGATACTAGCTACTAAGGGAAAAATGATAACTATACACTAAAGTAACCTATCAGAAAAGACATGAACCAAAGGATCTAATACACAACATCACCATTAATTGATCAATCAGCAAAAGTGTTATTATGCACCAACGACACATCACTAATGTGGTCTCTCTGCAAAAAGTGCATATCATGAATCTTATTATGAGGGAACATCAAAGACAATCTGTGTTCAATTTTACAAAATTAGTAATTTTCATTCATTATAAATACCAGAAAAAGGAAAGACTGAAGTTTGCTAGATTAAAATGCACTGAAGAAACAAGCAATGCATGATCTTGCCTTGTATCGACAACCAGAATAAAAGCATAAATAAAAGTATAAATCACAATATTAGAAATGTGATGATAATTAAATATGGACTATGAATTAAATAATAATACTCTTCATTTTAATTTATATGATTTTCACAATTTTACTATTATGTAAAAGAAAACTCTTAAGATATAGATAATATATTATATATTATCTATATCTTAAGAGTTTTCTCATACATATAATTACCTTTTCTGATGTGTTGTATCCTCATTGGTGAAATTGTATGATAGTTCCTTATCATCTTGCAGATGTAATATCTGAATAATAAGATATATATTATATACATATATTATATATATGTGGGAAAACTCTAAATTCCACAGGAATGTGAATGTGGGTCATTTGAGAGTACAGAGAATATGCTTGTGCTTTCCAAGATAAAAAGTAACTGCAGAAAAAATCAAATGACAGAATATGAAAAAAGGACACCTGGAGCCAAAATAATTTGGGAATTATCAGGTCTTGATTACAAGAGGACATGCTTGGCCCAGTAATGTCATGAAGGGAATGGAAGTGTAAGCTCCTTGCTGACTAAAAGTGTAGGCTGTAAGTCCTAAAGAATATTTGAGATTTGGAAATTGAGTGTTTCATTCCATTTTCTTCCATGTAGAATATGCCTCCCTTTCATTTTAGTAACTCGTGTCAAGATGTAACAGTAGAGTGCAGGAGCAAGAGATTTGTAGTCAGGCAGTGCGGACTTGAACCCACCTCATAGTAATTTTGTGAATTTTCTCAAATTCCCTGACTTTTCTGAGCTCCTGATCTGTAAAATGGGGAAAATAGCAATTTCTTCCTGCTTGTGAGGCTAAGTTGTAATAATGTATATAAATTACGTGTATATAAATATTAATAATTTAAACTGTGTACCATGTCCATTCATGTGGACAGCCCCAGGATGCCTACCTGATATGGTCTGGCTGTGTCCCCACCTAAAACCTCATCTTGAATTGTAATCCCCATAATCTTCATAATCCCCACGTGTCAAGGACAGGACCAGGTGGAGGTATTAATAATTGGATCATGGGAGCGATTTTCCCCATGCTGTTCTCATCATAGTGAATCTTACTAGATCTGATGGATTTATAAACTTCTGGCATTTCCCGTGATGGCACTCCCTCCATCCTGCTGCCCTGTGAGAAAGGTGCCTGCTTCTCCTTTGCCTTCCACCAATGATTTTAAGTTTCCTGAAGCCACCCCAGCAATGCAGAACTGTGAGTCCATTGAATGTCTTTCCTTTATAAATTACCCAGTGTTGAGTATTTCTTTATAGCAGAGTGAGAATGCACAAATACACTACCTCTTACCAAATGTTTGAGATGTTAAAGAGGCAAAGTTTTTCTCCTGTCTTCGAATATAAACTTCTAAATATCAATAAAGAAGGTAGGTGAAAAAAATGAAAGAAAATATTGATACTAGTAACTTGTATTATTTTTCCTATACAGGGCTTTCCCACACACATATCCCAAATTGTATAAGATTCAGGCTATACAAACCCTGCATCAGCCTTCTTATGGGATCATAATTTCTATCCTGGGGAGCTGAAACGCCTCTTCGGTGTATGCAAAGTTAATTACTTTTCTGATCTGTTGTATCTTCATTGGTGAAATTGTATGATAGTTCCTTATCATCTTGCAGATGTAATATCTGAATATTGAAAAAACTGAATTAAAACTATATATAATTGTTTACATGTTAACTGTAATTTTTGATGTGGCTTACCTCCAAATCTCTGGTTCAATTACTTCAGGACATTGGTAGAATGGCATGGAAGTGAGGAAAATGCTTTTTTGCTAGTTAATACAAGTAAGTGTTATTTTATTTTAAGATGTTATTAATAGCTCACTTGTTTTGAAACAAGCCATGATTTGGTTTTGTTGTACTGGATTTCTTTTAATTGTTCTACACTGTCTTGTAATCACTGACATGAACTTGAGAGACAGAGAAAGGAAATATACAGTTCAAGGTCTTCAAGTAGAGCAGAGAATAAGAAAGGGTATGGATTCAGTGTCCTATAACCTAGATCATCCACCTTGACTAATTGACAAAAAGATTTTATATATTCAGATAAGACACATTAACAAAAGGAAGCTTAGAAATGTACTTCCCATGCAGAATACGTGGCAATAAAATAACTCCTTAAGATGCAAGAGCCGAAATTTTACCAATACCAGATGTATGGCAGATTTAAGAGAGAAAACCAAGTGACAAATATACCCCATATTTGATACATTATTGACAAATTCTATAATACCTGCTATGTCACAAAATGTTTAGATAACTGTTCATTAAATGTTTAAAAATCTCTTATCTGCCTGACCTCTCAGACATCCAATGTGACTATGTTAAGTGATAGAAAAATCATGCCACATTGTTTTTACAGAATCCTGGATTTGGAAAGGAAATTTAAACCATTTGTTTACTGCACCTCAGAAATATAATCTATTCTCTATAACTGTGCTCCATTGAACACCAGTATTTGGTAAAATACTGACAAGTGTTTCTACATTATAAAGCAGGCCATCTTGTGGTTGAATGATCAAATTCAGCTATAAAGTACAGTTTACTAATATTAATGCAAAATCCCTCTACCATCCAACTAATCATATTTTTTTGTAGTAACTTAAACACTTCTCCTTTATCTAATTTTTTTAAATGTATGCTGTAGTGGATATTGTGGTTATTCCCTCAATATCCATTCTGCTCCATCCCATTGTATAGCAACTATACTTACTGAATGAGGTTGACTTCAGCAGGACCCTGAGGGTTCTAAGCCATCACTACTGTCTCCAATGCCTCATCTTAGTCCTTCTCACTCTCATCTCACTTCGAGTCTCCTAGAATCACTTGTCTCCTCCCTGATTCCAATCCATCCTTCATGGAACCCATTCTTCGGCAGCCCAGATGATCTTCAGTAGCACAAATCATACTGTTACTTCTCTGTTTTATTTGTGCACAAAATTCTACAACTGTTTTGCATTGCTCTTTGAATAAAATCTATTATGTTTTTCATGGATTGCATATCCACAATGTGACCCACTTTCTTTCTACATTCCTAGACTCATCTCATAACATTCCACAACTAAACCAGTATTGCCTGGCCACAACAGCTTCCTTTTCCTTTCAGTGAAGAACTCAGCTTTTTCTCTACAGATAGAATGTTGCAGTTGTCATTCTTTTACCTGGATTTATTTTCCCACAGCAGTTCATGAGTCTCATTCATTCTCATTTTTCAGATGTGAACAAAATGTAGTTCCTTAGAAGAGTTCCATGACACACTAGTATTACTAAAGTACTCCCTCCGGGGTACTGTATTTCTTGTTCACCAGTTTATTTTTTTAATGGAACACTGCATAAGAAATAATAATATTATATGATTCTTAACTTTTAAATTAAATATCTCACCCACTGGGAATGTGAGCTGCATGAAAATAGGGGATATTTTTGTTCTCTTCACTGCTTTGAAATGAGCACTTGAACAATGACTTTTATATTGTGTTTTGTTACACACCAACACATAATTGTTAAATGCTGAATAAATGAATGGAACTAGCATATAATATTTTATTATTCCTATCAGTCATATTACTAAATAACAAGTATAAATTTGTATAGTAGATAGAGGGCAGTAGTAATAGGAGACAGTGCTTCTAATAGCACATCACAAAATATTAAATTATTTTCACTAACACCATCAGGGTACAGTTTAGCATGAAACAGTAAATTAATCACCTGTCCCATTTAGTATTCCTGACTACACTAGCCTATAATAATTTCTACCTGTGAGCATCCTTAGCCTTTGCTAAATATACAACTCATTTGATATTGGCACACACTGTCCTTTGATATCAAGTATATTAATGCAAATTGCTCTCACATTTATAATTGCTTCATGTTTATAAGAAAGTGTCACATATAAATTCTAGCCTATTATGAGCTGTTATAACCTTCCAAAGCATTCTGAAATATAGGCAATGCTAATCACTAGTAAACACTAGTTTAAGACATAGTAGAAGCCAGAGGAATGAAACAAGGGAATAAGGAGAAATGTATTAAACATTTCCTATTAGCCACAATGCTAAGCATGAATGAGTGGAGTAAACACTAGTTTACTAAATAGTAAATAAATATTTTACTTGGCCAGGTGTGGTGGCTCACACCTATAATCCCAGCACTTTGTGAGGCCAAGGTGGGCGGATCACAAGTCCAGGAGGTCAAGACCATCCTGGCCAATATGGTGAAACCTTGTCTCTACTAAAAATACAAAAATTAGATGAGCATGGTGGCGCATGCCTGTAATCCCAGCTACTTGGGAGGCTGAGGCAGGAGAATCGCTTGAACCAGGGAGTTGGAGGTTGCAGTGAGCTGAGATTACGCCATTGCATTACAACCTGGTGGCAGAGTGACTCTGTCTCAAAAAAAAAAAGTATTTTACTTAATGAATATTTTAGTATTGCTTTGATAAATTAGATGTTTGTACTTTTCTTGGGGACCTTCCTTACCTTTTTCAATCATAAAGCCTATCAAAAAAAAAAAGATTTTTATTTTTACATGTGTCCTTCTATCCTCATTTTCTTCTAAGTGTAGAAACCAAAATTAAACAAAGGAAGATAACTTAGAGGTTTTCATTTCACAAATCTCTTTTCACTCACACTAGGTATTGTGCTAAATTTGGAGATATAGCTGGGAACAAAACAAATGACTTTTTTATTGAGATATACACTTTACTTAAGAAAGTAACAAAAAAACAAATACATACATTAGACAGAGTTTTTATGTTTTACTTTTTATGAGATGGAGTCTTGCTCTGTTGCCCAGGCTGGAATGTGGTAGTTTGATCTCATCTCACTGCAACATCTGCCTCCTGGGTTCGAGCCATTCTCCTATCTCAGCCTCCCAAGTAGCTGGGATTACAGGCACACACCGGCATGCCTGGCTAATTTTTTGTATTTTAGTAGAGACAGGGTTTCACCGTGTTGCCCAGGATGGTCTCGAACTCCTGAGCTCAGACAATCCACCCACCTCGGCCTCCGAAAGTGCTAGGATTACAGGCACGAGCCACCACGCCTGGCCAGAGTTTTTATTTTTTTGCTTTTGAAGGCAAGTGTGAAATGATCCCTTTTGTTGAACTGATGGAGGAGTCTAGGCTTTAGTCGAATAATCCCACAGGAAAACCAAGTTGGCCTGTATAATAAGATTGCGCTAGAAGGAGAAACAAAAGAAGCAGCCTATGAGGACTGTTTGTGAGCAAGCTTAAGAGATCTTGGATTTAGGGTGAATGTTTTTATTAGCAGCTGTGTTTGAAATCTACATTGAGAATAAAAGTTGAAGAATATATATTTCTGAAAAGTTTTGCAACGTAACTAATTTATCATTAAAATATTTATTTGACTTTTTTTCATAAGTGTCCTTGGTTGCAGCAGTGATGTTCTATTGAGCCTAGTAGCACAAAGCCTAAATGGGTTACATTGAGTTAGTTCATACTTAGCATAGTAGCTGATAGGTAATATTTAATAAATTGGTCTTCTACCCTTGTTTCATTCCTCTGGCTTCTATGATGATTTAAACAATCATGATTCTTTATGGTTAAAAAGCTTGCTAAGCATGTCATAGAGACCTACCTCCATTTCTCCCTCCTGCCTCCTAGTCTCTCTTTACTGACATCCTCCCTGATATGGTTTGGTTCTGTGTCCCCACCCAAATCTCATCTGGTAGCTCCCATAGTTCCTACATGTTGTGGGAGGGGCCTGGTGTGAGATAACTGAATCATGGGGGCAGGTCTTTCCTGTGCTCTTCTTGTGATAGTGAATAAGTCTCATGAGATCTGACAGTTTTAAAAACACTGGTTTCCCTGTACGAGCCCTCTCTTTGCCTGCGGCCATCCATGTAAAACATGACTTGATCCTCCTTGCCTTCTGCCATGATTCTGAGGCCTCCCCAGCTGCTTGGAACTGTAAATCCATTAAACAGCTTTTCCTGTATAAATTACCCAGTCTCAGGTATGTCTCTATCCGCAGCATGAAGATGGACTAATACACTGCCTCTTTGCTTCCTAATATTTCTTAAACTCTTATAGTGGATCAAGCAACACAAATTTCCCAAAACATCAAAATAATAAATGGAATTCCTTCATAGATATTTTGAATCTCCCAAGGTCTTCAGTGTTTCATTTAACCTGACAGTCCCCTAGTATTTTCTCAGAGTCCTTTTTATACTCATCATAAATTATGAAGTTTACGTTTGTTTCTCAAAGCAAAGCTAAGTTGATAACACTTTAATTTCCAAAATTATAATTTTTTTCTTCTTTTAGAAAGATGAATATACTATTAACCTCATCTGTTTCTTGGTTTGACATTTTATGAAAGTGTCAATTACCTTCTTTAGAAGATCTCAGGGGGCCTTGCCCTACTCACAACTGAATAATTAGAACTAAATATTAAGATACTGTACTCTCTATATAAATATCTGTACATGGGTGATGTGAGTATATAGGAGAAAGACACAATTTAATAAACTCTGAGAATATCATAGGCACCAGGCTGAAAACTACCTATAGTTTTTTGGGTTTAAATACATTATCTTTTTTTTATTTTTTGTTATTATACTTTAAGTTCTAGGGTACATGTGCACAACGTGCAGGCTTGTTACATATGTATACCTGTGCCATGTTGGTGTGCTGCACCCATTAACATGTCATTTACATTAGATACATCTCCTAATGTTATCCCTCCCCCTTCCCTCAACCGCACGACAGGCCCCGGTGTGTGATGTTCCCTTCCTCTGTCCAAGAGTTCTCATTGTTAAATTCCCACCTATGAGTGAGAACATGCCGTGTTTGGTTTTCCATCCTTGAGATAGTTTGCTGAGAATGATGGTTTCCAGCTTCATTCATGTCCCTACAAAGGACGTGAACTCATCCTTTTTTATGGCTGCATAGTATTCCATGGTGTATATGTGCCACATTTTTTTTAATCCAGTCTATCACTGATGGACATATGGGTTGGTTCCAAGTCCTTGCTATTGTGAATAGTGCCGCAATAAACATACATGTGCATGTGTCTATAGCAGCATGGTTTATAATCCTTTGGGTATACACCCAGTAATGGGATGGCTGGGTCAAATGGTATTTCTAGTTCTAGATCCTTGAGGAATTGCCACACTGTCTTCCACAATGGTTGAACTAGTTTACAGTCCCACCAACAATGTAAAAGTGTTCCCAATTCTCCACATCCTCTCCAGCACCTGTTGTTTCCTGACTTGTTAATGAATGCCATTCTTGCTGGTGTGAGACGGTATCTCATTGTGGTTTTGATTTTCATTTCTCTGATGGCCAGTGATTATGAGCATTTTTTCATGTGTCTGTTGGCTGCATAAATGTCTTCTTTTGAGAAGTGTCTGTTCATATCCTTTGCCCACTTGTTGATGAGGTTGTTTGCTTTTTTCTTGTAAATTTGTTTGAGTTCATTGTAGATTCTGGATATTAGCCCTTTGTCAGATGGGTAGATTGTAAAAATGTTCTCCCATTCTGTAGGTTGCCTGATTACTCTGATGGTAGTTTCTTTTGCTGTGCAGAAGCTCTTTAGTTTAATTAGATCCCATTTGTCAATTTTGGCTTTTGTTGCCATTGCTTTTGGTGTTTTAGTCATGAAGTTTTGAACATGCCTATGTCCTGAATGGTATAGCCTAGGTTTTTTTCTTGGGTTTTTAAGGTTTTAGGTATAACATTTAAGTCTTTAATCCATCTTGAATTAATTTTATATAAGGTGTAAGGAAGGGATCCAGTTTCAGCTTTCTACATATGGCTAGCCAGTTTTCCCAGCACCATTTATTAAATAGGGAATCCTTTCCCCATTTCTTGTTTTTGTCAGGTTTGTCAAAAATTATATGGTTGTAAATGTATGGTGTTACTTCTGAGGGCTCTGTTCTGTTCCATTGGTCTATATCTCTGTTTTGGTACCAGTACCATGCTGTTTTGGTTACTGCAGCCTTGTAGAATAGTGTGAAGTCAGGTAGCATGATGCCTCCAGGTTTGTTCTTTTGGCTTATGATTGTCTTGGCAATGCAGGCTCTTTTTTTGGTGCCATATGAACTTTAAAGTAGTTTTTTCCAATTCTGTGAAGAACGTCATTGGTAGCTTGTTGGGGATGGCATTGAATCTATAAATTACCTTGGGCAGTATGACCATTTTCACGATATTGATTCTTCCTATCCAAGAGCATGGAGTGTTCTTCCATTTGTCTGTGTCCTCTTTTATTTCATTGAGCAGTGTAGTTGCATTGAGTGAGTTGTAGTTTTCCTTGAAGAGGTCCTTCACATTACTTGTAAGTTGTATTCTTAGGTATTTTATTCTCTTTGAAGCAATTGTAAATGGGAGTTCACTAATGATTTGGCTCTCAATTTGTCCATTATTGGTGTGTAGGAATGCTTGTGATTTTTGCACACTGATTTTGTATCCTGAGACTTTGCTGAAGTTGCTTATCAGCTTAAGGAGACTTGGGGCTGAGATGTTGCAGTTTTCTAAATACACAATCATGTCATCTGCAAACAGGGACAATTTGACTTCCTCTTTTCTTAACTGAATTCCCTTTATTTCTTTCTTCTGCCTGATAGCCCTGGCCAGAACTTCCAACACTATGTTGAATTTAAGTGGTGAGAGAGAGCATCCCTGTCTTGTGCCAGTTTTCAAAGGGAATGCTTCCAGTTTTTGCCCATTCAGTGTGATATTGGCTGTGGGTTTTTCATAAATAGCTCTTATTATTTTGAGATATGTCCCATCAATACCTAGTTCATTGAGAGTTTTTAGCATGAAGCGCTGTTGAATTTTGTCGAAGGCCTTTTCTGCATCTATTGAGATAATCATGCTCCTGAAGGAAGCACTAAACATGGAAAGGAACAACTGGTACCAGCCACTGCAAAAACATGCCAAATGGTAAAGACCGTTGATGCTAGGAAGAAACTGCATCAACGAATGAGCAAAATAACCAGCTAACATCATAATGACAGGATCAAATTCACACATAACATTACTAACCTTAAATGTAAATGGGCTAGATGCTCCAATTAAAAGACAAGACTTGCAAATTGGATAAAGAGTCAAGACACATCAGTGTGCTGTATTCAGGAGACCCATCTCACGTGCAGAGACACACAAGGTCTCAAAATAAAGGGATGGAGGAAGATGTACCAAGCAAATGGAAAAAAAAAAAAAAAGCAGGGGTTGCAATCCTGGTCTCTGATAAAAGAGACTTTAAACCAACGAAGATCAAAAGAGACAAAGAAGGCCATTATGTAATGGTAAAGGCATCAATTCAACAAGAAGAGCTAACTATCCTAAATATATATGTACCCAATACGGAAGCACCCAGATTCATAAAGCAAGTCCTTAGAGACCTACAAAGAGACTTAGACTCCCACACAATAATAATGGGAGACTTTAACACCCCACTGTCAATATTAGACAGATCAACGAGACAGAAAGTTAACAAGGATATCTAGGAATTGAACTCAGCTCTGCACCAAGCAGACCTAATAGACATCTACAGAACTCTCCACCCCAAATCAACAGAATATACACTCTTCTCAGCACTACATTGCACTTATTCCAAAATTGACCACATAGTTGGAAGTAAAGCACTCCTCAGCAAATGTAAAAGAACAGAAATTATAACAAGCTGTCTCTCAGACCACAGTGCAATCAAACTAGAACTCAGGATTGGAAACTCACTCAAAACTGCTCACCTACATGGAAACTGAACAACCTGCTCCTGAATGACTACTGGGTATATAATGAAATGAAGGCAGAAATAAAGATGTTCTTCGAAACCAACGAGAACAAAGACACAACACAGCAGAATCTCTGGGACACATTTAAAGCAGTGTGTAGAAGGAAATTTATAGCACTAAATGCCCACAAGGGAAAGCAGGAAAGATCTAAAATTGACACCCTAACATCACAATTAAAAGAACTAGAGAAGCAAGAGCAGACACATTCAAAAGCTAGCAGAAGGCAAGAAATAACTAAGATCAGAGCAGAACTGAAGGAGATAGAGACACAAAAAACCCTTCAAAAAATCAATGAATCCAGGAGCTGGTTTTTTGAAAGATCAACAAAATTGATAGACTGCTAGCAAGACTAATAAAGAAGAAAAGAGAGAAGAATCAAATAGATGCAATAAAAAAGATCCCACAGAAATATAAACTACCATCAGAGAATACTATAAACAGCTCTATGCAAATAACCTGGAAAATCTAGAAGAAGTGGATAAACTCCTAGCCACATACACCCTCCCAAGACAACCAGGAAGAAGTTGAATCCCTGAATCCCTGAATAGACCAATAACAGGCTCTGAAGTTGAGGCAATAATTAATAGCCTACCAACCAAAAAAAGTCCAGGACCAGACGGATTCACAGCTGAATTCTACCAGAGGTACAAAAAGGAGCTGGTACCATTCCTTCTGAAACTATTCCAATCAATAGAAAAAGAGAGTATCCTCCCTAACTTATTTTATGAGACCAACATCATCCTGATACCAAAGCCTGGCAGTGACACACACAAAAAAGAGAATTTTAGACCAATATTCCTGATGAACATCGATGCAAAAATTCTCAATAAAATACTGGCAAACCGAATCCAACAGCACATCAAAAAGCTTATGCACCACAATCAAGTTGGCTTCATCCATGGGATGCAAGGCTGGTTCAACATACACAAATCAATAAATGTAATCCATCATATAAACAGAGCCAAAGATAAACACATTATCTTTAAAGCAACCCTGTGGAATAGGATCCATTATACTGTTTCAAAGATGGGGAATAAGCCCAGAGAGGTAAAATACTATACTTAAGTTGGCATAGTTTGCACTAATTGAGTAGCGGCTTGAATGCAGGTCTATAGCCTGGACCAATACACTATCCATAGTAATGAAAGCAATTAGGTATTACTAGTGCAAGCAAATGTCAAGCCCAGTAGGCCAGGGAGAATACTTAGTACTTTGTGTATATTAAATATTTTAATTTAATTCTCAGAATTCTTTTATCAGATGGACAAAATTATTAATTCATTTTACAGTTGGTGAAGTTGAGGCATGGGAAGATTGGGCAATTTTCAATCATCAGTTAAGGATCTAGTAAATCATTCCCCAATCTCTATTGCAATTTTGTAGAAATAGGTGTTTTTCCATTAATTATATTTAAATAAATATAACTCAACTTAGTAGTCTATGACTGTCATTTTTCTCAAAATCAGATATTTGGAGCTTAGTTTGTACTGCATATTTTGCTCTATCCCAAGGAAAATTGAAAAGGGAATAAAATATATATTCGGCTTCTGGAAGTGTTCTGTCTAATTCTTCTGTCTTTAAAGTGAATTGAGATAAAAAATGTTTCAGTGAGTGTCTGTTTCACTGTGGTGTCTTTGAGAAATGTGGACTCTGTAAACTATTCCAGTGCTTCCTTTAAATGTTTAAAATTGTCTCAATTAATGCATAGACCAATGGCCAGAGTGCTAGATAGGGAGTTGATATAACAGTACTTAAACAATAGATTTATCCTTATGTACGTAGTATTGAGTAAGCCATTTAAATTCCCCAAGCCTTGTTTTCCTTATGTCTAAAATGAAAACAATTTGACTGGAAGATACTGAAGGTTTCTCTAAGATTCTATTAAATGTTCTCCTATATCTAATTTCAATTCTAGGAGCTTCAATTTAGGTCAAGGCTTATTAGTTTCTCAGTGGAAAGATGGGACAGATTATTTTTCTTTCAAAATGATAGCATTGAAGGGAAAGAAATCACATATAATTCTGAGGCCAGGATTCTGGATCTTAAGAGAAAATATATTAGTGAACATAAGGTTTAATCAGTTTGGTCAAGACAATATTCCTATGCTTAGGGGAACACAGTTGTGTTAGTGTAAGCAGTGATTGAGTGTTTAAGAAGGCAGGGGTAAGTTTTTCAACTGAATATCTAAAAAATCTTTCTCCTAAAACTTGAAATTATAGTAAAAGCAAGGCATTCCTCTGAATTTTCTAGATATAAAAATAGCCTTGTTACACTTCTAATTCTTAAAAGTATGGAACTTAGAGCAAATATAAATTAAGAGCTGAAATTCCTTATACATACAATTCTCCTCAAAATGAGAAAAAGCTTAATCATTGTAACAAGTAAATAGGTAGGACACACCTCAATATAAATTGATCTTGAACTTGCTCTCAAGGTGTTTGCTGTTTTTTGAAACTTGGCACCTTTAGCTCACTATAGTAAACTTAATATTCGCTGTAAAAGTCTTAAGCTAGGCAGGGTATGATGGTTCATGCCTGTAATCCCAGAAATTTGGGAGGCAGAGCCGGGCAGATAGTTTGAGCCCAGGAGTTTGAGACCAGCCTCGGCAATATGGCAATACTCCATTTCTTAAAAAAAAAAAAATAGCTGAGTGTGGTGGTGTGGGTCTGTAGTCCTAGCTACTCAAGAGGCTGAGGTGAGAGGATCACTTGAGCCTGGGAGATAGAGGTTGCTCTGAACCAAGATTGTGCCACTGCACTCCAGCCTGGGCAACAGAGAAAGACCCTGTCTCACAACAACAACCACGATAACAACAACACAAACACACATACACACTCATTAAAAAAATAAAGTCTTTGACTCTATAGGATAGCAACTTAATAAAAATTGCATTTGAAATTAAAATTGCTTGATGAGTATAAGGATCATTAAAAAGAAATCTGGGCACAAAACAGATATTAAAATAAACAAGGATTAAAAAAAGGAAAACTTAGAATAAAAAAATAAAGAAATGAATCTAACTGCATTTAACATGAATAATGCAACTACACTGAAGGAAATTTAAAAAAAGGATTCTAGCATTTGAACATAGTATTTTTGTTACAAAACTTTCTGCTATATGCAAAGGAATTGTGAAGAAATGTAAGACTGTTTAGTAAGTTTATTTTTCTCAATGTTATGAATTAGAATTTATGAAACACTATATATTTCAGGGCTGAGTAGATAAGCACATATAATGTAAATAAAGAAGTCAAGATTCTCACTGTTGGAGAAGAGAGTGCATGATATATATATATAGGAAAACTAGAATAAACCCTGTGATACTGAAATGGAATTGGAGGAATCAATATAAATTTATGGTTTTCAGTATATGCAGACAGATGTTTAAAATATAAATATAGTAAATAATGTTCATCTATATCTATTGTATATTTTACATATATGTGTGTGTGTGTGTGTATGCTATACATATTTTGTCATCAAACTTTGCCCCCTAAGTTTAACTTCCGCTGATGTTTCTTGCCTTAATCAAATAATTACTATGAAGGTTGACAAATGGCGATTTTCTAATTCTATAATTCCTTCCACATGTATTGGTTGGCTAGTGACATTTGACTATAAAAAGAAAAGAGATGCTGTGTTAGTTATTTCAGGCTGATATAATACAATATCATAAACTTGGTGTTTTTTAAATAACAGATATTGATTTATCAAAGTCCTGGAACTTGTGATATCTAAGATTAAGGTGCCAACAAATTGGATGTCTTGTGAGGGTGTATTTCCTGTTTCATAGATGGGTCCTGCTTTCTGTGTCCTCACATGGTGGAAGGTGGAAGGCAGCTCTCTGGGGCCTCTTTTGTAAGGGCACTAATGCCATTTACAAGGGCTCTGCCTTCATGACTTAATCGGATTCAAATGATCCCCATTTTCTAACACCATAACGTGTTAGATTAGGTTTCAACAAATGAATTTGGGTACCGGGGAGGCAGACACAAACATTAAGATCATAACAGATTTTATGTAGGTAGATCTTATGTCTACTTAAAGGGCTTAGAATTAATGACAGCCTAGTAGCAATGAGTATGCCTGGTCCCCAGATCTTGTTTTCTGTATATCATATTCCACTAAATAGAACCAGGTCTCATTGAAGAAATGGATGATTCCAGGGATGAGGCAAAGTAATACAAAATGAAGCTGGAACATCTTGCTGAACAACAAAGAAACAAAGGTGCTAAAAATTGTGCAGGGAATGTCAGACACAGAAGCAGGGCTTTCATTAGCTAGGATAATTTTCACATGTATATGAATAATGATGCCAATGATTCTAACCCATGGAATAGAACAGAAAGCCATGAGTCTGTACTGACAAATGTAAATATATTAATTAATAAATAACATGTGAAAACATATGTCAAGTCATCAACAAATGTCGAAGGAATGATGGAATTATAAAATCAAAACTTGTCAACCTACATGGTAATAACAAATTGAGGCAAGGCTCAATACATAATTGAATTGAGAGTAAAAGTTTAATGAGAAATACGGTATATACATAACCACAGATTTCTTCCCCAGTAATGACTCTTATTGGAGAAATCTAGCGCAAACTAACTAAATGAAATGATCACAGTTAACATGACCAGTGATGAACACAGTTCACTTTTTTGTGCCAAAAAAGCCCCAGGTTTATTTTGAGTATTCCCCCTCTCAGTACTTGAATCGGCCATTTCTTCAATGAGCTGGGTTTTTTACATTAGATAATAACAGACATTGACATTTTTGAAGAGTCCAGTAAACCTATTGTGTAGTGTCTCTTAATTTGAACTTGTGTGGTGCTTTCTTATAATTATGCTCAGACCATGCATTTTTGGCAAGAACACCAACCTTAGAGATGATGTTTTGTTGTTCTCACTTCATTCTCTCAGAAAGCATATAATGTGGCCTGTTCTGGGATTTCTTTTGGTGGAAAAAAAGGTGGAATGTACTGAAAAAAAAAAAAAAAAAAAAAAACCACACACACACACACTCACACACACACACACACAATAATGAAGGTATATCAAAGGGACATAGAATTCAACCAAAAGGGCATGTCAAACTTCAGTAAAGCCACAGAAAAGCATCAGAGAAAAATCAATTGAAGAATTTTACAAAAATACTTGGCCAATATTCTTCCAAACTATCAAGACCATAAAAAACATGGGAAAGGTGAGAAACTGTCATAGTTCAGAAGACTCTTAGCAAACATGATGATGAAGTATAATGTGGTATACTGGAAGATATCCTGGGATGAAAAAACGAACATTAATTACAAATTTAGAAACTCTATGGACTTTTAGATAAAAATAATATATCAATACTTGTTCCCTAGGTGTGACAAATGTATCATCCTAATGTAAAATCTTAAGGAAAACTGGGTACAGCGTACCCAGAAATCTCTGTCCTATCTTTGCAACTTCTAGAAATCTAAAACTATACGAAAACGAAAAGTTCCTAAAGAAATACATATCAAGGTCATGAAAGGGAAGGAAAAGCTGAACAACATTTTAGATTGAGGGAGAGTTAAAGAGACATGCAAAGCATGATTCTTATTTCGATTCTGTACTTTTTTTTCTTTTGCAATGAAAGTCATTGGGACAAATGGAAATATAAACAATTTCCACAAAGTAGTTGATTCCCCTAAGACTATTTTAATATTTGAGGCTTTAAACAGAGGAGGTAAATCCAGGAGTAGGTTCCACGTGGCAATCCCTCACCTCCACTGCAATCATTGTGAACAAAATAAAAGTAGGCTTAATTTGCTTTGTAAATGATTATTTCTAAGTCAATACTTGAACATCTTGCTTACTAAATCCTTGCCAGTTCACTTATGTAGATCAGATTCCAGAGAACAAAAGTTTTTTAATTTCATTGAATTGCCGGAGACCTTCCCAAACTGAGAATAGGCTTCTCCCTGTGGAATTATTTTGCGTCCACAGGACTTTTGCTGAGAGGCAGTGGAGGAGTGAGAGGACCCTCTTCACAATGCGGAAGTCTCCCTAACTGATGATCCAGCCTTAAATCTGTGAAACTAGATGAGAAATAGAACTAGCTTGGGTAATTTAATAACTTTTTTATTTTTTCTGACGCCTATTCCCACAGATCATGATGTGCAGACATTAAAAAACAACTTTGATGAGGCAGTGGCAGGAAAAAAGTGGAGAAAAATTAAAAGATTACATGCTCCATACCCCATGCACATTGGCTAACTCAAAAATAGGCCCACTTTAAGAATATGCAATAGAAAATTAGGCTTCATTTGTATGTGATCAGTTTAATTCCTGCCTTTATTGTTCCCCATTGGTATAATTCTAAGAACTAAATATGAAAAGGAAATTGTCTTAGAGGAAACTAAATTGAAAAGAATAGGTTTTGTAAGAGAAAGTAGATTAGACATATTAGTTTTTTGCATCTTGGGTATTCAGAAATGTTTGAAATGTTAGGCAGTATTATCCACTAAATATATTTCTCAAAATCGAAGAGTTCTTTAATTCCATTTCTAATCTTTGTAATTGCTGCTTACAGGGTTGCCTTCAGCAATACAGAAGTATTGCTCTGATGGAATGAATGCACATAATTATTCCAGAACCTCACTCAGAGAGAGGTATCATTATTTGCCCGAACAGAGAGTACTTAAAATTTTTGACCTTTAATGGAAACAAAAGGAAAGCCATCCTCCAGGCAAGCCCTAGAGTGGACTCACATCTGAATCCAGCGCTTCTCTAGCTTGCATTGAGGAATGTACCTCTCAGCAGATTCTCTCAGAATTTCATAATTATAGATATTTTGATGTTTTTAGCTAGTAATACCCTATTTCATCAGAACTTCCTTGTCAACTCAGTGATGAAATTAGGAGTTATGCTTTAAATGAAAAAATGAACTTTAAATTTATGCATTTTATATGTATAGGAGATTAAAACTGCATAGCAAGAATGTTGTGCTAAATTGGATCACAATTAAATAAGGAAATCTCTCCTTTGAGTGATTTTGGGGAGTTTTCAGGAGATTTCAAGACCAACCCTTTTTAGAAGGCCCATTCTTTGTTACCTCCATCCCCAGCCAACAAAACCAGAACATTTAACATTAGTATAGCGTTAAAAGCATGAATGTTCAGAATAAAAATGTTAGTTCTGTACCTAAGCAAAAAAAAAAACAGTAACATATAGAATAGAGTGAAAGTAAATAAAGCCTACTACAATAAGCTATTAATAAATTTCGGAGTAAACTTTGTGCAAGGGTCTAAAGGCAATGAAGACTATAGATTGGTCAGTAACAATAGTTCTGAGCAAGCAGTCGGCAGATTATACTTAAATTGTGTTTGATAAAAAATGAATATGAGGATATAGAAGTACAACTTTTCATTTAGCAACACTTACAGGACATATATCAGAAGCCCTTTTGTAGCCTTGTTTCTTTCATGCACTGCTCCTCAACTTACCGCATCCAGGATACTAAATGGGGTAGACACCTTAGATTGGCTCTCACTGCTTGCATTCCTCTTCCTTTCTAATTGGAAAGGTAAAACAAACACACAACATTGTTTCCCAGACTGTTGTGAGACAAAGTGGAAGCTGGTTTTCAATTCCTGTTGCTGTGATAGATACAGATTTCTAGAGACAATTGAAGCATCAAGACTCAGTGTTCCATGTTTTCATCCCTAGCTTCATGGGTATAAAAAATAGCTGTGCAGGACACAGCAGAAGCAGCTGCAGCCTCCTAGTCTCTGAATGTAACTGCGGTAGTTATAGTTGAGTTCTCTTAACCATAATAGGGTAGGGATGGTCTCTTAACTTCTGCCCCACCAGGTAATTCAGTGATTTGGCAGGACCCTAATTCCTTATGTTATTTCCCTTCCCTCTAGCAATACTTTAATTATTCCTTCTAGAATGGGCATTACGTTCTGACTAATTACCAAATTGCAATATATATATATATATATATATATTCTTTTCCATGTAGATTTCTATGTAACATTCTCTTTGCATAATGAGGTTCATTAATTCTTACAAAAGTCCATCTATTATTTTCACAAAGCCCTAAGTTAAAGGAATTCTTCTAATTATTGAACTTTGTAAATTCCCTTTTTGGAGATTTTTAACTGATTATTACAGTGGTACGGAAAGTAGTAAAAAATAAATAAACTTCTCTTGGACAATCCTGTGTTAATTATACTTAATGTTATACGGATAAACTCTCTATTACAAAAACTCTCTTGGAAGATACACAGTGCTAAGTTCCCAGGCTTTGTAAACAAATTCAGAAAAGAGAATCATCTGAATGTCACAACAATATTTATATTGGAATCAATCATTAATTGGCTCATATTATATAGTGTCATTACTAGCACATTGGATGTATTTGTGTGAATAAGAAAAGGAGACACTTTCAGGAACCCCCCCAAAAAACCCAACTTTAAAATAGATCCACTCAGGGTATAGAAATAATAAAAGACAATGACTCTTCCTCCTAGTGGACAAAAATTATGCCGAGGATTTCAGCTATAATTCACCATTGCATTAGCTGACCTTGTACATGGCATGGAATGCACACTGTTTATGATGGCCCTTTCCAAATGCTTGTCACACTGCTTGGAATATGGTAGATGGCTAAAATAAGTATTGGATTAATTAAATTTGTCTTCTAGGAGTCCAGCCAGTGAAGTATGGCAAAAAGACGATAGTATTAATATGTGCCTTCACCTCTTTATCTTCTGCACATAATCTGAGGTCTGATGCATATATGTGGATACCTTACCAAGTCTCTCTCATGATTATGGTAACTACAATTCAGATGAGATTTGGGTCGGGATACAGCCAAACAATTTCAGGCTTATTTGTTGTTCTTTGTTTATATTTGTTTTGTTGTTGCTGTATCTTCAAAGTCATTGCTATTCCCTTCTGTAGTACCTACTCTTCTCTCAAGCCCTTCCAGTAATTTTTTTAACTTGAGATATTTATTTTTCATCTCTTGAATCTTCTATTTACCTATATTTATAGCTGCAATTTACACACTAAGTTTTTGTTTTCCTTTAAATCTACTATTACATTTATAAAAGGTTTTAAGGATTCATTCTGTAATACCAATAGCTCTGATATATCTTTATGTTTTTCTTCATATTTACTTTTTCCTTTAGAGACAAGGTCTCTGTCACCCAGGTGGGAGTGCAGTGGCATGATCATAGTTCGCTGCTGCATTGCACTCTTGGGATCGAGCAATCTTTCCACTTCAGCCTCCCAGAGAGCTGGTACAACAGGTGCATACAACCATGCCTGGCTAGTTTTTTTTTTTTCTGTAGATACAGGGTCTTGCTGTGTTGTCCAGGCTAGTCTCGAACTCCTGGGTTCAAGTGATCCTCTTGCTTCAGCTTCCCAAATAGCTGGGACTACAGGCACATACCACCATGCTGAGATACTTCTTTCAAAAAAACTTTTGTAGATACAGAGTCTCTCTATATTGCCCAGGCTGGTCTTCAATTCCTGGGCTCAAGTGACCCTTCCTCTTCAGACATCCAAAGTGCTGGGATTTCAAGCATAAGCCACTGTGGCCAGCTTGGATGTCCTACTTTTGATTTGAATTTCTTCCATTTATAATTCTCATGTTTGTTTTGTTTTGTTTTGTTTTTTGTTTTTTTTTTTTTGCTTTTTTCTCTGTCTAGTAAAATTTGTATTGAATACCAGACACTGTTAATGTTATATATTTAGACTTTGAACGTCGCTATCTTCATTTAAATTGAATATTGTTTGGGAAGTTTGTTACTTGCAGATCATCTTTAGATGCTTTTGCAGCTTGTTTTTTTTGTTTGTTTGTTTTTGTTTTTAATGGGAGGTTTAGAAAACCTTTGTTGTAGGTTAAATTTAGCCTTACTATTAAGATCTTAACACTATAGGATTTCTCCTGGACTTCTCAAGTGTGTAACAAGAACAAGGTCTCTCCATTTTTATGGATTATAACTTGAACAATTCCCAACCCTTTGTGAGCTCTTTGAATTGTTCAGCTACATCTCTCTGGTATTTTTTTTTTCCAGTATGTTGATGTTTTACCCTACACAGGTACAATTTAGTATTCAACAGACTCATGTTATTTCTTAAGCAGATTGCTCAAGTTCCTCCCTTTCGGTAATTTGCCCTCTACCTTGAAGCAGTGACAACTTCCCTAGACTGTAGTCTTTGCCTTGCCAACTCAGCCAGATCACCGTGTCCTTCTTGTATTTCTTCTCTCTGTGCTACTCAGGAAAGTGAATCATGGCATAAAACTGAAGAATTTTAGCTCTTTTTAGAGCTGTTTTAAAACTCACAGTTATCTCTGGGTATTATGTGGTTGTATCCTTCAATAGGAAAAAAATAAATGGGTAAATGTAGCCTTAATTTATTGCTACTAGGTTTTTTGAATACTAATGGAAATCAAGAGTGCTTTTAGAAGACCATATTCTACTTTGTATACAATTATAAAAAGACTTGGAATTTGGATTCATGCATTCATAACAATGGACACCAATGATTATACCTGGCTTTCTGTCACTAATAATCAACAACAGATTGCCCAAGATGTGCAGCTGCTAGGCTGCTGAGCTGGAATCTACCCAAGCACCACGGCTCTTTAATCAGGCTCTCCAACTCAGTGGCCCATTTCCCAAGCAATTACTTCAATACTCTTCAGTTTTTCTTGGCAAATCTTATATTTTCCTTTTATTGCAGGCATGATTTTTCCCTTGAGAATGATGGAAATATATTAACCATTTATATTTAAGATACGAAACTTTTTTCAAAACCAATTCATTGTCTTGATCCACTTCCTTTCCTGTCCTATTTTGAAATATGACAAGTAAAACATTTTAGGCACAGATGGAGGTGACCACCTGCCAACATATGTGGCAAAAAAGTTAAAATACATTTATAACACAATTTCAAATCTTAGATTGCAAGAGTTTATAAAAGTAATAATTGGTTTTTTTTCTGAGTAAAAGAAATGTTTTCCAATTTGAAATGTTTTAAAAATTGATTTCACACTGCCAATAATTCTATCTCTAACATTATCACAACAAATATGAAATAGTCCAATTGTTTTATACAGTTATGGCATAAAATTTGGAACTCTTCCAAGTAGTTCTCAAAATTTTATTTTATTTGTAATATTCTGAAATCTGTTGAGTGTCTCTGAAATTCATGCAAGTGTACATGTAGCCATGTAATGACATGACCTTTCAGGAATATACATATATGATGTAACCATAAAATTATGTAATAACAAATGCAGTGTTATTCTAAATGGTATTATAGAAATATTTATCAAGAAAATATGTGAATGACATTACAGTGGCAAAAAAGACTACTGGGTGTCCTGTCTAGCATGTTCTTCCAGGTTATTACTACCTTTTATTATCTTTGTGCTACAACTCTGTAAATTATAGAAAACATAACACTGCAAGTGATTTTTGTTCCTAGCAATGCAAACTGTGTCCCATAAAATACTGCTGATTATTCTTCTGTGGTTATTCACTAATTTTGCATCTATTATGTAAATTTTTCTCAGTATTCCTGATTGCCTAAGTATGTATCCATCGTTTGTATTTGCCTTTGATCTAGTTGTAGCAGTTTACTGGTTTTCTCATTCATTAATAAAATTAAATCAAATTCTTGACGTGTACATTTACATTTGTATGAGAATAGAGATTTTGCTTTTAATAATTATTCCTTAACAAAATTTATTATAATTTAAAAGTTTATTTTATTAAATATGGTTTACTAAACATTTAGCAAAATGTTTATTTTATTAAAGTTTGGTTATAGTGTTTTGTTTGAATAATTTCAGAATTTTTATATTAATTTTTCTATTGCTTTTGCCATTTTTCTTTTATCTGCAGATATGCTCTGTCATAATTATTTAATAAGATTGAAAACTAGAACTACCAGAAGAATATTTTTCTTAGCATTTTAGTCAATTAATAAATAATAAATTGAATCAACCATAAACGTGAGAGCACACTTATATGAATACTTGTAGAACTGCAAAAGTTGGCATAACCAACCATGTAGGAAGAGGCGCTTGGGATTCATTCACTTCTTTTCTGACTCGGTTTTAGAAACCACTATTTAGAAATGCTATAATATCATATAAAATCATATTTGAATTTAGTTTAAGATATAAAAATATTTAACTGAGTGTCTACTATCAGTAATAACCCTGCTAAGTGCTGAAGATGCAAAATAAGATATGTTGCCTGCTTTCAGGAAAAAATGAAATTTAAATCTGAAAATGGATGAACAAAGATACTTTTCTTGGGTTTAGTACTGTATACAAACTAGCTTATCTAATGTTAATAGTTATCTACTAAACAGTTTACATTAAATAAGTGATAAGCATCACCTCTATTGTGTAGAAGGCTACCCCGTTAATTGTGTATACTGGCAACTAATGACTCCAAATATCAAAACATTTTCCATAAATTTGACAATAGATTTAGTCTAAGTGCTCACAGCACATTTGTTCAGTTTAATTAGTGTAATATCTTATTCAATGCCTCCATATGTTCCACTGTGCTATATCGTAGGATTAAATGATTAATATATGGCATATTAATTTTCCCCTTAGTTGAGCAAATATAAGTGTTATTGAAGGGGCAAAGGAAGAAACATACATAATTAAATATATAAAAATGCTGCAGGAGTTACAACAGAATTATGAACAAAGAGTTAATGCACCAAAGATAGAGCAAATTAAGCCACAAAGGTGTATAAAGGTTCCACTCAGCAGGGAACTTTTGAACTATTGTTTAAGGAGGGGTCAGTTGTACTTAGAAAAAAAAAAAGAGAGAGAGAGCATTTTGGAGGGAAGACTCAGTGTGTGCTGTCTCAAGGATCACAAAAAGTAAGTAGTATTCAGACATGCAGAGAAACATGGCAAGGGAGACAGTGATGAGTCTAGGTTGTAATGAGATAGAAAACAAAGTGGAAGGGGCTGAAAGCAAGAAACACACCTAAGAAATTAAGTTAAGATCCACTTATAAAAAATCATGTATTGAGTTTTAAACAGTTTTCCTATAGATCTTCTATACAGAATTATGTATGAAGCAACAGTTTAATCAGGAATTTATAAAATTAAATATAGCGGAAATAAATAGAATCTAATGGAAGGGGAGATTAAAAGCAGGGAGTCCAACTAAGATGTCTGATGATTTTTAATATGTACATTTGTCATTTGTTGAGATATCAATGTACAATTGTTATTTTATAAAAGGACCTCCTATGTACAATATTAAAATAGGTAGTATGTCTTTAGAAACCTTTGAGACCCCAGTAGCTGAGACTTGCATACTTCATCATGACCAGCTTCCCTAGCAGCTCCCTCTAGACTTCTACTTTGTAGTCATTCTGTCTTAAAGCCTGTTCTCAGGGGTTAAAAAAAAAAATCTATAGTAATTTACATCTATGTGTGAGTTCAAAAAAACATTATTTCTCCCATGGCATTTTGCATTTGAAATTTAATCTCCAAGCCTAGAGCTAATATTTCATTTATGTGACATCCAGGATATTCATAAATGAGTTGTTTTTTATTCTGTGATATTTGCTGTTGTATAACTATTGTTAATTAATTATGCTACTATTGCAATGAGCAGTGTCTCTATCAGAAGATAAGGTTGAGATGGGAAGCAGTTGTAGAGCTGTTGGTAAAGAATACAAATTTCAGTTAGATAAGAGAAATAGTTTCAAGAGGTATACTTTACAACATGACTATATTTAATAACAATGTATTGTACTCTTGAAAATTGCTAAGGGAGTGGATATTAAGCCTTCTCACCACAAAGAATAAGTATGTGAGGTAACGTGTGTTAATTAACTCAATTTAGCCATTTTACAGTCTATACACATTTAAAATATGTACACAATAAATATATACAATTTTTATTTGTTAATAAATGCAATTTGTAAAAAGGACTTCTTTCATATTTTGCTATGTTAACAACTATGATGACTAAAATCTACAATATCAACTTTGAAGTTTTTTATTCTCATCACTCTCTATGTTTTTATGTAATTACATTTATCTCCTTAATAGTGAATCTACAGATTGCATTTTCATGACAGTAAAAGGCTCTCTCAAAATCCTTGAATTAAAAAAGCTAGCTCTTACTTAACAGAAGCATGTATATTTTTCTTATTTAAGAAAATTTGTAGATCAGATATGGGCCTCATGTGTTCAGTTTCCATGCAGTTGGGTGGTTTTGAGTGAGTTTCTTTTTTTTTTTTCTTTGTTTCTTTTTTTATTTATTATTATTATACTTTGATAAGTTTTAGGGTATATGTGCACAATGTGCAGGTTTGTTACATATGTATACATGTGCCATGTTAGTGTGCTGCACCCATTAACTCATCATTTAGCATTAGGTATATCTCCTAATGCCATCCCTCCCCCTCCCCCCACCCCACAACAGTCCCCAGAGTGTGATGTTCCCCTTCCTGTGTCCATGTGTTCTCATTGTTCAATTCCCACCTATGAGTGAGAAAATACGGTGTTTGGTTTTTTGTCCTTGCGATAGTTTGCTGAGAATGATGGTTTCCAGTTTCATCCATGTCCCTACAAAGGACATGAACTCTTCATTTTTTATGACTGCATAGTATTCCATGGTATATATGTGCCACATTTTCTTAATCCAGTCTATCATTGTTGGACATTTAGGTTGGTTCCAAGCCTTTGCTATTGTGAATAGTGCTGCAATAAACATACGTGTGCATGTGTCTTTATAGCAGTATGATTTACAATCCTCTGGGTATATACCCAGTAATGGGATGGCTGGGTCAAATGGTATTTCTAGTTCTAGATCCCTGAGGAATCGCCACACTGACTTCCACAATGGTTGAACTAGTTTACAGTCCCACCAACAGTGTAAAAGTGTTCCTACTTCTCCACATCCTCTCCAGCACCTGTTGTTTCCTGACTTTTTAATGATTGCCATTCTAACTGGTGTGAGATGGTATCTCATTGTGGTTTTGATTTGCATTTCTCTGACGGCCAGTGATGATGAGCATTTTTTCATGTGTCTTTTGGCTGCATAAATGTCTTCTTTTGAGAAGTGTCTGTTCATATCCTTTGCCCACTTTTTGATGGGGTTGTTTGTTTTTTTCTTGTAAATTTGTTTGAGTTCATTGTAGATTCTAGATATTAGCCCTTTGTCAGATGAGTAGGTTGCAAAAATTTTTTCCCATTTTGTAGGTTGCCTGTTCACTCTGATGAGTGAGTTTCTTAACCCATAGTTCTAATTTGATTGCACTGTGGTCTGAGAGACTGTTTGCTATGATTTCTGTTCTTTTGCATTTGCTGAGAATGTTTTAATTCCAATTATGTGGAAAATCCAGAGCAAAAAGGCTGAGAATTCCAAAAACCAGAACACCTTCTCCTCCAAAGAATCACAACTCCTCGCCAGCAAGGGAACAAAACTGGCCAGAAAATGATTTTGTTGAATTGACAGAAGTAGGCTTCAGAAGGTGTGTAATAACAAACTCTTCCAAGCTAAAGGAGCATGTTCTAACCCAATGCAATGAAGCTAAGAACCTTGAAAAACAGTTAAAGGAATTGCTAACTACAATAACCAGTTCAGAGAAGGACATAAATGACCAGTGGAACTGAAAAACACAGCATGAGAACTTTTTGAAGCATACACAAATATCAAATAGCTGAATCGATCAAGCAAAAGAAAGGATATCAGAGATTCAGGCGGGTGGATCACCTGAGGTCAGGAGTTTGAGACCAGCCTGATCAATATGATGGACCCCCACCTCTACTAAAAATACAAAAATTAGCTGGGTGTGGTGGCATGTGCCTGTAATCCCAGCTACTCAGGAGGCTGAGACAGGACAATCGCTTGAACCCGGGAGGTAGAGGTTGCAGTGAGCCGAGATCATGCCATTGCACTCCAGCCTGGGAAACAAGAGTGAAACTCCATCTCAAAAAGAAAAAAAAAATAATAAAGGGAATATCACCACTGATCTCACAGAAATACAAACTACCATCAGAGAATACTATAAACACCTCTATGCAAATAAACTAGAAAATACAGAAGAAATGGATAAATTCCTGGACACATACACCCTCCCAAGACTAAACCAGGAAGAAGTTGAATCCCTGAATAGACCAAGACTAAACCAGGAAGAAGTCAAAGCCCTGAATAGACCAATACCAAGTTCTGAAATTGAGGCAGTAATTAATAGCCTACCAACCAAAAAAACTCCAGGACCAGACAGATTCACAGCCAAATACTACCAGAGGTACAAAGAGGAGCTGGTAACATTCCTTCTGATACCATTCCAAACAATTGAAAAAGAGGGACTCCTCCCTAACTCATTTTATGAGGCCAGCATCATCCTGATACAGAAACCTGGCAGAGAAACAACAAAAAAAGAAAATTTCAGGCCAATATCCCTGATGAACATCGATGCAAAAGTCCTCAACAAAATAACGGCAAACCTAATCCAGCGCACATCAAAAAGCTTATACACCATGATCAAGTGGGCTTCATCCCTGGGATGCCAGGCTGGTTCAACATATGCAAATCAATAAACGTAATCCATCACATAAACAGGACCAATGACAAAAACCAGATGATTATTTCAATAGATGCAGAGGAGTCTTTCGATAAATTCAACACCCCTTCATGCTAAAAACTCTCAATAAACTAGGTATTGATGGATCATATCTCAAAATAATAAGAGCTATTTATGACAAACCCACAACCAGTATGATATGGAATAGGCAAAAACTGGAAGCATTCCCTTTGAAAACCAACACAAGACAAGGATGCCCTCTCTCACCACTCCTATTCAACATAATACTGGATGTTCTGGCCTGGGCAATCAGGCAAGAAAAGGATATAAAGGTTATTCAAATTGGAAGAGAGGAAGTCAAATTTTCTCTGTTTGCAGATGATATGATTGTATATGTAGAAAACCGCACCGTCTCAGCCCCAAATCTCCTTAAGCTGATAAGCAACTTCACCAAAGTCTCAGGATACAAAATCAATGTGCAAAAATCACAGGCATTCCTATACACCAATAAGAGACAAATAAAGAGCCAAATCATGAGTTAAATCCCATTCACAATTGCTACAAAGAGAATAAAATAACTAGGAATACAACCTACAAGAGATGTGAAGGAACTCTTCAAGAAGAACTACAAACCACTGCTCAAGGAAATAAGAGAGGACAGAAACACATGGAAAAACATTCCATGCTCATGGGTAGTAAGAATCAATATCATGAAAATTGACATATTGCCCAAAGTAATTTATAGATTCCATGCTATCTCCATCAAGCTACCATTGACTTTCTTCACAGAACTAGAAAAAACTACTTTAAATTTCATATGAAATCAAAAAATACCCCGTGTTGCCAAGACAATTCTAAGCAAAAAGAACAAAGCTAGAGGCATCACACTACCTGACTTCAAACTGTTCTACAAGGCTACAGTAACCAAAACAGCATGGTACTGGTACGAAAACAGAGATACAGACCAATGGAACAGAACAGATGCCTGAGAAATAACACCACACATTGACAACCATTTAATCTTTGGCAAATCTGAGAAAAACAAGCAATGGGAAAATGATCCCCTATTTAATACATGGTGTTGGGAAAACTGGCTAGCCATATGCAGAAAACTGAAACTGGACCCCTTCCTTATACCTTATACAAAAATTAAACTCAAGATGGATTAAAGACTTAAACCTAAAACCTAAAACCATAAAAATCCTAGAAGAAAACCTAGGCAATACTATTCAAGACATAGGCATGAGCAAAGACTTCATGACTAAAACACCAAAAGCAATGGCAACAAAAGCCAAAATTGACAAATGGGATCTAATTAAACTAAAGAGCTTCTGCATAGGAAAAGAAACTGTCATCACAGTGAACAGGCAACCTACAGAATGGTAGAAAATTTTTTGCAACCTATCCACCTGAAAAGGGCTAATATCCAGAATCTACAAGGAACTTAAACAAATTTACAAGAAAAAAACAAATTCATCAAAATTGAGCGAAGGATATGAACAGATACTTCTCAAAAGAAGATATTTATGCAGCCAACAAACATATGAAAAAATGTTCATTATCACTGGTCATTAAAGAAATGCAAATCAAAACTGCAATGAGATACCATCTCATGCCAGTTGGAATGGTGATCATTAAAAAGAGAAAACAACAGATGCTGGAGAGTATGTGGAGAAATAGGAATGCTTTTACACTGTTGGTGGGAGGGTAAATTAGTTCAATCATTGTGCAAGACAGTGTGGTGATTCCTCAGGGATCTAGAACCAGAAATACCATTTGACCCAGCAATCCCATTACTGGGTATATATCTAAAGGATTATAAATCATTTTACTATAAAGACACATGCACACGTATGTCTATTGCATTGCAGCACTATTCACAATAGCAAAGACTTGGAACTAACCCAAATGCCCATCAATGATACACTGGATAAAGAAAATGTGGCACATATACACCATGGAATACTATTCAGCCATAAAAAAGGATGAGTTCATGTTCTTTGCAAAGACATGAATGAAGTTGGAAACCATCATTCTCAGCAAACTAACACAGGAACAGAAAACCAAACACCGCATCTTCTCACTCGTAAGTGGGAGTTGAACAATGAGAACTCATGAACACAGGGAGGGGAACATCACACATTGGGGCCTGTCAGGGGGTGGGGGGCTAGGGGAAGGATAGCATTAGGAGAAATACCTAATGTAGATGACGGGTTGATGGGTGCAGCAAACCCCCATAGCATGTGTATACCTATGTAACCTGCACATTCTGCACATGTATTCCAGAACTTAAAGAAGAAAAACAAATTGTGAAAAGTAATTAATTTTATTTTGTAAATTGTCATTTCAATTCTTATTAAAATATCCAAATTACAAGCCTAATAATAATAACAAAAAGTAGACAATGCTGAGATCAACAGATGATTGTTTAATTTCTTTTAATACTTTGAGAATATGGAGTTCCTAAATTCAAAATTCTATACTAATATCTAACTTTTCATCATTCTTTTTCTTTTTTCTTTTCTTTTTTTTTTATGATAGGGAATCTCTCTCTGTCACCCAGGCTGGAGTCAGTGGCGCGACCTCAGCTCACCGCAAGCTCCGCCTCCTGGGTTCACGCCATTCTCCTGCCTCAGCCTCCCGAGTAGCTGAGACTAAAGGCACTCGCCACCACACCCAGCTAATTTTTTTTTTTCTTTTTTTTTAGTAGAGATGGGGTTTCACCGTGTTAGCCAGGATGGTCTCGATCTCCTGACCTGGTGATCGGCCCACCTCGGCCTCCCAAAGTGCTGGTATTACAGGCGTGAGCCACCGTGCCTGGCCTCATCATTCTTTTTACAGTGTACTGGTGAAAAACTGCTAAAGACCTGCAGTGTTCTTCTCTACTAGAGGTAAAAGACCCTGTGAATATAAGTATGCTAGTAAAAGTGAAAAGATTGGATATGACCATCATTCTCCTGTAATTAGGAATTGAGATAAATTCCATCAGATTTTGAGCTTGTGATTTTTAACTTGATTTATAGTTGTATAGAATGAAAGGGTTCATTTAGAAAGTGCTAGTTTCAAAAATATAATTTTAGCTTCCTGTCACCAGAATTATCTACTATACCACAAATCATTTAGCCTGTATTTAAAAGTATACTGCTTTCCTGGCCTCAGTATAGCCAAAAATTTCCATTCTATACTATTTACTCAATATTTATTTTTTAAATATCTGGTTAATTGAGCTATAATTTTCAGGCTACAAGTTTCATCTCTTTTTAGATGTTCACTTCTACATGCTCTAACAAACATACACAGTCATGTGAACACTACCAAAGTTAAGAGAAAGGATTTTCCATCGCCACCCCACTAACACACAAAATTCCCGCATGCCTCTTTACATTCAATCCTCTCTCTCCACCTACAGCCCCTGGCAACCGCTGATCTGTTCTTTGTAGCTATAGTTTTACCTTTTCCAGAATAGCCGATACATGGAATATTCAAACATGCATTCATTATAATATGGTTTCTTTCCTTTAACATATTGGCCATTCGTTCATTTTATTATTGTGCTTAGGAAAATTCTGCTACGTATCTGCACCACATTCTGTCCATTCACCTGGTGTGGACATTTTGGTTGCCTTGAGTTTTTGGAGATTATAAATAAAACCATTATAAACATTTGTGAACCTGGCTTTGTCTGGACATATGTTTTCATTTATATTGAATAAATATATCTAGGAGTTATATTTCTGCATCATATGGTAACTTTATAGGAGACTGCCAACATATTATCCAAAGTAGCTGTACCATTCTGCATACTAGCAATTTATGAGACTTGCAACTGCCTTACACCCTCACCACCTCTTGATATTGCCAGGTGTCAATATAACCTGGCAATATCATTGCTTTGGAAAATGCCTCTTCAAATCTTTTGCTGTTTTCTTCATAGTTTGTTTTCTTGTTATTGAGTTTGAAAGGCCTTTACATTTTATGGATGAGTCTTTTTTAGATATATGTTTTGCAAATATCTTCTCCCAGTAATATAGTTGTTTTTCACTTTTTTTGAAAAGTATCTTTGCATGAGGAGATATTTTAATGTTGATGAAGTCTAATTTTTTTGTGATTTGTGCCTTTTTCCTGTCCTTTGACAAAATATTTGCATAAGTATATTATCTCCTGTTATCTTCTAGATGTTTATATTCATATTTTTGTTCTTTTTGATTTTTTTGTATGTAGCACATAGTATAGGTTTGTTTGTTATTTTTTTGCATATAGATGCTGAATGTTACCAGTATCATTTGGTGAAAAGACTTTAATTTTTCAATAATTACCTTGGCAATTTTGCTGAAAATCATTTCACCATATTTGGGTCTTTCTCTTAGCTTTCTCCTTTGTTCTATTGATTTATGGGCCTATTTTTTCACCAATACCACAGTTTCTTGATTGTTATATCTTTGTAGTATGTCTTGAAATCTTGTAATATGAATCTCACAACTTTTGTCTTACTTGAAAATATTATGGCTATTCTTATTCCTTTGCATTTTCATCTAAATTTTAAAATTAGCTTTTCCATTGTCATAGAAAAAACATGCAATAATTTGGGCTGGAGTTGTGCTGAATATGTAGATCTGAGTCTACATTTATGTAGCTCTTTTTATCTCTCAACATGTGTTATATTTTGCAGCATACAAATGTGCATATATTTTTGAGAACGCATGTTAATTATTTCATGGTTTTGGTTCGGTTTTAAATGCTAATTTAAATATTTCTAGTTGTTCACTGACTGCATATAAAGCTATGATTGATTGTTACATATTGATCTTGTATACTGCATTCTTGCAAAAATTGCTTTTAGGTCTATTACATTTTTTGTAGACTTTGGGAAATTCTATGTAAAGAAGTCATCTTATGTATTCCTTTCTAATCTATATAAGTTTTTTATCATTTTCATTGGCTAAGACATTTATCATGATTTTTAAAAAATGTTTATTTTATTTAATTAATTAAATAATTTATTTATTTATGAGACAGGATATCACTCTATCACCCAGGCTGGAGTGCAGTGGTGCCATCTCTGCTCACTGCAACCCCCGCCTTCTGGGTTCAAGCAATGCTCTGGCCGTAGCCTCCCAAGTAACTGGGACTACGGTCACCTGCCACAATGCCCAGCTAATTTTTTGCATTTTTTATTAGAGGCAGGGTTTCATCGTGTTACCCAGGGTGGTCTCGATCTCCTGACCTCGTGATCCGCAAATGTCCTCTTTAATGAGCTTCAGAATTTTGTGTTTTTTAAGGAATTTATCCATTTCATCCTAGGTGTTGAATTTGTGGACATGAAGTTGTTCATAATATTTCTGTATTATACTTTAACGCCAGGAGAATCTTTAGTAACATCTACTCTCTCTTTTCTCATATTGGTTATTTGTATATATTATCTCTTTCTTTCATTTTTCTTCTTCAGTGTGGCTAGAATTATCAATTTATTGATCTTAGAAAAACATGTTTCCTCATCATTTTCTTTATTTTATTGTTTCTAATTTTAATTTTATTGATTTCTGCTATCTTCATTTTTTTGTTTGATTTGCGTTTAAGTTTGTTTTCTTTTGTATTTTCTTAAACTGAAAACTTAGGGAATTTAATTGGGACTTTTGGTCTTTTCTAACATAAGTATTTAGTGTTATAGGTTTCACCATAAGCAATGCTTTTGTTGAATCCCACAAAAGTTGATATGCTGTCATTTCATTTTTATTTAATTCAAAATATTTTTAAATTTATGTTTCTCTTTGGGCGTGGGTTATTTATAGTGTGTTTATATGAAATTTTCAAATACTTGGAGATTTTGTTAATATCTTTTTGTTATTAATTTCTAGTTAATTTTATTACAGTCAGAAACATAGATTTTGTATAAATTTAGGGGGTACAAGTGATATTTTGTTACATGAATATATTGTGTAGTGGCAAAGTCTGCGATTTTAATGTAACCCTGTCCCCAATAACATACATTGTACCCATTTAGTAATTTCTCATCTTTACTCCCCTCCCAACACCCCACTTTTTCAAATTTCCAATATCTATTATCCCACACTCTGTGTCCACATGTATACATTATTTAGCTACTACTTATAAGTGAGAACATGCAATATTTGACTTTCTTGTACTGAGTTATTTTACTTAAAATAATGGCCTCTAGTTACATCCACGTTGTTGCATGATACATGATACATCATGCAAGATACATGATTTCATTCCTTTGTATGGCTGAGTAGTATTTCATTGTGTGTTTGTGTGTGTATATATACATATATAATATTACATATTTATTATATGATATTTATTTATTCATTTATATTTATTATTTTATTTTTTCTTATATATGCTATTATATTAATTTATTATAAATATAATATATACACATATATACATGCATTATACATACACGCATATAAATACATATACATACATCATATGTATATGTATGTGGACACACATATACATTCATTATATGTATAAGTATGTATATATACACATATACTCATATATATGTATACATGTACATACATTCTTTGTATGGCTGAGTAGTATTTCATTGTGTATATATACATATATACATTTACATATAATGAATGTATATGTATTTATATATGTGTATATATAATGTATGTATATGTGTGTGTATGTATACACTCACACGCATAGAAACACATATATAATTTTATATACCACACCCCACATTTTTAATTTAATCACCCATTGATGGACACTCAGGTTGATTCCACATCTTTGCTATTGTGAATAGTGCTTTGATAAACATATGACTGCAGGTATCTTTTTGATAAAATAATTTATTTTCTTTTGGGTAGATATCCAGTAGTTGGATTACTGAATCATATAGTAGTTCTATGTTTAGTTCTTTGAGACATCTCCAAAGAATATCTCCATATGTTTTCTACAAAGGTTGTACAAATTTACATCCCCACCAACAGCGTAAAAGTGTTCCCTTTTCTTTGCATCCTTGCTAACATTTGTGATTTTTTGTCTTTTTAGAAATAGCCACTCTAATTGGCATAAAATAATATCTCATTGTGGTTTTAATTTGCATCTCTCTGGGGATTATTCATGTTTAGCATTTTTAGTATGGTTTTTGGCCACTGATATATTTTCCTTTGAAAATTATCTGTTCATGTCCTTTTCCCACTTTTTATTGGGGTTATTTGTTTTGTTGTTGTTATTTGGTTGTTTGAGATCCATTAGATTCTGGATATTAGTCCCTTGTTGGATGCACAGTATACAAATATTTTCTCCCATTCTGCAGGTTGTCTGTTCACACTGATGACTATTTATTTTGCTGTGCAGAAGCTTTTTGTAGTCTTATTAAGTTTCATTTGTTAATTGCTGTTTTTGTTGCATTTGCTTTTGAGGTCTTAGTCATGAATTCTTTGCCCAGGTCAATGTCTAGAAGAGTTTTCCCTAGTTTTTCTTCAAGTATTTTTACAGTTTCAGTTCTTACATATAAGTTTTTAATCCATCTTGAGTTTATTTTCATATATAGTGAGAGATAAGGATCAATTTTCATTCTTCTGTATATGGCAATTCATTTTTTCCAGCACCATATATTGAAAAGTATATGTTTTTGTTAACTTTCTCAAAGGTCAGTTGGCTGTAGGTATGTGGTTTTATTTCTGGCTTTATAAGTGTGTTCCATTGATCTGTGTATCTATTTTTATACCAGTGACATGCTGTTTTGTTTACTATAGCCTTGTAATATAATTTGAAGTCAGGTAATGTGATGCCTCCAGCTTTGTTCTTTTTGTTCAGGATTGTTTGATCTGTTTGGGCTGTTTTTGGTTCTACGTGAATTTTAGGATTACTTTTTCTAATTCTCTGAAATCATAACATTGGCATTTTGACAGGAAGTGCATTGAATGTGTAGATTGCTTTCAGAAGTATAGTCATTTAAATGCTATTGATTATTCCAATCCATGACATGAGATGTTTTCCCATTTGTCTGTCTGTCGTATTAGTCTGTTCTCATGCTGCTAATAGAGACATACCTGAGACTGCATAATTTTTAAAGGAAAGAGGTTTAATTGACTCACAGTTCAGCATGGCTGGGCAGTCCTCACAATCATAGTGGAAGGCAAAGGAGAAGCAAAGGCATGTCTTACATGGCAGTAGACAATAGAGGTTGTGCAGGGAAATTCCTATTTATAAAACCATCAGGCCAGGCATGGTGGCTCATGCCTGTAATCCCAGCACTTTGAGAGTCCACAGCGGGCAGATCACTTGAGGTTAGGAGTTCGAGACTAGCCTAGGCAACATGGTGAAACCCTGTCTCTACTAAAAATACAAAAAAATTAGCTGAGCATGGTGGCGTGCATTTGTAATCCCAGCTATTCAGGAGGCTGAGGCAGGAGAATCGCTTGAACCCAGGAGGTGGAGGTTGCAGTGAACTGAGATCGTGCCACTGCACTCCATCTCACAAAAATAAAACAAAACAAAACAAAAAACCCTTCAGATCTTATGAGACTTATTCACTACCACAAGAACAGTATGAGGGAAACTGCCCCCCATGATTCAGATATCTCTACCTTGCCCTGCCCTTGACACATGGAGATTATTACAATTCAAGGTGAGATTTGGGTGGGTACACAGCCAATCCATATTATCTGTGTTATCTACAATTTCTTTCATCACTGTTTCATAGTTTTCCTTATAGAGATCTTTCACCTTCTTCGTTAAATGTGTTCTTAGGTTTTTTATTTTATTTTATTTTATTTTTTGTAGTTGTTGTAAATGAGATTGCCTTCTCAATTTGGTTGTCAGCATGATTGTTATGGGTGTATATAAATGTTACTGATGTTTCAGTTATTCATTTCATATCCTGAAACTTTATTGAATTCATTTATCAATTCTAGGAATCTTTTGAAGAGTCTTTAGTTTTTTCTAGGTATAATATTATATCATAAGCACACAGAGATAATTTGACTTCTCCTTTTTCAATTTGAATGCCTTTTACTTTTTTCTTCTGCCTGATTACTCTGGCAAGGACTTCTAGTACCATGCTGAATAGGAGTGGTGAAAGTGAGTATTCTTGTCTTGTTCTAGTTCTCAGGGAAAATGCTTTCAACGTTTTCCTTGTTAGTATGATGTTCACGGTAGGTTTGTCATATATAGATTTTGTGAGGTATGTTCCTTTGATGCCTAGTCTGTTGAGGATTTTTATTATGAAAAGATGCTGACTTATATTGAATGATTTTTCTCCATCTATGATTTTATGGTTTTAATTATATTCAATGTTTGAAGGTTTGTTTATATCCCATAAAATGGTCTACCTTAGTGAGTTTTCCATGTACCCTTGAAAAGAATGTATATTTTTCTTTTCTTGGCATCTATAAATGTCTGTTTGGTCAAGTTATTTCATAAGGATTTTCAGGTCTTTAATATACTTATTAACTTTCTATTTATTTGATAAATTACTAAGAAAGAAGGATGAAATGCCCAACTATTGTAAAGTTGTCTATTTCTTCTTTGATTTATATGTTTTTGTTTTATATATTGTTAAGTAGATATTGTTAGTTGCATACACATTATATTCCTTTTTATTCTTTAACATGTTATAATAAGACTTCATTGCTTCAAATCATTTGTGTTGATATTTTATAAATTTTACATGGGGTTAGTTATGAATCACACTGAAAATCAATTTTCTTCTGATTAATCATATCTATTTATGTGTGTTTAATATATGTTTATGTATATATTTCATTATATGTATACCACACCGTCCAATTTATTTGGTTTCTAAATGTCTATAGTGAGCATTCAATAGCAATGGATACAAAATTATTTTTAAATATTTTATTTCTGGCTTTTGAAAAATGAGATCTGGGATATAAGAAATTTGAATAGCAAGAGGTATCCATATATAATAAAGGAAGTATGATGTATAGATGAAGGGATGGAAGAATTTTGAATAGAACTTCAGGGTAAAGTAATAGGTAATAGGCAAATTTAAATACACTTTAAATATGTAGTATACCACATACCAAATGAATTATAGACAAATTGTAATAGCTCATAGATTACAGTCCCATCAGTTGAGTGGACCATGTGAAGCCTCCTAATACTTTGAGCCTTTAGATGATTACAGACTTAGCCACCACATAACCACAATCACATTTGAAACTTCAAGCTATAACCCTATGCGAGACTCCAATCTGATTTTATCACACAAGCCAAATCTACTTATAGAACATTGAGATTCTGGTATTTTGAATGGCTCAAGGTTGGAGCATTTTCTAATCAGCATTAGATAACCAGAATAGGCTGAAGAGAGCTACTCAGTTGGAATTATAGGATATAAACCTAAGATAACAACATAGGGCAAACCAAAAGCCCAGAAGAGCCAACAGGTGTGTGGAAAATTTTCCAGGATATAGAAATGGATGACAAATGCCCAGCTGAACTTGAGAATTGCTTTTACTTCATATCCTCTTCCTTTTGGAATAAGAGTATTTATTGAGGTTATCCTATCTACATCTGTAGTGGGATGGGTCTCCCACAAGGTGACTAAAGGGTGTACGCCTGCTGCCTGAACCCTGAAGGCCAGGCTGAGAGCCAGGCCATGGTGCCCAGCTGAGGAGCAGGTGTCTCTGAGAACCTAAACATATCAGAGAGCATCAGATAATGTACCAAGGAAAACAGTCCCATCACACAAACACACACACACGCGCGCGCGCGCGCGCGCACACACACACACACACACACACACACACACACACAGTGGGTAAAGAGCCAGAAAGTTACTTTAAAAGCAGCTTATAAATGGGAGGCAGGGCAGATCTCTAAAGCTATCCTGCTGCCAACCTGGAGTGCCTCCTATGTAAGTTCTATAGACACATCTACTCACCAAGCTGGACTGGTTTGAGTCATTCTTTGGTCCCTTGGCTCCCTTCCAGTTTGGGGGAAGGGCTTTTAGAAATACGATTCTTGATTTTCCTCTTTACAATATCTCTCCACTATATGTTGTACGTATTAATATAAGCATCAGGTAACTAGTCTGTATAGTTCAAAGAACTTTGGGTTGAGAGGTGCCAAACTCAAGAACCGCACCTAGGGGCCTCATTCAGACCAAGATATGATTTAGATAACAAGACCCTGAACTTTGAGTCTGAGCCTGATGCTATAATAAGATGAGACTTTGGGGAGTGTTTTAGAAGAAGGTGAGTGCATTTTGCATGTAAGAATATAAAAAATAACCTTTTGACCATAGGGCTAGATTAAATAAGTTACAATTATTTGAAACTTCTCCCTTTGAGACTTTTAATTGCTCCCCTTTGAAACTACACTGCCCTTAGTGACTAGTTTGACCAATAAAATGCAGTAGATGGGATGTTTAAAGGTCTCAGAAGCTGAGTCATATGAAGCCTTAAAACTTCTGCCAGGGTCTCTAAGAATGTTAACTCTCGAAATATTACTCTTCAAATTTAGCTGCCTTACTGTGAAAACCCCAAGGCACTTGGAGAGGTCATATAAAGATGCTCTAGTTGACAGCCTCACCTAAGCATCGAGCCAGCAATCATCATTTAATGCCAACCATGTGAGTAAGCCGATTTGGTTTTAAAATATAGCCAAGGTTCAAATGGCTGCAGCCTCAATGAACATTTAACTGCAATCACAAGAGAGACCCTCAGTGTGCACTGCCCATCTGAGGCCACGTAACCCACAGAATCAAGAAAGATAATAATAAATTGTTGTTTTAAGCCACTAAGTATTAGAGTTACTTGTTACACAGAAATAGACAACCCAGATACCTACTGATATAACATTTTAAAATAGTATTAGTTGTATTCTATACTTCATAGTCTGTTCTCTGTTTTGCTATCTGAAGCCTACAATGCTGCTTTCCCAATTTTCTCATTTTGAATATTATTTTATTATAGCATATTTTCTTTCCAAGTGAACATGAGATTTTTAATAATGTTCCCTGATAATTGATTATGATTTTAGTTTTTATTGAGCCTTTCAAAAATTTAGCTGCGATTACATTTTTTCAAATTCTAGCTCCAAACTCTTAGAACTGCTAAGTGATAAAAAATGGATTCATTTGAGAATGAAAATCTAGAATAGAAATCATGTTTTTAAATGTGCCTACCATTTTTATCAACTTTAGATAAACATTTTATTCAGACTTTTGGAATATTTAGAACATTTAATGGTGTAAACATGAGCATTGGCAACTAAATACCGTTTGATCTTTCTTGCATTTGTAAGTATTTTAGTTTCATTCAAATTATGTTAATTTTCAGGTGTGCTGAATCTCCTTTACAGGTGGTCTATTTTTGCATAGTCATCAATATTTAAATGGCAAAGATAACCTTGGAAAAAATGATGAACTTTGCTAAACAATTCCTCTGTCATGTATGTTCTAAGAGCCAGATCATTATTCTAAAATTCTTTATTTACATTGACCTTGAATACATTACTTAGTGTTTTCCCTGAAAGTGATGTTTAAGAAAGAAAATAATACTTAACTCTCTATTCATCTCCAAAACAATTAATTAACATGGCCACTCATTTAAAAAAAAAAGCAACAAGCTTATAGTAGATCATTGCTATAACAATAATCACATTTACTAGAGTAGAAATCAGTATCAGAAATCCTTATTATACCACACAGAGCTTCCCAGTGTGGAATAGTTTTAACAAAGGACAAATGATCATAAAATCTTCAATAGTTTTAACATCAAATTACTAAAGCGTGGAATCTTATAAGTCAGAAATCAAAAACATCTTTTCAGTATTATCTCTGTCATTCAGTTTTCAGTCTCCCATTACCTCTTACTTGGTTCTTCTGGTTAATTTGCCCAACTGTCAGTTCTTAGAAGGCACTCTGCTGAGTCTTACATTCATGTATATTATCTACAATTCTTCCACTGCCTAGAATATTCTTCACAAGCTACCACCAGGTCTATCCCCACCTACTCAACTCTTCCTCTTCTTACAAATTATTTTGACCTTATCACACTTTTCCTGATGCTCTTCTTGCTATAAACAAAATTGGAACTGCCCTCATTTGTGTCTCATACATCCGTATCTAATTGCCTATAACAGATTGTTTCATGTGACTTTATAAGTATGAATCACTCCACCATCATGTGATTCTTAAATATAAAGACTGTAACTTATTTGTCCTTGTGTTCACTTGACTGGCAAAAGTGATTATACACAGCAGGCCATATATTTATTTATTGAGTCAGTGAATGAATAAATGAATGAATGAATATATAAAATGATCTTAAACTCATCTCATCTTGAACCCAGGTACTGTAGTGGTATCTATTACATAAATTTGTATAGAATTGAAGACAAATAGTAATTTCAATGTTGTTACAGGAAGATAATTTTTCATCTTCCTTTACAAATCCAGCATGAAGGTTACATTCCATTCTCATACTCCATCATCACATCTATAATCTATTTTCTCTTGGCTTCAAAATTACTTCTGGGTATTAAGGCCTTTGCCTTAAATGAAAAAAAAAGTATATGTGTGTTTTCTCATTTTATAAAATGGTATTTAAAAACAGTAAATAAAACATTTTGACCTTTTTTCATATTGCTGTTTTACACTTTTGAAATAGAAGTCCTACTTATTCCAGTCATTTTTTATAACATAAACTTATATTTCTAGGAATACAATTACATGAATATATAGTCCTGTCCATCCCCCTAACGTTCTCCTAATAAATAATGCCAAAATCAGGAGTATATATTTGTCAGAAGTATAACAAATAATTATAAAAATGATTGTTACTGAATACATTATGTAGGAATAGAATTGAGTTTCAGAAGAGAAAGTGGCTCCTTATACTGATCTCCTATCTTTTCAATTAAAAAAAAAGTAGTCTGTATTTTTAAATATTAGATTTTAGGAAAAGTCTGACAGTGGAGGAAGTTTATTCTTCATTGCTCCTTTTGCTTTTTTGGTTATTTTTTTTTTCAGTATCTTTCAAATAAAACTAGTGAGACCTACCTGGCCAATGGCTATTGAATATTTTTGTATTCTTTGTGTGCACAGCTTCAACCACAATTTTTGATTACCTGTTCTGGCATGATCACAATTTCCTGTAATAGTTCTTTTCTCTCCCAGGGGAAATTAATGTCTGTTTGTAGCATTTGTCCCTTATTTTCTTTGTGAAAACTGAGACAAGAAAGCAAGGGATTAATTTAATATTTTAGCAATATCCATTTCATTTGTCGATAATTTATTCTTATAATTTTTACTCTGCAAGCTTCTTAAGGGTGACCTCTTGTCCTTTATATGCCCAAAACACATTTTGTATAGTGTTTTGACCTCCTGTGATATTTTTCATTCATTCTTCACTTAGGCGTTCCCTTTTATTTTGCTCTCATGACTGTGCCCTTTGTCTCTTTCCTGCAATTCCAGATAACCAATATTTTATACCTCATATCTGAGCTGCTCACATACTTGATTACTTTTTACAAATCATTTTTCATTCATATTGGATTTTTTAAAAATTCTGTGATATTTTCTTTTAGGTTACACATAAACACACTCCTTTGGGAACACTGAGTGTTAATTTACTTTGGAACATGCTCCATTTTCTCTTCTCTTTTTTATTTGAGTCCACAGGAAAAAAAAAGGCTTTTTTTTTTTTTTTTTTTTTGAGACGGAGTCTTGCTCTATTGCCAGGCTAGAGTGCAGTGGCATGATCTCGGCTCACTGCAATCTCCGTCTCCCGGGTTCAAGCAATTCTCCTGCCTCAGCCTACCTAGTAGCTAGGACTACAGGCACGCACCACCACGCCAAGCTAATTTTTGTATTTTTAGTAGAGACAGGGTTTCATCATGTTGGCCAGGATGGTCTCGATCTCTTGACCTTGTGATCGCCTGCCTCGGCCTCCCAGAGTGCTGGGATTACAGGTGTGAGCCACTATGCCCAGACAAAAAAAGAACATTTTTTTTTCCCACAAATACAGTACTGCAGGTTACCAATTCCTTATTTTTCCTTTATTTTTCCTGTATTGAATCTTTTACTCCCTTATTAATCTCAGACGTTTCCTAACATTTCTTTATTCCCTGTTATTTTATACTTGTATGGAGGCATCTTAAAACATGGCTCTATTGTATGTGTTAATAAAAGTTAACACAGTAAATGTGTTCCTACATTTGAACTTCCCCTTTAACTATAACCATTCCTGGTCAAACATGCAAAGAACATGTCAGAATAGCAATAATCTGTTCCCAATTTAGTTTTCTTGTTTTAGATATTTTATAGTTCCTTTCTGTCTTCAATGTTCCTGAAATAAATTCCTTAGACATAGTTATTTTTGATCTCTTTTAAAAATATGCTCTGTACTCTTTAAACTTTGTATCTGATGCTGTGTCTTTTTTCCCATCCAGTTGATTTATTTACTTATGCATTTATTTATTAGAGATGGTGGCTGGTCGTGCTGCCCAGAGTGATCTCAAACTTCCGGGCTTAAGCCATTCTACAGCCTCGGCCTCCCAGAGTGCAGGGATTACAGGTGTGAGCCACTAGTTCCCAGCCCATTCAATTTTGGATTCACATGCAGTTTTAAGAAATAATACAGAGAAAACCTGTGTACCCTTTACCCAGTTTCCTTTCGATGGTAACACCCTGAAAAACTACAATACAATATCAGAATAAGGGTATCACAGTAAAGATACAGAACATTGGCATCATCACAAAGATCCCTCATGTTCCCATGTTTTGGCCATACCCAATTCTCATTTCTAGAATTTTGCATAGATTGCATCATATATTTGTGACCTTTTCGGATTGGCTTTCTTTTCACTCGGCATCAATCTTTGGAGCCTCATCCAAGTTATTACAGGCTTCCATAGCTTATTGCTTTTCCTTTTATTACTGAGTAGCATTTCATGGTATGGATGTATTACAACATGTTTAACCATCCGCCTGTTGCAGGAAATCTAGGTTGCTTTCAGTTTGGGGCCCCTATGAATAAAGATGCTATAAATATTCATGTGCAGTGTTCTGTATGAACCGAACTTTTCATTTCTGTGGAATAGATATCAAGGAATCAAATCGCTGGGTTGCCGGTTAGTTGAATATTGAGTTTTTTAAATAAACCGCAAAAATATTTTCTAGAGAGGCTGTACAACTTTATATTTCCACCAGCAACAATTTGTGAGTCAGTCAGTTTCCCTTCATCCTTCCCAGCATGTGATACCCAAATTTTTACATTTAGCCATTCTAACAGGTGTTGTAGTGATACGTCATGCGGTTTTTTAATTTGCATTTTCTTAATGCCTAATAATGTTGAACATATTTTATATGTGTATTTTCCATCTGCATGGCTTCTTTGATTTATGTCTTTTCATTATTTACTCATTGAATTGTTTTTTACTATTGTCTGTGAGAGTTTTTTATGTATCCTAGATACTGTTCTGTTGTCAGTTACGTAGTTTGCAAATAATTTCCTATAGTGTGTAGCTTGTGATTTCAATTTCTTAAAAGGATCTCTCACAGAGCAGAAGTTTTTAATTGCTGTCTTTTTTAATCTTGGCCAACCTTGATGACTGGCTTAACCAAAAAACTAGAGTGAAAGTGAAATTGCAGGACTTAACAGGTTAGATCATAAGAAGCCATAAAACTTCACGTTTCTCTTACACATGACAGTGAGATTTGCCTTGGTTTCGGTAACTTTGATGATTTCGAGGAATATTGACCAGATGTTTGGTAGACGTCACTCAGTTGGGATTTATCTGATGATTGTCATTTAATAATCACTTGGTGATGATTGTGTGGCATGTAAAATAACTGGAATACTGATAATTAATGTCAAGTTGTGGAAAAATTGATGCAATAAGGAAATGGTACTTCCTGAACCTATGCAGTGCAACTTGTACAAATGTGGTGTTTCCTTAATTGCAAGATCAGGGACACAGGATTTTTGTGAAAAAAGGAAAATGAATTAGTGAATTAAAAAATTATGAGTGCAAAACAGTATACCCTTAAATATACTTAGGATTGTGCTTCTTGCTGTCATTTCTTCCCATTTCTAGAAGAGAGATGAGCTAATGCACAGGTATATGTACATTACCAAATATATCAACAAGTAATAATATACCAAGCAGCTGCATCCCTATTAAACCTAGGGTTTGCTTTTCTGTGTAAGCACTGTAAGCAGGAACATATATGCCATCCATTTACCAGCCTGTTGTAGACTCCTTTTTGTGTCTTCCTAACCACATAAAGTAAAATTAAGTGATGATGACAAGCGTCACTTCTTTTAAAAAATGGAAAAAAAGAACTTCATATTTAAAGGAAGTTGTTGTAGAAAATATATAGTTGTAATTTTGTCTATTCCAGCAATCTCTGCATTTTATTTGGTGTATTTAGACCTTTCACATTTATAGTGATTATTCATATACTGGAATTAATACTGAGCATGCTTGCAAATGTTTTCTATTTGTTAAATGTTTCTTCATTTTTGTTCCTACTCTACTACCTTCTCTAGTTTTCACTGAGCATTTAGATGATTCTGTTATATCTCCTCTCTGAGAATATCAATTATATTTATTTTTAATAGTTTTTGAAGGCTGTCAAAGAGTTTGCAATATATTGTTTTAACTAACCTAAAATCTAAGTCTACTTTTAAATAACACTATATTCCTTCAGTTATATTGCAGGAATCTGATAACAAGAGTATTCCAAATTCTGCTTCTCCAGTTCTTATGACACTGCTGCCATTCATTTCACTGATAAATATGCTACAATCACTCAACATAGTGTTATTACTATTACTTTTTAAAATAGTTATCTTTTAGATCGATTAAAAAAATAGGCTGGGCGTGGTATCTCATGCCTGTAGTCACTGCACTTTGGGAGGCTGAGGAGGGAATATCACATAAGCCCAAGAGTTTGAGACCAGCCTGGGCAACATAGTAAGCCCTCATCTCTACTACAAATTTAAAAAAACATCAGGTGTTGTGGCACATACCTGTGATCTTAGCTACTTAGGAGGCTGAGCCAGGACCATCACTTCAGATCAGGAGGTCGAAGCTGTAGTGAGCTGTTGATTGTTCTACTGCATCTCAGTCTGGGCAACAGAGTGAGACCCTGTCTCAAAAAATAGTAATAATGAATAAAAATTTAAAAATAAAATATTATGTTTTACCTACATACATTCCTTCTTTAATGATTTTTCTTTCTTTGTAGATCCACATGTTTGGCCTATGTAATTTTCCTTCTGCCTGGATAAAATCTTTTAAGATTTTTCATAGAGGCAATCTGCCAGTGATGAATTTCCTCAGTTTTTGTCTGTCTGAAAAAGTCTTTATTTCTTCATCACTCTTACATATAGTTTCACTTCACAGAGATTTCTAGATTTTTTTCTTTCAAATACTTAACTATTTATGTGACTGTTTCTTGCTTTCACAGTTTCTAATAAGACTTTTATAATTCTTATCCTTGTTTGTCTATGGATAAGGCTACCACATGCTCTCTTGGTTTCTTTAAGATTTTTCTCTTTGTTTTTATCCATTTGTATAGGGCATGATTTTATATAGTTCTTATTTTATTTCATTAGTGTGTACTCTAGTTGGTATTCCTGAGTTTTTGGATTCCGTGGCTTAGTGTCTGTCATTAATTTTGAAAATGTCTTGGCCATTATGACTTCAAGTACTTACCCTTTCCCCTTCTCTCTGTATTTTCATTTTGGTATTTCAATTATGTCTATATTCTACTGTTTCAAATTATCCCACAGTTTTTCAGCATTGTGTAATTTTTAAATATTTTTCTGTATGCATTTGAATTTGTAACATTTCTATTGACCCATCTTTAAACTTACTGATCTTGCCTCAACCATGCCTAGATTACTGATGAATTCATTAATGGCTTCTTCACTTTTGTAACAGGGTTTTTGTTTTTTAACATTTTTCCCTTGGAATTATCTTTTCTCATTGCCCATATTTTGTCAAAATCTAATTTTTGTCATTAGAGTTTCTAATAGAGTGATAGATATTTTAACTTCCCTATCTGATAATTCTAAAAATCTCTGTCCCATCTCTGTCCTTCTGAGTCTTGTTCTGAAGCCTGCATTTTTCTCTTCCTTCTGTTTTCCCTTCTCATTTAGAATGCTTATAGATTTTTGTTTAAAACTGAATAAAAATGAATTCTTACATAGCCAGAGAAAGGTGAGGAGCATAGACACCTAACTTTCTTTAGAATTACTGCTTTTCTTCTGGTGCTCTTGCAGCAACTAAGAAATAATTATTAGTTTTAATTTAACTTCTAAACATATAAATACAAAATTTACATAATATCGAGTATGTATTTAAAACGACTATTAACCAATACCTCTTTCCCTTAAATCCCAACAGATCTATATTCACAGGGAAAATCACCACATATACATTTGTGTTCACAGACAACATCCAGAAAATGGTGGAAAAAAAGGAAACTACAATTTATTGAAAACCTATAGCCTGACCTAGGCTAACTTGTATTTATAGTTATTTGTTTACTTAACTGTCAAGTAGCTCTATTAGGAGGTCATTATTACTATTTTACACATGAGAAATCAAAGGTTTATAACAAAAAACACTGCCAAATTCATGAACTAAACTTTGTTACAGTAAATATTTATAACTAGACAGCTTATTTAACCCAAACCTAGTGACAATATGAAACAGATGAGATTGCTTCTTTGCTTTAAAATGATAGCAAGCACTTTGCATATACCTGATCATTATTATAGTCAGTAGGGAGAAATATTTGTTCTGCCATTTTTTTCCTATTCTGCACCCCATAAGTTCTTTACCATATTGTAAAACCTATACATGCTATATTCTAATCGCCCCTTAAAATATGTCCTACTTCAACATTAATTTATTTTCTTGTTTGAAATGCATTAAGACATCATATAGACACTCTTTTGCTAAAACTATAAATTCAGCTTCCTAGGAGCTCAACAAGTCAGCACCAAATATTCATGTAATTCTCCAAAGTTATATAGATCCACAAAAATACTGCATTTTGCACTTTGTGGAAACAGATGCATTTTGTATGAAGTGTTTCTTCTTGTGTTAGCTGCTAATCTCTTCGCCTAGGAAACCATAATCCTACCTTCTCTTAAATCCTATCCTGGAAAAGAAACCATGTCAAGAAAAAAAAAAAAAAAGAGGAAACTTAATACAACTTAAGGTGAATCAGTAAGCCTTAACTATGTCTACACAAAATCAGCTCCAGCTGTAACACAGTTATGGTCAGAGCTTTAATTCAAAACACTTAACATGTTTTGTCATGACAAATCCAACATCCTGAGAAAATTGTATTTTGAAAACTCTTTTCCTTAGATGGTAATTTAACAAAAATTCTTAAACAAAAATAAATATATACAGTTGAATTGTAATTAAGTAGGAATTAATAGAACAGTTTCTACGAAAATATCATGTTACTAAAGTTCTTTAGAAATAGTCACATTAAAATGTTCATTCTATAGGAGTTTTCACTCAGTAGGAAATGACCTCACCATCACAGTAGGAAGTAAACTACTCTTATCTCAGACAGACAACTTAATTAGTAATCTTACCTTTAGAACTGTGAGGCCTTTCTTTATGTTCATTCTTTTCTGGTGTATTTTACAGAGTCAAGGATTTCTGAGTTGTGTGATTTACATGAAAGATCAGTGGTTTTTTCACGATTTTCCTCCTGGGAGCACCGGACTTAATCTGCATAGTCAGTAAACTTAAGATTTCACAGCTTTAATATTAAGCGTCTGATTACAAGAATGGTTATCTTGTACTTCACCAAATGTTAAACAAAAATACAACAAACAAAATAACAAGATCAAACTAAATTTCGTTTCCCAAAAAAACTCACTTTTTTCTAGGAAGCTAATTTTCTGAGATGCTATGCAATAGCACGGTGGAAACAAAATCAGATAAAAGATCCATTTTCAATATTTGAGATAGGGAGCAAAAGTCAGGAGTGCAGTTAATATTTCCATAAACATATTTTCTTTTTTGACTAAATATCAAAGTGTTTCAGACATTTATGAAGGAATTTGGCCAAGATAAAGAAAATAAAAGTGTGAGGAATAATACCAGGCCATTTTTTTTTAGTATCTCAGTGTTTCAGTAATCTGTTTAATAGTAACAAAATGCTATTGCTTAATAGGAAGATTGTTCTTGAGAGTGTTTGATAATACAACAGAAATAGAAAACACTATTTCCATTGTCTGTACTTTAGAGATATCCATATAAATACATATTAAAAATAAAAATATATGACGTTAAAAGAATACCTGACTTCAAATTATGCTACAAGGCTACAGTAACCAAAACAGCAGATACTGGTACCAAAACAGAGATATAGACCAATGGAACAGAACAGAGCCCTCAGAAATAGTGCTGCATATCTACAACTATCTGATCTTTGACAAACCTGATGAAAACAAGAAATGGGAAAGGATTCCCTATTTAATAAATGGTGCTGGGAAAACTGGCTAGCCATATGGAGAAAGCTGAAACTGGATCCCTTCCTTACACCTTATACAAAAATTAATTCAAGATGGATTAAAGACTTAAATGTTAGACCTAAAGCCATAAAAACCCTAGAAGAAAACCTAGGCATTACCATTCAGGACATAGGCATGGACAAGGACTTCATGTCTAAAACACCAAAAGCATTGGCAACAAAAGCCAAAATTGACAAATGGGATCTAATTAAACTAAAGAGCTTCTGCACAGCAAAAGAAACTACCATCAGAGTGAACAGGAAACCTACAGAATGGGAGAAAATTTTTGCAATCTACTCATCTGACAAAGGGTTAATATCCAGAATCTACAATGAACTCAAACAAATTTACAAGAAAAAAACGACCCCATCAACAAGTGGGCAAAGGATATGAACAGACACTTCTCAAAAGAAGACATTTGTGCAGCCAACAGACACATGAAAAAATGCTCACCATCACTGGCCATCAGAGAAATGCAAATCAAAACCACAATGAGATACCATCTCACACCAGTTAGAATGGCGATCATTAGAAAGTCAGGAAACAACAGGTGCTGGAGAGGATGTGGAGAAATAGGAACATTTTTACACTGTTGGTGGGACTGTAAACTAGTTCAACCATTGTGGAAGTCAGCTTGGTGATTCCTCAAGGATCTAGAACTAGAAATACCATTTGACCCAGCCATCCCATCACTGGGTATATACCCAAAGGATTGTAAATCATGCTGCTATAAAGACACATGCACATGTATGTTTATTGCGGCACTATTCACAATAGCAAAGACTTGGAACCAAGCCAAATGTCCAACAATGATAGACTGGATTAAGAAAATGTGGCACATATACACCATGGAATATTATGCAGCCACGAAAAATGATGAGTTCGTGTCCTTTGTAGGGACATGGATGAAGCTGGAAACCATCATTCTCAGCAAACTATCACAAGGACAAAAAACCAAACACCACATGTTCTCACTCATAGGTGGGAATTGAACAAGGAGAACACATGGACACAGGAAGGGGAATATCACACACTGGGGCCTGTTGTGGGGTGGGGGGAGTGGCGAGGGATAGCATTAGGAGATATACCTAATGTAAATGACGAGTTAATGGGTGCAGCACACCAACATGGCACATGTATACATATGTAACAAACCTGCACGTTGTGCACATGTACCCTAAAACTTAAAGCATAATAAAAAAAGAATATAATTCATAATACAATCAATATTATAGAGTAAATTGAGGCTGAGTATGGTGGCTCATGCCTGTCATCCCAGCACTTTGGGGGGCCAAGGTGGGTGGATCATTTGAGGCCAAGAGACCAGCTTGGTCAACATGCTGAAACCCTGCCTCTACTAAAAATAGAAAAATTACCCGGTGTGGTAGTGCATGCCAGTTTTCCCAGCTACTCAGGAAGCTGAGGCAGGAGAATTGCTTGAACCCAGGAGGCAGAGTTGGCAGTGAGCCGAGATGGCACCACTGCACTTCAGTCTGGGTGACACAGCAAGACTCCGTTTCACAAAAACAAATAAACAAAAAATTTTAGAGTCAATTGGATAATTAAAGTTATTCATACATGGAGAGTACAAAATAAATAAAACTTTCTAATGCAGCTTTTGGTAGCACTAATATTATAGAGTGGTAACAAACACAGAAAAAGAATGTATATAAAGTATTTTATTTCTTGAGAGACAATAATTCGTCTGGGATTTTGGCAAAAGCTAGTGTAGTATTTCATGTTGTTAATTTAATATTTACAAATATGTACATTTGACATATTGATATACATATATATTTAAATAGGTAATTAGAGTATGCAGTTAATTTTTTTAGATGGCAAATCACTGAAATGCAACACTATACTCATTATATGGATCATAACAAGATACATAAAGCAGTCATTATTCTACTTTGTGTCCATTATTCACTAGCGTATTTTATTATTCCTCAACTCCCAGATTCTCAATATAAGTGATATCATAACTTAATTAATATGAATTTAAATTAAAACATAGTAGAGATTTGGGTTGTAACTTTATGCTTGGGCATAATTTTTGTCACATTTATGTGACAAAATGCTTGGACATATTGTTATTCATTGCTATAATTATTAAACACACATGGCACATTATATGCATATATTTAATTCTGTAATAAAAGGATTCACAGATGTGGAAATGGAGATGAAAAGAAACTAAGAAGTGACAGAGGTTTATTTTGAACCAGGTCTGTGTGCTACCAAGATCGGCAGCAACCTCCATATCCTGCTCTATCTTATAAGACCCACATAGGTCGTTAAACTGATAATAATAAATCTTCAAGCAAATATCTGATTTCTGTAATGTAAGATGAGAAAAGTTGGCCTTCCGATTTTATAAGTTTGATTCGACTGCTTTGCACAAAATAGTACTTATATAAAAATGGGAACCCTTCCATTTTATAATTACAGAAAATAAAAAATTGGTTTTGAAGCTATTTTTCCCATGAAGAAGGAGCGTGTCTAGTATTATTATAAGCACTCATGAGAAAGGGCACCATAATCCCGAAGGCTCCTGTCTTTCTGATTTATAAATATTAAAATAATAATGCAAATTTCCCTACAGAAATGCATAACAAAGTGTCCACCTACATTTCTAGGATCCAATAGAGGATGTGTTTTATTTTACTTTCAGAAGAAGACATTTTTGATGGTGGTTTTAAAATTTATACTGTATTCCCAAGTAGTGGATGACTATTTAATCATAGAATTTAATTATGTCAAGCTTTTAAAGAATGTTAGACATCATGTTGTTATACAGCTTTTCTGGTCCTTAAACTTTTTTCTTTATTATTTTCTTTCTTGTCTTCTTTTCCCTCTTTGTCTCTCTGTTCTTCCTCCTATTTCCCCATAAACTGTTTATTATTGTGAAAAATGGTGACAAAAAAAATCTTACAACCATTACTTTAATGTGGCTTTCTCTTTGAGTGCAGGGCATCGTTACCATGTGGCTTAACTATAGATAGACGGCTGTTCTGAATTAGGTAGAATGTTACTTTTTTCAGTTCAGTTCAGTTAAGTCAAAGTTGTAGAAATCAATTACAGATGTTTGAGATCCTGGACATCATAACTCTTTAACACTTTTTGTTTATACCACTCATTTGGAATAAAGCATATGCTACTTTATATTTTAAATAATTTTATAAGTCTTTTTGTCTGCATTTTATTATAAACTTCAATGCAAACATAATTAAAATTTCCAAACAGAATGTTATATTTAGCCCCATACACAATATATTTTCTATACATATTTGTTGTTTCAACACAATTTAAAACAACCCAGATGTATTGAATGGCCTACTGTAGGTGACTCAAGTAAGAGAAAATAGTTGTTTTTACATAAAATAAATGTAGAACCAATGTTCAGTGGGGTTTTAGATGTATTGGGAGGAAAAACTTCTACTATAAATGTGATGCAATGTCGCCTAGAGAGAGTGTTTACTTTACCAAGATAGATAAATCATTAATAAAGTATTACCATTTTTTACTTTTCTCAGAAGAATGACATTTCATTGATAGTCATTGAAGTTAATACTTAGTAGATGATCAATAAATTTTGACTAGCAGTAATGTTTTTAAACAGGTGAACAAAATGAAAGGGCCATAATAAGACTCAAGGTTAAAGGTAAACTGGGCAAATTATCCGATTCAATTAGAACACAAATAGCATTATGTTGAAGGGAGAGAAATTTGCCTATAGTTTTAATTATTAATATTACATAATCACAGACTGTGTAGAAAGCAGTAAAATTGTCCCCAGAGATGTCCACACCTTAATTTCTTAGAGACTGTAAGTAGGGAAGAAGGGACTTTGCAGGTATGATTAAAAGTATAAACCTTGAGATAGGGAGATTAACTTGAATTATCTGGATGAGTACAATTAAATCACATGAGTTCTTAATAACAGAGAACCCTTCCTATCTATGGTTGATGAGTGATGTGATTGTGGAAGAAGAGTCAGAGGGATGTGCTGTTCTTGACTTCGAAAATGAAGAAAGTAAATCATGAGCCAAGTAACACAGGCAGCCTCTGGAAATAGAAAAGGCAAGGAAACAGATCCTCCTTTAGAGCTCCTAGGAAGGACACAGTTCTGTCCAACTCCTGTTGGACTTCTAATCCAAAAAAAATATATAATAAATTTATGGTATTTTAAGCATGCTAACTTCATAGTAATTTGTTACAGCAGCAATGGGAAACTGTACAGTATTATGTGACATTCTATGTGGTTAAAATTAATTTATCAGACTGTAGAGAGCTAATAAAGCTTTTCAATCAAGGCAGTGATTTTACTTAATTTCATATGTATTAGGAAAATGACATTACTTTGTCTTTAAAATGTAATACAAATAAAACTAGAGTTAGAAAAATCAGATTTCCAGAAGAAATAGGAAATAATTATATAAATAAAATATATTTTGCCTTTAAATATGAATTAGAAAATCCAGTATAACATTTGTAAGACAAGAAAATATATTTGATATAAATTATAACTGCTTAAAATAAATTATTAGAGAAGGAAGCTATTTTTTCATCTGATATTTTGTTATATTTCTAAACAGGTTGCAGAGATGAAAGAAGTATAGAGTGAAAACTTACGTCATCACAATCTAGATTCTATTATTGATGTTATTATACATGCTTTATCACAATCTATTCATCCACCTTTTTATCAACTATTTTTTATTTAATACATTTCAAAGAAAATGTCAGACATCAGTAGTACCCCCCTTAAATATTTTAGATTTTTGTATCATTAGCTACAGTTCTATATTTGTTTAAAGTTATTTTGTGGAAAATTTACAAAAAGTGAAATGCACAATTGTAACTGCATATTTGCTGAGATTTTTCAAATGCTAACTATTGTTAAAATTCTATCATGATACAGAATATTACTGTCTTCTAAAAAGCTCCCTCACACTCTACTGTGTGAGGAATCAGCTTAAATCAGCTCATAAGAGCTAATTATGCATACCCTTTCCAAAATTCTGTTTGCTGACATCAAGTCGGTAGCTTGTAATTTATCATGGTGATGGTAGTATTATTCACACCAGGGAAATAGGGAAATACTTCAAATGTAAGTTTCCTCCTCATCCCCCACTTAATCCTCCTGAAAGCTGAAGACAATAACTCTTGCAATTTTTCCCCCAACCCAAATTAACTTTGCCTGGCCCATTTTATTTTATTTGCCATTTTATTTCATTGAAATGGCATCATATAGTATGACTACTTTGAATAAATTAACGTTAACTCATCTCAATAACTTTTAGATCTGTGTTATTGAATGTATCAGTAGTTTGTTCCCTTTTATTGATGATTAGATCTCTAGTATACGAATAAACCAGTTTGTTAAGTCATTCTCCTGTTGATGGACACTTGGACTACTTCTAGTTATTGGTTATTATGAATAAAGCTTCTATGAATATTCTTGTACAAATGTTTGTAAATGTATTTTAATACTCAGATAAATATTTAGGATTGCTGGGTCATGTGGTAGGTGTATGTTTAATTCTATAGGAAAATGCCTGACCTTTGCCAAAGTGGTTGCACCATGTTACAATCTCATTGACAATGCATGGTAGTTACAGTTGCTCCATGTCATCTCTAATATTTGATGCTGTCAGTCTTTTAATTTTAGACATTTTAATTGGGTGTGTATTGTTGCCATTTTTTAGTGAAAAATTTGATTTTGTTCATGACTAATGCTGTGAAATAGCATTTTATTTGTTCACTATTTGTATATCATCTTTTGTGAGGTTTCTGCTCAAAATATTTGTATATTTTTATTGGATTAGGTATCCTAATTATTATTGCTGAGTTGTAGGAGTTCATTTTACATGCCTGATAACAATCCTTTACATGCCTTTTGTTTTCTTCTATTGCATTCTTCATTGTCAAAAAGCTCTAGTATAATATTGATCAGAGTGGACATCCTTACCTTGTTCTCAATCTTAGAAAAATATAATTACTATTTCCACATTAATTATGAGGTTAGCCAGAGGTTTTCCATACTAGCAATTTAACAAATTGAGAAAATGTCTGTTTCCAGTTTGATAAGAAGTTTAATCATTAGTTTTTTATTAAAAAATTTTTTTTTGCAAATATTGATAAGATCTCATGATTTTTCTTCTTTTTTATGGTAAACTGAAAAATTATCCTTCTCCATGTTTATGGGGTATAAACTGATACTATGTTTTAAGAATACAATGTAGATAACTTAAATAAAAAAATAATGAACGTAGGCATTAGCTCAAATATTTATATTTTTGTGGTGGGAACTTTTGAAATTTACTACCAGCAATTTTGAAATGTGCAGTACACTATTAGTGACTGTATTCACTATGCTGTGTAATACATCTTAAAAAAAAACCCTACTAATTTAGTATTCTTGTATAAGACTTTGTATTCTTTGGTCATCATCTTCCAACTCTCTCCACCCACAAGCCTCTGGGAACCACCATTGTATTCTCTGCTGCTATGATTTCAATTGTTTTAGAGTCCACGTACAAATGATAACATTCAGTATTTATCGTTCTGTGACTAGGTTATTTCACTTAGCATAATGTTCTAGAATGTTGTTGCAAATGACAAATTGCTTTCTTGTGTAAGACTGAATAGTTTTCCATTGTGTATATATACCACATTTCTTTATGCATATGTCGATGAACTCTTAGTTTTACTCCTTAACTTGGCTACTGTGAATAGTGCTGCAATGAACATGGAAGTACAGGTATCTCTTTGACATACTGATTTCAAAAAATTTTAGATAAACACCCATAAGTGGAATTGCTGGATCATATGGTAATTCATTTTTAGTTTTTTGAGGAACCTCCATACAGTTTTCTGTGATAGCTGTAGTAATTTACATTCCCACCAACCATAAACAAAGCTTCTATTTTCTCCACCACCTTAAAAACTCTGGTTATCATTAGTCTTTTTGGTACTAGCCATTCTGACAAGTATAAGGTGGTATCTCACATTGGTTTTTATCTTAATTTCCCTAATGACTAGTGACATTCAACATTTTTTTGTTTAACTGTTCTCTGTTCACTGTCTACAATAGACATTGAGAATTGTCTATTCAGGTCCCTTGCCAATTTTTTATAGGATTATTTGTTTTCTTTCTATACCATTGTTTGAGTTCCTTATATATTGTGGACATTAACCCCTTATCAGATTATGCCTTGCAAATATTTTCTCCCAACCCATAGATTGTCTCTTCACTGTTAATTGTTTTCTTTGTTGTGCAGAACCATTTTATTTTGATGTAATCTCATTTGTTTATTTTTGCTTTTGTTGCCTGTGCTTTTGGGGTAAAATCTAGAAAATCATTGTCCAAATCCAGCAAATCCAGGTCATATAGTTTTTTTCTTGTACTGTCTTCTTACAGTTTTGAAGTTTCAAGTCTTTTATTTAAGTCTTTAGTCCATTTTAAGATGATTAAGGGTCCAATTTTGTTCTTTCATATATGAATATCCAGTTTTCCAAAGAAATATTTATTGAAGAGACCATCTTTTTTTATTTTGTATTCTTTCTCTTAGAAATATAGTGAGTTATACTGTTTAATTTTTTTAAAATGTTAAGCCAACCTTACTTTTCTGAAATTAACCCTACTTGATCTCAATATATTATTCCTTTTACATATTCCTAGATTGCATTTGCTAACATGTTTTGAACTATTTTTACATATATATATGTATATATAATATATACATAAAGAATATTTTATTTCTGGTTATTTTGGACTTACAATTCGGCAGTATCCTTTCCCTGTATATTTTCTGAAATGATTTGAATAGGATTGGTATTATTTCTTTTTTAAGTGTTTGATGAAATTTATCAATAAAACTATCTATTCCTGGGCAATTTCTTTCTGGCAGTTTATTTTTTATATGTAACTAATAGATATAAGGCTATGCATACTTTCTATTTCTTCAGTCATTTTCAGTCATTTTACTAGGTTGTATCTTTATAGTTACTTATGCATTTCATCTTTATTGTCAAATTTTTGGCATAAAATTATCCACAGTATTATTGTATTATACTTGTAAACATCTCCAAGATCTGAACTCATAACTTTCCTTTATCCCTAACTTTTTAGTCTTCTTGGAGTTAGTATTAACCTTGCAACCATAAATTCACATATCTAATTCTCAATTTTTACTCAAGTTCTAGTATATCTACATATAATATAAATAATAAGACATGATATTTTACTTTTTGCCTTAAATGATCTATGATTTTTAAATAAATAGAAAAGATAAAAATGTTTACCCAAATATTTACCATTTTTTTATGTTCCTTATTTCTGGCTTGAAAAATTTCTTTCAAAATCTCCAGTTCAGGTCCAATAGAAAGAACTCTCTCAGGTAGCTTTTATATGAAGATTAATCTGTTACAATGTCAGTCTCAGTGGATATATTTGCTTGGTATGTAATTCCTGTTTGAAAGTTCATCCCTGCCATTATGTTACTGATGTTTTACCAATGTCTTTTGGACTTGATATTTTCTGTTGAAGCTGGCTTTCATTCAGAGGTTGTTTCCCTATGTGAAATGTCAGACTTCTATGGCCTTTTTCAAAATTTTCTGTTGCTGTTTGTTTTGCAGCAGCTTGATTATGATGTTTCCAGGCATTACATTATTTGGATTAACCTGCTTGTTCAATTTTATTTTATCTGAAATTTGTTCACACATGACTGATTTAGGGGTCAGAGATTCAGAGAAAGTTACACCAATAATTTGGTGATATCTCCTTGAACATTTCCTTTCTGGGATTCTCCCCTCTTTTTTAGCCACATGATTTGCTCTGAACTTTTGCCACTGGAGTTTCATCTCCCCGGAGTAGCATCTATTACAGGCTGACCTCAGACTCAGAGATATAGGAATTGATAACTTACCCTTCCTATTCCCTTTATCTAAGTGTCATCTCCTGGATGTATTTGCTCACATTTCTGAGTGTTTAGGTAACGTCCCTTCATCTGCTCCTAGATATTATAGTTGTCTGGTAGAGGAATGGGTATAATAGCAACCACTCAATCATACTGCAGCAGAAATTCAGTGCTAGGAATTTTTAATAAAGAAAAAAACCATCAAAATCTGTAACTTTGGTTGTGAATAAAATTCAAACTAACTAAATTTATTTTATACTTCTGCTGGGCTCACTGATCTGGAAATACAACCAATTTCATACTCAGTATAAAAGGAATGATAATATAAAGAAAATAGTGATTTCCTTTGAGAGGTTTTACTTTTTATAAAGGCAGTTTGAAGACCATCCTAGATAATGATAATAGTTCCATCTCATTGTAATGAAGAAATTTGACCACTCTTTTTCTTCTAAACTTCCCCACAACTTACCACTTCTCTCATTTTACAAAGAGGAAACTATAAAATGTAAAAACGATTGGACTATCATAATATGGTGATTATGGAATAGCCTGCAAACCATCCCAGTACAACTAGGTCAAATAGATTCAAGAAACATTTACTATGCATGTTTGCTAAGATCACTATCAAAAAAAGTATTTTTTAAGAGAATTGCATTTTAGTAGATAAAGGATGAGAGACATATACAGGGATATTTTTAATTTACCAAGCAAGTACTATGAGAATGATAAACACATAATTCTATAAAAACACATATATAGGGCATCAAACTCAACGTTGTCAGGAGGGAAACAGGTATCTCCTTTATGTCTTACATTGGCATGTGATAAAATAACTGAGTCCTGACAGATTTTTAAAGTTAGTCACATTTAGAATTGGGGCTTTCTGACTTCTACTATGTCATTGCTCCAATGTTGCAGACAATGTTTTCCCTGACCACATTAAAATTGCATTTCCCTTCCTGATACTCACTGTCTCTCCTCAGTTTTATTTCTTTTCCCTGAAATGCTTACTGTTCTCTAATATACTGTATATTTCCTTTGTTTTCTCCTCACCCTGCCATCCAGAATACATGTTGCATCACCATAGGACATTTTTGCCTGTTTTATTCTCTGCTCTGTCTACAATCTTAAAAACAGTGTCTGAAACATAGCAGATTCTCAATAGATACTTGCTGTATGAATCAATTTGATAAATGCTGTGAGTAATAAATAATGGGCAATAACACTTGAAAAATTTTCAGGTGCTACTTAATATAGCACCAGAATGCTGTACTAAGATATTTGGAACTTGTGTTATATGTGATGGGAAATCATCAGAAAGAGGAAAACCACCTGTTTACATGAATTACTGTCATAAATGTAGAAATAATAGATCCAAGGGGGCAAAAATGAAGTTATTTCTATTGATTGAGAAAAACTTCAAATTCACAGCATAATTATAAAATTTATTTTCAATAGAGAATGTAGTTTTGCAAAAGAGTAGTACAAACTTAAAAATCTAATCCTGGAAGATTCACCTTTTGTGAGTAATGAAAATTCTGCCTTATGTAAATTCTGCCATAATAGATAAGAAATTAGGAGTGTCCTGAATCTTTAAATTATATGAAGATCTTCTGGAATCTGAGGGAGCAAAAATAAAGAGAAAATGAGAGGAATGTGCAGTTGACAGGGCAGAAGACAATGTGTTTAGAAGGGTTAATATCTGCAGAAGCACAGAGGTACCGAAGTGCATGCACGCTTGGTGAACCAAACTTGTTTTCATTTATAAATAATAGATCCATATGGAAAAAATGCAGATGTATTAGATTATTAAGCATGTATCCACTTATGTACCTCTTTATTTGTATCCAGCAAATGTTTATTAAGCACAAATTTGTCACTATGCTTCATTTCAAGGATACAATAATGAGTAAATAGTTTGACACAGACTCTGACTTTAGATTTACATTTTAGACATTTCCACAATTATCAATGCTAACATACATTTCCAAGCTATAAGAAGTGTACTATAATCTAATATAAAATAAAATGGATACAAAACCTAACATTGATGGTTAGAAAATAAGTGCCTGAGGAAGTAAAATATCCACTAACCTAGAAAATATTAAGAGAAATTAAGAGGGTAAAGGAAATACAGGTAGGGTACTTGAATGCAGAAGACAAACTATTTGTAGTTTCTATGTTTGGAATATTTAAATAACTTGAGAGTGGTAGGTGATTAATGCCTAGAGAGTGGCAGAAAAACTGACATATGAAATGAAGCAGTTTGAAAGGCCTGGACTATATTAATCCTTAGAGTCCATACAATGATATGAGCTATAGCCTAAACAGAACGAGAAATGTTAATACTTTAGATGCCAAGCTAAGGAGTTGAACGCCATCCTTATCATAATGATGACTACCAAAGTATTAAAAGCGGAGAGTCAGACAGTTCTCAAGCATAATCCTGGCCTTACCTCACTAATTTAGCTTATATTTATTAAGCACCTATGATATAAGACACTAAGCTTAGAGTAATGGACAAAGCAGATGAGGATCTTGCCCTCTTGAAACCCATATTCTCTTTGGAGAGACACATTTGATGGGAAAAATTTGAACACTGCGTTTTAATCTTAAAACCTATATTATCATTGTTTCATGTTCCAAAGAAACATAACATACTCAGAAAAACTAATACAACAGAAATATAGTACTCAAAAAAGCAAAAAACAGTATGGCTCTTAACTAAGTATTGCTTCAGGAGTTAAAATTTAAGGGAAAGAGCGTAGGCAGTGGAAAATGTCACACAACACAAAAATTGCTTAAAATTCATCTTTAGAAATCTCCATGTATAATATACATTCAAACTTTACAAGTTGGAATTTAAGGGAAAATATACATAGACATAAAATGAACATTTAACAATGTAAAATAAAAAAAGGAGTTATTTATCTTATGTAGCCAAAAGCAAATATGGTTAAAGATCAGACCAAAGACCAATAGAATGAGTGATTGTAAAGTCCCAGAGAAACAAAGACTTTTTTTTTTTTTTTTTTTTTTTTGAGAGGGAGTCTTTCCTCTTCTGTCACCCAGACTGGAGTGCGGTGGTGTGATCTTGGCTCACTGCAACCATTGCCTTCTGGGTTCAGGCAATTCTTATGGTTCAGCCTCCTAAGGAGCTTCAGTTACAGGTGTGTGCCACCATGCCTGGCTAATTTTTTGGTAGAAATAGAGTTTTACCATGTTTTTCAGGCTGGTCTCAAACTCCTGAGCTCAAGTGATCTGCCGACCTCAGCCTCCCAAAGTGCTGGGATTACAGGTGTGAGCCACCGTGCCTAGTTAACAAAGACATTTTAAATAAACGTGTAAATGTGTGCTGCTTTATCCATTTGTCAGCTTACCTATAAGGCTGCCTGCTTTGTTGGAGCAAAAAACAATTCTCTATCACATTCAAGTTCTAATAAAATGCCGCGTGTCATTTGGATCTTATAGCCCATCAGATACAATTGTGCTTTAAGTGCCTGTGGCAAATGTGAATTTTTCTTCTAATAAGGCTTGATAGAAGAATTGCAATGTTTGAAACAAGGACATGCAATATTTTGCTAACAATGTTCTTCATTTAAAAAGAAGCTCCTGGCTTGCTACTGCTAGTGGGTTGCTACTTCTAGTGCATAGAGACTGAATGCTCAAGAAAAAGCAACCAAGTATATATGCAACTTGAGCTATTCATCACAAATTAAGTGTTGTCTGATATACTGAATCATAAAGTTGGACATGAAAGAAAACTTTTGAATGTGAATAAGCATTTTATTTTTACACAGAAATGGTATAATACACCTTGATATGGTATGACGAATCCTAGGAAGTTCAGGAAGACACAATTGAATTAATAGGTATCCCATGTCTATGTATATCTATAGTTTCAAGGAGAATTTTCTATAATGAGTTGATGGAGAAAGAAGAATGCATGAGCCTGGTTTATGAAAGAAAATTAAAGGTAGAATTACTTGAACTGACAATGAACTCCTACAACAGAGTTCTACTCATTTATCTGCAATAATCAACAGCATAGAATTTTCCTCACCGAAGATTATTTGAGTCATGGAGCCTTACATAAAGTTTTACCCGGTCACTAAGCCCAGCCCATGACCCTGACCAATTGCTGAACATAGCATGTGGCCACACCTAAGCAAGAAGCCCAGCCAGTGGCCCTGACCAGTCATGGAGCATAGTCTGTGGTCCTACTAAACTAGGGAGCCAAGCCGGTGACCCTAACTCACAGCAGAAAATAGCGTGAAGCCACACCCAACTGTGAAGCACAAGCAACCTGAGACCTCATTTGATAGCAGAACCCAGCCTACAGTCCTACCTGAAAGTGGAGTCCAGCCAGACACACCAAGCAGCTAAAAATGGCATCCCGCTTGACCAGGAGCGATTGCAGAGCTTACCTGTGTCTTGACCCAATCATGGAGGTAAACCAATGACACTTCTAGAAAAGGGAATAGCCTGTAAACTTGCATGACCAGAGGTGATTGAAAAGCTCAGCTACTTGCCCCACTGAACCAGAAAGCTCAGGAAGTGGTCCTACCACAATACAGAGCTCAGTCAGAAGACACCTAACTACAAATCCCAGACAGCAACCCTACTAAACCGTAAAGCATGTGCAGCAGACCTGAACAACTACAAGCTCTGAGATCAGGCCCCTCCTCCTCACAGAATTTACCAGCTGGCCTGTCTAGAACTCCAGGCTGGACAGAATGGTGCAGGTCTTTCCCCACTAAGCAAACCAGCCAAGGCTGAAAGAAGTGATCACTTTCTCAAATACACAGTCATCACAACAAATATATAACTTTCATAAATAACCAAGGAAGCAAAAAACCTCCAGAGAAAACTAATAGATTTCCAATAACTGACACTAAAGAAATGAAGATCTGGGCCAAGTGCGATGGCTTACGCCTATAATCCTAGCATTTTGGGAGGCTGAGGCAGGTGGATCACTTGAGGTTAGGCATTTGAGACCAGACTGGCCAACATGGTGAAACCCCATCTCTACTAAAAATACAAAAATTAGCCAGGTGTGATGGTGTGCACCTGTAATCCCAGCTACTCAGGAAGCTGAGGCACGAGAATTGCTTGAGCCCAGGAGGCAGAGGTTGCAGTGAGCTGAGACCATGCTATTGCACTCCAGCCCAGGTGACAAGAGTGACACCCTGTCTCAAAAATAAATAAAATGAAATAAAATAAATGAAGATCTGTGAACTGACTGACAGACAATTTAGAATAATCCTCTTAAGTTTAGTGTGCTACAAGAAAACAGAGATAGACAATTTAATAAAATTAAGGAAACAATTTGCGAACAAAATGAGAAATTCAGCAAAAATAGAAAACATTGAATTTTTTAAAAATCACACAAAAATACTAAAGTTGAAGTATACAATGCCTGAATTAAAAAAAATAATATATTTAGAAGAAGACTCAAGCAGAAGAAATAACTGTTAAAGTTGAAGAGAGGTTATTTAAAATTATCCTGTCAGAGGAGCTAAAAGAAGAAAAGAATGAAAAAGAGTGAATAAGTCATATGTATGGGACATTATTAAGCAAAATAATTTGTGCATTATGAAAATCTCAAATGAATAACAGAAAGGGACCAACAATCTATATAAATAGTAGCCAAAAACTTCTCAAATTTGGGGAGAGAAATGTACATCTAAATTTATGAGGTTTAAAGATTCTCAAATAACTGTCCCTCTTCACTGATGATATGATCCAATATCTAGAAAACCCTGTCTCAACCCAAAAGCTTCTTAAGCTGATAAGCAACTTCAGCAAAGACTCAGGATACAATATCAATGTGCAACAATCACAAGCATTCCTATACATCAGTAATAAACAAGCAATGAGCAAAATCATGAATAAAGTCCAATTCACAGTGGCTACAAGGAGAAAAAAATACCTAGGAATAAAGCTAACAAGAAATGAAGGACCTCTTCAAGGAGAACTACAAACCACTGCTCAAGGAAATGTGAGAGGACACAAACTAATGGAAAAACATTTCATGCTTATGGATATGAAGAATCAATATTGTGAAAATGGCCATACTGCCAAAAGTAATTTATAGATTCAGTGCAATTTCCATTAAACTCCCATTGATGTTCTTCACAGAATTAGAAAAACTACCTTAAAATTCATATGGAACCAAAGATGAACCCATATAGCCAAGACAATCCTAAGCAAAAATAACAAACCTGAAGGCATTACACTACCTGACTTCAAACTATACTACAAGGCCGTGGTAACCTAAACAGCATGGTACTGGCATAAAAACAGAGGCATAGACAAATGGAACATAATAGAAATCTCAGAAATAAGACTGTATATCTACAACTCTCTGATCTTCGACAAACCTGACAAAAGCAAGCAAGGAGGAAAGGATTCTCTAATAAGTCGTGCTAGGAAAGCTGGCTAGCCATATGCAGAAAATTGAAACTGGACCGCTTCCTTATACCTCATATGAAAATTAACTCAAGATAGATTAAAGACTTAAATGTAAAACCCAAGACTATAAAAGCCCTGGAAGAAAATCTAGGCAATACCATTCAGGACATAGGCGCAGGCAAAGATTTCATGATGAAAAGTGTTAAAAGCAATTGCAACAAAAGCCAAAATTGACAAATGGAATCTAATTAAACTAAAGAGCTTCTGAACAACAAAAGAAACTATCGTCTGCTGGGCATGGTGGCTCACACCTGTAATCCCAGCACTTTGGAAGGCCAAGGTGGGTGGATAAGTTGAGTTCAGGAGTTTGACTCCAGTCTGGCCAAAATGGTGAAATACTGTCTCTACTAAAATTACAAAAATTAGCTTGGAGTTGGTGACATGCACCTGTAATCTCAGCTACTCAGGAGTCTGAGGCAGGAGAATTGCTTGAACCTGGGAGGCAGAGGTTGCAGTGAGCCAAGATCACACAACTCTGCACTCCAGTCTGGAAAACAGGGTGAGACTCCATCTCAAAATAAATAAACAACAACAACAACAAAAAAAAAAACAAGAAAGAAAAAGAAAGAAAAAAAAGAAAGAAAAATGAACTGTCATCCGAGTGAACAGGCAACCTACAGAATGGGAGAAAATTTTTGCAATCTATCCATCTGACAAAAGTCTAATATCTAGAATCCACAAGGAACTTAAATAAATCTATAAGAGAAAATCAAACATCCCCATTAAAAAGTGGGCAAAGGGGCCAGACACGGTGGCTCACACCTCTAATCCCAGCACTTTGGGAGGCCAAGGTAGGTGGATCACAAGGTCAGGAGATCGAGACCATCCTGGTTAATATGATGAAACCCCATCTCTACTAAGAATAGAAAAAATTAGCCAGGCACGGTGGCGGGTGCCTGTAGTACCAGCTACTCGGGAGGCTGAGGCAGGAGAATGGCGTGAACCCAGGAGGTGAAGCTTGCAGTGAGCCGAGATCGCGCCACTGCACTCCAGCCTGAGCGACAGAGCAAGACTCCATCTCAAAAAAAAAAAAACAAAAAAAAAGTGGGCTAAGGACATGAACAGACACTTCTCAAAAGAAGACATTTATGTGGCCAAAAAACACATTGAAATAAAGCTCAACATCACTGATTATTAAAGAAATGCAAATCAAAACCACAATAGGATACCATCGCATGCCAGTCAGAGTAGTGATTATTCAAAAGTCAAGAAACAACAGATGCTGGTGAGGCTGTGGAGAAATAGAAACACTTTTAGACTGTTGGTAGAAATGTAAATTAGATCAACCATTGTGAAAGACATTGTGGCAATTACTCAAAGACCTAGAACCAGAAATACCATTTGACCCAGCAATCCCATTACTGGGCATATACCCAAAGGAATATAAATCATTCTGTTACAAAGATATATGCCCACATATGTTCATTGCAGCATTATTCACAATAGCAAAGACATGAAATTAACCCTAATGTCTATCAATAATAGACTGGATAAAGAAAATGTGGTACATATACACCATGGAATGCTATACAGCCATTGAAAGGTACAAGATCATGTCCTTTGCAGGGACATGAGTGGAGCTGGGAGCCATTATCCTCAGCAAACTAACATAGGAACAGAAAACCAAATACCACATGTTCTCATTTATAAGTGAGAGCTGAACAATGAGAACACGTGGACACAGAGAGGGGAATAACACACACTGGGGCCTGCTGGAGAAGCAGAGGGAGGGAGAACATCAGGCTAAATAGCTAATGCATGCAGGGCTTAATACCTAGGTGATGGGTTGATAGGTGCAGCAAACCACCATGGCATATGTTTACCTATGTAAGAAACCTGCACATCCTGCATATGTATCTCGAGACTTAAAATAAGCAAATAAATAAAATAAAATAGAAGATTTCCAAGTAATTTGAACCTGAAAATGTCTCAACCAGGACAATGTCAAAAGGCGTATTCTCGATATTTATTCTACAAATTTCGTGGATCAGAACCGACATTAATTCTTTACTCCACTAGGAGTTAATTTTTGTGAATGGTTTCAGATAGGTTACAATTTCAGTTCTTCGGTTTGTTTGTTTGTTTGTTTTTGGATATCCAGTTTTCCCAACACCACTTATTGAAGAGACTCTATTTTTTTCATTGTGTATTCTTGGCACCTTCTTCAAATATTAGTTCAGTGTATGTGCAAAGATTTTTATACCAGTACCATAGAGTTTGATTTTGATAGATATGTATGTATTTTGAAATTAGATAATGTAATGCTCCCACCTTTGTTCTTTCTCAAGATTGCTTTGGCTATTTGAAGTCTTTTGTGTTTTCATACAAATTTTTAGGATTCTTTTTCTATTTCTGTAAAAAATGCCACTGTAACTTTTATAGGAATTGTGTTGCATCTGTTGAAGACTTTGGGTGATTCAGGCATTTTAGCAATATTAATTCTTCTAGTCTATAAAGAGATATCTTTCAATTTATTTGTTTCTTCCATTTATTTTATTAATATTGTTTAGATTTCACTTACAACTCTTTTATCTTTCATTAAATTTATTCCTAAGTATTTTATTATTTTGATGCTATTATAAATAGTAATATTTTCTTAATTGCTTTTTCAAATAGTTAATTGTCATTGTATAAAAATGTAACATTTTATATCTTGCAACTTTACTAAATTTGTTAGTTTTAACAGATTATTTTATTTTATTTTATTTTATTATTATTATACTTTAAGTTTTAGGGTACATGTGCACAATGTGCAGGTTAGTTACATATGTATACATGTGCCATTCTGGTGTGCTGCACCCATTAACTCGTCATTTAGCATTAGGTATATCTCCTAATGCTATCCCTCCCCCCTCCCCCCACCCCACAACAGTCCCAAGAGTGTGATGTTCCCCTCCCTTCCTGTGTCCATGTGTTCTCATTGTTCAATTCCCACCTATGAGTGAGAATACGCGGTGTTTGGTTTTTTGTTCTTGCGATAGTTTGCTGAGAATGATGATTTCCAATTTCATCCATGTCGCTACAAAGGACATGAACTCATCATTTTTTATGGCTGCATGGTATTCCATGGTGTATATGTGCCACATTTTCTTAATCCAGTCTATCATTATTGGACATTTGGGTTGGTTCCAAGTCTTTGCTATTGTGAATAATGCTGCAATAAACATATGTGTAAATGTGTCTTTATAGCAGCATGATTTATAGTCCTTTGGGTATATACCCAGTAATGGGATGGCTGGGTCAAATGGTATTTCTAGTTCTAGATCCCTGAGGAATCGCCACACTGACTTCCACAATGATTGAACTAGTTTTTTTTTTTTTTTTTTTTTTTTTTTTTGAGACGGAGTCTCGCTCTGTCACCCAGGCCGGACTGCTGACTGCAGTGGCGCAATCTCGGCTCCCTAGTCCCACCAACAGTGTAAAAGTGTTCCTATTTCTCCACATCCTCTCCAGCACCTGTTGTTTCCTGACTTTTTAATGATTGCCATTCTAACTGGTGTGAGATGGTATCTCACTGTGGTTTTGATTTGCATTTCTCTGATGGCCAGTGATGCTGAGCATTTTTTCATGTGTTTTTTGGCTGCATAAATGTCTTCTTTTGAGAAGTGTCTGCTCATGTCCTTCACCCACTTTTTGATGGGGTTGTTTTTTTCTTGTAAATTTGTTTGAGTTCATTGTAGATTCTGGATATTAGCCCTTTGTCAGACGAGTAGGTTGCGAAAATTTTCTCCCATTTTGTAGGTTTCCTGTTCACTCTGATGGTAGTTTCTTTTGCTGTGCAGAAGCTCTTCAGTTTACTTAGATCCCATTTGTCAATTTTGGCTTTTGTTGCCATTGCTTTTGGTGCTTTAGACATAAAGTCCTTGCCCATGTCTATGTCCTGAATGGTAATGCCTAGGTTTTCTTCTAGGGTTTTTATGGTTTTAGGTCTAACGTTTAAGTCTTTAATCCATCTTGAATTAATTTTTGTATCAGGTGTAAGGAAGGGATCCAGTTTCAGCTTTCTCCATATGGCTAGCCAGTTTGCCCAGCACCATTTATTAAATAGGGAATCCTTTCCCCATTGCTTATTTTTCTCAGGTTTGTCAAAGATCAGATAGTTGTAGATATGCGGCGTTATTTCTGAGGGCTCTATTCTGTTCCATTGGTCTATATCTCTGTTTTGGTTCCCATGCTGTTTTGGTTACTGTAGCCTTGTAGTACAGTTTGAAGTCAGGTAGCGTGATGTCTCCAGCTTTGTTCTTTTGGCTTAGGATTGTCTTGGCAATGCAGGCTCTTTTTTGGTTCCATATGAACTTTAAAGTAGTTTTTTCCAATTCTGCGAAGAAAGTCATTGGTAGCTTGATGGGGATGGCATTGAATCTATAAATTACCTTGGGCAGTATGGCCATTTTCACAATATTGATTCGTCCTATCCATGAGCATGGAATGTTCTTCCATTTGTTTGTATCCTCTTTTATTTTGCTGAGCAGTGGTTTCTAGTTCTCCTTGAAGAGATCCTTCACATCCCTTGTAAGTTGGATTCCTAGGTATTTTATTCTCTTTGAAGCAATTGTGAATGGGAGTTCACTCATGATTTGGCTCTCTGTTTGTCTGTTATTGGTGTATAAGAATGCTTGTGATTTTTGTACATTGATTTTGTATCCTGAGACTTTGCTGAAGTTGCTTATCAGCTTAAGTAGATTTTGGGCTGAGACAGTGGGGTTTTCTAGATATACAATCATGTCGTCTGCAAACAGGGACAATTTGACTTCCTCTTTTCCTAATTGAATACCCTTTATTTCCTTCTCCTGCCTAATTGCCCTGGCCAGAACTGCCAACACTATGTTGAATAGGAGTGGTGAGAGAGGGCATCCCTGTCTTGTGCCAGTTTTCAAAGGGAATGCTTCCAGTTTTTGCCCATTCAGTATGATATTGGCTGTGGGTTTGTCATGGATAGCTCTTATTATTTTAAGATATGTCCCATCAATACCTAATTTATTGAGAGTTTTTAGCATGAAGCATTGTTGAATTTTGTCAAAGGCCTTTTCTGCATCTATTGAGATAATCATGTGGTTTTTGTCTTTGGTTCTGTTTATATGCTGGATTACATTTATTGATTTGGGTATATTGAACCAGCCTTGCATCCCAGGGATGAAGCCCACTTGATCATGGTGGATAAGCTTTTTGATGTGCTGCTGGATTCGGTTTGCCAGTATTTTATTGAGGATTTTTGCATCAATGTTCATCAAGGATATTGGTCTAAAATTCTCTTTTTTTGTTGTGTCTCTGCCAGGCTTTGGTATTAAGATGATGCTGGCCTCATAAAATGAGTTAAGGAGGATTCCCTCTTTTTCTATTGATTGGAATAGTTTCAGAAGGAATGGTACCAGCTCCTCCTTGTACATCTGGTAGAATTCAGCTGTGAACCATCTGGTCCTGGACTTTTTTTGGTTGGTAGGCTATTAATTATTGCCTCAATTTCAGAGCCCCTTATTGGTCTATTCAGGGATTCAACTTCTTCCTGGTTTAGTCTTGGGAAGGTGTATGTGTCATGGAATTTATCCATTTCTTCTAGATTTTCTAGTTTATTTGCGTAGAGGTGTTTATAGTATTCTCTGCTGTTAGTTTGTATTTCTGTGGGATCAGTGGTGATAACCCCTTAATAATTTTTTATTGCATCTATTTGATTCTTCTCTCTTTTCTTCTTTATTAGTCTTGCTAGCAGTCTATCAATTTTGTTGATCTTTTCAAAAAACCAGCTCCTGGATTCATTGATTTTTTGAAGGGTTTTTTGTGTCTCTATCTCTTTCAGTTCTGCTCTGATCTTAGTTATTTCTTGGCTTCTGACAGCTTTTGAATGTGTTTGCTCTTGCTTCTCTAGTTCTTTTAATTGTGATGTTAGGGTGTCAATTTTAGATCTTTCCTGTTTTCTCTTGTGGGCATTTAGTGCTATAAATTTCCCTCTACACACTGCTTTAATGTGTCCCGGAGATTCTGGTATGTTGTGTCTTTGTTCTCATCGGTTTGAAAGAACATCTTTATTTCTGCCTTCATTTCGTTATGTACCCCGTAGTCATTCAGGAGCTGGTTGTTCAGTTTCCATGTAATTGAGTGTTTTTGAGTGAGTTTCTTAATCCTGAGTTCCAGTTTGATTGCACTGTGGTCTGAGAGACAGTTTGTTATAATTTCTGTTCTTTTACATTTGCTGAGGAGTGCTTTACTTCCAACTATGTGGTCAGTTTTGGAATAAGTGCAATGTGGTGCTGAGAAGAATGTATATTCTGTTGATTTGGGGTGGAGAGTTCTGAAGATGTCTATTAGGTCCACTTGGTGCAGAACTGAGTTCGATTCCTGGATATCCTTGTTAACTTTCTGTCTCATTGATCTGTCTAATGTTGACAGTGGGGTGTTAAAGTATCCCATTATTATTGTGTGGGAGTCTAAGTCTCTTTGTAGGTCTCTAAGGACTTGCTTTATGAATCTGGGTGTTCCTGTATTGGGTGCATATATATTTAGGACAGTTAGCTCTTCTTGTTGAATTGATCACTTTACCATTATGTAATGGCCTTCTTTGTCTTTTTTGATCTTTGCTGCTTTAAAGTCTGTTTTGTCAGAGACTAGGATTGCAACCCCTGCCTTTTTTTGTTTTCCATTTGCTTGGTAGATCTTCATCCATTTATTTTGAGCCCATTTGTGTCACTGCATGTGAGATGGGTCACCTGAATACAGCATACTGATGGGTATTGACTCTATCCAATTTGCCAGTCTGTGTCATTTAATTGGAGCATTTAGTCCATTTACATTTAAGGTTAATATTGTTATGTGTGTATTTGATCCTGTCATTATGATGTTACCTGGTTATTTTGCTCATTAGTTGATGCAGTTTCTTCCTAGCATTGATGGTCTTTACAATTTGGCATGTTTTTGCAGTGGCTGGTACCGGTTGTTCCTTTCCATGTTTAATGCTTCCTTCAGGAGCTCTTTTAGGGCAGGCCTGGTGGTGACAAAATCTCTCAGCATTTGCTTGTCTATAAAGTATTTTATTTCTCCTTCACTTATGAAGCTTAGTTTGGCTGGACATGAAATTCTGGGTTGAAAATTCTTTTCTTTAAGAATGTTGAATATTGGCCCCCACTCTCTTTTGGCTTGTAGAGTTTCTGCTGAGAGATCCACTGTTAGTCTGATGGGCTTCCCTTTGTGTGTAACCTGACCTTTCTCTCTGGCTGCCCTTAACATTTTTTCCTTCATTTCAACTTTGGTGAATCTGACAATTATGTGTCTTGGAGTTGCTCTTCTCGAGGACTATCTTTGTGGCATTCTCTGTATTTCCTGAATTTGAATGTTGGCCTGCCTTGCTAGATTGGGGAAGTTCTCCTGGATAATATCCTGCAGAGTGTTTTCCAACTTGGTTCCATTCTCCCCGTCACTTTCAGGTACACCAATAAGATGTAGATTTGGTCTTTTCACCTAGTCCCATATTTCTTGGAGGCTTTGTTCGTTTCCTTTTAGTCTTTTTTCTGTAAACTTCTCTTCTCGCTTCATTTCATTCATTTGATCTTCCATCACTGATACCCTTTCTTCCAGTTGATCGAATCGGCTACTGAGGCTTGTGCATCTGTCACATAGTTCTTGTGCCATGGTTTTCAGCTCCATCACATCATTTAAGGACTTTTCTATACTGGTTATTCTAGTTAGCCATTCGTCTAATCTTTTTTCAAGATTTTTAGCTTCTTTGCTGTGGGTTCGAAATTCCTCCTTTATCTCGGAGAAGTTTGATCATCTGAAGCCTTCTTCTCTCAACTCGTCAGTCATTTGCCATCCTGCTTTGTTGTGTTTCAGGTGAGGAGCTGCATTCCTTTGGAGGTGGAGAGGTGCTCTGATTTTTAGATTTTTCAGGTTTTCTGCTCTGTTTTTTCCCCATCTGTGTGGTTTTATCTACCTTTGGTCTTTGATGATGGTGACGTACCGATATTGCTTCCAAGAGAATAAAATACCTAAAAATCCACCTTACAAGGGATGTGAAGGACCTCTTCAAAGAGAATTACAAACCACTGCTCAACAAAATAAAAGAGGACACAAACAAATGGAAGAACATTCCCTGCTCGTGGATAGGAAGAATCAATATCGTGAAAATGGCCATACTGCCCGAGGTAATTTACAGATTCAGTGCCATCCCCATCAAGCTACCAATGACTTTCTTCACAGAATTGGACAAAACTACTTTAAAGTTCACATGGAACCACAAAATAGCCCACATTGCCAAGACAATCCTATAACTTTCACTTTTGGCTCCATTAGCAGCTCTAGAAGAGAGGACGGCAGTTGCTATGCTTTAGATGATGTAATTATTTCCTCTTTTTCCTTTGATACCTTCTCTGCTTTTTCTGATCTGTGTTGTTAAAGGTTCAACTGTATGTGTTATATGTATATACAGTATAAAGTATATGCATGCACATTTGTTTTGGAAATTCAGCTAGCAAACCTTTAAAAGGAAATGATTCTGCTTACCTCCAGAGCATGCACATTATATAGATAACTAATCTTGGCTTTATTTTATTTCATTTAAAAAAAATTCCACTCCTGAGTTTGAGCTGGGCCTGGAGGACCTGGGCCAAGACTTTCGAGCGGCGGCCGCCTGAGGTGCGAGGAGCCAGCCCCGATTTCCTCACTGGGTCCCGCGCAGGCGTCCCCGGGACCGCAGAGCAAACTTTCTGGACTATCTGAGGACACTTGTCCAGCGAGCCCCACTGCTCGGGGAGGAGGAGCCACGGCCGGGGACAGAAAAATATTAACTGGAGGAGGAGCCAAGATGGCCGAATAGGAACAGCTCCTGTCTACAGCTCCCAGCGTGAGCGACGCAGAAGACGGGTGATTTCTACATTTCCATCTGAGGTACCGGGTTCATCTCACTAGGGAGTGCCAGACAGTGGGCGCAGGCCAGTGTGTGTGTGCAACGTGCGCGAGCCGAAGCAGGGCGAGGCATTGCCTCACCTGGGAAGCGCAAGGGGTCAGGGAGTTCCCTTTCCGAGTCAAAGAAAGGGGTGACGGACGCACCTGGAAAATCGGGTCACTCCCACCCGAATATTGCGCTTTTCAGACCGGCTTAAGAAACGGCGCACCACGAGACTATATCCCACACCTGGCTCAGAGGGTCCTACGCCCATGGAATCTCGCTGATTGCTAGCACAGCAGTCTGAGATCAAACTGCAAGGCGGCAACGAGGCTGGGGGAGGGGCGCCCACCATTGCCCAGGCTTGCTTAGGTAAACAAAGCAGCCGGGAAGCTCGAACTGGGTGGAGCCCACCACAGCTCAAGGAGGCCTGCCTGCCTCTGTAGGCTCCACCTCTGGGGGCAGGGCACAGACAAACAAAAAGACAGCAGTAACCTCTGCAGACTTAAATGACCCTGTCTGACAGCTTTGAAGAGAGCAGTGGTTCTCCCAGCACGCAGCTGGAGATCTGAGAAGGGGCAGACTGCCTCCTCAAGTGGGTCCCTGACCCCTGGCCCCTGAGCAGCCTAACTGGGAGGCACCCCCCAGCAGGGGCACACTGACACCTCACACGGCAGGGTATTCCAACAGACCTGCAGCTGAGGGTCCTGTCTGTTAGAAGGAAAACTAACAACCAGAAAGGACATCTACACCGAAAACCCATCTGTACATCACCATCATCAAAGACCAAAAGTAGATAAAACCACAAAGATGGGGAAAAAACAGAACAGAAAAACTGGAAACTCTAAAACGCAGAGCGCCTCTCCTCCTCCAAAGGAACGCAGTTCCTCACCAGCAACAGAACAAAGCTGGATGGAGAATGATTTTGACGAGCTGAGAGAAGAAGGCTTCAGATGATCAAATTACTCTGAGCTACGGGAGGACATTCAAACCAAAGGCAAAGAAGTTGAAAACTTTGAAAAAAATTTAGAAGAATGTATAACTAGAATAACCAATACAGAGAAGTGCTTAAAGGAGATGATGGAGCTGAAAACCAAGGCTCGAGAACTATGTGAAGAATGCAGAAGCCTCAGGAGCCGATGCGATCAACTGGAAGAAAGGGTATCAGCAATGGAAGATGAAATGAATGAAATGAAGCGAGAAGGGAAGTTTAGAGAAAAAAGAATAAAAAGAAATGAGCAAAGCCTCCAAGAAATATGGGACTATGTGAAAAGACCAAATCTACGTCTGATTGGTGTACCTGAAAGTGATGGGGAGAATGGAACCAAGTTGGAAAACACTCTGCAGGATATTATCCAGGAGAACTTCCCCAATCTAGCAAGGCAGGCCAACGTTCAGATTCGGGAAATACAGAGAACACCACAAAGATACTCCTCGAGAAGAGCAACTCCAAGACACATAATTGTCAGATTCACCAAAGTTGAAATGAAGGAAAAAATGTTAAGGGCAGCCAGAGAGAAAGGTCGGGTTACCCTCAAAGGAAAGCCCATCAGACTAACAGCAGATCTCTCGGCAGAAACCCTACAAGCCAGAAGAGAGTGGGGGCCAATATTCAACATTCTTAAAGAAAAGAATTTTCAACCCAGAATTTCATATCCAGCCAAACTAAGCTTCATAAGTGAAGGAGAAATAAAATACTTTATAGACAAGCAAATGCTGAGAGATTTTGTCACCACCAGGCCTGCCCTAAAAGAGCTCCTGAAGGAAGCGCTAAACATGGAAAGGAACAACCGGTACCAGCCGCTGCAAAATCATGCCAAAATGTAAAGACCATCGAGACTAGGAAGTAACTGCATCAACTAATGAGCAAAATCACCAGCTAACATCATAATGACAGGTCAAATTCACACATAACAATATTAACTTTAAATATAAATGGACTAAATTCTGCAATTAAAAGACACAGACTGGCAAGTTGGATAAAGAGTCAAGACCCATCAGTGTGCTGTATTCAGGAAACCCATCTCATGTGCAGAGACACACATAGGCTCAAAATAAAAGGATGGAGGAAGATCTACCAAGCCAATGGAAAACAAAAAAAGGCAGGGGTTGCAATCCTAGTCTCTGATAAAACAGACTTTAAACCAACAAAGATCAAAAGAGACAAAGAAGGCCATTACATAATGGTAAAGGGATCAATTCAACAAGAGGAGCTAACTATCCTAAATATTTATGCACCCAATACAGGAGCACCCAGATTCATAAAGCAAGTCCTCAGTGACCTACAAAGAGACTTAGACTCCCACACATTAATAATGGGAGACTTTAACACCCCACTGTCAACATTAGACAGATCAACAAGACAGAAAGTCAACAAGGATACCCAGGAATTGAACTCAGCTCTGCACCAAGCAGACCTAATAGACATCTACAGAACTCTCCACCCCAAATCAACAGAATATACATTTTTTTCAGCACCACACCACACCTATTCCAAAATTGACCACATAGTTGGAAGTAAAGCTCTCCTCAGCAAATGTAAAAGAACAGAAATTATAACAAACTATCTCTCAGACCACAGTGCAATCAAACTAGAACTCAGGATTAAGAATCTCACTCAAAGCCGCTCAACTACATGGAAACTGAACAACCTGCTCCTGAATGACTACTGCGTACATAACGAAATGAAGGCAGAAATAAAGATGTTCTTCGAAACCAACGAGAACAAAGACACCACATACCAGAATCTCTGTGACGCATTCAAAGCAGTGTGTAGAGGGAAATTTATAGCACTAAATGCCTACAAGAGAAAGCAGGAAAGATCCAAAATTGACACCCTAACATCACAATTAAAAGAACTAGAAAAGCAAGAGCAAACACATTCAAAAGCTAGCAGAAGGCAAGAAATAACTAAAATCAGAGCAGAACTGAAGGAAATAGAGACACAAAAAACCCTTCAAAAAATCAATGAATCCAGGAGCTGGTTTTTTGAAAGGATCAACAAAATTGATAGACCGCTAGCAAGACTAATAAAGAAAAAAAGAGAGAAGAATCAGATAGACACAATAAAAAATGATAAAGGGGATATCACCACCGATCCCACAGAAATACAAACTACCATCAGAGAATACTACAAACACCTCTACGCAAATAAACTAGAAAATCTAGAAGAAATGGATACATTCCTCGACACATACACTCTCCCAAGACTAAACCAGGAAGAAGTTGAATCTCTGAATAGACCAATAACAGGCTCTGAAATTGTGGCAATAATCAATAGTTTACCAACCAAAAAGAGTCCAGGACCAGATGGATTCACAGCCGAATTCTACCAGAGGTACAAGGAGGAACTGGTACCATTCCTTCTGAAACTATTCCAATCAATAGAAAAAGAGGGAATCCTCCTTAACTCATTTTATGAGGCCAGCATCATTCTGATACCAAAGCCGGGCAGAGACACAACCAAAAAAGAGAATTTTAGACAAATATCCTTGATGAACATTGATGGAAAAATCCTCAATAAAATACTGGCAAACCGAATCCAGCAGCACATCAAAAAGCTTATCCACCATGATCAAGTGGGCTTCATCCCTGGGATGCAAGGCTGGTTCAATACATGCAAATCAATAAATGTAATCCAGCATATAAACAGAGCCAAAGACAAAAACCACATGATTATCTCAATAGATGCAGAAAAAGCCTTTGACAAAATTCAACAACCCTTCATGCTAAAAACTCTCAATAAATTAGGTATTGATGGGACGTATTTCAAAATAATAAGAGCTATCTATGACAAACCCACAGCCAATATCATACTGAATGGGCAAAAACTGGAAGCATTCCCTTTGAAAACTGGCACAAGACAGGGATGCCCTCTCTCACCACTCCTATTCAACATAGTGTTGGAAGTTCTGGCCAGGGCAATCAGGCAGGAGAAGGAAATAAAGGGTATTCAATTAGGAAAAGAGGAAGTCAAATTGTCCCTGTTTGCAGACGACATGATTGTTTATCTAGAAAACCCCATCGTCTCAGCCCAAAATCTCCTTAAGCTGATAAGCAACTTCAGCAAAGTCTCAGGATACAAAATCAATGTACAAAAATCACAAGCATTCTTATACACCAACAACAGACAAACAGAGAGCCAAATCATGGGTGAACTCCCATTCACAATTGCTTCAAAGAGAATAAAATACCTAGGAATCCAACTTACAAGGAATGTGAAGGACCTCTTCAAGGAGAACTACAAACCACTGCTCAAGGAAATAAAAGAGGACACAAACAAATGGAAGAACATTCCATGCTCATGGGTAGGAAGAATCAATATCGTGAAAATGGCCATACTGCCCAAGGTAATTTACAGATTCAATGCCATCCCCATCAAGCTACCAATGACTTTCTTCACAGAATTGGAAAAAACTACTTTAAAGTTCATATGGAACCAAAAAAGAGCCCGCATTGCCAAGTCAATCCTAAGCCAAAAGAACAAAGCTGGAGGCATCACACTACCTGACTTCAAACTATACTACAAGGCTACAGTAACCAAAAGAGCATGGTACTGGTACCAAAACAGAGATATAGATCAATGGAACAGAACAGAGCCCTCAGAAATAATGCCGCATATCTACAACTATCTGATCTTTTACAAACCTGAGAAAAACAAGCAATGGGGAAAGGATTCCCTATTTAAGAAATGGTGCTGGGAAAACTGGCTAGCCATATGTAGAAAGCTGAAACTGGATCCCTTCCTTACACCTTATACAAAAATCAATTCAAGATGGATTAAAGATTTAAACGTTAGACCTAAAACCATAAAAACCCTAGAAGAAAACCTAGGCATTACCATTCAGGACATAGGCGTGGGCAAGGACTTCATGTCCAAAACACCAAAAGCAATGGCAACAAAAGCCAAAATTGACAAATGGGATCTAATTAAACTAAAGAGCTTCTGCACAGCAAAAGAAACTACCATCAGAGTGAACAGGCAACCTACAACATGGGAGAAAATTTTCGGAACCTACTCATCTGACAAAGGGCTAATATCCAGAATCTACAATGAACTCAAACAAATTTACAAGAAAAAAACAAACAACCCCATCAAAAAGTGGGCGAAGGACATGAACAGACACTTCTCAAAAGAAGACATTTATGCAGCCAAAAAGCACATGAAGAAATGCTCATCATCACTGGCCATCAGAGAAATGCAAATCAAAACCACTATGAGATATCATCTCACACCAGTTAGAATGGCAATCATTAAAAAGTCAGGAAACAACAGGTGCTGGAGAGGATGTGGAGAAATAGGAACACTTTTACACTGTTGGTGGGACTGTAAACTAGTTCAACCATTGTGGAAGTCAGTGTGGCGATTCCTCAGGGATCTAGAACTAGAAATACCATTTGATCCAGCCATCCCATTACTGGGTATATACCCAAAGGACTATAAATCATGCTGCTATAAAGACACATGCACACGTATGTTTATTGCGGCACTATTCACAATAGCAAAGACTTGGAACCAACCCAAATGTCCAACAATGATAGACTGGATTAAGAAAATGTGGCACATATACACCATGGAATACTATGCAGCCATAAAAAATGATGAGTTCATATCCTTTGTAGGGACATGGATGAAATTGGAAACCATCATTCTCAGTAAACTATCGCAAGAACAAAAAACCAAATACCGCATATTCTCACTCATAGGTGGGAATTGAACAATGAGATCACATGGACACAGGAAGGGGAATATCACACTCTGGGGACTGTGGTGGGGTCGGGGGAGGGGGGAGGGATAGCATTGGGAGATATACCTAATGCTAGATGACACATTAGTGGGTGCAGCGCACCAGCATGGCACATGTATACATATGTAACTAACCTGCACAATGTGCACATGTACCCTAAAACTTAGAGTATAATAAAAAAAAAAAAATAATAATAATAAAAAAAATTAATTTATACAAAAAAAAAATTCCAAATGATATGCTCTTTACAGCATCTTGTTTTAAATTTCATCTTTTATATATTTTGTAAGTAACCTTAAATTGAGAAGGAGGGGGCAAAGATTTCAATATAACTTTAATACAATGGTCTATGGATATGACTTACTCTTAGTTTCATTCCTTTAAGGAAAGAAACTGTTGTTTCTTTTATAGCTACAGTTTGTTCTGTCCTTTCTGATATTTTATCAGATGGCCCCTTTTAAGTCACAGATTTTAAATACTATAGTACTGTCAAAATTGGGCCTCAGACATAAAAATAAAAACATCATTTATGAGATTTTTCTAGCCAATCTAGAAATGTCATTCACATTTACACGTGTAGTAATTTCAGGTTTGGGAAATACCTCTGAGTATGGCTCATACCTTTATCTTTAATTGAATTTGAAAAATTATTAACTGACACAATTCCTGATTTCAACTTTTTCTTAGTTTAATTGTCCCATTTTTGCCATGGCTTTGATGGATAATTTCTCCACCACTGTATTAACTTGGTTTGTGCCTATTGTTCTGACAATCCTGAACAACTACTTACATGAAAAAGAATTGTGAGAACAAAGAAGTCTTGTGATGCATTCATAGACATTACCACATTTTGTTAGCTTTGTATCTCTTCTTCAGAAGACATTTTAATCACCTTATACTAATAATTTTCTGAGTAAATGAATTCATAACATATATAAGCCTTTCCCTAATCTGTTATTTTCTGCATCAGTATTTAAGTAGTATATTATTGATCAATTTGTAAATAGAGCCCTCATTTGATATCATATTATAGGGAAGCTACTATCATTTCAGATCCTTTATTTCTATACTGAATTATACTACTTAATGTCTCATTACTTTTATATTTTTAAAATTATTTTGTATTTTATTTGACTATTTTGATCCTGCCATTTTAAGGAATATGATTTAAATAATAATATTTCTTGCTTTCTTTAGATTTCTCTGATTTTAACCTACTATACTCATTCTGTTCCAAGATCCCATTTAAGTATACTGAATTATATTTAGTGCTCATGTCTTTTTAAGCTTCTCTTGGCTATGAGACTTTCTTATATGGGCCTTATTTTTGATACTTTGTAAGTTTAGTGGAGTACTAATCAGATATTGTATCAAATGCCCATCAATTAAAATTTTTCTTAATTTTTTTAATTTTTACAATGGGGTAGTGTATGTGGGGAAGGAAATACATGTAAGTTATGAAGATTGTGGGCCTAGACTCTTTATATTATTATCACCTTATGTCTGCAGGATCAGAAGTGATGACCACTCTCTTATTTTGGTTATTGGTAATTTGTTTCTTCTCTTTTTCTTGTATTGCCTAGCTATAGATTTAGTACCTTCACTGATATATTCAAAGAACCATTTTTGTTTCATTTATCTATTAATTTCTTGTTTTCGATTCCATTGATTTCTGATCATTTTTTATTGTAAATTGAAAATATATAGTTGAATATACTAATGGGTTAAAAAGTGATGTCATTATTAATGAATACAATGTAGAATTCTTAAGTCAAGCTAATTAACAAATCCATCACTTCAAATATTTATTATTTTTTGTGGTAAGTACATTTGAAATTAACTCAGTCATTTAGAAATATGCAAAACACTTGTTCCTTGGTATCTGAAAGGGATTGGCTCCAGGATCCCTGGCAGATACCAAAATCTACGGATGTCCAAATTCCTTGTATAAAAAGGTATAGTATTTGCATATAAGTTATGCATATCCTTCCATATGCTTTAAATCATTTTAAGATTATTTACAATATCTAATACAATGTAAATGTTATGCAAATAGTTGTTACACTATATTTTAACGTTTGTATTATTCGTTATTATTGTACTCTTATTTTTTATTGCTTTTTTTACCAAAATACGTTTGATCCATGATTGGCTGATTCCATGGGTGGAACTCACAGATACAGAGGATCAACAATATTCATCACCCTGTGCAATAGATCTCAAAAAAAAAAAAAATCACCCTATTCTTCTGGTCTAATTGAGGCTTTATCTCCTTTAACCATCATCTTCCCATTTCCCCCACCCGTCAGCCTCTTGTAAGCACTATTCTACTCTCTGCTGTTATGAGTTAAATTATTGTAGATTTCATTAAGTGAGAACATGTAAGATTAGTCTTTCTGTGCCTGGATTACTCCACTTAGAATAACGGTTACCAATCCCATCCATGTTATCACAAGTGACAGAAATATATTCTTTTTTAAGGCCAAATAAAATTTCATCATTGTACATATACCACATTTTCTGTATTCATTCTTCTGTTGATGGACACTTAGGTTGACTCCATAACGTGTCTATTGCAAATAGTGCTGCAATGAACATGGGAGTGCAGACATATCTTTCACACAGTGATTTCAAATCTTTTGAGTAATTGTCCAGAAGTAGGAGTGCTGGATCATATCATAATTCATTTTCAGTTTTTTGACGAACTTCCATACAGCTTTTTATAATAGCTGCACTAATTTACATTTCCACCAATAATGTACAACAGTTTCCTTTTCATCACACCTTACCAACACTTGGTATTGTTCATCCTTTTCATAATAGCCATTCTGAAAGTTGTGAGATGGTATCTCATTGGGAATAGCATAATTAATTTGCATCTCTTTAATGATAATATTGAGCATTCTTGATATATCTGTTGACATTTGAATGTCTTCTTTTTAGAAATATCTATTCTGTCCCCTTTCCTTGACAATTTTTCATATGATTATTTGTTTCTTTTTATTGAGTAGTTTGATAATCTTATATGTTTTGGATATTGACCTCTTATCAGATCTATAGCTTACAAATATTTTCTCCCAATCCATAGGTTGTCTCTTGAATTAGTTGTTTTATTTGTTGTGCAAAAGCTTTTCATTTTGTTTTAATCCCATTTGTCTATTTTTGCTTTTTTTGCCTGTGCTTTTGGAGTCTAATCGAGAAAACCATTGCCTAGACCAATGTTGTGTAGTTTCCCCCTAAGTTTTTCTCTAGTAGTTTTGCCATTTCACATCTTTTTTAAAGTCTTTATAATCCACTTTGAATTGATTTTTGTGTATGGTTTGAGATAAGGGTTCAATTTTATTCTTCTGTGCATGGATATCCAGTTTTCTCGAAATCATTTATTGAAGATATTGCCCTTTTTATTGTGTATTCTTGGCACCTTTGTTTAAAATCAATTGACTCTTTATGTTCAGTTTATTTTAGGCTTTCTATTTTGTTCCATTAGTTAATATGTCTACTTTATGCCAGTGTATTGCTGTTTTAATTAATATTACTTTGTATTATAGTTTGAAATCAAATAGTATGACATTTCCAGCTTTATTCTTTTTACTCATGGTTACCTTGACTATTTGAGCTTATTTTGCCATTCCACATGAATTGTAGGTTTTTTTTTCTATTTTTATGAAAAATGACATGGGAATGTTGATAGTGACTGCACTGAATATGTAGATCACTTTAGGTAATATGGACATTTTAACATTAATTTTTCCAGTATATAGACACAAGATATCTTTTAATTTACTTGTGTTTTCTTCAATTTATTTCACTAACTTTCTATAGTTTTCAGTGTGCATGTTCTTCATTTACTTAGTTAAATTTATTTCTAAGTATTTTAGTTTTTGTAGCTATTATAAATGGGATTGCTCCTTTGATATCTTTTTCAGAAAGCCTGTTATCATATAGAAATTCTACTGATTTTTGCATGTTAATTTTATATCCTGTAACTTTAATGTATTTACTTCTAACAATCTTTTTGTATGCATGGAATCTTTTGGGGTTTTCTGTATATAAGATCTCATCATTGGCAAACAGTAAGAATTTCACTTCTTTCTTCCATATTTACATGCCTTTATTTCTTTCTGTTGCCTAATTGCTATAGTAAGGCCTTCCAATACCATGTTGAATGGAAGTGATAAGAGTGGGCACACTTGTCTTTTTCTGGATGTTAGTGGAAAGGATTTCAACTTTTTACTGTTGAGTATAATGGTAGCTGTGAGTTTCTCAAATATGACCTTTATTGTGTTGCAGTACATTTTGTCTATATCTAATTTGTTGAGTTTTTATTATAAAATGATGTTGAATTTTGTCAAAATCATTTTTCTGCATCAAATTACATGATCATGTGGTTTTTGTCCTTCACTATGTTAATATATGTGTCACATCTATTAATTTGCCTATGTTGAACCATTCGTGCAGGAATGAATCACACTAGATCATGATGAATAACCCTTTTAATGTGTTGTTGAATTCAGTCTACTAGTATATTGTTGAGAAGTTTTGCATCTATGTTCATCAAGGATATTGTTCTGCATTTTTTCTTTATTGTATTGTCCTTGTCTGGCTTTGGTATCAGGATAATGCTGACCTCATCAAAAGAGTTTGAAAGTATTCCCTCCTCTAGCCTGGCTAACATGGTGAAACCTTATCTCTACTAAAAATACAAAAATTAGTCGAGCATGGTGGCGGGCACCTGTAATCCCAGCTACTTGGGAGGCTGAGGCAGGAGAATCACTTGAACCCAGGAGGCAGAGGTTGCAGTGAGCAGATATCGCGCCGTTGCACTCCAGCCTGGGTGACAAGGCTCCATCTCAAAAAAAAAAAAAAAAAAAAAAGAAAGAAAGAAAGAAAAAGAACGTATTCCCTCCTTTATAGTCTCTTGGCAGCATTTGCGAAGGACTGTTATTCTTTAAATGTTTGGCAGAATTCAACTGTGAGGCCATTAGATCTTAGGCTTTTTTTTTTTTTTTTTTTTTTTTTTTTTTTTTTTTTTTCTTTTGAGGCAGTGTCTTGCTCTGTCTCCCAGGCTGGAATGCAGTGGTGTGATCTCGGCTCACTGCAAGCTCTGCCTCCCGGATTCACGCCATTCTCCCGCCTCAGCCTCCGGAGTAGCTGGGATCACAGGTGCCCACCACCATGCCTGGCTAATTTTCTTTTTTTGTATTTTTAGTAGAGACGGGGTTTCACCATGTTAGCCAGGATGGTCTCCATCTCCTCACTTCGTGATCTGTCTCTATTTCATTTCATTTCATTTCATTTCATTTCATTTCATTTCATTTCGTTATGCTCTGAACTCCATTATTTATTTCCTCTCCTAATGCTGCGATTCGTTTGTTCTTTAAAAAAAATTCTTAAAACATAGCTTTGTTAATTTAAGAGCTTCTTGTTTGATTTAGGCATTTATTGCTATAAACTTTACCTCTTAGAGCTGCTTTAGTGGCATGCAATAAGTTGGCATAATAAGTTTGGTATTTTATGTATCTATTTTTGTTTCTTTCAAGATATTATAAAACTTAATTTTTCAGTGAATCATTGGTTATTTGCAAATGTATTTAATGTACATGTATTTGTGAATTTTCTAAAGTTTCTCTTGTTATTGATTTTTAATGTTCTAATTTTTTCATTTTTTTCTTTTGTTTACTTTGGATTATTTTTCAATTTTATTTTAAGTTCAGGGGTACATTTGCAGGTTCATTATGTAAGTAAACTTGTATTGTGAGGGTTTGCTTTACATATCATTTTGTTATCCAGGTATTAAGCCTAGTACCTATTAGTTATTTTTCCTGACCTTCTCGCTCCTTCCACACTTCACTTAACTGATAAGTTTCAGTGTCTGTTGTTCCACTCTATGTGTCCATGTATTCTCATTATTTAGCTCACATCTATAAGTGAGAATATTTGGTATGTGGTTTTCTCGTCCTGCCTTAATTTGCTAAGGAAAATGGTCTCCAGCTCCATGCATGTTCTTGCAAAGAACATAATCTCATTCTTTTTTTTGGCTGCATAGAATTCCATGGTGTATATGTGCCATATATTCTTTATAAAGTCTTCCATTGATAGGCATTTAGTGTGATTTCATGTCCTCACTATTGTGATTAGTGCTGCAATGAACATATGTGTGCAGGTGTTTTTATGACTGAATGATTTATACTATTTTGGGTATATACCCAGTAATTGGATTGCTATGTCAAATATAATAGTTATATTTTTAAGTCTTTCAGGAATTGCCACTCTATCTTTCACAGTGGTTCAACTAATTTACTCTCCCACCAACAGTCTATAAACATTCCTTTCTCTCTGCAACCTTGCCAGCATCTGTTATTTTTTTACTTTTTAATAATAGCCATTCTGATGGGTGTGAGATAGTATTTCATTGTGGTTATGATTTACATTTCTGTAATTATCAGTGATCTTGAGATTTTTTTTTTCATATGCATGTTGGCCGCATGTGTGTTCTCTTTTGAAAAGTGTCTTCATGTCTTTTGCCCAATTTTTAATAGGGCTGCTTGTTTTTTCCTTGTAAATGTGTTCCTTTTAGTTTGCTTACAGTTCCTTATAGATGCTGGATGTTAGACCTTTTTCAGATGCATCGTTTGCAAAAATTGTCCCCATTCTGTATTCTGTCTGTTTACTCTGTTGATAGTTTCTTTTGCTGTGCAGAAGCTTTTTTAGTTTAATTAGATCCCATTTGTCAATTTTTGCTATTGTTCCATTTGTTTCTGTTGTCTTCGTCATGAAATCTTTGTCCATTTCTATGTCCAGAATGGTATTACCTAGGTTGTCTTGTAGGATTTTTATAGTTTTGGTTTAATTCATATTGAGTTGGTTTTTGGATATGGTGTAAGGAAGGAGTCCAGTTTCAATCTTCTGCATAAGGCTAGCTAGTTATCCCAGCACCATTTATTAAACAGGAAGTCCTTTCTCCATTCCTTGTTTTCATCAGCTTTGTTGAAGATCAGATAGTTGTAGGTGTGCGGCCTTTGCTGGGCTCTCTATTCTGTTCCATTGGTCTATGTGCCTGTTTTTGTACCAGTACCGTGCTGTTTTGTTTACTGTAGCCCTGTGGTAATGTTGGAAGTTGCGTAATGTGATGTCTCCAGTTTTGTTCTTTTTGCTTAGGATTGTCTTGGCTTTGGCTCTTTTTTGGTTCCATATGAATTTTTAAAATAGTTTTTTTAATTTCTGTGAAGAATGTCATTTTTAGTTTGATAGGAATAGCATTAAATCCATAAATTGCTTAGAAAAGTATGGCCATTTTAGTGCTACTAATTCTTCATATCTCTGAGCATCAGATATTTTTCATTTGTTTGTGTTATCTCTGATTTCTTTGAGCAGTGTTTTGTAATTTTCATAGTAGAGATCTTTCACCTCCCCGATTAGCTGTATTCCTAGGTATTTTATTGTTTTTATGGTAATTGTGAATGGGATTGTGTTCCTGATTTAGATATCGGTTTGACTGTTTTGGGGGTATAGAAATGGTAGTAATTTTTGCATGCTGATTCTGTATTCTGAGACTGCTGATGTTATTTATCAGTTAAAGAAACTTTTGGGCTGAGACCGTGGGGTTTCCCATCTATAGGATCATGTTGTCTGCAAACAAGGATAGTTTGACTCCCTCTCTTCCTATCTGGATGCTTTTATTTCTTTCTTTTGCTGATTGCTCTTGCCAGGACTTCCAATGCTATGTTGAATAAAAGTGGTGAGTGTGGGCATCCTTATCTTGTGTCAGTTTTCAAGAGGAGTGCTTCCAGTTTTTGCCCATTCAGTATGATGTTGGCTGTGGGTTTTTCATAGATGATCCTTATCATTTTGAGATATGCCCCTTCCATACTTAGTTTATAGAAAGTGTTCAACATGAAGTAGTGTTGAATTTTATTGAAAGCCTTTTCTGAATCTATTGAGATCGTCATGTGGTTTTTGTCTTTAGTTCTCTTTATGGGATGAATCACATTTATTGATTTGCATATATTGAACCAGCCTTGCATCCCAGGGATGAAGCCTATTTGATCATCGTGGATCTTATTTCTCCTTTGCTTATGCAGCTTAGTTTGACTAGAAAAAAATTCTTGGATGGAATTTATTTTCTTTAAGAATGTTGAATATTAGCCCCCAATCTCTTCTGACTTATAGCGTTTCTGCTGAGAGTTCTGCTGTTTGATGCGGTTCCCTTTTTAATTGACCCAACCTTTCTTTCTAGCTGCCTTTAACAATTTTTCTGTAATTTTCCCCTTGGAGAATCTGGTGATTATGTGTGTTCGGGCTGATCTTCTTATGGTGTACCTTATAGGGGTTCTCTGCAGTTCCAGAATTTGAACGTTGGCCTGTCTAGCTAGGTTGGAGAAGTTCTCATGGATGATATACTGAAATATGGTTTCCAAGTTGCTTACGCTCTCCCTATCTTCAGGGACACCCATGAGTCATAGATTTATTCTCTTTACATAATCCCATATATCTCGGAGGTTTTATTCTTTCCTTTTGTCTCTATTCTTGTCTGGCTGTCTTACTTCAGAAAGCCAGACTTCAGGCTCTGAGATTAGTTGCTCTGCTTGGTCTACTCTGCTGTTAATACCTGTGTCTGCATTACAAAATTCTTGTAGTATGTTTTTCAGCTCTGCCAGGTCAGTTATGTTCTTTTCTATACTGGCTATTTTGTCTGTCAGCTACTGTATTGTTTGATAGCATTTCTTGGCTTACTTGGATTGGGTTTCCACTACTCTTGCCTCTCAATGGTCTTTGTTTCTATCTAGCTTTTGAATTATATTTCTGTCATTTTAGACATCTCAGCCCAGTTCAGAACCCTGGTTTGAGAGGTAGCACACTCATTTGGAGGCAAGAAGGCGCCTTGGCTTTTTGAGTTGTCAGAGTTTTTGCACTGGTTCTTTTACATCTTTGTAGGCTTTTGTCAGTTTCTTCAGACTTTGAAGTTGCTGACATTTGGATGGTTTTTTCCTTCTTTTATCCTATTTGATGACCTTTAGGGTTTGATTGTGATATAATGTGGGCTCATTTGACTGGCTTTGTTTCTGGAAAATTTTAGGGGGTCAGTGCTCAACTCTCAACTCCTGAACTGCATTAGCGTTTCCTAATATAGAAGATTATTAATTCTGCACTTTTTTCATTTCTAATATGTGCATTCAATACTATTAATTTTCCTCTAAGCACTGATTTTGCTGCATGCCGCATATTTTGATAAGTTATATTTATTATGGTCATTTTTATTTAGTTTGAAATATTTTTAAATTTCTCTGAGATGTCTTTGACCAATATGTTATTTAGTAGAAGTGTGTTATTATCCAAATATTTGGGGATTGAAGCTATCTTTCTGTTACTGATTTCTAGTTTAATTACATCATGGTCTGAGAACAGACATTGTATCATTTCTATTCCCTAAAATTTGGCAAGGTATGATTATGGCCTAGAATTTGGTCTATTTTGGCAAATTTTCCCTATGTCCTTGAAAAGAAAGTATACTCTACTATTGTAGACTGAAGTATTCTATAGAGCCAATTAGATCCAGGTGATTGACAGTGCTGTTCAGTTCATAGTATATCCTTACCGATTTTCTCCATTCTAGTATAAGAACCTATTTTGTCTGATTTCTATTAATGTAGACTAATTACAGTGGATTTATGGTCCATAATGCAGACTGTCTTGGTTAGTAGTCTATGTGAGCTTAAGAATAGTGGATGTTCTGCTCTTTTTCAGTGAAATAGTCAATAAATGTTAATTATACCAAGTTAAATAATAGTGCTGTTCAGGTCAACTATAGTCTTACTGATTTTCTGCCTGATCAATTAATCGATTATCTACTAAACAGGGGTGTTGAAATCTCCAAATATTAGTAAACTGTCTATGTCTCCTTTGAGTTATATCAGTTTTTGTCTCATGCATTCTGATGTTCTATTTTTTGGTGCATGACCATTTAGGATAGTATATCTTCTTAGAGAATTGGCCACTTATCATTATATAATGGCACCCATTATCTCCAATTTATTGTTTTGTTCTGAAGTCCATTTACCCCTGAAATTAATATAGCTACTCCAGCGTTCTTTTGATTAGCATTAACATGAGATATCATTCTCCATCCTTTCACTTTTGACCTAATTCTTTATAGTTAATGTTGGCTTCTCATAGACAACATATAGGTGTGTCTTATTTTTTATCTACTCTGGCAATATTTGCATTTCAATTGTGATATTTAGACTATTTCCCTTCAAAATAATCATTAATCAGATTAGTATCAACCATATTTCTAACTCTTTTCCATTCATTGCATTTGTTTTTGCCTGTCCCCACAACTTTTTGGTTTTATTGAACATTTTGTACAATTTCATTGTGTTTCTTCTCTTAGTGTATTAGTTATCTTCTTTATAATTTGTTTTACTTTTTTCTCCAGATTTTATAATATATATTTGAACTAATATAAGACCACCTTCACCTAGCACTATTTTGCATTTAATATTCCTTCTTAGACAATGTGCTAGTCATAAAGTCTTTGAGTCAAAGGAGTGAGAGGAAAGTTAATCTATAATGAAGATTAACAATAAGAGGGAAGATGTCTTCCCTGGCATTCTTGAGTCTTTAACAACATTTTACAAAACAATGTATGCAAAGAACAAGGCTAATCTATAATAAGATAAACAACCATTATAGCTACCTGTTTAGTTGACTCAGGTCCCATAATCTTATTAAGGCTCAAAATATTTTAAAGTTCTGACAATTTAGGTTTTAAATTATTTATTTTCATGTTATATAGTAAATTGTTTTTCCTGTCAATTTTCCCATTGTCTTTGATTTTCTACGGCCTGAGTATGTTTTCCTGTGTGTCCTTTTGTTTTTATTTTTAGGGGAGTGGTTTTTAATCTGTTTGTTGTTTTCTGGCCTTCCTGAATTTGTGGTTTGGTGATTGTCATTAATATTGAAAAATCTCCTGCCATTATCAATTATTACTCTTTTTTTTTTTTTTTTTTGACTGAGCTGTTGCCCAGGCTGGAGTGCAGTGGCATTTTCTCAGCTCACTGCAACATCCACCTCCTAGGTTCAAGTGATTCTCCTGCCTCAGCCTCCCTAGTAGCTGAGATTACAGGCACATACCACAAAGCCTGGTTATTTTTTGTATTTTTAGTAGAGACTGGCTTTTGCCATGTTGGCCATGCTGGTCTTGAACTCTTAGCCTCAAGTAATCCACCCGCCTTGGCCTCCCAAAGTGCTGGGATTACAAGTGTGAGCCATCACACCTGGCCAACCATTATTACTTCTAATTATTCTTCTGCCTTGTGCTCTCTTTGCTTTTTGTAATATTAATTATGTATATATTATGACCCTTTGAAATTGTCCCACTGTTCTTAAATCTACTTTGTTCTTTCTTTTTGCATTTCAGTTTGAGAAATTTCTATTGACCTAACTTTATGCTCGCTGAATCTTGTTTTTTGCTCCTGTTGTGTCTACTGAGGTGCTCATCAAAGGAACTCTTCACTTGTACAGTGGTTTTATTTTCTGGCATTTATTTTTGAATTTTTCTTAAAGTCTTCATCTCTTTGCTTATGTTATTAAAAAGAGGTCCCTATCCAGACCCCAACAGAGAGTTCTTGGATCTCATGCAAGAAATACTCCAGGGCACATCCACAGAATAAACTGAAATCAATTGTATTCAAGAAGTAAAGAGACAAAATAATGGGTACTACATGGACAGAGCAGGGCATTCCCAAAAGCAAGAAGAGGAATGCTCCCATTTTATTAGGTTTAGTGCTTGTTTATATATAAGATAACAAAGCGAAAAAAAAAACATAGGGGAGGTGTGTTCTATTACAACGACTCCTGACAAAGTATTGTTCATCTTTGTTTAACTACTGACTTTGACAAGACTCTATATGGTTTTATTTAAAGTGAAACTTATTCTTAAATGAAGAATGCTTTTGCCCTTAAGATAACAGGACATCAGGACATTCCCTGAGTCTTTTAGGTGTGGGTCTGTTTAATAAACATATTAATCTGTTCCCTTATTCATAAACATCTTGTGACTAAGAATGCCGAACTCCTGGCAATGCACCAAAGCAGGTCTCAGCCTCATTTGACCCAGTACCTGTTCAAGATGGAGGCATTCTGGTTCAAATGCCCCTGATACTTACATGACTCCTCTTTTCTTGCATGTTGTCTATTATTTTCATGAGAGTTCTTAACATATGATTAATAGTTATTTTAAATTATTTCTCTGTTAATTCCAAAGTCAGTGTGATATTTGAGTTTGGCTCTACAAATTTTTTTTCCACACTAATTTTCTTGTCTTTTGGCATGTCTTGTAACTTTTTGTTGAAAACAGGTTGTATTTTATAGAAAAAGAAGAACTGATTAAAGTTGGCCTTTATTTTGCAAATTTATGTTAATAGGGCTAGAAGTAGTGCTGTATAATATTTGCAATATCCATAGGTACCTTAAAACATCAAAATTCTCTTTTGCCCCATTTTTGTCTCTCATCTTCAGTTTGGACTTTTCTAAGTACACTCATCACAGAGAATCTGTATCTTGCAACTCTTTAAGCTGTTATTCATAGTTATTATAATGGAAGCCTCTTGGTGTGCGGGTGACATGACAAGGGAGGGCTTTCTACAATCTTATAATTAAATCTGTCTTTTAATGGGCCTATTTCTAAGGGCTGTGATCTTCACATGTGTTACTCCAGTGGTGTAACATTCTCCCTCCTGCCCCCAAACATTCTCATTACTTCCTCCCTAGCTACAGAACTCCAGTCTATCTATCTGACAGCCTAAACCTCAGTAACTATGTATTTTATTCCCCGCTGGTGAGATAAAAGACTAGAAGAGACTGGAGTGACAAAAATGCATTTCTCCCAATGGTATACGACAATGTCAGAATCTTTCCAAAAGGCAAAGCTCTGAGCATATTTCACAATGATTAGTTTTTACCTCCACTTCCTGAATCATGAGGGAACCTTTTCCAGAGTTTCAACATTTGAACAGGTTAGGAATCCTGGTCACAAATGTGTGGGAGTTCTCTTAAGACTTCAGTCAATAGGAATTTCTCATTCTAATGCTAGTCCACACTTAGCTTCAGAAATTTGTCAGTTACCATTCAAGTGTCTGTACCAGTTTAGGGTGGCAGAGTTTTCTGCTCCAGGTAAAAGATATCTTAGTTGTGACTATCTGAATATGCTTATCTTCCCTCATTTCCAAGTAGGAGTATGTCCTGCAACATCAATTATTTGTTGGGTCTGTGAAAAGTTATTAGTTTTCGGGTTTCCTACATTTATCTTGAAGTAAGAATGGGAGTAAGACTTTAAGCACTTTACATAGTGAAGCTGAAACCAGAGTTTGTTATCATTACTTTGTATTTAAAAAATATTTTTCCTTTAAATTGTGCTTAAAATAGTCCCACTTTGAAATCCAAGTTCATTTATAAATTGTTGACTTTTTCTGTTTTTAAAATATTATATTTATATTTGAATGAATATGGATGTATATACATGCTTTATTTATTGTTATATACCTGTTGCGTTATGTGGATATTAAGACTTATTACATGTTCATGAATTAAAAGAGTCTCTCATCTAGAGGAAAACAACACCAGACAAGCACTTTAAATGTCATAGGAAAGACACTGAGCTTTTTTCTTGGGCTTTTATTTCCAGTTTACCACTCGCTCATTGAGTCATCTTGTAAACTGAAGCTTTCCATGCAGGATTGTAATGAAGGCTTACTGATAACAATGCAGTTAAAGAGCCTGTGAGAACTCAACTAAACTTACCTATTTCTATTAATATGAATTAAGATCATTGTAAATCAGGAGTACAATTGCTTTAATTGGGATATTGACAGAACAGCATGGGAACAGAAGAAATCATGCCTTGTCCTGGCTCATAAGGTCAAGAAAGGTACAATGCAGAATGTAGGATATTTCTTCTCATGCTGTGTCTGAAAGATGAGGATGAGTTTTCTTAGTAGACATGTTTGGAAAAGGCTTCCCATGCAGAGACAACCTTGTGTACAAGGTATGGTTTACAATTTCAATAACACTGTAGCATTTCTCAAACATAAAATAAAAACTATAAAGTCAACAAAGATAAAGCTAAACAGGAAGCAGGAGCTAATAATGGTAAGCATCTTAAATCCAAATAAGTTTAGATTTTTGTCTTAATGTATGGAACATTTTTATAGTAGAAAAGTGACATAGTCTGATTTCAATATCAATGTTTATTATAGATCAGATTTAGATTTTTTCATTAATCAGGAACTTCAGAAGATATTCAAAAGACAACAAATGACTCATATATAATGAGAATTAAGATGTATGTAGATGAATTCTACATTAATAATCCCTTGAATTTTGGGCACTAGTTTCATGATTTCTCCAAAGTTTAGTTTCATTCTTATAAAAATAGGGAATGTAAAGTATATCTTAAAAAATTAAAATATAATTATTAAAATGAGAACTCTAAATCTTACATTAAAGAAGTAAATAATTAATGTACATACAAATATCCTAAGTCAGTGCCTACCTAGCATAGTTCAGATTCTTCCCTGTTGGTGTTACTCATCAAAGCTTAAACTTTATTGAAAGGAAAATGAAGTTACTTGATCTTTCTTGCTATATTTTCCAAAGATAATTGACAACTTTCCCATATGGCTAGCTCTTTATAACATCCTTTATTTTAATTCTGAACTCATTTTTTTATATTTTCTGTTCCAAAGCCTGTTACAAAAATTTTCAGTGACTTGTTTTCCAGGTTGTACTTAGAACACCTGGTCTCTAAAGTCACCAGAGCAAAGAAGATTTTGGAGCCAGTTGGCAAACATAAATGTAAGAAAACAGGTAAAATCTAAGAGTAAAAGCATTTAGATGGCCTTTTAAATTAAAAAAGGAGAGAGCAAGAAGAGAAATCATTATGTTGGCAGCAAACTGAGAAGAGAAATACAATGAAGAAATTGTAATGTTTTCTACTACCTCCTGCTTCCATGACTACATTTTGCTTTATTGATGACCATTTCGGCAGACTTTTTCAGCTTTTCCAAGAAACCCTTTACTTAACTGAAATACTTTGATCTTTCTCTCTCTCTTTTTCAATTTTTTTTTAAGACAGGCTATCACTCTGTTGCCCAGACTGGAGTGCAGTAGTAGGATCATAGCTCACTCTAAGCTCCTGGGCTCAAGCAATCCTCCAGCCTCAGCCTCCGAAGTAGTTGGGGCTACAAGTACACCCCACCACATCTGAGTAATTTTAATTTTTTTTTTAGAAGAGACTTGCTATGTTGCCAGGACTGCTCTTATACTCGCAGCCTCAAGTAACCCTGCCTTAGTCTCCTGAGTAGCTAGGACTAAGGCATGAGCCACCATGCCCCGACTAGTCTCTTCTATAATGGCCATATTTTATAACTCTTCCCCTACCTTCCTTATATCAGATTTTTCTTCCTTACTCTTTCTATATAATTTATTGACTTTCAGCTCTGGTCTAACAATTGAGCTAGGTCACAGGAAAATCATGTGAGGAAATTGCAGTTTCTACCTATATAAAGATCATAATCTAGTGGAGGAGAAAATCCATCCAAACAAAATAAAAATGAATAAATACCTTTGGCAGTAGATCTACTGTCTACCAATATAGCAAACTTTATAGTAGATGGAATATAATGTGTCTAATATGGAATCCAAGCAGCATTTCTTGACTCCTCTGTGGGATAGGCTAAGTGCTATTTATATTACTTTATTTAATCTTTATAATAATTCTATGAGATTGTATTATTTTGCCTATTTACAATTGAGGAAAATAATGTCCCAGAGCAAGAAAGTTGTTGAGCTAATAGAATGAACTCCTTTAGAATAGATGTCCTTGACTTTCTTAACTTTGAATTTCCTCTGTATAACAATATGCATAGGACATGCTGGCCCCTACATAAAATGCATATTTTCTGAATGAATGAATTGAAATAATATGTGTTCAAGACCAAAAGCCTAGAAATCCTAGAGGTAAGGTGTTCGCTCTGATTTAGGGTGAGAAGGAATGTGGGCAAAAGAGAATTGAGGAAAGAGTTTTATTGTAATAGTTAATCTTTGGTCCTGGTATTCAGTAAACATATGCTTGCATATAAATAGGGTCTTATTGCACATATATAAAAAAGGATATTTATTTATTTATACCATTCATTACACAAAACTGTATAGTTATATAATGTCCTCAGGTATCTCAACAGCATTTTTGGCCCTCTACATTTAGGTAATCTTGAAAAAATGATTTTGTTTTGATTTTTTTCCTGGTGAAAAAATATAATTCTTACATTTTTTTCTTTTGGGGAAAATCATAATTTATTTAAGATTTTTGTCATGTGACTATTTTCATATTCTGTGCTTCTTTTCCTTTTTTTCTTATACCTTGTAACACATGTCTTATAAATTTCTTCTAATGCATGTTTATGAGCACAGGTAGACTCAAGTTTAACAGTTTAACTTTCTTTTAGAAATACAATTAACTCACCCTTATTTTATTGTGTATTTATTTAAACATTCTTTTAAATGCCAAAATATGCTTAAAATCTAAAACTCAAGTATGAGGTTTTCATAAATAGCTGAACTCTTGAGCTCTGATGTCTGTCCAAAAAATCCATTTACTTATCTTTAGGTTGGAGCACTATATTCACTTGCTCCTAAAATAATCGGTAAAATATAAGCCTCTATCATTCTTATTTTCTCAGTGAAGCACATCATAATTTGCCCACTTCGGTCTCTTTAAACTTACCCAAAGAAAGAAATCTGCTGAAAAATGCCTTTAGTCAAACTGAACCATGTCTTACTTTTCTCATCATTTTGATCCTACCAATTTTGGTACCTCATATTTGCATTTGCTCCTTGATTTTCACTATTTCTGCTCAAATTTCATCACCACCACCACAAAACAAATTATATCATTTAATCACTTTTAGGGAAACTATTGGCTTTTTAATTTTAATTTTTAAAATATATTATTATTATTATCCTTACCTGCAGGGCTCTTAAAAGCAGACAGAGTATTCTTATCTTTAGTAATTCATTTTATATTGTGAATGTATTTCCATTATAATTGAAATTTATTATTTTCATAATCTAACAGCTTTTGCAGCTTTGCAAATGTTGATAGTGGCTATTATCAATGCAACCACAAAATAAGAGATAATTTGAACGTCATATTCTATTCTTCCTTGCACTTAATGCAGTAAATTCTACCTACCTCCAAATGTTCATTTTGTTCAAACTAGCTCCCCTCTGAGAACTTGTCCTTTTGTCTAACTTAAATGGTCTCTTACTTAATTGACTCTCACTTACTGTTTTTTGAATTCCTGGAGATATAAGCAGAGACCACTGATAATTGACGTCATTATTCTTTACATGTACTTTTGAAATGTTGCGTGCTCTTCTCTAAACAAGCACTTTTCAATGCATAGTCCATGTGACAATAGTATCTTAAATACTGGGTTGGGATAAAAACCAAAATATTTTGCAGTCAAAGGAAGTCAGTGACTGCCAGAAAACGTATCCTTTTTTTGGATGCACATTAATCTATTAGTGATTCTGGGTCCATTTAACACAAAGAAGCATGTTTAACTTAAATTTCCTCAGCACTTCTTAATCGTTTTTCATTATGAGCTTCATTTTTCATGTAATATCTCTGAACACCCTGTGAAAAAGTGCTTTGGGAATTACTAAATTTGCTCCTTTTTAGATATTTTAACCAATTTGCCTATTTTCCATGGTTTGTCCATTTTATTACTTGCTTTAATTTTTAATAATATTCTTCTCATATTTTTGAATAATTATGTTATAGACTATACACTACATTCTAGTAGGGGTCAGATGCATATGAAATAGAATAGAAAAATGCTTTCAGACTCTTACAGAACTTCATAATTTTAAGACACTCTGATATCATGTTCACTTCTCTTTTTGTACTGAGGAAGAGTACCACCACAAAGATACCAAAATAAAATGGTAATCTGTGTTTCCCACAAAGTTCTTCTTCTTGTTCTTTAGCCATCCAGATAAGAATACTTTCTTTTCTTCTTTAAAAATCTCATGGTTACATAACAGAAAAATAGTATTAAGTCTAATTATGTTGGAATTTTCCTTTCTCTATCACTACCTTTTTTTTTTTCAAAGGATTGAATATTCCTGTAAGGTTATAAAGGTTAGTACTTCAGTTCTTATTTTTAAGAAAAGGAGAACAAGATAAAGTGTTAAGTAAGTTGAGCCAAAACAAATCTTTGGTACCCCTGGGTATCAGCTGGTGCTTTATCTGGTGAATTGTGCCACCTCTAGGCAAGGAACTAGCAGTTATTCCAGTGGAGATCAAGAAGGAGAAATGTAAACCAAAGGAAAGAATAAAAAATCAGTGAAGCATTTGACAGTTTGATATGACCTATACTCTAATGAGTATAAAATGTCAATAAAAATCACAGCAAAATAGTTGTTGGTTTCATTCTGATAATTTTATATTCCTATATAAAGCAAAACAGATACATAAAGCAAAGTAATTCATATATGAAGAAGTATTTTAAGGGGTGAAAACCATTCCATTTACTGCCTTAATACTCTACTTAACTAGAAATGGAAAAAGAGGTTTATGCCACCAAGTAATTAAGTTCAAAAAGTATTGCTTGGGAGATTGAAAAATCTTGATGGCATATCTTTATGTTCCCCCATATAATTACTTATTTATATTGCATTTAATGTGTATATCAGAGGTAATTATTGTATGGACCTTTATTCGCAGGAACTTACAGTACATCCGTCATTCTGTACTGAATCACTCCTTTCATCTGTGATATCTTTCTGAACGTAGATTGGTTAATGACACTTACTTCTTTAAAAAATCATGTGTAAGATTCTAATGATTATGAACTAGATCCACATTATATGGAGTGGCATTCAATACTCTTCTCAGCCTGGGGCCAATTTGCCTGTTCACCAGCATCCTCAGTTCCCAACTAGAGGCCGCTTGTGCACTGTGGTCTTTGTAAGGTGTGCCGTGTACAGACGTTCGCATAGGTTGCAAAGTGAACAAGCCCTGGAGTTGAGGAGTGATACTTTTTTTTTCTCACCACTTCTTGCCTTATATTGCATTGAATTTTTGTCATTTTATGAAGCTGTTGTATTCCCTTACTCTACTGTCAGTTTTTCAATCCATTTAATTGTTTTTTGCCTGAAATGTATTTTCCGTTGTTTGTAATCTGACAAACTCATAGGTATTCTTTAAGACCCAGTTCAAACATTTATTTTCTGAGGACTAATGTAACTCAGAATTTGTAACTGGCTGCTACATTTTCAGTCACTTGCCTGTAACCCCTACTATCAAGTTTACTCCATAAAGGCAGAAATAGGTCTCTAACTCTATTGTTTTCCTATTACTGTTACAACAAATTACCACAAATATAGTGGCTTAAGAACAACATGAATTTATTATATTGCAGTTCCAGAGGTCAGATATCTAAAATTGGTGTTACTAGGCTAAAATAAAGTTGTCATCAGGGAGGTATTCCTTCTGGAGTCTCTGCAAAAGAATCCATTTCTTTGTATTTTCCAACTTTGAGAGGTAGCTCACATTCCTTGACTCATGACCTGTTCTTCTGTATTCAGCGTCAGCAGCGAGGCATCTTTAAGTCTCTCTGTCTGATTCTGATATTCTTTTACTTTTAGGACCCTTATGTGATTATATTCAGCCCACCTGGAGAATGCAGGATAATCTGCCTAAATCCATATCTTTAATTTAAGCATCTGCAAAGTCATTTTGCCATGCAATGTAACATATTCACAGGTTTTGAGGATTACAACATACATATCATTGAAGGGACATTATTCTGCCTAACAAACATACTAATCACGTGTTTAATATTCAATATTTATTAACCGAAGGAATTTGTGAGATTTTTAGTTATTAGCATTTATAGTAGACTTTTACTAGATTATGAAATTCTTGAGGTGAGGGAGCATGTTTTCTTTATCCCTCTATTCTCATGTCCTAAGTAAAAAATTATTAATAGATTCCTTAAGAGAGACACAACTAAATGCTACCTTTAATAAATATAGCTAATGAAATATCTTTATATATATATAAAATAACACTTTCCAGAAGTTATGCACTTTGGGTCTATTAAATCTCGTTCCAGATATAGTATCAGATCAGAAGGGAAAGTAGAAATTACTACACAGAGCTGGCAGCTTTTCATTTGGAATTGTTGAGTTCTCTTTGATTCCCTTTATGGGTCATTTCTAAGCTATATCCTTACTTCTGTTATCAATATTGGTGATGCTGATTCCAGTTCATAACTATATGTAACTCAGTTCAGCGTAGATTTGATAAAGCAGTTCATATAAAAATAATCACATGAAAGTGATCAATAAAAATTAAAAGTCATAATAATATAGGGAAGAAACATATTCTATGACAATAATATCAATGATCTGAGTTTTCTAAGTGGTTGCTGTATTTTACACGTCAGTTTTCCTGTGCTGGTGCAACCCATGTGTCAGAAGCAATGAATTATTTGTTCAAGAGATGCATCTACAAGGTGTGCCAGAACAATATGATTAAATTACAGGGACTCTTTCCAATCTTGCAGCCCACAATCATGGTCATTATCACCTAAAATCAGTATTCATTTTTCTGATACTTTCAAGTTCAGGAGTACATAAATGTTACAATATAACAAAATCTCCTTCCTCTGCTGACATGTTATGCAGTGCCAGGATGAGAGTAGTTGCTTACTATATAAATAACTGTTGAATTAAATTGAATTTTTAAATAATAGACACTTATCCCTTCCTGTTTTCAACCTCTTTGCTTATTTGTCTCATCTTGTATAAGCACCAAGGTAAATTTCTTTATTCTAGCTAAGCAAACACTATTCATGATTTCCTTAATATATACCAAGTGCTACAGTCATCTAAAGCGATATTTTATTTACTCCTATAAACACATATGTTTCACAATATGTTACTTATTCTTCTACATTATCAAGCTTGCTTCAGTCAGTAACTCCAGTTTTTCTTCGGAAGTTCTGAATGTGTTCTATAAAGGCAGCATTTTATTTGCTTATTTCATTTGGTGTACTTACCTTTTATATTTACATTTCTAGATAGGAGAGGTCATGTCCGTTTCTTATCATCACTCTTTAAATGTTTTTAAGACAAGAAACTGTAAAAAATAAAATACCGATCTTTGAATATACCATAATCATTCCTCAGTTCAAGACTCCTGAAATGCTTTTCCTCTTTTCTCTCCCTTTTTAGGTTTATTTTTCTAAATACAGCTCTACGTCTCTCTATTAAAACCTTTGCCAAATTGTGCTGTCCCCTTTGATCTGCTTCATTAATAAAATTGAGTATCAATCATTTTTGTATCATTTACTTCAGAGTCTCCCAATCTCCCCTTGAAGATTAGAATAACCTGGACATGTATTAAATATGTAGATTATCAGATATTTCTCTTATAAATTCTGATTAAGTAATACTGGGTGGGGCTTAGGAGTGTAAGACCCAGATAATTTCTTTCTTCAGAGAAGTTACGCAAATGCTACTGCCATTCACTGACAATTCATGGCATTAGCAGCATTAATGGCAGGCTGGGTCCTTACTGTCTATGGTTCAAATGTCCTAAACACATTTCTACTGACTACTGGCCATTTTATGCCCCTGAAGAAATGTCCTCTACTTTTTATGGTCTGAACACAAATCCTATCTAATATGGAACTGAAATCCATGTCTTTATGGTTTCCACTTACTTCCTCACTTTGACTTTTGGGGACACAGTGACCAAGTTAGAGGTTTTTGATACAGGACAGTCTATCAGTTATGAGAAACTGGCTGCCATACCCACCCAACTCCTTTATTTAAAAAAAATCAAAACGTCAGTTCTGTTGACATTCTCCAAAGTCAAGATTTTACCATCCTGATTAACAACATACCTTTGACCTATACTGTCCAATATGGTAGCAACCACCCACATGTGACCATTGAGGAAATGAAATGTGACCAATGTGTCTAAGAAACTAATTTTATTTAATTTTAACATTTAAAATTTACATTTATAGTCTGGGGGCGGTGGCTCATGCCTGTAATCCCAGCACTTTGGGAGGCCAAGGCAGGCAGATCACAAGGTCAGGAGATTGAGACCATCTTGGCTAACTTGGTGAAACCCTGTCTCTACTAAAAGTATAAAAAATTAGCTGGGCATGGTGGCGGGCGCCTGTAGTCCCAGCTACTCAGGAGGCTGAGGCAGGAGAACCGATTGAACCTAGGAGACCGAGGTTGTAATGAGCGGAGATCCTGCCATTGCACTCCAGCCTGGGCGACAGAGCGAGACTCCGCCTCAAAAAAAAAGATACATTTATATAGCCAGATATAGTTAGGTATAAATTTAGAGTACACAGAGACCACTTTAGGATATGGTTGCCTAGTTTCATTAAGGAATGAGTTAAGCTGAAGCTTTAAAGTAGTTACATGTGAAGAATAACAATTATAGTTGTAATAGGGAGAAAGGTTATTACATTTACAAAAGACTAAAGGTGTAAGTTTAGTAAACATATTAATTAGATAATCTGAACTTGATTCACTAGAAAGTAGTTTTAGGAAAGCTACATAGTTGTTGATAATGTTTGGATAGTTTTGGTTGGATATTTTTGCCATAGTGAGGAAATTCAACTTTATTGTAGAAGCAATAGAGAATTATTGAGAATTTTTAAACAAGAAAGATCAATGTCCAGAGGGATTTATCTAAATAACTTCTGTTTATAATAATTATTAATAAATTTGTTTCTGAAAATAATAATACTAAGGCATTAGACTTTTTATGAAAGATTGAGTGAATATTTTTGCCACAGAAAGACAAGTAGAAAAGGCATAATTTCTAAAATATGGAAACTGTTTTGAGGCTAAATGAAATGGCTTTAAGCAGTTCAATAAGATTAAAGACACAACACAATATGTTACACTACAAGTGACACCTTTAGGAGAATCTCAGTTGGAAATTGAAAATGAATTGCATTCTATGAAATACATCAACTAAATTTCTATATTGGCATTTTATATATGACCTTACATTTTATTCATTCCTAGGCTGTCTCTTTAACTCCTGCCTTTGTCTTTACGCTTCCATGGCTAAAAGATTTGGAAGGTAAAGATAACATTATTTGGACATTACTTGGGGTTCTAATGCAGAACAAATACATACTGAATGACTAAATAAATGCATAAGGTGGAAAAATGACTGTCACAGAAAATAATATAATTGAATATTTAAATTTTTCAATTAAATTTGAATATTGAAACAATTGCATATGCTTATGATTTTTATATACAATATTACTATCACTATTTTCTTTATTTTTAAGATTTGAATGATACAGCTGAATTGTCTACACACCTTGACTTTTTATTTTCTTCTTAACATGAAAGTAGAATGTTCTGGTCAATTTAAGAGCTTAACTATTTTTCTATCTCTATAATTTAAATGTTACAGATCTAAATTTCAGTTTAAATCTTTAAAATAAGATTTAGACCATTTTTCTGTTCCTAGTCTAAGGTGTGTTACTTTGAAGCCTGCGTGTGTAGAGTGTTTCACCAGTGGGCATTTTGAAGGCAATTACCATGACCATTTATGATAATTGTTAAATAAATGTATTTATTTATTAATTCTCTTAATACACAGTTACTAAGCTAGCTACATGTTCCAAGCATGATTCAGATAGAGGGATACGTGGCTAAAAAAGAAAACCAGATAAATTTTCTCATCTTTCATGGAACTTACTTCTAGTGGAAAAAACAAAGAAACAGCACAGAAATAAACCATTAATATAATGTCATACAACATAAAGGAATATAATGTAATATTAGTTAACAAAAGTAGAGTGAGTTTTCTTCAGGTCTGTACTCAAAAGTCGCCTGCTTAGTGTTCCATGGTACTTTATATAAAATGGTATCCACTTTCTAATATTTTATACTATATATGCTTGATATGTATATATCAAGAAGACTATTGATACATATTTGTATTTATATATATTTTAACTTAGCCATTTCTAATATATTTAACATATTTCATTTTTTACTTATTTAAATTTAAATCTACTCCGTTAGAATGTAGCCCCCATGAGGGGAAGGACTTTTGTTTATGTTTTTTACAACTATATACCTAACACTACAATTAGTGTTACCTATTAACAAAAGGCCAATAAATATTTTTGAATAAATAAATGTTGAATTTATGCATTAGTATATCAATACTTTAGGGAGTAATTCTATTATACATATTTATTCTGAAGTTTCTAAAGTTTCAGGGTTACAGTGAAGCAAAACTCTCCCTGTCTGGAAAATGGCACTAATAAACGCATCACTTAAATTAGCCTTTTCTACTTAATCCTAAAACATATTCTTCCATGTCAAATCACTGTTTTTACCACCTTACATCTTTCTGATTTTCTGTTTTGGCAAATTTCTGACAGAATGAGCCAAATACAAAGTAAATAGAGTATTACATGTAATAGCAAAGTTTATAAAGAATCAGAATTTTGTGAAGCCAAAGCTGAGTATTATAATGTGGATAAACACCTTTAATTTGTAGATCAGCAACTTTACAATTGATAAAGAGATTTGAAAAGGAAAATAGTGATAGGCCCTTTAAGTAAAAAGTACCTGGAATGATCAAAATTAGTGACTCCTAAATTTATAAGCCCAGTCCCAAATCCTCCCCACAGTTCTGTCTAATCAAGTGATTTTTTCTTCAGAAATTTTAGGTGAAGCCATTACCTCCAACATCTTGATTTCCTCCCAGTGAAACTGATTTTGGACTTCCAAGCTCCAGAATTATAAAATAATAAGTTCAGTTGTTTTTTGTTACAGCAGCAATAGGAAACTAATACATCACCCTCTAATAGAATACAAACTAGATGATGCAAATGAGAAGAAATCCAACAATTCTGTTTTCTGTACAACCACATGATCATCCTCCACACATCGTCTTTGTCCCTCCAGATGTAAGGCATTATGTTTAGCTCGCATGTCATGATTATGTGGTGATATAATGAGAAGATTTTTTAGTTTCCTTCAGTTGCTTTTTTACTGACTACTTGGTTTGTTGAGACACAGACAAATTGTCATTTTTATTATTTTTTTCCAATTGCTGCCAGAGGTTTTACTACAGCTGTAAGGCAGGAACATGAACTTTTTAAAGTGATCAAAACTAACAGTTTTTGCAATGGGAAAAAATAATCCAAGATAATATTATTGTAATTATTTATTCTATTCACAATGAGATAATTAGTGCAATGAAGACCCATTAGGGATCTATCAACATGTGAGAGAAAAGATCTCAAAAAAAAATCAAGATATCTGAATAATTTCAGAAAACTCAGATAATGGCTGGTCAAATGATCAGCCATGTACAAAACAAAGGGACAGCCATTCTTGAGAAAGTTGTGCAGCTGGTTAAGCTTCCTTTAGGAATCCTCCTTGAAACCTTTTTATGACCCTCCTTCCTTTCCTTCCTTTTTCCTTCCTTTCTTCCTTCCTTTCTTCCTTCCTTTCCTCCTTCCTTCCTTCCCTCCTTCCCTCCCTTCCTCCTTTCTTTCTTTCTTTCTTTCTTTTTCTTTCTTTCTTTCTTTCTTTCTTTCCTTCTTTCTTTCCTTCTTTCTTTCTCTCTCTCTTTGTTTCTTTCTTTCTTTCCTTCCTTCCTTGCTTGCCTGCTTCTTTCTTTCTTTCTTTCTTTCTTTCTTTCTTTCTTTCTCTTTTTCTCTTTCTTTCTTTCTCTCCTTCTTTCTTTCTTTCTTTCTTTCATTTTCTTCAGAGTCACACTGTTGTCACAACAGGCCGGAGTAAATGGCATGATCTTAGCTCACTGTAACCTCCACCTCCAGGGTTCCAGCAATTCCCCTGCCTCAGCTTCCTGAGTAGCTGAGATTACAGGCGCCCACCACCACACCCAGCTAATTTTTGTATTTTTAGTAGAGAGGAGGTTTCACCACGTTGGCCAGGCTGGTCTCGAACTCCTGACTGCAGGTGATCCACCCCCATCGGCCTCCCAAAGTGCTGGGATTACAGGCATGAGGCACCGCATCCGGCTTTTACAGCTTTTCTTACCACTGTATAGCCATTCCATTTATTATATCTCTGGCCAACTAGGCTTTCAGTTAAAGAAGTAATAAAACCAGGGCTATATTTGTATCATCGGTTTCCTATTATTAGCTATATCTCCTATGAACTAAATAACTATTTTGTATAGTTATTTATTTTTCAAAATAAATACAGTGTTTACTCATTTCATAAAATTAATATATAACCACATGGAAATAATAATGACTATTCTTATTTAAGATAGATTATGCACTGGCAACAAATAGTGCTTGGTACCACCACAACATACCTCATTTGATGTGTACCATCTTCTTATTAGATGGGAATTATTACTAATTCATTTTGAACATGAGAAAACAGCATCAGACAGGTTAACAATGAGCTTAGATCTTGGAACTCTAAGGAGTAACAAAAACTAATTTAAATCCAGATTTTTGAACTCTGCAATTTTTACCCTAATTATCATGCTTTACAGAAAATGTAGGCAAGTAAAAGGTATATATAGACATTCATAATTCTACCGACCCAGAAATTACCACTGCTAACCTTTGTTTCATATACTCATTCAGGCTGAACTACAGTGGTGCAACCATGGCTCACTGAAGCCTTGACCTCTCAGGATCAAGTGGTCCTCCCTCCTCAGTCACCCGAGTAGCTGTAACTACAGGCATGCTCCAACATGTCCACTTATAAAATTATTAATATTATTTGTAGAGAGAGAGTTATTACTGTGTTTCCAGGGGTGGTCTCAAACTCGTGCGCTCAAGTGATTCTCCAACCTCAGCCTCTCAGAGTGCTGGGATTACAGGTGTGAGACACTATGCCCAGGCATTGCTAACATTTGTGAGATTTCATACACCACACACACATACACGTGCAGTGCTCAAGGTGAAAATTTTAAATAATGTTAAAGTATAGATGAAAAGTTAAAGTTCCTAGCTTGATTCCTTTTAGTTTTTCCTCATATAGTAACAAATATGATCAGATTCTATGTAGACCTCCATAAATTTGAAGAGATATATATTTGAAACTCATATTTTAAATTGACTACCTATAGTTGACTTAACAATTACTATATATTAAGCTTCACTACATAAAAATACAAAGATTCTATATGACATAAAACATAACATATTCACATCATATTTGTCAATTTAGCTTTTGAAGGGTATAATTAGTTGACAAAAATCTACATATGAATGTTCGAAATGATGATAATGACATTACAGTAATCTATAGTAATATTAAAAGAAGCCACTATTCATTGGATACCAGCTATTTTAGATGTGTACATGTAATTTTTAATATTCATGATATCTACATTTTAATTAGTTTTATTTCTATTGTACAGGTGAGAAGGCATAAACTTAGCCAAGATGAATAATTCAATCTATGCTACATAATCAGCAGTGAAAAGGGATTTAGTCTAGAATTTGTGTGACTATAAAGTCAGTTTTCTATTCACTGTAATACCTTCACTCTCCTGCTTTTTGAGGCTTGAGACTTTCCCTTCACAGCACAGAGTTTAACTTTGTATAGACATACCCACATTTGTCAAATTTGCTAAGTACTTATCAAATTCTACTTTTCTTTGTACTATGTGAGAGTAAAAATCAGGTTTTATAAGTGGTTGCAAAAATCAGTCAATGGAAGAGTCTGAAGAACCATATAGATTTTTTATTTCAGATAAACTTAGTGAGACAAAATTATCCAAAGGCCATTTGAAAGTTTTGCTTTTATTCTACATATCTCCAATCAATTGATTAAGCCTTGGTCTCAAGTCAATATATCTTTGCAGCTTCCTGTTATTTTGGTCATATCCATGAAGTATAACATTTGTTTAAAAGCTTTCAGTAAAAGCTTAGGCAAGTGAGGCAAAGGAAAGAAATAAATACTTGTATTTGTTTTAAGCTTCTTTTTCTTACTGGACTACAGGGACAGTTAATTGGAACAATGTGCATTACAATTTGCTGCTTCTTTGGTTTAAAATGAACAAAGAATGAATTATAAATGTATAAGAAATTATATGATATTCCTAGCAATTGTGTCAAAATCATTAACCAGGATACATGTTATGATACTCATTGATTTAGAATATTTCTTGTCCCTTTTTCCTTCCTTCCTTCCTTCCTTCTTTCTTCTTTCCTTTCTTTCTTTTGTATCATGGGAAAATGTCTAGGGACTCAGGGTATAATTCAGGGAAGACTCTGAAGAAAAGAAGAAAATATCTGAAATAATGGTGGGAAAAGGCCTAATCTTTGTTTGAGTGTTCCAGTTCAGACTGTTAACATCACACATAGCATCCAACTGAATCAAATGAGGCACAAACTACCACACATATGAACGTTACATGGCTCCAAAGGCGAATGCAAAGGAGAGTGTTACTAAATGACAGCTGAGGAGGGGAGCTGTAGGCCAGAGTTAACGAATTTATGTTAAGGAAAAACATAAGACTAAAAATTAGATGTAGAACCAGAAAAAGGTCAGGAACTAAAGAAATTCAGTAATAGCCTAGAAAATCAGATGTAAGAACCTAGAAAGAAGATTCAGGAATTGGCAGTGAGTAGGGTGGGACCTGGGGATATTCTTCCTGAATGTGTTGGGTTCAGTATACTTTGGTAGGGGAACTCAATTTGTAGGGTCAAAGTTGAGGAACAAAGAAAGCATTGCGTGCAAGTTTTGCCCAGGTCTCTAGAAATCTGATCATCCTTTAGGTTCTGTTCTGATGTTCTTGAGCTTATATAACAAATATATCATAAAGTAGGTGGCTTATAAAACACAGAAATTTATTTCTCTAAGTCTAGGATCCTTAGAAGAACAAGATTAAGGTACAGTACCTTTGATGCCCCATAAGTGCCCCGTCCTCATAGATGGTGCCTTCTCCCTGTGTCTTCACATGGTGGAAGTGGCAAAGAAGCTCCCTTGGGCCTCTTTTATAAAGACTCTAACTCCACTCATGAAGTTTCAACTCCTATGATCTAATCACTTCCCAAAAGCCTCGACTTCTCAGTATCAGCACCTTGGGATTATAACAGGGATTTTTAGGGGACAAACATTCAGACAATAGAAGATCATTTAAATATTCATTCTTAAGGAGCTTGTGTTTCTTATGGTACAGTCTTTAACTGACCAAATCTTTATTAGCTGTTTCCAAGGACACCATTTGTTGTAAAAAGTACCAACTGCCCAGTTTATTTGTCAGGGAACTACAGCTCTGTCTTTCTCATCTCCCTGACCTCTATACTCTCTTAAGTGCAAGGGTAGTTTAATGGAAAATGCTGTCTCTAGCATGTGGTATAGGTATTAATCCTCCATTAATCAGAAGTATAGAAACTATAATTTCTTCTTGCAATTCCAGTAACCAGTGAGTCTATCTTGTGTATCCTATTACAAACACTGACCAATGACTAATATTATAGCACTCGCATAATAACATTTTATATGTGAATCCCTCCCCTTTCCTTTTCATGCTTTCTTTGGAGCTCTGATCCCTCCTTAATTACCTTCCTTTCTTTCACTTTCTGAGATTCAGGTTACTGATTACTGTAAGGGTAAGGGACCTGTACAACAAACAGAAATATAAAATGATTCACCTGTGATATAGCACAAAGAAAACATACATTATAGCTATGTGGACTTCCTAAAGGCAGCCTAGAGTGATGGTTGAGCATTCTGTCTGCGAACAGATTAACAGACTTTGAATCTTATTGTGGCTGCTAATTGGCTATATTATCTTGTTCTTTAAACTCGTGGGCCTCAAAATGGGGAACCTACAGCATCTCACAGAGTAGGCATTATAACTCGAGTTTAATGAGAAAATATACATAGAGGTTTTTTTTTTTTATGACTGATCCATAGTAAGTGATTCATAAAAGACAGCTATGTTGCTTTCCCAGGGGAGATTCATCTGCTAATAAACAGGGCAAACTTTGATGGTCAATGAAAGCCTGGGCATATTATTTTAAGCACTCCATAGGAAAGCAGAGCTTTGGAAGACCTGCAGCCTCTAGCCAGATCCATGCCTATTCTTTTACTGAGTAGAAAACCTAAATTTCACTGAATATCACTGATCACAAGACCCTATGGTTCAGAGACACTTGAGGATCTTCAGGGGCCAGCAGATAATTGTGCTTTCTTTTCCCAGTTCTATATCCGCAACACCCTCACAAGTTAAAGTGCAAAGGGATTTGTCACTTACTTTACTCACATGTTCAGTAGATGAAAGGGGGAACACAGTTTTGCACGGATAACGTACTTGTTTTTAGCTTCTGTTAACTCTTGTATGGTCCTTCATAAGGATTAGCACAATAAAAACTACTTTCCTGGCCGGGCACAGTGGCTCATGCCTGTAAATCCCAGCACTTCGGGAGGCCCAGGCAGGCAGATCATGAGGTCAGGAGTTCGAGACCAGCCTGTCCAACATGATGAAACCCTGTCTCTACTAAAAATACAAAAATTAGCTGGGTGTGGTGGCAGGTGCCTGTAATCCAAGCTACTGAGGAGGCTGAGGCAGGAGAATCATTTGAACCTGGGGGGTGGAGGTTGCAGTGAGTCTAGATCGTGCCATTGCACTCCAGCCTAGGTGACAGGGCGAGACTCTGTCTAAAAAAAAAAAAAAAAAAAAAAAAAAAACACTTTCGTTTGGCTTTTAATTATCTGTGATTTATACTCTTATTAACTTTTTCTCCAAAAGTATTCACCAATGTTGGCACCTACAACACTCCCTGCCTTCACATCCTGTAATATCAATGAAGTGTATAGTCTTTTTCATGCATAACAGCCAAAAACTTTGAACGCTTTCATGAATTCTTTTTACCACCATTTTCTGCCTTAGTTACTGGCTTTGAGTGCGCCGTGCATTATATGGTGTTTTTATTTCTGTGACTGGGATTTCTTAGATTCTGTAGATGTTCATTACGTTTTTTTCTCACAACCTACTCCTTAAGCCTCCCCTCCACTCATTTGGCAGAAGCAGGCTGTATTTTTGAAATTTTTGTCTTTCTTCTTTTCTGGTCAGCTTCACAGCATCATTCTACTGAGGATGTGAGCTCATGTGTAAGTCTCATCTCTTCTTCTTGTGGGTAAACTGCCTTCAGGTGTACAGTGATATGTCTGCTTTTCCAAAGGTTTCAGAGTTCCACTTTATCTGTATATGACTTCATTTCAGTAGAAACATAAATTCAATATAAGTGTTGTTTTTTTCTAAGTAACTTCCCAGTTATATGGAGGGTATTGCATCATTTGTGTATGCATTGGTCCCCTCTGATAATTTTCAAACCCCTATAGGGAGTGGGATAGTATGTAATTCATATTTTTATACCCTATAATATCAAACACATTTCTTATACAGAAGAATAAATAAATATTTTCTTTTGTTTTGTTTGAAGGAAATGCCTGTAGTCTATGAGAAGACACCAAATCTATTAAGTGGAGGCAATTCCTTGACCATAGGTTTACAGCAAAAATTAAATGAGTGATCTTGATTTAGATCTTTAAATTTTTATACTCATTTTTTTATTAGTGGAATAGCTTATATTTGCTTACTTACATTTTGTTGTTGTTTTTGTTTTTTGTTTGTTTAAGACAGAGTCTCAGTGTGTCACCCAGGCTGGGGTGAGGTGACGCGATCTTGGCTTACTGCAATCTCTGCCTCCTGGGTTTAAGCAATTCTCATGCCTCAGCTTCCTGAGTAGCTGGGATTACAGGCAAGCACCAGGCATGCCCAGTAATTTTTGTTATTTTTAGTAGAGATGGGGTTTTGCCATTTTGGCTAGGCTGGTCTCGAACTCCTGGCCCCAAGTGGTCTCCTGGGCCTCCCAAATTGCTGGGATTACAGGCATTAGCCACTGTGGCTAGCCTTATTGCAATGTTTTCAGAAGAGATATATTTAATTTCTCCGAAGTTTAGAGGGGACTATGTTATTTTGTTTTATTATAATCCCATGTTTATTTGAAGATTGAAAGAAATGTGGACACTGGAGTTGAAGAAAAATAAATAGCCATCTTTCCTCTCTTAGTTATGCAACTCTCAAATTCTATTTTATCAGAGTATTGGTAATTAACAATACTTTTCTTTATATAATAGGGTGTAAATTTGGATGAATTTTAAGTCCCCAAATGGGCCCCAGTGTGGCTATATGCTGAGTGGCATTGAGCAATTTGCAATGCCTGAGTTTGTTTCAGCACATGTAAAGTGGTGGGTGATAATAATATCTCTCCATAGGATTGTCATGAGGATAAAATAAGATAATGCATATGAAAGTACTTTCTAAACATAAAACCCCTTTCAAGTGTAAGATATTATTATAATTTTTGGCTTACAAAATAATACAACACCCAAACTTTTGAAATTCAATTTAAATGCAATGGATAAGCTGTAATTATCTGCATAGTTGTTACTTAGTCTGTTGAAAGGGTTATAAAATCAGAAGTTTTATATCCTTTGAGGAAAAATTGCTAAATACAATTTCTATGTTCTAACAGGACCTTTGTGCTTGGGTTATTAGCTTAGAGGATGAATTTCTGGTAACTTTTGACCTATTTAAAAATCTGTAACTACTGGATTTTGAGAGTTAAATTAGCATTGCTAATTAAGCATTGACATTCAGTTGGATCTTAAAATTATGGTGGTCTGAAAAAAAAATTAATGCTTTTGAAAAGGCAGAAAATTGAAGCTGTAAGTTTGAAGTCTTCCAGAATTTGTAATTCCTGGTTCTTAAATTAGCCAATCAGATAAATTTATAGAACAGAATTATATTCCTAGCAAAGAGTTTCTTCACTTATCCTAAGGAATAGGAGGAAAAAAAATTGATATCATGAAAAGAGGAATGCATTTTCTCCAGAGAACTCGAATTTGAGTTTTAGCTCAACCACACTTGAGTTATGGGATTCACATCTAGACAAATACTTTAGCCCTATGAGCTTCAACTTACTATTGGATTGTTTACAGGAATCAGATGAAACAATATGTATTGACTGATTGACTGAGTCCACATTTGTATGTATGTGTATACATAATTTAACATTGAAAGATAGAGGCAGAGTAATGTTTTCCATTGAGGAAAAGGACAAAGGGAAGCTACAGAATATAGGTGTATATTTTTAAAAAAATTGTGTACACAAAAAAATCCCAAGCATATCCATGTTTGAAGAATGTTATAGGAGGGGCAGCGAATGGTTGAAGAGAAAAGAGAATAGGAAGACATAAGCCTGATAATGGAGGGTTTTGCAAACAATGCTAAGAGAACTGGACTCCATTCATTATGTGATCATGAGGATTTGAAAGGTGTTACACAGAAAATCAGAACGGTGTTATTTTCATTTTAGCTAGATCTGATATAAGCCACAAAGTTTTTTGATGTTGCTTTTGTTGTTTTAGTAAAACACACTTATATTACTTCTCTGTTTTAAATCATACATTGTTGTCCACCTGAATAACAACAACAAAATAGAAGACTTGAAAGAACAAAATGATCTATAAGTAAATTGACTGCTTGGCCAAAAAAAAAATCCACTATTTAAAGAAAGACAACAAAATCCAACATCCTACAATGTAAATTAATAATGTCTAATATCCACTGAAAAAAAAATCACTAACATGAGAAAGAAAGAGAAAAATGTGACTCACAACCAGTGGATAAATTAATAGAAAAAGACTCAGAAAGTCTGAGATGATAAAAGTGTAAATTAAAGATTGAAGCTGCTATGTCAAGGATTTAAAGAACATGGAAAAAGTATATGTTTAAACAAATTGTGGTTTATGAATACTGGAATCTTTATTTATTAAAAATAAATAAGAAAATGGTGCACGTAACCTGGATATGTCTCAAAACCATTATGCCAAGAGAGAGAAACCAGGCCAAATATTGTATTCTATATGATTGTATTTTATTAAATAATAGAAGAGGAAAAACTAACTCATAGCAGGGGTTCTCAAGTAGATGCAGTTTTGCTCCCCAGGGTATGTCTGGCAAAGTCTATAGTAATTTCTGGTTGTCACAACTGGAATTGTGGGATAAGAGTTCTGCCATCTCATAGGTACAGACCAGGGATGATGCTTAAAAATCCTACAATGCACAGGGCAGCATCCCTCTCCCCCAACAAGAAATTACCCAGCCCAAAGTATTAATATTGCTGAATATGAGAAACCCTAATATACAGTTATAAAAAAGCCAGTGATTTTCTAAAGGTAGTGGTGGAGAGAAGATGGCTGCAAAGGACAAAAGGGAACTGTTCTGGAGCCATGAAAATGTTTTAATTACAGTGGTGATTACAGGGGCATAGCTGGTTGTCAAAATTCAAAGTTTATTCTTAAAATGGATGCAATGTATTGTATATAAAAATTCATTATATATATATACAAACAGTATAGTTATATACCATATATATGTATATACTGTATATATTAATATATTGTGTGTATAGTATGTACATTATATATGTGTTTGTATAGAATACAAACACATGCAATATCTCTATAACTTAGAATAAAACTGAATCATGTAATATGAGGTATAAGGAGATATTACTAATCTGGCCTTTACCTAGAATTCCCATCTAAGCTATCTCACTCTGTGCCTTGCTCAGTATGGTCACTTTCATGGTCCATGAGCATGCCAAACCCTTTTAACTGCTAGCACATGCCACTGCTGTGCCCTGTGCCAGGAATCCTCTTTCCCATCTCATCATTCCAAGCTCAGGAAAATAAAATCAGATCCTCAAATAAATCTTCCCTGACACCTCTCTCATGTGTTTTTCTGACTTTTCTTTCTGTTAGTACACTATTAATGCAGGATATTTCCATGACCCCTTCACAGGACTTGCGACAGGGGTGCCTCATTTACTTAGCTTGCCCCTCTCAACTCCTCATGGGAAGGAGTGCATGAGTAAACAAGGTGGGAACTGGAGTGCACAGGTGCTAGAACCAGCTGGCCATTTTGACACAGGCAGGAGCAAACTCCACTAATTCAGACCTGCTGTGTTCCACCCTTCATGGGAGGGAATTCACAGATGAGAGGGTGCAGGAGCTGGAGCAAGTGCTTTTGGGCACCAGCGGGGGTAAATTCCCTGCAGATTCCATGGCAGTGTGCAGGCAGGGTGCCTGGAACTCACAGAGCCTCAGAGAGTGTATTACAGTGCTCTTTATCTCTGCCATTGATGGATGCCTTAAGTGTTAACAACTCAGTGGGCCTACAGCTGCCCTCCACCAGTGAGGGCAAAGGGCCACGTTGACAACCTTTTGTATCCAGACTCATGGCTTCTGAGCTCTGGTATGGCATCCAGGAGAAATGAGATCACATGAACAAATGAAAGGATAGTAAATGCAGGAGATTTTATTGCCAATGAAAGTGGCACTCAGTGGGAAGGGGAGCTGAAAAGGGGATGGGTTGTGTAGCTAATCTTTTTTGAAGTCTGGCCATGTCTGTCTGGATTATTCTCCTAACTTATGCCATCAAGCTGTCCCTCTGAAGTCAAGCTGCTTCTCTCTGATGTCCAGCTACTTCTCCTTTCTGTCTGCTGAGTCTGGGGTCTTTATAGGCACAGGATGGGAAGGGCCACGGCCATGGGTGGTTTAGGAAAAGGCAACATTCAAGTGGGAAAACAGGGATATAAGTTGTCACGTTGGGCCGCAGTTTCAGGCTTTTCTGCTTGAGGGTTGGTTTTTCGCCAAGGACCTGCCTTTTTCTGTCTAGAATTTGTCTGTCTCCTGTCCCTATTATTTCCCCACTCTGAAGAGGCACATCTAACTGCTGTTAGAACATGGACAATGACTGATTTAGCTAATTCCTGCCGACAGTGGGTGTAGTTTTGAGGTGAACAACAGTCAGATTCTTCCCAGAGATCTATTTTAGGGTTCCCAGGAAGAGGGAGCCATTGTCCAAGGATCAGATTGCCTTCCCATTTGGAGTTTGATGACCTCTAGGTGAGAAGAAACAAGTTTCACAAAGTTAAGTATGCATTGATCAAATATGTGTATTGTATGAAAAGGGGTTAAAATAAAAGAATCTAATGCCAAAGATTACAGAAATAAGAAGTGAAATACACTAATCATCCCTAAAACATTGTACCCTGTGGCATAGAACAGAAAAAAGGTAAGATCAGCAAGCATAGGCAAGACTATAAAGAGGATATCCATGGAAGGTGAATTATTAACACTTACCTTTTGTGATTTTTAGCTTGAGCCTGGTTTCTTCACGTTGGTACTTTGGGTGCTCTTCTGGGTTGAGGGAGGTAATTCCATCAGCTTCCCAGGCCTTTACTCAGGTATAATAAATCCAAGAATCTATTCCAGTGAGGTATTGTAAAAGACTGAGGTGGCCACTTTCAGGAGGTTCTCAAAGTACTATCTGGTCCCAGGGCCTGTTTCTGCACCTTCCTGCTGAGTAATAAATTTATCCTTTAGGATTAGTTGTCTCTCAGCTGAAACAGGAGATCTACAGGTGTGCTTTACCAAGGTCCCTCTTAGACTCTCTGGGAAGGCAATGGGATTCTCATCAAATCCTTGGCCTATCATGGATAGCTTGGTGTAATTGAACTTGGTGTAATTGGTATACTAGTCCCTCCATTATGCACACCTGAAAGTGTCTCCTTTTCCATTCTCCCAAATTATTATTGGGATCCCATCTAGAGTCATCCAATTGGTACTGCTTCTCTTCCAGTTGGATAAAGTTTGACCCCTTCCCTGACACTATATGTGATACAAAGCTCATCCCCAAATCTCTCTGCTGCTTGCAGAGTAGTCTGCTTCTCAGTGCTAGTCAGGGTTTGATTCAAAAGTAACTAATCATCTTTCCAGGAAAGTTCAAATACTTGTGTTAAATACTGGAAAGCCTATATATATCTTTCAGGGTCATCTGAAAAGTTGTCAAGATCCCCCTTAATTTGCCTTAAGTCCTGTAGAGGGAAGGAGAACTGGACCTGGGTGCAGAAGTGCCCCAGGTAGGAGGGGAGTGAGTGAGGAGGGGAGCTGTCCTGTGCTAAACACACCCGTGGCTGTTGAGGTGGGGGTGGGGGGTGGTCTCTCCTCTAAGCACAAATGAAAATCACATTGTTCTGAATCGCGTATCTCGTGACTGGGTCAAATGCTCATTCTACCTAGTAGCATTTCTGCAGTTTGCAGTAACACCCGTTACATTATAAAAGAAGAGATAGGAGCCATTTCAAAACATAAAAGAAAGAAGGAAAGATACCATAGAAAAGTCTGGAGGTCTTGGTTGATGCCCTACCAGGTGGTTGGCGATGGGGTCCAGTCTAGGGGCCTTCTGGCAACACCAAGGAGTGCCCTCAGCCAGATGGTGTCAGTTGCCCCAGGACTTTATTCCAGCCCCATGCGACAGCTAGACTTCCATGAAGGGAAACAGAGCCAGCATTCCTTTTGCCCAAAAGAACGAAAGAGGTGGCAGGGTTGCATCCTGTCTTCTGCAAATGGCATAACTCAGAGAAAAGTCTGAGGACAAGAAGAGAGAGATCCAACAGATCCACATTTACTCACCTTTCTGACATGCCAGAGGAGACTCCATATGAAGTAGAATAGTTCCCTGACCCCTTCACAGGACTTGTGACAGTGTGTCTCATTTACTCAGCCCACCGCTGTCAACACGCATGGGAGGGAGCACATGAGTGAATAAGGTGGGAACTGGAGTACATAAGCACTGGAACCAGCTGGTCGTTTTGGTGCTGGTGGGATCAAACTTCACTCACTTGGACCCGCTATGTGCCACCCATTATGGGAGGCAGCGCACAGGTGAGTGTCTCACCTAATAGGAAAATGAGTCCAATTCAACTCAATGAGCATTCATTGAGTGCATACTAACAACATATTTTTGGCATGATGATAAATGCTGCTTTAAACATTTGATATGGTTTGGCTCTATGTCCCAACCCAAATCTCATCTCAAATTGTAATCCTCATGTGTTGAGGAAGGGACCTGGTGGGAGCTTATTGGATCATGAGGCACTTTCCCCCAGATTGTTCTTGTGATAGTGAGGGAGTTCTCACAAATCCGATAGTTTAAAAGTGGCAGTATCCTCTGCACTCCCTCTCTCTCCTGCCACCATTTAAGACATACCTTGCTTCCCCTTCCACTTCCACCATGATTGTAGGTGTCCCCAGGCCTCACCAGCCATGCAGAACTGTGAGTCAGTTAAACCTTTTTTGTTTATAAATTATCTAGTCTCAGGTAGTATCTTTATAGCAGTGTGAAAACAGACTAATACAATATTGTTCTCTATCTGTAACACAGTGTTAGGTAGCAGCTTTTCTATTTGGTCAGCTATTGTTACCTGGTGGCTTCCAAACTTTCAGAATAACTGTTGGCCTTAGTTAAAATTCATGCATCTGTAGACAATGGAAATGCATAGCTGTGTATCGTAAATAATATTGGTTAAACATAAAATGAATTAATGTTAACTTAGAGCCTTTTAAATCTGTTTGTAGGGATAGGCTGATGCTTAATATTTGTAGGACCTAGAATAATCATGTAAATAGAAGCAACATAATTGTTGTCTAAGTATATAAAAGTTGTAAATCAAATTAATGACTTATTAAATAAAACATGTTGCATGCTGTATCTTGGAACATGTCTTGATAATTTAAAATATGCAATGCTGTAATGTTTATATTATACACAGACAATGGGCAAACATGATTGAATTTGATGTTTTTGACATATGTCTCCTTCTGTTAGTGGACAGTGTCATTTAGATATGCAATAAAATAAATACATTATTTACAAAATATTATAGTCCCATGCCAAATATCATTTTGGTCAGCAACAAACTGCATATATGAAGGTGGTCCTATAAGATTATATGATACCTTATTTTTACTGTACCTTATGTTCAGGAACATTTAGCAAAACAAATATATACAATTGTGTTACATGTGTCTACAGCTTTCAGCACAGTAACATGCTATACAAATTTGTAGCCTAGAAGCAATAGGCTATATCTTATTGCTTGTGTGTGTGGTAGGTTTTACCATTTACGTTTGTGTAAGTATACCCTGTGATGTTCACACACTGATGAAATAACTATGCTTTCTCAGAAAAAATCTCTGTCATTAAGAGATGCATGATTGTATATATTTAGTTCAAACATTGTTTTCTGGCCCGTAATATCATTCCACGTAAATATCATACAACTATCATATAAATGTGTAAGAATATATTGCACTATTATTCTCTGAAAAATGTCAAATTAATTTTCTTCCTTTGTTCAAAAGCAGACTTCCATCTCATCAATGGTAGCATTATCTGCAAACCTTCAAACAATTTAGATATAGCTGCCTTTCCTTTCAGGAACATAGGACAAGAGTCGGGATTAATTGTTTCCCTAAGGTCTATATGGTGTTAAATATGAGAGTAGATAGTTTGGCTAATGTGGTGTATTGTGCCACAATTGAGCACCATATGCTGAGTTCCTGAGACACCCATTTCTAAATAACATTATTATTTGTGTGAGTATTTGTGACTTTTAGGGCTATCTAAATGCGTGCTCCAAAACCAAGAATGCTCTTACCTGAGTCTAACATACTACTGAGTAAAATACATATATAATATATATATATGTATGTATATTTTATGCAACTTCACAAAGTGTGACACAGAAAATATAGACCTGTATAATTAGAAACTGGTACTCAATGAGAAAGTGATTCTTTCAACGGAAAGAAAATAAGCAAATCACAATAGTATAGACAAAAGGGAATTGATCCTGGGTAAAAATAGAGCTAGAGGTGAGATTTCCACCTCACTGTATGTCAAAGTTACATGTGGATTTCTTTTTTTTTTTTTTTTTTTGAGATGGAGTCTTGCTCTGTCGCCCAGACTGGAGTATGGTGGCATGATCTCCGCTCACTGCAAGCTCTGCCTCCCGGGTTCACACCATTCTCCTGCCTCAGCCTCCCAAGTAGCTGGGACTACAGGCACCCACCACCATACCTGGCTAATTTTTTGTATTTTTTAGTAGAGACGGGGTTTCACCATGTTTGCCAGGATGGTCTCGATCTCCTGACCTCGTGATCCACCCACCTCGGCCTCCTAAACATGTGGATTTGTAAGAAATACAGACCTTAGTGGTCTGTTTCTGAAAATTCTATTTTGGTGCACATAGGTTGAGAATGAGGAACTTACATGCTTAAGAAGCTCTGCATATAATGCTGAAACACCTTATTTGGAAACCACATTATGGACTATCATTAAAAAGGAAACTGAAGAGCTAAGCAAACAGATCAAATACATTCCAAGGCATTAAATTATAAAGAAGTAGCATTTTACCAAATAAAAGTAAAATAATATTTGCAAAATAAAACTAGTCACTTGTTATTCAAATCAAAAAATAATCACAAATAAAGAAGAGTTGCAAAACTAAAAAAGCTGCTGAAATTAAAAAAGAAAATAAAAAGTGACTAGATCTAACAAAGAAAGCGACTAGATCTAACAAAGAAAGCATAGACTTAAAACAAAATGAACAAACAGAATGCAGAGAAAAGTCTTATTCAAATATCTTAGACATAGGAAGCAGATTCCAGGCCAAAGCAAAGCAGTGACTGAAGATCAGAGAAGAAGGCAAAATTAATTCTGTTTAGAATTCATTTTATTTAAAATGAGGCAAGGAAATCTTTACAGAGAAGGTGATGTTTGTGCTGGACTTTGAAGAAAATACTCTGTTAATTGACAAGGAAAGAGGTTCTTTTTTTTTAAAAAAAAAGTACATATTCTAATTAAATGTGCATAGCACTTAAAAAGTCCATGCAATTTTGTCTTTCCTTAATAATTTAAAAGACAATTCCATATCTTAGTGTTGCCAAGTCATTACTTTTGACATATATTTTTATGGAATGCACTGAATTATTGACTTTTTTTAACTTAAAGGAAAATCTACAGGGTATGAAATGCTGCAAGAAGAGAAAGAGATATGAAACAACAGTAGATTTTAAAAGATGATTTAAAAAATAAAAATAATGATAGAGTTGTGCTCCTGAGCAATCAACATGGAAAATTAAAATAGCAGCATTGAGAAGAAAGTGCATGAAGACATTACAGCACCCACAGAAGAATGTGTGATAGGTAGAGGGAGTGAAGTCAATCACAATATAAGACGTCTGTGATAATTTTTATATCCATCATACTACTATTATGACTTTTGATTATCTCCAGTAAAAATGATCAGAATAAAAATTGCCAAATAAACAAACAGCAAAGTTGTATATGCCTCTGGGACTACACTAAGAAATAAAGGAATAAAGACAATACAAATGGATAATATTTTTCCATCAGAAGTCTTACAGAAACTTTAGGAATGGGATTTTCAATAATTGTCCATGTATAGAATGCGTCAATCAATAAAGCCTGATGAAGAATAAAGTTTGGCTTTTTTTTCTTATATTTCATACAGGTATTCGATGTGATCCTAAGTGCAGGAAGTTGAGTCAGTCACTCTTCTGCTCCTTATAAGAACGCGAACCTGTCTCACGTTATTTTCTTGCCCCTTCATAGCTGATCTCCACTTCTATTCAACTCCCAATCATGGCCAATGTATTCAATTGATATGCTATTACTTTGGTTACTATTATTTGGTCATTACTATTTTTTTCCCACTCAACATTAAGATCTACAGTGTTGCTGCCATTTATTGTTCCAATGGGTTGCATAGCATTTGCCGCCATGTATATGTCACATTTCATTTCTCCATTGCTTCCTGTTCCATCTCACCACAAACACCATTCTTGAATATCATCTCTTCTATAATCTATATAGTAAACACTCTTATGTTTACCTCTCTTGCAGATACACACACACACATACATACACTTATATATGCATATATACATATCACACATGTACACAAATAGTATTGCTATCATGAAATGTTTATATATTTAATTATAAAAATATTGTCAGAATGCAAAAATTAACCAGGTGTGGTGGCATGTGCCTGTGGTCCAGGGTACTCAGGAGACTGAGGCAGGAGGATTACTTAAGTCCAAGAGGTGGAGATTGCAGTGAGCCAAGATTGTGCCACTACACTCCAGCCTGGGGACAGAGCCAAACTCTGCTTCAAAAATATATAAAAAAAATACTGCCAAATGATTTTCATAACTACTACATCAGTTTAAATGGCCATTAATAGTGCTTGAGATTTATGTTTTCCTGCATGCTTGTCAATATATGGTGCTCTCCTACTTTCTATTTTCTGCCTTTCTGTGGGTGTAATTTCAGTGTGATTGTAATATTAGTTTATTTCAGTATAAATGAAGTTAAGACGCTCCCTTTATAGTTGTTTACGATTTAGATTTTGCCTTCGCTGAATAGCCTATTGAAATACATCATTCTGTTTTTATCGTAAATACATTTTCTTATTTATTTTGCATAATCCAGATACCAAAGTGTTTATTTTTAGGCTTTGCATTTATTTATTATAGGTATATATTTGATATCTATCTTTTCATTGTTGCAGGAAAGCAGTGCTGATTCAGACCCCAAGTGAGCATTCTTGGATTTCATGCAAGAAATAATTCAGGGTGAGTCCATACAGTAAAATGAAAACAAGTTTATTAAGAAAGTAAAGAAACAAAAGAATGACTACTCCATAGACACAGCAGCCCTGAGGGCTGCTGGTTGCCCATTTTTATGGTTATTTCTTGATGATGCTAAACAAGAAGTGGATTATTCATGCCTCCCATTTTTAAATCATATAGGGTAATGTGCTGATGTTGCCATGACATCTGCAAACTACCATGGCACTGGTGGGGGTATAGCTGTGAGGACTACCAGAGGTCACTCTCTTGGCCATCTTGGTCTTGGTGAGTAATGGCCGGCTTCTTTAGTGCATCCTGTTTTATTAGCAAGGTCTTTATGACCTGTATCTTATACTGACCTCCTACCTCATCCTGTGACTTAGAATGCCTTAACCTCCTGGGAATGCAGCCCACTGGTTTTAGCCTCATTTTACCCAGCTCCTATTCAAGATGAAGTTGCTCTGGTTTACACACCTCTGACATTATAATTCTATAAATTTTGGTCTTCTTTGCCACTATATCACCAATACTAAGTATAGCATTTGGCACAAAAAAAGATTCAGTGTATTTGTGTATTTGTTGAATGGAAGATTATGTCTTCATTATAATGCTTCTGCATAAAAAACCCCAAGTTTGTGATGTCTACTTCCTACTTTTGTGGCTACATGCATCATTTAACGCACTAGTAGAATTTTTGAAAGTTTGAAAAAATTGGTAAAAATTTGGTTCTAGGTTTCTATAGAATAAAAAAGCTTCTTTAGATTGGGTGTCTCCATATGTTTCCCACACCACATTCACACACACACACTCAAAACCCATATTGATAAGAAGGCAAATTATACCAACATTAGCCCATGCCTGCAATATACCTGGGAGACACAGAATGCTAAAACTCATGAAGTACATGTAAGTAGGGAAATAAATATACAAAATAACTAAGCCAAGTTTAGTACTTACAACTGAGTTAAGAGTTAAACATATTCAATAAAGAACGGAGACAATGGGGAGCCTGTGGGTAATGAAACACAGGTAAATTTACTCTAAAACAGATGCAGATAATGCAGAGAACATATATGAGTACTGGGATCTATAAGCATTGGCTACTCAGAAGTGAGAATGAAGATTTGAAAATATACAATACATGAAGTGGCTTTTTTTAGAAAGAAGAGGAAATTTGGAAAGGCAAGGAGTCCCTTGATGGCATAGTGGGAAGGGGAAAGAAGGAGTTGAGATAGATGTTAAAAGATCCTTTCCAATCATCAGATCAGAAGGAATAACTGCAACACCCACTGTCTTCTTACCCCCCCACCCCCAAAATATTGTACCATTGATTTAAATAAACTTATTTAATATATTAATATTATATATTAATGTTAATATATCATCAGAAAAGAACAATCTTGAACTAGGAACCTAGTAAGTCACCCAAAACACTTAAACCACTGTACATAAAAATATATCTCATGAGCCAAAAATAAAATTCTGAGCCCCCCAAATGACTGAATGGACCATTCCTCTTGGCCCATGGGATTCCGAAGAAAACTGAAAACTAGTTCAGTCCTTGATGGGAAGTGGGAGTCATACATGACTCATTATATCTTCCTCCCTTTGGAATTCAGGTACAACTGACCAGCATGAACATTAAAACAAGATCTTAAGACAGACAAACAGATTCTTTATAGCAGTAAGATACCAAATACCAACCTGCTTCCAGTATGGCATCACATAACAGTAGCATGCCCTGAATGAAATCAAAGTATTTTACCCCAAAATGTATTTATTTGACATATTTTGAAGTGGCCCTGAAAAGCTGTCTCTTGTGAAGGAGATTTATATTCTGTAGATAATCTCCTTCCCTTTCTAGTCCTGAAGAGATTAGCTGAGAGCCTAAAATCTTTTTAGGTTGGAATAGGAAACATTTGCCATCTATTGACTCTAAGGCTGGATACCTAAGAGACTTCATCTACATAATAAGAATCTTGGTCTTCATAACCCCTTGTCTCAACCCGACACTCTTCTCTATTGATTTCAGGTGTTTAGATAGGCACTTAACTCCTTCAACCAGTTGCCAATCAGAAAATGAATCCACCTATGACCTGTATGTAAATATTTGTACATACTACACATATGCAATCATCCAGACAAAAGGGGTAGATATCTTCACCTCTTGTTACTGATGTGTGTAAGATAATAGATCAATACAGTAGTTCAGAATAAAAGACCAGGAACAGAGTAAATATACCTTGTTTACAGAGAAGTGGTTAATTGTAGTAAAAGTTTGATATTCAGAAGCCAGATGTCACAGATAGATTAGCTCAGCAATATTCAGATAAGATTTTCATTGACTTATTCAGTCTATGTCAATATGTATTTATTGCCTGTCTGTGTTTTATGCATTGAAGTAGAATCCATTGTCACATTTATGATTAAATACAAATGTTCCTCGATTTATGATGGGGTTAAGTCCCAATAAACCTATTGTAAATTGAAAGTATTATAAGAGAAATGCATTTAATACTCCTAAGCTACAGAATATTGTAGCTTGGCCTAACCTTTTTTTTTATTATTTTTTTGAGACGGAGTCTTGCTGTCTCCCAGGCTGGAGTGCAGTGGCGCGATCTCGGCTCAGGGCAAACTCCGCCTCCCGGGTTCATGCCATTCTCCTGCCTCAGCCTCCCAAGTAGTAGCTGGGACTACAGGCGCCTGCCACCACGCCCAGCTAATTTTTTGTATTTTTTAGTGGAGACGGGGTTTCACCATGTTAGCGAGGATGGTCTAGATCTCCTGACCTCATGATCCGCCCGCCTCGGCCTCCCAAAGTGCTGGGATTACAGGCGCCAGCCACCACGCCTGGCCGGCCTAACCTATTTTAAATGTGCTAATGTGCTCAGTATACTTGTATTAGCCTACAGTTGGGCAAAATCATCACAAAGTCTATTTTATAACACAATGTTGAATAACTCATGGCTGTTTGCCCTCCTGATTGCATGGCTGACTGGGAGCTGCCACATGCTGTCAGTACTCAGCATTGAGAGAGAATGTCTTGATGTATATTGCTAGCCTGGGAAAAGAAAAAAAAATCAAAATTCGAAGTAGTTTCTACTGACTGTGTACCCCTTTCTTACTATTGTAAAGTTAAAAAAAAAGGTTGAACCATTGTAAGTCAGGGACATCTGTAATTCTATCTGTGCCCTCAAACATTTCATGGATTACACAATCCATGAAATAATGATGATGCTGTGTGACCACTTTTATGGATAAGAAAAATTATTAAATTTTCATAAGAGTATGGAGGACTCTGCCTGGAATCATTAGCTGTAAGGGAAAGTTTTATTTTAAATATAGCATTTAATTTGGCCTTAAGAATAAATTGAAATATGACAAAAATGGGAGTGCAAATGTCAGTCAAAACAAGGGCACTCTTTTATCCTATATTTATCTGTGAATTTCATGAAAATATGTGCTTTTTATGTAAATGTCTTGAGCAATCCAAATTCATGAAAGTGTTGAAAACATGAAGAATTGCTGCTGCTTCTGCAAAGGAAGTAAAGCAGGATTCACTCAAAAAAGAGAAAAAACAAGGCAAGAATAGTGTAGCTTCCCTACCTGCTCCTGTCCATCCAGTGGACATCTGGGCCCATGAGTCACCTGAAAAGAACAACACTTACTGGACCCAATTTTATATTAGTTAGTATTTTTCTACTTTGACAGATGAGCCAACTTTATTAAATATCACTACAAAACATTTTAAGGAATTATTGATGCCAATAATGGGAATAGTCTTACAATGTCTGATCTTTAAAACATTTGCAAATCTATCACCAAAAACTCTCAAAAAATGTAATAAAAACAATGGCCCTGGCAGAATATCCATCAATATACAAACTGAGGATTAGAGGACAACCTGGTAACAAGGGTACATGCTGCACTAGCTGGCTGAAAACATTTACATGCATTTAAATTATGTCTACATTATCTTTGAGGGAAGGTACGTAAGATCTATTTTTGCCTGTGAACCAAAGCAAATTTAGCAATCCAACTTTCAAAGTAGCCACATGAGAATCTATACACAGGCTATAACAACTTTGAAATATATGCCCTGTAACTTTGGAAGTTAGATAAAGATTCAGTATTGGGGCTATTGTCTTGTGTGACTGACATTTATTTCATTGTCTTTAATCCTTTTGCTGTCTTCCTGTGGAAAGTGTATTTCCTGATGGTGTTGGCCAATTCGCTCCTTTCACTTTAAAACAATCATCACTTCCTGCTTTTAAGTAAGATTTGCTTTTGGTTTTCTGCACTCAGATGAACTATGATTTATTTTTGTTATGTCATCACGTTTAAAATATTTCCTTTTGATGTTTTATTTTCAAGCTGTCCAAATTTTCTTTCAATGTTGTTCTAATCTTCAAGATTGCCAGTTTTGCCATCAGATTAGGTTTTTTTTTTTTCTGTTTGTGTTGATTGTTCTCTAAATGATGCTCACCTAAATCTCAATTAATAAAATTCAGAGGCAAACCGTTTTTAGTCACAGGGGCCTTTAAATTGAATACAGCTGTGTCATGTGCTGCTTTCATTGTCAATGGCATATGATGTGCCACTACCCTTTACTGTTTCCAGTTTGGCAAATCAGTCCCATTATATCAGGGTGATGATGATTCCTGCTGGAAATGTCTCTGAGGCAGATAAATGATAACTGTAATACAAAATGATTCTAGTTCCATTAAGAAATGTTAAGATTATTAAGGACATTATTCTTAATCCTCAAGGAAACATATGATGGGACATAAATGAATGCATGCTCCGGAGTACATTTATTTATAAGACAATGACTTCCATCAAATAATCAGTACATTTAAAAGAGTCACTTTCACTAGAGTTGGCTTCATGCTCCTGCATGGGGGTCTTTGTAGTCCAAGGCAAGAGAGAAAAACTGTAGTGTCTATATTAATGACTTTCTAGAAAATTGAGGCAAAAAAAATAAGCATACTAAAAAAAGCACATTAAACAATATATATTTGAAATCCTAAAAATTATGTGTTAGAATTGTTCAATGAGATGAAAAGACTGATGAATGACTTTATTGTCTTTAAGGATATTAAGAAGCATTACTAAGAAAATGCCTACCAGCTGTTCTACATTTCCAAAATGAGTATGAGCTAAGCAGTAAATGGAATTCAAATTCACCTGTTGGAAGGCAGGGAACCAGATCAAAAGACCTTTTGAGATGACCTCCAGCTCAAAGATTATATAGAAAACAAAATGTCTTACTTTAAGATCATTGAACTATACATGCTGTCAGATGAGTTGAGAGTCTATGTATGGAATAATGGTAACATATTTCCAGTGATTTCCTTCATATAAATGAAGTTATTAACCTTCAATCACAAAAGCATATACTTTTGGTTGGTTGTCCACTAGTGGTGCTTTATTTATATTCTATTCAATGCAGGTTGTTTCCAACTTTAAGGGCAAGTAAACTTAACTGACTTACGTAGGGTTTGAACTCATAACCCTTGACTCATTAGCACTAAGCAAAATGAGCTAGCCACCAGAACCAAGCCACACCAGAATATTTTAGACCAAAAAAAGTTAATCTGTACATATTTTGTCAGAGGCAAAATAAATGAATTAGGCATTATAAATAAAGTAAGCATAATAAATTATTGAGCCCTTTGTATTTCTTGGGATTCTGAGCCTATATAGGGGTTTCATAGGAGAGAGATATGGATAGAGTCTTTCATGCCTGACAACTGATGAAACTTTTAGAATGAGGCAAAGGTTTTAGTCAAGACTCAAGATAAAATGACTGAAGCTTGCAGAAAGAAAAGGTGATTTTCTTTCTGACCCGATTTGCTGATTCCAAATGCAACCCACTGATTCTTTTTCATTAAACCACTAGCCACCATGGTAACCATTTTATATTATTATTCAACGTGGTCAGCAGTTGAGCCAGTTTTCAAGGGGCGATAGTTTTAGAATAGCATTAACAAAAAAATTTCTTCAGTCAAGATAAGCATTTTCTAGAATAAAAGACTTGGCTTGAAGCCTTTCTGTTTAGTGCAAAAAGCAAAAGATAAATCAGATATATTCCCACTGTGGAGTAAGTAGAAGATGGCAGTGTATTTTTGTAGGCATAGAAATGGGAATTAAATAACCCATATATCTTCTTCCTACAAAGCGAGGAAACCTTGGAGAGCAGACACATTTACCTTCTGCAGGGCTTCAAGTACCAAATTCAATTCAAAGAAGAAAGGCACAGAGCAAAAGTAATACTTTGGATTACAACAATAAAGAGTGATGGCAGATTCCCATTCCCATCCCAATGAAGTAAATGCTATCCTAGAGGGAGTTAAAATAGAAAATGGAGGCTGACAATTTTATTCACCAAGGGAATAAATAGATAATACAATAATTTATTTTCATGTGTTATTTCTAGCATTCCCTTAGATACAATAGTGGGCATTATTGCAATTTCATAAATGCTTCCCAGAGAAAAGAACATGATACAGTATAGATGGTTTTTACAAATGTCAAGTAGATATATTACTGGATTATAGAATTTATAGAAGTCAGGCAAGATTGCTAATAGAGTGTGAATATTGAATGTCCTTTAGAGAATAGCTATTTTCCCTTTAAATGGAGGATTTTTCATCCTCTTCAGAGCTCTAGAAAAGTTCACTGAGTCCCCAAGAATCCTGATTATGGGCTCATATGATTCATCTGAAGGGCAGGAGGACTAGGAAAAGACAGAGAAGAAAGGCTGGCCAAGTTACCTACTGCCTTTCATCTCAATAGGAGCCAGTAAACCTGTTAAGGCATCTCTCATTTTTCTCTGAGCCCTGGTGAGTAGAGCCTGAATGGCAGACTGTGAAATTCCAGTCTATCACAGCCTCCTGATTCATACTTGACTGACCAGCTCTAGATTTCTGCTGAGTCCTGTCAATTAGCTTCCTTAACCTGGAATGGATTCAGAATTCCTAGAGTTTAATCATTTTCATACAAAAGAGACAGTAAAATGCTTTTCTTTTCTCCAACATCTCTAAAATGTGCAAATACAATTATGATAATTTAATTCAGTCTGCCTAGTTCTCAATTATTTCTATTATTATTTTTTGAGACAGGTTATTACTCTGTCACCCAGTCTAGTGTGCGGTGGTGCAATCATGGATCACTAAAGCCTCAACTTCCTGGTCTCAGGGCTCCAGCAATTATGATCATCTCACCTCAACCTCCTGAGTAACTGGGACTACAGGCACGTGACACCACACCTGGCTAATTATTTAGTTTTTTGTGGAAATGAAATATCGTTATGTTGCCCAGGCTACTCATGAACTCCCAGGCTCAAGTGATCCTCCTACCTGAGCCTACAAATTGCTGGGATTACAGGTATGAGCCACCACACCAGGCCTCAACTTTGATATTATAGGACAATAAATACCCTTTCCTGTTGAATAGGTGCCAAAGGAAGAAAAAAATGCCTTCTAAACAACTGTTTTTAAGGCCCATTTCTAATTGTGACTTGCTCAGATTTGATCATATGCATATTTATCAGTAAGGATTCTTACATAGAGAAGTTACAGTGGAAGATAATTCACATTGATTCATTGTCTGCTTTGGTTCACTATGATAGGGACCTTATATATTTGTTAATCCACATTTTATAGATACATGGCTTCTATCTCTATGATTTCTAAGAGGTAGAGCTGAAGTTGGAATTCAGCTATGCTTGTTCTGATTCACTGCATAAACAGAAGGTGGAAGGAATAAAGGAGTGGTAAGTATGTAATGTGGATGGCTTATCACCATCTGTATTACACCACTTCTCTAAAATATAAATTTTAAGTGTTCTCCTTGACAGTGAGGATAATTTTAGTAGTGGAAATAACACTAGGGATGAAGCCAATTGAGCTCCTTCTTAGTAACTATCTTCCACAAACTCAGCTTTCCTTTCTGTGAAACAGGAATAAAAACTGCATGGCATAGAGGAGAGTGGAAAGAGCATGAAGTGATTTTGAAGTCACTTTGTGCAACTGGTCAAGTTACTCAACTTAGCTTCAGGTTTTACATGCAGAAACTAAGTTTGGGTTTGAGAAATTACTTATACACACAAAGCCACAGGCTTTAATTTATGAATTTTGTTTCAACTATTGTGTTTCTTAATAGCATTTTATTGTTCTTTGAAGTCCTATGCTTTGTTCCAAATATTCCATAATATATCAGTCAAAATACGCTAGGTTACACTGAGGCAACCAACAATCCTAATATCTCAGCTGCTTGGAGCAGCAAAGAATGCTTCTCACCCATGCCCATTGTGAGTCAGCCAAGGCCCTGCTCCATACTGTCTTCACTCGGGATCCCAGGTTGGTAGAGTTTCTATCTTGAATATTGCCATTTATTATTGCAGCCATAAAAGAGATATGATGAACTCCATACTGGCTTTTAAAACTTCTGCCCCAAAGTGACACAATGTCACATACATGCAAGTGAAGCAAGTGAAGAAATCAATAGAAAGACATTGCTAAACAAGTCACAGAAGTCTTAGAAAAACTATCCTTTCCACAAAGGCCAAATTATTAATATTTTATTTTTTAAAAAAATGGATGTGTATAGTGTATGCTAGGTATGGAGAACATAGAAAAAAGCCATGAGCCCTACCTTAAGACGCCCTTAGTCTAGTGAAGGAGACAGATATATTGTCTTTTTATGTCAAATTGCAGGATTTGAAGTAGAAGTGAAAATGGAGAGGCATTTTTTTTTTTTTACTTTCTCTTTGAAGACTTTGGTGATGCTTTGGATCATGCTGTAGTATTAAGGGCAGTGTCAGTCATATCCATCTGCTCCATGAGCATTGAAACACGGAGGCTATCAATCTTAGAAAGTCGTTACAAACACAGTTTGCAGGTCTTCAATCATTCATTTACTTTGTCCTAAGTGGGAAAACCACAGAAGGAAATTTAATATTCATCTGAATATTACTGTCAATAATCAAGCAGCATCACTTTGACTGTTAAATAATAAGTTTGGAAATAGCCAACCCTAATTTTGAAGTACCTGCTATGCTACTTTAAATTAAATTATTGTTTTAAATGCAAATGTTAATATATCATGCATTTAATAATAATTAACAGCCCCTTATACAGTGTTGACTTAGATAGCATCTTAGTATATGATATCTAATCTAAGAAAAATGTGTTAAGTATAACCTACTCAGTGTCTAATCCCTCTGACTATGCATGCTTATTCTTGAAATCCAGGATGAACTAAAATTTCTCTACATTTAACCATGAATTAACAGAGAAAATGCCTCAAGTGCTGTCTTCCATTCTCTGTTTTGAAGCTTTCTTCATTTGGCCTCCTATACTTAATCTATTGAATTTTCACATAGATTCAACCCTCTGACTACCTTCTCTTTCACAAATGTCTTGGAGTATGTGCTTCTCTGTTGGTGATTCAGCACTTCCCTAGGTTGTTGTCTCACTCACCAGGTCTCTGTACCATGATTAGAGCCAGTAAATGTGCGGTGTCATCCTTCCAATTCTGGAGAGGTATAGGCTTGTAATGGTTGCTTATGATGTTTGTCACATATTTCCTGCTAACTTTTTTAAAGCATGTGCAGGATTGCCCACCACTGTTTCCTTTAATGTTAGGTATGACCATATGATGTGTTTTGACCAATGAAATATGAGCTGAATAGATGTGTGTAATATGCTGCTAGAAGTTTTAAGAGCCATTGCAAACTTTGCAACGTTCCCAAGTTTGTGCTACCCATCAAGTTATGGCCCCAATCACTCTAGGTCTGTGGATGACTATGAAAGCAGAGCCTGCTTGCAAACCTCAATTGAATGTCTACTGTGTATGAGAAATAAATGTCTGCTATTTTGAAACCACTGAAATATTATGTTATTTGTTAGATTTTCTATAATGTCAGCATCATACAGCCTATTTCGACTGATACAATGCTGAAATGAGATAAATTGTTTAGTTGTTTTTGTTTGTTATAAAAAACACATAATATAATTATTTTAGTAATTGGTTATACATGTGTTAAAATGAGAGTTTAGAGCCCATTTGATTTTTTTTTTGCCTTTTAAAAAAATCTTTCTTACATCATTAAAAAAGAAAAATAAGCCTTCTGATGAAATTCTGTTCATGAGTTAAACAAAATCCCAAAAAAGGTAATTTTAAATACGTTCAGATAAATATCTTAACTTTCTTCCAAGGAATTATATGTGGAAATTCTCTGCCAGAATGATTGTATCTCTAAGAAATACTTTGACATTTACAAGGCCAACATAAACTTAGTATTGGAATTTGCAGATCATTCTCAGAGCATAAGATTAAAGGAAAGAGCTTTAAAAGTTTTCAGCTGGTATATGTCAGCATGTCCACCTAAATAAAGAGAAAAAGGCTGAAGGCTCACAACTTTTATTTTGTATAAAGGAATAACCTTATTTATCTCCAGATCACTGACTTTTATCTACCTTAAGTCAATTTACTAAGGTTTTTTATGGCTTTTATGAAAAAGTTGGTGGTCTGGACTAGACATAATATCAAATAGGCAGATGTATAAGTCATAAAAGCAAAGGCTTGAAAGACTGAATATGTTGTGGCTACATAAAAGGAACTAACAGCGAAGGGAAAGTGACCAGGTAAATCATGTCACTGGGCAGTTAATGAACACTAGGAAGAAAATAGCCTGAAGCACTTGCTTAGAGCATTCTTCTTTATCAGTTTCACTATATATATGTAAAAAATTTCAAAACTAGAATTTACTTTGAAAACTAAGTTCTTTACTGACCATCAGCTCATTAACTGCTATTGTCTGTGTCCGTATGTTTGTTTTTATAAATTGGTGAAAGACCAGTGAGATTGAGTAAATGTTCAAATTTCCTGGCTCCATCTTTGGGACCTTATTCAAGGGATCTCTGTGGGCACCAGGAATCCTATTTTAAAGCTATTATGCTATGAAAGACTTTTACCTTGTTTGATTAGGAACAAGATCCAGGCTAATGGAACGTCGTGCTTGTAGCAGGTACTCTGTTCATATTTGCGAAAAGTGCGCAGGTATGTGCTTGTGCATTTAGATGTATATCTATCTTCTGGGTGTACTCAAGATTTTTTCTATTAAGTTAATTAACTGAAAACACCTGAAAGCTGTGCATGACATGATGTAGAAGGCACTTTTCTTAAATGAAAAACCTGCACATTTTGACATTTTTGACATTTCTAGACTCCTTTTGGTCTTGTGTTTTGCATATTAAAATATGGTTTAATAATACCTACATTAGACAATTTTGGTTCTTAGGGTAGAAAAGGACTGTTTTTCTTAGCCTATGGAGTTAACTGCCCCACCTCCTTCTTAAAATAGAAGTGCTTTCTACTGATGATATAACTTTCTTCAGAAACCATCTACTCCCTTGTTCTATTTTATAAGACTTTATTCCCTTTCTCTTAACTTTAAATTTATGTTATTTCAGTTTGATAAACAATAGCATCAAGTTTATAGTCAGGGCAACATGGATAAAAATATTTAAATGTAATCACTTCACCTTGTCATAAACAGTAGTAGTATTATAGGATTTAACTGGTAGAAGTCCAAAATGCATATAAATATTATCTAGTGGAATGTTATGAATAAAACAGTAAGGCTTCTAAATGAAAAAAAAAAGTACTATAAATAAAATGATACCTACAGACACTTAGCTATGAAACTAAGTTTAAGCCAGGCTTAGATGTTTATAAATAATATTTATGTTGTAAACATAACTACTAATTTTTAAAATATGCCAGCTCCTCATAATTTGAGTCATCAGGATGGCAAACTATTTGAAGAAAGAATACTCCCATATGGCCGTGCACGGTGGCTCACACCTGTAATCCCAGCACTTTGGGAGGCTGAGGCAGGTGGATCACGAGGTGAGGAGATGGAGACCATCCTGGCTAACATGGGGAAACCCCGTCTCTACTAAAAATACAAAAAATTAGCCGGGCCTGGTGGCGGACGCTTGTAGTCCCAGCTACTTGGGAGGCTGAGGCAGGAGAATGGTGTGAACCCCAGTGGCGGAGCTTGCAGTGAGCCAAGATGGCGCCACTGCACTCCAGCCTGGGCGACAGAGCGAGACTCCACCTCAAAAAAAAAAAAAAAAAAAGGAAAAGGATACTCCCATACAACTTCCAGAAGAACATTTAAATCACCAAGTAGAATGTTAAAAACATTGGAGGTGTTTTTGTCAAGCCCATCATTACAGAATGATCACTTTATCTGTTTTTCTTCATGACTGATTATGTCTTTTTTATTTTCAATGTCTTATTTTGCACCTGTCGGAGGTAGACATTACTAGAAGCAAAAACAAAAGTGAGGAAATGAGTCAGTGGCATCAGTTCAGAGTCAATGTGAAAAGAATGATCTGCCCCCATTCTTCTACAATGTCCCAAGGTAAAAAAAAAAATTATGTGAAACTGTGCAAAGGTATATGCTCAAGCCTGTATCACTACTGAATTGTAGGTAATCAAAGACTCTGCTCTGAAATTATAAGACAACGTAGTCAAGTAGAAGAAAATAAACTGTGGTCTACTTTCCAGTAAGATCCCCTTTTTATCCCAAAGTGTGTTGAAGGATGTTAATTGTCATATTTAGCCGAATCATTATCATCAACACCATTGCCAGGCACATTCATGAGGTTTCAATATGCTTGTGGAATATTTGAAGTAAAACAGTTTTGCACTCCAACTTCTAGAAGCAAACTTTTTGTAAATTCAGGTTTATTGACATAAAATTTACAGATAATAAAATCTACTCATTTTTAGATGTACAGTTTTATAAATTTTGACAAATGTATGTAGTTCGGTAACCACCCCTAAAATTTCCCTTATGCCCTTTTGTAGTTAATCTCCTCCTCCAACCCCTCACACTTAGAAACCATTGATATAATTTTTGTCTCTATTGTTTTACATTTTCCAGAATGTCAAATACATGGAATCATACACTATATAGTCTTCTATATCTGGTGTTCTTCACTTAGCATAATACTTTTGACATTATTCTTGCTGTTTCATGTACCACTAGTTACTTTTTTTTTTTTTTTTTTTTTTTTTTTTGAGATGGAGTCTTGCCCTGTTGCCCAGCCTGGAGTGCAGTGGCACGATCTCGGCTCACTGTAAGCTCTGCCTCCCGGGTTCACGCCATTCTCCTGCCTCAGCCTCCCGAGTAACTGGGACTACAGGCACCCGCCACCACTTCTGGCTAATTTTTTGTATTTTTAGTAGAGACAGGGTTTCACCATGTTAGCCAGGATGGTCTCCATCTCCTGACCTCGTGATCCGCCCGCCTCAGCCTCCCAAAGTGCTGGGAAAACAGGTATGAGCCACCGCGTGGGCCTAGTTACTCATTTTTTATTAATAAATAGCTTGTCATTGGATCGTTATACTACAGCACTGTTTCCGTGTAGCACTTGATTGACACTTGGTTTATTTCCACGTGTGGACAATTATGAGTAAAGCTGATTTAAACTTTTGCATACAGGTCTTGCTAATTTCAAGCTTTTAAATTATTACCTTAACTCAATGCCAGATGAACATGTGATATAGTTTGGATGTTTGTCCCCTTCAAATCTCACATTGAAATGTGATCTGCAATGTTAGAAGTAGGGTCTAGTGGGAAGTGTTTGGAACATTGGGGAAGATTTCTTATGAATAAGTTAGTGTCCCCTCCCCGCCCCATAGTAATCAGCAAGTTCTGGTGGTATTAGTTCACATGAGAGCTGTTTGTTTAATGGAGGCTGGCACCTCCTCCCCTCTCTTACTTTCTCTCTTGCCACTTGACACGCCTGCCTCCCCCTTCACATTCTGCCATGAGTAAAAGCTTTCTGAGGCCTCATGAGAAGCTGAGCAGATGCTAGTGCCATGCTTGCACAAGCTGCAAAACTGTGAGCCAAATAAACCTATTTTCTTTGTAAATTATCCAGCCTCAGGTATTCCTTTATAGCAATGCAAAATGGACTAATATACCATGAAATGTATATAGTAGCTGCTTAATTTTTTATATGGAATGAATGATAATTACATCAATAATATTGTTTTACTTATTTTTTATTTTATGTATTTTATTGTATTTATCAGTTTCTTTAAAACACATTGTCTCACTCTATTTTCTAGGATGGAGAGCAGTGGCTATTTACAGGCATCATCCTAGTGCACTATAGCCTTGAACTCCTCGGCTTAACTCGTCCTCCCACTTCAGCCTATTGAGTGGCTGGGACTATAGGCATGCACTATTGTGCCTTACTTAATGTTTTATTTCACATATACAGAATAGCATGTGTAATACATAGGCTGAACTCTATAATGTTATCACATATATATAAAGCATAATATAGTAGCATTTATTGTTAATAACACAACAACTATCAAAAGTAGAGGCATGGAGAAATGCCACAAAATGACCATCATTGTTATTATTAACATTATTAGCATTATTTATATTTCAATGACAATGTGAAGACTCTCACCTAATTTATACTCTCTACTATTCTTGACTTGGGTCGTTTAGACAATAGAAGACTGTTTTGAGTAAGAAAAACATGTTTCCATAGCTCCAAGAAAATTAAAAAGCTTTACTGATATCATCAGCTCTGTAGTCATGTTCCAAAAATAAGAAGGCTTAAATTTTCCATTCCCCTGCAAAAGGTGATGGGATCCACATTTCTCCAGTTGACCACTTCCCCTTCTACTGTTTCTTGCCAGGGAAAGAAAAGGACTTTGATACCCAGGACAATTATTCTATCATTAAGTAAGTTTCTTTAAAAAAACACAGTTATGCAATTAAAAAAAAAAAAAAGTATGTTCTGCTTCTCCAGGTCTCACTACCTAAAATTTTGGGAGCTAAACTGGTCTGAGCTGACTACATAGGTAGTTTTTTGTTTGTTTTGTTTTGTTTTGTTTTGTTTGAGATGGAGCTCACTCTGTTGCCCAGGCTGGAGTGCAGTGGCGCGATTTTGGCTTGCTACAGCCTCCACTTCCCCAGCTCCAGTGATTCCCCTGCCTCAGCCTCCCAGGTAGCTGGGATTACAGGCACATGCCACCATGCCCGGCTAATTTTTGTATTTTTAGTAGAGACAGGGTTTCGCCATGTTGGCCAGGCTGGTCTCAAACTCCTGACCTCAGGTGATCTGCCCGCCTCAGCCTTCCATAGTGCTGGGATTACAGGGGTAAGCCACAGCACCCAGCCTCATAGGTAGTTATAAATTGGCCTATCATCACATGATATGAAGTTAGTGTTATGGAAAAACATTTTCTCATTTTACCAACTCACCCCATAATTCTTAGGAATATTCCCTTCAAGTCCACAGGAACTTCAGTTCTCATCATTATATCCAGTGATTTGATTAAGAATAGGGTCCCTCTAAAGTGCAAATAGCCATTTCCAAGTCTGCTCTGTGTTTAATATTTCTTTAGCAGATTTTTCATTTAATATTAAGATTTATGACACTATCGTAAATTCTACTTAGCCATGGAAAAATGGCACCCTCTAGAGGGTACCTAAGTCTTTGATACAGTTTTTAAGGGTAGTCCCTGCAGCAAATTGTGGTTTGATCATTTATTAGTCTTTAACAAGTTGGAAAGAACATAAATGGCCTCTATGGAGCCAACGACCGTTCTCTTTAACTCTGACTCAAGGTTACTAACTGGATATCCAGTGCCTCTGAGGATGTCCACATTAGCTGGGATAGACTATTTCACATTGTCTTGGGCTAACCTTAGGTCTACTAATTTCTTTGCATCCCAAGATGAAGCTTTGATATGCATTCTATAAATAGCTTCCAGAGTAGGCATTGATCCACAATTTTCATGTTCAGCCAGCTACTGCAGCCACTTTCCTATTTTACAATAGTATTAATATAAAAATATTTTAGAAACCATTCTGTCTAGCAAACAAATTCATGATAAGGGTATTGTATTGTTTACATGAAAAGCAAGTGTTAAACCTTGGTATTCTTTGAGAGTATTCTAGGTATCTCTGAGATCCACTAGTGTCAGAGATCATACCAATTTTGATTCACAGAGGACTTTTAAATACTCCATAAGTAAAATATAGGAAATAAAAGTTTGATAACATCTGTTTCCTTCTAACAGTCCTCTATCCCCTGTATATAAACTGTTCGTTGTATTGCTGTTACCAATATTTCATGTTTTATCTTCATTAAACTTCATACCCCATTGCCCATTTGAAGTTGTTATTTAAAGCTTTCTATAGATGTAAAATAATTATAATAGTAAGAGATTATTTATAAGTACAACATCTTCAACACCTTCAACACTAACAGTTTCAACAATAACAGTTATTACAAGCAAGAAAACAATCTATTTTATATTCATAAATTGTTTCCTAAATTTTGAAAACAAAGCATTCAGCAGTCTTTCCTGAGTCTGGCAGTTTAAAAATGAGCATACTTGACTCTTGCCTGCAAGCATCGTAGATTTAACATTTTTTTTTTTTTCTGATGAGCTCTTGGTTTTCAGGCATAGTTTGGTGTGACCTTGGCATCTGTGAGAAATTCTATGTTAAAAGAGTAACTATTGTTCTTCTTACCAGTAGAGGCTTTCAATTCTCCACTTTTCAAGGGAAGAGAAACTGTTTTTATTTTTTTGTTGTTGTTCTGGCTAGAAATCAAAGATTTTGCAAAGACTTAGCAAAAAATAATTCTGTGTAGGAGGAAGAAGATCTGAACTCTAGATGTTTACCAATAAGAACAGCAATTTTTTTACATAACAATGAAAGATTTATCACAATCTGTTATAATTAGTTGCTTGGTTTCTTTTTGCCAGAATAGTGTTCTTGCTTCCATTCTATATATTTGGTCCAAAATCTAGTAGTGTTTAGCATATTGTTTGTCTTAAACAAATGAATAAATCAAAGTATAAATGTTCATTTTCACTTAGCAGCATAGTCAGTTTTTTGGTTTTTTATTTTTTATTTTTTGGTTCCTGGAATGAGGGTGAGAAAATGAGCTCTTTTCTGCAAGTCTGTTTTTATCCCTGCATTTCCAGTCTATGTGAATAAAGTCACCATTTACTTAGTAGATTGTCAGAACCAGAACCTGAGTTACCATAAATATCTCTTTTTTTCCCCCATCTCTAACTAGCAATCATCACCAGGTCTTATCCACTTTCTCCCTTTATAGTTCACTTTACGCAGCACTCCCATTCCCATTACCTCAGTTAATGTCTTATAACTTGAATTTTGGTTGTAGTCTCCAAATTTTTGTTCCCATCACAATTATTCTCCTCCCTTCAATTCAGTCTCATTTGCAATCTGACAGAAAAGTTTTAGGGTTCTTTTTCTTATTTTAAAGTTTCAGTTCATTCATTAATATTTCCAGGAGATTTCTTTTACTCCTTGCCCTTGTTCAGCAGCTGATCTATATGTTATTCCCCTGCTGTTCCATGCCCTCCTTATGTGTATATCTACCATGACACATACCACACCCTTTTACTCCACTATTTCTTCCATTAGAATGCAAACTCCCTATCATATAAATAACACCAGATTTGATTGTATAAAATCTCATATAGAAGTCACAGACAAATACTCGCCATTCAATATATATTTAATGAGTAAATAAGATAATTAAAAATGGAATTAATAAGTGCAGTAGGAGAACTGTTTTGGTAATAATTTAGGACAGCTTTAGAAAATAATCATGAAGTCCCAAGATAGGATGAGTCCTTAACACGTTTTATCATAACATTTTATCAAATAATAAATAATAGAGCTGATCATTTCAAATCAGTCATCTCTGTAAGGAAGATATACCCCGGACTCTAGGCTAGGGTCAGCAATAATTTACTATAAAAGGTCATATAGTAAATTTGTAGGCTTTGATGACAATCTAGTCTTTCTCACAATTGCTCAACACTGTCACTGTGGAAGAAAAAGAATAAGAAAAAAGCTAGAGACAACATATATATTAACAGGCATGGCTATGTTCCAATAAATTTTGTTCACAAATATAGGAAGCTTGTTGAATTGAGACCAAAGGGGCAGTAGTTTGCAGACCACTGTTTCATACCTCAGAAAAAAATACGCATCAATAACAAGGTCATACAAGCGATTGTGTGAAAGTATGTTTTCATTTCTCTTGATTCCTAGCAGTGGAATTATTGGGTACAATTGTAAATCTATGCTTAAAACTTAGAGGAATTGCCAAACTGTTTTCCAAAGTGGGATTTTACACCCCTATCAGTAAGGTCTAAGGGATTCAATTTCTCCACATCTTTGCCGACAAATGCTATTGTCTTTCCTTCCGATTTTAGGCATTGTAGTAGACAGGATGTGGGATCTTGTGCTTTTCATTTGCATTTCCTCTTCCATTTCCCTAACGATTAATATTGTTGACCCCTTTTTTGTGCATACTGATCTTTGCACCTATTCTTTTAAGAAATGACTGTTCAAATGTTGTACCCATTTAAAATTTGGGTTAATACTTTTTATTATTGAGCTGTAATAATTTATTTAATTCTGAATCCTAGGGAGGCCCTTATCAGATACATGATTCACAGGTATTTTCTCTTTTTCTATGGGTTGCTTTTTGCTTTCTTGATGGTACCCTTTGAAGCACAATTTTTTTTAATTTTAATGAAGTCTGGGGTTTTTCTGTGTGTGACTTCTTTTTTTTTGGTGTTATTTTTTGTTTTTTGTTTTTGAGACGGAGTCTTGCTCTGTCACCCAGGCTAGAGTGCAGTGGTGAGATCTCAGCTCACTGCAACCTTCACCTCCTGGGTTCAAGCAATTCTCCTGCCTCAGCCTTCTGAGTAGCTGGGATTACAGGCACCCACCACCACGCCTTGCTAATTTTTGTATTTTTAGTAGAGACAGGGTTTCACCATCTTGGCCAGGTTGGCATCGAACTCCTGACTTCATGATCCACCAGCCTCCACCTCCCAAAGTACTGAAGTCTGTTTTTTTTTTTTTATTACTTTGTTCCTTGTGTTTCAGTGTTGTATCTAGGAACCCATTGCCCATAATTTCTTGTAACGGTTTTATAGTTTTAGCTCTGATATTTTGGTCTTTGACCTATTTTGAGTCAATTTTTGTGTATGGTAAATTAGTGGGTCCAAATTCCTTGTTTTGCACAGGGATACACACTTCTCCCTATATCATTTATTGAAAAGACTATTCTTTACCCCATTGACTTTTCTAGGCACCATTGAAAAAAATGAATTAACTATAAATGTAGTGGTTTATTTCTAAACCTTCTATTGTATTCCATTGACCTATCAGTCTATCCTTATGCTGTGTTGATGACTGTAGTTTTGTGTTAAGTTTTAAAAATCAGAAAGTTTGAGTACTTCTCCTATTTTGTCTTCTTCAAGATCGGTTTACATATTTTGGATACCTTTTATTTCTATGTGAATTTTAGAATCAGCTTTTAAATTTCTGTGGAAAAGTCCTAGATTTATATTATGTTGAATCTGTAGATCAATTTGGGGAATATTGTCCCCTTAATGATATTTAATATTCTGATCAATAAACATAAATATCTATCCACTACTTAGGTTTTTTCATTTATTTCAACATTTTGTAGTTTTCAGTGTATATGACTTGTGCTTCTTTTTTAAAATTTTTCAAAAGTATTTTTTCTGTTTTCAATGCTATTATAGATAGGACTGTTTTTTAAATTTTATTTTTAGATTCTTCATTGCTAATGCATAGAAATAAAATTAAATGTGTATTAATGTTGTATCATGCAACTTTGCTGCTATCTTTGTTAGTGTAATAGGGGTGTGTGTGTGTGCATGTGTGTGCACACACACATCATAATTTTCTATATAAAAGATCAATGTCTTGTGAGTATAGGTATAATTTTATTTCCTCTTTCCAAACTACATAACTTCTATTGCTCTTTTATTCCCATTTACCCTTGCTAGAACTTTCAGTTTAAGTATATTCTTAAGAAGGAAAGCATTCAATCTTTTACTTAGTTGAAGGCAACTGTCTGTCTTTTTGTAGAAGCCCCTTATTAGCTTAAGGAAGCCTGCAGATACTTCCAATTTGGTGAGAGTTTTTACAATAAAAGGATGTTGGATTTTGTCAAATGCTTTTTCTGTTAATTTAGAAGAACACATACTTCCTGTCTTTCATTCTATTAATATGATGCATTGAAATGATTACTTTTTGTTGTTATGAAATCAACCTTCTCTTCCAGGTATAATTCCTTCTTGGTCAAGGGATACAATCCCTTTTATATGTTACTGTATTTGGTTTGCTAGTATTTTCTTGGGGATTTCTGCACTTATGAAAGATATTGATCTGTGGTTTTCTTTTCTTATAATATATTTGCATTTGATATCAAGATAATATTTGCCACCTGGAATTTTTTGGAAGTGGTTGTGAAGGATCAGTATTAACTTTATTTCTGTAAAATCAGTAGTGATATCAGTCAGGACTTTAGTGATTTGAATCGTCTCTCTCTTGTATTTAGTCAGTAGAGCTAAAGTGTTATCAATTGCATTTATTTTTCCAGTGAACCAAGTTTTGGTTTTGTTGAATTTCTTCATTGTCTTCCATTCAGTACTGTAAACATTTCCACTCTAGTATTTATTTTTCTGTTTCTTCCACTTGCTTTGGTTTAATTCACTCTTTTCTTTCCAGTTCTTCAAGTGGAGGTTTAAGATATTGATTCAAAATATTTTTAACATAGCCATCTATAGGTATTAATTTTACCCTAAAAATAGAATTTGTCTACTTTTAATTCATGAGTTTTGGTATATTGTGTTTTTGTTTTTATTCATCTCAAAGAGTTTTCGAATTCCCTTTTGATTTCTCCTTTCAGCCATTGTTTATTTACAAGTGTTTTTGTTGAATTTCTATATATCTGTTCATTTCAAACAAAATTGCCTTTTTTTTGATATCTAAATAATTTTATTGGGTTTAGGGAACATACTAAGTATAATTTTAAACATTTTAAATTTACTGAGTTTTTTTTTTTTTGGCTTAACATGGTCTATGTGGTTTATAACATTGTTCATGTCTTTTATTTCCTTGTTGATCTGCTGCTGTGCTCTTTACATATTGAAAATGTGATATCCAAATTATCAGTGTTTAATTACCTATTTCTGACTTTAATTCTGCCAAGTTTTCTTATATTTTGGGGCTCAGTTGTTAGGTGAATATATGTTTTTAATTGTTATATCTTTTTGGGAGATTTACTCATTCATTTCTATTAAATGCCATTACTTGTCATTAGTTACTTATTTTTCTTAAAGTCTACTGTCTGGTATTTGTGGAGCAATTCCAGTTTTGTTTTGCTTTGGTAACTTTGGGTATAATACAGCTTCTACTTTTAATCTACTCATGTCTTTGAAATTAAAACCTCTTTTAGCATTATATAGTGACATCACATTTTTCATGTGTTTGTTATATTTTCTGGCAATCTCTTATTTTGGATTGAAGTGTGATATATAATTTGATACCGAGAGTCATTCTAGAGAAAAATAATTAAAAAGATGAAGTTTCTACCGGGTGCAGTGGCTCATGCCTGTAATTCCAGCACTTTGGGAGACCGAGGCCAGCAGATCACTTGTGGTCAGGAGTTCGAGACTAGCCTGGCCAACATGGTGAAATCCAATCTCTACTGAAAATACAAAAATTAGTTGGTTGTGGTGGTGCATGCCTGTAATCCTAGCTACATGGGAGGCTGAGGCACAAGAATCGCTTGAAACTAGGAGGCCTTAGGTTGCAGTGAGCCAAGATTGCACCACTGCACTCCAGCCTGGGCAAGACTCCATCTCAAGAAAGAAGAAAAAAAACGATGAATTTTCTGGGTTGGTTCTGAGGTTCCTGAAATCAGTTCTCTAATCTGATTAGATTTAAAGACACAAATAACTCTTTCCGATTATAAAGGAACCACTGATATGTCATGACAAGATATGGCAATAGAGATATAAAAATATCACTGTTGGATATATCTAATCAAATACTGATAAATGGCAAGTTCCTTGTGAACTTGTATTTGATATATTAGAACACTTTTATCAAATTAATGTGTATAATGAGATTAGTTATTTTCTCCTAATGGCTTCCAAGAAAGTAAGGGTGGGGGAAAGGATGAACTCAGGTATTCAAATTGTCAGCTCAAGCTCCACATACACAACTTGAAAATTTCTCTGTCCTCCATGAAAGAAACTCTAATTTCCATTAGACGTAGAGCTGAGACTTTTGAAAAACAAGCTCAGAATCTCATCCTATGAATGGTTGAATTACAAGGCAAATTGAATTCCCAACCTCACAGCATGTATGCTCTAAACTAAGGACATTGTTTGGGAAAAAATTGGATATCAAATATTACAATGGGAACATATGGGAAGATTCTGATGAAGCAGAAGACACTGAACCCTTAAACTCTGCTGAGTCTTTTTGCCAATAGTGACAGCGATCTACCCCATCTAAATTGACTCAAAATGTCACTGTGATCTACCAATCAGAATTGGGGCTTCTGAAGTTCACACGATTTATAGAATTGTAGCTCAGGCTCATTTTACAGTGGGTCCAGTGACTACTCAAACGTATTCCGTGGTTATTTCCCCAGATTCAGAGTGCGTAATTGGAAAAGACATACTCAGCACTTGCAGAATTTTCACATTAACTTTGTAACCTATGGAGTGAGTACTATTATGGTAGGAAAGAAAAAGTGGAAGCCACTAGAATTGTCTCTATGTAGGAAATACTAAATCAAAATAGTGTCACATTTCTGGTGGGATTGCAGAGATTAGTGCTATCATCAAGGACCTAAAAGATCCAGGCCTGGTGAGTTTCACCACATCCTTATTCAACTCACCTATTTTGCCTGTGTTGAAGTTAAATGGATATTGAAGAATGACAGTGGGTTACCATAAACTTAACCCAGTGGTGACTTCAATTTTACTTCCTGTTCCAGATGTAATTTTATTACTTGAGCAAGTTAATACATCCCCTGGTATTTTGTGTGCAGTAATTGATCCGGTAAATGCTCTCTCCTTGGAAACTTAGTAAAGATCACCAGACGAAGTTTGCTTTCAGCTGGCAATGACATCAGTACTGTCCTAAATCTCAGGAGTATATCAACTCTCCAGCCCTATGTCATCATTTCGTTCACAGAGATCTTGACTGGTTTTCTTCCACATGCTATCACACCAGTCCATAATATTGATCACATTATGCTGATTAAAACTAGTTGGCAAGAAGCAACACTTTTCAAAACTCTTTGGTAAGACATTTGCATGTCAAAGGAAGGAAATAAATCTTACAAAATTTCAAGGGTTTTCTATCTCAGTGAAGTTTCTGGGGGCCCAGGGATGTAAGGAATTTTGAGATATCCCTCAAGATGAATAATAAGTTATCGAATCTGCCCTTTTAATAATCTAAACAGAGGTTCAATGCTTAGCGGGCCAATTTGAATTTTAGAGGCAACATATTCCCCATTTGAGAGTATTAGTGAGGCCCATTCATTGAGTGGTCTGAAAGCTGCTAGTTTTGATTGAGGCCCAGAACTAAAGAAGGCTCCGAAAGAGATCTAGATTACCATTCAAGCTACTCTGTCAGTTGGGCCATATAATCCAGTACAGTAAACAATGCTTAAATTTTGGGGGACATTATTTCTTCAAATATTTTTTCTGTCCTTTTTTTTGGAAACCCAATATTCATGAATTATTTGACTATGTTTCACAGATCTCTGAGACTCTGTTTATTTATCTTTTTTATTTTCCCTTTCTGTTCTCTGACTGGAGAATACTCGAATTCTCTAATTCTGTCTTATGCTAATTCAAATCTACTCTTTAGTCAGTCTAATAAACTTTTCATCGTAGTTATTATACTTTTAAACTCCCAAATTTCAATTTGACTTTTTGTTTTTAGTTTAATAATTTTTTCATTAATATTCTCTATTCAGTAGGGCATAGCTCTGATACTTTCTTATAATTCTTTAGACATGGTTACTTTCAGTTCTCTGAACATATTTATAATATCTGATTTAATGCCTTTGTGTGTTAAGTGCAACATCTAGGCTCCCTCAAGGACTGTTTCTTTTGTTTTGTTTTGCATATGAGTTATACTACTTTGTTTCTTTTTTAATAAGCATTTAAATAATACAGTGTTTTATATGTCTTTTTAATGGACATTTAAAATGATATAATGTTATTATTCTGGAAATGAGATCCTCTCCCCACATTTAATGTTTTTACTGTGTGTCATTTTTTGTTGTTGTTGCTAGCATTTAATTGTTTACTTGCATTCTTAGATATTCTATACAATTTGTATTTGCTGTTGTGTACAGTCACTGAGGTCCCATCTCAGTTAGTTTAACGTTAAGGTAATAATTGGAAAGAAATGTGTTTAAATTCCTTGAACCAATACATCTTGTATCCTTGCTGAGTTGCTCAGTGGGTGTATTGGGGCAGCTCTTCCATGTTCCAGCCATTTATAACTGTTCTTTAGCCTTTACTTTCTACTTGTGCAGGCAACAACGTCAGCCAAGATGAGAGGTTGGGACTTCTCAGGTCATTCTTGGGCATGAATATAGTCCTGTAATTGTTTTTAGCCTTCTACATCCTAAAGAACATGCTGTTATTTTTCAGAGCCCCTGTGCATATCTTATTTTTCAGATATTAATTTTTAAGTTTTAAGGATCTTCTTTGCCTTAATTGGTATCTCTTTCTCATATAGCCACAATATTAACAAAATGACACTAATATTTTTTGAAAAATGCTCTATAGAATAGAGCTTTTCCCACCAAGTGAGCCCCAAATCAGTGTAAATAGGGTATTGTCCTGTGATTAAAACTTTTCCCAGGGGGCTGCCAGACAGGTAAAATAATAACAATACTCTGAGGATGGAATTCTTTGAGGAGTTCTCACCCTGTTATTTCCTCTTTGATGGCTGCTGTTTTTGGTGGTTTTCATATTTACTGTGTGGCTATGCATTTTCAAAGTTACCAAGAAGCTGAGAATAGGGATAGTTAAAAATACTGTAAAGCTTGTTATTAACATTGAGTTTCAGCAGCTTTCCTTGAATACATAATAGGCAGATTATTGGAAGTCTTTGGTTGATTTCCAGAGTTCTGTAAAAGTTAACTTTGACAATTTTTGTCAGTGGTCTCATTGCTTGTATGGATGAATGGATTTTTTGAGATTCTTACTCTGCTGTTCCAAAGTCCTGCTGCCCCTTAATTTATCTGATTATTTTCCTTGAATAGCACTTTAAATGATGAACACATGTTTTTTAAATGCCAAGTATTTCTTACTATGAATTATGTGTTACGTTTCTCTTCATAGAATTTCATAGAGATATATTCACAAATCAGTTTTCTGTTAGGGTTTGTCATTTTTGTTTCTAAACTACTCATACTTCAAATTGGGAATAAACATATATTAATGATGAATTAAGTAATACCAACATTGTTGAAACTAAATGTGTTTTGGCTCAACAAATGTATTTTAGTTCACATACATACACATAAATAGCTGTATGAGGTTCTTTATCTTTGTCCATCAATGGTATATCCTTTATAGAATTCAGAAACTGTTAACTAAAAGATGTCTGTGAAGTAATTTCTCAAATCCACATTATTTTAAAAGGACAATTATGAAGCCTAGAGGAAATTAAATTGGGAAGAGGCAAAATCAAAATTTCATAATTCAGTATCTCCATTTCTACAGTAGGACTGGGGCATAAAACAAATTGGTAGAACTTTGGAAGAAACAGTAAACAAAAAATTAATTTATAAAGTGATATAATTGGATCAAGTGAATTCTCAGTTTTTCCTCTCTTTCTGGTTATTCCTCTTTTTGTATAAATATACTATTATATATCTCAACTAATTTTTTTTCTTCTCATTGTACTTCCATCTTCGTCTGCTATGCTGTTTCTCTACAACCCTTTATAGGGAAATTTGCAAAAGAGTTGTATGTATTCAATGCCTCTAATCATGTCCTGTCATTCTTTATTAAAGTACTACAGTCAGACTTTACCTTTATCATTCTCTGACTCTCCTCTTTGGAACATCAACTGAAATCTTCATACTAAGAAACTCAATAGTAGATTTTCAACCTTTATTTTATTTGACCTACTAGTCACATTTAATATTGTTAATCTTTTTTTTTTTTCTGTTTTCTCACAGGCCATCAGCATATCACAGCCTCCCAGTTCCCCTCCTACTACTTTGACTTTTCTTTTTCAGTCTACTTTTCTATTTCATCCTTATCTCCCAGACCTCCTTATAATGAACAGCCCTGATAGTCAGTTCTTAGACCACTTATCTCCTCTATCTAAACTCCTTCCTAGGTGATCTCATCCAGATTCATTACTTTATCACCATAAAACATACTATATTTCTTAATGACTCCAAAATTTTTATCTCCAACACCTCATCTACAATCTCCTTGCTCTAATATATTAAACTCTTGTCTTGGAAGCTCCACTTGGATAGAAAGCATTTCAACCGAAACATGTCTATAACTGAATTTTTCAGCATCTCCCTGAGTCTGTTTCTCCTGCCATAATTTCATATCTGCAGTTACATCAGCCAAGACGGTTAAAATCATCATGGACTCACTCTCTTTGCCTCACATCTTATTTAATCTGTCAGCAAGACCTACTGAGTGTACTTCTAAATACACTTGGAATTTGACCAATTCATACCATGCCCACTGCTACCACTGTGGCCCAAAATGCCACCCTCTGTCACTGAAATCATTGCAATAGCTTCCCAACTGTTCTCCTTACTTTCTGTCCTTGTTTGCCTGTACAGACTATCTGAACCAAACTGTCACACTAGTTATTTTAAATCATAATTGAGAGTTGACATTACTCTTTCATTCAAATCCTCCAAATAGTTCCCTATTTCTTGTAAAATCAAAGTTAAAGTCTTTATCAAAGCCCAAAAAGTCATAGACAATTGGATCACTCTGTCATCTCTCCGACCTCATCTTATTTTACTTGACTGTGTCTGCATTTTGCTGTATCTTCTAAAAGCTGGGCCTGTGCCTGATTCAAGGCATTTGTATTATCTATTCCCTGTGCCAGGTATAGGCTTCCCTAGGACACCCTTGCTTCTTTCAAATCTTTATTTAGATACCTCTTTCCCAGTAATGCCTTCCATATCTACTATTTTTAAAATTGTTAATACATTCCATTCCAGCAACTCTTTATCCTACTTCCTCACTCTATTTTCTCAATAGTATTTATTACAGTACTTAATATATTGTAAATGTTATGAATTTATTGTTTGTCATCTGTGTCCTCCCACTGAAAATCCTAGTGTGTAAACTTCATGATGAAATGAAGTTGTGTATGTTCTTTCACTCCCTAATTCCTCAACTTATCAACACATAGTAAGCACTCAATACATATTTATTGAATAAGTGAATGTTTATTTACAACTGACTTTCTCCTTTTATTATATTTTTTCAAAAATAAGATGGAGGCACCCTTATAGTTGCAAACTACAACAACCAGCCTAACTGTGGAACTCCAAAAATAAAAATGCTTAAAAGCTTTATCAAATTATAAGGCTATTTTAATTACAGAATAATCATCTGTCTTCCTTTTGTCCAAGGCCTTTTTTTTTTCAGTTATACTATGTTTACTAAGTGGCAGAAAATCAGAATTATAGAAGCTTTAATAATAAGCACAAGTGTTTATATCAATAAAACCTTGAGAGGTTATCAGTTCTTTGTTTGAGACAGAATATCATAGGCTCTCTTGCTTATCTTCTGTTTTCCAGAAGTGTCCAGCAGACTTCCCCTTCCAATTCCTTAGTCAGAACTACATCACATGCTGACTCTTGGTTAATTGATGGCATGAAGAAATAAAAATGCCATCATGGAGACAAATCATTATTTACCCCTTGGGTAGGAACAGGAGAATTCCTTTCCTGAGCAAAATGCTCCTTACCAATATCTGGAGAAATAGAGATTTGATAGCAAGCATGAAGGGTGAATTGGCACTTTGATTGGCAATTACCAGGGTATGCCATAGCTCTTTCTCTCCTCCAAGTATAGAGTAAGTTCTCCTTTCATTAAAAATGGTAAACAAACAACAGTAGTACAAAATCATGAGATTTATAAGACAAACCTGAATTAAAACCATGGCTCCTACACTAGACTGATGACCTTAAGCAATTGTCTAATTGTTAACTGCTTCCTCTCTAAACTGATTAGAATACATCCTGTATCATAGGGCTCTTATGAGTATTCCATGAAATAACACGTGCATGTGTTTATCAGAATACAACTTATAGGAAAAGCTTAGTAAATATTTTTAATATTATTGTTAATATACATTCAAAAGAGCAAATGCAGTTACAATATAACAACATTCTTATATGTTTCACCTGTTTGAAAATCTCTGTAACAGGTAGGCAGAGCTGTTATTTGTGTCTTATACTGTTGAGGAAAGTAAGTCATAAATATTTGAACACTTGCTCAAAGTCAAACAGGTAACAACTGTTGACCTCTAACAAAGGTAGACACAAACCTCATGCTTGTGCGTTTCCTGTTCAAAATCATGATTATTATGACTTTGAAGATATAGATGAAACTAGCAATCTAAAACAATGAGATTATCCAAATAACTACAATGAAGAAAATAGTTTTTTGAAGAACTAGATTTTGTTCAGTTGAGAACGTATTTATTTTGCATCTACTATGTTCTTGTTGCACTAGAGGTAGTTACAATATTATTAATCCTTTTATAATTTTATCACATCAAACATGGTTTTACTCTTTCATATAAAATGACTTGGTCCAATCAATATTTCAATTAGAAACAATTATATGGGGGCCTAAAATCATGAAAAAATATAGTTGTCCCAATAAAAAACTACTTTTGGGATTAAAACAAAATTTTGAGACTATGAAGGTGAATGTAGGGCAACCATAATCGTACATAGAAACAAAAACACAATTAGCCCCATAAGTGGTTAATCTGTTCCTAACTACGACAAACGTCTTACCCAATGCAGTTTCCTGTGACCTCATAATGTCCTCAGTATTCTGCCTCTCTTCCTTGATTTTTAAGGTATATTTCATACCATATAAAAATGTCCCAATAGATGAGTAAAGTAAGTAGCCTCTATGATAGTCTCCATTGATCCACACCTACTGGTGTGCTTGTGTAATCTCCTCCCTCTGAGTGTGAGTTGGACTTGTTTTACTTGTTTCTAGTGAATGGGATATGTCAGAAGTAATGAGATGTCACTTGTAGAATTGGGTTATCTAAGAACTGTGACTCACGAACCAGGGGCTCTCTCTAACTCTGTCATTGATGACTTGCTCTGCCATCTTGGAAGCCAGGCCCTCTATTATAATGTAGCCATGTGGGAAGGCCTACATAAGTGAACTTGGAAGCCAATTTTCTCAGACCTTCCAACAGACACAAGAATGTACTCAGCAAACTAACACAGGAACAGAAAGCCGAACACTGCATGTTCTCACTCACAAGTGGGAGTTGAACAATGAGAACACATGGATACAGGGAGGGGAACAACACACACCCGGGCCTGTCGGGGGGTGGGGAGCAAGGTGAGGGAGAGCATTAGGACAAATACCTAATTCATGTGAGGCTTAAAACCTAGGTGATGTGTTGGTAGGTGCAGCAAACCACCATGGCATATGTATGTCTATGTAACAAACCTGCACATTCTGCACATGTATCCCGGAACTTAAGGTAAAATAAAATAAAATAAAATAAAAAAAAAAAAGAATGTACTCAGAAGCAGATCCTTCCTCAACCAGTTTGAGATATAGGAATCCCTAGTCAACACTTTAGAAAGATGCTGATTCAGCAAAACTGCCCCCAGATTTCTGCCACACAGAAACTGAAATAGGCCTGCCATGGTGGCTCACGCCTGTAATCCCAACACTTTGGGAGGCTGAGGCGGGCGAATCACAAGGTCAGGAGTTCGAGACCAGCCTGGCCAACATGGTGAAACCCCGTCTCTACTAAAAATACAAAAAATTAGCTGGGCCTGGTGGTGGATGCCTGTAATCCCAGCTACTAGGGAGGCTGAGGCAAGAGAATCGCTTGAACCTGGGAGGCAGAGGTTGCAGTGAGCTTAGATTGTGCCACTGCACTCTAGCCCAGGCAACAGTACAAGACTCTGTCTCAAAAAAAAAAAAAAAAAAAGAAACTGAAATAATAACTGTTTTCAGCCAGTAAATTATGGCGTATTTGTTACACAGCAACAGAAAACTAACACACTGACAGAAAATAGTACTTTTTACATTCTGAATCTGTTTGAAACTATAGCATGAGTATTTTAAACCAAATACCCTGGTGGTTTTGTAAATGTTTTAGCCATTCCAGGTGGATGACACACTCTCAAGAGTGGTGACCAGAGCAGTGATTCTCAAAGGATACAGAGGGATGCCTATTAGGGTGCAAGAATTTGAATATCCAAGGTTAACATTCCACACTCTCAGGTGATTCAGAGATATTTCCTTCCCTACCCATCAGGAATCACCATGTAACATAAATTGGGAATTAAAATGTTGGCACAAATTAAAACAGTATTAACCAACCATAAATAACCTATGAATGGTTTAGTATCCCTGGAAGATTTTATCTTTACCTTTTGTTGTTAAGTCCTTCCAATGATGACTCTGTGTAGAGTGTGTGTGTGTGTGTGTGTGTGTGTGTGTGTGTGTATCTGTGTGTGTAGCATTTCTGTGGGAACACTATAATATCTGAACAGGATATTACCATTTTATTTCTTTTCATTTTCTCACTCTTGTTCACCCTAATTCCACGTGCTCCTGACTTGTATACTAAATACCATCAGGCAAGTGTTGCCCAGGCATAGAATATTCAATAAATGTAATCTCCAGTAGTTCAAGCAAATATATTTTAAGATTCTATAGGATTTAAAATGAGAAATTAAGTATGCCTGTCCTGAGAAATATCTTCCAGAAAATATGAGTATAGACCTCAGGGGCCTTAATGGTCCAGGAATCCAAACAGGGCTGATTAAGAAAATCTTTGTAGAAAAATTTGTAAATATATTAATTTGACAGTTTGAGAAAATGATGGAAGAAGTGGAGTCTTTCTATCAAAGGAATGCTTTTAAAACAAAATAACATGATCCTCAGCTGGTTATTTGTTCCACCTTACCAGATCATAGACAAAAAAAAATACACAGCCCTTTCACCTATTTAATTAAAACATTCACAGCTTGATGAAAAACACAGAGTAGATGTAACTGTTCCAAGTTTGTAGCTGACAAAACTGAGATTATAATAAAAAAAGTGAACAGTACTTTCAAATCAGTATGCTAGCACTGACTTGTGCATTACTGCAAAACCCTATGAAAGCCATATGATCTGTATAATTCTAGTGAGAAGTGACAGAGGAGAGATTAGGGTTCCACTGCTGAGAGGCTGAGGAAAAGAGATTGCCAGCGGTTTCAACAAATACATAAAACCCAAGAGAAATACACATGTAGACACAGAGACTGGGCAATAGGGCAGCTTCCCTTCATACTTCTCCATATCCCTAAGATATCTTTGGCATACTGATACGGCATGTAAAGACAGCAGTTACCCTGGGTAAAACTTAAAACAAACAAGCAAACAAAACATGAGAAACAATTTTGTAAACTCTCTATTCTAAGACAGACCAATCCCATGTGGACATTCCTGGCACAGGTGTACACAGTCCCTTTAAGCATGTAATACTACTTAGTGCAATTATGTGATTTATTCTATTATGTATACTTTAAATGCTTAATATGTTCCCAAGGAATTTACTATTTGAGAAATCACAATTAAAAGCTGAAATGAGAAATTATAAGATTATTTCAGAATTAAAATGAGAAATAATAGAAAAGGGAAAATGCTGTGCTTTTATTTTAAAAATCAGTAATACTTAAAGTGAATAGTGCAAAGCCATCTTATATATTAGTTGCAAATAATATAATCATATAGTTTATTAATTAAATATGTTAATTAGCTATACCATAGTTAATTATTATAATATGGAAGAGCTATAATTAATATAAACTAGTAAAAACACATTTGCACTCATGTTTTAAGAAGGCTAATGTAAATTATCACTACAATACTTGCTCACTCAAGGTGCATAAATTGTTTAGGTTTTCTGGGCATAACTGTTAATATGAAAAATCTCAAATAGAAAACTGTCTTCCTCGAAATCTTGTCATCTGACAACCTTCTTAAGCAAACACTTGATTGACGTTTGCTTTTTCCCGTAGGGCCAGTACTCAAACCTGGAGGGACAGTTGACCTTTTTTTTTCCCAATAACACAGAATTAGGACTGAATTTTAAGGGATAATAATTGACTTCCTTGGAGGAAGGAAGATAAGTGCAAATTCTCAGGATCAGCAGGGAAATTCGGTTTGGTGTGAATTTTAGTATCTGCAGGTATGAGAAACCAACAGAGAAAAAAGACATCACAGCAGGTAGCAACTGGCTTAATGTGAAAACTACTCAGGATACTAGTTGAAAAAGAAGGTAAATCCAACTGAGGTCTGTTTCTGGTGAGAATGCTATAGCCCAGTTGTTGCCTATATTCGATATGCCCTTAAAATTGGTAAGTGTTCAGTTTTCTTTTCTCCATGAGCATGTGTTGGTGGGGTGGCGGTTATTTGGAAAAGCATAGCTTTAGTGACAAGAGACTTAGGCTTTCACTCAATGTGATTAATCACTTAATTAGCTACCATTTAACTCTGAAGTTGAATGCTCATTGAACAAAAAAAACAACACCATTCAGAGAGGTTGGTATGGGAAATAAAGTTACCAACCACCACCTCTAAGTGATTTGTAGGAATTGGTAAACTTTTAGTACAGACTGAATGTACTGTGTATGTTGATATATGTGGAGGAGAGCTCTGTTTAAAATCTTTGTTCAGAAGCTATCCTTTTTAATCTCAAATAGCATATATTTTTAAGCAAGAAGTTTTTAGTATTCCTCACTCTACTTTTCCTCTTCTAGATGATTCATTTAAAAAAAATTAAACACAGTGGAATAGACAACAGTTGCTTTTAAAACTTTACCAAAATGAATAGCCTAATACATTGGAGAAGGAAGTGAATAGTTAAATCTATAGTATACTCTTTTAAAAACTAAAAGATGACACATAATGGATTTGATGAACCTATGATTACATTATTAATATAATCATTTAGAGCCAAATCTGAGCTTGCACAGAATGTTGAGACTCATAGCCAAAATCACTCTGCAATATTGGCACAGTATATCTATTTATGTTAGATTGGATAAATATAAAGATTTTTCCTAATGTGGATTTTATAGCCAAAGATAAAACCAAATGAATAAACAATATTGAAATCATCATTCTATGTTTAACTTCTCCAGAACAAAATTAACATTTTGGCTCTGTCCACATAATACTAATTGTGAGGAGAGGGAGTGAGAAATAGAGTATTTTTTTGGTAGTGTGCCAAATTATCCAGATGAACAATGATAAATAGTACTGAAACTTTATGCTTAAGAAGTTTATTATTACATTAAAGTATCTTTTTTACCTTCTTTTTAAATAGAGGTGCAAGAGTGGGCATTAGTGCATATATTTAATATGAAAGGCTAGCTTTTATCAAATCTCAGCAGATGAGGTTTACTCATTTTAATTCTAGAATTTGGGGGAAAAGTTGATACATTTATATATGTCATGTTTTAAATAACATGTTTTTATGTTTAATTTGACCAATATAAAAGGAAAAACAATTCATTGCCCTAAAAAAAAAGAATATCAAAGTATTAGCTACAGGATAAAATATTCAAAAATTGATTTAAAAAGCAAACTTCTTAAGAACAATGAAAATTCAAATTTGCTGTGCACAGAAATATTTTTATTAATTTCCAAAACCTACACAGCATTAATTATTTGGGTTCCTCTGAATATACACACACACACGTACGCATTATGCCAGCCTAAAGTAATTAAATATATCTCTATTTAGTGGAATGCCATAGCAAACAAATTCAGATAAAACTTAAACTTCATGTTTCAAACTATTAAAGCACATTAAGAAATGTAGTGACTACCCATGAAAGCTTTGTGTGCATTCAAAACTTATTTCCACTCTGGCTCTGTCACTATCTAACCCCAATGACGCTAAACAAATTACTTAAAGTCTCAGAACGCCTATTCCCTTATCTGTAAAGGGGAGAAATATTATTTACTTCAGAGGTTGTTAAAAAGAGAAAAAGTTGTTTGCCTGTGTAATAAAGTGCTTGTCCTAATGACTAGAAATGCCTCTCTATACATTCGATTATAATTAATAAATATGACTAAGCAACTTATGTTATTGCTTTACTGGGAAAAACCTAGAAGACTCCCATATCTTTATTCAAATACCCCCCCTTCAAGCCATTCTTTTCCTGAAAAATTATCTTACTACAACTCTTTTTAGTAGGCATTGTCTAGTGACAATAATAATAATCATAATATGAAAAGTACTCAATAGTGATAGCCATAATTTAAGGTTATCCTTACTAAGCACTTTCCACATGCTGGGCATTGTGTTAAACGCTTCAATGTGCCCCTCTTTGTGTAACCTCACAGAGTCACTCTAATTCCAGTACCTAATTTAGTTGGACAAATAGATATCCCATCTGGCATGATGGCAGCGAGTGAAGGGGAATGCACTGAGAATGAATGCATATATCATTTTTAAAGAAACAGTAGACATGGACAAATATAACCACTTACATTGTGAATCCTCCATCCAGCATAACTGGTAGATTGACAACCAGTAATACATCAGTAGAACATATTCTAAAGATACAACTATAGCAATGGACTTGGAATAAGAAGACCTGAAGTTTGTTTTGTTTTGTTTTGTTTTGTTTTTTTCCTGGCTTTGACATTTAGAAAACATGGAATTCTTAGAAAATTAATTATACTATTAATTCTTCAAGTTCTTCATCTGTGAAATTAAAATAATCCATTATTCTTTGTCCTTTTTGGCTATTAAAGGACAGACTGATTAAAGGATTAAATGTTAGATAGATGATGCTATTATGCATCTGCATCATCACATTGATTTTATTTGCATTTTTATAAACATTGATGAAATTTAGTCATAGTTTCAATGACTATTGCTGTTAAACAAACCACTCCAAAATGTAGTCACATAAAACAGATTAGATTTTGAGACTCAGGAATTCAGGAAGATCACAGAAGACATGGTATATGTCTACTCCATGACATCTGCACCCTCAGCTGGAATGACTCCATGACTGAGGGTAACTTTGTTACTGGGGGCATGGAATTATCTGGAAGCATCTTTTTTAACATGTCTGGTGACCGATGTTGACTGTCAGCTGGGATCTCGGATGAGACTTTCAACTGCAGTACTTGCATATGATTTCCACATGTGGCTTGAATTCTTGTAGTATGACAGTTAAGTTCGTAGAGAGCTCCCTAAAAGAACTTCCTAAAAGAGAGCCTCAACAACAAGCATTTTAAGATGACCAAGTTGATACTACATGGCCTTTTCTGACCTTAGAAGCCATGTGGCATCACTATTCTATGGGTTAAAGCAGCCACAAATCACCTGAAATCCAAGTAAAAAGGCCATAGACCCCAACGTTTAATAAGATAACTGTCTTAAATTTGGGGACCCAGGTATAGAACCATCAAAATCACATATTAGTATTTATAGATTTATTTTACTTTTTCTAATTTCCTCCTCACTCTAAAATACAATATTTAAATGTTTCTAAATAGGAAATTTTTGCCTCAATATTTTAACTCCCTCTGATCCAAGTTTATGGAAAGTACTCCATCAAACTAGATAAGCCCCATTTGTTTCAATAGCATGAAAATATTTTGAAATCCAACTTCTTTCAAAATATGAAATTATTGGCAAGTTTCCTATCCTTTATGTTTATGTTTATGTTATGTTCCTATATTTTATTCTTAAAGCTACATAGTAAACAAGTTCAGAACAATTATTGACATAATTCAAGTACATAAAATCCCTTTAAAATATCCATGTAATTAGGAATTTGTTAATCAATATACCCTTGAATTATTGAGATATTGGTTTCTGTTGACTTTTTTGATTTGGTTTATTCAGATAATACACAGGTGGGATTATTTTTACAAATGCTTGTAGATAATTTCTTTGAGTTTTATCCTATTGCTAAAGAGATAATAAGTGAGTATGGCTCTAAAAATGTGTATAAAGTTAAATGTTTAATAAGAAAAAATATTATTTTCTATTAAGAAGTTGATTATTTCAGGAAATTCTAAGTACAATTTCAAATTGGTAGAGTGAATTATTAAAACACGGGTTTTCAAAATTTAAATGTTGGTATTTTTATTTTGCTTACTGAAAGGTAAATCAGTAGTTTTTAATATTAATGCCATAAATACATACTATTCATACTTTTAGATGTTTGTGTGCATTAGCATCTTATGTTTTAGGTATTAAGTGCCACAGGATAGGTGATTTTCTTTGTATAATATTGTGTGTAGGAGGATAATTATTGCTTTTTGATCATGATGGATAATTATTATAATTAGTGTAATGGGAATCATGATTTAATATTTTATGTAGCACTATAAAATTCACACTGAGTTGCACCAATTAAAGTTGTGACTCAACAAATAAAAATTAAAAATTTATAATCCATGACCGTGTATTAAATACATAAGCCTAAAATGAATATATTTTTAAAATTGTGTAGGAGTGTTAACTATTAAATGAGCATATTCAATAATAGGCAAAGGTTCAGAAGTTCTTTGAAAAGGTTTTTGCAGTTTGTAGATCAGTCTGGTATCTGAGACTGAATATAACAGGCTATGGGTTGTTTCTCCCTGAGGTGAAACAAAGGAGGCCTTTAGAATGGATGTTGAAGGTGAATAAGGTAAAATATAATTCATGGAGAAGGAAATGAGGACCAAGATTCCATTTGGAAAATATTCCAATATATTTAAAAGAGAGAGAAGATTGTATGTGAAAGAGGAAAGCTGGGAAATCAACTGAGGGCCTCTTCAAGACTCAGCTCAGTTGTCACTTGACAGTTTAGGGTCTTTCAAAGGCTTCTTCTAGGTGCTAATTTAGCCCCCAGTACATATGTAGAGCTGACTCAATATATGTGGAAATTGGGTATTGTAGTTTGGATACTCCAGGAACAGATCCTCACAATAGGTGCAAGAGACATTGATATGAGAGTAATGAAGTAAGGTAAGCAAGAGAAAAAGCAAACATATAGTACATTTAAAAGGCAACTAGTGCTGTATGGCTGGAGATAAGCCTATGGGGTAAGTTATTAGAGAACCAACATAAAACTCACCCTTCAGAGTTGTGGCACAAGAAGGGCCATTGACCTGGGTACTTAGACCCTAACTCCTCTCAGTTACTGATTATGGGTTATTTGTGGGTGTAAGCATTTCTAACTTCTGGCCTGTTTTGGAGAAGACCCTCAGGCACAGAGATGCATATTCCAGCAGAAGGCAATAGGCTGGAACACACTGAAGTAAGAAGGCCTACGGAGTATAGTCTGGCACAGAAAACACCTGACTACCTGTGCAGGCTAAAGTTTTGCATTCGTTTGAGTGGGTATTCATGTACGCATCTATTCTCTTTACTCATTAAATTCAAAACAACTTGTTGACAAAAGACTAATACATGCCATTACAGCTCTTTATTCTGTCAACCAAGGTGTCAACAAAAGAAGAAGATAATTAAAACATTGGCCATTCTTAACTGGATGTAAACATGCTTAGTAAGTAACATATTTATGAAATGAATAAATGAATGAGTAAGCAAATAATAAACCCACATCCAAAAAATCCAACCCATTAACACAAAATTAGTAAGTTAAATTATTGTAATAAAAGCTGTGAAGAAGAACAAAAAAAAAAGTGACAAAATGGTGACTAAATGAGTAAGGCAACTTTCAATTCAGCAGTCAGAGAAGACCATGTTGATGTATGATATTTGAATTTAGACCTTGATAAAATCTGGCCCAAATTAACTTGGTTATAAACAATGATTTAGCTATTTCTGGCCATTATTGGTACTGCCAAAATACAGATATAGACTAGCTATTCACTCTCAAATTCCATACTCAGTTAAAAATAAAAGCAATATTGGGCCATATTCCATTACATATAGTTGACTATGTCCAACACAATGTTGATAGGAGAGAGCTTAATTTACTTATCACCTCAGTAAGCAAGAACACTAGGCTTTGGTAGTATCTCACAGGGAGAAGGACAAGATTGGATTTTATTGAGAATTTGAAGTTGGGTTTAAGGTGAGTTTTTCAATGTGAGGACTGAATTAGAATTGTGTGTCCATCATGGTATATTTAGGATCAATGGAAACAGCAAGACAAAAGATTTTAAGTTGAGATAGTCAGAGTGTCTTATGTATAAACTCTGTTGATGCTTCCTACTGAAGTCAGTGGGTTGAGAAGTTCCTATAATGAACAATAAAGTTACTTGCCTGGAGAAGGGCTTCTAGAAGTAGTTAAATTTTGCCACTGAAGGCAATGGAATAGTAGGTTTGCTTAATGTAGACACTAAGATGTGTGGAGGTCCTCATATAGTCATTTGTCACACCAAATATACTAACAAATTAGGAATAACAAATTCCTAGAGTAGTTCTATTTCATCTATGTTACCTCAATTCTTGGTGCTCTGGTAAAATCTTGAATGAAATAATTTAAGGCTGACACAATATTCAATGTACAATGAGGATTTATAAATTTATAGTTATCATCAAATACAAAATCTTTTGAAATTGTAGTCAAGCATGGACATTTCATAATCAAGTGTTGACTGTCTCTCCAAAAGGTGAAGGGTTAAGGCTTTTTTTGATTCACATGTTTATTTATTTAAAGGAGAGAGGGATCTCTAAAATAACCCACGTATCTTGAACACCGTTAAGTTTACCAATTAAACTCATTTCTAGTTTCTATTATATTGTAAGCACAATAAACATTTGGTGATAAGAAGATAAAAAGATGGCTCAAGTGCTGTAGCAGTAGATTTAAGAGATTGTGAATACATAAATGGGGTAACCAACCAACCACCACTAGAGTGGTGAACAAAGCTGTTTCTGCCAAAAGGTGTCAAAAATTCAGACTGAAGAATAGATGTGAAGGATGATTCCTCTAGGAAGAGGGTGCAACAAGTATAAAAATTCAGAGAGGAGATAGAGCATAGTGTATGAGAGAACAAGAAAATGGCTGTAGCTCAATGAGGGAAGATGATAAGATTTTGGAGGGAGGTCAGCAACAAGGTCACATAGTGCTTTATGTCTGTGATAGGGATATATATATATATAAAATTATATATTAATATATTATTGTATCATTAATATATTGTATATTAATATATTATTGTATAAATTAATTTATTGTAATTTACATTAATATTTTAATATAATCAATATAATTATAAAATATAATTATGAGAAATAAAATATAATTATAATTAATATATTATTATACATAACATTATATATTATATCATATATATTATTCTAAGGGAATAATCCAGAATAGTAAGGCAGAGGGAGATTGGAGAGAAAAGAGAGAGAAAGGAATTAGAAAGAAAATGCAGATAAATGAAGGATACAGTTCTAAAGAAGGAAAGAGTAAGAAGATCCTGAGTACAAGGAGATACACATACTTTTGAGAGGAGCAGATACACTTCCCTATTGGACTGGGAGGAAAGCCTTAAAAAATGAGATTCTGATCTAAGTAGGTTTGTGATATAGCAATAAAAATAGAATAGAATCTCGCTCCATTTGCATCTATATTAATGAATTATGATGCAATTTTATTCGTTGATAACATACATAAATGGGGCTATGGTCATTTTGAAGAGACAGTATGACATGAAGTTAAGTCTTACATTAATATTTGTTTAATTTTATTTAGAGAAGAGGATCTTCATAGTATAGTAAAAAGACATCGTGGAACAATACTTGTAAGGGCATTCCAACTCTACTCTCTCATTCATAATTCAGCTTTGGACCCAAATATGTGTGCTCCACCAAGTAAAACAAAAATTCCACAATGAACTCAATTTAGAAGACATTCAGTCAAAATAATATTCCCTTTGGAAACGTTATATTTCCGTTCTCAGTGACTTATCAAAGCGTTCCTTCCAGTTATCTGTAATAGTAATTCTGGCAGGCTATGCTGGTAAATGCAACGTTTCTGTTCTTCTTGGGGACATTTTTTTAAAATTATACTTTAAGTTCTATGGTACAGGTGCACAACGTGCAGGTTTGTTACATATGTATACATGTGCCAAGTTGGTGTGCTGCACCCATTAACTCATCATTTCACATTAGGTATATCTCCTAATGCTATCCCTCCCCCCTCCCCCCACCCCACAACAGGCCCCGGAGTGTGATGTTCCCCTTCCTGTGTCCATGTGTTCTCATTATTCAATTCCCACCTATGAGTGAGAACATGTGGTGTTTGGTTTTTTGTCCTTACAATAGTTTGCTGAGAATGATGGTTTCCAGCTTCATCCATGTCCCTACAAAGGACATGAACTCATCACTTTTTATGGCTGCGTAATAGTCCATGGTGTATATGTGCCACATTTTCTTAATCCAGTCTATCATTGTTGGACATTTAGGTTGGTTCCAAGTCTTTGTTATTGTGAATAGTGCCACAATAAATATATGTGTGCATGTGTCTTTATAGCAGCATGTTTTATAATGCTTTGGGTATATACCCAGTAACGGGATGGCTGGGTCAAATGGTATTTCTAGTTCTAGATCCCTGAGGAATCGCCACACTGACTTCCACAATGGTTGAACTAGTTTACAGTCCCACCAACAGTGCAAAAGTGTTCCTATTTCTCCACATCCTCTCCAGCACCTGTTGTTTCCTGACTCTTTAATGGTCGCCATTCTAACTGGTGTGAGAGGCATCTCATTGTGGTTTTGATTTGCATTTCTCTGATGGCCAGTGATGATGAGCATTTTTTCACGTGTCTATTGGCTGCATAAATGTCTTCTTTTGAGAAGTGTCTGTTCATATTCTTCACCCACTTTTTGATGGGGTTGTTTTTTTCTTGTAAATTTGTTTGAGTTCATTGTAGATTCTGGATATTAGCCCATTGTTAGATGAGTAGATTGCAAACAGTTTCTCCCATTCTGTAGGTTGCCTGTTCACTCTGATGGTAGTTTCTTTTGTTGTTCAGAGGCTCTTTAGTTTAATTAGATCCCATTTGTCAATTTTGGCTTGTGTTGCCATTGCTTTTGGTGTTTTAGACATGAAGTCCTTGCCCATGCCTATGTCCTGAATGGTATTGCCTAGGTTTTCTTCTAGGATTTTTATGGTTTGAGGTCTAACATTTAAGTCTTTAATCCATCTTGAATTAATTTTTGTATAAGGTGTATGGAAGGGATCCAGTTTCAGCTTTCTCCATATGGCTAGCCAGTTTTCCCAGCACCATTTATTAAATAGGGAATCGTTTCCCCATTTCTTGTTTTTTGTCAGGTTTGTCAAAGATCAGATTGTTGTAGATGTTTTGCATTACTTCTGAGGGCTCTGTTCTGTTCCATTGGTCTATATCTCTATTTTGGTACCAGTACCATGCTATCTTGGTTACTGTAGTCTTGTAGTGTAGTTTGAAGTCAGCCAGCATGATGCCTTCAGCTTTGTTCTTTTGGCGTAGGATTGACTTGGCAATGTGGGCTCTTTTTTGGTTCCATATGAACTTTAAAGTAGTTTTGTCCAATTCTGTGAAGAAAGTCATTGGTAACTTGATGGGGATGGCATTGAATCTATAAATTACCTTGGGCAGTATGGCCATTTTCACAATACTGATTCTCCCTACCCATGAGCATGGAACGTTCTTCAGTTTGTTGGTATCCTCTTTTATTTCATTGAGCAGTGGTTTGTAGTTCTCCTTGAAGAGGTCCTTCACATCCATTGTAAGTTGGATTCCTATGTATGTTATTCTCTTTGAAGCAATTGTGAATGGGAGTTTACTCATGATTTGGCTCTCTGTTTGTCTGTTATTGGTGTAAAAGAATGCTTGTGATTTTTGTGCATTGATTTTGTATCCTGAGATTTTGCTGAAGTTGCCTATCAGCTTAAGGAGCTTTGGGGCTGAGATGATGGGGTTTTCTAGATATATAATCATGTCATCTCCAATCAGGGACAATTTGACTTCCTCTTTTCCTAACTGAATGCCCTTTATTTCCTTCTCCTGCCTGATTGCCCTGGCCAGAACTCCTAACACTATATTCAATAGGAGTGGTGAGAGAGGGCATCCCTGTGTTGTGCCAGTTTTCAAAGGGAATGCTTCCAGTTTTTGCCCATTCAGTATGATATTGGCTGTGGGTTTGTCATAGATAGCTCTTATTATTTTGAGATACGTCCCATCAGTACCTAATTTATTGAGTTTTTAGCATGAAGGGCTGTTGAATTTTGTCAAAGGCCTTTTCTGCATCTATTGAGATAATCATATGGTTTTTGTCCTTGCTTCTGTTTATATGCTGGATTACGTTTACTGGTTTTCGTATGTTGAACTAGCCTTGCATCCCAGGGATGAAGCCCACTTGATCATGGTGGATAAGCTTCTTGATGTGCTGCTGGATTCGGTTTGCATAGATGTTCATCAGGGATATTGGTCTAAAATTCTCTTTTTTTGTGTGTGTCTCTGCCAGGCTTTGGTATCAGGATGATGCTGGCCTCATAAAATGAGTTAGGGAGGATTTCCTCTTTTTCTGTTGATTGGAATAGTTTCAGAAGGAATGGTACCAGCTCCTCCTTGTACCTCTGGTAGAATTCAGCTGTGAATCCATCTGGTCCTGGACTTTTTTTGGTTGGTAAGCCATTAATTATTGCCTCAATTTCAGAGCCTGTTATTGGTCTGTTCAGAGATTCAACTTCTTCCTGGTTCAGTCTTGGGAGGGTGTGTGTGTTGAGGAATTTATCCATTTCTTCTAGATTTTCTAGTTTATTTGCATAGAGGTGTTTATAGTATTCTCTGATGTTAGTTTGTATTTCTGTGGGATCAGTGGTGATATCCCCTTTATCATTTTTTATTGCATCTATTTGATTCTTCTCTCTTTTCTTCTTTATTAGTCTTGCTAGCAGTCTATCAATTTTGTTGATCTTTTTTAAAAAAAAGCTCCTGGATTCATTGATTTTTTGAAGGGTTTTTTGTGTCTCTATCTCCTTCAGTTCTGCTCTGATCTTAGTTATTTCTTGCCTTCTGCTAGCTGTTGAATGTGTTTGCTCTTGCTTCTCTAGTTCTTTTAATTGTGATAGGGTGCCAATTTTAGATCTTTTCTGCTTTCTCTTGTGGGTATTTAGTGCTATAAATTTCCCTCTACACACTGCTTTAAATGTGTCCCAGAGATTCTGGTATGTTGTGTCTTTGTTCTCATTGGTTTGAAAGAACATCTTTATTTCTGCCTTCATTTCATTATGTACCCAGTAGTCATTCAGGAGCAGTTTGTTCAGTTTCCATGTAGTTGAGCGGTTTTGAGTGAGTTTCTTAATCCTGAGTTCTAGTTTGATTGCACTGTGGTCTGAGAGACAGTTTGTTATAATTTCTGTTCTTTTACATTTGCTGAGGAGTGCTTTACTTCCAACTATGTGGTCAGTTTTGGAATAAGTGCAATGTGGTGCTGAGAAGAATGTGTATTCTGCTGATTTGGGGTGGAGAGTTCTGAAGATGTCTATTAGGTCCGCTTGGTGCAGAGCTGAGTTCGATTCCTGGATATCCTTGTTAACTTTCTGTCTCGTTGATCTGTCTAATGTTGACAGTGGGGTGTTAAAGTCTCCCATTATTATTGTGTGGGAGTCTAAGTCTCTTTGTAGGTCTCTAAGGACTTGCTTTATGAACCTGGGTGCACCTGTATTGGGTGCATATATATTTAGGATAGTTAGCTCTTCTTGTTGAATTGATCCCTTTACCATTATGTAGTGGCCTTCTTTGTCTCTTATGATCTTTGTTGGTTTAAAGTCTGTTTTATCAGAGACTAGGATTGGAACCCCTGCCTTTTTTTGTTTTCCATTTGCTTGGTAGATCTTCCTCCATCCCTTTATTTTGAGACTTTGTATATCTCTGCATGTGAGATGGGTCTCCTGAATACAGCACACTGATGTGTCTTGACTCTTTATCCAATTTGCCAGTCCTGTCTTTTAATTGGAGCACTTAGCCCATTTACATTTAAGGTTAGCATTGTTATGTGTGAATTTGATCCTGTCATTATGATGTTAGCTGGTTATTTTGCTCGTTAGTTGATGCAGTTTCTTCCTAGCCTTGATGGTCTTTACAATTTGGCATGTATTTGCAGTGGCTGGTTCTGGTTGTTGCTTTCCATGTTTAGCGCTTCCTTCAGGAGCTCTTTTAGGGCAGGCCTGGTGGTGACAAAATCTCTCACCATTTGCTTGTCTGTAAAGGATTTTATTTCTCCTTCACTTATGAAGCTTAGTTTGGCTGGATATGAAATTCTGGGTTGAAAATTCTCTTCTTTAAGAATGTTGAATATTGGCCCCCACTCTCTTCTGGCTTGTAGAGTTTCTGCCGAAAGATCAGCTATTAGTCTGATGGGCTTCCCTTTGTGGGTAACCCGACCTTTCTCTCTGGCTGCCCTTAACATTTTTTCCTTCATTTCAACTTCGGTGAATCTGACAATTATGTGTCTTGGAGTTGCTCTTCTTGAGGAGTATCTTTGTGGCGCTCTCTGTATTTCCTGAATTTGAATGTTGGCCTGCCTTGCTAGATTGGGGAAATTCTCCTGGATAGTATCCTGCAGTCTTTTCCAACTTGGTTCCATTCTCCCTGTCACTTTCAGGTACACCAATGAGATATAGATTTGGATTTTTCACATAGTCCCATATTTCTTGGAGGCTTTGTTCGTTTCTTTTTATTCTTTTTTCTCTCAACTTCTCTTCTCACTTCATTTCATTCATTTGATCTTCCATCACTGATACCCTTTCTTCCAGTTGATCGAATCGGCTACTGAGGCTTGTGCATTCGTCACGTAATTCTCGTGCCTTGGTTTTCAGCTCCATCAGGTCCTTTAAGGACTTCTCTGCATTGGTTATTCTAGTTAGCCATTTGTCTAATTTTTTTTCTTGGGGACGTTTTAACACTCCAGATACTTTATTGGCTGGTAGAGATGGACATCCTAGGCAATTCCTTCAGTCCTTTCATTCAGATTTGTCTCTTTTTCTGCAGTTATATTTTTGCTTGACTTATAGCCTTTAAACTAAGTGTTCTTCCGGAGTAGGGATTATTTCTTATTCATATTTGTCATTGTTACTAGAATCCAATAGGTGCTCAACAAAGGCTTCTTGAATGGAAACGCTAATTCAGGGCTAAACTACTAGAGAGAATAAATAGGCCAAAGTAATCATTTACATCAATTTAAGTTGGCCGATTCAACAACATTTTAAAAACCACATATTATAGTAACTTATTCGTCGTTTGAATTTTTGTATCAGAATTTCTGTTTATCTATGTTATTTCTCCCAGGCCTGATTCAGAAGAGTAGTCTGTATGAGCTGTAACCATAGTAGAAGTAGAGTCTGGTTTCAGCAGAGTGTTTGCACCCCTCTGACTTGACTTTGCTTCTCCGTGAGAGGCAGACTAAGATTAAGTGCTGACAACCAAGGCATTAGTCTAGGAAGTGGTAGGGATATTACTGAGAAAGAGAGCAGGCCGATGGGGGAAGTAGCACAACTGATTGTTGACTGATGTCCTGAGATGAGAGCTATGGGCAACATAATCCAAGGAAATGTGGGTGATTCAACACTTCTCTTAGGCCGGGGAAATCAAGTTAGCACCAGTTGGTATCTTGCCAGACTGCTCAGTAGGGCCTTTAGAGCTTTGGGCACTTTATTTTGGCAAACAGGAAAGCTGTACATTTTCACTGAAAAGACAAATGAAGCTGGCACAGAATTGGTGACTTTGTCACTTCTCTATGGACACAGCAACCACCAAAAGACTCCTGCATAGCATGCACAAGGCTTCATCTCTTGGCCACTTCCAAACCTAAATATCATTTATTCCAAAGGGTCTTAATAACTTTATTGGTTCTGTAACTCTCTCTTGTGCTATGTGAGACTTTACCAACTGAGATTATAGTGCTTTATTAACTGGTTATGAATTTATTATTGAGAAATACCCTTACTCAACCTATATATAATTATTAATTGCTTTAAAATTGTATTTTCCAGCCAGCAAGATGCTTTTATATACAGTATTTAATTCTCACTGGGATAAGAATATTTTTAATTAATTTTTGTAAAAATATAAAATTTAAAGCTCTGATATGTTAAGCAATGTACTTAATGCATAATCTGCATAATACTTTGAGATAGTTTCCATGTTTATGATCTACAGAAGGACTTCTTTATCTTGTATATTTTAAAGTGACCTCCTACTTGCTCTATAATTATATATTTTATTTATTGAGTTCCAGTAATGCAATTGGTTCTTTACTTGTCATTCCTCACAATATTTATAACAAATCAATGAGGTAGGTGACAGGAAGTGGAAATCAGTTCCTAGGCTAGCTTGTTGCTGGTAAATTGTATCCACACAATATTTTGAAAAATAAGAAACACGATCTAAGCTGATTCCAGTGGGCTTGTTAACATACAATTTTAGGTCTTTCATAATCTGGCTCCAAGTTATCTTTGTAAATTCATCTTTAATTGTATCACTCTGTATACAATAGTCTGCTATCTCACTAATCTATTACCTCTCTCGGACACAGCCAATGACTTTCCAACCTCCTACCTTTGTCTTACTTCTCTTTCAATGTGCAATACTATGCTGCGTTTTCTATTATTTGAAGTCATACTTGAATATTGAGATCTTGCCTGAATGGCCTAAAAATCTGAGGAGAATATTGATGTATTCTTACTGTAAGATAACAACATGTGTTGCTTATTCCTATATTTTATTATTGTTAAGTTTCTACTACTGATATTGTCACCCATTCTGCTTCTATACTAGTAATTTCATGTTTTGTCCTTTAGAGCTTAACAATTTAACAGTGTTTAATTTTGAGGGTTTTTTTTTTTTGTTTGTTTTTTTTTTTTTTGAGATGGAGACTCGGTTTGTCACCCAGGCTGGAGTACAGTGGCGCGATCTTGGCTCACTGCAGTCTCAGCCTCCCAGGTTCCATCGATTATCCTGCCTCAGCCTCCTGGGTAGCTGGGATTACAGGTGCACACCACCATGCCTGGCAAATTTTTGTATTTTTGGTAAAGATGGGTTTCACCACGTTGCCCAGGCTGGTCTCGAACTCCTGACCTCAGGTGATCTGCCCGTCTCAGCCTCCCAAAACGCTGGGATTACAGGCATGAGCTACCATGCCAGGCCTCATTTTGATTTTTATAATACCCTTTGGAGAGAGAAAATATATTATTGTCCTAATTTTAGAAATATTAAAAACAAAGATTACAGAAGTTAAATGGCTGGCTCAAATTCATTACTTATGTGTATATACTCAGCCTTCTGTATCTGCAGGTTCTGCATCCACAGAGTCAACCAAGCACAGATTAAAAACATTTTATAAAAACATACAACAAATAATGGTACAAAAATAGAAATTATACAAATAAAATATGTTAGAACAACTGTTTGCATTTTATTTACATTGCATTAGGTATTATAAGTAATCTAGAGACAATTTAAACTATACAGGAGGATGTGTGCGAATTATATGTCGATGCTATATTATTTCATCATTTTATTTCAGGGACTTGAGCATACACAAAATTTGGTAACTATGGATTCTGGTGTCTGTGGAAATCCTGGAACTAAGCCCGTACGAATTCTGGGGGATGACTTTATATATGTATGCCCACACAGACAAACACACGAGAGATAGCCAAAAACAGAAGGGTCCTTTCTCTGTGCCACATATTTTGCTCAGCACTTTATCATGTATTGTCATGTTTGTACCATAACAGCATTTTGAATGATAGGCCACTAATATATCCACATATAGATGAGAAAAGTTAGGAACAGAGATGTTATCACACCAGAGTTTATTACAGTATAAGATAATAGAATCTGGATTTGAACCAAAGCAATCTGGCTCTGGATCTCTTATTCTTTTTCTTATATGATGATCATATTTTTACATCTCTCACTGTTTCTATGTTCTTAAATTCTGATAATGGAGCCTTCTTGCCACTTCCTCTTTGCCAATTATATACCATGAAAACTAGCCCAGAAATCTTGTTTCAAGTCTCTGGGTTTTTGTCTAGAAGTGTTATCCAAATCATCCTCCACTCTAGGACTGGAGCTTTTCCACTGAACTGTAAGCTCATATTGAGGTCATTATAGTTTGCTAAACTGCAGAGAGCTTTGGTTCAAATTAGAAAAAGAGAAAAAAAAGTTTTCTTATATAGGTGAATGTAGTAAAAGCACTCACTTGGTGTAATCCTAAAAATATTTTCCACCTAATATGTCTGCCTACTTTCAGATCACAAACACTCCTTAAAGCATCCTGCAGTGTATTAGAGTGTTCTCCAGATGCAGAGAGACATAGTGGGCAGATCCTAGATTTCAGTTGTCTAAGGCTTGAATCTTGTCATTATTATCTCTAGGATCTTGGGAGAAGTACTTCTGTTGGTCTGAACATATTTCATCACCTGATGTAGAGTCATTGGGGAGATTAGCAGTAATCCATTTAGAGTGACTCACGTAGTGCCTGGTTTATAGTGGGTTCCAATAAAAGGGTTTTTATTATTTCACTTGTTTTACTGATAATCTGATAGGTAGAACTTTAAAACTACTTTAGAATTCAAATCCAATCATACCAGTACTTAATTTAAAACATCTTAATAATTTTTAATCACTGAAATAGAATAAGGTTCATACTTTCTATTCTAGAATGTTTTAGAGTTCTTTAAAACTTGGTTCATAACTACTTATTCACCTTATTTCTTTTGATGCTCACTTAAACTTATTTTGTGCATTTTTTTCTCATTAACAATTTAAAGTTACCTTGTCATTATTTTCTTAAAGCACATATTAATATGTGAATTTGGTTTACTCGAGCTAGAATTTTGTTTTGAAACCTTGTCTATCTAGTGAACTCCTACATATCTTTAAAAATCTGTCTTAAATGATATCCCTTAGATGACCTTTGTATTAGCCACTCCACTCTACCCCATGCCCACTAGATGAAGTGAATCATACTAGAGGTAATGGATCTGCTCCCACATGGAACATACTGTTAAAATTAGTGTGTATGTGTATTGTGTGTGTGTATTACACACACACACTCCCAGAGCTCTACTCTGAGCTTCTTTAGGGCATGAATAATGTATCACTCATTTTACCCTCAGGCCTGGCATATAGTATGAACTGAACTTAAAAGTCTTGAATTACCCAAGGTTTAATAGGCAAAAGGTATTGCATCATGTTCTTCATCCTTAATTATCTTAAGCTAGTTTCCTGAGATGCTCTCTTTGAAAGAGTCTAAGACTAGATCCAGATTCATAGGAAAGGGCATTATTTTTATTTTTGTTTGTTTAATGCTAGGGGTTTAAATTTTAACATGGCTTTAGGAATTTTTTCCCCGCTTTTTTATTTATTTTGATACTGTCTATACACGAGTTTACTTTTTCTATGTCTTCTGAGGTCACTTCTAATAGATTTGACTTTTGACTTTAAATCCATTCCCTTTATGCTAGAAGGTGTTATTTACAGACTGCAAATATAGGCTGGCATGATTTCAAAGCCTGCATTTTATTTCAATAATTCAAATCGCTTATTACAACAAAATGCACTTAAAAGAGCAAGAACAGTGAAATCATTACCATAATCAATTTTACAACATTTTTATCATCCCCAAATGGAAACCCTGTACTCTTTATCTATCACTCCCCAAAGTCCCCCTTTCCCCCAGCCCTAGGCAACCACTCATATACTTTCTGTCCCTATAGATTTTCCTGTCCTGGACATTTCATATCAATAGAATAATATAATATGCAATATTTTGTGACTGGCTTCTTTCATTTAGCATGATGTTTTGAAGGTTCATCTGCATTGCAGCATGTATCAGTACTTCATTCTTATTTATGTCTGAATAATAGGTCATTGTAGATATGTGTTCATTTTTTAATTTTTGTAGGTACATAGTAGGTGTATATATTTATGAGGTACATAAGATATTTTGTCACAGGCATACAATCTATAATAATCACATCACTGTAAATGGGATATCCATCACCTCAAGTATTTATACATATTCTTTGTGTGAGAAACAATCCAATTATAATTATTTAGTTATTTATTTTTAAATGTACAATTATTGTTGACTATAGTCACCCTGTTGTGCTACCAAATACTAGGTTTTATTCATTCTATTCATTTTTGTACCCATTAACCACATTCCACCATTACACTTCCCATCCTCTTACAACCATCCCTCTAATCTCTATCTCCATGAGTTCAACTGTTTTAACTTTTAGCTCTCACAAATAAGTGAGAACATGTGATATTTGTCTTTCTGTGCCTGGCTTATTTCACTTAACATAATGACTTCCATTTCTATCCATGTTGTTGCAGATGAAAGGATCTCATTCTTTTATGGCTGAATAGCCATATTTCTCTATGCATTTATATGTTGATTGATACTTAGGTTACTGCTCAATCTTTGCTATTGTGAATAGTGTTTCAATAAACATGAGAGTGCAGATATATTTTTGATATACTGAATTTCTTTCCTTTTGGTATGTACATAGCAGTGGGACTGCTAAATCAGATGGTGATTCTACTTTTAGTTTTTGAAGAACATTCAAACTGTTCTATACAGTGGTTGTACTAATTTACATTCCCACCAATAGTGTATGAGGATTCCTTTTTCTCAACATCGTTGCCAGAATTTCTTATTGCCTTTTAGACAAGAGGCTTTTCCAAATATAACATCATACCATCTGCAAACAAAGATAATTTGACTTCTTCTCTTCCAAGTTGGATGCCCTTTATTTCTTTCGTCTGATTGCTCTAGCAAGGACTTCCAGTACTATGTTGAATAACAGTGTTGGAAGTGGACATCCTTGTCATGTTCCAGATTTCAGAAGAAAGGCTTTCAGGTTTTCCTCATTCCGTATGATACTAGCTGTGGCTCTGTCACACATGGCTTTTATTGCGTTATGTTCTTCCTATACCCAGTGTTTTAAGGGCTTTTATCATGCAAGGATGTTGAAATGTTTTCAAATGCTTTTTCAGCATCAGATGAAATGATATGATTTTTGTCCTTCATTCTGTTCATATGATGTGTCACATTGTTTGATTTGCATATATTGAACCATCCATGGATACCAGGAATAAATCCCACTTGGTCATACAAATGTTCTTTGTAATGTGTTGCTTAATTTGGCTTGCTAGTATTTTGTTGAGGATTTTTGTGTCCATGTTAATCAGGGATATTAGCCTGTAGTTTTCTTTGTCTGATGTGTCTTTGTCACATTTTAAAAATTCATTCATCAGTTGATGGAAATTTGAGTTGTTTCTGCCTTTTGTCTTTTATGAATAAAAGTGCTATGAATATTTGTGTACATGTTTTTACATAAACAATTACATTCATTTTTTTCTTCAGAATCTACTTAGGAGTAGAGTTGCTGGGTCCAATAGTAACTTGATGCTTAACTTTTTGAGCAACTTTCAGGCTGTTTTCCAAGGTGGCTGCACCATTTTACATTCTCTCTAGCTATGAAAGAAGATTCTTATTTTACCACATCTTCATTAACACTTGTTATTATCTGATATTTTATTACAGTTATCCTAGTGGGTATGAGGTGGTATCTTGCTGAACTTTTGATTTGCATTTCTCTGATGATAATGATTTTGAGCATCTTTCTATGTGCTTATTGTCCATTTGTATATTCTTTTTGAGGAAATGTCTAGCCAGGTCAATTTTTACTTAGGTTGTCTTTGTATTATTGAGTTGTAATAGTTGTTTTTGTATTCTACACAGAAGTCATATAATAGATATATGATTTGCAAATATTTTCTCTTTATTTTTCACTTTTTTAATGGTATCATTCGAAGCACAAAAACTGTTAATTTTATTGTAGTTCATTTTAGCTATTCTTTCTTTGTTGCTTATACCTTTGGTATCTCATCTAAGAAACCACCATCAAATGTGATTGTGAAAATTTTTCTCCATGCTTTCTTCTGAGATTATTTTTTGTTTTTTAGTTTTAACTCTTGCATTTAAGTCTTTGATTTATTCTGAGTCAATTATCATATATGGTGTGAGAAAGGAGTTCAAGTATTAATATTTAATTTATATTTAAAAAGTAAGTTCTGGTATATCCTTTTCCTTTGCCAGTCAAAGTCACAGGATGCATTCCAGCTATTAGACAAGGATACATATTGAAGAAGAAGTTTTAAAACATCAAAACTTTATTTTATTTATTCTTTTTACTTAGAAGTCAGTGTATTATGGAAAGGGACACATGTATTTGAAATCTATATAATCTGAATTAAAGCTGTAATTTCTATATAGCCTTTGTGATTGTAAAAAATAGAATACTTCTCTGAGCTAAAAATTTTATCTTTACAACAGAAATTATAATGAATATATTACACTGTTTTATTGAGGATTTAATGAGATACTTTCTGTCAAACAGCTAGTACAGTTCCTGGAAGTAAATGGAAACATCTTAAATATTAGTTTTTATATTCTACCTTCTTGTCTGCTGGCAGTATTTCCTATGCCACTTGCCTTAGATCTCTATTGGATTTGTTCTTCCGACATCTTTCCTGCATGCATTAATTTCACTGACTCCCTCCTCATACCCCTAACACACATAATGTGCTCAGTCTTGACAGTGTGGTTAAAATATGTGTAGAAATAACAGCAAAGACAACAAAAATGAGGAAGCAACAAACTTCTTAGAAAGGGAAGATCGAAATAAACTGCTTTGAGAATAGAAGTAGAGGCCTAAAGATATGGCTTGGAAAAAGAACTTAAGACAAAATAAAATACCAAGCTAAACTGTGCTGTTTTCATTTAATACACATGCAGGCATGCTTTGCAGATAGTGCAAGTTTATTCTAGACCACTGCGATAAAGCAAATGTCACAATAAAGTAAGTCACATATTTTTTATTTCTGGTTTTCTAGTGCATATAAAATAATTCCAATTGCAATACATCTAAAAAACAATGTACATACCTTTATTTTATTGCTAAAAATGCTAAAAACCAGCTAAGCCTTCAGAGAGTCATAGACTTTTTGCTGTAAGAGTCTTGCCTCGATATTGATGGCTGCTGACTGATCAGGGTGGTGGTTGCTGAAGGTTAGAATGGTTGTGGCAATTTCTGAAAATAGGAAAACAATTAAGTTTGTTGCATTGATTGACTCTTTCCTTCATGCATATTTCTCCAAAGCATACAATGCTATCTGGTAGAATTTCACAGTAAAACTTCTTTTGAAATTGGAGTCAATCCTTTCAAACCCTGCTGCTGCTTTTTCAACCAAGTGTATGTGATATTCTAAATATGTTGTCATTTCAACAGTGTTCATAGCATCTTTACCAGAAGTAGTTTCCATTTCAAGCAACTATGTTCTGTGTTCATTCATAAAAACAAACTCCACATCTGTTGAAGTTTTATCATGAAATTATAGATGTTCAGTTCCATCCTCAAGTTCCGCATCTAATTGTTCTCTTGCAATTTCTATTACATCTGCAATTACTTTCCCCACTGAAGTCTTCAATCGCTCAAAGGCATCCCTGAGAGTTGGAATTCACTTCACTTACACTTCCATTAATGTTGATATTTTGACCTTCTCCTTTGAATCATAAACATTCTTAATGCCATCTAGAATAATGAAGTATTTCCAGAGGGTATTCAATTTACTCTGCCCAGGTCCATCGGAGGAATTATATCAAAAATTATTTCTTGGATAATGAATTTGAAAGCTTAAATTACTCCTTGATCCTTGTGTTGCAGATTTAATGTTTTATTAGCAGGGATGAAAACGTACCTTGTGTATATCCCTATCAGAGCTTTTGGATGAGCACATGATTATCAATAAGCAGTAATCTTTTGAAAGGAATTTTTTCTAGTTTCTGGGGAACAGGCCTCAGCAGTGGGTTTAAAATGTTCAGTAAATCATTTTGTAAGCATACAAGTTACCATCTAGGTTTTGCTGTTCCATTGAGAACAGGCAGAGATAGTTTATTATGACTCTTAACGGCCCTAGGATTTTCAGAATAGTAAGGATTGGGTTCAACTTAAAGTCACCAATTGCATTATCCCCTAAAAATAGTCAGCTTGTCCTTTGGAACTTTGAAGCCAAGCACTGACTTGTCCTCTTTAGCTACAATCTTAGATGGTATCTTATTCAAATATAAGTCTGTTTTGTCTACATTGAAAATCAGTTGGAAAGTGTAGCCACCTTCATCATTTATCTTAGCTCTAGATACCTTACTACAGCTTTTCCATCAGCACTTGCTACTTCACCTTACACTTTTGTATTACAGAAAAAGCTTCTTTCCTTCAACCAAATGAACCAACCTCTGTTAGCTTCAAACTTTTCTGCTGCAGCTTCCTCACTTCTCTCAGCCTTCATAGAACTGAAGAACTAGAGACTTGCTATGGATAAGGCTTTGGCTTATGGGGATATTGTGGTTGATCTGTTCTATCCAGATGACTGAAACTTTCTCCATAGCAGCAGTGAGGCCATTTTGCTTTCTTCTCATTTGCGTGTTCACTGAAGTAACATTTTTAATTTTCTTCAAGAACTTTTTTTTTAACTTTCACAACTTGTCTATTAGGCCTCTCTTTCAGCTTACCTCAGCTTTCCACATGCCCTCTTCAGTAAGCTTTATCATTTCCAGCTTTTGATTTAAAGTGAGAGATGTGTGACTCTTCATTTCACTTGAACACTTAAAGGCCATTGAAGGGTTATTATTGGACTAATTTCAATATTGTTTTGTCTCAGGGAATAGAAAGACATGTGGAGAGGGAGAGAAATGCAGTAACAGCTGGTCTGTGGAGCAGTCAGAATACACACATTTGCCAATTAAGTTTCCCATCTCATATGGGCTAAGTTTGTAACCATTACAATAGTGACATTGATGATCATTGATTACAGATCACTGTAACAGACATAATAGTAATGAAAATGTTAGAAGTAATCACCAAAATGTGGCACAGAGAAATGAAGTGAGCACATGCTGTTGGAAAAATGGTGTCAATATACTTGCTTGATGCAGAATTGCCATGAACCTTCAATTTGTTAAACACACATACACACATACACACACAACATCTGCAGAGGGCCAAAAAGTGAAGTGCAATAAAATAAGTTATTCCTTTATTTTTTATATTAACATCTGCTTATTTAGTATTATTGTTTATCTGATTGAGGCATTTTCTTGTCCATTTATGGCATGCTTTAACTTATCCTGACAAATTCTGAAAATCATAAACAACTGTTTGGTATCAGAGAGATACATATTTTACTTGGAATAATAAAATTACTTGCCGCATGTGTATAATTTGAGAATTATTCTCTTAACTGTGAAAGATATGTATAAAGTAGAGCAAATCCAAGGCTATCTTTTTTAAGCTCTCAAAAAGTTAAAAAAAAAAGCACCAGGCAGTAAGTGTTTTGAGAACAGTAACGTACATTTGTCCTGCAAAAGACCAATTCATCTGCTTTAATAGAAATCCATTTAAAAAAAAGAGATCATTAAGTTGGAAAGTTAATATCCAATATATTTTTTGGCAATATACAAACTTATAATCATGATTTAGGTATCTAATTTTGACACTTGGACTTAAAAATTATAAATCGTATAAACTTCTAGTTGTTCTAGAAAACTTGCTTTGTTCTTATTTATAGAAATATAAAAATTGGCACACAGCAAAAATATAATATGAACATTTCAGTCAGAAAATAAAAAAGGTTTTAATTATCACATGTCTCCTGTCAAAAACACCACAGATGTTCATCTAAAAATGCATATTTTTAAATTAGAATTTTCTACAAATAAAAGTGATTCATCTTTTACACCAGGTCTTAGACAAATTGTGTCACTTCTTACATGATAATAAGCCACCATTTTAATTAGTAGTTGTCATTCACTCCAGCACACCAATCTCTAGAAGAGAGCAAGTAACATTTTGTACAGCTGCTCTCATGCTTTGCCTGTCATCTTTGTCCTGACTTTGAATTCCTCTCCCCAACATTTTCCTCTCCTTTACATAATCCCCCTCCTCATTTTCCTTACTCCCACTGAGCTGTCAAGAGTCAAAATACTGTGATATGAAATCATTGCCTCTATGACTCTAAAAAAGGTGAGCTTGCACTAGATTTTGATCAAAGGGAATCATTTATAAGATAGATGCAGCAAAAAACCTTGGGGAGTGTTTCCCCCCCACTACCCAAAGCATCAGTATTACGTGAAATAGAAAAGACAAAGAAACATATTTCTAAACACTTTTTTGCTCTTAATGACATGATTGATGTTCACTCTATATAATGTTTATTAGTTATTTTCACCTTGTTATTCAGTACCATCTCAGAAAGATGTCTCCTATGAACATATAACTCCAGTAAAAATGGGGAGAATGAAGGCTGTAAGAATTACAGCTCTCAGTTTTGTAAGCAAGAATGAATGGAGAATGAAAAAAAATCTATAACTATTTTGCAGAGGGAAGAAGAGCTTTGGAGGAGACTCTTAAGGTGCCATCATCAGGTGATAACAAAAATTGGGAAGATTTCTTGACTGTTTGCAATTCTCCTTGCCATCATTCTTACAAGGATGTATTTATGTTGTGCCACATCACATTGCAATCTTTGTCTCTACAGTAAAACCTAATTTTGCTAGTGTTTTGGTGAGAGAAGCAGGCCACAGTGCTTTAAGGGAGGCTGTTTGGTTACTGAATCCCACATAGTAGTCTTTGCTGGGATCTCTCAAGTGAGAACTTCCACAGTAAGGTTATAGCCCAATCAAGAGGTGATCCTACCTGTCTTCATGTTGGGTATCAAACATTAGAATTCTTACATCTCCTTTTCTTGGCAAAGATATAACAACCAGAGAAAGTGACACTACAAATCCATTTCTGAGAAAGTATGATAATAAGAATGAGTAATGGAAACATGGGCCATTTTTACCTCTGGTTTTGGGGTAACAGTCCTGATGCCTTCTTTAGATACAGAAGATGACATTTTAAAATTGTAAAGTGAAATAATGAACGTAATTTACATAAATGTACTCTGCACCCAGATTTAAAAATGATTATTTATATTCTGGTTTTGAAAATGTAGCCATTTCCTCAGTCTCTGGGCTTGTGTACAGGAAACGATATTCATTTATAATTTATTCATTTAATTTTTAGCTTTATAAAAGTGCACCCATTGCCATGGTCTCTGAGTGAATATAAAATACTAAACATATAACAACAAAGACAAAGTTAAGCAATAAAAGTAAATTGCAGAAATGTTATGGCTTTCAGATTGTGAAGTCAAGAGCCAAGATATTTTCAGATTAATAATATAAAGGCAATAAAATAAATTCCTACTTAGATGTTCACGTACACACTCATATATATATATATATATATATATATATATAGAGAGAGAGAGAGAGAGAGAGAGAGAGAGAGAGAGAGAGAGAATCTATGATGAAAGCAAAGAAAGGAGGTGGAGGTAAGTGACAGAAGACAAGATGATTAGTAGAATGAGGAGAGGAAAGTTAGAAGTTACAACATGTAGAATTGTCAGTTATCTAGGCTCTCTAAATAGGCCCTGTGGCTTTGTTTGTTAGTGTCAGTTTGTATGTGTTTATGCATAAGGAGGACCATTTTAAGAGGACTATTGGATATGTGCTGGGAAAAATAAAATCTGATTAAGGTGGGATGTTGACCATGGGGACAGAATTGGAGTGTAGGCTTTTTTCCAGAGACAACACAATACCAAAAGTCAGGGGTTGGGTGGGGGTTGGTGGGGACATCCAGGGTCAATTTGTAGGAAAATTCCAGTATTGGAGCATAGGACAAGGCAAGTAAATTGCAGAAAGTCCAATGACTCCAAATGAGAACAAAACAGAGTGAGGTACTATATTTTCTCACCAGTGTTTTCCCAAAAGCTAGCATATTCTCAATAATTATTTGTTAAATGAAAATGGAGGAACTGTGTAGGTTTGTAGCTTTTCATTATATACTGGAAAGTTCCTGATTTATAAAATATTCAAATAGTGTTAAAGTGCTAGGGACAAAGTATGCAAAGGCAAAGGTTTGAAAAAGTCATAGTTGAAAAAGTTAATTGGATTTTTAAAAACTTACTTATTTTTTATATTTTAAGTATGAGAGTGAAAGATGTATATGCATAAAGAAATGTCCCGAAAAATACAAAGTAGTAAATAGGATATATAGAGAGACTGTCCTCATAAGGAACATGGTGTGTGTGTGCACGCACGCGTGTATGTGTGTGCACGTGCATGTGTGTGTGTGTGTGTGTGTTTCTGTTTCCTTAAAGGAATGTGTTTCCTTAAAGTTTTACCCTTGACTAGTGTTGGTTCTGATGATATGTGTTATTTCTTTTCACATATTGCATTGTCTGCAAAGCCTTACATTTTGCTGATGAAAGTAGAGGGAGTTGGCGGTAGCATAGACACTGCAAAAAATGCCCTCAAAGCTCAGTAATTATTCTGAGGCAGATACAAGTGCCTGGCCTGAGAATAAGATCCAACTATAATAATGAGAATTAAGGCAAAGATGCCACAGGACAAAGACCAAATATGTTGCTGAGCTCACCCACTCTCTTCCCATGTACTGCCTTCCAGTAAGCCTTGGACCCTTTCCTCTTCCGAGGTCAAAAAAAAAAAAAAATGAATATATGTATTGAAAGAAAGATATAAATTTATTTTTTTTTCAGAATATCAAGGGTCCCCATATACAAATAAATTAAAAATATGTGTTCTATTGTCTGAAAGGACAGAAGAGAAAAATTCAGGCTAAAACTGTGGAATATGAATTTTATGTAAAATAGAAACGTAAATTTTCCAGTCATGAGGATTATTATATACTATGATGGTTTATCAAAGGAAATTACAGAATAGCTTCCCTTGGAGGCCTTTAAAATGATTTTTTTTTTCATTGAGCATTGACTCCACTCTTCAAAGACATTTTTGTGCATAAGGAGCTGGATTTAATGAAATAAACCAGCTTTGAAATAAACTGAAAAAAGTAAAATAAAAACTTACTTGTTCTACGTTAAAAAAAAAAAAAGGCCTGACATTGTTTTAATGATATGTTCTGCAAGTAATTTTAGAACATGTTATGTTACCCAGGGATCTAAGTAGAACTCTGTTCCAAAAACTAATACCGATGTTCACCATTTGTTGTCTACTTTACTTAGGTTTGTGGATCTTGTAAGTCTTGACTTTGGATTAATATACTGAATAAGTAATTAGAGACATGTATTTCTTTAGTGTTATATTTCTATTAATGCTTACAAAATGGGATTTATTCATATTACTGACACATTGGTGATGTAAATTTTTCTAGGATTATGCTCTTTCATTTAAATGCATGCATTTGAAATTTGAAATGGATATCTAAATTATTTTTATTTCCCCTTTAATATTAGAGCATTGCCTTTGTGCAGTTGTGAGTATGGGTTAGAGAGGAGACTTTGTGACCAGAAAACTAGGTTGACTTTCGATTTTCAGTCCCTTCTTGGAGACTACAATACTTTTTTCCAAAACTTGTTCTGGCTGACTTATTGATAAATTCCCATAACGATGCAGTTATTTAAATATGTATGGATACTACACATATAGACATAAAGATACTTGATTACCTGTGTACATATATAAACACATTTTATTTTATTTTAGACGGAGTCTGGCACTGTTGCCCAGGCCGGAGTGCAGTGTTGCAATCTAGGCTTACAGCAACTCTGCCTCCTGGGTTCACGCCATTCTCCTGCCTCATCCTCCCGACTCATCCTCCTGAGTAGCTGGGACTACAGGTGCCTGCCACCACGCCCGGCTAGTTTTTGTATTTTTAGTAGAGACAGGGTTTCACCATGTTAGCCAGGATGGTCTCGATCTCCTGACCTCGTGATCCACCCACCTCGGCCTCCCAAAGTGCTGGGATTACAGGTGTGAGCCATCGTGCCTGGCCACACATTTTTGAAATTATTTTTTCAATAAATTAGATAAAACATATCTATGATAAAAAAATCAGAATATTAGGAAGAAAATGAAGCTTCTTCACTTTAATGCAAGGCATCTATAAAAAATCTATAGCTAATATCATATAAAAAATCTATAGCTAATGTCATATTAAATGGAGAAATACTGAATTCTTTCCCACGCAGATCAGAAACAAGTCTCACGATTCTGGAGACAAGAAAGTCCACAATCAAGGTGCTGGCAGATCCGGTGACAGGTGGGTATCCTCTGTGTACTTTGTAGATGGCCATCTTCTGTTTGTATTCGCACATGGCAGGGGGGGTGGGGAGGAGAGAGAGAGAGAGAACGCAAACTCTATCTTTTGTAATAAGGGCTTAGTCCCATTCATTCATAAAGTCGCTACCATCATATCTTAATAACTTCCCAAAGGCCCCACCTGAAAATATCATCACATTGTAGATTAGGCATCAACATAGGAATTTGGGAAAACACAAATATTCTGTCCATAGCTCCCTCTCTTACCACTATTGTACAGTATTGTATCAGGATCTGAGTAAGCACAATGTCCAGAAAGGAAATTTTAAAGGGCAAAGGAAAGATAAAAGATAAATTTCTTTTTATAACTTTTATTTTAGGTTCAGGCTTCATTGGAAGGTTTGTTACATAGGTAAACTTGTGTCATGGGAGTTTGTTATGCAGATTATTTCATCACCCAGGTATTAAGCCTAGCACCCACTAATTTTGCTGATCCTCTCCCTCCCCCCAGACTCTCCACCCTTCCATAGACCCCAGTGTGTGTTGTTCCTCTCTTTGTGTCCATGTGTTCTCATCATTTAGCTCCCACTTATAAGTGAGAACATGCAGTATTTGGTTTTCTGTTCCTTTGTTACTTTGCTAAGGATAATGGCCTCCAGCTCCATCCAATTAGTACAACCATTGTTGAGGACAGTATGACAATTCCTCAGATCTAAACACAGAAATACTCTTTGACCCAGCAATCTCATTACTGAGTATACACCTAAAGAAATATAAATCATCTGTCATAAAGACACATGCACATGTATGTTCATTGCAACACTATTCACAATAGTAAAGACATGGAATCAACCTAAAAAATCTATTTTGATTTACCTGTAGTAATTTCTAATTATTACATGATTGCTTAAATATAACCCCAAATAACTTACACATGAATTACTATAATTAATTATAACATTTACTAAGGTTACAAGATTCAGGGTGAATATATATAAATTCACTGTATTTCCATAATATGCTTGCAGGGAACAATAGAAAATTGAATTGATGAAATATTTGATAAATCTAACAAAATTGATAAGCATGCTGAAAATAACAGAACATTGATAAGATAAATTAAAGAGCTAAGTAAATGGGGAGATATATTTTGTTTATGAAGCATATCTAATAAGATTTTTAAGACGGCAGTTATTCTAAATTAATCTGTAGATTAAATTGCATTTTCATGCAGACCTTAGCTGGCTCTTTTACAAAAATTGACAAACTAATACTAAAATTTAGCATAAAAAAATGTAGAAGACCTAGAAGAGGCAAAATAAGTGCGACAATAAAGGAAAAATGAAATAGACACTATCTATCTTAAGTCTTACCGTAAGCAAATAATAGTTAAGACAATTTGGCTTTATTGTAAAGATTGACAGAAAGATCAATGAAACAGATTAGAACATGCTAAAATCGACACATACACACTAATTGTTTTTTGAAAAAAAAGGTATTTCAATGGAAAATATTATTATTTTTAACAAATAGTACCTGAACTTTTGGACATACATATTCAACAATGAACCTTGATAACTTTTACCCTATACCATACACAAATATTAACTAAAAATGGATCATAGACCGAAATGTTAAAAGCTAATACTGTATAACATCTAGAGGAATATATATGAAGGTATCTGTAAGACGGGGTAGAATAATAATGAAAGCTATATAAGAAAATAAATATATATACACATATGTATATATAATACATAGTTTTAGAAACTGATTTTACTCATGAAACTATGACCACAATAAAGATAATGAATATGTCAGTCACTCCTTAATGTTTCCTGATTCCCATTTATAATCTCTTTGGACATCTTCCCCTTATCCCCAAACAGTGATTTGCTCTCTGTCATTGTAGATGAGATTGCGTTTTCCATAATTTTATATAAATGAAATAAGAAAATAGGTACCATTTTCTCATCTTGACTCCTTTCACTCATTAACATAGGTTAGAGACTCAGCAATGTTATTTTCACTATTTTAACAAAGTTTTTAAAGATCATGTATTAATACTTCATTGTCTTTTATTGTTGAGTATTATTTCATATGAATATACCACAGTTAGTTTGTTTATTCCTTCACCAGTTGATGGACAGTTGGTTTGTTTCCATCTTTTAGGTATTTGTGAATAAAGTTGCTATGAACGTTTATGTATATGTTTTTGTGAGAATAAATATGCTTTCATTTATTTTTCTAGTTGAAATGCCTTGGAGCAGAATGACTACTATATGCTATTTAAATTTTTTTAAATGCCAAACTGTTTTTCAAAGTAGTTGTGCCATTTTACTTTTTCACCAGCAGTATACGAGAGCTCTGATTACTTCACATCATTGCCAACACTTGGTATGGTTAATCCTTTTTCATTTTAGTTGTTCTATTGGTTCATAGTAATGGCACTTCATTATGGTTTTAAATTGAATTTTCTTTTTTGTAAACTCATATTTTAGGTGCAGAGATACATGTGCAGTTTGGTTATATAGAGAGACTCGTGTCCCTGGGGTTCGTTATACAGATAATTTTGGCACCAAGGTACTAGGCCTAGTACCCAATAGTTTTTTTTTTTTTCTGATTTTCTCCCTCCTCTTCACTCTCCAAGCTCAAGTGGACCTCAGTGTCTGTTGTTCCCCTCTTTGTGTCCATGTGTTCCCATCATTTAGCCATTTGGCTCATACTTATTAATGAGAACATGCAGTATTTGGTTTGGTGTTACTGCATTCGTTTGCTAAAAATAATGGCCTCCAGTTTCATTCACGTTCCTGCAAAGGACATAATCTGGATTTTTTATGGCTGCATAGTATTCCTTCATGTATGTGTACCACATTTTCTTTTTTTTAAATTATACTTTAAGTTCTAGGGTACATGTGCACAACGTGCATGTTTGTTACATATGTATACATGTGCCATGTCGGTGTGCTGCACCCATTAACTCGACATTTACATTAGGTATATCTCCTAATGCTATCCCTCCCCCCACCCGACGACAGGCCCTGGTGTGTGATGTTCCCCTTCCTGTGTCCATGTGTTCCCATTGTTCAATTCCCACCTATGAGTGAGAACATGTGGTGTTTGGTTTTTTGTCCTTGCAATAGTTTGCTGAGAATGATGGTTTCCAACTTCATCCATGTTCCTACGAAGGACATGAACACATCTTTTTTTATGGCTGCATAGTATTCCCATGGTGTATATGTGCCACATTTTCTTAATCCAGTCTAGCACTGATGGACATTTGGGTTGGTTCCAAGTCTTTGCTATTGCGAATAGTGCCGCAATAAATATATGTGTGCATGTGTCTTTATAGCAGCATGATTTATAATCCTCTGGTTATATACCCAATAATGGGATGGCTGGGTCAAATGGTAGTTCAAGTTCTATATCCTTGAGGAATTGCCACAGTGTCTTCCACAATGGTTGAACTAGTTTACAGTCCCACCAACAGTGTAAAAGTGTTCCTATTTCTCCACATCCTCTCCAGCACCTGTTGTTTCCTGACTTTTTAATGATCGCCATTCTAACTGGTGTGAGATAGTATCTCATTGTGGTTTTGATTTGCATTTCTCTGATGGCCAGTGATGATGAGCATTTTTTCATGTGTCTGTTGGCTGCATAAATGTCTTCTTTTGAGAAGTGTCCATATCCTTTGCCTACTTTTTTATGGGGTTGTTTTTTTCTTGTAAATTTGTTTGTGTTCTTTGTAGATTCTGGATATTAGCCCTTTTCAGATGAGTAGATTGCAAAAATTTTCTCCCATTCTGTAGGTTTCCTGTTCACTCTGATGGTAGTTTCTTTTGCTGTGCAGAAGCTCTTTAGTTTAATTAGTCAGTTTTGGCTTCTGTTGCCATTGCTTTTGGTGTTTTAGACATGAAGTCCTTGCCCATGCCTATGTCCTCAATGGTATTGTCTAGGTTTTCTTCTAGGATTTTTATGGTTTTAGGTATAACATTTAAGTCTTTAATCCATCTTGAATTGATTTTTGTATAAGGTGTAAGGAAGGGATCCAGTTTCAGCTTTCTACATATGGCTAGCCAGTTTTCCCAGCACCATTTATTAAATAGGGAATCCTTTCCCCATTGCTTGTTTTTGTCAGGTTTGTCAAAGATCAGATGGTTGTAAATGTGTGGTATTATTTCTGAGGGCTCTGTTCTGTTCCATTCGTCTATATCTCTGTTTTGGTACCAGTACCATGCTGTTTTGGTTACTATAGCCTGGTAGTATAGTTTGAAATCAGGTAGCATGATGCATCCAGCCTTGTTCTTTTGGCTTAGGATTGTCTTGGCAATGTGGGCCCTTTTTTGGTTCCATATGAACTTTAAAGTAGTTTTTTCCAATTCTGTTGAAGAAAGTCATTGGTAGTTTGATGGGGATGGCATTGAATCTACAAATTACCTTGGGCAGTATGGCCATTTTCACGATATTGATTCTTCCTATCCATGAGCATGGAATGTTCTTCCATTTGTTTGTGTCCTCTTTTATTTCGTTGAGCAGTGGTTCGTAGTTCTACTTGAAGATCGTTCTCCTTGAAGAGGTCCTTTACATCCCTTGTAAGTTGGATTCCTAGGTATTTTATTCTCTTTGAAGCAATTGTGAATGGGAGTTCACTCATGATTTGGCTCTCTGTTTGTCTGTTATTGGTGTATAAGAATGCTTGTGATTTTTGCACAATGGTTTCGTATCCTGAGACTTTGCTGAAGTTGCTTTCCAGTTTAAGGAGATTTTGGGCTGAGACGACGGGGTCTTCTAGATGTACAATCATGTCATCTGCAAACAGGGACAATTTGACTTCCTCTTTTCCCAATTGAATACCCTTTATTTCTTTCTGCTGCCTGATTGCCCTGGCCAGAACTTCCAACACTATGTTGAATAGGAGTGGTGAGAGAGGGCATCCCTATCTTGTGCCAGTTTTCGAGGGGAATGCTTCCAGTTTTTGCCCATTCAGTATGATATTGACTGTGGGTTTGTCATAAATAGCTCTTATTATTTTGAGATACGTCCCATCAATACCTAATTTATTGAGAGTTTTTAGCACGAAGGGCTGATGAATTTTGTCGAAGGCTTTTCTGCATCTATTGAGATAATCATGTGGTTTTTGTCTTTGGTTCTGTTTATATGCTGGATTACGTTTATTGATTTTCATATGTTGAAGCAGCCTTGGATCCCAGGGATGAAGCCCACTTGATCATGGTGGATAAGCTTTTTGATGTGCTGCAGGATTCATTTTGCCAGTATTTTATTGAGGATCGTTGCAACGATGTTCATCAGGGATATTGGTCTAAAATTCTCTTTTTTGGTTGTGTCTCTGCCAGGCTTTGGTATCAGGATGATGCTCACCTCATAAAATGAGTTAGGGAGGATTCCCTCTTTTTCTATTGATTGGAATAGTTTCAGAAGGAATGGTACCAGCTCCTCCTTGGTGTACCACATTTTCTTTATCCATTCTGCCATTTACAAGCTTTTAGGTTGATTCCATGTCTTTACTATTGTAAATAGTGCTGCAATGAACATATGCATACATGTGTCTTTATAGTGGAATAATTTATATACCTTTGGGTGTATACCAAGTAATGAGATTGCTGGGTCAAATGGTAGTTCTGTTTTTAGCTCTTTGAGGAATCACCACACTGCTGTCCACAATGACTGAACTAGTTTGCATTCCCACCAACAGTGTATACACATTTCCTTTTCTAAGCATCTATGCCAGCATGTTATTTTTTGACTTTGTACTAATAGCCATTTGGACTGGTATGAGATGTTTTCTCATTTCTCTAACGATCAGTGTTATTGAACTATTTTTCATATGCTTGTATACTGCAAGTATATCTTCTTTTGAAAAGTTTCGATGTCCTTTACAGTAACCCAAACAGCATGATACTGGTGCAAAAACAGGCACATAGACCCATGGAAAAAAAGAGAGATTTCAGAAATAAGGCTGCACACCTATAACCATCTGACCTCTGACAAAGCTGATAAAAACAAGTAATGGGGAAAGGACTCCCTATTAAATAAATGATGCTGGGATAACTGGCTAGCATATGCAGAAGATTGAAACCGGACCCCTTCCTTACAGTATATACAAAAAAATCAATTCAAGATGAATTAAAGACTTAAATGTAAAACCAAAAACTATAAAAACTCTGAAAGACAATCTAGATAATACCATTGTTGACATAGAAACTGGCAAAGATTTTCTAGATAATACCATTGTTGACATAGAAACTGGCAAAGATTTCATGATAAAGATGCCAAAAGCAATACAACAAAAGCAAAAATTGACAAATGGAACACAATTTAACTTAGTTTCTTTTGCTGTGCAGAAACTCTTATCAACAGAGCAAACAGACAACCTATAGAATGGGAGAAAATATTTGCAAGATATGCATCTGACAAAGTTCTGACATCCAACATCTATAAGGAGCTTGAACAAATTCATAAGGAAAAAACAAACAACCCCATTGAATTTTCTGATGACTAATAATGCTGAACACATTTTCATGTGCGTATTTTCCATTGATATATCTTCTTTAGTGAGGTCTTTATTTTTCCAATCATTTGCCATTTTAAAAATTAGATAGTTTGTTGTCTTGAGTTGTGAAAGTTTTTATGTATTCTGATATGTCTTTTTCAGGTACAAGGTTTGCAAATTTGAGATTCCTTTTAGTCTCTCCATATTGCATGTTTCCTACTAAAATAAAGTTGCAACTAAAGAGATTGAACTACTGAATACAAACTAACAAATGCATGATTTTAAGATTTTTAAAAGACAATTATATGATAAGTTAGAGTAAATGGCTATTACTGAATTAGTTGCTTAAAGAAATTGAGTAAAAAAACTCTCAACATACCAAAAAAAGGTAATATTGCAAAAAACTATAGAAAGAGATTTCTCTAACCTTAAGCAAGACGTTATACTGTCAAATTGAAGCTTTAATTGTGGTCTAGACAGCACTTATTTTAAAAGACTTTAGCATACCTTGTACAATTGTTGGAATCTCAAGACAAGGAAACAAAAAATCTCTCTGACAGAAAGATAAAGTGTATGGCTTTTCTGCACTTCAGCTTAATGATGTAATCTATTATGGCAATACATTTTCTGATATGGAAAAATTAACACATTCCTAGAATAATTTCTATCCTTTTTATACTTTGCTAGGTACTATTTTCTAATGTTTTATTTAAAAATTACACATCTATTTTTTCAATGGGTATTCTTTCTCTGTTTTCTTTCTCCATCTTATTCATGTTTTAGTATTTAGAAATAGGTAACTGCCTAAAACAAACAAACAAAAAAAACTTTTATCTTTTTTTATCATTTTTCTTTTCTTTTTATTTATTTAGTTAGTTAGTTAGTTAGTTATTTTTGAGACAGACTGTCACTCTGTCACCCTGGCTGGAGTGAGTGCTGTGGTGTGATTTCAGCTCACTGCAACCTCTGCCTCCTGGGTTCAAGTGATTCTCATGCCTCAGCCTCCTGAGTAGCTGGAGTTACAGATGTGCACCACCGCACCCGGCTAATTTTTGTATTTTTAGTAGAGACGGGGAATCACCATGTTGGCAAGGCTGGTCTTGAACTCCTGACCTCAAGTCAAGTCATCCACCCACCTTGGCCTCTTAAAGTGCTGGGATAACAGGCATGAGTCACTGCGCCTGGCTGTCAACTTTTACCTTTTCTGATTAGTTGGAATACTTAAGTTTCAGGATAATTTTTTTTTTTTTTTTTTTTTAGAGATTAGATAAACCTCTTTTATGAAATTATGTTGTCCTGGAGCCTTTATACAAAACACACACACATGCACTCTTTAATCATCACCTTTCCAATCTCTTCTAAAATCATTTGTATATTTATTTTAGTGTGCTTTTCTCTTTTCTTGGATCAATTTTGGGAATGTATACTTTACTAGGATATAATCTAATCTATTGTATTACAGCTTTTGCTAGAATCACCAAGCATGTTGAATCATAGTAAGTATTTTAAATTTGTAAAAAGTCAGTTGTGACTCCAGAATATTTACCATTTGGAAACAGAAGCAGAGAAGATCACAGACAGTTTACATTCAATATGATGAAAAATAAAGAGCCACCATGCTTTGTTCCTTCTCCTAAGGTTTTCAATCCAGTCATAACACCAGCGTTGACTGTTTTTATTCCTAACAGATGCTTGTTATATTCTCAGTTTGATTACAAATTCAGAGGAGGAAAAAACGTGACTTGTCAGCCCTCTTAAACCAAAAGAAAACATTAAAAAGTAATAATAGGGACTATGAAAGAGCAAGAGTACATACAACCTACCTAATATGTATGTCTCTTCATGTCTCTTCAGCACTGTACTGTGTTCAACATCGATGATAAATAAAATTTTCATTTTTCAATTTAAAACTAAATTTAAAATTAATACAATTATCAGTTTATCAATTAAGGTATTTATTAATCAGGCATCTTCACTATCATTAAATAATAGTTTATTAGATAATTATGATTAATAGTTCATTAAGAGGGTTATTTAATGATAATGAATATCTGGTGAGCAATTTCTATTAAGCATCTACCATATGCAGATTTTATGCTTGACTTTAGGGATTCAATGTTGTGTTATTTAACATTACAATCCGTGAACATCTTATGTTCTAGTGCTTGTTACTGTACTATAGGCTATATCAAAGATAAGCCATCAGAGATGATTTAATTTGAATTTCTTTTAAACAAATTAAAAATTAAATTATCTGTACTGTTGCAATACCCGTTTTCCTCAACTTTCTCTTTTCCTTTGCATTCTACATTTATGGGCAGAAATTTGAAAAGAAAAGAAAAATGCTGAGCTCTCATGTTTGAAAAAAAAAAGAGGAATGTTGATTCCTCAAAAACACTATTCATCCGCATAGTCTGTTTGATACACCCAAGAATACTACCAAGAGGCCTCTAGGGGTTAAACTCACTTTTTTGATTGATTAATGTATTAAGATTCAGATCTGGTCCCTTGTTTTCCTGGTGCAGCACACTGATTCATCAGCACATCAAGGGGCATTAATAAATATGTCAGAGGTATCTACACATGAAGCAAGCTCTGAAGACACTTATAAATTCAGAATGGCAAGTGATTAACTCACTATGAGAACTATAATTGTCACAGGAACAACATTTGCACCCCTCATAATCAGTCTATTTTCTCTCTCTAGGTAGACCTACATGAGCTGTCCAGTCATATTCTGAATGTCAACCTATCTTTCCATAAAACATAACTATCATAGGTACCTTACAAACTTCAGGTTTATAAGACGAGGAATTGTATTTGATCTGAAATGCCTAAGTGGACACAGTTCTGCCAATAATGAGCCACATCCACCTTTGAGCAAACAGAAGGGCTGGATGGATCTCCATAATATATAAAAGAAAAGAAAAAATAACTTTTTAATAAAAATAAAAAATAGCACCTGTATTAATCAAGATTCTTCAGTGAAATAGAGCAAATAAAAATTTGTTTTTTTTCCCCCACTGGAAAATACCTTTTGTTTTTCCTTTTCTGAGCATCTCCCTTCCCTTCCTTTCCTTTCACCTTACCTTTCTCCCTTCTTTTCTCCCTCCCTCCCTTCCTTCTTTCCTATTTTAACTGTTGACTGTAGAGATGCGTATTATTTCAATACAGAGCACTCCATCATTTTTCTCCCTAAATGATTCACAGATTCTCTCCTAATGAGATTTCTGTCATGATAGTTGTATTCTCGTTGTTGTTTGTTTTGTTTTATTTATTTTGATTCATTTGGTTTACTTTAATTGTAGCACATTTGTTAGCTTGGATTTATAAACTATTATACGTTGTAAGGACCTGGAGAAAAGCATGGTTCACACAGTGAAATGTTAGAATTTTACATTAATTCCACGCTAGCCCTCTGATGATGAAGCTGCCCTGGGATTCAGAGAACCTTTCTTCTCATAGTATTTATATAATAAACAAACTGCACACATCCCCAAGAATTCATTTCTCACCCAATAAATGAGGGTAATGTTTTCCCAAGTTACCTCAGAGAGTTGATGTGAGCATCTAATACGGAAATAAAAAGAAAACTCTTTGAAAAGAATAAAGCACTTTTGTTATGAGTTTGGGGAATTATTAATTATTGATGTTTATAAGCCTAATTAGGAACTACCCTTTAATAATTTATCTAATTCTATAGATTATGTTTCTTGAAATGCTCTCTCATTCTATCAACAGCTAATATCATTTGTTTTATGACTGAAACAAGAGTGTTTTCCAAAGTGTAATTAAAAATTCTTTCTATGAAGAAAATTTTCTTTGAATATAAATCAACCTTTGAAATCAAGACCCAACATGAGTCATCTCTGTAACAGAACAGGTATTGTTATAAATATGCATTTGAAAATCATATGTAACAAACATTAAAAAACTAAAAATATTCAAAATTTCTCACATTTATACACTAACAATTTATAAATGAAAATTTATCATATGTATTAATGCATGAAAATTATATAGTGTACTTTCTTTTTATATTTTTACAAACATTTTTCTTTGGATGAAATTGATTAATGTCTCAAAGTACCCAACATATCAAAAATGATGCAAAAAGAATTAGAAAATCTACGTATCTATTATAGCAATTGAATTTGTAATTTGAATCTTACCAGAAAAGATATCTTCAGGCCCAGGTAGCTTCTTCATCACAAAATTTTTCCAAATTTTTTAGGAGAAATATATCAGTCTACCAGAAAATATTCTAGAGAATATAGAAAGAGAAAATACTTCAAACTTATTTTGTGAGGTTATCATTAATACAAAAACATAAAATAAATTATAAGAAAGAAAAATTGTGTCATTCATAAAATAGATGTAAATTCTAACCATCTTAGCAAATCAAAGAACTATATTAAAAAGGATAATATATCATATTCATGTTAGATTTATATTCCAAAACAGTGTTTAACTTCCAAAAATCAATGCAATTCAACATAATAATGTTAAAAAATTGTATGATCATTTTGCTACATTCAGCAGGTGCAGTGCACAGAAATCAGTCCCATTCATTTTACTTTAGCATGTTGCAGCCATTGGAGAATCTTCTACAGAAAGCCAGGATGATTTTGCAGCTTACCTCATGAGTTCTCCTTCTTTCAGTTGTCACATTCTTCTATTGGATATTGTACAATGCCTGGATGTATTGTTTTCTTATATTTTACTCAGGTTATTAGACCAGAAAAAGATCAGCGCCCCACTTTGGTAGTTGGGCAGTTTTTAAAAATTATTATAATTATTAAAATAGAATTTTTTTAACATCTTAAATTTGTGATAGCTTCACCAACAATGTATCCTCCTCCAATTTCTCATATATATGAATGCTAACTACATTCCAGTGCATTATAGAGCTTTCTAAAATATGATATATTGCAAAAATATATCATTCGAACATAAGAAAACTATGTTCTTTAAATAGTAGGTGAATATGACTTTCTGAAACTTGTTCATTAATGCCCACAATCTAGTGTGGCAGAATACTATATAATTAATGAGAACCAACTTCAGAAAAAGTAAAATAGTTAAATAAGCTGTAATGCAAATTTTTACATACCTTTATTCAAGTAAGCACATTGACAATTATGTGCTTCTGTTCATGATTTGAAGACAGAACTATGTTTTCATGTTTCTATGTGATAAGTGGGGAATGATTTGCATTCTATTTTTATGAATGCAAATCAAATTGTCTATATATGTAAGAAAGTATTACTGCAACTATTGACAGCATTGAATCCTAATTTACACTTCCTAAATACTGTAATGTTAGGCAATCATTTCAAGAGTTAGCAGCTGCAAAATCTATAGTTTGTAAAACTTCCAGCCATAAATATAACTGTATTTTGTAGAATAGGTGATAAAAAGAGAGCATTTTTATCCAGAACTTTATTTCTTACACTCTCTTTCAAACAAGTAATCTTCCAAGTGCTGAGTCAGCAGAAAAATTATTTTAGTAAATTATATACAGTGCATTAAATTTCACTGCCTTTAAATCTAATTCAAATATTTATGTATATTCTCTCTACAATATCCAGTTACATGGCAGTATAAATTTTCCATAATCATATTATGTCTCTGAGCTTGCTTTGGTGGATCTGTGTAAAAAAATCTTTGTTGTATTTTTTATCATCATACCTTATGTGAAGTATACTGTTTTCAAGAGACTGTAGGATTTTATAATATCTAAACCATCAGTTTTTCTATTATCTCAAAATACACAAAATGGCATTTCCTGCAGTCATAAGTAGGCCCAAACTTCCTACTTTAGCCCCAGAGGATGCAAGCCAGTTTGGATGAATTAACTGTGAGTTGGGAGAGCACCATGGTTAATGACCAGAAAATATATCACAAGCGAGGAAAATATACATTACCCAGGTTGCAAACACCTCCATCTCATGGGCATTGACTTGCAAAGTCAACTTAAACCTCTGGGAATTTGAGATGAGGTCTCGTTTGTTTGCTTCTCTGGAGAAAAATTGGTTTCTTATTTACAATAAAATGGGTACCAAAGGGATTATATAGAATAAGCCAAAGCACTTCAGGGATTCAAAATTGCTTTTCCACAGCAACATTTTGGAGACTTGAATGTAACTGCTAATCAAACTCCAGATACATACATATATATGTGTATACACACACACACACACACACACACACGTGCACATATATATGGAAGGACCACTCGAGAGAGAGAGAGATACACACACACACACACACACACATATGTGTGTGTGTGTGTGTGTATATGTGTGTACATATATATGTGTGTTTGTATATATATATATTCTATATGGCAGGACCACTCATTAACTTAATAGTAGGGAAAAATCTCAGACTCTTCCCAGTTGTTGACACTGATGTAATTCTAATGCTTATGAGAGTGTATGTATGACCCATGAGGGTACTAAATAAATATTTGTTGTTAATAATTAGAGAATGAATAAGAAATGAACTACAGCATATATATATATATATATACACACATATATATATTGTTTTTCTATCATCTCTAATGATCACTAAATATCAAAAATGATGGTTTACAGAGGCTTTCTCTTCTACACTATTCTTATCATTCTCATGTGAAGACTTAAACCACAATAAACAAAATTAGAAATATGTTTCATTTTAAGTGAAACATACGTCTTTCTCCCAATGAAATTAATTAGGATAAAAGTGAGTGAAAAATGTAATATTCAGGGAAATTATTTGTAATTATTTGCATATATTACTTCTTTTCTTGGCCTACCCTAACCAACCCAAATTTAAACTACACTCTCAAATACTCCCAATCTCCTTTATCCACTGTTTTTTTTTTTCCTTAGCATTGATTACCTGTAATCTAATAAAAACCTTTTTAAAAAATGTGTTATATTTACTGGGTGTTTTTCCTTAAAATGTAAGCTTCACAAGAAATGTTTGTCCATCTGTCTATTGAGAAACAGTTCTCCATGAGTCATTTTGATTTGTGTACATCTTATAAGTAGAGGCACTACAGCCTTTTCTTCTCTACTCCCTTTTCAAGGATATGTGCATAGCAAACATTCTTGGAAGAAATCATAGATTGTCCCTTCCTTCAAAACAGAGGACAAGTTTCTTTCCTTCCCAGTATAATAAATAAATATAATATATCCCTTCATGGCCAAAGTTGGGTGTATTTACTTGCATACCATTATGAAAGATTAGGGTTAATCTTTCATAATGGTATGCAGTCTTCTTAAAATTGCATAATGGTGTGCAATCTTCTTAAACTTGGGGTTCCTCAGCAGTGATGCAAACTTACTGTGTGCACAGCATCCTCCAAAGTCATTCTGTGTCACTCTGTATGACTTAAAAGGCAATTGAAACTGGAACCAACATGAAGGTCATATTGTCCGTTGTGCCATGAGTAATAACTTCTTTTGCCTCTGCCCCAGAAGTCTTGCTTTCTCTGTCAGCGCCTATGAAACCGCGGCAGGAAAACTTGCTAACTTAATAGTAGGGAAAAATCTCAGACTCTTCTCAGTTGTTGACACTGATGTAACTCTAATGCTTATGGAAGTGTATGTATGGCCCATTGAGGGTACTAAATAAATACTTGTTGTTAGTAAATATGTGAATGAATATGAAATGGACTACAGCATTTATGAGAATAAGTGATAATATTTCTGAAATGATAGACCTTGACAACTGTAATTTTTTGAACTAAAATGAAATATAGATGTCAACATGATTGTGATATTATAATGGTTAAGAGTTTGGCTCTTACATCAAGTAAACATAGCTCAGTCGCACCTATTACTCACTGTGTAACCTAGAACAAGACGTTTCAATCTTAATTTCTCATTTGTAAATTAGAAGAAATAATTGTATAATACATGTACTGTTGTTGAGTTAGATGGGATAATAAACTGAGTTTATTACTGAAGTTGTATTATTATTTTGTTCAGATTCCTTTCTGAATTATCCTTATTCAAACACAATAGTATGACTTGTAGAGCCCATAAATAACTCACACAATATGTAATCTGCCCCCCTTTTTTTGTCTCCCAGGTGCCAAAACACTCTATTACATGCTCCAGGTTCGTAAAACTTTGAATCTATAGCTTGATATCTTTCATCCTTCTAAAAACATTCTCACCCATTATCTCTTCAAATACTGATTCTGCTTTGTTCCCTTCTATTCTCTTTCCTCTATTCTCTTTTTCTCTTCTCTTTTCCTCTCCCCTCTTCTTCCCTCCTTTCTTTTCTTTTCTCTTCCTCTCCTCCTCCTTGCCCTTTTTCTTCTTGTCTTTCACATCTGAGGTCATACTCTAGAACTCCAATCACATGTATGGTAGAATTCTAAAATATTATATACCCTAGGCATCTTATAATCTTTACTGTGTTTTGTTTTACCATTTTATCTCTTAATGCTTCATTCCTCATATTTTCTAATAACCTATCTTCCAGTTCCTTCTTCACGTGCATCTAACAACTGTTAAACCTCTTGAGATCTTAAATTTTATTATTATTACATTTTTCAGTTCAGTAATCTTTATAGTTTCCCATTCTCTGGCAAGGCTATTAACATTTCCTTTTATTTCTATCAGCATATTAATCACATTAATTTTAAAGTGTCTGTCTGATAATCCTTTAACGATCCTGATGATTTGTGATTTGTGTGTTTTCTTGGATTTTGGTCACATACCTTATCCTCATATGCCTGATAATTTTTGTTTCAGTGATAGGCATTGCATATTTTAAATTTAGGGAAAAAATAACTAGAGACTAAGTATACTCTTATCTTTCTTCAGAAAAAAATTTATATTTACTTCTAGCAGATGGCTAGAGACACTAGCCACTTGGATCACATGAATCTAAATTTAGGAAATAAAATAATGCAAAGTTATGCTTCAGTCCTTGAGGGTAGTTCTACTTGTGTCTCTTTTTTAATTCTATAATGTATTTCTATGGGGACCCTGCCCAAAGTACTAGGGAATTTTTTGGTCACCTTCTCCCTAAATGGCCTTCAACTCTAACTTTTGTTCTGTTAGGCCTAAAAGACAGTCAACATTCCTTTCCTTCTTGTTGACCTCACAGATATTCTTCTGCAATGCCTTAGGGGCAATGTGGTCCCAAATACTAAAAATGATAGATATCTTTCTCTTACATCACAGTCCTTTAATTTTCCACTACTGTTAGCTTTCCAGGGCCTTCACTGGATATATAAAATCTCCTAGCTGTCAGAGCTATTTTCAGTAGATGAATTGCCACTACTGGAAGCCCAATGCACTCTACATTTTTTAAATTACATCTCACTCACTTCACTTACTCTTTTATATAAAACTACACAGACCAGCAACACTTTAAAAGCCATTTATGCCTGAGGTTGCAATTTTTTGATTTTTTGCATGAGTGAAAAAATCAGATTTTGGCGATGACCTTGAGCAGTAGGCTATAAATAACTTCCACATGCTTAGTATTTCAATAATGGAACATTAGGCATAAGTGGGTTAAATTAGATGACATTACTTAAAGTATAAATTACTTACATGAGATTATACATTTCTGAGTTGCCTACTATACCATCTGGAACTGTATTTGTTAGGTATCTCATTATATGCAAAGGATAAAAGTATAAAAACTTTGAAAAATATATGTTACAATTGTAAATTTTTTAGATTCAAACCTATAATCTTGAGAGAACAGAAACCCTTGGGAATAGAATAAATAGTGATCAAGTTAAAGAAGAGGGAAAGAAAGATCAATTTCTAGGTCTCCAATAGATGAAAGAAATGTTGCACTGAAGTCAGCCTTAAAACTTTAGGTAACCCTGAGTAATTCAGATGAGATAAATATGTGATAGTCTTAAAACAATTTTTTTTTTTTGCAAATCATGGAGAGAGGCGAAAAAAAGAGAGAGAAAGAAGTAAGAGAGAGAGAAAGAGAATAAGAGTGCTATGAGTTGTACAAACACAGATGATTATCAGTTCTGGGGAACAACACAGAAAGAAATACGGCAGGCAAAGTTGGACCACTTGTCTGTTCTGCCTAGAGCCAGCAGCTTTGCTCATACCTGAACTATTATGCTCAGAGGAGATAACGAACACTGTTTCCAGTAAATTTGCCTGTGGATACAAACTGACAGAGCAGTGTAATAGATAAATCTCCATCTCATATAAAGTCAGTGTCTCTCCAGAAGATTTTCTTATGGTTTCAGGAATATTATTTCATTTTATTAGAGTTAAAAGTTAACTTAACAGTCTTTAAATCATAGTTTGCTTTTCAGGCCACTGACCAGGACTCTTTGCCCTAATTACAAGCAAAAATAAGCAATTCTATTCAGCTCACTGACTAAATTATTTAACAACCAAAGGAGAGAATTTCTCTTATTATAAATGATATCCAAGTTGCTGTCCCAATTCTAGACTCATTTTTTTAATATTGGTGAAGAATAGTTTCTTTTTCAGTAAACTCTGGGAGAAATTATATTTTAATTTTCAATTATGTTTTAAAATGTATTCCTTAACTAAATTTTTTTTAATGAACTTGGCTAAATTTAGATAAACGATGTCTTTTAAATTGCAACACCTCATACTTGTGATAGGTTATTCTCTTTAGATGTTTGATATCTTATTTAGACATATTGATTTTTATTCTATCAATTTCTTTTCATGAGTTATTACATTAAACAAATTTTCCTAAGGAAACTTTCAAAAAATTGGAGAACTTTTTTTAATTAAGAAAAATATCTTGTATGCATATTGTACATACATACTGTTGAATTTTATCTCAAGTTCTGCATCTAGAGTATTCGATGATAATATCACCTTCTGTTTAATTTGTACAGCATGACTGCACATTTGTTGATCTGCTTAAGACAAGCAGCTAATTACACCCAAGGCATAGATTTGATTTCCTTATAGGCTAATTCTCAAAAGGAGTGCCTTCTTTAAATGCTCCATGTGTCTGCCTCTTTTATTTTTCTCTCTCTTTATATTTTCTTCTTTTTAATCTTATAGTAGTTTATTTGTTCTTTCCCGCCCTCCCTTACTTTCCTTCTTTCCTCTGCATAGATTTCATAAGATTCCTGTAATGTGTGAGACATATTAATGAATTTTAAAATATTCAGATACATAAGGCAATAATAATACAAATTGAGGTACAATGATTTTTTCTTCCATTCTAACTACTTTTGTTTTATTACATTTCATCTTTCTAATTGCAGAATATATATATAATATATATATGTAAGTGATAGCCCTTCCTTACCCACAAGGGATACGTTACAAGACCCCTAGCAAATGCTATGCTGTTTCCTATACATATATGCCTCTGATAAAGTTTATTAGTCACAATAAGACATTAATAGCAATAACTACAAATAGATAATATTTAGTTACATAAAAGACTATAAAAACAATTGTTATAAAAAATTATAACTATGCAGTGATAAATGTTATGTAAATGTCATCTCTCTCATCTACTAACAGGTGGATAGCATGTACAGTATGAATACACTGAAGAAAGGGATGATTCATATTCTAGACAGGACAAAGCTGAATAACGTGAGATTTCATCATACTACTCAGAACAACATGCAATTTAAAACTTATGAATTGCTTGTTTCTGGAATTTTCCACTTAATCTTTTAGGACTACATTTGCTTTTTAAACATACTTATTTTTCAACATTTGTTTTGGACTTAGGGTTACAAAATTTTATGGACTAAGGGGTACAAGTGTTGTTGTGTTACATGAGTCATTGTGTAGTGGTGAGTCTGGACTTTGTTTTTGTGTGTGCATTGTTATTTTTTTGAGACAAGGTCATTCTGTTACCCAGACTGGAGTATAGTGGCGTGATTGTACCAAATTAATAATACTTCATCCCTCACCCCCCTCTCACCTGCCCACCTTTTGGAGTCTCCAATGTCTCTTATTCCAGTCTGTGTATTGGACCACATTTGACTTCAGGTAACTGAAACTGTGGGTAAGAGGAAAGTACTGTATTATGATAAATATAATATATATACATCTATGTTTTATAACATACTGAATATAGTATATAGAATCATGCTTTTTGCACATCCACTTTTATAGTTAAATAGTTACACATTTGCCTGACATTAGAGTGACTTATTTGACATATACAAATACAGTCCAATGTGTCTCAAATCATTTAGAATAGATTGATTACTAGGAACAAATATGAATATGCTTCCACATCTGTGTTACTGAGTCCTAAATCGGGAAACAATAAACGTTTTCCTAATATCTGACTCTATAAAGAAAAGTCTTGTTAAGTTATATATATTATTACGTCACCTTACATATCTACTAGTAAATGACCTTTGCAGACAAAAATACAAGGCAAATGAGGAAAACCTTGGAAATTTGAATCGATGACACTGTCAAGTCAGGTAAATATTTGAGATGTTTATTCAACCATAAACTCATCGGCTACGTAAGTAGATGCTGAGTATGACTGCTCAGTAAAATACAGCTTCTTACTGAACACATTTTTAACTTTCCTATCCATGAATATGCAGTAAAAAAATTGACTCTCAAGATACTCCCCTTATGCTATATTTTCCATTGGCCAAATTCAGTGTGTTTCAAAAATAGGCATGTTTGGCATGCACTCTACTGTGAGCAGATTGGTGGACTGTAAAATAGAGCAAGTTTCATGGACTGCTGTATTTTCAGTCTTGGTAAAACAGAGACAGTTTTTCAAATACATGAATAATATACATAACTATCGTTTTTGTCCTTCTTGAGTATATGACCTAAATGTCATGTAGTTAGTTGATTAAAATATCCCTGTCTGGACTATGCATCAAAATTTGTTAAAGAAGTAATGAAAATAGAGAAAAATAGTAGTCAGTTTTTGACATTCAAAATCAAATTTGCAATAACATTGTAGTCAAGCTGTTGATTTGAGAAAGTGCATATCAGTAATCTATCCTAGTCTTCAAATTATAGCTTTTTTTAATGCTTATTTAAAGGTATCTATTTTTCTATTAAAGCTTAGCCAGAAAATTAGCCAGAGCCAAGGAAAAGAAAATTTGAGTCAGGGGGAAAGAGAATTTGAAGCACAAGAAACTCTCCCTTTCTGACTCCGGAGAATTGTGAGAATGAAGAGAGAGGTATTGGCAGTGCTTCTTATTCCACTGAGCACAGAACTACCTTGTCCCAATCCAGGAAATATCCACATAAAAAGGTAAGTTTCTTCCTTTTTCTCCCAGAAAAGTTGGTGTGGGGAGTGGGGCAGGGAGAAGAAAAACAGGTAATTATGGGAAAAACATGATTATTATTTTCTCAATTAACCATACCCAGAGGAATCATGATATATTAGATTGGGAAGTTGCTACTTTGTGGTAACATATATCTACTTCTTTCACAGCCTTAAAAAAAAAAGAAAAAAAGGTTTTTTTGTTAGTCTTTTTTGTGTGTGGATTTTTTTTATTTTTTTGTTTGTTTGTTTTCCAGATTGTGATAAGCTGACTGAGTGGGTCTCTGGATGATGTTTGAGGACTTCTGTGATGGAATGAGGAAAAGGGGAGGCTGACATCAACTCAAATATTTCAAAGAAATCACATCTGAGGTGGAACCCACAGCCAATGCAAAATAAAATAGGAAATTACAATTGGAATGGAAAAAAATTAAAATGTGAAGGCAAGTATCTAGGTGGTAAGACTACAAGCTCACATATGTAGTCCAGCATTACTGGTTAGCATCAAGTTTATGATAGCAGAACTTATAAACAATCAATATCCCAAAGCCAATAGACCTGAATTAAGCCTTCATCAGCAACTCTCCCTTCTGTCTTCCAGTTTGATTAAAGCTCTGAGACTGTGTCTGAGCTTTAAAGTTAGAGATCATGTGACTTACATTTAAAATGCACTGCTTTAAATATAGTCCATGTCTTACTCCATTTGGGCTGCTAAACAAAATACCATAAACTGGGTGGCTTATAATAACAGAAATTTATGTATCACAGTTCTGGAGGCTGACAAGTCCAAGACTTAGGAATTGGCAGATTTTGTGTCCCATGAGGGTCTGTTTCCATAGTGGAAGCCTTCTCACTGTGTCCTCACATGGAGGAAAGGATAAGGTAACTCCCTAGGGCCTCTTACATGAGGGCACTGATTCCATCCATGAGGACTTCACCCTTATGACTGAATCACCTCCCAAAAGGCCCAACATCCTGATACTTTCACCTTTGTAATAAGGTTTCAACATATAAATGTGTGCATGTGGGGGCAAGACAGGGGGAACAAATCTTCAAAACATAGCAGCAATGTGGCTTAACTTCCTAAACCAACAATAATTTTCAGAACTCAATTGCACTGAGTAACTATAGAATTATTACAACATCTTCCCTTCAAAAGAATCATTCAAAGACTATATAGCCCCACAAAATTAATACTGCAGTATTTTAAAAACATACCTTTAGAACATTCTAAGTCAGAATTTTGACAGGATTCTCAGGATCCTGAGGATTGTAACGAGGCTGCAGTGGTTGAAAACTATCCAACAAAAATTCTAAAAGTATGGTATCAGAACTAAGCATTAGCTATTCTGAATTCAAAATATATAAAAATAGATGTAAAACAACCATATCATGTTTAATTTCATGCATATGTTTCAGTCATGAAAACAACAGAAATATATTTCAGTTGGGCTATTGTAACTTCTACGGATTCAACCAAATGCAATGCAAATACCATGTTTGTATTATAATAACATATTCCTAATAATGGAAGTATGCAAAAGTGGCCAACATACTCCTTGTCCCTGGGGTCTCACAGCCTAGTGAGACATAATTTAAAATTCATAAATGAGAGATAATGAAAAAAATTAACCTTTTACTCTATTTTCTTGTCTATGATGGACCCTTACCTCCTCTTCAAACATGCTACCTATGTAAGACCAGCATTTACATTAGAAAGCTGAAAAACAGAATGTCTATCAATATGGAGTCACAGAGCTATCACCTAGTTGTTCCTAGCTCCTGTAGATCTTCAGTAAATGAAGCCCTGTTTGACACACATACTTCTTCAGCTCACAGAAAACCAGGGCCCTTACCAAGCCCTCTTATGAAGTCTTTGACTTCCTGTGCCATGTGTTAGCAAGTGTGGGTGTTAACACCAGATGTAATATATATCTCCTTGTTTGAATTTCACACACACAAACTTATAGCATAATTTACAAAATCTATTAATAAACTATGAATTATTGAAAATTTTAGAGAAATATATATAACAACAAAGTTTTATTATGCCACTTGGCTAATTCAACAACAGTCATTTTCAATGTCCTTCAGTTTATTTATTATCACCCTGTCTCAATTTTGATAGCTCCTCTATTTCTCTCTTCCCTTCTTTTAGTTCCTTATCAATTATTTTACTGAAGATACTAAGTATTTGCCAATACCATTTCAGTCTGTCTGTTTTGGGTGTGTGTGATTCTGTGTGTGCATATGTATGTTGTAGTGGTGATATTTGTTTGCGGGGTGTAGTAAACATTTATTTTTAGAATTATTTTGCAGTCACAAGACAACTCAGGTTAAAGTCAGTTTGGGAATTTGGGTAAGTTATATTTTTCTGAAAATTTATACATTTAGTCTTGTATTGTTAAAATTTATTGTCATAGATCTGTCCATAATGTTTTCTTATTGAAATACTTTGAAATACTTTGAGTTATATATTTATAATGTACATAAATCTTAAATATACAACACAATGAATTTTAACTTATGCACATATTCACGTAATTACCACCCAGAACAAGATGAAAAACAAATCCAGTGCCCCATTGGTTTTCAATATGCCACTATTGGGCTGATACCCCTAATAGTAACCACAATTCAGCTTTCTATCTTCATCATCAACTTTGACTAATTTTGAGCTTGATATAAATGAAATCACGTGATGTGTACTTTTTGTGCCTGGTTTAATTTGTTCAATATTAAGTCTGGGAGAAGTACCCATGATGTGTATAGCCATAATTTTAACTTGTAGATAATTTATTATAGAAATACCATAATTTATCTATCCATTTTACCCTTGATAGGCATTTGAGTTGTTTTCAGTGTTTGTATTTTAAGAATAAAACTTCTTTGAATATTCTTCTCCCCATATTTTACTGAAATATGAATTTATATTGTGAGTTTTATTATTGTTTTAATGTCCATGTCATCAAAGAATATCCCTCAATTCTGTTGTTGGTACATAATAGAATCATTTAATTCTATTATTGGTTATAATTAAATTTTTTTGATGGATTTCATCTAAAAGTTGCCAAATTTATTATTTCTTACAGAGAATTAACTTTTTGATATGTTGAGCTACTGTATGTTTGGGTGCATGTGTGTGTGATTCTGTGTGTATGCGTGTGTTTCTTCTCATTAATTTCTGCTCTTTACTATTTACTTCATAACAACATTGGGACAGTGTATTCATTTTACTGTTCATTATGTAAATTCATGATAGTTAAAATGTTAGTGATTAGCCCTTCTTATCTAATTTGGGCATTTCAAGCTAATGTATTACTACATTTTAACGCTTATGGAATGCAGCTAAACCTCAAAATACTGGTTTAGCTGCATTCCACAAGGGTTAAAATGTAGTATAGTATTCCAATTGTTGCATTCAAATTATTTTATAATTTCCATTTGTATTGCATAGTTGAGCCTTGAATTATTTAGAAATATGTTTTGTAAATTCTAGGAGTATCAGACATTTCTAGTTATGCTTTTATTATGGATTTCTAGCTTAACAGTATTGTTGTCAGAGAATACACTCTGATCATTCCAGTCATTTCAAATTTGTTGAAACTTGCTTTGTAACCCAGAATGGAGCCCATTTTAAACACTTACTGTCCATGCATTAAAAGAATGCATAATTTAAACTTTTATGGCTTGATATCCTATAAAACGCTGTTCACTGAAGAGTGCTAAATGTACCGTTGCTTTATAGATTTCTGCCAGCTTTTTCTGTATTTCCTAAGTGTTTTAAAATATCCAAATATGTTAAGAATTTGTCTATATTTCCTTATGTTTTCTTAGTTGTGGCTTTATATATTTTTATACTAGTATATCAATCATTTTAATTATTATACCACATTTTAATGTTTCTTAAATTATGAAATAAATTTTCTATCTCTAATAATGCAATTTGCCTTAAAATTAATTTTGTATCTCCTAATTCTATAAATTTTCTCTTAACTATTCTTCACATTTTTTACCTTTTAACTGTTACTCTTTCTATATTCATTCTTTATGTTCTAAATTATCAAATAAAATAGGTGTACTTTTAAAAACTCCAGACTAAATCCCTTGTAATTTTGTCTGAGCATTTATTCCATTTCCATTTAATATAATAAGTAATATAACTGAATTTGTATCTACCATTTTCCTTTGCATTTTAGAAGTGTCCAGTTCAATCTGTTTTCTTTATTTTCTATTTTCTTAACATTTTTCACTGATGATTTTTTCCTCATCTTTAATTTTTTCTCTCAGGTAGTCATGGAAGTACAATATCGTTTGTTTGGTTATTTATTTATGTATTGGTTTCCTTAGGAATAGTGACATACATAGTTAACATGAATGCCTAAAACTGACATACATCTTTACTTTTCTCCTGAGAGCTAAGACAATCTTAAGTATGTTAATGCTCATGTTTCCCTGCTAACTAACTTACATGCATTCTCTTCTCATGTATTTTAATTCTGTCTCTGGAACCCCTTCTCAAATCATTCAGATTATTTTACGTAGTGGCTAATCATCTTTTATTTACCTACTAATTTTACAACTTACTTTGCTCCTCCTTTCTTCTTTCATGTAAAACTTCTTTTGTGTTAACTACAGAACAATCTTTTAAAATTTAATTCAGTGTGTACTCTTATGAACATTTCTGGTTTTGCTTTTCTGAAATGTCTTCATTTTTCTTCATTTTTGAAAGTATGTTTTGGTGAAAGTAAAATTCTAGATTGGGAACTTTAAACACTTTGGTGTTATCAAAGCTCTGTATTTGAATTTCATCTTTGCTGTTGAGAAATTAACTGATGATCTAATAATCCAACCTCTGGAGATAATCTCTCTTTCACGTCTATCCCTTCTTGTTGACTTTTTTTGTTTGATTTTGCTATTATTTTTAGTAGTTTAAAGTTCATAACGATGTTTCTAGATGCGCATAGCTTTTTATTTATGTTGCTTGATATTCTTACAGTTATTTGAATCAACAGAAGGTATTTGGAAAGATTCATCTCTCTTTTCTAGTTTGTATCTGTCATATTCTTTCTTTCCCATCCTCTTGGAACTACAATTAAATGTATCTTTAGAAAACTTAAGATATTTATTTTAACCTCTTAACTTTTTTTATTCTTCGTTCTCTCTTTATTCTCTCTATGCTGTATTAAGAATAATTAATTCTAATATATTTTCCAGTTTATTGATTTTTAGTTTGCACACATCTGTTGTTATATTATTTATATTTTCACAAGAATCTCATAAGGAAATGTTATTACTGTTTTTATTTTACATATTAAATAATCAAGCAAGTTGTAAGTTACAGAGTTGGTCTAGGAATCTATAACTATCTTTAAACCATGTTTTTAAACATCATAGTATATTTCTCTGGTTCTTTGAAGAGTTCAAAGGGTCTGAAAAATCACTTTTTTAAATGAAATATTATTTTGGGTAGTTTTATTATCTAAAAAGTTGTGACTACCATGTCAGGAAGCTTGGGTTCCAATACTATTCCTATTTTAGCTTTTAAAGCTTTGGCATGCAAAACCTTCAAAAGACCTCGTTTATATAAAATTAGAAGATCATACAGATCATCCAGCCTAGATCTACAAAACTGTATTTAAATATTAGATTTCTTAATACAAATACATCTTAATGGTAATCTCATAAATAAAACAAAAAATTCTGACTAAAGTGATGTCAAGAGATATAATTGTGTCTCTATCACCAAGCCAGTCACTATTGAACAAGTTTCTAAACAAATTTAGTGTCTATTACATGCCAAGAAACTGAAAAAAAGAGTGGTAAGTAAGAGTATGTGTAAAAGCTTTCTCTCATGAAGTTTAGCTGGTGGCTCAGATACGTTGTTGGAAACCCCTGATCTGACAGGAGGTGGAGCTCAGGCAGTGATGCTCCCTAGCCCCTGCTTACCCCCTGCTGCATGGACTGGTACCAGTCTGTGGGCCGGGAGTCTGGGGACCCCTGCTATAGATGAAAGGAGTAAAGCAAAGTTTCAAAGAAGGGGAAACTGTTTATGTGTGTCAAACATCTAATTTGTGGCACAGTCGGTAGAAGAATCTGTATCTTCTAAGTGTTAAGTTACTGTGTTAATCTACAGCATATGTGAATTGTTATGAAAATATTATAAATACTTGCCTTGTTTATCTTGGACTGTTATGAGAATTAAAAAAAAAGGTGAAAGGACTTTGGACATCCCTTTAAAATACAATCACTTCTACTCTTTTTATGATAAATCTCACCCCCATATTCATATTCATTGCTTTATTATTTTCTGAAATATGACTTTAACCACTCTAGGAACGGGATGTATGGCTCTATCAAGCATGCAGGTACAAGGCAATGTGTTTAAACAATTCAGTTAATCCAATAAAGTCAGTTAGTTTGCTAAGTATTGATTTATAAAATTATTAGTATGTTAATTGGAGTTTTTAACCATCAATTTTTTTTGTTTTCTTATAGACATTATTCCTCCCACCCTCGAATATAACAAAGATTTTTACAAAATTCATTGTCTTCACTTTCATAATAATTTTTGATAAGTTAAGCTATGTTTTCAGAACCTAAGAAACAAGTTTCCCATGAAATTATAAAGTGTAAACATAGAAGATATTATATGAAGTTAAGCAAAGTCCATTTAACGTTTACATATAGGCAGGAATTAATGTAAAACGATATAATCCACTGAGACTTCTATTTAAAAAAAAATCATGACATTAGTTTTACACTTATAGTGTCAAGAAACAGAGTTAAGGGCCAATGATCAATTGCACCTACACTTCTGAAAAAGAATCTGCATCTTTTTATAGTTAACTAAAACTCTACACATAAATATAAATTGTTGGTATTTTTAGGACTCACATTTTCACATTCCATAATTTAAATGAGCTTTTAGCTTTTGAAATGGTAGCTATTTCTGAGACACTGTAATTCCCAATTCTGTTTTCTTAAAATGAAAGGTTACCCAGGGAACCCCAGGAAACTATAAATTCTTAATGACTAAAAAGGCAGTCCAAATGGTCTGATACATTAGGTAACTGAGAAATAGAGTGTGGCAAGATTTTTAAGAGGCATTGACTTCATTTATGATCATCGACAACATCTGTGGCCATGAGTGTTAGCAGAGAGTGACCAACTTTGAATGTGAATTGATTATCCACATGACAATAGAGGACTACACTGCCAATGAAAAACACAGTGTCATTTTGATACTGCAACGTATTTTTCTCCCAGTCATTTCAGTTTTCTTCAATTGTTGACAGAAACATGAGGCCAGGCTGGGTACTAATAACATAATCCAGGATGGCAACAACTTGTTGTAGTATTGAACTAGTAAGTGCACCTAACTCATCCAATGAATGTGCACCAGAAAAATTATACTCATTCTGGTGTCCAAGACACAAAAGGTCTGGAGGTCTTCTGCTAATTAGCCTCTGTAGGAGCAGACTGCATTCTCACAATGAGCCTTTTTATGTTCCCTTTGGCTCTTTTGCTAAGTCATAATCTTTATTTGCATAAGCATTTTGTTAATGCAGAGCTGTGAAATGTCTCCTTTCAGCATTGTCTACATAAACCCAACAATATAGCAAGTAAAACTATTTAGTGTCTGGACTAGAAGAAATAGGCTCTTAAATCTGAGGTAGTTCATAATGGCTTATAGAAGTTGTTATAAAAGTCCACAATTGAAAGCCAGCTTTATATCTTCAGATATTTACTTTTATTAGCAAATACAAAATTCGGAGCTTGAGGAATGAGAGGTATGGAATTGGTAAAACTCAGAACATGCTTTTGTCTTCATGTGTTTTCCATCCATGTGGCACACATTGTCCTGCTCTCTGTGCTTCTAAATTATATTAATTCATTGAGTCACATTAGTGATATTGTGTAAGAAGCCTAACAGTCCAGTGATTTAACCCAGACATAAGGACTTAGCCAAGTCAATCTCCTATTCATGTATACCTTTGAAAACTAAATAAATTTAAATTTGATTTATAACTGCTTTGTGGTTTTTGAATTTTTCTCTGGTTATTAATTCAATTACATAAAATTATTATATATTATTCACCTATTTCTATCATTATTTTCCTTTCTCTATATATACATAACATTATCTGACCTCTTAAAAACTTGGTTTTAAAACTGATCTTAATTTTATAAAAGTATCCATAATGATTTTACCAGAATTCAATGGGAATTTATATTCATTACTATATATATTTTATTATCTCATTCATAATTTTTATGTAAGGGAATGGGAGTGCAAATAGATGCAGTCCTGAAAATGATCAAAAGGAAGAAAGGACACATATTTAATTAAAGGCAATGCTTTAGAAATGCTGATTTATGAAAACTATTAAAGTGCACTATGTTATCAATAGTTTGAGTTTACAACGACATTAGCATGTATATCATGCATGTAAAATCAGCAACTGCAGCATTGAATCAGATAGTTGCTCAACTAGGATGTCTAAGCTGTCCGTTAACAGAACTTAGTTGTATGCACTGGTCCTTCTTGGGCTCTTTCACAGTTGTACCAAGCCCATTTTTCTACGGACTACTGCTTAGATGACCTGACTTTATGACTCGGAAATTACAACAAAGCAAAGCTAGTAAAGGATAGTTCTGAATGCATGGTCACTTTGTGCACCTTCGTCAAGTGATCTAACTCTACTGTGCCCTGAGAGCACAGACCTGTTTCTGGGAGCACCTTGCTGCAGAAGGCATGGCCTTATTTAAACTTCCAAGATGTGTATTGTGACTCCCCTTCAGAAATTTTTTACAAGCTCCATACTGCATCTCTATCTTTGGCCCCTCTAACAAACATTTAATTTCACAGATCACATGTCCCAAGAAGGAAGACTGACTGTACTGTCGTTCTGCCTATGACAGTGCCCTTTCACTCTCCAGGTCCCACTCAAAGCTGAAAACATTCTGTGTCAATAATATTTCTAGGAATATATTGCCTCCATGACTCAAAGAGACCTGCCAGGCACTATGCTTCTTCATTTTTGTGGGGCATGCAAGATACAGCAATTTGTTTTTTTACTTTGGAGAGGGTACCTTGACTTCTAGACCCTCTGTAATTTGAAGCAGCCAGTTCATGAATCTTTGAAGGGTTTTTCTTCTACCATCTCATAGATCTATCTAGCTTCTACAAGAGCCAGCCTGGAAAGTTAAATAGATATAGTATAGTCCCCACCATCCCTGCTCAGTTTAGGTCTTTGTTGATAGGACTACCATTCCTTCAAAAATTAAATGTTTTTTGTTTGATTTATTTATTTATTTTGTTGACTTATGTGTATGTATGTGTGTGAGGTTAAGGCAATTAGAGGTTTTCATTTGGCTTTCCTCGCAGTGATAGTTCTTATTCCACAGAGCAGGTCCCTAAAGTAAGGGTTACTCTGGTAAGTCAGTGAATGTCAATGATGCACTCAGGGACTGAGGATATAACCACTGGATGGGCTCATGGACACTCACTGTGAACTGGACTGTATACAAGGGCCCATTTTAAAATTTATCCTCAGGCCACCATAGACCCTAATAGTAACATGAGGACATCATGGCCCTTTGGGTCTCCATATTAGGTGTCAATTTGGCTCCATCTTTGTCTGTTTCTTATTGCTGTAACTGAATATCTGAGACCGGGTGATTGATAAATTTAAAAAAAAAAATACAGTTCTGGAGCCTGGGAAGTCCAAGGTCAAAGGGCTACACCTGATATGGGCCTTCTTCTGGTGAGGATGTTCTACACAGTCCTGAGGCTACACAGAACAAGACATGGTGAGGGAGCTCATGAGAGAGCCAACCAGGCTTTTTTTAACAAGACACACTCTCATGACTAATTCACTCCCATGATAATCCATTAATCCATTAGCCTATTAATCCATTAATTCATTAATCTATGAACTCATTAATTCATTAATCTGTTAATCTACGAATGGTTCACATTTATGAAGGAAAGCCCTCATGACCCAATCACTCTTAAAACCTCTGCCTGCTAATACTGTTATATAGGAGATTAAGTTTTAACATGAGTTTAGGAGGGGCCAAACATTCAAACCATAGCTGGTTCCTGTGCTCTGTAGTCCTCAGAGTGTCTTATTATTCCCCTTTTACCAGTATATGTAACTTAAGTAATTGGCTGTAGGTGCTCTTGGGTAAAACCTGGGAAACTACATGCTATGTATTTGCCATGACAACACGGGATTCTTCCCTCTAGGGACCTGCTTCCACGATTCCACTATAGGTGACGAGAGACTCTATAAGCCACCACAGAAGCTCTCTGGCTCTTATTTAGCCATTATTAGCCTTTGCTTTCCCATTTTGCTTCTGCAGGAAGCAGGGCATCAATACAATTTAGCAAAAGCCAGGCAATTCCCTCCTTCTCCCTCTTTATAGACATTATTTTCTCTATATTATTCAAAATACCTGTACCTGTTACAGCGTTAGCCACCTCTGAGCAGAAGTCAGGCATTTCCTATGTACCCAACTGTCATCTGTTGAAGATATTTTACCCTAGTTCAGACACCCAGATAACATCCAACGTCTAGAGTAAATCGAAGTTGAGGGTGTTAGTCCAAGATGGTTTACAACAAATAAGTGCTTCTAATTTATTTGAAGGTTGTATATCAATTCATCAGCAGATATTTTTGTCCAACAAAAATATGGTAACTGAGGTGAAATAGACTGTATTGCAGGTATCTCAGACTCAACTGACTGTATTGTTGAAGATTATTACAAGTTGTATCTGAATGTCTCAAGTAAATCAGAATTCAGAGTGTTAATACAGGATAGTTTTCTGTAGTGATTGATAGGTAGATTTCAGTCTTCATAGAATTCCCTAGTCTGTCACATTGCTTCAACCCACATTTAGAAGACAGTGAGAAGTACCTGAGTGCAAGTTGAGGGTTCTGAAGCTTTTCCTAGGCAGAATTGTTAACATTCTTTGTGTATCTCAGAAACCTGGGGAGCTTTCTCAGGTACATAGAGTGGCAAAGATGGAATTGGAATCCAGATGTGTGTGGCACCAACCTTGATATTGTTAATCAGTGCTATGCTACATTGATTTTCACTGTAAAAGAGTGATGAAGTTTTCTGTTTTGAAATTGCCTACAAATGGGTTTTGGGTAAGAATCCCAAAAGATACAATCCCGAATGCCGTAATTCTGAATGTTGAAATCCCAAAATATCGAAATCTCTAAAATTGTAAATTCTCAAAATCATAATTCTGAAAGATAAAAATTTCACAAATTGTGAACAGTGTGGCAATAAACATACATGTGCATGTGTCTTTATAGTAGAATTATTTATAATCCTTTGGGTATATACCCAGTAATGGGATTGCTGGGTTAAATGGTATTTCTGGTTCTAGATCCTTGAGGAATCGCCACACTCTCCTCCACAATGGGAAACCATCATTTTCAGCAAACTAACACAAGAACAGAAAACCAAACACCTAATATGGAGACCCAAAGGGCCATGATGTCCTCATGTTACTATTAGGGTATATGGTGGCCTGAGGATAAATTTTAAAATGGACCCTTGTATACAGTCCAGTTCACAGTGAGTGTTCATGTGGGCTGAATATATGGTGTTGTGTCAGTATTATTAGATTCCTATAATTGCGTATAATCACTGGCTTCTAAACAATCTAAAACTGAAATGAAGTCAGGCGCAGTCACTCATGCCTCTTGGCATTTTGGGAGGCCAAGGCCTGTGATTTGCTTGAGCTCAGGAGTTTGACACCAGCCTGAGCAAAATGGCAAAACCTCATCGCTACCAAAAATTAGCCAGGTGTGGTCGCATGTGCCTCTAGTTTTCGCTACTCAGGAGGCTAAGGCAAGAGGATTGCTTGAGCTCAGAAAGTTGCAATCAATCAAACTCAAAAAATAATTTAGGTTATAAGGTTATATTGATCAAAATTGTGTGATAACTAAGCTCATGCTAGATTTAAAAAGTAAATTCGGTTGGGCACAGTTGCTCATGCCTGTAATCCTAGCACTTTGGGAGGCCAAAGCAGGTGGATCACCTGAGGTCGGGAATTCAAGACCAGCCTGGTCAACATGGAGAAACCCCATCTCTACTAAAAATACAAAATTAGCTGGGTGTGGTGGCGCATGCGTATAACACCAGCTACACGGGAGGCTGAGGCAGGAGAATCGCTTGAACCTGGGAGGTGGAGTTTGCTATGAGGCGAGATCGTGCCACTGCACTCCAGCCTGGGCAACAACAGAGTGAGACTCTGCCTCAATAATAATAATAATAATAATAATAATAATAATAATAATAATAAAAGCAAATAATAAAAGCTCTTCAGTAGTGACTTCCCTAAAAGAAAAAGGGAGGTCACAGCTGGGGAGCTTTCTCAGCTGCATAGAGTGGCAAAGATTTGAGTGAAAGATCAAAATTTCAAAAATTCATTATTTTCTTTATATTATTCAAAATACCTGAACCTGTTACAGTGTTAGCCACCTCTGAGCAGAAGTCTGCCATTTCCTATCTACCCAACTGTCATCTGTTGGGTTGAAGATTTTTTACCCTAGTTCAGACACCCAGATGACATCCAACATCTAGAGTAAATCGAAGTAAGTTGAGGGTGTTAGTCCAGGATGGTTTACAATAAATAAGTGCTTCTAATTTATTTGAAGGTTATATATCAATTCATCAGCAGATATTTTTATCCAACAAAAATATGGTCACTAAGGTGAAAGGATAGAGTGTATTGAAGGTATCTCAGACTCAACTGACTGTATTGATACATATTATTACAAGTTGTATCTGAATGTCTCAAGTAGTATCTCTTTTATTTATATATATAAGAAGAAGATACAATTGCAGGTGAACTAGGAACAACATAGGAATAAGTGATTAATCCTTATGTCCTGGGGCTGAAGTGTACCTGGTCCATTTGCATCCTCAAAGAGCCCTCTCACTCTACAGCAGGTGGAGTGATACCAGCTAACATAGAATTTTTTAGTTCCCTATATTCAAAGAACTCATTGCCAAGAGAAATGCTTCCTAGGATTGTTGGGAAATGATAATGACGTATCAAAAGCTGACTGGCCTATCCTACATGTTAAAAAAAAATGGTAAGCTACTCTTCTAATATTAGTTATCAATATACTACATAAGAATAAATATAGTAAGTTATTAAGCTAATGAATATGTATAGTGATATTAGTTTTCTACTGCCACTGTAACAAGCTACTACAAACTTGGTGGCTTAAAACAACAGATATTTATTTTGTCACAATTCTGGAGGTCAGAAGTCTGAAATCAAATGTGTCAGCAGGGCCACACTCCATCCAAATGCTCCATAGGAGCATCCATTCCTTGCCTCTTCCACCTTCTAGTGACTGCTAGCATTCCTTGGTACGTGCCTCTGTCACTCCAATTCTTGCCTTCATCTTCATATCACCTTGTCCTCTGTTTGTACATCAAATTTCCCTCTGCCTTTTTCTTAAAAAAGGACTTGTAATGACATTAAAGGCCTACTAAAGTAACCCAGAATAATCTTCCTATCACAAAATCCCTAACTTAAACACATCTGCAAAGGTTATTTTTCCAAATAAGGTAATATTTATAGGTTCCATGGGTTAGGACCAGGTATCTTTGTTGATCAATTTGTAGTCTACCTACCACAATACTAAAATGTAAAATAAAAACAATGAAGTAGGTATCAGAGACTAGAATCTTGACACATGTAATAAAACTGGTTGACATTCGATGAATGTTTACTCTCTTTCAGGCACTAAACAGTGATATATGTATATATATATATATATATATATATATATATATAGCCTAATTTGTATTCAAAACAACCATGTAAAATAGATATGGTTATTGTCATTGTACTGATAAAGACAATGAATTGTAATCAACTTACAATTAATCAGTAGTTATACAATAGTAACATTGTCAAAATTTAACCCCTGGTGTGCTTCATTCCAGAGTCCATGCTTGTAACCCCTACACTATAGTTACATTGCCTCTCCAGCATCTACTTGCTCTAATTAATGGTTTTGGTCCTTTCACTTACAAAACTTGTCATTTATTAATACTTGTCTAACACACTCCACAGGAAATTGTAAGATTAAAATTTAAAAAGCATATGTAAACTTTGTAAATTGTTGCATTCTTTAAAAAATGTCAAGTATTAATTAGGATTTTTAAATAACAGTTTCCAGCCTTTTGTCAACCCAATTAACACAACGTAGCATTTGAAATGGGCTGTCTGTTTGTTCTCTAAATAAAATTCTGTCTCTGTTATTGATTCATACAGGGGAATTTTGGTTTTAGGTCCTGAGTCTTCCAATTAAGCCTGGCCATGGTCACAAAATCTTAACTGTTTTAGACTGGAGTGAGATTTTAAACAATGACAACAGCAACAACAACAAAAGTACCAAATATGTTCAAAAAGAACCTTTTCTTTCTTAATGTCCATGCTGCCTTTTGAAGACAAAATCAATAAAACACCACGTATGCCTCATTCCTACAAAAGACCGAATCAATGAATGATAATTCGCTCAGTTTTGATTAGGGATGCGGTTTCTGCTGGGTGCTTTTGGTATTGGATTTTGGCAGCACTAAGTGATAGAAAGATCGTTCATTAATATAAGAGGTATATTCAAGCAGTGGGACTTGGAGAAAGAAATAAAGGAGGCCATTGTAGCTCTAGTGTCCATTAATTGAGGAAAGGGTTTCTCCTGTTTACTTTTCAGATTATCAGGCTTGACTTCCAATCAAGACTTGCTAATAGTTAATTAATAACAACCCAAGAAATGACATTTGGGTTTAACACTCATAAGTTGTACAAAGATTTTAATATATTTTTATTAGAGATCAAACCATGAGTCAGCCATTGTTCTGAGTTACTTACATATTATCATATTTAAGAAACTGATCTTTAAGAACAATATTTTGGACTCAAATATATATTTGTACTCAATGTGAGAAAGATGTATCTTTATTAGAGGGTTTTAAAAAAGGTTTTCAATAATTAATCACCTATCATATACACATATCACTGCCTAACCCAGTGATACCCATCTCCTTTCTCAAGCTAGTTGCAGTGCATGTGGTCCAAATCCTCTGCATTTTTTTTCTATCGTTGCATTTTTTAAACTAGATTATCATTGTTTCTTATAAGCTAGGGCAGGTAAAACTTCTTCAGTCTGTACATTTTCAGTGGTCATTGCTGGGCCTAGCACATAGAAGATTCTCAGTAAGAGAGCTTATTTTGTAAAATCCTTTTCTAAAATCACTTGATAACACACATTACTTCTAGGATATAGCTGTGGCTCCTTTAAATTTTTATAGAAGGATCCTCATTGTCCCTCCCAATTTCACCGCTCAACCTCACCTCCTGCCACTCCTTGTTTCATTCACACTAGCAACAAAAACCTTCTTCTTTTTCCCTTTTACAAATTGTGATGCATAGATTTTTGTTGGTATAGAACAAAACTCTATTCTTTTTGAGGACCTATGGTCAAATAATTGTTCAACATAATGAAAAGAAACAAACTGAACATAGTATTTGGCATTTGTATAATGCAATTACTTGGGTCACTTTAATTTTTCGATATACTGTGATATGATCCAAATGCAGTTTTAAAACTTGTCTAGAAATTATTTGAGACTTTGGAATTTTTTTTTAAAAGTTAGAGTGTCATTTGCTCAGTGCAAGAACAGCAAATATGCTACATAGCTCACAGTACTGTCTACCTTATGCCAAAGGCTACATTACAGTGGGATTCTAGCTCTCTTTTTGCTTTGTTGCTGATTCTTTACAATTTGATAGGTTGCTGAATATAATCACAGCCAAATTATTAAAGATGACTACATTATGAAACCTATATGCTTTATTATCAAGTAAGACTTAAATAATTAAAGTATAGAGCTGAAGAATTCCAGATTTGACCATATTACAACTAAGTAAATATATACCTAAAAAACAAATATATTCTAAAGTTTACAACATTCCAACAATCAACTAGGAAAATGCTAAAATAACAAAACTATTTGGATCACATCAATTAGTAATAATAGGAACAGTCAATTAACAGATTTTATATGTTATGTGTATTTCTTTGTTTACTGTATTCTTACAATAAAGAAAGCTAAATAAATGAAAATGTTATTAAGGAAACTATAAGGAATAGAAAATATATTTGTGATTCACAAAGTGGAAGTGAACAATCTTAAGGGCTTTCATCCTCATTGTCTTCACCTTGAGTAGGCTGAGGAGGAATACAAAGAGGATGGGTTTTCTTTGCTGTCTCACGAGTGCCAGAGGCAGAAGAAAAACTGTGTATAAGTCAGTTTTCTTGTATTTAAAAATATAATAATAAATATTGCCTTTATCATTAGATATTATTCTACCACAACAGCTTAATGACTTTATATTATTTTCTAGTAAGAATATAATTCATGCTGTTGTTATTTGACACTTTTTGACATTTTTTTCTCCACACTAGTAAAAACATAAACATTAGGATCCACTGTTTAATGCAAATATAAGTTGATATCCTTAAGATATATTCTTAAAATAAAAATAACTCTGGAGGTAAGCAAAATTCTAAAGCATTGCCAATTTAATCTCTATATTTTTTTTACTAATACAGATTTCCAATAGTAGAATAGAGCTTTCCCTATAGTCTGCAACAACATAAACATCATTCTTTTCATTTAATTCCAGTTAACTTGCTAACTGTAGAAGGATATTGTATTAAATTGCCATTATTTTATAGCCAATAAGATTAAACATATATTAATATAATTATTAGCAATTGGGACTATTTTTTGAATATCTTCCCTATGCTTCCTTTACATATTTTTATATATTTTAGTTGTTGATTTGTAAGAACACTCTCCATTTTAAGAAAAAGAATATTTTTTCAGGAAAATTATTTAAAACATTGTTCCAAGTTTGTTATTTGCATTTTTGTTTTTATAATTTCTTTTTTGATGTTTGCAATTGTTGCTGTTGTTTTAGTTGTAGTAAAATCCATGAAATGATCACCTTTATACTTTCTATTCTTGTTTTCTGGTATAGAAAATTTTTTATACAAAAGACTGTGTAAATAAATATTTTCTTCTTGACATTTTATTTATTCTTTTTATATATGTAATCCACTTAAAATTTGGTGTAAGAATGAAACAGAAGCTATATTTTTCTATATTTATCACAAGGTTATTTCAAATTTCCACAGAAATTTTATAATGCAATTTGGTAATATTTAAAAATACATAACTGTTAAACATTTATGGTAGTAATTTGTCTCAATGAAAAATACTCAAAGCAAGGAAAAGCTATAGAGCTATACCATGACAACTGCATAAACTACTAAAGAGTCCATTAAATGCCAACAACTGTGTTAAGGATATGATCTTACATAATTAGCATAAAGCTAATTAAGGCAGCAAATTACATTGCACACAATTTACAGATGTGAAAATTGAGGTTCCAGTAGTTAAGCAGCTTTTATGATAGCAGTCTATAGTGTTTATACTATGATTGCAACTGCTAATCCCAGATATATCAGATTTTGCAAGAAAAAGGAAACAAGCCAGAAATTAAGAAAGAAAGAGAAACAGAAGAACAAAAGGAAGAAAGGCAGAAAAAAGGAACACAGGAAGGAAAGAAAGAAGGAAGAAAAATAGAATGAAGGAGAGAGGGATGAAAGGGAAGTAAGGAAATACCAATTCCATAAATCATGCAATCTGTATAATGCATAGGGACAGTAGATGGAAAAAATGATAGTAATCATTTTTAGAGTTGTTCTATATAGGGGCATTATCCCCTTTTCAATTTTCTGAAAAGTATGTTGTCTTTTTATAATAACAATTAAATACCCTCCGTATCTTCTTTATTCCAAGTTAGCTATTATAACAGAGATAGCTATTCTTCTTTTAGTTTTAATTCTTTCTTTTTAAAAAGTATCCCTTTAAGCTTTCTTTGTACTGTAGCCCAGCTCTTCTGTGATTCTTCCAGATAGTCTCAAGGGCAGCTGGAACAAGAGTGGTTTCTAGACAGTACAATGAGCTCAATTGAGCCTCACACATTCACTGTATTTTTTTCTTTTTCCTTAACACCTGGATGCCAATTTTGTACACACTTCCCTGATGTGCCTTACATAATAGCTAAGCTAAGGAAAAGAAAAAACCACTGCTGCCACCCGTCTGTGTGTTCTAGCAATGTGCAGTGGCTCATGGTCCTCATAATCAGAAGGCATGCTGGGCTGCCACACAAGTGGGAGGCCAAAGAGGTTGGGAGGTCCAAGGCTTACAGTGGCAATTCATAGTTTAGCTTCTAAAAGAAGGATAATGATGCTTTACAATTTGGGCTATGTGTGCAATACACAATAGAGAATGAACCAGTTATGGGGTTCTTCACTTCATTATGATTGACATAAGTATGGTTTAGAGCTTAAATTACTTGATAATTATACCTCCATTCTTTATCCCACTAGCTCCTCCATCTTTACTCCAATAAAATTCCATGCTAGTTGCACAATGACATAAATCTCAGTATATTCTAGTTATTGGTTCTTTACCAACCACCCCTTCCCTAAGACTTGCCTCTGGGAGTACCTTAAGGACAGTTTTTTTTTTTTTAATTTCATTTATTTAGTTCTCAGAATCTGATACAGTCTTGCGTGTAAGACATTCTCAATAAACATACACTAGCTAAAATTATTTAAGTGTAAATTTTTAGCATGTGTTTTATTTTATTGAGATTGATAGACTAAATAAAGTTTATAAACAGAGGAATCTGAATGCAAATAATCGCTGTATCTTACAGCTATCTTCCCCACAGACACAAGACAGAACAAAGTGGAAAATATTAGATCTAATACAGAAATGTTCAATTTCCTCAGGTTGTGAAGGCCCCTTTGAAATTACTTATTTTCCGTTTTTTTAGTTTGTTAAAATAATTTTAAAATTTTAATCTTTATTCCCCATTGAACAATGGCCAGTCCAAGAAAATAGAAACTACTACTCAGAGGGGGAAAAAAACAATTTCTGCTGGTTCTCACAATTGCATTCTTTCTTCTTGCCAGAGACATTTACATATTGTAATGATAAACTCATGGTTTTTTTTTTTTTTTTTTTAGTTTTCAAATTTTCATATACCTTTCTCCTTTTTTCACACTGCTTCTTAACATATAGACCTTAGTGGTATTAATTTTAAGAATATGCCATATCATATAATATTGGGGCCAAACCACAAGAGGCATGTTTATTTTTTATTATTTATATATTTTAGTATTATTATTTAGTGATTGCTGATGCTATACTCAGGTATATTTTCCTCACTAGGTATGTTTGTCAAGTTAGGTAGTAGACAATGTTCTGCCAAAAAATCTTTTTTCATTACAGTGTTTTCCCTAAAGGCTATAGTAGTCATGGAAAGATTAATTCAACAAAGACTCCTCCCAAGTTATTAACCTGTAAACATCAATTCCAAGTAAGGAAATTAAGTAAAGATACTGAGTACCTTCACACTACATACACCTCCACCTTATAAGATATTTTCAATCGTATTTTACTCAGTTCTATATTAAAGAATATATTTGAGCACTATGTATTGAAAAATTGAAGATAAAAATAGATTAAAGACACATTTTCTTCTCTCAAGGAGTTCACAGTCTACTAAATGCCAGAACTCAAAATATCATATCCCACAGTATGGTGCCTTGACATGCTGAGTATTTTTTAGCTGAAATGGACAGGAGGGCCTCAGAAGCAAGATTTCTGTTACATTCTTCAGCCCTCCTGTCTCCTTCACCTTTTACTGCTCTGAACCACGCCATAAAACCTAGGAAGTTCAATCTCTGACCTACCTTCCCTTAACGTAGGTTATAAGACCCTCTTGTGACAGATGTACTACGCTATACCTGGAGGAAAGAATTGCTACATAGAGAGACCAAGAAGAATCTGAACAAACAGGCTTTGCTGGATTCCTCCATTAAATCATACTCTACTTTCCGATTATGCTTCTTTCTCCACTGTTATCCACTTATTTCATCAAACTTAGCATAAAAATATACAGTTTTCCTTAGGTCTTTGGATCTTCATTTCTAAAGTCTTCCATGTCACATAAAACTTTGATTAATAAATTTGTTATACTTTTTTCTTGCTAATCTGTCTTTTGTGATTGGGATGTCAGCTGTAAACCTTGCAATGGGTAAAGAAGAGACATTACTTTGTCATACATGAGAAAGATAGACTAAGTAATAAAATATTATATGCTGTGCTGTAACGCAAGTCAAGTATTTAACACGTTGTTGGAGGACACATCTGGAAAGTGTTCCAAGATTAATGGACAAGCGAATTAAATCTTAAAGGCTTTATGGGATTTGACTAGCTATAAAAAATGAGGAAATAAATATTCGAAAGAAAGGAAGCCAAAATGCGTTGCTAGGAAGGCCTGAGAGAACAGAACAAATTTGAGAAACAGCTGGATTCTGCAAAGATGGGTTGTAGCTGGATCAAGAGGGATGTTGCATGAAAGCTTGGACTTTAACCTGTACTTAAAGAAGATTTACCAAAGGATTAAGTAGGAAAGTGGCATGGTGGAATTTATTTTATAATGATTGCAACAGATAAAGCAAGAAATAATGAGACATAAGGACATTCTAGTTTCAGGCAGTAAAAAGCCTAATATTGTGCCAAGTCCACAGTTGTTCAGTATATAACTGCTATGTAAATGAATGGTTGAAAGGTTGGGATAGGGAAGGGACATGTGAAAAATATACACAAATTAGAAATATGGAATTGACAAAACTTTAGGAGTCTTTGGATATGGAGGCTGATCTCTAAGTTTCTTACTTGTATGACTATGCTAATTGAGGTGCACATCATTGAATAAAGCAAACTAGTAGAAGTAACAGATACACAGAGACAGATGATTTTAGCATATTGCTTGTTGAATTTGAGGTATCTGCATGCAGGAAGTTGATTATGTAGATCTCAAAAAGTAAGGACTGGATTCAAATTGCAAGTTTGGTAGACACATGCATTTAGGAGGCAAATGTTTGAAATTCTGGGTATCGATAACATTGCCCGGGGTGAGAGGCCAAAGAAAAGGGCTAAGTATAGAACTTTTAAATATAACTGTAGTTAAATGGATGGAGAATGGTATATCTGTAAAGAGTCCCCGATTTTCCCTAGGAAAAGCAAGTAGATAACTTTGAGAAAAACAAACAAACAAACAAAACAAAACAAAAAAAACAAGAGAAAATAGTGTCGACATATAAGAAAAGAAGAGAATCTCAGGGATAGGAATTATTCAAAAATGCCATGTGCCTAAGAATACTCAACTGAGACTAATTCAACTAATCCCTATCATAGGATCTTGAAAAAGAGTAGAAATTACTTGTTCATGAGACTAGATGGAAGAAAGAAAGAAAGAGTTTGTTCATAAAGAAGCTCAGATGTGAGAGGGTTAGTAAAGGGCAGACAATTTAGTTATTCCACTTCTATTTAGGGTAAGAGATAAAATAATGTGTTGAGATGAAGATTTTCCCAAGGAAGAGCAAGCAGATAACTTTGAGGGAAAAAAAAAAAGGAAATAGTGTTGAGAAAATAAGAAGAGAATCTGAGAAGGATGTCTTAGACAACTGGGAAATGTAAAGGAAGCTCTGTTTAGTTCTAAAGGACAAGATTCTATTGGAGACCAAGTAGTATGATATACAGATGACTCAAAAGTTATAAAAATGATTATGCTACTTGAATGAGAAATGACTCTTTTCTATAGGTACTGAATTTTTAAAAAGGCATATGAATATTCAGGTCTACCCAGAATTATGGTACAAAATTGACTTCTGGGATAAAATCTACTGATTCAAAAGAGACAAAGACCTTTTCCATATACAGACATACATCTTTTTATTAGACTTTACTTTATAGAGCTTCACAGATATTGCAACATTTACAAATTAACTGTTTGTGGCAACCCTGTGTCAAAGAATTCTATCAGCACCATTTTCCAACACTGTGTGCTCACTTCTTGCCTATGTGTCACATTTTGCTAATTCTTGAAATATTTCAGAATTTTCCATTATCTTTATATGTGTTATGGTGATCTGTAATCCGTGATCTTTGAGTTACTAATGTAATTGTTTTGGGGGTGTCCATAGAAGATAATGAACTCAATTGATACATGTTGCGTATTTGTTGACTACTCCATCAAGTGGTCATTACCCATCTCTTTCTCCTTTTTCAGACCTCCTTGTTTCCTGAGGAGCAATATGAAATTAAGCCAGTTAATAATCCTACAATGGCCTCTACATGTTCAAGTGAAAAGAAGAGTTCCAAATCTTTCACTTCAAATTAAAAGCTAGAAATAATTAAGCTTAGTGAGAAGGGCATGTCAAAAGCTGAGACAGATCTAAATATAGGCCTTTTGCACCAAACAGTTGGCATGACTGTGAATGCAAAGGAAAAATTCTGGAAGAAAATTAAAAGTATTACTCCAATAAACATACAAATGTTAAAAAAGCAAAACAGTATTTTTGCTGATATGAAGAAAGTTTTGGGGTCTGGATAGAAGATTCAACTAACCATAACATTTCCTTAAGCAAACTTCTCATCCAGACCATGGTCCTAAATCTCTTTAATACTATGAAGGCTGAAAGAGGTGACAAAGCTGCAGTAGAAAAGTTTGAAGCTAGCAGAGATTGGTTCATGAGGTTTAAAGAAACGTGTTGTCTCTCTAACAAAAAAATACAAAATGAAGCAGCAAGTGATGATGTAGAAGTACCTGTTATCCAGAAGATCTAGGTAAGATAATTGATGAAAATGACTACACTAACAACTCATTCATTTTCTACGTAAAATAGACAGGCTTGTATCGGAAGAAGTTGCCATCAAGAAATTACATAAAGGGGAGAAGTCAATGTTTGAATTTAAAGCTTTGAAGGACAGGCTGCCTCTCTTGTTAGGGGCTAATGAAGTTGGTGGCTTTAATTTAAAAGTAATTATCATTTATTACTTCAAAGATACTATGGTCCTTAAGAATTATGCTGGCCGGGCATGATGACTCATGACTGTAATCCCAGCACTGTGGGAGGCCAAGGCTGGTGGATCATCTGAGGTCAGGAGTTCGAGACCAGACTGGCCAACATGGCGAAAACCCATCTCTACTAAAAATACAAAAAATAGCCGGCTGTGGTGGTGTGCGTCTGTTCTCCCAGCTACTTGGAAGGCTGAGGCAAGAGAATCACTTGAACCAGGGTGGTGGAGGTTGCAGTGAGCTGAGATCGTGCCACTGCACTCCAGTCTGAGTGACAAAGCGAGACTCTGTTTAAAAAATATATATATGCTAAATTGACTCTGCCAGTGCTGTCTCAATGAAAAAATAAAACCTGATGACAACACCTGTGTTCACAGTGTGGTTTGCTGAATATTTTAAACTCACTGTTGAGATCTGCTGCTCACAAGAAAAGAATTTTTTCAAAATATTACTGCTCATTGACAATGCACCTGCCCATAAAATAACTCTGATGGAGATATACAAAAAGACTAATATTTTTATGCCTGCTAACATACATCTATTCTACAGCTCATGAATCAAGGAATAATTTTGACTTTTATGCTTTATAGCTTAAGAAATAGATTTTGTACGGCTATAGCTGCCATACATAGTGATTCCTCTGATTGATCTGGGCAAAGTAAATTGGAAACATTTTGAAATGATTTAATCTTCTACATGCCACTAAGAACATTCATGATTCCTTAGAAAAGGTAAAAATGTCAACATTAGGCTGGGCGCGGTGGCTCATGCCTGTAATCCCAGCACTTTGGGAGGCGGAGGTGGGTGGATCACGAGGTCAGGAGATCGAGACCATGCTGGCTAACATGGTGAAACCTCGTCTCTAATAAAAATACAAAGAAAAATTAGCCAGGCATGGTGGCAGTCGCCTGAAGCCCCAGCTATTCGGGAGGCTGAGACAGGAGAATGGTGTGAACCCGGGAGGTGGAGCTTGCAGTGCAGATCATGCCACTGCACTCCAGCCTGAGGGACAGAGCAAGACTCCTTCTCAAAAAAAAAAAAAAAAAAAAAAAATCAACATTAGTAAGAATTGGGAAGAACTTGATTTCAACCCTCCTGCATAACTTTGAGTAGTTTAAGACTTCAGTGGAGGAAGCGACTGCCGTTGTGGTGAAAATAGCAAGAAGAGTCAGGAGTTCAAGACCAGCCTGGCCAACATGGCTAAACCTGTGTCTACTAAAAATACACAAATTAGCTGGGTGTGGTGGTGGGTGCCTGTAATCCCAGCTACTCGGGAGGCTGAGGCAGGAGAATCGCTTCGACCTGGGAGGCAGAGGTTGCAGTGAGCCGAGATCAAGCCATTGCTCTCCAGCCTGGGCAATGGAGCAAGACTCCATCTCAAAAACAAACAAACAAACAAACAAACAAACAAAAACAAAACCAAGAAAATAGCAAAAAAAAACTAGAATTAGAAATGGAACCTGAAGATCTGACAGAATTGCTCTGATTTCATAAATAAAACTTGAATGGATCAGGAGTTGCTTCTTATGAAAAACAGAGAAAGTGGTCTCTTAAGGTGTAATCTACACCTGGTGAAAATGCTATGAACATTGTAGAAACTACAACAAAGGATTTAGAATATTACACAAACTTGGTTGATACAGCAGCAACAGAGTTTGAGAGGATTACCTTTAATTTTAAAGGAAAGTATACTGTCAGTAGAACAGTATCAAACAGCATTGCATGCTACAGAGAAATATTTCTTGAAAGAAAGGGTCAATCAGTGCAAAATATTTCCTTTTTCATTTTAAGAAATTTCCACAGCCACTCTAACCTTCAGCAACCACCACCCTAATTAGTCAGTGGTCATCAACATTGGGGCAATACTCTCCACACCAAAAAGTTTATGACTCACTGAAGGCACAGATGATTGATAGCATTTTTTAGCAATAATATAGTTTCAATTAAAGTATGATGCTATTACACACTTAATAGAATATGCTATAGTATAAACATAACTTTTATATCCACTGGGAAACAAAACAATTATGTGACTTGCTTTATTGCATTGCTCTCTTCATTCCAGTGGTTTGGAATCAGACCTAAAATACCTCCAAGGTATGCCTATATAATGATATAAAGTATCACATGCATTTACTTAGAAAACAACAGGCCCTGAGATTATTAAGATAATACAATGCAGTTATTTCTCCATTATCCATGAGATCATGGTGCAATTCTTCTCATAGATGCCCCCTGGATTACCTACCACTTTGACAGCAATTTAATATATTCTAAATGGTTGACTGGATAGTCGCAATTAACATCTTGCTGTAAAATAAAATAATCAATATTGTGTAGGATCCAATAAAATAAAAACTTGGTTGACTAAAAATTCATATTGCCTTAGCTGCTTCCATCAGTTCACACTGCCTACCAAGGCCTTAGTGTAAATGAAAATTTAGAGACTGAAGACTGTAAACATGTGTGAAAACCGTTAATAAATATGCACATAAGTATCTATAATTTGGCAAAATCCTAGGAAAACTAAGTCTGATATTTATTCACAACTCTCAGCCAAATCCAGAAACTGAAAGGATCAATATTTGAGCTATCCAAGTTCAAAAAGTTTTATGGAACATTTTACTAGTACGTGATGTGCTCTGATGACTTGAATATGAGTGTTATTGAGTAAAAATAGAAAGATTTTAGAACTTCTCCTGTAAGTGGGTCAGGATAAATATGTCTTTTCATTTACATTGTAAAATGGGGTGGAAAAATCCAAATCATGAATAAATAAAATATCTGGCTCCAAGTAGTGCAATGAAGCTTGTAGACTTTAATATCTCCACTGGTTGTGAATTTTTTCATACCTGTCTCTCTTGTCTAATCAACTGGAGCCTCCATAAACATAAAAAGGATTGAGATTTGTGATATTCAATTGTTAGAAGAGAATCAGGAAATGGCCTTAGGGCAAGTTATAAATTATTATTCAAAAATTGAAAATAGTACATGCAATTAAAAGAAGTTTAAAACCTATAGCTGAAATTGAAACTGTTTGATAGTTTATGAACTTTGCTTATAGAAGTATTTTCATGTAATCTCCTTTAACTATATATTGGAAATAAAAATGTTTAAAGAAAACAATGAAGAATTAAAAACTTATCTTTGTTTTTTCTTCTACTTTTGTATTTTCCCATGTATACCATAGAACTATATGGGAAATCAAATTGCCAAAGAAATTCAAGGCTCCATGAAAACTTTTAAAAAGTGATTTCTATTATATAAAATGAAATCTAGACATGCCTTTTTGCATATATCTCTTATCTCTTTCTCTCTACACATGCATGGCAAGCACATATATGTCTCAGTTTATAATATTTCATTCCACAAAATCTATAGTGTATCTTGCATAGAAATGAAACTTAACCCCTGCATCTTTCCTTTATAAAATATAAGTCATAAGCAGAAATAAGCACATTTAATTTAGTGTGGTAAGATTAACCCTGTCTTTGGTAAAATTTAAAAAGACCACTTGTTAGGTCATGTGAGAGGTAATAAACACTAGACAAGTCGTTGAAAAATTTACTTATTTATTCATAAATATACACATGATCACATTTCATCCTATAAAAGGGAAAGTCTGTGTCATGTAATGGGACCCTAGTCTGACACAAGGCAAATTCATAGAATGGGTTTATAAGGTCTGAGTAGTGCTATGGGTTTGAATGTTATCTCCAAAACTCATTTTGAAATTTATTTGCAATTGTGACAGTATTAAGAGGTGGTGAAATCACAAGGGCTGATAAGGTTTGGATGTGTGTCCCCTCCAAATCTCATGTTGATAGGTGATCCCGTGGTGAAGGTATTTGGGTCATGGGGGCAGATTTCTTTCTTTTTTTTTTTTTTATTATACTTTAACCATTGTGGAAGTCAGTGTGACAATTCCTCAGGGATCTAGAACTAGAAATACCATTTGACCCAGCAATCCCATTACTGGGTATATACCCAAAGGATTATAAATCATGCTGCTATAAAGATACATGCACACGTATGTTTACTGGGGCAGATTTCTTATGAATGGCTTGGTGTCTTCCATATAGTGATGATTTTTATGACGTCTGGTTTTTTAAAAGAGCCTGGCAACTCTGCCTTTCTCTCTCCCTTGCTCCCTCTCTTGCCATATGATATCCTGACTACCCCTTCACCTTCTATCATGATTGGAAACTTCCTGAGGCTGTGCTAGAAGCAGATGCTGCTGCCATTTTTTGAACAGTCTGCAGAATGGTGAGCCAAATAAACCTCTTTTCTTCATAAAGTGCCCGGCCTTAGGTATTGCTTAATAGCAATGCAAACAGACTAACACAAAAGGTCTGCCTTCATGAATGAATTAAAGCAGCTATCACCAAACTGGGTTACTTTTTGTATAGGAGTGGGTTTCTGATAAAAGGATACAATTTGGCCTCCATCCTCTGTCTCTGTTTTATATGCTGTTTTGCCCATTCACTTTCTGCCACAGAATTACACAGCACAAAGGTTCTCATGAGGTACCAATGTCATTCTTTTGGATTTCCCAGCCTCTAGAATTGTGAAATAAAAAACTTCTATTGCTTATAAATTTCCACCTGTGATAGTTTGTTATAGCAACATAAAAAAGACTAAGAAAATTTGGTGTCAGAAGTGAAGATTCTGCTGTACCTGCAGTATCTAAAAAAATCTGCTGTACCTGCAGTATCTAAAAAAATCTGTACCTGAAGTAGCTTTGGAACAGGGTAATGGGTAAAGACTGGAATAATTTGGAGGAGCATACTAGAAAAAGTTCAGGTTTCTGTGAATGGGACAAGAACTACAGTAAAAGTCTGGAACATTTTAGACATTACTTAAATGCTCATGATCAGAATGCTGATAGAAATATAGATGATAAAGGCCATTCTTATGAGATCTCAGATAGAAAGGAGGAACAAGTTATTGGAAACTGAAGTAAAGGGCATTTTTATTATATACTTCCAAAAACTAGGTGAAATTTTGTCTTTGTGTTGGGTGTTTATGGAATACAGAACTTGAGATAAATGAACTAAGAGCACTGAGAGCAAGACTACCATCAAGCCTCCAGAACTATAGAGCTACTAGCATTCAATGCCAGCCTGGGATTATTGCTGGCACAATACTCCAACACACGGGAGCGCTGAGTAGACTGAGCCAAACAGAGCTCTAGAGGTGGGATTGCCTGAAGCCTTGGGGATCCAGCCCTTGCCCCAGTGTGTCCAGGATGTGAGACATTGTGTCATAGAAGATTAGTCTCCAGCTTTCACATTTCATGTTGTTTGCCTTGTTGAGTTTGGACTTACTTGGACTTGAGACCACTGATCGCCTTTTTCTTGACTATTTCTCTCTTCTGAAATTACAATATCTATTCTACGCCTGTACCATCATCGTATTTTGGAAGCAAATAACTTGTTTTGATTTCATAGCATCACAGGAGGAAAATTTTCTTCAAGATTAATTGTGCCTTGATTCTCATTTATATGTAATTTAGATGAGTCCATTAGGCCGTTCTTGCATTGCTATAAAGAAATACCTGACGTTAGGTAATTTAGAAAGAAAAGAGGTGGATTTGACTGATGGTTCTGTAGGCTGTACAAGAAGCATGGTGCCAGCATCTGCTCAGCTTTTTAGGAGGGCTTGGGGAGCTTTTACTTGTGAAAGGTGAGGTGGGAGTTTGCATGTCACATTGTGAAAGCAAGAGTAAGAGAATGTTGGCGGAGGTGCCATACACTTTTAGACAATCAGATCTCATGAGAACTCACTTACACATCACCAATGGGGTGGTGCTAGGTCATTCATGAGGGATCTGCCTCCATGATCCAAACATCTCCCACGAGGACCCACTTCCAACATTGGAGATTACAGTTTGACTTGAGATTTGATGTGGACATAGATACAAACCCCATCAATGAGACACTAGTCTTTGGACTTTGGAGTTGGTACTGAAATGAGTTGAGACTTTGGGATTGTTGGAATGGAATTAACATATTTTGTATGTGACATATACACGAGTTTGGAGGGCCAGGGGAAGATTACTATGGTTTGAATTTCCCCTCCAAAACTTATATTGAAATGCAATTACTTCATTCCTTCCCAGCCTCTAAAACCATGAGACAAATAAACTTCCACTGTTTATAAATTACCCAGTCTGTGATATTCTATCATAGCAACCTAAGATGAACTAAGAAAGGTAGGGTTAAGGGAAACCAAGAAGAAATGAGAAAATGTGCTTGTCCTAGTTAAAATGAGAGCTTTTTTCTTCCCCTATACTTTTAGTGGAAAGGGAGGATATAATTGCAGGATTTGTGGTTTTAACCATAAGTAAGCATCATGGACTTCAACAGAGGGATGTAGCCACTGTTAACTTGAAGCCCAACAGAGATGAAGCTGAAGAAAATATATTTCATGTTTACTCTCCTTCTACCCTCCAATCTTCTGCCTATACCTTCTGTAGGTTTAACCCAACTTGGGGTTAGATAGCAAACTGGCTGGTTGATACAATTCATTAGGATAAGTTTCTGGGCAATAGAGCATGATTAAATATGATAAGTAGATCTCAAGATGCAAATGAGAATATCCAGCCCTGGAATGGACTGAGATTATGTTGGTCCCTTTATCTTTTCCCTGAGTATGGAAATGCACTGGTCTTTTGAAAACTCACAGATAAATTCCTCTTGAGTGAAACTTGCCATAATCCAGTGACCTAAAAAAGTTCAATTTCTCCCAATAGAATATGAATTTTAATCAGTAATTTCCTGAAAAAATTAGCAAAATATGTATTAAAATACTACAAAGTCGATAAGAAGATGAATTCATATTGACAGTGTACTTTAAAGACAGCACATTCCTTGTTAAATTTATTTTTGTCCTCATTGGTTAAACCAGGTAGAAATAAAATAGAAGACTTAGAAAGTATTAGAATGTTTTAGCATCAGATTCATAGCGAACCAAGGACCACACCTTATAGTTAAGAGTTTCCTATGTAATTTAATGTCTAATGAACTTTTAATTTGGTAGAAAGGGTAAATGGCAAAAATGTAAATAATTCCATCAACTATTTGACTAATTTTTTTATATATAAGAAGCAATTATTTGAAAGACAAGTGTGTCATTTTTCCATATGTCATGAGATTTTCTCCCTAAATGGTCCATGAAACATGAAATTAACATGAAGAACATGGTATCTCCTAACAAAAATGCCTAAATTAAAAAGTATGATAGAGAAATGAATGCAGGATTTAGAGGGAAAAGACTTCAATTCAGGTCCAGTCTCTATTTATAAATTTGCAGGTGATCTTGGGCAAATCTTACTGTTTACAGGCTATAATCACTTCATTTGTAAAATAAGTATATTGGTCTAGGTTGAAGATGTTATCAGTCATGGTTCCACCAGAGAAATAGACTATATAAATTCAAGTAGTATATATACTTGAATATATACGTAACATTATAACAATATATACATAATGTTATATACAATATATGTATACAATATATACATAACATTATAACAATGTTATATATACATATATATATATATATATATATATATATATATATATGGATTTATTGCAAGGAATTTACATGATTCTGGAGGTTGACTAGGCAGGTCTGAAATATGTAGGGCAGGCCATGAAGAAGGGCAAGATCGAATTCTCAAGCGTAAGTCGAAGCTTCAATCCACAGGAAGAATTTCTTCTTCAGGGTGACCTCAGCTCTTAAAACCTTTCTCTTAAGCCTTTCTCTTAAAATCTTTCAACTGATAAAATCAGATCTACCAAGATTACTAGGAATATCTCCTTTATTTAAATTCAACTGATTACAGATGTTAATTACATTTACAAAATATCTTCAAAGCAACACCTAGACTAGTGTGTGCTTAAATAACTAGAAATTATAACCTAGCTATATTAGCATATAAAATTTACTATCGGAATCAAAATTTTTTGATTTTGCAGTTTAGTAAACCCTTTTTAAAAACAAAGGGTAATATAGTTTTGGTATTTGTCCCTGCCCAAATCTCATATTGAAATATAATCCCCAATGCTGGAGGTGGGGCCTGGTAGGAGGTGTTTGGATCATGGGGGCAAATCCCTCATGGCTTGGTGCTGTCTTTGCAGTAGTGAGTGAGTTCTCACGAGACTGGGTTATTTGAAAATGTGTGGCACCTCCATCCTCACAGTCTTTCTCTGTTGCCCCTGCTTTCACCATGTGATATGCCTGCTTCCCCTTCCCCTTCTGCCATGACTGTAAGCTTCCTGAAGCCTCCCTAGAAGCCAAGCAGATGCCAGCACCATGCTTCCTACAAAGCCTGTGGAACTATGAGCCAATTAAAACTCTTTTCTGCATAAATAACCCAGTCTTGGGTATTTCTTTATAGCAATGCAAGAATGGCCTGATAAGAGAGGGAGACTGACTTTGGTAGATTGGTCTCCTTTTACTTTTGCAATATGAATCTGTCTTATTTGGTAAAAGATTATGCATTAATTTAATAGCTATGTGTTAACCAATTATTAATAGCAAATAATTGTTTAAATAGAAAATAATTAGTCTTGACAAAAAGAGAACTGTTCTTATTTGTCTCATTTTACTAAAATTGTCATGGAACAACTCTAGTTGTGGATTTTGGAAACCACTGAAGAATATCATTCCTACGGTCCCTTTCAACTCGAAATTTCTCTGAATCTATGAAATCAATCAAATGACAAATGCTTGCTATATATATGGAGTTCTGAATGTTAACACAGACCAGTTTAAAAAAGGTGGTGTCTTGGTAATATTTCACCGTGTGCTTATTAGCAGGTGTTTTAGAGTCAATCACTAGAGTAATCTTGGGCAAATGAACTCATCTCTCTGGGTGCCTAAGATATTTATTACAAAATGAAAGCAATGGTGCTTACTTCTTTGGATTGTTCAGAGGTTAAAAATCTAAAGTATTTAGCACATGTAGTTCATTGGAGGTGTTTTATAAATATCGGTTATTTTTGTTACTACTATTGTTTCTTTTTGTTATACCTTTCAATTAGTTTTAGATGATCATCTTCTGGCCTTTTAGGTAGCAAGTACAACTTCTCATACCCAAGGAAAACATAAAATAAGTTCTGCCTAAGCAGACTGAGTTTCTACTACATTGTTTAAATTGTAGATATCATGCTAAGATTTTTTAAACTGTTAATCCTGTCCACAACCCTTTCAGAAAGCATTGTTATCTATATTTTATAGATCAGAACAGTGAGGGGCAAGCATTCTAAATAACTTGTTCAATATTGTGAAGCTCGATATGTAAAAAAAAAAAATCATTATTTCAACTCAGGTATTCTAATTCAAAATGCTTTGTTATTTCTCTACATATTTCTCATTCTTAACGGATTTGTCTACTTTAGCTATAATAACTAATTACTTGACAACCCATCCTAGTTCTTTCTCCCCTCTTCTCCTCATAACTTTTAATGTGGTAATGGATGTCAGTGAGATTGCAGCACTTGTTGGGTAAATTCAGCTGAAAAGGAGCACTGATACAATAGGAAAGCTTTCCCAATGTCCAATAAAAACCAAAGTTGGCCGGGCGCGGGGGCTCAAGCCTGTAAATCCAGCACTTTGGGAGGCCGAGGAGGGTGGATCATGAGGTCAGGAGAGCGATACCATCCTGGCTAACACGGTGAAACAACTTCTCTACTAAAAAAAAATGCAAAAAATTAGCAGGGCGTGGTGGCGGGCGCCTGTATTCCCAGCTACTCCAGAGGCTGAGACAGTAGAATGGCGTGAACCCGAGAGGCGGAGCTTGCAGTGAGCCGAGATGGCGCCACTGCACTCCAGCCTGGGCGACAGAGAAAGACTCTATCTCAAAAAAAAAGTTTAACTGCCTTTCAGTATTTCCTCCGAACATCTGTGTTTTTTTGTTGTTGTTGTTGTTATTGTTTTGTTTTGTTTTTTAACTTGCTTAATTTTTTCTTCTTTCATGTACTTCTTTGCACTGGGTTATCATACCTTCACTGGTACATAGAGGTGTGCCAGATACGAATGATGTTACATATCCTGACACTGAAAATTCAGAGAAATGGAAAACAAATGGTCTTTGATTTACTAGACATTCCCGTTAAAACAAACAAACAAACAAAAATTAGAATATAATACAGCAACTATTCACTTGGGAAGGCTATTACTTCAAATACCATAACAATATGCATTACTATTAATATAATAAACTCAATTCCTTTGCAGTTTGAAAGTATATTTAAAAAAAAAAAACTCTGTGGTCTTTTGCATTGTATTACATTATAAGAGGGCATTTTGATCTCTGTGAAATATTCACCTGATGCCTGTGACATATTCATGCAATACAATCTTTTGCTCAGCAACACAAATGAGTTTATTTTCAAAAGTTAACTGAGTACATTGAAGTTGGAAGGCAAGTTTGAGTCATGTTTTCCACTTTTGGGTTGATAAGTCAACTTAAGGCATTGATCTTGACAGATAATAGTAAAAACTGTTCAAAAAACATTATTCAAATGATAAAATATTTATTTTAATTTGAAATTGTTCCTTAAAAATACAAAAGAATATAAAATCACTTTACTTGCAGAGATAATCTTATTCTGCTTCCTTAAGTTGCAAATCATGCACTGTTTCATCCAATAGTTTTCTATTTTACTAAATTTCAAAAGTGGGTCAAAAATTTTAAATGTTGCCTTCTTGATTTTGCACTGTGTTAAGCATGTTAGGACAGAAGAATGAGTGTACTTTGAGTGTTCATCCGGCCAAAGTGTTCCAAACAGCACTCTGAAGAATGGTAATATGAGGCTGCCTACATCAGAATTACCTAACTGAGCTTGTTAAAAATAGATTCCAGGGGCCGGGAGCGGTGGCTCATGCCTGTAATCCCAGAAGTTTGGGAGGCTGAGGCGGGCAGATCACCTGAGGTCAGGAGTTCAAGACCAGCCAGACCAACATGCAGAAAACCCGTCTCTACTAAAAATACAAAAAAACTTAGTCAGGCGTGGTGGTGCATGCCTATAGTCCCCTCTACTCAGGAGGCTGAGGCAGGAGAATCACTTGAACCAGGGAGGCAGAGGCTGCGGTGAGCCGAGGTTGTGCCATTGCTCTCCAGCCTGGGCAACAAGAGTGAAACTCTGTCTCAAAAAAAAAAAAAAAAAAAAAAAAAGTTTCTAGGGACAAATTCCATTACAAATTCCTGTTCTACTAAGACAGAATCTCCCAGAGTAGTACCTGAGGATCCCTGTTTTAAATAAATCCTGAGGACAATTCTCATGCCCAGCCATGGTCAGTAATACATCAAGTCCATTTCTTTCCTAAATATAGGGTATAGAAATTATTCCACAAAGAGGAGACATAATTCTTGTTTTAGAAATAATATATTTCTCCCATTTTTCAATAGCCCTTCTAATATTTCACAACTTTTGGCTTTTACTTATTTTTTTTTTAAACAGAATAATTTTTTATAGTTCTCTTCTGGTATACACATTATGTACAGGGAAAGAGAGGAGCTTATATGAATACAAATACAGTTATCTCATAATACTTTATAGTGCTGATAGAGAAAATACTGATTACCTACACACGTCTTAATTATTTCTCTTATTTTCCTAAAATCTCCTCTTACCTGGAATACTTTCTCTTCTTTCCACTCCCCTTTTCCTTCTGTCCCAGTCCTCTTAGCCATAGCTCTTCACGTTGCAACACATACAATTTTAGAATAGTTTTATCACTTTCTCATGCTTGAGGGTTTTATTTGCTTATATATTATATGCAATTGCTATAGTCAACTTTATAATTTTCTCTAGCTTGGAATGCATTTCTAGCTTATTGAGCTAAAATGTATAAACAGTAAAATGCACTTATTTATACGCACAGTTAGATGAATTGTAACGACTACATATACCCAAGTAACAACTATCCAAAAACAACAAAAAAAGAAAATAGAAAATTTCTATCAATGCAGAAAATATACTTGTGCCCTTTTGTTGGCAATGCCTCCACCCAGAGGTAGTGACTGTTTTTATTTATGTCAAAATAGTTTAGATTTACCAATTTTTTTATTTCATATTGAAGAAATATAAAAAGATTTTTATAACTGTAGATTTTTTCATTTAATATATTTAATATTTTATATTCCTTTATATTGCTTGTCATTTGAATACAAGTGTTTTGGTAGATGTATGTTTTCATTTATCTAAGGTAAATTTCTGGTTCAAAGGGTAAGTGCACATTTAATTTGATCGAAAAACTACCTATTGGGTAATATACTTATTACCTGGGTGATGAAATAATCTGTCTACCAAATGCCTATGACACGCAACTTACCTACATAACAAACCTGTATGTGTATACCTGAACCTAATTTTAAAAAACCTGCAGAAGAATTTTTCAAAGTGGTTGTAGTATTTTACACACCAAAAAATATGATAATCTGAATTACTCCATATTCTTGATAATATTTGCTATTGTCAGATTTTTGTCTGTTTGGTTTTCTTGTCTTTCTACTGGTAGTGTAGTCATACCTGAAAGTTAGTTAGCATGTATTTCATTGATGACTATTGACAAGGAACATTTTTTTCCTGTGTTTATTAGCCATATATGTTAAAATATATATTATATATAATATGTAGTCTATATATTCTTTAATGTGCTTTTCAAATATTTTAATTATTAATTTGTACTTCTGTATAAATTCTGGGTAAGTCCTTTGTTAGAAAGTATTGTGAATATTATCTTCCAATATATGGCTTGTCTTTTCACGTTCTTACACTGACTTTTGAAAAACAGAAGATTTTGACCTTAATAAATTCCAATTAATTACTTTTTTTAACTGATAGTTTTTATGACCTATATGAAAATTTTTTATCTTCCCCATGAAATGTCTATTACAAATTTAGTATCTTTAGTAAATATGTAGCTATTTAGATTTTTTATTTCTTCTTGTGTTATATTTGGAGTTATGTTTTTAAAAATATTATGCTATTTAATTACAAAGTTGATGGCATAAAGCCACTTATAATATTTCCTCATTATCTTTTTGATGTCTTTAGGATCCATAGTGTTATCTTTGCAAATATTATTGATATCAGTAATGTGTTTCCTTTCTCTCATTCATTCTCTTTTCAGTTTTTCATGATTAGATTTTCTAGTCAATAAAATCAATTGTATTACCCTTCAAAGAGCAACCCTCTTTAAGAGTTGCAGTCTCCCCTCTATCACACAGGCTGGAATGTGGTGGTATGAGCATAGCTCACTACTGCCTCCAACTTCTGGGCTCCAGCTATCCTCCTCTCTTAGCTTCCTGAGTAGCTGGGTGATATGATTTAGATCTGAGTTCCTGCTCAAATCTCACGTTGAACTGTAATACCTAGTGTTGGTGGTAGAGGCTGGTAGGAGGTGATTAGCTCATGGGGACAGGTTTCTCACAAATGGTTTAGACCAACCCCTTGATGCTGTTGTTGTGATAGTGAGTTCTTGTGAGATCTGGTTGTTTAAAAGTGTGTAGCACCCCCCCACCCATCTCTGTTTCTTGCTCCTACTCTGGCCATGTGAAGTGCCTACTTCCCCTTAACCTACCTCCATTATTGTAAGTTTCCTGAGGCCTCCCCAGAAGCCTAGCAGATGCCAGCATCATGTATCCTGTACAACCTGTGGAACCATAAGCCAATTAAATGTCTTTTATTAATTATCCTGTCTTGGGTATTTCTTCATAGCAATGCAAGAACAGGCTAATACACTGGGGCTACAGGGATGTGCCACTATACTTGACTACTTTGTTACTTTTTTTGTAGAGATGGCATCTCACTATGTTGCCCAGGCTGTTCTTGAACTCCTGGGATCAAAAGATCCTCCTGCCTCAGCCTCCCAAAGTGCTGGGATTATAGGAATAAGCCACTGCAACCAGCCAGCAAACTTTTGGCCTTATGATTTCTTCTATTATTTGTAATATATAGCCCATTGATTTCTCATTGTTCTATTTATTATTCTTTTTCTTCTACTTTCTCTCTGTTTTGCTAGTTTTTTTAGCTTGATATGAAAGTGTAGATAATTGATGTTGAATCTCTATTTTATTATAAGCATATAATCTTATATATATCTCCTCTAAACAAAGCTTTATCTGCACCCCACAAATGTGTTGTAGTTTCATTAATGTTCAGGCCAAATTAGGTTTCAATTCCCCTTGTGTTTTGTTTTTTATCCCATAGGTGATTTATAATTGCATGTTTTCCAAATGTTTTGACATTTTCTAGATTTATTTTGGTTATTTAGTTCTAATTTACAACTAAGACACTCATAAAAGACACTTTGAGTGACTTCAAGACTTAACAATTAATTGTGTCCTATTCTATGAGAAGATACATTATCTATCTTGGTAAATACATCATGGTTACTGGAAAAAATGTGTAATCTGGAATTTTTTTATATGTGTCAGTCTTTAAATGTAAATTAATTCAAATTGCTTAAAGGTTGTTCAAATTTTCTATATAATTACTGATTTTTTCTGTCAATGAGAGAGAATTAACAAAATCTACAATTTGTGGATCTCTTTATTTCCCTACATAAACCTGACAATCTTTATTTCATGCACTTCGAAGCACCAATGAAGCCCATATTCATTTAGAATTTTTATACTTGAATGAATTAACACTTGTATTAATATACAACCAACTTCGTTATCTCTGGATAAAGAATCTACTTTCCAGTCTGTTTTTTCTGATATTAGTATAGTCATTTCAGCTATCCAATGATGACTTTTGCATGATATTTCGGTTTTCATCCTGTTATTAATAAAACAATTGTTTTTAGATGTTACTTGCTTTCCTTATATTTAGTCAGATATTTCTATTTAATCTAGTCAATCTCTGACTTTTAAATAGTCAATATAGTTGAATTTATGCCCATTATTTTGCTATTTTCTATTTGTCTCTACTATCTTTATTTATCTTTTCTTCCTTTTCTTTTTTATCTTGGTAAAGCCAATAACTTTTACTATTTAAATCTAACTCACATTTTGACTTTAAATTTACATCTCTATATTTTTAAGTAGTTTCTCTGGAGATTTTCTGTGGTATAGCTTACTGCATACTGTCTTATTTCATATTACCATTTTTACATAATATGTAACAAACTGGTTACTCTATAATTACATATGTAGCTCTACCCACACTTTGTACTACTGTTACGTACTTTATACCTACATACCTTACATACTTCACATTTATTTGTTATGACTCATGCTTTACGTAATTTAAAGTTTTTAAAGATAGAAAACTTATCTAATATATTTATCCATATATTTAACATTTCAAGTACTATTCCTTTTTTTCTGTGGAATTTACTTTCCATATGGTGTCATTTTCCTTCGGCCAAAGAGTATTCTTTTGTTTTTGTTCTGGGGGGGGTGTGTGTGTGTGCGTGTGTGCAAGTGTGTGTGTGCATGTGTGTGTGTTTGATAGCACAGGTCTACTTGTGACAAATTCTTTCAGCTCTCAGTTTTCCCAAAAATGTCCTTATTTTGTATGTATTTTGGAGAAAAATTTTACAGGATATAGAATTCTACATGGAAATAATTCTTTCAACACTTTAAAGTTGTTATGCCATTTTCTTCTGGCTTTCATTACTGATGGAAATTCAGCTTTCAACAATATTAATGTTTTACTTTACATAATTTGTTTTTTTCTTCTCTTGCTTTTAATGGTTTTCTCTTCTGAAATTTGATTATGATATTCGTAGGTAAAATTTGCTTTGTAATTTCATGGTATTTGCTGAGCTTCTTGGATATGCAGTCTCCCCTTTTTGATCATACCTGGGAATTTTTTAGCCCATATTTCTTCAAAAATTTATTACCCTAATCTTATCTTCTCTTTTGATATTTCAAATATATATTTATTAACTCATTTGATAGTGTCTCACCAACCAATAAGCTTTCTTGATTTTCCCCCTCTAGATTTATTTTTACCTGTTTTCTGGTTCACTGATACTCTCATCTACTGTTTCTAATCTGCTATTCTTTTTTAGATTTTGCATTTTCTTCATTTCTAATATTTCCTAAGTAATGTTTATAATTTTTAGTTTTGTAAATTTATACTTTTATAGTTTTTATAATTTCCAAATACTTTCTGAAAATCTTTACCTTCATTTATCTTTTTCTACAGTTTCTTTCATATATTTATTATAGTTATTTTAAAGTACATGTCTGCTCCTTACAACAACTGGGTTGTTAGTACATCTACTTCTCTTTCATAAATTTTCTCTTGACAATGAATCAAACTTTTTCTGTTTTCTTTTATCCCATTATTTTTATTGTATTCCAGAAATATGGATGACACATTGTATAGACCTCCCGTATTTTCTTATCTTCCCCTAAACAATGTTAAGTATTGTTGTATTAAGCAGTTTAATTACTGATAAGTCACTTTCAACCATTCATAATTTAGTTCTATGCTTTGTTAGGGTAAGTCTACTTTGCTTTTGCTGTTAATTTTAGGATGAATGTATTAGTTTTGGCTTTATGCCTAACGCCTTCCTAGAATTTACTCAAAAGGTTAGCTTGTTTTTTTTTTTGCGGGGGGAGGGCGCGGCGGGGTGCATTTTAGTGAGAAGTCTAATACACTTTGAAGTCTTGCTAATTTCACGGGACTTGAACTCCAAACTCTTTTATCCCTGTAGTGGACAGCAGCTGTAATCTATGCTAACTTATTTCAGTCTTTTAGTTATTGTCTCTTTCTAATATGCTTATAATCTCACCTGCACATGCGTGTCAGCCAATGATTTAAAGAGAATTTATTTTCATTTTGAGGTCTTTCCTTCTTGAAGGTTCTTCCTACTTATATTCCCTGAAATTGCCAGCTTTTCTGGTTTTTATATTTCTTCCCTTTGACTTTTAAGTCCACAAACACTGCGACCCTCTGCTTGAGTTCTAGCGGCCTCATTATATTTTCAGGTGCTGCCCTTGAGGGGAAGCTATATACAGATTGATTTCATCAATGTGGTTTTCTTTCAAAAGACACATTCCTTCTAGATTCTTTCTGCATTAGTCACTTACCTGTGCCTTCATACAGTTTGTTTTTAATACTTTTCCCAGGATTTATGTATTATCACTGGGGTGGGGGGGTGGTTAATTCAATTAAAACTATTCTGTCATCACCAAAACCGAATCAGAATCACCTTCTTCATGTTGTCTAGTTATGTCTCTTTTTGTCTTCATTTGTGTGTGCGTATACCTGTGTGTATTAACTTCTGTTTCTTTCCTCTCCCTGACTCTCTTTCTCTCTCTCAATAATAGTTGCTAAATTTATGTATACAGAAGGACTTTTGTTGTTATTTTCAAAAAACTCTCTTAGAAACCAAAAGATATGGAGTAGCATAAGATCTATTTCCTGTTATTAGATTTTTTAATTTATATAATCATACCACAAAAATCTCTTGAGTGACTACTATATAGAATTATGCTAAGTAATAGAAATATTAAAGAGATACAGATATAAATGAATAAATCAGTTTCACACAGTAATATATTAAATATCTGAATTAATCTATATATGATTTCAAACATAATTTTAATGTATAATATGTTATTTAATGTACAATTACTTTTTGTATAACCAAGATGTCTCTATTTTATAACTATGCCTTATACTTGTTACTCCTTTTACTCTCTGAGAAATATTTACAAAATCAGTTTCCAGGGCCCTACCCTGCAAGATTTTAGACTATGATACTGTTTATTAAGCTCTCTGAGAGATTCTGATATATAATTAAATTTGTGAATCACTTTTTCTTATTATATATACATATCGAGATACTTTTGCCCCAAAGCCTAAGAAAATTTTATTACCCAAGTATTGTAAGCAAAGAAATATATTCTATTTTCATTTTTCATGTGTGTGTTGAAAAATATCTCCACCTTTGAGCTAAGAGTCTGATATCCCTAGCTCTAATATTTTGCAAAGTTATGTACCACAGTAATGGCTTAAAATTGTTCTAAAAGACTCAATAGAGGAAAACCGGATTAAAAAATAATGTTCATAAATTAAAAGTGTTTTTTTTTTTACTATTTTGGTCTATACCATGGTGGAAAAAAATCTCTTTCCCACCTATCTGCATATTTCATTGCTAGAATCAAAATGATGTTAAAATAACTATTATCAAAGGAAACCAAAATATTACTCTCTAAAATACTGGAGATTGTTTAGCTAAAAAGAAAGGCTAAAATGCAGGGACACACTCTGCCACTCTTCTCTGCCTTTCCCATCTAAATGTAATTCCATTTACAACACTTGCTGATGAGCTCAGAAACAGAGCTCAGAGACAATGGCACCAGAGGATCTAAGAACAGACTTTAGTCTTCCCCTAAATTTACCTTCACACATTTTCTTGCCATTGAAAAGCCTCAAGATGCTCTCTTCTTTGTCATTAATATGAGTTATGACTCTTTACTAAACTACTACTTAAACAAGGCCCCTAACTACCGCCTTAAGAGAAAAATACTTTTAAGCTGAGGCTTCTCCCACATGACAGGTACGGCACACATTAATAAACTTCTGGGGTGTTGTTGCTATTGTTGTTGTTGTTAATCTGACTTTTGTTTTCAGGAAAGTGTTTCAACTAAAATTCTAAAAACAAAGAAAAAGTATTTTTTCTTCTCTACAATTTGGCGACCCATATGGGACTAGCAGATGCACTTTACTCACCCTAAGACCCACAGATGGAATCGAACTGGTAGAAGCCTGCAGACAAAGGCAAAATTTCTGACCAAAGTAAGCTTCTCAAGGCTTCTATCTGTGGTACCTGGTCAAGAAAAGAAAGTAAAAATTGTTTCTTGTCTCTTCCTTTCTAGTTTCTGATTGGCGAAAAAACATTTATAATAATTATCTGTTGGGGGTACCTACTTGGTTATTGATTTTTAGTTTTCCAAGGATCTTTGTTTTCCTTGTCTCTCTCTCTTTTTGTGGTTTGTCATGAGGAATAAAATCATAATAAGGTTCTATTTTCATTTTGTTTTGTTTCTTGAGAAACTTGGCTTTGTAACCAGTGAATTAATTCTTTGATTTCTACCACCCTGGAGGACATAAATTGTTGGGTTCATGTCAGTTAGCCAGCTGGGAGGCCAGCTGGGAGGCCAGCTGGGAGTCTGAAATGTCTGTTTGTCCAAATGCACCAAGCTCTCAGAAATATGCCTTAATTATCTCAACCTTCATTGCCTTGTTAATAATGAGGGTCTTTACTTAGGGCCCCTAAGCTACTGCTTTAAAAGGAAAATACTTTTAAACTGAGTCCTGTCCTGTATAATGGGTATAGCACACAATTATATCTCTTTTTTTTCTTTTTAATAAACCTGACTTTTGTTTTCAGGAGGATGTCTTAAGTATAAACCAAAAAGGGAAAAAATATGTTTCCTTTCCTACAATATTTGAGGTGAATGTCTTATCTAGATTTTCAGCATTTTATAAATAAACTAGACTATGATCGTGGCAGGTATTGCTTTTCCTGAACTCATTCTGCCAAAATTGACATCTTCTCCTGGGACTTAGAGAAAGAGGTGTTATTTGATTGATTGCTGGCTAAAGAACTTTGAAGTGAAAGCCTGGTAGTGGGTAAAGAAATTATATTAGACAAATTGTGATAGGAGTCTCAAAAAGAGAATGCAGAAATGCATGCCTGAATATAATAGGTACTCTACAAAAATAATTAAATAAGACCCTTTTCTTAACAGAAGTTAATCAAGAATTTAGCCATATTCTGGAATTCCATTTATTTCCTGCAAAAGTGTCATAGTCATATTGATGCCCCATCTGTGGGATTCAATTATAAAGATGTACACATATAGGATTTCAAACGATGAATATAGGATGAAGCTGTCAAATATTACTATTTTTCAAATTATGTTGATTTGGTGTATCTTAAGAAATAGCATTATAGGTAATAATCAAGTTTTCTCTACCCATCTTTTTTTTCAGGGAAATTTCAAGAATGTTAGAATTCTAAAGATAGACTCAATGAAAAAATAGGCTAGTAGATCTCATTCATGGCCTTGATCATGAAGTTTCTAGTATTAAATTGGAAGTCTCAAGTTTATCTCTGTAAAGAAATTAAACACTTTGAGATAGCTGGTACTTTATAGTGTTTCAGTGATGATGTGTGACCTTCTATACAACATTACATTTTAAAATATTAATGCCAATATTATTTAATGAAGGTGTGATATTTACATTTCCATCATAAACTAAAACAAAGATCTCAACAGTAATTTATATTATTTTTCATGAAAAAAACAATCAATTTCCATTAACAAGTTTTATTCTCTAAATGGAACTCAAAAGTATGGGCCGTTTATATCCTCTGGAAAAAAATTCATTATAAAAATAAAAATATATAAATAAATGAAAAGATTCAAAGTCTAAAATTAAGCAATAAACAAATATAAAAGTCTGTGACATTTGACTATAATGGGCCATGATATTGAACAAAACACAAAATTATTGCCACATAAGATAATATGGTGTCAAGAGAAAAATGACCACTTTGACTTTTATTACTATTATTGATCTCTAATGTCAGGCACAAAGCAGTGATTTGGCATGTGTTGATTATTTTAAATATTGCCTAACGAATGAATATTTAATGGAAGTGAATTGGCAAAGAATACTAGGAAATGTCTCATTTAACCACTAAGGTTATTTTAATGAAGTGTTTTCTGCCCTAGAAAATCTGTGAAACAAAAAGTAAGCAAGGGATTATTAAAACCAATAGTTTAGATTCATTCAGGCAGTTCATCATTCTGATTAAAGGGATTTCTTACGTAAGAGAGGAATTTATTTGTGCTTTGAATTTTTTTCCTTTATTTCTTTTCTTTTGAGACAGGGTCTCACTCTGTCACCCAGGCTGAAGTGCAGTGGTGTGATCTCGGCTCACTGCAGCCTCTCCTGGGCTCAAGGGATCCCCAAACTGAGTCTCTGAAGTAGCTGAGACCACAGGTGTGCTCCACCATGCCTGGCTATTTTTTTTTATTTTTGTTGAGATGAGGTTTTGCTATGTTGCCCAGGTTGGTCTTGAACTCCTGGGGTCAAGAGATCCACCAACTGCCTTGGCCTCCCAAAGTAGTGGGATTACAAGCGTCCAGCCAAATTTTCTATCATCTTTTAAATATTTTTTTAAATAAAAAGCTTAGTCTGTTTGAATGACAATGAAAATTCCAGTCCAGGTCAAATTATCTGGCGTTATTATAGAAGTCTGATTAGATATTTTAGTTTATAGTTCTATCCATTCTAGCTGCCCACACAGGATATCATTATGCTTCATGTAATCAGCAAGTGTGTTTTGAATAAATAAATGCAAATTCTTGTGAATTCCTTCCCTACAATATATCTTAGATTAGTCTATTTCTCTTGATATCTACTACACTATCATGATCCAATGAAATAGCTTCCTAAATGGTCTCTTTACAAGCACCTTTAACCTATAAAGCTGTCAAGCTTCCTCTGAAAACACATCAGATCACATTACCCTTTCTTCAATTGTTTCCCTTCGCACTGATGAAATTGAAAATCTTTGCTGTTACTCAAAAAGTCACTTAGAATTCTTACTCTGTCACCACATGCCACATGGTTTAGCTTCAATCACATTGATCTTTTTATTTTTTACATTTCCTCAAAGAAACAACTGTCTTTCCACAGTTATGGTTTTGGTTTTTGTTGTATTCTCTTCCTAGAAAACGCTTTCCCTGTGATAACATGACTGAATTTGCTTTCCGCTCTGTTTATAAACTCCCCCAAAGGATCTTTCCTGATTACCATATGCAAAAGGCATATCTCTCTTCTCATGTTTTCCCTTTCTCCCTATCCCCCATCACACTATTGTTTTCTGTCACTGTATGAGGAACATCTTGTTACCAACACAAGACATACTGATCCCCTTGAATTCTCTGTGAATGACCCCTTTGGATCAGAGTATGTATGTACAACAAAAAGGACATGTATCTTCCTTTCATATGCACAGCTCACGCTATACTGCTGAAAGAGTAAACGATGTGCCATCCCGAAATGCACCAAATTAGTATATTGATTATTTTGAGTTAAAAAAATGGAAAAAATGTAGTTTCAAAATGGATTAGCTGACCGTTTCATCCTGCATGCAGCAAGCTATAAAGATTCCTTTGGGAGGGATATCCTCTTCATACAAGGGTGAGAAAATAGCCCTTATCACCAGAGACTGGGAGTTAGTGGCTGCAATGAAGCTGAATAAATATACATAACGAAGGAACCTTTATCTTCCACTGGATCTGCACCCCCAACTCCCACCAATATATTTCCTAGTGACTCTTCTAGAAATTTACTGTCCCAGTCAGCTTTTCTTTGTCCCATCATTTCCTCTCAAATGTATCATTCTTTGTCTAAAATGTATAAACACATCTTGCCTTGGCCACTTCTTTGGGGAGTTCATTCTCTTGTGAAGATTCCTATGCACATGTGAAACTAATAAAATTTGTATGCCTTTCTCTCATTAATCTGCCTGGAGTCAATTTGGTTTCTAGATACAGCCAAAGAGCCCACATAAGAGCTACAGGGAGGTTGGAGATGATCTCTGTCTCCCCTACACCATGCCTATCCTGTTATCTCTGCCTATATAACAATTGGTTACATTTTAAATCAATGTTATTTCTTCATTTATGTGTTTATTCTGGTCCCTCTTTTTGCCTGGAAACTCCATAAGAACAAGAATCATGTCTGTTTACCTTTGCAAAAACAAGCCTTGGATGTAGAAATCCCTCAATAAGTATTTGCTAAATAGATAAATGAAAAAAATATAATTTGATAGAGTTAAGATACAGAAAAGAGCAAAATGCAAAATTTCTTAATTATTTGTGAGAAATGACAGGTTTTTCTTTCTTTTTGCAAAAATAAATGTAAAGTTTCTTCAGAGCATATCAGAGACTTCACTAAACCACTGTTTAAGAACTTGGACTTTGGTCTTATCTCTTCAACACTATATTAAAAATCCTAAATGTTTTAAATTATGTAGATTAACATTCATTTGAGATACTTTAGGTAAAACTTTTAATGGGAAAGTCATCCAAAAAAGAAATGTTAAATTAAAATTAAATTCAGTGTAAGTATAGTTTTCAAGCTCTGATTTTAATTCTGGAAATGCTGCCTTCAACCTACCATGTGAAAAATTTTGATAAATGGTAAAATAATTAGATTTGGAGAACTATTTTTATTGAGAAACAATCTCTCTCCACATATACTCGCAACTATTACCTGACTAAGCCAAAAGAATAATGGTATTACTAATGGCTAGGTAAATATCTTTCCATTAATGTGTTTTCATTAGCACCATATTTTTGATGTTTTCATTCTTTTAATTGTGTGGAGCACTGATGCTTTTTGAATTAGCTCTCATTGTCTGAAAAAGGTTACTTTGGTCACACGATTTAACTACTGCAAAGCAGTTCAAGCAGTTAACAGTGGGGTAGGGGAGCAAGAAAAATAATAGGATATCTCCTTACAATAATAAATTTGGACTTTATTTCAGTTTTTAGTTTGATCATTTATATTCCTGTCTGCAGAATTTTGACAAGGCTTAACAAATTGTAAATGGATACTTTATAGAGTAAACATAATACTATATATCGCAGACTATCTTAAGTGAGTTTGACTGATTCATCTGGGTGGGCAAAGTAGAAGTTTTACAGTGGAAACATCTTAGGCATAGACTACACAACAGGAAAAAAAATGATAAAACAAATTTAATTTCAAATTAATTTACTAAGCAATTAAGAACTGCCAATTTAATAGTCCAAAGTTACTAAACTATAGCCTGTGGATCAAATCCAGCTCACCTACCATTTTTGTAAACAAATTTTTATAGGAAAAAGCCATATTCATGTGTTTATGCCTTGCGTAGGGCTGCTTTTGACTACAATGGCAGACTATCTGGACTACAAAGCCAAAAATGCTTACTATGGAGTCCTTTAGTGAAAAGTCTGCCAACCTGTAACAGTTAAATGGTCTCACTTTATGGCAAATGGCTTAGATAACATCTTCTGCTAAGATATTTTTCTGGGATCCACATAATGATTACAGGGCTCAAAAGAGAAATGAATTTTTCCATTTGTTGTGCTAAGAAAGCCATCAGCTAAATGGTACCTAAACAAACTGAAAGAGTAAATCATCTTTCAAAAGTCCTATTGTAACCTCCCTGTATATGTGACAGCACTTGACCCAGGGCAGTGATAAAGAATAAATAATTGGGTAAGGGGTAGTTGATTATTTTAGGAGAAATTCTGTGCTAGGTGGGAGTTCAGCAAACACATACAAATTTAGGCCTTCCCAGATCCCATAATCAAAACTATAGTTTGGAGAGAGCAATCCATCAGGCACATGTGGATACCAGAAGCTGAGATAAAAAGCACCTCAGGAATTGCAATCCAGGTGAGAACAGAAAGGCCTAAAGGGAAGGCAATGCAAGGGGCCAGCATTCACACTGTTGACCAAGAAACAAGAGGCCCACAGAAACGAAATGCAGGAAAGAATGGAAGAAGACATAAATGGAAGCACCAGAGGAGGGCAATCTAATTGCTCTGGTTTCCATTATGAACAGGTCCTATAGCCTGGCTGGAGCTTAGCACACAAAGCTTCTGTGCTGAGCAGAAATCCAAACACCATTCTAGCCTTGCCCTCACCACTGATTGTACCCTCACCCACTCAGCTAGCAGCTCCTTTAGACCCTGACTGTTTTCATCGTTACTCACTTTCTTCTTTCCACATTCTTAGAACGAATGCCCTTTGAATTAACCAGCCGGCCACTTGAAACCGCTTCTGCCACCTGACTCCAGTTGATTCAGAAAGCCATTTTTTCTCTTTTTCAGTTTTTGCCCTTTATTTTTCCATAATCACTTTATTTATAATAGAACTATGATTCTTAATCCTAGCAGGCCCTATGTCCTTCTTTAATAACTTTATGATATGAAGCCCTCTTTAGCATTCTAATGGAATTTACAAAGTATATTAAATACTTATTCATATTACTTAAAAATCAACATAATGTCCTAACAGTAATCTAGTAATCTATAAAAGAAATCTAAAAATAATTTGTTATAATTTGTATTCAATATGTAAATGCTGTGGCATGGCTACTAGAAAACTTAATGGAATGATCATATGCTTGCTTCTGTATATAGGATTATTAATGAACCATACATGAATTCAAATTGAAAGTTATATTGATGACTCAAATATCCAAAAGTGACCTTTCTACTCATGTGATTTTCTCTAAATGGTATAAACCACTCCTGTTGAAATTTCAAACAATAGAAAATATAATATTCAATCTATTTACATGATATTTTTTCCTGGAAAATTTAATGACTATTCAAATGATGAAAACTACTATAATTTTAACTGTTATATGAAGACATGTTTTAAGATTATATTTCTACAGACATGACTTTCACACTAATTAATAGGCATAAATATATTTGGAAGTTCCATGGAATGATGTACAATATTTTTGATAGGTGGGGCATTCTAGAACATTGCAGGAATACTAGCATATTGCCTATTTCCTCCTACCTTGAGAGTAGTGCTCCCCTAATTGTGACAACAAAAAATACCCTGAGGACATTATGCTCCATTGAGATAGAGTAAGTAGTGAGGAACATGGATTCCTGGCTCAGCCCTCCTGTTGTCTATACCTATCCTTTTGTTACGGTTTTGGAGCGCTAACTAAAAGATTTCACGCTGTGGGAAATAAAAGTACTGAGGAAATTTCAGAAACAAGCCAATTTTCCTGTTATAATATTCTATTTTTAAGGCTTAAGTTTCCTAGGAGTTAAATTTAGAAACAGGGGAGGGGTTAATAATAAAGGGAGGGAACATAGTGAGAAACAGGATAAGTCCAGCATATGGGGTGGCATGGCCACGTGGATATACAATTATTTCACTCACAAAAAACTGCATTGACAATAGGCTTAAAGTAGGACCTCATTAAATACTCATTGATAATTTACATCAGAAATTCTAGATAAAGGAAACAGACTGGTTGTTGATAACTTCATTGGTTTGTACTTAGTTTCTGTTCAACATACTGGTAACGACACTGAAAGACTAAGAACCACAAATACACTTTCCAGGAGATGATAAAAGTCACATTTGTGAATTTGCCTTCTGTTTAAGTTCCAATTAGAAAGTATATGTTAATAAGCTTATTTCTGCTTTATGCCTGAAGCACAGGTGTTATCAGTAAAAAAAGCATGGCTTTCTAAGGTGAATACAAAATGGTGAAATTCCAACATACTTGTAAAACCCAAGAGGATTTTATTAATTAATCTACTTCTGAAGCCTCAAATAAAATCATAACATATACAATATAGAAAAAAGCAAAGGGTATGTGAGTTAGAAAGGGGAACACGGGATAATTCATGTATTTGTAATGACCTTATCCATAGAGATATCTGCCAGAAAACTGATCAATCTTTAAAAATCACTTCCCATTTTACTCCTACTTTTAGCCTTACCCTTACGATACATGCTAAATTCTAAACATTCTCCTTTTTTGTGTGTGTTTTGGTGAGAAAAAAAAAATGTTTAAAAATATCGCAAGGACAAAAAACCAAACACTGCATGTTCTCACTCATAGGTGGGAATTGAACAATGAGAACACATGGACACAGGAAGGGGAACATCACACACCGGGGACTGTTGTGGGGTGGGGGGAGGGGGGAGGGATAGCATTAGGAAATATACCTAATGCTGAATGACGAGTTAATGGGTGCAAAAATTAATTAAAAAATAAAAAACAAACAAACAAAAAAATACACTAGCCCTGCAATCAACTTTAGCATTTCTAATTTCTCTCACAGTATGAAATAATGTCAAAATATGTCATTTTAAAATTTCAAATATCAGTATATCATATTGAAATCTTAGACTGAGCAGATTGTGAATTTTAGTTTTCAATGCCATATCTCCGCTCTTCTTAAAAGTCCAAAAAAGAACACTCAAGAGAACGTGGCAGGTTAACATGTGAAACCGACATGCATCGTGGGAGCCCATGTGGTGGACATCTGCCCACACCTCCTCTATATATGCCATGGGGTGCCACCTGAGGGTTAGGCAAAAAATAGACATAAGCAAAAATAGAAGCTAATTCTGAATCTTTCAGTCAGACCTGGGATAAATCACTTAACACACACATCCATTTCCTTGTTTTCAAATGACAAAATGCTTTTTCCCCCAGAAAAAAAGTAACTAGAGGTCTTTAAATGAAAGACTCTGAGTCCTATTTTATTAATAATGTATTATTTTTCTTCTAAGAATAATGATTCTGAGGCACTTATCCCCCAAGCCATCATCCATCAGGGAAGGATAAAGCATTCATACTGGTTGCCTGTATTTCAAATGATTTATTGTTAATGCTGAATATATATCTTAATGACTTCAAGCTTGAGCGGTGCTGTGAAACCACAAAACTTGATGTTTCAGATTTATTTTTCTGTTCAGATAAAATTTCAAGTGTGTTACAAGCAATTAAAGTATGGGGAAAACCTTTGTTTCCATTTAGACCTTTCACAAACTTTTAAAATTATATCACCATCTCTCCAACATGAAATAGTCTCCAGCTGGGAACCTATGTTGGAATAAAACAGTGGTGTCTATGTCAGGTTGAAAAGCTTGCCTGCAGAGATCACCTACCAACTTTATAAGCCAAAGCACAGGAAAAACATCAACATCACAAAATTCTGGCCTTTGGATATTACTAAGTATTATTAGGCAGGATGACATCAGCCTTGGATATGAGAAGGACAGAAGCTACAATGCTCATTAAAATTGTCTGCAAATAAAAATACTAATAAAAGATGCTAGAAAAAGTTTTACAACCAGAAGTGATATCTGCACATTTGTATGTCGAAACACATAATTGACTGGCTACCGGGCATTCTTTTCTTGTAAAACAGTTTATTGTATTTCGTGGATATCAGGGACCAGGTAAGAATACCAGGCTGTGCATTCTGCTTTTATATCTTCTCTAGTCCAAGAGTTCAACTCTCCCTAGCTTGTTCAAAGCACATGAAGTGCCTTCTTACATTTTGTGAAGCAGTAAATTAAACTAACATGTTTGCACAAAGATTTTTCAAGTAGTTCTTCTATTACATCATTCTATCATTTTATTGTTTTCCTCCCCTGTACAAATACACACATACTGTTCTTTACATTTGGTCTCATTTGAATCAATGCTAAAGCCAAAAATATAAGATGCAAATGTGGGAGAAGTAGAAGGACAACATATCTTTAAGAAAATTTAAAGATAACAATTGGAATTTAATTTTTCATTGCTATTTTGACACAATGTAAAAAGGAGCAAAATATATTTCTACTTTCTTCTTAAAATGTGAATTTATGGAACTGTCAGATATAAAAACATTTCAAAATCGTCATTATGAAGACCAACGTTACTGGCCTTTAGGACTGGTGATATGTATTAGTATTAATCTAGGTTTCATGTCCCCAACAGGAGACTAAACTGAAAGTTACAAAATATGTGTTAGTTAATATTCAACAGCAACCTTTTCTTCTATCAAAACTATGCATTAAAAAAGTGATGAACTAAAAATATATGTAGGCTCTATACCTTGTTCTATCAGAAAATAACAAAGCAACATAGAACTAGTCAGTTTCCCTGATTGGCTGATCCAACTATACACTGCTTCATCACTGATTATAATTTATTTTATGTATATAAACACATTTCTGTGTAATACACATGACCTCTTTTATATTGGAAGATCTAAGAACTAGAGTCATGTGTTCTCTGACAGTGGATAATTAATCACATTAAGAAATGCAGAAATTAGGTAATGTCAGGGAAAGTGGCATAGTAGGGAATTCTGGGGGTTCATTTCTCCTCATAAAAACACTAAAAACTCTAACAGAAACTATCAAAATCAATCCTACTGGAAGTCATGGAGCCAGCTAAAGATTTAGAGCAACCAAGCAAAAGAAACCAGGAGAAAGGCTACCTAAGCATGGAATATGATCTTTGTAGCATTTTAACTAACCCTAGCCTTCTCTCCCTCCCAAACATAGCAGTCTTGGAGACTGTATTGGTCCATTTTCATGCTGCTGACGCAGACATACCTGAGACTGGGCAATTTCCAAAAGAAAGAGGTTTATTGGACTTACAGTTTAACGTGGCTAGGAGGTCTCACAATCATGGTGGAAGGTGAAAGCATTGGTGGCAGACGAGAAGAGAGCTTGTGCAGGGAAACTCCCCTTTTTAATACCATCAGATCTCATGAGACTTACTCACTATCATCATAACAGCATGAGAAAGACCTGCCCCATTATTCAATTACCTCTCACCAGTCCCTCCCACAACATGTGGGAATTCAAGATGAGATCTGCGTGGGGACACAGCCAAACCATATCAGAGACGATAGCCTACATTCTCAGTGTGAATACTTGATTTCTGAATGAGCAGAACAGCCCTGTTTCCAAGACATATTGGGGGTTTGTTTGTTTGTCTTACCTGACAGTTTCCCCAAAGTATTAACAAAAGGAATTTTTTTTTTTGTTTTGCCTAAGAATTTTATCAGGCAGGAAAGGCTATGAAAACATTGAAAGCCAAATGAAAAGGTGCTGCCACCTGGAGCAAAAAGTAACAGATGGGGCAAATATTTGACACACTGAAAGGCTTGGAGGAAAATCTGGGAAGTGAGAGTTTTGGGGAATAAGGACTGTGAAAAGTTCCTACATATACCAAGTTAACTAAAAGGCCATACACATAAACAGGGTAAGACACTCAGAAAAGACTTGAAGAGATCATAAATTTGACCTCAGCTAAACTTTAAGCTCCACACTAGCAAGAGGTAAAGGCTAAGACAGAGTCAAAAATGGACAGGCTAAGCCCCAAAACAGACACCATTTACAAAGACATAGAGAATTTTCTTTCCTGCTTCCTTCTTTCTTGCTCTTCCTTTCTGCCTGCCTTCCCACCTTCCTGACTTTCTCTCTCTCTGTCTCTCTCTCTCTCTCTCCCTCAATCTCTATCTCTCCCCCTTTCTCTCTTTCTGTTACTCCAAGCATTTAAAGGAAAGTCTGCTGGGTCACTGGCTAACTGGTGAGCTAAAGGAACAGACAGTTTAGTAACCACATACAAAAAGAAATACAATATTTGCAAAAAACAGTTTGAAAAAGCCACTTGAAAAAATGGACAACTGGTCGGGTGCGGTGGCTCATGCCTCTAATCCCAGCAGTTTGGGAGGCCGAGGCGGGTGGATCATGAGGTCAGGAGATCGAGACCATCCTGGCTAACACAGTGAAACCCCGTCCCTACTAAAAACTACAAAAAAAATTAGCCGGGCATGGTGACGGGCACCTGTAGTCCCAGCTACTAGGGAGGCTGAGGCAGGAGAATGGCCTGAAGCTGGGAGGTGGAGCTTGCAGTGAGCAGAGATAGAGCTACTGCGCTCTAGCCTGGGTGACAGAGCAAGACTCTGTTTCAAAAAAAAAAAAAAAAAATGGACAACTGCAATCTACCATAAGCAACTAGAACTAACCCTGAAGAGTAGGGAGAATCTGATTTGCAAAGTTACCACATTTTAAAATTCAAAATAAAAGATGACTAGCTGAGCACTAACTAAAAGAACAGAGACCACAAATGCCAAAAGCAACAAAGAATGTAGTATCTGCCAAAATACTAAAAATGGAAAGTTTCATGAAATAAATATGAGGCTTTCAAAGAAATAAGAAAATATAGTGCAATCAAATGAAAAAATAAACTAATATAAACTGACTGAGGAATCAAAGTCATAGAACATGCTGGACAAAAACTTTAAATCAACTGTCTTAAGTATGTTTAAATAGACAAAAAAACTCATAGACCAATAACTAAAGGAAAAGAGGAAAATTATAGCTCAATAAATAGAGAATCTAAACAAAGATCAAAATTATAAAAGAAACCAAATAAAAATTGTGAAGCTGAAAACTACAATAAGTGAAATGAAAATTTCACTGAAGAAGTTCTACGGAAGACTTCAGTAGGAAGAAGAAAAGTGAGCAAATTTAAAGAAAGGTCAAGTGAAATTATTCAGTGTGTGGAGCAGAAGGAAAGAATAATATTGTAAAATGAGCAGAGCCTGAGAGACATGTGGGAGACCATACACATAAGGGAAATTCAAGAAAGAGAAGAGAGGAAGCGGCAAAAAAAATATTCGAAGGTATTATGATCAACAACACTCAAATCTGATAAAAGATATGAATCTAAACATCTAAGAATCTCGACAAAAATTTATAGATAGACAGAACCAGAGTGACACACACTAAAATAAAACTGTTGAAATCCAAGAACAAAGAGAAAATCTTAAAATCAGCAAGAGAGAAGTGACTCATCTTATTTAAGAGATCCTCAATAAGATAAACTGTAGATTTCTTATCAGAAACTATGGAAGCCTGAAGGGAGTAGGATGACATTTTTGAAGTGCTGAAAGAAAAGCACAGTGAATAAAGAATTTTATATTCTACAAATCTATGTTTCAAAAGATATATTAAGATGATGTCATACAAATAAAAGCTCAAGGAGTTTTCTACTAATAGACCTGTTCTACAAGAAATGCTAAAGGAAGTCTTTCAGGCTCAAATGAAAAGACATTAGACAGAAATTTAAAGTCATATGAAAAAAGAGAACAATGGTTTAGATAAATGTAGATGTCAGTATTATTGTATTTATGTTTTGTAGTGCTATATTTTCTGTATTATATAAAAAAATTGAAAAATAATTATAAACCTATACTAATGGTCACACAATGTATAAAGATGTAATTTATGACAAAATCATAGGAGTGAGATGTATAGAAGTAGAAATTTTGGATACTATTGAAGTTAAGTAGGTATTAATTCAAATGAGGTTTTTATATGGTTGAAATGCTCATTGTAATTTTTAAGATAGCCACAATAAAATAAGTAAACCCTATATACGTAAAGCTAACAGAATGGAATCAAAATTATATACTATAATAAGTCAACTAAGCATATAAGAATGCAGTTTTGGAGGAATTCAGTAACCAAAAACACATGAGAGATATAGAAAGCAATAGAAAAGTGGCAGAAGTCCTTCCTTATTGGTAATTACTTTAAATGAAAATTAAACTCTCTAATTAAAATGTAGAGATTGGAAGAATGTAATTTTCTTAAAAGATACATCTCTGTGCTGGATAGGAAACATTCACTTTATATTCAAAGACACAAATAGGTTGAAAGTGAAAGGATGGAAAAAGATATTCTCTTTAAGTCATAAGGAAAAGAAAACTGGAATAGCCAAATACCATATAAAAGAAAAATTAAGTAAAATCTTGCTAGAGATAAAGGGCATTACATATTAAGAAAAGTGTCAATTAATCAAGAGCATGTAACAATTATAAACACATATTCATTTAACAGCAGAGTCTGAAAATACATGAAGAAAAATTGAAATTAGACAATAGACAATAATAATAAGACAATTAGACAATAATATTGAACATTTCAATATCTTGTTTCCAATAATGGATAGAACAACTATATACAAGATCTATATCTTGTGCAATGTCGTATATACATAGCACTTCACTCCAAGGAATGAGAACATACATTCTTCCCAAATGCACATGGAATATTCTTCAGCATAAATCATATATTCATTCACCAAATGAGTTCTTTTTTGATTTGAGTTTAATTTATCTAGCTACTAACTAGCTATTAATCATCTATCTAACAAGCCAAACATATAATTTTATTTTTTCAGCTTTATTGATATGTATTGGATATATAAAGTTATATATATTTAAAGTGTATAACATGATTTGATATATGTATACATTATAAATTGATTTTCAGGTTAATTACATCTATTACCTCACACAGTTATTATTTTTTGTTTGTGTATAGTGACAACACTTAAGATCTACTCTGTTAGCAAATTTCAAGTATTATTAACCATAATCACCATGCTGTACATTAGCTCCCCAGAAGATATTCTTCTAAGAACTTAAAAGTTTTCACTTTTTGACTAGCATCTCCTCACTTCCTCCACTTTCCAGCTCCTGGTGACCACTATTCCACTCTCTGTTTCTATGAGTTAAACTTTTTTAGATACTACATTTAAGTGAGATCATGCAACATTTGTCTTTATCTGTCTGGCTTATTTCCCTTAGGATAATGCACTTCCAGTCCATCAATGCTGCTGCAGATGGCAAGATTTTCATTTTTTAAGGCTGAGTAATATTTCATTATATGAATAACCACCACATCTTCTTTATCTATTCACCTGTTGAGAGAAGTTAGATCGTTTCTATATCTTGGCTACTGTGAATAATGCTCCAATAAAAATGGGAGTTCAGATATCTCTTTGACATACTGATTTGATTTCCTTTGGATATGTAACAGAAATGGGAGTGCTGGCTCATATGGCAATTCTATTTTCTGTTTTTTGAGAAAAATCCATACTGGTTACCATACAGCTTTATTGATTTATATTTTCACCAACAATATATAAAGGTTCCCTTTTCTGTACCTCCTCCCCAAATTTTGTTGTCTTTTAACTTTTTGAAAATAGCCATCCCAACAGGTATGAGGCGATATCACTGTGGTTTAGAATTGTATTTCCTTGACGGTTAGTGTTGTTTGAGTACTTTTTCATATACCTGTTGGTCATTTGTATGTCTTCTTTGGAAAAATGTCTATTCAGGTCATTTGCCCATTTTGTAAATTATTTGCTTTTATTTTTGGATGTTGTTTATCTTCTTTATATATTTTTAATGTTAACTCCTTGTTATATACTTTACATATTTTTTTTGTTCCATTCAGTAGGTTGCCTTTTCATTGTATTGGTTGTTTCCTTTGCCGTGTTAAAATCTTTTAGTTTGATATCATCCTACTTGTTTATATTTTGCTTCTCTTGCCTGTGTTGTGGTATTATACAAAAAATCATTGCCAAGACTAAGGTCAAGGAGGATTTTCCCTGTTTCCGTTTGAAGTTTTACAGTTTCATAAAACTTATGTTTTAGTCTTTAATCTATTTATAACTGATTTCTGTGTACGGTGTAAGAGAAGAGCGCAATTTTAATTTTGTATGTGGATATTTAGTTTCTCCAGCACCATTTATTGAAGGGACTATTCTTTCATTATTGCATATTATTGGCACTTTTGTTTTAAGTTAGTTGACCATATTTGCATGTTTTTTTTCAGACTTTCTATTCTGTGCCATCAGTCTGTGTCTGTTGTGATGCCAATACCATACTGTTGTGATAACTATAGCTTTGTAATATAGTTTAAACACAGAATGTGTGGTGCCTCTAGTTTTTTTTATCTTTCTCAATATTGTTTTAGCTATTTAGGGTTTTTGCTGGTTCTATAGACATTCTGAATTTTTTTCTATCTATTTAAAACATATATAGGGTATTTTATATATAAGATACATATATGATATAGCACACATACATGGTATATGTGACATATATGATATATAGCATATCTATCGATCTATATCAAAAATAGATTGATAGATATATCTTACATATATGTGACTCTAGGTAAAATAAAGGTTTAAGCAATTATTCACTTTTGGCAGTATTCATAGTTAGTGAGTTTTCCCATTGTAGATTTTCTAGAAATTTTATGTTGCAGAAATTGTATCTGGATAACACACGCTATATAAAGTAATATATTCTAGTGATCAATTAACCCTATGCTAGTATAAGGGGATTTTGTTGAAAGTCATTATATAGGAAGATGATTAGGTTGACTTAAAGACAATGTATGACAAAGACACATGAAAATGATCTGATAATGTGCCTGTCTCTTCTGCAGTCCTTAAGTTCCTTAACTGAAGGAAAAATGTTAACATTTTCATAGTAAACCTTCTTTAAAAAAAAACAAACATAATTATTTTCCTTTCTGTTGTGCAGGTGGGTTGGTCTGAGTCTGCTCTACATTCCTCACCCACTATTAAATTAGTAATCTAATTAGAACATATTCTTTGCATGCTGATGGCAGAGACACAAGAAGGCAAACAGAAACATGTTATGTTTCTAAAGTTCTAGTTTTGAAACTACCATACTGTCTTGCCTATCCACATGCCAATGGCTAAATCAAGTCACTAGACCAAGTCCAAAGTCAAAGGCCAAGAGAGTATACTCACCATAATAAGTTTGTAGTTAAGGGTATGGTTGACATTTGGTTCAATATTCTATTTACAACAAGTAGTGTCATGTCTTTTTTTTTTTCCAGAACATCACACAGTTTCTGGTATTCAGCAGATAAGTAATAAATGTCTGTCAAATTGAACTGAATAAAAGTATTACTTCTTTAACTCAAATCTGTATTTGGTATTTTTGGTTGCAATAGACACTATCTCAATGTTAGGAAATGGGAAATTTGTAGAAATTTGGGGAACATTTTGTTTAGTAGGAAATTTGGGAGGAAAGGGTAAGAAAGTAAAGGAACTGAGAAAACACTAGAATACATGAACAGAAAATTCACAATCTGGGCACTATTGCTAAAATGATTCAGTGTATGTGAATATTTGTAAAGCACATATTCTATGGAGGTGAGAATTTTTATCTTTTTTGAACACTAACCCTGATCTCTAGATCAGTGTGTGACGTGGAATAGAGGATAAGCAAATTAATGAATATATATTTAATGAATAAGCATGTGTACATACTTATACTAATCCACTCAAGATTCAAAGTTCTGGGAGATAGAATCTGACTGCCTAGATCAGGTCACATGGCTATCAGATGTCTACTAGTTCACCCTGATTTACCAAACCATGGATGCTTCATACAAGGGGTAGATTCCTCAAAAGGAATTTGGGATGCTGTTACCAGAAATTGTGTGATTATACTGACCTAAGTATGTGCTCTGAATTGATATTACTAGACTGCATAAAAATCTGATGACTCATGATTGTATCTATACGTAGTTCAAACCTCATTCATATGAGGGTCTTCAAGATATAGTCATGACATTTCTTTCAAGGTTTTGATCTAATCAGTGTCCTCATTCAACCTGAGTCTCCAGCTTTTCTAAACATAATACAAGCATGCCATCTTATCTCATCCTTTCATAATGTATTGATTAGAGTATAAGCTAAGCTACTGTTACAAGAGGAACAGAAAATATAGCAGCTCTAATGAGATACAATTCTATTTTTTCTCATGTGACAGTTTAGACGTAGACAGGCAATTCAGAGTAGACAGATACCAGGTCTCTTCTAATTGGGTTGCTCAACCATTTCCCAGGACAGAGACCTCACATTCATGGTTAAAGTTTACTCACTATCACCTTGTCTGAATTTCAGTATAAAAAAGAGGAAAGGGAAGAAGCAAAAAATAAGCAACTTTCTTTTCAAATTTTATTTTTATTATTACTTTTTTTAGAGACAGGTTCTTGCTCTGTCATCCAGGCTGCAGTGCAGTGGCGTGATCATACCTCACTGCAGCCTCAAACTCCTGGGCTCAAGTAATCCTCCCCCCTCAGGCTCCAGAGTAGCTGGGCTTGCAGGTATGGACCACTACACCTGGCTATCTTTTTAAAGGATATGACCTGGAAAATGAAAACGTAACTTTCATTTACCTTCTAATGTCCTGAATATAGTCACATGGCCACACCTAGTCAGATAAAAACAATTCATAACCTCTATCACACATGCTTTTGCACATGTTGTACTCTATTTCTGAAATTCTGCATTTCCTCTTCTTTGTGCCTGTAGCAACTATAAGTGCCTTCTATTCTGAGAAATCTTTCCGAACTTCTCCTTGGAGACTTATTTAATAGCTGCTACATTTTAGAAATTTAACATCTGCACTTTAGAATTTATCATTTACTATGCATCTCCTTGAGGACCAGAAACATATAGAGCTTACACATATTTTTATTTCCAGAGGGTAGGTCGGTGCATTTTTTATTTAAAAAATCAACATCTTAAGAGTGTATTTTCACTCCAATTTACTATCAGATCACAGAATATATATTATGCTCATTAGTAAGATGGAGGCATATTGAAAAGCATTTGTTAGGAAAGGAAGCTACTGCAAAAAGAATTTTGCCTTCGTCCCCAGTCTCTTAAATGGGTTTATTGAAGCTTAACAAAGAAAACTGCTTTTCCATAGACATCTCTGGATGGAAATTTTCTTTTATAAGACAGTTTTGGCATTCTGTATTAAAACCTATACTGCACATGGGTGTATTGTTAGGAGACATTCAAATGCAGAAGTTTTCTAATGAGGGCTTTGCACATGTGTAAAGAATATTTAAGGGACAATGTCACAATAAGTCAGCATGCAAAGCAATGTATTTCTTCTGTTACTGGTTACGTTCCAAAGCAGAGCTGAGAGCAAAGACAGCTGATAATTGAAAAAGCCATTCTGTGCATTTATACTTCAATATGGTTAACGCAATTTCTATTAAACACAGTATTTTTCCTTCACAACAAACAATAACAAATAAAATCTTAGTCACTACTTGGTCCTTCAAAATTCGTAGTTGTTTTTTGTCTAATGCAGTTTGCTGCTGTTAAACTATTATTTAATGATTGAAACAGCTCCCTAGGTAAAAATAATAATAATAATAATATATAATTAATACAATAATACAAACAGGCTCAAGTTGACATAAATAGTTCTCTCATACCAGCTTAACTAATTTTGCTCAATAAGGTAAAAGAGGCAGAAAAGCAATGTTTTTTTTAAATAGTAATTTTCATGAAACTTGGAGACTAGCTTTGAGTTCCTTGCGTAAGACCTGAGAATATCTGGATGGAAATTAAAAATTCAGTCAAACCACTAAGTTGGTTTCATATAGGCCACAAAAATATTGTTGGACTAAGTGGTCATGGGATCTACTTATATTTTCTAATTCTGAATTCACTTAAAAATTATAAGTAAAGGCTCATCTAGATGTTTTAGAGAAAATTGGCTCAGTTACTCATCTTTGTGTGTCTGTCTTCCTCAGTATAACTGAACTTGTGAAAAAAAAAACAGTTCGTGTGTTTTATTGATTTTTGAAACTATGATAACATTTCTAGTATTTTTTTTTCTGATTTTCATGGTCATGGAGACCTCTTCTTTTTTTATACAACTAAGTGGACAGTCCATGCCTTTATAACAAAAGTTGAAAACTGTCACCAGGACCCTGGATTGAAAAGTAAAACAAAAATTTTTTAAAAAAGTACTGTGCTGCCCAATCTAGTTAGAAATGTTGCACTATAGCTAAAGAGAATGTCCTAGTGTTCATAACAAAAGACAGACTCAATGTTCTAGAAAATCCTAATAGTTATTCATAAATATTAAAACATTTTATATATCAATGCATACATTTTCTGGGCAACACATTTAATAACTCACTTGTTTCATATCTCAGTAAGAGTTCAACAAGAATATTTTTTAAAAGCAATATATAATTATCTAAGATTAAACATTTGTTTTGGAAGATATTTTAAAGACTTTCAGGTAAGTGTGCCTGTGACTTGCTACATGCTCAATTAAAAAGTTTTATTGGAAACTGTCTTCTTTAGGGTTGAGCCACTTATTGTATAAAATGAAGTAAAATGTAAGCCCCATCTCAAAATAGTTTCCAAGCTCATTCTAGTGCTCAATTTTACCCATATTTGAAGTCACATTCTTCAAATTTAATTGAAGTTAACTGAAGATTTCATTCAAAATGTCTTTTTGATTAAATCTACAGTGTTTTATCTTAAGTTCAATATTCTTTCTTTTTAATGTTTTTTGATGTTCCTAGTTTCATTTTCACAGAGTTTGGACTTCAAGTGCATTTGGTCTCACTATGTATCAGTCAGGACTCAATCAGTACTATTAATACTATGAGTGTTACAGAATAAGGAATTTATCATGCAAATTTAACAATAGGTGAAGGAACTATAAAAATAAAGGTATCAAAAGGAATTGGGAGGATCAGAGAAAAATCCCTACCCAGCTTTGGCACAGTCAGTTTGTAAGGAAGTTTGGAAAAATAGGCACATCCAGCTGCTAGAGCGGAACCATGAAGGGAGGTTGATGGCAGGTTCTTGGCTCTATATGGTTTCCACATCTAAGTTTCTACAAGTGTGTAATGGTTAGCCTCAGGTCACTGTTGGTCATAGGGGTGGCACTCTCACAGGAAAGCTGGATATAGACCAGACAGGAGCAAGTACGCATTAGAGTCCTCTGGAAACTGGATTTGAATCTTACTGCTTCTAACCAACAACCTGCAAAACATAAAGGTCCTATTCTTTCACCTGCCAAATCTCACACAACTGCAATTTTTGTCAATTCTAACCTGAAACCACAGAGTTAAGGGGATTCTGGAAAATATTTTTCCCAACATAATGCAGCTGACAATCAAACAGTCCAGTTCAGCTCATCCTTTGTCAAACTGACTCCACACATAGCTTTTTACCATATTTAACTTCCAAATAAAGGCAACAGCAAAGTCATGCTTCTTCCTAATATGACCCAATAATCCTTGCTTTCACACAATTCCAAACACTGTAACACTCTCCCTAAACATGATGCCTCAAAGTCCCATTTATCTATCTCTTGATGATATTCATTTCTCTTCTAGCAGTCACACTATTTCTCCTAACATTCTACAACTTAATAATGAGATATAAGGTTAACCACTCTAATATTTTCTACGTTTGATGTGTGTGTGTATGTGTGTGTGTGCATGTGCACACATGTGATACGGTTTGGCTCTGTGGCCCCACCCAAATCTCTGCTCTAATTGTAATCCCCACATGTTAAGGGAGAGACTTGGAAGGAGGTGATTGGATTACAGAGGTGGGTTTCCTTATGCTGTTCTCATAATAGTGAGTGAGTTCTCCGGAGATCTGATGGTTTAAAAGTGTTTGGCAGCTTCCGCTTTGCTCTGTCTCTCTCTCCTGCCACCATGTAAGATATGCCTTGCTTCCCCTTCACCTTATGCCATGATTATAATTTTCCTGAGGCCTCCCCAGCCATGCAGAACTATCAGTCCATTAAACCTCTTTTGTTTATAAATTACCCAGTCTCAGATAGTTCTTCATAGCAGTGTGAATATGGACTAATATTGTGTGTGTGTGTGTGTGCGTGCATGTATTATGTGTCTCATAAGTATTATAGATCTTGTTTCTGGTCATATCTGCTATTTACTTCCTTCTTCCACTACCTTTTGCAAACTTAAATCATTTCAAGATAAACTTATTTTTTTAAGAAGATTGAATTCTGCTGCATGTTAAGGAAAGGATTTGCTAATTTAAAAAATCTACAAATATATTGTCATAACTGAAATTCAAACCTCCTGTATAAATTTTTAGAGAAGGTCTCTTAGGTTGAACATGGTTCTTCAATCATTGGCATACCTGGGGCTATTTTGAACAAAGTTTTCCTGGTGTTCTAAGCCAGTATTTCTTAACCATGGCTGCATATTAGAATCACCGTGGGGAGTTTTGACACTATTAATGCATTGGCCCTGTTGCTTATAGATTCTATTTAATTAATCTAGGGTGGGGCCTGAGCATGAATATAATCTGAAAGTACAAAGGTGACTGTAAAATACAGTCTAGGTGGAGAACCAGCCACAGCTCTATACCCATCCTGAAATATCAAAATATATTTTACTCTGTCAAAGAAGAGTAGTTGGGCAAATTGGTTCAATTATTAGAATTTTAATTAAAGTATTCTAGTACTTCAATGGTAGAATTGTCATTTTCTTCACTGATTTTTCACTTCACTTTATCCTTCACCAGTTATTCAGAAAAAAAACACTACTATTTAGTAATATCGCTTTCTGCTATTTTCCCAATAAATCATCAAATTCATCACCTTGTTATATGTTCCATTTTCTCGTATTTGATTGGGTGCATTACTGAAAAACCATCATTAAACTCTGCATGGGCGAAACCCAAACTTCTTTCCAATATGGGATTCTTTATTTTTTATCTTTTGGTTATCTTTGAAACACAGTGTAATCCCTTTCATTCTGACACACTTGCTTTGGACTTATTGCAAGTTGTATTGAGGTAATAGATTTGGATAGTCAAGATGATTTTTTCAATTATTAAATGTGTCTTTGAATTCTCTTAATTAGGAACCCCAGCTGGATTGCTCTCTCTCTTTTTTTAATCTGTACTGAGTCCTGACAAATAATTAAATAATTGATGGCAAGTGCCAGAGTCCCAAGTGAGTTTTCCACTTTTCCACTTACTAGAAACCTTACTAGAGGGTTTTATTTATTTATTTATTTATTTATTTATTTATTTATTTATTTTCTGACAATGAAAAGACAGAGGATTCTGTTTTGTTTGGTTTGGTTGTTTTGCCAGATAGATAGATAGATAGATAGATAGATAGATAGATAGATATTAAGGATGGGATTTCTGAAGAAAAACAGAAAGGCTAGTTGGTAATTTATCTTTTCTAAGTTTAATAATTTCTCCAAAAGCTCCTCCCCAATGCTCTTTTATTTTGTAAGCAGAGATATTTTCAGTGAATTATGAGTATTGACTATAACTTAAAAACCCTTCCTTTGCAATAAATATCTTCAGATGAAGATATTCACCTCTAAAATGTGGCCAATAAGCCTGCAAAAGGCAGTGAACATAATATAATTACACTACTCCTTATTAAAATGCTCAACCATTTGCTACAGATGCACAGTTCATGGTTATGGAAAGGGGTAATTTGTTTAATAATATATCCACTCAGTTACACATAATGTAATTTAATCAGTACATTATATGCAGGCTTCAAATGTAAAGTATCTCAAATGATCAAAATGAATTATTAACAGTTTACAGTCATCAAGTCCTCATGGGGGAAGGGAGACATGGAGATTCGTCTTATCCCCTTATAAATCTTTTTTACCTTTCAGCGCATCTAAAGACAAATATTCTGAAAATTACCTGCTATATAAAAAAACAGAATAACTGGTCTTATGATTTGATATCAGTTTGTCCACACTGTAAGCTCATTTCATTTAAGAATAATGTATCAGTTACTTATTTTTCAGGCCAAAAACTTCTCTTCCTTTATACTCCATATTGAATCTATTACACATTCCTTAGCCCTATCTGCAAAATGTAATCATAATCTGACCATTTTTCTATTGCTGCTATGCTGAACCAGGACATCATCTTTTCTTACTTGGGTCATTGCTACAGACTCCTGATTTATCTTTCTACTTTTGCCCTTGTCTCTTTTAAGTACATTTTCAATTCAAGATTCAGAATGATGCTATTAAAATGAAAGCCAATTCCTGACATTCCTTTACTAAAAATTCTCCAGCAGCTCCCCATTTAAGTAAGGATAAAAGTCAAAGCCTTAGAATGACCTGAAAACTCTTCTTGTTAATCTGACCCCCATTATTTCTCTGACCTTATCTCCTATTACTCTCCCCATGGTTCATACAGTGCTGGTCTAACTGGCCTCCTCTAAGTTTCTTCAACACATCAGACATCTTTCTACCTTCAGTATTGCATAGACTTTGCATCGGTATGGGATATCCTTCCCTCAGATATCCTAATGCTTTACTCCCTCACCTCCTGCAGGCATTTATGAAATGCGGCCTCCTTAAAGAGGCCTTCCCTAATGGCCCTATTCAAAATTGAAAGTCCTTGGCTTTCCCATTTCACCCTGCTTTATTTTTCTTCTCTGTACATACCACTTTCTGCTTTTACTTATATATCTAAGGTATATATTCTTATTTAAATATTTTGATGTTATATCTCTGGCATGTGGCACAGAATTAGTGACTGTACTGGATTAGAAACTTATTGAATTAGTGACTATGCTGGAAACAGTGAACATCAGCAACAAATTACCTCTAGACCTATGGCTTGAATGTGTCCACAAATATGACTGTTTTCTTTTGACGTGATGGCAATAGTGAGAGAATTGTTCCCAGATTTGAATCACCAGTTAAGAATTCCACTATGCTATATTAGTTATCAATTGCTGAATTAAAAATTACGCCTAAAACTCTATAGTTAAAAGAATAAGCAAGCATTTAGCTTTACCTTGCTGGACTTGGGATTAGTTGAATAGTTCTATGGGTTTATGCCAGGTTCACCTGATCTTGACTAGTGTCACTCATGGGTCTATGGTCAGCTGGTTGGTTGATTGTGAGAACTGACTGATCTAACACAGTGTGAACTGGGAGGATTTGGTATCACACCACATAATTTTTAATCCTGTAGCAGGCTAACCTGGGTATGTTCACATGGTGTTCTCATGGGTCCAAGCAAAAGAGTAAAGCTCACCCAGCCTCTTGAGGTCTAAGCTCGGGATAGGCACATCTTAATTTCATATACATTCTATCACCAGTGCAAGTCACAAGGAAGCCCAGATTCAAGGGCATGAGAAAAGAGATTTTTCATTGATGGAGAAGCTGCAAAGCCACATTATAAAGAGCATCTACCACATAAACATTTCAAAAACATCACTCAGGGTCATGAATCATTAAATCCTTATGGTAAGGTAGAAAGTTTGGGAGATGATCTCTTCACATACCACATAACGGTAAAGTCGTTTTTACCCATTCTTAATGGAATATGTATACATATCCCCATTGTGACCAAGAGCTGATTATACTGGTATATATACAAAATTTTCTTGTTTTATTTTCATATTCTTAATAAATCAGTGTAATATAATCTTTTCTTAAAGAAAGGTAATTAGCTTAAGTCTTTTATTACTAATATGGAAAGAGACATTGAATGAAAGTATTTATATGCAACTTTATCAGGGACTTTGCAAAAATATCTTGAATGAAGCACACATCAAAATCATACTAGAGAACTTGGTATTGTTTGCTAATTATACATCAGAATATTTTAATGGGGGGGAGCAATGGTCTTGAGAAAAAGGTGTACTTGTTATGTAACTCTTGCCAGAGTAAGCAGTTATATGTGAATTAAAAATATGCATTCTGTTTGTCTTCATATACATTTAAGTATATGTATTTTGGTTATTGACATTTGCTGGTATTTTTTTTTTTTTTTTAACATGGAGTCTCACTCTGTCACCTAGGCTGAAATGCAGTGGCACCATCTCGGCTCACTGCAAGCTCCGCCTCCCAGGTTCACACCATTCTCCTGCCTCAGCCTCGTGAGTAGCTGGGACTACACGTGCCTGCCACTAAGCCCGGCTAATTTTTTGTATTTTTTTTTAGTGGAGACGAGGTTTCACCGTGTTAGCCAGGATGGTCTCGACCTCCTGACCTCGTGGTCCGCCCACCTCGACCTCCCAAAGTGCTGGGATCACAGGTGTGAGCCACCATGCCCGGTCTATTTTTTTCTTTTTCACTGATTACCTATTCTTTTCTTGTTTGATTTTTCTGCCTTTTCTCTATGGTGAACCATAATTCTTTTTTCTTCTCACTTTTATAATCTTGGAATCGGGTTACTCTTCACTTTCTGTCATATTCCCTTTTTAACTGGGTTGGAAACTTGAGTTTAAAGGAAAGGCTGATTCTTGCCTTATTCTGAAGATATTTCAAGTATCCTAGGGGGTGGGGCCAAGATGGCCCACAGAAGTAGCCGCCATCAGAGGCTCTTATGGAAAAAAACAAACATAATTAGCTTGTGAATTTACTAGAAGGCTGGCATAACCCACGGAGAGTAAGAATAGCAGTGTGGTGCTGAGAGAGAACACTCCTCATATTGTCTTATACTTAATTTCTTGTTTGCTGAAAAAGTAGAAGTTAAAACAGTAGGCAGAAGTGAAAAACATAGTCAGACAACCAGGTGCCACATTTCGGGCCTGGTAGTTAAAATTCAACCCCTGACCTCATGGCTGTGCTATCTATAGATTCCAGACATTGTATGAAAAAGTGTTATGAAAATCCCTGTTCTGTTGTTTCATTCTGATTACTGGTGCCCGCAGCCCCCAGTCACATACCCCTCACTTGCTCAATCAATCACGACCTCCCTCTCACACAGCCCCTTTAGAGTTGTGAGCCCTTAAAAGGGACAGGAATTACTTATTCAGAGAGATCGATTTCTAGGATATGAGTCTGCCAATGCTCCCAGCGGAATAAAGCTCTTTCCTTCCACAATCCGCTGTCTGAGGGATTTTGTCTATGATTCCTCCTGCTACACTATAGCTTACATGAGAGCCACGAGGGGAAGGAGAACCCCTCCTCCCAGCCAAGGGAGGCAGTGCATGAGCTGGCTACGCAGCCAGGGAAACTGTGCTTTTCTCATTGAATTGTGCAAACCACAGATCAGAAGATCCCACTCATGATCTCACACTCGTGATCTCACACTCGTGATCTCACACCAAGGCCTAGCGTCCCAACCCTGGAACTCGCAAATTCTTGCAGCCTCTCAGCTGGAATCTGCTTAAGCCTACTGAACTCCCGGCAGGAGGGGCGACCAACACAGGCTGCAGCTGACCTCTGTCTAAGCTGTTTGAGCTCCTTGGGGGAGGGGCAGCAGCCAGCACTGGGGCTAGCAACTGCCGAACACACTAAGCTCCCTGGGCAGGAGAAGTGGGGGCACCCATTTCTATAGCTCCAGGCTGTGCTTTTTCCCTACTGGAGCCAGGGTGGCTGGATGGCTTGGTCCTAAGACTTGTCCCCACAGTTCAACACACCAGCTGTGGCAATCTGAAACCAGAGTGCCTCTTCAGGTCTAACCCTGACACATCTTTCCTCAGTGTGTGGGGCTTCCTTGCAGTCTCTCCAATAACTCCAGCCAGAGGCTCAGGGACAGAATTTGAATATACCTGGGCCTGAACCCCTAGGGGAAGAGGTGGCCACAGTCTGCAAAGCAGCAGACTTAGCCTCTCATCCTGGTAGTTCTGAGGAATCCCGGCATCCCAGACAAGTGGCTTTCCCCCCAGCAAAACATACCCCCTCCACCAAGGGACAAAATGCTTCATTAATCGGATCCAACTTCTCATGCCCCCCAACGGAGTGATACCCTCCAACAGGGGTTGTCAGACACCCTACACAAGAGAGATCCTACTGGCATCAGGTTGGTGCTCCTTGAGGTCAGAGGTCCCAGAAGAAGGAGCAGGCACCCATCTTTGCTGCTCTCCAGCTTACTTGAGTGATATCTCCAGGCACGGGAGCGAATCAGATGCATAGGGCCTGAAGTGAACCCCCAGCAAACTGCAGCAGCTCCACAGAAGAGGGACCTGACTATCGCAGGAGAAACAAACAAGCAGAAAGTGACAACAACAGCATCAACAACAACATCAAAAAGGCCTCCACAAAAACCCCATCCAAGGGTCAGCAGCCTCAAAGGCCAACACTAGACGAACTCATGAAGATGAGAAAGAAACAACGTAAAAGTATTGAAAACCCAAAAGGTCAGAGTGCCTCTTCTCCTCCAGATGATCTCAACGTCTCTCCATCAAGGGCAAAAAAACCGGGCAGAGGATCTTATGGACATATTGACAGAAGCAGGCTTCAGAAGATGGGTAACAAAAACTATGATAAGCTAAAGGAACATGTTCTAACCCAATGAAAAGAAGCTAAGAACCTTGATAAAAGGTTAGAGGAATCGTTAACTAGAATAACCTGTTTAGAGAGGAAGATAAACGACCTGATAGAGCTGGAAAATGCAGTACAAGAACCTGGTGAAGAATAAACAAGTATCAACAGCAGAATCAACCAAGCAGAAGAAAGGATGTTGGAGTTTGAAGACCACCTTACTGAAATAAGACATGCGAACAAGAATAGAGAAAAATGTTTAAAAAGGAATGAACAAAGTCTCCAAGAACTATGGGACTTCATAAAAAGACCAAACCTATGATTGACTGGAGTACCAGAAGGAAACAGGGAGAATGGAAATGAGCTGTAAAACACACTTCAGGGTATTATCCAGAACTTCCCCAACCTAGCAAGACAGGCCAACATGCAAATTCAGGAAATACAGAGAACACCACTAAGACACTGTATGAGAAGATCAACCCCAAGACACATAATCATCAGAATCTCCAAGGTTAAAATGAAGGAAAAACTGTAACAGGCAGCCAGAGAGAAAGGCCAGGTCACCTACAAAGGGAAGCCCATCAGACTAATAGCAGACCTCTCAGCAGAAACTCTACGAGCCAGAAGAGATTGGGAGACAATATTTAACATTCTTAAAGAGAAGAATTTCCAACTCAGAATTTCATATCCAGCCAAACTAAGCTTCATAAGTGAAGGAGAAATAAAATTCTTTCCAGACAAGCAAATGCTGAGGGATTTCATTACTAGCAGGCCTGCCCTGCAAGAGATCCTAAAAAAAGCACTAAATATGGAAAGTAAAAACTGGTACCAGGCACTGCAAAAACACACCAAAGTATAAAGACCAATGACACTTTGAAGGAACTGCATCAACCAATGTGCAAAATAACCAAATAGCAGCATGACGACAGGATCAAATTCACATATAACAATACTAACCTTAAATGTAAATGGGCTAAATGTCCCAATTAAAAGACACAGACTGGAAAATTGAATAAGGAGTAAAAACCCATTGGTTACTATATTCAGGAGACTCATCTTACCTGTAAAGACACACACAGGCTCAAAATAAAGGGAGGAATGAAAATTTACCAGGCAAATGGAAAGAAAAAAACAATAGCGGTTGCCATCTTAGTCTCTGACAAAACAGACTTTAATCCAACAAAGATCAAAAGAGACAAAGAAGGGCATTACATAATGGTAAAGGGATCAATTCAACAAGAAGAGCTAGCTATTCTAAATATATATGCATCTAATACAGGAGCATCCAAATTCATAAAATAAGTTCTTAGAGACCTACAAAGAGACTTAGACTCCCACACAATAATAGTGGGGTATTAGACAGATCAACAAGATAGAAGACTAACAAGGATAAATAGTATTTCATTGCATGTATATACCACACTTTATCCATTCATCTCTTTATGAACACAGGTTGACTCTATCTTGACTATTGTAAATAGTGCTGAAACATATGGGGTGCAGCTCTCTCTTTGATACCGTGATTTTCTTTCCTGTAATATTGTAAATACACAGTAGTGGGATTGCTGGATCACATGGAACTTCCATCTTTAGTTTTATGAGAAGCCTCCATGCTTTTTTTCTTAATGACTGTACTAATTTACATTTCCATCAACAACGTATAAGAATTTCCTTTTCTCTTCATCCAGGATAGTGAGATTATATCTCGTTGTCATTTTGATTTGCATTTCTTTGAATAATAAGTGACATTGAACATTTTTTCTTATACCTGTTGGTCATTTGTTCTTTTTTTAAGAAATGTCTATTCAGCTCCTTTGCTGAATTTTAAGTCAGATTTTTTTTTTTTTTGCAGTTGAATTGTTAGTTCCTTGTGTATTATGGATATTAGTCCCTTGTGGAAAGACTAGTTTATAAATATTTCTTCCCATTCTACAGATTGTCTTTTTCTTCTGTTGATAGATTTTATTGCTGTGTGAAGACGTTTGTGTTGTAAATAATACCATTTGTCAAATTTTGTTTTTGATGCCTGTACTTTTGAGAGCTTACCCATAAAATCTTTACCTAGACCAATGTTCTGAAGAACCTCTCCTACTTTTTGTAAATATAGTTTTATAGTTTGTAGTCTTACATTTAAGTCTTTAATCTCTTTTGAGTGATTTTTGCATATGAGGAGAGATCAGGGTCTAGGATCATTCTTCTGCAAATGGGTATCCGGTGTTCCCAGAACCATTTATTGAAGAAATCCTCCTTTCCCCAGTGTATGTTCTTAGTTCTTGACAGCCTTGTCAAAAATTAGTTGGCTGTGAGTATGTGGATTTATGTCTGGGTTATCTATCCCATTCCATTGGTCTATGTGTCTGCTTTTATCCTAATAGCATGCTGTTTGGTTACTATTGCTTTGCAGTGTATTTTGAAGTCAGTTAATGTAATTCCTCCAGCTTTGTTCTTTTTGTCCAGTGTTCCTTTGGCAATTAAGGGACTTTGTAGTTCCTTACTGATTTTAGAATTTTTGTTCTATTTATGTGAAGATGCCATTGGTATTTTGATAGGGATTGCATTGAATCTATGGATTGCTTTAGATAGTATGGTCATTTTACCAACATAAATTCTGCTGATAGATGATCATGGGATGTCTTCCCAATTTTATTATGTTCTTTTCTATTTTTTCATCAATGTTTTATAGTTTCTATCACAGAGATCTTTCACCTCCTTGATTACTTTTATTCCTATGGGATTTTTTGTTGCTATAATAAACAAAATCGCTTTCTCAGGTATTTCATATTGGTATATAGAAATGCTACTGCTTTTGGTATATTGATTTTGTAACCAGCAACTTTAGTGAATTTATTTATCAGTTCTAAGAACTTTTTGGCAAAGTCTTTAGGTTTTCTATATATAAGACTGTGTCATGTGCAAAGAGGGAAAATTTGACTTTCTCTTTTCTAATTTGGATGCTCTTTATTTCTTTCTCATGCCTATTTTCATGTCTAGGACTTTTTGTACTGCATTGAATAAGTGGGGTAGAGGAACACATCTTTGTTTTGTTCTGGTTGTTAGAGAAAAATATTTTAGCATTTCTTTATTCAATTGGATGTTATCCATGGATTTGTCATATAACCCTTACTGTGTTGAGGTATGTTCCTTCTATATCTAATTTGTTGAGAGATTTTATCATAAAGGAATGTTGAATGGTATTTTTTTTCTGTATCTATAGAGAGAGTCATGATATCTCACAACAACAGAATAAAGGACAAAAAACCATATTTGTATGTTGAAGCATCCTTGCATTTCTGGGATAAAACCTGTGTGATCATGGTGTGTCATGTTTTTGATGTGGTGTTGGATTTAAGTTTGCTAATATTTTGTTGAGAATTATTGCATCTATGTACATTAGGGATATTGGCCTGTAGTTTTTTGTTGTTGTGTCCTTGTCTGCTTTTGGAATCAGGGTAATGCTGGCCTTGTAGAATGAGTTTAGAAGTATTCCCTTTGCGTCTATTTCTCAGAAAGGTTTGAGAAAAATTGCTACCAGTTCTTCTTTAAATGTTTGGTAGAATTCAGCAGTGAAGCCATTGGGTCCTGGACCAGGTGAACAGTCCTCCAACCCCTGCTCAGCAAGCCTGAGCTTCAGTGGTGGCTGTGACAGGTCACATGTGGGCTGGTTCTCAGTCTCTAGGCAACAGGCAGGTGCACAGCAGCCAGCTGCTGTAGCAGATAGAGTGTTTTGTAGCCCTAAGAAGGTGGCCCTTAGGGTTTTAGAAGCAGGTACTATGGCTCCTTTTGTCTTGATGACAGCCTCCCCTATGTACTGGACAGCCTCTTCTTTGGGGTACCGAGTACAGTATGGGCTGGGATGGTGGGAAGGTAACTGCACTGCTGGGTCCATCTGGTGTTGGAACGCTTCCAGCCCTTTCGGTGTATGTGGGGAAATGTTAGTGGAGTTCCAGGGATTTGGAGATGCAGATGCTATTGTGCCCCAGGACAAGATGTAGTCTGATGTTTGCTCATCTCTCAAAATGGTGCTATGAAGCAGCAGCCTGGGTCTCAAGGATAAGGAAGGCCTAGCATGAATTTTTCTCTCTGGGACAATGCAGTCACAGGGACTCCAGGAAGTTGAGGGCCTGTGAGGGCTGTAGGGCTCTCCTGTATCAGGACTGCAGGCATCCGTTGTGCGAATGTGGCAGGCAGCTTTGCTTCCCTCTCTACGCTGCCATGTTAAGTTTCCATGCTTCACGAGATCGGGATCTTTGTTAATTCCTTCCTTTCCAGTGTTTTTTCTCAGAAGCTCTACTGGACATGTGGTTATCAATTCGTTGCTTTGGTTCTTCTTTGTGGAGGACATGAGTGCTGAATGCCTCTACTCAACCATCTTGATGACACCTCCTAAAAAAGATCTCTTTCAAAAATTCTGACAGCTTGCCACTTAGTGTTGCTACTAAAGAACAGAGAGGGTGAGCCTATTGTACTCATCTCAAATGAGGTACCGAAATTTGATTGGACATCATAAATGCAGTAATGGGTGCTCTTTGAGAGATGAGGAAATTGGTTAGAACACCTCTACGTTTGAAGCGGCTTCCCTGTGTGTGTAAAATCCCCCGGTTATGTCTCTGAAAAATGTAAGGTGATTTGTATATGCTTAAATGCATAAAAATAAATGAATCTTAAAAGAAAAAGACTGAAAAAATGTGTTATTATGTCTGAATGGTGTGCAATACTGTGCTGAGTAGTGAACTAAGGGGCTGATCTGTAAGTCTTTTACATTCCTCACATTTAACTAATTGTTTATGAGTATAATATTAGGCAATAGATAGTGCTCACAATGACTCTGAGGCATATAATATTACAAAAATGTAGCAAATAGTTTCAATAATTTGCAAACATTTCCTATTAATCTATAATTGCAATTTAGGCTCCCACTAGATCAGTACATTTCCAGAATGGCTATCAATTCAACTTGATGACTCGGGGTCACAGTAACCAAAAGCCAGAGGTCACAGCCACTTTAAAATTTCACCCCAGACTCGGTCAAGCTCCATACTGCTTGGAGAGTCTGGCTTTATCTGGAAATTATACAACAAAAGAACCATCCTGGAAGTCTTGACTTTACTGGAATGTAGGAACAGGGGAACTATTAGCTGTATCTTCCCATGCTAAATTAGCTTCTGGGTACCCCATTTCTATGTTTCTTCTCTGGTACTTTAATGCTCCAGACAGTCACTGGGCAATAATTCCTAGTAGGTTATATTTGTATGCCTTGGAAGCAGGAACCCCATTTTCTGTTCTTGCTAATATTCTTCTCGTTCTACTTCATGCATCTGCTTCATGCAACCAATAGACTGTATGTGCCCTCTTTTGGACCTGGAGAGCCTATTATCCCTTCCTGATTTATGGTGCCTGGGTATATAAATTATTTCAGAATGTGCTTATTCAAATTTCCTATTCTAACCCACCTGTTCTTCAACTTTTTTTTTATGCTACAAATTCCAAGATTCAGATTCAATAGTGATCAGTAGGCTCTACTGAAGCTTCCAGTTGTACCTGTGTGCTTCAACTCAACCTGCTTTACCTTGGCCTACTAACTCAGATATTGATAAAATACTGCTTAATTTATCTACATTCTGCTATTTCATGTGTACTTAATATGGGTTAATACATGTGGAGAGACATTGTGAGTTATGTTTTATTCATCTCTGTGTCTACGTCCATACATTAAATACAATCAAATCCAGTTAGCAGAATTAAGGAGAGTAGTAAGGAAATGGCTTGATATTTGAATATGCAGGCAGAGCACACAGAAATAGTTCTTGTGTTTGTATTGAAGCTTTCTCTAACTCTTAAAGTTCTCTTTGTAGGATAACACCATTCCCAAAGTCTGGGAAGAATTTTCCACATCTCACCAGTAGTATATTGAGACTATTGGGGTAGAATTCAGATCTAGGAAAGTCAAATGTTTTCTTCTCTAGCCAGGATACTCAAAGGTCTAGCAAAGTAAAATGAGGCATAAATGCATATTAAGCAGTAATAAATCTATAATGTACATTTACTTCAATCTAGACATAGCTCCCAGAAACACAGGGAACTGGCTGGCAATTTTGGATTGTTGTTTAAAAACCAATTCCTTAGTCTTTGTTTGTTTGTTTTTTGGTTTTATTTTCCTGTTCATATATTTTTTTTAATGTTGAAGAACTAAGCCATGGATCAAAATTCCAGAGTGACAATTCAGAAATGTAGGCATGTAATTCTTCACCTCAGGATACTTAACCAATGTAACTCTTTCTGCCTCACTGGCCTTGCCTTCTTCCAACTCTTCCTTTCTCTTTGTTTTCCCTTTCCTTTCCTCTCCATTTCATTCTTTTATCCTTCTTTATCTTCTTCCTCCTCTCCCTCTTCCTATTCTCCCTCTCTTCCCTATCTGAATTCTTCCCCTTTTTTCCTCTTCTTCATTCTCTCCTCTTCCCCCATTGTTTTCAATTTTCTTAGATTTCCTTTACATACTTCTTCCTCTTTTCATCATTTTCCCCTTTCTCTTTTTTCCTATGTGTGCTCCCTCTGCTCTTTCCATTTCTCCAGAAGAGTCAGTCTGCTCTTGCTGATCTAACACTTTAGTCTTGTTCGAAATGAATTAGAATGTGTGTCTTTAAAAAGAATTCAAGATATGCATATAAATTATTTAATATTCTCTAGTAGCTTTGATCAGTGAAATTTACCTAAAGCACATGCTAATGGACTTTAAGTTTTTAATATGTGCTTTATTATACTTTCATATAACATTTTCCTATTATCTGTTAGAGATGAAAAATCTGTAGACATTTTACCAGCTTAACAAAGCAATAGAAATGAATAAGAATCATACCATTAGCTGACAAAATTAAGAAAATATGGAAGAACCATAAACCTTGTTCTGCATTATGTTTCTATAAACCTCTAGGTGTAATAAATCTTATCTAACTTTAAAATACATTCACCAAGAAAGTCTTCTTTTTGTTAAAATAATGAAGCCTAATAATAACCTAAAATAATTGCAAAACTCTAATAAAACATTCATATATTATTTTTATTAATCTTTCCTTTTGAGACATAGAATTTCAATGTAAAATATTGAGATAATTTCCCAAAGAACTCAGCCTATATGCACAAGAAGAATAAAAGATAGGTAAACAAAGTGCCAGAAAGTCAGTAAGATGATAACATGCTAAACAGCAACCTAGACTCTTTAAAGAATTTCTCATTTAATAATAAATACTCAGAATTGGTTTAAGTATTGCCAATAATGAATGAAATTTTAGATGATTTGTATAGAGTCCACCAATGAAACTGTTGCCTCCAAATTAAATTACACATTAATAATACAATTAAACAATTAAATTGAAGCTAAACAATAATTATGATATCTCAATAACTCAAATTTACCACATGAATTATCTACTCCAAATGCTTCAGATAATTATAGATTAAGCACATTGTTTCTTAATAAACAGTTCCTATACAACTAATAATAACCCAAATTCTACTGGAACATTTAACAATCTTCAGTACTTTTCAGTGAGGCTTCTGGGCCCTTCTGTTTTGAGTATGTTATAGAACATTCTCATTTACCAAAATGTAATGAGAAAACGGTAAGGAGAAAATAAAGGAATGTTTTGCAGGCACACAGCTCCTAACTGCTTCTCTGTATCTGACCACACTTTGTGTGGCAGGAGGTGCTGCTGGCATGAGAATGTATACATGAGTTTCAATGAAGAAAGACCTACTTGTGAATTCCAGACTTAGCTTTATTCACCAGTTGTGCCAAAATAAATTGCGACCTAATTTTATCTAGCAGCTGAGGCAAGTGACAGGCATAGATGTTCCATATGTGAATATAGCTATGAAAGCACAACATAATCTTATGAATCACAAGCAGCAATATTTACATATTGCTACAGATGCCAGTGTAGATTAGTTGAAAACATCTTAGTGGCTGCTTTTCCGATATCTTCTATTCTCCATTTCTGTCTTTGTGAGTGTGTCTGCCTTTCTCATTGGTTTCATCTCTTATTTGTTGTTGTCCCATTCTTTATCATTTCTATTCTCCTTTATTTTCTTTAAAATCTCTACCTTTAAATTTAAAAGAATGAATATATTAACAAAACAGATTATTGTTTTAACTTGAAAAATAGAAGAGTATAAATATCTAGGAGTCATTCGGTATTTCTGAAGTTTCTATTTATGCATATAAACAGCTAAAAGTACAGAATCTGCCAAATATTTAACAAATCAAATATGAATTTATTTCTCTAAAGGAATATTCCCTGTGAGACTTTATTTCCCTTCCCAGTGGATCTGTGGCCTTCAGGTAAATAAATACATAAGTAAATTAGTTTTTAAGAAAATTCAGGTGTATGAAGTATAATCACTTTTACACAGAGGTATAAAGTGCAACTATGAGGCATTAAGTCCTGTTCTACCTCTTAGATTTAAAAAGTACAATTTGAACCACACGTTTGTTGATTTTTTTTAGAGGAGTTAACTTTATATGGCATACTTCTTATGTTATTGGTCTCAGTTTATGATACTATGTCAAATTTCTTCTCATGACTTCTTGAAACACACATTCTAAAAATGTAGGTCTTCAAATAGCTACACCTTGTTATGTTTCTATTAGCATTAAATTTATTTGAATTTGTTAGGAATTCAATATTAATTATAAAAATCAAACATATTATTAGCATTTTAATAAAAATAAAATATATATCTACATGTGAGATCTCAATGAATTTAAATTTTATGGAGTATCAATATTTTCCCATCAAATTTTTCAAAGTGTTTCCTAATACAATCCCCATGCTTTGGTATTCTTTCATCATCTCAAGCATTAATGTTTAACAGAAGAGTATTTACCATATTCCAGGTAATCTGTTAAGGAGTTCACATTCATTTTTCCTAGTTCCCAAAACAATTCTAGACATAGATGCTATTATGTCCACTTACAGCTGAAAAATCTGAGGCTCTGTGAAATTAAGTAGCTTAATGAAATTCACAGAATCATAACTGGACTCTAACTCTGTTTGGCTCAGAAGTTCTTCCCTCTTTGCTTCCCTAATTTTACAACTTATAAAACTTGATTTTGACCTAGATGTGTTTCATTATTTCTAAATCAATCACTGAGGAGTAAAATGCAATCGCTATAATTGTCTCAGACAGTTGTCCTTACTCAGGGACAATTTTGCCTTCAAAAGTACATTTGACAAATTTGGTTAGGACAATTTGGTTATGACAATTAGCTGGGGCTGGGATTCTGAGGAGAAGTCTCCTACTATCTAGCGAATGGAGGTCAGGGACGCTGCTAAACATACTACAATGCACAGAACATGCCCCCCCCCACCAGAATGGCTCATAATGTCAATAGCAACATTGTTGAACAACCGTGCTTAAGGGCTTCGATAAATGTGCCCTCATATTGCTTCCTAATCAAATACCAACTGAGTTCCTCAACATGCCGCAATATATCCACAAAACAGACTATAAAGAGATAAATTATTAAGAAACAGAAGTCAAAGTGACTGAAAGAGCAAGCTTCAACTATTGATTTTTTTAAGAGTGTATATTAATCAGCCAGGTATCTTATTTTCTGCCATGCCTTCTCAGAGATACCTGTAGTATGATAATACATGTGATCATTCATAAATTACACTCCATCATATCAATTTCATGAAATGTTTACAGTTGGCATGCTATTTTATTTCATAGCATTACTTAGAATAACTGAAATACAAAATAAGTATTTTTCTCAAAAAGTTTTATAAGTACATCTAATTAATAGAAAATATAATACAGATATTATGCATTAAGTTTTTAGGCTATACATAGGCATTAAGTTTACAAGGTGCCTTCAGTATAAAAAGTCATTCAAATGAACCTTAAACATTAAATAGTTTCTTAGAGGGGTGAAAAAAATCAAGTTTTCAGGGTTCGTTTTCTTCAACATCCAGCCTCCTAGAATTTCCTTCATACTTAATGAACATTTTATATCCTGAAAGCAGCAAGGAATTTTCTTTCAGCTCTGTATCAGTCAAACTACCATTTTTCCTTCTACTGGTGTTATTTCTACTGTATTGTTGTATTTGATTTGTGATCCCTTTGTCTCCTGTCATCCAAAAGGCAAAATCCAGGCAGTAGCAAGTGACTTTCTACACTTAAACACTCCAGAGGCCTTTAAATTATACAAGGAGCAGAGGTGTTGCGACCTTCTCTGGGACCCAAGGGCAAGGAAGGGCAGAATCATAATCTTTCTGCTGGTAGTTGCCAACTTACTTTTTCTCTCTTCCTTACTTTTTCCATCTTAACCAGAGAGTTCTTTTCTAGTCTCAGTTTAATCTCTGATGAACTATTTAATTTTCCAATATTCCTATAGATTATATCCCCATATTATTGTGTTCATATGCTGCAGTAACAAAGGCTCATATCATGAGTCTAATTAATAAAATATTTTGTCTAGGAATTAACACCAAAACTTAGAGAGAAAGCACAAAGCAAAACATTCAGATATATAATGTATTACTCACTAGTAATAAATTGGAAGATCTCAGAATATTATCTCTAGAACATAAGCACAATTCGTATATTTAAAAAGCAGCTCCTTCAGCGAGGTGTAGTGGCTGAAAGCCACATTCCCAGCACTTTCGGGGACCAAGGTGGGAGGACCGCTTGAGGCCAGGAGTTTGAGACTAGCCTGGGCAACAAAGTGAGACCCTGTCTCTACAATAAATAAATAAACCCCAGCTCCACCTATAATGAGTGTAAACAGTATCAAAAATGAAGTGTGCTGATATTGCTGAAAGAGTGCTAAGAATTATACAAATAAAGCTTCAGGCCCTGATTTTGTAGTATTTTACATCAACACAGATGCGAAATATAGAACTAACAGTATAAGTGATGGTGGTTATTCCAGTAGAAAATAGATGCAATGTTTAACCAACCACATCTATTAGCTGAGTCATTTAATGTATGAAGTAGAGTGGTAATTGTAAACTAACGTTATTTCCAAGACATATAATAAAAATGAATTTTAAGAAAAAAATCATTTGATTAAAAATATTTCAAACCCTATTTCACTAATATGATTTTATGTTAAATAAGCTTCTGTGTACCATCGATCTCCAAAGAAATATGCATTAAATTATTATTATTTACAATGCTGTTTATTCTAACATTTTCAGAAATTTCTCTACAAGTAGTAATGATACTGCCCACATCAAATTTATTTTATCCACATTTCAAATTTTATATTTATGCCTGAAATTCTTAACTGCTCTGTTTTTCTCTTCTAGTCACTTAGCTTGAAAAGCGTATATAGATTAGTCTTGCTGAGCTAGTATCTTTTCCACACAAAAGGAATGACTTATCCAAAAGAATGAACAATGAAAATAGTACTTTATTAAAATCCTTCAGTATATTGAAGTTGGGAGATTTAGATTTGAGTTAATGAGATGTATGTTATTTATACCTAAATAACATACATCACTTTATTTGAGAAAATCACTACACTCAATTCCCATGTGTCTTAGTTTTCTAATTGCTAACCTGCAAAGTATTTACAATATTGTCCCTTTTTCTTTGATTCATGTTAAGAAGGAAAAATATACCTGATCTAAAAAATGTCTTCATTGAATTCAAGCAAATATTTTCTTGTTGATTTGTATTTAGTTTACTAAGCCTATAATGACTAATTTAATGGCGCCTAAAATTGCAGTTTATTCTAACAACAGTAAATAGTCAAATAATTGTTTTTTTTTCCTGGTTAATTAAATTGTAAAGTGCCTTTCTTATATAGCCTTCTTTTGCTTCTCCTTTACTAGTTGCAATCAACAGCATATGCAGATAACAATAACTAACCTGTACAATCCAGAGGCTGCTACTATGAACATTATGGACAAGTTTATCACTACTTATATGCATGGGAATAGGCAATAATACAAAAACAACATTTCCTATTGGAAAAATCATATGAGAAAAACTCATATATTGAAACATGAATCAACTTTAATGAAAAGACTCCGTTGTAATTTATCTAAACCAACATTTACTGGTTGAATATTATATATCGAACATTAAACTAGTTACTAGAAATAAAGAGATATAGATAATACATATTCAATCTTCTAAGATTTTAAAAATCAGAGAAGTAAAAGATAATAATTGCTAATATTTATTGATTGTTTACTAAGTAGCTTGTGTCCTTGTAGGCAGAGAACTTTATTAATAAAAAGAGTAGATAGAGCACATTGGTTAAGTGTAAGTAGTTTGCCACAGCTGAAGCAAATGGAATTATTAAGTACATTTGAACAGTCATGAGTCAACAGCACTTAAAAAAATAGATGCTGATACAAGCACTAATGCATATGAGATATCACATACACCTAACAGACACATGCCACCATGGGATAGTCATGTTTTCAGTCACTATCTTTACCACCTGTTTACATTGGTGACTTCTTTTAGGTCAAACCGAAGGAACCGAAAGTTGATATCCAGGATCATCAGCCTGGCCTTCAGTGTTTTGTGGCACTGATTAGATTTAGAAATATAACATGTAAACAACCAAACTTTTAGATTAATGCATGTTCTAAATAATACTTTGTGTCTTAATGAGTGTTCAAATTCTAAATTGATCCTGAGTCTTACACATAAGCAAGATGAAGGGCTAATCAGTCACTACCACCCACCAAGTAGTTCATTCTGAGCTTTCCTCTTGGGTATACAATTCTGCCTTAATGTGCTATGTTAATTCATGTAATCATGCCTTTGTTCAACCTTCCACCAAGTCTTCATTGCATCCTTTCTCTGAACATGCTTCAGTATTCAGTTTGACAACTGAAAGATAAATTTTTGAAAGACATTTATTTTAACAAATTTCTTAACAAAACTCTGATTCAGGATACAAATGGAATCAGGTCAATGAGGGAAGGATATTATCTGAAAGGAGCAAAGACACAGCTTGTAGGAATAGTTAGAAATGGCAGTGACCAGAAAGAAAGAGCAACAATGTGGTCTTTGGGGAAAAGCACAGAGATAAAATAAAAAAGAGAATGAAGGAATGAGAGCTCTGGACCAAAGAAAAACTCTCCCACTTCAGTTCTAAGCAGACACACCACATCTGGCCCTTACTACTGAGGAACTGCTGCTATAAAGTCAGTATATTTGCTTTAGAAAGGCCTAAGTTGCTTTAGATGTAAAATAGGAATTACACCCACTTAAAGTTCAGAGATGATACTTTTCTATCATATCATATGTGTGAGAACTAAATTGTTTGAAAATTGTAACATGGTGTAAATGAAAGTTTTATTGACCAAAAACCTCAGGGGAAAAACATTATCTTCTTTTACTTCAATTTTTGCTGACAGAATTTTATAAACTTTTTATTCTGAAACAGATGCACAGGAAGTTCCAACAATAATATAGAGTTGCCCATGTACACTCCCTCAGTTTTTCCCATTGGTTGCATCTTATATAACTAAAGTACAATAGCAAAACCAAAAAATCTAGTCTAATAATAGGGCTACATTATTTAATCACATGTGTTGATTCATGTAACCTCCACTGCAATCAAGGTAAAGAATTATTCTATCACCAGAAAGATTTATCTTACACTGACCTTTGCACAATTTTCTGTGAGTGCTATAACAAATTCACATACATTTGGTGGCTTAAACTAGCAGACATTTATTTTCTTTCAGTTCTGGAGGCTAAAATTCCAAAGGTGTCTGCGGGGCTACATTTCTGTGGAAGCTATAGGGAAAAATCAATCCTTTCTTTCTTCTTTCTGTGTCTGTCAGATATCAGAATACCTTGTCTTGTGGTCCTATCTCTCTCTGCTTCATCTTCCCATCTCCTTCTACTCTGCATGTCTTCCCTCTGTGTGTATATCTTATAAAGATACTTGTGGCTGCCTTTAGGATCAACCCAGACCACACAGAATAAGTTCTTCATCTCAAGATCCTTAACTAATTCTGTCTTTTGTCATAAAAGATAATACAGGTTTCAGGAGAAGGATGTGGACATACATTTCTGCAGGTCACCATTCAACTCACCACTCCCTTTATAGCTATATACATATCCCTATATCTCCCCCTTCTTATCTCTAGTATAGCTAAGCCCTGACAAAAACCAACTATTTAACATCTGTAAAATAGCATCATTTTATTAATGTTAAGTAATGGATTTGCCCAGTATCTTATCTTTTGATATTCTGTGCTTTCATTTAGTATGATGTCCTTGAGGTCTTTTCAAGTTGTGTTTATCAATATTTGTTTCTTTTTACTGAGGAACAACATTCGATGCTATGATGTACCAGTTTGTACAACTATCAACCTACTTTAGAGGGTTTCTAGGTTTGGGTTTCTATAAATAAAGCTGTCACGAGCAATTATGTAAAGATATTTGTGTGAACATATATTTTCATTTCTCTAGGATAAATGCCCAGGAGTGTGATTTCTGAGTCACATAGTAAGTGTATGTTTAGTATTTACAAAATCATCCAACTATTTTTCAGAGTGGCTGTAACATCTCTTATTCCCTCCAAGAATATATGAGTGATCCAGTTTCTGTATGTCCTTGCCAGTATTTGGTACTGTCAAAACTTTACATTTTACCTGTTCTAAATAGAACATTTCCCTAATGGCTCATGATGATGAACATCTTTCATATGCTTATCTACTATTGCTATATCTTTTAGATGAGATGTCTCAATGTTTTTTGTTAATTTTTTAATTGAAGTGTTTTATTTGTTTTGTTTTTTTATTTTTCCTACATTTTGAGAGTCCGTTAGATATGTTGTTTGAAAATCTTGTCTCCTAGTTGCTAGCTTTCTTTTTCATTCTCTTATAGCATTTTTTTTTTTTTTACAAAGCAAAGGCTTTTAATTTTGGTAAAGTCCAGTATATTATTATTTTTTCCTTTTATGGATCATGCTTTTGGTATCATGTCAAAAAACTCTTCATAAAGCCTTAGGCTCTAAAGATTTCTTCCTGTACTTTCTTTTAAGTTCTTATAGTATAATTATCATATTTAAATTTATGACCCATTTTGAGTTATTTTTTGTATAAAGAATGAGGTTTAGGTTGAAATTCTTTTTTGCCTATTAATGTTCAATAATTGTTCCAGTACTATTTGTTGAAAAGTTATCCTTTCTCCATTGAATTACTTTTGCAATTTTATTTTTAAAAAATTGACAGGCTGTACCCATATGCAGCTAGATACGTGTTCTCTATTCTGTTCTGTCGATCTATATATGTCCATCCTTCTGCCAACACTATGTAGTCCTAATGACTAGTTATATAATAAGTTTGAAATAGGGTAGAATGATTTCTTTCACTTTACCCTTCTTTTTCAGAATTGATTTTCCTAATTCTAATACCATATAAGTTTTAGAATAATCTTTCCTATATCAATAAAAAGTATTGCTGGAATATAAATTTGGCAAGAATTGACATCTTTACTGTATTCAATTTCCCTTTTCATTTCCCTTACTCCCAATTTTTATCCTTGAGCAATTTAAAAGTTTGTACTCCACTCAACCCCAAGATGCACAGAATCACTGATCTGCTTTCTGTAACTAAAATTTTAATTATTTTTTCTAGAATTACTGATAAATGGAATCATACAATATGTATTTTTGTGGTTCAATTGTTTGGGTAAGCATAATATTTATAAAATTAATCTATCATATTTCTGAGTAGGATCCCTTTGTGTGCATAAACCACAGTCTGTTTATCTACTCACCTGTCAATGTCCATTTGGGATGTTTCCAGTAATTTGGGCCATTATAAACAAAGGTGAGTAGACATGTGTTTTTATTTCACTTGAATAAATATGTAAGAATCGAGTTGCTGCATTGTATGGTAAATGTGTGCCTAATTTTATAAAGCATTGCCAAAATGTTTTCCGAAGTGGTTATATCAATTTACATCAACAGCAGCAATGCGTATGAGTTCCCAGATTTCCTGGGTGAAGTTAAATTCTTCTATCTCATGCTTTACTGCTGTTTGTATCTATTTGGAGCATCGCAGCAGCCTGAAACCTGGTCTCTCCAGTGCCTCTTGCTCTCCCTGCAATATATTTCCATAGAGCACCCAGGGTGATAAATCAGATTACATCACTCTTCTGTTTCAAAACTGTCAATGATTTTCTTAGCTAATGATTTAGAATAAAATTAAATTCCTTAACATAGTCTACCATAATGTACATGATGTCTGTCTTTCTTATATTTTTGCAGTGCTTATTTAGTATACAACTCTCATTTGGTTCTTCAAATGCTCCAAGCTTATAAAGCTTATATGGTCTTTAATGAATAGTTCTTAAGAGCACAGCGAATGAATAAATTACTCTAAATAAAAATTACTGAATTGTATGGTGATTATTTGTGTATCTTACTGTCTTGCAGATTCAAAGTGCCTAAAAATACTCCTTTTGTCTTTGTACCTATAACTTTAGCAGTATGTCTACTAGAGATATTATTGAAGAATGCTTGAAGAAATATACTATGATTAATGTTGATTCTGTCACTTGTTATCCTTAAAACTCTTCAGCATCTTGAGAATTACCTTATTGCTAGAATGATATCACGAATGTCCAAATATGAACCAATGATCTGATTGTTATTTCTTGATATACTTATAATTCAGCTTCACAATTTCCTCAAATGTAGGTCTTTCCTTCTTCATTGATAATTTTATTGCCTAAGAGTCATCATATGTTCCTCTTCAACATAATGCTGTATCTCTGAGATCTTCATTTTTATGGTTTTAGAGATACATTTTAAAAATATGTTTTAGAATTGTATATTTTATTTCTTCTGCATGTAGTAACATTTACATCTAGAAATATGGACCAGCATAAGTATTTCATTTTCCATTAATGTATCTGTAAAAGTGAAATAAAATTATTTAAAATTTTTGGCTAACAAAATACCCAATTCTTCCTCTCCACATTTCAGCAGCCTTTTCTGACTTCATTATGTTTTTCTTCATTTTCATTGTTGCCAGCAAGAGGTATGTGATTCTTAATGGCACCTTTAGTTTGCATTTGGGAGAATTATTTCTCTGTGATATGATAGGAATGTAATTCTATTATTGGAAAAGCTGTTATTTTTTCTTTTCCAATGTGGTTCTCTTGCCATCAAAATCCAGGGGTGGAGAATGTAGCAAATTTCTAAACTGAACTCACTTCAAGAGTGGTTCCTGTTATTTTGGGAGCTTAATACAATTTCCAACTCTTATCTCAGACCTGGATCAGCTTGATAACTATATTTTCCTCCTGGCTTTCCTCCTCTGATCTGTAATTATTTTCTGCCATTGGTGTCATGCTTATTTGTGTGCAATTATAACTTCTCAAATGTCTTCTCTCTGACTTCTCTGCCTACTGAAGCTGACGTTTACCAGTCTACTTTCACTGATGAGTCACAATTCTACTTAATTTTATTTAACTCTTGCAAATTTAATATAAAATAACTAATCATACCAAAAATACAAAGAATAATTTAATGTATATAATTATCAGCAAGGTCTCAAGCTTAGTATTTCCCACATTTTGGTCTACTTTAAAAAAATGTTTTAAATTAACTTTCAAACACAATGATAATTGCCTTTAAATATTTCACTATTTCTCAAAATATAAAACATTTAATTCATATGTCACTATATAAACATAATTTTATTACCACACAACAGAAAATTAAGAATAGTTCTTATCATAATCTAATAACAGTTCCTTTAATTTCCCCCAATTTTTCCAATGAATCACTTACAAATGATTTGCCTTTGGTTACACTTTTTAAAAATAATTAATATAAAATAGACCCATATGTTTCATGGCACTGATTTGTTGAAAATAAGGTCAATTTTTCCTACAGAATTTTCCAACTTTATGATTTTTGATGACTGCTTTCTCGTAGCATCATTTCATTCGTTCCTGTATCCTATATTTTTCGTCAATTGAAATTTGATCTAAAGATGTGATTAGTTTCAGATTAGACAATTTGGGCAAGAATAGTTAATAGCAATTCTATATAGTTGTTTTGCATCATTGGAGTCAGGTAAAATGTGGCTGTTCTACATTGTTTATAGTGATGAGTGGGCTCAAATTATAGCTTTTACTTACTTTTATTTTTGTAACTTTACTTTTTATACATTTTCAAGTTTCAGACAAGTTTTGAGAATAAAACAAGTAACACACATACATACTCTTTACCCAGAATCATCAACTGATTACATTCTGCCTCTTTTTGTCTTATCCTTCTCTCTTTCTTTACACATACATACATACACACACACATGTGCACACACTTAGATATTTAAAACTTTGATCTCAGTCATTTGAGGGTAAGTTGGCTCTAAGTGCTTTATCCCTAAGTACATTACTGTGTACTTATTAACAAGGACATTCTCTTTCATATTCTACAGTAATTACAATCAATCTAACTTTAAAGTAATATTATTAGTATTTATTCCAGAGACTAATTTCAATTTTTGTCAATTATCTCTGTATCCTTTGCCTGTATATATTTTCTAGTCCAGAATCCAGTCAAGTATTATGCATTGTAATTGGTTGTGAAGCTTTTTATTCTTTTTAGTCTAGAATGGTTTTTCTGCTTTCCTTTATGCTTTATGATGTTGGTATCTTTAAAAATCCTAGCCAATTAATTTGCAGGATATCCATTAAGTTGGGTTTGTCTAATGTTTTCTAATGAATGTATAAATTCAGAAAGTCAGATTCACTCTTAAAAATGCAGATTGGTTTAACAATCAACTAAAACCCAGATTAGAAAATGCTTAGCTCACTTCATTTCTTCTTTTCTACTCCATGAAAGATAATGCTAACAAGCAAAGGCTCTCTTTTCTACTCAACTAAATTTGAATTCAGAATACTTCCTAAAACAGCACCTCCTAAAGCCAAAATAACTCAAAAAGAAATACCTATTTGACACTTTTTTTCTCAGACTCTTTCTGCTACTCAACATGTATGGTTACTTTTCTCTGTTTTGCCTATTTCACCGTATTCTACAGCCACTGAATGCAAGATGTCTATCCCATAAGAAAGTAGTAGTGAAATAAGCATTGCTTAATGGCATAATAGGGAGACAGTATGTTTTTGGGATATAAAGAAGCACTGGCGCCTAATTTTACTGGAGATTCTATCCCACTTAGGGCATTGTCATTGTAGGGAAATGATTTATTTGTTTTTAATCTCAATGTTTTCATCTGTGAAAGAAATGGTATTATCTTTTAAGGTTAATATGAAGAATAGAGATATTGAACATATACGTTAACTATTGCAGGGACTGGGCAATTTGTAATTACTATTGTTAGTTTTATTATGAGCTAGACCAAGCTCTAGAAGTTATTTTGAATTCTATCTTAATATTTTCTACTAACTGTGATTGAGAGGTAATGCTAATGAAGTCATATCAAAAAGCACATGGGAAACAACCATCCACAATTAGCTACAGAGATTGTGTAAACAATCAGAAAAATGTGGACAGTATCCTAGGAGCCCTTAAACTTTGATGCTATCTAGATCTTCATTGCAGTAGCTTAAAAGTTTGTATTGATAGAGAGAATACTGTTAAGCAATGTGGTGTGATTAAAATAATACATAAATTGAAGTTAAACTTGCATTTGAATCTTATTTTGGTTACTTATTTGCTTTTTAACTATATATGAATTGTCTTTTACCCTTAATTTTATCATTTATAAAATACAATTATTTTTAAAATTAAGTGATATTTTATAATTTTGCAAAGGATCTTACATATAGTGGTACTTCACTAATACATAAGCGTTATTTATGGTTACTGAAAAGATTAAATTTATAAAATTTGTTTGGGGCATATATTTAGCATTTTTATTAAGATGTCTAGGATCACATGTCTTTTAATACTCCTACCATTTATATATCACATAATCCAAACCTTAATTTGTAAGCAAAGGAAGAAATAATGATACCAAAATTTTGATAGCTTTCATATTTTTACAAATATATCTGACAAAGTGAACTTGAAAACTTAGTTTGTACCTTGGCATTTCTACCTCTCTGAATGAATCTTCAAATCCTAAATTAATATTTAAAATGTATCCTGTTGTTCTGCTTCCTGTGAGATCACATTTATTCTAGGATTTTTCAGTGTAATTTAATAGGCAAAACACAAAAAGAGGCAAAACAGCATACTACATATGAAAATGGAGATAGAATTTTACTAGCCATAGCTAATTTGATAACAACAGATTATCTAATTATCTGAAGGCAATTAGAAGATTCTTTCAGATTGTGTGTGCTAATCACATTGTATCTTCTGTTTTCCTGTGACGTATCTTCCCAAGCAGAAGCTTCTGCATGTCCTTAAAAGTGCTAGAGCCATATCAGTCTTTCCTCAAGACCAACATGCTCTGACTAGTCATTGTTTTTCCAGCTGCTAACTGGCTATCCATCCTAAATTCATTCACTCTCCCCACAGTGTCTTTGCTAAGCAATCACACTGCAGTGTTCAATGCTGTTTCTAACTTTCCAAGAGCAATAGTCCTATTTTTCTTCTTATTTTCAGCATCTTACTCCTTTTTTAAACCTCTGCCACCTGAATTTTCTTGAATACCCCAATATGTAGATTTCCTAACACTGAACTATACACAGAAAAAAAATCCTCAATCAGTGATAAAACTGTTGCTAATATTAAGAGCTTAATTTTCCATTTCGTAGTACACTCTTGCTTTGTACAAGGATTAATAAACTTTACTGATCCCAAGATCGATGACAAAATGTTGTGTCTACTAAGGACCCTACACAGAACTCTTTCAAAGACTGTTTCATTTTATCTTCAAAGACAGTTCACTGTTGTGCTCAAGGCATAAATTATTGTATGCATCTTAATGATAAATAATCTCAACCTAGGAAATGTCAATGAATCCAAAGTATCAGAGCTAGTGAATTGATCAGGACACAAACTGGTTTCTCTAACTCCATACACTGTGCTATTTCCACTATATAATTTTAGTTGACCACTTCCTGGTTGTTTCTGGGTTTCCTGAAGTCCCTAAAAAGAATTTGATGCCTATGAAGCATAAGAGAAAGTTAGACTCAGACACACCATTTGTGTGGATACAATGAAGAATTTGGGATCTTTCCTCCTAATTCTTCTGTCCTTAGCAGTAGTGGATACTTATCTGCATTGCAGCTTCTTTTACACGTCCATTTTTTCTATGCATGATTCTTTGAACTCAATTCCTTGGATCGCTTATCCTCAGCTTGAGATAATTTGGAAGATAGAAAGGAACTAATGACAGAAAAGAAATCTCTTGCGTAAAACAGAAATAAGCTCTAATTTTTTAAAGCAGGAAGAAAATAAATTATCTTACCTACTTTCACTAACCACCTAAATTACCACATCAGGTCCCATGTCTTTAAATACCTTCTCTATGATGAAGTATATCTCTAGCCCCACCACGCAATAACTCCAGACTTGTATGTCCAACTGCCTCCATGACATCGCTAACTGTATGTTTAAATAACATCTTCACAATTAACATGCCTCAAAACCAAACTCTTGAAATACATTCACCTCTGAAAATATCCTCCCCTCCCCACCACATTTTTCCACATCTCAGTAAACACTAACTCCATTTTTCCACCTACTCAGACCAAAGTCTTGGATTCATCCTTAACTCTAATCTCACACCTCATATACAATTTACCAACAGGCTCTGTATGTCCTGTCATAAAAAAAATTCTGTTACCGAATCTGTTTCTCCACCACACCAGAGGCACCCAGGTGCACACCATCATCATTTCGCACTTTAAATGTTGAAATAATCTTCTATAATGTCTCTTGCTTCTATGCTTGTCCCCACCTCTAGTCCACTGGCAATGCAAAAATCAAATTGATCCTTTTATAATAAAAGATGTCACTTCTATCTTCAGTACCCCCCAGTAGCTTCTCCTTTCATTTCGAGGGAAAGCCAAAATTTTATAAATGGCTGACAAATTTCTCATAATCTGCTCCCATTCTAACACTGTTACCTTACCTCCTACAACTTTTATCCTGACTGATTCTGTTCTGTTTATCAAACATACTAAGCACATTCCCGTATCAGGACACTTGAACTTGCTGTTACTTTTGCCTGGACTACCTATTTCCCAGATATGGTTAAGATTCATGTCCTCACCTCCATCAAATCTGTGTTCAAATGCCACCTTATCTGTGAAGGCTTCCTTAATTGCCCTATTTAAAATGCTAATCCCTCATCCCCAACTCTCCTTATTCTTATTTTGTAGCTGTTTATCTCACAACACTTTTCACTACCTGATAAACAATATATTTTACTTATTTGTTGGCCAATGGTCTGTTTACACCAGCAGAGCTGAAGCTCCATGAAGGAATATTTGTTATCCAATGTATTCCTAGAACCTAGAATAATATCTAGTCCATAGTAATCACTCAATACATTTTAACTTAAGTTAATATAATTTTTTTGTTATGAATTTATCTTATGATAAAACAGACCAGAGATAATAGGTAATTCATTCAAGGGGATACAGTATAATGACCGACAGTGACAAGAGTGATAGGGAAGAATGAAAACCCTAGTTCACAAGGACTGCTAGCTGACTAGGCTTGGGTGTCCCCAGCAAATATAAACTGCTCAGACTTGATTCAGTTGTGAAGGTCAGTGGTTAAATGTCTATTCTCGTCACTTCTATTGAGTCTTTTGAGCTGTGCTAAATTAACATTGAGTGGTACAATGGCAATAAAAATGTTATTTGAGTTTAGAAGAAGATAGTTGCATATTAAAGTATATAATAGTTATTAAGTTTCAAATCAGACAAGGCTTACTCAAAGCTGACCACTAATCAGAGAGTTTATTAGTTTAACATTATTTAACCTTGATGACATACTAGTAGAAGAGAAGGATGTATTTGGTTTAATGACTTGGAAGAATATATGAAAAAAAAAAAACCTTAAAGCAGGAGAGTGACTACAAATGCTTTCTTCTGAAAAATAGAAAAATTTAAATTTCAAAAATCATTTGGTTGCTACTAGGAAAAAAGTATTATAATGACCTGTATGGTAAAATACTCAAGACAATATAGGTATTTCAAGTAAGCAATAGTGTTCCCTTTCTGCCAGAACTTGGTAGGCAAAGCTGCAATGATAGCCACAGAACTCATGGCTAATCAGAAAAATATGCAAATCATTTGTAGATTATAGTTAACTTGTCATTTACCCTTGGTGTAAAATATTAACTTAGGAGAATAAAAAAGGAAATAGCTATAAATAAATACAAAGTGTTTGAAAATAGTTTATCCAGTAAAAACTTATTAAATCCTGGGACTTGGCAGATATAAAGCTAAAAGATAATTCAAGCTATTGGGTTAAGACTGATGCATAAGCTTATACACTTTTCTCTTTTTTTAATCTTTAAATTGACAGTGATGATTTTTTAAGGCAGTAAATCTATAAAAGAAAATAAAAGAGGGTGGGGCCATCAGGAAATAAGACATTTTACTGCATGTTTTAAAAATGAGGCGAAAGGTAGAACGTTGTCAGGTGAAAGGAAACTCCACCTAAATTTGCCCAATATATAGTAATTGAAGAAAGAAGGATCTCAAAACTCTGGACTTGGAATCTACTTGTGTGATGAAAGGTAAAAGGGAGATGGGCTAAAACAGGATAATTCAGTATCAACATAGCAATAAATCAGAGGTTAAAGAATAGAACTTAATGAATACTATGTCATTTGGAAAGTTGAATAAAGAGTGTAATATAATCTTTATTAGGCTGTTTTAAGTAGAAAAGGCATTTGTAAGAAAAGCCCTATGTAGCTCACAGAATTTCTGGGAAGGCTGGAAAACCAGAAAATAGAAAAAACAAAACAAAACCAAAAAAAAAAAAAAAAAAACAAAAAAGAACGGCACAATGAGATCCCAGGCAAGCAAACTACATTTCAAATGATCTTTTAGAATAAGCCTGTGTGTAGCAGCACCACTGAGTATTGAATTTGTAGCTGTACTGCTACTGGAGAGAGTTGATAATGACTCTCCAAGAGTGAATTATCCACTTTTAAAACATTTCTTACATCACTAACCCTACAACAAAACTCCAAGACCATACATTGTGTACAGTGTACACTGCTCAGGTGACGGGTGCACCAAAATCTCAGAAATCACCACTAAAGAACTTACTCATGTTACCAAACACCACCTGTTCCCCAAAAACCTATTGAAATTTTTTTAAATGCAGTATTCAAAGGAAAAAAAACTCCAGGAGTGTACAGCAATATAGCTGAGCCTAGCTCATATGTGAATGCCCAGACTATGGGAATTATGAGAAAGTAGGATCTGAGGGTCTGTTTTCAATAGAGATGAGGCAGTTTCTGCCACCCGCACTTCTTTAGTGAGTTTCAACATTAGGTAAACAAAGGAATACAAAACTTAAACATTGAAAAACAACCAGTAATTGCTAGCACTATTCACAATAGCAAAGACATAGAATCAACCTAAATGCCCATCAATGATATATTGGATAAAGAAAATGTGGTAGATATACATCATGGAATACTATGCAGCCATAAAAAGCAACAAGATGATGTCCTTTGCAGGGACATGGATGGAGCTGGAGGCCATTATGCTTAGCAAACTAATGCAAGTATAGAAAACCAAATACCACATGTTCTCACTTACACATGGGAGCTAAATGGTGAGAATACATGGATACTTACAGGGAAACAACCCACACTGGGGCCTATCAGAGGGTGAATGTGGGAGTAAGGAGAGAGTCAGGAAAAATAATTAATGGATACTAAGCTTAATATGTGGGTGATGAAATAATCTGTATTAAAAACCCCCATGACACACACATACCTGTGTAACAAACCTGCACATACTGCATATGTACCCCTGAACTTAAATAAAAGTTAAAAAAATTGGGGAGAGGTAAATGAGAAGGATTGTGTGTGTGTGTATTAATATTTTACATATGGTAAGAAATAATTTTACATAACTATAGTGTATATAAAGTTATATAATTTAATCTATGTTTATGTCTTTGTACAAAATTTAGACATAGATGAACTTGGTTTGTTTGTTAGTTTAAGATAGAGAAGACAAGGAGGAAATGTCAGGCTGCTTCTCATTAAAAGTTTTGCTTTTCTACTTGATTTTGTTTTTATTGCATCCATATATGTGATAAATAAGTGAATTTAAATATAATGTATTTGATCAATAAATGGTGAGTTTACACAAAATTAAGAGAGATTGAACTAAAGATTGCCCACTTCTAAGACTCTGATTTGGTTTTCCATGATTCTGTGGAATTATGATTTCAAATCTTAAGTCCAGAACCCCTTGCAGTTTCTGGTAGCCCTGCCTTCTTATCTGAGGCCTCTGCGACTGGGAATTTTAGAAATATCTGCCCTGCAAAACACAGAAGGAAAACTGATTCATTTTTAAAAGGAAAACAAGTTCTATTTCTGGCAAGAAAGCATGAGGAGCTCTCCAGATTCGCACCCAAGAAAAACTGGTGAAAATTGCTAAAAAATAAAATAAAATAAACTATTTAAACCTACACATATAACCCAGAACCTAAAATAAAAATCAAAAAATTAAAATTAAAAAAATTTAAAAGCAAATGAAAAAAATAAATGATTTAAAGTTTCTGGAAATATGCCTAAGGTCATGCAGCAAATGAAGGAACATATATTCAAAAAAATTACCAAAATTCCATAAGCACAGCAAGAGCTACCTACCTTTCATCTTTCATCTCAGAGAGCTGGACACTATCCTCCAGATGGATATAGCCAAGGGCACAGGACTCCCTTTCCCTAACTTCTCAAAGGACTATCATTCCAGGAGGGCCTTATATCAGTGTTTCTCATTCTGCTCCCAGATAACTGTTGCTCAGACTCAGTTCTGGGCAAATGCATCTGGGGGAAAAGAGGGCTCCCTTCTCCCGCCCAACCACTACTTATGCAACAGAGATTCCACTTTGAGTGCAATGCCATTAAGAATACTGGGGCCTGGATCACTCATATACAGGCAGAAGTGGTGAGGATTCCATAGTGAGAGGGGCAAGCTTAGGTGACCTAAAGCTACTGCTTTCCCCATCCACAAAGCACTCAGCTCCTAAGGCAGGAGTGTCATTCAGGGAAACTTGATGTCATTGTCCCTGCTCACAGCACCAGACCTATGGCTCAGAGATTTTATCTGAGGGAAAAGTAGATCATAAAACTGTATTTAAAATTTCTCCCCAAAGCAACTGACTTTATTTACAACAGAGTACAGAGAAATTTAAACCTATGAGCATTCTCAACAACAATGGAGGTTGTAGTAAAAGACAATATGAAGGAGATTAATATATCCACTGGAGATATCAGCTAAACTATGAGCCAGCTAGTTTGCTTGAGAGAAAAGTGGGAGAGAGATGGAAATAGCCCTCCTTGGGTCAGAACAAATTTCAAAGACTGACTGCAGAAATTATTTCTTCAAGCAAATCTAATTTTGGTTAATATGGGAAGCAACTTATCCTTCCAGATATTGTCAAAACAATAAAAAAAGCTGAAAATTAATGGAGCTTGACAGTTGGGTGTGATTAGGGAATGAGAGAGACAAAGGGAACTCTGGCAAAACCATTGACAACAGAGTGACTATGTATTTACTGAATTCTTTACCCCTGAGAAGCAATCTCAGAGACTTCACACTGCTGGTGATGGTGGGGTGAGAGTCATAGCCTTCGCTATTATAAGCCAGTTAATAACTAAACAAGTAAAAAAGCAAATAAAAATAACAAGCCTGGCATGAGAGGGAGTACCAGTACCCAGAGTTGCTGCAACATATTATTTAAAGAGTTCAGTTAACAACAAAAAATTATGAGACATACAGAGAATGAGAAATATAACTCATTCACCAGAAGTTACGCAACAGAAAATGCCTGTGAAAGTAATCATATGTCTTATATAGCAGACTAAAACTTAAAAGTAGCTATTATAAATATATTCAAAGACCTAAAGGAAATGATGATTAAGAAAGTAAATAAAAGTATGACAATGGTATTGCATCAAATAGAGAATATCAACAAAGAAATAGAATATATTAAAAAAGAAATTTCCAAATGGAAAACCTGGAACTAAAAAGTACAACTTAAATAAAAAAATTAATAGAGGGAAACAGCAGTAAATTTGTATTGGCAGAAGAAAGAATTGTTGCACTTGAAGACAGATTAATTGATTTTATGTAATCTAAAGAACAGACAGAAACAGGAATAGAGAAAAAAATAACAGAGCCTAAGACAAATGTGAACACCATTAAACTCATCAACATAAACATAATGAAAGTATACAAGAGGAGAAAGAGACGAGATAAATATTTGAGGAACAATTGGCTAAAACCTTCCAAATTTATTGAAAAGCATTAATCTATACATACAGGAAGCTCAGAAAGCTCCATGTATAATAAACATAAAGGGTTTCACAAACAGATACATCAGAATAAAGATGCTGAAAGCCAATGACAAGGAGAAAATCTTGAAAATGGCAGAGAAAAATGTTTATTTAAAAGTGAAGCAAGATAAAATTAACAGCTGACCTGTAAGTAGAAACAATGAAGGCTAAAGGGCACTGGCATACCACATTTGAAGTGCTCAAAGAAAAAAAGTGTCAAGAATCCTATAGCCAGTGGAGCTATCTTTGAAAAATAAAGGTAAAATAAAGAGATTCCCTTATGAACAAAAACTGTGAAAATTTTGTTACTAACAGACCCACTTTAAAAGAAATACTAAAGAATGCTTCAGGAAAAAAGCAAATGCAATAATTCAATGTTTGAAATTATTCATCATCAGGCAAATGCAAATCAAATCTACAATGAGATACCATTTCACACCTACTAGGTATAATCAAAAAGTTGGATAATAGTACGTATTGATGAGGATGTAGAGAAACGAAACATACGCAAACTGCTGGTGAGAAGGTAAAATGATTGTATTAGTTCATTTTCACATTGCTATAAAAACTTCCCTGAGACTGGGTAATTTATGAAGTAAAGAGGTTTAAGTGACTCACAGTTCCACACAGGTGGGGCGGCCTCAGGAAACTTACAATCATGGCAGAAGGGGAAGCATTTACCTTCTTCACAAAGTGGCAGGAAAGAGCATGAACATGTGAAGGAGGAACTGTCAAACAGTTATAAAACCATCAGATATCATGAAAACTCACTTACTATCACAAGAACAGCATGGGGAAAACCACCTCTATGATCCAGTCACCTCCTACCAGGTCCCTTCCTTGACACATGAAGATAATGGGGATTACAATTCAAGATAAGATTTGGGTGGGGACACAGAGCCAAACCATATCATTCTGGCCCTGGCCCCTTTCAAATCTCATGTCTTCATATTTCAAAACACAATCATGTCTTCCCACAGTCCCCAAAAGTCTTAACTCATTTCAGCTTTAACCCAAAAGTTCAAGACCAAAGTATCATCAGAAATAAGTCAATTTCCTTCTGCCTAGCAGTCTGTTAAATAAAAAACAAGTTAGTTACCTCCAAGATACAATGAGGATTCAGGCATTGGATAATTGATTCCATTCCAAGTGGGAGAAATTGGCCAAAACAAAGGGGCTACAGGCCCCATGCAAGTCTGAAATTGAGCAGAGTAGTCATTAAATCTTAAATCCCTGAGATAATTTCCTTTGACTCCATGTATCACATCCAGGGCACAGCGATGCAAGGGGTGGGCTTGCATAGCCTTGGGCAGCTGTGCTCCTGTGGCTTTGCAGGGTATGCCCCGCTGGTTGCTTTTATAGCTGGCATTGAGTGTCTGAGGCTTTTCCAGGAACATGGTGCAAGTTGTCAGTGAATATACCATTCTCAGTTCTGGAGGACAATGGCTTTCTTCTCACAGCTCCAGTAAGTAATGCCCCAGTGGGGACACTGTGTGGGGGCTCCAACCCCACATTTTTCTTCCACACTGCCCTAGCAGAGGTTCTCCATGAGGGCTCCACTCCTACAGCAGACTTCTGCCTAGACATCCAGCATTTCCATACATTCTCAGAAATCTAGACAGAGGTTCCCAAAGCTGAACTCTTCTGTGCACCCTAAGGCCCAGTATTACATGGAAGCCATCAAGGCTTGGACTTGTACCCTCTGAATCAATGGCCCAAGCTATACCTTGGCCCCTTTTAGTCATGGCTGGAGTGACTGGAATGCAGGGCACCAAGTCCCTAGGTTGTACACAGCAGGACGAGCTTGGACCTGGCCCATGAAACAATTTTTTCCCCCTAGGCCTCCATGCTTGTGATGGGAGGGACTGTTGTGAAGATTTCTGATATGCCCTAAAGAAATTTTCCCCATTGTCTTGGTAATTAACATTCCCAGCTTCTCATTATTTATGCAAATTTCTATAGCCAGCTTTAATTTTTTCTCAGAAATTAGGTTTTTCTTTCCTAACACATGGCCAGGCTGCAAATTTTCCAAACCTTTATACTCTGTCACCTCTTAAACACTTTTCTGCTAAGAAATTTCTTTTGGCAGGTGGCATTGAATAAATGCTCCCATTCCAAATGCCAGGTGGCAAAAGAAATCCACTTCTGTGAGGTGGCAGAAGGAATTTCTTAGCCGCAAAAGTGTTCAAGAGGTGACAGAGTATATTTTGGAACAAATCATCTCTTTTTATTTTATGTTGGAATAAATTTATATTTAAATATATATATTTAAATCATCTTTTTTTATTTTATTTTGGAATAAATATATATTTAAGAATAAAAGTATATTTTACTTTGGAATAAATCATCTCTTTCAAGTCCAAAGTTCCACAGATCTCTAGGGCAGGGGCAAAATGCTGCCAGTCTCTTTGCTAAAGCATAGAAAGAGTGACCTTTGCTGAAGTTCCCTCAACCTAAACCTCCTTGTCTATATCACTATTAGCATTTTGGTCAAAATTATTCAACATCTCTCTAGAAAGTTCTAAACATTCCCACATGTTCCTGTCTTCTTCCAAGCTCTCCAAACCATATCAGTGGTAAAGCCACTTTGGAAACAGTCAGACAATTCTTCAAATGTTTCCACAGAGTTATCATATGACCCAGAAATTCTATTTCTGGGTACATAACCAACAAAATAACAACACATGTCCACACAAAAACTTGTATAATAATGATACTCTGCATGATGGCCAACCAAATAGTGGGAATAACCCAAATGTCCATTGACTGAAAAACAGATAAATAAATTTGTGGTATGCTCATATAATTGAATATGTTTATACCATAAAGGGGCACAAAATCTTGATATATGCTACAACATGGATGAACCTTGAAAACATTATGCCAAGTTGAAGAAGCCAGACGCAAAAGACTACACATGATATGATTCATTGTATAAAAAACATCTACAATAGTCAAATCTATAAACTGGAGCGTAGATTTGTAGTTTCTTAGAGGTTGCAGGGTTGGAGAGTAGGGAGTTTGATATCTAAAAGGTATGGGGCTTCTTTTTGCTATAATAAAATATTCTAAAATTGACAGTGATGGCAGTTGTATACAATTATTTAAATACGTTAAAAATCATCAAATTTTATATTGGGATAATGAGAATTATTTCTCAATAAAGATGTTATTAATAATAAAAAATTTAAAAGAAAGAAGAGCACACAACTGTCTTATGGTGAGTCATATAAAATAACTTGTAGAGAAGAAGGAAATCAACCTTCAGTCCTGGTACTTGAAAAAATAGTTCAATATATATTACAGACATGGAAAAAGCAATCCAGGGAAATAATTAAGCAGTGGTTTGACTCAAATGTACTTCTGGTTAAAGTTATAAATAGAATAGTCATTGAGCCCTTCTTAGAGTAAAGGAGTTTCAAAATACTGCCTGCCACTGCTCAGGGTTTCTGGTTAAAAGATACAAATGTAAAGAAACCTGCAGAGTTTTGTGGTCCAGATGGGTGCCAAATTTTGGGAATAATATAAATAGAAACAGATTCTTTTTCTTATAATTAAATGAACTGATTTTTAGGTTTATTTTTAAAAAAATCAAGTATAGCCAAGGGAAAATGTAATGACGATAAATTATTCTTACAAGATGCTGAAATTCTTAGAAATCATAACAAATAAAACAATATAGTACTGGCTCATAAATAAATACATTAATGGAACTAAAAAAACTCAAGACAAACTCAGTATATAGGGATATTTAGATTTTTTTAATATTTCAAATCAGTGGGGAAAATATGGACTAATCAACAAATGATATTCAAACAATTTGGTAGTTATCTAGAAAAGGAAATAAGGTTGAATCAATCTCTCAAAATTTCAATTCTATAAATTCCAGTTTTCATTAAAAAATTAAATGCAAAAATACAAATATATGAAAGTACAAGGTGACATAATAAAACACATTTAATTTCTTTAAATTTGGAGAGAACTTTATACATGTGACACAACTCCAAAAGAAAAGACTGACAAATTAAATCTTAAATATGTCCTGAATAACAGAAATCTTCATCACTAGAGGAGTTACAACAAACTGGGAAAAATATTTGTAACATATATCTATACTCCTATATTACACATTACATAATGCATGTGTGTGCACACACACACACTTTATATTAAGTGATCAATTAAAAAGTTATCTAATGCATAGTTTCCTAAAGAATAAGTATAGACTAAATCAACAAAGGAGTAAACACAGATACAGGCAACTCATGTGGAAGGAGAACACTGAAGACTTTTAATGGGTTGAAAGAGAATGACTTTGGTTTACAATTAGAGCATGAGCATTATATGGAAGAGGAATGAGGACTCATCAATTGTTCTTATGAAAAGGCTTATTCTTTCTAAGGCGATGGCTCTGATCTTACTTTACCTCTTAGGAGATGCAATCAACGTCAGCCTGACTCAACCATTCTTAAGCAAAAAAGATTTTTGAGGATTTGGATTGTATTAGGAATATTACAATTTCAAGAATATTTTATTTATATATTTTCATTACCTGTAAATACAGGGAGATACACATACATCTTATTTTTGTATTTGTACTAATTTATGCTCATATGTTTGAGTGTATTTAATATTACACATAAATTTCATTTTCCCCAATAACACACGATAAAAATTTGCTACGTAAATTATCCTAATTTAAAGCTTTTTTGACTAATATTCACTCTTTTCCCCTAAAAGCTTTGCTTTAATACGTGTCTGTGAAACATCTAAATGGTGAAAAACACTACACGAATTTAATTAAAATGAAAATATTGCTTATGAAAGGAGCAACGTATGATTTTAGAAAGTCATGTATTTTCAATATGTTAGCTATTATATCTCCACATGCATTTCTGTATTCCTAATACTGGGGGTGCTGTCTGGTGGTACATTTAACGACTTCATGCCCTGTGTTTATGCTATTTTCCTGCCCGCTTTTACAGATTTGACACCTATTTATGTTCAAGCAGATGGGGTCTGTGAAATGCTGCCATTGCAAACAAAAGGAGGCTGTGGGAGACACCAATTCACATCATTAGTGATAGCAGTATGGCAGGGGTCAGTAGACATGCCTCTCTGAAGACACAGGTAAACCTTCAGAAGCTGGTAAGCTAGACTCAGGCTAACAGCTCTTCCTTTGCTGATTTCTACTTTTAGAGATACTGATCAGTTGAACTCTTCTAGAGTGTAAAGTCTACATATGTGAAGATAGACTGACCAGCTTGAAAACTGCTTGTTATTTGACTTTGAGCATGTTGTTTAACCTCACTATACTTCAGTTGCATCATTTTCAAAATGGTGCTAGTAAGTTTCTTGTCATGATTCATTATCTTCATGAATCTAAAATACCTAGAATGGTGCCTGTAAATAACGCAAAATCAATCATCACGAACCATTTATATAAGAGGAAATTATGAGGCACTTAGCACCAGAAGAGCAAGTCTGAATATACAGATTAGAATGAGTATATAGGAAAGTCTCCATTTGCATGGTCTGTAACATGAGTTTAAATTAAATAATTTCCATCTTGAGAGATAGCAGGCTATTTAAATACAAATGATCTTAGAAATCAGACTGTCCTGACATCAGTTATAATTCTGAAATTTTTCAGCTCTGTGGCTTTTGGCGAGTGTTTTTTATTCAATTAACAGTATTAACTTAGTGGTCATTATATTCCTAGTATAGTAACAGGTGCTGGGGATAGAGAAGTGAACACAAGTAACAAAAGTCCTTTCTCTCCTGGAGTCTGTGGTCTAGATTGGACCTCTGTGAGAAACCTAGGGTTATAATCAGCTTTTGGCTTGACATTTGTAATCTCAGACTCAAAACTCAGGCAGATTCATAAATCACTCACATGCTTCCTATTTACATTAATCCACATGAGGATGCTGGCTACCTCTTACCATTGCACAATTGTGGAAGAAACTTGCCTAATATAATAAGATCCAACAAAATATAAAGAATAGCAAAAGAAACACCAGAACCCGGGAGGAAATATACTCATATAATGATCATCAAAAAAAGAGAAAGAACATACCCAAACAGAATAATCTTACCAAAATAATTCATGTCCTATTTAACACATTAGGGGAACCGATATATACAGAGATGGACAAGGCAAGATCTTTGCCTTCAGGGAATTCTGAGACTAGACAAAGTAGTCAAAATGTGAATAGATGAGTTAAGACTTAACATGTTCATTCTGGCAGACATATGGACAAAATATTATAGGAGTACACAGAGGGAATTTCTCTTTTTAAGTAGGGAAGGCAGTTGGACATAATATAGAAAGTTCCATGTGAGAAGACTGGAACAGAAGTCTAGGCACTCAGACAAAAATAAGCAAGGATCTTTCAGATAGTAACATATGCAAAGCATTAAACAGCAAATGGCTGGTGAGTTTTAAAATGATGAGAAATTTTAGTGACCTTCACCCCCACATTCACTGACCGCCTGACTCCACACAACTCTAACTGTTTACAGCTTCATCAAAGGGGAATTAGATGGATTTGGTTCAAGCCTGAGAGTGTGAATCGGAAATAAACAACTAAGTCTGGAGACTTAAGTTAGATCCACATTGTGAAGTAGTGTATATGCCATTATTGAGTGTGGACTTTATATATTATATAATGAGACATCACAGAAGGCACATAGGCAGAGAAGTAAATATATTAGTACACACTATAATCCTAGTAGCAACTTGTATAATAGATATTAAGCTGAAGATTGAAGGCAGCATAACTATTGCAGATAGCAACGTGATCATTTGAAAGAGACGGATGAGTTCTTATCTAAGGCAGTGGTACTAGAAGAAACAAAGCATGAATTGAAGATAAACTAGCAAGAATAGGTAGTAGGTTTTATTTTACTTATTCAACCAATAATCATTGAACATCTACTTTTGCTTTAATCGTTTTTGTCTTCTCATTATTCCTCTCTCCTAAGAGCTATGCTTTATTACCTGTCTCTGCAATGGTTATGTGGTAAAAATTGTCATTTAAATTTAATTAAAATGAAAATACTATCTATTTAAAAAGCACTGAATGATTTTTAAAGGCGTGTGTTTTCAGTATGTTAGCTATTATGCCTCCACCACATGCTCTAGTTTCTGAGATTTAGCTAAACAAGATGTATATAATCCCTGCCCTCATGCAGCTTACGTTTTAGTGATCTGAAAGCTAGGGAAACATCTAGCACGTGATAGTTGCTCAATAGATACTTTTGGAAGAATGAATAGATGGTTTGAATTAATTCAAAGAGATAGAAAATGACTTCAAGTTAGGAGACTGGTTAAATATTAAGACCAATAAACTTGAGCAGATATATACTAAGTGTATTTATCATCACTGAAATAGAAATAAAACTAAGTAAAGTTATGTGCCTCATATTCATGAGATTGCCCTTTAACTAAAAAACCAAGCTTGAGGAGTTGGGGGTGTGTATTCTAGAATGAGGAGAGTGAGAGATAGAGGTGGGGCGGGGGGAGGATGTACACTTTAGGAATCCCAATGAAATGTAAGTGCCAAATAAAGGATATGAGAGTTTATCTGGTGATTCAAGATGGAGAGCAAGGTCATTGTATAACAAGAGAAGTTTCACAGAGGAACTGAGACTTAGATTGTGATTGTGATTAAAGAGTTTGAAGAGGTACAGGTGGGAACAGTATGTATTATACCAGACATGGCAACAGTGTGATCAAAATACATGAGTGTGAGGAATAGCCAAGTACATTCTTGAAGCAAAAAAGGGAGTTAGTGGGGTGAAGAGAATGATACAACCCAGGTGGGAAAGATGCAGTTGCAAGTAGGAAGCAAATTGTAAAGGTGGTGTTGATGAAGAAAGTTTTTTTTTTTTTAATTATAAACCTTGCTTATATCTTTTTTTTATTTTGATTCTTAGGTAAACTAAAATCAGGCAGAATGTGTCCAAAATTATGTTCTGCCTCAGCTGTTGCCTTCCCCTGTTGTTTGGTAACCATCACGCCATTAATAACTAAAATGTGAGAGGCTCTCCCATTGTTGCATTTCCAGGCATAATATTGGACTAAAGAGTGTCCACTTATATTTGAACTTTAAATACACTACACATACATTTTTAGTATACATATGTTTCATGAAATATTTAGGACATACTTATACTAAAAAATCATAGTAGATCAAATTTAAGTTTGATCTACCATTTAATTTGACAAATTTAATCCATCTACTGTGCATTAAATTCAAATTTAACTGGATATCCTGTATTTTTTATTGCTAAGTCTGTTAACTCCTCCTAAAACTATGAAAGCACTGGACTTGAAGCAGTTCTCATCTGTTAGTGAAAAGATAACAAACAAGAATTGAGTATCTGTAACATTCTTCTTTAAATTAAACTAATCTAATGTTTTATATGGCACATGTATGAGAAGAATAAATTATTTTCTCCATAAGAGTTATCACTTTGTAATAATTTGTACAGGGTTTTGTTAAGTTGCAAAGTCAAGGGGCAAAAATAAAGCAAAAGAGGAAGAAAAACATTTAAAAGTGAGGTGATTTAAAAATGACAAGTACCATAAGCAATTGCCCATTTTTCTTCCCCACTGTGGGCTAAGTTCATGAAAGGGTTAAACCTCAAAGCTCCCTTCAGCTTTTTGCCCTTGGACTCCTGTTTACTTTAATGGAAATCACTTTTCCAAGGCACCACACAGAGATTTGAAATGCTTGGTTAAAGGTCATCGTGCAACTCAAAGAATAATAAATTTGCAATTTGTACTTTTCTGACCTCTAGAAATATTTTTAGGTGTTTGAGGCCAAAGAAAACAAAGCAGTGCTTTGAAGGGACTGGGGAGCTATCAATTGATCAATTTAAGTGGGATTATCTGATAATTGGGTAAACACATTGTTATTGATGTGCAGAAGGAGGAAGATGTGCCAAGAAAACATCAATGCCTAGGCCTAGATTTATCTGCTAATCCTTGAAGGAGGCAGTGTACTGAGGACATGAGTAATTGCTCTGCTAACAGATTTATTCTTCATTTAGGCCCCATTTGGGGCTTAAATCTTCCCCTCTCTTTCCAGCAGCTCAAAATGTGGCCCTAATCCCACTGCTCATGGTGTCAGACTTTGCAAACCCTGCTAGTCATGTTCAGATTCCAATTTCTTTGCTTTTACATGCACTGCTATAGCTATGTGTTGGTGCTCTAGCCAGATGTGCTTTATCTGAATGAACTTTCAGGAATTTTGCATTTGATTGGGCTACCTGGAGAGACTTGCCTCTTTTCTCTAGTCATATTTTAACCAGACTGTTTTTAAATAGACCCCTCAAGACAACAAGGTTTAGTGGGAAGATCCCTGGATTGGAAACCAGGTAAACAAGGTTCTAGCCTTAATGCTGTCCCTAATTATTATTATGACCTTGATTAATCTTTTACATTATCTAACTGTTTGGCCTTTAATTTCTCATTTGTGAGTCAAGGGAGTAGAGCTGAGATTGCTTCCAGCTCAATCAATAAAAGAATGAAGTAATTGATCTACATTTTATGTTGAATATGTAGACCCAACTACCAGGACTTTTTATTATTCTCATTTGTATCCTTCCTGATTATAGCCACATGTTATTTCTACAACATGAATCACAATTGGGTGATCTTGCAATTATCACTGGGAGAATTAGGAAAATTGCAAAGTAAGAAAATTTTTTATTTATCCAAAACTTTTATGTAGATTTTCCTGTGACTATTAAATGATTCTGAAATCCAACTATGTATGGTTCATTCTATTTTAGGAATAAGGTCCGTTTAGCAAAATTATTCCCCAAGCCAAATATCTAAATATGTGTGTACAATCTTCCCCTGTGATCCCTCAAGTTATGGTAACTTCTGTAAAATTATAAAAATACTTATCTAAGTGATGATTCTTTTTTTCATGGATTTCTTGATCTGCTTGGGCAGATTTCATGTTGGGCAGATTTCATGCGTCAACTCCGTAGCTGCCCGTTCTAGAAACATCTATGATTAAAGCTGGCCATACTCAATTAAGTTTCTTTCTTTTTTCTCTCTCTGTCTTCCTTTCTTTTTTTCATCTATGTATGTATCTATCTACCTACTTATCTATGAGCTGAGTTGGATTTAATAAGTTTGAGCTATTTAAAGCTATCTTAATTCACAAGGTCAAATTTAGTACCATGATACTGAGAGATATTTTTTCAGCATATATCATTTTTTGTGAGCAAAAAGTCTTAACAACACTCACATTTCATTTGAGAAAAATCTACAACAACCAATCATACAATCTGTAAAAAAAAAAAAAAAAAAAAAAAAAAAAAAAAAGAGTCATCATCTAGCCTTATGTAAAATATATTATAGAGTGCATTAGTTATGGAATAGGCTAAGCTCCTTAAGAACCGGGAGATAAGAACTATTGTGGATGAAACAAGATAGAAGTTTTTCAAATACCTAGATTGACAGGAAGTATAAACAAAAGGCATGTATGTGTTGAAGTAGCTAGGCAATGTGCAGGGAGTAGGTGAAGGGAAACTTGTCAGAAGCCAAGGTAGAGACCAAGATTAAAAGGGAATCTCTATCGCATGAAGTCATCTAAGGGCTTACCTTCCTTATGTCTTGTTCTATATTCACTAGAGTATTCCTCTTACCTGAATAATAAATGCTGGCTTTCATTTCAGCTCCATATTTCACCAGATGAAAAAAGTAGAGTAAACAACTTATTGATATACAAGTGACACAGAAGTATCATATATCATTTCTGTTCATATCCCTAAAGCAAAACTTAGTCATACGGTTTCCTAATAGCAAGGAAAATGAAAATGTAATCTCTGCCTGGATGTCTATGCACCCCATATTCATTCTCTACTTTATTGTAATAGAGGTTTTGTCAAAAAAGAATTTAAAGCTGAAAGTTCTATTACAATAAAACAGTAGGGAATGAATATGGGGTGCATATAGCAGTCTCTAGTACAGAGATATGTCACATTCTCATATTTCTAAAGAATCTCTTCATCAGTCAGCAAAACATTTTACAATCATTCTATGAGAAATTCAGTGATCATAAAATCTTGATAATAATGGTTACGTTTCCAAGACTAATAATATCTCCAGTTATTAAAATGGTGAACTTACAACGAATAATTAACTTGTTGAGACCCTTCTCACCAACATAAAAACCTCCAAACTGTTAAGAGAGGTTTGCTTTGGGGATATTCTTCCAAGTCTTCTTGGTATTGCTAAATCTTTAATTCTTCTTGAATTCATTTTCAATTCAGACATATATACTTTATATTTGTGATTGATATTGATACATTTTTTCCCTAACTAGACAGATGTTAGACATATCTTAAAGATTATAGTCTTATTAATCCTCAGAACAGGAAAGAACCTAGCTCTAGGAATAAATTACATTCACAGTCTTTCTTTCTTATAGCATCCATATTCCTCTCTATTCATTTGTTTCATTCATTTTCTACTCCTGAGCAAGCTGCCTATGTACCAAATGATAGAGAAAACAGTCAAATTTACATGGCTAGTATTTAGCATAGCTCTTTTCTGGTGCCTACCTCATAGTCACTGGACAAGTTATGGAGTGACTGGCCCTGGGCCAGGTGAAACTTCCAGAATGATCAGGGAAACTTTTGCATAAATATCATCCAACATTAGAATTCCTGAACAGGTGGCTATTAGTGGGGTAGTGTTATCTCAAAGGGAAAGTTAAATATTGTCAGGTATTAAGACAAATAAACTTAATAGCATATTTTATGCAAGCTACCATTGATTTAAAGAGATTATTATTTTACATATTACCAAAAAAGAAAATAAATGCTGCTGTTTAAGACACAACTCAATTTGACAGTGTATGCACTATGAAAAAATATTGTATCACATAATTGATAAAACACAGTTATAAAATTATTGATAATAGAAGAGTTGAATACTACCAGTTTTAAGCATTTTCTATGTCGCAGAGGCTGTTCTATGTGATTTATGTGTATTAAGTCACTTGATTACCAGAACAATCTTATGCAGAACACAAGATATTTAATATAAAATGCAAAAATCACAAAAATTACATCTCTGATAAGTAATCATTCATACTTTTAAAAATAAAGATAGGGAAGCATACTATCTCACATAGTAGAAAATTCACGTTTGAAGTCTCCATTACTTTGACAGTTTTTTTCTCTCTTGAGCTTAATAAAGATCCTCAAAAACACTCTCTCTAAAGTGATTTTTATTTATCTTTCTTACAAGCGAAGTCTCCCAGGTGAATTATTTAAAATATGCCATCATGCCACTCCTCAATACTCTCTAAGACAATCTCCCTAGGACCTACAAATGTTTTTCCAGCCATGTAGCAGCCAGACTGGTTGTGATTCTTTTTACCCTCCGTTAGTCAGAGGCCATTAAATCCTCCAGCTGGTATCTAAGGCTAGGTTTATAAGTTTCATTAATGATTTGGCTGGCTACCTAAAAGAGTAGTCATATCTTAGGGATTCTCCTAGGGCACTGTCATTTATGTACCACAAGGACACAAGCTGTGCCCCTCATGCCAACTGGGAATTAATCTTTCAGTAACTCAAGTGACTTGAGTTGTAGAGGCTACAATAGAATCTGCACTACATCAACCATCTTGATAAGTATATAAATATATTTCTAACCCACATGAATTAAAGGACATAAAAATTGAGAAGTGGTTGTTACTTTTGGTAACCTATCTGCTTTGCAATGGAAGACAAAAAACTACTAAGGGACTCAAAACTAGGAAGTTGTTAGACAAGATAACTGTTGTGTTAATTAGAATGAACAGATTCAAAGGTACAAAGATGTTTGGAATTATTGTTTCCTAAATAATTCGTACTTAACGTATTTCATGATAAAGGGGAAGATAATTCACCTATATTTCAGAGCATCTGAAGGTGAGAAAATAAAAAAATCTAGAATTAGAGTCTATGTATTCATTTCTCTTATGAAATGTCATATGAATTATTTTCTCAGCCTCAACTCTCCCTTCTATGGCCAAGAAAATAACTCTATCTGATCTGTGCCTCACAATTCCATCACTAGTTAATGACTCATTAAGATTTTATCCTTTTGGTGACATGTTATTGAACCTATTCCCCTCAGGCTGGTCCAGTGATTACAGAAGCAACTGGCAAATGCTTAATCACCCACTTTATTATCTCCTTATTAATAATAAATACCAGAAGAAAGGTGTATATAATTACATTGCTAGTTTAGAAGTGACATAAAAATGGTGGCAATATTGAAATTCTAATTTAATTTGAACAGTATCACATTGGTACTTGGGGCAACAGATGCGTTGAAGCATGAGAGAATATAAATACTTGTATTTTCAATCAGGAAAACAATTGGTACATTAGTGATGCTTAATTGAATGACAGATCCTTCCAATGGAACCTGGAATGCATCTAAATATTAGTGTTTCCTTAAGTAAACTGTTGCACAGTCTCTCAGATAATCCTGGCTTTCAGGATTTGGAAGATTACAGCATTAAAATTGCTCATATATGTCAAAGATATAGGGGCTCCAGATAAGGATTGTCTTTCTGAAAATATTAATTTACCTGCTCAGTTATCCTAATCTTTTTATTATTAAATGTGGTTGGTAATAAGACAGAATTTTTAATAAATGTGTGTGGTTCTTCCCACAAAATAAGGCAATATCAATATACACTTTCCTATCAAAAGTTATTACAACTAATACTATGCTTTAGCATGAAGAATTTCTGTATTCAGAGCCCATCCTGCCTAATATGTGGACATTCTTTCATTCAATCAGCGAGTATTTTTTGAGTCCCTACTATGTGTCAGGCATTAGTCTCCACCACAGAGCAGTCTAAGTTTTATACTGCTATTACATATGTAAGCAATGACATTCACCTATGACAGATGGAAAGTCTGGCATGAAGAAGCAATGGCTTGAGCTAAAGCCAACCCGACATTTGTCTATGTGACATACTTCCCAATATGAAATTCCATGAAATGCCAGCCATTGCTCCATTTTCCTCTGGAATTCAAGGAATAGAATTGACATGCAACTGAATATTGTTATTCTACAAATAATATTGAATGCTGACCTTACCTTAATTTATATGACATGAATATTGAGTACTTAAAACCATCTAAGTAGCAAATTGCACATAACACACCAAGACTTACTAGCATGTCAAAACACTGCTGCCGAGAACCAAATCTTTATAAGCTCTATGCTGCATAGAACCAAATTTTTCCACGTTCTGTAAATTCACTTGAACTCCCCCTGATATTTCTACATGTACCAATTTCATTCTCGCTTCTGTGACTTTGTTCAAAGTTATTTTGTATCCCAAATTTTCCTTTTTTGTGTATGTAAAGAATCGTATCTACCTATCCACCAAATCTCAACTCAAATCTTCTTAATCCTATCCTAATTATTAATGCCAGTAAAAATCTATCCATTTATTGAATTCCCATTTTAAGTGCTTACTGCATATCTACAATGTATATAGCATGATGCAACTGTCCATTTGATTTGCACCAATCACAACAATTTAAATTTTCTCAATAAAATTTCTTCCATTAAAAAGTTAATCTATTTTTTTTTGTCAGGGTCTTGTTTTGTCACCCAGGCTGGAGTGCTGTAGTGCAATCACAGCTCACTGCAGCATCAATTGACCAGGCTCATGTGATCTTCCCACCTCAGCTTCCAAAGTAGCTGGTACTACAGGTGTGTGCCACCATGTCTGGCTTATTTATTTATTTTAAGTAGAGATGAGGTCTCACTTTGTTGCCCAGGCTGGTCTCTAACTCCTGGGCTCGAGCAATGCCCCTGCCTGGGCCTCCCAAAGAGCTGAGATTAGAGGCATGACTCACCGTGTCTGGCCAAAAAAAATTAATCTTCCTTTTTAATTACCATGATGGGAAGGATACTCATATGACTTATACTTATTTTTTTCTTACAACATAATATAGTTAGGAAATACACCATGTTCAAATGTTCAAAGATTGATTAATACTGATAATATGTTATCTATCCATCTATACTACTATGACTAAAAGGTAAATTAAAGGTAGGAATCACAGCATCATCTGGGAGATGGCTGGAAATGTAGAATTTTGAAAACCACTCGATTAAATAAATTAGTTTTTGTATTTTTAAAATATCCTAAGATAATTAAAATGCATAGTAAGTTTCTGGGGCACTGATTAAACTAAGGCACAAAATTTTCTAACTTTCCAACATTCAATTTATCTGAATTTGGTAATGGTATTATTCAAAAATAACTATTTGCCAAAAAACTGAAGTCAAAAGGGGAAAAGATTATTTTCTACTTTTAGCCAATATTTTTTAACATTAATAAGAACTTCATATCAACATTAATACATCCACTATATAACATATGCAGCCCAACATTCTATTACTGATTAGGATACTAATATATCTAAAAATGATATATGACTTGTCAAAATGCACAAAACCAGTGACTGACATGTTGAATTTTAGCTCGTTATTTTTAAAATCATTATTTAATATACCCAGGAAACCTATAAAGTTAATATTACTACTAAGTCCATTTCTATAATAAAGTAATTAAAGCTTAAAAATGATAAGAAGCCAAGTGCAGTGGTGTAGTCTCAGCTACTCATGTGGCTGAGGTGGGAGGATCACTTGAGCCCAGGGGTTTGAGGCAGCCTAGATAACTTAGCAAGACCTCATCTCTAAAAAAAAAGAGAGAAAAAAGAACATAAGGCATTTCCTTTAAATTATAAACCAAGTAAATATATCACAGATTCACACATGTCTCTGTTATTCAATACCATGCTGTTAATCATGTCATTCTATGATCACAACCATCCATGCCATAGATTTCCAAAGATGTGAAATAGAGAGAAAGCATGACAGATGAAAAAATGTTAGAGGAGGCTAATTTAAAAAACAAAGCAAAGTGGAATAATATATGTTGATGCTGAGAAGGAGGAAGTCTTTATTTTATGGCCAAGTTACATATTTATATCTTCCTCAAAACAGTAGTGAGCCACTTTAAACAGGAATATAATATAAGTAGTTTTGTGTTGTGAACAGATTACCCTGGCAGCATTATGGAGGACAACTAGGAAAGAAAAATAGAATTTATGCAGAAAAACATGTTATTATTTTTTTGCCAAGCTCTAGTCAAAAGTTAATGGCTACTTGGACTAGTGAGTTTGGCACTGAAAACACAGAGGTAAGCAACTGAATTTGAAGACTATTTGGAAGTAAAGTAATAGAAATTGAAGATAGATTTTGGTATGTTGAGTGAAGGTAAAAAGAAGTCTAAAATAACATTTTTAGGTCTTTGATTTGCTGTTTGAATAGAAGAGGGTATACTTCTCTGATGAAGATAAGAAGCCATGGAATAATAATAGATAAGAACATCTGAGTTCAACATATTGAGTTTGAAGTGCAGTTCAGCCACTAAATTTCAGCAGATACTTGAAAATATAGGTCAGTGAATCAGAGGAGATTTTGTACTAAACACAGTAGATTGTGAGTTATTTGTGTATGGAATGAAAAGTACTGTGGCTCTAAGATTGAGGGTTGAGTAACGCCAACACTAATAATTCTGCGACAGAGTTTTAGAAGTAGCAGACAGAGTGGGAAGAAAGTTAAAAGGGCATGTTACCTAGGAGGCCAGTGGAAAAGTAACTCAAAAAGGAAGACCTGAGTAAGGTAAGTACAGAAATATGTTCCTTGGATTGAAGCCTACAGCTGTCATCGGTAATTACTTTGACAACCGTTTTAGTGAAACAAGAGAAAGAAATAAAGGTCACCCAAGTAGAAAGACAGGAAGTCAAAGTACCCCTGTTTGCAGATGGCAAGATCTATATCTAGACAATGCCATAGTCTCAGCCCCAAAGCTCCTTAAGCTGACAAAAAACTTTAGCAAAATCCCAGGATACAAAATCAATGTACCAAAATTACTAGCATTCTTATACTCCAACAACAGTCAAACTGAGAGCCAAATCCAGAATGCAATCCCATTCACTATTGCCACAAAGAATAACATACCTAGGAATACAGCTAACCAAGGAGGTAAAAGATTTCTACAAGGAGGACTGCAAAACATTGCTCAAAGAAGTTAAAGATGACACAAATAGATGGGAGAACATTCCATGTTCATGGATAGGAAGAATCAATATTAAAATGCCCATACTGCCCAAAGCAATTTATGGATTCAATGTTATTTCTATCAAACTACCAGTTACATCCTTCATAGAACTAGAAAACATTTTAAAAATCATATGGAACAAAAAAGGAGCCCAAATAGCCAAGGCAACCCTAAGCCAAAAGAATAAAGCTAAAAGCATCATACCATCTCATGTCAAACTATACTACAGGGCTACAGAAACCAAAACAGCATAGTACTGGTACAAAAACAGGCACCAATACTACTGGAGCAGAATCAAGAGCCCAAAAATAAGGCCACATACCTACAGCTATCTGATATTAAACAAAGCTGACCGAAACAAGCAATAAAATGGGGCTGAGATAATTGGCTAGGCATATAGAGAAGACTGAAACTGTATCCCTTCTTCATACCATATAAAAAAAAATAACGCAGGATGGATTAAAGACTTAAATGTAAATCTCAAAGCTGTAAAAACCCTGAAAGACAACCTAGGCAATCTCTTTCTTGATATAGAAATGGGCAAATGGGCTGGGCGCGGTAGCTCATGCCTGTAATCCCAGCACTTTGGGAGGCCGAGGCGGGCGGATCATGAGGTCAGGGAATCGAGGCCATCCTGACTAACACGGTGAAACCCTGTCTCTACTAAAAATACAAAAAATTAGCTGGGCGAGGTGGCAGGCGCCTGTAGTCCCAGCTACTCAGGAGGCTGAGGCAGGAGAATGGCGTGAACCCCGGGGGACGTGAGCCGAGATCGCGCCACTGCACTCCAGCCTGGGCGACAGCGAGACTCCGTCTCAAAAAAAAGAAAAAAAAAAAAAAAGAAATGGGCAAATGTTTCATAACAAAGATGCCAAAAGCAATTGCAAATAAAAGCAAAAGTTGACATATGAGATCTAATTAAACAAAGAAGCTTCTGCACCACCACCACCACCACCACCACCACCACCACCACCACAAAATTTTCAATAGAGTAAACAGACCACCTACAGAATGGGAGAAAATTTTTGCAAACCATGTATCTTACAAACGTCTAGGAACCAGCATGTAAAAAGAACTTCAACAAATTTACAAGAAAAAGAAAAAAACAAAAACCACAACAATCCCATTAAAAAGTGGCAAGGGACATGGACAGATACTTTTCAAAAGAAGACATACAGCAGCCAACAAGAATATGAAAAAAAAACTCAACATCGCTGATCATTAGAGAAACACAAAACAAAACCACAATGAGATACCATCTCATACTAGTTAGAATGGCTATTATTAAAAAGTCAAAAAATAATAGGTGCTGGTGAGATTGCAGAGGAAAAGGAATGCTTATACACTATCAGGAGTGTAAATAGTTCAACCATTGTGGAAAACTGTGTGGCAATTCCACCAAGACCTAAAAATATATCCACCATTTGACCCAGTAATCCCATTACTGGGTATATACCCAAAGGAATAGAAATCATTTTGTTATAAAGACACATGCACACAAATGTTCACTGCAGCACTATTTACAATAGCCAAGACATGGAATAGACCTAAATGCCCATCAATGGTAGACTGGATAAATAAAATGTGGTACATATACACCATGAAATAATATGCAGCCATAAAAAGAAGAATATGGATCTAGCTTGGAGGCCATTATTCTTAGCAAACTAACACAGGAACAGAAAATCAAATAACACCTGTTCTCATTTATAAGTGGTAGCCAAATGAGAACATAGGGACACACCGAGCAGAATAAAAGACGCTGGGGCCTATCAGAGGGTAGAGGGTGGGAGAAGAGAGAGGATCAGGAAATACAATTGATGGGTATTAGGTTTAATATCTGTCTGGGTCACAAAATAATCTGTACAAACCCCCGCCCCCGACACAAGTTTACCTATATAACAAACCTGTACATGTACCCTGAACTTAAAATAAAAGTTTTAAAAAGTACATACTGACTCTAAAATGTGATTTGAAGGTATGATTTCATATGTCTGTGTTTTGTAGGAATATGTGTTTGTGCAGAGAAAGTATATTGTATAAACATATATTGGAATGGTATTTTAGAGGACTTTTAAATATAATGTCAACTTACTGACTCTCCTTATACTATGGAAGATAAACACTAGAATTGTGCCTATACATACTGGAAACTCAGCAAATATTCATTTAGTAGTTGAATACATAAATGCATAATTTTCAGGGATTTGATATATTGGAATGGAGGGTGTCAAAGGTGATTAAAGGGCTTACCATTTAATAGAATCAGGAAAGTTTGTCTAAAATACCTCTCTGGCAAGGGCACTAATAATACTTTCCTGGAGGAAATAGGGAACGAAGAACATTTATCTTTTAATATATGGTACAATATATTTTAATTGTTTGCATATGGGATTCTACTGCAGGTAACACAAACATAGTAAATTTCAAAAAGAAAAAGGGGAGAGTGTCTCCATAATGACTTCTGAAATTTGAACAGATAAACTGACTAATGGATTTCCCTTAATCCATTAAATAAAGCAATACAACGAAATTAACCTTGTGAGGTTTAAAAGAAAAAAAAACTATTCCTATTTATTTACATTTCTTATGTCTCTGTAAGTATCTCAAAAATATATCATTCTTCTTATCCAATCAAAAATGACATGGATTTCCTTATTATCTGAAGCATTGCCAATATCCTAAAAAGATAGTGATTACTACTATATTGAGAGCTTATTGCTCAGTTTATAACTTCTAAGGCCTTTGGAAAGCTAAATTTTCAATTTTCTCTTCTTTTTATATCATATGTGATCATTAGAATCCTTTTATAGTATTCTTTTATTTTCCTTCAAACTTTTTCATAATTGATGTGTACCAGATTATTTGTCTGTGGACCAAGAGCCCTTTGTTCCCCAATTATCTTTTCCTCCAGCCTGATTTAGCTAATGTTTGCAATATCACAGTTCATCACCATGGAGATAACTATAACGTGACAAATATTGAAACAAATTAAATGGAAAGAGAGTAGTTAGAAAGCAGAAGTAATCCTTTTGAGAGAATAGCCCTCACAGTAATCAAGTATGTGTGTGTGTGTGTGTGTGTGTGTGTGTGTGTGTGTGTGTGTATACACACCTCTTTTATCTCTTTCTCACTGAAAAAAAAAAAAACTTGACCTGACTACATTAACATGTATCCAAGTATACACTCTTTTTTAGAATCACTTTTTAATTTTACTTTCAAAATAGTAATAGAACTATATTATGTAGTAAAAATAGACTTTCCTCAAGGATCTTTCTTAATAATTCTAATAAAAGCAGAAAGTTGACATTTGGTAGTAAATTTGGAATTACTTCTCAACCTACTGAGGCAATGTGCTATATTGGAAAGAGAATGTTAGAGAAGAGAGACTTGGGTTTCAGTGTCATCTCTATTCACTAGGTTTACTTACTAGTTTTATAACTTTCAGAAAGTGTTTTGTATGTGAACATGACATTAAACCACTTGAAATATATATATATATATATATATATATATATATATATATTTATAATCACAGAGACATGGAGACTAAAATTTTTACAAATACTACATTTCGTAAGTTTTACTTCTGGGATGAGACAGGAAAAAAATAAAATCAAATTATGATCTCCAGTCTTTTGTTTTCCTGACACAGAAATGACAAACTTCCATCAGCCTGAATGCTGGAGTGACCGTGTGGATCAGAGTACTTGCCAGATGTTCACCAGACATACAAAGTAAGCAAGAAATAAATATTTGTTACATTAAATCAGTGAGATTATGGATTAAATTTATTACACATTTGTAATTACTACCTATAACATTACATATCCTACACAATATGCTTGGTAAAAAATAAATCAAAATGTAAAAGATACATTAAATATATTATTAATTCTATAATTATGAATGTTTTTGGTTCATCTCAATTCCTATTACTCAGTATCCTTAGGCGCTCATTCTTTTTCTATATCACCAATGTTGTACATTCCTATCAGGGAGACTCCTGTTGACTGCAGGGAAACACGACAAGCATTATCAGTCTTTTTTCACTTGTTCTCTTGTAAGTTGTAAAATAAAGCTTTGTTTTATTTAACCTATGACTAAACTATTTAGTCATAATTATTAGCATGTATTACTATATTGTCCTAATAATTCAAATACATAATCCAATTATTCTTTTTCAATGTATTTTTGTATATTTGCTCAAACTATGGAAAATACTACCAACAAAACTGAAGTTTTGCTGTGATATAAGCATTAATTATCATACCTACAGATTTGACAAAATAAACACTTTCCATACTATTCTTTAAACAACATTAGTAAATTAATACATAGGCCAATGGGTTAGCAATACTAAATAATAAAATAAGGACAAAATTGTTACCAATAAAGTTTAGTAGACCTAAGAATTTTAATATATCGTTAATTGTTAGTTTTCCTGTAATGAAGGGTCCAATATGACAAAAGCAAACATTAACTAAAAGAATTGCTGAAAGCGCTCTGCATTATAAATAGAGTATTATTATTATTAAAATAATTTAAACATTAAAGACATCATTTAAATGTGGAACTAAAGAGAGCTGCCATGGTTAACTTTCAACTCAACTACAGTAAAGAAATTCCTAGCCAGGTGCAGTGGCTCATGCCTGTAATCCCAGCATTTTGGGAGGCCGAGGCAGGCAGATCACCTGAGGTCAGGAGTTTGAGACCAGCTTGGCCAACATGGCAAAACCCCATCTCTATTAAAAATAAAAATAATAATAATAATCAGCCAGGCATGGTGGTGGATGCCTGTAATCCCAACTATTCAGGAGGCTGAGGCAAGAGAATTGCTTGAACCTGGGAGTCGGAGGTTGCACTGGTCCGAGATGGAACCACTGCACTCCATCCTGGGTGACAGAGTGGGACTCCAACTCAAAAAAAAAAAAAAAAAAAAGAAAGAAAGAAAGAAAGAAAGAAGTTATCTTCATTTCTTGCAACAACGCTGTAGCAGTAAGACAATTACACTTACTAAGAATCATAGAGGTTTGCTTGTATACTTATGTTACAAACCTGCATGTTCTGCACATGTATCACAGAACTTAAATTTTTTTTAAAAAAAGAACCATAGAAAATGAGATCTTTGCTTTCCAGTAGTATCTAGTCAGATAAAAAATACAAAGTAGTTCAGAAAGCAGGACTGATCAAATGTCTAGTCTTAGGGAATGTTTAACAAACTTTATATTTAAGTTCTCTTTCTTGGAACAGAATACTTTCATTTACTTTATTTTAATAAATCTTTATAAATATTTAATTGTAACTACTCTCTGACACCAACTGTTTATTTCTTCAATTAATAATTCTGGAATGCTTTGCAAATAGACTTGGTTATGTAGAATCTGATTATAAGAATACTGTACTTGGAGAAGACAAGTGGTGCTTCTTCCTTTAGCTCTCATTGCAGCAAACAGCATATGCTATTAGGTTACATGAGGAATGTGAGAATGTATGTTTCAGTTTGCCCAGGATAGTATTCATGTACACCTGCTGTTATAATGTTCCTTAAAATGTAATATTTGTCCCGTAATTTTAATTTTTAATAAATTATTACCAATTTTTTATGACAATAACCCAGGATTAGATAGACCTCCCACCGACTTTGCATTTCCAGTGTCTTCCACATTTTTCTAGCACCATGTTATGCATTTATGTACACTTTTATGCAAAGTTAAATCAAAAAGGCAGTCAGCGGTATCATATTTCTGTTTTTTAGAATATTTTGAAACCTACACCCTCAAGGGCAGTATGCAAAGGTACTTGCTGATAAAACTAAGTCATTTGGAAATGAGTGGCTAGAGACAGCTAAATCCCTTCAGTCTTGAATGGTAGTGAGAGAAGGATCTGATGTTCCTCTAACTCCCATTTACTTGGTTCTGAGCTAAGTTAGCTGTGGACTCTGATCTGACCTGAAAGATGCATAAAGAAATCAGGTGAATGGGCCACGTGAGGTGGCTCACGCCTGTAATCTCAGCACTTTGGGAGGCTGAGGCGGGTGGATCACGAGGTCAGGAGATCGAGACCATCCTGGATAACATGGTGAAACACCACCTCCACTAAAAATACAAAAAATTAGCCAAGTGTGGTGGTGGGCACCTGTAGTCCCAGCTGAGGCAGGAGAATGGCTTGAACCCGGGAGGTGGAGCTGGCAGTGAGCAGAGATCACACCACTGCACTCCAGCCTGGGTGACAGAGAGAGACTCTGTGTCAAAAAACAAAAAACAACAACAACAAAAAAAACAGGTGAATTTCAGTCATTAGGAATCAAGGACAAATGCCAAAAAAAAAAGAGAAGGTTAATTGTATGCAAAATATATACAGAAAATAAAGGTTGAGCATTCCTGTCATAGTGTATATTAAGGTATTAAGTAGCCTAAATATTTTTGCCACACTTTTTTTTCCATTTTGGTAGGGTGACTGTAGAAAATGAAATAAGTAGAGGTTCCTCTTCAAAGGGACTTTCCTCCCAGTCCAACTGAGAATAGATAATAACCTCTCTTAGAAGCAAAATTTACTCAAACACCTGTGTTAATATTCTTAAATATTTGCTAGCTGTAATAAAGAAATCAATATACTCTGTGTTCTTAACTCCCATATTTTAGCCTAGATATTTGCCCTGGCATGACTGAAGTGGTCCAAGCATTAGGTCATAGCCTATTCCTCTTCCTTATTTGGAAGTGTTTTTGCCTCTCTCAGCATTACGCAAGTTACTTCCTCTCTTCCTTTGTTATCTTCTGCTTTTGCCTCTTTTGGGAAGTTCTAAGTTGCTAGCCAATCGGTTTGAGTACAGAATGTGAGGTCCTGTTCCAGCTAATGGAAACCGGACACAGCAGTAGAGTGGACACATCAGGTTATAAATGACCCTGTCTCCTTTGTTCATGTGTGCTCTCATGGCAAGACTGCTAGCAAGCGGCACCCTTTCTGCAGAAAGTAAACTAGTCTTGCTGAGAGATCCTTTGTCTCAGTGCTGATTTTGCGACATTGAGCACCCGTTCCCAATAGTGACTATATATCTAAAATCATTTATTTTTCTTGTTAGATTCTGCTAAATCCATTTTTGTAGGATTGAAGAATGAAAAAATGTAAGTACAAAATTAATTTAAAAATAAATACTGACTTTCCAATTTTTAAGCAAGTTTCAATTGATCATTTAACTGGCATAATATATAGTTTTCAACTTTTATCACACATGTGAATACTGCAATTTAGATAAAATAACTGCTTTGTGGGCTAATTTTGCTCTTTCTTATTCCAAGATTTTTGTGCACATACTAAAATGACATAATAACTGGTTATTCATTGATTTCATTAAAGGAAATTTCCACACAATTACATGGTAATTGTTTTATATCAGTGCCATTAAGTACTTAGAATAAAATATCAGTTATTTCCAATAATTAATCATTTTTATATCACATTTGTGGACTCAGATAAATTTTTTGGAAGTCTTATCTGTTTAAGATAAAACAACCAATATTATTTTTCATGTAAATTCATTTAAAAAGTTTAATATTGGATTAAAAATTATGAATTATTTTGGTAAAGATATGGATATAAATTTTGATGTAGCACAGCATCATGGTAAAAATGACATTCTCATCAAATTAAGAAATTTGTGAAGTAGAAATTACAAAGTACTCAGATTTTGTTGCAACAATTATACAACTCAAAATTTCATCTAAAGAATTTTAAATATTTCAGAAATTAAAATAGAAGCCACAGTTATCAAAGTTAAAAAATTGTCATATATGCACACAGTTAATATAACTAAAATATAATTTTTGTGAGTATACTGATGTCTATTAAAAATGTACTGCAGCATGACCGTCCATGTTTTCTGTCTTCATTGCTAGCCAATTAAATTTTAGAAATGTTTGAGACTTTGGAAACTACACTTAAAAGAAATATTAGTATCTTAGAATCACTTTTGCTTTATAAATTAATAAACTTTAATTTTTAGAGCCCTTTTAGGTTCAGAATGGAAAGTACAGAGAGTTCCTGTAAACCCTCTGTCTCCACATATGCTCAAACTCCCCAACTATCAACATCCCACACCAAATTGTTATGTGGGTTACTGTCAATAAATCTACATTGACACATCATTTTAACCCAAAGTCCATAGTTTACATTAGAGTTCACTCTTAGTGTTATACATTTTACAGGTTTTGACAGATGTTTAATGACAAGTATCTACTATTACATTATCACAGAAAATAGTTATTACATTATCATAGAAAATAGTTTCATTGTTGTAAAAACCATCTGTGCTCTGCCTGTTTTCTCTCCCTCCTCCCTAAACCCTGGCAGCCACTGATCTTTTTAATGTCTCTATTGTTTTTCCTTTGCTAGAATGTCATATAGTTGGAATGGTATAGTATGTAGCCTTTTCAGACTGGCATCCTTCATGGTAATGTGCATTTAAGTTTCCTCTGTGTCTTCTCATGGCTTGATAGCTCATTTGTTTTTAGTACTGAATAATATCACATTGTCTGCAGATATGACATTTATTTATTCATCCACCTACTAAAGGGCATTTTGGTTGCTTTCAAGTTTTAGCAATTGTGAATAAAGCTGCCATAAATGTTATGTGTGAAATTTTGTGTGGACATACATTTTTAATCCCTTTGGCTATATATTAAATAGCTTGATTGGGTTCTGTGGTAAGAGTATGTTTGGCTTTGTAAGAAACTACCAAATTTTCTTCAAAAGTGTATGCACAATTTTTCATTTCCACCAGGAATAAACAATAGTTCCTATTGCTCCACATCCACTCCAGCATTTGACGTCAGTATTCTGGGTTTTGGTCATTCTTATAACTGCATAGCGGTATCTCATTGTTTTAATTTGCAATTCCCTAATGTTACATGTTGTTGAATATCTTTTTATATGCTTACTTGACATCTGTATATCTTCTTTGGTAAAGTGTCTTTTTGGGTCTTTTGCTCACCTTTTAATCAGCCTGTTCATTGTTCATTGCTGAATTGTTAGAAGTTCTTTGTATATTTTGGATAACAGCTTTTTTTCAGAAGTGCCTTTTGCAAATATTTTCTCCCAATCTGTGGCTTACCTTCTAGTTTTCTTGTCATTGTTTTTCACAGAGAAAAGTTTTTAGTTTTAATGAAATTCAGCTTATCGATTGATTTTTCATGGATTGTGTTTTTCATATTGGATCTAAAAGGTCATCAAAATACTGAAGGCCATCTAGGGTTTCATTCATGTTATTTCCTAAGAGTGTTACAGTTTTGCATTTTACATTTAGGTCTATGATCCATTTTGAGTTACCTACATTTTTTGAGAAGGGTTTAAGGTCTATAGTCAGATTTATTTGTTGCATGTGAATTTCCAGGTGTTCTATACCCATTTTTTTATAAAGATCACCTTTGTGTCATTGCATTGCCTTTGTTTCTTTATCAAAGATCAGTTAACTCTTTTTATGTGGGTCTATTTCCAGGCTTTCTACTCTGCTCCATTAATGTATCGGTATATTGTTTCACTAATACCACACTGTCTTGATCACTGTACCCTTATAGTAGGTCATAAAGTTGGGTAGTCCATCTTCTAATTTTGCTTTCATTCAAGATTGAATTGCCTATTCTTGGTGTTTTGCTAGAATGTCTTTTAAAAATAGCCTCTAAATATAGTTGCCCCATATTCAAAATGAGTTAAATGTGTTAAATATAAGTATTCAACAAATGCTATCACAGAAAACATTAACTTGCAACACAAAAAATTTAAATAACTTGAGCTCAAATAGTGTAAAACATTTAATTTTGAATCCAATAATTTTAGTTTGGAATATTTCAACTTGTGAAAAATATTTAATGAAATTCTTAATTTTATATCAACAAATTCATATTCTGTGCCAGAATAAGAGGAAAGTAAAAATAAATCCATAAACTCAAATGACATAAAGCTTCCAAAATCATTTTAAGTAGACAAGAGAGTGGTACTTTGATGAAAATGAAAACCAGAGCCTGTGAAGATATTTGAAATAAAATATAAACTATCTATTCATTTCAATAGAAAATAAATTTAATTAAAGTACATTTGATTAGAAACATTTTCTGTGATCTACCATATAACTTGACATGTGTGGAGAAAGTATTTTCAGTTAAAAACAATGTAGTTTATAGCAAAGAGTCCAAAAGTTTTAAAAAAATTAAAGAAATTTAATTGTAGACAATTTAGAATTCACTAAACAACATGGATCTTTCTTTTTTAGTTAATCTATCATTCCCAGTTTTCAAGAAATTATTTAAAAAAATCAGAAAAAATACTCTTAGTTCTTGTATTAGGGTTCTCTAGAGGGACAGCACTAATAGGATAGACGTATAAATGAAAGGGAGTTTATTAAGGTTTATTCACTATATGATCACAAAGTAAAGTCTCACAACAGGCTATCTGCAAGCTGAGGAACCAGGAAGCCATTCCAAGTCCTAAAACCTCAAAAGTAGGGAAGCCAACAGTGCAGGCTTCAGTCTGTGGCTGAAGGCCCAAGATCCCCTGGCAAACCACTGGTGCAAGTCCCAAAGTCCAAAAGCTGAAGAACTTGATGTCCCATGTTCGAGGGGAGTAAGCATCCAGCATGGGAGACAGATGAAGACTCAGCCAATCTAGTCCTTCTACAGTCCTCTGCCTGCTTTTATTCTAGCTACACTGGCAGCTGATTAGATGGTACATACTCAGATCGAAGGTGGGTCTGCCTCTCCCAGTCCACTGACTCAAATGTTAATCTCCTTTGACAACACTTTCACAGACACACCCAGAATAATACTTTGCATCCTTCAATCCAATCAAGTTGACACTCAATATTAACTGTCACAGTTCTACATTTTTCTGTTCCCAATCTCAGTGGAATGAGTTAATTGCCTTGTTCTTTGGTTTTCAAACAATAGTCAGAGGTTTGCAATGTTCTCATCATTACCCATTTCTACTGAGAAGAAAAATGTATATAATGAGCAAAATGGTTACTGATTAGAGAAGTGGCCTGTTAAAGGAAATATACTGCTGTAAGTTATTCTCTTTACCTTTAGTCTAAGGTAAATCACTAATGGGTAACTAACCACATCACTTTAAACATAAGGAAAAGGAGTCCCAGGCCACCAAAAGAGGCTCCCTTAGGCACATCTACTAAAGAGACACACCTATGTTTTGGATGCTCTTATCATTGCTTAGACTGTCTACTCTATTGGGTTCACTGACTGCCCATATATAACAACCTTTGGATTGGATTTGACTCCTATGAATGTTTTTCCTCTTGGACCTTGTGCTTCATGGGAGTCAACACAATATATTTCTTCTTGGTCATGCCAAGCCACTAGTACAATAGTATCTGTGCTCTCCTATATCCATTTCCCAAAGTTTCTTCCTTTTTCATGATACCCAGAAATGTTACACTGAATTGTAAAACCAAGAGTTTTCTGAACAAAATTCCATGATTTTATTTTTATTTATTTATTTATTTTTTAGATAACCTCACGTGTTGCGTTTCAAAATGATGGCATAGAAGGCTTCCCCATGTCTCATGATTTCTACACTGGAAAAAGTGAAATCAAGGTGGACAACCAGCTTTCCCACATTTTGGGTCTCTTGGCAGAGAACTTATCCCTACCTCAAACAACAGGAAGTATTGGGAGTAGTTGAAGGGAAAAATATCCCTGACAATAGCTAGAAACAAAGGTGGAGGTGGGACTACCATCCTTGCCCTGGAAACTCTGCTATGTAATTCAGCCAAAGGAGAGTACCACATTAGAATGGCTGTTGTGGGGCACCACACTGCAAAAGATTTGTTTCTAAGGTCCCCTAAACACAAACCCCTAGCCAACCTTCCCATATTGCTGGAATATCCCTCACCATTTAGGATAGGGCAATCTGATTGTTTATTAGAACCAAAGCAAATCTGTGGTTAAGGGGCAATCAAGTGCAGAAAAAGAGTCAGTGACCTAGCATAAAAATAATAAGGAGAGGAAAGGAGAGGAGAGGAGAGGAGAGCAGAGCAGAGGAGAGGAGAGGAGAGCAGAGGAGAGGAGAGGGAATCAACAGATAAACAAATCTCAAAGCAAACATAATAGAAACCAAAACACGCCATAAAGAAAAGACTAGAATAATTAACTAAACTTTCAATGCAACAACACAGGCATAGATCCACAAGAAACAACAGCAAGTTACCACCAGTAACTGACCAGAATGAGACGGCAATATGTAAACTACCTGACCAAGAATTCAAAATAGCAGTTTTAAGGAAACTTAGTGGTGTCCAAAATAACACAGAAAAGGAAAAACAATTCAGAAATTTATTGGAAAAATTAACTAGAGATTGAAATAATTAAAAAGTCAATCAAAAACCTTGGAACTGATAAATACATTTGCATAAAGAAAAAAATCACTAGAAGCTCTCAACAGCAAAATGGATCAAGCAGAGGAAAATAATTAGTGAGCTCAAAGAGAGGATTTTTAAAAACACACAAAGGTGGAAAAGCAGAATGAGAAAGAAGAAGTATCACCTAAAAGATATAGAAAATATCTCAAAAAACAAAATAGATCTAAGAACAATTGTTCAGGTGAGCAAGAGCAATGGAGAGAAAGTTTATTCAAAAAATAACAGGAAGTTTTCCAAAACTTGAGAAAAAGATAAATATCCAGGCATAGGGAAGTGAGAGAATACCAAAGAGTTTGACCCAAATAAGACTACCATAATACATATAATAATGAAACTCCCAAAGTTCAAGGATAAAGAGAGGATTCTAAAAGCAGTTAGAGAAGAGAAACAAATAACATACAAAGGAGCTCCAATTTATCTGGAAACAGACTTCTCAACAGAAACCATACAAAGCAGGAGGAATTGGGATGACATTTTCAACATGCTGGGAATAATAAAAAATAAAACTGCCATAGAAGATTAATGTATCCAACAAAGCTATACTTCAAATATGAAAGACAGATTGAGTTTTTTCTCAGATAAACAAAAAGATCAGATAATTCCTCACCACCAGAACCATCTTACAAGAAATGCCAAAGTGAGTTCTTCAACCTGAAAGAAGAAGAAAAAAATAAAAAAACTAAATTGCAAAACCAAAACATTTTTCAAGGTAGAAAACCCAACTGCTGACATTAAGTACACAGACAAACCAGAATATTAAAATACTGTAATTGTGGTGTGCAATCCACCTGTAAGTCAAATATAAAACCCAAAGGAAAAATATACTAAAAATAATAATAGCTACAGCAACTTGATAAGAGATATGAAATATAAAAATATGTAAATTGAGACAACATAAAGCAAAAATGTTGAGGATTTGGAGTTACGGCATAGAATTTTATTTATTTCATTTTTTGATTGTTTCTTTTCTTTTCTTTGTGATCTTGTATAAGTTGTCATCACTTTAAAGTAACTTTGTATATCTTTAAGATTTTTTTTGTAATCCTCATGGTAACCAGAATTCAAAAACCTATAAGACATTCACTAAAAATAAAGGCAATGAATTAAAATATATTACTGGAGAAAATAACAAAATCACAAAGGAAGACAGGAAGAAATAAACAGAGAAGTTACAAAACAACCAGAAAACAATCAACAAAATGGCAGTAATGAGTCTTTATGTATCAACAATAACACTGGCTGTAAATAAACTCAGTTCTCCCATTAAAGGGCATAGCATGGCTCAATGGATAAAGAAACAAGAGGAAATTATATGCTACCTACAAGAAACTTAATTCACCTATAAAGGCACACATAAAGGAAGATGGAAGGGTGTAAGAAGATATGTCATGTAACTAGAAACCAAAAATGAGCAAGATTAGATATGCTTCCATCAAATAAAGCAGACTGCAAATCAAGGCGAGTGAAAAGAGACAAAGAAACTATATATAATGATAAAGGGGTCAATTCAGCAAGAGGTTATAAAAACTATAAATATCTATGTACCCAACACTGGAGCACCCCAGTATATAAAACAAACCTTAATAGATATAAATGAATAGACGGACTGCAACACAATAGTAGTAGATTAAACAATCCACTCTCAGTAATAGGCAGATCATCCAGACAGAAAATCAACAAAAAATATAGAAGTTAAATCACACACTAGAAAAAAATAGGTCTGACATTATAGAATATTTTACCCACTGGATGCAGAATATACATTATTTTCCTCAGAAAATACACCTACACATGGCAAGTAAATAATATGATCCTGAATAGCCAATGGGTCAATGAAAACATTAAGTAATAAATTAAGAATTTTCTTGAAACAAATTGTATTAGTCCATTCTCACACCGCTATTATGATAACCATCAAGACTTGGTAATTTATAAAGGAAAGAGGTTTAATTGACTCAGAGTTTCACAAGGCTAGGGAGGCCTCAGAAAACTTACAATCATGGCAGAAGGCAAAGCAGGCACACCTTACATAGCAAGAGGCAAGAGAGAGAAAATGTGCGTGCAGGAAAAATTACCATTTATAAAACACTCTGATCTCATGAGAATTCACTCATTATCATGAAAACAGCATGGAAAAAACCACCCCCATTATCCAATCACTTTCCTCCCTCAACAAATGAGGATTATAATTCAAGATGAGATTTGGGTGGGGACACAGAGCCAAACCATATCACAAATTAGCACGGAAATATAACAAACCAAAATCTATGGGATATAGCAAGAACAATACTAAGAGGATTATAACAATAATCACCTATATCAAAAAAGTAGAAAGTTGTTTTCAATAAACAACATAACTAGGAAATCAAGACCAAATACAATCCAAAGTTACTGAAGAAAAATAATAATAAATATCAGAGCAGAAATAAATAAAATTGAGAATAAAAGCAAATACAGAAGGACAACAAAATTAATAATTGGTTATTTGAAAAGATAAGAAAAAAAATCTACAAACCTTGAGCTAGATTAACAAATTATAAAAGAGAAGACCCAAATAAATAAAATCAGAAATGAAAAAGAAGATATAACTAAGATCACAGAAATACAAAGAATCATTGACAACTATTATGAACAACCATACATCAACATATACTGGCAAATTGGAAAACCTGGAAGATATGGATAAATTCCTGAACACATAACCCACCAAGATTGAACCATGATAAAATAGAAAATCTCAATAAACTAATAAGAAATAGGATTGAAGAAACAATAAAATGGCTTCCATCAAAGAAAAGCCCAGGATCTGATGTGTTCACTATTGTATTCTACCATACATTTAAAGAAGTACAAATACAAATTCTATTCAAACTCTTCAAAAAGATTGAAGATGAGGGAATACTTACAAAATTATTCTATGATGCCAGAATTACTGTATTACCAAAAGCAGACAAGGACACACACACAAAAAGAAAAGTAGAAACCGATATTACTAATGATCATAAATGAAAAATAACAAAAGCATAGAAAACCAAATTCAACAACAAATTACAAAGATCATTCACCATAATCAAGTGGGATTCATCCCAGGAATGCAAGGATGGTTCGACTTATGCAAATCAATAACCATTATATATCACATTAACAAAAACAAGAACAAAAACTATATGATCATTTCAACAGATGCTGAAAAAGCACTCAGTATAATTTAACAACCCTTTATGATGAAAACGCTCATTAAGCTATATATGGCAAACCCACATCTAACATACTGAACAGTGAAAATGGAAAAAAAAAGCTTTTTCTCTAAGATCTGGAAAAACAAAAGCATGCCCACTTTCACCAATTGTTTTTCAACATAATGCTGGAAGCCCTGGCAAGGGCAATTAGGAAAAAGAAAGGAATAATGGGCATCCAAATGGGAAAGAAAGAAGTCAAATTAGCCTTGTTCATAGATATCTCCTTATATTTAGAAAAACCTAGAGACATCACCCAAAACCTGTCAGAACTGATTTTCAGTAAAGTGGCAGGATACAAAATTAACATAAAAAAATCACTAGCCCCTAATATTTCAGTAGCAAACAATCAGAAAAGGAAATTTAAAAAGCATCCCATTTATAATACTTAGCAAAAAAAAAAAAAAAAATCACAACCTAGGAATCAATTTAACTGCAGAAGCGAAAGACGTATACAAGGAAAAACTATGCCACACTAGTGAAAGAATTAAACAGGACACAAAAAATGAAAAGACACTCTATGCTCATGGATTGGAAAAATTAATATTGTTAAAATGGCAATACAAAGCAAAGCAATTTACAGATTCAGTGAAATTACTATTACAATACTAATAACATTCTTCAAAGAAATAGGAAAAAAAATTCTAAAATTTATATGTTATGACAAAAGACCCTGAGTAGTTAAAGTTATCCTGAGCAAAAAGAACAAGGCTGGAGGCATCACATTATCTGGCTTCAAAATATACTACAAAGCTGTAGCATATTACTGGCATAGAAACAGACACATAGACCAAGAAACAGAATAGGGAATTCTGATATAAATTCATACATGTATAGCCAACTCATCTTCAACAAAGGAGCCAAGAACATACAGTAGAGAAAGGAAAGTTTCTAAAATAAATGCTGCTGGGAACACTGGATAACTATATGCTGAAGAATGAAAGTAGACACCTATCTCTCTTCATATACCAAAATCAAATCAAAATGGATTAACCACTCAAATCTATGCTGTGGAACTATGAAACTACTAGAAGAAAATGTTGTGTATACACTCCAGGACACTGGTGTAGGCAAACAATTTTTGCATAAGACTGCAAAAGTCCAGACAATTAAACAAAATAGTTAAATGGGATTGTATCATGCTTAAAAGCTTCTGCACAGTAAAGAAAACCATCAATGAAGAGAAAAGCCACAGAATGAGAAAATATTAATATTTGCAAATGCTTCATCTGACAAAGCATTAATATCCTAAAATATAATGAACTAAAACAACTTAATAGCAAAATAATAATAATAATTATAATCTGATTTAAAATGTGCAAAATATCTCAAAAGACATTTCTCAAAAAAAACATACAATAGCAAACAGGTATATGAAAAAGTGCTCAACATCACTAACCACCAGAAAAATACAAATCAAAACCACAATGAAATATCATCTCATCCCAGTTAAAATGAGTTTTATCAAAAAGACAAGCAAAAGCAGATGCTAATGAGGATGTGGACAAGTGGAAACCCTGGTACGCTGTTGTTGGAAATGTAAATTAGTACAGTCCCTATAGAAAACTTTATGAAGATTTCTCAAAAAACTAAAAATTGAACTATCATATGATCCAGCATTTCTACTACTAGATATATACCCAAAAGAAAGTAAATCAATATATTAAAGAGATTTCTGCACTCTGTTTCTTGCAGCATTATTCACAATAGCCAAAATATGAAATACACCTAAGTGCCTATTGATGAACGAACAAAGAAAATGTGCACAATATTCTATATATACAATAGAATATTATTTAGGCATAAAAAGAATAAAATCTTGTCATTTGTAGTAACATGGATGGAACTGGGGGTTAATATTGTTAAGTGAAATTAGCCAAGCACAGAATGATGAATATCATATTCATCTCAGTCTCAGTCATACGTGGGGGTTAAAAAGTTGAATCTCATGAAAATAGAGAGTAGACTGGTGATTATCAGAGGCCATGAAGGATAGCGAAACAGGGAATGTAGAGAGGTTAATTAATGGGTACACATATAAAATTCGATAGAAGAAATAAGACCTAGTGTTTGATAGATGAGTAGGGTGACTATTCTTTACAATAGTCTAGTGCATATTTTAAAATAACTAGAAGAGACTAATTCAAATTTTTCTAGCATAAAAATGACAAATATTTAAGCTAAGAGATATTTCAATCATACTGGCTTGATTCTTATATGAATGAATATATTACATTATCACATACAGCCCATAAATATACACATCTATTATGTGTCAATCAAAAAAAAATTTTAAAAAGTTACTCTCCACCTGCACATGTACCCCTGAACTTAAAATACAAGTTAAAAATTTAAAAAGTTACTCTTGTTTATCTTCTCATGAGAAAGGACATGATCATTTAATCTTACAGGAAGGTTTAACTGATAGTGCCCTATCATATTAGTTCAGCAAAGAAAATCTATCTTTTGAGAAAGTAGTGTTTCAATCCATATAAATAAATCTCATGTGGGTGAATTTCAGCATTATTTTAATAATAGGTATTATTTAAGACATTAATACATTCAAGACTTTGTGTAATGCAACAGGACACACAGATATATAGGGATGACTCTAATTTCAATAAGCTTATCCTCACAGGAAATAAATTTACATAAAGAATTCATATATGTATATGAAATCTTTAGAATTCTATCTAGCTATCTATATATATGATCATACGTAAATACATTATGTGAAAAATATTTTAAAATCTAGAATATTCTATCCGGGATACTGGTAGAATTGGCTTATTAGGTTAAGTCTTTTAAAAAAACTTGAGAGTTCTGCATGCTAAATCGCGAAAAGAAGTAGAAAGGTAATAAACAGGAAATGAATTCAGAAATTCAACAATCTAGCAGACTATACATGAAAGATAATAAGCAGGATCATTGTTCTGCATAGCTTTGGAGCACCAGTATCCTAGATGGATCTAGATTTGTTATCAGATGTTCAGAAGGTAGGAAGGATGTGTTTGTTAGGGATGGGGTGGAAGTGGGAGGTGGAGGGATTAAGTTAGGTAGGATAATAAGTAAGTACAAACATACATTTAGATGGAACAAATAAGTTCTAATGTTTCATAGCAGAGTTTATGACTATAGTTAATAGTGGTGTATTGTATATTTCAAAATAGCTGGAAGCAAAGATTTGCAATGTTTCCAACACATAGAAACGATAAATTCTTGAGGTGATGAATACCCTAAATACACTGACTTGAATATTACACATTCTATGCATGCAACAAAATATCACATGTATCCCATAAATAAATACAAATATTATGTACAAATAAAAAAATGTAATAGCAGCCTTTGAATATACACAATTTTAGGAAAATATTTATATACCGGGAAAACATTAATGTATTAATAGGAAGATAAAAATAAAGATGATGATGATGAAAAAAAATCCAATCTGCCTTAAAGGATAAGTTTCAATGGGTACAAAAAGCAATTGGGGAGGGGGAACAGGGCAGTAGAATTGCAGAGGTTTAAATCATGGTATCTAGAATCAATTAGACCTGTTTAGATAAAGAATAGTGGTTATCAGCAACATAAATTATGACAAGTTAATTTCTCCTAGACTTAGTGTCCTCATATTAAAAAAAGGTGTAAATAATAATATTTATATTATGTTTTAATTAGATAAAATACTTACAAAGTTCTAGGCACCATGCCAGGCACATACCAACTATTTAATAAGTGCTATAGTATTATCATTTTAGAGGAGAGAATAACATGAGCTGGGGACAATATGTAAAAACAACCACCACTATAAAAAACTGGCTTATCTGTGACCTGAAAAGTCTCATGTAACTTACCTTTATGAGAGTAATAAATTTCAATTAAAAAATATTTGAAAAATGAGCACAGTGATTCTGGAAATTAATGGAATAAATTCAAGCAGAATTCAAAAGTAATTGTATTTGGTATTTAAATGTAGATCACCTTTCAATTACTTTGCCTTCTCCCTAATTGCTCTCTGGTATGTGTAAAGCGTTGCAAATCTCAAGAGTTTCTGTTACTTATATTATGGACAGAAACTTGAGATTTGATTTGGATTTCAATGATTTCTGAAATATGTATCTTGGCAGAGGCATAAATCAAATTCCTGTTTATCTAGACTGGTCAGGGAATACAATGTTCTGGTTGACTGAATATTTAGGTTAATAGGTCATTAGAATGTATGCATACCATGAGTTAATTGCATATTTTCAACACATACTAAAACAAAAGTGAAAATAATTAATCTTGTTTTGAATGTTTATGGGTCATTTGAAGATCTTACTGTGTCTTGCATTCTTCATATGAATGTCACTCATCTCTTACCTAAGATCTTTTCCAAACTGAGCTAACACAGACTCAACGATTTTTCACCTATTTCTCCATTGTCTTTGCTTAATCAGAAAGCCTCCCCTCCTCTATCAATGTAACATGGCATATCTGCTGCTCTAAATTGGGGTTCCTAAGCATTCCTGCAGAAAATAAATATATCATGAAGAACAGCTTTCAGTATACATTTATGGCATCCAACCAAGTATGTACCCTCAATCTTGCCAATTATTTTAATTTTAATAATAATTATTATTATTTTTAGAAAGGATAGTTTGTTTTTCTCTCTTCTTCTCAACAGTTACTCCAAATGTTTACTATTTTTCTTAAGTCCTCTGCATCTTACTGCCATCATCTCTCCCTAATGGTCAGATGGCCTTCATTTTTGTATAGAGCAGAAAGAGATTATGTGACTTGCATACATATCACCTCCCAGACCCACTTACACATTTACCTGCATCTGCCCTAATTCTTATCTTCTTAGCTGCCTCAGAGGGAGAACTAAGGCCCCTTCTATTTACTCACATAAATCATTTTGAGGAAGTACAATTCTCCATGCATGTTTATAAACTCAATGGGCAAGTCAGCCACTTAGAAATTCGGCACCAAAATATCTCAGGCATTGTTTTTAAAATTTTGTTCTAATGGACTCAAACTTCAATTTCATATATTGTTCTGGTTTCCAACTTCTATTTCCCTGTCCCTACAACATAATAAGAAAAAGATTTTTAAAAGATTATACTTTTAGTCATTCTCTCTGTGTACTTTCTTTTGTGGATGGATAAATTATTATTGCACTCACACAAGTAAATAATAACCTTTAGAACTATACATATTTGCATTAAAATATATCAACATATGTATGTGTTTATAAGAAGAGTTATTCTTTGTCCTTGAAAGAGGATTGACTATGTAAAGTGTTTGGTTGAAAAAAAGAAAAGGCCTGGTGCAGTGGCTCATGTCTGTAATCCTGGCACTTTGGGAGGCCGAGGCGGGCGGATTACCTGAGGTCAGGAGTTTGAGACCAGCCTGGCCAACATAGTGAAACCCTGTCTCTACTAAAAATACAAAAATTAGCTGGGCATGGTGGCAGGCACCTGAAATCCCAGCTACTCGGGAGGCTGAGGCAGGAGAATCTCTTGAACCCAGGAGGCGGAGGTTGCAGTGAGCCCAGATGGTGTCACTGCACTCCAGCCTGGGAGAGAGAGGGTGACTCTGTCTCAAAAAAAAAAAGCTCCCCACGAGTTTTTTTCTTACTTACATTATTTGCAGTTACACTTCTATCTTTCTAGTCCTTTCCACTTCAACTAACTAGAAAATCTCTAATCAATAAATTTAACAATCTTTTGTTTAAAGTAAATTTTCTTAAGACTCCCACCTTTCTGAATAATTTCAGCATATTTTGATCATTTTCATAATTTTTACAAAACTAAATAGTACTTTCCTCACATAAATATTTCTCACTCACATACAAAATTACATAAGAAATGTATGATTTATATATTTTGTACACACATATCAAACAGTAGAACTACTCTTTTTTTCTGATTAAATACTCATCTATGCCTAACCATAAAAAAATAGCAAAATCAAAAATGTTACTTGATTTTGGGAGAAAAATGCATAGAATTTCCAAAGTATAATTCATCGCAGGAACATAAGTAAATCTAATTTTCATGTTTGGTAATCAAAAACTTCTAGCAAGCTTTTTTCAATGAAGCATGACTCAAAATTTGTGAAATGTTAATAAGTAATTCAAATGAGTACTGTTGCAAGGATACAAAAATGTTAAAATTGTAGCAAAAATACTAATTATGTTAACATTATGAAAAGACTAATTATATTAACATTATAACAGTTTCTATTCCCATGGCTAATCTGACTTATTTACATAGTGGAAGTATATTGGCCATTATAAACTTGGGATTCCATTTCTTTTTATAGTTAACACATAACCAAATACTTATTCTAAATTATGAGGGTCTATTTGAATTTATATAATGCAGCTTCTGGCTTTTTCATTTTACTCAGCAGATCAGACAAACTGTAAGATCTCTATTACTTACACCCTGGAGCACCTCCTGAGAGGCTGATCTCTGTGACCCCTATTTTCTTTGTCTTTTCAAAACAGTAAGGTAAAGATCTTTGAGTTCTTAACACGAAATATTGTTTTAAAGCCTCATTAGTTTAAGGTGCCAAACCCTTCTTATAAACAAATATGAGAGATATAGTATTATGAAAATTGATTCCTAAATTAATGACATTTTGATTACCTGTTGGTAGTGGATGTTGAAGAGAGCCACCCAAATACCACTTCAGGACTGAGTGACTCCATTTTTCACCTTTCAAGGGCAGTGCCTGCTGATGCATTAATTTTGAATCTTTTGCTGGGAAAGCCATCATCATGCAATAAGTGATTGATGGGGCAGTAAAAAGGTGCAGGTCCTTGCCTTGATAGAGAACAATTCTATAGGGCTGTTCCAGCTCTAGAGCTCCCCATAGGATTGACTGAGGTCACTGATATGAAAGCTTGTAGATCAACCTTTCCCTCTGCCCAGTCCTGCTTTCCTCACTCACTCACATATTTATTCCAGAGATAACCCTCTAATCACTCTCTAATAAACCTGCTGCATGCAAATCTCAGAGTCTAAGAGTCTGTTTCCCTTTGAACCCAAAATGTGACATTTAGTGTCCAAAGTAGTAGCAGGAAGGCAGATCCTAGAATGACACTTTGGAGCTGAATGGCATTTAGGAAAAGGAATTTTTAAACCATTCATGGATGATGAGATTCAGTGTGGCAATGATGAAAGGAATTGCACTAGCAGGTGTAATATCTCAGGCTATTGAGAAATACTGAAGAATAGTAACTGTAAGGATTAAACAGTCATAGAACTGTTGCTAGGGTAATTGATACATTATAGAAAGTCTATGAAAAACTGATAGTAATTAATCATTGATTTAAACTCAGTCTTTCACCACCTGAGGGCTTCCTTGGCAATAAATATATTCTTAGCTTCCTTAGTCAAAGGACAAAACAGCTTTAGATCAGGCCAATGACTTATTTGTAGCAGTGGCAGATTTCCAGGAGAGGTCAAATTCTCAACTTTTGAAAATTTGATACACCAAGATCAGACATCTAATTTGGAAGTAAGTGGAATCTGAGACATTGGGTAGGGACATTTGGGTGGGCAAACTAAAATATCTTAAATCCCCAGGATCTCTTGAACCCTCTGAGACTGTTGAAGTTTCTCACTTTATTGTGGCTTAAGGGCGATTAATCCCAGTGGTTTTCTGATAAGTACTTAACAGTCTGAGAAGAAAATCAAACAAATGGGCAAAGCCCTGACATGTAGTATTTGCTGCTTTGCATGATGTAAATAAACACATCATAGTTGAGATTTCAAGCTACCAACAGTTTAGCAATTGGCTCACAAAATTTCTGAAATGCTTCACAATTTTCTTCCATGAGTTGGTACAAGCCAGCTCCAGTGTATCACTAGACCAAATAACATATGCCCTACTGAGGAATACTTTTCCTTGCAATCAGAAAAAATGTAGACCACCATACCAATTTAAGTCATAATATAACCTGAGGAAATTCTTGGCCAAGAGAAGAAAAGGACTTTATTCAGGAGTTGCATAATCTTGACAATGTGTACAGTCAAGCATACAGGTTGACAATATGACACAAACTGACTACACACCAAGGAACTGGATTCTAGGGTGGTTGGGCCACAGAGAGATGTTACAGAACATAAATTTGCATAAAGGAGAATTTATTGATATGGGAAAACTATTCTGTGACATGCATTGCTGTGATTGTCTTAGAAGCTTGAAGAAAGCAAAGACCCACACAAAATGAAACAGAAATTCCAGAACTTCCATGACAGAAGGGGAAAAATGATCAAAAGGCTCAGAGAAATGGGCATACCAAACATACCTACTACATACATCAAATGATTACAATCCATAAAAGGATCCAGATGACACTCTATTTACCAAAAATTTATAGGGGTTCACTGGTGAGAGAGGCATGGACACTCTTAAGAAACCAATTGGTGACTGTTCTTTGGAGGCTTAGGCTAATAATAGGAGATACAGTTTTAGAACTAGGCTCCCTGATAACAATGGGGATCACAGGATTATAAAATATTAGAAGCCAGGTGGTGATGCGTAACTGACAGAAGGAGGGCTAGTGCAATTATCAAAATAAATGGCAAGGTCAGAGTGGCAGCCAGGGTGTCAGACTCATAGAAAACTGTGAAATGCTTCACAGAAAGTGTGGCAAGTACAATGATGGCCTTGATAAGATATGTACTTCAGGAATGGGGGCTGGAAATGACATTGAACGAGATTCAGAGGGCTGTCATATCAGGTAATGTTTTAGGCATCCAGTGGTCTGGGACATTACAGAACATTCTTTTCAAATTTGAGTATAATGTCTAATGAACTTCCTCACTTTCTGTAGGTGCCATATTCCACATTTTGGAATCTGACCCAAATCCATTTACTGAGTGGTATAAAAGACTGCCTTGTTTGAGTTTGATCAAGCATAGAATAGGGCTCTTTAGCATCTACAGACTGTGATGTAGGAAACCGTCTTTCACGAGCCATACAATTTGGCCTCCAGTGAATTATCAAAGGTATTTGTTTTGGAGAAACTTGTCTTTCGCAGTTGATGGCAAGCTCCAATAGAAAAATCACAATGGAAACCTGCAGGATTCTGGAGTGGGATGACGCAATCAGTAACAGACAATTAGACACTATTCAGAATATAGCCTGTGGCATCGACTGGGTCCTAGTAGAGATGGAGTGCCTGGCTACTGAACATCAACAGGCTATACAGCCAGACTGTCCATCATAGACTGGATTCTGTCAGAGTCAATAAGTCATATGTTTGAGCAAGTTCAACAGCATCCATCATAAGATGAAAGTGGCATGTCTGGGACCAAGGTGGAACACAGCCAAAAAGCACAAATAAGTAGCATGACCGTGTGACTCAAACTCCCGTATAATCCACTATAATTGCGCCTGTGACTCTCCTGCAGTTTATACATATGGCAGCTTCTTAGGGGGTTCCTCTATGAGCAGCCGATGAAGAAGGAAAAAAGCTAGATGTGGATCAGAGAGGGTCAACTCAAAGTGTGAGTGAAAGCTGAAAACAAGAGTGTGGCTGCACTTTAGCCTTACACAGGGATATCTTTGAAAGACACTGCTTAAGGAGTATATTCCCAATAGGCAAAGTATTTCTCAGTGAACCAGTTTGATCAATTGGTTCCCAATTTGACTGGAAAAAGAAGTATCTGGGGTAAAAATATATGTAGAATCAGAGACAGTGCTCAATGGCTTGTCTTGTAACTCAAGTGCTTAGAAAGAAAAAAAAATGAAAGGCTAAGGACAAAGAGTTTTAGGGAAGAACTGTATAGATGGGTTAATGGTGTACAAAGTGTGAGAGTATCTACCATGGAAAAGGGATTTCACATCCAAATAAACTAAATGTCTCAATCAGTTGACACCTTCCAGCCTCTGACATCTGCCACCTCAGTGCTAGTACACTAGGCTTATGAACAAAATAGCAATGGTGTCAAGAACAGAAGTTACACATGGCCCCACAGGGATGTGTTTTCATTCACCAAGGTTGCCGTAACTACTCTGCTGCTGAACATCCAGACTTCCAGCCAAAAGGAACAATGCTGAACCTTTGAAATGCCACCATTTCTTCAGGAAACCAACCAGCTCTGTTGTGGCAAGTTGATTACATTAAACCATTTTGCTCTGAAGTGTCAGTAATTCATCTTGAATATATGTAACACAGGATTGTTTCTGCTTTTCCTGCTTCCCAGATCTCAGTCAGCACCACTCTCAGATAACTTAAAACATGTTTGATCCATAAGTACATGACACTACATAACCTCATGTATTAGTCCATTATCAGATTGCTATAAAGAAATACCTAAGACTGGGTAATTTATAAAGAAAAGAGGTTTAGTTAGCTCATGGTTCCACAGGCTGTACAGCAAATATGATTCTGGCCAGAGGAGGCCTCAGAAAACTTAGAATCATGGCAGAAGGCAAAAGGGAAGCAGACATATCTTACATGGTTGGAGTAGGACTGTGAGAGAGAGGCATGAGTTGCCACACACTTTACAAACAACCAGATCTCACAATGACTAACTCAAAATACAGTACCTACAGTACCAAGTGGGGATGGTGCTAAATCATTCATGAAGAACCACCATCATGATCCATCACCTCTCACCACGCCTCACCTTCAACATTGGGGATTACAATTCAACATGATATTTGTGTGGGGACATGGATCCATACCATATTACCTCATATCAGACCAAGATATCTACATTAGCAAAAAAGGTGCAATGGTGGGCAAATGACAAGATTATTTATTTGTTCTATCTACAAATTGGATGTTATAACATCCAATAAGCAAAGTTTTACAGGTACTTCAATTGTACATGGAAATGGTACCTGAATGATTACAGCCATCTCTCAGGATGCATCATATATCTTAAATCAACAATTACTGTTTGGTGCTGTGTCCCCATTATGTAGATTCTATGTTCAGACAATAATAGGAATAGTCTCATTACCATCACTCTGAGGCATCCACTTGGGAAATCTATGCTTACTCCTCCATAATTCTAGGCTCAGTGAATGGAATGGAATACTTCCATCTGGGACAGACGAAGAGTCCCATTAATCTGTAATCTGTGGAACCCATATAGTCACTCAAGACTCCTTGTAGCAAAGATACTTACAGGGATAGAAATGACAGGAGTTACCATGCTAGCACAGAAAATTGGCTCTAATTACAATAAGAAGCCAGCACTGGTATTATGAATGGATGTTGTGGTTTGTCACTGTATCAGAAGGGGTTCAACTTGAAGAGTAGAACAAGTAGGAGACACATCTGGAGAAATGTGTTGCAAGAAATTGGCTTATATGATTGTGGGGCTACCTAGGAAAGCACAAATCTGTAAGGCAGGTTGTCAGGAAGAGTAGATGGGAATTCTTAAAAGCATGGCTTAAGGTGCTATCTTCAGATAAAGTTTCTTCTTTATGGAAGCCTCTGCTGTGCTTCTAACGCCTTTCAACTGGCTGAGTCAGGACTACTCACATTATTGAGGACGATCTCTTTTAACTTAAACATATTAACGTTAATCATATCTAAAAAGTATCTGCAAAGGGCCACCCAGAATAGTGTTTGGTTGAATGAGCAACTGAGGACCATAAATGAGCCAAGTTGATACAACAACAACAACAACAACAAAAAAATCACAGCCACCATTATTCCATTTAAGACTGATGATTATTGGCTACTGAGTGTACAAAGCTTTGTCCAGAAATTTCCCTCAGCTAAAGAAAGCTGCTTCGCTCAGATTGTAGCTGTCATCTGATGACTGGTCCTTGTGAGGATACACAGTTTTAGAAGTCCCTGTGGGCAAAAAGTTTTGGGAGAATCCTCCTAGGAACAACAGCATTAAAAGACAGTGGCAGCAGGATTAGGAAGAGGGAAGGTTTAACTGCCCTGAAAGGACAATAGCGGCCTTAGCCACAACTGCAGGGAGTCTGTTTCCAAGGGAACTCAACTTATGCTATACATATAATTTATAGCACAATGTGTATTTAAGAAAAAAAAAAAAAACATTTTGGTGTCTTTCCACATTCACCCACCAAATAATTTAGAGGTGGAATAATGGACTGCTAGTTTAACTGCAATAAGAAAGATAACAGGCACTACTCCAGCGAACAATTTGAGAAAAAAAGAAAAAATGAGAGTTCTACAATAACAACAAAATCCACAAATGTTGAGTTAGTCCTTATCTGTGTAATTGCTGGTATTTGAGATTTTCCCATCCCGGCCAATTTTGTTCCCCAGCAGAGTGGCCATGATGGGATGGAGTAGTTCTTCACAAACACTCTTATCTCAGCTGTCAGTGCCTTTTGTTAATGTAGTCACACCCGGACTCTCTTTCCTATTTGGTTATATGTTAACGCTTCTGCATGTATTTAATATCTCTTCTCATATTTGTCATAAGCCCTGCCTTTTTGCTGTTGCAAAAAGAAATATCATGATATTTCTCTTAGGATTTTTTGTTGCTGATAAAGTTACCTCCTAGCATAACGTGTATAATGCTTGTTTCAGGACAAGTTGATTCTGAAATCACCATCCAGAAATGAGTCACTTAACATCACTGCAGGGGTCTTGCCCTGCTCTGGGTTCCAGAAGTGAGTACTGTAACACAACTATTTTTATAAGGGTATTTTCTGTCCTTTCAAAAAGAGATATGACTTGGGAAATCTTTCTTAGCTTAGGGAAACCTGCTTCTCAATGCTTCTTACTCACTGTTCACATGGAGGAAAAGTCCCATTAAATAAAAAATACCCACTCTCTCATTTACGAGGCTAAGTATTCCCGTAAGTCTCACTTTTCAATGTCAGAAGATATAAAAAAGTGTTACATAGTGTGCACAGCTGGGGCCCTTCTGTTTGAATTATCTGTGGCAAGTATCTCAGGTGGCCCACTTAAATACAAAATAAACACATATTTAATCACAGGATGCATGCATTTCCTGATGATTCTTCAAATATTTTTCACTGTATGGAAATGAAAATAATAAATTAAGTAGTGGCTATGTTACTTATTCACTCTATAGTTTTTAATGAGTCAATTTACTCAGTTTTATCTTTGAGATGAGAGTAACAATACTTTTGTGACCTTTACAGCAGATCATGCATATGATAAAATTTTGAAAAGTTCTGTATGAATAGTTTGTATTATCATTACCATATTTGTTGAGTGACAAGCCTGCAATTTTCTAAGGTGCTGGATGTAGTACTGATTTAGGCTAAATTAAAGAATACATGGAGAATGATGTTTGTCGAGGCTTACGGAAAAGAAAAACAGGTCTTTTTTTTGAGCAAAAGCTAAGCTCTGAATTGATGAAATTTAACAAACCTGTTAAGGAAGAAAGCCTCAAAGGTTTACAAGTTTTCTCACCTTTTTAAGAATCCGGGCCAGTAGATTCTTATAAATAACTAGCTCAACAATGAATAAGTACTGCGATGCTGTAAATGAAATCAGATAATATATTCATTTTCTAAAAACTATTTTAAAACCCATAGCATAATTCCCAATTTGAACTTGAGAGCAAACCACACGGTGACTCTTTGTGGAGTACATACAGAATAAGGCAGACAGGCCATAAAGTAAAAAGCCCAGCTGAATGGTTTCCCTAGCAACAATCTATAAAAGCAATTTCTCCCTTTCCTCTTGTTTTTCTTTGAAAAAGAAAAAAAAAACTAAACTATAATATTTATATCTGAAAGTTAACAGACTCTAATCTGAGCTTGATTCATTATGACAGACAGTGGGTGGTATAAATACCAGGAAAGATGCTATATTCATGCAAACTGACAAATTCTTAGTTTTGCCTCCAAGCTCAGATGTCTCTCAAGCTGCCTGGCACATCTCTGTACTGGTGGTTTAAGCCATATGTGTCCCTCTCCAGTAAGTTCAGGAAAGAGCTGCCCTATCATTCATGAATAAAGATAAGTACTCAGTTATAATTTTCTTCCACCAATGCAATTTAATTGTCCACCCTAAATAAAGTAGCCATTTGTTTTCCTACAAAACTATTGACCCATTTCATGAATTATATATGTATTCTTCAGGCACAAGGCCATGTAGTTTAGTTTTCGTAATGCGATGTTATATTTCCTTAACACAAATAAATCATGGAAAGGAACAGAGGGCAAATCTTCATTTAAAAGCCATTAAAAGGAAACATCCAATCCATTTGAATAGTTAATATGGCATTGGGTTTTTCTCTTGCTGAACTCGAGTCCTATGTGTCTTCAAAGTCACCATGTCTTCAGGCTAAATTTGTAATTTTTGAAGTTACCATTCCATAGCAGCACCATCAGGACAAGTAAGTAGGTGCTTTCCTGGAAATACATATGAAGAAGCAATGCTTCTCTATCATTAAGAAGAGCTATAGAATTTCAGCAAGAAGGTGTTCTTTTATTTATTTCTGAATAGTTTTAGGTAATATTTGGGAAACCAATATTAACTTCCATAAAATACCCATAATACTTGTCAGAGAAACAATACCATTAAAATTGCTTTAACTAAGAATAGTTGTTAGGAAAGGAAAAGAAAATTATAGGCTAATAATTAATATTACATGTAGAAGCTGCAGGGAACTATAAAGTAGATTTTATAGAGCTTGGAGAAAATCTTCCACCATGACAATTGCCATGAAGAGTTTTATGACAATATGACACCAAGTTGTAAACTCCTCAAGAGCAGAGACCTTGAAAAGTGTCCTAAATGCTTCTCAAACTGTTTAAGCTGGGCTGGATACCCTATTGTTCTCAGAGCAGTAGTCATCATAAAGCCATGTCTGGCCATTCCTTGGTGACATATCTCCTTGACATTTTGGTTATTTCCAGTGTGAAGAAGATTTAACTAAAGACTGACATTCCTTCACCTTTAAACAAATGCCCTGAAAGAGTGATTATTCTCAGAAATCTTTAGCCATCTCCTTTTCTAGCCTCAGGTCAAGAGCATAACTTGGCTCTATCATTCATAAACTATAGCTCACAAAAATCTCCTTTTATATATTACTGAAAACTATTCCACAGACCTTCCCTCTCTAATCCACAAGACATGAGATAATTCTATTCAGCTCATCTCAGTATAACCTGTGATTCATGGGCAGCCCCTGTGTAATAATGTTTGTTGTCATTATGTTGACCCAGTGTTGAGGCCCTCTTAGTAGCTGGTCAGTACTCTTTCTGAGTAGTTGATTAAGACAACACCCCAATCACTTCCCTCTTACAATCCAGGCTACTATGTGCCAGACCTAATCTTCTTGGGGCTACCCACCAGACAACCAGAGAAAGCTGTTATGCCCAAAAGCCAGAGGAATTATTCAAATTAGTCAGTCCACAGGGTGCCTGAAAAACCTAGCTAACTCCTACCCCACTTGTCATACATAGCTACCTCCTACTGTTCCAGCATGCTATTATCCTGTCCTCAGGTAGAGCCTCCTGTGTGGCCTTCCCTGGTAGCTTTCTTTCCCTTGTTGCTGTAACTGACAAAAGAGTTCTGCCTTTCATCTATCTAAGTGTAATTGTGTTGTGTCTCACCATCAAAACAATCTTTAAACATTATGATACACCCTCTCATCAGCATTATAACCTCCAATTTAAAAGCAGCCCTTCCATTGTCCATAATCCAGCAGCACTATCACCCAGCATTCTACTTCCAACCAGAAATTCCATAACATTGTGTTCACATTATGTATACAATATTTTATTTTATGAAATGCTTACTTGCTTACTGCTAATTTTTATTGACTCCATTCATTCTTCTATTCATTACCATTCTTAAAATCTATAGCCTATTAATAAGTAAAGACAATCTTCTAGGTAAATACAAGGTTATTAACTGGGGTCTTTTTTTGCAAGACTTAACACTATGTTCCACCTGTCTTTTTCTAAACTTATCACATGGTACTGCTGTATCTTAATTAATTTTTTTTCCTAGAGTGTATTCCTTTATTATAGTTTTACTGGTGTTTCTTCTTACTTCTAATCTGATGGGTATCAAGTCATTTTCATAAATCATTTATTAAGTATCATTCCAATTCAACAAGTACTTACTAAATATTTACTATGTGCCAGACACTACTAAACGAGAGATATAACATTAAAAAACAGACCATTGTTCCTACTGCTAAATATTTTTGAGTCTGATGTGGAAGTCAAGGATTCAGTAACAATATGGGTTGGATTACACCTCAACTCTTAACTTGTTTCCACAGAATTCCTAAACAATCTCATTCTGTTCTCCCCTAAGGAATATTTTCATATTCTCATTCACTTATTCATTCACTTGTTCATTCATTTGTCTTTTCTCAAAGAGGTTCTGATAAGCATCAGTGTTTTTCATACTCATTAATACAACCATGCTTTTCTCTAAAACCTCTGTGAATTTACTATTCTGCTGATATTTCCTGTGAATTTTTGTTTTCTGACTTTATTTTTTTCTGTCTGAAGTTACCTTTCTTCCATGTTCTATTTCCACAAGTTCAAATTCTGCAAAGCCTCAAATATGTAGAAAAAACAAAGCCTTTACTTATAATTCCTTACATTTGCCCAAACCCCATATACACATTGAAAAATTTTTTTCTTCTGAAAATCACTATTATAATTTTGGTGATACATAATACACAAGTTACCCAATTTTTAACTTAAATTTTGGTTTTCCATTTGTCTAGTGTAGGTATATGCATGTGTACATGTATATATAGCATATCTGACCTTAAGGGCAAGATTTCTCTAATTCTCTGTTACTTCCATGTGGAAGATATAGTCAGTGGCAGTTCAATATCTTATTTTAAATTTAGTTGGTACTCTATGTTTGTCACATAGACATGTTAGATGATTATACTTTTTCACTTTATTCTGAATCAAATTGGATATAAATACAAGAATTGGCTGTTCTCGCCAATCCTTATGGCTATCTTTTTAACAACAACAACAAAAAATCACTTCTCTTTGACCAATGTTGGCCATTTACATATCTCTCTGCCAAAGAGAAATTTTTATTTCTCCCTGACCAATGCTGGTTATTTATATATGTCTTATATATGTTCATACCTCTTATATTTAAAAATTCAGATAAACTAATATTTAACCTATTTTATAACTTCTATTCTCCTGTTCTCATTTTCCCACATCAACTTTTTCAAAGAGGCAAATCTCCACTTGAAAATTAAAAGTTAAAAATTATGCTGAATTTATCCAGTGAACTATTATGTAGCTATTTAAACTTATGGCTAGCAAACCTATGCAGCAGTATAACATGTGCTTAGGATATCACAATCAATGAAACGTATACATGTATCATAATATACTCTGTTACAACTGTAGAGAAATTGTCTTAGAAAAAAATTGGCAGAAAACACTCAGATTGTATTAATACATATTTAAATGCTGGATGTATGGGTAGTTTTTTATGCCTTTTCCTTATTTTGGAATATTTGTGGTGGAATATTACTTTTATATTTAGAAAAACAAATGTTAAAGTAATAGTGATGCAGTCTTACTGTGAAATATGGACCAATTTACTTTTCAAAACACTAAACCTTTTCATAAGAAAATATAATAGCTAAAGATTTCAGGAAGTAAAATAATGGTTTCACTAAATTGGCCTTAAGCGCAGGCCAATTTATAAATGATTTGAAGAGTTTAAATTTATAGGGGGTCTCCTTATTCCAATACTTGATTCTACATTAGCTTCTACTACTGAATAAATTCCTTAAATGCATTGCAGAGATTGCAACTAACACTTCTGTTTATATTGTAGAGAACCCCAGGTCATCAGAATATTGCTGTGATATGATATAATTATGCTCCAGTCTCAGCAGCAGAAAATTTTAGTCATTACAATATGATGCTTATTTTGGAAACCAGTAATAATTTATTCTTGACCTATGTAAATAAATTTTGGATTGCCTCTAACTGTGGCCTAATGACCGCACAGAGTTCCCAAGGGTTTCAAGAATGTATATTCAAAGAAAGACAAGGAAATCACTATTAATTGTGCTGGCAACATAAATAAAAGTAATGTGCCCCATTATTAAACTCAAATTAAATTACAATCTTGAGATATATCAGAGCACTCTACCTGACATTCAGCCACTACATACAAATTTACTTCACAAATGCACTACACTTAGGGAATGGCATGAGGGATACAGAAATAGGAAGTTACTGTGTGTGTGTGTGTGTGTGTGTGTATCCACATTAGACATACATGCAAACATATATAATAGTTAATATATTTTTATTATATGTATGTGTGTATATAATATGCACACATACATATAATAAACATATATATGTTAAATTTTACTAAATTATTTATTGTAGTTTTCTGTTTATAATCTAACTCAATTCTTATTAATAACCTCTAATACTATGATTTCTATTTCTGTTTCTAAAAAATAGAAATACATAAAAGCCTGAAGGCACAATAAAAACAGCTCTTAGCCCATTCTGCTCCCCTTGTTCAATGTTTACTCTTGTTCATTATGCAGTATTAGTATATTTAGTCAATATTCTACAGAGAAATAGAACCAATAGATATGGATAAAAACACACACACTATATATATATATATGGAGAGAGAGAGAGAAAGACACAGAGATTCTTCTTTTAAAGAATTGGCTCCCATGACTATGGAGGCTGGGACTCCAAGATCTGAAGCTGCCAAGCTGATCACCCAAGAGAACTGAGGGTATAATTTCTCATTCAAGTCCAATTGTTTAAGAATCAGGAGAGGTATATTAGTCCATTCTCATACTACTATGAAGAAATATCCAAGACTGGGGAATTTATAAAGGAAAGGGGTTTAATTGACTCACAGTTCCTTATGACTGGGAAGGCCTCAGAAAACTTACAATCATGGTGGAAGGTGAAGCAAACACATCCTTCTTCACATGGTGGCAGGAAGGAGAAGTGCCAAGCAAATGGGAGAAAAAGCCCCTTATAAAACCATCAGATCTGCTGAGAACTCAGGATCATGAGAACAGCACGGGGGTAACTGTCCCCATGATTCAGTTACCTCTCACCAAGTCCCTCCTACCACAAGTGGGGATTAAGGGAATTACAATTCATGATGAGATTTGGGCGGGGACACAGCCAACCATATCATTTCACGCCAGTCCCTCCAAAACCTTATGCCTTTACATTTTTAAACACAATACTGCCTTCCCAACAATCTCTCAAGGTCTTAATTCATTCCAGCATTAACCCAAAAGTCCAAGTACAAAGTCTCATTGGAGATGAGGCATGTCCCTTCTGCCTATGAGCCTGTAAAATCAAAAGCAAGTTAGTTATTTCCTAGATACATTGGGGGTATAGGCTTTGGGTAAATACACTCACTCCCAAAGGGAGAAATTGGCCAAAACAAAGAGGCTACAGCCTCATGCACATCTGAAATCCACCGAGGCAGTAAATAAATTTTAAAGCTTTGAAATAGTGTCCTTTGACTTCATTTCTCACAACCAGGTTACTCTGATGCAAGAGGTGGGCTCCCATGGCCTTGGGCAGATCCACCCCTGTGACTTTGCAAGGTACAGTGCCCTCTTGGCTGCTTTCATAAGTGTCTTTGGCTTTTCCAGGTGCATGGTCCAAACTATCAGTGGATCTACCATTCGGGGGTCTGGAGGATGGTGGCCCTCTTCTCACAGCTCCATTAGGCAGTGCCCCAGTGGGGACTCTGTGTGGGTATGCCAACTCCTCATTTCCCTTCTGCACTGCCCTAACAGAGGTTCTGCGTGAGAGCTCTGCCTCTGCAGCAAACTTCTGCCTGGACATCCAGGCACTTCCATACATCCTCTGAAATCTAATCAGAGGTTCCCAAACCTCAATTCCTGAATTCTGTGTACCCACAGGCTCAACACCATGTGGAAGCTGCCAAGGCTCAAGGCTTGCACCCTCTAAAGCTATGGCCTGAGTTTTACCTTGGCTGCTTTTAGCCACAGCTGGAGCAGCTGGGACACAGAGCACCAAGTCCCAAAGCTGCACACAGCAGAAGGGCCCTTGGCCTGGCCGATGATGCCATTTTTTCCTGATAGACCATCAGGCCTGTCATGGGAGGGGCTGCCGCAAAAGTCTCTGACATGCCCTGTAGACATTTTCCCCATTGCTTTGGTGATTAACATTGGGCTCGTTTTTACTTATACAAATTTCTGCACTGGGCTTGACTTTCTCCCCAGAATATGGATTTTTCTTTTCTATCGCATCATCAGCCTGCAAATTTTCCAGGCTTTAAGCTCTGTTTCTCCTTGAACACTTTGCTGCTTAGAAATTTCTTCTGCCAGATACCCTAAATTGTCTCTCTCAAGTTCAAAATTCCACAGATCTCTAGGGAAGGGGCAAAATGCTGCCAGTCTCTTTGCTAAAGCATAGCAAGAACTATCTTATTCCACTTCCCAAAAAGTTCCTCATCTTTATCTGAGACCACTTCAGCCTGGATTTCATTACTTATATAATTATCAGCATTTTGGTCAAAGCCATTTAACAAGACTCTAGGAAATTACAAACTTTCCCACATCTTTCTATCTTCTTCTGAGCCCTCCAAACTGTTCCAATCTCTGCCTGTTACCCAGCTCCAAAGTCACTTCCACATTTCTGGGTATCCTTAGGGCAACACTTCACTCTCTATAGTACCAATTTACTGTATTAGTCCATTTTATGTTTCTGTGAAGAAATACCTGAGACTGGGTAAGTTATAAAGGAAAGAGGTTTAATTGACTCACAGTTCTGCATGGTTGGGGAGGCCTCAGGAAACTTATAATAATGGCAGAAATGGAAATAAACGCATCCTTCTTCACATGGTGGCAGGAAGAAGTGCCCAGTAAAAGGGGGAAAAAAACCCTTATAAAACCATCAGATCTTGTGAGAACTAACTCACTATCACAAGAACAGCATGGAGGTAACCACCCCCAATGATTCAATTATCTCCCACTGGATGCCTCCCTTGACATGTGTGTATTATGGGAACTACAATTCAAGATGACATTTGGGTGGTGTCACAGCCAAACCATATCAGTAGCTGATGGCAAAAGTTCCAGTCTAAGGACAGGTGAAAATCAAAAACCCAGCTCAACCATTAAATCAGTGCAATTCTCTCTTATTTAGCCTTTTTGTTTGATTTAGGCCTTCAAAAAGGAGGGTAATCCGCTTTAGTCTACCAATTTAAATATTAACCTCATCCAAAACACCCTGACAGACATACCCAGAATAAGATATGAGAAAATATTTGGGGACCCCATGGCCCAGTAAAGCTGACCCAAATAACTAACCATCACAATCAGAATCTAACTGGCTTTTAAACCTTTGATTATGACCATTATGTACCTATTATATTTGAGATCAATGGCTTTAACTATTATTTGACCACTGTTCATAAAATTATTGATTTGGACCAAAAGTTAGCAACTGTACTTAGGAACAGAATTTTGCTCCCTTGACTTGTGACTACAAGGCTACTAAGTTCACACCTAGCTTCTAATTGCATTCTGGCTCCTCCTGTTCCTGGCTACTGAGTGTAAGCTCTCCAGGGCATACTGCTGGGCAGTGACTTGAGAAGGACTGACCCAGAGATTTTTTTGCACCAATAAAATTACCTTAGCAAGAATTTGACTGCTTCCATAGCAGTGTATGTTATGATCTTAACCCACATTTCACTGTTTTTATTTCCTTTTCTAAACCATAATTTTGCATGATGGAGCCTGCAAGAGACCAATTCAAGAACTGAGTCCAGTAACTGAGGAAGGTAAGGCTATATTTAATGTTAGAGGGAATAAGAGGAATTTATACTGTGCATGGACAGAAACTTTCATGAAGGTCATGTATGTGGTAGGCAGATTACTAAAAAAATTCAGATTGAGGGATCAACAAGATTATAATAGTCCAATTACCTCAAGATTACAAATAGGATCTAACCAACTCCACTAACACTGGACTGGTACTTCAGTCAAAAATTTGATAAATAATCTTAGTTTAAAAATCAGGATGGCCGAATAGGAACAGCTCCAGTCTACAGCTCCCAGTGTGAGCGACCCAGAAGACGGGTGATTTCTGCATTTCCATCTGAGGTACCGGGTTCATCTCACTAGGGAGTGCCAGACAGTGGGCGCAGGACAGTGGGTGCAGCACACCATGAGCGAGCCAAAGCAGGGCGAGGCATTGCCTCACTCGGGAAGTGCAAGGGGTCAGAGAGTTCCCTTTCCTAGTCAAAGAAAGGGGTGACAGACGGCACCTGGAAAATCGGGTCACTCCCACCGTAATACTCCGCTTTTCTGACGGGCTTAAAAAACAGCAAACCAGGAGATTATATCCCGCACATGGCTCAGAGGGTCCTACACCCACAGAATCTTGCTGATTGCTAGCACAGCAGTCTGAGATCAAACTGCAAGGTGGCAGTGAGGCTGGGGGAGGGGCGCCCACCATTGCCCAGGCTTGCTTAGGTAAACAAAGCAGCCGGGAAGCTCGAACTGGGTGGAGCCCACCACAGCTCAAGGAGGCCTGCCTGCCTCTGTAGGCTCCACCTCTGGGGGCAGGGCACAGACAAACAAAAAGACAGCAGTAACCTCTGCAGACTTAAATGTCCCTGTCTGACAGCTTTGAAGAGAGCAGTGGTTCTCCCAGCACGCAGCTGGAGATCTGAGAATGGGCACTCTGCCTCCTCAAGTGGGTCCCTGATCCCTGACCCCCGAGCAGCCTAACTGGGAGGCATCCCACAGCAGGGGCAGACTTGACTCCTCACATGGCCAGGTACTCCTCTGAGACAAAAATTCCAGAGGAACGATCAGACAGCAGCATTTGTGGTACATGAAAATCCACTGTTCTGCAGCCACCGCTGCTGATACCCAGGCAAACAGGGTCTGGAGTGGACCTCTAGCAAATTCCAACAGACCTGCAGCTGACGGTCCTGTCTGTTAGTAGGAAAACTAACAAACAGAAAAGACATCCACACCAAAAACCCATCTATACATCACCATCATCAAAGACCAAAAGTAGATAAAACCACAAAGATGGGGAAAAAACAGAGCAGAAAAACTGGAAACTCTAAAAAGCAGAGTGCCTCTCCTCCTCCAAAGGAACGCAGTTCCTCACCATCAATGGAACAAAGCTGGACGGAGAATGACTTTGACGAGTTGAGAGAAGTCTTCAGACGATCAAACTACTCTGAGCTACAGGAGGAAATTCAAACCAAAGGAAAAGAAGTTAAAAACTTTGAAAAAAATTTAGACGAATGTATAACTAGAATAACCAATACAGAGAAGTGCTTAAAAGAGCTGATGGAGCTGAAAGCCAAGGCTCGAGAACTACGTGAAGAAAGCAGAAGCCTCAGGAGCCGATGCGATCAACTGGAAGAAAGGGTATCAGTGATGGAAGATGAAATGAATGAAATGAAGCGAGAAGGGAAGCTTACATAAAAAAGAATAAAAAGAAATGAACAAAGCCTCCAAGAAATATGGGACTATGTGAAAAGACCAAATCTATGTCTCACTGGTGTACCTGAATGTGACGGGGAGAATGGAACCAAGTTGGAAAACACTCTGCAGAATATTATCCAGGAGAACTTCCCCAATCTAGCAAGGCAGGCCAACATTCAGATTCAGGAAATACAGAGAACGCCACAAAGATACTCCTCGAGAAGAGCAACTCCAAGACACATAATTGTCAGATTCACCAAAGTTGAAATGAAGGAAAAAATGTTAAGGGCAGCCAGAGGAAAGGTCGGGTTACCCACAAAGGAAAGCCCATCAGACTAACAGCGGATCTCTCAGCAGAAACTCTACAAGCCAGGAGAAAGTGGGGGCCAATATTCAATATTCTTAAAGAAAAGAATTTTCAATCCAGAATTTCATATCCAGCCAAACTAAGATTCATAAGTGAAGGAGAAATAAAATACTTTACAGACAAGCAAATGCTGAGATATTTTGTCACCACCAGGCCTGCCCTAAAAGAGCTCCTGAAGGAAGCGCTAAACATGGAAAGGAACAACCGGTACCAGCCACTGCAAAATCATGCCACATTGTAAAGAACATCGAGGCTAGGAAGAAACTGCATCAACGAACGAGCAAAATAACCAGCTAACATCATAATGATGGGATCAAATTCACACACAACAGTATTAACTTTAACAGTAAATGGACTAAATGCTCCAATTAAAAGACACAGACTGGCAAATTGGATAAAGAGTCAAGACCCATTACTGTGCTGTATTCAGGAAACCCATCTCACATGCAGAGACACACATAGGCTCAATATAAAAGGATGGAGGAAGATCTACCAAGCAAATGGAAAACAAAAAAAGGCAGGAGTTTCAATCCTAGTCTCTGATAAAACAGACTTTAAACCAACAAAGATCAAAAGAGACAAAAAGGCCACTACATAATGGTAAAGGGATCAATTCAACAAGAAGAGCTAACTATCCTAAATGTACATGCATCCAATACAGGAGCACCCAAATTCATAAAGCAAGTCCTGAGTGACCTACAAAGAGACTTAGACTCCCACACAATAATAATGGAAGACTTTAACACCCCACTGTCAACATTAGACAGATCAACGAGACAGAAAGTTAACAAGGATACCCAGGAATTGAACTCAGCTCTGCACCAAGCGGACCTAATAGACATCTACAGAACTCTCCACCCCAAATCAACAGAATATACATTTTTTTCAGCACCACACCACACCTATTCCAAAATTGACCACATAGTTGGAAGTAAAGCACTCCTCAGCAAATGTAAAAGAACAGAAATTATAACAAACTGTCTCTCAGACCACAGTGCAATCAAACTAGAACTCAGGACGAAGAAACTCACTCAAAACCTCTCAACTACATGGAAACTGAACAACCTGCTCCTGAATGACTACTGGGTACATAACGAAATGAAGGCAGAAATAAAGATGTTCTTTGAAACCAACGAGAACAAAGACACAACATACCAGAATCTCTGGGACACATTCAAAGAAGTGTGTAGAGGGAAATTTATAGCACTAACTGCCCACAAGAGAAAGCAGGAAATATCCAAAATTGACACCCTAACATCACAATTAAAAGAACTAGAAAAGCAAGCAGAAGACAAAAGCTAGCAGAAGGCAAGAAATAACTATAATCAGATCAGAACTGAAGGAAATAGAGACACAAAAAACCCTTCAAAAAATTAATGAGTCCAGGAGCTGGTTTTTTGAAAGGATCAACAAAATTGATAGACCATTAGCAAGACTAATAAAGAAGAAAAGAGAGAAGACTCAAATAGATGCAATAAAAAATGATAAAGAGGATATCACCACCGATCCCACAGAAATACAAACTACCATCAGAGAATACTACAAACAACTCTACGCAAATAAACTATAAAATCTAGAAGAAATGGATAAATTCCTGGACACATACACCCTCCCAAGACTAAACCAGGAAGAAGTTGAATCTCTGAATAGACCAATAACAGGCTCTGAAATTGTGGCAATAATCAATAGCTTACCAACCAAAAAGAGCCCAGGACCAGATGGATTCACAGCCGAATTCTACCAGAGGTACAAGGAGGAACTGGTACCATTCCTTCTGAAATTATTCCAATCAATAGAAAAAGAGGGAATCCTCCCTAACTCATTTTATGAGGCCAGCATCATCCTGATACCAAAGCCAGGCAGAGACACAACCAAAAAAGAGAATTTTAGACCAATATCCTTGATGATCATTGATGCAAAAATCCTCAATAAAATACTGGCAAACTGAATCCAGCAACACATCAAAAAGCTTATCCACCATGATCAAGTGGGCTTCATTCCTGGGATGCAAGGCTGGTTCAATATATGCAAATCAATAAAAGTAATCCAGCATATAAACAGAACCAAAGACAAAAACCACATGATTATCTCAATAGATGCAGAAAAGGCCTTTGACAAAATTCAACAACCCTTCATGCTAAAAACCCTCAATTAATTAGGTATTGATGGGACGTATCTCAAAATAATAAGAGCTATCTATGACAAACCCATAGCCAATATCATACTGAATGGGCAAAAACTGGAAGCATTCCCTTTGAAAACTGGCACAAGACAGGGATGCCCTCTCTCACCACTCCTATTCAACATAGTGTTAGATGTTCTGGCCAGGGCAATTAGGCAGGAGAAGGAAATAAAGGGTATTCAGTTAGGAAAAGAGGAAGTAAAATTGTCCCTATTTGCAGATGACATAATTGTTTATCTAGAAAACCCCATCGTGTCAGCCCCAAATCTCCTTAACCTGATAAGCAACTTCAGCAAAGTCTCAGGATACAAAATCAATGTACAAAAATCACAAGCGTTCTTATACACCAATAACAGACAAACAGAGAGCCGAATCATGAGTGAACTCCCATTCACAATTGCTTCAAAGAGAATAAAATACCTAGGAATCCAGCTCACAAGGGACGTTAAGGACCTCTAGAAGGAGAACTACAAACCACTGCTCAATGAAATAAAAGAGGATACAAACAAATGGAAGAACATTCCATGCTCATGGGTAGGAAGAATCAATATCGTGAAAATGGTCATACTGCCCAAGGTAATTTATAGATTCAATGCCATCCCCATCAAGCTACCAATGACTTTCTTCACAGAATTGGAAAAAACTACTTTAAAGTTCATATGGAACCAAAAAAGAGCCCGCATCACCAAGTCAATCCTAAGCCAAAAGAACAAAGCTGGAGGCATCACGCTACCTGACTTCAAACTATACTACAAGGCAACAGTAACCAAAACAGCATGGTACTGGTACAAAAACAGAGATATAGATCAATGGAACAGAACAGAGCCCTCAGAAATAACACTGCATATCTACAACTATCTGATCTTTGACAAACCTGAGAAAAACAAGCAGTGGGGAAAGGATTCCTTATTTAATAAATGGTGCTGGGAATACTGGCTAGCCATATGTAGAAAGCTGAAACTGGATCCCTTCCTTACACCTTATACAAAAATCAATTCAAGGTAGATTAAAGACTTAAACATTAGACCTAAAACCATCAAAACCCTAGAAGAAAACCTAGGCATTACCATTCAGGAAATAGGCATGGGCAAGGACTTCATGTCTAAAACACCAAAAGCAATGGCAACAAAAGACAAAATTGACAAATGGGATCTAATTAAACTAAAGAGCTTCTGCACAGCAAAAGAAACTACCATCACAGTGAACAGGCAACCTACCAAATGGGAGAAAATTTTTGCAACCTACTCATCTGACAAAGGGCTAATATCCAGAAGCTACAATGAACTCAAACAAATTTACAAGAAAAAAACAAACAACCCCATCAAAAAGTGGGCGAAGGACATGAACAGACACTTCTCAAAAGAAGACATTTATGCAGTGAAAAAACACATGAAAAAATGCTCATCATCACTGGCCATCAGAGAAATGCAAATCAAAACCACAATGAGATACCATCTCACACCAGTTAGAATGGCAATCATTAAAAAGTCAGGAAACAACAGGTGCTGGAGAGGATGTGGAGAAATAGGAACACTTTTGCACTGTTGGTGGGACTGTAAACTAGTTCAATCATTGTGGAAGTCAGTGTCGCGATTCCTCAGGGATCTAGAACTAGAAATACCATTTGACCCAGCCATCCCATTACTGGGTATATACCCAAAGGACTATAAATCATGCTGCTATAAAGACACATTTACACATATGTTTATTGCGGCACTATTCACAATAGCAAAGACTTGGACCCAACCCAAATGTCCAACGATGATCGACTGGATTAAGAAAATGTGGCACATATACACCATGGAATACTATGCAGCCATAAAAAATGATGAGTTCATGTCCTTTGTAGGGACATGGATGAAATTGGAAATCATCATTCTCAGTAAACTATTGCAAGGACAAAAAACCAAACACTGCATGTTCTCACTCATAGGTGGGAATTGAACAATGAGAACACATGGACACAGGAAGGGGAATATCACACTCTGGGGACTGTTGTGGGTTGGGGGGAGGGATAGCATTAGGCGATATACCTAATGCTAAATTACGAGTTAATGGGTGCAGCACACCAGCATGGCACATGTATACATATGTAACAAACCTGCACATTGTGCACATGTACCCTAAAACTTAAAGTATAATAATAATAAAATAAAAAATGAAAAAACCAGTATTTAAAATAAATATTGAAATGTGCATGCGGTGACTCATGAAAATATTAATAATTTTATATTTCTATTTAGAGTTATAAAAAATATTAAGAGATTAGGATTTTTTGTAAGTGTAGATATAATTAATCATTGGCACTCAACTCTGTGTCTTGGCAATACGAGTAGTTATAATGCAAAAATAATGCCGTTAGTTAAATAGAAATCTTGGGGGAATATTTACTTTTATATTAATTCCTGCCTAATTTTAAGCCGGAAATAAGACTTGCTTTAATTGACATAATAACTTCTATGTTTGAACTTAATCACGTATTGAAAATATTTTTCTTTAGTTATTAAATATTTGTCAATAATTCTAAAATAATTTTGAAAAGTAAAAGAAGTACATAATGTAAAATCATTATTACATTTTGTAGTTGAAAGAACAATGTCTATATTATAAGGAAACAAACAGAAAATAAAAATATAATCTTGGCCATTTACATCAAACTAATCGCCTGGTTTTCTGTATTAACTGAATTGTTTTACTGCTTTGTCCTTCAGTGGCTATGCTTGATAAAGCCATAGTACATCTATCTGCTTTCCATTGTGGTAAACTCATGTTTCAGAATCCAATACAGTGGTGAGTGTAAGTGTTAGTACCTTGAAAATAAGTAGGGCTTCATAATTTTCAAGGTAAATAAGACAATTTGTGTAAGATATTAGTATACAAATGAAGTAGCAGAGCATTCAGGAGAGACTTTTAATTTTAAGTTAGTAAAGGCATATTCTTTTCATGGTTGTCCTATAAAGTTATTTGACATTTTGACACCAAACTATTATTTTTATCTTTTCTGGACCCTCACTGTTTCTCATTCATAAAGTGTAATGTTTTTCCAAGTGGACACTCGGAGATATCCAAACCTTTCAAAGGGCATGTGAGATCCAAAGTATTTTAGAATAGTACTAAAATATTATTTGTTTTTTTTATTGTGTTAACGTTTGTACTGATGATGCAAAAACAATGGTGAGTAAAAATATGGGTACCTTAGTACAAGTCAAGGAAACGGCACCCAACCATACTAATAGTTATTGTTTTCACTACCATGTTTTTGATGAAGTAATAAAAATTACTCAACTTTTAAATCTCTACTCTTACTTACATAATTTTCGTTTAATATTCTGTATGATGAAATGGTAAGTACACATGAAATACTTCTGTTGTATACCAAAGTTTGAGGACTATCTTAAGGAGAAGCAATTGGCAAGTCTATTCTGTGCAAGCTAAACTAGCTGCTTTATTCAGGGAACAAAATTTTTACTTGAAAGAACAGACAGAAAAACTATAGTTATTTAAACTTAGGATTTTGATAGATATTGTCTTGAAAATGAACAAAGTAAGACCATTACCTCAAGAAAAGCAGTTAACAATATTTGTTACTAAAAAGTTTTGCATTTTGTACTATAAAGTTTTAATTTTATGAAACAATATTTGCTACATAAAATTAATGTTTTCAAGCAAAAGTCAGAATGTTGGAAAAGCTGTACTTGCTACCAGGAGCTTGACACCTTTTGAATATAAAGACTTTTCTTGGCAGATAAACAGTAATATTAATTATAAAATATTGTATAATAAACTGTGTTAATATTTGGAAGCTCTGCATCACTACACCAAACAGTATTATTTACATGATCTATGCATGTTACAGAATCACCTTCATGTGAGAAAAACAAATGTTTTTTAATAAAAAATATTAAATGTATATTGATATGGTCTCAGATTACACATTGCAATTATCCTTTGAAATCAACTGCTAGTTGAATTTTGGTATAGCATTAAAAAAGAACATAAATATCTCAAAAAGTTAGTAAAATAACCTCATATTTCAAACTGTATACTTGGATGGGGCCAGATATTCCTACACATGTCAATCAAATCAACATTGTGATAAATTTAATGCCAAATTAGATAAAAGAATTCAGCTTTCTTATAAAACCAGACATTAGAGATTAATAAAAATGAGAAATGGTGTCTCTTTTCTCACCATACTCTATTGGAAACTAATTATTATCAAAATATATTATTTACATTAACAGGTTAATAGGTTTATGTAAACAGTTTTATCTGGAGTTATCAAAGACCAAATCCAGCCTGAAGGCCTGATCTAGCTTCATGCCTATTTTTGTAAATAATGATTTTTTTTAACACAGTTATACTCAATGTTTTATATATCGTCCATGGTTATTTTTGTTCTACAGCAGCAGAACTGAATAATTACAAAAAAAATGGCTCAAAAAACCTAAAGTACTTATTATCCAGCCATTCACAGAAAAAGTGTGTGGTTCCCAGAGTTATTTATTATGATTTTAAAATAAATCAATGAAAGTTTTAAAATTGTCTGCTGTAAATTCCAAGATGGTAAACATCAAGAGATATAACTGGATATATTCTCTGGCATTCTCACTTTTTTTAAGACCATATAACAGCCCCAGAGATGCAAAGATCGAAAACCACTGACGTAAACAACTTACTTTTCTGGAACATAATTCGGTATACTCAGTAGCCATCAGCTTTCTTTCCAAAACTATTTAAAAGTCTTTAGACTGACTATCCTTTGAAAGAAACCCACTACTCCTCTCTAGGTGGCCTAACATAACTGTCTTTTCAGGTTCCAGAGACCCCTTCCTTTTCTTGTCCCTTTGGGGTTAGTGTGATAACAGCTCTGTTATTATTTGTTCAGAATCCTGTGCTCCCCTCCAGTATCTCTGAACCCTACCTCCACTTGTGTTGTTAATTTCCTTGATAATAATCTCATCTTCAATTATTCTAATTTGAGTGTGTTATATGTGCTTCCCTGGGACTCCAACTAAGAGTATTTATACAGTCACACCTCACTTAACAACTGAATATATTCTGAAAACTGTGTCGTTAGGCTGTTTTGTCACTGTGTGAACATCATAGGGTATTCTTATACAAACCTTAGTGGCATAGCCTGCTACTCCCCTAGGCTATACGGTGTAGACTATTGCTCTTACGCTACAAACCTGTACAGCACCTTACTGTACTAAATAGCACAGGCAATTGTAACAAGATGGTAAGCAATTGTGTATATCTAAACATAGAAAAAGTACAGTAAAAATATGGTGTCATAATCTTATGGGGCCACTGTGAAATATGTGTTTTGTCATTGATGGAAACATTGTTATGTGGCACACGGCTGTATATACACTTGCATATATGCTGCATATATGTCTGTGTATATGTACACAGATATGTATATACAACTATACAATACATACCTTTTAATTTGCACTTAACAGAGATAGAAAATGAAACACACAAGAGTTGAATAGTTACTACTAGGACACTAAGTTAGTGTATGCAAAATATGAGGCCAATATTATATCACAAGCAGTCTCACTGCAGAGCCTAGATGATCAACCTCTTAAATAATTTCCATTGTATTAAACCAAAGTCTTATCTATATATCAATCATATTATTACCCTTAGAAATAAATTACTAATTACATTTGTTTATGATCATAGTATCAGCTTCACCAGCATACACCAGCAACTCATAATTGTATTTTTTATTATACAGCATGTTTGTTGTTACAGCTTTTTTCATGTATCACCCACCATTAGTATAATATAGCAAAAAGAAGGAAAAGAAAAAAAAACAAGAAAAGAGCTACTAACATAAATTACTTCGACATGAACTATGTTATGTGCAATAAAATATCTATTTTTATGGTTTGATAAGGCACTTAACAATTTATTATTAGCCCTCAGTGTAAACTTTCCTACTCCATATATTATTTCAACTTATATAAGCATTCCTCATTTTATTGTGCTCTACAGATACTTCATTTTTTACAATTTGAAGATCTTTGGTGACTGTGTCAAGCAAATGTGTTGGCACCATTTTCACAACAGCCAGTGCCTACTTCATGTCTCTATGTCACATTTTGGTATTTCTCACAATATTTCGAATGTTATTATTATTACTACTTCTGTTATGATAATCTGTGATCTTTCATATTACTATTATAATTGGTTTTGGGTGCCATGAACTGCACCCATATAAAATGATGAACTTAATTAATCAATGTTGTGTGTTTTATGTTTATTCCACTGACTGGATGTTCTATATATGGAACAATAAAGCTTGGATGGCAGCACATCTGTTTACAATATGGTTTACCGAATATTTTAAACCCACCATTTAGACATATTGCTAAAAAAAAAAAAAAAAATAGGATTTCTTTCATTGACAAGGCACTCGGTTACCCAAGAGCTAGGAGACGTACAAGGAGATTAATGTTATTTTTGTCCCTCTAACACAACATTCATTCTGCAGCCCATGGATCAAGGAGTGATCTTGACTTTCAAGTCTTATTATTTAAGACATACATTTTGTATGGATATAGCTGCCATAGATAGTGATGCTTGCAATGGATGTGAGCAAAGTGAATTGAAAACCTTCTGGAAAGGATTCACCATTCTAGATGCTATTAAGAACATTTGTAATTCGTGGGAGCAGTTCAAAATATCAACATTAACTTGAGTTTGGAAAAAGTTGATTCCAACCCTCATAAATGATTTTGCGGGGTTTAAGACTTCCATGGAGGAAGTAACTGCAAATGTGGTGGAAATAGCAAAAGAACTAGAATTAGAAGTGGTGCCTAAAAACGTGACTGAACTGCTGCAATCTCATGATAAAACTTGAAAGGATGTGGAGCTGCTTCCACATTGTTGAAATGACAACAAAGGACGTAGAATACTGCATAAACCTGGTTGATAATGCAGCAGCAGGGTTTGAGAAAATTGACTCTAATTTTGAAAGAAGTTTTACTCTGGGTAAAATAGTATCAAACAGCATCACAGGCTACAGAGAAACCTTTCATGAAAGGAAGTCAATGGATGCAGCAAACTTTCCTGTTCTCTTATTTTAGGAAATTGCCACAGCCACTCCAAACTTCAGCAGCCATCAACATGAAGGCAAGATTCAAAAAAGATCATTAGCACTTTTTAGCACCAAAGTATTTTTAAGGTAAGGCATATACAATTTTTAGACAAAATGCTATTGCACACTTGTAGGCTATAGTATAATGTAATTATAACTTTTATGTGCACTGGGATGTGAAAAAATAATATGTAACTCTCTTTATTGCAATATTCACTTCATTGCATTGGTCTGGAACCAAACCCACAATATCTTCAAGGTATGCTATATCTGCATAAATGTATATGCTCTGTCATTAGTGTTTTGTTTTTATAAGTGAATCTAGTATTAGTCTATAAGGTTCAGGGGAAAAAATAAACAATTTATTGTTTTGCAAAATGCAGGGAATAGTGTTCATTACAACATGGGCAAACAAAATCTTTTAAGCTGCGGAAATGCTTCAACTATAAACCAAAAGAATCATTTGTCATTTCAACTGTTAGTTTTGCACTATACCAGAAATACCAGGAATAGGTGTGTTTTTGGCAGCTGAGGTATAAGCCATGCGGGAAAATTTCTGTGCTTTCTCCTGGCAGCATCAGGATTTCCCTCTTTTTCATTACATTCTTAATCATAAGTCTAAAGTATTTTAAAATATAAATTCCAAGTGAACACTTGAATTCCTACAAAAATATTATACTCACATAGTCATTCTTCACATCCTCAGTTTAATTGAGGACATTTTTTTAAACATAAGGCTAGAAAGTTGCCTTTCCTTCCCCGTGATTTCAAGAGCCTTAAAAATACCTTCTTATGCATTCTTTCCACATTTCTCACCTGCCAGTTTTCTGAATATTTTATTCATAAAACTAACCAGAAGGTAAAAACTTTTCTCCCACATCCTAAACTAAAGCTAAAGATGCAAACTCCCCAGGAGAGAAAACACTATAAATTAAATTCATACTCAGGCATCAATGACTGACTTAAAAATATATTTTTTTTCCAGGGAGTAGGTTTTGATGTGACAAGAGACCTACAGGAATACGCCAAAAACGGTAGAGAAAAGGGGTCTACATATTAAATAAAAGGCCCACATAAAGAATATCTGGAGCCATCTCCAAATCGTGGCATGGTGTAATATTTCCAAATCTTGCCTGGTGATAAAATGATCTAAAATAACTGTTGTTAAAATCTCAGCTTTCTGGCCTCACTCTAGAAATGTTGAACAAGAATTTCAAAGGAGAATCCTGAGAATTTTATTTTATGTTGTACCAAAGAGGATTTTTTGTAGGATTTATTGTAATCAGGCAATTTTTGGAAGCATTTGTGTAGCTAGTATGGGAAATGTGGCTCTGTTAGCAGCTAGATCGTGTTGCTTAACCTTCCTTTGCCTACATTTTATTATTTTAAATATTAATAAGAATTCTTAATTCACATAGTTGTTATGAAAATTAAATAATCGAATGCATATACAAGTGCCTGGAAATTAATAAGCATCTAATAACAATCAATCCCCTTCTTTCACCTCTGTCATGGTCTCATTACAAATTAGCATGATTACTGGTGCTGGGCTTCTCTAAATACTGTAGAATATTAGGCACTGACTGACAAGAGTCTCTCTAAGGCCTTAGTACCAAAAACAATCATTATTAACTTGCTATTTGAGATAGATTACAGTATCTAATTGTTATCATTTATATGACTCTAACATGCTTCAACTGACTTCAAGTGATCATTTTTTTCCCCATCACATTTTAGAATTTGAGGTAGCACAAATTAACATCATGTATAATTCAAATTACTCTCAATTCCTTGTCTCTTTCAGGGCCAATGATTCACCTACCCTCTCCTTTTGTATTTTCTTTTGAAAAATTAGATGAAGGCTTCAGAGAAAAAAACAAGAAAAATCTAAATAGGTGAAAGTGCAATCTTGTGCTACTTAAGAAAAATCCATTGCACCCATAAATAAGCAGTTTAGCTCTAGGTTGGGAAGCAGGCCTAGACATGGCACTGATGATAAAAACTGTAATGTCCTTAAACTGTTATTTGCACAAAGAAGGCATTTGGTAAAATTTATTGATAAACTGAACATACATGAATACTAATCAGTAATGATTAGCAACAGACATGGATACTAATCAGTCTGTCATAGTAACACCTTTTTCTAGAACTTCACTTTCTACCTTTAATATATATTGTATTCTACTTGACCATATAATACATTTAGCTATGTGCAATTCTTTTCTTAATTAGCAGAGATTAAGTTCTTTGCAGGTAAAAAACTGTTGAATTCATCTTTGTATCATTTGTAAAGCATCTTATTCATAGTATATGCTCCATGAACTTTGTCAAATTGATTCAAAGTAGTCTCCACAAACTGTTGCTTCTCTTACTAATTTATATGAACTATGTTTTTCCATTTTTACTTAACAAATTCAGTTAATTCAACAGATACTATTATCTTGCCATAACTTTTTTTGTTTCTTGACTACAAACAGTAGCTGTTCATGTTCTGTTTGTAACAAAACTGTACAAATGAAAAATACATCATGCCAGATATGTTATTTGCTGGATACTGGTGAACCTAATATAAGATACTCAGTTTTCTGATATTTATTCCAGTGTGATATTAATTTCGTGATGATATAAATCATTGAGATAGGAAACAGTCTAGAGAGATGCTCTTTCCTTGCATGGGAAGAAGATATGTATGCCTACCACATTCCATATGTTGTAAGAAATATTTACATATATATGATGTTGTTACATCTTCACCTCAATTCTAAGAAGTATAAATGATTATCCTCATTTTGCATAAAAGAAAATGGAAACCAGAAATTTAACTTGAATCAAATTATGTAGTTAATACTACAATTGGGATTTGAAACTAGTTCTGCCCTATTTCAAACACAAATCTCTGTCTTCTTCTCAACACAACCTTTACGTACAGATTAGAATCAAAATGGAGGGAATACATGATTTTCCTTGTCTCCTCCAAGGCTATCTATTGCCATTTCTCATTATTTTCTTAAGCAACTCATGTCTACTCATCTGATAGCGTAGTTTTTCTCCTTTTATAACCTTCCTCTTATCTGTTTGTTGCCTTCTGAAAATTTACATTGCCAAGCCTTTAAAATGTATCTTTTCCTTTGTTGCCTCATATCCCCTATTCTATTGGCCTTTTGATGCCCAGTTCTGTAATTCACTGAATGGACACCTGATTGTTATCTATTTTCAAATATTTTAAATTCAACGTGCTTAATTTGCTGTAGGCAACATAATATTATTGAGAAACATGTCCACAACAACTGTAAATGGAAAGGTATTATATAGAATTCCTTTGGGTTCATTTCTTCCCCAATTTTAATATAGCCTATTAACTTTTGAGGACAGCATTACTGCTTTGTTATTTTATCAGTTCTTTGAAATTGATTCTACTTGTGATCCAAATGTGAATTTCTTGACTGATAGCACATCTGGCCAATGATATAGTCAGTTTTGCCATTTAAATTTCAAATATTAAAGATTAAAAATATTAAATATCAAATATTAAAGATTTCAAATATCAAAAATATGTATTTTCACAGTTGAAATAATAAATAGCATTGCACATTTTCCTGCTAGTAATAAAGTTCAAGACATATTCATCCAGTACCACCTGTATATAAAGCAAGGAGAGAGTATTTATATTTGACAGGTTACACAGGGTAAATTAGAAGTATTTTCCAGTGGGAAAAAAAAAGAACTTAAATGTAGAACACAGATAGAATAATATTAGCGAAATATATGTGGTGATGATGGGTAGGGAGTATATTAGTCTGTTTTCACACTGCTGATAAAGACATAGCCAAGACTGGGCAATTTACAAAAGAAAGAAGTTTATTGGACTCACAGTTCCATGTGGCTGGTGAGGCCTCACAATCATGGTGGAACACGAAATGCATGTCTTACATGGCAGCAGCAAGAGAGAGGAGCTGGTACAGGGAAACTCCCATTTTTAAAACCATCAGATCTTGTGAGACCCAATCACTATCATGAGAACAGCACAGGAAAGACCTGCCCCCAAAATTCAATTATCTCCCACTGGGTCCTTCACACACATGTGGGAATTATGGGAGCTACAAAATGAGATTTGTGTGGAGACACAGAGCCAAACCATATCATTTTGCTGCTGGCCCATCCCAAATCTCATATCTTCATATTTCAAAACCAGTCATGCCTTTCCAACAGTACCCCAAAATCTTAACTCATTTCAGCATTAACTCAAAAGTCCACAGTCCAAAGTCTCACCCCAGACAAGGCAAGTCCTTTCCACCTGTGAGCCTGTAAAATCAAAAGTAAGTTAGTTGCTTCCTAGATACAATGGGGATATAGTCATTGGGTAAATACAGCCATTCCGCATGGGAGAAATTGGACAAAACAAAGAGGCTACAGGGCTCATGCAAGTCCGAAATCCAGCGAGGCAGTCAAATCCTAAAGCTTCACAATGATCTCTCCTGACTCCACGTCTCACATCCAACTCACTCTGATGCAAGATGTGGGTTCCCATGGTCTAGAGCAGCTCTGCCCTGTGGCGTTGCAAGGTACAGCCTCCCTCCTGGCTGATTTCACATGCTGGCATTGAGTGTCTGTGGCTTTTCCAGGCACGTAGTGTAAGCTGTCAGTGGATCTACCATTCTAGGGTCTAGAGGACAATGGCCCTCTTCTCACAGCTCCACTAGGTGGTGCCCCAGTAGAGAGTTTGTGTGGGGGCTCTGACCCCACATTTCCTTTCTGCACTGCCCTAGCATAGGTTCTCTATGAGAGCCCTGCCCCTGCAGCAAACATCTGCCTGAACATCCAGGTATTTCCATATATCCTCTGAAATCTAGGTGAAGGTTCCCAAACCCCTATTCTTAACTTCTGTGCACTGTCAGGCTCAACACCATGTGGAAGCTGCCAAGGCTTGAGGTTTGCACACAGTAAAGCCATGGCCCAAGCTCTACATTGGCCCCTTTCAGCCACGGCTGGAGTGGCCATGACCCAGGGCACCAAGTCTCTAGGCTTCAAACAGCACAGGTACCCTGGGCCCAGCCCATGAAACCACTTTTTCCTCCTAGGCCTCCAGGCCTGTGATGGGAGGGGCTGCTGTGAAAACCTCTGACATGCCCTGGAGACATTTTCCTCATTGTCCTGGTGATTAACATTCAGCTCCTCATTACTTATGCAAATCCCTGCAGCCAGCTTGAATTTCTTTTCAGAACATTGGATTTTCTCTTCTATCACATTGTCAGGCTGCAAATTTTCCAAACTTTTATGCTCTGCTTCCCTTATAAAACTGAATGCATTTAACAGCACCCAAACCACCCCTTGAATGCTTTGCTGCTTAGAAATTTATTCTGCCAGATACCCTAAATCACCTTTCTCAAGTTCAAAGTTCCACAAATCTCTAGGGCATGGGCAAAATGCCATCAGTCTCTTTGCTAAAACATAACAAGAGTCACCTTTGCTTCAGTACCCAACAAGTTCCTCATCTCCATCTGAGACCACCTCACCCTGGACTTTATTGTCCGTATCACTGTCAGCATTTTGGGCAAAGCCATTCAACAAATCTTTAGGAATTTCCAAACTTTCCCACATTTTCCAGTCTTCTTCTGAGCCCTGCAAACTATTCCAATCTCTGCCTGTTACTCAGTTTCAAAGTCACTTCCACATTTTCAGGCATCTTTTCCACAACACCCCACTCTAATGGTACCAATTTACTGTATTAGTCAGTTTTTAAGCTGCTGATAAAGACATACCCAAGATTTGGCAATTTACAAAAGAAGGAAGTTTATTGGACTCAGAATTCCACCTGGCTGGGAAGGCCACATAATCATGGTGGAATGCAAAAGGTGCTTCTTTTGTGGTGGTGGCAAGAGAGAAAGGCTGGTTCAGGAAAACTCCCATTTTTAAAACCATCAGATCTCTTGAGACCCATTCACTAATACAAGAACAGCATGGCAAAGACCCACTCCCATGATTCAGGCATCTCCCACTGGGTACCTCTCACAACACATGGGAATTATGGGTGCTACAAAATGGGATTTGTATAGGGACACAGAGCCAAATCATATCAGGGAGGTGTTGGGATGAATGTAGGTGGCTTTCCAGACTTTGCTTACTGTAAAAAAATAAATAAATAAAAAAGAATCTTGATTCTAATAATTGGGTATGTTCAGCTCTTTACAAATGTTTTATATAACAATACCTACATAGCTTTTTAATTCAACACTTTATAAAGATAACACAGATAAGTTGCTGGAAATCATAAGAAAAACATTCTATATAACATAGTATTTTAATATATCATCTAACATAATCATTTTATGAAATAAAGTGTTTTTACTCAGCTTCAAAATTTTCAGTCCTTTTTTGGTAATGGCATTTAAACCAGGGTGCTTAAAAGAACAAGCTCTATGAAGGCTAAAAAGGGATCCACTCTGAGGGGACCAATGTCACTTGGATCCCCTATAATCTTCCCTGCATCAGAATTATTTTGCTGAACAGCAATAAATAGGTTTTTTCTTTGTTATGAGCTGTAGTTTTCTGCCTCATTAATCAGAGGGTTCTATGAATATAATTCACCAACCAGCTACACTCACTTTTTGAAATCTGTATTTTGATGTGCTCAATGCTTGTTAGACTCAATTTTTTGCTGTTGGAATCATCATCTTTACAAATATAAAGAGAGTTTTTGAGGTTTTTCTTCCATTTTCTTAATACCATAGTACTTCCCTTTTAGCATCTGTAAGCATCACTTGGGAATACAATATGTTGGAAAATAGCCTATTTATCACTTAATATGAAATTGACTTAGTTGTTTATTTGTAAATATGGCACTGTTAGGAAAGAGTGACTTCACCCAACTGAATACTTTGGAATGAGAAATATGTTTTTTTTTTTAAATGATGGCATTGTACTCCACACAGCAAAAACATTTTAATAAATTTTTGAACTCTGTACTCAGAAAAAGGGACCACGAAGTATATGCCATTAAGCATCTTTCTGTCCAAATTTATTTAGAAACATGGTTCCTCCAAAATATGTTCTAATATTCCATGCTGTTAAACTCAGACTTTAAAAAAATTGATGACAAATAAAATGGAAAAATATTAACTAAGCACAAGGTCTTTAATTTTGATTTAAGCACATGAGCAGATGTGGCAGGGAGGAGTCTAGACTGGAATAAGTTCCAGATGGGGTGCCTATGTTAATAAAAAAAAACCCCTTTGAAGAGTTAGTGGCAAGTGAAATTCCAGCACTTGAAGACTGAACATTTTTAATCACTCTAATAATAAAACATAGCTGACAAGCACTAAGGTCTTGACCACGTTGGGATATTTTCATTAGTTTAACACAATTTAAGCAATAAGAATAATGAAGAGATTAAAAATTGGTCAGAGAGCAAAAGAACACAAAATTGTTAGAGTTAAAAGCAATTTTAAAAATTATCTAGTCAAGTAAGCTTATTTTTAAAAAATAAAGAAATGTACAGGTTATGTGTCTTCACTATATGGGAGTATAAATTAGTGACATATCAGTTTAGAAATAATTTCCAGTCCAGTTGTGGGGGTGAGGTATTCTAGATTTATTTTAGTTTGCTGTATATTCAGTATATTTTTAATGTATAATTATTTTTAATTTATTAATCAACTTTGAGTCTTTTGTTTACTTATCACATTTATTTTGTAAATATTTTAGGATAAGGTAATATAACACATATAAGAATTATTCATCATTAGTTTTCTTTACTTTATCTTTCTATATCATTGAGCCTTATTTAGACATTTTGATTACTTCATGCATCATTACCTCAACATGATTAATTGCCCAAAAATATACAACTTCAATACTATTAGTTATTTTGTCTTGAATAGAAAATTACGTAAGTAAAATACGCATTTTCCTTTTTATGACTTTGATAATTTTAGATTTTTAGCTTACCATATTATTCATTCTCTCCTATCAAAAAATCAAGTAAAGAATAATCTAGAGGGGATGCCTTCAAGTTTTGACTTCAAAAATATCACAAACTTTTAAAATATTTCTCATACACACAGATTCGGCTGCTACCTCTGAAGCTACACACACACACACACACACACACACACACACACACACACACACACACACCACCTATTGCTTCCTAACCTTTCCTCTGATAGTTCTGACTTTCCTATTTATAAATAATTTATTCTGAGTGAAGGCATTGCCTTCATGTGATATCTGCTATAATGAGCATGTGTTTCCTGAGAAAAATGGACATTCTGAGTCATTAGAGTCTAAGTAAAGAAATGAAAATGATGCAAGAAATCCAAGTGTGGGGCCTATGGCATCAGAATAAGAATTCTCACTGTTTTCTATGTTGAGGACTGTGGTCAAAATGATTTATTAATAGAGGTATATGATCAGAAATATTTGAATAACACATCCAGAGCTAGAGTGACATTTCTAAAACACCATTATGATTATACTATTTATTTGCTTAAAACATTTACAAGCTTACCCAACTTTTTAGGATGAAATTCAAACTTGGCCCTAGCATTCAAACCATTTTATGACATTTTCCCTGATTACTTTTCCACATGTAATATTTTACTTCTCACACTAAATACTGCATATTTTCTTATGCCTGTACATCAACTCTTAATGCCCAGGACACCCATTTTCTGCCCTTTGGAGGTACCCAAAAACTATAGAAATTGCTGTCATTCTTTACAATTATGAAATAGGTACTTTTAGAAATTAATGAGTCTGTGGAAGCAAATGTGGTTGGTATAGTAAAGAATAGTTTTCATGCCATGAATTTCAGCATACAATTAGCAAAATTGTAGCAATAATATTAAGGAATAGGAAGCTAAATGAAGAATATTAATTACATTTTACATGCCACATTCTCTAGATTCAATGGTACTATCTCTTCAATGGTACTTTTTCAACACGTTAATTCCTGTCCTATCTTTAGGCTTCAACCTGCATGTCAACTTTTTCTAGGAAGCCTTTTCTGATATGTCTGTTTTGTGTTCCTCTGGTGACCTCTGCTTATCCTCGTCAGGGCACTTGTCTTTTAATGAGGTTGTGAACTTCTTCCTGGCACTTTACATGTCTAATTCACAGTTGTACCTCTAGAACCTAGCGCAGTACCTTGAACATAGTGGAAGATTAATTTATATTTATAGAATAAACGAATGAATACAAATTCAGCATATTTTCTCTTAAAAATAATGGTTTCAATTTCAAGGTTAAACAGAAGTAAATATGAGAATCTAAGAATATTAATCTTTCTCGCCCTTCCCTTTTCCTTCAAAAGTCTTTTCCACTTCTAAGTCATCCCTTTCTTGCCTTGTAATACCTCTTCCCCACCAAAACATTACTCAAATCTAACTTTGATTCAGAGGCTAACCTCTTATTTGGAACAAAAGGAGTACTTCTTCCAACTATTATTTGATAGAAATAGTTTATACAGCATTTTGCTATTTTCATAGAACTTCATGTGCATTTAATGTCAAGAGGAATATATATCTATGATATATCTATGACAGTGGAATGACAGGATTTAGGACAGATGTTGCTGGACATGTGGCTTTTCTCTGTCTGAAGTAGGGCAATGACACTAAAATAAACTTCCACATTTGTAAGGTACTTACTCCAGCTTTTCTTAACAAATGTCTCAATGAACACTAATCATAATTCCTTCAAATACACTAGGAAAATTCATTATCTTCTTCCTCACCCATGCAGATACATATAGGGGCACACAGACACAATTTATAGTTGAGAAAAATTAGGGTTAGAATTTAAGCCACTTGACTGTGTTCATGGAAACAGTATGAGTTAACACCCTGGGCTTCCTGATAACTAGTTCAGGGTTCATTTCATTGCATTAGATGAGAAAGTTATAGCTGTTCTCTCTTCTGGTTTAAGTGGATTATGTAACTATTACATCTTCTCATCCCATCCACCACATCAGTGCAAGAAAATTAGGGCCATGCACAGAACAGCCCATGTGAATCACAGCTCTGTAACTGCAGAGAAAATATTGTGCTGATCAGTGGGAAGCAGCAATTTTTCCACAATCGTCTGTCCATGCTTAGATAGTATATCACATTAAAAGTGAAAGCCTTGATCTACAGAAAAGTAGCTGCCCAATTTCTAATTTGTGACAGTCGAACAAGAAAAAGCTGTGACATGCTCATTCATTAAAAGCTCTCATTACATATTAATCATGCCAGGAAACTGCACAAAAGTTGTGAAGATATCAGTATAGTTATCCATTTGTAATTTCAGAGAGAATTAAAGGAAAACGGAGTAGCAAAACTACAGTTTAGTCTCTTCTATAGAAGGAAAGTATCTGAAGTTCTTTTTCATCAACTGAATCGTATTAGCTCTCTTGACAAAAACTCACCACTATATTACTTATATAAAAATACTGTTATATACAAACATGTCACCCCAGGCACTGCCTTATCGTTTTCACATATATCTGATTATTTTTTTCAAATAATTTTCTGCGTCTCTATTTCACAAGCGATAAAATTGAAGTCTACGCAGGTTGTCCATTGATTAGGTTGTCCATTGATAGGAAGTCATGAAGATTCAAGCCCCAATTTTTCTGACATCCAAGTTCTTCCTCTTAAGTACATTCATATTATGTTTTACATGAAATAGGACCACAAACATAATTGCAATAGAGAAAGGTGTTTGACTCAATAGAGAACTCTAGTTAATAGATTCGTTCACCGTCACATAAAGATAATTGTAAGGAGTTTCTCCCCTTAAGATGAACTATGCTTACTTGTGAGTGGACCACATGATATAAAGTGTGAACTATGAAAGGTTAACTGTTTTGTTTTGGTCCCACCAGTAGGATCTTCTCTGACAAGGACACCACCCTTACCCAGCTGAGGTCATTCTCTTTGCCAATTGCCCTCAGGTATTTCAGCCCTTTGTGTCTCCTGAAAAAGTCATCTTTCAGTTTTTATTCAACCTTAGGCTGCAGAGAAGTAGAAGAGGCACTCACGTTCAAAGGATCCTCTCCAACTTGCCAGGGCATAACACAAACGCTCTTTTCCCAATTCTTTCTGGATCCATTGTCCTGAACACCTTAGCACCTTTGGATCTCCAGCCTAGTCTCTGGTGGTGCTTTCCTTACTCTAATTCAGAATTTCGTGTTAAGACTTCTATCTAACACCTGGCCCTTTGCAGTTTGATCATAACTAATATATATTATGCAAACCCTAGATCTCCTTTATCCCTTACCCCATGCTTTCCTTATACTTTCTGAAGGAACAAATCAAGGGAAAAAGTATTAAGAAGAGAAAGATATTCTGAAGGCGTACTAGTACAAAGAAAATAATGCAGTGAAGTTTGTTCAATATCCGCAAGGGAATGATGTTTTCCTTTGTCATGTTTGCTTGGTTTTGTCTTGTAGCTATTTTGCCCTGAAGGTGCTAAAGGAACTAAAATGCCTTCTAAGATTTGCATCTGTTTACAGAATAGTTATAGGAGTGAGACACAGAACTATAAAGTCCTATGCTGCTTCTCCAGGCAAGAAGCAGGATTCAGGGAGGGGGTGGAGGTAATAAAAGACAGAAAAAAATAGAAAAAAAAAATTGAAAATAAAGGGAGACAAGAAAAAAGAAACTGATAAAAAACAGAATTTCTTTCTGAAATTATTAAACAGGAAGAGCAAAAAAGTAATTGTTTTGTGCCATTTCCTAGACTCTATCTGTATCTGTAATTACAAAGTAGAATAATTATTATTTTTCAGATAGAGGCTTAATCACACTAAATATACTTGAGATATTGTAAACCTAAATAATTTTGTGTGTATATATGTATATACATACACACACACACACACACACACACACACACTATATATATATATATATGACTCCTTAAAAAAGGCTTAGAGACTTGAAAACAAAACCAAAAAATCTCATAGCCAGTAAAATGGAAGACCAAAACCTGACCATGTCAATGCTTATCTCTGAATTATTATTTCTATGTGGTCACTCTAATTAGTCTCTAACATATGTTTCTATACAGCATAGGGGCATCCTTTTGTTAACTATTATCTTCCTCTTTCACTTTCCCTCTGTTCCTTCAACTTAGAAATGATAAGTAAATATCATTATATTGGGTAGTGTGTGGGTATATATGTATGTGTGTGTGAGAGAGAGAAAGAGAGAGAGAGATGGGAGTATGGGGAAGAGAAACAGCATGTGTGTCTATATAAATTGGAAATCTTTGGCAGTGCTGAGAAAGTAGAAGTCATATCAAGGACACTGGGCCAAAGTTTTATGGAGTAAGAGAGCCATGGCTAATTAATCAGATGCCTTGGACAATCTGACTCTATTATAGGAACCGATGGATATTAGGAAGTTATGAGAGCATTTGCAGAGGCTTTTAGCTTCAGATATTTTCACAGCCTCCTATAGAAAAGGAAGAGCTCAGAGTTAAAGCAAAATCTCTGTATGAGCCAAGGGACCTACTGATATATTTTCCTTGGTACACAGTGAACTTTGCAGTCTACCTCCCACAGGAAAAAAAAAAAATAAAGCATTGGCAAGAAATCTTCACCTACTCCTATTCGGCATTGTTCTTCTACTACAAACTAGAAGAAACCATCTTTCTGTTCAAACCTAAACACTGTTGCTGATTTGGCTTCTTTTCTAAAAGGTGTGAAGTCCATAACCAATCCAGATAAAATTAAAGACATATTTTATTCTATATTTTTCCTCTCGTTTTTTACTGCAATAAATTTTTTTAAAGCAATGTCCCTGCGAAAGAGTGAAACAGTTGCATCTTTCTCTTAATCTCAACCATTCTGATTTCACCTTTCAGGTTGATCATTCAAAAGTGTTTCTGTGCTGAACACAATTTTACTAAGGGCATAATAAAGTAAATATCATAAACACAAGAGCAATTTGGGTCATTCAATCTATTTTGCAGAAAAGTTAGGTGTGACTGTCTTACCCACTGGGACTATCAATCTTTGGGTTCTGGTTAGCGTTTCTCTGACTCCCCTTCATGACATATTCTATTTCTTTTCTAAAATTCTAGATATTATTTTTAATATCTAATTACAATATTTTAACTTTATGTGATAAGATACATTTTATTTACAGTTTTCAAAATATCTCACCCCTCTAATTATTTCAAGTCCATTTATTTTATTTACTTAGTTATTTGGGAAACTAGACATTTGGTAATCAATACCAAAATAAAAGATATATTCAATATTCAAAAAAACCAGTTTTTATCAGAATTGTAGCTCCTTTATCTTATTAATCAATAAATATAGTATTATCTAATATACTATATATTTTGCTTAATCCTTTGTCTATTGTCTTACAAGAGACTTACTGAGAGTAGGAAATTTTTTAATGAGTTGTCAACTATATAGCTATCCCTAGAGCAAAAAATTGTGCCAGACACAAAATAAAGTAGCTACTCAATCAATATTGTTTTGATAGCAGAATTGATAATGACTGAGTCCTAACAAGTTATGTGAATTAATAAGGCACAGTCAATGCCACTGATAATTTATATTCTTAGAGAGAAATAATGGAAGTACATAATAATGAATACTTATAATTAATATTTATTGAGCTTCTTGGCACCTACTTGTATTTGATAAATTGAAAATTAACTATAAAAACAATAAAATGTTATTTAAATTTAATACTGTCAAACAGTCTTTCAATGAAAAATTAATATAATAATTATTAATATTACTAAGTTTGGCATACTGAGCCATATAGTCATACTCACATGATACAGAAACTAGGAAATGTAACTTTTTATTGTTGTTGTGGTTGTGGTGAGAACAGAACTTATTGCTGCCTTCCACAAAAGTGGAATTTTGTTAGCGATGAAGAAGGGGATGATGGATACCAAGTGTTCAAACCCTGCCTCCTCTAGAAGTGTTCCCTCATTACTCCTTCTCATACTGATCATTCCATCTTTTAACATAAATTCTGACTCTGTGGTTTATACAGATTACTACTTGATTTCACACTGTCTTCTAAACACTATTTGTTTTGTGGCAGTTTATTTCCTGAAGTAGATATTATGTGAAGCTTTTGCAGAAAGGATGATATTTGGGTTCTGATTTAACTACAAATGTCTCAGAAGCAAAGAATGGAATAGCATTCTTACCTTGTTATTTTAGAATTTCTACTGAAGACATATGTCTCTAAGAACTCTTACAAAGGGAATGAAACACATATCCTCACACAAATCACAGAGATGTAGCTAATGGTCCTTTGACACCCTCTTCCTGCTTACAAAACCAAAGACTAGATGTGCATAGTTATTGATTGAAGTAATGAATTATTAGCCTGGGGTAAAGTGTTTTGTACAGTTTCCTTCACTCCTTCATAAGTAGAGAAGGACTCCTCAAAGCAAGTGAGAGGACTCCAGGAGAATCCATGAGAGAGGTCATGATTACTTGAAAAAAGAAGAGTTAGGCAATACACTCCCTTCCTAGATGCCTATTTACTCTAGTTTTTACAATGTTCCTCATTATGTGTCTAGTGCAGAAGTTAATGCTTTTCTAAGTGAGCTCAACATGTGTCTTCTGCAGTTTGGGGGGGCATACATTAACATAAAAGCTGGAATCTGCTTTCTTCCTAAAGGATTTTGAAGCAAGAAGCTGGTAGAAAATTCTAATATTTGTCCTGATAATGGCACATGAATTTTTACCATGTGGATACTAGACACTTCTCAAAAGAAGACATTTACGTGGCCAAAAAACATATGAAAAAATAACTGAACATCACTGATCATCAAAGAAATGCAAATCAAAACCACAATGTGATACCATTTTATACCAGTCAGAATAGCGATTATTAAAAAGTCAGAAAACAATAGATGCTAGCAAGGCTGTGGAGAAACAGGAATGATTTTACACTGTTGGTGGGAATGTAAATTAGTTCAACCATTGTGGAAGACAGTGTGGCAATTCCTCAAGGATCTAGAGAAATTGTATCTAGAGGAATCCTCAAGGATCTAGAACCAGAAATACCATTTGATCCAGCAAACCCATTCCTGGGTATGTACCCCAAGGAATATAAATAATTCTGTTTTAAAGACACATGCACACATATGTTTACTGCAGCACTATTTACAATAGGAGACATGAAACCAACACAAATGCCCATCAATTATAGACTGGATAAAGAAGATGTGGTACATATACATTGTAGAATACTATGCAGCCATAAAAATGAATGAGATCATGTCCTTTGCAGGGACATGGATAAAGCTGGAAGCCATCATCCTCAGCAAACTGACACAGGAAGAGAAAACCAAACACCACATATTCTCACTCATAAGCAGGAGTTGAACATTTAGAACACATGGACACAGAGAGGGGAACAACACATACCAGGGCCCACTGGGGGGGTCAGAGTTGAGGGTAGAGAACTTAGAGGACAGGTCAATAGGTGCAGTGAACCACCATGGCATACATATACCTATGTAACAAATCTGCATGTTCTGCACATGTATCTTGTTTTTCCTTTCTTTTTTTTAGAAGAAATTAAAAACGAAACAAAACAAAAAACAATGACTAGGTTTACACCATCTTGATACTACCTGCACAAGAGGGTGGACACTATTGACTTAAAATTGAAGTTTTGATTTGAGTTGAAGAGAAATTTTAATACTTATAAATGAGTTTTAATAAGGAAAATGAGACTGTTGTTATAATTAAAAGAGATAAGAAAGTAACGATAACTGCCGGAGATATAGTCAATGTAGGGAAGGATTATTCAACAGTAGGGAAGGGTTATTCAACAGAATGTATATGAAATTAATAGTAGGAAAAAATGAAAGCGTTTTCTTTTTCTACCCAATTGAGTTTCATCTTTAAAAAAATGGCTACCTCTATAAATGAATAAATTAGAACTATTTGCTCAACATAAGAAGTTTTTCTTGTTTATTTGCGTAGAGGTTTTTTCCAAACACCACATGTTCTCACTCATAGGTGGGAGTTGAACAATGAAAACACATGGACATAGGGCGGGGAACATGACACATCGGGGCCAGTCAGGAGGTGGGGGGCCTTGGGGTAGGGATAGCATTAGGAGAAATACCTAATGTAAATGATGAGTTGATGGGTGCAGCAAACCAAAACAGCACCTGTATACCCATGTAACAAACCTACACGTTGTGCACATGTGCACTAGATCTTAAAGTTTAATTACAAAAAAAAAGAGTAAGCTTTTCATACATGCGCAAGACTATGGTTTCCCTTTTATGTTTTCTTCTCATTAGAGCAGCTGTCTTCAATTTCATCTCTTCCTACTTGTTTATCTCCCAAAGTCCATCTCAAACACTACTTTATCCCCGAAGCAGTGTTTGATTTCTACTCATCTACACCTCTAAGCCTTTAGTTATGGTATCCATCACTTCCTTCACAAACACTTATTAAGCACATACTTTTATAACCTCCTTGGCATTTAAGGTAGAAATTAAAATAAGCAAATGTCATTAAGAAGCTTAATGTTTAATGGAGAGACAGTCACATAAAGAAATCATTTCAGTGTAGTATATAGGTGAATGCATACAAAGTGGCAACCCAAAGCAGTTATTTTCTGTAGGCTGAAGGACAACCAGAAGTCAGCATTAAAGAAAGCTTCACAGAGGAAGAGGTACTGGAAGTGGGTTCTGAAGGACATTTTTGGCTAATTATATATATTTTCTTGCTCTAACTTAGATAATTTGTTAAATAAAAAACAACTGTTGTCCCTCTAAAACTTGAAATAATATGGAAATAGAATATGGTCCATATGAAAAGTCTACAATAATCCAATGGCATGAAATACAAATTTTCAGAGGTATAGGATCTGTGAGGAAAGAAGTTATTTAGTAGCATGACAGATGGAAATGAGACACAAGAGTTGAAGCTAAACTACATTAATTCCAGAACACGGGAGTTAAATTATGAAAACTATTTTTGCTAAGATCTTAGAGTGTTTTGAATGCAGAAGCTCGCTATAGCTTTGATCCTTACACAGCCTAGCATTTTCCCTCTCCTCTTCTTGAGTAAGTTTGAGAGGTTTCTTAAGTTCTTCAAAGTCAACCCCCTCTTCTTTAGCCATATTATGTGGGTTTCTGTTGCTTGTGAATAAAACATGATAACATATATGTAAACAGATAAATTAGATAAAAAGTTGCATATGACAAGTGTTATGAGTAGAGATAAAAGCACACCTTAGTGAAAGAAGAGAAAGCTAATATATTTTAAGTATCTTGAGGATCAGTAGCATCCTTTTGGTCTTTATTTTTATGATTTATATGTGTAGAAAAGTATCTTGCAAATTATCATTTCTCTACTAACGTTCATAATAGTTTCTTTAAAATTATTTATTAGTGCACACTTTTGTGACCAGGTGCTATAGAGGTGAGGATATATACCTAATAAGACATAATCATTGTTTTTAAGAAACGTACTATCTTTCAGGAAAGGAAAACACCAAATAGATAATATTAATGCAGGACAAATGCAGAGATAGTAACAAAATCAAAATAATTTAACATCCTTAAAAAGAAATGTTTGCTACATAAAAGTAAAAGAAGGTATTAAAAGACTTTTTTGTGTATTTAATCTTGATTTCTCTAATTTGTGACTGTTTCTCCACAGTCTTCCTCACTCATACTTTTAAAAAAGTGTTTACCTTCTCAAAGATTAAGTCATGAAGTCCCAACTAGCAGCTGCAAAGTTTTGTGAACAACATATTGGATGAGGGACAAAGATTTTGAATTTCTCTAATACACATATATTTCAATAACAAGGTGGTTATTAACTTTCTATCTGAGATCAACCAAATCTTATCAATGAAGAAGAAATGCAACAGACTTCTGTTCCTCCCTCCTATCTGCTCCTATGGTCCTACAGTATGAAAATTAAACCAAATATGCAGTTTCATAATGACTATGAAATCATTTACACAGCTATACCAATATTCAGAGTAGACGCAGACAGAATAAAAAACTCTGACCTCAATTGGGGTCTTCTTATGGGAATGTAATACAAGTACTTACATTCCCTTGGTTTTAATTTTAATAATTCAGAATATCATAACTGCTTTACATGGGCTGTATTAGAATATCTTGAAACTAGAGGACTTGAATAAGTGATTTTTACAGTCCCATTTTAGCACTAAATAAACTTACGAATCTTAGTTATTATTTCTCAAACTAGATTGTTGAGAAGCCCCAGAGGCAATTGGATATTTTTATACAAAATGCTTAGAAGGCATTTTCTTCCTTATAGACCCAGAACCAGTTGGTAAATAACCTTTCTTGATTTGCAGCTTTTCATAGCAGTAGATATTTCTGTGTCAATTTATGAATATAAAGTTTTCATATTAACTCCAAATATTTTACTCATTAAATCAGAACATGAAAGATCATTCAAGGATAAAATTTTCTCTAAAATTAGCTGAAAAACAAGGTTACCTTTTTTTTTAACTTTATTGAAAAACTTTTAATTTATCAAAAAAAGTTTAACAGAGAAAGATAGCTGTCAGCAAGTTAAGAGGCTGCCATTTCATTAACAGATTTATCTTTGTATAATACTGAGAAGGAATAATCATAGTTTTGTGTTTGTTTTGTTTTGCTTTTTTGTAAAATATAATTTTAAAATTATTTTTACTGCTAACCTAATTTGTTAGGTGGATAGATCCTTCAAAGTCCAAACATATAACAGCTCAGGAAGATAAAAAGCAAATGAAGTATATGGAACATTAATAAAAGTTTGAATATCTTGAAAGCTCTTTTTAACCCTAAAGTTTTATTAAGCTTTCCTGTACTTTTATAAATTTTTGGGGAAATAGTTATTTCTTATGCAAGTCAATGAAGCTCATTATAAGGCTCATTACAGTAAAAATCAGATGATAAAAGACCATTGAGGCATTTATAATTATAATATTATATTATATATCAAGCCATTACCAATAATGTCAAGTGTTAGAGTTCTTTTTACTTATAAAAATTTTCAGACATAAAATGATTATCTTTCTCTTTTCTACTTTCCTATATCCATGTCTATACATTTGAAGTAAAGTATTACAAATCAGGCATGTAATTGCTTTGATGTCTTCTTTGAATTTCTTTATAAAGTACAAAAGTTAAACTCTTTAAAACCTACGTGACCTATATAAACTAAAACATTTTGAAATTTGGAGGAATCAGAGAAAGAGTTCTTTGAAATAGAAAATTGTTCTATCTCCTTGGGTGAACCACAGAAACTCTGTTTCCTCATCAGAGAAAAGTTATACATTTATCAGACAGAAGATATTTATAGATTTCCTTTTTCTGAATAGCTTTCAAGAAGTGATAGACTTCTGGCCAAGGTCAAATATTTAACTTTTCTTAGTAATCTTAGCTTTTCTAACTTCCATAATCTAATTATGTCAGCAGAATTTCAACTCACTGGAACCATTAAAACTGTTTTTTGTTGATTGCTGAAATATCGTTCTGTTTCTTCTAAGTATAATTTGACATATACCTTCAAAATATGTATCAAATGGATATTCATTTAAGTGTGCTAACATTATGTAATAGTATTTGGGTTGGGGATTGCTGCGTTTCCGGTTGTACAAAGGATAACTGTATTGAGTTAGGTATAATTATGGCCTTATTATTGTTGTTTATGAAGATTATGTATGATTTCAGGAGATATGTATGGGTTCAAGTTGACAAGGGGTGGACTTGTGGTGGTTAATATTGAATGTCAACTTGATTAGATTGCGGGATGCAAAGTACTTTTCCTGGTTGTGTCTGTGAGGGTGTTGCCAAAGCAGATTAACATTTGAGTCAGCGGACTGGGAAAGGCAGACCCACCCTCAACCTGGGTGAGCACAATCCAATCAGCTGCCAGTGCTGCCAGAATAAAAGCGGGCAGAAGAACCTGAGAAGACTAGACTGAGTTAACCTCCCAGCCTACATCTTCCTTCTGTGCTGGATCCTTCCTGCCCTCGAACATTGGACTCCAAATTCTTCAGCTTTGGGACTTGGACTGTCTTCCTTGCTTCTCAACTTGCAGACAGCCTATTATGGGACCTCACCTTGTGATCATGTGAGTCAGTACTTCTTAATAAGCTCCCCTCTATATATACATCTATCCTATTAATTCTGTTCCTCTAGAGAACCTTGACTAATACAGTTTAATATGTCTAGATATTAAAAAAATTACAAAAGCAATAAAAGATATAAATATCCAAGAAACTACCAAAATGAGCAGATTAAAAAACAATTTCCAAGGGAAGTAAAATGAATGAAAAAAATAAAATTTAAAATGATATGGACAGTTTAAAAACCAATTTGATTTCTCTGAAGGATGAAATATTTATCTAGAAAATATAGCATAATTAATTTCTTGGAATGTATCGCAGAAAAATGAAATATTTAAAACTGTTTCAAAATAAAAGTAGAGGCCAGGCGCGGTGGCTCACGCCTGTAATCCCAGCACTTTGGGAGGCCAAGGCGGGCGGATCACAAGGTCAGAAGATGGAGACCATCTTTGCTAACACTGTGAAACCCCGTCTCTACTAAAAATACAAAAAAATTAGCCGGGTGTGGTGGTGGGCGCCTGTAGTCCCAGCTACTCGGGAGGCTGAGGCAGGAGAATGGCGTGAACCCCGGAGGCAGAGCCTGCAGTGAGCCAAGATCGCGCCACTGCACTCCAGCCTGGGTGACAGAGCGAGACTCTGTCTCCAAAAAATAAAAAACATAAAAGTGGAAGTAGGATACATGGGAAAAACAGTGCAGAGGCTCCATATATATCCAACTGGAGATCCAATTGGAATAAAAGAGAGAGGAAGATGCACAATATTTTAAAAAGTAAAGGGTGATAATTTGCTAGAAATCATAAAATATTAATAATGAAAATCAAATAACCTAACAAATGTTAAGTCTATAATTGATAGTGTATGTGTGTGTATGTGTCTGTATGTTTGTGAACTAAGCTGTAGCATAACAAAAACAAACAGTAAGGACTTAAATCAGTTAATAAAAAAGATAATTTAACAAGCTGAATTCTCAAATGTAACAATGAAAACTAAAACGACAGTAATAATATTCTCATGGTACTAAAAGCAAATGTGTTACAATTGTATAACAAGAAAAGCTAACTTTTAAGAAGGTGCATAAAATAAAGACTTTTCAACTAGTAAAAAGTCGAGTGTTTATAATCAATCAATCTTCACTAAAGGAGTGTCTAATAAATGTATTCATCCAAAAGGATGAGGACCAAAGACAGATGTTCTGAGAAGCTAAATGATTGCTAAGAAACAAAAACAAAAATTATTAAATGTATGAGTAAATATAAATAAATACTGCCTGTATAAAAGGATAATAATAATTATTTTTTGAGATATCATGAGAAAGTTAAAATACTGGATAATTTTGGGTAATGTAGAGATCGGCATGAAAGTGCCTTCATTTCCATATAATAAATTGCATAAAAGTAAAGAAATTTAAATAACTTTAGAATTTTTAATCATACAAAATGAAGCATCTAGCATAACTAACAATTCAATAGAAAAAATAATGTAATAATGTAAATTTCAGGTTGTAAGCAGGGAAAGAATTTAAAAAGGCTGCCTGTCTGCCCAAGAAAAAGAAAAAATATTCATCATCCAAAAGATGGCAAAACAAGACAAAATAAAAACGGGAGAAATGAATAAATTGAAAGTGAAAACTAAAGTGGTAACAACAAATCAAAGTCTATCAGTATTAAAAAGTAAAAATCAGGCCGGGCGCGGTGGCTCACACCTGTAATCTCAGCACTTTGGGAGGCCAAGGCGGGCAGATCACAAGGTCAGGAGTTCGAGACCAGCCTGACCAACATGTGAAAACCCATCTCTACCAAAAATACAAAAATTAGAAAGGTGTGGTGGTGCGTGCCTGTAATCCCAGCTACTCAGGAGGCTAAGGCAGGAGAATCGTTTGAACCCGGGAGGCGGAGGTTGCAGTCAGCCGAGATCACACCACTGCACTCCAGCCTGGGCAACAGAGCTAGACTCTGTCTCAAAAAAATAAATAAATAAAATAAAATAAAAAAGTAAAAATCAAGCTAACCACTCTAGTTAAAACAAAACAATTATCAGACTCTGTGAAAGGTAAGTTTCACCAAGAAGAAACACTGATATGGAGATTATCATGAAAGATTTTTATTATGGGCAGTCCTTGGGGACAAGAACACCAGAAGGGAAAGAAGAAGCAGGACTAGGCACAGCAAAGAATTTCTTTCAATGCAGGGTCAATGACAGCTTTGGCTAACCCCATGGGGAGCTCTGGAACTAGAAAAGCCCTTTTGAGTTTTCGTAAGCTGAGTTGTGATATCCAGGTTTGTACCATCAGTCAGTGGATGGAGATCAATCTAGGAGGAGGCATAAACTTAGGTTCTTTGCAACCTAAAGAGGCTGATAATATGGGTGTTTAATTTTAGAATATTATTAATTCCCTAATTATGATTTTTACCTAGAATCTAGAAAAAGAGAAGAGAAAAAACACAAAGCAGCAGAAAGAAGAAAATAATAAGTGTAAAGACAGAGACCAATAAAATTAAAAACAAGAGAAAATTTTAATAGAAAAATCAATGAAACATAGAGCTTGTTCTTTGAAAAGATCAATAAAATTGACAAACTTCCAATAAGCCTGACAAAGAAGAGAAGACAGAAGACACAAATTACTGATATCAAACATGAAATAGGGGCTATCACTACAAATGCTGAAGAACTTGAAAGAATAATAAATACTATGAACAACTATATCCATATGAATTTGACCAGTTAAGACTGTATGTTATTGGTGGAGGAATAGAAACATAAATCAATGGAACAAAATAAAGAACCTAGAAAAGGAACCACAAAAATTTACCCCAAACTTGTTTTGGATAAAGCTGCAGAAGCAATTCAATGGAGAAAGAATAGCCTTTTCAACCAGTAGTGCTGAAGCAATTAGATACCCTTTGGAGGGGTTGTGGGGGAGAAAAACCTCAACCTAACTTTCACATCTTATATTAAAATTAACTCTAAATGAAACACAGATTTACATGTAAATTGTAAAGCTGTAATTTTAAAAATAAATTTTCAGAATCTAGAACTAAGCAAAGAGTACTAAATTTGACACCAAATGAATGATCCATCAAAGAAAAAAAAAATCCAATACACTGGACTGATCAAAATAAAAAAGAAAGACTTGGGCCCTGAAAAAGACCCTGTAAAGAGGATTCAAAAGACAAGCCACAGAGTGGGAGAAAATATTTGCAGACCACATCTGACAATGAAGTAATTTATAGAATTTATAAAGGACTCTCAAATCTCAACCGTAAATGATAATATTAATAATAATAATAAATCCAGTTAGAAAATGTTCAAAGATATGGACAGTCATTTCACCAAAGATGATATACACATAACAAGCACATAAACAGATGTTCAGCATCCTGAGTCATTAGGAGAGTGCAAATTAAAATGACAGTGAGATATCACCACATACATATCAAAATGGCTGAACTAAAAATAGTGACAAAACCAAATGTTGGCAACGATGCACATCATTCATTAGTTGCTGCTGGGATTACAACTCTGCATAAATGGTTTGATAGTTTCTTAAACTAACTAAAACATGCATCTAACATACAGCCCAGTATTTGTACTACTAGACATTTATCCCAGAGAAATTAATATTTTTGTTCACATAAAAACCTATATATTCATGTTCACTGCTGCTGTATTTGAAATAGTCAAAAATGAGAAAAAAAAACTAAATTTCCTTTCTCAAGTGAATGGTTAAAAAAACTGTAGTGCATTTGTGTCACAGAATACTACTTACAATAAAAAGGAATGAATTATTGGTATACAAAACAACTTGAATGAATATCTTGAGAATTATGCTGAATATAAAAGCCAATCCCAAAGGTTACCTACTGTATCATTCCATTTATATTACAGTCTTGAAATGACAAAGTTACAGAAATGGATACAAGATTACTCTTTTCCGAAGGTTAGAAATGAGAACAGGTGAGTATGGAGGAAATAAGGAAGTGGGTGTGGCTATCGCAGGGCAATATGTGTGAAGGCAGAGTAATGCCCATGTCTCCCCCAACCCCCGCCAAAAAATATCCATGACCCCATCTTCTAAAATTGTGAATATATTATGTTACTTCATAAGAAATAATTAATATTACAAATAAAATTAAAGTTGTTAATCAACTGACCTTAAATGAAAGAGATAATCTTGTATTGTCTCACTGGGTCCAACGTAGTCATGAGGGGCTTTTAAAGAGTGTGGAAGATGAATGCAGAACAATCAGCATCACAGTGATAGAGTGTGAGAAAGACTCAACAGGGCACTGCTAGCTTTGAATGCGGAAGGTGCTCAAGAGCTAGGGAATGCAGGCAACCTGGAGAAGCTAGAAATGTTCAGAACATGGGTCCTTCTCTAGAGTCTCCAGAAAAAAACATGACCTTACTAACACTTTTATTTTAGCCCAATGAGACCCATCTCAGATATCTGACTGCTAGAACTATATGATAGTAGATTTGCATTGTAATCCATTAAGTTGTGGTAATATTTTTTTAAGCAGCTACAGGATAGAATTACAAAAAGATCCTGGTAGGGAAGGGAATGTTCCATGTCTTGAATGTTTTGGAAGTGCTGGAAGATGTACTGTTGGGGAAAACTAGGTAAAGCGTTCATAAGATTTCTCTGTATTATTTCTTACAACTACATGTGAATGTATAATTGCTTTCAAATAAATGTTAAAAATATGTAATCATTATAAATAAAATATACAATTATTTATATAAAATATATACTATATAAAAACAGGTTTAAAAATATGTAATTAGGGAATACATAAATATATACACATACATTTGTTTACATATATGTATAAATGCATGTATGTATACACATATATTACATATAAATATATGTATACATAAAAGATACATATATGTCAATAAATACGTATGTATATTTGCGCAGGTTTGTTACATAGGTTAACTAACCCATGTATACTAGTATATACATATATTTAAATGTTAAAGTCACATTTAAATGTTAAACTAACCTATGTCTATGTGTGTATACATATATTTATATATTTATATATGTGTATAAATATACGTACACACATATTTATATATGTATATTTTACATTCCTTAATCATTTGAAATTAACTTTAGAATTTTATTTATATTGTGTCTAAGAGCTTAAACATTTTATTTTTTATTTGAAATCATTTTATGAAGCTTATGACTTAAAATAGAAATCACAGCATTATGTCAATCATAGTCTTGATGTTAAAACATTTTTCCAACAATGATTCCAAATTAATAAATTGATATTCGCTTGTTTTAATGACAAAAATGATTACTACATGGATATTTTCATGACTGTATTTTATAGAGAGAAGTACTATAATTTATGAAAGAACTAAGTTCTGGGATTGTATGGCTTTTTTAACTTTAAGTTTAGGGGTACATGCGCAGATTTATTATATAGGTAAACATGTCATAGAGGTTTGTCGTACAGATTATTTAATCACCCAGGTATTAAGCCTAGTACCCATTGGTTATTTTTCCTGATCCTCTCCCTCTTCCCAACCTCCATTCTCCAAAAGGCTCCAGTGTGTGTCGTTCCCCCCATGTGTCCACTTGTCCATCATTTAGCTCCCACTTTTAAGTGAGACATGCATTATTTGGTTTTCTGTTCCTGTGTTAGTTTGCTAAGGATAATGGCCTCCAGTTCCATTCACGTCCATGCATAGGGAATGATCTCATTCCTTTTTATGGCTGTATAGTATCCCATGGTGTATATGTACCAACTTTTCTTTATCCAGTCTATCATTGTTGGGCATTTAGGTTGATGCCATGTCTTTGCTATTGTGAATAGTGCTGCAGTGGACATATGGGTGCATGTGCCTTTATAATAGAACAATTTATATTTCTTTGGGTATATACCCAGTAATGGGATTGCTGGGTCAAATGGTATTTCTCTCTTTAGGTCTTTGAGGAATTACCACAGTGTCTTTAAAGCCAGTCTCAGCCTTTACTATCTAGTTTATTTAACTTTGTACAAATTACTTAAACTTTATGAACCTCAGTTTTCTCACCTAAAAATTGAAGATAAGGATAGGATGCCTTGAAGTGTTTGCTCATGGTACTGTCAGTAAATGACAGTGCTATTTTTTGTTTAAAATATGCCACATCTATGTTGATATCAGATGAAACTTAAAAATATAGTGTTTGAATTATTATTGCATGAAAATGAATGAAAAGCTATATGTACCAATCCCTGCCTACTCAGTCCAAAATTTAAATTTTTGTGGGCTTCATCAGAAAAGGTTTTCAAAGTGACTCCAAAAGATTCTTTCCTAATTTACCTTTTTTATAGTGAGAAGGCCAAGTGATTTAGGGCATTTAGAAAGTGACTTTTGACTTCATGATGGGTGACATGGTTGGGATAGATCTCTACAAATATTCAGAAGTAATAGGATTCTCTGTGTTTATTCTCTGACATTTTTTAATGTTTCTGATTTACAGAGAAGGTTCTTTTTTTCTGGCAATGTTCAGCTTCTTCAGAGATTAAGTAAAACCTGTTTCCTACTAGAAAGAAGGTAAATTGTGGGCTATATTCAGGGAGACTACAGGCACCTGAGACTTACATGCTTTTCTAAATATTCAATGTCATTTTAGAAAATAAAAGATATCCATATAACTTTAAGTCTAATGTGCACAGCTATAAATTAGATTTTAAGCCTTTTCAAAGATACAGGTGGAAATCATTACAGTTCCCTTTGAGAAAGGAAAAACACAATGAACAGTAATTTGATTTCTAGCTTCTCTTCATGAATTTATTGGATGTTAAATGCTATTGCATTTTACTGGATGGTATAGTTCCATACGGCATTATTATCATGTATTCAAAACTTGAAACAGTACAGGAAAATCAGTTCCTTGACTTTTGAGATAAGGGTGTAGAAGTTTGCATAAGAGAGAATCCTACTCAAATTTAATTAAATCTCCTCTTTTTCCAATGATTATGCTGAGAAAACAAATTCAGTAAGATGGAGAAACCCAGATAAAATAAGATTATCTCACTCTGAGGGCACTGTTTACTGGAATCTGTGCCTGGTTACAAAAGGGTACATGGATGGTTTTGAGTCTCTGGTCCCCCTGGGATTCAGACATTTCAACATGTGCAGTTGACTCCGCCTTCATCAGTACTAATATTGTGCCCAAATTTGCAGGAGGTTCAAATTATTATTTAAAACTATCAGCTACTGTGAACAAGAAAATAGGTCACAGGAAAAGGGCTAGGAAGATACAGTGTAGTTATAGATGCCTTTGAGGCAGAGGGAGATTGTGGCAATGACAGCAGGTCAATGACTTAACATATTCAGAAAACTTATATAACTTTATAGTCTGCTGATAATATAGACAAATGAACTAAAATACCCCTTTGCCTGTATTGAGATAGAAAAACAAAGTGACTACTGTGGGTGAACACAGGAGTGATGGACTAGGGTGTGTCATAAAGCTACCTCAGGGAAGAATAAGTGGAACGCAGGAAGAATAGACCTATGTCATCAATTATTTGCTGCTGTAGCCTGGACCTTGCTAGCTTTGACATTCCTTCACTTCCTTTAGTCCATAATGGATTCAGAAAAAAATCATAAGAAATGCATTGAACACTAGCAAGCTTATTTTTATGATGGGAATCCTTCTGTATTTCCAGGCTGGCCTGAAACTCAGGGAATCCCTATAGGTAGACAGCTCAAAGTTACTATAGCAAAGTCACATCTGCCCTGGAACTTTCAGGGTAACATTGACTCTTGGAGAAGATTATTTACAATCAACTATTCAAAATGCCACATTCCACATCAGAACCTTCTGTATGGTTTTATGAAAGTGTTTTGCTGCACTCATGATTTTTGTGTATTTGCTTCCAGTGTACTTTGCAGAAATTTTCCTGGTGAATAGCAAAAGTCATAAAAATATAATTTTTTGTGGTTCTTGTTATAATCAAGCAGAAAACTTAATTTTATCAAGTATAACACTAGTTCTGGGACTAACCTATAAATGAAGCAAAGTTTATCCAATACAGTCACCTCCAATTTTTATCCAACAGATATTTATCCAATAGATATTAATCCAACATATTTTATCCAACAGAGTGCCCACTAAATACAAGATACTATTAGAGACACAGGGAGTTGTTCAATGAGCAAATCCAAATATTCCCATGGACTTATATTTCTAATGGGTGAAATATACAAACAAAAATATATATGTCAGTTTAAAGTAAATGCTATGAACAATAATAATGATTATAGTAATAAAAATAATAGTAATACTATATGCCAAATATAGTTAATGTGTTTAAACTACTATTATTTTTAATTCATCTAAAAGAAAAGTACTATTAGTATTTTCATTTTAGAGATGAGGAAAGTGAGGCACGGAAAGATTAAGTAACTTGATCAAGTTGGGAATTATTAAATGGCAAATCTTTCAGTCCAGGGAAATTGGCTCCAAATTTTAATAATGAATAAAAAGAGGTTAAGGGGGATTAAGAGAGATGGAGGGTGTGCTATTTTACATAAAGTGATTTGAAAAGTTTTACCTAGTAACAAGGTATTTGATCAGAAATATGAGGGGAATACAAGAACGAGGCATGGAGATGTGGCTGGCACACAGATGTTAGGGAGAGAGTCGTAGGAGTTGAAGTCATAAAAGTAGTGAGTGGGTGAAAAAGACTTCAAGAGTCAGATCATGTGGGACTTAGAGGCCTTAGCAAAGTGTCTTGAATGATATGGGAGTCATTAGAGCTTTGAAGAGAAATTAAGTGACTAGGAGCATTTCTAAATATTTAAGTTTTTAACTATGTTAAAGGAGGTACAAGATATGCTGGTTAAAAATATTTGGTTGCTATTATCAAGGAAAAAATTTACCTATGTTACCTTGCTATGCCCTCAGTAAATCTATTCAGCATTTTTATATTATGCGTACACAATTTCATATATTATCTCAGAACATCTCATTATGTAGATCACCATATTAAATTATTGGAGTTTCCTGACCTGCTCATGGCACACATTTAGCAGCAAAGCAAGTACTAGAAAATCGGTTTTCTTGAATTTTAATATTCTTCATATTCGTTTCTTTTATTTTATATTTTTCCTCTTTTTTACATTTTATTCTATTTTTGTTAACCCCAATTTATGACTCCCAGATAACACCTTCATAGGTAACATTGCCTGAGGTTAAAAAAAAAGAAGAAGAAAGAAAGAAAATGCTGCTGAAAGATATTCAACTACGTAAAGTTCTGTTAGACTGCAAAGATTTTATGTTAACACAGGGTTTCCCTTGGGTGTCTATAGGCAAATGAACCACTTAATAGAGAGCCATCACACTTAATTCCACATGATCAGAAACTTGCATTTTTTTTTTTGCTTTCTTTGCAAGTATTAGAAATTAAAACATGAAGCAAAAACTTCTTTATAAATGCACATTGCAACAATACAAGCAGAAGGAAGTAGACATCTAAAGTGGGCCCCTTCACTGCTTGCCTTCACCCAGTAACTGTCAGCAACAAAACCTTTTACTGTCTTATGCTGTTATCCAGACACAGAAAATATGTAAAGTTATTTCACTACTGGGTGAAATGTTATTTAACAACAACAACAAAATTTTTTTAAAAAAGGAAGATCAAAGAGATCATTTAAAGCGGAAACAATAACAATTTGAGAAATCTTCTTTATTTAAATTTTCAACATTTATTTTATATTCTGGGGTACGTGTGCAGGAGGTGGTTTTGTTGCATAGGTAAATGTGTGCCATAGTGGTTTGCTGCACAGATCATCCCATCACCTAGGTATTAAGTCCAGCATCCACTAGCTCTTCTTCCTCTTCCCCTCTCTCTTCCCACCCTCTGCCCTCTGACAGGTCCCAGAGTGTGTTGTTCTCCTCTATGTGTCCATGTGTTCTCAAAATTTAGCTCCCACTTAAAAGATACAGCATGCGGTCTTTGGTTTTCTGTTCCTGCATTAGTTTGCTAAGGATGATGGCTTCCAGCTCCATCCATCCCTGCAAAGGACATTATCTCATTCCTTGTTATGGATGCATGGTATTCCATGGTGTATATGCACCCATCACATTTTCTTTATCCAGTCTATCATTAATAGGCATTTAGATTGATTCCATGTCTTTGCTGCTGTGAGTAGTGCCGCAATGAACATACGTGTGAATGTGTCTTTATAATAGAATAATTCATATTCCTTTGGGTATATACCCAGTAATGGAATTACTGTGTCAATTGCTATTTATAGGTCTTTAAGGAGTCACACACTGTCTTGCAGAATGGTTAAACTAATTTACACTCCCACCAACAGAATAAACACATTTTTTTTTCTCCACAACCTCACCAGTTTCTGTTGTTTTTTGACTTTTTAATAATTGCCATTCTGACTGGTGTGAGATGATATGTCTTGTGGTTTTGATTTGCATTTCTCTAATCATCAGTGATGTTGAGGATTTTTTCATGTTTGTTGGCTGCATGTATGTCTTCTTTTGAGAAGTATCTGTTCATGTTCTTTGCCCACTTTTTAATGGGGTCATGTTTTTTTTTCTTGTAAATTTGTTTAAGTTCGTTATAGATGCTGGATATTATATCTTTGCTAGATGTATAGATTGCAAAACAATTTCTCCTATTCTGTAGGTTGTGTGTATATTCTGTTGATAGTTTCTTTTGCTGTGCAGAAGCTCTTTAGTTTAGTTAGATCCCATTTGTCAATCTTTGCTTTGTTGCAATTCTTTTTGGTGTCTTTGTCATAACATACTAGTCTGTGCCTATATCCTGAATGGTATTGCCTAGGTTTTCTTCTAAGGTTTTATAGTTTGGGGTCTTACTTTTAAGTCTTTAAACCATTTTTTCGTTGATTTTTGTATACGGTGTAAGGAAGGGGTACATTTTCAATTTTCTGCATATGGCTAGCCAGTTCTCCCAGCACCATTTATTAATAGGGAATACTTTCCCCATTGCTTTTTATTTATTTTTTGTCACATTTGTCAAAGATCAAATGGTTGTAGCTGTGTGGTCTTATTTTTCTGGGTTCTCTATTCTTTTTCATTGGTCTTTGTGTATGGTTTTGTACCAGTAGCATGCTGTTTTAGTTACTGTAGCCCTGTAGTATAGTTTGAAGTTGGGTAGCATGACGCCTCCAGCTTTCTTTTTTTTTTTTTTTGCTTAGGATTGCCTTGACTATTTGTGCTCTTTTTTTGATTCCACATAAATTTTATAATAGTTTTTTTTTATTCTGTGAAGAATTTCAATGGTAGTTTAATGGAAATTGTACTGAATCCATAAATTGCTTTGAGCCATATAGCCATTTTAATGAAGTTGATTCTGCCTACCCATGAGCATGGAATGTTTTTCTATTTGTGTATGTCATCTATAATATAAGCAGTGGTTTCTAGTTCGCCTTGAAGAGGTCCTTCACATTTCTTGTTAGCTGTATTTCTAGGTTTGTTTTGTGGCAATTGTGAATGGGATTGTGTTCCTGATTTGGTTCTTGGTTTGCCTGTTGTTGTTTATAGGAATGCTAGCAATTTTTGCACACTTATTTTGTATCCTGAGATGTTGCTGAAGTTGCTTATTGGCTTAAGAAACTTTCATGCTGAGACAATAGGGTTTTTTAGATATAAGGTCATGTTATCTGCAAACAAAGGTAGTTTGACTTCCTCTCTTCCTATATGAATACACCTTTCTTTCTTTCTCTTGCCCAATTGTCATGGCCAGAACTTCCAATACTATGTTGAGTGGGATTGTTGAGTGAAGGCAACCTTGTCTAATGCTGGTTTTCAAGGGGAATGTTTCCAGCTTTTGTCCAGTCAGTATGATATTGGCTGTGGGTTTGCCATATATGGCTCTTACTATTTTGAGGTATGTTCCCCACTAGTGATATTAGACATATCATCAAGACAGAAAATTAACAGACACTCAGGACTAGAGCTCAGCTGTGGATCAAGTGGAATTGATAGATATCTACAGAACTCTCCACCCATAAACAACAGTGTATACATTCTTCTCATTACCATGTGGCACTTATTCTAAAATTGATCACATAATTGGAAGTAAAATACTCCAAAGTAAATGCAAAAGAACTGAAATCATAAGAGTCTCTGGGTCCACTACACAATCAAATTAGAACTCAAGATTAAGAAATTTACTCAAAACCATTCAACTACATGGAAATTGAACAATCTACTCCTGAATGACTTTTGGGTAAATAATGAAATTAAGGCAAAAATCAAGAAGTTCTTTGAAACTAATGAGAACAAAGATAGCGTGTACCAGAATCTCTGGGATGAAGCTAAAGCACTGTTAGCAAGAAATATTTTAAAAATTAAATGATGCCCTTATTTCTTCTATATTGTCTGTCTGTAATGAGTTGGAAAAGCCATACACAAAATAAGCAGGGAATGTGAACTACTATAAATGAGACTTCTGAATTGTATAAATCAAAATCTCTACCAAAATGTTGCTAATTAAAAACATTGTTACAGGTTTCACAGCCTGTAATTATTACTGACTAACTAATCATTCAGTTAAATAAAGTAATTTGCATCTTAATTTGGCATATGTTACCTTGTATCATGTTAAATGAAGAGCTCCCACATCACTCTTGAGAACTTTTATTATAGCTAAGCCTCTCTCAGATGCAGAGCCCTATCTCTAGACTGACACATCCACTAGGACAATGTTATTTACTTTGTATGTAGCCAATTAGAATTTTTCAATTAATAAAAGCATCAATAATTCATAAAGTTTTAACAATAGGAGTGTCTCTTTACTGACAATAATCACTAAAAGCATTGCAGGGCCACTCTAAACTATTTAGAACAACCATTTTCAACTGTATTTTGTCTACAAATTTTTTCATTTTAATAGTTTAATAAGCCAATCCAAAGAAAATATATAGTAAAAAGCAAATTCCATATATTACTGACCAAAATTTACATTTTTCTACACTAGTATAATTCAAACAAAGACAAAATATGAATGAAATGTAAGAGAAAGCAATTCATCCTTAGGAAGCATGTGTTTATTTAAAAGTCTATAATCTAATCTTTCTAAAGTATATTTTATCACTTATTAAGAAATTAAAACTTAATTTTCATTTAGAATATTCATAAAATTTTAGAACTTAATTTCAAATTACATCAGCCCGCTTTTGTGCAGAATAAACCAAATAAAGCTGATTGTAGAGAAAAAAAGAGATAAGAGAGAAAGAGAGAACAAAGGTAGAAAGAGAGGGTGAGAGAGAGAGAGAGAAAGATATTTTAGTCTGTCTCATGTTATTTGTAAAAGCAGAAGTACATATGGAAACTATTAACCTACTTTATATCTAAGTGGCACCTGGGCATCTATTTGAAATTGGAACACGCAGAAAATATTTTGGATGAGGATAAATCTAGATTTGCATTCTCTGGGTGGACAGAATGAACACTGTAAAATTTTCAAACACTATATAAACAGAAACCTCATTATTATTATTATTATTATTATTATATTATTTATATTCATTAGAACTGGTGCTTCGCCATTCTCTCAACTACAATACCTTTTCACCACCTTCTATCCCAGTCCATTTTATCTCATTTGGCACTAATATTCCCTTACCACTCTTCTTAATATTGTAACCACAAACGTGGAGAGGTCATGAAAGTTTTCCTTGTATAAGATAGGTTCTCTTCTCAAGACTAGATCATAAACTGAGAAAATGAGTCACTCGCTCACTTCAGTAGTCATGGAATCTCATTTGAAAGTGAAAATGTCTTCTCTTGGCAACAAAGGAACACAATATAATGATACACAAAAGTACTATAGGTTAATTAGGCTTCTACAGGCAAACTGGTCACCTAACTAAAATTTCTAAGATTGACTTCATGACTAAAATATTTTTTAAACCTTTATTGTCAAGTGAATTATTGTAATATTATACATTTTCCTGTTGGAATCTGCTGTACTGACATTGTACTTCCACTCCCTTTTACCATAAAGAGCTTGTTAAATTGTGGGTGTCTTATAAAAGGGAGAAAATATATATGTAGAGACTAATTTTATTTAAAACACTAATTTGCTTATGAGATTACTCATTAGTCATCTGATAGGGAGCAAATATCTGATGGCGTGACTACAGGGAGAGCTGAGGTTTAAAGAATCAGGGAAAAGGGCTGTAGAAGAGAAAGCAATAAATTTCTGGAATCCAAGGGATTCTGACATGGGGTAGGGTTTAAAAGTGTGGTGTTACATGTGGCATAGTTGTAGAAGAAGTCACTGGGCCAATGGAAGGAAGAAGATAAAGAAGATAAAATTAAAGAATCTTTGTGGAGAATACCTTCATCTGCTTAGAAATTTTGTCTGGGGTCACCCTTACTAATTTATATCTAGTCTATCAAGACTGTGAAGACTGGCATTAAACAAATATGAAAGCTGGAATTAAACAGCCAGTAATTCTTCCTATGATAAGAATTGTCTCTTCTCATTGTCAAAGCATTTTCTGTCTTAAGTGTTTTTTTTTTTAAATTTCTAATGCTAAATCCCCAAATTAGTTCTATTTCACCTAGAGTGATAATTTCTGTGTTGACTCTTGAGATTACCAAAGTACTATATGCTTTTTAAAAGTAAATTTATAAACTAAATATACACCCATTCTTTGCACCAGATGATGAACCTGGTGATATTATTGGAACAATGAAGTTATCTTAGGCTATTTAATAGCTTCTTAGTAAAAGTGCTCTGCCTTTATCATTTCAGTCATTTTAAACTAGATTAGACAAGTCACTGGGGAATACACTGTGAAAAGCTTCCTCCTGGCTGTGAACTAAATAGCCAACTACAGCAGGACTTTACCGTCTTTAACTTTGTTACGAGTGACAGCTGTGTTCTGAGTGCAAAAATAAGAAATTAAAGCCACCCACGGAGTTCTCTTCCAAAATAACCTGTTTTCAAGATTTCTGAGTCTGAACTAGAAGGGGTTTTTTTGTTTGTTTTTTACATTTTTTATTTTAAAAATAAGCACTGAAATCAGTGTACTTTGACATACCAGTGATTGGAGATATTATAGAATACACATTTCCATAGACTGAGGAATGGAGGAATTCAAATCTTTGGAATTTCCTATAGCATGAAGTACCCTGTTAGTGATTTTCTGGCAATTCTTAACTCAGGGTAGTCAAGGGAAGGTGTAATAGAATCTGTGCATGTATGTTGGGGAGATAGGAGGGAAGTAACTTCTCCTCTGCCTTTCTCTGCCAGCCCCACTGCATTTTAATAATCGCTGCTTCAGATTATACAACTACCGATCAAAACTTGCTTTGGTGATTTTTCTCTTAAAATATTTGTTTCCAATTCTTTCATTTGAAGTTAATAGAATATCTGATTGTTATATAATATATAATATATGAAGGACAGAGTTAGTAGAAAAAGAAAGAGAACTAATTTAGTTGGCATTAAACCTTTAAACACACATTAGATTTTAAAAAGTTAAATATTAGATCATCTCAAGGCAACTTACAAATGAATGATTCAAATGACAGCTCTTCCACTACTTTTCTGAACAAACTGAGTAGCTGGTTTAAACAGTCAGTAATACTTCATATAAAGTCTTGGTAAGTCAAGACTGTCTTCCTTGTATAGAAGGAAGTTTTGGGGTTGTATAAATTGACAGTCAGAGTACCTCCTTGTGGATTGGCTGGTACCAGAAGAACTATCTTTTTCATTGGATGTCTTGTTAAATTGGAGTTGCTGGTACACTCTGAAATTATGACTTGCACCAATAGGGCATTCCTTTGCTACACCTACTACTCTGGTTTTTACTTCAAATCTCTCTGTGCTCATTTGCTGATAGATTTTTACACACATTCCATTCATTACTGTAGCTCCCTTAATCCCACCTCTATCCAGTCTGTTTTTTGTCTATTCATTGAATAATGTAGGACAGCAGTCCCCAACCTTTTTGGCACGGGGGCCAGGTGGGTGAGGGGGATGGCTTTGGGATGAAACTGTTCCACTTCAAGATGAAACTGTTCCACTTGACATTATCAGGTATTAGTTAGATTCTCATAAGCAGGGCTTAACCTCAATATCTCCCATGCACAGTTCACAATAGTGTTTGCGCTCCTATAAGAATCTAATGCTACTGCTTATCTGACAGGAGGTGGAGCTCTGGTGGTAATGCACACTTGCCTCCTGTTCACCTACTGCTGTGTGGCCCAGTTCCTAATAGGACACTGACCGGCACTGGTCCACTGACCAGGGGTTGGGGACCCCTGGTATAGGACATTTAATCTCTACAGAACGGTAATTTTATTGGCACTTGTTTCATTTGTGTGTGTGTGTGTGTGTGTGTGTGTGTGTGTGTGTGTGTGAGAGAGAGAGAGAGAGAAAGAGAGAGACAGAGACAGAGACAAACTATAATTATGCATGTTAAGCACTTAGCACAGGGCCCTGCCACTGTAATTTCTGCAAATAAATATTTGCTACCACTAGTATTATTTTTGTATTGGTAGTAGTATTCCTGTCCCTCTCCATGCATTGCAATCCTGGTCTTTGCATCATTTATTTTGTCATTGTCTCCACCGATGCTTTCATGCAGTCTTAGCTGAGCACAGATCTCACCCCTGTCTTGCCTTTTCAGTCATCTAGATGCCTCCTCCTATGTAATTCTGACTTACACTTGGCAGGAATTCTATTATAATTCTACTTAAATCTCTTTTGTTTGAGAGGGAAAGAGTAGACAATATCTAGTTTGTACCTACATGAGAAATAGGCAAACAATATACAGGTCTTTAGATATGATTTAATGATTAAGGGTTACAATGACTGAAATATGTATCTATTTTTGAGTTTTCATCCCTGTCAGGAAAGCACATTCAATCAAAAAATATGTTTTTGAATTTCTTCTTGGAGTTTCAGACCTCATCAGTATAGAATCTCATATATAAACAATAGACTGTTTAATTAAACCTCTGCAAAGAGAGATTTAATGAGTCTAGCACTGTGTTGTCCAATATTGTAACTGCATTTCTATTTCTATTTCAGTTTAAATTCAGACCCTCCAGCACTCACACTAACCAAAATTCAAGTGTCTACTAAACACATGCAGGTAGTGGCTACTATATAAAATAGCACGGTTCTTCCCCCACAGAGAGTTCTCTTGGATACTGCTGATCTACCAAAAAGTAACCAATATTTTATTCTAACCTAACGAAGGTAGAGACATCAAAAGTCAAAATACAAAACAGATATGGTCCAAGTGCAAAAGAAGCTGGTAACCTAGAAGCCAGAAGAAACACCAAGTGCCTATTCTTCAAATGTTTCAGTAAGCTTTTTTTCTAGGACACTCATTCAGTTCAAACAATTGAACAATTCCCTGTTAGGCCAGTGCTTCTATATTATGAACATCTTCCACTTATCTGGGTCAGCAAACTTCTTCTTAGAACAAATTAAAGACCTTGAAAAGAGATGGACTATATAGTTGTTCCTCAATATCCAAGGGGGATTGGTTTCAGGATCTCCCACGGATACCAAAATCCATGAATGTTCACGTTCTTGATATAAAATGGTGTAGTATTTGCATATAAGCTATGCCCATCCTCTTTCAATCATATACTTAAAATCTGTGAATCATCTCTAGATCGCTTATAATACTTAATAAAATGACAATGCTACATCAATAGTTCTTCTGTATTGTTTAAGGAATAATGACCAGAAAAAGCCTGCACATGTTCAGTGGAGACAAAATTCTTAAAAATATTTTTAATTCACAGTGGGTTGAATTCACAGATGCAGTATCTATAGAGATGGAGGGCCAACTGTATCTGGAAACTTCTAATTTGCATCAAAAGGGTCTCTCTTTGTTGGCATTTTATTGCTCCAAAAATTGGCTGAGTTATTAGTGATAAGAAGAGGTGGTAACCAATCCAATAAATCCATTAGTAAACTGGAAAAATTAGTTCTCCTTGACCGATCTATTAAATATAAATTTGGATGGAGAAACATATCTAATGATCATCTCATTCAACCTGGGGAAATTTGGATTTGCACCCCAGGATCATTGTGGTTATTTGTATTTTAAGGAGTTATGGCACACATCACTGCATGGTTGGTGTTTTAGCCATACTGGCCATTAAATATCAGAGTCGACTTCAAGAACTGCAAAAAAAAGTAGAACTCCTACTTTTACTAGATACCTGGATGTTAGAATGCTGATTGGTCGATTTTATTTCAAAAGTATCCTGACAGGTGAAAATCAAATTTGATACTTAAAAAAATGAAGAAATTTTATATGCCTTTAAGACTTCAAATTTCTGCAAAATGAGATACAAATGATTGTCTATTTTTAATAATATGTAAGCAACTAATACTATTAAAACTTAGTGGAACTGGAAAACAGCATCATACAGGGTTTAAAAAGTGCAAAGATCATGTAGTTCACTAGTCCTCCGCCTGGAAAAAAAAATCCTTTTCATTACATTATTTGCTTAAACACATCTAGTTACAATAATTTGAAGGTAAGTATACTTCATAAAAAATATTTTCCTAATTAAGAAAATAATGCATGTTTATTGTGGAAATTTCAGAAAACACAAAAACATATGTGGCAGGGTCATATATTAAGATGTTAATTTGCATGTTGTTTTAAAAATATTCTTCCAATTCTTATTTTTTCTTTTTCTTTTTGTGACAGTCTTGCTCTGTCACCCAGGCTGGAGTGCAGTGGCGCGATCTCGACTCACTGCAATCTCCACCTCCCAGGTTCAAGCAATTCTCTGCCTCAGCCTCTCGAGTAGCTGAGATTACAGGCACCCACCACCATGCCTGGCAAATTTTTTTAAGGACGAGGTTTCACCATGTTGGCCAGGCTGGTATTGAACTCCTGACTTCGTGATCCACCTGCCTTGGCCTCCCAAAGTGCTGGGATTAGAGGCGTGAGCCACCGTGCCCGGCCCCAATCCTTATTTCAAGAGAGAAGCTAGAAGTCTTTGTTATTCCTCACTCAGGAAAGATTTCTGTTACAAAGCTGAAAGCTGAAGTTGTTTGCAGACAACTTTATTTCCTGGATTTAGTTTTCAGAAAGCCTGAGCTCCTGGGGCAAGAAGTTTCTCTTGGGAAACAAGATGGATGAGTACTTTAAAGAAGAAATAGTGGCTGCAATGGGCCTAAGGCTGAAAGATGGTAAAATAAATGTAAGATTTTGGGTTTGAAAGGGATTGGGGCACGTGACTCAATTATCTGCAGTACCTTAGGAAAAGGTGGCAGGTCTAGGGGATTGAAAGATGTAATTGGGAGGTACCGCAGCTTAAAAATATTCTTCAACCACAGAAAAATACAGAGCTCTCTTATTTCAACAGATCAGAGATGCATGCAATTGACATCTTATCAGAACAGTGTGGACCTGAGACCAGAGAGCTTCCCAAATGTTTTATGCCAAATGTTTTACTCCTACCTGGAGTAAATATGACTCCTGTGGACTTGTATACCAAACACCACAGAATCTTTCACACAGCTTGTGGTAGGGGAATGGTTGTAATAATAATTGTGTTAGAATTTCTTATCATCTAGAAATAGGGCTTGGAGTTAGATTCAATTTAATTAAAATAAATAAAATAATATGACATTTCTTGCATGTTTGCATTTGTGGACTAAAACTTACATACTCTAAATGCATACAGAACAAAACTAAATCTTAACATTCAGGGTTCCACTTCTGTTCTAGAACTAAAATAAATGAAAATAATTGAAAGCAATTAATAACTATATTGTAAAGATGAGTATAAACTGAAAAAAATACTATAGAGTTTTTTTTTTTTTTTCATAAACATGCTTCCCTTGCAATTGTTTAGTTAGGGCAAAAAAACAAATAACAGTACTAATATGTTTTTTAAGAATGTCTGTCCTTTTCACTCATCCATTATTGGCCATTAGTAAATTAAAACAAGTTTGGACTTCACAGTATGCTCTCAAAACCCAGTTTACGTTTCCATATATGTATATGCATAACGAAGAGCTAAATAAACTGTTAAACAATTAAACTCATTTTTGTGGAATTACTATTACTTAGATAATTCACAATGTGGTCTATCTCAACACCTTTAGAGAGAAAAGCATATGCTTCACGTTTTCTTCTTTTCTAGATGAAATAACAGTTCTAGACTTCTGGCATATTTCCAACCTTTTCACTTGCTGTTCCAATTCTGGAAATATTAAAAAAATTCAAGTACTTGGTGTAGACATATTATTCATATATGTACATATGTATACATACACACACATAAATACATTGTACTTGGGATAATTGTATGTATCAGGAGGCTGAGAATGTTCCAAGCTGAGTAGACAAAAGGGCTCAATATACATCCATCTCAGTGTTTTTAAAGCTTGAAGTCTGTACTTTGACTTATTCCACAAAATGAAAGTGAAAGCTTTCCTCATTTTCCCAATGGAAAAAAAATAATTTCCCTATGAATTAGTAACCTGCAATGAAAAATTTTTTGCTATTTAAGGTAAGTAGAGGCTGGGCATGATGGCTCACACCTGTAATCCCAACACTTTGGGAGGCTAAGGTGGGAGAAGCACTTGAGGCCAAGAGTTTGAGACCTGCCTGGGCAATGCAGCAAGATGCCCATCTCTATAATAAACAAACAAATAAATAAATAAATAAATATAAAATGAAATAAAGTTGACTTTAAACAATATGCAATGACTTAATTTAAAAACGAGAACAAGACTTTGCACAAAATCAGAACTCCCTCTAGTGTTCCCAGTTGCTCTGCACAGCTATGGAAAAAAGAAAACATAAAAGAAATAGCTTAGGAATGTTCCCTTTCCTTCTGACCAGACAACTAGCTTGTTTCCCTATTTGGCTCTGTATCACAAGCATGTTGGGAGGCCTTGGCAATTATTGATAGACCAGGAGGCTACCAAAATGGTTGTCTTATGATCTTGAGCCAAAATCACCAAAATGCCAATCTTGGCTTTTAGAGACAACTGCCCTTCTCTTTGTGCCTTTTGATGCAAATGGAAAAGGGCATATTGGTGCTATTCAAAAGAGTAAGCACTAATGCTATGCAGCTGGCAGGAATTACCTTCCTTCTTGAGACTCTGAGTTCCCTGGTAGCATATGTTATTCATCAAAACACAGCTGATTTCACATGTTAACAATTGTATAATGAGCATGTAAGCTTATAATGACCCCCACACATACCAATGACTCCCGAGTCAGAGGAACACCACCACCCCCACTCTCCTTTTTTCTCTTTACTGCTTTATTAAACCTATTCTCAAGGTAGTGCCACTCTCCTTTCTCTTTTCTTTTTTTTAAGAAAACCCCAATTTAGATTTTTCTGTCTGTCAAAGCCAAAGTGCTGTTGTGATTCATCAGTGCTCACTATGAGGGGAGACAAGGAAGACAAATTAATAAAAAATACCCACAAGGCAATCTATACAGATGTATTCACCTTGAGCCAAATGTTCCTTCAGGGTTCCCTAGGAGTTCAGTGTGAATTGCTTGATGAGTGGACAAAGTGGGAGCTATTTGAAGGTAAATTATATTGATCAACTAGCCCCCATCAGGTTTTTGGCTGTGGTTCATTATCAGAGGCATCTCTCTGATTTTTCTCCCACACTTGTTCCTTTGTTTCCCTGTAAGGAGATGTGAATTTTCACATGTCTGGGTTCTTAACACAAGCATGATATAATCGTACTACATACAGATATATCAGCTGGAGTTGCAGTGATGCTTACTTTCTGAACCACATGTTTTAAGCACTTGGATATTTGTGTACTAGTGAAAATGCTGTTTTGCCTGCTTTTTATGTAAAGGCATTTTAAAAATCTTTAGTCTGATAACTCTGAAGCTTCTCTAGTGTATAAGAATATACATACGTGTTATTACTTATTCAGGAACAATGTTGTAGTGGACACTCAGAATATCAAGGCAAATAAAACTTATCCATCTTACAGAAAGCAGGTCAAGAGAGGTTTTGGAATAAGTGTGGCTTGAAAAATAATCACTTTGAATAATTAAAATTAGCAAATAACTTATATTTAGTCAGCATGAATCTCTTCACGTGGAAGTTGGTAGGATAATAAGCGTGAATTCGTATTCTTGGCGACCATCTGTGTTTTTAGTAAGCCTAGACTTTCCTCTGAGGTGTCCTGTGTAATCTAGTTCTTTAAGGCTTTTCTTGTCTAAGAAATATTCAGATTGGTGTGATCCTGAGGTGACTTTATTCTACCATCCTATGTGTCTCCAGGTGAATTAGGGTCATATTAATTAGTATCTTTGATACAGAAAAGGAACTATAAAAACCTAAGTTGAGGGCTGAAAGGAATTGTTAAAGAAGAAAGAGGAAATTCTTTTCACTTTGTCTCTAGGTTAAGTTTACAGTTGTGAAAATTTAATGAGATGTTTCAAATAAAGAAATCAGCACATTTGTTTGTGTCCTCTTTTATTTCATTGAGCAGTGGTTTGTAGTTCTCCTTTAAGAGGTCCTTCACATCCCTTGTAAGTTGGATTCCTAGGTATTTTTTCTCTTTGAAGCAATTGTGAATGGGAGTTCACTCATTATTTGGCTCTCTGTTTGTCTGTTATTGGTGTATAAGAATGTTTGTGATTTTTGCACATTGATTTTGTATCCTGAGACTTTGCTGAAGTTGCCTATCAGCTTAAGGAGATTTTGGGCTGAGACAATGGGGTTATCTAGATATACAATCATGTCATCTGTGAACAGGGACAATTTGACTTCCTCTTTTCCTAACTGAATACCCTTTATTTCTTTCTCCTGCCTGATTGCCCTGGCCTACAAATGGAAGAACATTCCATGCTCATGGATAGGAAGAATCAATATCATGAAAATGGCCATAATGCCCAAGGTAATTTATAGATTCAATGCCATCCCCATCAAGCTACCAATGACTTTCTTCACAGAATTGGAAAAAACTGCTTTAAACTTCATATGGAACCAAAAAAGAGACCGCATTGCCAAGTCAATCCTAAGCCAAAAGAACAAGGCTGGAGGCATCACGCTACCTGACTTCAAACTATACTACAAGGCTACAATAACCAAAACAGCATGGTACTGGTACCAAAACAGAGATATACACCAATGGAACAGAACAGAGCCCTCAGAAATAATACCACACATCTACAACCATCTGATCTTTGACAAACCTGACAAAAACAAGAAATAGGGAAAGGATTCCCATTTAATAAGTGGTGCTGGGAAAACTGGCTAGCCATATGTAGAAAGCTGAAACTGGATCCCTTCCTTACACCTTATACAAAAATTAATTCAAGATGGATTAAAGACTTACATGTTAGTCCTAAAACCATAAAAACCTTAGAAGAAAACCTAGGCAATACCATTCAGGACATAGGCATGGGCAAGGACTTCATGTCTAAAACACCAAAAGCAATGGCAACAAAAGCCAAAATTGACAAATGGGATCTAATTAAACTAAAGAGCTTCTGCACAGCAAAACAAACTACCATCAGAGTGAACAGGCAACCTATAGAATGGCAGAAAATTTTTGCAATCGACTCATCTGACAAAGGGTTAATATCCAGAATCTACAATGAACTCCAACAAATTTACAAGAAAAAAACAAACAACCCCATCAAAAAGTGGGTGAAGGATATGAACAGACACTTCTCAAAAGAAGACATTTATGCAGCCAACAGACACATGAAAAAATGCTCATCATCACTGGCCATCAGAGAAATGCAAATCAAAACCACAATGAGATATCATCTCACACCAGTTAGAATGTTGATCATTAAAAAGTCAGGAAAAAACAAGTGCTGGAGAGGATGTGGAAAAATAGGAACACTTTTACACTGTTGGTGGGACTGTAAACTAGTTCAACATTGTGGCGATTCCTCAAGGATCTAGCACTAGAAATACCATTTGACCCAGCCATCCCATTACTGGGTATATACCCAAAGGATTATAAATCATGCTGCTATAAAGACACATGCACATGTATGTTTATTGGGGGCACTATTCACAATAACGAAGACTTGGAACCAACCCAAATGTCCAACAATGATAGACTGGATTAAGAAAATGTGGCACATATACACCACGGAATACTATGCAGCCATAAAAAAGGATGAGTTCACGTCCTTTGTAGGGCCATGGATGAAGCTGGAAACCATCATTCTCAGCAAACTATCACAAGGACAAAAAACCAAACACTGCATGTTCTCACTCATAGGTGGGAACTGAACAATGAGAACACTTGGACACAGGAAGGGGAACATCACACACCGGGGCCTGTCATGGGTTTGGGGGAGTGGGGAGGGATAGCATTAGGCGATATACCTAATGTAAATGACGAGTTAATGGGTGCAGCACACCAACATGGCACATATATACATATGTAACAAACCTGCACACTGTGCACATGTACTCTAGAACTTAAAGTATAATAAAAAATAAAAGAAATCACCACAATGACTGACATGTAACAAAGGTGCAATAAATACTAACTGGAATAATAGAATGTCAATACTTATCCCTTCCTCGCTTGGCACCTCTGTACTTTGGAATCAGTGTAAACAAAATGAGTAGGAAAAAAATGTTGGCTTTATTTTTGATAGGCTAAAAAAAGAAAATGTATCTTTGACCTGCAGACAAAAAGGCTTACTAGATTATTCCCAAGCTCCTGCAAGTGTGTAACTTGAAAGCACATTCATGGAAAGTCTCAGTCTACAGAGCCTATCCCCTTCCCTGGGAATGCAGTCTCATACTAATCTGGGGAAGATAGGAAAGGAATAAAGAGAATGAATTCTCAATGATTTCCACAGTTTAATAAAATACCTCAGAAATTTGTACCAATGAATTTCACTCAACAAATCCCTTGGAGTCTATCTCAAGTCAAAATTCTTTCACATAGATGTATCAGACTAGGTAGAAATAAATTCCAGTCCCCAACTTTAACTGTTACAACTATTACTACTACTACTACTACTACTACTACTACTACTACTACTACTATAGGTTGGTAATTGCAATTACTCTTGCTCCAACCTACGACTACTATTACTACAAATGTACTGTGTGTCCATTACTTGCTTGCTCAGCTAAAGATTTAGAAATAAGGAAAGCAAAATACCTGAATTCAAGGAGTTTAGCAAAAGCTGTCCTTGAAAGCAAGGAGGACTTAACTCCTATTACACACATTATTGCATTAAGGTCATTTTTCACACTAGAATTGTTTGCAAACAAACTCTGGCCTGCCTCCTCCTTTCTAATTTATTCTCCAGCTGCTTACTGCCAAGATTCATGGTCCAGCAGGATTGGTCTCCACTAGCGTGAGTGAGTTCCCAGAGCAAAAGGAAGTAAAACAGAGTGGGGAGAACCAGAAGTCAATATGTAGAAAAATGGCCATGTGCTTTCATTTCAGGGATAAGAAATTCTTGCCAGTGACTACTTTTTATGTGAAAGTATTAAATTCTCCAACTACAACAGGAGAAGAATAGGGGAGAGTTGCCGGTAGCAGGAAGAAAAACAGCACTGCCCTTTTCAGCCATGAGCACACAGAGTAGTTGAATAAAACCTGAGAGTAGAAATTTAAAAGAACAAAGATTTTAGAGTAATTTTTGTTAAATAAGAAAAACAAACATCTAGAGTAGAGAAGACTTCAAGGACAAAAGGTAAGAGCACTACAGCAAAAGGCAACATGCTGAGTAGCAGCAGGGATGGGGGTACTAAAATGAGTGGAGTAATAAAATTGGAAGGTATATATGTTTAAAATGAGGCCAGGTGCGTTGGCTCATGCCTATTATCCCAGCACTTTGGGATGCCGAGGCGGGCTGATCACCTGAGGTCAGAAGTTCAAGACCAGCCTGGCCAACATGGTGAAACCCCATCTCTATTAAAATACAAAAATTAGCCAAGCATGGTAGCGGGCACTTGCAGTCCCAGCTACTCAGAAGGGTGAGGTAGGAGAATCGCTTGAACCCAGGAGGCGGAGTTTGCAGTGAGCCAAGATCACAGCACTGCACTCCAGCCTGGGTGACAGAGTGAGAATCTGTCTCAAAATAAAAATAAAATAATAAAAATGTGATCAAGGAGAACAGAATAACTTGAGCTAACATCTTTTTTTTTATTTTCCATAGTGGTAAATTATGCGTTATAAAATATTTATTATTTTAACCATTTTACTGTGTACAATTAAATGCCATTTAGTATATTCAAAGTGTTGCATAAGCATTACAAACTATCTCCAAAACTGTTTCATCATCTCAGAAGAAAACCCCATATCCATTAAACAGTTGGTCTCCATTCCCTCTAGCCCTGAGCCTTGGTCACCACTAATCTGTTTTCTGCTTCTATGCTGTATTTACCTATTCTGGATATTTCATATAAATGAATGCATGCCTAGGCATGAATGTGTTTTGAAATGTGAGGACATGAGATTTGGGAGGGGCCAGGGACAGAATGAGATGGTTTGGCTGGGTATCCACCCAAATATCATCTTGAATTGTAGTTCCCATAATCCCCACTTGAGGTGGGAGGGACTCATTGGGAGGTAACTGAATTATGTGGGCAGTTACCTCCATGCTGTTCTCATGATAGTGAGTTCTCACCATATCTGATGGTGTTATCAGGGGATTTTCCCCCACTTTGCTATCACTTCTCTTCCTGCCACCATCTGAAGAAGGACCTCTTTGCTTCCCCTTCCACCATGATTGTAAGCTTCCTGAGGCCTTCCCAGCCATGCTGAACTGAGTCAATTAAAATCTTTCCTTTATAAATTACCCAATCTTGGGTATGTCTTTAATAGCAGCATGAAAATGGGGGTGGTGGGGGGGGGTAATATGCTAAGAAACACCTGTGAAGATTATAACTCAGGGACACAGGTCCACTGAAAGACTGAGACTTAATCAAAATATTATAGAGTGTTTTCCTTCTCCTACATCTACCTACCATACCCACAGATCTTTATGCATCAAAAGACAGTAATAACAGAATAAAAAAGTAATCCACAAAATGAGAGAAATATTTGCAAATTATATATCTGATAAGAGACTGAAGTCTAGAAAATATATAAAATTCCTTAAACCCAACTACAAAAAAAATATGATTCAAAAAAAGGTCAAAAGACTTGAATAGGCATTTCTCCAAGGAAGATATATAAATGGCTAATAAGTACATGAAAAAATGCTCAACATCACTAATAGTTATGGAAATTCCAATCAAAACTACAAGAGATACCACCTCACACCCATTAGAATGGCTATTGTTAAAAAAAGAAGAAGACAAATAGAGGATAACAAATGTTGGTCAGAATGCTTGGAAATTGGAACCCTTGTGCAATGTAGGTAGGAATGTAAAATGGTAAAACTACTGTGGAAAACAGTATGACAGCTCCTCAAAAACTATTATATGATGCAGGAATTCCACTTCTGGATATATCACAGAAGAAGGGAAAGCAAAGTCTCAAAGAGATGATTGTATACCCATTTCATAGCAGCACTATTCACAATAGCTAAAATGTGGAAGCAGCTCAAGTGCCTGTCAACAGATGAACAGATAAGTAAAATGTCAGATATACATACAATGAAACATTACTTAGATTTTAAAAGGAAGGAAATTCTGAAATATGCTACAACCTGGATGAACCCTAAGGACATTAAGTGAAATACACCAGACACACACACACACACACACACACACACACACAAACACACACAAATACTGTATTATTCTACTCATATGATGCAATTAATCAAAATCATAAAGACAGAAAGTAGAATGTTGGTTCTAAGAGCCAGGAGAATGGCAGGGTGGTGGGGGATTTATTGTTTAATGGGTACAAAGCTTCAGTTTTAGAAGAAGAAAGAATAGTGAAGATAGATGGTGATGATGGTTAGAGAACATTATGAATATTTTAATGCTAGTGAACTATACACATAAAATAGTTAAGATGGTAAGTTCTATGTTATGGGTATTTTACTAAAATAAATACATAATAAAATTTTTAAATGATAAAAAAACTTTTTGCGAAGATTATAACCCAGACACACAGGCCTACTAAAAGACTGAGATTTAATTACATTATTATAGCATACTTCCCCTTCCATATCTAATCACTACCTCAACAGGGCTCTAGCATAATAATACGGGAGTACAACTAAAAGAACCCTAAGATGCAAACTCAACTTAGGAATTCTCAAGATGACAAGACATATAAACACAAGAACAATTTGAAGAACTCTAATAATTTGAAACCTCTGTCACAGCTATAGCAATCATTAAACACAGACCATCTTCTAACCAAATTAATTGAAAGACTCACAGTAAAAGACTCCATCTCAGTTCCTTTAGCCTAATACTGCATGCTCAGATCTCAATCAAGAATGACAAGGCATGCTGAAAGGCAAGAAAAAGACAGTCTGAGGAGACAAAGTCAACATAGGAACTTGACTGAGATATGACACAGATTTGGAGTTATCAGACAGGGCATGTAAAATAATAATGATGATTAACATATTAAAGGTTTTAATGGAAAAAGTAGACAGTGTGTGACAACAGATGGGTGATATCAACAGGAAGATGGAAATTCTGAGAATAAATAAAAAACACTGTGACAGAACTGAAGAATTTACTCCTTAAGCTCAACAGTAGACTGAGCAGGCCAAAGGAAAGAATCAGTGCACTTGAAACAAAACAGAATAACTGAGACCTGTTGGTCAATTTCCAAAGGTGTAAAATATGCAAAATTGGACTAGTAGTAACAGAAACAAGAGCATAGCTGAAAAAATATTAAATTAGTAACAATGGATAATTTTCCATAAATAAATGACAGATATGAAACTCAGATCTAGAAAGGTCAGAGAACACCAACCAGCATAAATTACCAAAAATTTTACATTTACACATATTGTATTCAAACTGCAGTAAATCAAGGAAAAATAGAAAATCTAGAAAGGAGCCAGTAATCCCAGCTACTTGGGAGGCTGAGACAGAAGAATCGCTTGAACCCGGGAGGCAGAGGTTGCAGTGAGCCGAGATAAAGCTACTGCACTCCAGCCTGGGTGACAGAACAAGACTCTGTCTCAAAAAAAAAAAAAAAAAAGAGAAGCAGCAGCAAAAATAAATAAATAAATAAAATTTTGAGTATAAATCAATAAAATTGAAAACAAAAAAATAAAAAATAACAAAACAAAATCTGATTTGAAAAGATCAATAAAATTGATAAAATTCTAGTTAGACTAACTTTGATAAAAAAGACCAAAAACACAAATTGCCAATATCAGAAATTTTTTAAAAAAGGCTTATTACTATCATATCCATGGACATCAAAATAATATGAACAACTGTATGCCCAAAACATTGACAACTTAAATGAAATAGAACAATTTCTTGAAACACTAAAACTACCAACCAAGCAGGTCCAAACTCCACTACCTTTCTCCTGTACTCTTCAGGCTATCGTGCTTTCTATGGACACCACTTCCCTGAACCAGTGACAAGAAATTGTCACTGGGAATAAAGCTAGGAAAATGGCGGGGCACATGCCATTTATTTCACTTTTTTTTTGGAATTACAGGTTCATATATCGTGTTGTCTAATTTATGAAACTATTTTCTACATTATACTTAGTTTTATAGTTGTTTATGGCAGGAGGCTATTCTTATCCCTGTTACTACCTTGGTGGTAGACTTTTAATTTTATCTTTGACAAAATGCTGAATTTATATTACCTATTTAACAAATGAAAGGATTTTTTGTTCATCTACACAGGAGACTATATATCAGTCTCCTAATGAAACTCAGAACATGTAGCTCTGTTTTTCTTTTTAACTCCAATTATATCATTATCTTAGTACTATATGATATGTTATTATTCATCATCTAAATCCTCCTCTCTTTTGATGGGAAAATAGATTCAGAAAGTAAACTGAGTTTTCCACATTCAAGTAAATAAGTATGTAATGGAGTTGAGATGCAAATCAAAGTTTCTTATATCTTCTTTCCCCTCATATTGCATGGCCAATTTAAAACAAAAAATAAGATGAGTAAGAGGTAAAAATGAACAAGGAGAAACAACATTGCTTTGAAAAGGATCATAAACATACTTCTAAATCAGAAACAATAGGAAATCTTAGTTAAAAATAATTTGTGTGATGGTCAATTCCTTTTCCATCTACTGGATCACGTAGTTCAGAATGCCCAGCATCTATGAGACATCTCAAATAGATTGCTACTTAGTCAGTTGGTTGGGAAACAAGTTTGCATGTGGAAAGGTCAGAGGAGATATTTTGTAATTTCTCAGATTCAGTTTTCAAAAAAAAAAAAGTATTGGTCAAGTTACAATCACCTATTACTTAGTTTCTCTCTCTTTTTTTTTTTTTTTTTTCTTGAGACAAGAGTATTGCTCTGTCACTGCGGCTGGAATGCAGTGGCACAATCTCGGCTCACTGCCACCTCCACCTCTTGGATTCAAGCGATTCTCCTGCCTCAGCCTCCATAGTAGCTGGGATTACAGGCGTGCACCACCATGCCTGGCTAATTTTTGTATGTTTAGTAGAGACGGGGTTTCAGCCTGTTGTTGCCCAGGCTGGTCTCAAAGTTAGTGTGTCTCTTTAATCACCACCACAATAAACAAAAATTGTGTCTGTTTTGACCTAGGGGCCTCCATTTCCTGGCTGCTGATGTGTCTTTCAGCCTTATTATTCTCCAAAATCCCATCTTATTGCTCTTCTTTTTCTTTTTAAAATTAACATATAACTATCTTTCTTAATACAACCATTTAATGATGTTCCCAAGATGTTTACAAGTGAGTAAGTAAAGCTACAATATACTTGAACAAGTAAAAATTATCTATTTATTTTACCCAACTATCAAAAATTTCTCCAAAGGATTGTCTTTTCCTTGCGAAAGCATCCTCAAGCCTTTAAGAATTTCAGAAATATAGCTTACTCTCATTTTCAATAACAGCTTGCTTCTAAGTTTGCCTGTCCTCAAGGAATAGGAAGCTTTGGCGGCTGCCTTAGTGCTCTGTGATCACGAGGAACTGTGTCACACTAGATGCAGCTGTCTGAAATGCTCTCCCTTAATTATGAGTATTGATTGTACTTACCCAACTCCATCGAGAATTCCATTTCCACATACAGGGCTAAACTTCTTTCTTTTTGTGAGGATTTAAAGAACAGACAGATGTCTGTTCTTGGGCTTGATATAACTTCCAAAAGAATATTCCCTTAGGCTTTTGCCTTCACCCTCCCAAATATACATAGCATGGGACATGGTTTGCATATATAGCATTTCTGCAGGCAGCACCACATTTGCACAATGATTGCTCACCAGTTTTTTCTTCCACTCACACATTCAAGCATAAGTCTGAGATTGAGTCAGGAGTTACTTTTCAAGAGTTGCTTTTGTTCTTAACTTCTTTCATTTCACTAATAATCCCAAGACCTAGCAACGAAAATGAACAATGCTTTACAATTATTTTTGCCAATGATCATATTTTATTGAACAAATAGCAGTTATAATCTGTGGGGTTTGTTATTAATGTTTTCTTTTATGAGTAGTTTCAGCAATACATGCTTTTAAATATTGTGTCTATGCCAGAAAGTATTAGACACTGAATTCTATGTTGATAAATTACCCTAAGGTGCAGGCAGGACAGTCCTGTAGGTAGACACTACTACTTACACAGGTGTGATTTAAGAAATTGAGAAGTGTTCTCCCTCAGATAATCTAACATTTTCATAAACATTTAGAAATATATTTTGTTAAAGTACTATTTTGTGAGAAGAATGCTTGTCTGGTTTTTCCCACTCGGGGTAACAGAATCTTCACTCTTGTCAAGTAGGGAGGACATAATGTGAGGACATAAATGTTGAGGACATAAATGTGAAAATCATCTAATGAGAATTTTTTAAACTATTAGGAAAATAATAGTCAAGACAAAACTTCACTGTGGAATGAATGATATATTCAGTTTAATATGCATTAGTATATCAGCATGTATTAAAGTATGTTAGTGGATACTTATGATATTGGGCCTTCATCTGTAGGAAATTGATCCCTGACTCTCTCAATACACCTCTTCAGGGTCAGGGCTGGCATGTTCTTATTTATCTGAGCCATTAATCACAGTCAATTTAAAGATGGCCAACAGACCCAAGTTGGACCAATCAAAATCTTTCCTCAGAATTTTTGAAACTGAAATTGACAATAAAAATTGTGTCTCTGTCTGATGGCACAAACTTTAGTGAAGTAAGACTTGGCAATTCTTAGAAGCTGTTGCCTGCCATGTGAAGCAGCTGGCCTATAATGAAAGAACATGTAGCTGACAGAAAAGGAAACAAGAAATGAAGGCAAGATAGAGACATGGAGCAAAGTGGGTGAAGAATAGAGAAAAAAAGGGAGAAAGAAACAAAAAGAGAGAGAAAAAAAACAGAGAGAGCTTTTTCTAAGCACTTGAGTTCCTGGTTGTAGGCATCTGGAGGCCCATCCACACTGCTGTTTTCTCTTTAGTTGGGTGGTTTAATATTCTCCAAATTATCCCCTTTCCATAAATTTCCATTTTCTAATTCATATTCATTTCTTCTTAACACCTTTCACTCTCTAATATTGTAGTAAACATTTTTTTTCACTAGTGTATACTTAGTGCCTAGAGCAGTGCCTGGCATAATGTATACTCAATAAATATTTCTTGAATAAATGAGGGAAGAAATGACTGATACATGATATCTCAGTATCATTTAAAAATCCCTCTGCAAACTAGTTCACATTGATTTCACTTGCATGGAAAAGTTTAGATTAGTCCTCTAAAGAATTTTAAGTATATAGATCCATTTCTTTCTCTCTAAAAATCTATTAAGATATCATTTACTGAGGTAAAACCAGGGATTCTCAACCGGTGGGCCAATGGAATTGGAGATACCATTCAGAAGAGACTAGATTATGCTGCAAAAAAGAAGCAACCTCATAATTCTAGTGGAATAACAAAATAAAATTATGTTGCCCATACATAATATGTGCCCATAGTAGGACATCAGAAAACTCTGCCCATCACACATGCTTCTGAAGACCAATCTCAGCACATGCATCTAAACTTACTACGGTGGTGTGAATAGGGCATGGCAAGTCATGCCCTGACTTCTACGGTTTCAACCCAGAAAGAACACATGACACTTTTGCTCACATTTTACGAACAAAAGCAAAACACAGTGGTCATGCCTTATTTCAAATGGAGTAAAGAAATAAAACCTACCATGGTGCCCAAAAGAAATGGAATAATTTGCAAAAGCAAAAATGAACACCACACTAACGTTCTATGGAAGTATTTCCAGTAATCTACAACTCCATAGTTATATGAAACATCACTGCCTATAGTAGGGGTCAGCAAATTATGGCTCAAGGGCAATATCCAGCCTATTGCTTGTTTTTATAAATAGTGTATTATAACACAATCACAGTCATTTGTGTATGCATTGCCTATGCTTGCCTTCACACTACAATGATGGTTGAATAGTTGTGAAAGAGACCAATATAGCCTGCAAACCCTAACATATTTACTATGAGTAAATTAAGCCTGCCTCACATTGTATATTTTCTACTGTTTTAAAATTACATTTTGGTTAATACATTCTTAACATATTTGCTAATTTCTTACTAGTTTTTGTTATTTAGTGATTTCCATCAATATGTTAAAGCTTTTTAGGTAAAAGAGGACTTTGTTTATTAAAAAGAAGAAAAAGGCCGGGCGCGGTGGCTCACGCCTGTAATCCCAGCACTTTGGGAGGCCGAGGCGGGTGGATCATGAGGTCAGGAGATCGAGACTATCCTGGCTAACAAGGTGAAACCCCGTCTCTACTAAAAATACAAAAAATTAGCCGGGTGCGGTGGCGGGCGCCTGTAGTCCCAGCTACTCGGGAGGCTGAGGCAGGAGAATGGCGTGAACCCGGGAAGCGGAGCTTGCAGTGAGCCGAGATTGCGCCACTGCAGTCCACAGTCCGGCCTGGGCGACAGAGCGAGACTCCGCCTCAAAAAAAAAAAAAAAAAAAAAAAAAGAAGAAAAAATTAGTATTCACTACATATTCTGGAATACTTCTTCCTCTATTCCTCTATTCTGATGTGAATTCTGGATTCTGCTTATTCTAAATTTTTATGATTATCTCTAAGTGACCCATAGAGGTTCTCATCCAAAATATAATTAATACTGAGAATTAACATTTCCTAACAGATCACTTGTGAGGCATTGTTTTGAGTATGTCACTCTTGATATCTTTTTAAATCCTCTTTAAGAGGCTCTACCTCTACCACAATAGATGGGCAGGTTGATGACTCAAGAAAGGCCAATGTGGGTCCTTTTGCAGGGATGAACATTATTATTGGGAGACAGTCTCTCTCTTTTGGAGACAGTAAAATTTAGGAAGTAGGTAAGACTGGACTTGTGGTGAGAGATCTTTCACATGAGAATCTGTGAAAGAAAGAAGCTAATACCAAAGAAAACAGAGACTAGAAATGGAAAGAGAGGCTGAGATAGTCCTGAATACCTTGTTTCTGTACCTGATTCAACACATCTTACACTGTACAGTGAGAAATTAATATCTTTCGCTCCAAGGCTTTTCATGTCTTTTTGAAAATAAAATATTTCTGGGGAAAGTAAAATGTTAAGCCTTAAGGATAAAGGAATTTATTATAACTTTTTCTGATTGAAAGTTTGAACATTGAGCAAAATAACAGGGTTAAAAAAGCACCAGGCAAGAATCATTTCTAGAAGAAGGTGAACTATGAAAGATTAATCTCATAGGTTTTCCCCAGTCCTAGGAAATAACACTGAACCAATAACTGGTGCTTATAAGGGGGTAAGCTCTACACATAGGGGACAGAAAATCATCTATATGATGAAAATAAAAAGCGATAGAAAGGACTCTTGCCTCAAATGCTTCTAATTCCAGCAGCTCTGTGTTGCATTGCAGTCTGAAGCCAAACTTCTTAGATTTTCACCCAACCTTTGGTATGTGCCCAAACTCTATTTTATTATCTCCTGGTGCAGCTTTCCTAGTCATTACCTAGACTTATTATTTGAGGAAAAAGACCCCCCATTCTTTTATCTTCAGTACCTAGCACATTGTAAGCCGCCTATGAATTTCTTCAATTATATTATTAAATGCATTAATAATTGAACAGATTTTAATAAGAATAAATTTTGACAGAAAATGTTAAGTGCTTAGCCTAAAAGATAATTAGTTGCAACCATTCAAACTTTGTGTGACGCCAATAGGAGACATGTTTGGAGATATGGAACCACTCTTGCAAAGTGTATTGAGAAGACTATATAGTTTAGAATGAGAGAGTTCTGTACTCATTCTACCGCCACTATCCACTAGATGGAAAAAGTGGAATAAGTTGAATTTATCTGAACCTCAGGGTTTTTTTTTTGTTTTTAAATTTTATTTTAAGGTCAGGGGTAAAAGGGCAATTCTGTTATATAGGTAAACTCATGACATGGGGGTTTGCTGTGTAGATGATTTAATCACTACTACCGATATTAAGCCTACTACCGATTAGTTATTTTTCCTGATCCTCTCCATCCTCCTACCCTCCACTCTCTGGTAGGCCCCAGTGTTTGTTGTTCCCCTCTACGTGTCCTTGTATTCTCGTCATGTAGTTACCATTTGTAATGAGAACACACAGTCTTTGGTTTTCTTTTCCTGCATTAATTTGATAAGGATAATGGCCTCTAGTTCAATCCATGTTCCTGCAAGGACATGATCTCATTCTTTTTTATGGCTGCACAATACACAATATGTACCACATTTTCTTCATCCAGCCTACCAATGGTGGGCAGTTAGGCTTATTCCATGTCTTAGCTATTGTCAATAGTGCTGCAATGAACATACACATACATGTGTCTTTATGATAGAATGATTTATGTTCCTTTGGGTACATACCCAGTAATGGGATTGCTGTGTTGAATGGTAGTTCTGTTTTTAGCTCTTTGAAGAATTGTCACACTGCTTTCCACAATGGTTGAACTAATTTACATTTCCACCAGCAGTGTATAAGCATTCCCTTTTCTCCACTACCTCGCCAGTATCTCTTATTTTTTAACTTTTTAATAATTGTAATTCTGACTGGCATGAGATGGTATCTTATTGTGGTTTTGATCTGCATTTCTCTAATGATCAGTGATAATGAGCTTTTTTTCATATGCTTGTTGGCCACATGTATGTCTTCTTCTGAAAAGTGTCTGTTCAGTGTCCTTTGTCTATTTTTTTGTAAATTTTCTTTTCTTGTTTAAATTCATAATACATTCTGGGTATTAGACCTTTGTCAGATTCATAATTTGCAAAAATTTTCTCCCATTCTGTCTGTTTACTCTGTTGGCAGTTTCTTTTGCTATGAAGAAGCTCTTTAGTTTCATTACATCCCATTTGTCCATTTTTGCTTTTGTTCCCATTGTTTTTGGCATCTCCATCATGAAATCTTTGCACGTTCCTATGTCCAAATTGGTATTGCCTAGGTTATCTTCCAAGGTTTTCATAGTGTCGGGTTTTACAGTGAAGTATTTAATCCACTGAGTTGATTTTGGTATATGGTGTAAGGAAGGGGTCCAGATTCAATCTTCTGCATGTGGCTAGCCAGTTATTCCAGCACCATTTATTGAATAGGCAGTCATTTCCCCATGGGTTATTTGTGTCAACATTGTTGAAGGTCAGATGACTGCAGTTGTGCAGACTTATTTCTGGGTTCTTTATTCTTTATTCTGTTCCATTAGTTTTATGTGTCTGATTTTGTACCAGTACCATGTTGCTTTGGTTATTGCAGCCTTGTAGTACAGTTTGAAATCAGGTAGTGTGACACCTCCAGCTTTGTTCTTTTTGCTTATTACTGCTTTGGCCATTCAGGCTTTTTTGATTCCATATAAATTTCAATATAGTTTTTTTTCTGGTTCTATGAAGAAGGTCATTCGTACTTTGATAGGAATAGCATTAAATCTGTAAATTGCTTTGGGCAGTTTGGTCATTTTAATGAAGTTGATTCTTTCTACCCATTAGTTTGGAATGTTTTTCCATTTGTGTGTGTCATTTCTTTGAGCAGTGGTTTGTAGCAGTAATTACAGAGATCTTTCACCTCTCTAGTCAGCGTTATTTCTAGGTATTTTATTCTTTTTGTTGCAATTGTGAACGGGATTGCATCCCTGATTTGGCTCTCAGCTTGACTGCTGTTGGGGTATAGGAATGTAAGTGATTTTTGTATGTTAATTTTGTATCTTGAGACATTGCTAAAGTTCAGCCTAAGGAGCTTTGAAGCCGATACTGTGGGTTTCTCTAGATATAGAATCTTTTCATCTGCAAACAGAAATAGTTTGACTTCCTCTCTTTCTATCTGGATGTCCTTCATTTTTTTATCTTGCTTGACTCCTCTGGCAAGACTTCCAATACTATGTTGAATAGGAGTGGTGAGAAAGGGCATCTTTCTTTTGTGCCAGTTTTCAAAGGGAATGCTTCCAGCTTTTGCTCATTCAGCATGATGTTGGCTATAGGTTTGCCATAGATTACTCAATGTTTTGAGGTATGCTTCTTCATACCTAGTTTATTGAGAGTTTTTAACATGAAGTGGTGTTGAATTTCATTGAAAGACTTTCTGCATCTATTGAGATAATCATGTGGTTTTTGTCTTTAGTTCTGTTTATCTGATAAATCACATTTATTGACTTGCCTATGTTGAACCAACATTGCATCCCAGGGATAAAGCCTACTTGATCATGGTGGATAAGCTTTTTGATGTGTTGCTGGATTCTGTTTGCAAGTATTTGTTGAGAATTTTTGTATTGATGTGTTCATCAAGGATACTGGCCTGAAGTTTTCCATTTTTTGTTGTACCTCTGCCAGGATTTAGTATCAGGATGATGCTGGCCTCATAGAACAAGTTGGGAAGGAGTCCCTAACTCCTCAATTTTTTGGAATAGTTTCAGTAGGAATGGTACCAATTCTTCTTTGTATATCTGTTAGAAGTTGTCTGTGATTCCACCTTGTTCTGGGCTCTTTTTGTCTGATAGGCTTATTGTTGATTTAATTTCAGAACTCATTATTCTGTTCAGGGATCCAATTTATTTCTGGTTCTGTCTTGGGAGGGTGTATGTGTGCAAGCATGTATTCATTTCTTCCAGATTTTCTGATTTCTGTACATAGAGGTGTTCATCATAGTATCTGATGGTTGTATTTCTGTGGGGTCAGTGGTAACATCCCTTTTTTTGTTTTAATTGTGTTTATTTGAATCTTCTCTCTTTTCTTCCTTCATAGTCTACCTAGCAGTTCATCTGTTTTATTAATTTTTTTCAAAAAAGCAACTCCTGGATTGATTGATCTTTGGAATGTTATTTTTGTCTCAAAGTCCTTCATTTCAGCTTTCATTCGGATTACTGAATGTTTAGTGCTATAAATTTCCCTCTTAACACTTCCTTAGCTGTGTCTCAAAGAATCTTCTGTGTTGTATCTTAGTTCTCATTAGTTTTAAAGAACTTCTTAATTTCTGTCTTAATTTTATTATTTACCAAAAAGTCATTCAGGAGCAGATTATTCTGTTTCCATGTAATTTTATAATTTTGAGCTATTCTCTTAGTCTTGAATTCTATTTTAATTGTTCTGTGATCTGAGAGAGTGCTTGCTATAATTTCAGTTATTTTGCGTTTGTCGAGGAGTGTTTTACTTTCAATTAGGTGATCAATTTTAGAATATGTGTCTTATGGCGATGAGAAGAATGTATATTCTGTTGTTTTGGGGTGGAGAGTTCTGTAGATGTCTGTCAGGTATATTTGATCCCATGCTGAGTTTGGGTCCTAAATGTCTTTGTTAATTTTTTTGCCTCAGTGGTCTGCCTAATAATGTCAGTGGGGTGTTGAAGTCCATCACTATCATTGTGCAAGAGTCTAAGTTTCTTTGGAGCTGTCTTAAAACTTGCTTTATGAATTTGTGTGCTCCTGTGTTGAGTGTATATATATTTAGGATACTTAAGTCTTCTTATGGAATTGAACTCTTTACCATCATGTAATGACCTTCTTTGTCTTTTTTGATCTTTGCTGGTTTAATGTATATTTTGCTAAATTAGGATTGCAACTCCTGCTTTATTCTGTGTTCCATTTGCTTGGTAGGTTTTTCTCCATCCTTTTATTTTGAGCCTATGGGTGGCATTGCATTCAAGATGGTTCTCTTGAAGACAGTATACCAACTGGTCTTGTTTCTTTATCCAGCTTGCCAGTCTGTGCCTTTTAATTGGGGAATTTAGCCTGCTTACATTCAAGGTTAGTATTGAAATGTGTGGATTTGATTCTGTCATCATGTTAGCTGGTTATTAAGCAGACTTGTTTGTGTGCTTGCTTTCCAATGTCACTAGTCTGTATAGTTATATGTGTTTTTGTAATGCCTGGCAATGGTGTTTCCTTTCCATGTTTAGTGCTTTCAGGAGCTCTTATAAGGCAAGTAAGGTGGTGATGAATTCTCTCAGCATTTGCTCATCTGAAAAAGATCTTACTTCTCCTCTGCTTGTGAAGCTTAGTTTGGCCAAATGTGAAATTTTTGGTTGAAATTTCTTTTCTTTAAGAATGTTGAATATTGGCCCCTAATCTTTTCTGGCATGTATGATTTCTGCTGAGAGGTCCACTATTAGGCTAATGAGCTCCCCTTTGTAGGTGACCAGATCTTTCTGTCTTTAACATATTTTTTTTCATTTTGACCTTGAATAATCTGATGATTACGTGTCTCGGGAATGACCTTTTCGTGGGGATCTCTGCATTTCATGAATTTGAATGTTGGCCTCTCTAGCTAGGTTGGGGAAGTTCTTATGTATGATATCCTAAGATATGTTTTCCAAGTTGCTTCCATTCTGGCCATCTCTTTCAGGGACACACCAGTGAGTCATAGATTTGGTTTCTTTCCATAATCCTGTATTTCTCAGAGGTTCTGTTCATTCCATTTCATTCATTTTTCTCTATTTTTGTATGAATGCCTTATTTCAGAAAGCCAGTGTTCAAGTTCTGATATTCTTTCTTCTTCTTGGTCTACTCTGCTATTAATAATTGCAGTTGTATTGTCAAATTATTATAGTGTGTTTTTTAGCTCTATCATGTTCGTTATGTTCTTGTCTATATGGCTATTTTGTCTTTTACCTCCTGTATAATTTTAACGTAATTCTTAGCTTTCTTGGATTAGGCTTCAATGTATTCCTGCATCTCAATGATCTTCGTTCCTTCCACATTCTGAATTATATTTCTGTCATTTCAGCCATCTCAGCCCAGTTCAGAACCCTTGCTGGAGAGGTAGTGTCATCATTTGGAAGAATGAAGGCACTCTGGCTTTTGTGTTGTCAGGGTTCTTGTGCTTGTTTTTTCTCATCTTTAGGAGCTGATGTTCCTTCAGTCTTTAAAGTGGCTGCCCTTTGGATTTTTTGGTATCTTTTATTCAATTTATGCTCTTGAGGGTTTGACTGTGGTATAAGGTGGGTTCAGTCAACTGGCTTCACATCTCTAAGATTTTAGAGAGTTAAGGCTCCACTCCCAACTCTTGGACTGCATGTTCTAACTCTGGGGAACTTGTATCAGGCCTTGAATTTGTTTTCTGGCTCCTCAAGATTAGGAACCCACTGTGCTTGTGAGTTGAGGTGCTCCCAGACTGCAGGTCTGTACACTCCAATTGGTGGTGTCACCTAAAGCATTTCACAGGGTGGTGGCAGCAGGATCTATGTTGTGAACCTAAGTTCCTTATAAAACTCATGACCACATAATATATATGTGTTTTACTGCTCACAATGCTAAGCTTTCATTAAAAAGTATGTTTAATGTAGGTGTCATATAAGTATCAGTTTATTTTTAAGTTTAAATAAAATCTATGTAAGCCATCAACACGCTGTCTTGTATATGGTAGGTATTCAATAAATTTCTATTTTCTTTATCTCCTTTCCTCTTACATAGCATCACAAAATAGCTTCCTATTCCATTTTATTCAATTGTGTTCTAATTTGAAAAGCATCTAGACTTAATCAGAATTTTTCTTTAGTAGCTCTACCGCCTCCCTCATAGTTTCCTCATAGTAACTCACATTTTGTGGTGTTTAACAGTTTATAAAGTGGGTTTGCACGTTATTACCTTAGGTAGTAGATTATGTTATTATGTTATTTTCCACATTTTATACATAAAGAATATGATCTCTGAGAACTACCCTGTAATGTGAATATGATCTGTTGGTTATGTGGACTTTTGGGAAAATGATGGCAATCTTATTTCTGGTCAGTTTCATATCTTTCATTATCTTTGGTAATTTTTTTGTCAAGTCTGATATTGCTGATGCTTTTAAAAAATAATAATTTGTTTAATTAATTTGTAAATTAAATTTCCCCTTTTTTCACATTTAGCAATGTTTGCAGCATAATACCTTTCCCCCAGGCCTGAATATTTCTTTTGCTTTTCCTTGGTCTACATTCCTGAAACAATGCATATGTTTGCAGTACAGTGAAATGTCTGGCTCAGATAGCAAGACTTTTCTCTTATGCATATGGAAGCAATTGAATAAAAATACATCAAAAACTCCCTTTAGGTGAGAAACTCAAGATTCACACATTCATTCATAAATTCTAAACTATGGTTTTGGTCATTTGTTTTTGACTATTTATCTATAAAATCTAAAAGTTTGACAATGTTTGTGGGAAAACAGACAATTCTGTATGCTGTTGATAAAATTGTGAGTTGGATCAAATATTAGAAAGGAAAATTTGGTAATGTATATCAAAAGTTAAAATATTTTTTAATCAGCTATTACATCAACAACTTTTGAAAATTTATCCTATAACTATACTTACACACATGAGAAATAAGATATGCATACAGATTTTTTGTATAATTGTTTATGATGGCAATATATGAAACCAACCCCACTCAAATGCCAATGACAGGTGACTGGGTGAGTAAAATATGATGGCTAATAAAACACCAAAAGCATAATCCATGAAAAAAACTGATAAATTGGACTTCATTAAAATTAAAAACTTCTCTTCAGCAAAATATATGGTTAAGAGACTGAAAAGGAAACCTTACACTGACAAAATATTTGCAAAACAAATATATTTGGGCTAAAGGACTGGCATCCGAAATACATGAAAGACTCTTTTAAAAACAACAGGAAAATGATGATTTCTAAGGAAATCATCAGAATTATACACACAGATTTATTTGAAGAATGTTTACCATAATATTACTTAAATTTTTAAAAAATAAAATTATAAACCTATAAAACCAAGTTAAATACTTTAGTCTTATTTCATATCAACAAAAGGGAATATTATGCAGACATCAAGGTTATCTTGTATCAAGTAAAGCTACAATAAGACGCCACTAAATATCTATTAGAATAGCAAAAATCCAAGACACACAATATTAATTACTGGCAAGGATGCAGAGTAATAAGAACACTTGTTCATTACTAGTGGGAATGCGGAATGGTACAATCACTTTGGAAGACATTTTTATAATTTCTTATAAAGCTAGACATAATCTTACCATACAATCCAGCAATGAAGTCCTTAGATATTTATCCAACTTATTTGAAAATGTAAGTCAACCAAAAAGCTTTCCTATAAATATTTATAGCAGCTTTATTCATAATTGCCCCCAATTGAAAACAATCAGAATCCTTCAATAGGTAACTGGGTGAACACATTGTGGTACATTCTTACAACAGATAATTATTCAGCAATGAAAAAGAGTGAGCTGTCAAGCCACTGCAAAATTATACATGAATCATAAATACTTATAAGTAAAGTGATGTGAAAAAGCAAGATATTGTATTTCCTTTATAAGACAGTCTGGAAAAGGCAAAGTTATAGAATAATAAAAAGAACAGCAGTTGCCAGAAGTTGGGGTGTTTTCTAGACATTCAGTCTATGGGTGAAGTCAGGCAACTAAATAGATCCTAATGCATTATGAGTGCTCTTAGACAGAGTCAACAGAGAGATTTGTAAACCAAAGCATGGATCTTGACCTTGAATCTCTCACGGATATATAGAAACTTCTTGACTACCCTGCGAAACAAAACAAATTGTTTGAAAATCCTATAAAACATGATTCAGTGGACTTACTGAAAATTTGTTCATATGTCTCTCATGTTATATTTTTCATGCTTTCCTGTATCATCAAGCTACCACCAAAACCAGTCTATTTTATGATACTTCATCTAAGATACTCATTCCCTAGAGAAATAAAATTAGATACTTTCAAATTTATTTTCTCTGTTTTGAACCCAAAACTGTTATCGAATGTGGAGAACACATAAATGTGCGTGCGTGTGTGTGTGTGTGTCCGTGTGTGTGTGTGTATCTATCTATAAAGTCTTGGTCTCAGAACATGAGGTTGAGAATAAAAGAAAAATATATCTGCCTGGATAGGAAGAAACAAGAAGAAAAACCCCTCCACAACCAAAGCTAATGTAAAATTACACCGAATAAACTAGAACTTTGACACAGCATTATAAAATAGAATTTCAATGTAGAGCTTAAATTTATGTTTTCATTTCCTTACACAAATACAGTAATTGTAATATGTGATGTCTGTTTTATGTACTGAGTAGAAAATACCCATATAATATCAGTCTTCAAAGACAATTCGATTGATATTTCCAATTGTTAGGTATGTTACCATATTTAAAGATTTCTTGAGATATTCTTTCAGGATTTGAAATCTTCCAGAAATCATTTCATAGTTAACTAATTAATATTTTTTTATGCTTGCCTCTAAAGTATCTGAAAGCTTTGATCCAAATTTCTTGATACTTTTAGATACTATTGCCAGGCTTAAAAGCAAAAACAATATGGAGAGTTTATCAGCGATTGGTCACAGTTTTTTCTTGAAATCATTTGTGTCATGATTTTTTCTTATTGTGATTCAAATACTTGGACAAATAGAGAAATATATCCTGTGATTTTCAGTCTTTTCATCAACCTTCTCTTTGTTTCCTTGGAGAAAAATAAATTATAACATCACAATACCCCTTATCCCTTAAAACAATGATAGAAACCCTGTATTTAACCTACAATACACTAGTATGTAATTTTTGGCATGGTATTTAATTTATCTAAGTCTCAATTTCTTTGCCCATAAAATGGTGGATATTTTATAGGTTACTATATTAACCTATATAATAATGGATATTTTATAGGTTACTATATTACATAAGTAATACATCAAAATGCTGTGTCTGGCACATAGTAATAAACACTAAGTAAATACTGCCTTTTAAATTTATTATTATTATTATTATCATAATTATTTTTGGTTGGTGTGTCTATTATAAGTACTTTTTGGTAGTTTAGAGTAAAACATGTCATGCCATACTCAAATACCTAGGGTTTAAAATAAAGCAAAATGAATAAATTATTTATAAAGTATAGTAATGAAGAAGCAGCATGAACATGGAATTACACTTCACGATGTCTTTGTTTCTGCTGGAGAAGTAGCAATCATGTACCCTCTGCTAGGGTAGAATTACTGCCAACCAAATTATAGTTGGCAGAGAGTTGCAGCTGCATTCATCTACAACAGACGGAAGATGCCAAGTGTCAATGAAGAAAATAGACTTACCGTGGCTAACAATCCCAAGACTTTCTTTCTACTTTTCTTTAAATCTCATTTTTATATCTCACTTTTTAAAATTTATTAATATTCTTTATCTCATATATTTGTGAGATATATTCTTTATCTCATATATTTATTTGTAAGCTACATTTCTCTATCATTACCAGTTTTTCAGATTAAAGTTTTCCTTCTTTAGAAATGGTGCCATTATGAGGAGAGAAAAATATTTATTTAATTATTAATGAAATGGAGTATTATTTGGTTAATAAAACAGCATCCTCCAAGTAACTTTAACACTTAAATCACTCTCACAAGCATTCATTTTATGAATCTAATTTAGGGGAGACATCACAAATAGGCGTATAAATATATGCATTGCTTGTCTTATAAATAATGCTTATTTATCTTGATGAGTCTTTAAGAGTTTTGAATTGTGGGACAGTTTTATTTATTTATTTATTTATTTATCTTAAATGTGCATTCTAAGAGTACCTTGCATAATGCCTGACACATAAAAAGTTCCCAATAAAAAGGTTTTACTTAAGTGATTTCACAGATTTCCTCCATTTGTCTATGAAATTTATTCCAGATAATTATGTTATCATTACAGGCTTTAGACTCATCGGTGTTAGAAAACGCTCTGTTTCTTAAATAAAATAAAATCCAGAATAGCTAAATTAGTACAGGAAATCAGTTGAGAAAAATCTGTTAAAATTTGTCCTCGTGTTTCTTTAACTCTTTTTCAGGTTTTCTTGACCTTGGTATCATCATCAAAATCAGACTCAAAAGGCAAGGCTGCTCCCTCTTGCCCTCTCTGAACTTAACATGTAATAAAATAAATGCCGTTCAGATAATCTCCTTCAGGACAATTGAGACTGGCTGTATTTTTTTAAATTCAGTAAAATACTATGGATAACCAAATAAAAATAAATCCAAAACATATTAGTAATGAACACAATGTGCTTATAGATGGGAATTTTAAAAATTAACATTTCCTATCATTTTGTTTGAAATATTTCAAGTTCTAGTACATTCTTTTCATGAGCAAAAGTATTGTAACACCCTATTCTTAAAGTATCCTTTTAGAAATCATGTCTTTGTAAAACGCAGACCAATAAGTTCAAACACTCTCTATAAATAAGAACCACCCAACCACATCCAGAATCCTATCTTAGAGGCACACTTTTATCCATGAGATTGCCTCCTGGAAAAGCATTTTGCTTAGGTATTTCCATATGCACTTACAGTGAGGGTACAGATATTACTTAAGAGAACAATGATACATTAATGCAAAAAGTATAGAATTTTCAAAAAGATACACAAACACACACACATATATATATACACATACATGCACATACATGCACACACACACAGTAATAAAAGAATATCTTTTTTCTCCAGTAATCTGATAAAATACCTTTTTAAAACGAATGGCCACCTGCTGGTGATGCACCTCCCCTCTTTGCTTCAGTTATCTGAATCCTACTTTCAGGCCTCTGTCACTCACTGTTTGCATTTATCTCTTTCTCCCTCCGTTTATAATCTTGTCATTTGTCTATGCAAAATTTGGGGCTCCTCTAACTCATATGTGCCTGTCTTGGTCACCAGTTCCCATGGTCACACCCTAAACCACTATTTTTCAAACTACATGTTTTGGCCTTTAATGAGTCATGAAAATGGGCATATAATAATAAGCATATTAAAAACAGAATAGAATAGAAAATATTTAATATTTTCTAATGTAGTATGGATTAAAATTGTTTTCAAAAATTTTTTATTCAAATATATGTATGTTTATGTAGTATGTCTCAATGTAAAAATGTAAAATATGAGTGTTCCAAAAGCCTAATGGCAATTTCAAACTAAGACTTTTAGGATGTTCTCAATTTCTTTATTTTTATTTCTATTTTTAATTATTATGGGTACACAATAGTTGTATATATTTGTGAGACACATGTGATGTACGTGTACAAATGTCAAATCAAAATGGATTAAAGACTTAAATCTAAGACCTGACACTATGATAGTAGTAGAAGAAAACATTGGGGAAATGCTTGATAACATCGGTCTGGGCAAAGATTTTTTGAGTAAGACCTCAAAAGCACGGTCAAAGAAAGCAAACATGGACAAATGGGATTACATCAAGCTAAAAAGCTTCTGCATATCCAAGGAAACAATCAACACAGTAAAGAGACAACCCACAGAATGGGAGAAAATATTTGCAAACTATCCTGTTTCTAATATTGGATCACAAGCCAAAAAGTTTGTTAACTACTATCATAGACTTTGTTATTAATAACCACATCACCGTAAAACCATAACATAAGAAATCCTACTTTGTGACTACAAAATCCTATTGGTCCAAGTGATGCAATGTTAAATACCAGAATCTTCAGTCTTGCAAATTTTAACCATTATTTCTCCATGTGTCTCCACATTCTTTCTTACTTAGCTTAATTTCAATTACTATTGTTACAGACATTTACTTGCACACAGCTTCACTATGTTGGCATGCTCTCTGTCTTGCTTCTACTTACCTCACAAAACTTAAATTTTATATAATTCTAACTATCCACTTAGTCTTTGCCAGTCCTCAAACAGCTTAAAGTTTCTAAAGACAAATAACCATAATGAGTGATCAGTCTTGAGAGAAGAGAGACAGACCCTCTCATATTGTTTTATATTGTTTTATACACAGAAAAGGAAAGCGAAGCAAAACTAAAGGCAGGTAGCCTGGTGCCTAGGAACCAGACCTGAAACCAGGGAACCAGACCCGAAACCAGGCCTGGGCCTGCCTGACCTAAGCCTGGTAGTTAAAATTCGACCCCTGACCTAGCAACTGATGTTATATATAGATTATAGAAAGACATTGTGAAACTTCCCAGTCTGTTCTGTTTCACTCTGACCACTGGTGCATGCAGCCCCTGTCATGTACCCCCTGCTTGCTCAATTGATCACGACCCTCTCACACAGACCCCTGTAGAGTTGTGAGCCCTTAAAAGGGATAGGAATTGCTCACTTGGGGAGTTCGGCTCTTGAGACAGGAGTCTTGCCAATGCTCCCGGCCAAATAAACTCCTTCCTTCTTTAACTTGGTGTCTAAGGAGTTTTGTCTGCGGCTCATCCTGCTACAGTTCACTTCAAACACGGCTACAAACACCAAACATATATGTTTCTGTATATTCTTCTGGTCGGTCTACTCTTCCACTCATTTGGTTGTGTATTTTATACTTCCTTTTACCTTCTCTAACCTCTCATAATGCTTTCTTACACTCAAACTTCTTACTTCTCATAACAATATAATCTTCATATTTCACTAGAAAGTAGGTACAATAAGAATATAATTTCAAACCACTTCAACCACAACACATGTAAACCTATTTGTATTTATACCTATGTAATCTTTCTTCCTTCCATGGATAAAAGTTTGTGCTCCTTTTTGAGGTCAATTCTCTCCAAAAAAAAAAAAAAAAAAAAAAAAAAACTGGATCCCAGCACCCAGCACCTACAGGCTACCTAGGAAATTTGCTTCTGTTATTTATCCACTCTCCAGTTTTGACAGGTGCCAAATGTAGGAAATATTAAAAAACAAAAACACACACAAAAAATTATCAAATGCTGCAGAAAACTTGAAGTAGGTGAGGCCTGTTTGAGACTATTCAATTTGGCAACACAGAAATTATTGATGACAATTATTGGTGACCTTGGGGGAGGGAAAAAAGGATTCTGTAGTAAAAGATAATAGGAATAAAGTATTTTTAACTGTAGAATTTTTATAAAATGGAGGAAATTATCTAATTTTAATTAAATAAATTTCTTTATAAAGAGAGGGGATAAATAACAAAAACAAATTTGTTAAGTAGCCTGGACAAACACTTGATCAGGTCATGAAGGCTCTCCCCTCATGAATGGAATTAGTGACTTTATAACAAGGCCTGAGGGATTCTTTTTCTCCCCCCTTATTGCCTTGCTTTCCCGTGAAGACACAGCAACAAAACAGCACCTGTGAAGCAAACAGCAAGCCTTCCCCAGCCACCAAGTGTGCCAGCACCTTCATCTTGCAATTCCCTCAATTCCCTGTCTCTAAGACTGTGATGAATAAATGTCTATTATTTATAAATCAAATGTATTTTGTTATAGCAGTCTGGAACAGACTAAGACAGACTATGTATATTTTACAATGTTATAAAAATTAAATAAATTATTGTAAGACAATTAATAAAAATAAAAAGAGAAATTGGCCAGGCATGGGAGCTCACACCTGTACTTCCACCACTTTGGGAGGATAAAGAGGGTGGATCACCTGAGGTCGGAAGTTCAAGACCAGCCTGGCCAGCATGGCGAAATCCCATCTCTACTAAAAATACAAAAATTAGGCTGATGTGGTAGCATGTGCCTGTAGTTCCAGCTACTCGGGACACTGAGGCAGGAAAATCACTTGAACCTAGGAGGCAGGGGCGGCAGTGAGCCAAGATTGAGCCACTGCACTCCAGCCTGGGCAACGGAGCAAGACTCCTTCTCAAAAAAATAAAATAAAAATAAAAAATATATTAAAAAAAAGGGAAATTAAACAAATGAACATAATTTGTGTTCATTTGGTAGCATAATATATACACAGAGAAATATTCCAAGTGATCATTAAAAACAATTATTTGGCTGGGCATGATGGCTCATGCCTGTAATCCCAGTACTTTGGGAGGCTGAGGCGGGCGGATCACAAGGTCAGGAGTTCGAGACCAGCCTGGCCAACATAGTGAAATACCGTCTCCACTAAAAATACAAAAAATTAGCCAGGCATGTTGGTGGGTGCCTGTAATCCCAGCTACTCAGGAGGCTAAGGCAGGAGAATCACTTCAACCCAGGAGGCGGAGGTTGCAGTGAGCTGAGATCATGCCGCTACACTCCAGCCTGGGCAACAGAGCAATACTCCATCTCAAAAAAAAAAAAAAAAAAAAAAAAAAATATATATATATATATATATATAAAATTTAACTATATCTTCCTTAAGCACAAAGAGAAAAGCTAAAATATCTTAAACTGCTCTTGGCAATTATATCTATGGTGGGGTGATGTTTATACTTTTATTCTAAGACAATTATTTTGTTTGTGCATCCACATGCACACACATGCCCAGGTACACACGCACTGTGGAAATATCAGTGAAGTAATGACATTTATGTCTTTAAGAATTGAATGTTTTAGAGTGGTTAAAAAGAGATAAAGTAAAAAATTAATATATTGTGATAGTTAATGTTATGTTTCAATTAAACAGGATCAGAGAATGCCCAAGTTAAACATTATTTCTGGGTTTGTCTATGAGGATGTTTCTGGATGAGATTAGCATCTGAATAGGTGAACTCAGTAAAGTGGTTTGCTCTCCTCAGTGTAGCTGAGCATCATCCAATCAATGGCTCAAACGCCAAATCAAATAAACTCTCACTGGTCAAAGTCAGGACAATTTAAATATCAAATAGATTTAAATCCATAAGTTCATAAAGATTCAAGCAAACAAACAAATATATGCCTCATTGGTCACTTTCAGAGGACATTTAATAAAAGGAAAGATTGCAATACTTATCTGTACTCTTGTGTAATCAAAATGTTGATGAGAGAAAGAATCTCTTTACAGTAGTATTCCAGCCAAAACTGAAGAAGAAATTTGAATTTTCAAATTAGTGAATCATACAGTTATAATTAGTAACTAATAATTATAACTGTTACAAAAACAGAGAGAACAAGACATTGGTTATCACATGATGGTAATACATCACACAATCTCTATAGTAGCCTAGTCCCCTAAAAGCAAAAAAAAATCAATTAGTATTATCAATTTACAGGATATGTAGACATTAATTTCAAATAGAAAAAGAAAAGAAAAAAGAGAGAGAGAAGAGTATTCTCAAATCAAAAGAAACTTATCAGGCATATCAATAGATTACAATGTATAGATTTTCCTAGATTTTTATTCAAATACACATAAGCAAAAACACATTGTAAGTCATTCAGAGAAATACAAACACCAAATGAATTTTGATTTTGTTATTGTTAATTTAGTGAGATAATGATATTGCAATTAAAAAATTTAAGGAGTTCTTATACTTTAGAATATGTATTGAAGTATTTATAGATCAGTAAGGAGATATCTGGAATTTGCATCAAAGCAATTCAAAGGAAGAGACAAGGGGTATCTGGAACAAGCTTGGCTATGTTTTCAAGTTATGGAGGTGAATAGTGCATAAATCAGATTCATTGTATTGCCTTTTCAACAGTTGCATGTTTCATGCAAAAAATAAATACAAGAAAAGTTCAAAAGATAAACACAAGATTTCATGGTTAATTTTATCTCAAAACACACATTCAATCTGTCAGATAATTATTCTCCACTTTGCTTCCAAAATTATTCAGAATCTCATCATTTCTACCAAGGTTTATTACTGCCACCAGACCAAAGTTTCATTATCTATTTCCTTGAAACTTCCAGGCCCCCACCTTGCCTCCCTGCTTTCACTCTCACCTTTCTATAGGCTGTTCTCAAACCAAGAATTTAAAAATGTAAGGCAGGTTTGGTAGCCCTCTGCTCAAAATTCCCCAAGGGCCTCTCTTCATCACATTTGGAATAAGTTCCTTAACTTGGCTCTCAAGGCTCCTCCCCACACTACCTCTTCCACAGCATTTCCTACCACTCTGCTCACTCTCTCCACATTCTGGTTTTCAATCATTTGCAGCACACTATGATCTCTAGGCTTTGCCTTGCTTTTTTCTCTGCTCTTACACTCCTTCTCTCACTATTTGCTTGGCTTGCTCCCTTGTGTCTTTTAGTTCGTGGTTCAAATGTCACACCTTCAGAGACATCTGCCTGACTACCCTATGTAAAATAATACCACTTTGCAATCTCTAAGCACTTAAGCTGCTTAATTTTTTGTATCACATGTTGTCATGTATTTATTTGTGAACAAGAACTTTCTTTACCACTGGACTACTGGCATCTAGAGTATCATCTGACGCATAGGAATAATTAACAAATATTTAATTGATAGAGTGAATAAATAGATTTGTTTAACAGAATAATAGTTCATTAGTAAGAACTTGCTTAAGTCTTTATAAGGCATCCAGAAGAGTATTTGATATTTTGCATAATTATCTCATTTAATCTATATATCAACTCTATGAAGTAGGCACTATGATCATCTATTTTTATTAAGAAGAAAAAATAACTGACACTCGTGGAGTTTAAAAATACCTATAACCCCATGGGGGGGAAAAAAGATACAGCATACATTTAAACCTAAATGAGTGTAATTTCAAAGCATTTGGTCTTTTTACTATATGATTCTACCACATACAAAGCACATCAGCCAGGTTCAGGCTTTCTGAAAAAAAATACATCAAGCTTCTGTTACAACAAAGAACAAGTGATCAAATGGAACAAATAGGTATGATGTTACCCCATTAGATATTTATCTGTTTATTCACCACCATTGAAGTATTCTCTTTACAGCTGGTCTCTTTGGGAGCCTTAACTCTCTGTTTGATATGTTCTTTCTGTAAACCCACAAAAGAAACCAGCATTTACCTGATCCCAAATAATGAAAGTGCAGAAAAATCAATAATGGTAAAAGAATAGCTACCTTCCGATTATGTTTTCTAGCAACAACTGCAACAAAAAGGAAAAATACAAGGTTCACTAAGATGCCGCTATTTTGTACTAAACTGATATTATTAGGATGTTCTCTCTGTGAAAAATTGCCCTGTTTTTCCAGCATTAACTTGCAGTAAAAATAAAGCCAAAGTTCATATACGTTTGCCTTAGATCCTGTAAGATCTACTGGTGCAAGGAAAAGATTTGCAGTCCTGGGTTCCAGACCTGTATCTACCTTTTTGGATTTTCAAAGAAACACCATTTCAAAGCCTACTTAGCTACAGTGTATTATGAGAATAAAGTTAAATAAGAGGCTCAGGTAAAGTTCCAAGAACTAATTGGTAGTTATTACAGGACTTGACATATTTTATGTTGTTTAATTCTCACAAAAGTTCTCTTACAGGTATCTTAGAGGAAATCCAGATGACATACCTCCAGGCCTACCAAAGTTCTCAATAAATACTTAATATCCAAGTTCTAAAATTAATAATATCACACAATATAGAGTTTTTTTCTTAAGCTTATTGTTTTCAGATTCTACATAATTTCCTTCAAGAGTCGTAATTTCAAATATCATGAAGAGGTAGGCAAGACCACAGAGGTGGGTCTGGGTTAGACCTTTAGCAAGAATGACCAGTTAGGTAAGGTTTAAGCTTGTTTTCCTGTCATTTTACTATCTAAACAGTGTACAAGGAATGCAAATAATGTATATAAGGCCAAGAATACAAGCAAATGTACCATCATTTTTACTGTTCCCTAGTTCTAAACAGTGTGCCAATGGAGTTCAGTGGTTTTAGCCACTTACTTGGTCAGAGGAAGCCAGAACTTTGACTTAAATTTAAGACCTGAAACTGTGAAACTACTCGAAGAAAACAATGGGGAAAATCTCTAGGACATTTTTCTGGGCAAAAATTTCCTGAGTAAAATACCCTACAAGCACCTACAAGAACAGGCAATCAAAGCAAAAATGGATAAGTGGGATCACATCAAGTTAAAAAGTTTTTCTGCGCAGCAAAAGAAACAATCAACAAAGCAAACAGATAACCCACATAATGGAAGAAAATCCTTGCAGACTACCCATCTGACAAGGGTTTAATAACCAGAATATATAAGGAGCTCAAACTACTCTATAGGGAAAAAACCTAATAATCTGATTAAAAATGGACAAAAGATCTGAAAAGATTTCTCAAAGAAGACATACAAATGAAAAACAGGTATATGAAAATGTGCTTAACATCACTGATCATCACATAAATGAAAATCAAAACTACAATAAGATGTCATCTCATCCCAGTTAAAATGGCTTATAACCAAAAGACAGGCAGTAACTGGAGAGGATAGGGAGAAAAGAGAATCTTCATACACTGTTGGTGGGAATGTAAATTAGTACAATTACTATGGAGAAGAGTTTGGAGGCTCCTCAAAAAACTATAAATAGAGCTACCATATGACCCAGCAATCCCGCTGCTGGGTATATATCCAAAAAAGGAAATCAGTATGTTGAAGACATATCTCCATTCCTATGTGTGTTGCTGCATTCTTCACAATAGCCAAGATTTGGAAGCAGCCTATGTGTCTGTCAACTGATGAATGGATAAAGAAAATATGGTACATATATATAATGGAATACTATTCATCCATAAAGGATAATGAGATCCTGTCATTTGCAACAACATGGATGGAACTGGAAGTCATTATGTTAAGTGAAATAAGCCAGACACAGAAAGAAAAACATCACATATTCTCACTTATTTGCAGGATCTAAAAATCAAAACAATTAAACTCATGGAGATAGAGAGTAGAAAGATGGTAACCACAGTCTGAGAAGGGTAGCGCTGGGGTCGGGGATTGATGAGAATGGTTAATGGGTAAGAAAAGTTAGAAAGAATGAATAAGATCAAGTATTTGATAGCACAAGGTGATTATAGTAAAAATAAATTATTTGTACATTTAAAAATAACTAAAAGAGTATAACTGGATTGTTTGTAACACAAAGGATAAATGTTAGAAGAAATGGATATTCTATTTTCCATGATGTGATTATTGCACATTTCATTACTGTATCAAAATATCTCACAAACTCCATAAATACATATACCTACTATACCTACTATGTACCCACAAAAATTAAACATTAAAAAAGGCATTTGATTATCTTGTTTATATTCTATGCTCTGCAGGAAGAACTGCAATTTATTTTATCTCATTTTATTTTATTTCATTCTATTTGAGATGAAGGTCTTGATATGCTGCCCAGGCTAGCCTCAAACTGCTGGACTCAAGCAATCCTCCTGCCTCAACTCCTCACCTTCTCACCCCAAGTAGCTGGAATTAAAGGCATGCAATACCTTGCCCAGCTTGAGAACTTAATTTTACATAATACTTAGGTATGTGACTATCCAATATTTAGAAAAATCTCTATTAATACAATATCTCTAATAAACCAATATTTTCTTAAATGGTGAATTTTACTAACTTGCCCCTAGAGTTTGGTACTCAGATATGTATTGTTACATGGTATTAATATTACCCTAAATGAAGGCACTATTCATCACATATGTGGTAGATATGACACAACCAAGGTACAGAATCAAGACCCCAAAATATCCAAAAAATGTTGAATAATAAGCTAAAATATACAAGATGGTATTTGTGGGTACAAATATAATCTTGTTCCCTCAGGTACAGAAGCAAATTCTCACACAGAGAGGATGGCACTTATGTAGCATGATATAAATGTTGTCATCATCACTTTATCTTATTTCTTGAATAATTCTATCTACCTGGTACTGAATATGTGATTTATATTAGTTTGTGTACTATATGTGGTAGATCTGTTATGTTTATCTTACAGATTAGGAAATAGAAGCTAAGTGTATCTGCTGAAGTTTACACTTCTAGTAAGTTGGATCTAGGATTCTAATGCACATAGTTTTTTTCCCCAGGGCCTGCAATCTTACAGCCTATGGTAAATTAATGAGTTTTATGTATGTTACAGCTGCTATAAAAATGAATGACACCATAGGCTACATAAAAAGAAGTAGATGAATTGAGGAGACAACAGGTTCACAGTTTACTTTACAATAACCCAGGTAATTTGCCACGGAGCCAGGTTTGAACTAGGATTGCCACCATTCTAACCATGCTTTTAAACATTCTGTTATGCTGCCACAAATGTAATGCCACCTCCAACATGGCTAGAGTCAATTTAGTGTCTTTTCCTTATCACAAGATTCTTACATCAATCAGAGACTTTAGAGAAATAAGTTTATAGGATTCATTTAGAATTAATATTCTCACACAAGTAACCTTAATCTACCCTAGAGTGTATACTTTCTAAAGTATACTTTGCGCTTATTGAAGGTCTTCCCACCACAGAAGTGCACCAAAGTTTGAATACTATCCACTGAGAACCCCTGCCCCGTGTGAGAAATTTATTATCGGAGGATTTGTACTTATAAAAATGGCTTACTACTGTTATATCAAAAATGCATAATTCAGAGCATCTAGGCAAATTGTGCATTTTAAATTTTAGTTTGAAAGAATACTTAATAATAATAATAATATCGAAGAGCATTAACAGCTCTATTTGAAAAAAGCAGCTATCTTCAATTAAAAAATACATATATGAAGCATGCTATGTGCTTGTTGATATTATTCTTAAAAATAAGATCTAATTGCAAAAGCTTTGCTTCTAAATGCAAAAAAAATCATTCTGAAGTATTATTTCATTATCCCTAATAAAATACTGCATATTTAATACATGTAGTATCAAATGGGATTAGGTGAAGAAATGCTTCAGTGAAATCATTCCGAAGACAGTTTTTGTAAAAAGCCAAAGTACCAACATCTTGCATAACAGCACTGAGATCTAGATGTGCTTCATTATATACGAGAGAAGGAGCACAGTCAGTCAGGATGCTTAGAATTCCACAGCTTCTCCTTCACAATCTGTCTGTTATTATTGAGAAATGAAATAAAAAGATGCTATCTATAAATACAATGATAAAGAGATTCATAAGTGAAATATTTCGTATTATAGGTAGTAAAGATAAATGAAAACACTTCATTGGTCAGAGATTGTTCAAGGCCAAGAAATCTTGGGAGGAAACTTGTGGATACACACAAAGAAACTCTAAAATGTGAGTAAAAATATGAAGTATTCCTCATTAGATTGAAAAAAACAAAAACAAAATTATGTGTTGTATTAGTTTGCTTTCATGGTGCTGATAAAGACATACCCAAAACTGGAAACAAAAAGAGGTTTAATTGGACTTACAGTTCCACGTGTTTGGGGAGGCCTCAGAATCATGGCGGAGGCAAGAGGCACTTTTTACATGGCGGCAGCAAGAGAAATTTGAGGGAAAAGCAAAAGCGGAAATCCCTGATAAACCCATCAGATCTCATGAGGCTTATTCACTATCAAGAAAATACAGCCCCCATGATTCAATTACCTCCCCCTGGGTCCCTCCCACAACATGTGAGAAATCTGGAAGATACAATTCAAGTTGACATTTGGGTGGGGACACAGCTAAACCATATCATTCTGCCCCTGGCCCCTCCATATCTCAATTCTTGACTTATGTCCACCCACAGGCTCAACATCACATGGAAGCTGCCACGGCTTGGGGCTTCCACCCTCTGTAGCCACAGCCTGAGCTCTATATTGGCCCCTTTCAGCCATGGTTGGAGTGGCTGGGACACAGGGCACCAAGTCCCTAGGCTGCACACAGCTTGGGACCCTGGGCTCAGCCCACAAAACCACTTTTTCCTTCTGGGCTTCCAGGCCTGTGATGGGAGGGGCTGCTGTGAAGGTCTCTGACATGGCCTGGAGACATTTTCCTTATGGTCTTGAGCTTTAACATTAGGCTCATGATTACTTATGCAAATTTCTGCAGCTGGCATGAATTTCTCCTCAAATAAATGAGTTTTTCTTTTCTACTACTACATCAGGCTGCAAAGTTTCTGAACTTTTATGATCTGTTTCCCATTTAAAATGGGAGGCTTTTAACAGCACTCAAGTCACCTTTTGAATGCTTTGCTGCTTAGAAATTTCTTCCACCAGATACCCTAAATCATCTCTCTCAAGTTCAAAGTTCCACAAATCTCTAGGGCAGGGGCAAAATGCTGCCAGTCTCTTTGCTAAAACATAACGAGAGTCACCTTTGCTCCAGTTCCCAGCAAGTTCTTCATCTCCATCTGAGACCACCTCAGCCTGGACCTTATTGTTCATATCACTATCAGCATTTTTGACAAAGGCATTCAACAAGTCTCTAGGAGGTTCCAAACTTTCCCACATTTTCCTGTCTTCTTCTGAGCCCTCCAAACTATTCCAAACTCTGCCTATTACCCAGTTCCAAAGTCATTTCCACATTTTTGGGTATCTTTTCAGCAATGCCCCATGCTACTGGTACCAATTTACTGTTATTAGTTTGTTTCCACACTTCTGATAAAAACATATCAAAAACTGGGAATAAAAATAAGTTGTATTGGACTTACAGTTCCACATGACTGGGGAGGCCTCAGAATCATGGCAGGAGGCAAAAGGCACTTCTTACACGGTGGCAGCAAAAGAAATGAGAAAGACGCAAAAGGAGAAACCCCTGAAAAATCCATCAGATATTGTGAGACTTATTGACTATCACGAGAATAGCACAGGAAAAACCAGCCCCCATGATTCAATTACCTCCCTCTGGGTCCCTCCCACAACACATGGGAATTCTGGGAGATACACTTCAAGTTGAGATTTGGGTGGGGACACAGCCAAACCATATCATGTGTTAACAATGATTTGTTAACCAATTACAGCTTTTCCTGATAGTCATAATAATATGAGATTTTTAATAAAAAGATGAACACTTGAAAAAAATTTTAAACAATACCAAGTACAGAATCAAAAGTCAGAAGAATGAAGAAAATGCAAATGCTATGCTCACCATTATTCTTTCTGTGTGCTTTTTAGTTAAAAGAAAGGTAGATATATAGCCTTTGAGAATTAAAATTTAATATCTCAGAAAAATAACTGAAAATAACAGTAAAATTATAATTTACTGGCATGATTTATATTCTACCACCCCCAGTTAGTACTGTACAAATAACTATTTGTCCAGTTGTAAAATCAGAATTACATATTCCTTACAGTGTTGTGGGAGTTGAATTAGATAATGTATATAAGCATCTAGCATATAACAATCATATCACAATGAATGAAAGCTTTTGTGAAGCTATGGGATGCTTACAGGAAACTGCTAATATAATATTTCTAACAATAAAACTGAATTACAGGAATTGCATTAATAAACTTACTTTTTTTTTTAAGTTGCCTGTAGTAAAAGTCTCTGTTTGGGTATAGAATCCCATGAGTTTTAACACTCATAGATTCATGTAACCAATACCACTAACATAAGGCAGAATAATTCTAGCACCCCTAATGATTTCTTCATGATAGACTCAACTTCGAGCCCTAATCCCTGGAAACCACAAAAAGTTTCACTATCATTAAAGCTTTACCTTTATCAGTATATCAAGTGAATGGAATCATACAGTATATAACATTTTGAGTCTGTCATCTTTCACTTAGCATAAAACATTTGATATTTATCTAAGTTGTTGCATGTGTAGGAACAGTTTGTTCCTTCTTATTTCAGAGAATATTCCTTTATATGCATATGTCAAAATTTATCAAGTTAGTCATTAAGGGACATTTACATTGTTTCTAGTTTTTAGTGGTTACAATTAATGCTGTTATAAGCTTGTATGTACAGCAGGGTTTCTCAATGTCAGCATTATTGATAATTTGGGCTGGATAGCTCTTTGCTATGGGGAACAGTTTTGTGCACTACAGGATGTTTAGTAGGATCCCTGTCTTGTACACACCAGATGCCGGTAGCACCCTCCTCTCCAGATGGAAAAGCCAAAAATGTTTCCAGACAATCTCTCATTGGGTGAAAATTACCCCCAGATGTTCAGGTTTTCTGTGAACATATGTTTTGCATTCTCCAGAATAAATAGTTATAAATGTGATTATTGAGATATAAGAGAATTCTATTTTTAAGTTTGTAATTAACTTTCAAACTGTTTACTAGTGTCTGTAGCATTTGTATTTCTCTAGCAAAGCAATGCAGGAGCTATTCAGTTATCCTTCATTCTTATAGTCCTTGTTGTCAGAACTCTTTTTGTTTGTTTGTTTTTTTCTCTGCTATCCATATGTAACAAATGCCAATATTTTTATAGTAACCACTTGAATAAGTTTTTAATGGTGTCAAATTATGATATTAACTTGAATTTTCCTAGTGACTAATGAATTTGAATTTTTTTATGTGCTTATTTTACAACCAGATATTTTCTTTAATTAAGTGACTATTCAAATGTTTGACTAATTTCTGTTGGGTTGTTTGTTTTCCTAATGCTGATTTTTTTTTGTATTCTTTATTCTGGGCACAATTCCTTTTTCAAAATTATAATTTGTAAATATTTTCTACTACTTTTGCTTTGCTTTTTTTTTTTTTTTTTTTTTTTTTTTTTTTTTTTTTTTTTTTGAGACAGAACCTCACTCTATCACCCGGGCTGGGGTGTAGAGGTGCAATCTTGGCTCACTGCAACCTCCACCTCCCGGGTTCAAGGGATTCTCCAGCCTCAGCCTCCCAGGTAGCTGGTATTACAGGCATGTGCCACCACACCCAGCTAATTTTGTGTTTTTAGTAGAGACGGGGTTTCACTGTGTTGGCCAGACTGGTCTCGAACTCCTGACCTCAGGTGATCCACCAGCCTCGGCTTCCCAAAGTGCTGGGATTACAGGCATGAGCCACCATGCCCAGCCTACTTTTGATTTACTTCTTTCTGTATAAAGTCCTTTAGAGAACATTTTTTTTTATTTTGATAAAGTCTAATTTATCTTCTTTTTTATTTTTTGGGTAACGCTTTGATTTTGCATTTATGAACTATCTGCTTAACCAATGTCATAAAGAACTTTTTCTATATTTTCTTCAGTGTTTTACATTTACAGTTAAATCCATGAACCATTTAAAGTTAATTTTTTGCATATGATATTACAGGTTCATTATTTTTGTATGTGAACGTCCAACTGTTCCAGCACCATTTGTTGAAAACTTTGCTCTTCTCCATATAATTGTCTTTGCACATTTGTCAAAAACAGTTGGCCATATTTGAAGGTCTGTATACTGTTCAATAGGTTTACATGTTTTATTTTGTCAGTACTATACTGTCTTCATTACTGTAGCTTCATAATATGACTTAATATCACATAACTCCAACTTTATTGTAATTTAAACAATTGTTTTGACAATTCAAGTTTTTGAGATTTCCATATAAATTTTGGAATAAAGTTTATGTATCTATCAGGAATTCTGCGAAGATTTTGACTGGGATTCCATTAACTCCATACATCATTTTGGAGAGAAGTGATCTTACTGTATCTTTCAGTTTTTAACAAAGTAAAACTATTATCCATTTATTTACATCCTCTCTGGTTTCTGTCATCAGTGTTTATAGATTTCACCATATATATTTTGCAAATATTTTGCTAAATCAGTACCTAAATATTTTATTAGGATGGGAAGCATATTGTAAAATGTAGTCTTTTTTTTTTCTTTCTAAGTTTCGGTTTCTAATTCTTAATTTTGGTGCATGATTGATTTTTTTTTGGCCTTTCTAAACTTACTTATGATCTCTTAAAGCTATTTAGTGTATTCACTGGTGTATTTTACTTATAAAATCATTGTATTTGTAAATTAGGGCAGTTTATTTCCCTTAACAATTAGAATACATTTATTTATTTTTTACTTTAGTGTACTTTCTAGAGCTTGCAGCACAATAATAAATAGGAGAGATCAAGAGTAGTCATATGTACCTGGATTGCAGGGAAAGTGCTCAGTCTTTCACTGCATGATAGCATCTGAGAAAAAAAAATTAGATATTTTTCTATTCATAGTGTTCTTCAATTTTTAAGACAAAAAATGGATTCTGAATTTTGTCAAATGCTTTTTCTGCAGCTATTGATATGATCATGTTTTTCTTTATTTAGTCTACTAATATAGTGGAAACGAATGATTAGCTTTCAAATGTTGAATTAGCATTGAATTCTGGTGTAAAACTATTTGGCCATGGTGTATCATACTCTCTATATATTGCGGTATTCCATTTTATAAAACGTGTTGAAGTAGCTCACAGTCATTTAACATATGAGGGATACTGGCCTCGAGTTTTCTTTTCATTCATTGTCGTTTTCTGGTCTTGGTATCAGAGTAACGTTGGCCTCATAAAATGAGTAGGGAAGTATTTCTTCTGCTATCATAAAAGATGATATACAACTGATACTAATTATTCCTTAAATGTTTGATAAAATTCTCCAGCAAATGTTTTCTTCTGCAGTGTTCTCTTTTGTTTGAAAAAATTTTTAACTAAAACTTTATGTTAAAAAATATAGCATCATAGATTATTAACTTATTTTTTATTGACTTTTAGCGGTTTCTGTCTTTCAAGGAATTGGCCCATTTCATCTGGGTAGTGGAACCAATGTGCATAGAGTCATTCAAGCTATTTTGTTATTATCCCTTTACCATCTATATTAATATTATTCCTCTTGTTGGCAATGTGTTGTCTTTCTTTTCTTATTGGAGAAACCGTCAAGAGGTTTATCAGTTTTATTGATGCTTTAAAAAATATTTTTGGCTTAATAAATTATTCTTTTGATTTTCTGTTCTTAATTTTAGTGATTCCTACTTTAATCTCTCTCATGTCCTTCTTTCTGCTTGGTTTAGCACTAGCTTTCTCTTCTTGTGCCTTAGGTGGTATCTAAAATTGCTGATTTAATATCCTGTTTTTCTAATGTGAGCATGTATTGCTATACATTTCCATCTCTGTAACATTTTAGCTGCATCTCATAAGTTTTGATATATTCTACTTCTACTTTCAAAATATTTTCTAGTTTCCTTTGAGACATATTCTTTGACATATGGATTATTTAGTTCTGTGTTAATTTCCAAATAGATGTGGACTTTCCAGACATCCTGTTATTGATTTTTAGTTTAATTTCCATATGACCAAAGAGTACATTTGGAATAAATCCAATTGTCTTATATTTATTAGTGTGTATTTTATGATCTAGAATGTGGTCTATCCTGCTGAATGTTTTATGTGCACTTTGTGTTAATGTGTATTCTGTTTTGCTGAGTGGAGTATTTCAGAAATGTCAGTTAATTCATCCTTGCTATTTTTTTTATTTTCATTCTATAGATTACAGATAGGTGAGTGTTGAAGTTTTCAAATATAATTGTAAATTTATCTACTGATCTTTCCAGTCTATCAGCTTTTGCTTTATGTATTTTGGATCTGGATTTAGGTGTATATAAATTTAGAAGTATTATGTTTTCTTAGTGAATTGACATCATCACTTTGTAATATTCCTCTTTGTCCCTAATAATTTCTTCATTCTAAAATTTAAAATTTGCTTTGCTTGATATTACTAAAGACACGTGAGCTGTTTTTTAAAATGGCTAGTGACATGATATTTTCTCTACCACACTATTTTAAATCAATATGCTTCAAGTGTATTGTTTATAAATAGTAGATAAAAAGGTATTTTAAAACATAAAATTAAAATGGCTTTTCTTTATATTTGGTATGCTTAGACTTACCTCCGATATTATTGATGGATTAAAGTCTGCCATTTTATTATTGGTCTTCTTGTGGGCCCTTCCTTTTTATTTCTGTTCCTCTGTGTTCCCTTTTTAAATTTTGCTTGTTTTTTAATGTTTTTTAGAATTCCATTTTGTCAACTGCAATTAAATATAGTTGCTGCTTTAGAGATTACAACACTCGTACAAAACCACTTCTTATTACTAAAAACAGTTCCTTACTCTCTTGCTTTTTTGATGTGACATCTACTTACATTGAAACTCCCATCAGAAAGTGTTATAATTTTAGCTTTCAACAGCCATACATAATTTAATAAACTTAAGCAGCAAAAAATGACCTATTTTACTAACCAGGTTTGGTTCTGTTATTTTATCTGACAATACCTTTATTTTGGCTTTATTCCAGAAAGAAATTTTTGCTAGTTGTAGGAATAAGATAACGTTTCTTTTCTATCAGTGATTTAAATATGTTGTTCAACTGTCTTCAATCTTCATGGTTTCTGGTGGATAATCTGAAGTAATTTGAATCTTTGTTTCTTTATATGATATGTACCACTTTTAAATTGGATGCTTCACAAAGATGTATTTTTTTATCTTTGGTTTCCAATAGTCTGACTTAGTGTGTCTGAGTGTAAATTTTTTGAATTCATCCTGTTAAGTTCACTGAGTTTGTTGAATTTTCCAACTTGTTTTTCCTCAAATTTGCAGAATTTGGGATCATTATTTCCTCACATATTTTTTGCATACCTATCTCTTTTTCTCTCTGACAGTCCAATGATACCAAGGTAAGACTTTTTGATATCATTTGATAGTTGCCTGAGGCTGTGTTTGCATCTTTCACAGTTTTTAGTTTCTCTGTTACTTAGGTTGGACAATTTATGTTGATCTGCCTAGAAGACCACCTCTGATGTTTGATCACTGCTACCACCTCTGCCTTGTATATGGTGTGGAAAGTAAAAAAGACTCTGCCCTGTGAGGCAGGATCCACTAAGCCAGTGACAAAGGGATGTTGCCTCAAAAAAAAAAGCTCTTTTTTCACAAGACAGTTTAAGAGTAGAACATGTAATTCTTACAAGTATAGCCATATTGCAGTTGAAAGCTAATCTATAGATTTGTGGTAGTCCTAAAGGAGACCTCACAGATAGAAGCACTGAAGGGGAAAACTTCTTAGTGAAAGAAAATGATTCCCTTGCCTGAAATATGAGAATAGAAATCTTGGATCAGGAAGAAGTGGATAGGGTGAAGAATAAATTTTCGATAGGCATTTAGTGTACAATTTATCAACATAAGGAGGAAGACAATTGGGGTAGAATTGAGGACTTTTTCAAACGTGTAAAAACAATAAACATTCCATTTGTAAGATCAGTAACGTATTTTAAAGCCTTTATTTTTACTTAAATAAAACCAAGAAGTATGAGGCAGAGAAAAACAGATTTCCATTTTTTTAAAAAAATGGTTTTATAGAAATTATAATGCAGGAAATAAGGCTACACTGTGAGGTGAAAGGTTTCCCATCCTGAATGTTTTAAGATAGTACAGCAGAAATTGGGCAACCACCTTGTAAGGATTGCACAAAGGGGAGTGCCACCCAGAGTTGAGAAGTTAGCAGATGATCAAACATCCCTTTCAACTCAAAAAAGCTAGAGTGATTTTAGTTACCTAAAAATAAAATCATTTACAAAAGGATAAAAACCAGAACAAAAGTAATGACTCAGAAAAATTTAAAATACTTGGTAAAAATAAATATTTAAAATAACACATTGTTTTGCTGATTTTCAAACTTCAGATCTAAAAATTTTCACCACCGAATCCCATAAATTAAACACATGCAGTATCATCTCTTACCAGCCAATCTATGTTTCATTTGGTTTATGAGTAATAAATAACAGAATATCTAGGTTACATTTATTATAAGAAATAATACCCTCCATAATATGTAGAGATAAATGTATTGACGAATAGGTTTAAATTTTTTTTAACATTGCTGATTAAGTTATATGTGAGTCAACAGAAGAGTCTGCCATAATTTTTAATATATATCAAATGTTTTTTAGAAAGCATACTCATTAACCATTTTATTTTTACTTGACTTGCAAATAAACAAAAATGAGTAATTTGATTTCATTATCTATGCAAACTGTCCCCATTTTTTAAAAGTCAAGGATCTTTAATAAATATCAATGCATACCCTTAGTATTCTATGGCCTCAATCTCTAAGGAAAACACAACAAAAGATTATTTACACTCTTATAATATTTTAACCAAGACTTATTGGTCACCTAATATGTGCCAGATGCTCTGATAGGCACTAGGTTATAAAATAAGGATATAGTCACTATTCTGAAGGAATCTGCAATCGAGGTAGATATACAAGCAAGAAGGTAAAGTCATAATAACAGTTATTTTAGAGTTTTTAATGTGTGGATTACACTTTGAAGTATTTTTATGTATTTATTTATTTGAGATTATAACAGTACTGTGAGATAGGCCCTGCTGATATAGCTGATTAAAAATCACAGACATGCTGCAATAATATTATAATCCTTATCTGCTGCAGGGGGTGAGTGCCACACATAAATTCCTAGTGGGCACAATGAAGGGGCATACGTCAGATTCTGTGTTCAACACTTTTTGGCATTCCATTCTCGGTGGAAAAGACAGATTAGCGTGCTTTAAAAAGCTGAATTTTCTGCTCCACTGTATAACTGGCATCCCATATATGATTTAGGATCCACCAATAATATTGCTTATATAAGCCTCTAAAAGTACTAAATTATTTGGGAAGAGAGGCAGAGTGCAGAAAATTTCTATTTTGACGATATATATCAACAAGCTGTGTAGTTCCAGAGCTGACCACTTCTCAATAAAGCACTTGACCCTGATTTGGCAGCCACCCAATTATGGCAGAGGTGGCTTGTTCTAGAGCTAGTGGCCACAGCAGCAGTTTCTTGGGTCTGCAAATCCTGGTAGAGGTAGCAGCTCCCTTGGCTTTGTTGAGCTGCAATTTTGGAAGTTTTCCTGGAAGTTTAGCTAAGAGTTCTTTTCATCAGTCTTCCTGGAAAACAATGTGAGCTCTTCCTAAAAATATTGTAAGCTGTTGATAACACTTAATAATTTTCTCCTTAAACTATTGTTATATTGTTATAAATTTGTTTAATACAGTTGCTGTCTCAGCATCCATTTTTAGTCCTGACATAAATTGTTTAAAACAATCATATCCTGTCACGTTTGGCTTAGTAAAAACTTACCTACCGTGTGGATGTGTTTGTGGTATAGCATTATTATTCCTTGTCCCACTGACCTGAAATCCAGCACACTCAACAGCTGCTGACGATGATAAAACCAGAGTCATGAAAATGTTTCCTCTTCCACATGTGTTTTTTAAACTACCCAGTCCTCACCTCTTGTGGGAAAGCCTAAAAAATAATGCTCATGGACTTTAGTAAAGATATAGTCCCACAGGTCCTTTCTCTCTCTCTTGCTCCCTGCCTGCTGGTTGAGCTCCATGCTGCCCCCAGACTTTTCCTGCCTCACCTCCCCATTGACACCACTAACCTCTCTGAGATCTGTAAATAATAAATTGCTTTCTGGTTCCAGCATTTTGGTTTCACCTCCTCATTGTAGCTCACCTAACTGACACACCTGAACCTAACTTTCCCTCTGTCAGGGTTCTCCTAGAGAGGGGCTGTCTTGGCTTATGGTTCCTCGCAACAGAGAACCCTCAAGACAAAATGAAAAAGAAATCAAAACAATGAAAAATCACAACTCTCTAGAATGTTTCTAATGTATTTACAATTTCTGACTAATTTTGAGCACCCTGTCCAGCCTGAGGGCAAAGAAATGGGATAAAGCAAGGATCTTGGAAGAAATAACTTCAGTGATGATCTTAAGGAAAGACTTCAAGAAAAGAAGGCTAAGAAGTCATCTGTGAAGTAGCAGTGTGTAGTATGTTCAGATGCATCAGAAAGTATCACATCCAGGGGATCATAAGTACTGGAATATTCACTATTGACATGGGATTACCTTGAAGTTTTATTTGAGACACGAAATTTCTCCTGAAAAGATTATGCAAAATATCTATATCATTTAATTAAAGCTTTCTGAGTTATGCTGGCATTAAAGACTCAACAATAGAATCTGATTAATGTAATTATAGCTTGTTACCTGTATGATTAAGGAAATATATGTTTGATACAGCACATCTCTCTAAAAGGAATGCACTTTGAGGTCAAATTTTTTTGTTGTCATTCTAGATTTTTTTTTTTTTTTTTTTTTTTTTTTTTGCCAAGAATTCCCATTATGCACTCTGTGGATTGTCCAGTGAAATCAATGCTTTGGCAAAAATAGTTTTTTTTTTTTTTTTTGGTCAACATGTATAGGACCACATTGAAGTTTATTCAATTCTGCTTCCTCTTTTTGAACAATGATTCAGTGCCAAATTTTGCTCTCACAGTTAACAGCCTACTTCCCTATCCACTCACCTTCTCTAGCCTCCGTGTCCTACAGATCCAACTAATACATTACCCTAATGTCCCACTCTACATGGAAAGTGTAGCCCAAAGGGTTAAACAATTTGCTCCAGTTCTTACAGAGTCAAAACCAGAAAGATCTGCCATACTCCAGAGACCTCACCTTAACTACCAAGTTTAGTTGCCAGGTTAACACCCAGAAAGAAACCATCTGAAGACAGCTGAAGGTTCTTAAAAAGAAGCACTTTGAATAGATGTATTAGTAGCTAATCTAAATCAAAGTAATTCTTCCTCTAATGTCATTCGGCCAGAGATATATTTTCTCCAACTAAGAGTATTCCTGATCACTAGACTTAACAATATAAACAAATAGAATCATGTAAATCTTTATGTGAATGTTCTTATAAAAATAGTCTTTTTATTTGAAATAAGATGGGAGGAAATGGGAAAGGAGAAAAAAGTAATTGTTAGAGAAACTGAGTTTACCAATTTTCTGTCTGATAATAATTTTTTTTTTTTTGAGATGGAGTCTCACTCTATTGCCCAGGCTGGAGAGCAGTGGCGCAATCTCGGCTCACTGCAACCTCCGCTTCCCAGGTTCAAGTGATTCTCCGGTCTCAGCCTCCTGAGTAGCTGGGATTACAGGCATGTGCCACCATGTCTGGCTAATTTTTTGTATTTTTTAGTGGAGATGTGGTTTCACCATGCTGGTCAAGCTGGTCTTGAACTCCTGACCACTTTGGCCTCCCAAAGTGTTGGGATTATAGGCATGAGCCACTGCACCCTGCCTTTTTTTGATTATGCTTTAAGTTTTAGGGTACATGTGCACAACGTGCAGGTTTGTTTCATATGTATACATGTGCCATGTTGGTGTGCTGCACCCATTAACTCATCATTTACATTAAGTATATCTCCTAATGCTATCCCTCCCCCCCAACCACTCCACAACATACCACCGTGTGTGACGTTCCCCACCCTGTGTCCAAGTGTTCTCATTGTTCAATCCCCACCTATGAGTGAGAACATGCGGTGTTTGGTTTTCTGTCCTTGTGATAGTTTGCTCAGAATGATGGTTTCCAGCTTCATCCGTGGCCCTACAAAGGACATGAACCCATCCTTTTTTATGGCTGCATAGTATTCCATGGTGTATTTGTGCCACATTTTCTTAATCCTATCATTGATGGACATTTGGGTTGGTTCCAGGTCTTTGCTATTGTGAATAGTGCCTCAATAAACATACATGTGCATGTGTCTTTATAGCAGCATGATTTAAAATCCTTTGGGTATATACCCAGTAATGGGATGGCTGGGTCAAATGGTATTTCTAGTTCTAGATCTTTGAGGAATCTCCACACTGTCTTCCACAATGGTTGGACTAGTTTACAGTCCCACCAGCAGTGTAAAAGTGTTCCTATTTCTCCATATCCTCTCCAGCACCTATTGTTTCCTGACTTTTTAATGATTGCCATTCTAACTGGTGTGAGATGGTATCTCATTGTGGTTTTGATTTGCATTTCTCTGATGGCCAGTGATGATGAGCATTTTTTCATGTGTCTGTTGGCTGCATAAATGTCTTGAGAAGGGTCTGTTCATGTCCTTCACCCACTTTTTGATGGGGTTGATTTTTTTTTGTAAATTTGTTTAAGTTCTTTGTGGATTTTGGATGTTAGCCCTTTGTCAGATGGGTAGATTGCAAAAATTTTCTCCTGTTCTGTAGGTTGCCTGTTCACTCTGATGGTGGTTTCTTTTGCTGTGCAGAAGCTCTTTAGTTTAATTAGATCCCATTTGTCTATTTTGGCTTTTGTTGCCATGCTTTCGTGTTTTAGTCCTGAAGTCCTTGCCCCTGCCTATGTCCTGAATCGTATTGCCCAGGTTTTCTTCTAGGGTTTTTATGGTTTTAGGTCTAACATTTAAGTCTTTAATCCATCTTGAATTGATTTTTGTATAAGGTGTAAGGAAGGGATCCAGTTTCAGCTTTCTACATATGGCTAGCCAGTTTTCCCAGCACCATTTATTAAATAGGCAATCATTTCCCCATTTCTTTTTTGTTAGGTTTGTCAAAGATCAGATGATTGTAGATGTGTGGTATTATTTCTTAGGGCACTGTTTTGTTCCATTGGTCTATATCTCTGTTTTGGTACCAGTACCATGCTGTTTTACTTACTGTAGCCTTGTAGTATAGCTTGAAATCAATTAGCATGATGCCCCCCTTTGATCTTTTGGCTTAGGATTGTCTTGGCAATGAGGGCTCATTTTTGGTTCCATATGCACTTTAAAGTAGTTTTTTAAAATGTTTGAAACTATGGAATGACTTGTGTGTTATTCATCACATTTGCTTTGTTCAATTTCAAAAGTAATTTTTGTTTTAAATAACTTGTTATAATATTAAACTCAATAAACACAGTTTAGTTTTTGATAGCTTAAAAGTAGAGGCAAAAATGTATCTTAGTGTCATTCCAGAATAATTTTTTAAATAGCTACTTTTTAAATTGTTTTTTACAGTGAATGTAACCAAGGCAAAACTCTTCTCAGGGGAAAACAATACATGAATATTGTAAGTCTGTTTTAGAATATGGTTAAAATCTATGTGTTTTAGAGTATATTGAGAAAAACAGTCTTTTTAAATAAAATATCTTTGAAAATCACTATCAAAGTAGAAGTTGTGAATGCGCTATGCTAACAGTGTGATTCCATACATTATGTCTCATGAGCTTGTTTTTATGTTAACATAAATGCAGAGCTTTTCCAGCTTCTGGCAAATCAAGAGGTAGACATACTGACCTGTCACATTTCAGATCATTCATTGGACTGCATTTACAAGTGGATGGGGTCTTCTGAGGACCTGCATTGACATGCACATACTGCCTTTCTGTAGCATGTGAACCAGATGCAAATCTGAGGCCTTTTTCTCTGGTCAGCCCCCTCATTCCAGAGAGCAGGATTAAAAAGCATTTCTGTATCCCTTAGATAAGTGTTGTGAACACATCTTCCTAGGCCTTAGCAAATAAGGAAATTATTTGTTGTTTAATATTTCTAATGTATAACTATTAAAAATAATTAGTTATGAAGATAAGTTTGCTTCCTTGTGATCTGTATATTTGTATTGTTAAACATAATGGCTTAGAAAATATGTTTTGAAGGTCAAACCTTCAATTAAAAATGAAAATACTGATGTAATTTTACCTATTTCATTCATTTGCTTTCAGAGAACTAATTCATGAAAAATGAAATAACACCTACAAGTTCACAACTGCTTAATTTAGTAAAACGATATAACCCTTCCTACTCACGGGTTGTGTTTCCTGTGAAGCTGTTCACACCCTGAAGCTAGCCACACAGCAAGTCACATTATACTGAGCTGTCATTTTAGGTTATTACTGTGCCATATTACCTCATCTAATTGTGAAGATGCTATTTCTGCTTTATTTTACATGAATAAAACACTTAATAACATATTTCATGTGACAGGTTAAAAAAAATCCTGACAGGGTCTGTACTATAAATTAAAATAAATGAGAGCTCTTGATCTCATCAAGAAAATTATAAGTCATCATGACCATTTTGTCTTAAATTGCAATATTTTCTTGAACTATGATGCAACATTCCCTTTTGTTCACAAAGGAGGCCATCAATGGATATTCGTAAATATCTTTAAATAAAAGATATTTATGTAATGTTTTCTTTAAATAAAAATGATGTGCTACATTTTAATAAGACAATGCTATGAACTCAGAATGAATCTTCTCATTCCCCTATAAGTAAGTAGTATACTCTTTAACATGATAATGAAGTCCAGTGATTATGGGTAAAAATCACTGGGCAGTATTGCAACATGTGCAACTTTTATTTTGTAGAAACAGTTTTTCCTCATAAATATCGGCAACTGCACCAATATTTCTGTTTTTATCCCCTAGAGTGCTAAACACATTATATTCAGTTGAGGAGTGGAAATATAGCTGATTTCCAATTGCAAGGAGCTGGTAAAGCCTTTAGTAACAATGTCAGAGTAACAAATTTAATCACCTTATGAAAGTTCCACAGGGAATGGTACATAGTTTGGGAGAAAAATATATTTCATTTTATATACATAGTAAATTAAATACATAAAATAAACAAACATATTGTGATATTTTAAAAACCAAACAAGTATGTCTACTGGTAAAACATATTTGTTTTTATTATTTTGAGAGATTCTTACCTAGCCTTAAATATAGACAAAACTGTAGAGTTTTCCCCAACTATTACCACCACTACTTCCTGTCATTCTGATAATTGACACCACAAAACATGCCATTAGAAAATCTTCAGTGAAATTATATCTCTAATGTGTACTCTAAGCATGTATCATGATTTTTTCTTAATAGAAATAGTATTGAAGATTTTTCCATTTGTGAATCATATGCTGGACAACAAGGATGACCAACTCAATAACTCCCATCTTACAGTCCAAGAAACTATTCCGTGGTTGAGTAACATTGAAACTATAGTGACATCTAGCAGCAAACATATTCGACATGATGAATCTTATATGAGAGTCCTATAAATGCACCAAATGTAATTAATTCAAGGATCCCAGCCTTTTCTCAAGGTGACAAGTATAATTTTATTTCTCGAATAGTTCCTTAAATAACCATCTTTTGTAAAGTAAATGAAATAAATCATATTTGATTTCTGCCTCCCAAACTACAATTTGTTTTAAACATTCAAATAAGAGTGCAATGAATGACTTTGATGTCAAGCTGTATTTTTACAACAGCTGTTGTTGTATTATTGAATCTATCTGCATTGCAGATTAGCTTTAACATTGTGCATGTTAAAAAATAAAAGATGCTTTTCTGTTAGCATAGTTAATGAGCTGCTTCTAAAATGTAATGTATGTCACCTATATGGCCTGGAAATAAACAAGTTTGATATTTTACTTTAGAGAAATATGATAAAATCAGAATTGCAAACTTAAATTTAAAATTTTATGTGAAAAAATCATTTCCTGACTATAAATGGATAGATATTTTAAAATATTCTAAGAATTTTATTCCACAACATAAATGTGGCAAAACTGTTTAATTTCTTTCTTCAAACAATATTAGAATTTGACTCATATAAATTGCCTCCAGACTGTGCCATTTTCTTGGTTTCGATTTTGCTTTACTACAGATGCTTTTTTTTTTTTTCTTTTTGAGACAGCATCTAGCTCTGTTGTTGCCCAGGCTGCCAGGCTGGAGTGAGGTGGCGTGATATTAGCTCACTGCAACCTCCACCTCCCGGGTTCATGCACTCCTGCCTCAGCCTCCCGAGTAACTGGTATTACAGGCATCTGCCACCACGCCCGGCTAATTTTTGTATTTTTTTTTTTTTAAACTACAGACGAGATTTTACCATGTTGGCCAGGCTGGTCTGGAACTCCTGACCTCAAGTGATCTGCCTGCCTCAGCTTCCCAAAGTGCTGGGATTACAGGCATGAGCCACCACACCGGCCCAGATGCTTCTTCTAATTAGTGTAGGAATCTAATTCCAAGGTCTTTAGTGGAGCAAAAATAAGTTTGGAGAGGATCCCTACATTTGTGCCAGTAGCCTCCATTAGGATCTCCACATTGAGAGTTTGTATTGTGTTATAGAAAATTAGACTTTGCTAACACTGAGGTTTATGTGTTACATTAAAATATTTTCCAATTATTCCTGTTATTATGAGAAAAAAAGAGAGAAAAAATTTTCCTCTCTAGAAGCAAGTATTAAAATTTCTGTCAGTCTCGCATGAAGGTGGTAAAATATATTTTATTTTGCAAAAAGTTGCCAAACTATCATAGATGAAACTCCCAATATGAAGAAATGAAAAGGAAAGTAGAAGCATGCCAAATGATGAAACATGTCTTGAGTTTTGTTTTTTTTTTAATGATGTTGAGAAGTCTCAGGGGTGATAAAAAGCCTCTTTCTGCCTCCATTAAAAAAAATAAACAGTAGCAAGTTTATATGAAGTTTAGTTTATATAGTGTGGGGGGGTTCCTCTTTTTGAGAATTTGTCAAGTACAGATAATGTATTTTTTGGAGAGTAAAAAGTTGCTTGGAAATTAGCTGAAAAGAGAGAGAAGAAATGAAACAATACAGACTCCATCACTGTTGTTAAAGTTTTACGCTCCCTACAGACTGAGGCTGTCTGCACAGCAAGGCCAATTCTTTATCTTTGATCTGTTAGTGAAGATCTTCAAATCCGTCTGCATAGATGATAAACACAACAGATTACTGTGAGAAAACAAAGGAGCTTTTGAAAGGAAATAGAGGAAAGAAAAGTGAAACAAATGCATAAGCCATATTAAAAATATATAAAGCTCCACTACAAAAAATAAATGTTCAGCAGAAAGAAAGAGTAGGTTTAAAACATTTAGATTTAATAACAATGATCATTTACTAATAGCTAACCATTTGAGCCCTTTAAATGGGCCAGGAACTCTGTTATGAACTTTACATTTACAAACTCATTTTTTTCTCACCACAGACCAAGTAAGATGCATACAGATAATCCAGCTAAAACGTAGTAGAACCAGGATTCACATCCAAGTAGTGCTACACTTATAATCACTAGAATAGACCACATCTCAAATTGATGGGTCATTTTGTGTGGCAAGCACTGGATCAACAAGTACATGTATCTACTTTATACCACCTTTGAGAAGTATGCATTTGTCTCTATCTTATAGATGAGAAACAGGAGATTAGAAAAGAAAGCCCAAAATTCCAGTAGCTTAACAGAATTTCAGTGTCTGATATTCTTCCTATTGCATTCTTAAAGAAAATGAAGATTATTTTATGATGGTTGTTTTATGATATAGAATATAATTGAAGAACTAGTTGTCATCTATGTGTTTTCTGCTTCCCCCAAGTAAGAACTTATTATTAAAAAGACATCCTGTGACTAATGGAAAAAATTCAGACTTTAGAACCATATCTCAGCTTTGCCATGCTCTGGCTGTGTTTTCCTGAGCATGCTTGCTAAATGTGCTGAGAATCCATTTCCTTAAGGAGAAAAACTGATTCATACGTTTCTCAGATCATTGCTAGAAAAATTTGAGCTCAATTAAAAATGTGCTTATCCTACAGAAAGTGCTCAGCTACTTTGAAATTTTAATCATTATATTTATTTGTGCTTTTGTTCTAAGGATGGCTCCAATTTATGGGAAATCCTCAAAGAAATAAAGAAGCTTCCAGGAAGAGCATGAACATTTGAGACAGACTGGCTGGCTGGTTTTATAGTCAGAAATTAGTCTAGTAGAAATGGATCCCATTAATATTTTAAAAAGCAAGGCCTATATATAGAAATAATTATAGAGTGTCAATCAGCAGCATTATGTAAATAACAATGTAGCTGGACCTACTGTCATAGCTGAAGAAAAGATTTTCAATACCTCCACGGCACATGTTTCAAAACATTGCTCCATGCATCAGGGCCTCATTTCCATTAACCTGATGGAGCCTGGTGGCTGGAATTGCCTGCTCTAAAAATTTCATGAGAACTGCTTTTGAATGTGCTATTTGGCAGTTTTTCTTTTGTCCTCTAACCACAACTAAATTATCTTTTCTTGAAATCACCTCTAACTATTAGGCATCAGTGAGTGAGACCCAGATTCAGAATATAATGGGAGCCCACTTGCCAGCAGGAAACACATTAAAGCAAACCTTCTAATGGCAAGAATCTATTTAAGCTGTTTCTCCCAAGGGAAGTGGTTCAAGGCCCATTGCCTAACAAAATTAAAATAAGATTGAACAAAAGGCTGCAACTTATTCATTGGGGGATCATTCTACAAAAACAATGGCAAGCATAGGTATTGTCTCTCATGGAAGAGTCTTAAATTTCTAGAATTTTATTCTCTTCATTTAAGCCACTCTATTAAATGCATAAGGTTATTTAAATTCTATAAATTTATAAGACCATATATATATAAATTCATTTATAAATTAGAAATTATCTGATCACATATCCTGATTTTAAGATTATAATATTGTCAAGGTATATAGAAAACTAGCTAGCACAATGATAGGACCTATTTATATTCAATTATTTGATTTTCTACTTAGTCAGAAAATAGAAAGAAAATAATGTCATGTCATTTCAGTTAAGTTCAGTGATAAAAAGATGTCAAAATGTGTGCTGTTTATGCTGTTTAGAAGCTTACATGCTCTTACCATTTTAATGTTATGTTTTTGCTTGAGAAAATTATTTACAATTTTTTATTGTTTCATGGTCATAGATTATTAAACTGACTTGGAGAATTAACTTATGTCTGAAGTGTAGACTGAAATCAGCCTACTGTATAGGAAGGTATCTTCATTTCTACTTTTATATGGAAATATCCTTAAAAGAGTTAAATTGCGAATCCTGAGTCTTATGTGCTATTGGAAACAGCTTAAACCCAGAGCTTTCTTTACAAATACAAGTTGAGAAAAATTGAATGGACAAGAATTTTTCTCCATTTCATCCTCCTAGTTTTCTCCTCTAACATGATTTGACATGTTTTTTTTTACAATTCTGAATAAAGAAAATTCAATATCAAAGAGCATATGGTATATTAAATTGCTTCTAAAGAAAAAACAATTTCTATATTCCCACAAACAATGTGGGTAACGTCACATGGAATAAAACAATTTATAAATAATTAGTTTTTAATTGCATGTTGGTTAGTTTGGAGTCTGTAGAATATCTGTTGCTTCTAAATCATGTAGTGAAAAGCATAAGGCTTGATTTTTTAAATAAATCTGAATCATAGAAAGGTTCAATTATCTAATCATTCTTACTAGTAATCATTCTGATTGATAAATGTGACAATAAAATTCACTTTAATGGGCAGGTAGCAGTTACAACAATAACTGATTACTTTTGTGGAATAATCTCAGAGATAAAGAAGAATTTCTCACTTTTCTCAACTAAAGAACATATCATTCAACAACCTGCAAAGCTAAAAAGTACACAAGCAGTGGTGTATCACCTTATCTGTGATATTTTTTAACATTTTCTTTTTCTTAAGGAAATTGAGATGAATATGTGGTAAATAGAAAGCTTGAGATGAATCTTTGACCCTTAAGATTATCTATTCTAGAACTACTACTCCTCGCTGGAACAAATGAAATGATCTCAGAAAGATGGGCATCTAGGAAAAGTGATATTGCCTTCATTTATTAAATTATTTTAAAGCTTTTCCTGCTTCTTCATAATCATATATTATTTATCAATTGTTAACCACATCAGTTTAAATGAATGTCTAGGAGACTTCTTACATCATCCTTTCCTGATTATTGCAGGTAGGTGAGTCCCAGGTAGGAAGAAAGAAGATATTGACTAAATAATCCAGAGGGTAAGGAGTGTTGAATTCCTGAGCCAAAAATTAGAAAACAGAATTAATATTACCAACTTAAGAAGTGAAAAAGGGAAAAATGAAGAGTGATCAAGTCAGAAGAAAATAGCTAATGAGGTCAGATGGATCTAAGTGTAAATGTCCATTCGGCCACCTATGATCTGAGTGATTCTCACAAATTTAACTCTTCTAGGTTCAGATTTCCTTTCTGGAAAAAAAAATGGGTCTAATATTAACATACTAAGAATGTATTTCATGACTAAACTTTTAACATCACATCACATATAAAGCACCTTACAAAGCACAAATGATACATCTGAAAAATCTACTTATCAGGTGGAGTCAAGATGGCTGAATAGGAACAGCTCCAGTCTACAGCTCCCAGCGTGAGCAACACAGAAGACAAATGATTTCTGCATTTCCAAATGAGGTACCGGGTTAATCTCACTGGGGCTTGTCAGACAGTGGGTGCAGGAAAGTGGGTGCAGCGCACCGAGCGTGAGCCAAAGCAGGGCGAGGCATCAACTCACCCAGGAAGTGGAAGGGGTCAGGGAATTCCCTTTCCTAACCAAGAAAAGGGTTGACAGACAGCATGTGGAAAATCAGGTCACTCCCACCCTAATACTGCGTTTTTCCAACGGTCTTAGCAAACAGCACACCAGGAGATTGTATACTGCAGCAGGCTTGGAGGGTCCTACACCCATGGAGCCTCAATCATTGCCAGCACAGCAGTCTGAGATCAAACTGCAAGGCGGCAGCGAGGCTGGGGGAGTGGTGCCCACCATTGCCGAGGCTAGAGTAGGTAAACAAAGTGGCCAGGAAGCTCGAACAGGGTGGAGCCCACCACAGCTCAAGGAGGCCTGCGTGCCTCTGTAGACTCCACCTCTGGGGGCAGGGCATAGCCAAACAAAAGGCAGCAGAAACCTCTGCAGACTTAAATGTCCCTGTCTGACAGCTTTGAAGAGAGTAGTCGTTCTCCCAGCATGCAGCTTGAGATCTGAGAACGGACAGACTGCCTCCTCAAATGGGTCCCTGACCGCCGAGTAGCCTGACTGGGAGGTACCCCCAATTAGGGGCAGACTGACACCTCACACGGCCAGGTACCCGTCTGAGAAAAAACTTCCAGAGGAACGATCAGGCAGCAACATTTGCTGTTCACCAATATCCACTGTTCTGCAACCTCCACTGCTGATACCCAGGAAACAGGGTCTGGAGTGGACCTCCAGCATACTCCAACAGACCTGCAGCTGAGGGTCCTGACTGTTAGGAGGAAAACTAACATACAGAAAGGACATCCACACCAAAACCCCATCTGTACATCACCATCATCAAAGACCAAAGGTAGATAAAACCACAAAGATGGGGAAAAAACAGAGCAGAAAAACTGAAAATGCTAAAAAGCAGAGCACCTCTCCTCCTCCAAAGGAATGCAGCTCCTCACCAGCAACAGAATAAAGCTGGATGGAGAATGACTTTGACGAGTTCAGAGAAGAAGGCTTCAGACGGTCAAACTACTCCGAGCCAAAGGAGGAAGTCTGAACCCACGGCAAAGAAGTTAAAAACCTTGAAAAAAAATTAGATGAATGGCTAACTAGAATAATCAATGCAGAGAAGTCCTTAAAGGACCTGATGGAGCTGAAAACCACAGCACAAGAACTACGTGATGAATGCACAAGCCTCAGTAGACAATTTGATCAACTGGAAGAAAGGGTATCAGTGATGGAAGATCAAATGAAAGAAATGAAGTGAGAAGAGAAGTTTAGAGAAAAAAGAATAAAAAGAAACGAACAAAGCCTCCAAGAAATATGGGACTATGTGAAAAGACCAAATCTACATGTGATTGGTGTACCTGAAAGTGACAGGGATAATGGAACCAAGTTGGAAAACACTCTGCAGGATATTATCCAGGAGAACTTCCCCAATCTAACAAGGTAGGCCAACATTCAGATTCAGGAAATACAGAGAATACCACAAAAATACTCCTCGAGAAGAGCAACTCCAAGACACATAATAGTCAGATTCACCAAAGTTGAAACGAAGGAAAAAATGTTAAAGGCAGCCAGAGTGAAAGGTCGGGTTACCCACAAAGGGAAGCCCATCAGACTAACAGTTGATCTCTCAGCAGAAACTCTACAAGACACAAGAGACTGGGGGCCGTATTCAACATTCTCAAAGAAAATAATTTTCAACCCAGAATTTCATATCCAGCCAAACTAAGCTTCATAAGTGAAGGAGAAATAAAATACTTTATAGACAAGGAAATGCTGAGAGATTTTGTCACCACCAGGCCTGCCCTAAAAGAGATCCTGAAGGAAGCACTAAATATGGAAAGGAACAACCGCTACCAGCCACTGCAAAAAATTGCCAAATTTCAAAGACCAACCAGGCTAGGAAGAAACTGCATCAACTAACGAGCAAAATAACCAGCTAACATCATAAAGACAGGATCAAATTCACACATAACAATATTAACTTTAAAGTTAATGGGCTAAATGCTCCAACTAAAAGACACAGACTGGCAAATTGGATAAAGAGTCAAGACCCATCACTGTGCTGTATTCAGGAAAGCCATCTCATGTGCAGAGAAACACATAGGCTCAAAATAAAGGGATGGAGGAAGATCTACCGAGCAAATGGAAAACAAAAAAAAGCAGGGGTTGCAATCCTAGTCTCTGATAAAACAGACTTTAAACCAACAAAGATCAAAAGAGACAAAGAAGGCCATTACATAATGGTAAAGGGATCAATTCAACAAGAAGAGCTAACTATCCTAAATATATATGCACCCAATACAGGAGCACCCAGATTCATAAAGCAAGTCCTTAGTGACCTACAAAGAGACTTAGACTCCCACACAGTAATAATGGGAGACTTTAACAACCCACTGTCAATATTAGACAGGTCAACGAGACAGTAAGTTAACAAGGATATCCAGGAATTGAACTCAGCTCTGCACCAAGAGGACCTAATAGACATCTACAGAACTCTCCACCCCAAATCAACAGAAAATACATTCTTCTCAGCACCACATCACACTTATTCCAAAATCGACCACATAATTGGAAGTAAAATACCCCTCAGCAAATGTAAAAGAACAGAAATTATAACAAACTGTCTCACAGACCACAGTGCAATGAAACTAGAACTCAGGATTAAGAAACTCACTAAAAACCACTCAACTACATGGAAACTGAACAACCTGCTCCTGAATGACTACTGGGTACATAACGAAATGAAGGCAGAAATAAAGATGTTCTTTGAAACCAATGAGAACAAAGACACAACATACCAGAATCTCTGGGACATATTCAAACCAGTGTGTAGAGGGAAATTTATAGCACTAAGTGCCCACAAGAGAAAGCAGGAAAGATCTAAAATTGACACCCTAACATCACAATTAAAAGAACTAGAGAAGGAAGAGCAAACACATTCAAAAGCTAGCAGAAGCCAAGAAATAACTAAGATCAGAGCAGAACTGAAGGAAAAAGAAACATAAAAAACCCTTCAAAAAATCAATAAATCCAGGAACTGGTTTTTCGAAAGGATCAACAAAATTGATAGACCACTAGCAAGACTAATAAAGAAGAAAAGAGAGAAGAATCAAATAGACACAATAAACATTGATAAAGGGGATATCACCACCGATCCCACAGAAATACAAACTACCATCAGAGAATACTATAAACACCTCTATGCAAATAAACTAGGAAATCTAGAAGAAATGGATAAATTCCTTGACACATACACCCTCCCAAGACTAAACCAGGAAGAAGTTGAATCTCTGAATAGACCAATAAGGGGCTCTGAAATTGAGGCAATAATTAATAGCTTACCAACCAAAAAAAGTCCAGAACCAGATGGATTCACAGCCGAATTCTACCAGAGGTACAAGGAGGAGCTGGTACCATTCCTTCTCAAACTATTCCAATCAATAGAAAAAGAGGGAATCCTCCCTAACTCATTTTATGAGGCCAGCATCATCCTGATACCAAATTCTGGCAGAGACACAACAAAAAAGGAATTTTAGACCAATGTCCCTGATGAATATCAATGCAAAAATCCTCAATAAAACACCAGCAAACCGAATCCATCAACACATCAAAAAGCTTATCCACCATGATCAAGTGGGCTTCAACCCTGCGATGCAAGGCTGGTTCAATATACGCAAATCAATAAACGTAATCCAGCATATAAACAGAACCAAAGACAAAAACCACATGATTATCTCAATAGATGCAGGAAAGGCCTTTGACAAAATTCAACAACACTTCATGCTAAAAACTCTCAATAAATTAGGTATTGATGGGACGTATCTCAAAATAATAAGAGCTATCTATGACAAACCCACTGCCAATATCATACTGAATGGGCAAAAACTGGAAGCATTCCCTTTAAAAACTGGCAAAAGACAGGGATGCCCTCTCTCACCACCCTATTCAACATAGTATTGGAAGTTCTGGCCAGTGCAATCAGGCAGGAGAAAGAAATAAAGGGTATTCAATTAGGAAAAGAGGAAGTCAAATTGTCCCTGTTTGCAGACGACATGATTGTATATCTAGAAAACCCCATTGTCTCAGCCCAAAATCTCCTTAAGCTGATAAGCAACTTCTGCAAAGTCTCAGGATACAAAATCAATGTGAAAAAATCACAAGCATTCTTATACACCAATAACAGACAAACAGAGAGCCAAATCATGAGTGAACTCCCATTCACAATTGCTTCAAAGAGAATAACATACCTAGGAATCCAAGTTACAAGTGATGTGAAGGACCTCTTCAAGGAGAACTACATACCACTGCTCAATGAAATAAAAGAGGATACAAACAAATGGAAGAACATTCCATGCTCATGGGTAGGAAGAATCAATATTGTGAAAATAGCCATACTGCCCAAGATAATTTATAAATTCAATGCCATCCCCATCAAGCTACCAATGACTATCTTCACAGAATTGGATAAAACTACTTTAAAGTTCATGTAGAACCAAAAAAGAGCCCACATTGCCAAGTCAATCCTAAGCCAAAAGAACAAAGCTGGAGGCATCATGCTACCTGACTTCAAACTATACTATAAGGCTACAGTAACCAAAACAGCATGGTACTGGTACCAACACAGAGATACAGATCAATGGAATAGAACAGAGCCCTCAGAAATAATGCCACATATCTACAACTATCTGATCTTTGACAAACCTGAGAAAAACAAGCAATGGGGAAAGGATTCCCTATTTAATAAATGGTGCTGGGAAAACTGTCCAGGCATATGTAGAAAGCTGAAACTGGATCCCTTCCTTACACCTTATACAAAAATCAATTCAAGATGGATTAAAGACTTGAACATTAGACCTCAAACCATAAAAACCCTAGAAGAAAACCTAGGCCATGCCTTCAGGACATAGGCATGGGCAAGGACTTCATATCCAAAACACCAAAAGCAATGGCAACAAAAGCCAAAATTGACAAATGGGATCTAATTAAACTAAAGAGCTTCTGCACAGCAAAACAAACTACCATCACAGTGAACAGACAACCTACAGAATGGGAGAAAATTTTTGCAATCTACTCATCTGACAAAGGGCTAATATCCAGAATCTACAATGAACTCAAACAAATTTACAAGAAAAAAACAAACAACCCCATCAAAAAGTGGGCGAAGGATATGAACAGACACTTCTCAAAAGAAGACATTTATGCAGCCAAAAAACACATGAAAAAATGCTCATCATCACTGGCCATTAGAGAAATGAAAATCAAAACCACAATGAGATACCATCTCACACCAGTTAGAATGGTGATCATTAAAAAGAAACAACAGATGCTGGAGAGGATGTGGAGAAATAGGAACACTTTTACACTGTTGGTGGGACTGTAAACTAGTTCAACCATTGTGGAAGTCAGTGTGGCGATTCCTCAGGGATCTAGAACTAGAAATACCATTTGACCCAGCCATCCCATTACTGGGTATATACCCAAAGGATTATAAATCATGCTGCTATAAAGACACATGCACACGTATGTTTATTGAGGCACTATTCACAATAGCAAAGACTTGGAACCAACCCAAATGTCCAACAATGATAGACTGGATTAAGAAAATGTGGCACATATACACCATGGAATACTATGCAGCCATAAAAATGATGAGTTCATGTCCTCTGTAGGGCCATGGATGAAGCTGGAAACCATCATTCTCAGCAAACTATCAAAGGACAAAAAACCAAACACCGCATGTTCTTACTCATAGGTGGGAATTGAACAATGGGAACACATGAACACAGGAAAGGGAACATCACACACCTGGGCCTGTTGTGGGGTGGGGGGAGAGGGGAGGGATAGCATTAGAGATATACCTAATGTTAAATGGCGAGTTAATGGGTGCAGCACACCAACATGGCACATGTATACATATGTAACAAACCTGCATGTTGTGCACATGTACCCTAAAACTTAAAGTATAAAAAGAAAAGAAAAATCTACTTATCTTTGTCTTGTTAGTCTTTTTGTTTGTTTTAGAGATTGTAGTGGTTTTATAAGATTTTATAACTTTGCAGGACTATCCCTTTGTGTATGTTTCTAATTTCAAAAATCATTGCTTTTTATTTTTTATTTTTGGACCATAAGTGTATGTTCCTCCTTAGGGGAATAACTTCTTCTACCTTGATCTAAACCAGCAACTCATGCCAGCCTTCCCTTTTCCTGGCTAATTAGCTCATAGTTTTACTTTCTCAATGTAAACTTTATTTCCTCAGGGATCATTTCTCTGATCACCCACCTTGCCATCTAGATAAGTTTAATTTCTCTGTCACAGCTCTCACAATACCCTGTGTTTTATTATCTGTACTTTAATGTTTTCATTTATTCCTCCAAAGGTAGTGGGCACTTATAATTGAATTATGTTTGTGACTTTAATTTAATGTCACCTCACCCATCATTGCATACTCCTGGAGAGGCTGTTGAGAATACTCCCCTTTACACCTACACATCTAGCATGATGCATGCTAGAAAGGTGGGTTCAATAAATTGTTGGGCATTTATGGATGTTGAATATCTTATACATATAAAAGAAAATTCTAGCATCATCAGTGCTATTTTAAATTACTTAAAATCAATATTTTATCTAGCATTTGATAATAGTTATAGGATCTATACTAAATAATCTAAGGCACAGTTACAATCATAATTGCAAGTCAAGTACTTGGCGATTAAACACACACTCTTGGGATTTTTTAGTCACAGGAATTTTTTAGCCATAAAAATCAATCAATCAATCAATCAATCTCTCTCTCTCTCCCCCTCTTCCTCTCCCTCTCTCCCCCCTTCATCTCCTTCCCCCTCTCTCCCTCTATCCGCCGTCTCTGTCTCTGTGTGTGTGTCTCTCTTCCCTTCTCTCTAGTGCACATGTATACACACAATTATACACAAAAACACACACAGGAAAGGAATAAGAGTATAAATTTTCAGGTAGATAATCATTTCAGCCTTCAGTAATGTGCAAATGTGCAATTACACACAAAAATGCATCACCTAGAGGATAAATAAGAGAGGAAAATCATTATATTGTAATTTCCATGAGTTGCTTATTAGGTAAGTCTATTTAGTGAAGACCTACATTTTGTCCCATTGTAATGTGAATCACATTTTACATTCATGATTTATATCACATTTTCCTTTCCTATTCTATTATCTTCTTTTTCTAAAACAAACAACAAATTATAATATTTAATGTAGTGTTAGAAAGAAATGAGAGAACATTCAGTTTGGATTTCAAAATTCGGCTTAATATATTGCAGCATCTGCACCTCTTCTAATTAGAGATAACTATAAAACATCTTGGCTCTATGCAAATAACACCAAATCTAATGGTGTTATAATGACTTGCTCTTCTACTCTTGAAGATAACCCTCAAACCTAAAATAGCTAAACCTGGTAAGAAATTGGCCAGCAAACTCGATAAGCACTTGCCTTGCAGGTAATCCATAGAATGCCTTTTTTCAATGTTAAATTACCTTTATAAAGAATCTAAACAGTCTAATTCTTAAATTAATAATAAATTCATTTCATAAATCTGCTATCAGTATAAAAGTCACTATAACAAATATCTAGACAATATACTATCTTAGAATGCAGCTCAGTCTATTCAAAAATTGATCTGCTGCAGTGATGTGGGTTTCTATCTTTTGGATATATGTTGAGCCTTAGATACCTATGTATCAGACCTTGCTGTTTCACCTCCATTACCTGCTAGCGTTTTGTCTCTGGAGCTTATTGACTATAGAAATATATTATAAGATCTCTACCTCTTTTCAGGGAGAGATGTCATAAGAAAAATATTAGAAATTCTTAAAAGTGAAATAAACCAACTGTTACTGATTACTCAAGAAATATAAGAGAACATTTTTAGTAGTGTGAAGTGTCCTTAAGGTTACTCATTAATAAAAAAAGCTAATGTGTTCTAAAACTCAGCATTTTGGTTAGTGTTTAAATTATTTAGAAGTAAGAATTAAGAACACATGAACAGTGGGCCAGGGGCATGAGTTGCTAAAGCAATGCTAATTATTAAACATGCTTGAAGGTAGCAATTAATATCAGAAGATCAATTTTACTTTTAAATATTTTACTTTTACAAGCTATTGGGAAAGTATATCTGAAACTACTGTATAAGTGAAACCACTATTAAAAACCTCAGTTTGTATATTATGAATTGGTTAAGATATGGCTTAGAGTGTATTTTCACAGATTATAATGGGAACGCTTCTCTCACATAACAGAGAAAGACTCCTCACCTTGTAAGATTCCATCCTTAGTACACCAGGCTTTTAAAAGGATCATTTGAGATCTTGATGTATTTAGATCATTGAATCATTCAATGCTTATGCCAGAATCAATCACTTCACATGCAGTTGAGTTTGTAAAAGAACCACTCAGCTGCCATGCACCCTAATCTGTATTTTCAGCTGAAAACCTATGTACAAACTACTGCCCCAGATAAGAATTATACACTATGAAATAGAGTGGGGAAGAGTAACTTTAGAGAGCAGAAACCTGGGAAACACTACCTCAGAGAGTTGATGAATGTCAACATTAAATGTGGTAACTCATGTTAATAGTATATATCCTTGATATGATGTGATAAAAATTGCACTTTGCTTCTGTGATTTTCCTCCTCAGAACCCAGAACCCCAAAATAATTATGATAAAAAAATCAGATAAGTCTCAAGTGAGGGATGCTTTACAAAATATCTAAACAATGATTCTCAAAACTGTCAAGAACAACAAAAACAAGGAAAGTCTAAGAAACCATCACACCCAATAGTAGCATACAGACAGGATAACAAAATGTAATATGATATCCTTGTGGAATCCTGGATCAGAAAAGGGACATTAGACAAAAATTAAGAAAAACTGAATAATGAATGCACTTTAATTAATAATTATATGCAAACATTGCTTTATTAATTATGGTCAATGAACCCTACTAATATATTATGTTAATAATAAAATAACCTAGGTGCTGAATATATGGAAACTTTCTGTAGTATATATGCAATTTGGGAGTAAATCTAAAACTCTTCTAACAATAGTGTTAATGTTCAAAACACCATAAAAAGACCAAAGATGCTGAAGGTGAGTCTCATGACTCACAAGAAACAGCAGATCTAGAAAGTTTTCTCTTTTTAACAATGCTTAAGGGAGTTAATTTGGCTCAAGATTTCTTAATGACTACAGAAAATAAATTGAGAATATCCTTATACAGATTATATAATTAACTGTATCAGCTGAATCCATAGCCCTGGTATATATCCCTTTATATATGAGTTAAATTATGAAAACACAAACAAAACTAATCCACAGAACCATTGCATTGAATGATAAGAATGCTTGAGATTTAACAATGAAATGTACTTTCACTCTTACTTTTAATGTATTTATTAGGATAACAATTTATTTCATTGATTCTAGATAAAAATTTTGGTAGCCCTAAAGAGTAACAAATTAAAGTTGTGACTTGAAATAATCATAGTATACCTTATTTCATAAAATGAACAACACAACAAAGCAAAAAAAAAAAAGAAATTAAGGCAAAAATCAAGAAATTCTTTTAAACTAATGAAAACAAGGATACAACATACCAATATCTCTGGGACACAGCTAAAGCAGTGTTAAGAGGAAAGTTTATAGCACCAAACACTTTAATCAAAAAATCAGAAAGATCTTAAATTTATAACCCAACATTACATCTGGACAAACTAGAAAAACAAGAGCAAATTAATCCCAAAGTTAGCGGAAGAAAAGAAATAACCAAAGTCAGAGCTGAACTGAATGACATTGAGATGCGAAAATCCATACAAAAGATTAACAAAATTAAAAGTTTATTCCTTGAAAGAATAAATAAGATAAATAGAGTGCTGGCTAGACTAATAAGGAAAAAAAAGAGAAAACCTAAATAAACACAATCAGAAACGACAAAGGTGACTGATATAGTTTGAATATTTGTCCCCACCAAACTCTTATTTTGAATTGTAATCCCCAATGCTGGGGGAGAGACATAGTGGAAGGTGCTTGGATCACGGGGTTGGCATACTCTTTTCTGATAGTGAATTCTAGTGAAATCTGGTCATTTAAAAGTGTGTCGCACCTCTCCCCACCTCTACCTCTTGCTTGCTCCTGCTTTTGCCCTGTGAAGTGCCTGCTCCCATTTCACCATCTGCCTTGACTGCAAGCTCCCAGACTCTTCACCGGAAGACAAGGATATGCCAGCACCATGCGTTGTATAAAGCCTGCAGCCATGAGCCAATTAAACCTCTTTTTTTTTTAATAAATGACCCAGTCTCAGGTTGTTCTTTATGGCAATGCAAGAATGGTCTAATACAGTGACATTACCACCAACCCCACAGAAATACAGAAAACCTTCAGAAACTATTATGAAAAGGTCCATGCACAGAAATTAGAAAACCTAGAAGAATTGGATAAATTCCTGGATATATGCAGCTTCCCAAGATTGAACCAGGAATAAATTGAATACCTGAAGAAATCAATAGAGTTCCAAAATTGAATAAGTAATTTAAAAAAACCTACCAACTAGTAAAGCCCTGGACCAAATGGAGTCACATCTGAATTCTATTAGATTTATGAAGAAAAGCTAGTACCAATACTACTGAAACTATTCAAAAAATTCCAGGAGGAGAGATTCCTCCCTAACTCATTCTATGAGGCCAGCATCATTCTGATACCAAAGCCTTAACCCAGCAACATCACATTACCTGATTTTAAATTATATTAGAAAGCTACAGTAACCAAAGTGCATGGTACTGGTATAAAAACAGAGCCAAAGACAAATGGAACAGGCTAGAGAATCCAGAAATAAAGTGACAAACCTACAACTATCAGATCTTCAATAAACCCTACAAAAATAAGCAACGAGGAAAGAATTTCCTATTCAATAAACGCTGCTGGGATAACTAGCTAGCCATATGCAGAATAAAACTGACCCTGTTCTTTTACCATATAACTTAACTCAAGATTTATTAAAGACTTAAATATAAAACCTAAAGCTATAAAAACCATTGAATATAGCCTAGGTAATACCATTCTGGACATAGACCTTGGCGAAGATTTTGTGACAAAGACTCCAAAAGCAATTGTAACAGAACCAAAAATGGACAAATGAGACCTAATTAAACTAACGAGCTTCTGGATAGTGAAAGAAACTATCAATAGAGCAAACAGGCAATCTACAGAATGAGAAAATATTTGCAAACTATACATGTGATAAAGATATAATATCCAGAATCTATAAGGAACTAAAACCAATCAACAAGCAAAAACCAAACAATCCCATTAAAATTCGGCAAAGGACATGAACACACACTTCTCAAAAGACGATATATACATGGCCAGTAAGCATATGAAAAAAATGCTGAACATTGCTGATCAATAGAGAAATGCAAATCAAAACCACAATGAGATACTATCTCACACCGGTCAGAATGGTATTTTTAAAAATTCAGAAAATAACAGTTGTTGGAGAGGTTGTGGAAAAAAGGAAATTCTTATACATTGCTGATGGGGATGTAAATTAGTTCAGCCACTGTAGAAAGCAGTTTGGAGATTTCTCAAATAACTTAAAACAGAACTACCGTTCAACTCATCAATCCCATTACTAGGCATATACTGAAAAGAATATAAATCATTCCAGGAGCCTGAGGCAGAAGAATCGCTTGGACCTAGGAGGTGGAGGTTGCAGTGAGCTGAGATTGTGCCACTGTACTCCAGCCTGGGTGACAGAGTGAGACTCTGTCTCAAAAAAAAAAAAAAAAGAATATAAATCATTCTACCATAAAGACACCACATGCATACATATGTTCACCGCAGCACTGTTCACAATAACAAAAACATGGAATCAACCTAGATGCCCATCAACAGTGGAATAAAGAAAATGTGGTACATAGAAACTATGGAGTACTATGCAACCATAAGAAAGAATGAAATCATGTCCTTTGCGACAACATGGATGGATCTGAAGGCCACTATCTTAGGAAAATTGACAGAGGAACAGAAAAATCAAATTGCATGTTCTTACTTATAAGTGGGTGCTAAACTTTGAGTATACATGGACACAAAGTGGGGAACAATAAACACTGGGGCCTACTGAGGGAGGAGGATAGGAGACAGGCGAGGATTTAAAAACTACGTATCTGGTACTATGGTCACTACCAGGGTGAGACCAAATCATTTGTTCACAAATCCCAAGCCATACAGTATTGATCCATGTGACATACCTGCACATATACTGCCTGAACCTAATACAAAAGCTGGAAAAAAATCAAACTTTAGTTCCTCTGTCATTTTAGTAGTAACGTGTTTTTTAAGTGCATTTATTTGCTGCTGTATTGGAAAGTGGAGAATATAAAACATTTTCATCACTAAAGAAAGTTACATTGGGTAGCACTATTTCACTTAAAGAAGAAAGAAGTCAGGATTACTGAAATTCCCTTTCCAAAGAAACAATAAAAAGAAAGAAAAAAAAAAAACTTACTGAATCTTTGGCCAGAAAAAACATAAGCAACTTTTTTTTTTGCCAAAGAAATTGACATAAAACAGCAGATTTGTAAAGGAGTAGAAGATTTAGAAGGCTCAATTCTCCCTACTCAACTACACAGAAGCATTATAAAAGAAAGAATACATGTATACACAATCCTCAAAATGTTCAATAAAATTCACTGAATTGAAAATATGTTTACCAAGATCATGAATAGGGAGCCCACAGAACACCCAAGAAAGACTTTTTAGAGTCAAAGGAATCTTTACTTCCTTAGAGTCTCAGCAGGCACAGGACTTCTCTAGTACAGAGGAAAGTTAAGAGCAAAGGCTGCAATAATATCAATATTAAACCAGTTCTCTTTCAAATACATAAGGGAGAAGTACAAAAAAAAGGAATTATTTCAGAGTTCCTCAACAAGAGTGCTATTAGTGTTTTGATTGGAACAGTTCTAGAATGTACAAAATTGTCTAGAACTTTATAAGATGTTTTACATACCTGAGCTTTGGTCACTAAATGCCAGTAATGTCCCATTGAGACAATCAGAAATGCCCCTTAAAATTTCCACAAGTTTTCCTAAACAGTTAGTACTATTAAGCCAGTTGAGAAAATCAAGAATTCTCAGCATAAAAGGGGCCAGACAGGCGTTACTGTATCCCCATGGGTTAATAACATAGAACCAAGTTTGAGAAAAGAACAAGACACCATTAGGAGAAGCAGTTAATTGACCAGAGATATTGGTAACTTATTGAATATATTTATCTGCTTAATATTTAAACCAAGTTTGAGAAAAGAACAAAACACCGTTATGAGAAGTAATCAATTGGCCAGAGAGATTGGTAACTTATTGAATATATTTATCTGCTTAATGTTTTGAAACAATTTTAAGGCTGTAGAGGCACTGAAACTTAATTGCTCAATTAATTGCCAAGTTAGAGCTACAGTTTTATTTATTGAACCAATTTTTTAACCTAAAAATGTTCAGACATCAGTCAGGATCTTCTCATAATTCAGGTTAACCTAATCAGAGACAAGGTATAGTTTAAATTTCATAACATTTCCTATACTGCTATAACAAATAACCACAAATTTAGTGGCTTCAAATGATACAAATTTACCGTCTTACAGTTCTAGAAGTGAGAAATGGTTCTCCTTTGACTAAAATCAAGGTGTTGGCAGACAGGGCTGTAACTTTCTGCAGGTGCTAGAGGGTACTTCCTTGCTTTTTTCCAGCTTCTGGAAATTGCTCATATTCCTTCACTCATGGCCCTTTCTTCCATCTTTAAGTTAGCAATGCCAGGCCAATTCCTTTTCACATGATTGTCTTTCTTTCACTCTCTCTACGTCTCCCTCTTCCACTTTATAAGGACCCTTGTGATCCATTGGCCCCACTGAAATAATTGAAGATAATATTTCCATTTCAAGGCTAGCTGGTTAGGACCTTAATTCACCTTTGCCATGTAACCTAATATATCCACAGATTCTAAGCATTAGGAGACAGGTATGTTGGGGAGGTTGGGGGGTGGCGGGTGGCAGATTATTCTGCTTTCATTTACTTAAAAAGTTTAGAGTGTTAGGATCTTCTTGCAATTTAATTCAGATAGTCCTAGTTAGAGACAAGATATAGTTTAAACTGTATGTTAAATGACATTCTTAACATTTTATGAAAACTCTTAGTTTTATTATATCTTTGTAATCATAAAGAAAATCACTTAAATGAATTTAAATATTTTTAAATTGCCTAGCAGAAAGAACATAGAATACTTACATTGTAAGACAGTATTATTGTTAAAATATTATACTATTTCATGTGGGCCAAAACTAAAATTTAGATTTTGACTGTTTTCCAGAAAACTGAATCTCAACTTTTGTTTCCAGCTCTAAAAACACACACACGCATGCACCCAAACACAATGGAACAAGGAAAGGATCTAAATTTCAATATGAGTTAATTATACATTATAATATTAATTATATAACTAAATAACTATTAGAATATTCAGGATATTGTATCCCTTATTCCCAGCAGTCTAAAATTGCCATGTTTCAGAGAGGAGAAAACTTTGTTTATATGAAGATAGTCTGCTTGATCTAAGAACGCAAAGATTGGCACTATTGTATTTAATGCCCTTTAAAACTACATTTGAGGATCTGTACTGGATTTAACTGAATCTCCAGTGAAATATATATTTTAAAACTTATATTATTGATTTTAATTATATTTTTCCTCAATCTTATTTCAGATAATTTTATCATCTCTATAGGTGCTATTTTGTTATGCTTCTTATCATTTCATCATACAGATCTCTAATATCACATGAAATTTTTTTACTAAATATTTTGAACTTGAACAATCTCATTTATTGCAGTAAAAAAAAAAAAAACAAAACACCTCCCAGTATGTGGTTCTCTTTGAGCATCAAAGGAAAGATGACTAACAATATTATAAATATTATATTTTGGTTGTTTTTTGTTTTTGGATCAGCAATTTATTTTAATTCTTTAGTCTGTTTACCCACTCAAAATTAGGATTGTTGCTATTGACTGGATTTTTAAAAAGTAATTTAAAATGTCTAATAATATTCTCACTCACAGAAGTTAAATGGCTAATAGGTAAAAGTAATCTATAAATTGTAAATTACTATTTGAATGTTATATGTAATTATAAAATGTGTGTTCATTTCTGAATTATGTAGGTGGCAACTAGGAATGACCGAAAATAAGATCTGGTGAACTTTATGCCTCATTTACACACTATTTTGTCAGAAAACCCTATTTTATCTGTGTTACTGCCAATATTTCTCTTAGGGGAAATGTAAATAGTGTATTATTTTTAGATAATTAGAAAAAGTTGAGGTTTGCTGGAAAAAGATTTTTTTTAATAGGACTATAGTGGTTTATAGTATCTGAGGACCTGGCATCAAGTAGAAAAGTTAGCATTTCCTCTTTATCAAAGTTAACATGCAGTGTATGAAAAACAAGCCTATCTCACAAATGTGGTCTTCCACACTATCACAAAATTTTGCACACTTTCAATTTTTCTTGTAGGACTACATTTTGTCACTGTGTTTTGTTCCGTTTATATTCATTTTGTTTTTTAAACTTTTATTTTAATTTCAGGGGTATATGTGCAGGTTTGTTACACGGGTAAATTGTGTCATGGGGGTCTGTTGTACAGTTTATTTCATCACCCTAGATATTAAGCCTAACTAACTTTCCCAATTTTGCTTGTTTTTTTAAGTTAAAAATAAATAAATAAATAAATAAATAAACAGTCTCTTTACAACTACATATTGGTTGAGAGAACTAAGGGAGGGGTAAAACTTCTGTTCTTGAGGTATAGTGTCAAAAATTATTGGATTTATTTTGGGAATAACCACTACTCAGAATAATAATACATCAAAAAACAAAAGAATAGGGCAGAACAAGAGTTCTTGTAACATGAGAACAAAGTTGAGAATTGGCCACATGAACTGGGAAGATTTACAGTGAGCAAAACTGAGGTAAAAAATCAGACTGAATGTGGTTGGCAAATTTCCTACTCATAGACAGGATCAGTTGTTCTATAATAGGAAAACAAGAAAAGAAAGTTGACAATAAATTACCACCACAAAGAACTACCTTTGCAATAAGGACTTAAGTAATAAGTTAACATTTTGATGGCCATCCTGAACAGCAAGTCAGGCCCTCAAGGAAAAACGTGGGAAAGCTCACTCAAAATGTTCTAGTGTTTTATCACATTGTCACAGTAGTTGCTAGAAGTAAAGAAGAAAGCACTTGATCTTTCATTAAAAAAAAAGAAGAAAGAAAACAAAAAAAATGCATGGAAGAAGGAGAGGAAAAAGTATTTTAAACTTCTATGACATTTTCTATGTCATCAAAGTGCTTTAATTTTATAGACCCTGAGATGCTTTCAAAAAATTACCAAGCGTATATTTTATTATCTTCAGTCTATTAATGAAGAGTTGGAGGTTAGTTGGTCAGCCAGACACAACATAGCAAGTCACTAAAAGATCTTGTATCAACTCTTTCAAATCTCTTAAGTATCCTTTTTGGGTTTTTTTTCCCCCAAGATGGAGTCTTGCTCTGTTGGACAGGCTGGAGTGCAGTGGCACATTGTCGGCTCACTGCAACCTCCACCTCCCAGGTTTAAGCAATTCTCCTGCCTCAGTCTCCTGAGTAACTGGGACTACAGTTGTGCACCACCATGCTCGGCTTAACTTTTTGTATTTTTAGTAGAGACAGGATTTCACCATGTTAGTCAGGCTGGTCTCGAACCCTTGACCTCATGATTCGCCTGCCTTGGCCTCCCAAAGTGCTGGGATTATAGGCGTGAGTCGCCACACCTGGCCTAAGTATGCTTTTTTTTATAAAAAGTAATAATGTTTTTTAAAACTTGAGCTCATTAAGGAGTCTGTTACCTAATGGTCCAATATTAGCATAAATTAGCTAATTATTTCTCTAATAAACAGAGTAAAAGCATTAGATCTGCCAGTCTCTTCTAAGTTCAATTTCAGCAGTGCCATTTTTTAGGACACTGGCAGTCATAGTCACACTACTATTTTTTAATACCAGTTTGGCAAAAGAATAAAATAAATGAGAAAACATAACAGATGCTTCACGCACTGTGTTAGACACTACAGTTTAAAAGAGAAATAAATACTGAGCCTAACCTGGATGGGCATACAGCTAAGTAAAGGAGATAAGCGTAAATAAATCGTTAAATCATATCTTTCCTACTGTTACTTAAGAGGTATAGCCATGAGTGACTATGCCGGCAGGGGAAAACATGGCTTCTTAGAAGACATGAATTACAGTGAAATCATAAAAGATATTCCAGGAGAGAACTTTCACTTCTGATTAATTTTTTTAAGTAGCAAAACTATGTCCCTCCCTCACAAATAAAGAGAACAAGTAGAATAAGAAATGAAATCATAGGAACTCAATGAGCCCAACACATCAAGCAAATCTGCACTCACTCAATTGTTTTCCACAGGCCTTTACTGAGAGCATATAAGTAGTAAAGTGAGGACCAGATAAAGCAAGAGCTGAGTAAGCTCCTTAGGAAGACAGGGACATTCTCAAGTACCAGGCTGAAGCCCATTGAAAACTGGGAGCAAGACAGAAAATCTCAGAGAATGACTTTCAAGTATTCTAGGTCTTGATGGGTATAAGGCAGTGTCTCTGGAAGCCTGAAAATTCAGAAAAATTCAGCTGATGCACATTGCTTTCAATTATACTTCAGAACAACCACTAGATAGATCATATACTGCATGATACAATATGTATCAAAAATTCCAAATGATAAAGATAATACAGAATGTGTTTTCTGACCACAATGGTGATAGATTGATAATTAGTAACCCTGGGATATTTAGAAAATCCCAAAATATATGGAAATTAAGCCTCAGAAGTCTATACAACTTGTAAACAAAAAATAAAATCACAGGGGAAATACTAAGATATTTTCAATTAGAAGGTACAGAAAACACAGTATATATATTAAGCTCTAGAGTTAGCAGCTATAGAAGTTTTAAAATGAAATTTATAGCTTTAAATGCCCATGTTGGTAAAAAAAAAAAAAAAAAAAAGAAAAAAAGAAATGTGTAAAACCAATAATCTAAACTGCCAAATTAAGGTAGTGAAAAAATAGCAAGTTTAGCCTACAATGTGACACAACACTTTTCAAGCACTGTTAACCTCAATTCATATCCAGAAAAGTATTTTCAGTGGAAATCAACACATTCTCAGATGAAGAAAAATAAGATATATCATCACCAATGCATCTACCTTAAAATGATGGCTAAATGAAGTTCCCTAAACGAAGATGATATAAAAAGGGATCTTGGAACATCAGGAACATTGTTTTCATTTAAAACAATGAAAATAGTTTTAAAATGAGTGAATATAATAGAATTTGATTCTCATTAGTTTTCTAGGTTATATTTCGTTATTAAACCAAAAATTATACCACTGCCTGATGTATGTCTCAATGTATGCAGAGGGAAAAAATAAGGTAGTTGTATCTTCTTAGTTTTTAGAAGCTATTTACACTGAGTAAAAAATTCTAGATTAACAGTTTGGGTTTTCTTCTGTTTCCTTTAGTGTTTTAAGGAACTACTCTACTGTCTCTCTATTGCATTGTTTCTGGCAAGAAAACTGCTGTCATCTTATTTTTGTCTCTCCTTATGTAACATTTTTTTTCCTCTAGCTGCTAAGGCTTTTTCCTGATCTGTTGTTTTGAGCACTATGATTATGGTAAGCCAGATGATAATTTTGTATTTTCATTAATTGGGGTTCATTGAAATTCTTAAACGTATTGGTTTATAATTTTCACTAAACTTGGAAAAATTTTGTCCATTATCTCTAGAAGTATTTTACTGTCCTCCCCTTCCACTGTATCCTTGTATCCTTTTTTTTTTCTAGCACTCCAAATTACACATACACATGGCTACTTGAAATTGGCATACTTCTCACTGATGCTCTTTTCTTTCTTTCTTTTTTAAAATTCAATTATCTTTCTGTGTTTCATATTGGGTGATTTCCATTGTTATGTTTTTAAGCTTGCTAATATTTTATTTCTGAAATATCTATTCTTATAATTCTCATCAGTTTATTTTTCTCTTTCTCTTTTTATAATTTCAACTTTTATTTTAGATTAAGGGAGTACACGTGAAGATTTGTTACACAGGTATATTGTGTGACACTGAGGTTTGAAGTATGAATGATCCCATCACCCAGGTAATGAGCATAGTACCCAGTAGGTAGTTTTGCAGCACTTGTCCCCATTCCCCTCTTCCTTCTTTACTAATCCTCAGTGTCTATTGTTATCATCTTTATGTCCATAGGTACCTGGTGCTCCTTAATAACTTAAGTGAGAACATGTGGTATTTGGTTTTCTGCTCCTGCCTTAATTTGCTTAGGATAACAGCCTCCAGCCATATCCAGGTTGCTGTGAAGGATCTGATTTCATTCCTTTCTATTGGTGCATAGTACTCCATTGTGTCCATGTACCATATTTTCTTCATGCAATCCATGGCTAATGTGCACCTACATTGATTCCATGTCTTTTCTATTGTGAATATTGCAGCGATGAACATATTAGTGTGTGTGTGTCTTTTTAGTACAACAATTTTTTTTCCTTTGAGTACATACCAAGTAATGGGATTGCTGGGTCAAATGGTAGTTCTGTTTTAAGTTCTTTGAGAAGTCACCAAACTGCTTTCCACGGTGGCTGAACTAATTTACATTCCCAACAAGAGTGTTTAAGAGTTCTCTTTTCTCTGCAGCCTCACCAGGATCCATTATTTACTGACATTTTATTAATAGCCATTCTGACTGATGTGAGTTAGTATCTCATTGTGGTTTTGATTCACCTTTTTCTGATGATTGATAATGGTGAGCCTCTTTTCATATGTTTTTTGGCCACTTATATGTCTTCTTTTGATATATGTCTGTTCATGTTGTTTGCCCACCTTTTAAGGGGGTTATTTCTTTTTTGTTTGTTGAATATTTTAAGTTCCTTATAGATTATAGATAATAGACCTTTTTCAGATGTATTGTTTGAAAATATTTTCTCTCATTCTGTAGGTTGTCTGTTTACTCTGTTGATACTTTCTTTTGATGTGCAGAAGCTCTATTTAGTTCTATTAGGTTCCACTTGTCAGTTTTTGTTTTAATTGCAATTACTTTTGAGGACTTAGTCATAAATTATTTTTCAAGGCCAACGTCCAAAATGGTATTTCCTTGGTTTTCTTCTAGAATTCTTGTGGCTTGAGGTCATATACTTAAATCTTGAATCCATCTTATGTTTTGTACGTGGTGCAAGGAAAAGGTCCAGTTTCATTCTTCTGCATATAGCTAGCCAACTACCCAGCACCACTTACTGAATACAAAGTCTTTCCCCCATTGCTTATTTTTATATGCTTTGTTGAAGATCAGATGGCTGTAGTTGTGTGGTTTTACTTCTGGATTCCCTAACCTGTTCCATTTGTCTATGTGCCTGTTTTTGTACCAGTACCATGCTTCTTTGGTTCTGTAACCTCAAGTATAGTTTGAAGTCAGGTAGTTTTATGCCTCTGGCCTTGTTTTTTTGTGGTTGTTGTTGTTCTTTTTTTTTTTCCTTTTTTTTTTTCTTAGGATTGCTTTAGCTACTCAGGCTCCTTTCTGATTTCATGTGAATTTTAGAATAGTTTTTTTTTTTTCTAATTCTGTGAAATATGATAGGAATAGTGTTGGATCTCTACATTGCTTGGAAGTTTGGCCATTTTAACAATATCACTTCTTCTAATCCCTAAGCATGGAATGTTTTTCCATTTGTTTGTGTCATCTATTATTTATTTGTCAGCAGTGTTTTGTAGCTCTCCCTGTAGGGACTTTTCAACTCCTTGTATATAAATATTTCCAGGTATTTTATTCTGTGTGTGTGGCTGTTGTAAATGGGATTATGTTCTTGATGTGGCTTTCAGCTTGAACGTATCCTGAAACTTTACTTTAGTATTTTATCAGGTCTAAGAGCCTTTTGAAAAATACTTCAGAATTATATCACTGGTGAAGGGAGAAAATTTGAATTCTTTTCCTATTTTAGTGCCTTTTCTTTCTCTTGCTTAATTGCTCTGGCTAGGACTTCCAATAATATGTTGAATAGGAGTGGTGAGAGTAAGCATGCTTGTCTTGTTTCTGATTTTAAGGGGAATGCCTCCAGCTTTTCCCCTTTCAGTATGATGTTTGTTGTGGGTTTGTCATAGATGGCTCTTATTATTTTAAGGTATATTTCTTGATGCCTAGATTGTTGAGGGGTTTTATCATGAAAGGAAGTTGGATTTTATCAAAAGCATTTTTCACATTTATTGAGATGATATGATTTTTGTTTCTAGTTGTTTATGTGGTAAATTACATTTATAGATTTTGGTTTGTTGAACCAATGTTGCATCCAAGGAATGAAGCCTACTTGATCCTGGTGAATCAACTTTTATGTGCTTCTGGATTTGGTTTGCTAGTATGTTATTGAGGATTTTTGTATCTATTGCCATTAGGAATATTGGCTTGTAGTTTTCTTTTGTGTCATGTCTTTGCCAGGTTTTGATATCAGGGTGATGCTGGCTTTGTAGAATGAATTAGAAAGGAGCCTCTCCTTGATTTTTGGGAATAGTTTTAGTAGAATGACACCAATCTTCATTGTATATCTGTTAGAATTTGGCTATAAATCCATGTAGTTGGAGGCTTTTTTCAGACAGTAGGGATTTTTAAATTGTTAATTCAATTGCAGAACTTGATATTTGTCTGTTCAGGGTTTCAAATTCTCCTGATTCAAACTTGGGAGGTTGTATGTTTCCAAGAATTTATGTATTTCCTCTACATTTTCCGGTTTGTCTACAGAGAGTTATTCATAATAGTCTCTCAAGATCTTCTGTATTTCTATGGTATTGGTTGTAATGTCACCTTTGTTGTTTCTGATGGTGCTTATTTGGATCTTATCCTGTTTTCTTTGTTATCTGGCTAGCAGTCTATTGATCTTGTTTATCCTTTCAAAAACCAACTTTTGATTGTGTTGATTTTTTTGTATGGATTTTGGAGTCTCAAATTCATTTAGTTCTGCTCTGATTTTAGTTATTAATATTTTTCTGCTAGCTTTGGTGTTAGTTTGTTTTTGTATTTCTAGTTCCTATAGGTGTGATAGTACATTGTTACTAAAAGATCTTTCTAACACTTTGATGTAGGCTTTAACACTGTAAACATTCCTGTTTTAGCTGTGTCCCAGAGATTTTGATATATTGTATCTCTATTTTCATTAATTTCAAATGATGTTTTGATTTCTGCCCTAATTTCATTTTTTACCCAAAAGTCACTCAGAAGCAAGTTGCTTAATTTCCATATAATTCTGTGGTTTGGAAAGATCTTCTCAATTTTTATTCCTATTTTTATTCCACTGTAATAATATGAGAGTATGTTTGGTACGATTTCAATTTTTTGGAACTTATTGAAACTTGTTTTACAACTGAGCATGTGCTTGATCTTAGGGTATGCTTTACGTGTAGATGAGAAGAATGTATATTATGTGACCGATGGGTGGAGTATTCTGTAGATATCTATTATGTCTAATTTGTCAAGGGTTGAATTTAAGTCAAGAGTTTCTTTGTTAGTTTTCTGCCTTAATAATATGTCTAATGCTGTCAGTGGGGTGTTGACATCCCCCACTATTATTGTATGGCTGTCTGTCTTTTCACAGGTCAAGAAGTACTTGTTTTATGAATCTGTGTGCTCCAGTGTTGGGTTTCCATATATTTAAGATAATCAAGTCTTCCTGTTGAATTAAACCGTTTATCATTATGTAATGCTCTCCTTTGTCCCTTTTTACTGCTGTTGGTTTATAGTCTGTTTTATCCGATATAAGAATAGGACCCTCTGCTCTTTTTTGTCTTTCATTTGTGTGATAGGTCTTTCTCCAACCCTTTACTTTGAGCCTACAGGTGTCATTACATGTCAGATGGTTCTCCTGAAGACAGCAGATGGATGGTTCTTATTTCTATCCAATTTTCCACTCTGTGCCTTTTAAGTGGGGCATTTAGAACATTTTCATTAATGGTGAATATTGTTATGTGAGGTTTTAATTCTGTCTTGAAGCTTTTAAGAGATTGCTTTATAGTTTCTATTGTGTGGTTGCTTTATGGGGTCTATGGGTTGTAAACTTAAGTGTGCTTTTGTGGTAGCAGATATTTTTCTTTTGTTTCCATGCTAAGAACTCCCTTAAGAAGCTCTTGTAAGGTTGGTCTAGTTTTAACAAATTCCCGTAGTGCTTACTTATTTAAATTTTTTTTTCTCCACTTATGATGCTTACTTTGGCAGGATATAAAGTTCAGTTGGATTTTTTTTCTTTCAGAGTGCTGAACAGGCCTCCAATCTCTCCTGGCTTGTAAGGTTTCTAACGAGAAGATCTGACTTTTATTTCTCTAATTGCCTTTAAGAATTTTTCTTTAGCATTGATCTTGAAAAGCTTGGTAACTAACTCTCTTGGTGATGTTAATTTTATAAAGTATCTTTCAAGTGTTCCCTGAATTTCTTTTAGCTCCATGTCTACCTTTCTAAGATTAGGGACATTTTCTGAATTATTCTCTCAAGTATGTTTTCCAGGTTGTTTACATTTTTCCTTCTTGCTCAGGAATGCCTGTTATATGTAGCTTTGGTCACTTTACATAATCCCATATTTCGTGAAGAATATTTATTTTAAAAAACCTTTTTTCTTTATTTTTGTCTCACTGGATTACTTCAAAAGACTGGTCTTCAAGCTCTGAAATTCTTTCTTCTATTTGATCTAGTATATTGATAAAGCTTTTGACTGTATTTTAAAATTCTTTAAGTGAGTCTTTTAATTCCAGAAGCTCTGATTTCTTTTTAATATGTATATCTCTTCCTTCTTTTTCTGGATTGCTTTTGAATTTCTGTGTGTTGGTTTTCAACCTTGCCTTAACTCATTGATCTTCCTTGCAATCCATGCACTGAATTCCTTATTTGTCACTTCTAAGTTTCCATTTTTATTAGGGATCATTGTTGGACAGCTCATGAAATCCTTTAGTGGTGTCACTACATTTATGTTTTTCATGGTGCCAGAATTCTTGCACTGGTTCCTTTCATTGGGAGATGCTAACACTTCTAATTTTTGTAATTATTTTGGAGCAGATAAAATTTTTTCTTTTCTTTTTTGTTTTTTTTTTTTTTTGAGATGGAGTTTCGTTCTTGTTGCCCAGGCTGGAGTGCAATGGCGCGATCTTGGCTCACTGCAACTTCCATCTCCCGGGTTCAAGCAATTCTCCTGCCTCAGCCTTCCTGAGTAGCTGGGATTCTAGGCATGTGCCACCATGCTGGCTAATTTTGTATTTTCAGTAGACACAAGTTTCCTCCATGTTGGTCAGGCTGGTCTCGAACTCCCAACCTCAGGTGATCTGCCCGCCTTGGCCTCCCAAAGTGCTGGGATTACAGGTGTGAGACACTGCACCTGGCCGTTTCTTTCTTTTTCTGTATTATTATCATTTTCTCTTTTACTTTCCTCCCCTTTCCCTCCACACCCCACCACCAACAGAGGGTGTGATTATAGAGAATGCTGGACAGGGTCTTTGGATTTTGCTTCTATAGCCCTATGCATTTCTGTCAGCAGGCTTTTTATTGGACTTTGCTGTTCAACTAACAAGTTCATAGATGATGTTAATGAGTAACAGCTAGCTGTGGCCAACATGGCTAAGTATATACTTAATCCTTGTTTACTAGGAGAAGCTCTCATTGCCTAAGGCAATGGGCTAATCCACGGGTTGCACAGTGGGCTGAGCTCCATGCTCAACCTCAGGAGAGGGAGCCAAGTTGGGTGGGGCTTCTCTGGGCAGGCCCACCTACAGGTCCCCCAATGGCAGGCACAAGCGCCAACACCGGGGAGAATCCAGTGCCAGCCACAAAGTGCCCAGACATATGCCTAGGTGTGGCACTAAGAAACCTCCTTGGCTCCAAGTTTTCTACATGAGTATGGGTGTCATCTAAACACCGAACCCAGGAGAGTGAGTTCTCCAGATGCCTGAAGATCTACCTAGGTGTGAAGTGTAGAAGGCTTTGCTTCATCACAATCTCTGTACAAGAAGGGTAGAGTGGCTCAGGCTGCTGTTTCAAGTGAGTGGGTGCTCTAAATGCCTGGAGATCTGCCTGGGATAGAGCAGGGAAAGCCCCACTGCACGATGATCTATGCACAGGTAGGGAGGGGTGGGTGAGTCTGCTGATATACCAGATAAGCAGGTGCTCCAAATGCCCGGAGATTTGCCTGGGCATGGAATGGATAGGGCCTTAACATACCATGATCTCAAGGGTGAAGGCTGGGATACCCAGCAGTGACACAAGCCACCAAGCTGGCCCTGGCTTCATGTCACCAGCTAGAAGAAACTGCAGCAGTAGCAGCTCTTCTCTAGCCCCAGGCTTGTGATGGGGGAGGGCATAAATCCAGCACCTACTGCTGAGGAACTTCCCACAGTTCTATCTGTGGAGGCCCCCGTCCCACTCGAGAGCAAGCACTCCAATCTCTGGTTCGAGATTAAAATACCTGTGAGGCCACACTGATGGGTTACTAAAGAGTGACTGACATTTTATGCATCTGAATTAAAAATGGTATCCTGCTCTTGGTCCCGGGTCTTGGAAGATGCCTGCAACTTTTCCCAGTGTCTCTCTCTCTCTCAGTGTCTCCAACCTTTTCCCCAGGATAGCTCCAGGGCTTTGGAGAAATAAAGTGCTCTCCCATGTCCTGGGTTGCTCAGATTCCCAGTGCAAAAGCAAGTCACAGAGGTAAGCTTTCTGCCAATCTCACCAACTGAGGCTTAACTCATTTTTATCAGCCAGACACCATCACTGCGACAGTTTGCCCACCTTTTTCCCAGGATCTGGGATGTCTTTCACAATTGCAGTGGTTTCCTGTTTGTCTTCTTGAATTAAAGCTCAGAGAGTAGATTTTTATGCACTATTTTGCTATTTCCAAGTAGCTGAGGCACACTAAAAGCCTCTAATCTGCCATCTTGGGGAAAAAAAAAAAAAAACTTGTATTTTTCACTACAAAATTTTTAGTCTTTACCTCTGGAATTTGATTTGTATATTTTTTGGTATCTACCCTGTCATAGTTATAACTATGATAATATCCTCATCCTTTAACATCTGTGTCAGTCGTGAATTGGTTTTGTCTAAATGTTCTCCTGAATATTGTTTTCATTTTCTTGCTTTTCAGCTTGCAAAATAATAATAAATACTAAACATTAAGGATTTTGTACTTTAGGGGACAGATTTTTAATATTCTTTTTAAAAAACAGTCAAAAGTTTCATTTTGGTACTCACTTAAGTCAATTAGATAGAGTGTGTTTCTTATATGTCTTGCTAATTTTTATAAATCAAGAACAGTGTAGCATTTAGCATAGTGTTAAATTATCCTTCTAAGGCAAGAACCTTCTGTGTTCTCTACCTAATGCCTCATGAATTTCTCGATTCTCTTTGGAACAGGCACTTGTCCCAGCACCTGTTTAAGCACTAGTCACTATTTCCTCTAATAATAGAGTCTGACGTGGTTCCTTCTCAGGCCTGATACAGTTACTGTGCATGCATGAGCTTGTCAACACTCAGCTGAATATTTGAGGAGACTCCTCTGTTGATCTCTAGAGTTCTCGCTCTTTGTAGCATTCCTTTCTCTGCCCTGGTAACTCTAGTCACCTTCTTATTCCTCAACTCTTAGTTTTGTCTCCACAACACGGGAATTCAAAGGTCTCCAACTGAATGCTATCTCCCTGTGCTGCTGCCTAGAAATTCACCGCACTGAATTGGAAGAATTTTTAGGATTTATTTGTTTCTCATCTTTCAGAGATTACTTTTTTTTTTGTTTTCAAGCAACCAGTGCCTTGTTAGCCATTGTATCATGTTTTGGTTTTTTCAAGCTGTAACATACATTCATCCTTATTGCTCAATCTTGCCCAGAAGTAGAAGTTCCAATGTATTTTTTAAATGGATGAAATCATTTGGAATCATACTAGTTACAAGGTTGAAGGAAACAGTCTCAATTACATTGCCTAGAATAACAGATTGTAACATTTTTGTTATAATAGTTAAATAGTTTGAACATCTAGGCTGTCAAGTGTAACAACGAATCTCTGTCTTGGTGCAACAAACTGTTCTGAAGTAACCACTTTGAAGAGTTGGGCCTTCTCAAAGCCTGAAGTTGTGAAAGTAATTTCTGATTCAACAACCAGCTAAGAATGACTAGAAATTATCTATTCAATATAATAAAATATTGTGAGTGTTTTGTAAAATTATCACAGAAGAGAAGAAGCTGGTGTGTAAAGCAGAAGAGTTTTAAAATAGGAAAATCAAAGTTCCAACATTTTAAGTGAAATAGTAAAAGATATGTGACCTTGTTTTGTACCTTAGGCTGATTAAGTGTAATGATCATTACACAAATAATCATTCATGGATTTTTATTTATATAGTTTGGAATTTTTATTTATATATATAGTTTGACATTTTTTATTTAAGTATGTAGTATAGTTTCTGCAATGCTCAAATCTCTGGCCAAAGACCAGAACTTAATGGTCTCTGGTAAGAGATTTGGGCATATTAGAAACTAAACTAATTACCCCAAAATGTCAGAGATAGACATTATTACGTTCTCACTGGAGTCTCTGGCTTTTTAAATACATTTTTAATTTTTTTTCTTTTTTTTGTTATCAGATATACTGAAAATTCAGTTAAGCCACACTCAGTGGGGCATAAAGTATGAGTTCATGAGTATCTGCACTAGGACAAATAAAATAAGCATCTCACTAATGTAATTATCATCTGTCTATTTAAAACCTATCACAATATTTGAAATATACTAAACACTAAATAAATGTTTGCCGATTGAGTGAATTAGCAGAAGGCATGTTAGAACATGGGCTATTGATGGGGTTTTTAACAATAAGTGATATAAAAAGGTTACTTGGTGAGAGAAGCTCAAAATCACAAAAGACTTCAAAAGTTAGAGATATGATTAAAAGACTAAGTAATGGGAATAATTTATTTGGAAAGAGAGAGAGGTGAGAGAGAGTTAGTATTGTTTGTGTCAATGTCCACTTGCTTTTCATAACAGTTCCATTTCATAGGATAATGTACAAAAATATTACAAATTATACATGAGAAGGTAAATTTACTTTTGCAAAGTGTTTTAGCAACATGTATGTTACATAGAAATTATTTACAACAAAGAATATGTGTGCAGAGGGAACATTTTGGGTAAAAGCATAGGCTGATTTCTTCATGGACCTGTGCAACCTCTAAACCTTCCTTCCTTTATGAATGCACTGAAATCCTACACATAGGACTTTGACTTCATAATGGATTCTGAGAGCAGTAATTCAACTTATGTTATAAATAACTGATCTCTCTGACCTCATCTTGAATATAGTTCTTAAAAGTATTTACTGAATTAATGGATGTTTAGGACAGAGGCCTTAACCAGAAGGGAGACAGGAAAGGGGAGAAGGAGAAGAAAAGAAGGAGGGAGGGAGGGAAAGAGAGAGATAGTAAGACATCAGGACATGCTGAAAGCCAGTGGATGAGATAAAAATCATGAAACCATATCATGGTAGAAAGATAAAACAAAAGGGAGACGCTGGAGCTGCACTGTCCATTACTGCAGCCAATAGGCAGGTGTGGCTAATGAGCATCTGACATTTGACTCCTCCCAATTGAGATTTGCTATGAGTGTAATATATACAGTAAATCTGAAAACTTATTAAAAAAAACCTTGTTAATGACTTCATATTGAATATACCATCATGAGCCACATTACAAACTGTTGGTCAACAACTGATTGCATGTATAACGGTAGCTTCATAAAATTATAATAAGGTAATTTTACTGTGCCTTTTCTATGTTTAGATGTTTAGATACGCAAGTATTTATCATTGTGGTACAACTGCCTATAGTATTCAGTACAGTAACATGCTGTATAGATTTGTAGCAATAGGCTATACCATATACCCTAGGTGTAGGGTAAGCTATCCCATCTAGGTTTGTGTAAGTACACTCTCTGATGTTTGCACAATCATGAAATTACTTAACAATGCATTTCTCAGAACGTATCCCTGTCATTAAGTGATGGATGACATACATTGAAAACTATGTTTTGGACATATTGGGGTAAATTAAATAACTATTGAAATGAATTTTACCAGTCTTTTCACTTTTATAGCATAGCAACTAGAAAATGTATAATTAAATATGTGGTTTACATTTGTAACTCACATTATATTCACATTGGATAGTACTTACATAAAGTGTTGTTTTTAATCTGCTTTAATTCAGAGACTTCTGTGTAATATATGAAATTTTTCTCAGTAAAAATACATAATTTCCCCTACAGACAAAATTATGTAAATAACTCTGTGGATTTCTTTGATATATTGAACCTGTCTGTGGGCCTAAGTTAAGAATTCCTATCATAGAAGAGTTACATCATCACACCAGCCATGCTATTTCAGAGTATAGAGAAGAGAAAACATCTGTCCTGGGGTTTTCACAAGGCTTCCACGCTGGGACACACAAGAACAGAGAAGTAAAAGATTTAAGTGTTCTGACATTTCCTACAATGATCTTGGCTTCTGTACCAATTGTTTTTCTCCTACCAAGTACTTGCTCAGTGTAAAAAAAAAAAATATATATATTTATAGTGTCTGCCTAACTTCAAGTCAGACTCCTGAGGGTAGAGACTTCCTTTGTCTTCTTCATGTTTCAAAATCAGCCTACATACATAATTTTTTTCATACTAAATATTGTAGCTCTAGCCACAGAATTGAGTGATTTTTCATATCCTACTTAGTTTCAAGATCATGTAGTCTGGGCATTTGGGAATTACATTTCATAGCCATAAAATCACAACCGTGAAATATGAATTGTTAAAGCATGAACAAACCTCAGAGAAACTTGATTGATAACGGTTGCCAAAGTGAGATTATCAGCAGTAAATGATCCAATGTTAATTTGATTGTGATTAGATGCAATGCCTTCCATGTCATAGTGTCACCTCTAAACAAGTCTTTCCATAATGAAGTAAAAATCAACCTAAGAACTAATCATGTGAAGAAATATGCTACTAGAATAATTTTGTGATTGGGTGCCACCTTCTTAAACTAAAATCCAAGAAGTGCTATGAGATTTGATAGCCACTGAGTCCTAGAATGAAGACATGTAGAAGTTCTTGTTTGTTTCCTTTTAGACATTTATTCATTTTCTTATATGACTTACAATTTTTCAGACTGCAGTTAGTCAAATTACTAATGCCAGTATATAATGTCTTTACAGAAAGTTCCTTATTATCTGCAAAATGTGTAGTATGCCATCCTTTTTCAAGCTTAATTCTATCATTTAAAAAAACAGTAAATATTTACCCTGTGCCCAATACTATAATAAGTGCCATGACAAAGACAAAAAGAAGTAGGATAAATGTTCTTGGTTTCTCCATACTTGCATTTCCCTTGGAGAAATAAAATATTTTGATTGAGATGTAGCAATGACATATATAATTCAGTGAGACAATGGAGAAACTTAACCAAAAAAAATAAGATTTAAATGGGATGGTAAATATTAGAAATGCTACAAAAAGTCAAAAGGAAAAAAAAAAAACTGTTGTGGAAACTATACATTAAAGAATCTGTTCCTGAAAGCTATGCAGCTTTGGATATCCCAGTTGAGCAGAGAAAGCAGAGGAAAGCACAAAGTCTGTGTTTGCTATTATTTTTCATGAAATAGCACATATAAATATGACAATACTTGTAAACTCATTAGGGTGAATGGAGAAACTGTCAGTGGGACAGAGACAACCAACCAAGAATTCTAATTTTCCCAGGGCCTGCCTTGGTGCACTCCAGCCTGGGGGTTTCAATATCTTGCACACTTAAAAGGTATTTATGACATATTTGTTGGAAATTGCTCATTTATAGAACAAGATCTTTCTGAGACATTACTCCTAAAAAGATTAATAGGTAATTTTTTGTGGAGGCAGGGTGTTTTGTTGTCTTTTGTTTTTTCTTTAACTTTTTTAACTATAGGATTCCATTATCTGGCCCAGGGTAGCAATCTAGAGTCCGACTGGTAGCTATGAAGTGTCCTTATGTAAGAACTCTGACAAAAAAAAAAAAAAAAAAAAAACTCTTAACCAAACTGCATCTGGCTAACTAAATCTTAAACCCTCTTAAGAAGGTTGAAGTGTGATTTCCAGAGAATATATAAAATAGAGTTAAAAATAAAAATGGAGAATTTTAAAAATAAAAGCAGTACAAGTTACAAGGGATCAAAAAACACGGGTAAATATGAGTCATGAGAGAAAAAGGGAAAAAAATGGCAAAAGCTGAGCAGAAAACACAAATGAGTAGAAAAGAATCACTAAATGGCAGGCTAAGTCAAAGAGGTAACGTTTTCTTGAGAAGGGAATAAGCTGTGCTGTTGAATGACTAGAACTGCTCTCAGACCACAAGAGCTACTGTTGACTCATGAAAGATCATGTATTCCCGTTCTCCATGGAGTCTGACTGCGGCTTATCAGAGTGCTCATTCTGTGCCTTGTAAGCCATTGCGCGTTGGTTAATGGGTGTTACTAAATGGGATGAGGCTTGAAATATGCTTGTGCATTGGGACATCTCTGCTGTTTGGAGCCATGAGGTTGTTGCATAGGAAAAAAACAAGATGTTTCTATTAGAGGATGATACCACACAGAGCAGAGACCATCCTCCCTGACTGAAGTCTTTCTAGGAACAGCCATTGTGTCTACTGCTAAGCACTATACAGGGGACTATCTTTGTCTATGCAGCCCTAGATGAGCTGACTCAGACCAAAGAAACATTCAACTAACCCAAAGAACTGTGAGAAATAACAAAGATGTGTTTACTTTTTTTTTTAATCTAGGCTTCTGGAAAGTGCCATATAACAATATTTTTGACTTTGTGAATCATATGATCTCTGTCTCAAGCATTCAGCTTTGTAACTGTAGCAAGAAAACAGTCATAAACAATAGATTAATGTATGGATATGACTGTATGCCGAAAAAACTTTATTTAAACATGATTTATAGTTCCAGTAAAAATAATGTTGCCATAGTTTACTGGCCTTTGTTTCAAACTAGTAAGTTATGACATGGTTTGTTACACAACAAAAGCTAAAAGATACACTATTTTTATTGTAGTTTCCTCTCTCACCTTTGCAAATTAGTTAACTACTCCTACTTGCCCTTTAAAATTCAGTAGAAGCATCATTTCTGAAAACCAAAAGTCACAGGTTTTGGAATCAGACCAATCTGAATTTGAAGCCCGGTTAGAATTCAATGTGGAGACTTGGCAAAGTTAACCTGTCTAAGCTTTGGTTTTTTCAGGTATAAAATATGCCTTGCATAAAATACTTTAATTTTTAAGATATTTATAACATTTTTATTTTTAGACAATTATAATACAGTTAAATATTATGTCATTATAATCTTACTACCTTCACTCTTGGTCTAGACTAGATGCTCTATAGTAACATGGTATCCCATGCATATTCCTACAATATCACTTGCCTTACTATATATAAATTGCTAAGCTTTTCTCATCATTTTTTGAGACAAAGGAATTAATGCATCACTAAGAAGAATGTTTCTTTCCTCCTCTGATGATTTCTTCCAAGAGGATACTCAGTTCTGCCTCACTTTTAGTTTCTCTTTGCCCATTTACTCAACTCAAGATACTGAGCTCAGTTCCCACCTTGTTCCTTTTGGAGAAGTGAATACCCTTTGAGAGCACACACCCTCTTTCACTTCTCTAGGTAACAGCATCACCTGTGGAGTAACCCAGTCCAAAGCTCCATAATCATATTAGTACATTGGTCTTATTCTAGGGTTCAAAATTAGGTATTAGAAGGACCCATTTGCTTCTCATATCAACCTTGGTTCTGTAATTCAGAAAGGTTTAATTTAGACTGTCATCTTCCTGTTTCTTGGTCATAATTCTCAATTGGTTCATATCTCACACAAGAAACAGAGATAAATTATTATTGGATCTCTGCAAAATTCCAACATACATGTCATATGCTTAGAACAGTTACTAAAAAACAATGTGCAATCCTTGTAGGAGAAAAGTATAGTACTTCTTTCTAATGCCAGCTAAGTAGAGAGGCTCCAAGAAATCAGATCATAAATATGGAGATTGTTTGCAAGAAAGAAGATGGGCATTTTACCCCTGGCTGGCTACTTGCTGAGCTGCTATTTGTTTGCATCAATCTGAATAAGCATGAGTGAGTTCTTGAGAGAATCTCACATATATCCCCAAGATCTTTTGAATGTAAGTTAAGTTATAGAGCAGAGCTAGAGGCTTGCTGGAGGAGACCTCATTGGCACTCGACGGACAAGCTGCACCTCAGATGCGTGAGTTTCCCTGTGGGCTAAGTGGGACTGTAGGTTTGTCCTCTTGCCATGGGTTTCCCAATAGAAAGAGGCCATAGGACACTGCTTAGGGGAAAGGAATTAACAAGGAGCATGAAGGTATCTGGAGAGTTGTTCATGAAGCTTGTTAGAAAGCAAGGTCATGAAGCTTGTAAGGGAAAAGGTCCCTGCAGGAAGATTTCCAGATAAATCACCAAAGATAAATTTTGGTGCTTGAACAGCTGAGGAAGCAGGCCTTCTTTTTTTGTTTTGTTTTGTTTTCTTTATCTCTTTTCCTCCCCTTCACAACTCCGTATTTTACTTAAGTTATAAAGCAAAGACCTAAGAAGAACAAAAATAGTAAAAGAACAAAACAAATGACTCTTCTTTCTCCTGAACTTCAACCAGGCATTAGGTAGAGAGAAGAAAAAAAAAAGTTTAAAATCTTGGCTTAAACTAAAATAGACTTTATAATACCCAATGTAGGTATTGTTATTTCAAATGAAAGAAACCAGCGTTGAACATAGAAAGAATTAACCTCTTTCCTGCTTTAATGCTACTGAATATAGCCCATTAAGAATCAATACATAGGTGCATACAAACATTAATTATTTGATTGTCTCTTTAAATAAGATTAGGTTGTTGAAATTATAGTAGAGCAATAAACACACTACCAACCCCCTTACTAGCAGAAAGAAAAATTGGAGCTGATTATGACAGGTCAGTAAAATGAGTTTATTCAATCTTATGTAAATAATAAAAAATAATTTTTAATTACTGTTCTACAAACACCAAGGTAATTTGATCTTGCAACAAAACTAAAACTGGAGCTAAATTAGCAAGCCAGCTGCAAATTCAAAAGTTTATGCATTTAAAAAAGTACAAAGAGTGTATACCCTCAGAATACAGACAAGAGATAAAAAACTTAGTATAGCCTCTTTTAGTCCATAGAAGTAATAGCTAGGTCCCTCACTTCAACATGCTATATTCTTTCAAAAGCATGATAAGGGTTCTCTAGTTAAATAGTTGTTTCTAATCTGCACTTTTATCCTTAAAAGATTTTGTAACCGATTTTGTTTTCTTCTTCGTTTGTTGTATACTTTTTATAGCATTGCTGGGCTAAACTTTTTATCACACTATTTTATCACTGCATTCCCATTTAATACAAAACCACATGACTTCTGAAAAGGTCTACAATAATTTAAGCATCACTCAGCACACCATTTCTCTGACTACATGCATTTTTTATACCCAAACTCTTATTGTAATGCTTATGATCAATAAAGATGCTTGCTCAGAAGTAGAATAAATTTCTGAATTATTAATATTTAATGTCTCAAGCTTCAAATCATTGACCAATCTTACCTAAATAAAATTCTTTTGTGCTCTCGGTGTTAGCTTATGAAAACCAGGAGTAAAAAATCAACAAAATCATTCCTATTTGTAGCAGTTTTAGAAAAATCACTTCTACATATTTATGGATAAAACCAAGTTCTATCCAATTTATTACTGCTGAAGGATGACATGGAGAAAATTTATGTAAGGTTTAGATAATGTTCAAGGAATTTGGATGAGAATTTTCTGCCTACAGAATAGATTTTCGTTCTCAAGTGTGCAAGGATTTAGCTAATTTAAGCAAAATAATAATAATAATATTTGATAAATGGATATAAGGAAGTGGAAATGCCAGAAAACAAAGCCCAGAAGTCAGAAGTGGCTTTAAAAAAATGGCTAGGTGAGGTGGCTCACGCCTGTAATCCCAGCACTTTGGGAGGCCAAGGGGGGGCAGATCACCTGAGGTCAGGAGTTCGAGACCAGCCTGACCAACATGGTGAAACCCTGTCACTACTAAAAATACAAAATTTAGCTGGGCATGGTGACACATGCTTGTTAATTCCAGCTTCTCGGGAGGCTGAGGCAGGAGAATCATTTGAACCCAGGAGGTGGAGGTTGCAGTGAGAAGAGATCACGCCACTGCACTCCAGCCTGGGTGACAAGAGCGAAACTCCGGGAAGAAAGAAAGAGAGAGAGAGAGAGAGAGAAAGACAGAAAGAAAGAAAGAGAAAGAGAGAAAAAGAAAAAAAGAAAGAGAAAGAAAGAAAGAAAGAAAGAAAGAAAGAAAGAAAGAAAGAAAGAAAGAAAGAAAGAAAAAAAAGAAAAGAAAAGAAAGACACCATAAAAACAAAGAAAGAAGAAAAAGGAAAACAGGCAAGCTCAGTGTCAGAACCACAGTCAAGTCAAGCAAACAAATAAGACCAGAGGCATGTTATTGCTGGACATTGGTTATTGCAAGCCAACGCTAATGCTTACCCTGGACACTGCCTGTCACTCCAGTTCCAGCACAGCTCCAGGATCCTGATGTCACTGCCAGCACCACTCAGTGTACCATGCAAAATGCAACTTTCCATGATGATGAGACAAATGCAAACCTAAACTGTAGTTTAGTCTTTAAATCACCCACTGAAGTGCAAAAAAATATGGGCAAAACCTCTGATTGGCTGAATGTCAGACATCTTTTTACAACCTAACTTCCAAAGTTCTGCAAAAGCAAGTATCTCACCCATAGAAGGCAAAATTTCAAACACATAAAGAAATTTCAGTACCCAGGAAGTAAAAATAAATAAAAGAGAAATACTTTTCAATTACTATTAAACTATCTGTGAGACCTGTATGACTGGGGAGACAGAGAGGAAGGGAAAGAGACAGATAGATAACTACATAGTGGTTAAGTGTCTGAGCTTTAGGGCGATATTACCAGGTTTAATTACCAGTTCCTCGTGCCAATGGCTTTGTAGCTTTAGCAAGTTTTATAATTTTAGTCAAGATTTGTAATATTTCTGTGTTTCAGTTTTCTCCTCTTAAAAATGGGCTTCATAAACATTTCTGCTTTCTATGATTATTGTGGGGATTAAATGGCATGATCCATATAAAGTATTTATTACACTGTAAGTCAGTCTTCAATGTTAGGTGTTATTAATATTGCAATTTCCTATTTTTTACTGAACAATTTTTTTCATCACTGAACATGCAAATAATAGATTTAACATTATGTTATATGTATAAAATAGAGTTTTTTACCTTGAGGAGTACGTCTTAAGCTCTTTCAAATATTTGCTGTTCTCTTTTTCTGTCTGGATCCACATCCACTCTTCTTGCTCTTTCAAACTTCTGTCTCTCCTTTAGGAGTCTCTTCAATTCCAGGTCCCTACTTCATAAATGCCTGTGAAATTACCACAAAACATAGATATTTTTGGTATTCTAGTATAATGAATGTAAATACTACAATATTTTAACAGTTAAAAACAATTATTGGTTTAATTATGTCTTTCCTCCTATTTATAAACTCTGAGGCAGCATTACCCAATTAGAGAAGGTATTGGATTTAGACAAACGGTGGTTCAAATTGTCTTATAATTACTTGTGTGAACTTCAAAAAGTTAATTAACCTCTTGAACCTCAATTTCCTATTCTGTATATTGAGAACAATAACACCTGTTTTACAGAGTTGCTGTAAAGGTTAAATGAGATTGTGTGTGTGTGTGTGTGTGTGTGTGTGTGTGTCTATGCATGTTTGCATGTATGTGTGGGTAATTATCAAAGTATGGTAGTTATTGCTCAATTGATGCCTATGGTTATTTTTATTACACCATTATATTATTTATTTTGCAGAGTACCTGAAATAAAATAGACACCTAATGACTACTTATAAAAAGAAAATAATTCTTATACTTGAAATAAAAATAAAACGAAAATTAATTTTTTATTTTAAAAATTAAAATGAAAGAAAATGAGTGTATAATAGTCAATGTATAGAATATGCCTATAAAGTAGTTCTTTTTTTCATAAATGTATATGCATATCTATCACGTTTCAGTTCCAGATAATGGAACATATTGAAGCTGATTTAAGAATTACGTTTAAAATGGATGCCCCACGCTGTATCTCTCATCTTGTTTTCTTCAGTTCCAAATTAAAGTCCTCCACAAGTGCATCTGACTGGTAGAATATAAATTTATTTAATCACTGCTTCACTAATTGATCTGTCAAATAACTTATTGTGTGCCAGTCATATGTTTGGTGCTGTGGATAAAGACTTCATGGAGTTTACACACCTAGTCAAAGAAGACACACATTAAAAGTGCATAAATAGGTTACGTACCATATTAGAACTTTAATATGATAAATTCTTTGGGAAAAAAATAAGCAAGAAATGACAGTGAGTGCCAGATGATGAAGATTGTAATTTTTAAAGTATAGAGTAAAATTTATTGAAAGGGGGACATTTGAGCAAAGAATTAAGGTGAGAAGTAAGCCATGAAAAATTTGTAGGAAAAGCATTTTAGGCCCCAAAAATAGACAATGTAAAGTCCTGGAAGAAAAGAATGTGTTTAATATTGAAGGAAAAATGAGGAGCTTCACATAGCTGGAGTGAGTGAGTCAGGAGTTCTGGGTGGTAGGAGAGGAGAAGAGAGAGATAGTGGAGGTCAGATGGTACAGAGCCTATAGGCTTTAATGGGGACTTTAATTTTTACTCTGAACAAGATGAATATACATGGAATAGTTAGGCCCTCAGACTGATACAATGGAACTTGTGTTTGAACAGGATCCCTTTGTCTAACGCATTCAGAATAGACTGAAGGGGAAGAGCAAGATCGGATGAAGGAGGGCAGTTAGGAGGCTATAGCAATAACCCTTCTCGATGATAATGGTGCTGTGCTACCAGGGGAGGTGATGAGCAGTAAATGCAGTTCTCAATACATTTTGAACATAAAGTACAAAGGATTTTCTGATGAAAAACAAGTGAGGCATACAGGAAGATTCCAAACTTTTTGAATGAGCAAATAAAAGGATGGACTTGCTACTAATTGACAGGATAAAAAGTGAAGATAAATCTCAGGTCGTGAAGGGGAGGAAAGGTGTCTGTTATTGTTTGTTTTTTGGTGAGTCATACTAAATATGAGATGTCTACTAGAAATACAAGTGGAGGTGTCAGTTGGCAAGCTGATCAATGTGAGACTTGCGATTACAGTGTTCCATGTGGCAAATGCACATTTGGGAGTTTTCAGGGAACACATCATTTTGGAAGTCATAGGACTGGTAAAGTCACAAAGGACATGAGTGTAGATTGCTAAAAACGGTCATGGCACAGGCCTAGAACACCATGTTAACAGATCAGGGGTAAGAAGAAGGACCAACCAAAGAGATTTAGGAAAGGCCAATGGGCTATGAACAAACACAAGAGGCTATGAAGTCCTAGATGCAAGCATGTTGGTTTCCTAGGGCTTCCCTAAGAAAGTACCACAAACTGGGTGCCCTAAAACAACAAAAGTTTATTTTCTCACAGTTCTGGAGGCAAGAAGTCTAAAATCAAGTTGTCCGCAGAGCTGTGCTTGCTCTAAAGTCTCTGAGAGAGGATTCCTTCATGTCTTTTCCTAGTTCTGGTGATTGCCAGGAATTCTTGGGTTTCTTAGCCTTCATCACTCCTATTTCTGCCTATGTATTTACACAGCCATCTTGTCTCTGTGTGTGACCCTGTGTATGTTTTCTCTTCTTATGAGGACACCAGTTATTGTTTAGGGACTGTACCAACCCAGGATGATCTAATTTTAGATAATGACACCTACAAATATCCTATTTGCAAACAAGGTCACATGCTGAAGTTCCAGGTGGACATAAGTTTTCAGAGGACACTATTCAACCCAATACATCAAGTAAAAAATATCTAAGGAAGTTTCCAGATGATGTTGGTAGTTCGAAATTGATAAATGGTGATATTTGATCACTATAAATAGCCACATGGTGGTCACTGAACCCTGCAACATGGACAGTTTCATGTGGTGGTAGGCAGCAGCATGTAAGCCTGACTAGATTCACTTAAATGAGAATAGAGACAACTAGAGACTGAGTATACGCAACTCTATTGAGCATTAAAATGAGAAAAAAGTGACAGTAGAAAAATGAAGTAGAGGCAGAGTAGGATAAAGATATGAGAAAAATAACTACATGCTTGCATGCTAATGGTACAAATACAGGAGAAAGAACAATATTGACACAATAGCATGTTTCCACTTAATATAATTAAGACATATTCACATAAATACAAAGCATGCTCACTCTATTTTGACGCTTTAATCTGCCTCTGCTTGAGCCTGACAGAATCTACTCCATTTATGGATCTGGAGGCAATGAGGGCTGATGGGAGTGAGGTTTGTGGAGGATGGATATCCCCTTTCAAGCTAGCCTTTTGAAGACATCCTTATCTTCTTCAATGTAGGCAAACCAGATCCAAATGTTATAGTGACCCAGCGGTCTATCCCAGGAAATGGTCAGTTTTTATGAATGATAGACTAAGTCTCTCATCTCTTGTAGCTGTAGACTAACAGAGTCAACAACCAGATTAAGAGTTTGATTCTGAAGGAGTCCTTGAATTACTAGTTTAAATTTCCCCACTCTCCCAGTGCTTAGATGAAAGAAAATGTATTAATTAAGAAAGAGTGAAATTCCCAAATTCCTTGGGCTGAAATCATGAGTATGTCCTCTGATAATAATATAATTATACTGCAAATCAACAACAAAAATAAAAGTAGGAAATCCTCCGGCATTCAGACATTAATAAGTACAATTCTAAATAATCACTGGACCAAAAAAGGAAGTATAATAAAATTGAGATAATATTTTGACTAAATAACAATGGAAATGTATATCAAAACTTGCGGGATGCAACTCTATCAGTACTTAAAGGAAAACTTAATAATGTAAAGGCTTGTGTTATGAAAGAAGAATGGAAATTAACTAATTTTTTTAAAGCACACACATAATAGATTAACAAAGAAAGAATCAACAAAGCTTGAATTTCTGAAAGGCAAATCTCTACGACTGAGCTGACTTTTCTGTATACAGGATAGGGATCGCAGGCCAGAAGATTTTTTATTAAAGAGAAATAGTATGTGTTTGCCTCTGTGTGTGTGTGTGTGTGTGTGTGTGTGTGTGTGTGTATGTGTGTGTGTAATCTATGAGATTCTGAAGATGTTTGTTAATGGAGAATAGTCTAGTCAATCCTGATTAATCCAGGGAATTGGAAAAAAGAATACCTACCAACATTTTTATTTTTAAGAAATAGGGTCTCATTCTGTCACCCAAGCAAATGTGTAGTGCCACCACTATAGATCATTTTAGCCTCTAACTTCTGGGCTCAAGCAATCCTCTTAACTCAGCCTCCCAAGTAGCTGGGACTACAGATGTGTGCCACTATGCCCAGCTAATTTTTATTTTATTTTTAAAAGTAGGAACAGGGTTTGACTATGTTGCTAAGGCTGGTCTTGAACTCCTGGCCTCAAGAAATCCTCCCATCTTGTCCTCCCAAAGTGCCAGGATTACATGCATGAGCCACCATACCTGGCCACCAACTATTTTTGATGACTAGCATAGCCTTGGTCTTAAAATTCTACAAAGACACTGCAAGAATACACAGAAACAGAATACACACCAATATCACTCCTGAATATTGGCAGGAGGGAATGTAAATAACCTTAACTCAGTACTACCATGATATAAATAGGATATATTATAGCTACCATTGAAGTAATAGATACAGCACTGCAAATCAGGCTTAAATGAAGCTTATCCAAGTATTTTCTTTTTTTGTAAGCCATATCACAGTCTTCCTGTGTTTAGCAACACTAGATGGCACTTCACTACACTTGGTGGCATATTAAATGTGAACTCACCCAACAAACAAACATAAAAATTTGGAAAATGTGGCACTAAATAGACTGCAAAAAAGGATACTCTTTACAGCATGAGAGTTGAAAACAAAAAGACAGAGAATCACCTTGTTCAACCTTAGCTGGGAAGAGGGGTATTGGGTGACTTAAGTTTCTCATAACACTGAGTATGTCTCTGAATGACCATAAAAGTGCATAGAACATTGATTTGGGGGTTACAAATAATTTTTTGCTAGTAGAATAATTTGCAAAAATGAAATCCACAAATAATAAATATCTACTATATATGTAAGGATATACCTGCAGAAATTATACTTAATGAGGAAATATTGAAAGATTTCCCTCTGAGATGAGGAATAAGACAAGGTTTCCAGGTATCACCAAAAATCTTCAACATTGTCCAGTGCTAATGAGTATATTAAGTATGAAAAACTCAAATAAAAATTGAAAAGGAATAAAACAGTCAATATCCATAGGTAATATGATTGTGTATTTTAAAACTTAAATATCAATCACATACTTTAATTTAGCTAGATTGAATATACAAATATACAAAAATCAGCTTATTTATTTATAAAAGAAAACAATTAAAATGTAATTTGAATCAATGTTATTTATAATGTCATAAATGATATTACATTCTGAGAACTAAATCTAATAAAAGGTATATAAGACATCTCTGGAACAATCTATAAAAATTTAATGAGAGAAAATTAAGTGATACACATGTTTAGGCATAGGAAGACTTAACATTATAAAATGTCAATTGTCTCTAAATTGATCTATAGATTCAATATGAACTCGATAAAAATCCCAGCAGGGATTTTACATTGGAAATTAACAATTATTCAGAAGTGTATATACAAAGTCAAAGGGCCAAGAACAGTGAATACTTGATACTCAAAGATACACAAAGGGGGAGAAACTACCCTATTGAACAGAACAATTTATTAAAAAGCCACAATGAGACATGGTAGCACTGGAGAAAAGATAGACAAACACACCAAGGAAACTAAATAGCAACACCAGAAATACAACATACATTTATGGACGTTTAATTTATGACAAAATTGGCACGCCAAAATAGTCAGAGAGTGATAGTGTGTTTTTGTTTGTTTGTTTGTTTGTTGAGACCAAGTTTCGCTCTTGTTGCCCAGGCTGGAGTGCAATAGCATGATCTTGGCTCACCGCAACTTCCACTGCCTGGGTTCAAGCAATTCTCCTGCCTCAGCCTTGCTGAGTAGATGGGATTCTAGGCATGTGCCACCACGCCCAGCTAATTTTGTATTTTTAGTAGATACAGGGTTTCTCCGTGTTGGTCAGGCTGGTCTCAAACTCCCAACCTCAGATGATCCACCCTCCTGGGCCTCCCAAAGTGTTTGTTTTTAAATAAATAAGTTGGGACATTTGGAGATCCAAATAGATAAAAATACTTTTGGAGTCTTACCCTCTACATATACAAATAAATCCCAGATAGATAATAGCCTTAAATATGCAAAGAAAAATAATAAATTTTTTAGAACATAGCAGAGGAAAAATCTTTATAACTTTGGGTTAGAAAATAATTCATTAAACAAGACTCAAAAAGCACTAACTCTAAAGAAAATAAATTGGTAAAAATAGGCTACATTGTAACTAAGACTTTTGTTCATAAAAGTATACCATATTCTTAGTAAAAAATGGAAGCCATAAAATGGGAATAATTATTTGTAATATAAATATCCAATGAAAGTTTTATATGTGGAATATATAAATATCTTTTACAGATAAATAAGAAAAAGGCAATCAGTCCTTCACACAGGAGGAAGTTTAAACATGTGAAAAGTTTTTTAAGCTCCTCTTTAATCGGAAAAATATAAATTAAAATCATAAAGAGATAATAAAACAAACATACTACACTGGAAAAATAAATACAAAAAAATTATCATTTTATAACTAAGAAGAATATTAATTCCAAATTTTGGTGATGATTCTGAGCAGCAACTCTGGTATAAGAAAAGTGCTAATAGTTGTAACACTGGAGTGGAGAGTATTCAATTATAGTTTCACAATCACTAGTTATTTTATAAGCCTTTGTCTCTCTAAAATACTTGGATAACATATGCTTCCTCTAAGAGATAAATGGGATACTTACAATTAAACTAACATGTGCGTAAGCTCTATTCACATTTAAGGAGAATAAAAGGATCATCCACTTTATAGATTGGCTCCCAATAACCATTTTTGGAATTAAAATAATACTTTATTAAAGCAAATATGAACTTTGTATTACATTTCCTCAGTCACAATCATGAACAAATGGCAAATATCAGCACTATTCACAATAGCAAAGACATGCAATCAATCTAGGAGCCCATAAACAGTGGATTGCATAAAGAAACTGTGGTACGTATGCACTATGGAATACTACACAGCCATAAAACTGAATGTAATAATGTCCTTTGCAGCAATATGGATGCAGTTTCGGTCATTATACGAAGCAAACTAACACAGAAACAGAAAACAAAACATCACTTGTTGTCACTCATAAATGGTAAACAATGGGTAAACATGGACGCAAAAGTGGGAACAACAGACAAAGGACTCTAACAAACCTGCACATGTACTCCTTGGATCTAAAATGAAAGTTGAAATTAAAAAACAAAAAAAAGGAATTACCAAAAGTAAGTATAGAAAAAGAGACAAACATTTATGGTAGTGAGGTTTGCTACACATAAAGATAGCAAGAACACACAGGGCAGTAGAAAGTGCTACGGCAGACAAGAAGGTGCTAATCATAAAACTAGAATACCAATAAATATTAAAACATGGGCTCTGCTTTTACCATCATATACAGAGAGAGATCTGCCAGAGAGAGATTTATGGAAAGTTAAAGAACAGCGGTCAGTATAGCTCTGATCTTGGTGTCCATGGCTTCTCTGGCTTCCATTATAGTAATCTTAGGTGAACTTTAAAAAAAAAAAAAGTGTATGATTTAGTTCATAATTCTGCTACTCTTTTGAAATGGCTTTCCTTTCTATCAAGAAACTGTTTCCAAAACCTTCTTTAAATATGTTTACAGAAAAGATAGCTAATTGACAAAAGATCGCTATATCTTAGATTTGTGCCAAGCACAATGTCATTCTGGATTTTATCAACTGCAGAAAGCAAAATCAAGAAAATATCTTCTTGTAGTTATGGGCTTTATTCTAAAAATTATCTGTGAGATAGATTGCTGTGAGACAATTGTATCAATAGCCCTTTTATTAACTCAAATACTTCTATCTTGCTCCTAATGCAATCCAGTAGTTCTTCTATTATTTAAATGAGATTCTTATGTTCAATAATTGAACCTGCTCTGAAACATCAAAACCAGAGTCAATAGAATAAAACGCAATAATGATGTGGATCCTTGCTCTAAACACCACACTAAACTATGGGAAGATATTGATCACCAACACTATGGGAAGGTAGAGTGGAGGAAGGAGCATGTAGGGAGTAATGAAGAGAATCATAATGAGGCATGTGATGGGGAGGATACAGCACAGCAGGAGAAGCTCCTGGACCCCAGGCACCTGGGCTGTCTTCTGAATGGCACTGCTATCCAGTTTTATAAACTTGAACAAATCATCTGATCTCTCTTGGTTTCTGATCCTTATTTCTAAAATACAAAGGCTAGATTCAATAGTCATTACTAAATTTTTAGTATCTGTCAGAATTTTCCAGTATTCATAAGGAGATATAAATACTAAAAATAGAGAGAATATGTACTATATATGACAATTAGAAACAATACATGGGCATTATGACCCTGTGGTTCTGGAGTACACAATATTATTATCCCTTGTGTAGAGAAAATTTAGCTGAAACCATACAACTGTCAAAGTGTGGATCTGGAATTTACCTGTAAGTCTATTAGACTCTAAAATTCCTATTTTTTTTTTACCAAGTAAAATGAAAATAGGAAGTCTGAAATGACCACATAGGTAGTCCAGACATCTATTATTATCTTTATTATTATTCTCAATAATGTAGAATCATTATTTCCTAAATCTCTGATCCAGATATTTTCTAAAATTCGAAGTTGAATTTTTTTTCCACACTAGATTTCTCAGACATGAAAACAAATGGGCAGATTATGGCAAGTGAAGGCAAAAGGAATGACATTTGCTAATATGTCAATACCATTTGTAAGTAAAATACTTGTTAATTAGGAATCATCTACATTGAGTGTTCATCATGCTCTTAACCCTTCCTAAGGCAACATAAAGATCAAGAATTAGAAGGCATAGAACTTGCAACAAATTTCCAATGACTGGGAGGAGAATATTGGTGTATACAGAACAAGAGTTAACACTACATGACAGAATGTATATGGAAACAATATAAACACAAACTAACCAAATACGTATGTTTATATAATATGACAAGTTTTAGATTCTGTAACTGTTTGAATGAAAGAGAAATCAGTGAGTCTAAACCAGTAAGGAAAGTCCTTAAGGAGGAAGTAGAACTTATGCTGTCCTTAGAATGAGTAAGAGTTAGGTAAGCAGAAAAAGAGATGAAATAATTCTAGGTGAAGCTAACAGCATGGTTAAAAGCATGGGAAGTTTGAGGACAGTGAAGAGACCATTTGACAACTTCAAAAATCACTAAGTTATAGTGTGGAGAACAAAAATCCTACTCTGAATTGAAGTGATATTAAGATTTTGGAAATGAAAATTCATAGGGCTTTTCAATAAGGGAGTATAGCATGATGAAAGTCATGTTTTAGGGAAACTAAGCTGATATGAAGACGTATTAAGTAGTGAGATGAGAAACCAAGAGACCAACAAAGAGATTGTTGGAATAAACCGGATATGGGAATATGAGAACAAGCCAGGATTGGGAGAATTATTACATTTGGGCATGCCCACAGACTAACTGAAAATAGAATAATTATTGTTTAATGGAACATTTTTTCATCTTCAGTTAACATTAAGTCAGAGTTGATGTTTAAATTCATAGACTGTTCTTGATAAATTTTAAGAAAGGGAATTTACTGCCACCTAAAAATATTCTACTAGAACATATTTTTTTCTGAATATTAACCCAGAGCTTAAAGCGATTTCCAAAGGTTAGTTTCCCTACCTCTTGCTAGAATTGCTTTCAAGCCATGCCAGACAGATCACCGTATATATAACAATTTAAAGATGATCTGGAAATTTATTCAAAGATGTCACTAGAATGAGGATACTGAAATTACAGGAAAACTTATTTCTACCCAGATAGACTGAAACAAAGAGCTCTGACAATCTTCTAGAAAAAAAGAAACTAAAATATCTGTTCATCATACAGATAAAAAGGTGTAAACAGCATATGTCAGCCTTTAAAAAACACATGGTGTATAAAAATTCTCAGTGCATAAAAATTAAGAAAGGGTATGATCTCATTAATGTTATTGCTAATTGGCAACTAAAAGAGAAAAAAAAATAATGCTAATAAGGTAGCATTCTTTTCCAGCTAGCTCAAAAAGCTGAACAGAAAGTATCATAATAAAATCTACACTAAATCCATTCTGTTCTGTTTGCTTTTTGACACGTCAGCTTAGAGCATGTTGTAGAACTGAGCAGGAGGGCATGGATTTTTGTGTGTGTGTCCTGTTCAAATTCATCTGAAGTGTCTGGAAGTGGTAATGGTGCAGTCTTCCACACGAATTTTTTTTATAACAGAGTTACCCCCAATACATAAATGTAAATGGTCTTTTATATATCTCTTAAAAGATTAAAGATTTTTTTCCTTCAAATATTTGGCGGTGATAGCAAAGGCATGCACTAACTCACCCATAGATACTGACAAATCCTGCAGAACATGCCATAGGATAAAGAGCTCCAGAGCACTGAATTTGAACTCAAAAGTTAAGCTGTGGTTTGGGTTGTGTTCTGATATCTAGTTATAGACCTTAGATAAACCATAATGCTTGTCTGAATTTCAGTGTCCATATCTATAATACAGGACTAAAAATATGCATCAGGTTGAGAATCAGGTTTCTTACTGTTGGAGTTTATAGATAACCAAGCGAAAATGTGTAGAATGATCCATATGGTAATGAATTAGAGTTGGTGACATTAGTATACACTCATGTTTAGCTTAATGTAGATAAAGATGCTTATAGAAGTATTTATAGTTATGTGTATATATGTGAATTAGTATAAAAACATATTTTCTTGCTCTGTCCACTGAGATGACTAGAATCAATGACACTGCAGTAGCTATAAGCACACCTAGGACTCAGATTTTGATTTCTAATATTTATTCTCCATAAAAGCAACCAGAGCTCCAGGGATCCTTGGAGAAATAATTGATTCTGGGACTGAGACAAGAAATGTCTAAGACGAATCTAGGTCATCTTGCAGATGCTAGAAAGTGCTCAAAACACACACACACACACACACACACACACACACACACACTATATGTAAATGGGCATGGGAGCCAATTGAAGGACCTCCCAATGGCAAAAGCTGGAATAGTTTCACCAAAACAAATAGGTAAAATTTAATGTTACTCTGGTATTACCCTTTTATTATACTGGTAAAAAAAACTGATTAACTAAACAAATAAATTGGGGAAAATAAGCATGGAAGATGAAAAATTCCAAATAAAGTATGTAGATACCTTGCCCACAAGGAGATAAAGTATAACCTCTTAATCATGACTAGTGAGTGGGACTAGTTCCCAAGTGAAGAATATGGAAAGGGGAGAGAAAAAAAGTAACTGTAATGGAGAAATCTGACAAAAATTACCTCAGCTGGGTGGTGAAGGTCAACATCAATGATGCTAAGGCTTATTATAGTAGGTAACCTTAATATGATGTATTAAAAATTGTCATGTTACTTCTGTGATCTTTCAAAAACATGTAACTCCAGTCAAATCATGAGTAATTCTAATTGAGGGACATTCTACAAAATATGTGAACAGTACTCCCCAAAACTCTCAAGATTATTAAAAACAGAGAAAGTATGAGAAAACATGACATCCAAGAGGACCCAAAGGAGACATTACAACTAAATGTAATGGAATACCCCCGATGGGATTCTAGCAAGGGAAAAAAATAAATAAAAATTAAGGAAGTTTGAAAAAAATATAAATCTTATTTCATAATTTATCAGTATTGGTTCATTAATTACAGTAAATACACCATACTAATGTAAGATAGCAATCATAGGGGAAACTAGGTGAGGGGGAATTCTTTGTACTATCTTTGTAAGTTTTCTGTAAATCAAAAACTTTTCTAAAATGAAATATTAATATATTTATTACAGATGAGGTATTGCTCTGTTGCCCAGGCTGGCATCAAACTCCTAGACTCAAGTCGTCCTCCTGCCTCAGCTTCCCAAGTAGCTGGGATTATAAGTTTATGCCATTATGCCCAGCTTTAAAATATAGGATTTATTTTAAAAAGTTATACAAGGTATAATCTAGAGTTGCTATATAAATCAAATAAGGTAAATATGGTAAATATGTAAGGTACAATTCAAATTGAAATTTCCTTTTTCTATCTTTCTCTCTCTCTGTCTCTCTCTCCTTCCTTCCTTCCTTTCCTTCCTTCCAAGTCATATAGGTATATGGTATAGGTGGCACTTAAAGAAAATTGGAATTAAATTTCTAGGGCATTTCATCATGTCAAGAATGCTTCTTCCTCTCAGGCTGAGCTAGAAATGTGTTGTTGGTTCTATTAAATGCAGCATCAACTCTGGCTTCTGTTGAATTTATATGTGACTATTGAAATAGATTATGTTATGTTATAGTAACAAATATCTTCCAGAACTCTGTGGCTTAAACCTGAAAAACCTTTCTTGTTCACAATACATTTTAATTACAGTTTGATAGTTCCAAATAATCTTCACTCAGGGACACAAACTCAACTCCACCAACCAGAATCTCACCATTTTCTGTTCCGTTGTGGTAATGGGGGAAAATATGGTATATCTTAAAGATGCCTATGTCACAATGACACATGTCACCTCAGCGCACATTTCATTGGCCAAAATAAACCATCTGGCTGCATCTTTAAGGAGGTAGAGGAAGACAATCTTACCATATGTCTTCAGGTAGTAGAAGCACAACTATCAGTGAACAGAAGAAGTGACTACAACATTTTTTGATAACTCTGTTATATATTATTCATTCATTCAGACCATATTTAAGAACCAACTACATTTGTTCTGAATGCAATTGGAACATTTGTGTGTCAGAAATTCATTCTTTATAAGACTTAGACTTCTCTCACCAGATATGTGATTCAAAAGTTCAAGATCTCAAAAACTCAAGCTAATATTCAAAATACAATCTCCTTAGGCCATCTATCTGAAAATCTCTGGATGAAAAGAACATATTGCTTTTTAGTAGATAGCCTCCTTTCAGGGAGCAGGCAAGATCCTGGCGTCTTTCGTAAATACATAATGACATGGCAAAGAAGAGGGACACAACAGAAGCCATCGATACACTACAGTCAAGATATAGGGAGATTTTATGATGAAAAACACAGGCTTTGGTTCAAATATCTGTTTTTCCATCTCCCTCCATCATTCCCTCTTTCCCTTCCTTCTTTTCTTCTTTCCTTCTACCAAAATAATAAAATAAAAAACCTGAGACAGTTAGATGTACCATGGGCCAGATGCAAAGACAGAGAGAAAGCAAGTAAGAAACATAGCCCCTACTCCAGCGGCTAACAGTTTAGTGGTTTATCTCTGGTTTATGTCTCTCATGTTTGCTTTTGAAGGACACTGGGGTGATGGTGGGGTAAATATTAGTCCCTCAGTAGAAAGCCAGCTCAGTCTCCCCTACAGTTTCTCCTCTGATCTGCAAATCATCAGTGCTTACAAGTTACACAAACCTGTTTAATGAGCAAGTATCATTTTCATACTATACAATTACAGCTTCTAGCAGAGTTTTCCAGAGACTATTGGCATTGCATGTTGATAGTGCCTGAAATTGCACTTTTTTTTTTTTTTTTTTTTTGAGACGGACTCTCACTCTGTCGCCCAGGTTGGAGTGCAGTGGCACAATCTCAGCTCACTGCAACCTCCACCTCCCGGGTTCACGCCATTCTCCTGCCTCAGCCTCCCGAGTAGCTGGGACCATAGGTGCCTGGCACCACGCCCGGCTAATATTTTGTATTTTTAGTAGAGACGGGGTTTCACTGTGTCAGCCATGATGGTCTCGATCTGCTGACCTCGAGATCCGCCCGCCTCAGCCTCCCAAAGTGCTAGGATTATAGGCGTGAGCCACCGCGTGAAATTTCACTACTACAGATTCATTTCACTGGTGCTTGGAAACGTTGTATAGGAGAGGAATTTTTAAAAGTCTACAATAACAAAGTGTAGACCTTAGGAAGAGGAGTACATTGGGCCCCTATTAGATAGATCTAACAAAATTATGACTTGACAGTGCACACAGACCAAGCCCTTGGAGTACTAAATAATAGTAAGAATCCTAGAAGACACAAAATGGAAGAGACAGGCACTGAAAAAGGTTAGATGGGTATGAAAGGGAAATCTTACTGACTCCACTACTTTGCCTAGGGCTAAAGTTGCATAAAAGAAACAGTGATATAAACATGGGAATAAAAATTGCCTGCTCTTCAAGTTTTCAGTTAATTGACAGACCAATCTTTTCAGCTTAATATTTTAAAACAGTTTAAAAAATCCTAAACGTGTAGTATTAATAAATACATTAAGGAGGAAGAGAAGGTCCTAGGGAGTGCAAAATTCCTTTAAGTCATTTCCATGCCATTGTTTTCAAGAAACACTGTAGGATTTAATATGAGATTAGCATCAAAATCAAGACAGGCCATTATAACTTTTTAAACATTCTTCAATTATGCTTTTCTTGGTAGATTCCTTTGGCCTCCCACTGCCATTCTGTTTGGAGATAGCATTTGAAATCAGGGCTCTGCTCTGCAGGCCACCTGGCAAGGAGAAATTAGCAAGCACATAGCTGGAGACAGGATAGAAGAATCTATTCACAGCTCAACAAGGCAAGCACTGATTCCACAAACCAGATAAATGGGGAGGTGAGGAGATTGAAGCTACATGAAAGTATTTATTATTAAAACACATTTTAGGAGTTTCCAGTCCTTCAAGGGATTCATGATGAGAAGTATTTATGATTAAAATATGAACCCTGCTCTTTTGCAAACAAAGCTCATTTGATGAAACTTGCAAGGATGTGTCTGCCTCCAAAATGTGAAAACCCTTTCATGTTTTTTTTTCTTTTTGTCCGTGAATGACCATATATTTTCCTTACTGGAAGCAATGCTGGTCACATAAGTCAGTGGTCATATTCATAGACTATTTGAAGGCTAGCCATGCAAGTGTGTCTACTTAGGACAATCCCAGATAATCCTGTTGTCCTAGCATGGCTATTAATAGCACCAATTTTACTCTCAAAAGCATCCTTATTTAGATAATAAATCACATGGTCACCCTACTAATAAGCAGCCTCTGTGACTGATTTTGGCTCAATATAAACTGATATCAGCTTCACACCAGTCATGATCAACGCACTTGTGTATTGATCATGTCATTTGATTCGAGTGCTGCATTGATGAGGTCAAAACCCTGAGTCATACCTATATTACTGGCAGAGGGGAGTATATCTATTCCAAAATCAAATAATTTTTTAATTAGTCTAACTTTCAAATATATTCAGGGATATTTAAAGAGAATATATGTTTGTGAATATACATGCCTCATTTGAAGGACCGCCAGCCGTATAAATTTGGCTGGCAGTACTATACCTCTAAAAGGTATAGACATATAGAGTACTATACCTCTAAAAGCCTCTGTTTTTTTCATCTATAGAACTGAGATAATAAATAATTGTATTATAATTTAAATAAGAATTTAAGGCTTACTAAAAAGTATCAGGTAGACAAAGATCACTCACTGAATTTGGAATCAGAAGACATCAGAGCATGATGTTATCACTTACTTGTTGTGAAACCTTGAACAACTCATTTTAACCACCCCATGCCTTATTTCCCTTTTGTGTAGATAAGAGTAGTTTCCTGTATCAAGGTAGGAGCATGCATAGATGGTAATGGGGAGTGAAAAGTGTCAAGTGCTTTGGCTACCTAAAGGGGACCACATGCTAAGGTTATCTCAAAGCTGGAGATACTAATAATGGTTAGAAATGAGGATAGTTCTATTGAACTGGTGGTTGCAAAGAAGTATCTACCTTCTAAAAGAAATAATAAAATTTATTTCGAGACAGAGATTCTCTTGGTATCAGCAGTCTTAAAAGAACTGCTGTGTCAGACTCTTAATTATGAATAAATGTGTAAGGTAAATACCTTCCTATGGTTGACAAAGAAAATATTAAGCTTGTATGGCCACCCAGTACTGGTACTACATCTTCAGTTGTAAATATACAATTTGAAAAGATAATTTGAGTACATTAGCAGTATTATTTATCTGCATAAGTATAAAAATTTTTGTCTTTTTTTCTTCTTTTCCAAAACATGTGCTTGGATTTTCTTATACCTGAAAATTTTTGTTTCTGGGCTATCCATGTGAATGTAGCACATGAGTGATCAAGAGCCAAAACTGGACTATGGCAGGTAAATGTAAACCCTAAATTTTTCGTCAATTGATGCAGGAGAAAACACCATTAAAAAAACTACTGCTAATAAATAATAATAGGAGCTAATACTTGCATACTATTTATTTATACAGCCACTATTTCAGACTATAGTTCCAAATGCAGTTTTAAGTCATTTTCATACATTAATTCTTTAAATTCTCCAGATATCTCTAAAAACAAGTACTGTCGTTATCCCCAACTTATAGATGAGAAAACTGAGAAGTTAAGTAAAGTCTTCATGGTCTCATATCTAGAAAGTCATAGACCTAGGATTCAAACATAGACATTTTGGTTACAGAGTCCTTTAATCTTACCCAGTGTTACCCTGTGAGACTAGCTTTGACATTATGAAATGCACAGTCTAAGGTGAAATACTTGGTGATACCTATGATTAAATAAGTTCGAGATTGATAAATGTGCTATTAGGCTACTGTTTCTCTCTCGGGGCCTGTGAAGCCAGATTCCACGCTAGCAAGGAATGGTGTTGTTGCCTGCTTATGACTTCCACAATTATAATTCTGGAAAGTAGTGAATTCTGGGTCAGTAAAAAAGATGGATCTCAGGATGAGGGGAAGAAAGATGTCCCTTTTTTGGGGTCTAGACAGGCCTGAAGTCTAGAAAGTAAAAGTGCCAGAGCATTCATGGTGGTGATTTGACCCCTGCCGTTTGCAGATGTTTCAGAAGTTATAGAAGAAGCCAGCTTGGTACAGGATTCTGAGGTCAAGTTTGAGCTTGTGGGTTCTGAGAGTGGCAAATTTGAATAGCATTTAAAAATAAGTATTTGGACTATATTTCTATTATTTCTCCTCCGTAAGTATTTTCACAAGGCAAAACGTGGTTTCATTTGTTCTATGGGAAAACAAAGGGATCAGCATTCCCCAAGGCCACAGTGGGGCAGGGGCAGGGGTCACTAGTGAAGGACAGTACTGTTCAAATGAACAGCTGGCTCTCCAGGGTCATTGGTGGTTATTACAGGGGCAGCCATGTAGGGGCAAGATGAGTTCTGGGCAGAGAAGGCTTTGAAATTTGATTAGGATTACTTTTAGGCAGTATCTGAGAAACTCAGAAACTGGGAAATATTTGGCAGGGGGCAGAATGGGAAAGCTGGTGACATTTGAGTTACATGATGTTAAGTAAAAAAGTTAAACAGCCTAAAATATATTTTTAGAAACTTACAGACACTGGATTCAATTTTTCCAAAACATCAGAGTCTTGGAGACAGAAAATAAATTTATCTCTCAGGATATATGCTTTGTGTGCTTGTGACCCATTTCCCTGTATACTTTACACTCATAACCTGACCCTAATTCCTACAAAGAGATCCGTTTAAAGTTTATCAGTAAATGGAAGGGAATGCTTCTCACTCCACCCCCTATTTGCCAATTTAATCATATTTACTAATAACTGAGATAACCACTGGAGGACCACACACTTGAGCAATGTCCTTTCTCCTTTCCTCTTCTCCTCCATGTCACTTCAGTGACAAAAAAGAAAAAGGTCAGAAGACATTAGGCTTGACCCTCACTGGTATCCTCTCTTCTGTTTTCTCTACCCTTTGTCTATTAAAAAGAAAAAAAAAGTATATGAGCCAAACACTCAGTGAGTTTTGAAGATGGCTCAAGCATTCTCTCTTTGCTCACTATAATTTGAGCTCCCTGACAGTAAGAAGCTTGCTCATCCTGTTCACCGTTCTAACCCAACGCTAAAGACTAATCATTCAATAAACGCATGGAAGAGTAAATGAATGTATGAATTAATGGTCACCACTTTGCCTTCATCCTTCCATGCAGCTGGACTGGAGATCCAATCCTGGGTCTCTTCTCTGAGCAGGTCCTTTCATTTTAGTATCTTCCAACCCTCTTACTTATATACTAGGCTCTACTAGACATTTGTATCTTGGAAACAAAAGTAAATAGAGATGGAAAACTGCACTCTGTTGCCCTCTAAGCTAAGCTATTTTGCAGTGAACATCAGTTGTTTCTTCTCAGCTTTCCTTTCTCTTTCCCTTACTTCTGCAAAACCCTTTTTCTATGCAAATGCTCTCAAGCAACTTTATGTGGTTCTGATGCAATTGCCAATCTCAGGAATCTGTCTTTCTGAACACAGGGTTAGGTACATTGTATATACAGCCCCCCAGAGGTACAATAATTCTAACTATAGACTGGTCATCTTGCTGTTCAAAATTTCCTACTATATTCCACACACTACCCACTCTCAGTGTGATCATTGCAACTACTAAGAACAGAGTTATTTATAAGAGAAAATGGCATGGATAGCCATTTTGGAAGGATTAGATTTCCAGGATAGGTGAGAATGTTGAACTAGAGATACTCTATATTTTTCTGAGGACAACCTAAACGGTTAGGGAATAACATACCCTAACTTTTTAAAAACAAAACAAAGTAGCTTTTTCTGAGCGAAGACATCAACAGATGTCAAATGCACTGAACACGCAGTGTGGTATCGCATTTGTCTATGACTCTCTTCTCTTTGGCTCTTCTGCCTACCAACACTGTCCATAAAGTTAATATTCTGACCAATATTTTCTTTGATATTTTTATCATAACCAAAGTTTTCTCTGTAATTATGTAAAGTAATTGGTGCAAAGCCCCCAATCAGATTTGTCCCCTGTTCAGCTTCCCACTAAAGTTGATTTAGGCAGTGCTTGGCTACCAAGTAGTTACAAAATGATAATATGGGAGTGTTGAGGACTTTCATGTTACTACTAATTTTTTCATCCTAGCTGCTATTCATATGAGTTTATTTTTCTTTTCTTTATTACCTTTTAAATCTGATTTTTAATACTAATAGCAGTATTTCGTTTTGTTTTTTTAGAAAGAATTTCGCTCTTTTTGCCCAGGCTGGAGTGCAATGGTGCAATCTCGGCTCACTGCAACCTCCACCTCCCGGGTTTAAGTGATTTTCCTGCCTCAGCCTCCCATGTAGCTGGGATTACAGGTGCCCGCCAACATGCCCAGCTAATTTTGTATTTTTAGTAGAGATGGGGTTTCACCATGTTTGCCAGGCTGATCTCAAACTCCTGACCTCAGGTGATACACCCGCCTCAGCCTTAATAGCAGTATTTTAAAAAATTATTTGAAACTATGTATACCTACATTTTATTTATCACACAAACATTCATATATAATAACATAGGTATATTCATCAATAAATAAAATCATGGCATAATATTGTCCTACAATTTAAAATATAAAAATATATGTTGTAAAACCTCATATTCATAAACTTAGATCTACATATTGTTTTTGTTTTGATTTTGGTGGAGTTTTTTGATGTGTAAGCAGGAAGGGATGCTGGTAATGTTTAATTTTTTATAATTGTGGTAAAACATACATAATATAAAATTTGGCTATTTTAACCATTTTTAAATGTTTAGTTCTATGACATTAAGAACATTTACAATGTTGTGCAACCATCATCACCATCTATCTCCAAAACTTTTTCATCTTCCCAACCTGAAACTATATACCCATTAAACATAGTCTTCACTCCATCCTGCACCCATTCCCTGACAATCATCATTTTACTTTATGTCTTTATAAAATTGACCACTGTAGGTACCTCATATATGTACATTAATACTTTTTTTTTTTTTTTCAGATGAAGTTTTGCTCTTATTGCCCAGGCTGGAGTGCTATGGTGTGATTCTCGGCTCACTGCAACTTCTGCTTCCCAGGCTCAAGCGATCCTCCTGCCTCAGCTTCCAGAGTAGCTGGAATTACAGGTGCCTGCCACCATGCTTGGCTAATTTTTGTACTTTTAGTAGAGATGGGGTTTCACCATGTTGGCCAGGCTGGTCTCATACTCCTGACCCCAGGTGATCTGCCTGCCTTAGCCTCCCAAAGTTCTGGGATTACAGGCATGAGCCACTGAGCCCAGCCTAGAATTTTTATCCTACTGTAATGTATGATATTTATCCTGTTATATCCTATTATGACTGGCTAATTTTGCTTAGCATAATACCTTCAAGGCTCATTCAAAATATAGCAATTGTCTGGGTTTCCTTCCTTTTTAAGGATGAATGATACTCCGTTGTATGTATATAACATGTTTTGTTTATCCATTTATCCATTGATGAACATTTGGGTTGCTTACACATTTTGACTACTGTGAAAAATGCTGCTATGAACCTGGTTATAAAAATACATTTTAAAGCCCCTGCTTTCTTTCTTTTGAGTGTATACACTGAAATGGAATTACTGGATAATATGGTAATTTTGTGTTGTTTTTTTTTTTGAGAAAATACTCTATCATTTTCTACACAACTCTATCATTTCACATTCCCACCAGCAATGCACAAAGATTCAAATTCCTCTGCATTCTTGCCCACACTTACTTTCCTTTTTTAAAAAAATAATAGCTATCCTAATGGGTGTTTACCGGTATCTCTTACAGCCAGTTTGAAACATCCTGTAAACCACATTTGCCAGCCCATTTAAGAAAAATTGGATGCCTGCTAAGTTGTGACATTTCTCAGACAGATATCTATGATCTCTTGATTATGTGGCCTTCACAAAGTCACATCTAGCTCCTCCAGATACAATTTTTATTCAGTTTTCTTAGGACCTGGCCATAGTGCTTGCCCTTATATTCTGACTTTGTCCTTCTTTCTGACTTTAGCAACTTCTATTGCCTCCATTGTGAATTCAATACTTATTTCTGGTTATCTCTAGCTTTCCCTTAAAATAAATATTTAGGCTACAATACCACCAGTGGAAGATTCCCAAAAGGATTTTAGCCATCACCCTAGCCTTCTGTCTTCTAGGTTAACTCTGGCTCTAAAAACAAATACAAATTATGTAAGTGCAATATAAAACATGACCAGTCAAAAGTAAGTTTTATCACAACAGGGTCCTATATAGAAGACTCATCTAGTTTTACCCACTTATGGTACCAGAATCTATATATGCAAATAGACATGCTGTCCATCTAGTATGGATATTTAACTCTAATAGTATCTCAGAAACATATGAAAATGAGCATAAAGACTAGTTGAGAATATCTGATCTCCAGGCAGAAGACGAGATAATTATATCTAGTTTTCTACATAATCAACTTATACTAAATTATCCAGACCAGTTATAAATATTACATCAGGAAATTTTTTATACCAGTTTCTAATTCTTTTTCCCAGGAACACATGAGACTCAGAATAAGAGAATTTTTGCAGTTTTTATTTGGCTCTGTTTTACCTTCTGTTTACATTGCTTACATTGTGTTTACCCATTCTCTGTGCTTCATGTGCTTTGTTTGCTATGTTTCTCATATACAATTCCATGCTTCTGTACCTTTCTGCATCATGGTACTCATGACTATTTGTTTAGAGTGCACTAACCCTTGGCAATTGCTTATTTTTTACTTTTAATTTAGAACCATTTTCATATATAATTTATCTTTTCATTCTGCTCCACAGAATGTCATTAGTTACTTGCTGTGTGTTCCCAGAAGTGGCCTTTCTCCCCATTGAGCTTTGACCCACTACTTGTCTTTCCATGCAGAGTACACACTGGCCAACTGCTTCTCTCTTCTGCATATCTACTTTAAATTGTACAGAGTGATCTTATATCTGCTGCCTCTTTTTCAATTGTCTGAGCTGGAAATTAATTCCAATCCTAATATGTAAAAAAAAATGCATGATACTTCCTTTGTGTAATCATTAAATATTCTATGAGAAAGCATCAATTCACAGATTTTATTATTTAACAATTAAATTACTAAGCAGCATCTGGCTCCATATGCATTTGGACTGTTGACCAAACATCCATATATATCAGACAACGTCACATATCTCAAAACTACCTTAGTTCAGCAAATCAATCAATTGTATTTACAAATAGAATGAGAATGCATTTGAAACTCCCTTCAATTATAGTAGTTATAAATAGCCTAATAACTGTCATCATGCAGAGAAGTAGGCACTGGTCTCTTCAGAACTTTCTTAAGTCAGGGAACCGCTGCTCTTATTTCTTTTAGATTATCAGGCACTTAGCAACACCACTTCCTCCTTCCCTGTGCAGCAGTGCAAATGTATCTGCCTTCCAAACCTTGCCCCTTACACTTTTCCTTTTGCCAAAAAGGAAATAAATTGTTTTTGCATGTGGCTTTCCATTTGCTATAGACAAACCATTCCAGTTAATGATATAACTTTTCGTGTAGATATTAAGCATCAATTAACCTTTATTTTTAATAATACTTTATATTTCAAAATCATTTACCACAAAAATTTTATCTTTCTTCAAAACAACATAAAATAGGAAATTTTAATTCCATTTTATATATAACAAATTGAGAATATGCCTATTTTCTTGTAGCTGACAAGTGTCTACTTACTTTTAATTATAGATGTTTCTTTGTAATAATGATGACAGGTCCTTTCTTATATGATTTATGTAAAAGTAATTGCTATTAATCTTAACATAAGGCACTAACTGTAATATTGAGCACAAGGAAAACTGGATTTAGGACAGCATTCAGGTTGGATTGGGGAATAGATGGACATTTCTGTTTCCCTTGAATCAGTAACTTAATCGATTGCCATTTTTCACATATGAACAAAATCATTCATCTACTTGTTCTTGGGTGGGACATTTTAATTTTTAAAAGAAAAATGACAGAAAATAATACAAAGTACATGCTCAGAAAGTTGGTCTAAACATAGCATAATGATCACATGTGCTTATGTTTTTTCCCATATCTAATCAAAATCACAAGAGAAAAAAAGAAATTGTGAACTTTTAAGAACAAAGAGAATAGAAGGATGATGGCAGAGGATGAAACAGAACAACATGGTATCACGATGTGACAGCCAGCAAAGGAGAATAAAAGGGACTTCCCAGGATAGCAATTGTACTCTAGACAGCAAAAGTAATCTTTCTAGACTTGCTGCTGTAAGATGGAAGCTATTGGAGGAAGAGAGAGGGTGAAATGTGATGGAAGAGTGGAATTTAAAATATTGACTGTGTCTGGGCATTGGAAATCATGTACTGCTAGCTGTTGAAAGATATTTTGAAGTATATTGGGTAGAATACCAGCCCCAGTGTCAAAACTAAGCAAATAAAAATAACACCAACTGTAGAATAAATATAATTTTAAAAGAAGCTATTTAGTAGTGATAAATATAAGGATAATTATAATACCTTAAGTCCTCATTATTGTTTCATTAAATACAACTTATAAAGAAGAATAATTAGGAGTATTGGAACTGTGTTAGTGGGGATAGGATATGTATCCAAGAAAGAAAACCTGTCAACTACCATAAAAAGCTTATAATAGACAATAGAGTCTATTCAGAGTAAATAGTTCAAGAAGAAGCAGTGAACATACATTTTTGAGAGCAGAAACAATGAGCTGTTTTTCACAGAAACCTTTCAGAATTATTTGAATTCTTATATGTGTATGTTGTTTATTACTTCAATCAAAAATAAATTGAGGAACAACAGCAACAAAACAGATACTCAAGATCTTTAGTCAAATACTTTTCAAATCAGTTTGAAGAAAAAGATGTTTCTTGTGTTGACACATGCCAGTACTATGGACTTTTTAATCAATCTTCTAATGGTTTTTTTACACTTCCAGTAACTGAGGGTCTCTAATTAGGAAGCACAAGATTACGTGCAAATCAGACTTATTGATGTAGCTAAATTGGAACTAGAGAATATGCATACGATATCTGGGTTCCTCACTCATGATTAAGGTTTTTTAAAGCTCAATTTACATTTTTAATATAGAAAAATATGTAATCATTACAAAATGTCTTTTGTTTCCTTCAGTATAATTTATACTTAGCTAAAAATAGATTATAATTGAAGAGTTTAATAAATTTGAAAATGCATACAATCATGTCAAGTTATAGAACATTCACGTCACAAGATAAACTTTCCTCATGCCTCTTCCCAGCCAATCATGACCCTTCCAGGGAAAAACCCTGTGAATGCATCTGTCACCATAGATTAATTTTACCTGTTCTAAAACTATAGAAGGGTAAAATCATAATATATGTACTCTTCTGTGTATGAATTATTTTGCTCATTGCTGTTTGAGGTATTAATCTATGTTGTGCATATCAGCAGTTCATCCTTTTTGTTACTGAATTCTATTCTTTTGTATGTATACACCTAACAGTTTTTGATTCCTTTGTGGATTGACATTTGGGCTATTTGCAATTTCTTACTATTTTGAATAAGTTGGTGTGAACTTTTGTATCTAAGTCTTTTTTGAGGATATATATTTGTATTTATCAAAAGAAAAGTCTCATGAGAGGTATTCCTGGATTGTGAGATATGTATTACTTTATAACAAACTACCAGTACTTTTCCAGACTGATTTACCATTTAGCACTTCCACCCATCGTGTGAAAGAATCCATCACTTGTACTTTTATGACAAAATTATGAGCCAATATTTGATGATACCAGAGCTTAGATTTATTTTATTTCATTTTATTTTTAATTTGTTTTTGCCTCCCTGGCAGATGTATGGTATCTCATAAGTTTTAATTTGTATTTCCCTGATGACTAATGAACACTTTTTCATGGCTTTGTTCCCATTCACATTTTAGATTTATTGAAATTAGACTTTAAGGTGCCTTGTTGTTATCTTTTTACTTTTGATCTCTTTGTACTTTTATAATTAGAAAGAATCTAGTTTAAGAAGTAGTTGTCTTGCTTTTCTATTATTCAATCTGAAAATCTATGGTGTTTAATTTGTGTGATTATTTTATTTAATGCATTTAATAGAATTACTTTTTGACACTGGTGAGTGGACATCCATTTTATACTTTTTATTCACCGTTTGTTTCAACTCTTTTCAACTCTTATTTTCTGCCTTCTTTTGGATTTTAGTTTTACTTTCTTGTTTCTCAGTGTTGTTCTAAGATTCACTACAGGTGTCCTTAACTTTTCAAAGTATGTCTTGAATGCATATTGTATTATTTCAGGTACAATTTAAAATTTAAAAGAGTGCTTTACACTCCTCATTCTTTATGCTAACATTGCTAGACAGTTTACTTCTCCATACACTATAAACTTCACACCAGCACATGTTATTTATCTTTTCAGACAATTGTCTTTTATAAAAATGAGACAAAAAAATCTTATATTTACCCACATACTTTCCATTTCTATCACAATGTTTATTCATATATATTTGCATTTCTGTCTGATATTATTTTTTGTCAGCCTGAAGAACTTTTGTCAATACTGCCTATAGAGCAGACTTACTGGTGACAAAATTTCCCAACTTTTATTTATTTGAAGATATCCATATTTTACCATCACTTTTGCAAGGATATTTGCTAGGTATATAATTCAAGATAATTTCTTCCTGCTTTTTAATGTTATAAGTTCATTATTTTCTGCCATGTATTGATTCCAACGTAAAGTCAGCAGTACATTTTTTCCTATTGTTTTTCTGCATACAATGTCTTTTTTTTCTAACCAATTTAAAATGTTTTCTATTTATCTTTGGTTTTCAGTAATTTGATTAAGATGTGCTTTTCCATGTTTTCATCCTGATTGGGGCTCACTGAACTTCTTGAATCTCTGTTTTGACATTTTTTCTCTAATTTGGAAAAATATGACTATTAATATTTGAAATATGTTTCCACTTGAATTTATCTATCCTCCCTTTTTGAGCTTCTATTACACATAACTTAGACTGTATAAGATTATCTCACAGGTCACTGAGCTGCAATCATTTTTTTTTTCTCTAGCTTAGCTTACTTTCCATTGTCTTGCCTTCGTGTTCACTAGTTCTTTCTTCTACAGAATCAAATGTTCTATTAATTCATTTCAGTAACATTTTTATTTCAGATGTTTCTCAGTTCCAGTATGTCCAGGTAACTGTTTTACAAATAATTTTAAGCCTGGGCAAAGTGGCTCACATCTTTAATCCCAGCACTTTGAGAGGCCAAGGCAGAAGGATTGCTTAAGGCCAGGGGTTCAAGACCAGCCCAGGCAACATAGTGAAAGCCTGTCTCCATTTATTATTATTAAGAAAAATGTAAAAAATTATAATTTATAATAAAAAATTTTATATCCCTGCATCTGTGTTTTACTCATGGTATATTTTACTATAAATCTTCAAACATGTTTATAATACTTATTTTATAATTCCTTATCTGATAATCCTAACATTCCTATTATTTCTGGAACTAATTTTAGTAACTGTGGTATTTCCTCCTATTTATGGTCTGCATGTCTATTTGCATGCTGAATATTGTGAATGACATATTGCTGCGTGATTGCATTTATTTGTCTTCTTGTAAAGAAGTTGGTGATAGATGACTTGACATTTTAAGGATTGTTTTCAGGATTTTGATAAAGCATACATGGACTAGTCCTCTTGCTAAGGCATGGTGACTTTAAAGGATCAATAATATTCAGTGAGATTCTCTACTTTCCTGTTGAGAAATCCAGTGTCTCCAAGTACTGTGTGAATTCCAGAGTATCTATTTATCTCAAATTCCCCTAGCAGTTATTCTCTTATGCTTCAAAGTATATTCAGTTTAGCATTTTTATAAAGTCTCAAGGGAACTCAATGAACATTTTAGAGCTTCTCCTTTACTTTATTCCTCTTCTCTAAAAGCCTGCCCCCATGAATTCCGACTACCTTAGGATGCCTGAGCTCCATTGTCTCTGCAACTAGATAGACTACCGATAACTACTTAGGTTAACTGCTTTGTACCATGTCTTGGAAAGTGTCCTTAAAAAGATAATCAGGTGGAATTTAAAGTTCAGCTCATGTGTTTTCCTTCTATCAAAAACCACATCTCTCTGCTGTCTGTTTTCTCATGAATAGAAACCATTGTTTTAGATATTTTATTTAATTTTGTAGTTATTTACATCTGGAGAGGAAATCTAACACCTCTTTTTCTGCCATGGCTAAAACTACCCATCTTTTTAAATAACCTAAAGTTTTAAATAAATAACTGAAGAAATTCTCCTAATAGTAATATAATAAATATATTTTACCTTGAAGGTATTCCTTCAGAAACAGCCACTATCAAAGCCAAAAGAGGCAAGGAGAATTGGTGTAGGTTATAAATATTATTTAGTTCATACTGCTGCCTTCGATAAAAAGTAGTACCAACCTGGCACCAATTGTGTATAGCTCATGGTGATTCTAAGCCATTTTCCTGGTGTGTTTTTTTTTTTAATCTTTACTTTTCACTGGCATCTACTAATCTTGGTGGTGACAATTTACTTGACTCTATTTCCACTTCCTATATGTTCTTGTCTTAGGTATTTGTGTAATTCAGGACAAATACCCACCTTGAGTAAGTTAAACATAAAATATTTCCATAAGAAGCAGCCTTCATATCTAAGATTGATATAACAAAAAATTAATACACATATTTGAATAATCTAGGTCTAATGGTCCTGCTAAACATCAAAAGCTTGTAAGACATGAAGAAAGACATCATATTTGAATTCAGCTAAAATTATAAATAGAAGTATGTAACAGGTTAGTAGTACAACAAGTGGTCCAAGACTTGAAGATCCAAAACCAAAAACTTGCTAGTACATTTACAAATGAGTAATTGCTAATGGTGTGCTTATAACAATTGAATTCGCATGGGACTGATGTACCAAGCAGGATGCAGTTTGTTACCTTATCATGAAAGACGATAGGTGCAGGACTGCCTGTATCCCTCAGACCCAGCATTTCTCTGGACAACAATTTTACAATAAATACATACACACATACACACACACACACACACACACAGAGAGAGAGAGAGAGAGAGAGAGAATCCCTCTAAAACATGTTTGGCTGGGCAGTGGCTCATGCCTGTAATCCCCAGCATTTTGGGAGGCCAAGGCTGGTGGACCACCTGAGGCCAGGAGTTCGAGACCAGCCTGGCCAACATGGTGAAACCCCATCTCTACTAAATATTCAAAAATTAGCTGGGCATGGTGGCACATGCCTGTAATCCCAGCTACTCGGGAGGCTGAGGCACGAGAATTGCTTGAGCCTGAGAGGTAGAGATTGTGGCGAGTTGAGATGGTGTCACTGCACTCCAGCCTGGGCGACAGAGCAGACTCTGACTCAAAAGCAAACAACAACAACAAAATGTTTTCCCAGGTTAGCTACACTCTTTCATTAATAAATTCATCCTTTAACTTGGTTAATATCATTGATGAAACTATAACTCAAGAATATATTCCAGGGGCCAGGCATGGTGGCTCACACTTGTAATCCCAGCAGTTTGGGAGGTCGAGGCAGGTGGATGACCTGAGGTCAGGAGTTCGAGACCAAACTGGCCAACATCATGAAACCCCGTCTCTACTAAAAATACAAAAATTAGCTGGGCGTGGTGGTGCATGCCTATAATTCCAGCTACTCAGGAGGCAGAGACAGGAGACTTGCTTGAACCTGGAGGCGGAGGTTGCAGTGAGCTGAGATCGTACCACTGCACTCCAGCCTGGGCAACAGAGTGAGGCTCCGTCAAAAAAAAAAAAAAGAAAGAAAGAAAGAAAGCAAAAGAAAAGAGAGACAGAGAAAGAATATATTCCAGGAATTCTAGTGAAAATTTGTCTCCTATTAGGGATGTATTTTAATCATTTGACACCATGAGGAATTTTTAAAATCTTTTCTATGGGTTGTTGGAGGTAACCACATGCCCTACACCCCCAATATGCCAATAACTTCCCAGGTTAAAAAAAATCAATAAAAAACTTTGACATAATGAATAAAATCTTTGACAAAATGAATAAAATAAAATTTTTAAAACAAAAAAACGCTAGTGTTCAATCATGTGACATTACAAGAAGGGAACTTGAATGAAGACTAAAACTATGATATAAATCAACTACTCTAATTTTTTTTTTTACAAACATTGCAAGGCTCAGAAAATCATAGCTACAAATGCCAAAGAACGTTCTCAGTTGAACATAATGGAAATCATTGTAATTTGTGTACCAAATTTTCTTAGTCAAATTGTAAGAAAGCGTTAAGTATCACCTAAAGATAATTATATTTGGACATTAAGAAAATTGCCCAGCCACACTCACATACATGTATATGCTCTTTAAAATGAGATACTAAAAAGAAAAAAGAAGATTTTCAAATGTGGAAACAAAGAAGTAAAATTCCAGAGCTAAAGATATTAAGACAATTTAATGCACTAAGATACAGCCCTTGAAAGACATGAAATCAGAGCTCTGTGCATTTTTCTATATAAGGGAACCTCACAGAAATCCTAAGAGAATTGCAGTAAAATAATAGTATCTTATAGCAAGAAGAATGTTCTTGTACTTTCACTGATAAAAGCTCACAGATCCCCAAGTGATGAAATAGCCAAAAATATGGCAAATCTGCTGGTCTAATTTATAGATTCAGAATAAATCTTGCCATTTTCTTACCTGGTTTGATGTATCTCCAAGACAAAGAACAAAAGTATTTGTTTACCACCCTGAAAGGAGTATGCTATGTCATCTGATATTACTTATGGGTTTTTTTTTTTCTGAAGCATAAGAAAATAATGGCTCTGCCACTCCAGCTTTTAGCTTTAAAGCACTATTCGGCTTTTAGCGTTAAAGAATGAAGCAAAAATAAAAGCTTACCCAATTCCCTTAAAAAGCCATCTACATGAAAGCTATTGGATATTTGAAATCATCTGCTAATGAATCATCAAATCTTATTAGGATATATTAATATATTTATAAATGAATCAATTTCAAGGATAAAATATAATACTGTTCACCTCACAATAGTTATCAGAAAACTTTAGAAAGTTTTCTCAATTTTTTGTGCAACATTTAATCTGCTAATTGCTGAACATATTGACTACCCTTCTTAAGTTCAATTAGTAATTTCATTTTCATAAGCTACTGAAAACTGTTCAGTATGTCCATTCATTCATTTTTTTATTCATTCACCAAGTGACTGCAGAACTCTTGCTGTGTGCCAAGCAAAGACCTTGTCCTCAGGGAGTTTTCAGTCAAGCCAGGGACACTGTTAGATTCTGGAAAGAGCAGTAAACAACACGGACAGTTTTCTTGCTCTCATAAAGCTGTTACTCTGCCTGGAGAGATTGATATGACACAAACAATTTTGTAAAACATATTAAATTTCAGTTTGATAATTTCTGATTAGGAAAAGTACACGGTTCTATGACGGTGCCTAGCCGAATGCCTGAAATTGCTCCCTTCCGTTTCAATAAATATAAAGTTATTTCAAATTCAGAGAACTCATTTGATATCTTTGTTTATTTTATGGGAAACTTTGGTTAATCGCATCGCTGCCTTTATTTATTTGTAAGTTCATGTTAAATAGCAGAAATGGACAGCATAGATAGATCAATCTAAAGTTCAGTAACAGTACTTACTAACTTTTTTCTGTCTGCCCATTGTGCTCCAGGCATTATTGTATACCGTAAGGATGAAAAAATATATAAGATAGTAACAGAATGAGTGACAGCACGAATGATGCAGGATCAAAGGGGAAAGGGGGTAGGGAGTAGAAATGAGATGGAATGGGTGCTTGATTTTGTTTTAACTGTTCTAGAACAAGAAAATCTTGATCACATTTACAGGTTAAGTGAAAAGAGACAATAAAGGGGAAAATGTTGAAAATGTATGAGAAAGGCTATATAGTTAATAGAGTATTTGTGATTTTTGTGTAACAAAATGCAGTCTAAAAGCAGAATTCTTCCTAATTTTTTTCTTCTGTGTATTCCTATGAGAAGCAAGCCTCCTAATATACTATAAAAACCAGCCTACAGAACCACCAGGAATTATAGGGGTACTAATCAAAAAACTTTTTTTACTTATTTTTATTTTTAATTTATGTGGGTACATAGTAGGTATACCCACCTACTATGGGGTACATGAGATGTTTTGATACAGGCATGCAATATAAAATAAGCACATCATAAAAAATCGGTATCCATTCCCTCAAGAATTTATCCATTGAGTTGCAAACAATCCAATTATACTCTGAGTTATTTTAAAACGTACAGTTATTATTGACTATAGTCACTCTGTTCTGCTATCAAATAGTAGGTCTTATTCCTTCTTTCTATAACCATCTCCACCTGCCAGCCAGCCCCCCACTACACTTACCCACTTCTGGTAACAATACTTCTACTCTGTATGTCCATGAGCTCCATTGTTTTGACTATTAGATCCCATAAATAAGTGAGGATATGCGATGTTTATCTTTCTCTGCCTGGCTTATTTCACTTAACATAATGATCTCCAGTTCCATCCATGTTATTGCAAATTACAGGATCTCATTCTTTTTATGGCTGTATAGTACTCCATTGTGTATACATATCACATTTTCTTTATCCATTTATCTGTTGATGGACACTTAGATTGTTTCAAAATCTTAGCTATTGTAAACAGTGCTGCAACAAACATAGGAATGCAGATATCTCTTCAACATGCTGATTGCTTTTTGGGGTATATACCCAGCAGTGAGATTGCTGGATCATATGGTATCTTTAAGTTTTTTGAGGAGCCTCCAAACTGTTCTCCATAGTGGTTGTACAAATTTACATTCCAACCAACAGTGTATGAGGGTTCTCTTGAGATAATCATGCGGTTTTTGTCTTTGGTTCTGTTATATGCTGGATTACGTTTATTGATTTGTGTATGTTGAACCAGCCTTGCATCCCAGAGATGAAGCCCACTTGTATTCAAGATGACAAAACATCTTTAATGAAATTCAACAAATATGTATTAAGCATTATTATATGCCCACTTGTATTCAAGATGACATTATAAAAATTAAACATATGTGTGTGTACATATGTGCGTATATGTGCTTCACAATCTTTAAATGAAAGAGGCCAACAAAAAATATGATTTCATGAAATGGGTATTATAAGACGTATAAACTCTCTTATGGAAGCATAGTGAAGAAAATAAGTTCTAGGGCAAACCAGCTTCTTTATGGCCTAAGTAACTTTAGTACTAGATTTTGAACCACAATGACAATTTCACTGAATACAAATGAGAGAGAAAAGTATTCTGGTAATGGGAAAGTATGTATAATTCCTGAGAAGAATGAAAATTGTTTAGGGGATTGCAAGTAGTCAAAACCAATTCATGGCTAGAGTATAATGTCTTATGAAAAAGAACCTGGGGCAATAACTGTGGTCCAATTTTGAAGTATCCTGAGTGCTATCAAAGTGTTTGGTTTTTTATAATCAAAGTAGATGTTTTTGATACTGGTTGTGATTAAGAATTATTTGCAGAGCTGCCTGTCCCCAAAAAGGATCAAGTGAGAAGGAATCTCTGTGGGAAAACCCAGAAAATAATATATATTTAAAATCCCATAACTTGTTTTGATATATATTAATGTTTGAAAACCACTCTGTAGGAGTAAGGTTTACAAGCAGGAAATTCCACGTTTAGCTCTTGATTTGGAAAAATAATTCTTGCTGCTAATTGGAATCAGGAGACACAAATTATGGGGTGATTGTATTATGCATGCACTTGGCATTGAATTTTAGAGGCAAATAAGACAAAGAAGTTTCCTGCTGTCCTACAGCTTACATTCTAATGGAAGAGGCCAACAATCAACACTATTTTGTGCACTATGTGAAAATGGAGATTAATGTATATTATTTGAATAAATAAATTTACTTTGTATACCTTTATTACTTTATTAATAGCCCTGCAAAATACAAAGTAATTTGTAACTAGTGGTTGCCAAACTTGACAGTTTATCAGTAGCACCAGGGTATGTTATCGAAAATACAGGCACCAGAAGCTGCTTTGGAATTTGAGGTATTGCTGAAAAGCTTCTCCAGCAGCTTTTGAAGTGGTCTCAGCACTAATTTGTAGAGTAGCTTTGGGTATACAAGAATATAGAACTTTAACAACCAGATTTGCTAAATAATGTCAGTCCTATACTTCACATTCTGCTTAGAACTGAGAATTAGCTAGAAATTAACTTTCAATTCAGCTTAAAGTTAGCCAAGATTGTGCATCCACTGTATGTCAGACACTCAGTGCTTGCAGTCAAATAGGTGGAGTCGGATAAAAAGATGCTTTCAAGGAAGCTACACTTTAGCACAGAAAGCAGACTCACAACTGTCTATAATACAAGTCCCAGTTACATAGAACTAAGTGGAAGGGCTAGTTACATATTGCGAGAAGGAAAAAGAAGTTGTAATTAATTCTGTCTGCTGGAAGCAGACAGGAGGTGGGGGTGGCATGGAAATTGGAGAAGCTTCACACTGGCGGTTGTAGCATAGCTGGGTCTTGCAATATAGATTTAGAAGGGAGGTTAGGAATGGCATTTCAGTATTAAAAAATATCATAGACTTAGATTCAGAAAATGTTTTGTTTTACTATTAATAATTTCACTTAGAGCTCTCAAGGGGTAACATTTTCCTAAATTCTTGTCACATTGAAAGACAAGCGTCTAATTCTTTTGTAATGATGCAGTTTGCAAAATTAGAAATGAACATCTCAAAAATCAAAGAACCAATCTAACAAGAATAACCCTGTGCTTTTGCCTGTGATTATTTTTCAGTCATAATTTGCCTAGTTCATGAAATTCTCACAGTTTCTTAATGCCTCCTCTACATTCTCACTTTTGGTTTTCATTTTCTCCTTCTGAAGCTCATAGAGATCTGCATAATAGGTTACCTGTCTTGAGAGAGAGCAATAACAAAGCAGACTGTCTCAACTCCCACTGAAACTAAGAGTCTTAATAAATGAGAAATGAAAAATAAAAAAATCAAGTCTGAGGAGCAGAGAACAGTATCAGATAAATCTCACTTGAGGCAAATTTCACTACCAGGATAACATTTGAATGTTTTTATGTGTGAATTCAAGCTCAATGTCCCTTTTGATTACATAGTCCCAGGGTTGAATTTTTTCTCTTCTTTTGTTCTTTCTGTACGTCCCTTCTCTCTTAGTGTTAGGGACAAGACTAGTACATAATACAAGGTGTTGGGAATAGGCCCCCAAAATCTGGCCATAAACTGGCCCCAAAACTGGCCATAAACAAAATCTCTGCAGCACTGTGACATGTTCATGATGGCCATGACGCCCACACTGGAAGGTTGTGGGTTTACAGGAATGAGGGCAAGGAACACCTGGCCCACACAGGGCAGAAAACAGCTTAAAGGCGTTCTTAAACCACAAACAATAAATAGCATGAGCGATCTGTGCCTTAAGGACATGCTCCTGCTGCAGATAACTAGCCAGACCCATCCCTTTACTTGGCCCATCCCTTTATTTCCCATAAGGAATACTTCTAATCTATAATCTATAGAAACAATGCGTACCACTGGCTTGCTGTCAATAAATACATGGGTAAATCTCCATTCGAGGCTCTCAGCTCTGAAGGCTGTGAGACCCCTGATTTCCCACTCCACACCTCTACATTTCTGTGTGTGTGTGTCTTTAATTCCTCTAGTGCCGCTGGGTTAGGGTTTCCTCGACCGAGTATGTTAGAATATACCAAGGTCCATATTATAGAACATAAATTGTACCTATGTAATACTAGTTAGTTAAAAATTGTGAGTTAACATATAAAACTCACTAATTTTCCCCTAAAGTTTTACTTCCTTAAATATTAGAAACAAAGTTAGCTCTAAGTTTGAGCCCTCTAAGGCTCAAACTAGGAGAACTGGACTTCCTAGCGTTCATTATATGTATTGTTTAAATAAGAACAGATAATTTAAGTATAAAGTATGGCGACTGTTTGCTCAGAAATGTATTGTTTAAATAAGAACAAATTATTTAATTATAAAGTATGGCAACTGTTTACTCAGAAATGCAAAGCATTTTTGGAAAGTGTACTCAGGCAGAATACCCGGTGATAGAAATGCACAAGGGAAATCTTAATAGAAAATCAAGCAACAAGCCCAGTTAATAAAGAGCCTCCTTCACTTTCTTGCCATGAAATAATATGGCATAATAAAAGGAAGGCAGGTTTTAGCATCTGACGCATTTGAGTTAGGATCCCACCTGTACTACTTTAATAACTCTATGACCTTGGACAAATTGTTTAATCACTCTGAGTCCCAATTAACTTATCTATAAAATGGAGAAAATATATATAAACCTCAGGATTATTCTAAAGAATCACAATAATATTAAATAACTTATAGAAATAACAAAGTAGGCTAGGCATTTACGTTTTTAGAATTAACAGTAAAAGGAACACAAACTTCTATTACTTTACCCTTTCTAGTGACAAATATCCAAAGAGTAATTCTGTCACTTGAGAGAGTTCAGTTTTTCTTTTGATTCACAATCTAGAATGTTAGGCTTTCCTGTTTCAAGTTATTCCCCTTGTACCACAGGTTCCTCAGCTAACACAGGCAATATCTGAGATTCTGTTGGTGCCTCTTTTGCCTACATGATAGAATCGAGCCATACGCCCAGCATTCCCTGCAATAGGAATACATACAGAGTAGCTGCGAACTCTCGCTCTTAAATAACGCAGAAAAGGGGATTCTTTTTCAAAAAAGGATGGTGCTGCCTAAATACACAGTGTGCACACAGTTTGATGTCCCGTTTCTCACATCATGAATTCCATAATAGAAGAAGGGCTCTTCCCTCTGGGCTTTCTCCACAACAATACTTACTCCCGCTCACTTCTCCTCATCCCTGCCAAATATTCTATTTATGAACTAGTCACAGGGAGATAGCAAATCACTGCTATTCTGAGTTGAGCTATTTGTCTGCAAAGGCAGACACTGTCAGAGATGCTAAGATCTGGTTAGCATTATAATTTAGTAGCTTTGTTGGAGGTTGAAAGATTCTGCATGCAAACACATGCAGTGTGAAAGGACCAGGGCCAAAAGAAAAGATTAAATTGTTAATAGTGCTGGAGCAACAGATAGTCATTTCATAAATATATTAGTGCTATATATCTACAAGCCAAGATGTAACAAACACATTCATTGATTCCATTTATAAAAAGAGCATTCTTAGGGAATATATATATATATATATACACACACACACACACACATACATACACACACACATATATATACATATATATATATACACTATGTATAACTAAAAAGAGAATTGTACCTACTAACTCTAGATACACCAATATTAACCCTATACAGCAACACAAACTGTACCATTTGCAGGCATAGCATAATATACAAAAACATATTAAATATATAAACATATAGACTTTTTATACAACCCTACAAAAAACCCATACCAGAATATATGTGTTGATTCTCTCATATATATATATATATATATATATATATATATAACTGATATTTCATAAAAGAAGATAGGTCAATATATTTTCATAGAATAAATATTGTTTTTGTTACCATTTTGAAAGCCTGTACTTTGTCAAAGAGTTGTCTGATATTTCTCTTCACATATTTCTTATTCTCTCCATATGAGATCTCTGATTTTACTCTCTATAATCCTCACTCAAAGAGAACAGGTTTGCCTCCTGTTTTTGATGCATAGCAATCTGCCTGTTCTCAGATTGCTCTTCAAAATCCATCACTTTCTTGGAACATCTTAGGTCTTCCTTCTACAGTGGTGACTCAATATGGCTTTGGGTTTTACTGAGATAGCAAAATCCCCAGAGCAGAGAACTCACCTATAACAAACTATAAAAATACGACATCTTTTAGAGAGACATGTAAAATAACCTATCCAAAATGTACTAGAAATTATATTATGCAATGATTCAGACTACAGGAACTAGAAGGAAAAGGTCACAAGTTCAAACCCTGGCTCTGCCAGTTATTAGCTGCCTAAGCTTACTAAAAAATTACTGACAAATTACTGACTAGTTGACATCTGTTCCTTCATCAGGAAAGGGAAATGTAATTCCTGCCCCAAAGGGTGGATTTGAGGACTAAATGAAAGGATGCATTTAAAATACTTTAAACAATGATTTACATAAAGTAAGCTGTCAGAAAACATCAGCTAGTATTATTGTTGTTTTTAAAAGTTATCTGCAAAACTAGATAACTCTAGAGGAATTCTGTCTAAGAAAGTACCTCATGCATATGCAGATTTAGTGACTTCTGAGAAAACATATGTCAAAATGTGGGGTGCTGATTTTATCATAGTCTATCCACAGATAAAACTTTACTAGGTGTTATTCTCCTGAGTGATTGATAGTGGTATGTATGATCAAATATGATAGATAACCACAGATGTTCTATTTCAAGCAATTCAAGGCATTAATCTCATACTAAGTGGATCGCTCCAAGACATGCTGACACAAAATAAGAAAAATAATACATATCCCCTTTTTGTCCAGAGCAAAATGTCAATTTCTTTTAGATTTCTTAGACATCAGTAGAACACTTGATTTAAGAGTTAGTTACCACTGCTTGTCAGTGGAAGCAGAAAGATATAGTGCTTGCTTTGCTTTTTATATAGTCCTTAAGTACGCATGAAAAGGGTGATTTGAAAATACACGTGCACACAAAGTAACATTCCTTATAGAGTTATTCATTTAGAAATTATTTTTCCTGGCTTCCTTGTGGGGTTCCTTGAGTATGGTATACAAAGGACCTAGTTGACTTGAACAAAGATTTCTCTGTCAGAGATAATAATCTTATTTTTGTGGGAGGGCAGAGAGAAAGGGGCAAAAGGGTAAGAAAGGATCATACATTCTTTACTATTGTTTGGTAGGATGTGTGTGTGTGTGTGTCTGCATGTGTGTGTCTGCATGTGTGTTTGTCTGTAAAGTGAGGTACCTTCAACTATACCTTGATAAACTGTCAAATGCCTCTTTGAACTCTCCTCTGTTCCTTCATCTTATTCTCTTCTTTACTTCACACTGCTCATTGAAGTTTGTTTCTGTCAAATGAACCAGTGTATGAGAACTTGAACTTCTTTGAACAGAACAAACACCACTATAATTTGAAGGCGCCTAATTTGCCTTGAGTAGTGAACAAACAGTCTCATAAACAGCACCATTTTATTTTGGATTCTACACATACAGGTTATAGTGTTTTTAAAACCCAATTTTGTGAACAGACCATATGAAAATCTTTGTCCAATTAATGTGTTTACTCACTTGATAATTTTGGTTCCTAAACTCTTGCCTTAATACCTTGAAATATCTCCTATAACTAGCAGCATCTGGAGTTCTTCCCCCATTTGGATGATGTACGAATATTTGTGTTTTGTTTAATTATCTTCATAAATCTCACTTAAACTACTTGGCCATAACCATGGAATAGAATACAAGAAAATTCGACTATCTGGCACAATTGGATATGTTTTTGTTGACATCATCCTGAGCACTCTTATGCACCAAACTTCTATTTAGTCTTCGTTTCTGAAGGTCAATGCTTGTGGTAGGGCTGGGGGAAGGGAGAAGCTCCAGTGACTGAGTCTCTATGTTGGCAAGGCTGTTTGAAAAAGTTTTCACAGCTGACTGAGTCTATATTATGCTTGGCCAGCACCAGTAATCCTTTGCATCAAGGAATAGCCAATTAAATTGTCTTCAAAAAATTATTAATTAATCTCATTTGAATTTTTCAGAGGAACAACGTTTTTGTTTTTAAGTGGCAATATGTACGTGCTAGGAAGAAGGGTGCTTGAAAGAACATATGTCCTGGATATTTCATAGCTTTTTCTTTGTAATATGTGAAGCTACCTTCTATAGAATTATTCACTACGGCAAAATTAATGTGATAAGATATATATATATATGCATGCCATCTTTGTCTTTGATTCTTAAGTTCTTTGTATTTGATTCTGTAATGCATGCCATCTTTGTATTTGATTATTAAGGTGAGAACAAACCTCAGGAGAAATAGAATCCTTTGAACACATTTTTACAATGATTCAGTATAGCAAGGAGAATAGAACCACGATACTATTGCCTCACTATTAAGATTTGTAAATCAACAATGAAATTATGAGCTCCCCAGCTAAGAATGTACCCTCCACCTCTTGGCCAAGAGGATCCCAAAGAAAGCCTGAAATGAGTTCAGTTCATGATGCGAAGGGAGGTCAGGCATACCTCATTACAACTCCTCCCTTTGGAGTTTAGGCACAACTGACCACCACTAACATTAAACTAGAAATCATAAGACTGACAAAGCAGACTTTTTGTAGCAATAAGATATCCAACTCTAATCTGACTCCAGTATTGTACCACATGACAGATAACAGGCCCTGAAAAATATCAGTGTTTTACCCCAAAATATATTTATTTGGCATATCTTGAAAGGGTCATCTCTTGTGGATGAATTTGCATTATCCAGAGAATCTCCTTCCCTTTCCAGGTCTTTTCTTGATCCAGGAGAGATTTACCTAAGAATCTGATATCTTTTAAGATCTAATAAGAGAAATTTACTGTGTATTCCCTCTGAAGCCTACTACTGGAGGCTTCATTTACATCACAAGAACCTTGGGTTCCACAACCCTCCCCACTCTCCTTATATTAACTCAAGCATTTCTTTCTACTGACTTTTACTTTTTAGGCAAGGCTTTACTTTTTCAGCCAATGGCCAATCAGGAAACCTCTGAGTCCACCTATGACCTGTGAGACCCATCATCCTACTTCAAGAAGTCCTGCCTTTCCATGCCAAACCAATGTATTCCTCACATGTATTGGTTTAAGTATCTGCCCGTAACTTCTGTCCCCCTAAAGTGTATAAAAACAAGCCGTAACCCAGACACTTTGGGCATGTGTTCTTGAGACTGTATCCTGGGCCATGATCACTCATGTTTGGCTCAGAATAAAACTCCTCAAATATTTTACAGAGTTTGGCTTTTTTTCATCAACAGGTTCAACTATTATAATTTATATTTGCTAACCATGTAGGTAAAACAGAAATGCAAGATTTACTTTGCTAACACTAGGCTCTCTCTCTACCCTCTGTATTTTCATGATCATCAATTATTAGCTCAATTATGTATTTATATTGGTGCCAAACATTAATTTTATCTTACATAGAAATCATGGCTTGTCTCCCGTGGGGCTGAAATCTAGGATTTTATAAATCTTTTTTCTAGTATCATTCTTTATAAACTTTTCACAGTAAAGGTACTTTTTCTAGAAGATGAGATGGATTACAAATAACAACTTTATCATTTACACATATTTCTCATTATATTCAAAGGCATTTTTATTAAGTTAGATATTATTTTCATAATTATAAATTGTATCATGGCATCATAATTTCTCACACCTTTTCCCAAAGACTGCAGAAAGAAGTCTTAAAATTAAGTACTTTTATGATAAAAAAAATCACAAGGAGTAAATAAATACATTTTGTTGTAGGGACATAATAATATAAACTGCCAAAAAAATCTAATAAAATAAAATTGTTATTTTTCTTCTTGGGAAGCAATTTGTTTTGTCTCATGTTACATCTTTGCAGGAGTTCTGGTGAAAGATGGCACATCAAATGTATGTTTTTATTTTCCCTTCCTCTTCTCAACTATGAAATGATAGTAAGGATGTATAAATATGAATAATCATAAACACCCTGAAAATGAAAATTGCTCTTATATGCATATCAAAGAAGTTCTCTAGAGAAACCCATGATCTCGTAGGATTATATTGACTTAGAAACCTAAAAATAGAGGTTAAAGCCTAGAATTTAACCAGCAAAACATAAGAGCTCTTCTCCCTAGTGGACTTGAAAGAGGCTCATGCTCAAACATTGGCAATAAACAGAGTAATTAGTGACTATCTATACAATAACTTGATCAGGTGGCACTTCTCCTCTACAGGCATTCCCAAACAGAGGAAAAGTATATGGTGTTTTTCCCCAGAATAAATCTATAAAACTGCTTTTTATAGAAAGTTCATTTCCCACCGCACCCTCCCGGGAAAAAGCTGCTATGAGTCTTTATGTCTAAGAGAGAAGCAAAAGAGATCAAAGTAACTTCAAACTTCCTTTAAAAATATATGGTGGTAGCAACAGGAGATAAAAGGGAAGGCAGTTCTGCCTAAGATAAACATATGTTGAACAACTTTTACATTTGAGAAAGTACCTCAGCTTATCTGACTACTCTTGATATTCTATGCCTCATAATTATATGTCAGCACTATTCTGAATTATTTGCATAAATCAATTCATTTTGGTCTTACAAAGCCCCTATGTGATAAATACCATTATTACCACCATTTAAGAGAGACGGAAACTGGGGCACATAAATATTAAGTAATCTGCTTAAGTTTATACAACTGCTAAGTACTATTGTTGGATCTTGTATACAGTCTAGTTCAAGAGCCTCGTGCTCTTAGCCACTACTCCAGGTCACCATAAAGCAATGCATACAATCTGATATGCCACAAACCTGTAGTCAGCTTCCCAATATAGAGGAAAGGACTTCAGTGAAATAGACCTATAAACCTACAAAGGAAACTCCTTTAAGCTCTCTTATGTTTATCAGGGTCCTTTGTCCATAAATACAAACATACAAGCAAGATTCATCAGACATTTGAGGAAACCCACAGGCTGAAAGAGAAAAAATAAAATGAACAAATGAAACAGCTGACGCTAAAAAAGCCAGAGAGAATTTAAAGAATAAAAGAGAACTTTCTAATGTATAATTATTACCATTAGAAAGATAACACAGAATATTTCTTCATTAAAAAAACACTACAATGAGAAATAAAAGCAATCATACAAAAGAAAGTTTCTCAGAAATTTCAAATAGCTTTTTAACTTTTTTAAAAAATACATGAAATGACTAAGTAATTGAATGGATATGGTTTAAATCAAATTATTCATTGTGGATGGAATAATTATGAACTTTCTCAGAATATGAAGAAAAGATATAAAATGAGAGAAATTAAGGAACACAATGGAATGGGACAGGCATTGTAGCACCCATCTAATAGAAGTTCCAAAATGAGAGAATACATAAAATTTTGAAAACAAAATGAAAAAATATAGTAGAATATAATTTCAACGATTTTAAGTAATCTTTTCTTGTATTTAAATAATTCACTGAGCATCAAATTGGGTAGAATAGAAGCTTCAAGCCTATAAATGCCTTGGTAAAATTTCTGAATTTGAAGGGAAATTATATACGATTTCAGAAAGGAAAATATAAACAGATTGCTTCCAAATAAATGAGAACTCAGAGACTGGCATCACATTGCCCACCACCAGCACCAAATGCCTGATGAAAATGAAACAAGGTTCTGAGGAAAATGATCTTAAGCTTGTAATTCCAAACTCAATTCAACTATCAAGTTTTTAAAAGACAATTTTAGACAGATTGAGATATTTTATTTCTTATACATGCTTCCTTCAGAAAGATTTCCTGAGGATAAACTCAAGCAAAAGAATAAGTACATTTAGGATATAACATTATATGGAATCCAAGACTGGTGGAACTAAGCTAGGAGAAGAAATGGTGTCAATCAAAGATGACGCTCTGCAGCCTGTCTAGAAAACAATAGATCAAAGCTAGAAGAAAAACTAGTTCATAAAGTTTGTGATAAAGAAGGTGATTTTTATCCATAAATTTTGTGATTATGAAAGTGAAGGCCTTCACTTGTCTCCTTTATAAACAACAAGTACAAAAATCTCTGGAAAACTTTAAAATAATTTAAACTTTAAAAGTGCAAGAAAATCATATTTTTAATATAAAATAAACTTAAAGGAGACATTTTTGAGCAAATACTTGAATATAGGAGCAGATATTTTATTTGACCTAGGCATATAGAAAATTCTTATTTGAGTGATACAGATTTGATAAAAAAAAGAATTTCTTTTCTTTGGTCAAATTATAGTATTATTTATTTTAAAATATTCTTATTTAATCATGCTGTGGTTATTAATTTTCTAATAGAATGAATAGTAAGATAAACATTCAAGGAAGTTTATTTTAGTTATGGAACATCCATGTCAGAAATCATGGAACTTCAAAAATGTCTACCTTACGTTGTAACTGACAAAAGTTAGTAGGAGGCAGAAAGAAGCTGTGGATGAGTCTTAATTTTCTCTTATTATGTAGGAAGGAATTAGTATATACTGTTTAACAATTATGGACTAAAAGTACAGACATGTATGATTTTATTGTTAACAAATATAACTACTAGAAAGACAAAAAAGTAGACGAAAACAAAAATGAAGCAGGGAAAAGACAGAAAAATAGAGGTGGTGGGCAGTGTACCTGTCCTAAATTCCAGCTGTGGTGACAAGATGCCAGGACATGTTTTCCAACTGATAAAATGATATTAATAAATAAATAAATAAAGATGTGAAAGCATGTAGGTTTAATGAAAATGTGAATAACAGATGGTAGGGTAGTAAGCCTCTGTAAGATATGGGGTATCACAGAGGCGGAGGAGCAGAAAGCTTTTAATTTTACATATACCCTTCCATACTGTGAATAATTTAAACCAGGAACATGTATTATTACTATAAAACCATAATAAGAGTATCAAAAATTATATAAATTGTATATATACATACACATACACATTTATGTGTGTCTGGCTTTTTGTCAATCTATGTATATACATATGCATGTACATACATATGCATGTACATACATATGCATGTACATACATATGCATGTACATACATATGCATGTACATACATATGCATGTACATACATATGTGTTTATGGAAACATGCATATACATGAATATCATGCATACACATTTAGATATATATTTTCTGAGTCTGTAGAACTCAAACCTACTTTCAGACAGCTAATGCTATCTTTTAATCAAGATCTATAAACCTTCTAGCTGTCCAATCCTGTGTTATCACTGCCAGTATGTTTCCGAAAGGTGAAACAGATTTTTAAGGATTATACACACTTACGGTTCAAAAAATTGTAATCTATATTGCATACAAAATTAATCTCTTGACTCTAAGGATGGGATGGTATGTTCAACTTCATATAGCTTCATTAATTTCTCTTAGATCATTAAGGCTTAAAATGAAGAGTTACTCATGAAAAAAGCTAAACTACCTTTCCATAGGCTTTCTTGAGCACTGGTTGCTGTTCTAAATAGTATTTTATTCCCTCAGTAGAACACATATTGAGAGTAATAATTCTAACATGCTAAAATCCCACAGCACAGAAATTCGGCCAGATTATGATCCAAACATAATCCAGAAAAACTGTGGTGTTGGGGGTCAAAACTATCTGATTAGTGTATTTCATTGTCTCACGCGAAGTATTCCAGGAGGAATCTTAAAGGTTTTACTATAAATTAATAATCATTGCCCTATTTTCCCTAATAAGTATTCCTGTAAATATTTCACATTGACAATATTTCACATTCCAAGTCTAGTATCACCTTTTTTTAATAAAACCTTTCCTAATTATCACAATCTACATTTATTTACTCATTCATTTGCACCATTTACTGAGCACTAATTACATATCAGGTAGTAAAATACATATATAAATAAAAATTATAGACCTTGTCCTCAAGCAACCCACATTCTATTGAAAAAATATATACGTAGGCAAGTCAACACACAATACAACAAAGAAAATAAAGTGCTTTTGATAGAGGAAAGCATAGAACACTTTAGAAACAGAGAGGGACACTCAGTCCAGTCTGAGGAGAAGGAAGAAAATGTCAGTGTTCATGAAACTCTAGAAGGAATATCTGAATTCAATTCTGAGAGGCAAGTAAGAGTTAATCAGGCAAATAAGAATACAAAGGGTCTTCTAGATACAGGACAACATTAACGTACGTATTCCTGATTTGCATAGTTTTCTGATTTGGGTTCCTAAGGAATCTCCTTGTCTGCTTGTGGAAACTAAATTGGGATGATCACGGATGGAAGCAGAGAGAACCACAAGCAGACTGGTACACTGATTTGTGTAAACAATAGTTGTGGTTTAGACTATAGTAGTAGAAAAGATGAAAAAATATGAGGAACATGTGATATATTCTGGAAGAAAAATTCACACACCTAGATGATGGGTAGTAGGTTGGCAAGTGAAACAAAAGTAGAACTGAAAAATCATTAACCAGCATCCAGATGGATAATGGTAGTTTTACTGAGATAGGGAGGTCTGGAGTAACAACATGTTTGGAGTCAGAGAGGAAATTAATAACTTTATATTTACATATATCATATCCCTAATAAAATAAAATGTCTTAAGAATCCTATGTGTGACATGTGGCTAAAAGAATAATTCATTTAAGAATCAGGATATAGGACTAAGACAATTAATTTTATTTAAGTTATATAAAGTGATTTTAATGTAAGTTATATAGTTCAATATAGAGGAAATCCGTGGCCATACATAATTCAGAAGTCCAACGAGAATGAGGTGAGTGGAGCCCGGAGAACCTCAACCCACTACTACAAGTTGCTTTCTGAATCATAGCCTTTATCACAATGGGTGTAGGCACAGGTTGAGAAAAGGAAAGAAGCTAGCCATGCTTTTGCTTTCAAAAAGTACCACAAACCTGATTAAAAATATTGAATGGCTTTTATTTGCACTTAGAAGAAACCATAACTACTCACAAACCTTACACTGCACTCCAGCTATATTCCCTGAACACATACCTGTTGGTATCTTTGCAATCGCTATGTTCTCTGCCTGAGTGTTCCTCATTCAGTTCTATGATGGTTTGGCTTAGTTTCATTTTTCAGGTCTTACCTCAAACATCCACTCCTCAGAGCATGTTTCCTTTATTTATCATCATAGCAAAAAATGACCTTGGCCTGTTTTTTCTACTTCATTTCCCGCATAGAATAGCACTATTGTAGTGTGAGTGTTTATTTTTATTGTCCCCTGGAATGCAATCTCCATGAAGGCAAACTTTGGTTTTCTCCTTCACTACAGTTCGAGGCCAGACATAAAAGGTGGTAAATAAGCATTTGCTATTTGATTAAAACATCAAGATTAATTATTACAAAGCAAATATGGATTACAGTTAATATATGCTTTAATAGTATCTTCTACTTAGACGATTCTTTGTACGCTTCTTTGCCTGATTAGTTCTTACTTGTCTCTCACAATTGATGACTGCCTGTAGACTATATCCATACTCATGCTACTTCTGCCCACCTTCATCAGTGCTGTCCTAGACAAGGCCCTTTCATCTGTATCCTGGAGAATTGTATTGTAATAACCTCCTAAATTACACTGTTAGCTTCTTTGCCTCTTTGGAGTCTATTCTCCACCCAGAAACCATAATGAAATGATCCCCATAAAAAGAAGTCAGATCCATTACTTTTCAGATCAAAAGACTATGACACATTTGATACTACTCATGGCAAATTCAATGCTTAAAAGAATAGTTACTGGAGTTAACTTAAGAGTCTACATCCTGGTTGTACCCTTTCTTGACCCTATGACCTTGGCTAAGTTACTTAACTCTTCTACATCTCAATTTTCACATGTGTAAAATGAAAGTAATTAAAGCACCAAATTCATAATGCTATTGTGAGGATTAATTGGGTCAAAATACGTGAAATCCTTAGGTGCTTTGTCTGTCATAGTTATCGTTTTCTTGTGCTATAGGTGCTACCATGATCTAGTCCCCCAGCCACCATCTGATCTTATCTTCTGTCTTCCTTGTTCGTTTGCTCTACCCTCAATGGTCTTTTGCTGTTTCTCATGCATACCAGCAAACTCCATTTCCAAAGCTGTCTACCTGGAAAAGTTTTGACTTACATATCTGCATAGCAAATAACCTCAAATAATATTTTGTAAGGAAATATTTGTTAGTCCCTTCATATAAAGAGTATATCTTGTCACATTCCATCTTCATATACTTAACTATTTTTATATTGCACATCTTGAGACAGCATATGTCTCTCCATTTATTTGGATATTATCTGTCTTCTGTGTTAGAGTTAACTTCCATAAGAACAAAAACTGAGTCTATTCCCTCACCTTTGGACAGCAAGAGACTAAAATAATGTCTGGCACATCATAAGGGCTTGATAAATATTTGTCTAACTTGTCCCTTAGTAATCATAAGCATTTATAATACATCACAAGGAAGTGATTTCTCTACTAGGTACAATTAACATTTAAAAATAACATGAATATTATTAGTAGGATATATTAACAAAGCTTGAACTTGATTAACATTTATTAAATTTTTAGATTTTATCAAATAACTAATTTTCCACAAAATAATAAAATAGGCACTTTTTTCAAGAATTCAATTTCCAGGTTTCTTGTTGCAATTCATATTTATTCAGGTCCAAGTCTCATAATAACTATGATTATAATAATTAAGCACATCACAATTCTAATGGCCATCTGTTCATAAATAAGTTGTTCTAAAAATGTAAATTATGTTTAGTCAACTCCACTTAAAAAGTGAGAGATATAGGCAGACCATATTTTAAAGCTTTTCATTAAGATAAAATGCTATTTCTAAAGCATTTCTTTTCTGTCAAATAGAAATAGTCAGTAACCAGAATATAACTATTATCAGAGCTCATTATTCTAATTTTTAGCTTGTAGCTCTTTGTAGAGAGGACATAGTATAGGTTTAGATTGTATCTCTTTTAAAAAAGAACAAAGAACATTTGACACTAAGAATGTTAGGAGATTTTTTAAAATCACAAACACTTCTACCACCTCACTGGATTCAAGCAGTGTCTCAATCTAAGCCTCTTACAAAACAAAAAATAAGGGAGAAATTTTCACCAAAGAAATCTAATTTAAAAATAATACAGGATCACCTCCACAGTTGCCTTGCAATTCTACACTTTATAGCACCATGCCCTTACACCATTAGTGGAGGAAGAAGTGGACAAAATTCTGAGGCCATCTTGTCTAGAAATTTTATATCTCAGGATACATGGCACAACCAGTAAGACTGACATTGTTCTTTGAAGATACCAAGTTGCATAAATTTTGCCTTTCAGCATACTTCATTCCTATCAGAACAGATATGAGAAGACAACAAGAGGACCCTAAAGCAAATAAAGAAACAAGAAGAACAAAGTGAAAATTAAGGAAGCAGTATTAGTATAGGCTTAGTGCCAGAAGTAGGCAACATTTTAAGCAGCATGAGTTTTAATACAAAAAAAGTGTTTACAAAATGTTTGAAACAGCAAGCAGTGTAATCTCAAAGCTAAGGAATCCTAGAAGTACACCAAGAACACCATGAAGTTTATTCTCTAGCATAATTGATGATTGTACTTCTAACAGAGATATTCAGGACCTAAACTCAACATTGAACCAAATGGATCTGACAGACCTTTACAAAACTCTCCACCCTAAAACAATAGAGTATACATTCTTCTCATGGCCACGTGGCACATACTCTAAAATCAACCACATAACTGGACATAAAACTATTCTCAATAAATGCAAAAGAATAAAAATCATACCAAATACATTCTCAGACCACAGCTCAATAAAAATAGAAGCCAAGACTATGATCATCACTCAAAATAACGCAATTGCATGGAAATTAAACAACATGCTCCTGAATGACTTTTGGTTAAATAATGAAGTTAAGGCAGAAATCAAGAAATTCTTTGAAAATAATGAGAAAAAAGATACACCATACCAGAATCCATGGGACACAGTCAAGGCAGTGTTAACAGGTAAATTCATAGTACTAATTGCCCACTTCAAAAAGTTATAACAATCTCAAATTAACAACCTAACATCACAACTAAAAGAATTAGAGAAGCAAATCTATTTTCATAAACACAGATTATTAAGTCAGAAAATGAAAATGTTTTTATTAGCAGGTATAGCAAAGAAAAACAGATGCCTTATACTAAATAGAACCTGGTGTTCTTAAAAAAAAAAAAAAAATAGAGAAGCAAGAACAAATCAACCCCAGGGCTAGCAGAAGAAAAGAAATAACCAGAATCAGAGCTGAACTGAAGGAAATTGGGACATGAAAAAAGATTCAAAAGATCAACAATTCCAGGAGTTGGTTTTTTGAAAGCATTAGTAAGATAGCTAGGCCACTAGCTAGACTAATAAAGAAGAAAAGAGAGAAGATCCCAATAAACACAATTAGATATGATGAAAGGAATGTTGCTATTGACCCCACCAAAATAAAAACAAACATCAGAAACTACTCTGAATACCTCTATGGACAAGAACTAGAAACTCTAGAAGAGATGGACAAATTCCTGAATACGTACATACTCCCAATCAATAAATATGATTTATCACATAAACAGAACTAAAGCAAAAACCACATGATTATCTTCTTACTGAGTCAGTAAGAAATTGATTCCCTGAACAAACCAATAATGAGCTCTAAAATTTAATCAGTCAGGAAACAGCCTACAACTCCTCCCATCCAAAAACTGAGGACTTGATGGATTCACAGCCAAATTCTACCAGATGTGCAAAGAGGAACTAGTACCATTCCTACAGAAACCATTACCAAAAAAAAAAAAAAAATTGAGGAGAAGGGACTCCTCCCCAACTCATTCTGTGAGGCCAGCATCATCTTGATGCCAAAACCTTGCAGAAACACAACAACAAAAAAAACTTCAGGTCATCCTTGATGAACATCAACACAAAAATCCTCAAAAAAATACTGAAAAACTGAATCCAGTATCACACCAAAAAGCTAATCCACCATGGTCAATTAGGCTTCATCTCTGGGATACAAGGTTGGTTCAACATGCACAAATCAATAAATGTGATTTATCACATAAACAGAACTAAAGCAAAAACCACATGATTATCTCATAGACACAGAAAAGGCTTTCAATGCAATTCAACACCCTTACTTCATGTTAAAAACTCAATAAACTAGGTATTGAAAGAACATACCTCAAAATAACAAGAGCCATCTCTGACAAACCCACAGCCCACATTATGCTGAGTGGGCAAATACTGAAGCATTCCCCTTGAGAACTGGCACAAGACAAAGATGCCGTCTCTCACCACTTCTATTCAACATAGTATTGGAAGCCCTAGCCAGAGCAATCAGGCAAGAGAAAGAAATAAAGGGAATTCAAATAAGAAGAGAGGAAGTAAAACTATCCCTGTCTGCAGGCAACCCAATTCTATATCTAGAAAACTCCAAGGTCTCAGCCCAAAAGCTCCTTCAGCTGGTAAACAACTTTAGCAAACTTTCAGGATACAAAATCAATTTACAAATATCACTAGCATTCCTATACACCAACAACAACCAAATTGAGAGCCAAACCAGAAAGGTAATTCCATTCACAATTGCCACAAAATGAACAAAATACCTAGGAATACAGCTAACCAGGGAGGTTAAAGATCTCTACAGTGAGAATTACAAAACACTGCTCAGCGTAATGAGAAAAGACACAAACAAATGTTAAAACATCTCATGTTCATGGATAGAAATAACCAATATCATTAAAATGGCTATAGTTCCAAAGCAATTTACAGATTCAATGATATACCTATCAAACTACCAATAACATTCTGCCCAGAATAAGAAAAATTATTTTAAAATTCACGTGGAACCAAAAAAGGTCCCTAATAGCCAAGGCAATCTTAAAGCAAACCAAACAAAGCTGAAGGTATCATGTCATCCAGCTTCAAACTATACTACAGGGCTACCATAACCAGAACAGCATAGTACTGGTACAAAAACAGGCACATAAACCAATGAAAAGAATAGAGAGCCAAGAAATAAGGCTGCCCACTTACGACCATCTGATCTTCAAAAAAAAAATGACAAAAACAAGCAGTGGAAATAAGATTTCCTATTCAATAAATGGTGCTGGGATAATTGTCTAGCCATATGCAGAAGATTCAAGCTGGACCTTTGCATTACACCATATACAAAGATCAACTCAAGATGCATTAAATAATTAAGTGTGAAACCCAAAACTATAAAAACCCTAAAAGACAACCTATGCAATACCATATCAAACATAGTAATAGACAAAGATTTCATGACAAAGACACCAAAAGCAAAAAGCAAAAATTGACAAGTAGGATCCAATTACACTTAAGAACATTATGCACAGCAAAAGAAACTATCAACATAGTCAACAGACAGCTTACAGAGTGGATAAAATATTTGCAAACTATGCATCTGACAAAGGTCTAATATTCAGCATCTATAAGGAACTTAGACATATTTAAAAGAGAGAAGCAAACAACTTGATTAAAAAAGTGGCAAAGGACAAGAAGAGGCACTTTTCAAAAGAAGACATACATGCAGCCAACAAATGTAAAAAAGCTCAATAAAACTGACCATTAGAGAAATGCAATCAAAACCACAGTGAGATATCATTTCATATCAGGCAGAATGACTATTGTAAAAAAGCAAAAAAAAAAAAAAAAAAAAAAAAAAAATGACTAGGCGTGGTGACTCATGCCTGCAATCCCAGCACTTTGGGAGGCCAGGGCAGGTGGACCATAAGTTCAAGAGTTCCAGACCAGCCTGACCAACATGGTGAAACCCTGTCTGTACTAAAAATACAAAAATTAGCCAGGCGTGGTCACGTGCATCTGTATTCTCAGTTACTCAGGAGGCTGAGGCAGGAGAATCACTTGAACCAGGAGGCAGAGGTTGCAGCGAGCCAAGGTCGCACCACTGCACTCCAGCCTGGGAGACAGAGCGAGACTCCATCTCAAAAAAAAAAAAAAAAAAAAGTAAAAAAATAACAGATGCTGGTAAGATTACAGAGAAAAATGGAACACTTATACACTGTGGGTAGAAGTGCAAATTAGTTCAACCAGTGTGGAAAGCAGTATGGCGATTCCTCAAAGAGCTAACAGCAGAACTATCATTCGACCCAGCAATCCCATTACTGGGATATACACAGAAGAATATAAATCATTCTGCCATAAATACAAATGCATGTGAATATTCACTGCAGCACTATCCACAATAGCAAAGACATGGAATCAAACTAAATGCCCATCAGTGACAGATTGGATGAATAAAATGTGCTACATATACACCATGGAATACTATGCAGCCATTAAAAAAAGAATGAGATCATGTATTCTGCGGAAACACAGATGCAGCTGAAGGCTATTATCTGCTCCTGCAAACTAATGCAGGAACAGAAAATCAAATAACCCATGTTCTCACTTATAAGTGGGAGTTAAATTATAAGAACTTATGAACACAGAGAAGTAAACAACAGATACTGGGGTCTATTTGAGAATGGAGGATGCGAGGAGGGAGAGGAGCAGAAGAGATGACTATTGGATACTGGACTTAATACTTGGGTGATAAAATAATCTGTACCATGAATCCCTGTGTCCTGAGTTTACCTACATAACAAACCTTCAAATGCACCCTCAAATCTAAACTAGAAGTTTAAAAAATCAGTTTGAAAAATTCTTAAAAACTTAAGAGTTGGCTCATGAAATGGTAAAAGTTGGCTTGAGATCACCGCTATATACAAGGATCAGCTTGGGATAATGAGGCTGCCACTACCACTCTGGCATAACTGAATACATTTAATAAGAACACTTCCAAATGTCTACTCCAGTTTGCCAAGTAACGTTAAATGAAAACTTCTACCTGACACCACTTTCAGGAGATCTCCTTTTACCCCCAAAACTAACAAAGGGAGCATTATCTTCAGACGTTTTAATTTTTAAAGGCAATAATATTTATGAACTTACTACCTCCCCATTTCTAAAATGCTCATTGTTAATACCAGTTGGGGGAGAATAGAAAATCATGACAGTAAAGTAAACGTATGTGAAGGAACTGACAAGTTTATAGTCAGAATCAGCATCGTGAAAAATGCTTAAGAATGTAAGTAATTGAATAAATGAATTTAAGACTGTTGGCTTTTAAAAAACTCTGCTGAACAGAAGTCATGTTCTCTTATATCACAGCTCATTCTCCCACAAAACTGATGGCCTATAGATTAGGCACTCTAATTGGTGTTGTTAGCAGAAAAATAACTGACACGACTCCTATCTTCCAAAGCTGATATGGAGGTCAGCAAGATGATGGATTAGGAGATATCAGCCTTCATCCCCCTTGATCAACAAGGAGACAGCTGTCCATTCACAAGAATAGCCTTGGGGAGAAGGAGCTCAAAGATTTCAATTAAAAACCTGCAGCAACAGAGTGGAGGAAAAATGAATAACTACACAGAAAGGATCACTAGAGAGATCAGCATATCTGAGATATCCAGAGACAGCTAGGAACAAAGAAGAGTGGGGGCTATCATTATCAGCCATGACATGAGTGCCACTGCAGTCCCTAGTGGCCTACTCCACATAGGACAGGAGCAGCTTGTGACCCCAAAGTAACCCACAGCCATTGCCACCACAAACTCTCCAGGGAGAAAGATGTTATTGCACCTAATTCACAAGAATGGCCACTGTTTTACAGTCCTAGTACCAGGGATGCCACCCTCCCTACCCCACTTGCACTCATTTTTTTCTGTCATGGAAAGGCAAATTCCCTGAGCAAAACTGAATCTGAAGTGTATTGTAGAAATATTTGAGTGTAATTTTAGTGACTTATTGATAAAAGGGATGGCAATGGGGCAGATGTCACTTTTGAATGCCATAGCCTCCCAGACATAACTTAGATCATCAACCAAGCATATATGTAGAGTAATTATATCAGAGAGTCCAAAGATAAGTCAGCAGTAAGTAATAATAATCAAAAAATGTTTTATTATGCTGAAACCTTTCCAAGAAAGTGAAAGTGGTAAGATGGTTATATAGTTGAAAAGGAGATACTTCAAACAAAGAAAGTAACTAAATTTATTCATTCTGCATCAAGTAGAAGGAAAGGATTTTAATGACCACTAAGAAATTAAGAAATATTTTTAAACATGATTTCATGCCAAGAAAATGTTCCTTAACATTTTGTGCTATTGGCTTGCCACACAAAGGCAATCCTAAATAATAAAATCTTAATAATATTCAAAACATTCTTATTCACTGAACCAGTCCAGTGGCTCTATTATTGTCTAAGTTTAGTATCAATATGCAGTCTACTAACAACATGTAAAGGCCCTTGCAAGTTAGTGAAATAGTATGCAATTACAATTAATATTATCATCTTGTGGAAGAAAACTTTCAGGAAACAATCCTAGTCAACTTTACAAATCTCAAAGTAAATATAGTAATTAATTCACTTATTCTTTCACTGAAGTCAAATGATGGGGGCTATTTTAACAGTTCATTGCAACAGCATAAAGTTATTTTCCTCAAGTCATCATGGAAGTTCAGGTAAGTGAGACAGAGGGTGTTGTCCAAACTAGAATTTAAGCTGGAAAATAATTAGTAATCCTACTACACATAAAATTGCCAATGTTTAAAACCAATTAATAGTTAAAAACTTGGTTTTAATGTAAAATGAATAAAAGTCATGATCTTTGATACTATGTTGACAGTTCTTTAAGTTTCCTTAGTGAGGGGAGAGGAATTGGTACAATGATATTTGAAACTACTTAGAGGGCTCTTATTAAGTAATCAAAGAGTCATTAGCTGAAATCTACAACAATTAAAAATGCTAGAACAGCATCACCAAATGGCACCTCTCTGACTCCTATTTGAAGAACAAAATTTACAGGAAGAAGTATATTTGACTGCTGCATTAGAAAGCTTGCATCTATTTTACAACCCATTTCAGTAGCCTTGCAACTTTTAATCCAATATTTCTCATCACCAAAGTAACACTTCATTATCTAATAAAAATGACATCAAGAAGTAGAAAAAAATTATGGTAAAAAACAGGTGACTTGGGATTAAGTCTTCTTCTTTGTATCTACAATTATGTGACCAAGTTTCACTGTCTTTCAGGCTTCAGTTGCTTTATATAGGAACCGGAAATAATAATACCTTCTGTTCCTAAATGTAGATTGGGCTAGGTGATCTCTTGGGGTTCTTTCACTGATAGAATTCATGACTCTGAGATTCAATATACTCATGCACCCATAGAAATAAAAGAAACCCAATATATTAGACCATTTTCAACCTGCTCATAAAGACATACCCAAGACTGGACAATTTACAAAAGAAAGAGGTTTAATGGACTTACATTTCAATGTGGCTGGGGAGGCCCCACAATCATGGTGGAAGGTGAAAAGCACATCTCACGTGGTGACAGACAAGAGAAGAGCTTGTGCAAGAAAAATTCCCCTTATGAAACCATCAGATCTCCTGAGACTTATTCACTATCATGAGAACAGCACGGGAAAGACCTGCCCCCATGACTCAATTACTTCCCATCATGTCCTTCCCATAGGAATTCAAGATAAGATTTTGGTGGGAACACAGCCAAATCATATCAACTACATTATTTTTCATTCCCCTTACCTGAAACACCAATGAATAAAATCCCATCATTTGAATTCTAATGTCACTACCATTTTGAGCATTCACAATATGCCAAGCATTGGATTAAGCATCAATTAATTTAATCTTAAATATAATGCTAAGAGATATCTATTAATGTCTCCTTTTACTAAATGAGGAACTGAATATTAAAGAGACTTAAAAATTTGTTGAAGGTTATATATGTTCTGAGAAACAAACTAATTTAAACCCAGGTCTCTTAGGTGTGGAACGAATGACCCTTCCTCTTTGTAATAGTTTCTTATGCTTATGTTTATTACATAAGTATTTGCATCACTGCAACAAGATAATACCCAAATTTGCATCAACTGATTACAAGGATTCCAATTTCAACCATTATTCTGTAACAAAAATGCTGTTTAGAACAATCATAACAGTTATATTACATTTTTAACTTTTCTAAAACAATGCCATATATCTTACTTATCCCCAAAATTTTATTACCAAATATAATAACTATGTCTATCTGTTCCCATTTGGTATACAAAAACAAGTGCAGTGGGGCTTGTTTTAGAGCTGGGGAATGATTATGATATGGTAGAAAGAGAACTGCAAAAAAAGTTAATAAGAGCTGAATCCATAGCCTGTGTGTTCCCAGTTCCTCCTCTCAATCTTTTCCTACCACTTTATACATTTTTTGCTTATGGTTTCCTGGAGGCCATGCCCTTTGCTGACTACTGCCCCAGTAGTCAGTATTGCTTGAGCAATAACAGCAGCAGCAGCCCTTGAAGTTGTAGTACATAACACATTGACTCACAAAAATAAATTTACAGAGAGACAAAATAACCAGGAAATATTAAATCAAACACATGATAAACATCTTAAAGAAAAGTAAGTGGAGTTGAATATCAAATAGAAGAAGCTAGAAATGTCAAAGTATCATGGTCTTGGGCAGCTCTACCACTGTGGCTTTGCAGGGTACAGCCTCCCTCCTGGCTGCTTTCATGGGTTGGCATTGAGTGCTGGTGGCTTTTCCAGGTGCAAGGGCAAGCTGTCAGTGGATCTACCTTTCTGGGGTCTGGAGGACAGTAGTCCTCTTCTCATAGCTCCACTAGGTGGTACCCCAGTAGGGACTCTGTGTGGGGGCTCTGTCCCCACATTTTCCTTCTGCACTGCCCTAGCAGAGGGTCTCCATGAGGGCCTCACTCCTGCAGCAAACTTCTGCCTGGGCATCCAGGGGTTCCCATACATCTTCTGAAGACTAGGCAGAGGTGCCCAAACCTCAATTCTTGACTTCTGTGCACCTGCAGGGTCAACACCACATGGAAGCTGCCAAGGCCTGGGGGCTTCCACCCTCTGAAGCAACAGCCGAAGCTGTACCTTGGCTCCTTTTAATCACAGCTGGAGTGGCTGGGACACAGGGTACCAAGTCCCTAGAGTGCATACAGCACAGGGATTCTGGGCCAGAAACATGAAAACATTTTCTCCTAAGCCTCCAGGCCTGTGATGGGAGGGGCTTCCATGAAGACCTCTGACATGCCCCAGACCCATTCTTCCCATTGTCTTAGGGATTAACATTTTGCTCCTCGTTACTTAGGCAAATTTTTGCAGCTGGCTTCAATTTCTCCTCAGAAAACATATTTTTCTTTTCTATCACATTGTCATGCTGCAAATTTTCTGAACATTTATGCTCTGCTTCCCTTATAAAATGGAATGCCTTTGACAGCACCCAAGTCAGCTCTTGAATGCTTTGCTGCTTAGAAATTCCTCCCACCAGAATTCCACAAATCTCTAGGGCAGGGGCAAAATGCCACCATCTCTTTGCTAAAACATAACAAGAGTCACCTTTGCTTCAGCTCCCAAAAAGTTCATCTCCATCTGAGACCACTTCAGCTGGATTTTATTGTCCATATCATTGTCAGGTTTTTGGTCAAAGCCATTCAGCAAGTCTCTAGGAAGTTTCAAACTTTCCCACATTTCCTGTCTTCTACGCCCTCCAAACTGTTTCAATCTCTGCCTGTTACCCAGTTCCAAAGTTGCTTCCACATTTTCAGGTAACTTTTCAGCAGCACCCCACTCTACTGTTACCAATTTACTGTATTCGTCCATTTTCATGCTGCTGCTAAAGACATACCTGAGACTAGGCAATTTACCAAAAAAAGAGATTTAATTGGACTTACAGTTCCACGTGGCTGGGAAAGTCTCACAATAATGGTGGAAGGCAAGGAGAAGCAAGTGAAGTCTTACGTGGATAACAGCAGACAAAGAGGGTTTGTGCAGGAAAACTCCTCCTTACAATGACCATCAGATCTCGTGAGAATTATTCACTATCACAAGAATAGCATGGGAAAGACCTGCCTCCATGATTCAATTACTTCCTACCGGGTCCCTCCCATTATACTTGGGAATTTAAGATGAGATTTTGGTGGGGACACAGCAAAACCATATCACTATCTATAGAGATGTTTTGGTCAGAATGAAATTTGGTTTCCTTGAAGATTATGGGTGCTGAGAGAACAGGTAACACACGTGCTTCATTATGCTAACTGCGCATTTGGGAGCATAGCTTTCAGAGAGGAAATCCATTGCACTCACTCACTCTTCTTCCAGCCTCTTGCTTTCAATGATTTGTCAGTTACTTTTAGATTCCTAGGATGGGTGAAAATATGGCAGGATATCCAAAAGGATCACTGACTTTCATGTATATGAACACGAAGCTTTCATAGAGTCTAATAAATTCTGATCACTGTAAGAATCTAAGTTAATAATAATGGTGAATAACATCTAATAAGAGCAACTATTTGCCAGGGACAATGCTTAACGTATTTTGTAACTACCCCATGAGAACGGTCTAGTCTAATATTTTATAGAAAAAAAGTGAGTTTCATAGACACTATTATTATTATTATTATTTGCTTAAAGTCATACAGACGGTAATTAGAAAGAGCCAGGATATGAACCTGGCAGTTGGGCTCTCTAGAGTCTCCACTCTTAACTGCTGCACAAAATAGCATTGTTTCCTTAGCATTTTCTATGTGTCAAAAACTATGGTAAGCACATAATTGAATTTTATTCTTATATTATTATTCCCATTTTCCAGATGAGGAAGCCAAGGATTAGTGAAATAAAATAAGTTAACATAGCTGGTTAGTGGTGAGGCCCAGATCAAACCTATTTTTGTTTTGCTTCTGTTTGTCTGTTGATTCTAGCATCCAAGATAGTGTGCACTCTGCCATAACCTCTAGTTAGAGAGTAGGACCATAAAACAATAAAAAGGAAACACTTAATATTGACCCTTTTTTTCAAATGAGAAAACTGAAACACAGAATAAATAGAAACGCACTCAAGATCACCAATCTATTTACTGAAAAGCTGTGACAAAATCTTTTAAGCAGTCTATCCAGAGATCATTCAAGTAGGCTATCTTTCCTATTTAAAGTATGCTTTCTGGTCTTTTTCTCATTAAGTTATGACTACAGTGAAGGATATTCAAATTAAAATTGTATGATATAATTTACAGTTATTGTTATCATTTTGTGTTTAAAGAGAAAATGTCTCTCTAAAAAAACAGTTTTTACCTGTAAAATTTCTTATCTGGAAAAAAATAAAAACACACGATAGAAAAGGTACACAGTTGATTTTCCTTTTATATCTGGGTTCAACTTCTACAACTAATTGCAAAGAATGGACTTTGTCAATTTACTTAATTCATCATCTAACCGAGCCAACAGATTCCCAGAAAATGTTTGGAAGATTTATGAACACTTAAATTTATGCCAAAGATTTAATGCCACATCAAAGTTTGTTCCATATGAGAATTACTAATGGGAACTTTTACTAGGCGCATTTGTGAGCATCTTTGACTGAAAGCTCTAGTATGTAAAAATATGTCCGTCAAATACACTCTTACTTTCCTAGCATAGTTTAGCTTGCAAAGACACAGGATAGGTATTTGACAAAGTCAAATTATGTATGTTTTAATTTTTTTTCCTTTAACTAACATAAAATTAAACCTCCGTGAGATTGTATGGCAGTCAGGAGTCTGTGATTCAAAGACAGCTGTGGAGATGATTAAAAGAACTTTGTTCTTAGATTGATATAGAAGGGTAGCCAAAAAATATATTGCTTTTATATTTATAAAAGCAATATTCATATTTGTACTTATGATCATTTATGGTTATTTTATACAATAAAAAGAAATTGGGGATGTGTAAGAAGCTATGTATATAAAAGCTGGGGACAACCATTCCAATAATGATATTTTGTCCAGCTTCCTAGACTTGAAATCCACTGGCTGAAAAGGAGAGTATCCTGGAGGAAGCACCTAGAAATTATATCCAGTAATAATTCCTCCACGCCTTCCCAAAAGAAGTATATGGCCATTTAATCAGATAATGATAATGTGGGAAAGATGAGTACCCAAACAGTTCCAGAACTGTTAGACACAGGGAACCAGGAACAAAAAGCACCATCAAAACCTATGTTGGAGTAAGAACATATGCAGTGTAGGTAATAAATAGGGTCCTGGCTCAGATCCAATTCACAGTGTATCTACAGGGTTCACAAATTCACCTACTAGTTATTTTTCTAGCCACTGAATAAGTAATTTGAATGGATAAACTTGTAGTTGGCTAAATCCTCATGTTGATTCCTTTACCTATAGCATAAGAGCTATCACAGTGATTAAGACTAAGGAGAAGCTCTGAAAATGTCCCTTCTCCCCAAGGTAATAAATCACCAACAATACTGAATCCTTATGGGAATAACCATGACTGCTCTCACTCTAAAATAATTTAAAAATGAGGAAGGGGGGTCCCCATCATATTACAATTTTTTTTCACCAGTCTGGCCCCTACCAAAACTGAATGAATCATGGTAGATGACAGTGGATTGCTGCAAACTTTTCCAAGTAGTAGTCCCATTGAAGTTGCTATGCTAGATGTGGTGTATTTGTTACAAAAAATTAACACAGTCCCCAGTAAATGGTACAAAGCAACTGATCTGTTGAATGCAATCTTTTCTATCAAGCTGGGCTCTTGGAGGTAAAGCATATAAACTATGTCCACAGGTTCTGGTAACCAGTGATTTCTTTTGAGGTTTGGCCATTGAGAATCAGAAGGAAGGATTGGGGGCCTACCTATAAAGCCATCTTGAGCTGGCTTGATTGAAAGTTACTGATCTTCTAATCAACTGTATGTCTCCACTTTCCAGTATCCTCTCCCTCACTTTATTGCTTTGAGCCTAAGGATGTTAATAACTTGGTTACCACAAAGTTTCAGGTTATGGTACTAAATCTACACTTTTGTAAATATTTCCTTAATAAATAAACCTGTTGGAATTATCTAATACTGCATGTGCTCTCTATTTCTTTGGGACTTTGACTCCTTGTTACAAGAAGTCATCAAATCTGCCTGAGATATTGAGAGGAAAGAGACAGAAAAATTGAGAATCAGGAATGTAAAAATCATAGTAAATGGCTGTTGACTTAAGTTTCATCTCATTGATTCCTGGACAAAGAGTTTCACCAACACTTAAGTGATTTTGCATGTTGTGCACTATGATACTGGTTCTTAATGTGTGGGCTTTGCACCAGTAGCATCAGCAATAATTGGAAACTTGTCAGAGATGTAAATTTGGGGGCTTCATTCCAGACCTGCTAAATCAGAGACTCCAGTAGTGGGGCTCAGCATTCTGTATTTTACCAAATCCTTCAGGTGATTCTGATGCATGCTCTGGTTTAAGAATCACTACATTAAGGCATAACATGACCCTGTTTTCCTAATATACTACAGAAATGAACACCAATTTTGTTATAATCAAATACATTGGAGAATCTTATTAGGTAAACCCAAATACTCTGAATCAAGACACAAATAGAAAATGAAATATTTAAATGATTGTATCCATTTCCAAACTCCAGCAGTTTTTTAATTTGAAAGTTCATAGAATGTTTAGCTCTCCTGTGCCAAGTTTATCGTAATTTTCAGTTCTAGAAACAATATAAGCCAAAAAGATGTGTCTAGGGAACAAATATAATTGCTTATAGATCAGGGTTTTCTAAATGTCTTCTGCAGAATGATACTGCCATGAGCTATTAATAAAAAGTATTGAGAATTGGTTGTTATGGACCCTAGATCAAATAATTTAGGAAAAGTGTTATTGAACAGGATTACTTACTGCATTTACATAAAATTATCCTGGGTTAATATGCAATCGTGCATTAAAAATCTCTAAAAGGCATAGAGCATGTTGTGTCTTCCAGAGTATTATAGATATAAAATACATGGAGAAAACTCAGGCCAGTGAATGACATGAGTAGTAAAACAGGGCTATACACCAGAAAATCAGAGGCACATCTGAACAAAAATGAAAGAATTAAAGTTATAAGCACCATGCTGGTGAGGGGCTCTGATTCTCAGAATGGACTGTTAGAATTACTTTCTGAGATAGCAAAAAAATTCCTATAAGGTTTAGGAAGGAAGAAGAAATGGCAGGATCAACACAAGGGAAGAAAAGATGGCTTTGTCATGTAATTACAAATTGGTCAAGTGGCTGAAGTAGGAAGTAAGCATAGAAAAGGTGCAATCCACAGGATTAAAATTAAAAATTTATTTACTAGAGGCATTATTCTACTTTAAGTGCAAGAGTAAGAATAAATTATTGACTAATCTATTATTTTAACAGTCTGAATTGAGGAGTCCATCAGAGTTAACCTTTATCACCGGAATGTCAATAAAAACCCAAGTATACACTGAGTATAATTTGAAGCACATAGATAGGTTTACCTCTTCCCTTATTTTTACTTCCACTGACAGTGGTCAAGAGGAAATGCAGTGTTCCCAACATGTTCCAAATAAAGATCTCTCCTTTCCTGGCTTTCACACTATCATCGGCAGCAATGAAGAGGTGGCCCCAGAACTTTGTGTTCTTTTATCAAGACTTCTACCATTCCCACTTTCACAACATTTACTGCCTCAACACCATTAATTTAGCTTGAGAAAATCTCATTACAATGTCAATCCCTGTTAACAGTGGTAACCAAAAGAAACCTAGAGCATTCCTCTTCCCCAGAATATAATCATAAAGTGTCATGGACAGTGAAGCAGCTCACCTTAGGGTGAGCACTCCCTTTCATCCTTCTCTGATTTATGTTTCTTTTCAGCACTTAACCTTATCTGATATACTTTATATTTTACTTATTTAGTGATTTGTTGATCCTCTAAAATAAGAGCTTAAAGGCAAGGATTTTTTTTAATTTGTCCTCTATCCTTTTATCTAAACAATTTCTGACATATAGGAATTCTACCCATTTTATAAATAAATTTTATTTAATGAATAAATGAATGAATTCATCACTACCTCTCATATTATCAACAAACATGATGAACGAATAAGGAGAACTCACTGATTCTATACGTATTCTTCTATCTTTACTCTGCATTCTAAGAATAAAGTATCAAACTTATATTGTGCCTTAATCTTACTGTTTACAAATAATCTGTTTTCAAAGAAGCTGTATTTCTTTAGAAGGTTGTATCTCTATATTTTCATCATCTACAGAGCAGTCTGCTATATATTCCTTAAAGTCATAAATATATGATGAAAATTATGTCTGAGTTAATAGAAAACATACTTTCCTTCAATTTTTAATAGTAATATAAAGTAATATACAATATAAAACACAATGACCTGATAAATATAAAATACAATCATCTGGGGGATAAAAGTTCAGTTGACTCATCAGTAATCTGATATCTTTGAATCCCCCAATATTTTCCAATTTTCCCAAATCTTCATTAAAACCATGTATTCTCAAATATCCAAAAAGGCCTAGGCTACTTTTACTTTTTGGGATTCTTAGTATTTTTTTTAGAAAAAGAAAATACGCCAGAAAAGACTTAGATATTTACACCTGATAAATTAATATATTTAAAACAAAATACAATAAAGTATGATGTAGGATGTATACAACAATATTAGTATGAATATATAAAATTAATATGCACAAACAAGAACAAGATGATTTGCAAAATAATTTTGAGGATGTATTTCTTGAGAAATTTTTTTCTTGGAAAATTATACAGTAAGTTTAACAAATATAATTTACACTGTGATAATATTTACACTTAATGAATGAATAATTTAAATTTAGGTGTTCAATATAAATCAAGTACACTTTGTAGAAGGAAATTAGAGTTTGTGAAAAATATTAATTTGCAGTATACTATAGACAGTATTGTTCCAAAATGGACATACATGTAAGTATATATGATAAAGGAATTATTTTATTAAGTAAGCATATATCTGTGGTTCAATATATAACTCACTTGGGAAAGTATGCATAATCCACATTTCAGGCTTGTTATCATTGTCATGGTTTGTTGCCCTGACCAAAATGCAAGACTAACCCATAAGACACAGTATCCAGTCAGAAGTAATATTAAGATAGCCCTAAGATTTACTGCCTTGCCATATGAGAATTTTATGGGAATAATTCATAATGAAAGCTACGATGGTTTGAGACTCCAGTTTTACTTGTGAAGTATCTATTAGCTAGCATGCAATCCAGGTGATCTAGGCTAAAAGGCCATATTATTTGGAAAGTATAAACTTGGAGTTGATACACAGCATTTATAAGTGAGGTCTCTGTGTATATCTTATCATTCTGAGAAAAGCCATGCAGACTCCAGGTTTCTTCCTGACTGATAAGCAGTTTCTGTGATTGTGCATGTAATCTCAAATTCCTTTGGGAAATACCCTAAATTGCTTGAAATAATATTAATGTTTCTTTGTTGGGCAAACATATTTTAAATTTTAAAAATTTCTAATAGATCATTAAAAGTTAGAAGTAATGGAGCCTATAGCTTTAATGCTTTAGTGTCAAGCTTAAGAACAATGTATGTGTACATATATATACATATATATTGAATATATACAATAAATATACATAATTGTAATTATTGTTTAATGGAAAGGTATGTGCTAGAGTATGTAATAAGTTAATTTCATGATTATAATTAAAGTATTTAAGTATAATTAAAATATTTAAGTGAAGTATTTAAGTAAATTACACATTTGATTTTAATGTTGTTACCAAAACACCTGGGGTTTGGTCTAGGTTTTGCTGCTTGGCACACAGAAAGCCAATCAATAAGACAACAAGTATTGCCAAGGAAGAAGGCTTTAATTGGGTGCTGCAGCTGAGGAGATGGGAGCTCAGTCTCAAATCCATCTTCCTGACTGACTAAAAGCAGGGGTTTATATAGCAGGGAAGTAATGTAACAATGTGTAAGAAAACAGGAACTAGGAGGGGCAAGGAAGCAATCATGATGAATGAGGGATCTGGCATCTGGTATGGTGATCTGGTAAGTTTCAGTTTTTTGATAGTTTTTTTGAGAAGCTTGAAGGTCATTTCCTGAGAAAGGAACTCAGATAAAACAAATATAAGTTTCAAGCTTTAAAATGAGAAAGGTCAATTTTGAAGTTTATCCAAAAAAACAGTCTGTGGAACTACTGGGTCAGTTTACATGTGAAAAGCAAAATAAATGTGATTACAATTTTGGAATATATGAATTATCACATTTTTTACATTTAATCTATTTATTATATTTATAAAGCTCATCTAGATACTTCAAATAGTTCTGTTAGGCAGTTGAAATACTTCAGAAAAAAATTGATTATGTTGAATTTATAAAGGTAGTTTAAAATTTTAAGAAAATTTAATTGTTATAAAGGCTGACTTTAAAGTTATTGTAAAAACTTGATAGATTTATTAAAAGAATGATAACATTTATAAATTAAAGTAAAAGTTTATGGATTGATAGATTTTTTGATTTGGAATATAAAGCAAAGGTTAGTTTCAAATGTGAAAGTTGTTACAAATTTTATCAGGTCAGTGCAAAAATAATTTTGTTTTCGAAAACCACTGAAAGTAATTATTTTTGCACAATGGCAAAAATCACAATTATTTTTGAACCAACCATAATATTTTCTGTGCACAAAAACAACTATCAAGAACACCGAAAAAACTCTCAATAACAATAATAAATGTGAGATTTTGTAAACCTTGTTATATGTTCTACTTATAGTCCTAAGGTGCTTATAATTTTTTTTCATTCTGATTACCAGAATCTCCACCCAGTCCAACTATCTTACAACTTTTTACTTGAATAAGAAAAGTTGAATCTATAATCCATAATGTGTAATGAGAACTACATATACTTTCCTATAGATAATTTTAATATACAAAAGTTAAAAAAAACTATTAAAAATATAATTTTTACTGAGCTGCATTCTAGGGGAGGAGCGATATTACCAAGATTAAATAGAGAAAGCACCTAAATAGATTGCCACATACTTGTGAAAGGTGATTATAATGATCTTGTCCCAATTCCTGCCAGGTATGGAGGAGGGTAACCACATGACAAAAAAATAAACTGCTGAGAATGACGAATATCAGGTATTCGGAGGATTAGGAAGTTAAGGATACAGAAAGAGAGAGAGGATCGAACAAACATGGCATCAGGCAGGTCCACAAGAAAGAAAGCTGTGAGAAAAGTTACTTGTGACAGTGATGACCAAGGGTCTGTTGCCGGTATTGCCAAGGGTCTGTAGCAGGTATGGCCAAGGGGCTGAAGAACTCAGTTGCTTGATAATTCAATTTTAAGTTATGACTTGCTCTATGCTGTGCTAAAATCCACTTTATTCTTTTGATTCTTTTTTTTTTCAGCTTTATTGAGGTATAACTGAAAACAATTCGGTGTATTTAAGGTATAAAACTTGTTGCTTTGATGTACATGTTCTTTGTATAATAATAGCACAATTATGCTAATTAACATATTCCAGCACCTCGCGTAATTACCTTTTATGTGTGTTCAGTAAGAACATTTAAGATCTATCCCCCTTAGCAAATTTTAAGTACAAAAAACAGTATTGTTAACTATGGTCACCATTCTATATATTATATCTCCAGAACTTCTTCATCTTAACATAACTAAAACTTTGCATCTGTTGACCACATCTCCCCATTTCTCCCTCCCCCTAGTCCCTGGCAGCCAGCATTTACTCTCTGCTCCTATGAGTTTGATTATGTAGATTCAATATATAAGTGAGATCATCTAGTATTATTTATTATTTAGTAAAACCATTTTGTCTTAGTATCTAATCAGTGACTCTGGGGTCTGAAGGAAAGGGGAAATTTTCCATGTTTATCATATAAAGAGCAGAGCAAAGAAAATAATCACACAATGTAAAGTTTAGAATTCAGCAGAAGCAAAAGACTTAATTGAGATATGTTTTTCTAGATCCATGGAAGATTTTAGGAAAACGGTTGAACTTTCCAGAAGAGGTGGCATGGGAGCTGAAGATAATTTGCTTCTATGAAAGTCCAGACAGACACCAAATAATTGGAAGACTTACTGACATTCAGGTGGCAAACAAATGGATTCTTTTTTGTGTGTGTTTACTTTTTTGCTTTATTATATTTTTTAAATTAACATACAGTCAATTGGCTTTACTGTGTACAATTCTTTTAATTTTAGCACAGGTATAGATTTCTGTAACCATCAGGACTGTAGAAACAGAACAGCTCTATCACTTCAAAAGCCTCCCCAGTGTCATCCTTTTAGAGTCACACACTCCCCAGTCTCAGCCGCTCAGAGTCACTGTCTGCTCTCAGTCACAATAATTTTGTTTTTTTGAAAATGTCATATAAACGGAATTGTACAGTGTTTAACATTTTGAAACTGATTTCTTTCATTCAGCATGTTGCCTTTGAGATTATCCAGTGGTTGCCTGTATTAACAGTTCATTCCTTTTTAAAAATTAATTCATGTTTTTAATTGACAAATAAAAATCATATATATTAAACTGTACACTGATGTTTGATAATATGTATATTGCAAAATGGCTAAATCAAGCCAATTAACATTTTCATTACCTCACATATTTAGTATTTCTTATGAAGAGTATATTTAAAATCTCCCATCTTAGCAATTTTCAGGTATGCAACACATTGTTATTAATTTTAGTCATTCCATTTATTGCTGCATAACGATGACCACACTTTGTTTATTCACTCACTTGTAGGAGATTTGAATGTTTTCTATTTCTAGTAATTATGAATAGAGCTGCTATAAATTTTTATATTCAGGTTTTTGGGTGAACATATTTTCATTCATCTTGGGCAACTACTCAAAACTGGGATTATTAGGTAGTGTGGTAAGTGTAACATCATGGGAAAATGTCCAACTCTTTTCCAAAGTGGCTGTCTCATTTTTCATTTCCAACAGTAATGAATGAAAGTTCCTATCCTAGGAGTTTGATTTTCATGCCTGTCAAAAGTAAAATGTGTGTTTCTGGCATGATACTCTCTTGTCATGTGCTAGTTCTGGTAAATTTCCTAAGTCATTTATTATTTATTTTTGAAAAAAATAGTCCTTACATGTTCTGTCATCAGTTAACTCTGTTTTTATAAATTGACATGTAATAATTATACATATTTATGGGTGAAATGTGATGTTTCTATACATGCATACCTTGTGTAATGATCTAATCCCAAGAATTAACACATCCACCACCTTAAACCTGCATCATTTCTTTGTTGTGGGAACATTCCATCTTCTCTGCTAGCTATTTGATAAGTACAACGCATTATTGTTAGCGATAATCAACCTACTGGGCAACAGAATACCAGAACTTCCTCTTCCTATCTAACTGTAACTTTGCACCCATTGATGAACTTCTCCTCATCTCCTTCTCTCCTCTATTTTCCTGTCTTTGGTAACCACTACTCTTTCAACTTCTATAAAATCAAGTTTTTCTTACTTTTATATGTAATGAAATGCACAAGGTATACAGTGTATATTTCTTTCTAGCCTAGAAACTGATGAGAACACTTACCTAGCGCATCAGACAGAATAACCTGGGCTGACTCACACTATAATTTTTCTCTTAATCTAGTCTGGGCCCTTTATAAACTTTCTATTGATAGTTGATTTGAATGAATGCCTGGGAAACATTTCTGCTCACTTTCACAAGCTACGTTGCCTGTGTTTATACCCATGGCTCTTTCCTTGGTTTGACTATTGCTTGTATGCTGTTCTCTAGGTAACTGTTAGCTCGGCCTGTTTCCTTAAGTTCCATGTTATCTGTGACTTTAGATACAAATACTCCTCTATCAGTAAAACCTTCTTCTAAGTCCTTCTCCTTTCCTTCTTTCTCCCCACTGACGGATAGGAATAAAGTCTTCATTTTATTAGTTCAAAAGCATATTTTCTTTTTGTTACTATGACTCTTTTATCTTCTATTCAGATATCTGCCCACTAAAATGTGTAATCATGCTCTATAAATTTTTTGCTTACAACATATTTATAACAATAACCTGAAACTTAGTACAAACATAGTCAAACCCAGAGATCGAATCTTGAAAAATACATAAAAGTATTTGTCATGAATCGGCCGGGTGCAGTGGCTCACGCCTGTAATCTCAGCACTTTGGGAGGCCGAGGCGGGTGGATCACGAGGTCAGGAGATCGAGACCATCCTGGCTAATACAGTGAAACCCCGTCTCTATTAAAAATACAAAATTTAAAAAAAAATTAGCCGGGCGTGGTGGCGGGCGCCTGTAGTCCCAGCTACTCGGGAGGTTGAGGCAGGAGAATGGCGTGAACCCAGGAGGCAGAGCTTGCAGTGAGCCGAGATCGCGCCACTGAACTCCAGCCTGGGAGACAGAGTGAGACTCCGTCTCAAAAAAAAAAAAAAAAGAAAAAAGTACTTGTCATGAATCATAAAGGTTTATAAAAAGCATCTTAAAAGGCCTTCCGGTCAAATGTTTCTAACTAGAAAATAGCAAGTTGAAGGAGTCAGTCTTAGGCCATAGACAAGCTTTCCAAGCTTACCAGTTTCCTTCTAGCTCACCCCAGAAAACTGTAATTGGTATTCATCTTCTAGCTGAGTTACTCTGAAGAAAAATGAAAGGCAGATCAGCAGGGTTTCTTATTAAAAGATAAACCAGAAATAAAAAATGCCATTAAATGACAACTCCTACAGAATTGCATGGGCTACCAACTAATGCTTTAATTTAAAAAAAATTGAGCATGAAAGACAGTAATCGTTAGTTGGTATCATTGCCCCTTAAATGCATAAGGAGTTTCACTAACAGTAGAAAGAGGTGGAGATGACCTTGTAGGTTGAGTTATTATTGAGAAGTGATCATGGATGGAGAGAGAGCCTCTCCCCATACTTCCTTCATTCTCACTGAACAAAAAAAAAAAAAAAAAAAAAAAAGAAAAAAACCATCAGTATTTGGTGGAATGAATCTTCTTATTTAATTAGAGTAACAGCCCTCTTACAACTATAAACTCTACTCCCCTTTATGGAAGCACTTGCTTGGACTATTTCAAATAATTTAACAAATCATTTGCTGGTTCAAATCAGTTTAAAAGGGTATATTTTTCTGAAGAATGAGGTAACATCAGCCACATGAAAAATCTTGCCATGCAAAAGGAGTCTAAAGAATGGAAATACATTTCTCCCTCAATTATTGACTCAAATCAAAGTGAATTCCTATAGCCAAACCTCACAGTTATATAATTAAAACACCTGTGAATGTTATCTTTATTATTTATCATTACTGTTGGGTCCTTTTAAGTGCCAGAGAGAGAAAGATTTCTCAAATTCTCTTCTCTACCACATATGGTTAATATGGATCAGAATTAGGATTTAGAGCCCGATCTTTCCTTGGATAGCTTGACAAGTTATTGGATTGAAATTTTCTTGAGGAGAGAAAGGACATATTGTTTTTCAACAAAGAAGTATATAGAAAGCAATCAGTAAATGGTTGTGCAATAAATCCCAAGTCATTACTTATTTTAGTCAAATTAGTCACTTCCTCTTGTTCCTAATTTGACTTCTGCCACCTGGTGGCAATTTTGCACAGGTCGATTTACCATTCAGCATGAAGTCTTGGCAAAGTACTAACTTACATACTTCAGAAAATGCTAATTTAAACTTGGGCCAGTGAAATCCCTGAGTACTTAATGCATCTCATAAAATCATGGGAATTAGCAAATGACAATAGAAAGCAAAACAGAAATGGGGCAGATACAGTGGTAATATATTTTTTTCATAACAATTGTCCAGCCTGGTGTGATTTTTACCTACTGTCCTCATTTACATTGACTACTTATAAATTTCTGACAAATACCAGTGTAGCTAAATATCTGGACATAGCTCTTATTAGGACTCAGTACTACCAAAACCAAGGACATTGTATCAAATACTTGAAAAATGCATTACTGTAACTGAGGTAAGGTGACATTGCTACATAGTATCTTTTCCTTTCTTTTCCTCTTGTTATCAGATGGATTAACAAAATTATCTTGTGGAATAAAACAGAGAATCAAATTGCAGCTAAGCAGGCAATGAGCAAAACTGTAGATATTCTTTCACCTTCAGTTTCTCTATATAGATATTTGTGGTTTCTCATAGTTAATTGAAAACACATAGCAAGCCCACTTGGTGCCAAACTGGAGAGTAGTATAATCCTCTTTGCATAACAGTTATTGGCAGCAATTTCTAAGAATCGATATTAGAAATTAATAATTTATTCTAGCTTTTTATAATTGTTACGTAGTTTTTCTGTCATAGTATTGTTTTGGGTTTGACAATGAGGGATAGGATTGGAGAGGATACAGAATATACAGTTTGGTGGGGATATTTTTCATCTTTCTAAGTTGCATTTTAGGTGAAGGAAGAGTTTAAAAACTTAGTCTAGTTATGCTTATTCAGTAGATATTACTGGCAAAGGAAAGAGTTTCTCTTTGAAAAGAGACAATTGAGCTTTTTGAAATACTTTCATTTTCTTAACAATAAGAATGCATTTCACAAAGGCCTCAGGCCATTCTGATTACACCTAGACAATAAAATTTCTCCACATCTCAGGTGACACCACTAGTGTTTCTGCTAAGTGCAAAAGATAAGACTGACTGAATCTTTTGCAAAACAGTTGGCAATAGGGCTGTAGCTACCTTTTATTTCTTTCCATTTTTAAATAGCCAGATCCAAAGGAACAGTCTGACCAGTTAACATGCCTGCCCAATTACAGGTCAATGATGATTGCACGTCTTTGGAGCTGGCTCTTCCTTCCCCAGCTTCATTCAATAAAGGTACCATCTTTTAAGTAAAATGACACTAAGACAACTGTGGCCATTATAAGACAAATGTACTTCCCATGAATTGGAAACAGTTTGCTCTCAGCTTCCTGGCTCATTATGTTCCCAGACTTATGATAATCTCGCAGCTGCAAACCTTGGAGCATGCTGCACTTCAGTTAATTCTCAGCTAGTGTCTTCTCTTGGGTACCAATGACTGGATGCTAGGCGAGCTTCTCCTTTACTGTCACATCAGTCTGTCTAAATGAATAAAGGGGAAAAATAAAAGTACCTCTGTCCTAGACTATTCTCTACTCTCAGGTTTTTGAAAGACTCTTTCTAGCCACTCAGTAGCCTTGTTATCACACCTAAAAGAATTTTGGGACAGAGTTCAGCCTTTCATGTGGACATTTGTGACAAAATCAGGGTTTCTATCCTCTCATTTTTGTTTTGATTCCAAAGAACACTACTCTAGGGCTCAGGAGACTTGGATTGTGTATCCACCTTCATCAAAAATCACTTAACATATCCAGATTTTTCTTTATATTTACAATGAAGTGTTTAGGATATATGGCCTCTAAGGTTAGCTTCAAGTTTCTATTATTTGTATAGACTTGTTAATTCCCTTTAAGCTGATGACTTCTTGAGGTGCATACAGTCATTACATTAATTGACATTATTTGTAAGCTATTCACACACATACACACAGGTATTTAATTCAAGAACAATAAGAACTGGCACTATTGAACATCTACTACAATGTCAAGCACTCTTATATGTTATCTCATTTAATTATCATGTAAATTTTAGAAATTTTATTATTATATCAATCTTTCAAGTATAGAAATTGCTAATTTGACCTGTTTTAAAACTTGAGTAATTCACTCTGCTAGCAAATGGCATAACTTGGGAACTGTCAACTGCCATGTTTATTCTGCAATTTTTGTGGTGGCTTGTACTGTATCCCTATACTGCTTACCCACTGGAAAAAAAAAAACAAAAAACTTATTTTTAAAAATAAATTACTTAACAGTTACTCAATAATAATTCATTGAATGACTTCTGTGTGCTAGGTTTTGTTCTAGGTACTAAAGGTGTAGATCCTGCTATTATGAAGCTTATATTCTAGTGTAGTGGGAAGAACTATAGAATAGAAATCATAAGTAAATATCTATCCATTACATTTCAGATGGTGATAAATGTCAAGGTACAGAATAAGTCACAGTAGAGACATTAAGAGTATTGAAGTATTAATGAAGGGGATTGTGGGGGTTGCTTGTTTGGTTAGAGTAGCAAGAAAAATCTTCATTGAGAAGGTGTTATCTCCCTAAAGCCTAATGGAGGTGAACACATTAGCCATGCAGATAACTTCAGGAGCAGCATTACATCTGGAAGAAATGGTAAATGCAAAGATCCTAAGGAAGAAGTGCTCCTACAGTGTTTTAAGAAAAACCCAGTGAGGACTGTGTGAGTTGAATGTGGAAAACAAAGAGAAAATATAGAAGATAACATCAAAGAGGTAATGGTGATTATAGGAGACAGATATATTTTTATTTTTAATTCCAAGTTAGGAATTATTAAAAATTAATAAATTATTTTTAATTCCAAGTTAGGCATGAAGTCATTAGAGGGTTCTGAGCAGAGGATTCACCTATTTAACTTATATTGTAACAATATTATTCTGGTGACTGTGTTGATAGAATGTAAAAGGGTGATGGATGAAGCTGGGAGAACAATTAGAGGGCTAATAGTGATAATGACCAAGGTAAGAGCTTATATTTGTTTAGACTAGGTCTCCAAAGTGGCACTAGGGATGATGAGAAGTGACAACATTCCAGGTATTTGAAGCTGGAGGCCACAGGATGTCTTAATGGATTGGATGAGGGTATGAATAAAGAGAAGAATGAAGAGCAGCTCTATGGTTGCCTATCTGAGAAAATGCAAGTCTGTTGTTACCATTTATTGAGATAGAAAAGACTTTTGGAGAAGCAAATGTGGCAAAAAAATATCAGGAGCTCAGCTTTAGACATTGAATATTTGGATGTTTAAAATTAGATGCTAAATTTGGTTTGCATAGTAGATATCCAAATGGAAATGTTAATTGTATTAGTTCATTTTCATACTGCTATAAAGAACTGCCCAAGACTGCGAAACTTATAAGGGAAAGAGGTTTAATCGACTCACAGTTCAACATGGGTGGGGAGGCCTCAGGAAACTTACAATCATGGTGGAAGGCAAAGTGGAAGCAAGGCATCTTCTTCACAAGGTGGCAGGGTGGAGAAGTGAAGGCAGGAGGAACTACCAAAGACTTATAAAATCATCAGATCTCCTGAGAACTCACTCACTATCAGGAGAATAGCATGGGGGAAACTGCCACCATGATTCAGTTTCCTCCACCTGGTCTCTCGCTTCACACATGGAGATTATTGGGATTATGGGGATTACAATTCAAGATGAGATTTTGGGTGGGGACACAGCCAAACCATATCATTAAGTAAGTGATTAGATATATGAGTCCAGAATATAGGGTAGAGGTCTGAGATTGAGATATAGAATTTTAATTAATCAGCATAAATATGGTACTTTAGGTTTTTGAAAATGTATGAGATTACTATGGATATAAGTGAAAATTTATTTCAAAAAATAAATGTTCCAAGAAGTAACTCTGAAGCTTTTGAATATCCTGGAAATAGAGGATAGGGAGAGAACTAGCAAGAGATAATGTGGAGTATCAGTTAAAACGTAGATGGAAAACTAGAATCTGCTGTTTCCTATAAGCCAAGTAGGAAGGAAATCTTGCAAGAATGAAGAAATAATTAACTCTGTCAAACACCACTGATAAGTATTATGTCACCTGGAAATTTCCTGTTCAATTTAGCAATGTGAAGATCATTGGTAACCAGGATATTTGTAGAGAACAAAAATGAAAACAATAAATAAAAAGAAGATCAGAACATGCATGGAGAGATTTTTGAGACTGTAAGCACAGACAATGCAAAGAATTTTGCTCTAAAAGGAAGGAAAAAAATAGAGTGGTAGCTGACATGGATATTATAAGACTGATAGTAATAGACGGTAACAGACTAAAGAGTCTTTACTTTCTTAATACAGAAAGGAAACAGTAGGATAAAAATAGGCTTGTCATCAATTCACTCAATTAATAAATAGTTGCTGAATGCCTGCTTTGTGTCAGGAAATGTTTTAATGTGCTGGGGAAATAGCAATAAACCTTCATAGAATGTTTTTGTTTAGAAACAGTAAAAAGTTTCATGCAGATAATTAATGCAGAGTTTGTGCATGAGGAATAGTTACTGTTGACTCTTGAAGGTTACATGTTCAAAACTTAGTTAGGGAGAGCCCCCAGAGCACCTTAAATTTCAATAATTCTCTAGAAGGATTCACAGAATTCAGAAAAGTCGCTATACTCATAGTTACAGTTTATTACAGCAAAAGGATACAGACCAGAATCACCAAAGGGAAGATTTGCATAGGGCAAAGTCTAGGAGATACTAGGTGCAAGTTTCCAGTGATCCTCTCTCAGTGGCGTCAAGCAGACATTTTATTCTACCAGCAACAATGTGTGGCAATATGCAAGAAGCGTTGCCAGAGTTTTAGTTGAGGCTGGTCATGTAAGCACGGCTGACTGCATATGTGGTTGACCTTAGTTACTAGTCTCCTCTAGAAGCCAAACTTACACCACCTGGCCCAAGGACCTCATGATAATTCATATTGATAAAATAAGCCAACCTGTATGGCCACGTCCCCAGTGACCCTCTTATCAGGCAGAATATTCTAACGTCTTAGAGACAACCTCCCAGGAGTAGGTCAAGAGACAAATATTTGGAAGATGTTCTCTCATATTGTAATGTAGAATTTTAATATTTTCATACAAATATTCATACTGAAAATACCTATTTTAATCTTTAAAATAATTTGGCAATGTCTTATTAAGCAACTCTTTTAGCGTCCAGAAACTCAAATAGAATTTCTGAATATTTTAGCAGTTTAATCAGATTTTCCTTTCTATTCTTTTAGCTAAAAACCTGTTTGGTGGTTTACATTATTTGATTTCAAGGAGGCTCTGGGCTGAATCAACTGTGTCCAAATTAGTAAAGAAATTATTTTTAATTACTGAGCAGCTTGAAAGAATTTAGCAATTTTCATTCAGAAGATGAAAAAGATGGAATACATTTTGTGACAGCTGAAAGCTTGTCTCATATCAGAAAATCTGAGAACAAAAATAATCTTTAACAGACATAGAAATATTGAATTTCAAATTCATCATTTTTCATCATAGAAACAATTATTTCAAGTTATAAAATCAAAAGATTTAAAAAATAAGCATTTATTTATGGCCCAAAAGGGAATGACAAAAATGTACAATACAAACAACCTGTAAAATTGAATCTATAACTACTGTCACAATGTTTTAATAACTCCTAAAAATACCAAACCATAGCAACCCACATATATTCTCCTATGAACATTCTGAAGTTTTTAGATTTACATTACTTTTGTCAATAACCAAGAAACGAAATGTGGTGACTCCATAATTCACATGTGTGCCATTCTAGCCCTAAAATACAACACCCACATTAAGCTTTGATTAGAAGCACACGCTCACAACTCAAAACATGAAGGTGTAAAAATTCTGATTACTTTAAAACATTATGGTGTTCAAGGGGGAAATACCAGTTTATTATTATTTTTGTATCTATCTGTTAATTTGGGGAAAGGAAAGAGTTGGAGGACAGGAATTGGTTTTGGGGTGTTTGGTATGATACCTGGAACTGTGCATTTTTTAAGAGTCTTTCATTAATGCAACTTCCTCTTTATTTATAAGGACTGTCTTTGATCAGGCTTATAACTAGATAAAAGAAGGATTAATTTTCTATTAGCAATAATAATTTAGTATTTACTACATGTTATATAATGCTAAATATGTATATATTAGCATCTTCTTTTTAAAAAAAAACTATAATGCTTGTACTATTATGATACCTATTTTACAGAGAAAATAATTATGATTAGAAAGGCTTGGCAACTTGTTCAAACACATAGGCTTAGTAGGAAGCATAGATAAAACCTGAACCTAGATCCATCCCAGAATACAACTTAAAATTGTGAACATGTTTCTGTCAAGAATAGAGACCCAAAAGCCATGAGCAAAGGTCATCTATTAGTCCAGGGGATAAACAGTTAAAATAATTGTGGGTTAATAAACAATTATTGAGCCAAAAAAGCTTATCAAGCATTTAGAACTCCTTGATACTGGGGTACTGATAAGAAATATCCTTAAGGGATACACACTCTAGTGTGGAAGAAAGATTCTTAAATCAGTGATTATAATCCACTTTGGTGGTGTAAACAATGATTTCTGGAACACTGAACACTTCTTTCTACTCGGGGGCTAAAGAGGATAATATGAATGTTATGTCTTAACACATGAATTCTTTAGAGAGGCGAGCTATAGAAGGATATTTGAAGCAAAATTGGCCAGTATGAAGAAAGACACCCAGGCATGAAAGAGTGTGGTCTGCTTAAGGAAAGGAAGGTTTACTGCTTTGACTATAGCATGTAGTATACGAGGGAATTGAAAAGACAAGATTGAGAACAGCTCACTTACAATAGTAATATCTACTCTTCCCCAGACACTGCAGTTCCCAGCCCCTAAGGCTTAGCAGTTGGCTCAATAATACTTCGGTTGATATTACCTGGAAAACAAATAAGCTCCTTGATTTGAGTTTTGTTTCTTTTTTAAATACAATTTTTGTATTAGAAGAGTTTTAAATTTCCAGAAAACTTGCAAAGATAGTACAGAATTTTCTCATAACTAGCATATATTTTCTCTTTTATTAATATCTTAACGTTAGTATGATACATTTGTTAATTAACAAGTATTGATACATTATTAACTATCTACGCTGTATTTATATGCCTTCTTTTTTTACCCAATATCATTTTTCTGTCCCAGGAACACCTATGATACCACATTTTTATTGTCATGTCTCTTTAGTCTCCTCTTGAATTTTACAATATTTTAATTTTTTTGTTGTTTTTTATATCCTTGATAGTTTGAGGAGCACTGGTCAGGTATTTGGTGGCCCCTCCCTCAATTGAGATTTTTCTGATGCTTTCCTCATGATTAGACTGGAGGTATGCATTTTGGGGATGACCACAAAGGTAAAGAGTGCTAGTTTCATTACATCACATCAAGAGAACATTCTATCAGTGTGATTCACTACTGGTGATATTAAGCTTGATCGCATGGCTGAGGTAGTGTTTGCCAAGAATCTCCACAGTAATGTTACTCTTTTTATCCCTTTGCACACTGTACTCTTTGGAATGAAATCATTACACACAGCCTGCACTTGAGGAGTGGGGATTACAGCCTCACTTCCTTAAAGTGAAAGTGGATTCTTTGCGAGAAAAAGGGGCCCCCTCTGTTCACTTATTTATCCATTCACTTATTTCTATCAATATAGATTTATGAGTATTTACTTTATACTTTGAGTTATAATTCATTACAAAATCTTTTCTTTTTCCACTCATGTTGTTCCATGTTGTTCAGTAATTGGAAATTCTTTCAGTAGGCTCTAGTGTCTCTTTGACATACCTATCATGTGGTGTTTATTTAAGCATTTACTTTCTGTCACTGCAAAATTACCTAGGATAATATTGTAAATTTCCTCGCTAATCTATAATCAACCATTTCTACCAAAAGCCCTGGTTCCTTTTATTGGACAATAGTATAAGAAACCAAGATCTAGTGGTATGCTCATTGCTACCTTCTGAGAACCTTCCAGATGATGGAACAAGAAAATGAATGTGTCTATACTAATACATGTATATATACATACATATTTATATGTATATTTTTATCTTTATCAGGCTAAATATAAGCACCAGTTGAAGTCTCCAATGCTCATACATTAATATATGGATCACTCAAGCATCCTTTTCTAGTCTCTCTCTAACCTTTCATTCCACCAGTGAGAAACCTGACTTCAATCGCTGGCCATCCATTTATTTAATTGCTCAATTCCAGAATACATGTATAAAGGTTTCAGAATTTTTAACATGAATTCCTGCGGGAAAAATACTTTATCAACTTGAGCAAAGTTTCGTGGCAGCTCCTTTTTCTTTAGTCTTGCAGACTCCACTCATTTCCAAAGTTACCTAGGCTGACAACTTCTCCCTCCAACCCATTCAATGAGGTTGTCACATCTTTGTAAAGCATTTAGATCCTTTTGTTACATTCTGATTTTCATCCTGGAACACTCTGACATCCTTAATGATTTTTTATTTGCATACATATAGAGTTTATTCTTTTTCTGTGGGTTTTGACAAAAGTTTGATGTCTTATACTCACCATTACAGTATTATACAGAATACTTTCAAACCCTAAAAAAATCCTCTGTGCTTCACCTACTCAACCCTCAACCTTACCTATTGTCAAGATCCTGTCAAACACTGATCTGTTAGCCTTTCCAGAAAGTCATATAACTAAAATCATACAGTATGCGGAACTTCAGACTTGGCTTCTTTCATTTAACAATGTGCATTTAAGATTCATTCATACCTTTCTGTGGCTTGAAGTTTATTTTCTTTTATCACTGAATAATATTCCATTGCACAATAGTATCATAAATTATTTATCCAATAGAAGGATATTTTGGTTGCTTGTAGTTTTATTATGAGTCAAATACTGTAAACATTTGCATACAGATTTTTTGTGGACATATTTTTTATATCAATTGGGTAAATAGTAGTACCATAATTGTTGGATCATACCATAATTGTTGGATCATACCGTAATTGTTGGATCCTAAAGTGAGACAATGTTTAGTTTTCTATGGGAACTGCCTATCTTCCAAACTGGCTGTACTATTTGGTAACTCCCAAGAGAGTTCTTGTTGCTTTGCATCCTGTACAGCAATTATTAATAGTGTTGTCAGGTTTGGGATTTCAGGCATTCTAATGGAAATATAGTATCTTGTTATTGTTGTTGTTTAATTTCCTAATGACAACTGATGTTAAGCATCTTTTCACACCTTTACTTGCCATCTGTATATCTTCTTTTGTGAGCTACCTGATCAGATCTTTTGCCTATTTTTAGTTGGTTATTTTCTTATGGTTGTTTTAAGCATTTTAAAATACATTTTAAATTCAAGGTCAGGCATAGTGGCTCACGCCTGGTAATTCTAGCACTCTAGGAGGCCAAAGTGGGTGGATCACTTGAGCCCAGAAGTTCAAGACCAGCCTGTGCGGTATGGTGAAACCCCAATCTCTACAAAAAATTTCAAAACAACCCCACGTGACGCACACCTGTAGTCCTAGCTACTCAGGAGGCTAAGGCGGGAGGATCACTTGAGCCTAGGAGGTCGAGGTTGCAGTGAGCTGTGATTGCTCCACTGCACTCCAGCCTGGGCATCAAAGTGGGACCCTGTCTCAAAAGAAATAAATAAAAAATCAAATACTTTATCAGGTATATGTTTTGCAAATATTTTCTCCCAGCCTTGTGGCTGAACTCTTCATTCTGTCACCATTGTCTTTTGCAGAGAAGTTTTAAATGTTAATAATTCTAAGTTATCAATTTTCTATTAACTACCATGTTATTGGGATGTTACACTTATATTTTAAAACTCATCACTAATCCAAGAACATGTACATTTTCTCTTATGTTTTCTTCAAGAAGTTTTACAGTTTGACTTTTTTTTTTTTTTTTTTTTTTGAGATGGAGTCTAGCTCTGTCACCCAGGCTGGAGTGCAGTGAGACAATCTTGGCTCACTGCAACCTCGGTTTCCTGGGTTCAAGCAATTCTCTGCTTCAGCCTCCCGAGTAGCTGGGATTACAGGCGCACAGTACCATGCCCAGCTAATTTATTTTTTTTCAGCAAAGACAGGGTTTCACTATCTTGACCAGGTTGGTCTTGAACTCCAGACCTTGTGATCCACCCACCTCAGCGTCCCCAAGTGCTGGGATTACAGGCGTGAGCCACTGCACCCAGCCAGTTTGACATTTTAGAGTTAGCATGAGGACGATTTTGAGTTATTCCCATGTAAAGCCTGTGTCTAGGTTCATTTTTTTTTTTTTTTTTTGCATATGGACATTCAGTCGTTTCAACATCATTTGTTGAGAGCACTGTTCTTGAGTTAACCATGCTGCTATATGAAAGATCAGTTAGTTATATTTGCGTGGAGCTATTTCTGGGTTCCTTGTTCCTTTCCGTTAATGTATGTGTCTATATTTTCACCAATATCATGCTGTCTTCATCACTGTAAAATTATAGCTAATCTTGAGGTTGGGTGGTACTGTAAAACTTCCAACTTTGTTCTTCAGTATTTATTTAACTATTCTAGGTCTATGGCTTTCCATAAAAAACTTTAGAAGCAGTTGTTCAATATTTAAAATATAACTTGACAGGATATTGTGATTACATGAGTGCAGGATATCTACTGATTATACTTTTGAAAAAATGTTTTCATCAGTGTTTTGAAGTTTCCTACATATAGGTGTCATACATTTTTTTAGATTTTTTTTTTTTTTTTTTTTTGAGAGGGGGTCTCGCTTCATCACCCAGGCTGGAATGCAGTGGTGCAATCTTGGCTCGCAGCAACCTCCACCTCCCAGATTCCAGCAATTCTCCTGCCTCAGCCTCCTGAGTAGCTGGAATTAGAGGCATGTGCCACCACTCCCAGAAAATTTTTGTATTTTAGTAGAGATGCGGTTTCACCATGTTGGCCAGGCTGGTCTTGATTCCTGACTTCAATTGATCCACCCGCCTCAGACTCCAAAAATGCTGGGATTACAGGCGTAAGCCACTGTGTCCAGCTGCTTTTTTAAAATTTATATTTTAGTATTTTTGGGTGTGCTATTATAAATGATATTGCTTATTTTATATATCAGTTGTGCATTTTACATATGTAGTAAACCTCTTGACTCCTGTATATTAAACTTGTTTCTTGTGTTTTTTATACACATATTAGTTCTAGTTTTCTTGTAGATTCTTTGAGTTTTTTTACCTAGACAATAATGTTATCTGTGAATTGAGTTTTTATTCATTTATTATTTCCAATGTGTTTACTTTTTATTTTTCTCTGATCTTGCTGCACTAGCTAAAAGTTCTAGTATAATGTTGAATAGAAGTAATGAGGTACCTTAGATCTTAGAAGAAAAGCATCTCATTTCTCACCATTAAGTATGATGTTATCATGTTGTTTGGCAGATATTATTCAAGTAAAGATAGTTCCTTCTATTCCTATTTATTTAGTAATAGGATATATTCCAATTTATTTATTTATATATTTATTTATCTATTCCTAGTTATTTATTTAAATTGTTAATTTTGTGTGCCCTTAGTAGGTGTGTGTGTATATATATATATATATATATATATATCTGAGGTACATGAGATGTTTTGACACAGGCATGTAATATATAATAATCATAACATGGAAGATGGGGCATCCATCCCCTTGAGCATTTATCCTTTGTGTTATAAACAACTCAATCATACTATTTTAGTTTAAAATGTACAATTTAATTATTATAGACTACAGTCACCCTGTTCTGCTATCAAAATCTAGGTCTTACTCATGTATTCTATTTTTTTTTGTATTCATTAACCATCCCCACCTCCCCATCACACCACCACTATCCTTCTCAGCCTATCGTGACTATCCTATCTCTATATCCATGAGATCAGTTATTTTGAGTTTAGATGCTACAAATAAGTGAGAACATGTGATGTTTGGATTATTTCACTTAACATAACTTCCAGTTCCATCTATGTTGTTGCAAATAACTGAGTCTAGTTCATTTTTATGGCTAAATGGTATGCCATTATGTATAAGTAACACCTTTTCTTTATTCATCTGTTGATGGACACTTAGGTTGCTTCCAAATCTTGGCTATTGTGAACACAGCTACAACAAACATGGGAGTGCAGATATCTCTTCAATATAATGATTTCCTTTCTTTTGGGCATATACCCAGCAGTGGGGATGGCTAGATTGTATGGTAACGCTATTTTCACTTGTGTGAGGAACCTCCACACTGTTCTCCATAGTGGTTGTACTAATTTACATTCCCACCAACAGTGAAGGAGGGTTGCCTTTTCTCCACATCCTTGTCAGCATTTGCTATTGCCTGTCTTTTGAATAAAAGCCATTTTAACTGGGTTGAGATGATAATGCATTGTAGTTTTGATTTCCATTTATCTGATGATCAATGATGTTGAGCACGTTTTCATATGCCTGTTTGCCATTTGTATGACTTATTTTTGAGAAATATCTATTCAAATCTTTTGCCCATCTTTGGATTGGATTATTAGATTTTTTTCCTATTGACTTGTTTGAGCTTCTTACATATTCTGGTGATTAATCCCTTGTCCCTTCCAAGCTCTTTGTATATCTGATGTAAAACTAAAATCCAGTTCCTTTGTGTTTAATTCATCAACACATGCCTGTCCTATTTTGAATTTCATCCAGGTCTTTTCGGATGAATAACATGAACTTTAAGACTTCAGTGACTGGGCAATAATGTTGTTAAGTGTTACCATTATGTGAAGTTATTTAAATGTTAACATGTTATAGAGGCATCTGTGGTATGAAATACAACAACCCATTTGGTATCAGAAGATCTAAGTTAGCATCTTACGTCTAGTATTTAAAGGCAAAATTTATGTTAAATTCATCTCTGCTATAACAGCATTAAGAGATGCATCTTTAGGCCATTGATGAGGCTATGAACGCTCTGCCCTCATAAATAGGATGAATTCCTTACAGAAGGGGCAGAGATAACCATGTAGGTGCCCTTCTGTTCTTCAACCCCTTTTGTCTGTGAAGACACAGGTTCCCCCCTCTAGAAGATATAACAAAAAGGTGTCATCTTGCAAGCAGCCCTCACCTGACACTGAACCTGCCAGCACCTTGATCTTGGACTTCTAGGCCTCCAGAAATGTGAGAAATAAGTTTATGTTGTTTATAAATTACATAGTCTATGCTATTTTGTTATAACAGCACCAAGACATATGAGATATCAAAAATATTCAAATTTATGGAATCACAGAATAGAATAGAACACAATATGTGGTTAACTACAGTAACCATACTGTGGAATAGATCCTCTTGAACTTTTTCCTTCTAACTGAAATTTGGTATCGTTTGACCAACATCTCCCCAATTCCACACCTCCCACCCACTCCAGCCTCTGACATCCACCATTCTACCCTCTACTTTTTTGAGATCTACTTTTTTGCAACCATGAATAATGGTAACAGACTGGATGCAAAGTGTTCTCACCATAAAAATAATAATGCGAGCTAATGAATATGTTAATTAGCTAAAGCCAGTCATTTCACAATGTATATATCCTTTAAAATAGTGTGTTGTACATAGTACATACGTATAGTTTTATTTGTCAAAAAAAAAAAAGAGTGGAATGGTGGTTGCTAGGAGCTGGGGGAAGAGGCAAATAGGAGTTACTACCAAGCAGTGGGCGAAAAGTTTCAGTAAAGAAAAATATATAAGCTCTAGAGATTTGCTGTGCATCACTGTGTTGCCGGAGGGCTAAGGTTGGTCTCCAGATGATGTGAGATCCCAGCCCCAACCAGTCTAGCTGTTCTTGTCATCAGCATGAGAAAGAATTCGAGGATAGCTCACAATAAAGTAAAAGCCAAGAAGCTTTTACTGTAAAGCAAAAGTAGCCACCTAGAGAAGTGTGGGCATCCTCATGAGAATGAGTTACGCACAGCGGAGTTTGGATTTCTAATTTGATGGGTGTGTCTTTAATTAGGGGGTTGGAATAATCATTAAGTATTCTGGAAAACAGTGGATTTCAGGTCTCCTGGTTACTGCCCCTTTCACCCTTATTTGGGTTTGCCTGGAAGAGTTATGGACATGTCTCCGTGACAAGAGTATTGGTCATTTTCTCTTTGTTCTCCCTTATTTTGGGTTTTCTGTTTTCTTTCTTTTTTTTTTTTTTTTTTGCCTAATTCCTGTTTTAGCTATTGTTTGTTTTTTTTCCATCCTCCTACGACTACCCAGTGCTATTCCTATCTCAATTGTGCCTTTATTTTCACATGTATTAGTCTGTCATTTACTTTCCTTGAGATGTCATTGTCTGCTTTTGTAATCATGATTACAATGGTAACAAGATGGGAAGTGTTGTCTTCTCATTTGTTTTGTACACGATTTTGTAAATAATTGGCATCAATTGGCCTGGCTCGGTGGCTCACGCCTGTAATCCCAGCACTTTCAGAGGCCAAGGCGGGCAGATCATGAGGTCAGGAGATTGAGACCATCCTGGCTAACACGGTGAAACCCCGTCTCTACTAAAAATACAAAAAATTAGCCGGGCGTGGTGGCGGGGGCCTGTAGTCCCAGCTACTTGGGAGGCTGAGGCAGGAGAATGGCGTGAACCCGGGAGACGGAGCTTGCAGTGAGCCGAGATCATGCCACTGCACTCCAGCCTGGGCCACAGAGCCAGACTCCATCTCAAAAAAAAAAAAAAAAAAAAAAAGAGGTATAGAGAAGCTGCAAAAATTAACCACCAGCAGAGCTGACTACAACAAATTTTAAAGGAAAAATAAAAACAATGTATTGTTAGGTCATGATAAATGTAAAGTAGAATGTATGATGATAGCACAAATGTAGAAAGAGGAGAAATTGGAAGTGTGCTTTTTTAAGGTCCTTACATAATACGTAAAATTTAATAACACTTAAAGGCACACTGTGATAAACTGAAGTGAATAATTTAAAATATGAATCATAAGTAAATCAGTTTTAAAAGGTATATACCTAATAAGCCAGTAAAACCCTCAAAAAGGGAGAAAAAAGAATGATCAAATAAAAAACACAAATAATAAAAAGAAAATGGTAGCTTATACCCAATGATATCCACAATAACTTTAAAATAGGCTGAGTACTCAACTAAGAAGCAGAGTGCCAGGTTGGGTGTTTTGAAAATAGTACCATTGTACATATTTCCCTCAAGAAATCCACTTGAAAGATAAAGAACTATGTCAAAATTAAAAGAATAGATAAAAGATACACCATGCAAACACTAAACAAAATAAAGCTGGATTTGAGACCAAAGACTATTACTAAGGTTAAAGAGGATCAGTTCACAATGATAAAGGGATCAATTCATTAAGAGGACATACCAACTGTAAACATTTATGCACCAAATCAGAAAACTTTAAAACACATGAATCAAAAAAGGATAGGACTGCCAGAAGAAACAGACAATTCTAAAATATATAACAGAAGTTCAAAACACATGAAGTAAATAATAACAAAAATGAAAAGATGAATAGAAATATCCACAAGTCCAACTGGAAATTGCAACTCCCCAATACAGTAATTGATAGAACAAGCAGAAAATCACCAAGGACATAGAATACTTGAGCAACAATATCAAACAAATTGACCTATTTAATATTTTAGAATTCTTGCCTCAACACATGCAGAAGGACTCTTTATTTTTTTAATTCAGGTACCTTTGGAACATTTACCAATATAAATTGTATTCTGAGACATAAATAAATGTCAATAAACTTTAAAGAATTAGAATCATACAAAATTTGTTCTCTCATCAAAAAGGCAATTTTCTCTTTGGCCTAAGCTAGAGAAAACAGAATTTCTGTCACTTGCAACCAAAAGATTTTATGATAGTACAGTTGCATGAAAAATTTCTTCATTAGAGCTGAGGTTAGAAAATAGGCTTCTCATTTACCAGCAACTTTCACCTCACTGTGATTAAAATTTTTTCATAGCATTAATTTAGCTTTCTTCTTCTTTTCACCTAAATCTGACTTTCTCTTCCAGCCATTTCACTGAATATTTTTTCACCTTTACCATGGTCTCTCCAAAGTTCAATATGAAGAGAATTGGGAGAATGACCTTCACAATGTTGTGCTGCCAGAAAACATTATTTAGTCATTTTTGGCTAATCTTACGGGTTTCCCCTCGAATCCACATTCTGAAGAAAGAAAGCACATATTGTGTAGCTTAGCTGTTCCAAATTTGTAGGACAGTGGACTTCATTCTTTATTAGATCATGATGTTTCAAATATTCAGTTTAAAGCTATATGGATTCTCCACGAACAATGGTTAAATACACACACACAAACACACACATACACACACCCCATTTGGAAGAATTTCATGGCTCCTAAGTAAAAAATTTTTCTATAAACAGAAATATAACATTTTAATTCAAAATGATTTTAAAATCATTATTATTATTATCATTATTAATAATATGAGACAGAGTCTCACTCTGTCACCCAGGCTGGAGTGCAGTGGTGCGATCTCGGCTCACTGAAACCTCTGCCTCCCGGGTTCAAGCGATTCTCCTGCCTCAGCCTCCTGAGTAGCTGGGACTGCAGGTGCTTAGCACCATGCCTGGCTAATTTTTTTGTACTTTTAGTAGAGACGGGATTACACTGTGTTAGCCAGGATGGTCTCAATCTCCCGACCTCGTGATCTGCCCGCCTCAGCCTCCCAAAGTGCTGGGATTACAGGCGTGAGCCACTGCACTTGGCCTATATTTAAAAATTTTTAGTTATTTTAAGAAAATATGCAAATACTTATTAGAAGCTTTTAATATAATTGTACTATTATGGAATAATGTTACATTAATTTTATTACTCATACAGCAACTACATAATTTTTTAAAATATTAAAAGTGCAAGTCTAAAATATTTTACTAATTAACCTCTGGTTCCTACATAAATAAACCCTGCTATAACTCAATGACTCCACCAGAGGTCATAGTACTATAAATGGAACCATGAAATCGCTGGTAAATATCTTTTAAATTCCCCTTGAATTTCTAAAATATTGAGACACAAACTACAAGAGCCCTGAGAACTATCACACTTACTGATATAAGATGAAACCAAACACCTCCCTTGGGGATTATGTGAAAGGTAAGCCAGAGAGAGTCATCTGAACATTGTAGAAAAATTAGATATGCAAATAATGTCCACCACTATGTAAATCGTGTTTCAATACAAAGGAAAACAATTACAATAGCAGTATTTCCCATTTCTGCACATTTTTATTAATATTTGTTCATTTGACTTTACAACAGTCCTAGGAAGAAAAGAGAGTTATTATTATTCTCATTTTTTTAAAAAGTAACAACGTTCCAGGAGATTCAGTCAATTTCCACCCTAGTTCTATGGCTATGGTTTACTTTTATAAGCCCTAGTCATAAATGGTAAAATATGAAACAAAAAGCATTTATAAATCTGATTTTTATTTGCTGCTGCATTGATGACATAAATAATGGTTTTTAAAGAACTCAAACAGAATTTAGAACATAGAGACCTGTAGGTTTTCTTTAAAACAATAAATAGAATGCTCTTGGGAGAAAAGCATATAGACACAAATTTTTTAATCTAATAAACTGTACTCCTCAAAGTCATCTATCTTGTTACTATCACTTGCAGCAAGGGAGTCTTGGCACAACTGAGAAATCATAAACTCACAAATATAAAATTTAATGAGAAATCAAATAACATAAACCAATCTCATAAAAAGAAATGAGGAAATGAAATAAAAAGCAGCCAGGAAAAAAAAAATCTGACTTTAGCATTTTTGATTGTTTGCCAGGTCACAGACTGCTATAAAAAAACTTCTATTAATGGATGCAAAATTGAAATATTTGGAGAATGGAAGGAGAGATGGCCAGGGTTAGTATTTTTGTTGGATTGATTATAAAATTTATGACAGTATGTGGCAACACCAACACCATAATGTAAGGATAGACCAGATTTTCAATTATTTTTTATAATATTATTACTAAAATTAAAGTGCAGCATATACCAGAAAGACTTCTAGCATGACAGATAATTTGCATTCATATCTCATCTTTTCAGCTGATTGATGTGCTCTAAGTTACTTCACCCATCTAGCTCTATTTTTCCTCATATAATGCGAGATGCTCATACTAACAAATTAAACATTCCCATAGTAAAAGATTAGTAAGCAAATACTGAAGTACCTTAAAGACATACTTTAAATAAATACAATTCAGTACAACTTTCAGTTGTGTATGAGAGTGCTTCAAATAATAATAATGTTTATAAATATTCAATGAATATTTATTGAGAACTTACCATGCTACATGTGTTGGGTACTGGATACTATTATTAGATAGTCTATAGACAGAAAGATATCAAAATAATATGTACATGAAATTTCTAGCACATTCATACACAGAAATAAGTAGTGTTATCTCATTTAAAAGCGTGGCTTTGCTCAATATGGGCAGGAGAAATTTTAAAACTTTGCTTCTGATCATAAAATCAATAATTATCCATTTTGTAGAACTTGAAAATATATAAAAAGTTCTAAAATGACCAGAAAAATAATCTGAAATACTGATAGATTTCCCCTATTAATATATTTCAAAAAGTTATTAATGTGATATTTACACATACATTATATTTTTGCTTTTTGTTTCATTTGTTTTTCTTTTATAATTTCAATTTTATTTTAGATTCAGGGGGTATATGTGTAGGTTCATAATACGGATATATTGAGTGACACTGAAGTTTGGGGTACAAATGATCCCATCACTAAAGTAGTGAGCATAGTACCTAATGGGGATTTTTTCAGACCTTGCCCACTTCCCTCTCTCCCCAGTCTGTCTGCAGTGCCCATTGTTCCCAACTTATGTGCATGTGTACACAATGCTTAATACATTGTATTCAGTTTTCTGTTTCTGTTAATTCACTTAGGATCATGGCTTCCAACTGTATCTATGTTGCTGTAAAGGAAATGATTTTGTTCTTTGTTATGGCTATGTAGTATTCCATGGTGTCTATGTTCCACATTTTCTTTATCCAATCCACCATTGATGGAGCATCTAGGTTGATTCCATGTCTTTTCTATTGTGAGTAGTGCTGTGATGAACATATGAGTGCACGTGCCTCTTTGGTAAAATGATTTCTTTTCCCTTAGGTATATACCCAGTGATGACATTACTGGGTCAAATGGAAGTTCCGTTTTAAGTTTTTTTTGTTTGTTTGTTTTTGTTTTGAGACGGGGTCTTGCTCTGTCACCCAGGCAGGAGTGCAGTGGTGCGATCTCAGCTCACTGCAACCTCTACCTCCCGGGTTCCAGCAATTCTCTGCCTCAGCCTCCCGAGTAGCTAGGATTACAGGCAGGTGCCCCCACGTCTGGCTAATTTTTGTATTTGTAGTAGAGACAGGGTTTCACCATCTTGGCCAGGCTGGTCTAGAACTCCTGACCTCATGATCCACCAGCCTCAGCCTCCCAAAGTGTTGGGATTACAGGTGTGAGCCACTGCACCTGACCTGTTTTAAGTTCTTTGAGATACCTCCAAATTGCTTTCCACAGTGGCTGAATTAATTTACATTTCTACCAACAGTGTATAAGCATTCCCTTTTCTCCACAGCCTTGCCAGCGTCTGTTGTCTTTTGAATTTTTAATAATGGCCATTCTGACTTGTGTGAGATGGAATCTCATTGTGGTTTTGATGTGTACTTCTTTGACAGTTAAAGATGTTGAGCATTTTTTCATATGTTTGTTGGCCACTTGTATGTCTTCTTTTGAGAAGTGTTATGTTCACGTCTCTTTTTAATGCTGTTATCTGTTTTTTGCTTGTTAAATTGTTTAAGTTTCTTGGCTGGGCATGGTGGCTCACATCTGTAATCCCAGCACTTTGGGAGGTCAAGGCGGGTGGATCACTTGAGGTCAGGAGTTCGAGACCAGCCTGACCAACATGGTGAAACCCCATCTCTACCAAAAAAAAAAAAAAAAAAAAAAAAGCCAGGCATGGTGGTGGGCACCTGTAATCCCAGCTACTTGGGTTGAGATGCTGAGGCAGGAGAATGGCTTGAACCCAGGAGGCAGAGGATGTGGTGAGCCGAGATCATGCCACTGCACTCCAGCCTGGGTGACAGAGTGAGACTGAGTCTCTAAAAAAGAAATTGTTTACGTTTCTTATATATTCTGGATATTAAACCTTTGATGCACAGTTTGCAAATGTATTTTTTCATTCTGTAGATTTTCTGCTTACTCTGTTGATAGTTTATTCTGCTGTGCAGAAGGTCTTTAATTAGGTCCCACTTGTCTATTTTTGGTTTTGTTGCAATTGCTTTTGAGAACTTAGTCATAAATTCTTTCCCAAAGCCAAAGTCCAGAATGGTATTTCCTAGGTTTTTCTAGGACTCTTATAATTTGAGGTCTTACATTTGAGTCCTTCATGCATCTTGAGTTAATTTTTGTAGATGGTGAAAATTAAGGGACCAGTTTCATTCTTCCACACATGGCAAGCCAGTTAGCACAGCATCATTTATTGAATAGGGAATCTTTTCCCCATTGCTTATTTTTGTCAATTTTGTCAAAGATCAGATGGCTGTAGGTGTATGGGTTTATTTCTGAATTCTCTATTTTGTTTCATTTGTCTATGTTGGGGTGATCAGACCCAACACCAGGTCGTGGGGGTGACAAAGTCCGGAAGAGTCAAAGGATTCAGAAAAAGACAGTTTGAGAGATAAAGGTGGGACCCAGGGGGCCATGACTATTGTGGAGGCTGCGAAGGCCCTGAGCTCTGGGAGCCCACCCTATTTATTGGTAATCCAACAAAGAAACAGGTGGTGAGAATGTGGAGGTCAAAAGGTCACATTGCATTAAGCACATGATTTACGCTGTGATGGTTTAGTATTTGCTCTGCTACTTGAGATAATGGAGAGCAGGTTCTTTTAACTCAAGATACAATCGATCCTGGAGAGCAAGGAGCAAGGAGCCAGCAAGTCTAGACACATTCCAGAGCCACAAGCCCTGGATTCTATCCAAGCTACAAGGTATTTTATGCCCTGGGCTTAGATTATGGTGTGTCAGGGTAGCCTTCCACCCTTTAGCACAGAGCTTGGTGTTCCAAAGGCCACAAGGGGTTTTAGACCCTGGACCGTGGACATGTTCCAAGACTCTTTTACATTATGTCAGACATGCAAGCCCTGCCTCAGCTTCTCCCAACACTCAGCTTTTCCCAACAGTCTATGAGTCTGTTTTTGTACCAGTACCATACTGTTTTGTAGCCTTAAAGTATAGTTTGAAGTCAGGTAATGTGATGCCTCCAGCTTTGTTCTTTTTGCTTATAATTGCTTTGGCTATTTGAGAAATTTTTCGGTTCTATGTGAATTTTAGAATAGTTTTCCAATTCTGTGAAAAATGATATTGGTTGTTTGATAGGAACAGCATTGATTTGGGCTTATGGTCATTTTAACAATATTGATTCTTCCAATCCATGAGCATGGATTGTTTTTCCATTTGTTTGTGTCATCTGTGAGTTCTTTCAGCAGTGTTTTGTATTTATCTTTGTAGAGATCTTCTCCTCCTTGGTTAACTGTATTCCTAGATGTTTTATTTTTTTGTGGCTATTGTAAATGGAGTTAATTTCTTGATTTGGCTCTCAGCTTTGAATATTATTGGTGTGTAGAAATGCTACCAATTTTTGTACATTGATTTTGTATCCTAAATCTTTTCTGAAGTCATTTTTCAGTTCTAGGTGCCTTTTGGCAGACCCTTTAAGGTTTTCTAGGTATAGAATCATATCATCAGTGAAGAGAGATAATTTGACTTCTTATTTTCCTGTATGGATATCTTTTATTTCCTTCTCTCACCTGATTGTTCTGGCTAGGACTTTCAGGACTATGTTGAATAGGAGTTGGTGAGAGGGCTTTCTTGTCTCGTTCCTGTTCATAAGGGGAATGTCTCCAGCTTTTACTTATTCAGTATAATGTTGGCTGCAGATTTCTTATGGATGATTCATTATTTTGAGGTTTGTTTCTTTGATGCCTGGTTTGTTCAGGGTTTTTATCATGAAGAGATTTGGATTTTATCCAAAGCATTTTCCGTATCTATTGAGATGATCATATGGGTTTTTCTTTAATTGTTTATCTGGTGAATCACATTTATTGATTTGCATATATACATACATTTAAAAGGCAAATAATGCTAAAAGCAGTCCTCAGCTTTAAACCTTTATACCACCCTCATTTGTGATCTCTGGGGTAAATCCCTTTGAACACTTTTAGCTACTTTATTTTTCTGATATTTATTTCAACATATTTAGATAATAGTGTTTGTGGCACTTACTGATTTTTCGATACACCATATATCAATTTCATTTTATTTTACACCATGATATGTTTTCTGTATCTATCACCTTCATCTTTTTCTCCATAGATTGTTTTGGTTTTTTATTGCTGCCTGCCATGACAAGTTATCACAAAGTTTGCTTCAAAAACACAAAATACCATCTCACAGTTCAGGTAGGTCAACTAGTTTATTCCCTGGGTCTCACCAGCCCCAAATAATGTTTTCCAGCCTGGGCTAGTATCTGGAGATTCTTGGGTAGAATCTGCTTCCAGTCTCTGTTTGGTGGTTTATAAAATTCAGTTACCTGTGACAGCATTCCAAGATTCTCATTTTCTTCTTGGATATCAGCTGATGACAGTTCTTTACTTTTAGATGCTTCTCCCTGTTCCTTGCACATGGTTTCCTATATCTCAGAACCAGAGCAATAAAGGTGTGAACATAAAGAGGAAGGAATCACTATAGGTAAACTTAGAGACTGCCACATTCTGCCATCCAGCCCCCAGTGCTTCACAGTCCTTTCACATGCTAAATGCACTCATCACCTACCAAGTTTCCTAACAGTGTCATCCCCTTACAGCATTTGCTCAAAGTCCATAATCTCATCATCTAGATCAAGTCCAGGTAGAGATGAGACTCCTGGTTATAAACTAGTAACTACAGCTTTTTGGGTACAATTATTTACCATCTGTGGACCTGTAAAACTAAAGAGAAAAATGGTCATTCCCAAACACAGCTAATCAATAATGGGACATGTATAGAACAATAGCTATAGTTATTCTGGATCAGAAATGGAAAAGTGAAGGTAAAAAGGAGTCACTGGTCCATTACAGTTTTGACATTCATGCGGACAAATTCCAGCCATAGTTATTGGTTTATAGGTTTCAAAGCCTAGGAATAATCTTCCCTGACTCCTACTTCTACTATTTGGGCTCTTGGTTTTGCCTTCTGAGTCAAACTTCCCTTTTACATAAAAAGCAGCATGTATTTATAAATAAATTATATCAGCCTAATTTCTGCCAGTAGAATTCTGGAGTTCCAACAGTCTCTTTTTATTTTGCACTCTTTTTGTCTTGTTCAGTCCAAGCAGGTAGTTTCTTGCTGAAATAAATTTCTTAAAAATTATGTAGATCCAGCCGGGCGCGGTGGCTCACGCCTGTAATCCCAGCACTTTGGGCTGCCGAGGCGGGCAGATCACGAGGTCAGGAGATCAAGACCATCCTGGCTAACACAGTGAAACCTCGTCTCTACTAAAAAATACAAAAAAATTAGCCGGGTGTGGTGGCGGGCGCCTGTAGCCCCAGCTACTCAGGAGGCTGAGGCAGGAGAATGGCGTGAACCTGAGAGGCGGAGCTTGCAGTGAGCAGAGATCGCGCCACCGCTCTCCAGCCTGGGCGACAGAGCAAGACTCCGTCTCAAAAAAAAAAGAAAAAAAAATTATGTAGATCTCCATGTATTTCATTGGTTTTCACTCCTTTATGATATTCTATGAAATAATGACAGGATGGAGAAGAATGGAAATCAGGATAAAGGCCACAGTTTAAGAGACTAAAGTTATATTTTAGTCTTTTCTATACGAATTCAACTTATCTATGATTTCTCTTTATGATGGAAATACAAAAACAATAATAAAGGTATATTCTAAGTCAATATCTACATACTATGTGTGAAAGGCTGTATTAGGTTTCTCCAATAAAGTTACCACATCCAGAACCAAAGCAATAATTTATATCAACGTCTGAACAATTAGTTAATTTTTATAACTCTTTTTGTTTTTGCATTGGCCAAACAGATAAGTTAAGTGTGGATGTGGTAAGAATCACCATATTTCTCAATTTACTGCCTATTATCTTGGCAATTTTTCCAAGGTAGGTAGTATCATTTTTAGTTTGCCATCTAGTGAGGGCATTTATATAGAACAATTTTGTATTCTTCTCACCAAAATAATACTTTAACACCCTTCCCACCTCTGTAAGTTTTTGTGAGAAGTGCAAAGATTCTGACAGAAACTAAGTATATTTATTTCCCAATATATTTTCTAGGACTGAGTAAATAACCCCAGTAAGCCTCCATGGTTCCATTGGATCCCTGTGAGACTGACTTAGGTCAACTCTTCAATTGTCACTCAACTACATTAATTCATGTCTTGTAACATTTAGGGTCTTTTGGGATAAGCACAAAAAGTCTATATCAATTAACTCTAGGAATATCTGCAGGGGAAAGGGGGTATTTTCTCAGTGTATAATCAACTTGGTGATTCTTCATGTTCCTTTGAGAAAGTCTCGAGTGAACTTTAATCGCTAGATGGTAATTTTAGTGGCTCAAGTAACTCGAGTAACTTTAGTGGCTAAACCCATGGCTAGATGGTAGGATCTTTGACCTAGGATCTCAGCCTTTCTTTATGTAGCACTCAGTTTGTTAGTGGGCTTAAGCCCCTACATAAAGTAAGAGTACATAAATCTCTACAATATAAGCTAGATTCAGATTTCTGACCAAAATATTTGAAATTTCCACCTATAAATGTCAAGCAGAACCACATCCAGCTGCAAATTTCATTTAAGGATCCCGTGATTAGTTAGAACTGTCATAAATACTTGTATGTTCAAACAGTCTGGTTTCTATATAATCTTTGTAGTTTATTAATTGCTTCTACCTTGCCTATGATATTTAAGCAATAGCACCAAGCTCTGTCACACTGGGATCTCATTTTTTTTGCACTGAAATCATGGAATTTAGCCCTATTACAGCACCATTTTCACCTTCTTTCTCACTTAATTTCTCATGTACAGAGGAAAATCAGTGGTTTCTCTAGAGATACTGGTATGCTGTAACCAATATATTTCTTAATTCTTTAATGAAGGGCATGACCTCTCTTACTGACAGGGGGTGTGGCTTACAGGTAGCTGAGAATATTTCTTATAATAAATTCATTCCAAGATACTAATTTCTGGGACCTTTCAGATTCCTTTCTCTGCAGTGTGACAAGGAACTTCTGGCATAAAGTCTCATTAAGTAAAGGCCACATTGCATCCAGGCTTCAACTACCCAATCAAATCAACTATTAAATCTAGTCTCCAGTGTTGAGGCCACTAATTAAAAACAGAATCCCTGGTAAGTGCACCCCTGTCAAGGACAGGCCTTCAGGTAATATGAGGGACTGGATTGGATACCAAGGAAAAATGCTTCTAAATGTATAAGACCATTTCTTTACAAGAGAAGCATGTTACCTGAAAGAGTAAAAGGTATTTAGAGAAACATGAGGTTCAAAGTTCTTAGCTTCATCCATGAGTGTACATATGTAACAATCCTATGTCTCAAGTTCCTGCTGCTTCTTCAACAGTGTTCACATTAGTGTAAGAGAGCTGGTGAAACTGAGCATTTATTTGGTACTTCAAGGTCTTTAATCATTCCAATCAGTAGCCACATTTGGTCCTCATAGGACAGATAACATCTTCCTTTAAAGCTGCTATGGAGGACTTCCAATTTTAATCAGATAACTTTAATTACATGATAATAGTTTTGACTTTTTTCTGTCTATGTGATTCCTAGAGCTAGCCTAAGAAGATATGTGATTCCACAATTTTTATAGTCACCTATATTGCCCTAATGATTTGTTGCTACAGCTATGTGATTTTCCAAAGCCTGGCCTTCTACCTGCATTTCATGTCATGCTGTCAGTTGAGGTAAGGATTAGACATGTCTCATTTTCTCTAGACAAGAAAATTATTCCTCTGTTCCTTCAAAGTATGGACCAGCCTAATCTCAGAAATGTATTCGATTGCTACTTTTCTGATCACTTGCAGGACCAATTAGCCAACAATTAGTTTTTTCATTAAGAAACAGATAGCATACTTGAAACAAGATAATTTGAGGAGTGCTTCCTTATAAAGAGGTAATTCACAACTGTAGCAATGGAAAGAAGCTACAAACGTTATACATTAATGAGAGATATAACTGTTACCACTCCTGGACCCAAAGACACAATAGAAGTAATAAATTGCCTGAATTCTGATGGAGAAAGTAGTTGTATTAAGGTTTTAGGTCACACACACAAACACACTGGGTGGCTTAAAAAAACCAAAATATACTGTAACCATTCTGGAGGCTAGAAGTCCGAAATCAAAGAGTCAGCAGAGCCGAGCTCTCTCTGGAGATTCTAGAGGAGAATCTACCCTTGCCTCTTCCTGGCTTCATGAGGTTGTACAGGAACATGTTTGATGTTCTTTGGCTTATAGCTGCATAAGTACAATATCTACCTCCATCTTCACATGGCTATCTTCCCTGTATTTATTTATGTCTCTGTGTTTTTTTCTCTTCTTATAAAGACAAGTCATATTGAATTTAGGGCCCGCCATATGCCAGTATGACCTCATTTTAACTAATTACATTTACAGAGATGCTACTTCCAAATTAGGTCACATCTGGAACTCTGAGAAGCACATAAATTTTGTTTGGGTGGAAAGGGGAGTGACTACTACGCAACCCAATACAATTATATAGAGTATGTGCTTGAAAGGAGCTTTATCCTTCATACAAGTGATACAACTAACTTGAGTTGACCTAGGAATGATGAAGCTTGGAAAATAAATATGCTGATTCTACTCTTTCACTCCATCTAGATCTCTTGCCAGACTTCACATTGACTAGAATCTAGAAGACATAGAGCCCATTTGTCAGACACTTGGGCAGAAAGCCAGGTGGAGGGAGGTATTAAGTGAATCTTAAAGAGCAAAAAATATTCATCACATGCCTAAAGGCACCCACAGAAGTCTAAATAAACTTACTAGGTTTCTAAACATTATGAAAAGTATACAAAAATTAAGTACCCATTGTAATAGAATGATAAAAGTAGGGGGATATTGTCTAAACTTCAAAAGCACAGAATTTTAAAATTGCTATTGATAGAATTTGTCCATCTTTACTCTAAAATTTTATTTGCTCTTTATAGTCTCAAGAAGTAGAAAGTGATAGATACTAGAGAGAAAAGATGTTTAAGAAAAGACTATTAAATTAACATATTTTGAAAGTCTAATCATATGGAAGGCCACTAATGTTATAGGTTAACTGAAAAACACAATTAATTTTCTGGGGATGCTTAGGAGTAATAAAGTGACTATCATCCCTCTTTGGGAATGACAGAGACAAGACATTTGAAAACTGATTATGAAAACATCTTCATGAGTTCTTATCTTCCAGTCAAATATAACTATATTTTGGGGAGCCTTTTCAAAATGATGACTGATATGGCTTAGAATAAACCAAGCTCCTATTATCCAAAGTGAATGAGCATTTTCAACAGAAAAAAAAATCATTAAACTATTTATTCATTAAAAGGAAAACAATAACATTTAAGTTAAGATGATGTCAATGCAGGAATCTCTATTGTATCATCTCTCTATACATGAAAATATTATTAGAAAACTACTCAACAATGAAGTACTCATATCAGCACTGAAAATTTAGACTAGCAGTCTTACATTCACCAGTGTCAAGGAAGAATGTCTACTAGGAGCAAGATTTAGTGGCCTCTCTTTGTATACTTCAGCCTCTGAATTAAAACACCAATTAACAAAACTAGCCTTAGGCTCTGCTTATCCCCATTTCTTACCTTAACTGAAAGTCAAGGCTGTGTTTCAGTCAGAAACCCGGTAAAGGAATACTGCTTTCCTAAGTATCCATTGCCCCACCGCATTGCCCTGCCGGGACTCCCTCCCTCTCTACATACATTTAGACACTACACATCTCATGACTGGGATAAAAGAGAACAGATATTGACATTTGGCATTCTCAAGTCAGAACGCTTTCATCTAAAGCACTGTAGCTGACAGAGAGGAATAAAAGTCATTTATAATGTGTGTGATGTCTGTGTGCACACTTTCCTGCTCTGCAAAGATCAAAGGGAAGCTATATTATCAGGGACATAAATTATCCTCCTTATTGTCAGAAATTATGTAAATAGCCTTAATTTAAGCATAAAAGTTTATAATGTCATACACCAAAACAACTACAAAGGTCACTGGAATGTATATAGTTTAGTTTTAAATTTTTATCACAAATGTTTGTATTTTCAAGTCATTTTACACTATTTCTATATATTTTTTGTTAAGAAAAAGAAAACACATTTGAAATGAAAGAAATGGAAAAAAAGAAACGCAGAAAAGAAGAAAGCAAAAATAAAAGATTTAAAAACTGCTGTCTGAATATATTATTGAATTTTTGTAGCAGTGGTTGAACAGACCAGTGAATTCATAATAACCCTCATAACATAGAACATAATTTTTGAACTTGTACCTTAAAACAAGAAAGTTGTGCCAGTGTTTGTATCTTAATTCTCTGATATTTTGCTCACAACCTAGTAACTGCATGCCTTCTGCTACACAGACTGTAGTTTCCCAGCACTACACTACAATGTATTTTAGCTTCAAGTGTGATGCTATTTTTGTTTTGTTTTGTTTTTTCAGCCAAGCTAACATATTTGAACCTTACTTATTTGAAAACCAGATGTTTCTCTAATGCTTTAAGACTTAGTTCAACCGGCGCGGTAGCTCAAGCCTGTAATCCCAACACTTTGGGAAGCCGAGGTGGGTGGATCACTTGAGGTCAGGAGTTTGAGACCTCGGCCTCCCAAAGTGCTGGGATTACAGGCGTGAGCCACCGCGCCTGGCCTGTAATTAATACTATTTTGAATTTATGTGCAATGACCAGATGTACATACACAGGTGAGAGAGTGTTTAACCCTGCCTCTAAAGGAGGAGAAAAGATTTAACCAAAGAAATAATATTAGAATTAACTCTTGAAGGATTCATGCACCCATTTATTTGTTTATGCACTCTTTTTATAAGAACTCCTATGTTCTCTTTTTTGAGAACCCCTATGTTCCAGGCATTGGGATAAGTAATAAAGATATAATTTCCCTGATCTATTACAATCTAATATAGGAGACAGAAATGACTTAAGTAATCTTCTTAATGAATATATACAGTGTAAAGCATATTATATGAAGACAAAGAATGTGCATCCATAAAAACATGTAAAATGATACACAAAAGTACCCCAAGAAACTGTTGCTTAAGCATGCTAGAGTTAATTAGGCAGAGGGAAGGATGAAATTTTAAAAAGAAAATTTTATATACAAAGACTGTTTGATATAAGGAAGTAGGACACACTCAAAAACTGATTTTTAAAAACCACCAAAACCACAACAAAAAGCCTTATAGTGGAGCGGAGTACTGAAGGAGGATAATACAAGGTGGGCTGAAACCCTAGTCAAGACCAGTTAGACAAGACTTGTAGGCCATGTTAAAAACTATATAATAACAACAGTGAACACCATTGAGAGGTTTTAAATGGAATTCTACTGCTCTAAGAAAATAATTTGGCACAATCCTGACATGAAAGTAAGAATGCAAGTGGCATATTCAGAGAAGGGGAACTAGGTGAATATAACTAGAGGAAGTTGGAGATTTGGAGATGACCAAGACATCCTTGACATTCCTCTCCCAGCAAGTTGAGAAAACTTTTAGACAAGCTTCTTACTGATTTTAGGCCCCTGGCCAATTTTTTTAGAGCACTTATTTAAAAAACCTGTCATTGTAAGTTCTTTCTCTGCCCCTTGGACATGTGAATATTTTTAAAAGCTCCTTGTCAATTTTTTTCAATGCAGCAATGTCATTCCTTGATATGTGATTATCAAGGAAGAAAACACCCCTATCTCAGTTTCTGTGGGAGGGTAGGAGCCTAAATTTAGCAGGTTCCTTGCTCCAAGTTGTAAAAACTATTCCTGTCATGAAGCTATGAGAAAGTTAAATTTAACTTTGGGTAAAGCCATTGGTAAATATAGATGGCCTATGACCCCTCATCCCCAGCCCAGCTCTTAAAAGCTCTCCAGGCCCGTGTTTTAGTAGAGTTGAGCTTGAAGTGAGTTCAGGCCTTTCTCCACTATTGTGATTGTCTTAGTCTTTCCTGCCTTTGATATTGTCTCATACGGGTTTTGCTTTGACAGAAATGAGACCAGAAAACATCAAACAACAAATTAAAGAGCTTGATTCTATTATTATGCAATGTGAAAGCAGCCAATAGTTTTAAGCAAAAATAAGGACCATATAATTTAGAAAGATACTTTTTGGGACAATGTAGAAGAAAGAAAAGTAGGTAAAGGATATATTGAGAGCACAAAAGGATCTGAAATTGGCTGGATTTGAAAGACAAGTTAGAAAAAAATTCAAATCTGAAAATATAAGGTTTATAACTTAACTGAATGGATGGATACTGATGCCATAAGTTATTTTTCTTTGTACATGTTTTCCTTGCCTGAAATGCTCTATTCCCAAACTTCTCCATATGGCAAATTTCTTCAAGATCTTCCTTATATGTTATTTCATCTTATGGGTTTCCCTAATGCTTCCAAGTGTAATTAGTTGTTCCTTCCTATGGATTCCAGAGTGCATTAGACATACTTGCACACAGTGATGTCTATCACCCTGATTATCTATTTGTTCACTTGCTAGTGTGCCGTATTTTATGTAGAAGGAAATGACTGGGTCTTATTCATATTTGACCTTTCAATGTCTAGCATTGTACCTATTATATAAAAGTTAAAGTCACAGGAATAGGCAAGTAAGACTAATGATAAAGTCACAAGTCTATAAGTGAAAGTAAAAGGAGGCCAGTTGCCATGGTATGTTGCAAGGGAAGGAACATGGATGATCATGGAAGAAAGACATGTGGTTTTTGTTTTAATGTACCAAGTAATGTAGTATTTGAAGCTACCAAAGCTGTAGGATTTGAGCAAAATAAAACAGAAGCAGTGAAAGGACATTTTTAACAAAACTGACTGAAAGTTGAACTGTAACTATTAATAAATACAGTCACAGGGAATACCTCCAGAAGACTTGGAAGATGAGTGAATGCACAGATCTCTAGAAGTACATGGAAACAACCTAGCCCTTAGAGATGTGATGTTATGGTGTGACTGCAGAGTTGCATTAAGAAGCAAATATTACATTTCATTAAGAAGCAGAGTTGCATGGAGAAGCATTAAGATGCAAAGATATTTAAGAGAGGTTTGTCTTACGATAGAGACATCTACCTTTACGTTTTAGAGCGAGGAGAAAATTAACCACTGAAGGCAAGAAGAAGGGCCACATCATTGGAGAGGCCAAAGATGAAGTTGAGATCATTGCTGAGCTTTGCTAAGGAGGTTATTTCAGCTGCCTTAATAGAGGAAGATAATTGACACATGCTGGGAATGTAAGGTTCTTGCATAAAGTTTTGTGTGAAAGAACATTCCTTATAATAATTTGGAATCTCAAATTATTGCTATATGGGACTCAACATATTAGAAAGTACTCAATAAGTGTTTGTTAATTTGAATTGAATTGACACATAATCTATAGTCTAGTGATTTATTTTAGATACATAACTTCAATCTTGGTAATATTGCCTTATTTAATTTAATCAGATATCTAAGTAAAATGTTTCCTATAGAAAATACTAATTAAACAATTTAATGATCTGACTGTCTACATACATAAGGGATAAATTAGCCCAATATCTAGCATATAATACTATTCAAAGAAAAAACTAGTTGCCTCCCCTTGTCTTTTCTTCCCCGTAACAAAAGCACCTAAGGAAATACCCAACATGTTATTATACTTCAATAAATATTGGAATGAAATATAGAATATTTGCTAATATTTAAACTGTCAATTATAAATAAAACCTAATTCAAACACAAATATTCTTTAAGAAATTTGAAGTTTTCTAAACTTAATTATATATAACTATATACATAATATATATCATTGCACCATATATATGGTATAAAAAATTGAATGATCCCAAAGTAATATGTTTAATAAAAGTTGGTAAATATATTGTTAAAGAATATAGTGTTGCAACATTTTCTATCTTTAAAATTAAAAATTATGAATTCTGGGTAGCTGGCATCATAATTGACCCATCTGAAGAATCTATACCTACCTTTCAGTGAGTTTTTGCTCTTGTGAAACATAAAATATTTTGTCTTTATTAAATTTTAATCATGTCTTTATTGCTTTGGTGAGTTTGCTTAAGTAAAAATAATTTTATTAAATTTGTTAAGCCATTTAAGGTTATGTTAAGCCATTTAAGACTATGTTAAGCCATTTAAGGTTGCCTGTTTGACTCCACTTAAAAAAAAAGTCATGGTATAAAATTGACATCCCACAAATAGCTTAGCTAAGAAAGATACTATAAAACAAAAATGTTAGTGTTATCTAATAGGTGTAGTATAATAGATAATGAAGATTAATGGCATATTTAATGATATTGTACTTACGATAAACATGCCCATCATTATAAGTTCAACCATGGCAGAGAGGAATATCTCAGTATATGAAAATGTTAAAGTTAAAATGACACCTGAAAGTCACCCTATTAAATTCTTCTTGTCACAGATGAGTGCACTGCATCCTTCAGATATTAGGTTTTATGTGCAAGTTTTCAAAGCAAGTTAACGACATAGCCAACCTATACCCCAGGATACTACACTGTCAATCCAGTTTCTTACTCTCACTCAGTCCCAGTTTTTCTCAGCTGTAAAAATAGGGTAAAAATACCTAAAGATCTTATTTTAAAGGAAGAAATGAGATTTCATAAGTCCATAATAAATGATTGTTGCTGGTCTTATTATGCCACCTGCCCCAAATTAACATCATTGTTTCCCAGCCTCAAATGAGGAATATTAACAATAAGAGAAAACAATAATCTGAATTCAGGAGCAATCTGTTTTCTAAATATCTGTGGTTAATTTATTCAATGAAATCAAAGCATTTCTCATAAATTTATTTTCTCCAAAAGCAGAAATCATTAGTATAATTACCTTTTGAAATATGATAAATTTGATAGACGGTTTGCATTTCCTTATCTATAAAGCAAACTGGTATGCAAGATAAACAAAAACTTCATACCTGATTTTCTGACTTTCCAAAACATCAAGATAGTTCTATTTATCTCAAGATTAGGAGTAGGTGAAAAATCTTAAAATAATATATTCAGTTTAGTATTAAAATAAAATTTCCTTTTGTTATATTGATTTATTTATATAATAAATAATACTTTACAGGAAATAAGGAAACAAGGAGAAAACAAAATCAAATATATTAGGCCATAATAATTGATTAAAACTTTAAAACTCTAAAAATTCCACAAAGAATGAGAATCATTGCTGAAAACAATCATTTCATTCAGTCAATCCTGTACCCAACATTTAAGTTAGTCATTTTCTCTCTATCATATGAAAATTATAAAATTCAATAGTATATTATAAAATTCAATAGCCTTAATCTTGGGTGAAGAACATTATTTAAGTGAAATACCAATTAACTTCTGTTTCTCCTTTTGGGTAAGACTGACAAATGATCTTCTCGTCCCAAACCAGGGATTAGGTCCCAAAGAAGTTCAAAATGCTAAAACAGGACCAAAAAATAACTGGGTCTAAGTAGGTGCTACGAGCAGATCTAGGCAGGATTAATGGTGATGGATAGCAACAATAAAAGGATTAGAAAATAATGAGAAGCAGAAGAACTGGGATAGAGAAAAAGAAGGGGTGAAGATGAACAACCAAGCACACTGAGAATGAACTCAGTTATACCCAGAAGTTCTCTTTCCTTTGCCTCTTATGAGTGATGCAATCCCTTCTTCCAAATCCATGAAAAAACTCATGTGAATACAAGTCTCTCTATAAAAAAATACCATAACTAAAGTCTTATTACTTGATATTTAATTTATGGCCATTTTACCGTCAAAATTTAATTTTAGCTAAAATATTTTTAAAGGCATTCTATTTGTATAAACAAAATCATTTAAAAGAACTTACAGCCTTCCTTAATTGCTTGCTCACTTTATTTTATAAATATTGATAAATGAAACAGTTAGGGACGTGGCAGGAAGGACCTGGCATGCTCAAACAGAATAATTGAGGCTTGCAATACGGAAACTATTGATATATGTGTAGGCAGGGATAGAAACTCAACAGAGTGTGTGAAGTACCATGGAAATGGCAACAGCAGGGATACACTATTACCCATAGTCCTTAGCATGCCTTAATTAATTGTTGTTACCCAAGAAGTACTAGAAGCTTCAGGCAAGAGCTGAGAGGAGCTATGGATTTTTAAAAGGTATGTAGTCAATTTCTAGTTACCCTGCAAAGAACACCAAGGGTACCATGACCTCGAGGTCTTTTACAACCTAATTATTTGGCTGGTAGCTCCCAATAGCCAAACCCAGCTGGAAGCTACAGGAGTAGAGAGCTTGTTAATGCAGTCCATATAGGCCAGGCTTCTGGAGCAGAAAGCAGAAAGAAGACTGGAGAGTGGATCCACATGGGCACACATTATATCCAAAAAGGTGCTACTATAATAGTGTGGGTTTATGTCAATCTGAACACACTCCTACCTAAAACCTAAAATTTTAGCCATGACAAATGGCCATTGAATATGGTAGCAGAGAATACAATGGGGAAAGGAAAATATTAAGTAACAAAGCAGTACTGCTGCAATCCCTGCATCATAAGGTCTAATTTGGTAATCAGAATTTCCCTCTACTGCAAAGTACATGCCTTCTGTTATTTCTGGCATCACCTCTGCAGGAAGTGTTTATACACCTACTGGGTTAAACCAAAACTTCATTCTTGTAATGCCTGAGTCCTTGGTGATCCTGTCTTTATTGGCCTGCTTAAATTTTCTATTGATCAGGACGGTTGGGCAAGAAAGTACTAGGAAGCGCCTCAATGAATCCTATAGATCCTAGGCATGGTTCTAATTGTCCCATTGATGGCAGTGGCAGGCCCTCTGGAGTGGCTGCTGCTATCACGCCAGCTACAGCAGAGAGGCATAGCCAGAACTGCATGCTCCATTGAGCCAGTGGCAGCTGGGGACAAACAGGAACCCAGGACCGAGCCTGAATGCTGTTCTATTTAATCCAACTGCTTCTGTGTCAACTGTAAAAATGGTGACTTTTGTAGTTGTGAATTCCTTGCTCATCTTTCCATAAGTCCCTTCGTAAAAGAGAATGCTGTGTGGGATATGATTACAATGTATCCATTTTGTAAGTCCACAAACGGTGGTGCTGGCAGAGCTTCAATGGATAGAAAGGAAATTCTGAATAGAAAATACATATCTGTTCCTATAAAGATTAATTTCTGTTTCTCCTTCCATAGTCCACCTGTAAAAGTGGGGTCAAACATAAACAATCTTCTCTATTGACCCCTATTTCCTCCAGAAATGAGCTTATTGAGGGCTTCAGCATAAGCCTCTGCTTTTGGCAGGATGGATACTCAGCAATGTTAGAAATCAGATCAGTCTTAATAAAAAGAAATCCATGCTGTTAAACCCATGCATACCCTCTATACTTGTCATGGTATTTTGTACTTTAATTTATTGACTAAACACTGGAGTGGCTAGAAAAAGAGGCTGTTTGACATACACAAGACAGCCTATCGTGTCCATATGATTACTGAGATTCATCTCTGCTTTAGATGGACATTTACATTGGCTAAGAATATCTTGACATTCTGTTCCAGTTCCAAGATGTTCACCAACATTTCTCCCATCAATATTCCAATTCTGAAATCTTTGTCATCAATATAAAATATTTGTCATCAATATTTCAATTCTATTCTTACTATCCCTGGACAATATATCATAAACTTTGGATGAATTAGTATAGATCAGTACTTTGTGTCAGTCTTGTTCTCACAAAGTAGATACAGACATAGGACTTAAGGACTTGCCTTTCACCATTACTTTCAGGGCTACCCCTGAGTAGGTAGTACATATAGTGGCCATTCACATTCAGTTGGTGCTGGCATACCAGAAGTTGCAGGGAAATATTCATGAGGCAGTAGGTATCAATTGAGATAGAAGCTATAAACCTACATATAGCCTAAGAATCTAAGCCACCTGCTCAGGCAGTTTACTTGTGTTTTCTAGACCTGTGTTTTCTAGACTTGGGTTTTCTAAGACCCAAATTTATATATGCCATTTTCTAACTTACAGCAGAATGTTGCTGCACACATCCAATTTTATAACGCAGTAGATCAGATAATGCCCAGTATATGATGGATGGTTCAGATCACATAGTCTATTGGGACTTTTGATCAGGCATTCAGTATCCATGAGGGTTTAGTATCATGCCACAAATTGATTTTCAAATGAAATAAAATTATTGGCAAAAGAAGGGATAACCTCAGATGAAAATCCTTGGGATATACATTCTGATATTCCTATTCTGGCTTGCTTAATGTTCCATATAGTAGAATTTCTCTCTGCCACAGGCACTCCTTGTTTCCTTAATTTAGCCAACTTGTAAGGCCCAAGTACTATGCAGCTTGTACCACAGTGTGGCCTGATTTAAGCCTCTTTTTACTCTACCCCACTCAAAATTGGCAAATTACTGGTTACCAAGAAAATGGAACACAGAAAAAAAGAAAAAAAAATACAATATGATGCATCTTGCTTCCAAAACCCAAAAAAGTCTCTCAGTTTTAATGTTTTGAGATAGCAGATAGCAGGTTCACTTTAGGATGGATATGCAAATGTATACCAGGCTGCCAGACCATTACAAGTTATCCCAATGTGACAGGTGCCTGAATTTTTATAGATTTCATCTTTTATCCTCAATCATACCTGTATCTTACTAATGCAACTCAGTGGTTACTGCTTCCTGCTCATCAGGTTGAATTACTACATCTTCAATATAATAGATTAGCATGATGTCCCATGGAATATCAAGATGATTAAGATAACTCTAAAATTTGCTGTGATACAGAAAATGAGAATTGACATAGTCTTGAGGTAATGTGAAATATTGTTTTGTTCTGTAAAGTGAAATTGATTCTGGTTATCTTTGTTGTTAGGTTTGGGAAGAGAAAGCATTTTCTAGGTAAATAACTGTATTCCAGGTGCTAGATGTGCTTTTTGTTTTTTGCTGTTTGTTGTCATTGTTAATTTCAATAACAAAAGCTCATCTAAGACCACAGTTACAATTAGCATCACTACCTGATGAACTTTGTGAAATCTGGTCATTCTTTAGGTGAGCTGAATATGAGTGTTGGGTAATTCTTTAACCATGCTTCTTTCAAATCTTTTAAGATGACATAAAATAAAACAACCTCCCAGTATTGTGCTTAACTTCCTTGCAAAGAAGGGAACAATTCCAGGTGCTTCCAGTTGGCCTTTCCTTTAGGCTAACACTACATGGGCCAGGAAATCAATATGGGGGTTCTGCCAGTTATCCTATATGTCTGTCTATTCCCTCTATGCATTCTGGGAATGGGAAAACAACCACAGAGTGCATTCACAGTGCCACTGGACCAACTGTTAGAACTGGTCAACTCATTTCATCACCTTCATAAGACTTTATTATGACTGGATGATCATAATGGCATTGAGGATTAGCATCAATTCAAAACTAGTATCTATTAAGCTCTGAAAATTCTAGATGTTTCACTTTCACAAATGCATAGTCACTCTGGTAAATGGCTACAGATTCTTCTGGGGAAACGTTGGATGAAGATGTATGGTCTATAGTGATTTTCTTCAAATGGGCCTATCCTCTCCCTCAAAAATGGAACTTGATATGTAAACTGCCTTAATTCAAAGACATAGGCAAAAGGTTGTGGATCCCAACTGTGGCAATGCATGTCAGAATTCTTCCCATCAAACCTAAAATAATGTGTGTGTGTGTGTGTGTCTCTGTGTGTTGTGTGTGTGTGTAGTCAATCAGTATTATCTACAGAGTTCATATTCGTGAATCCATCTTCCTCTCTAAAATTTATTTAAAACTCCCAAATCACTAGTCATGAGGCTTTTGCAGTCAGTTGCTAACATATGCAAAGTGTAAAAAAAATTGGGTCACCTGAAGCCCACATACCCAGCTCAGTTTAAACTAGCTGATTTTCTGCCTTCTTGTGTCACCTTTGATATGTAAACCAGTGCTCTTTTGTCAGTATATTTGTGTCACATTTTTCACATTTTTGTGCTTCTTATTGATGATTTTGCTGCTTACAATGATCCCTGAGCACAGAGCTGAAGTCCTGTATAGTGCTCCTAAGTTCAATAAGGCTATGATACGCTTTACGAAGAAAATAGCGTGTTAGATAAACTTCATACATATGTAAATTATAGTGTTGTTGGCCATGAGTTCAATGTTCATGAATCAACTATATATAGTAAATAAAGTGCCTTTAAACAAAAACACATTAAATAGGGTTGTCTGATAATTAGTTGATGAAATATTGTGAACAGAAGCTCACAAGAACATATCCCTGTATTTACCTTTGGAGCAATAGTACAATATTCACTTAATTAAGTGTTCATGGCAACTTTATAGAATATAACTACTGCAAATAGTGAGTATAATGAGAATTTACTGTGTGAGTGTAGTGTTATCTCATATGTAGTTTTATTTATGTAATAGCATATAGAATCAATATAAATCTTGATATATGTTATACATATCATATATAAATCAAGAAGCACATTGGTAGTCTGCTTATTGTTTTCATTCCTAAGACACTTTGATCAATTAGCTATTTGGTAGATCTCTTTGAATGAGATATTCTAATTATCTTTCCATCCCAGTGTAGATTATTGTAATAACTCTGCCCACCTTATCCCTTTGAATTAAGCTGTATATCTGGCCTCTCCATTCTGTAATCCTGTTGTTCCCATTGAAGCTAGAAAGCCCAATTCCACTGCATCAACCCTTATCAACACCTTTGAACTACAATGCACAAGCAGAAAAGATCATAGCATGATAATAATGTTTTAGTAATAGTCACTGAATATGTTTGGACACGGTTTATTCACAACTATAAATTTTACAAATTTATCTGCTATTTGTTTAAACTTGTTAATCACAAAATTTCCCCATTTTAAATATCCACATATACTTCATGCCATAAATCCTTACATACATTGCTAATAATTTTAGGGAAATCACATCATTTAAATGCCATAAGGGCTATTTAAGAGACCATATGATATGAAACAACAACAAAAAAGGAAAAGCTTATTCTAAAAAAAGTATATATTTTAGTCTTTTTTTTTAATTTTTGAAAAGTACTGGCCAAAACCACCTTTCTATAATAAATTGTTATTTTTAAAATAGGTCTTACTGTATATAATTTATTTCACAATGAAACACATATAACTTGTATCAATGAAGCTCTCAAGTATACCACTTGAAAATATTTAAACTAAGACCCTTATAATTATTACTACCATTTTGTTATCACCAATCAAAATCAAAATATTGTAGAAACCAATATATCAGAAACAAAAATGACATTAGAATTGCTTACAGTCTAATTAAGTGGAAAAATACACTTTAAACCTGGAAAAATATGCAGGAACAAAAGCCAAGAATACTTGGTAGACCTTAAGACAGAAATCACTTCTGAAGACAGAACTTGAAGGAGATAATTCTCTAGTTAAGAGATGTTTTCCACTTTTAAGTTGAATTTTCCTAAGCGTTGAATCCATATTATAGAAAATCCCTGGAGAATTTAGTTGCAGCTTAGCTACCCAGCTAAGTAAGACATTATTTGTCTAGAATTCAACTAGCCAAAGGGGTGGAGTGGGAGAAGAAACAAAAAAATTCAAAAGCAGTGCTCTCACAGAGAAAATTCTCTAGAGGCTATAAATTCCTCAATAAATACATGATAAATAAATTTATTTGGAGTGACAAGGCAGCTGCCAAATAAACCTTATCCCTAGTGTGCCTTATAATATCTAAACACTCCTCCAATGGAAATAACAGAAATCTATTTGTATATCAATGTACAGCTCAAAGAATATTTTTCATTTGCTTTGCTCAATTTAACCTTCATATTGTCTTTGAAATATAGGTATTATTATTTATGTCCCTGCTTTGGAGATGAGGAAACCAACTAATGGAATTTAAGTATGAAGAGTTGAGCTGGAGAAAGAGAAGAAAATGGACTCAGGTAAAATTAATTTAAAGCTATGTTTTAGAAAATGATAATGTGAAGAGAATACCAATAACATTTTTTATTCTCCTTTGGCTATACTATGATATTCTAGGCATAGCTTTCAAAAATATAAATATAAATTTAGCTTATAAATGTGTAATAATAGGCTCAACTATGTGCCCAGGCCATTAATTTTATGCTGTTCATTGTACTACTCCTACTACCAATTCTAATTTTATGATTAGAACTATTCTTTATACTGAGGATGGGGTTGGTAGAAGAGAAGAAAAGAAACATTGCAGTGGTTTGACAATTCTGTGGGAAAATAATACGCACTCGAGCTTAAAAAAATTCATTTTGTTTTATTTTTATATGCAGTGAATAAATATAATTTTAGTGTAATATAGATAGTCATGCAGGTATGTTTAGCAATTTATGACTTTGACAAGATGATGAGAAGAGACTGAAGAAAAATAGTCACTGAATGAACAGAGTGACTAAGCAGATGAAAATATGGAGGGGAAAATGTTGAGATTCAGTGCAGGCACTATGGAGGTTCTGGGTAGAAAGTAACTATTTACATTTATTCAGTAGACTATAATAGTCGGCAGACCCCACAAATAATAGTAAGAGTATATACTTTGTTATGTGCAAACTGTCAGGGAATAAGTAAGGAGACACAGTTTAAATCTCTTCACAGTTCAGTGGGCTGCCGCATACATAAATAATATAACATGACATTCTATGAGTGAATCACTAAAGTAAGTTCTACAAAATAGTGATTCCATATTAAATACTGAAAAGACTAAGGAGGTTGGGTTATCCTAGGTATTATGATTGGAATTTTTTTCATCAAGTTGGAGAAGACATGCTGAAAATGCATGTGAATTCATGTCTTGCAAGGTGTTCAGGTCAATCCACCTCCTGTGGATCTCTCAGAAAAACATTACTTTGTGATATACTGAGCTATTATTTTTGTGGTCTCAAGATGATTACAGGCTATGTATCGACATTTGGCTAATGAAACTTGAAAATAATATTTTGTTTAGAAATCAATGTTCTGTGTTGAGTAGATTTTACTTATAATTTTTTAAAGGGCTAGTTGATTACTCTTGCTTTTGCAATTTAGTCCCTAAATAGTTAATTCTTGGGATTCTTGAGTAACTCAGAGCCTTAAATGCTTGGCTAATATGAAAAATGGTCAGCCCTGCAACCAGCAGGAGGCATAAGAGGATTTGATAACTGTTGGAAAAGGCAGCCTAAGGCAACAGGACTCTAATCAGTCAGTGCCACTACTATTGGAAACTCTGAGAGCAGATGACAGAAGTGAGAATCCTCCTTGAGGACCAGTAGGGATTTTGAACAACTATACCTGCTCTTCTTTAACATTAACATATGTCAAATCTCAACTTGTATAAGACATTTCAACTCTTAATTATTCTTTCGGTTAAGATTCCTCCTGTTTTCTCTCTACTGACCCAAGGAGTAAATAAGGCATGTTTGCTTTATGTCTACTGTGTGAATCTGTATCTTTGTGTAAAGATATATTTGTGTGGTGAAAACTTTTTGAAGCTTTACTTCCAGCCTAGAAAATAAGTTTCCAACCAGGTTACTCCAGCTAGTGTCAGGAAACCAGGCATACTAATTAAAGGAAATTTGCCAGGAAACACAAGCAATCAAGAAATTATTGCCTGTTTGTAATTGGAGGGAGAGAGGAAATACTAATTTTGGATTGTGGAGTTATGTGAGTGTTGTGATTGTGTTATTATATTGCAATATACTCATGGGAATTTTAGTACAAATTCTGTACACTGTGAGAGAGAGGAGGATCACACCTGAATAGTGAGATCATACCCTGTATTAGCATCCTGAAAATGTAGCAGCTATCTCAGGAAGGAGCCCAGAACTGGAAGGGAAGTCTCAATGAGGTAGCAGAGAATGGCCATTTATTTTCTCTTAGCTTTGATGGTAAAATGGCCAAGATATTGTGAAAGGAGTTCCCAAGAACTAAATATGATGTTGCCCTTCAAATATTGGAATTAGTAAATTCAATCTCTTTGATCAAAATAGTCTCCTAGTCATGACTAAAGACATTCTTTTCCAACAGAAACTCAGCAATATTCTTAAGCAGTTACCAAGAGAATTAGCATAGCTATCAGTGATGAAACCACTTGAGAACATGGATGATGAAAAAGTACAGACGTGGAAGGGGTAAAGACAAAAGCTAGTTGCACTTTTCTTCTATTATCTAAAGTATTTTCAACTTATCTCTATTCTAGTGTTTCACATAGCATAATAATTCATGTACATGTCTGCTTTCCTCATTGGAACTTGAGCTTCTTGAGAGCAGATTTCTCATCTTTATATGCATAGTTCCTGACCCTGGGCCGGGCACATGGAAGACTCTAGACAATGAATAATGTTAATGAAGGAATAAATAGCACCTGAAAACTAAAGCAACTTCATCTCTATTTAGGGATGAGATGACATATTTGCAAACTAGTGGTTATTTTCATAATTGCCATTGTATTGAGGTAGAAAATAAATGTTATTGAGGTATAAGATTAATAAGTATACATAGATCTGATACTATAAACAATATGAACTAAGAACTTCCCTGTTTGACAAAACTTCCTAAAGTTAGAAGAACTTGGATAGTTTAGTATCTTATATAGAACTGAAAAATATTCCTTCATGCCAATATATGTCTGCCTATAACTGTTATGAACCCCTTTAGAACCATATACACCCCTGGCCACCACCCCCAAACACCAACCATCTTCAAAAACAAGATACAGATCTTATCTATAGAAATGCAAACATGACCAAAGATGCTGGAATTCTCAGTCCTGTCATACAGATAGCTGTGTAGTATTACTGGCAGACAGAAAAACTGAGAAGAAACTTGGAAAGTTAATAAATTGTATAACTCATAAAATCTTTGTGAAAACTTCTAAAACTCTCTGTATGAGGGAAGAAAGGAACTCCAAGTTAGCAGTTAAGCTCCCAGACATGTCTTAGTCAAACTAAGGTTTAAGGAAGCTAAATGAAGCTCGGTGAGTTGCTCAAGTGGTAGAACCAGGACCAGAAAACAGTTTTTTAGACTCTTGGGTTTATGCATCTATTACAAAATGGGCTTTGTCTTTATGGAAAATTTTATCAAGCAATAGAGGCTAATTAGAGTTCTGTGTTAACAAGGATCTGAAGCCAAGTTCTAACTCATTAGAAAAGATTGCTGTGGTTGATTATATATGATCAAAACCACAATGAGATACCATCTCACACCAGTCAGAATGGATATTATTAAAAAGTCAAAAAGTAACAGATGCTGGCAAGGTTGCAGAGAAAATGAAACACTTATACACTGTTGGTGGGCATGTAAATTATTTCAACCATTGTGGAAAGCAGTATGATGATTCCTCGAAGAAATAAAAGCCCAACTACCATTTGACCTAGCAAATGCATTAGAGTGTATATACCTAGACAAATATAAATCATTCTACCATAAAGACACATGTACACAAATGTACACTGCAGCAGTATTCACAATAGCAAAGACATGGCATCAACCTAAATGCCCATCAATGACAGATTGGATAAAGATAACGTGACACATATATACCATGGAATAATAGGCACCCATAAAAAAGAATGAAATCATGTCTTTTGTGGGAACATGGGTGGAGCTGGAGGCTTTATCCTTAGAAAACTAATGCAGGATCAGAAACCAAATACCACATCTTCTTACTTATAAGTGGGAGGTAAATGATGAAAGCTCATGAACACAAAGAAGAAAACAACAGGCAGTAGGGCCTATTGGAGGGTGGAGGGTGGGAGGAGAGAGAAGGGCAGGAAAGATAACTATTGGGTACTGAGCTTAATACCTGGGTGATGAAATAATCTGTACAACAAACCCCCAAGACACGAGTTTACCTACATAACAAACCTTCACATGTACCCCAAATATAAATTTATTTTTGAAAAAAAGAGTGGCCAATTATCAGCTCTTCCTATACTACATTCCCCTGTTGAGGTCTCCAGATATGTATGTCTACCCCAATAGTAACACTGATTTGACTGATTATAAGATCGCTAAAAAATGGAAAGAATTGCTTCCAGCTACAGAGAATTAGCGGTGATGGTAGGTGCCCCCTCTTATACCAGCATACTAGATAGAACTTCATTGACTGGCTTATCCTCAAACGCAGCTTCAGAGATAATCAGAGAAAGAGAAGGAAAAGAGGATATGTTCAGAAAGTGGGTTATGCCCTGGAATTCTCTGCTGCTAAAGAAAAAAAATAAGAGAAGGAATTTTTCATACAATTTATAGAATTTAAAATATTTGCATAATTTCTGTGATTTTAATAGCAAAAATTAAAGTGTTGCAGCTTTTCATACCAACCCTTTCCACCTAACTAAAGTATCTTTATTTTTGAGTCTTAACAATGAAGAGGCTTGCCTTTTGAATGATGGAAGTTCTTCACAAACATAAGACTAGTAATCATTCTCAGGCAATTAAGAATTCTCTCTTTCAGGTGGCCAATTCCATGGACTTGCTCAACACAGCACAAAGACTATAATTTATACATTGCTATACTTAAAGTACTTTTTGGCATATTCTTCTAAGAAAGTAAAAAAAGCATTGTAGCGGCGCAATAAGGTAATTGTTATCTAAATATGTAATATGATCATTCTTATCTAAATATGTAGAGAAAAAAACATGCTTTAAAATGTTATATTGGCTATTAACAATCTCTTGGACACTCATTCATACTAGAGTCTTTTTCATGTGTTTCTGTCCCTTTCTCTGAATGGTCTTGCTGCCCATTACCTTTTTTTCTGGCTGTAAAGGCCTAGTCACAAAGAACTTTCAGAGCCCACTACATTTCAGATCTATTGTCATTTTCAATGCCTAATTCTGTGTGGAGCGGTGTAATTTAAATTCAATTTTAGAGTAATTTTAATAGAACATTTGCATAATACAGTTCTTGTTTCTTGTAATTCAAATCTGCTTACTCCAAATAGGTTTCTCCATGGACACCCCTCAGCCACGCACCAAGTTCTAATACATTTGGCTTACCTGTAATGAGAGTAGGGAAGCAAAAAGAAGCAAAGCCTATGGGAAGAGGACTGAGGTGGGATTTCATAAAGCTATTAATTAACAATACTAGAAGGACCTTGAATTTTCACAGAATTACACATTGTTAAAACAAGCACACCTGTTATCTAATCCTTCCATTCTAATCTCTACTGGGCAACTTCAGGCTCAGACAAGCTCCCTCACGCAATATATTCACATTCGAAAGGGTGATATCATGGGTAATTTTCATCCTGAAATTTGGTGAAAAGTAAACGGAATTTAAAAGGGCCTTTTCTCTATCCTTGACTATCAGATGGCAATAATTACTGCTACCTGCTCTTGTCTGCTTCTATTCCTCATTTGCATTTGTTAGATATCCAGTTGGATTTTTTTCATAAATTGTTTTGGCTATTTTTTCTCTCTCCTTTTCCATAAGCCCTTTTTGGAAATTATTCTGAGAGTAAGGCAGAAGAAATTCTAACATCCTTAAATGTGTTTATTTCCATTCATTACAGAAAAAAAAGTTTAAGAAATACAACTGCATACAGTGGCTGTTATATCAAGAAATGTACCTGCATATATTGATTTTTATATCATTATTATTGATATTTAATATAAGGTTTTTCTCTTTTTCTCACTTCATGGGTATGTAAAATATGTATCATGTTTACCACTCTTGGACTTCTATTAAGAATTATTTAGGTAACCAATTTACATCTTAAATTCATATTTCTTTTCTATTTCTAGATACGCTGCCGACACAAATTTAAGTGGATAATTAAAAAAAAAAAAACAACTTATACCTTCAAGGTGGCTGCTAGTACAAAAGGAGGATTTTGTTACAATTACTCTTTTTTCTAAAATATCCTCCTAACTTGATCTTTTAAACTCAGGTTTCTCACCTGCCCAAAACCATTTTCATGCTACTGCTAAACTTAATTACCTAAAATAACTGTCTGATCTTCTACTACCCACATCGAGCCTGTGATGTATCACTACTGCCTTCAAGGTTTTTCATTGTGAAAGTTCTTCAAGATGAACTCATTTAGACCTATATCACAAACCAAAACTTAACCTTCATTCCTTTACTCATGGTCATTGAAAGGAATACCTCCAGGCCACCATTTATTGTTGCCTTACCGGAATATATTGTTTCCTTAAATTCTCAACTCATCCATAACTTCTTCTTTGAAAGGCTTCCACAGTGAAACAATCATCAAAATTTCATTCTTTATGTTTCCAGAACATGGTTTTAAAAATTTACCTAGCATATATATTATTATGCCTTACATTAAAGGTAGTTGCTTCTTGTTTTTAACTTACCTCATTAATCTGTATGTTCCTTAAGGACCTGCATTAGGACTTATTGTAATCTCCTCCCCAAAATAGCCATGACTGACATCCAGCGTAAATAAATGATTTATAAATTAACATCAATTTAAATTAAATGTCTAAAACTCATTAACATAAACAAGCAATTTCAGTACCATTCAGCCTTCACTATCTGAAGCAGCTTTTATGATTATCTTTCCCCAGGTCCGTGACACCTCCTGCAATTTCTCCCTAAACATTTGACCTATGGTCCAGGAATGTAGTCTCTTGTGTGTTACATTTTCACCTGATCAATTTTAGGCCTATAATGATTTAATTAAATTATTGATTATTCAGTGGTCTCTTCATTCAATAGCTTGTTCTATTTATATGTGCTGGAGTACTACTTCTGCAGTGAGCATTCTAAGATAATTGAGAAAGAAGAAAAGATGCAATCTAAAGCAGAAAGACTTTTTGTCTTTCTGACATGTATTTAAATTCACTGGTAATTTTCTTTCAGAATGAGTGATCAATGTGTATAGCTCTTAGTATCCTTTAAACTTGGCCACTCAATATGCACCCCCCAATTTTGTATTTATAGCCAATGCCCAAGTAGTCAGTCACTGCCAAAAACAATAAAATATAAAAAGTAAAAAAAACCCACACAAAATAGATTGATTTAAAGAGGCTTATATACACAATGGAGAATCCAGAACAAAAGAGAAGATTCAACAAGGAGATGGTAGTTGTAACATTAGGCAGCTTGCCCATGGAGTACCACTCTTAGTTAGCATTATTACCCCCAATGAAACTGGCTTAATACCTTGTGTGCAGGCACTCTGCCATCTAACAGATGGATCTGCACACAAGATGCCAAGAAACCTCATATGAACATCAAACATGGCTCTTATCCATGTTGTTTTCAGCTTATAGTATTTAAATGACTGTTGTCCTGCAATGCCATGGCTGCAGTTATAGAGAAGAACAAATACATCAATTCCAATCACAGCAACTGTTAGGGACCAAACAAGAGGGGTTCCCATTTCAATGTGTTTTTTTTTTTTTTTAAGTGTTACACTGAATTTTAGTCACTGGAAAGACCTAAAGTTTTGATGTTCTGATAGTACAGAGACTCCAGAAAACACACACACACACATATTCATAGATCTATATATTTTTATATAGATACATATATATGTAATATGAGTCACGTTTGAAACGTAAACACTGTTTACTGAAAGAAGTTATATATGTATCTATATCATTAGCAAATGGCCTAATGTCATCATTCCAAAAACTGATGACAGTTTTCCAGAGGCTGACAAGAATTTTGTTGCCAAAAATAGTTTCCATTAAAATCATAGCTATATCAAAATATACCTTTATTAGCAGTATATATCACCAGAATTTGAAAAGGTTGATTTCTAGTGACACTTAGAAGTTTAAATTTTGACTATCAGAATACATTTCAATTTTTCAAAGAAAAAGCATTATGTTAGCCAGATAGCCAACTATGTTTCTCATAGCATTAAATATATATATATATCAAACAAAATATTAAAGTCAATTAATAATAATGAAGCACCCATTACATTCACAGAACTATGCTGAGCTGTGAGGGGGATACAGAAACAAATAAGGCACAGGCCTACTCTCTTTGGACTTTCCATGCAACTGTGAAGGGCCTATGTAATAAGAGTCATGTTTGAAACGTAAACACTGCTTACTGAAAGAAGTTATATCCAGTTCAAGGCATCATAAAAGACCCCTGGAAAAGGTAAAGTCTAAAATAGGCTAAAGCGAATGGGTAGAATTTGCAGTAAGTTGACTATGGTGTTACATTGGCATTAAACCCTAATATAGGCTCAATGAAACAAGCAAGTCAATGGCTCTAATAATCAACATGTAATTTAAATGATTTCTCCACTGTTTTCCATATTTTATCATTTTAAAATAATACTTCAATTATTACCTAAGTAATTCATAATCTTCCCTGGTGGCTTCCCTGACAAAGATACCATTGGGCATCCCTAGCGAGGCAAGTGCTGCTTCTAGCTGTAGGGATAATCATGACAACCTGTCTGCTCATGGGGACCTAGCCAAAGAGAAGGCCAACCCATGAAAGCCCACTGTGCCAGCTTCTGGATGTGAGATATCTGAGAGATTTCCAGGGACACTTCCAACAGAACCGCCTTGTTCATCTTGCCCTCCGACTTTTCCAGAATTTTTAACATCTTTCATTCCTATGGAAAACTGACTTCTGTTTTCCTGCTCAACTCAACAGAATCCAGTCTAGGAAGTTAAATTTTTTTAAAGTATGAATTGCTCCAAATTACCTATTTTCCTCCTTCTGGTTCTTTCACTACTTTGGTTCCATTCAGGACAGGAGCTTTTCTTTCCCACAGGCCCCATAACCAACAATCTGTCCTCTGGTTGTTTTCAGCCTTGACTTTTCTTGACTCTTTGATTTAATAAACTTCTGCTCTAGAGAAGAAACTGGCTGGCTCTTATCAGTGGGCATATAAACTTTAATGACCCTCTCAACTAACAGTAAAACTATCAAATTTGCTTTAATAATCAGTGTCTTCAAGTGTGAATGTCTCCCAGAAGGCATCCATCCTCTGTGTAGGAGGGAAACAATGGCATGGAATAAAATGTAATCTCTTCCCTGGCTGCCAGGGTGTTATTAAGCTACCAGGCCCTGGTGAAAATTTAAAGAAAATAACTACTCAGCAGAGATTCACATGTTATTTGTTTTAATAATATCAAATATTAAACAAAATACCTGGCTTATGGTAGGCACTCAATAAATATTTAAAGAATTAGCAAATAAATATCTCTCTTTTCATATTCTTACTGTGGACCTATATAAACCCTGTTATCTAGAAGCTGCTTGATGAAACTGCCCTTCATCCAAAGGCAGAATTATTTTTATAATTATATGCATAATTTATAAATTAAGTTTTATGAGTAAAAATTTTTTTGCAAAATTTCAGTATGCAATTTTGAATTTCCTATAGCAAATAAGTCATTTGCAAATAACATAGTTATATTAGTCTATTCTCATATTGCTATAAAGAACTACCTAAGACTGGGTAATTTATGAAGAAAAGAGTTTCAATTGAATCACAGTTACACAGGCTGTACAGGAAGCATGGCTGGGAGACCTCAGGAGACTTACAAGCGTGGAAGAACGTGAAGGGGAAGCAAGCAGGTTTTACCATGGCAGAGCAAGAGAGAGAGAGCAAAGGGGAAGTGCTACCCACTTTTAAACAACAAGATCTTATGAGAACTCCTATCACGAGAATAGCAAGGGGGAAATCTGCCTTCCCACCATGTCCCTCCTCCAACATTGGGAATTACAATTCGACGTGAGATTTGGGTGTGGACACAGCCAAACCATATCAATGGTCAATATCAGAAACTAAAAACAAGTCCATTCTTTATTAATGTATTCAATTAATATTACACACTCTATCCATCGAGTTTGGTGAGCTTATGCTTCAATAATAAACAGGCTGAAAACTCAATGGCTTAATTGAGTTAATTTTATTATTATTACTATTATTTTTTCTTTGATACGTAGTCTCGCTCTGTGGCCCAGGCTGGAGTGCAGTGGCGCGATCTCAGCTCACTGCAAGCTCCGCCTCCCGGGCTCACGCCATTCTCCTGCCTCAGCCTCCGGAGTATCTGGGACTACAGGTACCCGCCACCAGGCCCGGCTAATTTTTTGTATTTTAAGTAGAGATGGGGTTTCACAATATTAGCCAGCATGGTCTCATCTCTTGACCTCGTGATCCGCCCGCCTCGGCATTCCAAAGTGCTTGGATTACAGGCGTGAGCCACCGCGACTGGCCAATTTTATTCTTATAAAATACACATTTTACTCATACTGTGTGTCCATTGCAAGTTCATAAGAAGGTTCTGCTCACTTTGGTTATCCACTGATTCAGTTTGACAGAGATTTCATCTCTATTTTTCCTTGATCACAGATGCAGGGAAAAAAGAGACAATATTGAACTAAACACTAGTTCTTAAAGCTATTTCATGAAATGACATCACATCTGCCAAAATTTCACTGACTGAAGAAAGTCACATAGCTACACCTGGGTTAAATAGGAAAAGATATATAATCCCCCCATATTTTGTGGCGTCACAGAAGGTAAATCAGATAAATGGTGAATAGTAACACAATATTCCACAAACACCTACTAATTAGCAGGTGTAAGGCACTAAGACACAAGGTGAACAAAACAGGCATAGCTCTGGTTGACTATTATCACCCCGTTGGTTGAGGACTATTTATTTCTCTCTGTGTCCTCCTTATATTAAAAAAAACACATGCCCAAATCTGCAATTGTGGATGATGATGGTGACTAAGTTTCTCTACAGAAGTAATTAGAAAATAATCAATAACATTTACAATGAAGTTGAATAAATACTTTTAGCTGCGGAGGCGTAAATGCAGAATGCAGATGTTTTCCTGCTCAGTTTATCTCATCAAGAACCACTACAAGCAGTATCTGTAAGAGACAAGCTGCCCTCTTAATGTACATGCCATGATTCTAAGTGCCTCTGTCTGTCTTCATCTAGGAAATTCTACTAATTTCCTCAAACTCTTATCATTTCTACAGACCTAAAAGACAAAAATCCTCAATTACCTGCCCATCTTGCCTCTGGGGACTCCCATTAGAACGAGAGGAACTAAAAAATAAATGTGAATATGTCTCATAAAGTACAAAGTGCTACATAAATTTAGGAAGACTATTTTTATAAACCCAAAATAATAAGCCTCTAGCGAGGACTGTGGGAATGGAGGAGGAGGTCAAGGAGAGAAAAACCGGGGAAGGTCTGGTATGACAGTTGCAGACATAAATAACTAGTCTGCTTCTTAATTATTAGGTTTTTTTCTTTTCTTTTTTTTTTTTTTTTTTTTTGAAATGGAGTCTTGTTCTGTTGCCAGGCTGGAGTGCACTGGTGTGGCCTCTGCTCACTGCAACCTCTGCCTCCTGGGTTCAAGCGATTCTCCTGCCTCAGCCTCCCGAGTAGCTGGGATTACAGGCATGTGCCACCACACCCAGCTAATTTTTGTATTTTTAGTAGAGATGGGGTTTCACCATGTTGGTCAGGCTGGTCTCGATCTCCTGACCTTGTGATCCACCCGCCTCTGCCTCCCAAAGTGTGGGATTACAGGCATGAGCCACCGCGCCCAGCCAGGTTTAATTATTGTTTTCTACTCTTTTTTTTTTTTTTTTTTTAAGCTTAAGGTCCTATTTTCTTTCTTTTACTTGTGGCCGTTAAATAAGAGTTGTTGATTTCTTCTGGATTACCAAAAGTGTCTGTAAGTTTATGCTGGGGACCATAACCTGGATGGAACAGAAAAGTTGGACTTTTTGTCCATTAGGTTGTCAATCTTGGCTGAAGGCATTATGATATAACGGGAATACCATGAATTTTGAAGACAAACTGAACTCATTTTGAATACAGGCTCTATTGCTCATTACTAAATTTCTCTCTGAACCTCATAATTTTTCTTCAAAATGATGATAATGCCATCCATGACATAATATTAATATAGGTTATTTTTTAAAGTAATGCAATACCAGAGGATAAATGCCCAGCACAGAGGTTCTCCCTCAGTCCTTTGGTAATCCATATATATATATTTATTTCTGCTGGGTGTTCCCCTCAAAGCATGCGGTATGTTCCATCTTTACAGTTTCTAATTTTATATGAAATATAAGTTATGACTATCTACTTCTGGGAGTATTTTAGTAAGTCTATAATCAGTAATACTGTAAGTGATAACTAGACTTAAGATGTTATCTCTCTTTAAGGTAACTTGAATTTTGAAATGAGATAAAGTCTTAGAAAATCAATCAATTGTATAATAAGCACTACACTCTGGATTTTTGTACTTTCAACTTGTGTAACTGTAAACTAATCATTATTTATGCTTGAAGAAGTTACTTCTGATTCTAAGCCCTAAGTTTTGTCTTTTTGTGTGTTACATTGTTTTTAGCTTTAACACAAAGAACCATGTTTTATTTTAATAAATAAGTCCCTACTAGCCCTAACATTCTACAGTTTTTGTTGTGGAATTGCAAGTACAAATGAACTAAAGAATGAAAATAATATTTACTGAATGCAAAAAATACTGAGCAATGTGTGGAGCTACTCTAAGCACCTTTAATTCTCAAGGAATTTCTAAAGGTTGTTATTATTCCCCCTTTTTCTTTTTTTTACAAATAAGGACTTTTAGTCTTAGTAACAGTTAAGAGGCTTGCTTCAGGTTGGATGGCTGACAAGAAAATGAGCCAGATGAACTGACTTAAAAGCCTTTGTTATTTTCACCAGGGAACAGCACTGCAACAGGAAGGCCTTTTTTTGCCACCCGCAAAATTAGACCATTAAAAAGTCCATATTTTTAAGGCTGTTTTGCTGCACTTGTTTTTACAGTACCACTTGTAAGCTCCTAGAAAAGAGAAGCATGCATAATTTGCTGAAGTTCCAGCACCTTAAAACACTCACGGATCAAGTATTTTCTTTTAAATATGGTTTGCAATAAAACAAAAGATGTGGAAAAGAGGAAGAAGAGAGAGGAAGAAAGAAGTGAGGAAACGAAGAAGAAAGCCAGTATTTTATTTCTTAGTCATGATTAACTTTAGATTTACACTAAGTACTAGTGAGAGAAGAGAGAGACCCTCTCATATTGTTTTATATTGTTTTATACTCAGTACCTGTTTTAAGAAAACAACAAGGAAATAAAACCAAAGACAGGCAGCCCGGCGCCAGGCCCGAAACCAGGCCTGGGCCTGCCCGGCCTAAACCCAGTAGTTAAAAATCAACTCGTAACTTAGAAACCAATGTTATTCATAGATTCCAGACATTGTATAGAAGAACATTGTGAAACTCCCTACCCTGTTCTGTTTCACTCTGACCACCAGTGCATGCAGCCCGTGTCACATACACCCCTGCTTGCTCAAATCAATCACGACCCTTTCATGTGAAATCTTTAGTGTTGTGAGCCCTTAAAAGGGACAGAAATTGTGCACTCGGGGAGCTCGGATTTTAAGGCAGTAGCTTGCTGATGCTCCGAGCTAAATAAAGCCCTTCCTTCTACAAGTTGGTGTCTGAGAGGTTTGGCCTGCGGCTCGTCCTGCTACAATAGTGTAACTTTAGATCTTACACTAAGTAATAGCTATCTAAGCACATCTTTATGGATAGCCATTCTTCACCATAAATAGGGTACTATAAAATTAAACTTTATTTCAAAAGCCCTTTAAATTTTTTAAACTTTAATGTCATTCTTCATTCAATTCTGTGGCATCACAAACAAGAATTGATTTGACATTGAAGGGGATGAAAATTTTTTTCTACCCTCATAAGTTATGTTCCTGAAGCCTGCAGACTATACTGGCAAAAGATTGATTATCAGAGGGAAAGAAATTCAACTTTTTAATTTTATGTACATGGGGCATCCACAGAAAAGTGAAAATCTAAAGAAGCAGACTTGGGGCATATATGCCATTTTAACAAAGGGCAATAAATTGAGAGAAGGTGAGTAGAAAAACATGTGGATGATAGGCTTGTTTAGTAAGGTTTGTTATGGAGACTCAATTCAAGTGCTGTCTATAGTCTTTCTAATATGGGAAGGTGACACCTTTACAAAAGAAAATGTATATCATCTTTACAAAGGAAATCTGTGCCCTTCATTTATGTAGAGAGGGAGAGGACAGAGAGATTTTCCTCTGTCTGTTGTTTTTCAATTGCCTTCAGCTCAAAATAACCCTGTTCGAAAATGACATATTTTGAGATGCCATACTCTGAACCCCATCAATGCCAATGGGATTTTAGATATCTAAAAGAGCGCTAAAGTCTATTTAAAAACCTAGTGAAGATGGGTATGAGGAAGATTCTTCAGACACTGTTGGTTGCCATGTTGGAAACACTCTTCCTATGTCAAAATTTACTTAAACTTGCATGTCTTTCTAACTAGCACTATTTCTTTTTTAAAATATATCCTAAGGCAATAATAAGACACATGTACAAAAAATGTGTTTAGATGTTTGTTAAAGAAACACATAATAGTAATAAAATAAGTGGTGGGGGGGGTGGGGAATCTAAATGTCCATCTACAGGTGAATGCATATATAAATTATTGCAACCAACCTATAAACCAGACATCTATAATCTAGATCTGTATTAATTGACAGATGTCCTTGACATATTATTGAGTGAAAATACTGGTTACAGAATAAATATAGCATGAGTATAAATTTTATATAAATAATACTTTCTATGTAATTATTCATTTGGATTTGTCTATAATCACCAAAACACTAAGTAATCTTTATTTGTACTTTATGTGTTATTTTAATCTTATTATTAAGAGATGTCACTTTATTATTGGAAAAAATAAGGTTATTTTGAATTAGGAAAAATGTTTCGGTTTTGAAATATTAGGAAATATGAAAAATGTTGCTATAAATTTTTAATGAAATGAACCTTGAGAGATTTGAAAATGTTTAGGGACAAAATATTTAGTTATATTCTCAATATCCATAAGGAGTTTAAATATTGCTACAACTTGATAAGCACAATTTGAAATATAGATCAATTTCATAATACAGCTCTACAGAGAGTGAGCAGAATGTCAGAACATGGGAGAATATATTACTTGTCTAACATGTAGAGTACCTCCATTTTTCCTTCATATCTTACCTATATTTTAAACCTGTTGGGGTATTACTCATTTCAACTCTGAGATTGTATATTGATTTAAAATGTAATGAGTTAGTTTACATCCTCGCCTATTTTTGGGCGAGATTTTATACAGTTTAACTGGTATTTAATCCCCACAAAAACTTTATTTGTAAGAGGATACAAATTGATTCAAAGTATTTTATGTTTTAATAATTAAACAGCCTTTCCTCAAAATGAATTTAAAATCTTGTCCTAGTCTCTGAAGAAAAAATCGTCGAGGGAACTTGATTAAAAGTGGCCTATTTCCTATACATCACATAACATCCAATCTCAGAATCAGTCTTTGTTTTTGGCTCAAAGGGGATAGGCCAAAAAGAAATCTTAAAAAGTTTTTGTAGTCACCTGTTGTCTTATCAAATAGTAGGTCTTATACATTCTTTCTTGTCAATAATGACTTAATTGTAAATTTTTTGTAACTCCAAGGGTAAATTCTTGAGGGTATGAATATCCCATTCTCCATGTGCTTATTTTACTTTACCTGCCTGTATCAAAGTATCTCATATATTCCACAAATATATACAACTATTATGTACCCACAAAAATTAAAAATAAAAACATTTTTTCAAAAATAGTTATTGTAAGGTCAGCTGCGGTGGCTCACACCTGGAATCCCAGCACTTTGGGGGGTTGAGGCAGGTAGATCACCTGAAGTCAGGATTTTGAGACCAGCCTAGCCACTGTGGTGAAACCCCATCTCTACTAAAAATACAAAAATTAGCCGGGCATGGTGGCATGCACTGTAGTCCCAGCTACTTGGGAGGCTGAGGCAGGAAAATCATTTGAACCCGGGAAGTGGAGGTTGCAGTGAGCCAAGACTGTGCCACTGCACTCCAGCCTGGGCAACAGAGTGAGACTCTGCCTCTAAATAAATACAATTTAAGAACATTAAAAAGTTACTGTAAAATGTTAGTGTGATATACTTATCATGAAACAACATTTCTGACCTGAAACTGGATTCTGGTAAACAATCCCGAGAGATGGAAGGTGCAACTGTGCATTCATGTCTTATTCAGTACATCAGCTAATTTTAGACTCTACTCAGTAATGATGGTATCTCATTGTTCTCATTTTTTATTCTATATTATCCATGATTCCTGACATGACAGTTAAATTGTTCTAAAATTTACTATAGTCAAAAAGTTTAAAATTACACTTGTGTATAATTTTGTTTCTAGAACTTTTGAAAACTGATGATGGTGATGAAAGAAAGCTTTCTTGTGACTCTTGATGAGTTTAGATTGGACCACAGCCAAAAAAAAAAAGCGTTTCAGAGTACATAATGCAACTATTTTTCAAATATTAAGGAATTATCACATTTCAAAATGTCCTTAATAAGCTGTAAATAAGATATTGCCGTATATTATGAATGTTACAATTCTTTTATTATAATTTAACACTGTTTTAATTAATATAACAGAATAGTAACCTAAAAGACTCAAATTTCTCATCTTATCATGTTCCATGTGGAGAGCTTAGCAGACAGTAGTACTAGTTTCCTCAACTTTGTAAATATTTGCAGTTTTGCCCATGAGGCTACACGCTACAAGAGAGTAATTAATACATGTGTTATTAAGTCTTGCCTCCTCAGTACCTCAGCTCAGTGTCCATTATATAGTAGGCACTCAAAAATCATCTGTTGAGTGAGTGAATGCTTATGCTCCTGTATTTTTGTTCTATAAACATCCATGATTAAATACATCTTTTAAATCTCTAGGAAATGGCAGATGTGTCTATATAATAATAACTTTACATCAAGAAAATGTTATTTTTAAGAAAGTTCCTATTATGTGGTTTAACTGCAGTTAAAGTATCTGTTCCTCCATAACAGAGATTAGACACATGAGGGCGTGAATTATTGTCTGTTTTATTCCTCTTTCCTCAGTACATAGGAGTGTTTATCACAGAGGCTTAATAAATATTTTCAAAATATATTAATGGATGAATATCAAGAGGATCATTATCTGGCTTTCTTAGGCATGGCATCATAAGCAGGTATTACCTTAAACATTCATTATTTCAATAGTTATTAAGTACATGCTAGACACTTCACTGAATGTTGGTTATACATTTGTTTCCATCCAAAATTGTATTCAGATATTTAAAGATCAAGAAACTCAGGTGTATTATCGGAGTCCATCAAAATCAGCTGTAGAATGTCATAACCCAAAAGAAGAGATTGGTAAAACAGAGTGTCAATCTTAAATTACAGTAAGGATATATACAGAAGGAGCAGGAGAGAAAAAATATAAAATAAAAGTAAGATTTAAAAAATAGGTTATAAATATTAAGAAGAATGAAGCACTCATAACAACTTCCCAGCAGATATTCTCTTTCAGGAAGTCTCCAACTTGAACTCTTATTACCGTAACAAAATAATTTTCAAGTCAGTGGGGTTAGAATAATCTTATTAGCTGTTATCAAACTATGATAGACTGATGTACCCATCTCCTCTTTAGAGGAAAAGGAATGAAAGAAGTGAGTTAGAACTTAAGTAGTGTTAGGTATGATTCCTCTTATTTTTTTAATTCTTATAACAACCCTCCAAAATGAGAAGCACTGTCCATAATTTTATAATCAGGATATTGAGATTTGGATCTTGTACCAAAGCTACTTGTCTCCAAAGATCATGCTTTTCCCATGATGCTTTACTGCTCCTATGCTATAGTTAACTGGACTACTTATGTTGGTTCATTGAAGCAACTTTATTCCTAAACAATGTTTGAGGCCCACTTTAGTATGCTTACTCTCCAGTCGTTTTTGTTAAAGCTGTTCCCACTTCTACATGAAATTTTCTAAATCAGAGTTAGATGATTTTTAAGGAAAGGTACAACAAAATCAAGAACATAGGGAAGTTCTATCTGATAGTCTGCTTGCTTCTTCATTTAGTTTTTAAAATCCTTAAAGTCATGTACTAGTTTTTAATGTCTAAATCTTTACTAAAATTTAGAATAATCTCTGGCACAGATGCATACAAAGCATTTATTTAGTGGATGCTATGTGCCAGGCATACCATTAGGACCTTTCTTGCACATTTTCCAACTCTTTAAATTCTAGAATAGTTGCATTTTACAGATGAATAAATTTAATGTCAAAAAATAAGTAACTGGTCTCAAATCACACAACAATTAGGAAATAAAGACAAGATTTTAAATGAGATTCAATACGTCATATTTGTTCCTCTGTCCCATGGCACCTCTATGTACCTAAATTATTTGTGTCGATTCAATTGGTAAGAAACCAGAAGTAATTAATAATATATGGAGATTAGATTTATTGTGATTAAAGATATTTAAAGTATATCTTACTTAATTCTTCCAATAATCCTTACAATTAGGAGGTTTTGTTGTTGTTGTTTGTTTGTGTTTGTTTTTATTTTTGTTTTACATAAAGAAAAGACTTTTAAAGAAATTGGGCTATTTGACAAACAGGTAGAGGGCCAGGCTTCAATGTTCTGTCTGACTTAAAATCCATTCCCTTTACACAATATTATTCTAGTTTTGACAACAGGAGGTTAAACAGGATGCTAGTGCAATACTATAGATATGAAAGGAAAAGTGCCTGGACTATAGCCGTGGAGTTGGAAAGAAAGAGAATAAGAGAAGAATGATGGCTTATTGTGTGGATTTTCTAAGAATGTTTTAATGTGACTTAAAGTAGGGTAAAGCTCAATACACTACAATGACCTCTCAGAAGTCTATAATAAAATTTTATTTAAAAAATCTAATTGCTAATTATTGTTCTAATGCTGGTTTCCTATTCTAATTATAGCTCAACATAAACTCCAAAATTTGTTGGATACAATGTATTTGATTATAAATTCCCAAATGGATATTACTGCCTTTTTCACTTTTCAGGTATAATGTTTTTAAAAAGCCTATAAAAATAGCATACAGATTCTATTACAGTCATATAAAAAGAAAAAAAATCAACTGTTTTACAATTTATTTCAGGGTTGCTTCAGGCATATTTTCTGAAGTAGAAATTCTTGCCCTGTATTTCTGTCTCTTATTCTGAACTTATTCTCAACTTCACCAGAATCATACCTGAATAGTCTATTCGGTCAATAACAATTTATCTTGTAGTAATACAAATCATGTACCAGGTACTGTTAGCCTCTGGAGAAACAAAATGAGTAAGACATGGTCAATGCCCAAAGGAAACTCACAGTCTCTTGGAGTCCTAGGTAAACAAATAGATTCAATACAAGCATGTGAGGTCCTTGCAGAAGTATAGTACTTAGAGGACACAATAGGGGAGAAAAGGAGGAAGGGCCAGTTATTTTTTATTCTTGCAATCTTTGTTCTTAAAGCTAGAATTGGCTTTTGACTCATTGTATATTACATGTTCTAAGCTACATCAATTTTCCACATAAATCTCATCATATCTTCTCCAGTTTAAATTATATTAATGGTTTCCCACCATATAAACTTGAAATCTTATCAGGACAAAAAGTCCTTTAAAAATTCTGGCCCCTGAATACCTCTCATTTCTTATTACACTAAAATATACACCATCACCTTAGCCATATTACAAAAATATGCAGTTCAACAAGTAATGCCACAATTCCTGCCTCTGTGATTTCACAAAGAACATTCCTTCTATCCAAAATATTGAAGAGAAATATTATAAACTCTCTTTCTTCTAGCCAGCTCCAAACTAAATTTTCTTGTAGCTGTTTCTTCTACCTAATATCCATCTAATTTCAGCTCAAGAGTCACATTCTCCAGAAATCCTTCCAACCCTAGATTTTAATTTCAGTGCACATACCCTGACTCCCACAACAGTATGTTTATGAGGCTAATGCTGAACTGTTAAATTTTTTATGCTACATAGCAAATTGGCAAAAACTTAGCAGCTTCAAACCACACACATTTACCTAACATTTTCTGTGGATCATAATTCTGGGAACAGATAAGCTGGGTGCTTACTCAAGGATATAATCAAGGTGTCTAAAAAGGCTAGTTTCTCATCTGCAGGCTGAATGGGAAAGGATCTGCTTCAAGCTCACTTAATTGGGTTGGCATAATTCTTTTTATTGTACCTGTACAACTCATGGCTGTTTCCTCCTTTAATGACAGTAACAAGAACACATCTTGGAGCAAGAAGAATTCTTATATAACATGAAGGATTCATAACCTGTCATCTTTGCCATATTTTATTGGTTAAAAACAAGCCACAGATTCTGCCCACACTTAAGCAGAGAGGATTATACGAAGGTATGAACATCAAAATGTGAATATCATAAGGGCCACCTTAAAGTTTGTTCAAAATGGTTGTCATCACTGATTTATAACCCTGTTTTCTCAATTAGGCTGTGAGAAAGTGAAGGGCAAGGAACATGGCTTACCTGACTTTGTGTCCCCAGTAAACAGCACTCTGTGTTCGGTATATGAGATACTTAAACTTTGATTCACTGACTAAAGTGTTACTTCTGATACAAATTATTTTATATTTTGTTAAAGAAATATGATAAATTCATTATAAAATCACTTCCTAAAGTAACGACATTTTCATTGTAATTCTCATAGCCATATTCAAAATAGATGTGAACAAATTTGTATATTTAATAGAAAATTAAACAAGCTTAAGTATTTTGAACCAATGAATGAACAGAGTATCTGTGCCTTATAAAGATACAGTTAATTTACCTACACACATTTGGAAAAATGCGTTTTGAGAGAAGGGGGTCATCTTAATTTTAAATATTTCTTGTTGCCACAATGAAACATATTGAAGCTATACAAAGTGAAAAGCAATTAACTTTTCATAAAAATACTCAAAAATGGTAGGATCTAAAAATAAATGAATATAAATTTGTGATTATAAAGTATCATAGATAATACCCTTTTCTCTTATTCTTTGATTATCACTATGATGTATTGTTTGGGATTTTTAGAAATGCAATAATTAGTGTGATGCATGAATCAAGAGAACAAAAACACTATGCATTTTTATTGACTATTTAAAGTAAAACAGAAATTATGGATGTATTAGAAGAGATTAGTGACCTACAGAATATCAGGTGCCATAGCAAATTAACTAACAGACTTGGTTTGTATTACAAAACTGTTAAAGTAAATTCATATACTTGGGAATGCAGAAATATAAATTGTGCTCCGAGGCTGTCCTGTATACTCCAGAGAAAGAAACCTTGTTTTGCAGAATCCCGTTCTAATAAATTGGCTAATTAAAAGTAGTGTTGATGGATTTCAAATGCTTTTATCTACACTTCAGGCAAAAATGACACATTTTAAAAGAACAGAGCCTACATTATTAATTTGCATTTATAGTATAATAAAGAAGTTCAAGATTGGAATGTAAGTACAATGAAATGATGTCAGTAGTGTAGACTTAGTCAACACAAGTAATTAATTTCCTTAATTTGTCATTAAAATTTGCACAATGGTAGCTATGAGGTCAGCTGACATAGCTCTACTGCCAGGCAGCAGAACTAAATGTACCTTGGCTCCAGGGATTTCATTTACAGCTTTTAGACTACCTAAAAAAAGTTCACAGAGCTCTTGTTCCACTTATTTCTGTGTTGGCTAAAAGAATATATGTCACGAGGAACCGTTTGTTCAAAGTCCCCCCAGTCCATTCACAAGAGACCTGCTAAATTGAGCACTCAATACTGGGCTCTCCAAAGATGAAAAAAATAATAGTTCATTTGTGTATTGTGGACAAAACAAATAAAGCATAGCCTTATTGTACTCTTACTTAGAATATGCCCTTGGGCTTAGCACATGTTGCTTCCAGAAGTGGGCATTCTTCAGAATAAATGTAGATGGTAAGAATGCAGTATTAGTGACTGCTTCTGAACAATCTGTACTTTGAGTGCTGCTGGGGCCACACTTAAAATGGCCTTCTTTTAAGGTCTTGTTTCTTTTTTAAAAAGTACAGGGTGAGGGGAGAGGGGAGGGATAGCATTAGGAGATATACCTAATGTAAATGAGGAGTTAATGGGTGCAGCACACCAACATGGCACATGTATACATATGTAACAAACCTGCACGTTGTGCACATGTACCCTAAAACTGAAAGTATAATAAAAAAAGTATGGATTATAAAACACATACAAAATATTTTACCAAGCAAAAATATATAGAACATGTAATTGTCACAAATTGAATGTCCACATACCTACCAATCTTGGACAAGAAATGGAGATTTACCATCACTCCAGATAACTCCCTCATCTTCTATCCCAATCACTACTTGTTGTATCCCCCCGAGGTTATGACTGTCCCATCTTTTATGGTAAATCACTCTCTTGATTGTTCTGATAGCAGTACATTGATGTAAAGATTTTTCCCCATATAATCACAGGAGTTTTGTCTTTCGCATTTATATATAACATTTCCCTAAAATTAGTTCATTTATACATATGATTTTTAATATATGCTATGAGGCGGGAGTCAATTGGCAAACAATATTCTTTTCTTACTGTTTTGCAGTGCCACCTGTGTCATAAATTACATGAATGTGCCTGTTCTTGGTCTCTTTATTTTAATTCTACCAGTTTGTCTCTTTTGCCAATACCACACTCTCATATGTCTTGATATGTAGTACAATGAGTTTAACTACTTCAAACTTTGATGGTATCTTGTATTTTAATTAAGATAGCATGTAATTTATGAATAGTTTTAATAAAATAGACATCTTTACAATATTGAGTCTTCTAGTTGATGAATTAATATTCTCATCCACTTATATAGGTTTTCCTTTTATATTTTTAGGAACATTGTATAGTTTTCTGCCTAGAGATCTTTTCCATTTTTGATTGATTTTTCCAGTAACTCTTAGCTTGAGTTCCTACAGAAGCAGAACTTGAGACAAAGATTTTAAGTCTAAGAAATTTATTTGGGAGGAGATCTCTAGAAACATTAGTAGGGAACTAAAAGTGAGATGGGTTAAAAAAAAAAAAGAAGTCAATAAAAGGTATAATCAAGTAGGTTACAATTGTGGAAAACTGGGGCTTAATCTTTCTGAAACACAATATGAAATATTTCTCAGTTATCCCACTTGATGAGACAGAAAGCTACAGTGTTTGTCCTCCAGTTATCTGCTTGTGTCACTGATGGAGGGCCCTTTCCCAGATTATATATTCTCTTTAAGTTATTGCTTTCCTTGTACATCAGTCAATCTTGCTCTTGAAAACCATCCCCTCCCCGCCAAAAAAAATCCTTCAGGAAAGAGTTTCAGGTGATCATAGTATAACACCATCAGAGTGTAGAAGTGAGTACTCAGAAAATATGGAAAGGCCACAGACATTGCAAAAATCAAACTCTCACTCCTCACAGTCTCATTCCTCCTATTAGGGCTTGATGACCCCTAGCATCATGTGATTGGTCAAGTCAAATGACGCAAGTGTTAAGGCCACTTGTATTATAATTCACACCAATTGTAAAGCTCACTAAGCCACACTCAAAATTGGCATCTTTCTGGGTAACCTGATAAGTGCGATACAGAGATATTACATGCTGTCTCCAAAATCCAAAGAGATCAAGACTCTTTGGTGGGAGGTTCAGTGTTCAATATGTGTCATTTACCTTGAAGGAGATGTCTTGCCATGCCCTTGACTAACAGACACCCAACAGCTTTAGCAATGAGCAAGCCCTCTGAGTTTCTATAGGGTTTATTTCCCACTCTGGCACACAGGTGTTTACCAGTGAATCTAGAATAGTTGCAATTTCCTGCCCACTAAATCCTTTTAACTTGATGTTATCACCATAGTATATAGTGGGCCAGATGGTCAAGTCCTACAGAGCATGTTGCCACGCAGAGGTGGAGAGTTAACATAGCCCTGGAGCAAGATGATGACTAGTGTCATACAATTATTGCCAGTTGAATATGAGCTGTTTCCAATCCTCTTTCTTTTTCCTTTTTAATTGAAAGATAAAATCATATGTATTTATCATGTACAACATGATGTTTTGAAGTATATTTACATTGTAAAATGGTTAAGTCTGATTAACAAATCCATTACCTCACATTTTTGTGGTGAGAAGACTTAACATCTATTCTCTTTGCATTTGACCCTCTTTCTTGATAGAAATTGTAAATAGAGCATTTGGCAGATAAATACCCACATACCAAATGCTACAGTCTATTCTAATCTATTCTTGATGAGATACCATATTCAGCCCTGTGATTAAAGCCATCACTTGGTTAAGTTTACAGCAACACATTACTATTCACCATCATCTATCTTATTTTTGCAAGACCTAGCCTGGTGAATTAAGCAAAAGTATGATGTAGACCACAACTGAATCTTTTTTGTTTTTGAGGATGGAAGTGACATCTGCCATTTTACCAAAGTTGCTATGTGTCTTCTGATTTACAGCCTTGACTTGGGAGTGAGGGAGGGTGCAGTTTCAGAGCTCCTACTTGTTTTCCTACCACTATGATTCTTCCTACACAGTTCAAGGAGTTCATATGAGTGCTCCATCAAGTGACAAATAACTACAATCGCAAATTTGCAATGGGGGACCAAGAAAATGATCATAGGGGTAGAGATGCAGAACCACTAACCCTACTCAAACTGGATGACCATGATGTTGTGTTGGAATTTCAGTTACCCACGTCACCTTAGCCTTTGTATCCAATAGCTTTCTAAGGATCTGAGTATTCTCTTTTCCTCAGGATACAGACACTCTGGTAAATAGTTATAGTCACTTCAGGGAATAATTAGAGGAACTGCTTTTTTCAAGGGTGTCCGCCTTCCCTTTCAACTCATGCATCCTGCATCTTAGAAATAGCTTAAATTTGGAAACAAGGCAAAGGATCATAATTTTTTATTATAGTGGCTGGCATCATTCTTCTACTCATCTCTAATTATTTTTGGATGTATACTCCAACTAATACCCTTATTGAACTCCTATTTATCTCACCCTTGGAAATACCGTCATCTTCTAACCATTAGCACAGAACCCTGTGAGTCAAGACCCCATGCATGCCATTCTGGCCTTGCTGCAAATGTTTACCTTGCTTCTCACAATTTAGTGCCACAATTCTAAGATCTTTTCACTGGTGACTTTTGCTATGGTCTGAATGTTGGTGTCTCCCCAGTATTCATGTGTTAAAACTTGATCCCCAATGCAATATGATTAAAAGGTGGGGCCTTTGGGAAGTGATTGTTTTATGAGAGCTTCAGTCTCATGAATTGAATTAATTGCCATATAAAAGAGGTTGATTGAAGTATCCCAGCCTCTTACTCCTTTTCCCCTATATGAGGACACATTTTCTCCTTCCACCATGTGAAAACACAGACAAGTTTCCATCTATAAAGAACAGGCTCTCATCAGAAACTGAATCTGCTGGTACCTTGATCTGGGACTTCCCAGCCTCCAGAACTGAGAGAAATACATTTCTGTTGTTTATAAATTACCCAGTCTAAGGTATTTTTTGTTATAGCAACTTAAATGGACTAAGACAACTGCATAGCAGCAAGCCTACTGATAATACTGGTCTACAGGGTATAGCTACCATAAAGCTTCCCAACGATACCTCTACTACCACACTAGGGGATTTCTTATCGCTGTAGTGAAAGAATATCTTATGAGAATATAGTCACCTGGTGAGTTCTCTGGCCATACATAATAAATCAGGTAAGGACTTTGTATATTCTCTAATCAAGAAACATCTGCTTTTCTTTAGCAATGGGCTGCTATCCTGTCATAAAGGGAAGCAGGTAATGTATAATCCCAGATCATTCAATGGAATGTAGGGATTCAAAGTTATCAAGAATACCCACAGAAATATTCCCACTCTATCTCAGAGTGTGTCTTCTTTCCTAATTAGCACAACAGTCTTGCTAAGAGTTAATTTAAACTTGTATGTATCTTCATTACTCTCAAAATCAGATTTTCAGCATTCACTATAGTCTGCCCTCCACTTGCAGGACACAAGGCTCTTCTAAATGATGCCCTAAAGGCCTCAAGAATGTATCCTAAATTAATAAATTCATTGTCCTAATTTCATAATTTTATTTCCTCAGTGTTCAATGTCAGTTAACAACAACCAATCAACTCCCCAATCTTTATAATTATTATTGTTCTGGCCAGGTGCAGTGGCTCACGCCTGTAATCCCAGCACTTTGGGAGGCCGAGTCAGGTGGATCACTCGAGGTCAGGAATTCAAGACCATCCTGGTCAATATGGGAAGACCCCGTCGCTACTAAAAATACAAAAGTTAGCTGGGCGTGGTGGCTGTAATCCCAGCTACTTGGGAGGCTGAGGCATGAGAATTACTTGAACCCAGAAGACGGAGGTTGCAGTGAGCTGATAACGTGCCACTGCACTCCAGCCTGGGCAACAGAGTGAGACTGTGCCTGAAAATAATAATAATAATAACTATTATTATTCCATATCTGTCAAATGCTAGTAATAGCGCATAAACCAGTATATTCCCTCTCACCTATATGCCATCCCAATTTGATCCTATAGTATGCCAAAAATTATTTTTTACCCCATTCACCATCAACAACGAGTACTTGTACTTACCACACTAACACATTACCAAAATTCTATAATCTATATAGATGATCTGCATATGCTACCATTGTTACTAATTGTCTTACTTTGGTTCCCCCAGAAGAAGACCCCAGAGCAAAGAATCAAGTGCAAGAATTTATTTTGGGAAGATATCCCAGAAATCTGCCAAGAGTCTAGGGAATTAAGACAAGGAAGGAAGCAAATAAAGGATACATTATCAAGCAAGTTACCACTATGGGCAACTAGGACTTAATTCCACTAGTGAACTATGGAAGGTAATGAAAAAAGATACCTCACACTTATCTTAACCAAGGGTCAAACAATCTAGAGTATTTGTCTACCACATATACAAATCCGTCATTAATGAGGGCATTTTCCAGAACTATTACCTTGCAGGCACTTTTGACTTTCCTTCCAGATGGCCCATAGTGCCCCTGAAGTCAGACAGAGGTCCTCAGTGAAGGAACTACAGGTGTTCCCAGTAAGTACCCATCAGAGCATAGAAGGGGATGCCCTGGTTTAGGCTGGAATGCTAACAGAGTGTGATATATTAGGTAAAAAAATTTTTTTTAACTTTTTATTTTGAAACAACCTTGTATCTAAAGATTTTTTAAAAATAATAAGTTTTATATATACTTCACTCACTTTCTCCACATGTAGTGACAATGTTAAACATTCTATTACATTTGCTTTGGAGGAAGGGCATTCTCTTATATAACTAATGAAAAATTATTAAGTCAATACAGTGTTATTGATACAAAACAATTATATAGTCTATAGATCATATTCAAATTTTGGCAATTATCACTCTCATTTTCTTTATAGCAAAAATAAAAATCCAATTAAAATAGCTTTTATTTATTATAGCTCCTTTAAACTGAAAATGTCCTTTAGTCTTTGTCTTTCATGAACACGATATTTTTGAAGCGTATATACACTTAATTCATATAATGACACCCAATTTTGGTGTGTCTGTTGTTTCACATGATCAGATTTACCTAACGCAGTTTCAGCAGGAATGTCAACCATAGAAGTGATGCTGGATCCTCACTGCAACATATCAGGAGGCACACGGTATCTATTCGTCTCATGGCTGGTAGTGCTAACTTTGATCACTTTGTCCTGGTGGTATCTGCCAAGCTTCCCCATTGGAAGAGTATTATTTTTCTATTTTAATTAATATGCATCTTGTTGGAGGTGCTTTGGAAACTACATAAATATACCGTTTCTTATCAAATTTTCACTTTCTAGTTTTAGCAGCCACTTGTCAGTGATTACAATTGTGGTTGCCAAATGGTGCCTTTTTAAATCCCATTACTTCTGCAAATTAATAATTGGCATCCCACCATAAAAGATTTCCTTTCTCTACATATAATTTATTCATTTATTTTTATCAGTGTGTACTCATAAATTTTAATGTCAATCTATAAGTTATAATTCACTAATATAATTATTTATTTTGATGCTCAAATTGACCCAGATTTGCTCCATAGTAGTCCTTCCAAACTGGCTTCTCTGCTTGCCCCCATATTTTTTTTTAACACTTCCTTACATTTTTGGTAGAGCAGGATGTTCTAGGTTTATTATGCACTCTCCCAGGTCCAGCTGTGGAATCAGCCATATTTTAAATGGGCCTGGATACCTGATAGTGGAGGATGTGACTCAGAATTCAAAATCTAGTGTTTTCTATCTTTATCTAAATATCTATCTATCTATCTATCTATCTATCTATCATCTATATATCTATCATTCTATCTGTTTAAGCATGAGTTTATACTAATACCTCAAATTTCAATCACATATTGCAAGGTTCATTCAAGTATTCCCCCTTTCCATCTTTGCAATTCCCTACTTGACATTGAAAAATCTGGCTCCCACTATCCAAAAATATTTTCTCATTTGCTCAATCTTGGAATACTCATTGAACTCCAGAAGTGCTAACCCATACCTTATGAAAAAAGAAACCTACTCATAAGTTTAAATGGTTTATAGTTTGACTAATCTTTAGCTTAATGGTATATCATTAACATAATAGTTCTAGTCACTTGAGGAAGTTCTTGCCTTCATCCTTTACAGGGGTGACTAAATTATACCCTTGAAATACATTCTGATTCATTTGTTTCTCTTTGCAATGTTGATTTCATATTTTTAAAGGCATAAATTGGCTTAGTCAAAACTGTACAGAAATTTCACTCAGAGAAGTGAGTGATCCTCCCTTTCCTGTTCCTCCAGCCTTTCACCTCATTTCCACATACCTCCATTAGTTTTAGATTTATCGTTCCTGTGTTTCTTTTTGCACAAATGAATAAATATGTGTATATTTCCTCATTCTTCCTGTTTTCTTATATTTTCTTTTTTCACTTAATAATTTATCCTGAAAATCACTCTGTTTCAATCATTATTTTTTCTTACTGTTTCATTTTCATTGCGGTTTTTTTAACCTTGGGTTTTAGCAGTTTATTACAATTTCAAAATACTGGGGATTTTGAATTATGTTTTAGTTTTCTTTTTAATAATTGATTTCTGGCTTAATTACATGCTCTCAGATTCTTTATTCTAAATTTTTATAACCACTTAAAATATAAAAATTATTTGCGGGCTGTACAAAAACAAGCCATGGGCTGAATTTAGTTTCCTCATCCCTGCTTTACACGTATCTTTTATTTGTCAGAGTTGAATATTAATTTACCTTCCTCTTCAACAATTACATTTATCCCACTCTAACTTAGAAACTATCCTTGCTATCTGTTTTGATTCTTCATGTATTTTAAACTTGCCCTAAATACTTACTCAGTGAACAATCACTTAGACTTAATGACATATTTAACCTTTTCATTGTTTATTCCTTCCTGCATTCTGATCTTCATCTGGGATCATTTTCCTTCTTTTTAAAGAAACCACTATTGCAGTGCCACCAGTGATAAATTCTCTCAATTTCTGTTTGATACTTCATTCTTGAGAACAATTTTACTGGATATAGAATTCTACATTTGCAATTATTTTTCTTTGGCTATCTAAAAAAGATAATTCTATTGTCTTCTGGCCTCCTTGCTTTATTGAGAAGCTATTAATGTAATTGTTGCTCTTTTGAAAGTAACCTTTCCTTTTTTTGTAACTTCCTTTAAGATTTTCTTTCATATTGGTTAAATCAGTTATATTATACTGTGCCCATTTTTTTTTAAATGCTATATTTATACTTTTTTTAAAATTTTATTATTATACTTTAAGTTTTAGGGTATATATGCACAACGTGCAGGTTTGTTACATATGTATACATGTGCCATGTTGGTGTGCTGCACCCATTAACTCATCATTTAGCATTAGGTATATCTCCTAATGCTATCCCTACCCCCTCCCCCCACCCCACAACAGGCCCTGGTGTGTGATGTTCCCCTTCCTGTGTCCATGTGTTCTCATTGTTCAATATTGTTCAATTGCCTATATGGTTTTATTTTGTATTTTGAACTTTTTATATTTAGATAATTGAAATTTAAATGCATTTATTAGAAATAAAACCTAGAGGAGGAGCCAAGATGGCCGAATAGGAACAGCTCCGGTCTACAGCTCCCAGCGTGAGCGACGCAGAAGACGGGTGATTTCTGCATTTCCATCTGAGGTACCGGGTTCATCTCACTAGGGAGTGCCAGACAGTGGGCGCAGGCCAGTGTGTGTGCGCACCGTGCGCAAGCCGAAGCAGGGCGAGGCATTGCCTCACCTGGGAAGCGCAAGGGGTCAGGGAGTTCCCTTTCCCAGTCAAAGAAAGGGGTGACGGACGCACCTGGAAAATCGGGTCACTCCCACCTGAATATTGCGCTTTTCAGACCGGCTTAAGAAACGGCACACCACGAGACTATATCCCACACCTGGCTCAGAGGGTCCTACGCCCACGGAATCTCGCTGATTGCTAGCACAGCAGTCTGAGATCAAACTGCAAGGCGGCAATGAGGCTGGGGGAGGGGCACCCGCCATTGCCCAGGCTTGCTTAGGTAAACAAAGCAGCCGGGAAGCTCGAACTGGGTGGAGCCCACCACAGCTCAAGGAGGCCTGCCTGCCTCTGTAGGCTCCACCTCTGGGGGCAGGGCACAGACAAACAAAAAGACAGCAGTAACCTCTGCAGACTTAAGTGTCCCTGTCTGACAGCTTTGAAGAGAGCAGTGGTTCTCCCAGCATGCAGCTGGAGATCTGAGAACGGGCAGACTGCCTCCTCAAGTGGGTCCCTGACCCCTGACCCCCGAGCAGCCTAACTGGGAGGCACCCCCCAGCAGGGGCACACTGACACCTCACACGGCAGGGTATTCCAACAGACCTGCAGCTGAGGGTCCTGTCTGTTAGAAGGAAAACTAACAACCAGAAAGGACATCTACACCGAAAACCCATCTGTACATCACCATCATCAAAGACCAAAAGTAGATAAAACCACAAAGATGGGGAAAAAACAGAACAGAAAAACTGGAAACTCTAAAACGCAGAGCGCCTCTCCTCCTCCAAAGGAACGCAGTTCCTCACCAGCAACAGAACAAAGCTGGATGGAGAATGATTTTGACGAGCTGAGAGAAGAAGGCTTCAGACGATCAAATTACTCTGAGCTACGGGAGGACATTCAAACCAAAGGCAAAGAAGTTGAAAACTTTGAAAAAAATTTAGAAGAATGTATAACTAGAATAACCAATACAGAGAAGTGCTTAAAGGAGCTGATGGAGCTGAAAACCAAGGCTCGAGAACTACGTGAAGAATGCAGAAGCCTCAGGAGCCGATGCGATCAACTGGAAGAAAGGGTATCAGCAATGGAAGATGAAATGAATGAAATGAAGCGAGAAGGGAAGTTTAGAGAAAAAAGAATAAAAAGAAATGAGCAGAGCCTCCAAGAAATATGGGACTATGTGAAAAGACCAAATCTACGTCTGATTGGTGTACCTGAAAGTGATGTGGAGAATGGAACCAAGTTGGAAAACACTCTGCAGGATATTATCCAGGAGAACTTCCCCAATCTAGCAAGGCAGGCCAACATTCAGATTCAGGAAATACAGAGAACGCCACAAAGATACTCCTCGAGAAGAGCAACTCCAAGACACATAATTGTCAGATTCACCAAAGTTGAAATGAAGGAAAAAATGTTAAGGGCAGCCAGAGAGAAAGGTCGGGTTACCCTCAAAGGAAAGCCCATCAGACTAACAGCGGATCTCTCAGCAGAAACCCTACAAGCCAGAAGAGAGTGGGGGCCAATATTCATCATTCTTAAAGAAAAGAATTTTCAACCCAGAATTTCATATCCAGCCAAACTAAGCTTCATAAGTGAAGGAGAAATAAAATACTTTATAGACAAGCAAATGCTGAGAGATTTTGTCACCACCAGGCCTGCCCTAAAAGAGCTCCTGAAGGAAGCGCTAAACATGGAAAGGAACAACCGGTACCAGCCGCTGCAAAATCATGCCAAAATGTAAAGACCATTGAGACTAGGAAGAAACTGCATCAACTAATGAGCAAAATCACCAGCTAACATCATAATGACAGGATCAAATTCACACATAACAATATTAACTTTAAATATACATGGACTAAATTCTGCAATTAAAAGACACAGACTGGCAAGTTGGATAAAGACTCAAGACTCATCAGTGTGCTGTATTCAGGAAACCCATCTCACGTGCAGAGACACACATAGGCTCAAAATAAAAGGATGGAGGAAGATCTACCAAGCAAATGGAAAACAAAAAAAGGCAGGGGTTGCAATCCTAGTCTCTGATAAAACAGACTTTAAACCAACAAAGATCAAAAGAGACAAAGAAGGCCATTACATAATGGTAAAGGGATCAATTCAACAAGAGGAGCTAACTATCCTAAATATTTATGCACCCAATACAGGAGCACCCAGATTCATAAAGCAAATCCTGAGTGACCTACAAAGAGACTTAGACTCCCACACATTAATAATGGGAGACTTTAACACCCCACTGTCAACATTAGACAGATCAACGAGACAGAAAGTCAACAAGGATACCCAGGAATTGAACTCAGCTCTGCACCAAGCAGACCTAATAGACATCTACAGAACTCTCCACCCCAAATCAACAGAATATACATTTTTTTCAGCACCACACCACACCTATTCCAAAATTGACCACATAGTTGGAAGTAAAGCTCTCCTCAGCAAATGTAAAAGAACAGAAATTATAACAAACTATCTCTCAGACCACAGTGCAATCAAACTAGAACTCAGGATTAAGAATCTCACTCAAAGCCGCTCAACTACATGGAAACTGATCAACCTGCTCCTGAATGACTACTGGGTACGTAACGAAATGAAGGCAGAAATAAAGATGTTCTTTGAAACCAACGAGAACAAAGACACCACATACCAGAATCTCTGGGACGCATTCAAAGCAGTGTGTAGAGGGAAATTTATAGCACTAAATGCCTACAAGAGAAAGCAGGAAAGATCCAAAATTGACACCCTAACATCACAATTAAAAGAACTAGAAAAGCAAGAGCAAACACATTCAAAAGCTAGCAGAAGGCAAGAAATAACTAAAATCAGAGCAGAACTGAAGGAAATAGAGACACAAAAAACCCTTCAAAAAATCAATGAATCCAGGAGCTGGTTTTTTGAAAGGATCAACAAAATTGATAGACCGCTAGCAAGACTAATAAAGAAAAAAAGAGAGAAGAATCAAATAGACACAATAAAAAATGATAAAGGGGATATCACCACCGATCCCACAGAAATACAAACTACCATCAGAGAATACTACAAACACCTCTACGCAAATAAACTAGAAAATCTAGAAGAAATGGATACATTCCTCGACACATACACTCTCCCAAGACTAAACCAGGAAGAAGTTGAATCTCTGAATAGACCAATAACAGGCTCTGAAATTGTGGCAATAATCAATAGTTTACCAACCAAAAAGAGTCCAGGACCAGATGGATTCACAGCCGAATTCTACAAGAGGTACAAGGAGGAACTGGTACCATTCCTTCTGAAACTATTCCAATCAATAGAAAAAGAGGGAATCCTCCCTAACTCATTTTATGAGGCCAGCATCATTCTGATACCAAAGTCGGGCAGAGACACAACCAAAAAAGAGAATTTCAGACCAATATCCTTGATGAACATTGATGCAAAAATCCTCAATAAAATACTGGCAAACCGAATCCAGCAGCACATCAAAAAGCTTATCCACCATAATCAAGTGGGCTTCATCCCTGGGATGCAAGGCTGGTTCAATATACGCAAATCAATAAATGTAATCCAGCATATAAACAGAGCCAAAGACAAAAACCACATGATTATCTCAATAGATGCAGAAAAAGCCTTTGACAAAATTCAGCAACCCTTCATGCTAAAAACTCTCAATAAATTAGGTATTGATGGGACGTATTTCAAAATAATAAGAGCTATCTATGACAAACCCACAGCCAATATCATACTGAATGGGCAAAAACTGGAAGCATTCCCTTTGAAAACTGGCACAAGACAGGGATGCCCTCTCTCACCGCTCCTATTCAACACAGTGTTGGAAGTTCTGGCCAGGGCAATCAGGCAGGAGAAGGAAATAAAGGGTATTCAATTAGGAAAAGAGGAAGTCAAATTGTCCCTGTTTGCAGACGACATGATTGTTTATCTAGAAAACCCCATCGTCTCAGCCCAAAATCTCCTTAAGCTGATAAGCAACTTCAGCAAAGTCTCAGGATACAAAATCAATGTACAAAAATCACAAGCATTCTTATACACCAACAACAGACAAACAGAGAGCCAAATCATGAGTGAATTCCCATTCACAATTGTTTCAAAGAGAATAAAATACCTAGGAATCCAACTTACAAGGGATGTGAAGGACCTCTTCAAGGAGAACTACAAACCACTGCTCAAGGAAATAAAAGAGGACACAAACAAATGGAAGAACATTCCATGCTCATGGGTAGGAAGAATCAATATCGTGAAAATGGCCATACTGCCCAAGGTAATTTACAGATTCAATGCCATCCCCATCAAGCTACCAATGACTTTCTTCACAGAATTGGAAAAAACTACTTTAAAGTTCATATGGAACCAAAAAAGAGCCCGCATCGCCAAGTCAATCCTAAGCCAAAAGAACAAAGCTGGAGGCATCACACTACCTGACTTCAAACTATACTACAAGGCTACAGTAACCAAAACAGCATGGTACTGGTACCAAAACAGAGATATAGATCAATGGAACAGAACAGAGCCCTCAGAAATAATGCCGCATATCTACAACTATCTGATCTTTGACAAACCTGAGAAAAACAAGCAATGGGGAAAGGATTCCCTATTTAATAAATGGTGCTGGGAAAACTGGCTAGCCATATGTAGAAAGCTGAAACTGGATCCCTTCCTTACACCTTATACAAAAATCAATTCAAGATGGATTAAAGATTTAAACGTTAGACCTAAAACCATAAAAACCCTAGAAGAAAACCTAGGCATTACCATTCAGGACATAGGCATGGGCAAGGACTTCATGTCCAAAACACCAAAAGCAATGGCAACAAAAGCCAAAATTGACAAATGGGATCTAATTAAACTAAAGAGCTTCTGCACAGCAAAAGAAACTACCATCAGAGTGAACAGGCAACCTACAGAATGGGAGAAAATTTTCGCAACCTACTCATCTGACAAAGGGCTAATATCCAGAATCTACAATGAACTCAAACAAATTTACAAGAAAAAAACAAACAACCCCATCAAAAAGTGGGCGAAGGACATGAACAGACACTTCTCAAAAGAAGACATTTATGCAGCCAAAAAACACATGAAGAAATGCTCATCATCACTGGCCATCAGAGAAATGCAAATCAGAACCACTATGAGATATCATCTCACACCAGTTAGAATGGCAATCATTAAAAAGTCAGGAAACAACAGGTGCTGGAGAGGATGTGGAGAAATAGGAACACTTTTACACTGTTGGTGGGACTGTAAACTAGTTCAACCATTGTGGAAGTCAGTGTGGCGATTCCTCAGGGATCTAGAACTAGAAATACCATTTGACCCAGCCATCCCATTAATGGGTATATACCCAAAGGACTATAAATCATGCTGCTATAAAGACACATGCACACGTATGTTTATTGCGGCACTATTCACAATAGCAAAGACTTGGAACCAACCCAAATGTCCAACAATGATAGACTGGATTAAGAAAATGTGGCACATATACACCATGGAATACTATGCAGCCATAAAAAATGATGAGTTCATGTCCTTTGTAGGGACATGGATGAAATTGGAAACCATCATTCTCAGTAAACTATCGCAAGAACAAAAAACCAAACACCGCATATTCTCACTCATAGGTGGGAATTGAACAATGAGATCACATGGACACAGGAAGGGGAATATCACACTCTGGGGACTGTGGTGGGATCGGGGGAGGGGGGAGGGATAGCATTGGGAGATATACCTAATGCTAGATGACACGTTAGTGGGTGCAGCGCACCAGCATGGCACATGTATACATATGTAACTAACCCGCACAATGTGCACATGTACCCTAAAACTTAGAGTATAATAATAAAAAAAAAAATTTAAAAAAAAAAAAAAAAAGAAAATTAAAAAGTAAAAAAAAAAAAAAAAAAAAGAAAAGAAATAAAACCTAGAGATCCACACATCCTTCACCCAGTATCCCCCAATGTAACACCTTGTATTATGGAACAATAAGATGACCAGGGAATTGACATAGATACAATATATCCTCCTTATTAAGAGCTCACCAGTTTTATATGCCCTTATGTGTGTATGTGGGTATATTTATTTCTACCCAATTTTATTATGTGTAACCACTGCCACAGTCAAACTACAGGACAGATCCATGACCACAAGGGTCCCTCTTGCTGCCCTTAGAATGACTGGACTCACTTTCTCTCACCCCCACCCCTCCACTTCCAGTGGCAATCACTAATCTATTTTAATAGTTTATCATTTTGAAATTGTTACGTAAGTAGAATCATACAGTATGTAGTTTTTAAATACATATTTTTAATTAAAAAATTGAAAATTACATACTATATGATTTTCTCATTCATGGTAACTCCATGGATATTCATCTAAGTTGTAAAAGTCTATTTTTATTCAACTTTATTGCTAAGTAGTTTTCTATAGTAAATATGTACCCACCCACCTCCTAAAGGACATATGCGGAGTTTCCATTTTGGGGCTATTACAAATAAAGCTGCTATGAACATTCTTGTATAGGATTTTGTGTAACTATATGTTTTCATTTCTCTGGTATAAATGACCAAGAGTATAACTGCTGAGTCATATGGTAACTTTGACAAAATTCAACAGCCCTTCATGCTAAAAACTCTCAATAAATTAGGTATTGATGGGATGTATCTCAAAATAATAAGAGCTATTTATGACAAACCCACAGTCAATATCATACTGAATGGGCAAAAACTGGAAGCATTCCCTTTGAAAACTGGCACAAGACAGGGATGACCTCTCTCACCATAGTGTTGGAAGTTCTGGCCAGGGCAATCAGGCAGAAGAAAGAAAGAGTATTCAATTAGGAAAAGAAGAAGTCAAATTTTCCCTGTTTGCAGATGACATGATTGTATATTTAGAAAACCCCATCGTCTCAGCCCAAAATCTCCTTAAGCTGATAAGCAACTTCAGCAAAGTCTTAGGATACAAAATGAATGTGCAAAAATCACAAGCATTCTTATACACCAATAACACACAAACAGAGTAGCCAAATCATGAGTGCACTCCCATTCACAATTGCTTCAAAGAGAATAAAATACCTAGGAATCCAACTTACAAGGGATGTGAAGGACCTCTTCAAGGAGAACTACAAACCACTGCTCAACGAAATAAAAGAGGACACAAACAAATGGAAGAACATTCCATGCTCATGGATAGGAAGAATCAATATCATGAAAATGGCCATACTGCCCAAGGTAATTTATAGATTCAATGCCTTCCCCATCAAGCTACCAATGACTTTCTTCACAGAATTGGAAAAAACTACTTTAAAGTTCATATGGAACCAAAAAAGAGCCTCCATGGCCAAGTCCATCCTAAGCCAAAAGAACAAAGCTGGAGACATCACGCTACCTGACTTCAAACTATCCTACAAGGCTACAGTAACCAAAACAGCATGGTACTGGTACTAAAACAGAGATATAGACCAATGGAACAGAACAGAGCCCTCAGAAATAATACCACACATCTACAACCATCCGATCTTTGACAAACATGGCAAAAACAAGAAATGGGGAAAGGATTCCCTATTTAATAAGTGGTGTTGGGAAAACTGGCTAGCCGTAAGTAGAAAGCTGAAACTGGATCCCATACACCTTATACAAAAATTAATTCAAGATGGATTAAAGACTTAAATGTTCTAATATTTAAGTTTTAAGACACTGACAAATTATTTTTTAGGGTGACTGTGCTATTTTACATTCCCACCAGCCATGTAATACAGTTTCTTTACATCATTGTTAGCACTTGGTATTGTCATTCTTTTTAATTTTAGCCATACTGCTAAGTACATACTGACATCTCCTTGCATATTTAAATTGCATTTCCTTAATGGTTATTGGTGTTAAACATGTTTATTGGCCACTTCATTCTTCTTCAGTAAAATGACGGTTCATGTTTTTGGCCCATTTTCTAATTGGTTATTTGGTGTTTTTGCTGTTGAGTTTTGAGAGTTCTTTATATATTCTAGATACCAATATGTTGTCAAATATATTCTCCCAGTTTATAACTTGTCTTCTAATCCTCTTAACAGGGTCTTTTGCAAAGTAAAAGTTTTTAAATTTGATGAGGTCTAATTTAACAATTTTTATTTATGGGTCATATTTTTGGTACCAAGACTAACAACTCTTTGCCTATTCCTAAAAGACCATTCAAATTCTACCTTTTTAGTTGTGACGTTCACCTTCAGAGCCTAATGATGCTATGTAAGAAGTTCAGCTATCCTGAGGCCCAGATGCTTCATGGAAGTCCTGACAACATTTAGATATTTTAAATGACAGTTCTACAGTGAAGTCTAAGCTGACAGCCAGCATCAACCACCAAACTTGTGAGTGAACAAGTCTTCAGATGATTTCAGACTCCAGACAGCAAGTTACCCCTATCCCAACTGAAGTCTAAGACATCGTGGAAAAGAGATAAGCCATCCCCCTCCACTGCCCATTCCAAATTTCGGACTCACAAAATCCATGAACATAATAAATGCTATAACGTTTTGGTTTGTTGTATGGAAATAATAACGGAAACAGTGATCATCTGCAAGATGGGCTCCACTGTAGTATTTTTCTTCCAATTCTGTCATTAGAAACACAGCAAGAGCTGCTCTTCTCAGTTCTGTCCCCACTGAGTTTGTAATTTCAGAAGGAATGGGAATAATCTATCTAATTGATGTAGTTGACACCTAAGATTAACTCATAAGAGACTATCTTAATACTATTAGCTCAACAACAATAACAACAATAGAAACTAAACTTTTTTCAATAATCAGAAATTGCTGATGACTAGAAAGTAGTTATTTTGCCTTTTTATTTCATTGATACATAATATTTTCCATATTTATGAGGTACATGCAATATTTTGTTCCATGCATAGACTGTGTGATAATTAAGTGAGGGTATTTGAAAGCTAAAAATGTTATTTTTGCTTTCTCATCACCCACTTGTGGTAGTCATCTTCCGATGTCAGCAATTAACAATAGAACTTTAACAAATCTCCTTCTTATTCAGTTTTATTCCTTATCTGTTTACCCTGTGGGTTTAAGCAATTTATGCAGTTTTAATATCAATTTTCACATATATAAAAAAGAATAATAATGTTTACCTCTAAATATGTTGGGGGATTTAATTAAGGACATGTAAATGAAAGAGCCTATTATATTATCTAAGCATATTAAAAGTGCTAAAAAGTATGCTAATCGAATCTAAATTTAAAATAAATAAGGCAGTATCTGTATGATTAAAAAATTCCTAATTTGATTAATGTTATCAGCCACATCAATTATTTTTCTTTCTAATAAATCTATTAATTATTTATTTTGATATTTTAAGTAGTTGCATAAGATTTTTAGATCACATAGCACCAATAGCAAGAAAGTAGTCACTATCTGAGGAATATTATAAAGGAAGGTAATGAAAGTTGTTGTCCACAAACTTGCAGGTGCTAAATTGCTGTGCTTACTATTTACAGGCAAGAAACATTAATTGTGCTTTGTAATTTTGATATAACACTCACCTGCTGCTAAATCTATGTTAGACAATTAATTAAACAATTAAACAATTTAATTTACTTAATTGATACATATTTTACATATTTATGGTGTACATGCGATATTTTGTTACATGCATAGAATGTGTGATAATCAAGTCAGGGTATCTGAAAGCTAAAAATGTTATTTTTGCTTTCTCATCACCCACTTGCAGTATTCATCTTCCAATGTCAGCAATTAACAATAGATCTTTAACAAATCCCTTCCTTATTCAGTTTTATTCCTTAACTGTTTACCCTTGAGGGTTTAAAACTTAAAATAGCAAGAAATACTTTATGTATTTCCAACTCTAAGGAAAACATTTTAGTAAAAACCATTATTTAAATTGTCATATTCTATGGGAGATAGGACTAAGAATCTCAAAAATTACATTTAATGATGCAATTGGCATTGCTTGAGAATTAAACATATCTAGATTAGCAGGTAGGAAGAAAAGGCCTAAAGGGAGTGAGATGGAGTGCAAAGGGATAAAAAATAAAGTTGGGCCTTGCTTAGAATGAATGGCAAATTTAAAGCTATCCTAAAAGCCTATAAAGATTTATTATAGAGAAAATGGTGCCCAGCTGTTCTCCATCCCTAAAGAGATAACACCACAGGAAACTGGTTTAAATTGCATTAGGAGGATTGTGGTTCCATATAGGAAAAGTTAGATTGAGAGTGGAGAGAGATGCATGGTTGCTAAGGGGAATGTGGTCACCTCCACTCTGAGGAAGGGTCTGTATCTAAAAAACCCATGATCTCTCTGAATTTACAAAAACCCTCTCTTGGGTCTTCTCAGAGTATACACATGAAGGGTGGTCTACTAAATAAATACTTTCTTGATAAAAGATATGCCAAAACCACCTCCAGTGGAAGAAAGAATTTCCTGAGAGGATTAAGCACTAGATTGGGGAATTTTAAAGTTTTGGTATCCCTTTCACGGTGCATTTTTAAGAAAGAAAGATTTTTTTCTGCCTGAAATGATTTACTCAACCCTCCTTAGAGAAACACCAGTCATTGTGTCAAGGACAGTCTTCTTGATAAATTTTATGCAGAAATTTTTGTCATTTTACATAGGGAAAAACTAAGGCTCAATGACTTGGCAATATTCCAACAGCATATATGTAGTGGTGCCATTACTCAAATTCCAGAAATTGAGCCATCCAGGGTTAAAACATGTTCAGCAAAGCCACACTGTGAATGAAATTCTGGGCTTACTTTTGGTTACAGACAGAAGCTTGCTATCAATCAACACAGAACAATCAATTGAGCTATATCAAAGAACCTGACTTCACTAATAATCCAGTCTATTCTCTCAGAAGTCAGTGTACTGACTCTGGTATATTAAACTTGGTATATTAATCCTGATCTCTGGTATACTAAGCATCATCCATTTTTTAACGTATTCAACAAATATTTATGGAGCCCTTATTATGTGCCAGGACCTCTTCTAGTGCTGTGAAGAAAGCAGAAAACAAGGCAGATATGGTTATTGTCCTCAAAGACCTTACATTCTAGAGAGTTTAAATAGATAATAAAAAGTAATAATAATGACTTTCAACATTTACTGGGCACATTATATGTCCCAAACATTGTATAAATAATATAATCTTCATAGTAACTCAATAAGTTAGTTAAGATCATTATATACATAACAGAGAAGGAAAATGGAACACAGAGAGGTTAAATAACTTGTTCTAGACAAGACAAGTAAAAATTGGCAAAACCAGTCTGCTTGGGTGCCGAGTTCATGCTTTTAACGATTATCTCATAGCAAAAATTCTGATTAATTTTGAGTGGTAAGTTTGCAAAAACTTCAACTGTCACTTTTATCTCCATATAAATGGAAAGAAATAAAAAGACAGGACAAAAAAGGAAAGAAAGAAAATCAGTACATTGGAAGGGTAGAAGGTGAGAGTCATATTAATTTTCAAATGTTTTGTTAAAAATGCCTCTGATAAGTTGATATGCAAGCGGAGGAATGAAAGACAAGGAAAGCTAGCCATGGGGAAACCTTTCTGAAAAGCATTCAAGACAGGAGCAGAAAACGCCAAGGATATGAGGTAAGAGCAACCTGGTTACCTCCAGATTGAACTAAAAAAGCCAGTTGCTGAAGTAGTGATGGGAGAGAATTATATGAAATGACATCAAAGAAAATGCCAATGGCCAAATCACGTTTATTCACTTCTAAAATGCCTTTCTCATCTCTCCTGTTTCAATAGTGCCAAACAAATGCCAAGCAAAATTCTTACTTATTCCAAAATATGTTCCCAACCAATACTGTTCTGGTAATACTCTCCATTCTAAACAACTGTAGCATTTACTATAATAAATTAACAGCTGACATTTATTACCGATTTACTATATTCTGCTGTTCTAAGCATTTGCTTAACCCATTTACTCCATAACAACTGAAGCAGATTCTATTATTATCCTGACAGCTGGAAACATTGAAACAAAGTAGTTCAGTAATTTGTCACAAAATTTTCTGGTTAATAAGTAGAGGAGCTGAAATGCAAACCCAGGTGATTTAGTTCAAGATCTCAGACTCAATCTCTACATTATGGCATCTTGGATTATCTTGAATGGATCACTTATTGGACATGAAGTTATGAAACTGTATATACTATTTAGCTATCTTTTGTGTAGAGATTGTCTCCAAATACATTGTCTATTTCTCAAAGGCAGACACGTAGTCATATACTTTATCATCATGATTCTCATAGTGACATAAAAATAATGGAATATTTAGAATATATATTATATATACATGACTATCTTGCAGTGTGTTTATGTATTTATATTTTTAACAAATAATTTGTTTATAATGGTAATTCATAAAACATTTATCTAACTTGGTAGATACTTCTCCACACAACAAAATATTTCTCATTCTTCAATGATTGCTTCAGATATTTACTGCTCTAATAAAAATCATTATCGGATTTTGTCTGATTGCTCTGGCTAGGACTTCCAGTTCTATGTTGAATAGAAGTGGTGAGAGTGGGCATCCTTGTCTTGTTTGAGTTCTCAGGTCTAATGCTTTCAAATTTCCCTGTTCAGTATTATGTTGGCTGTTGGTTTTGTCATAGATGGCTTTTATTACATTAAGGTATGCCCCTTGTATGCTGATTTTGCTGAGGGTTTTAAGCATAAAGGGATGCTGAATTTTTGTCAAAAGCTTTTTCTGCATCTATTGAGATGATCATGTAATTTTTGTTTTTAATTCTGTTTATGTCATGTATCACATTTATTGACTTGTGTATGTTAAACCATCCTTGCATCCCTGGCATAAAACCCACTGGATCATGGTGGATTATCTTTTTGATATGGTATGGATTTGGTTAGCTAGTATTTTCTTAAGGATTTTTGCATCTATATTCATCAGGGATATTGGTCTGTAGTTTTCTATTTTGTCATGTCCTTTACGGTTTTGGTATTAGGCTAATATTATCTTCATAGAACAATTTAGGGAGGATTCTCTCTTTCTCCACCTTGTGGAATAGTGTCAGTATGACTGGTACCAATTCTTCTTTGCATGTCTGATAAAATTTAGCTGTGAATTCATTTGATCCTGGACTCTTTTTGTTGGCATTTTTTTTATTACCATTTCAATCTCACTGCTTATTTTTGGTCTACTCAGAGTTTCTATTTCATCCTCATTTAAACTAAGAGGGTTGTATATTTCCAGGAATTTACCCATCTCTGCTAGATTTTCTAGTTTATGCATGTAAAGGTGTTCATAGTAACCCTGAATGATCTTTTGTATTTCTGAGGTATCCCAGTTGCAATATCTTCCATTTCATTTCTAATTGAGCTTATTTGGATCTGCTCTCTTCTTTCCTTGGTTAATCGTGCTAATTGTCTATCAATTTTATTTATCTTTCCAAAGAATCAAGCTTTTTGTTTCATTTATCTTTTGTACTATTTGTTTCAATTTCATTTAGTTCTGCTCTGATCTTTGTTACTGCTTTTCTTCTGCTGGGTTTGGGTTTGGTTTGTTCTTGTTTCTCTAATTACTTGAGGACTGACCTTAGATTGTCTATTTGTGCTGTTTCTGACTCTTCGATGTAGGCATTTAATGCTATAAGCTTTCGTCTTAGAACCACTTTTTTTCTGTATTCAGGAGGTTTTGATAGGTTGTGTCACTATTATCATTCAGTTCAATTCTCAATTTCACAATATAGCCACTGTGGGGGATGAAGATGTGGCTCTCAGGCCAATGCAGTTATGTTCAGGGGGGATTATGGCTGCCTCTGCTGCATCATAGAGGTCGCCAGGGAAGTGGGGAAAAGTCAGCAGTGACTAGCCTCACCCAGCTCCTACCTAGCCAGAAAGGCCAGTCTTACTCCCACTGTGCCCCACCAGCAGCACCGAGTTCATATCCAGGTAGCGAGTGAGCAGGGCTGAGATCTTGCCCCAGGATACAGGCCTCCCTGCTGAGGAAGCAAGCCGGACTTTCAGGATTTGCCCCACTCTGCCTGCCATGGCTTCTGTGCTTCCTATTCACCAGCAACCCCCCGCCCCCACCCTCCCTGACCCTCGCATTCTGCCCAGGAAAATTTGTTTTAGGTCAAAATTAATTACAGAAGTTCAGCTTGAAGTTTCGTTTTCCCTGTGTTCATTCCCTAATTCCACTGGCAGCCCTCCTCAAAGACCCCTGAGAGATAAAGTCAGAAATGGCTTTTCTGGGCTTCCCTGGGGGTCGGGAGTGCCTACAGGGCTCTTCCCACTGTTTCTTCTACTTTTACATTTCGCTCAGCTCTTGAAATTCATTTCAGCCTAGGTAAGGTTAAATCCTTTTCCTATGATCTGAAATTTAGGTTCCCCAGTGAGAATGTGTGTTCAGAGGTGGACTTTCCCACTCTCACACTTTGAGCACTCATTTTTTCAGCTGTGTCATGGAGTTTGCAGTGGCATACCACTTCTTTCAAAAAGTCTGTGAATTATTTTGGTTTTGCTGGTATGTTCCTGCAGTAGTTCTTGGAGGAAAAGTTCACAATGTGAGTTTCCACACATTGTTCTGTTAGTCCAAGTGGGAGCTGAAAGTTAGTCTTGCCTCCTATCTGCCATTTTCCCAGCAAATACCAGATGATACATTTAATCAGAACTTATTAGAAAAAAAGAACATAAGTTTTTTATATTCATGGGATAATCAATACTAAATAAAAATAAATGTTTTCAATAAAAGTAAATATATGTTTGGATGCTCCAGTGGTGCAATCAGTTAGTGCATGGTATGTATTTGGTAATATGTGTGTGAGAAAATATATGTTTCAGCATATATGTGTTAACTTTAGAAACTAAAGCTCAATCAGAAATAATATTATGGGCAAGCACAGTCGTTTGTTTCCTTGTGTGCTTTTGTTTTCTACTGGTTAAAATTTAAGTGACATAAGTGATCATTTATTTAATATCTTCTGTTTTATTTTATTTCATTTTATAGTACATAGAGTATCTGTCAGTATTTTAGAAAGTATTTGTAATTATTTGGTTAGCCTGTTTTTCTCACTAGCCCAGGAAATTCTAGAAGGCAGGGGCTATATTTACTCTGTTAGTTACTGTCCCCACACCAGGAATGGATACACAGTATACTTCATAAATTTTTGGTGACCAGGTAAATTAGATACCATGCAGTAAAGAAAGAGAAACAAAAAGATGCTCATATCACATTAATTCACACTAAAGTTTGATAACCTATTTATCTCTTTCACTGTACTAAGGTTTCCCCAAAGGCATGAATAATTTGTGTTCATATTTGTCCCAGAATGTATCACTATGAATAATATGTAGGTACTCAATAAATATATATTAAAGTAAATTGAACTGCATGGAAAACAGTGTGGTTGAATAGGAAATGACTGATGCAGAAAGGGCAATACAACCCAGCTTGCTGGGTAGATAATGGAAGTGAAGGAAACAAAAGCCAAAGATAATACAGGTTTCTAAGGACATGTTATCCTATCTCAAGAAGTTAACACTTTTGAGACACTGTACATCCAAGCATAAGATATTTTTTTGTCAACACAAGGCACCAAAATAGTTATGACAGGAAAATAGATATTATGTGATGTTATGACAGAAAGACCTTCATGAAGAGGAAAAGCTTTAGGAATTTATTAAGTTAGCTATAGTAAGTAATGAGGATGCCTATAGTTACAGTAATTATCTCTCCAGACTTTCCGACATACTACCAATTTCATATAGTTGGCCCACTGAACTACTGCTATTCAACATGGATGGAACTGAAGGCCGTTATGTTAAGTGAAATAAGCTAAGCACAGAAAGACAAATGTAGCATATTCTCACTCATATGTAGGAGCTAAAAAAAAAATGGATCTCTTAAAGACAGAGAGCAGAATGGTGATTACCTGAGGCCTGAAAATGTAGGGGTAGGGGGAGATAAAGGGAGAAAAAGGAATATAAATCTATTTTTCCCACTGAACTGTATACTTAAAAATGGTAAATATGGTAAATTTTATATGTCTATTTTAGCTAAACTTTAAAAATATAAATTAACTACTGCTATTATAGTATTCCAGAAATTCTAAAAGTGAAGCACCCAAAATACATTGACCACCTACTCTCAGTACAAGGAAAAAGTAAAAGGAAGAAATATTGAGAGCACGCCTCCAATTGAAAGAGTTCTGAAATATGGTTAACACACTGTAAGAATATGGGCTCCCCAAATTAAAGTTGATCAGATTAGTCAGTGGCAAAATCTGCAGTCATTTTTCTCATATAAAAGTCTATGTTAGTCCTATTAACTATGTTAGTAACAGCCTAAAATGTTGAAGATGTGAATGGAATAAACAGTCCTGTCACTCTAGCTTTAATAAAAGAAAATTCTGACAATCCCAAATCAAGGTAAATCTTACAACAAAAAACAAAAATTAATATATGGCAGGCATTTTCTCAATATCGCTACATTTAATTCTCAGAAAAACCTAGGGAGATAGGTGTTATTTCCATTTTACAGATAGAGTGAGATTCAGCACCATAACACAGGAAATAAAATGTGGTGCTAGAATTTGTACCAAGTCTGTTCAAACCTAAGGTTGGTCCTCTTAACACTATCACAAAAAAATTTCTCATATAAGATTCAATAATCTGCTATGAAATGATCCCTAACTCCATTGTTGGAGGGCTCTTCTAAAATAGAAGTTGAAAAAAAAGGAAAGGATTGAATATCTGTAAGACAGCTGAGCTTCCTTTATTGCATCTTAGGTAATGAGCTTATGACTTGAAATATGATTGACTTTATTTATCTCGAAATGTGTAAGAACCATATTTGACTTGCATTCCTAAACTTTTTAAGCCCTAACCACAACTGAAATTCAGCATTCAGGAAGTTTGCAGATAAGCACTTACTTAGAGGTTGTTATCAGAGTTAGTTAACAAGCCAAAATAACTCAAATGATGAATCTCGACTGCCTTTATTCCTTGTATTACATTGCATGTTACCCATATAGAAATACTGGGGCTGGGAAACCCCAGGTGCTGAAGGTGGGGTGAGGTTTTCGCAATGATATTGGACTTTCAAGACATCACAAACTAATACAAAAAGAGATAATTTATTTTTAGCAGTTGAGCTTTCCCTTTAATTTTAGCTTCTACTTCCCAAATCCAGTTTTATTAAAAACAGCTTGAATCATGAGCCGTAAAATTAAAGGAAATCTCTGTGATATTGAACCTAGAACTCACTGGTTCCCCACCTGAGTTGTTAGAAGCACTTCCAAAATTGAATAAAGGGACTAATTATAGTCATTGTTTATTTAAACGTTTTGTTTTAATAAAAAGATCCCCAAGAAATATAAAATTCTGCCAAGAGGAAGCCTAAGATCGCTCCTCCAGAGGTCTATAAAAAGCAGTACATGTAGTGGGCAAAGCATGGGTTCTAGGGCAGGATTGTTTACAGGTTCCATTACAGCTTTATCATGCTCTTGCTATGTGATAGAAGGCAAGTTATTCAAACTTTCTGTGCCTCAATTTTCTTATCTGCAAAGTTGGGGTAATAATAGTTCTTACTTCACTGGATTCTTGTGAGAAATGATTGAATTTATAGAAGCAGAGCACAAAACAACACCTGCACACAAGTACTTTAAAATTACTAGCTATTATTAAAGAGATTTCTCACCTTTTGTATTCCTTTCCATATCCCTTCCCAGTTGAAATTCTATAAAAAGCCAAAGATGTTAATATCTGTGTTGTTCTGTTAATTCATAATTTCTTGAAGGATTATATTCAAAAGATACATTTAAAAGGTTAAATGGGAGCCAACAGGAGATATTGGATCTAGCCCTGACTTTCTAAAAATTTGTCTGAATTTGCAAAATCAAAGCATATCTATTGGAGTATTTTTTCTCATTAGCTAATCAATAGGATGAACCACGTCAGCATACTCTAAAGCTTGTGCTATGATAAATTTACTGTAATGACAATATTATTTTGAAATATTTATATATACTTTCATAACCTATAAAGTTCCTTTTGCTGCGTACCATCCAACCCATTGAGTCAATATCATTGGTCTCCTACGGTGGAGTCTACCTAGAACCAAGTGGTCCTTCTTTAGGTTTGAACTATAAAGTTTACTATATTATTCTTTCAGAATCAATCTCAAGATAACAGTATAGAGAATAAAGATTGTTTATGAGAATCTTTGATAGAAAACGGATTTCTAAAGGTTTTAAGTTTATGTTACATATGCAAGCACCAGTAAGCAAGTATCTTATAGCTGACATATCAGTTATCTAGGCCGGGTGCGGTGGCTCACGCCTGTAATCCCAGCACTTTGGGAGGCCGAGGTGGGTGGATCACGAGGTCAGGAGATCGAGATCATCCTGGCTAACATGGTGAAACCACGTCTCTACTAAAAATACAAAAAATTAGCCAGGCGTGGTGGCGGGCCTGTGGTCCCAGCTACTTGGGAGGCTGAGACAGGAGAATGGCGTGAACCTGGGAGGTGGAGCTTGCAGTGAGCCGAGATGGCGCCACTGCACTCCAGCCTGGGCGACAAAGCGAGACTCCGTCTCAAAAAACAAACAAAACGAAACAACAGAAAAAAAAGATGTCAGATATTTATATCTTGTAGAGTGAAAGAAGGAAGAGGGATTCAAACAGGGAAAGTATAATAAATAAGAGATACATGCACATGGATGCATCCTCTTAGTTGGGGTGGGGGTTGTGGTGAGGGTAGTCTACTGGCTGTGTTTCTTTGTTACATAGTTTGAGGAGAAAGTCAAAAGCTTCCCTGATGTGGGAACCCTGATGAAACCCCAATGCATAGGTTTTCTCATTTATATGAATCCTTCAGTGTATATCCTAGAGCTGGAACCTAACAGATCCTCATTAAATATTTGCTGAATTTGTTTGCTTTCCATTTGTGATTTTATAGAATTACCTAAATGTTTTGGAATCTATAATCATGGTGAAGATAATGTCAACACTACACTAAAATTAACATTTTGAATTTGAAAAATGAAACTGTCTTGAGAAGGCATTATATGTACCATCATTATGTCTAGATCTACATGTGAAGGTTGAGGAAAGAATACTTGGTTTGCACTAGGCAGTATCGCATATAACAAAATTGAATATGCATGACAGTCTTATGTAAAACGTCTTGTACCCATTTTACAGATGAGTTAATGACGAAGTTCCTAATTTTTTTTTTTTTTTTTTTTTTTTTTTGAGACGGAGTCTCGCTCCATCGCCCAGGCTGGACTGCAGTGGCATGATCTTGGCTCACTGCAACCTCCGCCTCCGGGGTTCACGCCATTCTCCTGCCTCAGCCTCCCAAGTAGCTGGGACTACAGGCGCCCACCACCATGCCCAGCTAATTTTTTGTATTTTTAGTTGAGACGGGGTTTCACCGTGTTAGCCAGGATAGCCTCGATCTCCTGACCTCGTGATCTGCTCACCTCGGCCTCCCAAAGTGTTAGGATTACAGGCATGAGCCACCGCGCCCGGCCGGAAGTTCCTAATTTATTTAAGGTTGCTGTCTTAGTCCATTTGTGCTGCTACAACAGAATTATCACAGATTCAAAACAAATGCTGCATCTTTACATGGTGGAAGGCTTGGAAGGGGCAAACTCAACCACTTAAGCCCTTTTATAAGGTTCTAAGCTACTCCTGAGGGCAACGGCCTCATAGCTTAATCATCTCCTAAAGGCCTCATTCTTAATGTTGCATTGGGGATTACATTTTCACATACATTTTGGAGGGGACAAATATTCAAACCACAGCAGTTATATAACCCTTCAATAGGTAAGACTAACATTTAAATTCAATCTTGTCAGACTCCCTAGTTTAGCCCTTTCCACTAAATAAACTATGCCTGTAAGAATGGAATTTAAATCTCTGTTGTTCATATTTCACATTTCTAATGGCTTACAACAGGTTACTATTGAAAAAAATCTATGGTCATATTAAACACTTGAAAATATTCTAAAAATTATGCTAAGCCACATTTTAAAGTCAATTATATAACTATACCTATATCTATCTATATATCTCCAGAAATTTTGTCTTTAGTTTTCTTGTAAACACGTTTTAAATTAAGAATAAAAGACAAAGAAAAACGTAATTTGAGTATTATTAAGTTCTTAATGCCTGAATATACCTTGATATTCCTTGAAATTTTGAAACTCAGGAGGGTAATGTATCTAGGCATAATTCTTTTTTAAAAGTCACTCACACCTGGTTCTATTTTCAATGTATTGGGTTTTATGAATTAGTTTTTCACAAAAAGCACTTATGCCTAAATTTATTCTGCTCTAAGTGCAGACATCCCTAAGGTTCATAGTGAATATGGCATTATAGCAATGGTTTGTGTTATGATTAAAGCAAATTATTCTTATATGCCATCCATTTAAACAGTATAATATCCATTTCATGTTCTGGAAGTAATTTTTAGTAAGTATTTTTGCCATATCCATTAATGGTGAAGCAATAGAAAACACCAATGGAGACTTAAACATGTCTGGATTTGAATTTCCCATTAATATGGCATTTTAATGACAGATAGCATCATGCCTGTCTCTAGTGAGGGGTATTTCTTACTTTGTCAATGAGATCATATTTCTGTGCTTGTAACACATAAGCACAAGCTTGTGCTTCTATAATAAAAAAATTTTAAAATCTAGACAGCATATAATTTAAACCAGTATTTCCAAAAGTGTATTCCTTTACTTGTTAATAGGTTTCTTCCCCCTACCCTCAGCAAGAAAACCTTAAGTGGCCTACTGTTGGTTGGACCCTTTGTTTGCGAGTACAAAAACTCCAACCAGGAAGGAGAGAGATCAACCAGAGACTCACAACTCTCAGCTGATTTGCTATTTCTGTCTTTGATTCTCTCTGTTAGGTTGTCTACATTCTTTCTGGACAGTTCACAGCAATGGTGATAGTGAGCTCCAAATTTATATCTTAGCATTTGCAACCAGCACAGATAAAGGGCCTCACCAAATCAATGTAGAAAACATGTTGAAGGACTTTGATCTAGCTTGGCTCATAGGTTCATTACTAAGCCAATCCTTGTGCCATGGAATATAGATACTTAGTCCCACCCCTGTGGCCAGTGGGGAGACAGCTATAATCAGAAGTAAGTTTGGGGAAATGGTGTTAGCAAAGGTATAACAAGAGTCAAAACATTTGAACAGGTCTCTGTACTGTTTGCCATCTCAGAGTCTTCAATACGCTAATATGAATCATAAATCTGTACACAAGGAGGACATTATGTGCAATGCTTCTAAACATTGGAATACAGAAATTTCTTAATGGGCCATCCTGTGAGATTAATGTGTTATATGGATACAAATGTACCACATAATCTTCTTTAGTTTCTGTTATTGATTGAACAGTCTTCATGAACTACCACTGCTGAGTGGAAGGCCTGATTGAGGTGTACATTTATAGAATGAGTGAGTATGTGAATACGGTAACTTTAACTGCCAATCAAAAATACCTCATATTTTTCAAGTTTAGTTTCTACTTATAAATTTGTCTCTCTTGGTGTAATGTACAATTAGTTAAATTACCTCTCGCTCCTCCTCAAGTGGGCCTCTGGCTACATGGTTAAGGATGGAGTTGTTTATGTGTTATGATGTCTGTGCTTTTTCCTCTGGATGCTTGCCATCCTGTGCTATGAAATGTATGTTTGGGCCCCTTGGCTCCCTTCACTGAGGTTTGCTGAGGTATAGCTTGTAACCTTAGAATTTATTCGGCCCAGGTAGGGCTTTTTGCCCTTCTTTTGCTAAATGGTTTTACCTCAGCTCTTGCTAGTAGTACACTCCCACCTAATACCAAAATGTCTTGCATTCAGTCCTTGGCCAAGGCTTTCTTTTCCAAATTAAGGGCAATCTCTCCATTTGCCATGCTCCCTCATGGTCCCAATTTTGATTGTTAACTAATGTGATTCCTTTTCCTATGTGATATCATCCCCCACATCATCCCCCAAGGAGTGTTAATATAGTCTACCCTAAATATCTGCTAGAAATATAAATGAAGCCACAAATCTGAGACACATATGTAATTTTAAATTAAAAGCAACATTTTTTTTTGCTGTTGTTTTTTGTTTTTTGAGATGTAGTCTTGCTCTGCTGCCCAGGCTGGAGTGCAGTGGTATGATCTTGGCTCAATGCAACCTCCACCTCCCGGGTTCAAGCAATTCTCCTGCCTTAGCCTCCTGATTAGCTGAGATTACAGGCACCTGCACTACATCCAGCTAATTTTTGTATTTTTAGTAGAGACAGGGTTTCATCATGTTGGCCAGGCTGGTCTCAAACTCCTGACCTCAAGTGATCCACCCGCATCGGCCTCCCAAAGTGCTGGGATTACAGGCGTGAACCACCATACCCAGCCAAAAGCCACACTTTTAAAAGGAAAGTGAAAAAGTAAAAGTAATGTTAACATGATTTTATAATTAAATAACATGTTAAAATATTAATCCAATACATTCAAAATATTGTCTTTTTATATGCAATCCACAAAAATATTGAGATTTTTTTTTTTTTTTTTGGACTGAGCCTTCAAAATCTGGTGCATACTTTGCACTCACCACCTAGTTCAACTCTAGTGCCCAACAGCCACAAACCTTTAGCACCTACCATCTTGGACAGCACAGCTTAGGGCATGTGTCACCCAATCACAGTAAAGCAGATGCTCCCACACAGGATTTGAGTCTCAAGACAGTGGTATAAAGTCTCAGTCAGCCAGAGTTTGTTCGCACTGATTGCTGTGGTGGAGTTTAGTTAGCAGCATGGAGTAAGGTATCCTGTGGTAACAAGTGTCCACTGGCAACTGAGCCAGTCATGTGTCCTAGGTCAGCCATCCTACAGCAGGGTAGCCAGCAATTCTTGTTTCCTGCGTGAACCTGATTCTCTAACATTCATATGATCTTCATAACACTCTTTCAATACATTTATCTGCTGGCAATATGCAGCATAATTGGTAGTTTTGTTCGTGATTGGGAACCCTAACTGACAAAGAGATTTTAGAATAGTGAAGTAAATTTAGAGAACTGAAAAGAAAGATATAAAGCCCTGTGGAGGTTTGGGGTGAGCACTCAAGTAAAAACTCAGGTATAAATGTTAAGGATAGGTAGGACTTCAGTAAATGGATATGGGTTGAAATAGAAAATTTCAATCCTTTGCCTTCCTTATTACCTTCATTTAATAAATGTATCCAACCAACAAAGTTATGCGTAATGATAGCAACAAAAATCTAGAAAAAGTAATACGCAAAAGACAAAAAGTCTGATATTTCAGCCCTGATATTACCTGGAAAGAACGTTTAATATCTCTGGACACCATCTCATTTCCATCCATAGGGTGATAGAGTTTGATTAGATTACAAGATCTCAAAGACTATGATAGTGATAACAAGTTGGCCATAGGGCAAATGATTTTTGGATGAATGAAGAGGTAAATAAATACATAGATAGCAAAGGAACAAATACAAAATAAGAAAAAAATCTTCATTTAGCAACTTATAACAAGTTGAGATTTCTTAAAGGGAAAACTCATTTTACTGAGGAAATTTGTGAAAAATCTGTTCGAATAGGGAAAAAAGATGAATTCTGTAATTCGTACTGAAATTTAAAACATGTTTATTGGATAGGAACAGTGGCTCATGCCTGTAATCACAACACTTTGAGAGGCCAAGGAGGGAGGATCTCTTGAGCTCAGAAGTTCAAGACCAGCCTGGCAAAATAGAAAAACCTCATCTCTACAGAAAAAAAAAAAAAATAGCTGGATATGATGGCACATCCCTATGACCCCAGCTACTCAGGAGGCTGAGGCAGGAGAATCACTTGAGCCCAGAAGGTCAAGGCTGCAGTGAGCCATGATCACACAGCTGCACTCTAGCCTGGAGGAGACTGAGACACTGTCTCAAAAAAAAAATATATTATGCAAAATTTTTCTGCAAAATAAAAGTACAAGAATTTTGAAATTCATAATGAACTGCATGTTCAACTGATGAATTGCATGTTCAACTGATGAACTGCATGTTCAACTAAAATTCACAGATGAACTGCAGTCTTTAAGGGTAGAATCAGGAAGGGTAGTATAGTGTGGCAGGATGGGTGGTGGAGAAGAAATCCTCCAGTAGGCAGAGGAAGAAGAAGATGGAACAGTGCTTTGTCTAATAGTTCCATCTCAAAATAAATGCTACATGCTGTGAAATGTGAGCCTTCTTAAGAGCCTTCAATTTTAGTCTAAACTTCCGCAAACATAAGTATCAACGGGATAAATTTCTTATAGAAAATCCCAGTTAATGGAGCTGTGTTCTGCTCTCTAGTTGAGTATGGAAAAGTGTCAGGCCACATAGACTAGAGAACAATTGAAACCAGAGTCATAGAGTAAACATCCAATAAACCTTTGTCAAATTAAATGAGAATAAATGCATAATATCTTTAAAATGTTAACACTCATCTCCAGTGTTTTAATCCCCAAAATTGACTCATCGAGAAATATCAGGCAATGAGACTGCCTGATACAATTTAATAAGGGCTTAACTAGGGAAAATTCACAAAGTTCAAACATATCTCTTATTTTAGAATTTTAGAGTACCTACAGATCAAATTCTGATGGCCCAAAGGTTTTGGCAACTTCAAGGCGAAAGATGTAAAATATGTTTGACTCTATGTTTTAGCAAAAATATATTTATCATTATCATAGAATCATAGAAATCCATTAGTACAACCTTCATTTCATAGGCTTCAAGTATTTTTTATGTTTAAATGCTGATTTTCTGAGGTTCCATTTAATATTCTTATTCTGTCTGTTGAAGTCTGCACCCAAGCTAGCTGAAAAAAATATGCCAGCAATACCAGTAATAAGAATACAAGGGGAGAATAAGTAGAAGTGGAAAGAATAAATTAAGAAGCCTGGATGAAATGGCCCCCTTAGGAAGTGTGAGACTCAATGTAAATATTAATGATCTGTGGGCAGGACAGAATGGAGCCAGAGAAGGGGAAAAGAATGGAATCTACATACCTTATGATTGCCTGTGAAAATAATGGAGACCACATATCTTATGATTACCCTGAGAGATAGTATAGTGTTACAATTAAAACTTCAAGCATAAACACATGAGCATAATTGGCATTTTTTGTTAGAACAGAAACTGGAGCTTTATATGGCCTGTTACAATAAAGTTAATTTATAATGCAGTATAAATATGTACTCTAGAAAAAGACTACTGGGGGAGGGGCCAAGATGGCCAGTTAGAAGCAGCTGCAGTCTGTGGCACTCACAGAAAGGAATGAAAAGGAGTAAGTGCATATAGCACCTTCAACTGAAATATTGAGGTTCTTGCATAAAGAGTGATTAGGGAAACAACTCAACCCACAGAAAACGAAGAAAAGCAAGGTGGGGCGAAGGCCCACACAGGAGCAAGGTGGAGCCAAGGGAACCCCCACCTCCAGCCAAGGGAAGTGGTAAGTAATTGTGGGACCGTGGGAGGAATCCACGCTTCTTCCACGGATCTTTGCAACCCATGGATAAGGAGATCCCCTTGTGATCCCATGCCACCAGGACTATGGGGCAGACACATAGAGCAGTGTGAAGTCTTGGCAGAACAGATGCTCAGGCAGGTACAAAGACCCAGGAACTTTACATACTTCAGCCCTGGGATCCCCAAAAAACATGTCTGCAACTCAGGCAATGGGAGGTCTACACATACTCCTAGGAAGGTGGACAGAATCCAGGGAGCTGGGCAGCATCATTCTGCAGGCCCCACTTCCACTGCAATTCACCAGATAAAACCCCCTGGCTTGGAATTCCAACCAGCCACCAGCAACAGGGTGTAGCCTGCCTGAAATTGGATGGAGCCCCCATGGGGAGGGGCAGGCACCATCTCTGCTGTTTGGTCAATTCAGCCATTCTAGCTTGTGGGCTTTGGAGAGCCCAAACAGTCTGGATGAGGAAGGGTCCCCCCAGCAGCATAGCACAGCTGCTTTGCCAGATCATGGCCAAACTGCTTCTTTAAGCTGGGCCTGATCACTGGGTGAGACCTCCTAGCTAGGCTAGGAGGTCAGCCATGCCTGCCTGCCCACACATGTTAAGGACAGAGCTCTGACCTCTCCATGGGATGAAGTGCCTAAAGGAAGGAGGGCTACCACCTGGGTTGGTTGGATGACTCAGCCCTTCCAGCCTGCAAGCTTTGGAGAGTCCAAGCTGACAGGGGCAAATGTTGTTCCCCAACATGATACAGCTGTTTTGTCGAGGCGTGGCCAGATTACTTCTTTAAGCAGCACCTCAATCCACTCCTCCTGGTAAATTGGATCCTCCCAGCCAGGTCCTCGAAGACAGACCTCCAGCCAGCCCCGCCTATGTTCTATGGGCCAACAGAGCTCTAATTTCTCCCTGGGATGAAGTGCCTGAGGGGTGGGGCAGGCCACCACCTTGGCCTTTTGGGCTTCTCAGCCAGTCCAGCTTGTGGGCATTGGAGAGCCCAAACCAACTGGGGCCTGAAGGGATACCCAACACAACACAGCCGCTCTACTAAAAAGCAGCCAGACTCTTTCTTTAAGTGGGTCCCTGATCCCGTTCCTCCTGACTGGGAGAAGGATCTCCCAACCGGATTCTCCAGCCACCTCCTACAGGCACATTAGGGCCAGCAATATGTCAGTAACCCGTTGGGACAGAGCCTCCAGAGGAAGGGTCAGGCTGCCATTTTTGCTGTTTTGCAGCTTTCACTGGTGATACCTCCCAGGATGGGGAAAACATGAGCCAACTAGGGTCTGGAGTGGCTCCCCCAGCATACCACAGCAGCCCCATGGAAGAATGACCTGTTAAAAAAACCCGAAAGAAACAGAAAACAACAACAACAACAATAACAACAACAACAAAACCCACACACACACAAAAACATGTAAAGGTCAGCAGCCTTGAAGACTGAAGGTAGATAAGCCCACAAACATGAGAAAGAATCAATGCAAAAATGCCAAAAACTCAAAAAGCCGGAGTGCCCCTTTTCTTCAAAATGACCCCAACACCTCTCCAGCAAAAGCTCAGAACAGGACTGAGGCTGAGATGGATGAAATGACAGAAGTAGGCTTTAGAAGGTTGGTAATAATGAACTTTCCTGAGCTAAGGAGCATGCTGTAACCCAATGCAAAGAAGCTAAGAATCATGAAAAAATAATATGGGAGCTGACAGCTGAAATAGCCAGTTTAGAGAAGAGCATAACCAACCTGTTAGAGCTGAAAAATACACTACAGTAACTTCACAATGCAATCACAAGTATTAACCCATTTATGGCAGAGGTTGCAAATTTTTTATGTGAAAAATCAGACCTTGTGATGACCTTGAGTGGTAGAATGGACATAAATATCTCCTACAAGCTTAGCGTTCCAATAGTGGAAGACTAGGCAAATAGACCAAGCAGAGGAAACAATCTCAAAGCTTGAAGACTGTCTTTCTGAAAAAACACAAGCAGTCAAGAACAGAGAAAAAAAATAAAAATGAATGAATAAAACCTCCAAGAACTATGGGATTATGTAAAGAGACCAAATCTACAACTGATTGGGGTACCTGAAAGAGACAGAGAGAATGGAACCAAGTTGGAAAACACTTCAAGATATCATCCAGGTGAACTTCCCCAACCTAACAAGATAGGCCAATATTCAAACTTAGGAAATGCAGAGAACCCCAGTAAGATACTCCATGAGAAGATTATCTGCAAGACACATAATCAGATTCTCCAAGGTTGAAATGAAGGGGAGAATGTTAAGGGCAACTAGAGAGAAAGGCCAGGTAACCTACAAAGGGAAGCCCATCAGACTAACAGCAGACCTCTCAGCAGAAACCCTATAAGCCAGAAGAGATTAGGGACCAATATTCAACATTCTTAAAGAAAAGAATTTCAAACTAAAAATTTCATATCCAGCCAAACTGAGCTTCATAAGTGAAGGAGAAATAAGATCCATTTCAGACAAGCAAATGCTGATGGAATTCATTATCACCAGACTTGCCTTGCAAGAGCTCTCAAAGGAAGCACTAAATATGGAAAGGAAAAACTGTTACCAGCCACTTCAAAAACACACTGAAGTACACAGTGACACTATGAAGCAACCATATAAACAAGTCTGCAAAATAACCAGCTAGCATTATGATGGCAGGATCAAATCCACCCATAGCAATACTAACCTTAAATGTAAATAGGCTAAATGCTCCAATTAAAAGACACAGAGTGGCAAGCTGCATGAAGAACTAGGAACCATTGGTATGCCATCTTCAAGAGACCAATCTCACATGCAAAGAAACACATACACTCAAAATAAAGGGATGAGAAAAATTTACCAAGCAAATGGGAAACAAAGAAAAGCAGAAGTTACAATCCTAGTTTCTAACAAAACAGGCTTTAAACCAATAAAGATTTAAAAAGACAAAGAAGGGCATTACATAATAGTATGAAGGAGATAGAGACATGAAAAGCCCTTCAAAATACCGATGAATCCAGGAGCTGTTTTTTGATAAGTAAAACAAAATAGATACAACACTAGCTAGACCAATAAAGAATAAAAAAGATTCAAATGCACACAATAAGAAATGCTAAGGGCGATATCACCACTGACCCCACAGAGATAGAAACCACCATAAAAGAATACCATAAACACCTCTAAGCACATAAACTAGAACGTCTAGAAGAAATGGATGATTCCCGGGCACACACACCCACCCTAGACTGAACCAGGAAGAAATTGAATCCCTGAATAGACTGATAATGAGTTCTGAATTTTAGGCAGTAATAAATAGCCTACCAACCAAAAAAAGCCCAGGACCAGAAGGATTCACAGCTGAATTCTACCAGAGGTACAAAGAAGAGCTGCTACTATTCCTTCTGAAACTATTCCCAAAAAATTGAAAAGGAGGAACTTCTCCCTAACTCAATCTATGAGGCGAGCATCATGCAGATACCAAAACCTGGTGAAGACACACAAACAGAAAACTACAGGCCAATATCCTTGGTGAATATTGATGCAAAAATCTCAATAAAATACTGGCAAACCAATGCTAGAAGCACATCAAAATCTTATCCACTGTGACCAAATAGGCTTCATCCCTAGGATGTGAGGTTGGTTCAACATATGCAAAACAATAAATATGATTTATCACATAATCAAAACTAAAAACAAAAACCACATGATTCTTCCAATAAATGCAGAAAAGGCCTTCAATAAAATTCAACATCCCTTCAGGTTAAAACTCTCACTAAACTAGGTATTGAAAGAACATACCTCATAATAATAACAGCCATATATGACAAACCCACAGCCAATATCATACTGAATGGGCAAAAGCTGGAAGAATTCCCCTTGAAAATCAGCACAAGACAAAGATGCCCTCTCTCACCACTCTTACTCAACACAGTATTGGAAGTTTCACCATGGCAATCAAGCAAGAGAAAGAAATAAAGGGTAATGGAATTGGAATAGAGAAAGTCTAACTATCTTTGTTTGCAGAAACATGATCCTGTATCTAGAAAATCCCATTGCCTCAGCCCAAAAGCTTCTTAAGTTGATAGGCGACTTCAGCAATGTATCAGGATACAAAATAAATGTGCAAAAATCACTAGCATTCCTATACCCAACAACAGGAAAGCCAAGAGCCAAATTATGAATGAACTCTCATTCAAAATTACCACAAAAAGAATAAAATACTTAGGAATACAGCTAACAAGGGAAGTGAAGGACATCTTCAAGGAGAACTACAAACCACTGCTGAAAGAAATCAGAGATGATATAAACAAATGGAAAAACATTCCATGCTCATGAATAGGAAGAATCAATATTGTGAAAATGGCCATACTGCCCCAAAAGCAATTTATAGATTCAATGCCACTCCTATTAAACTACTATTGGCATTCTACACAGAATTAGAAAAAAAAAAAACATTTAAATTCATATGAAACCAAAAAAGAGCACAAAGAGCCAAGGCAATCCTAACCAAAAAGAACAAAGCTGGAGGCATCAAGCTACCCAACTTCAAACTATACTACAAGGCTATGGTAACCAAAGCATCATGGTACTGGTACAAGAACAGACATGTAGATCAATGGAACAGAGTAAGAACCCAGAATTAAGACTGCACACCTACAACCATCTGATCTTTGACAAACCTGACAAAAATAAGCAATGCAGAAATGATTGCCTATTTAATAAATGGAGCTGGGAGAACTGGATAGCCATATGCAGAAAATTGAAATGGACCCCTTCCTTACATCATATACAAAGATCAACTCAAAATGGATCAAAGACTTAAATGTAAATCCTAAAACTGTAAAAACCCTAGAAGAAAATCCAGGCAACGCCCTGTAGGATGTAGACACAAGCAAGTATTTCATGACAAAGATGCCCAAAACAATTGCAAAAAAAAAAAAAAAAAAATTGAGAAACAGGATCAGGATCTAATTAAACTAAAGAGCTTCTGCACAACAAAAGAAACTATCAACAGAATATACAGACAACCTACAGAATGGGAGAAAATTTTTGCAAACTATGCATCTGACAAGGTCTAATCCAGCATCTAAAAGGAACTTAAATTTACACACAAAAAAAATCCATTTAAAAGTGGGCAAAGGACATGAACAGACACTTCTCAAAAGAAGACATACATGCAGCCAACAAACATATATAAAAAAATTCAACATCATTGATCAGAAATGCAAATAAAATCCACAGTAAGATACCATCTCACACCAGTCAGAACAGCTATTATTTAAAACGTCAAAAAAATAAAAAACAATAGATTCTGGCAAGGTTGTGAAGAAAAAGTGCTTTTACACTGTTGGTGGGAGTGGAGAATTAAGAAAGCTTTTACAGTGTTGGTGGGAATGTAAATTAGTTCAACCATTGTAGAAGACAGTGTGGTGATTCCTCAAAGACCTAGAGGCCGAAATACCACTTGACATAGCAATCCCATTACTGGGTATATACCCAAAGGAATAGAAATGGTCCTATTATACATATACATGCATGTGTGCGTTCACTCCAGCACTATTCACAGTAGCAAAGACATGGAATGAATCTAAATGCCCATCAATGATAGACTGGATAAAGAAAATGTGGTAAATATATGTGATGGAATTCTACATAGCCATAAAAATGAACAAGATCATTTCCTTTGCAGGGACATGTATGGAGCTGGAAGCCATTATCCTCAGCAAACCAATGCAGGAACAGAAAACCAAATACTGCATATTCTCACTTATAAGTGGGAGCTAAATGATGAGAACACATGGACACATGAGGGAACAACTCATACTGGGGCCTGTCAGAGGGTCGGGGGTGGGAGGAAAAAGAGCATCAGAAAGAATAGCTAATGTATACTAGGCTTAACATCTGCATGATGGGATGATCTGTGTAGCGAACCACCATGATACATGTTTACCTGTGTAACAAACCTGTATATCCTGCCCGTGTACCCTGGAACTTAAAAGTTAAAAATTTTTTTTAAAATATATTCTGTTAACACTATGTTATGGTCAAACAGAAATTAGAAATGAAGTATAATTATTATTGCTATAAAAGTTTCCTAATCAAAATTATAATTAAGTTAATACTACTGTTTCTATACATAAATATTATAACATATAAATAATACATATTGTTTCAAAATATACAAACACTGTAAAAACGAGAAGTTCAAGAAAGGTTATAAGAGGAGGAACACTATTGGCCTACAGGGGGCCTCAGGATAATGTTTAACTGATTTAAATATTATACACTTGAAAAAATCTGTCATAGAGAATTAAGAAGAAAAATACATTTAGACTATTTAGTTCATAACACGTATAGTCATTTTGTTTTTAAAATTAAATAATACAGTATCTTCAGTATGATCAGCATTTTACACAAATGAAAACATAATGTAATGAAATGGGATTTTATGTACTTTTAGCAAAGCTAATGGAATATAAAAATAAAGAAGGGAATTGGTGAGGCAAGAAAAAGGAGAGAGGAAGAGAATAAAGGAGGAAATTCTCTTTTCAAGGAGAACATGTGATCACAATGTCATTACATTTCTTTGACACTAACCCAGAGTGAAAATAAGTAATGAGGCATCAACATACTACTAATCTTAACAAGATTTGTTTCTTTTCTTTTCTTTTCTTTCTTTTTTTTTTTTTTTTTTGAATGATTTTCAGCAGTTCAGGAGAGTATATAGACACTGATTTCTACCTGGGGAGATACTGTGGAACTAAATAGTGAGTAGTGGGACCAACTAGATAATTTTCAGGGCCCAGTGCAAAATAAAACTTCAGAGCCCCAGATGGGCGCAGTGGCTCACGCCTGTAATCCCAGCACTTTGGGAGGCAGAGGCGGGCAGATCATGAGGTCAGGAGATCAAGACCATCCTGTCCAGCATGATGAAACCCTGTCTCTACTAAAAATGCAAAAATTAGCTGGGTGTGGCGGCAGGCTCCTGTAATCCCAGCTACTTGGGAGGCTAAGGTAGGAGAATTGCTTGAACCCAGGAGACAGAGGTTGCAGTGAGCAGAGATCGCGCCACTGCACTCCAGCCTGGGTGACAGAGGAGGACTCTGTCTCAAAATAAATAAATAAATAAATAAATAAATAAATTAAATAAATAAAAATTTTAAAAAACTGCAGAGCCCCTTGTTCAATAAGTATTAAGATTTTTGGGATGCAAATGGCTGAATATTAAACCAAGTGCAGGACCATTCTAAACAAGGAGCCCTGAGCTAGTTCACAGTCATATGTCCAAGAAGCCAGTTGTGATGGTGAGTTTAAGAGCATTATTTATTAAGGATCAAGTATTTGCTAATCTAGTTTGGATCATTATGTGTATTTTAGAGGTTATCTTAAAATATTTTTTACCAGGTGACAAGGATAACAGTAAAAACTCAAGCCTTGAGTTTTCAAGGAGCAAACTCAGAATCTTGTTACTGTACTATTTGTGAGCTGGGCTGTCTGCAGAAGTATATTTTGTCAAGGTCTTCTCTCTAGCAATAGAGAGAGTTAACTAATGAATTTATGGCTAAATTCATCCCGCTTCCCCGGTTCTTGAAGTATAGTAACATAATCACATAGAGTACCTTGGTAAATGACATTTCCTCCTACATTAAAGAACTTTCTTGCTTCCAACATTCAGTATTTTAGTGAATTTTATGGGATTTAAGTGCCAACCACTTAATTAAAGATATAATTTTATTTTCTGTGTTGTGCTCCCTAACCCCCCTAACTCCTGCAAATCACTCCACATTTTTTTCTGAGAAAAGAACATGAAGAAAGACTTATCTAAGCAGTCCAATTTGTACTTAAAAGGTTGTCTAATATCACATGGGATATTACATGAAAATGATATTTCACGGCAAAATAAAGATCAGATAGAAAAAAAAGAAATCTGACTCACAAAGTCACATTTTTTATTCTTCCTACATTATAGAGATGTCCTTGAGGTGAGAGGCCCTGAGGTTTTACCACTTGGTTTATAGATATATGTATGTGTAGGAATAAATTTATCTAAATTAGTCCCAGGTATATTATAGTGATTACCTAAGAAAACAAAGCTAAAAGTATACTTTGGTCTTGTCCCTTATTACACAGCACTGCTATTCCTTGTGTCTATCTCAGTCATCAAATGCAGCACCAAAGTATAAAGGAGATAGTGCCAAATGGACTGCTAAGTACAGTATATGAAGAGAATTATTATAATTCCTGATTCATTTTCTTATTCTAAAAGTATCATTGTTATGACATTATTTATGATATTATACACTAGAATTTCGGTCTTTAAAAATCTATCTCCTGTGAAAAAAAAAAAAAAGTCATCATGTTTGACCCTTCAAGGTACCACAGTTTAGTCTACCCACTGGCTCTGAATGCATTTTTTTTAGTTTAAATTTATTTGAAATAAGTTCTGTCTATTGATTCTATTATCTAATATTATGACCTAGAATAAAATGGGGGGATTTAAGTCAAGAAAGAGAACTAAGACTCCTATCTATATAACCATAGATTTGCTGGCTCTTGTCCCTGCTACTTGCTAATCAAGAATTTCTAGCTTCCAAACAAACCTCCCAAAACTAGGTAGAGACAATTTATTATATAATCTTCAGGAAGCCAAGGTTTATGCTTGTTTTGTTCATTGTTATATTCACAGACTCTGTCATCATGCCTAGTATGTAATTGATGATCATTAAATATTTACTAAAATTGTTTATAACATTTACTAACATTTTATAAAAATGTGATTTTCATGAAGCTGACAAAAAGTAAAAATATATTTGTCTCTTTAAAAAAACACTAACAATCTCAAGAACGTGAAAAAAAATGAAAGTCAAGTTCTATCTATCTCTGATTTCATTTTAGACATCACACATTTGCTATCCATATGTATCATCTATTAACTTTGTGGCATTATTTAGTGAACAAAAATTTCTTATTTTGATGTGATCAAATTCAACTTTTTAAAATTTTATCATTATTATACTTTAAGTTTTAGGGTACATGTGCACAATGTGCAGGTTAGTTACATATGTATACATGTGCCATGCTGGTTTGCTGCACCCATTAACTCGTCATTTAGCATTAGGTATATCTCCTAATGCTATCCCTCCCCACTCCCCCCACCCCACAACAGTCCCCAGAGTGTGATGTTCCCCTTCCTGTGTCCATGTGTTCTCATTGTTCAATTCCCACCTATGAGTGAGAACATGCGGTGTTTGGTTTTTTGTCCTTGCGATAGTTTACTGAGAATGATGATTTCCAATTTCATCCATGTCCCTACAAAGGACATGAACTCATCATTTTTTATGGCTGCATAGTATTCCATGGTGTATATGTGCCACATTTTCTTAATCCAGTCTATCATTGTTGGATATTGGGTTGGTTCCAAGTCTTTGCTATTGTGAATAGTGCCACAATAAACATACGTGTGCATGTGTCTTTCTAGCAGCATGATTTATAGTCCTTTGGGTATATACCCAGTAATGGGATGGCTGGGTCAAATGGTATTTCTAGTTCTAGATCCCTGAGGAATCGCCACACTGACTTCCACAATGGTTGAACTAGTTTACACTCCCACCAACAGTGTAAAAGTGTTCCTATTTCTCCACATCCTCTCCAGCACCTGTTGTTTCAAACTATACTACAAGACTACAGTAACAGCATGTACCAAAACAGCATGGTACTGGTACCAAAACAGAGATATAGATCAATGGAACAGAAAAGAGCCCTCAGAAATAATGCCGCATATCTACAACTATCTAATCTTTGACAAACCTGAGAAAAACAAGCAATGGGGAAAGGATTCCCTATTTAATAAATGGTGCTGGGAAAACTGGCTAGCCATATGTAGAAAGCTGAAACTGGATCCCTTCCTTACACCTTATACAAAAATTAATTCAAGATGGATTAAAGACTTAAACGTTAGACATAAAACCATAAAAACCCTAGAAGAAAACCTAGGCATTACCATTCAGGACATAGACATGGGCAAGGACTTCATGCGTAAAACACCAAAAGCAATGGCAACAAAAGACAAAATTGACAAATGGGATCTAATTAAACTAAAGAGCTTCTGCACAGCAAAAGAAACTACCATCAGAGTGAACAGGCAACCTACAAAATGGGAGAAAATTTTCACAACCTACTCATCTGACGAAGGGCTAATATCCAGAATCTACAATGAACTCAAACAAATTTACAAGAAAAAAACAAACAACCCCATCAAAAAGTGGGTGAAGGACATGAACAGACACTTCTCAAAAGAAGACATTTATGCAGCCAAAAAACACATGAAAAAATGCTCATCATCACTGGCCATCAGAGAAATGCAAATCAAAACCACAATGAGATACCATCTCACACCAGTTAGAATGGCAATCATTAAAAAGTCAAATTCAACTTTTAAATCTAAGTGTTTATGCTTTTGAAATTTTGTTTAAGTTGTTTCCACAGACTGCAAAGGTATTTTCCTATATTTTCATTTATTAGCTTTATATTTTTACCTTTCATATTTTGGTTTTTTATTCACCTAGATTCTACTTTGGCCTACAGTGTTAACCTCAATCCAGTTTTACTTTTATCTGTGGATAGATCTAGCTTTCCAAACATCATCCTAAATAAGCTCACTTTATTATTTGCTGCTGAGTTCATTATTTCATGTTACAATGAAGAAATCCACAGAAAAGGATCCTAAGTGCATCCAGACGGTTGGAGGACAGGTTATATACAAATAAATGAGACTAAGAATAATAGCTACATGTAGCTTCTAAATAGCTACATGTATGCTAAAAGACATAGGATAAATGCTGTCAAATTTTTTAGGAAAAATAATTTTCCATTTAGGATATCAATATATCAAATGAGTTGAATATATAATAAAGGTAATTTCAGTTTTTTTTTTTTTTGAGATGGAGTCTCACTCTGTAGCCTAGGCTGGAGTACAGTGGCACAATCTTCACTCACTGCAACCTCTGCCTCCCAGGCTCAAGCCAATTCCCCTGCCTCAGCCTCCTGAGTAGCTGGGATTATAGGTGCGTGCCACCACACTGGGCTGATTTCCATATTTTTAATAGAGACAGGGTTTCGCCATGTTGGCCAGGCTGGTCTCAAGCTCCTGACCTCAGGTGATCCACCCACCTTGGCCTCCCACAGTGCTGGGATTACAGGCGTGAGCCACCACAGCCCAGCTGATAATTTCAATTTTTAAGCACTCAGAATATATACTTCACATCCACACTTTCTTGGATTGAGTTGTGGAATATGTCCTGCAAAACAAGAGAGTTAACCAAAATTAAAAAGTCATTCCAGATAATGGCAGCATATTCAACCCAGAAGAGCAGCAAGTAGAAGCCTCAGGATGAAATGCGTGTCTAGAAAACAACAATTTCACTTAGAGCATGAGCAAGAGTGCTCAAAACAAAAAATAAAAAAGATGGGGAGAGAGGAAGGAGATTGGTAGAATAGATAATACAATACAACCATATTTGGAAAGTGAAAAAAGGCAACGTATTTTACTCTAAAACGTAGCTAAAAACATTTTTTTTTATGAGTTCACAGGTTGGCTAATTCTGTTAATACCAACTGGATTTACTCAAGTGTATTCAGTCAGCTGTCAGCTTAGCTAAGGAATAAAAGGTCCAGAAAGGTTGCAGCTGGGACCACTCAGTTGTTAGCCCCGAAGTCTCTGATCCTTCAGTAGGTTGGACTGGACTTGCTCTTATGGCATGCACAAAGATCCGGCCAGGCGCAGTAGCTCACGCCTGTAATCCTAGCACTTTGGGAGGCCGAGGAGGCCGGATCACCTGAGGTCAGGAGCTCGAGACCAGCCTGGCCAACATGGTAAAACCCCATCTCTACTAAAAATACAAAAATTAGCCGGGCATGGTGGCAATGTGCCTATAATCCCAGCTACTCGGGAGGCTGAGGCAGGAGAATCCCTTGAGCTAGGGAGGCGGAGGTTGCAGTGAGCCGAGATCACCCCACTGCACTCCAGGCTGTGCGACAAGAGCAAGACTCCGCCAAAAAAAAAAAAAAAAAAAAATCCAAGGGAGAAAATAAAAATGTCCTAATGCTTTTTGAAGCCTCTCCTTGCATCAGTTCTGCCAAAGTGTCAGTGTAAAAGCAAACCCATATGGCAAACCTCAGACTAAGTTTGGGAAGATACTTTTAAAGGGTGTGAACATAGCAAGGTGTAAAAATTGAGTCCAGTAATACAATAAATCTAACACAAAATGTACAGATGCAAGAATTTAATCTTCAACTATTGTAGGTAGAAAACAGAAAATGATCATAAAATTGATAAATCAAGAAACAAGACAAGCATTTTACTTAGAGAAAGTTACTAGAAGAAACTAATAGGAGTTAATAGAACTTGCTTCAGAAGAAGGATTTGAAGGATGAAAATTTGGTGAAGAGGACAAATATTCTTCATTTTAAGACTTTAAGCACTGATTTAAAAGAAAAATGTGCTTGGATTACTTTAAAATATAAATTATGAGTAAATAATAAAATTTTATAGTTTTAAGTTATGAATGCAGAAAGACACCACTCTCAAGAAAATGTTCACTTGTATCAAAAAAGCTAGCAAGAAAGTATTTCGAGAGAAGAACTATGGCTTTTTTTTTGTGACAGAGTCTCACTCTGTTGCCCAGGCTGGAATGCAGTGGCATGATCTCGGCTCACTGAAACTCAGCTAATATTTACACGTCCCTGTTATATTTGTGCCTCTATTTTTTATTAGTTATCACAAGTATTTATAATATTTCAGATTACTAAAAACCAAAATAAATATACAAAAAAATTCTCTTTGATATCATTGGAGAATAAAGGGTCTGATACTTGCAAGGTCATTTAGATCTTAAAGTACTTCATCTCATTACATCATATTCCATAACACCAATCTCCCTCTCATTACTGGTGTTAGCCACCACATAATTAAAACCCAAACTATTTATGATTTTTAATACATTAAATAGCATCATGGAGCTACTTGTAACCCACAGACCTGGTCTGGCAGAAGGAGAAAGTTGGCCAAGCTGGTTGAGAATTTTACGCAAGCCAGATTTATCAGTGGCAAAATCCCAAGTAGAAATAACTACACTGTCAAAATAGATCCTGCCAGGCGTTCCTTGTATTGGAGAAAGATCAACCCAACATGGGGATGGCTAGTCAATCATCCTTCTGTTTCAGAGATGCCCCTAAGATGGGGCAGGCTCTCAGAGGAATTCAACTTAAGACATAAAGAGCTGCTTATGAGAAAGAGCCAAAATCACTACCTAGAACAAAAGTGGGAGACACTAGTTATTAAGAGGCTCTGGACTCAGGCAACAAACAAGGGTTTCAGTTCCATCACTTAGCAGCTAGAGGATCGTGGGCAGCACACTCATTGTTTTTAAATAAAAACTGGAACAAAAATAATTACTTTGCAGAGATGTTGTGAGGATTAAAGATAATGTACACAAAGTGCCTAGCACAATATCTGGCACAAACTAGCCTCACAAATTACAGACATTTTTCACTATGTGATAGAATTCTAGGAGTTCCTGGAATAGCAGATGAAAGGTTATAATCAGGGTGATTAAAGCACACTGATGTTTAGTGGTGAACAAGATTCTGAAACAATCATTTGTTACAGCTAACAGATATAAAACAACCCGTTTTCTTCTGTCTATACTGTACTCCTACAGTCCTAGAAAAAAAAGAGAAAGAATTCACAAAAGCTCAGTGATAAAAGCAATAATGATTTGAAAACAAGTAACCTCAATAATTTCTTTAAAGTGGATAAATTAGGCAATGAGTATGTAACACACATAGGGAAGAAAATCTGAAATTAGATCATACTTAACTGTTGACTGAGACATTAAATGAATTTATTAATTCAAAATACAAGGTATTACATATTCAGGATATATGCTTTTAATAATTATTATTCTTTTTATCAATATAGGTAACTGAGCTCTTGAAAATTATTATGTGATGTACAATTTAGCTCTATTTTTATTCACAAATATTTTAAAGACCATCCTATATGTCCAATACGTGGTTAAGCATTGGGAAACCAATGGTAAGAAGAATAGGCAAGTCCCTATCCATATTAAGTCAAAATTTCAACCAATACCTTTAAAAGATTTTTTGGCACTTGGTCTTATAAAGATTTTACTAGCTTGCTAATTTTTGTGTCACCAAAACAAGTGTTGTACTCCTGATACTTGAAATGTAGAATAACTATGAGGAACTCTAATCTTTGTCCAGAAATTAAATATAAATAGCAATACATCATTACATGTGCCAACTATTGCTGGCAAAATGATTGATTTTTAAAGGGTCAGACATCTTAATATCACTACAGTTAGCAGAGTTTTTGATGAGCATTTCATTTTAATAGTCATGGAGGATGTTTTCTTTGTAATAAATTTGTTGAAAACCTCCTTTATGAATGCCTTCTGTAATGGAAATCTTACCTATAAACATGCACAATATACTACCAACTCATAATATGATCATTGCTTTGAATTGATATTGGTATGCTCTACGGCCATAAGAAAAGCATATAATGTTTCTGAATTCCTTCTCGTTGAATTGAATATGCATTGAAATTCAGTGCAATAAGTAGGGTTAGCTGCCTTGCATTATACATAATGAAAATTCCCACTCTTCGGTCTGTGGGCTGAAGGGCTGATGAAACACTTTGTGACAGCTTTGCTTCATAACTTTTCCTCATGACTAAAGAAAAATGACCTTCCAACTGGTTCACAGAAATGACTGAAATTTCAACTCCTGTGTACAGTATCTGTAATATTGATATGGGACTTAAAATTAAATATTCCTGAGGTTATCACATCTGTCAAATAAAGTACTTCTGTTTTAACTGTATTTTAATATTATTTAATGTAAATTATTGGCATGATATAAATTATCCCATGCAGTTTAATTAAAATCAATTCAAAGTAAGATATGTAGCAAAAACTAAAATACATTCAAATCAAACAAAGAAAATGTATAATCACAAACCTGAAAACAATATTCCAGAGCTTTAACAAACTCCTGAAATTTGTTATTGATCAGGCAGACCAATACTTATGTATTTGCATTTATATTTAAAATACGTTCTTCTAAAATATATTTTTTAAATTTTAAACAAATTAAAAATTAACAGAATGATGTATTGATCTCTCAAATATCAAATGACACCAAGTAAGTTTTATAAAGTAAATTTTCGCTTTTCTCTGTGACTTTCCTACAAACGTAATATATGGAATGGCAGAGGCATCTGAAGAAACGTATAGAAATCAGGAAATATATTTGTTTTCAACTGAAATATAGACTATTTTAAAAACTGTTTTGTACTTCACTGTTTTCCTCTTTTCTCATTTCTCTTCCTGTATCATTCATCTAGCAGATTCACAAATCTTGATGAATTCGTCCATCTGCCTCTCAATAACTGCATCTGGACAGCTAAGTACAATTCAACCAGGGAAAGTATGACTGTGAATTATTTAACCAGGGCTCCAGCAATTTTGCTATAATTTTCAAGTTAATTGATTTTCACATACTCTGTAACTACTGTTGGACACTCTCTCCACATTTCTCAATCCACCCACTCTGTGGTTTAGATTAATCAGTTTATTTTCACTTATGGAGATCCAGGTAGAGCAGCTGTCCTGAGTAACTTTTGTTCAAGTAGTGACTCAGAGATCAGGCTCGTTCCATTTTGTAAATTCATCTTACAGTCAGTGTCCAATAGGAGTAAACTACATTAGAAATTCAGAGAGAATATTTAGTATAAGGAGTAAGTTAAATCGGTGCTAGAAGATTGAAAAAGTGAATAATGGAACACTAAGGAAATACTATCTCTGGTGAGACAGTATCACCAGAAAGCACATACTGCCCCTAGGTTGGAGACCAAAGGTAACAGGTAGGAGTTAGAGAATCGAGACATTTGGGCAAGATGCCATGGATCTGGGACTCAAGAGTTGAAGAGGGCCATTATCTGGCTGTTACCTCTGAGATATAATATAATACCTATTATGGAACAAGGAGATTTGTTCTATAATTGCTGGAATAAAAGCTGGAGACTGGTACCAACTGCTGCTGCTAAGGTAAAGGGCCACAGTTAGTGTAACACCGACAGGGATGAAAAGCAGACATAAAGGAGGAAGTCCCTTCTTCCATTTTCCTCTCTTTTGAGCTCTTTTTATTGTTCCCTATTGGCAGAGCCTAAGAGTCATGTGGCAAAGAAGAAATGCAATTTGCTAAGACTCCACTGCAGAATGGCAAAGCAGTAAGTAAAAAGGCAGGTTTGGAACTGACAGGTAATAGTTTAGCAATCTTCACAACTTTATCTAAATGCTCAGAAACCTCTTAATTCAGTTGTAGTTTAGAAAAAGAGAGAATTCAGAGATGTCCCCATGGGTTAAATGGGCCAGTGTACATTGCCTCCACCAATATTTACTTTGGCCAAAAATCAGATACCTGGATGCACCTAATGACAAGGGAAGCTGCGACCTCTATGTCCAGGAAGGATGAGAGAACATTAGTATTATGAAGCACTAGCAGTTTCTACCACTTCTCCACATCAGTCTCCCCACCCATGTACCTTAATTTTTTATTTCACAGATAAAGTATAAGCCATCACACAGAAACTCCCTCAGTTCTGCAACTGAACCCATTCTTATCTTCTTTTTATCAGACAGAATGGAGGAAGACTGTGTCCTGTTATCAGAGAGTGGTCTGATCATATATGCTAGAACATTAACAACCCAAACAAGGGCAGAACAAAGATATTAAGAAGTAGGGAATGTGTGGAAAGCCAGGATTCATAATACTGAAAGCCTCTAAAAGAGAAGGGACAATATCTCATGTGTCCTTAGTCGATTGTCTAGGACAGGGCACATAGCATACACACTATTCCAAAACATTCATTTATTTAATTCAATAAATATTCATTGAGCACTTATTATTTGCTATACGTTGAAGAAAAAAGCAGTAAGCAAAATACAAAAGGGTTTTGCCTCATCCAACTTACATTTAGTGGATAATGACAGCTAACATATACCAAGCACCTTCGATGTGCATTCCTGAGTGTTTTACATATACTAATTCACTTAATCCTTACAAGAATCCTGTAAGTATTGTCTCTATCCTATTATTCAGATGAGAAAACTGAAGCACATAAGCATTAAGTAACTTGCATAAGTAACAGAGCTGAAATTCAAACACAGATAAACTGGCTCAAGAACCCATGGCTGTATCACCACCCTGGATTATTATGGGTTAAATGACACATAGTATACAGATTTATTAAAATTAGTTATCTGTTACTATGTGTTTAATGATGAATACAAGAGAAATAGAGATGAAGGCAGGGCTATTCAAACCTAAAGTCTGGGCTCATTACCTTATTTCCTACTGTCTTCATTACCTTATTTCCTATTGTCTTTCTAAAGAAAAAAAAAAATAGAGTAGCTATAATCACATCTAGAATAGAATTACATTCCTCTGTGAGGAAAGAAAATGTCCCCCACATTTCTGAAGCCTTGCCCCTTCCCAACTAAACTAAAGTGGACATTTATTTTCTCACCTTCCCTACTCATTAATGTACTCAACAAATGTTTATTCAGTGATAATTCAATTATAGGCTATGTACAAGGGGCTAAGGACACTAGGGATGAACACAACAGTCTCTCCCTCCCAAAACCTACACATTAATAAAAGGACACAGAGATGTAAGCAGACAATTACAAAGAAAGCAAAAAGTGTGATAACAAAATTATGGGCACTCATGAGATGAGGGACATCTATCCCACCCTTGATAAGAAGTAGAAGGCTTCCCTGGGGAAACAAATACTAAGCTGACATTCAAAGGATGAGTAGATATGGTTGAGGAGAAGAAGCAAAAACAGGATGAAGAATCATTCCAGGCAAAGGAGCAAGATGTCCAAAATCCCAGCTTAGGATGTATACACTTCACTGAAAATAGATCACTTTGGCGTGAGGTTGGTCATTGGAGGAATGGCTAGATAGAAAAGAGCAAGGGAAGAATGATGAAGGCTTTGTAAGGCAAATGAAGGATGTTTAGCGGGAAGAAATAACATCTGCAGCACAGAAGAACAAGGGAATGAGGCAAACTGGGGGCAGTCCCAGTTAGGAAGGCCATGAAAGCAGCAGGTAGAAGTGAGAGATAACAAGAGGTTAAATGTTTTCTGACTATCACTTGAAATAGGTCCCTGTCTATGATAAATGAGTCAGCCTATGTAGGTTAAATAAAGAGGAAGATACCCTAAATTATTTCCTTTTACAGGTAGTAATTATTAATTGATTTCCAGCAGTATCAAGCCATTTGGCCTATTTACTGATGCTGTCACTTTCTTTCTGTGTGACCCTAGGCAAGTTATTTAACCTTTATAAGTCTTTGTTTCTTTCTTTTTAAAGTGTGACTATTATTTCTGGAACCCACCTATAGTGGGTTGAATGGTGGTCCCTAACAACACATGTCTCTGTCCTAACCTCTGGAACCTTTAATGTGACCTCACTTGGAAAAAAGAGTCTTTACACATGTAATTAAGTAAGGATCTCAAAATGAGATAATTCAGTATTATATAAATGACTCTAAATCCAATAACACTGTCCCTGAAAGAGATAGAAAAGACACAGACACAAAAGAGGAGAAGGTTACATGAAGATGGGGCAGAGACTGGAGTTATGCAGCCGCAAGGCACAGAATGCCTGGAGCCACTAGACACTTGAAAAGTTAGTGAAGGACTCTTACCTCCAGCCTTCAGAGAGAGGATGATCCTGCCAACATTTTGATTTCAGACTTCTGTCTTCTAGAACTGCAAGAGAGTGAGTTCTTATTGTTTGAAACCACTAAGTTAGTGGTAATTTGTTACAGCAGCCTCAGGAAACAATACAGCACCTTGTAGAATTATAGTGAGGGGAGCATGAGAAAAACATGAAGGACAGTGCCTGGAATATTATGAGACATCAATAAATATCATTAACTAAAGGCTTAGACAAAATATAAGCATTTCCATCATGTGCTTCACAATGTGCTGTCATTGTTTCTCTGGCCAGTATCTGCTTTTTTTTTTTAATCTCTACCAGTATTGCTTGTTCATAAAAGCTGGAGGCATCACGTTACCCATCTTCAAACTATACTACAGGGGTACAGTAACCAAAACTATGTGGTACTGGTACAAAAATAGGCACCTAGATCAATGGAACAGAACAGAGAGCCCAGAAATAAGGCCACATACCTACAACTACCTGATCTTTGACAAAGCTGACAAAAACAACGAGGAAAAGACTCCCTATTCAAATAAATAGTGCTGAGAAAATTGGCTAGCCATATGCAAAAGACTAAAACTGGACCCCTTCCTTACAACATATACAAAAATCAACTCAAGATGGATTAAAACTTAAATGTAAAACCAAAAACTATAAAAACTCTGGAAGACAACCTAGGCAATGCCTAGGAATGGGCAAAGATTTCATAACAAAAATACCAAAAGCAATCACAAAAAAAATTAAGAATTGACAAGTGAGATCTAGTTAAACTAAAGAGCTTCTGCACAGCAAAAGAAACTATCAACAGAGTGAACAGACAATGTACGGAATGTGAGAAAACTTTTGCAAGCTGTGCATCTGACAAAGGTCTAATATCTAGTGTCTATAAGGAACTTAAACAAATTTACAAGAGAAAAGCAAATAGCCCCTTTAAAAGTGGGCAAAGGACACTTTTCAAAAGAAGACATGCATGTGGCCAAAAAACATATTAAAAAAGCTAAATATCACAGATCACTACAGAAATGCAAATCAAAACCACAATGAGATACCATCTCACACCAGTCAGAAGGGCTATTACTATAATAATAACTCAAAAAATAACAGATCCGGCAAGCCACTGTGGAAAGCGGTATAGCGATTCTTCAAAGAGCTAAAAGCAGAACTAACATTTGACCCAGCAATCTCATTACTGGGTATATACTCAGAGGAATATAAATCATTCTGCCATAAAGACACATGCACACAAATGTTCATTGCAGCGCTATTCACAATAGCAAATACATGAAATCAACCTAAATGCTGATTAATGACAGATTGGATAAAGATAATGTGGTGCATATACACCATGGAATACTATGCAGCCATAAAAAAGAACCAGATCATGTCTTTTGCAGGAACATGGATGGAGCTGGAGCAAGCTATGCAGCAGGCTAATGCAGAGACAGAAAACCAAATACTGCACGTTGCTACCTGTAAGTGGGAGCTAAACGATGAGAACTTATGAACACAAAGAAGGAAACAACAGACACTGAGGTCTTCTTGAGGGTGGAGGATGGGAGTAGAGAGAGAAGCAGAAAAGATTACTATTGAATACTAAGCTTAATTCCTGGGTGATAAAATAATCTGTACAACAAACCCCCATGACATGAGTTTACCTATGTAACAAACCTTCACATGTACCCCCGAACTTAAAATAAAGGGTTATATATATATATAGCTTGTCCTCACAGCCATCAGCATACCTGGATGAAATAAATATAAAAAATTCAGAAAAACAAGATGGATTATTTTCCTTTATATTTTCCACAACAAAACAATCATCCTCTTTTATTTTTACAAAATTGGTCAAATTACACAATTACATTGCATTGTACGCTCCTGATAATAAGCAAAGAAGGATCTTTGTTTGATTAACTAAGCATCCACAGATCCTAGAATGGTGGGTTATAATCCAATAGTAATGTTTACTCCATTGCTCAAATTGTTACAGCTTTGGCCTTTGGATCTCAGTCTTTTCTAGTGTGTGTGTGTTTGTGTGTGTGTGTGTTTAGCACTACAAAATGCTCCAGGTCATCTTGTATATTATGTGCCTTAAACCTAGAATCAGCCATTTCCCCAAAAAGACCTGGCTTCTTATTTTGGAGAATAATATTATAAACCAACATCTGAGTATTGGGTGTGCTCATTGTTACTGGTGTATCTTAGCTTCTAGGAACTCTCAACTGACCGAACAAAGAAAAATATGCATATGTACTAACCTGTGTATATACACAAATGCATAAAGATTTCTGTGTGTAACAATCTGTATCTATATTACATATTTATGTCTCAAATTCTAATCCATTACTATGTGGTTCATTCCAGCCTTCTTAACTTGTCTATAATTCTCACTCCAAAAGTAAGAAACGTGGCTCCTACCATTCTTTATCTATTTACTTAATTGTTCAATTCTAGTATGCATGTATAGTGATTTCAGAATTATTAACTGTACCTCCATGAGAAGCTATTTTATCAGTCAGAATACAGTGTTTATGTTCATTTATTTTGTCTTTACTCTTAGCGTCTACACTCATTTCCAAGTTACTTGGATCAGCATATTTTTTTACCAGTGAGGTTTTTTTATACATTTTCAGTGAGGTTATTTTATACATTTGTAATAGTTGGATTATTTTGTTATACTCTGTGTGATCATTAAATTTTATTTACCAACTTGACCAGGACATCAGATGCCCAGACATTTGGTCAAACAATATCCTGGGTATGTTTATTAGTGTGTTTCTGGAGGATATTAATATTTGAATTGGTAGATTGAACAAAGCAGACTTCCCTTTCTAAGGGACATAGACCTCACTGAAGACCTCATTAGAAGAAAAAGTATGAGCAGGAGGGAATTCCTCCTGCTTGATTATTTGAGCTAGGACATTGGTCTTTTTTTTTTTTTTGGCCTGAAATATTGGCTCTTGTTAGGTCTTGAGACTGCCAGCATTTTTACTGGAACTTAGGCCACTGGCTCTCTTGTTTCTTGGGCCTTCAAATTCAGACAGAAATTATACCACTGGCCTTCTTGGGTTTCCAGTTTTCTGACTGCAGATCTTGGGACTTCTCAGCCTCCATAATCATGTGAGCAAATAATTCCTTAAATAAATCTCTCTCTTTTTGTCTTTACCTATATGTATATCTCCTAGTGGTCTATTTCTCTGAATAACTCTGAGCAACACAGTCTAAGTTTCATTCTGGAATTTCCAACTTCCTAAATGATTCCTTTGTTTGCATACATTAAGATTTGCTCTTTGTGCTGTAAGGATCTACAAGTTTTGACAAATACATAGTGTCATGTCACTGTTACAGTATCATACAGAACAGTTAAAACATCCCTAAAAACATCCCCTGTCGCTTCATCTATTTGAATCTCTTCCCTCCCTGAACCCCTGGCAATCACTATCTATTTACTATCTCTATAGTTTTGCCTTTCAAGATTGTCATAGAAATGGAATCATGTGGCATGTAGCCTTTTCAGATTGGCTTCTTTCACTTAACATTATGCCTTAAACATTCATCCATGTGTTTGCATGGCTTGATAATGCATTCCTTTTTGTTGTTAAGTAGAATAACATTTTTTGAATATATCATAGTTTATCTACTCATATATTGAATGATATCTTAGTGCTGCCAGTTTTTAGTGATTATGAATAAAGATGTTACAAACATTTGTGTACAGATTTCTGTGTGGAAATAATTTTCAAATCATTTAATAAATACCTACTAGCATGATTATTGAATTGTATGATACGACTATACCAAGCTCTCTTCCAAAGTGGCTATACCATTTTTGCATTACCACTAGCAATGATTCAGAGTTTTCATGGTATTTTGAGAAGAAAATTCCTGTAAATTAAATCACTGAAGTCATTTTCATGAATAAAAAATAAATATAAGTGCTATTACAGATTCTCAAACTTGAAAACATGACAATATAATGAACAAATAAATAAACAACAAATACATCTATTACTAAGATTAAAATTGGATATCATTCAAAGCAATATCCAGAGTTAAATCAGCTTATTGAATTATGTATAGGCCTTAGTAATGACTTTTTTGGGTACTGAGTCACTTCAAGAAGTAGGACTGGTTCTGTAAATAATGTCTTCTAAACCCAAAATATAATTTTCTCTTGGTATAGATTTATTTTCCTTTAAACATCAAAATCTACGTCTGTTTAGTCAGCACTTCATTTGAGACACTGAATCCCATTAATTCTTTCAATGTACTTTGGTTTCAGACGCTATAATGCATCCTTTTTATAACAGATTTAGGAGGAAGAAATGCATGGTCATAATGCATTTTCAAGTCATTTTTCTATTTGTGGGGAGGATAAACCAATCATAATTTAATTTGGGTGCAGTATCTTACGTATCTTTCTAAGGTCAAGGTTTATGCATAACCAACTATTGATATAAATGTGACAGAGATTGCTAAAATACATTATATATGTATTTTTAACATTTAACATATTATTGACACATATAGTCAATATGCCATCCATATTTCTCGCATGTTTCTGAACTCAACACTGGTTTGAACTCCTGAAAGTAAACAGTAGCATCAATTCATTGTTTTGTTTCTATGACTACTATGTATTGTGATCCAAAATAACTCATTCTCCTCTACCTACTTATTGAACAATAAATATTGGAAACACCCAAACTGCATAACTCCAGTCTACTTAGTGTTAGATGCTACAGAAAAAGTATTACATAGCATATAGAAAAAAAAGTTCACTTGTTTAATGACAAAAAAGTTTGTTTAATGACATTTACTCAAATGGATATGGACTATTTGTATTTTAACATATATTAAAAACTTATAATGTCCTAAACATGGTGCCTGAAAGGTACATTATTTCATATAAATGTATTCCTCATAAAAATCCTTTGCAATAAATGCTATTTTGCACTGCCCAGATCCCTGCTATCGATACTAGATATATAGCAGGTAAAGTCTGCTTAATTGAGGCTCAGCTTTTGTAGGAGAAAAAGAAATAGTAATGAAATTATTATTTATAAAGTTTAGATATTTTTCAAGTTTGAAGCATGCACTTAAAGGGCTTTACTAAATTCCATTTATGTGACAACTATTTATTGAGTACCTGCTCTGTGCTGGCACTATTTTATGTGCTAACAAATTAAAACCTTTGTTTTCATGCAGCTTTACATTTTGTGAATTTTGGGTCTAGTGCCTAAGGGCTTTGGGAAGTGAAAAAGGGACAGACGTCAAATTTCTTTTTGGTTAACACATAAGCCTTTCTTCCCTCTTCCTTGCTCCTGTTAAAAGCCTCAAATCATTAATACTATCTTCTCTCAAGGCTAGACTATGTAAGTTTTTAAAAATAGATATATATTTGAGCTTATAATTTATATTAAAAGGAATAAATTACTTGTAAAATTCTAAGTTATTACCAGTGATTAGAGCTGGAATAGTTTAGAAAGACCCATAGGAAAAAGTTATGAAATTAGGGGCTAATATTTCACTTGAAAATAAGCTCATAGAATGTAAACGTTACAAAGAAGAAAAGCTTAATAAAGGAAAACCTGCCTTTTAAAATTATGTTTATAAGATTTTACTCGATAAAATTATATCAAATTGTAAGCAGAAATTACAAAACCCTAATTTATTTTGTATGATTAAACAGTGAAATATCAATTAGCAATTTTATTACCTGAGCCAAATTTGGGGGCAGAGTCATATAAAACATCCTGTGTAAATTAGCAAAAGGTGCCATGTCTGAGTGGCTGAATCACAGAAGGTCACCTCTTTCCTTAGAGTGACACAGTAACAAGACAAGTTTCATGGAGGATTTCAGCCCCCAAGTGCTCCTTCTTCAGGGGCCCTTGTTCAGGGAACTACCTGAAAAAAAAAAAAACCTATACAGCAGCCCTGATTGCTGTTACTGGCAGAGGAAAGAGCAAAAAGTTCAAAAAGAGAATCATTAGAAATAAGCCAAATTAAAGTTATCAGTACTGAAGCAGCCAAATACTGGAAAAATATCCAGTCATTCTACAAAGAGGAAAAAAATGTCATAGATCAGTAAAGGAGGTTATGACAGGGTGACTCTAACTGAAGAAACAAATACAAGTTGTCCACTATGCTTGCAGCTCAAATGTTCATAAAGTGACAGATGACAGAGTCCCTTATGATTAGCAGTTGTAAGCCCTTATGGTTCCCATCAAAAGCCTCTAACTGTTTATTTATCCTTTGGCTCCCATCCCACAGGAAGCATCTTGTGCCAGCATAACTTTTTTCCTTAATACTATAAAGAAATGCATTCAAATAATAATGTAATATACATGTAAGTCAGTCTGACAAAAAATGTTGAAAGAAAGCTGGATGCACTCGATATCCTATAAATTACTTATGATTCATTTTTTTTCTAACAGCTTAGTATTGATACGCCATGCATCCTGCATTGCATGCATAACAATGCCCAGAAACTCTGAAATGGGTGTGAATAACTAGCTTTTAACAGAAAGCCTGGATATGTGTTTACATGTGTCAATATGAGAGAAGGAGTATCTACATACACCCTATATATACATACATACATACATATACATACACATATAAATTAGAAGCCATACTTACTTTAAAAAAAAAAAAAACTCTAGACTACACTTGTCTTAGCTTTCCCTGTGAAATGAGAATACAAACTGCCAAATTCTACAGTCTCTCTCTGCTTTCTGCTGCAAGTTTGGCTTCTCTAGAAGCAGATGCTGAGATTAAATTTAAAGCCATTTTGCTCTGTTCTAGCAAAAATATCATATCTGCCACAGCAGCTGGACTTTTGACTATTACTTAGTTGAACTTGTGGTAGTCTACAGTTGTTTCCAGGATCCACCTGTTCCTGAAGGGGATATTCTGGTGAATTAAGCATAGATATAATGAGGAAAATCACCATTGTATGCTTAGATCCTTAAAATCACTAATTTCCAACCCCCAGATCTATCCCCCAAGATACAATATTGATTTTTATTTACTTCAAAGCCTGGGTAAGGGAAGAATTTCAAAGGTTTCCACTTGGTCTCTCCCACAATGATAGCTACTACCTCAAAGGCTAAAGACCTAATGTGGGAGTTACACTACCCACTGTAAAGCATGTCGATCCCAATTACATATTTGAGGACTGATGGGATTGCAACTGGATAGCCTAGTTGAAAACTGGATCCATTTTAAGCCAGAACTTTTCTTCATTCATTGCCCTATCGCCATTTGCCCTCACTCTTAACAGGAGGGTGGTGATATTGCTTTAGCTCTCTGGATATCATTATTAACATAGACTCCAATGTACAACAGTCCTTAAAATGTCTAGGTATTCCCTTTTTCCATGTGAGTAATTGCCCGAATAGCAGACTATTGTTTCCTTTGAGGAAAACTGGAAAAAATTATTACTATTTATAGTTGCTGTGGTATTTGCAGGGTCTTTTCCCTTGGGGGCACAGCATCTTCTTTAGTCTATGGGTTTCAGGCACAGAAACTAGCCAATGTTTGTAAACTTGGCAAGAAATTTTGGCTTTTCATTTAAGAGAATGCCTTCAGCCTCTCAATAATCTATCCTTGATTTTATCTGTTGTTACAAGCTAAGTAAGAAACTGACAGCTGCCCATCTATTCTGCTCTAGGGCAGCTATGTTCTTAACCATCTCTACAACTCTTTGTAGATCAGCCCCCTCAGCTGCTATTTTGACTCTGAGGTTTATTATAATAATTATGGATCCCTGGCTTCTTACAGTCAAGTGCCAATACTTGGCCTCTATTTTTTCAGAGTCCTATCTTCTCCCTCCTTTCAAGTGATCCAAAACCTGTAATAGCCTAGTCTGCCATCAGCCCCCATCTACGGAATGTGACCACTGAATAACTATAGTGTGTTTCTGCCTTTCTCACCAAAATATTCCTTATGGCCTTGTGAAATGCTATGTTCTCTTGATCTATTCCAAAAATATAATCATCTGGCAGGTCTTCTGACCATACATAGTTTATCTCTCGCAACATGTCCACTTCCCAAGATCTTTACTCTCTTCCTCCACTTTCTTCCATGACGATTCTGACACTCACCTCCCTGAGGGCTATTGTTTATTGCGTGCCCTAGGACCAATACTAGTAGCAAGTTTGTATCATCTACAGTTCTTGCCAGAGTGTTATATATGTCAAGAGAGTGCTTCTGAGTGTACATAATGATTCCCTATTCAAATGTGTCTTGTAGCCACCCTGATCTACCAACTTTTAATTCATTCCCACATTTATTACTCCAGCTCCTGCTAATATATGACAGCTAATTCTCACAGATCCTTTGGAATATACATTCCCTCTCCGCTCTCATCAGGCTCATCACATTCCCACGCAAATGATGCTGTAATTTAATTCTATTTATAGAACATAGAGATGTGTCTTGAGAGGACATATGTTGCCTTTCAAGAAAAAGGGCTCCCCTTTGTCCTCCTGCAAGGGGGTGGGGGTTGAGTTATGCAATGAGATATAGAGGTAGTCAGTTAGGACAATGAGCCAAACTGAAAGTACTAGTCTGGCTTTTATTCACCTACTACAATAATGTAAGCAAGAAGCCTGAGAGAGAATAGGCTACCCCATCATGAACTGAACATTGAAGGGCTGTGATCATAGCCAGTTAATCTAAGGCAATAGCAAACCAGGTCCATATCAAAGTCACCACAAGCAGGATGATTAGCCCTTCCTGGCTGAATCATAGTCACGGTCCTTAACAATTACTAATCCAAGGAAAGATGTCCTGTATCCCATTAGGATCTACTCTAGAAATCCAGGAGACCTCCTGTCTAATTCTCATGATGCACTGTTCTGCTTTGCCAGTTTCACTGACAGAGGAGCAACACAGTTGTTGGCAATTTCACACCCCTCCTTGGATGGCCAAAAAAAACAGAGTTATGCAGGGAGACCTGAACAAAAGACATCTACCACTGTAGGAACTCATGGGCCAGAGGGAAGGAGAGGGGGAAAGGCTAGAAGTGGAAAGGTACTTAGCCAAAGTGGAGAAAAATGCCTCAGCCAAGGATCCCTCCCCACCCCTCCTCCATAAATAAGTCTTAGTAGAGGCACTTTGGTTCAAATGCAGATATGAGTATGAGCACGGCCTTCCCAGGGTACCTGGATTCTTGACTGTACTTCTCTCCAGAAAACTACCATACACAGGCTGCACACCAAGTCTGTGGTGGGGATGGCAGCTGCCCCCAAGGAAATGTGCCAGGCAAAGCTTTGAAACTCACACACAGAATTTTTTCCTGGAGCCAGACTCCTCAGTGTATGAGAAGGTTCAGAGTAGCAGCCCCCAAGCTTTTTAGCACCAGGGGACCGGTCTGAGTTTTCCATGGACTGATGGGGATGAGGGGACATGGTTTTGGGGTGAAACTGTTCCATCTCAGATAATTGGGTATTAGATTCTCAAAAGGAGGGCACAACCTAGATCCCTCACATGTGCGGTTCACAAATAGTGTTCGCAATCTATGAGAATCTAATGCTGCTGATGATCTGACAGGAGGCAGAGCTCAGGCGTTAATGCTAGCTTGTTCACTACCCACATTTTGCTGTGTGGCCCGGTTCCTAACAGGCCACTGGATCAGTACCGGTCTATGGCCTGGGGGCTGAGGACTCCTGATTCAGTGGATTCTAAGGTATCAAAATATTGAAGAGCATTCTCACATAAATTCTATCCCATATATTAGGATTCTAGATTTTTCCCATCCAGGTCCTTCATCTTAACATGAGAAGCCTGCCTTGGTTAGGCATTTAACTGTCTTTTAGGACCATCTATTCTGTTAAGTCCTAGGATTAGCCCTCGGCTTTCTTCACTCTCTTGATGATGGAGATAAGAAACTTATTTATGCAGCCAAAAAGATCTTCTGGCTGTCAACAGCAGGTTTCTCAGTTCTTATCATTTCTCCATAATGCATCAATAACACAACAGCCACCAATATCATTATCCTTTTAGCTACTATTTCCTCCATACCTCTCAAATACCTAATACATCACATCCACAAGTATATTTCCTTCTACTGGCACATCATCAGAGCATACCACTGGTGAGAGTGAGTGTCATCTTATGCTAGGGGCTGTCTGTGCTCTTCCTATTATCAGTGATAGGGTCTTCATTGCCAAAGAAACTAACTGATCCAACTCCAAATTTACTACTACTGTTTGCCTGCTAGGACCACTCCTGTTATCGAATGTAACAAGATGAGTTCTCCAGAAGCAGATGCTGAGACAGTTTGAGGTGCAAGATATTAGGAATCAACACCTGTGAAAGAAAGGTGACAGAAGCAACTTTTTTTTCTTTTTTTTTCTTTTTTTTTTTTTTTTTTGACAAAGTCTCTCTGCTGCCCAAGCTGGAGTGATCTTAGCTCACTGCAACCTCTGCTTCCCGGGTTGAAGCAATACTGCTGCCTCAGCTTCCCGAGTAGCTGGGATTACAGGCGTGGGCCACCACGGCCAGCTAATTTTTGTATTTTTAGTAGAGACAGGGTTTCACCATGTTGGGCAGGCTGGTTTCAAACTCCTGACCTCAGGTGATCCACCCGCCTCGACCTCCCAAAGCGCTGGGATTACAAGCATAAGCCACCATGCCCAGCCCAGGAGCAACATTTCACAGAGGAATAATTTGAGCTGTGATGCAGCTGCCTTGAATTCCTGAGGCAGGGGAAACAGACCATTATGTTGCTGACAGCTGAAGGCTATCTGCTGATAGCACTCCCCACAGCTGGGCGGCAAGGGTATATGGCTAGCACACCAGTATGTCTACCACACTCTTCTTCCTATAGCTTAATTCCTTGAAAAGACATCTAGGCCGGGCGCGGTGGCTCACGCCTGTAATCCCAGCACTTTGGGAGGCCGAGGCGGGCGGATCACGAGGTCAGGAGATCGAGACCATCCTGGCTAAAACGGTGAAACCCCGTCTCTACTAAAAATACAAAAAATTAGCCGGGCGTAGTGGCGGGCGCCTGTAGTCCCAGCTAATTGGGAGGCTGAGGCAGGAGAATGGCGTGAACCCGGGAGGCGGAGCTTGCAGTGAGCCGAGATCCCGCCACTGCACTCCAGCCTGGGCGACAGAGCGAGACTCCGTCTCAAAAAAAAATAAAATAAAATAAAATAAAAAAAAAAAAGAAAAGACATCTAACAGATACATTCATTGGCAAGAGGACCTTGTACTTCAATCATTTACAGAAGGCAACATGGCATCAGACATGGAATCAGATGAACATGGGTTCAAATTTTGGCAGTGCATTTTGAAAAGCTATGTGACTTAGAGCAAGTCACTCAACCTCCTTAAAACTAAATTTCCTCATTTAAAAAATGCAGATTTAGTAGCCACCATACAGTTCAGTAAAGATGTAATAAAATTAAAGATGAAACATATGCTAATTCCTTTCCCACTTTTTTCATTTATTCATCTTTCCCATATATTTTTGTTTGGAATTTGGTATACATTGTTTCAATTATATTTTTATTACAACCTTAATATTGCCCCGGGAAAGTACTTTATAAACTCTAACATCCATAAAAATATAAGGCTATTTTTGTTAATTTTTGTGCAGAGGCAACATGATAGAACAGAGTGCAAAATTTCTAGTTTCACATCCTACTTGTGAAACATACCAAGTGTGTGGTCAAAGCATGTTGTGTAACTGCTTAGAGCCAGTGTCCACATTTCCAAATGTAAGGTAGAACTCTTATATGCATGGATCCCAGTACAGTTTTGAGAAATAAATGGGTTAATAAAAGTGAGAATGCTCAAAACATTTTAAAGCACTGAACAAATATAAAATAACATTGTTATCACAATTCTGATAGCCTCTAAAATGGGTTCCTGATAGCCTCTGAAATGGGTTACCATTCGACACACAGCAGCTAAATAAGTTTTCTAAAAGCAGAACTCAAATTATATTATTTCTTTCCTCAAAATTCATCAGCAGCACCTCTTGGCTTCTCAAATAAAGGTCATATTCTTATCTTAGCATTTAGAGTTCTCTTACTTTTAAAGGTTTGTCATCATTATTCATGAACAAAAATAATAAATGCTACCGGCAAACTATACAACTGTTTAAATAATAATCAAGTTAAAGAAGTAATACATGCTTTTTGAAATAGGTAAACTAACATGATACAAAAATTTACGACAACAAAGTTATCATTTCCCCTACTGCCTTACTATCCCAACTGTATAAAATACTGAGTGTTAACAACCTTGTGAGCATAAAATCACACTATTCTTCCTAGAGAAAGAAATGCAAGCACATATATAGATTTTTTTCTCTGCATTTTTTGTCCTTTTTATTCCAAGATAAATTCTTTCTATAAAATTAATTGAAACTTGCATTTTTCAGTTTTCAAAATATCAATGAGAACTCTGTCATGTAAAGAGTCTGTAAGTCATTAATTCAGTCTTTACAACAAGAAAACAGTGAAGCAAAGTAAAAATTAATGATGTGTTTGAACCTATCAGAGAACTGCCACTCTGGAATCTGAAAAGACAGGCACATCCAGAAAGATACAACAACTGTGATCTGCTTACCTGGAACAAAAGCTGCTGGAGCCGTTAGATGGTGGAAACATTCAAATAGTAATTTTGAGGAAATAATGGAGACTGAGCTTAAGAGTGAGAAACTAACTCCTGGGGTCTCAGTCATCATAATTTCAATGGCTTTCTCTTTAGAAACTTACCAGGTTCTCAGAGTGAGAATCTGAGAAACTTGAATCTACATTAAAAATAAAGGTTCCTCAGAGAAGAAATAAATGAAAATAAAATAATCTGACTTTTCTTATTCATAATTGATCTAAAAGATAACTATTTGTTTAAGTCAATAAACGTTAAAATATATCGAGTGATTACAGCATATGGATACAGGAAATGACTGATGACGATATCACAAAGATGGGTGGGAGGGATCTGGAATACTCTAAGTTACCTGCAATACATGTAAAGCAGACTAGTGTTATTTAGAGTGAGATTTGATTAGTTATAAATGTATTGTAAACTGTGGGGGGAATTACTAAAATTTTTTACAAAAAAAGATAAATGATATGCTCAGGAAGGAGATAAAATGGAGTCATAAATGCCCAAATCAAACCAGAGAAGGCTGAAGAGGGAAAGATAAGGAAACAAAGAGAAAATTCAATAAATAGAAAATAGAAAAGTTACAAAATAGACACATATTAACCCAACCATGTAAACAGTTATGTGTTAATGGTCTAAACACATCAACTAAAAGACAAAGATCATTAGAATGGAAAAAAATAAAAATATGTTGTCATAAGAAGACATTTTTAAACATAAAGATGGATAGGATGTAAAAAAGTAAAAGGATGGAAAAAGATATACCAAGCTATCACTAACCAAGAAAAAACTAGATTAGCTGTACTAATTTCAGACAAAGAAGACTTCAGAACAAGGAATACTATAATGGATAAAGTCTTCACTCTCCAAGAAGACATAATCTCAAACATGCATTCACTGACAACAGAGATTTAGGATACATGAGGCAAAACAGAACTGAAATGAGAAAGAGACAAATCTAGTATGATAGGTGGAAGCTTCAATACACATCCCTCTTTCAATAATTGACAGATCCAGCAGGTAAAAATAGCAATAAGGCATGAATTTTATAAAGAGCACTATCATTATCAACTTAATCTCACTGGCATTTATAGAATACTCCATGTTTTAATTATTTTATTATTATTATTTTTAGATAGGGTTTAGCTTTCTTGCGAGACTGGAGGGCAGTGGCATGATCTTGGCTCAGATACATGAGGCAAAACAGAACTGAAATGAGAAAGAGACAAATTTAGTATAATAGATGAAGGCTTCAATACACATCCCTCTTTCAATAATTGACAGATCCAGCAGGTAAAAATAGCAATAAAGACATGAATTTTATAAAGAGCACTACCATTATCAACTTAATCTCACTGGCATTTATAGAATACTCCATGTTTTAATTATTTTATTATTATTATTAGGGTTTTGTTCTCTTGCCAGACTGGAGTGAAGGGGCGTAATCTTGGCTCACTGTAGCCTCAACCTCCTGGGCTCAAGCAATCTTTCCACCTCAGCTTCCTGAGTAGCTAGGACTAGAGGTGTGCCAAGACACTTGGCTAATTTTGTTTAATTTTTTATAGAGACAAGGTGTTGCTGAGGCTGGTCTCAAACTTCTGGGCTCAAGTGATGCACCCACCTTAGCCTCCCAAAGTGCTGGGATTACAGGCATGAGCCACCATACTTCATTTAACAACAGCAACATATACATTCTTTCCAAGCTGTCAGGTAACATTCAACCAAAATAGGTAACAGTCACTTTCATACCTTAATATACCTTAACAACAACAATGTAAAAATAGCTATGCTTGCTGGAATGGGATGCAAAATTTAAAAATAGAAGTCATTTAAATTATCTTCCTAGAACAGGATGAAATTATGTTCTAAAATAAAAATACCTGAAAAATCTCCAAATATTTAGAAATTACAGTGAACAGTAAACTTCTAAATGTTCCTAGTTTTTTTGTCCCCAAGAGCAAGAATTCTATAAAGTCTCCAAACCGTAATTTTATATGCTGTATTTTTATTTTTATGGGGTTGATTCCTAGGAATGGGGTAGTTTTATAGAAAAATATAAATTTCTTAAACAAATGGTACTCAATTGTTTTCCAAGGAAACAATAAAATTAGAAAAGTCTACCAATGATAAATAAAATTGTACCACCATATTTGCTAACATAGGTTTCACAGAATATTTCAATTTTGGCAGCTTGGTAAAATAAGTAATTTTTCATATTTTCTTCAGCATTCACTTTTTTGACTATTGAGCTTGATCACCTTCTCTGATTTTTGTTAGCCATGTAGAATTATTCATCTGTTAGTTGCCTACTTCTATCCTCTGTCCATTTTATAATTTAAATTACATACCATTTTCTTTAAAGTCTGTTTCAGAATTCTCTAGATTCCCTTTTTGTCCGATCTACTTTTTGTTTTTATGTCAGTATCATATTCATTTATTATTGTGGCCTTATAATTTTCCTGATATGTGTTCATCATTTTCATAATTTTCTTTCTATTACATTTAATGTTACACATAAACCTCAAAATAAGCAATTCAATTTTTTAAAAAATTGCATTGGAATTCAAATTGTCATTGCATTAAATACCTAACAGCTTTGAGAGAGTGGTCATTTTTATGATGTTACACTTTCCCATTCAGAAACAATGTGTGATTTTTCATGAAATTTATTTGCTTCGATGAGATTTTGTAGTTTTCCTTAGCATGCTCCTGATTGCCTTTGTTAATCTGATTCCTAAGTACTATATAGATATCTGTTTCTGCTAAATGACGAGTTAATGGGTGCAGCACACCAGCATGGCACATATATACATATGTAACTAACCTGCACATTGTGCACACGTACCCTAAAACTTAAAGTGTAATAATAATATAAATAAATAAATAAATAAATAAAAGAAATATGAAAAAAAAAAGAATGGAATTTTTCCTAGTTCCACTTCTACTTACTTATTGGTAAAATAGAAGTTAATGATAAATAAGGTGGTACTAAAAGTTCTGATATTAAAGTTATAATCAATTCATAAAATGAATTTAGACAGCATTGGAATCATCTTTTATTTATATGTCAGATAGGTTCCATTTTTAATGATGTTTCCTTAATGACCATTTCAATCTCTGCTTTTTGACAATTAGTCTATCAATATTTCCACTTCCCTTAGATGGAAACTAGGAAAAAAGTTCATTTCCTATACATTCTCAAATGTTTGCCATAGTTTCGTATAACATTTCTTATGGTTTTTTGCATAACTTTAATTTGTATTGTGATTTGTAATATGAGAATATATTAGAACATTAACATTGATAAAGAGCATCATAAACTTCTGATTTGCTTGCAAACCAGAAAAGACAGAAAAATGTGTTCAAGTGTTACCATTCATGTTTTGTAAACAGAAGTTTTTAGAGAACTTGGAGAGGAATATTTAGCCCTCTCTTCTTTCTGGGAAAATAATAATTCTATTTGGGATCCTTTAATTAGACAATTTACAAGCACAAGAAGCCATTAAAACATTAATCACTGAACAGAATTTTTACACATTTACAAAAGTATATGTATGCAACTATATGAAGCAAAAAGTAAATCTGCTATCATGCTAAGGCATAAACATATTTCTTTTCTAAATTTAGCAGGAAAATATTTTTCTATGGCTTATGTGAAAATAATGCATCATGGCATTTGGGAGGGACCCAATAAATAGCTCTCAAATTTTCTACCTGATTTTTAAACCAAATGATATATAAGATGTAAGAGCCAGTAAATGGGGCTGAAAATATCACCTTTATTACTAATAAAGATGATACTGTAAAATATGACAAATACATCCTGTCAAGCAGGTATTCCAGTAACAAACCCCAAAATCAGATAAATGTGGGTGCCCAGACATGGAAGCATTGGAACAGGGAAAATCTCTCCTAACGTTGTCCTGCCCATTCCCTCCCACTAACAAAAAGCATGTCCAGGGAATATGAGAGATGATTTGCTCCTTTGTGGCAACTGAATCCAATAGCTATAAAGAGAAGTTATTGGGCAATGCATGTCTTGTCATTCCTCCAAAACTCACCAATAAGTCACTTGCCCTTTCTAATAAGGAGCAGAAGAGATTAGAAAAAGATGCTGGGAGTGGTTAGGTCAGTAAGGTTTCCCCATAGATAAGGAAATATCAAAAAAAGAGAAGAAGGCCAGGTGTAGTGACTCATGTTTGTAATCTCAGCACTTTGGGAGGCCGAGACTAACGGATTGCGTAAGTCCAGGAGCAGGAAAGATGGTGAAACCTCATATCTACAAAAAATACAAAAATTAGCCAGGTGTGGTGGCACATGCCTGTGGCCCCAGTCACTTGGGAGGTTGAGGTGGGAGGATCATTTGAGCCTGGGAGGTGGAGGTTGCAGTGAGCTGAGATCATCGTGTCACTGCACTCCATCCTGGGCAACAGAGCAAGACCCTGTCTCAATTAGAAAAAAAAAGGAAAAAAATAATTCCACCTTATACCACCTTATACTTGAGGGTTAGGATTATTGAGGGTTATCATTCATTTATTTACTCATCAACTTATCCACCCATTAAACATTCATTACACACTACTAACATTGAGGCCCTTAAAAAGATCAGTCTTCAAACTTTATTCTAGATAGCTCTTACAGTTCACTCCCCAAAACGGTATTAATACCATATTCAAAATGGCTGAAATACAAAGATAATTTATTGTCTACTTTCCAGATGCCAGCTATCTTTCTTTCTGGAATGATTAATAGAATGGGAAGAGAGACCCAGCAGTTGTGTACTGTAATGTGTTTGGTATTAAAGTAGATACGGTGCTTTTAGCACACCCTGGAAAAAATTGAATAAGTATCAGAATAGTAACCAGTCCTAACTTATAACACGATTTTTGGTACACATATCACAAGTAGCAGATGTCTGTACAATGCTGATATCTAAGCTTTTCTGTAGTATTTTTTCTAGAATTTCTACCACCACTAAAACACAGTAGTGCCATCTTCAGAAACACACAAACAATACCAGTATAAACGACTTAGCCTTTACTGTAAAGCATTATGTTATCTGGATCCTGTCCACTTCCCTAGAATTTTCTCCCACCACTTCCCTCCTACTACTCACTGCTACAGTTCTACTAAACTATTTTCAGTTCCTTAAATATACCAACTGCTTTCTCACCAACGGACCTTTGTGTACATTGATTTCTTTGTGTAGAATATTATTTCATCTTCTCTAACACTTCTCTCCTTCACTCCTAATATTTTTTATATCCCAGTTCTCCAAGAGGCAGTCTATGAACCAGGGGTGATATTCAAAACATTTAATAATTGTGGCACAGTTACCCAGGACTAATCAGAACGGTCATAAACTACAGTGCTAGAACTGAATTTTGGAAGGCTTTCATGTCCAGGGATAATTCCTTTGTTGCAGTGTAACTGCCAGGTGTGGTAAGGAGCTCTCTGGAGAGAAACCTGGGTAGCCAAGGTATCTGCAGAAGCACTTGGGAGCACAAGCAGAGTCCACTTATCAACCAGGACAAAAGGTTTCACTGTTTTAATAAGTGGTTTGGCCATTCTGCTGTAAACTAGCTGTCTCCCTTTATAAACTCTATGAGAAGGTCAGGTATCCCTTTTGTGTCCTCCTATGGTATTTATCACTATAGTACCACTTTTCTCACTGTATCATAATTTCCAATTCACTTGTTTGTCTCTCTCACTAAACTAAAAAGCTCCTTAAAGTCAAGGTCCTTGTCTTATTTGTCATTGTGCTGTCGGCATTCAATATCATTACCAGAACCTGGTACAAAAACTTCACAAATATTTGTAAAAAGAGAAGGAAGAATGGTAAGAAAACAGGAAAGAAGAAAGAGAGAGAACAGAGGCAAGGGAGGAATTGTCGTAGACAAGACGTTCAAAGCACTGTTTGTATTCTACATAGCATCGTTCAAAAATATGTGTTAAGAATAGAAAAACGCAAAGATCATTTAGTCCAACCTCCTCTTTTTGTAAGCAAAGACAAAAAAACTCAGAGAAGTTAGTATCTTACCCAGTATTATGTAGCTTGGGAAAGTACTCTCAGGGGTCCTCATCCAAGTTTACTTCACTGAGCTTTTTAAACTCAAGATTGATTTCTACTGGAAAAATATTCCTCATTCATTCATAAGGTTTTCTTACTTTGGAATTGAAACTTTGTAAAGATATGCTATAACTGTTGCAGATACTTTCAGTATGTTTCAGGAAGGCTGTTGTCTTCTTTTGATACTCATATAAAATAAAAATGCCCATGTACATAAATGTTAATATTTATCAGGACTAGACTGAAATGCTGACTCCACTTTTGAAGATGGAAATTCATGCTGTTATTTCCTTGCAGCATGTTCCATGATCACATCATATGTCTCTCTGTGTGGGCACCTCAGGTGAAGCATCTGTGCTCTTCCAACTGAAATTCTCCATGAGATTCAGTTTTAAAACAGAACATACAAACTCTATGTAGCTTCGGGCTGCACACTCCCACATTCCAGAAAAAGTAAGTAAACCTTCCTTTAAAGTGCCTAACATATGTGAGTGATAAATTAGGTGTTTCGGCCTCTGAGATGTATTAGCAAAGTATAAAGTGAGACACATGGTACACTGTCAAAGAGTTGTGGTAGACAGTAGAGTAGCATGTATTTTGAATGTTTTAATCCTTTTGCTGACTTCAATAAAGCAGAGCCAAGGCTTTTACCTATTCAATAATATAGGCCATAGTTGTTTTAGAACAGCATCTTCCAGAATGAGTCAGTTGCAATACCAGTAAATACCAGCAGAAACAGAATTCTCAGGGGCGGAACAGAGGAATTTTAGGGCAATGAACCTATTCTGTGTGAGACTATAATGGTGGCTACGTGTTATTTTATATTTGTTAAAACTGATAGAAGAAATAAACCTAAGCAAATTTACAAAGAAACCCACAGAATGTACAAAACCACGAGTCTATCAAATATACCACTCTGACGCGGATGTTAATTGCTGGCAGGCTGTGCTGTGCCTGTGTGTGTTGGGAGTGCAGGGGAGGGGATACATGAGAATTCTGTACTGTATGCTCAATTTTGCTGTGAACCTGAAGATGCTCTAAGAAATAAAGTCTATCTAGGAAGGGAAAATTTTCTCTCCCTCTCTTCCTCCCTTACACACACACACACACACACACACACACACACACACACACGAATAGAGAAGGACGTGCTCAAATGTACTTGGGAATTACTGTATATTCTATCTACTTTTCAAAGACAAAGTTATCCTGAGTTTGGCACTTCTGCCGAGCTCAATAAAGAGGAATTGAACTCTTCCATCTTTTTTTTTTTTTTTTTTTTTTTTTGAGACGGAGTCTCACTCTGTCGCCCAGGCTGGAGTGCAGTGGCACAACCTCGGCTCACTGCAAGCTCCACCTCCCGGGTTGACCTCATTCTCCTGCCTCAGCCTCCCGAGTAGCTGGGACTACAGGAACCAGCCACCACACCTGGCTAATTTTTTTTATATTTTTAGTAGAGACGACCATGTTAGCCAGGATGGTCTTGATCTCCTGACCTCGTGATCCACCTGCCTAGGGTTCCCAAAGTGCTGGGAATACAGGCGTGAGCCACCGCAACCGGCCAAATTCTTCCATCTTAAGTTCCATTCTCATTTACTAGTCCAAGAACCAACACAGAACAAATCAATTAATTTGTAAACATTATGTCCTTCTACCTCTCAAATCCCTCAAGGGAAGGGGAAGAGGAAGCTTAGGAATTCAGTCATTTGTGTTATCAGGCTCCTATGGGTTCAGAACTGGTTTGCCTAAGTTAAGACCCCGCCCCTCCCACTGCCCCGATGCCAACCAAGGGAGTGAGCAAGTAACAAGGAAAGACTATGTGAGAGCCCTCTAAGCATCCGGAGAATTTTCTATACTCTTGCAGGCTGTCATATGACTTTAAGAATAGAAGTCTTATACTACATACAATCAAGATAATTGAGACCACTGAAATATTTTATTATGTTCTGGATTCCTATCTCCTTGGCCCCAGGTAAGATTAATTTTTATTTGAATTTTTTAATGTACTTATAATGACATACCCTAAATTGTTTAAAATGTTCTTGGCGACCAATTTTGCAGAGAACAGTGAAAAAAAGGCTACAGAGAACAAGTGTATCTATTCTAATAAAATAACTTTGTTGTACAAATTGAGAAGTAGGGGTTGAAGACAGTGATGTTCCATCAGGAGAAAAGGAGAATGCACCTGTACCATGCTTCCCTATCTTCCATGGTATGTACTGGTTTACCGAAAGGCTCAAAGAAGTCCCACCTTACAGTAATTTCTCCAATTTCCTGAATTGTTATAACCTCAGAATTCTTTTTGGGCAATATCTGCTGATATCTCACAATACACCAGTGTTCCTAGGAATAATTTGGAAAGCAGGGCTCTGGAAGGTATTCCTGGTCCAATTGCCTATAAATAAGATGATTCGTGACAGCAAATGACTTATGGGTATATGACCTATTCTCATATTTTGGGGAATTTCCCCAAATATAAAATTTTATTTAGGAAAACTTTAAAGATTTTCAGTTCAACTCTTTCATTTTATGTGTAGGATTAAAATGGTTTTACAGTGCACCAAAGGCCACACAGAAAAGGAATGGCCCAGATAGAGCTAGATCCCAGGTCACTAATTCTCTCTCTGAAACCTCATCAACTTGACATGCATATTTGTTATGTGCTGAATTGTGTCCTCCCAAAATGCATATGTTTAAGTCCTAATATGCCCAAAACTCAAAATGTTACTGTACTTGGAGAGATAGTCTTTAAAGAAGAAATTAAGTAAAAATTACACCATTCGGGTGGGCCCTAATCCAGTCTGAATGGTGTACTTATAAGAAGAGGAAATTTGGACTTGCAAAGGAGACACCTGGGATGTGCATGCACAGAGGAAAGACCATGTGAGGACCCAAAAAAGTGGTCATCTGCAAGCTAAGGAAAGCAGCCTCAGAAGAAACGAAACCTGCTGACACCTTGATCTTGGACCTCTAGACTTCAGAACGCTGAGAAACTAGATCTATGCCCTTTTAGCCATCCAATCTGTGGTATTTTGCTATGGCAGCCCTAGTAAACTAATACAACACCCATCTACTATCTGATTTTCTTATTTTTTCAGCCTTATTTTCCTCTCCAACCCCAAAGCAAAATGTATATTTCAACTAGAGTATATGCCTTGAATATTATCCCTCTGTCTTTCCCCATAGAGTGGCCTCTTTGCCCAGAATGTTGCTTATTTCTTCCCCTGGATGTTATGTGAATTCTATGCAGTGAAGCCCCACTTCTGTTATACCATTCTTAATCAGACCAGCTCATGGTGTTCATTGCTTTTGCTAAACTCCTCAAAACCACAACACATGTCACATCATTCTTTTCATACAATTATTCATGACTAGTCATCTTTTTCTGATTGTGTGTCTTGTGTCACAAACCAGATCCTCAAACATCATTTTTGTGGCATTTCCACTGTTACTAGTCTTTAAATATAATCTTGATTGTTCTCAATTTCTAGTAAGTTGGCCAGAATATACTCTTCCTAAGATTATGTATGGCCACATCAGTTTAAGCATAATGAAATTCAATATAACTCTAATGCTCACAGGGATTTCTACGGTGTCACCATAAAAAATAATATCATAAAAACAGGCATAATTGGACTGTTCTCCTGTTATAATGACAAAGTGCTGTCATTATTAATATTGGGGTATACATGAAATCACTAAACATTATATACACAAGGCCTAATTGTAAGAACAAACTGTCAGTTTAAAAAAGTTATTTGCTGGTCACTTCTGATTGTTTTTTCTTCATTCTTGTCTTCAGATTCCTTCAGTAAACTCGTAGTTCTTGTCTGTAATGATGTTTGGTATTAAAATATCAATCTAAACTGGGGAGTATGTCTGAAGGGTTTAAATGAGCCCTAAGCTGCTTGGCAGTGTTTGTGTCAAGATCACTGAACTCACTGGATAGTTCCAAGATTTGGACTCTTGATAATGATCAGCTTTGGGGATGAAGGAAGAGGACAAAGAATGACTTCACAGTTAACTCCTTTGAGTTACTGCTATCCAATTATGATGATTCAAGATCCATTTTGGTCAATATCATATCAAATCAAATACCAGCATAGTTAAGGATAAGGTTTCCAGCCAGATATGTTTAAAAATCACATCTAAATATGTCCAGCCTTCGTCAATATGTAACTATACATCTGCTACTTTTTATTTTGCTTCTTAAAAGCAAAATTTGTTTATTTTTAAAAGACAAAAATACCATAACATAAATTTTCTGATATCTTTAGACAAAATAGGTCTGTAGTAAAGGAATCATATACTTTTTCAAGCAATCTCCATAGAAATCATTAGAACAAAAAGGCAATCTTATTAGAATTCAAAACAAGCACGCATCTTTTTTCTCATTACCTTGATTCTCTGATTCCCCTGGCTATTTTAGCAAAATGCCAGTGATCCTTAGTTATTTCAATTCTATCAACCATGCCTCTCAAAAATAAATTGTACTATGACAACATCCCCCTCAGAATCACCTGGGAGTTTTCCATTTGAGATGTGATCCTAGAACAAAATGCTCCTTAGATGAATGCAGGGTTTTCTAATTTGTTCTTAAGGATTATTAGATAAACTCTGATTCACTCAATATCAACCCATCCCCTCAAACTTTAATTGACTAGATGTAAACCACCAAATCATGTTGGCATAAGAACTTTCGGGCTGAAAGAGCCTTGAGTAATTGAGTTATAAATGTGCTGTGGGTCTATGCTAATGTTCTAGCCAGAAGATAAAGGCTAGGAAAAGATACGCCCTGAAGGTTATGAGTGTTGATCTTATGGGAAGGAGGAAGTCCTGATACTTTTTGTCATACTGCCTTTTATTTTAGAACACTTATTTCCTTGGATAGTGGCCATTATAATAAAGATCATATACCTTCAAGGTTCCAAGGTGGTGACACTTCAAATAGATGTTAGGGCACAAATAAAATATAGGAATCTAAAGGTGACTTGCCAAAAAGGACTCTTAATTAGATATTCTTCACATTATGCTGAATGTCAGCAATAAAGGTGTAAGCAAGGAAAGGTAGGTGGCTATGAGCAACTAAAAACTGACCTTTCACAAATTCACTTTAGGTTCCCAAAGTCCTTCAATTAGAAAATGTTGCACTAGAATGCAAATTCCCGGCACACTCCTTAGGACACAATTTAGGAGTAATCTTATGATATTAGAAGCAAGAGCTGTTTTACCTCCCACAATTCTTATTTTTTTCTCTCTATCCACACTTCTTATATTTTTCCCTCTATTCTAAAACTACTTGCCATTAGTTATGCACCTGTCATTATCGTAGGCAGCACAGAGTTAAATACACAATACCAATGCAATATCAAAGCACAGGCAGTAACATCAAAACCTACAGTAGCCAGGAGCAGAGCTTAGGCCTGTAATCCCAGCACTTTGTGAGGTCGAGGTGGGTGGATCACCTGAGGTCACCAGTTTGAGACCAGCCTGATCAATATGATGAAACCCCGTCTATATTAAAATTCAAAAATTAGCCAGGTATGGTGGCATGCACCTGTAATCCCAGCTACTCGGGAGGCTGAGACAGGAGAATCGCTTGAATCTGGGAGGCAGAGGTTGCAGTGAGCCAAGATCACACCATTGCATTCCAGCCTGGGCAACAAGAGTGAAACTCTGACTCAAAAAAACAAAAACAAAAAAGAAAACAAAAAAAACAGCAACAAAAAACCACCAACCACCTACAGTATTAGTTGGGGAGACAAATTATGCACCTTATAAAATAGCTAAAAGACTATTTTTAGAAAATTAGATATTCATTAAAATATCATAATATGCACTTTATTTCTGAACGCTTAAATTGAAGTAGCAAAAATATTAGAGAACCAATCAAAGGTTTTCAGCAATAAAGTGGCATTATTAAGCTTAGGAAGATCAATCTGCTGAGAACTTTTTGAAGAACTTGGAGGCGAGACTAGGAAACAGCAGGTAGAAGAATTATGAAGTATGATGTCATATACGGAAAATGCCCATCTTTCCTTCCTGAGAGATGACAAGGAATGAAAAAGAGAACAGAAGACAATATGCAGGTAAAATACACAAGATTTGGCCCCTGATTCACTGGGGAAAGCTAAGGAAAAGTTAAAAATGATATTGAGTTGTAAAACTTATACAGATAAACTAAGGAAAAATGTCTTCTAACATTATACTCATTTACAGTATTGTTCACTAAATATTAAAAAATATTAGTACTATTAATAGCAATTTCCTCCAGTAGTTAAAATTTTTATTTATATAAGCTTACCCATTTTTCTGTGAATTCAATATATAAAAATACAATACTACCCACTTTTCTGCCAAGCTCTGTAATCCTCAACTCTCCTAAACATCATTAAACTTAAATATTAGTGAAAAGTACCTCTAAACCTCTACAAACATCCTGACATAGAAAAGCAATAAATGTTCCCCCTGGAAAACAATTTTATAACTTCAAAATTGTATTTAAAATTCAAGTTTCTCACTTAATAAGGTTAGACACTTTCTTTCTTTTGGTATCTTTTATTGTTACTAAGCTACCACAGGCAGTTAAATAAATTATAGCTAAAAGCTCCGTGCTTTATGTGCATTTTTAATTTGGTTCTCACCACAGTCCCTGAAGGAGGTACTACCATTAGCCTCCCAAAATGAGAGTTAAAGAGGTCAAGTAACAGCTACTAAATATTGAAATCCAGGACTTTCACACTGTAAAGTTATAGAGTTACAGAGCATCAGTGAGAAAGTGAGGGGTGGAGGAGTGTTGGGGAAAGGCTGCTAAAAGCAGCAGCTCTGAGCTGGGACAACTGCTTTTAAGGAGTGAGACAAGAGAATTAAAGCACAATACAGCAATCTAGGATAATTTAATCTAGGGGCAAGAAACTCAATAGCACTGATGACAATTCTGCCTTGTAGAATTTTATACCATCAGATGTTCAAAATGATGTCATGATGTCATGGAGGAGGTTTATATTCTATGCAGTATGCTCTCTTTAATAGAGCAAAGGAATGCACAATACATTTTAGACATATCTCTGTGAAACATACAGTCCACTGTTTAAAGGAATAAGTTTTAATTACTGAGAATGGAACTGATCCTAGGTAAAATGATTAAATGGACAACTTAAAGATTGTTTTGCAAAGTCTTAATTAGTCCTTTTATTTATTTTTTCACTCTCTTCCCCATGGGCACCAATTTGAGTAACACTTACACATTAGGAAGCTCTCCCTAAAAAGCCCTCAGGTTTTCTACAAGTCTGGCAAGGGTCACACTCACAAAGCTGAAACTCTAACATCATTGATTTTATGGCATTGTTTCTTAATGAGCCCTTTTAGAATGTAAGCAACTAAAAAGTACATAAGGTACCTGTACTTCAGCTTTGAAATAGAAAAGATAAAAGAGAAGCTCTTCCAAATCTTTCTTGGCTCCAGTAAACCATAGCTTAGTAAATGATCACAGTTCAGCTCCTAATACAAAAGACCCTTATGATTAAATAGAAAAGTACTATTAACAATCACACAGTTTTATCTGGATGAAACATCCTATTAAGCAGAAAATGTTCTTAACCTTTTTTGAAAGAATATTTCCTAGTTGTAGATAAAAGAGACTTGTTTTCATTGTTGCAGTACATAGGTTAATGAAAATTCTTTTTTATGGGACCATGTTTAAAGCTTAAAAAAAGTCTGAAGTTTAGAAATAAGCAATGAAATATTTAATCTTCCAGCAGGTTGTTAAAATAAGGGTAAAGCCGATTATAGTCAAAAGCTATTACTACCTTATAGGTACATGGTGATATATATGAAATTTGTTGATTACTTCAGCTCAGTACTAGCAAATGGCATAATTGCTATTATCATGTGAGTGACAGTAGTCCCATATAAAGTATTAAAAATAGTAAAAATGAAAAAAACATCAGAAAATACAGTGCTTAATCAATAAACATCTTTTAACAATATTTGACCATCATGTATCATGAAACTAATATGTTACTAACACTGTGGTATAAAGTGCAGGAAGATTCATAGATAGAAAGACATTTGTACTTAACCTCCAAGAGCTCAAGATCCAGTGGAGGAGTTAGGCTAAAATTGAGAATTACAATTCTTTGTAAGACCTATAACAGAGATATGTATAGTGTTCTGAATATGAGAAAGATATAGCAACTACCAGTGTAGTAAAGAAAGTCTTCACAGTAACGCTGGCATTGGAACTCGTTCTGGAAGGGAGGTGAAGTCCTTCCAGAGACTTCTGTGAGAGTCTGAGAAAGGTATTCTGACCAAATGAACAATATGTGCAAAAATGGACAGCTGAGAAAACATAGTGTATACAGAGAAAACTAGTCTCTAGCAAAACAACCAGCACATAGTAGATATCAAATAAATATCTCTGGAATGAACAAGCAAAAGATAAAAGTGAGAAGCTATGTTTCACTAGAATGTAAACAGTACATGTAAAACAAAAAGGAAATGAACTTGGAGTGATAAACCTAGGCAAGTACAAGTGGTCAATTTTCAAGAAACACTGTTCTCTCACTATACAGAACTATAAAAAATATTTTTATAAACCAAAGTTTAGATATGGAGACACTTTGTTGCAGCTATATTTTTTTTACCCATACACAAGATCTCCCAACTTAGTGGCTTCAAATTCTAAAAGCATTTATTTTGCTCACAAATGCGCACTTTGGGCAGGGCTACTAAAGGGATAGCTGGTCTCTGGCTCACTAAGCATCAACTGAGGTGGCTTGAAGGCTGAGGCCTATAATCATCTGAAGCTTGCTTACTCATATATCTCAGAGTGGACACTAGCTATCAGCCGAGTCTTTTGATGAGGCTGGCAACTGAAACATATACATATGACCTTCTGTTTGTCCTGGGCTTCCTGACAACATGGTGGCTAGGTTCCAATGGCAAACATCCCAAGAGACAGCCATTTGGAAGCTGTATAATTTTTAGATCTAGCCATGGAAGTTCCATACTATCATTTCTAGTACCATTTCTGCTATACTCTTTTGGTCAGAGAAGATATAACCCCTTTCAAGTTCATAGGGAGAGAAAACAGACTCCTCTTTTTGACAGTGGTATAGCAAGGATTCAGAGAATAAGATACCAGAAATACCACAGTGAATTTTTTTTGAAAATGCCATATACCACAAATGCTATTTCCCTATCAACATAATAATAAAAATTATATCCACAAAAGTCTAAACAATTTTTAATAAACTCAACAGTAGAGACCACAAAACTCATATAGTTTTAGTTAGCTCAGGACTTATCAATTATCTTACTATATTATAATTGTTTATAATATAAATGTAAAAGTTTGCCTATCTGATATTTTAAACTTCATTAGAGCAGAAAATGACTCTTTTTTAATCGTTTCCCAATATATAGTAAAATCCTGGCATATTAATATTTATTAATAAATGATTACACAGTATATATGAACTTAATATTAAAAATCACTCTCTTATATAACTGAGCTCAATGGTAAAGTCTTTTAACAAATGTATTTTGGAAGCATGACATGAATTTTGATATCAATGTAGTTTCTAGTGGATGACCCACTCAAAGACAGAGATAATTGATCTTCTTGGAGGATTATGATTTTGCCACGGTTGGAGGTGAGGGTCAGTCAACAGCAAATAGCCAATGGTTTTTATTTCTTAATAAGAGAAACTGACCATCAGAAATCAAAGCAAGTTTTTAAAAATAAGATAAATTGACCAGGCGTGGTGGCTCACGCCTGTAATCCCAGCACTTTGGGAGGCCAAGGTGGGCAGATCATGAGGTCAGGAGATCGAGACCATCCTGGCTAACACAGTGAAACCCTGTCTCTATTAAAAATACAAAAAATTAGCCGGGCATGGTGGCAGGTGCTTGTAGTCCCAGCTACTCGGGAGGCTGAGGCAGGATAATGGCATAAACCCAGGAGGCAGAGGTTGCGGTGAGCTGAGATCACACCACTGCACTCCAGCCTGGGCAACAGAGCAAGACTCCATCTCAAAAAATAAATAATAATAAGATAAATTATAAAAATTTGGACTTCTCTTCAAAAAAAATTTTACCCATTGTCTTCCAAGAACTAATGTATACCATGAAGTTAACTTAAGCATTGCAATTGGAATATTCAAATCGCTTTAAAGAGTTACCAGTTAAAGAGTTTGCTGCATGATGCACATAGAAGTCAATACTATGGCACTGGCTTTTAAGAAAAGAAAAGCTTTATTGTGAGTCAGCTGGCAAGGAGACAAGAGGAAACACCCAAGTCTCTCTTTCCAAGCTGGAGGCTGGGTCAAGTTTTAGAAGGATAGAGCAATGAGGTGTTGTCTAGAGGCATGATCTGCCTGGGAATTGTTATAGGGTGACATCAGGGCTCAATCTGATTGGATCCTGGATCTTACCAGGATTCACTTCTTAATTCTGTCCCCATTATTTGATCAGATCACTTAGGTTCCCTCCACGGTTGCATGCTTGGCTTATCTGGGTATTCTCAGGTTCCATGACCTTCAATTTGAGAGACCATGGCAACTAAAAAACAACCTATAACTTTGTTACATGAAAATTGAACCAGACTGGTGTGATGCTGTTACAAAACAATTACATTTTAGTTGTAATTCACTTTAAGTATATTTAGGATAAAAGTCTCCAAAAAATCTATTATTCACCTGTTTTATAGCTGCTGGACAAATGTCCAATCTGTATTAAGTAGGCCTCCATTCTCCTCTCTCCCCTCAGCCCAGTGAAAACATGGAAATTGACAAAAACTTGATTTCTAACATAAAAAATTTCAGTTTTGTTATTTGTAAGATGAAGATGCAACATGCTTTGATCTTATATGTTTAAGTGTAGAATACATAAACTAGGGGATTCATATGTCTGGGCTACATTTAACAGTTGTAAGACTGTAGAATGATTTACTTAGAAATGATGTATGCAGTTTTCTTTGCCAATCAATAAATGCTTAATCAAGTTTCATAAACTATTGTCAAGGAGGCTTGTCAGTTTCAAGTCCCTTTAATAATATTTATAGCTAAAAGGGATAAAATCACATTGTAAGCTAATGTGGAAGAAGCATGTGACAAGGTTTAGAATGCTTTCCTTTCTCAATATAAAAACACTGTTTGTTATCAGTAAATTTCCCAGTCCCTTAGCTCATCCAAAGCCTAGTGTCTCTTGAGTGACACAAATGTTGACCATATGTACATACGAGTTAGTCCTAAAATGATAGTGATTAAATATGATTTTTAATCTACTAACTCGTCAAATTTCTGGTAAATTCTCATGAACACAGCACTTCTTAGCACAAGCGTAATAGGAAGAATGGGAGCAACCAGAACCTGCTCCGATTTTGTCATTTAGGGTTTTGCACTGGACAAGCCATTTGACTCAGTTTTATTATTTTTGCTAAGCTGAAGTCAATCAGATCTTTCTTGCCTTTTCTTCCAGCTTTTAAATTTGTATGCCTCTATTGCACAAAATAGAAACTCAATAAGTACATATTTGGTGATCAAAGACTAAATGAATAAGCAAACATACTTAGTCCAACATCTTTTTAAATTTCCCCAAACAACCAGTTGTTTTACCAAATATAATTTTACATTTTTAATTGATATGCAAATATGCACATGTGCAAATATCAATTTAGGGCCTCCAAGCAAACATTTCAGAAAGGATTTCTTTTTTAATTATAGAACAGTGTTCCCTAATGGAGTAGAGAGTACCTAACATTTTTAAACATAAATACCCAGAAAAAAAAGACAAGTACTTACTATTTATGCTAGAAAAATAATTAAACCAAATATACATTCTAATGCAAGAAAGAAGATTGTAGTTTGACCATACCGTTGCCTATATAGTAAGAACTAATAAAACTCCATTTTTGATGCTTTATTGTGGCATAATTTATACATCATAAAATTCATCCATTGAAAGTATACAACTCTAAGTATATTGAGTTATGTAGCCATGACAACAATGTAGTTTCAGAACATCTTCATTACTCCCCAAAATTCCCAGTAAGACTGACTAAGACTAACTCTCTTACTCAATTCCTGTTTGCAGTTAATGTTGTCATTCACTCCCATACCCAGGTGACTACTGGTCTGATTTCTATGTCTAAAGATTTTACTTCTTCTGGACATTTCATACAAATGATTTTATGAAATCAATATGTAGTCTTTCGCATTTGGCTTCTTTTACTTAGCATAATGTTTCTGAGATTCATCCATGCTGTGGCATACATCAGTACTTCCATTTTTTTTCTTAAATAATATTACATCATAGAGATATACCACATTTTTTAATCCATTCACCAGTTGGTCAAGTTTTTACCTAATTTGAGTAATGTTGCTAAAACATTCATATATAAAATTAATGTGAATATAAATTTTCATTTCTCTCAGGTACATACCTAGGGGTAGAATTTCTGAGTTGTATAGTAAGTTTATGTGTAACTTTTCTAAGTTATGTCAAATTGTTTTTCAAGGTGACTGTATCATTTTACATTATCACCACCAACATATAATGATTCTAGCTTATCCATCTCCTTATCAACACTTGGTATTATCTGTCTCTTTGATAAGAGTCATTAAAGTGAGTGTAAAATGGTATCTTAATGGGTTTTGATATACATTTCACTAACGACCAATAATGTTGAGCATGTTTTCATGTGCTTGTTGATCACATGTATATGAATAAATAATAAGGCAGGGTAATTGGGAAAGAGGGGTTTGGGGTGGGGGCAGTGTTATTATATTATAAAAGTTATCAGCGATAATCTCCCCAGTAAGAAGGAGGTATCTGGGACAAACACTTAAAGGGTTTGGACTGAGCCGTCCAGTCCTAACACAAAAGGGGATCTTCTTTCTCATTGCAAATGCTGAGCTAAATGTAATGTAGGGTGAAGAAGAAGAAGAAGGAGGAGAAGGAGGGGAGGGGGAGGAGGGGAGGAGGGGGAGGAGGGGAGGAAGGGGAGGAAGGCGAGGAAGGGGAGGAGGGGAGGAAGGAGAGGACGGGAGGAGGGGGAGGAGGGGGAGGAGGGGTGGAGGAGGAGGAAGAGGTCATCCCTGGGAAGAAATCTGAAGAAGATGGGGAGAAGTATTTTGCATAGAAAGAACAACAAACAACAAGCACAAATGTCAAGGAGTAAGAGTAGGATTAGCAAGATCCAGGAAAACAAGGAAGGCACTGCAGATTGAGCAAAGTGAAGAAAAAGTGATGTGATAGAAGATAAAATCAGAGAGTAACAAGACTGGTTTGCAGAAGTACAGATTTTGTAGGGTTTTAAAAGCCATTGTAAGGATTGGGCTTCAATAGACTGTTTATACTAATTCAATTCAAGGAAATATGTAAGAAAACAAATTGCATAAGATAATTTGTTAATTTATAGTAAAAGTTAACTGGCAAGATTATTCATATCTGCAGATTACTATACTCATTCTCTGTAGGAACTAAGAATACTGTATATAGATAAATAAGCAGTAAAGACATTTGAACTCAGCTACCCAATCATCCCTAGATACTCTGCATGGGAAAGTTGCTGGCAATTTCCAGGGCATACAATATTCCAAAAGCAACCTTAGTACATATGAGAGCAAAACGGTTCCTCTGGCATGGCTAGTGAATGGGGAAGTGCTTGGGCCTCCTGTGAGGACATACCTCACTGGAGTCTAGTCCCACAGTGGTTTTTGCCAACATGATTTGTGAAAAGGGATATTTCATTATTATTTTCATTTGCATTTTCTCATGAGTCTGAGAATGTTTTAGCATTATTATTTGTCATTCCAATTTATTCTTCTGTGGTTTCTGTATTTTAACCTCTTGCTTATTTTTATGGCTGCTTATTCTATCAACATGTAAGGGCTAATTATATATTATAAATATCAATACTTTATCTTATATGAGACCTAAGTTTTCTTCCCAACTACCATATACTTGACTTCACTCATGGTATTTTACTGAAATTTTCACCTTTTCTCTAGTCAAACATATTCAAATATATACTTTTTTAGACTTCTAATTCATAAGTTATACAAATACTCTACTAAATTTTTTTCTTGAGATTGTTATCATATTCCTATAGCAGTGATGCTAACTGCCTTAGACTGTTAAGGCTGCTATACAAAATATCATAAACTCGGTGGCTTCTAAACAACAGACATTTCTCACCATTTCAGAGGCAGAAGTCCAAGACCAAGTCATAAATAGATTTAGTGACTGGTGAGGGCCTGTTCTTCAAGATGGCAGCTTTCTCACTGTTACCTCACTTGACAGAAGAGTGAGGGAGATCACAGGGGACTCTTTCATAAAGGCACTAATCATATTTATGAGGGTTCTGCCCTTATTACATAAACACCTCCCAAAGCCCCCACCTGCTACTACCATCCCATGTGGGGTTAGGGTTTCAACATATGAATTTTGGGGGGACATAAACGTTCAGTCCATTACACTAATGAATTTGTGTATTATGTATTTATTTATTTATTTGCCTTCATATGTGAGTGTATATGTATACTTACACATGAGGACAGTGAGAAGTTTCAACTATTTTCTTCCAGAAAGATGGCCACTTTTAACAGCACTATTGGTAAAGTAAACCATCTTTTCATGGTGAACAGAAACAGTACCTTTGCCTAATAAACACATATACACACATGTGCATGCACACATTCACATATACATGCACATTGCAGCCTATCACTAGGTTTTTTAATTAATTTATTCACATATTCTTTTTTGATGCACACATTCTTAAGTCAATATTATATTCTTGAATATTTTTCTTTTAATAAATTGTAGATTGCTTTAATCAAATTCCAAACACAAAGCCCAAAGCCCTAAGATATTAGGGCTTCTAACTAAATTATTTTGGGGGTGAAACAGAGTCTCACTCTGTCACCCAAAGTGCAGTGGTGTGATCATAGCTCACTGCCACCTCAAAGTCCTAGGCTTAAACAATTCTCCTTCAGCCTGCTGAGTAGCTGGAACTACAGGTGTGATCCACTGCATCTGGCTGTCTTTTTATTTTTATTTTTTGTAGATACATGGTCTCGCTATGTTGCCCAGGCTGGTCTCAAATTCCTGGACTCAAGTGATCCACCCACCTCAGCCTCCCAAAGTGCTGGGATTACAGGCTTGAGCCACCATCCCCAGCCAAAATTTCTCATAATTCACATATTAACTGGAGAAGACTTGTCACTTTTATTATATTACATGTTCCCATTAAGAACGTAAGTCTTTCCTTTAGTTCAAATCCTAATTAGTTCCCTTCAGAAATATTTTATGAATTTCTTCATATAGGTCTTATTCTTAAGATTATTCCTGATTATTTTGTAGTTTTCATTGATATTTTGAATAGGGTAATTCTATTTTTATTTATAGCTGGTTATAGCAAATATTAAAAAGTACTGATGTCTGCACATTCACAAATTTGAAAATTTCCCTTTAAAGGACTAAAAGACTTACAGATTTCTTTGGTTTAAGTTTTTAGCAAATATATGAATAATCTTATTCTTCTTTACCAATGTTAGTGCTATTTAAGGTTTTTTCTTATTGAATTTGCTAGAATGTATTTTTTAAGTTGAATAATAATAGTCAAAATGGGCCTTTCATTATTTGCAAGTGAAAACTATCATGTTGAAGTAAGACCTTTTATTTTCTGTTTTAATAAGGGTTTATTTAAAACATCTGTTAAATTTTATTAAATAACTTTTGATATTCAATTGGTTTTCTCTATTAATATATTGATGCTGGTCAGGCGTGGTGGCTCATGCCTGTACTCCCAGAACTTTGGGAGGCCGAGGCAGGTGGATCACTTGAGGCCAGGAGTTTGAGACCAGCCTGGGCCAACACTGAAACAGTGGAAAGTCACTGGTCTCAGAAGGTGTTATGCAAGCTTGTCGTCTCACGACCAAGAGAATTAAGGAACTTGGACACAAAGGGTGAGGTTAGAGCAAAAGTTTAGTAAGTGAAACAAGAAAACTCTCCACAGCAGAGAAGGGTCCCAGACAGATTGCCATTTTACAGTTGAATGCAAAAGCTTTTTTAAGAAACTCCTCTCATCTCTGTAGCTGTTTGAGTAACTTCTCTTATCTATAAAGCTGTCTGCAAAACTCCCCCTATCTATCCAGCTGAGGGGTGTCTCTAGGTAAGCAGAAAGTGCAGCTTTTCTTGTTTGTATAATTAAGAACAAAAGGCTCCTATGCTGGGCCTTGTCTGTCTTGCCTGCTTATCTGTGCAGGTGCAGTCTGAGTTTTCCCATATTGCTCTATTTTGCCTGTAGCTGTGATTTTTCAGGCAGGCTATTTCTCTGAGGACTAGCCTTAGTTGTCTACCCAACTGATTTTTCCCTTTTCTTCTCCCTCACATGGCAAAAACCCATCTCTACTAAAAATACAAAAATTATGTGGGCATTGTGGCAGACGCCAGTAGTCCCAGCTACTTGGGAGGCTGAGGCAGGAGGCTTACTTGAACCTGGGAGGCAAAGGTTGCAGTGAGCTAAGATCATGCCACTGTGCTCCAGCCTGGGTGACAGAGTGAGACTCAGTCTCTCTCTCTCTCTCTCTCTCTCTCTCTATATATATATATATATATATATATGTGTGTGTGTGTGTGTGTGTGTGTGTGTGTGTACACACATATATATATACACACACACATATATATACATATACATATCTTGATGTCATAAATTATGTCAATAAATTTCCTAGTTTTGTAGTCACCTTCATATTGAATGGCTCACTGCTAAATTCCAACTAATATTTTATTTGCATTTATAATTCAAAGTATCATTAAATTTAATAGGCTCCATTTTTGTGTACTCTGCCATGCTTTGATATTAATATTATATGAGTTTTATATAATAAATTTAAGAGCTTTTCATTTTTATGGTTGATAATTTAAATGAATTAAAAATTATCTCTTCTCTAAAGATTAAATAATCTTTGATCAGCCTTTGATCATGTGTTCATGTTTAATGATACATTTTAAATCTCCTTTTCAATCTTTATACAGTAATTGGTTTCCTCAAGTTTTCAGCTTATTCATGAATCAATGTTAGTAATTTAACTTTTTGCTAAGAAAACATCTATTTAATCCAGGTTTTCAAATTGGTTACCTTAGAGTAGCCACCTATAATTCTTTTCATCTCTTCTGTACCTAGGTTATATCTCCATTTATATTCTAATATGTGTTTTAGCTTTCTTTTTTTTCTTAATTGAGCTCACAATGAGATGATGTATATTATTGGTCTTTTAAAGAATCAATTTTCAGATGTATTTATGCTTTTGATTTTTATTTTCCATTTCATTTTCAGATTCTATTTTCATGTATTCTATCTACTATTTTAATTTAGCATGTTGTTTTTCACTTACTTTTCCAAAATAAATAAGCTTTTATATTTTTTGTCTTATTTCTCTAACAGTAATGTCATTTAAAGATGTAAAATTTTCTATAAGAATTTTTATAGCTTTCTAGATAGTTCATAGTTTCACTTGTGAATTACTTTTTCATCTAAAGATTACTTAAGACAATGTTTCTTAAATTTCAAGTAGCTAATTTTTCAGCACTTCTAGATTATTAATGAGAGAACGTGATCTGTAAAATCTCTAAAATGTCTTAATTTATTCTTTGTTGGCAAGCAAAAAATTTTAAACTAATCCTCAGACATTAAAAAAAATAAGTTTCCACTAAGATCTGGAACACAACAAGGATGCCCACTTTCCCCATTCTTATTCAATATAGTACTGGAAATTCTAGCTACAGCAATCAGACAAGAAAAAGAAGGGCATCCAAATTGGAAAGAAAAAAGTTAAATTATCATTGTTAGCAGATGATATGATTTCGTATTTGTAAAAACCTAAATACTCTATTAAAAATTATTAGAACTAATAATACAAATTCAGTAAAGCTGTAAAATATAAAAATCAACATACAAAAATCAGTGGCATTTCTGTATGTCAACACTGAACAAACTGAAAAATAAATAAAAAGGTAGTTCCATTTACAATAGCTATTAGGTTGGTGCAACAATACTTGCGATTTCGCTAATGCTTTTAATGGCAAAATCTGCAATTACTTTTGCACCAACGTAATATAAATATTCTTAAATATCTAGGAATTAATTTAACCAAAGAAGCAAAAAAAATCTCCATAATGAAAATTACAAAACGCTGATAAGAAATTGAAGAGAATACCAAAAAATGGGAAAATATTCTATGTTCATCAATTGGAAGAATTAGTATTTTTAAAATATCCATACTAACAAAACAATCTACAGATTCAATGCAATCCCTATCTAAGTACCAATGACATTCTTCACAGAAATAGAAAAAAGTATTCTAAAATTTATATGGAACCACAAAATACAGAGAATAGCCAAAGCTATCCTAAGCAAAAAGAACAAAACTGGAGGAATAACATTACCTGACTTCAAATTATACTACAGAGCAATAGAAACCAAAACAGCATGGTACTGGCACAAAAACAGACACATAGACCAATGGAACAGAATAGAGAACCCAGAAACAAATCCACACACCTATAGTGAACTCATTTTCAACAAAAGTGCCAAGAATATACACTGGGGAAAAAAACAGTCTCTTCAAAAAATGGTGCTGGGAAAGTGGATATCCGTATGCAGAAGAATGAAACTAGACCCCTACCTCTCACCATATACAAAGATGAAATCGAAATGGATGAAAGACTTAAAATCTAAGACCTCGAACTATGAAACTGCTATAAGAAAACATTGGGTAAAATCTCCAGAACATTGATCTGGGCAAAAATTTCTTGAGCAATACCCCACAAGCACAACCAAAGCAAAAATGGACAAATGGGATCACATCAAGTTAAAAAGCTTCTACACAGCAAAGGATACAACAAAAAAAGTGTAGAGACAATTCACAGAATGGAAGATAATATTTTCAAACTACTCATCTGACAAGGGATTAATAACTAGAATATATAAGGAACTCAACTCCATAGGAAAAAAAATCCAATAATCCAATTTAAAAATGGATGTAAGATGTGAATAGGCACTTCTCAAAAGAAGACATACAAATGACAAACAGGCATATGAAAAGGTTCTCAACATAAATGATCATCAAAGAAATGCTAATCAAAACTACAATATCGTCTCACCCCAGTTAAAATGGCTTATATCCAAAAGACAGGCAATAACAAACGCTGGTGAGGATGTGGAGAAAAGGGAACCGTTGTACACTGTTGGTGGGAATGTAAATTAGTGCAACCATTATGGAGAACAGTTTGGAAGTTCCTCAAAAAAACTCTAAAAATTGAGCTACCACATAACTCAGCAATCCAACTGCTGGGCATATACCCAAAAGAAGAGAAATCAGGGTATTGAAGAGATAGCTGCATCCTGTGTTTGTTGCATCACTGTTTACAATAGCTACGATTTGGAAGCAACCTAAGTGTCCATCAACAGATTAGAAAATGTGGTACATATACACAGTGGAGTATATTCGGCCATTAAAAAAAAAATGAGATCCAGTCATTTGCAACAACTTGTATGGAACTAGAAACCATTATGTTAAGGGAAATAAGCGAGACACAGAAAGACAAACATTGCATCCCTCACTTACTTCAGGGATCCAAAAATTAAAACAATTGAATTCATGGACATAAACAGTAGAAGGATGGTTACTAGATGCTGGGAAGGGTCGTAGGTGCAGGAGGTGGAGACTGTTAATGATAGGGACAGGTGACAGGGAAATACTGGGTAGAAGAGGGCAGTTACCAGGCAAAGGCCCCACCCTCAAGCCTGAAGACCCAGGGCCCTAAATGAGGACCAGCATTCCTATTTTCCCACCCAAAAGTTGCCTTTGGGCCTGCCACACCCCCTATCCTGCATCCATATAAACCCCAAACCTCAGGCTCCAGAAGGAGACCAACAGATCAGCAGACTAGCCAACCAGCAAGCCAGCAGAACAGCAGACAGACAGCATGACAGAGCACACTGTGCATGACAGAGCACACTGTGGAGGGTTCATAATGAGAGAGAGAAGCAGGGAGAAGAGAGATCGGGGAAAAGAGAGACAGAGAGGAGACAAACAAGGTGTGGGAGGGGGGACAGAGAGAGAATTAGGTTAAATGTTCTACATTTTGTTCTTGTAAAGACTTAGTACTCAAATTCAGTTTCCTGTCTTTTTATACTCCTAGAATGGAATGTGTAAGTTTGTTACAATTAAATTCAACACACATTTGTTACACTAAGCCCAGTGCTAGGTTCTGGGGGTATGTAAGGGAGCTAGATAAAATTCTATCTCACTCATTTTACAAGTATGTATTCAGCTCCTATTATGTTCCAGTAATGGTGTTGGTCTCTGTAAACAAAATGCAGGGGGGAGGCTAAAGAAATAAGTAGAAAAAAAAAAAACTCTGTTTTTACTATTGTACTCTCACAACATGCTTCTGACACTGTGTGGGGATTTCTCCCCATCAGCAAGCGAGCAATCAGTTCTGCAGTAGAAGACACCTGAGTGTACTCTAATTCAATTCCATTCTGACACTAGTTGCCTGGAGATGGCATCAGATCACAAAGGTTGATCCCACAAGACTGAGCCCCATTTCCGATGCCAGTTGAGAGCCACAGGTTATTTTGCTTCTGACCAACTGGCTATAAATCAAGAGTTTCCACAGCCCCCTCTTTGGGTTCAATTAATGTTCTTCAGAAGCTCACAGAACTCAGAGAAACACTTACATTTACTAGTTTATTGCAAGAAATATTTCAAAGGATAGAAATTAACAGTCAGATGAAGAGATACACAGGGCAAGGTCTGGAAGGATCTAGAGCACAGGAGCTTCTCTTCTGATGGAGTTGAGGTGCACCACCCTCCTGACATGTGGCTGTGTTCTTGTTCACTTTCCTGGAATCCCACATGTGTGCAGCTATCTGCAAGCTCCCTGAACCTACTTCTTTGGGATTTTTATGGAATCTTCATTTTATAGGTATGACTGATTAAATCATTGGCCATTAGTAATCAACTTGACCTTCAACCTCTCTCTGCTCCCCAGAGGTTGTGGGGTAGGGCTGAAAGTCCCAACCTTTTACTCCTTCTCTGGTCTTTCCAGTGACCAGCCCCCATCCTGAAGCTAACTAGGGGCTGCCAGCCATCCATCAACTAATTAGCACACAAAAAGATCCATTGTTTTGAAGATTCTGAGGATTCTAGGAGTTATACGCCAGGAAACGATGAAGAACTAATATATATTTCACATATCACACAAATACAAACATGATGTCCTCCATCAAGTAGCATAGAGTCTAGTTGAGAATACAGACAAGTAAATAAGTGGAACACAGAATGGTATTATGATGAGGCAAGGGCACAAGTGCAATGTATTCACCAGAGGCACACCTAACCCAGACATGGTCATCTAGAAAGACTTCCTGGAAAATGTACAGACTACTGAGACCTAAAGTACAAGTAGGAATTATCCAGGCAATGAGATTGTAACTGCTTGATGGGTTCTTCCTGCCCATTGCAAAGACCATGGCATTGCAGTAAAGAAAGAGTTTAATTGATGTGAGCCAGCCACACCACTTGGGAAACAGAGTTAGTACTCAAATCAATCACCTCAAAGGCTTGTAGGTTAGGGGTTTTTCAAAGGCAGTTTAGGGGAAGGAGTGGGGGTGGCTAGGCAATGAGTGCTTGCTGCTGATTGGTTGTGTCAGAGATGAAATCACAGCCAATTAAAGCTACTCTCTTCCACTGAGTTGCTTCTGGGTGGGGCCACAGAAACAATTGGCAGGTCCAGGTGCAGCCAGGTGTCAGACATGCCAAAAAAAAAAAAAAAAAAAAACTGAAAAGATTCTCAAAAGGCCAATTTTTAGATTATATAATAGTGATATTATCTGCAGGAGTAATTGGGGAAATTGCATGTCTTGTGTTCTCACAGATAATAGCAGGTGATCATTTATGTCTACACCTTAGCGGAATTCAGGCTCCTCTTCTCCCCTTAGCCTGATGGTCTCCTTAACTTTACAAAGACAGTTGAGTTTTAGGGAAGGGCTATTATCATTTAAACTAAATGTCTCCCAAAGATAGCCCAGTCTAAGCCCAGAAATAATTTAACCAGTTTGAAGGCTAAAGGCAAAAGGGAGATTGCTAGATCAGATCTCCCACACTGCCATAATTTTCTCAGTATTATAATTTTTGCAAAGGCATTTTCAGGATTAAGGTGGGAATAGATGTTCTAGGAAGAGAGGACAGCATATTCAGAGGCAATGAGGCAAGAGAGAGCATGGCTAATCTCAAAAATTAACTGTAGTATAGTATAGATAGAAGCAAGAGAAAGAGAGCAGAGATTAGGCAGAGATTGTTACTGGCAAACCCATATAGATCTGCAGCAACCTCAAATCTTGTCTACTCAGAAGAAAGAATTTGAGGGGCAGAAGGCAGAAGGAGGGGCTGTGGCAAGTTTTAGACAGGGGTGAAAGTTTATTAAAAAGTTTTAGAGTAGGAATGAAAGGAAGTAAAGTACACTTGGAAGAGGGCCCACCAGGCAACTTGAGAGATTCAAGTGCCTGGTTTGACTTTTGACTTGGGGTTTTATATGTTGGCATACTTCCAGGGTCTTGCATCCCTTCTCCCTAATTCTTCCCTTGAGGTGGGCTGTCTGCATGCTCAGTGGTCTGCTAGTGCTTGGGAATGGCCACATGCACAGTGTGTTTACTGGAGTTGTATACATGCTCACTTGAGGTGTTTTTCCCTCACCAGTTGAATGTTCCTAGAAGGTCATATACCAGTTAAACTCTGCCATTTTGCCTCTCAGTGCACATGCTTGAGCACACCTGCCAAACTCCTGAGTTCTTATTTGGAAGCAGCTGATCACCAGTTTCAGGTTTTTCTATTTATTGGAAGATTGCCTTCCCCTGGCACTGGCTGTGACCAATTATTATTAATATTTTAGAGAGACAGTTAACAACTGCCTGAACATCACCTGATTGTCATCTGACATTCCTGGTGTGTGTGTTGGGTAGGTGGGGACCCTCTCCTGCCCTGCTCACGTCTGACTACCTACCTACTGTAAGAGGATGAGTCCAAATGCAAAGTCAAGTCTGGATCTTATGAAAAGTTTATTTTATGCCATTTTAGAAATTTAGACTTTACCATGAGGGCAACAAAGAGACACCAGAGGGTTTTAAACACCTTCAAAGAGCTGTCACATTATTGGAGGAAAAATAGACACGCAAACAAGCAACACAGAATAACTAATGACACTCTGGACACATGTTGGTGGTACAGAAGTGGCATGCAAGAAGAGGTAATTATGCTCCCCTTGGGTGAAGTGACCAAAGAAGGTATAAAATGTGATATACAAAATGGCATTGTCAGAGGCGTTCAAACCAGAGTGACTCCATTTTGAATAGGGTCTGGGTAAAATGAGGCCGAGACCTGCTGGGCTGCATTTCCAGGAGGTTAGGCATCCTTAGTCATAGGATGAGATATGAGATTGGCACAAGATACAGGTCACAAAGATCCTACTGATAAAATAAGATGTGGTAAAGAAGCCAACTGAAACCCACCAGAACCAATATGGTGACAAAAATTGCCTCTAATCATTCTCATTGCTCATTATACACTAATTAGAATGCATTAGCATGCTAAAAGACACTCCCACCGGCGCCATGACAGTTTACAAATGCCATGGCAATATTCAGAAGTTACCTTATATTATCTAAAACGGGGACGAACCCTCACTTCTGGGAACTGCCCATCCGTTTCCTGGAAGATTCATGAATAATCCACCCCTTGTTTAGCATATGATCAAGCAATAAACATAAAAATAGCCAATTAGGAGTCCTTGGGGCTGCTCTGCCTATGGAGTAGCCATTCTTTTGTTTTTTTACATCTCTAATAAACTTGCTGTCACTTTACTCGGTGAGTCAAGACCCTGTTCCTGTAGCAGCCTCGCTATGGCTCAGAGCTCTAACATGGAGTTGGCAAGCCTTTCTAAGGACTACCTGCACAACCTGCAACCTTGCAAAACAGGAAATTGCCTTGAACCTTTTAACTGGGCCAAATCACCATGACCACAACATCTTGAAAAACAGCTACATTTCATCAGCACTACAACTTATGAACAATGACAACCAATGAACTATGGAATCATGTACTATGCCAGCTACCTCCATTAATGATTATTCCTTCAAAATAACTTGTGTAATCGCCTTCAGCATGCTTTTAAAAATTCCTACTACCTTTCTTCAGAACACAATTTGGCTTTTAGCTGAGTCTCTGTCTCCTGAATTGCAATTCCTAAGACCCGAGTAAATGCCTTGTCTTACTGCTTTGCAGTCACTCTTTGACTTTTCATTGACAAAGGTGAGCAACAGTGAATAAGGAGGGATAGTGAAAAGACCTCCCTGTAATGCTGATTAATCAAGTAAGTTTTAAAGCATAAAAAATAATTTTACCATGTAATATAGGAAGAATATAAGCAAAAGCAATGAGACTTGCAATAAAATGAATTTTTTGACCATTTCCTATTGCTAAACAGAAAAATATGAACAAGGTTGTGACAGAAACTAAGGCTAGAAAGTAGACATAGGTTAAGCCATGGAAGGCTTTGAATGCCAGGTTAAACTGTATCTTGTCCTGAAGGTACTCAGTAAAGGCTTCCAAAAATTTCAAAACCACCAAGAGATGTTCTATATGAAAAAACATATCACTTATTTTTCTTTCTTATGTTTCTCTTTATTTTCCTATTCTATCAAATCTGCTTAACACTGGCCTACTGTGATTTAAAAAAAAAAAGCTGGAAAAGTAAAATCAAAACACAATTTCAGTACCAGTCCCCACCTGCCAATTTTACCCACATGTGCCTTTTAATAAGACATATGATCTCCTCTTAGACTGTCTTTGATTCCACATTGAAAAAAGGTTGAATAACATAGAGTTAATGGAACCAGACTCATGGAATGTGAAATGAAATGAACATCTCAAAAGTATATTGTTACAATATCTCTTACTGAACTACTGAACTTATCTGCTTGATTCCACTCATCTCTATTCAATCTCCTCTTTCTACAACACAGTCTAATCTTTAAAACATAAATCAGATTATGTGACTTCCCTATTCAAAATCCTTCAAAAATGTTAATCAACCTTAAGCTAAAATGCAAACTCCTTACCATCACCTCCAAAGTCCTCCGTGAGCTGGCCTCTGTCTAGCTTTCCAGCTTCCCACCACTGTCCTCTTCATTTCATGTTAGCCTTCTTCCTGCTTCTCAAAAATTGTAATCTTGTTTTTACCTCAGGGTCTTTGCTTACTGTTCTTGCTGTTTTGAAATATTCCGTCACTAGATCCCCCTTGGCTTGTTCCTCACTTTATTCAGGTCTCTACTCAAATGTCACCGCCTCACAGAGGCCTTCTCTACCCATCATATCTTTGAAATGGCATGCAGTAACACTGCTCCCTTGTATTTTTCTGGGCTATGTTTTTTCCAGTTTTTCAGTGTTGTTGTTCATGGCATTCATCATCACCTGATATTAGATTATAGATTGATTTTGTTTTCTTACGTATTTTATCTATCTTCTATCCTCTACTAAGCTCAATGATAGGAAATTTATTCACCAATGGTAGGCACACAATAAATGTTTGGTTAAATAAATAAATGGGTGACTACATTAGAGTAATGTAGAGAAACATTATACTAAACCTTCCTAAAGTCATACAGGATTCTTGAGGCTGAAACTGCTTTTCCATAAGGGATTTTTAGGATTAGCCTTAATGAAGAACTGTGTAATTTCAAAATTTATTCTCACTGTAGAATCCTTTGTTATCAGTATAAGTCAGAGAAAAATAAAATTTCTTTTCTATGCCAGGTGAAAAAAAATTGACTAAGTAAATTAGTAGAACAAAGAAAATTTCTAAAAGGAGATATTGTGAGAGATATCATTTTGAAGGAATGATTTGCATTTACATATATATCAGGATACCTGACGTATTAGACACAAATCATTTTTTTGTTAAGGTATGAACTCTAGATATATCTGACATATACTTTGTGAGCCTGGTTTTGTTATTGCATTTATTAGAAAATAATAAAGTTTTATTTCCTTTGATATTCTATTAGTCTATGTAGTTGTACAGAGCAGCCATTATCCAGACAGACCCAACTTCTCCCACTCAGTTTCACTGAGCGATTATTACATGATTTATTATCCTCTTTAAATATTGGGGTTAAATGTACCCAAGTTTTTAGCCCTGGTTCTAACAATTAATAGAATAACAGTTACAAGAGCATAGGAAATTGTGTATGTGTGTGTTTACATAAGGCTAAAATTTGAATTTCATCAGTCCCTAAATAACTAAATGATAACACTCTCAAGAGGTGACATATGCTTCCACTAAACAGTGAAGATATCCATACGGTCAGCCACTAGAACCAAGCAGTATGTCACTAGAACAATAATTCACATGCCTCTGTGCTCCTTTCTATTCCTATTGCTACCACTTTTGGTTCATCAGCTGATTTTTCTCAATGGACTATTTTTCAAAGTCTTATATATTATATCCTCTACTTCAGAATTTTCCACTCCAAGATATCATACACGTAGTTGCTAGATTCATCTTGTATCCATTCAAATTACTGCTCTACTTAAATCCTTCAATAACTTGTTTTTCTTTCCAAAACTCTTCAGCTTCTCAGTCAAGGCTTTCCACAAACTCCACTACTTGCAAGTGAATCTTCCACTACTTACTCATTCAAAACCCAAATTTCAGCTGCTGTCCAAACTCTATGTTTTAACACCTTGCTATATTTACTCCCAATCTGTGTTTATCGCATCCCTATCCATTTCTTTAAGAAACATTTCAAATGTCACATTTATTTATTTATTTATTTTAAGACAGGTTTTTGCTCTGTTGGCCAGACTGGAGGGCAGTGGCGCTATCTCAGCTCACTGCAACCTCTGACTCCTGGGTTCAAATGATTTGTCCACCTCAGCCTCCTGAGTAGCTGGGACCACAGGCACACACTACCATGCCCAGCTAATTTTTGTAGAGATGGGGTTTCCACACATTGCCCAGGCTGGTCTCGAACTCCTGGGCTCAAGTGAGCCACCCACCTCAGCCTCCCAAAGTGCTAGGACTACAGGTATGAGCCACCGTGCCCTGCCTAAATGTCACTTTCTTTATTTCATCTGGTCCTCACCAGTTCTCTCAACCAGAGGAGATCTATTCTACTTTGAATTCCATCACACCTTTGACCTTTGTTCTAATAAAGTCATTTCTGACCATCTTTATCCCAATATTCTAACTACCAACATAAAGAACACGGATTTCAGGAATTATAGAAACAATGTTTGAAACAATATCTTCACAACATTTTCTTTATGTGACATTGAGGAAATAGCATCAGTGGGCAAATACCTTAACTTTGATATCTTCGTCTGCAACTTAAAGATAATACCTAAATTTAAGATCATTAGAAAGATTTAACTAAAATTATATCTGGTATGAAAATTATCTGGCTGCTTATAATTCTTTTTATTATCTTTCATTTCTTTTAGATTTTAATAAACTTCACACGGAATAAATTCACAAATTAAATAAATTAGCTACTGACTGGCCAAAGAAATAGGGCCACAGACGTTATCATCAAATTTCATCAAGGTACAGGCACACTGATGGAGCCTGCTAGTTGACCCTGTCCCTTAGTAACTCATTCATAAATCCTATGTGAGTACCTACAACTTGACGATTATCTTTACTACTTGTGGCCAATGCAGAAACATGCTACAAAATGCTACCACTGCTTAGGGAATATTTCTATATAAGAAAGAGCAGAACTAGTGTTAAAAATGTACTTTGTAAACCTTACTAAAGAGCATGTAATATATATACTAGAAAAATTATCTGTAGTTTAATGTTAATAATCATTTCTGTCACCAGCCAGATTTAAAACCATCTTATCATTGACCATAGTACTTTATAGCACTGCACTCCACACACTTCTATGGCTTCTGATACTGTTACTGGTGATTCAATTCCCATCTTTAGATTCTCATGTGGATAAAACAAATCCCAAGGGAACACACTTCTCTGCCTACCAGTAGCTGTATTCCTGTTGATACACAGGGAATGCCTGAAAATACCTATCTCAATTTCTACCAGAAGAAATTAAAACTGTCAATAAATTTCCCCTGGTAATCAATGCAGAGGCAGATACCAAAGGAATTAAAAACAGGTGTTCAAATGAAAACTCGTACACAAATATTCACAGCAGCCCTATTCACAATACCCAAAAGGTGAAAACAACCCAAATATCCATTGACAAATGAATGGATAAACAAAATGTAAAATATCTATAAAATGGAATATTATTCAGCTATAAAAATAATGGGTTCAGTGTCTCACGCCTGTAATTCCAACATTTTGGGAGGCCAAAGCAGGAGGATCTCTTGAGCTCTTCAGTTTAAGACCAGCATGGGCAACATGGTGAAGTCCTGTCTCTACAAAAAATTAGCCAGGTATGGTGGCACGTGCCCGTAGTCTCAGCTACTCAGGAGGCTGAGGTATGAGGATTGCTTGAGCCTGGGAGGTGGAGGTTGCAGTGATTACATCACTGCACTCCAGACAATGTGACAGAGAAAGTTCCTGTCACAAAACAAACAAAGTAATGAGGTGCTGATACATACTACAAAATGGCATATCTATATAACGATGGAATATTATTCTTAATCTAGATTAGTGGATTGTTGCACAACATGGTGAATGTACTAGATGTCATTGATTTATACGCTTTAAAATGGTTACGATGGTAAACTCCATGTTATGTGTATTTTACCACAATAAAAAAGTTCTCATTCATACACACAAAAGATAAATACCAACTGTATTAAAATTTGATGTATTCAGTGCAGTTTCTTAAAGAAGCTATTTGTTGAACAAAAGGGATGCAAAGGGGAAATGTATTTTTGTTGAAAAGTATGACATTACTTTCTAATAACTACTAAGTTGGGAGAGTGAAGATACCACCACAATATAGCCAGTTGCAGTGATTTAAGAAAAAATTGATGACGAAATACTGTAGCCTTAGGAAGAAGCATTTATGTTTTTCAAAATAAATTGGACTATTTGTTGATGATAAAAGGGTACAAACCTGCAATTATAAGAGTAATAAGTTCTGGAGAGCTATTGTGCAGCATGGTGACTATAGTTAACAATAATGTATTGCATACTTGAAATTTGCTAGAAGAGTAGATCTTAAATATTCTTACCACAAAATAAAAAGAAAAGGTAACTATGTGAGGTAACAGGTATGTTAATTAGTTTTATTGTGCTAATCATTTCATAATGCATGAATATATCATCACATTATATACCTTAAATATATACAATTTTACATGTAAATTATACCTCAAAAATAAGTAAATAGAACCAGATAATATGCTTCACATATGTTTAAAATGAATAAATTGCTTCCTTTGCAAAATAAATTATAAAGCACATAAGTATCTCCCACTGAGAGAATTCTAGTGACCTTATAGTCAGCACAGATCTTCAAATTGTCAGTGGACTTTCAGATCCTGAAGCTCTGTAGAAAGGGAGATTGTATATTTTCCTATCATCTTGCCATTGTCTGACTTGAATAGGATCAATTTAGAATTAAAAATTAGAACTAATGCCATCTGCAGAGCAAAGTTCAAATATAACCAATTACTGAGACTTAAGCTAATACAAAGACACTTTGGGACTAGCCACATATGTTAGGGAACATATGTCTGGTTCTACTAAACCAAAAATTGAAGAAGTATTATGAGGGAAGAAAGCAAACAAAGGAAACAAGAAAAGCACATAAGAGAGAGAGAGACTGGAAAGTAGAGTAGGCAACAGAGATAGGTTACAACAGTGAAAGCAATTTCAAGTTTGACATCTGTATTCTGTATTTTATGTTTCCTGGATTAAGACACGTGTCTTGAGATCCAATCAATTACAGCAGACCACCTGATTATAGACGCAATAATGAATTGACATAGAAAAGCTACATTCCTAGATAGAAAATTCAAGAAGGAAAATCTGTTATCTTACAGCCTGTTAGTGCCAACTTCAGATAATCATTACATTGAGTTGCTTAAATTTCCACTTATTATTTCTCTTGTGTAACGCTGCTAGTGAAAAATAAAGTCTGTCTTGTCCATTTAGACAAATTTCCTTGTTAGTTTAAGGAAGAAATATGCAGATAATATCTCATTTCTTAGTCTGTTAATGTAAGTAGAAAATTGTAAGGAAAGGTCTAAGAAGCATGAAAAGAGGTTAATTAAAATTGATGATTTCAAAACTCAATAAAGAAAACTCAAGGAGTAATGTGTTGCTTTTAGTGTTTAACGGTCCATATGGTTGCTTTTTCTTAAGAATTTTAAACATACCTGAGAAGATTAAAAAGCATTTAGGTTTTTCTGTCTAATTTTCCACTGAGGCCACATTTTCAGACATCCACCTCTCTGGCCCTTGCCATCTCCTGACTCTCCTAACTGTAGGGATATATCTACATCTCTCAAACTCTGCTTTACCCATTTATTGAACAAACTCTACAACCATGGGGTCCAGAACTGGTCTCTTGGCTTGTGATTCCACTATCTTGTAAGTCCACACTGAGCCCTACGTACCTATGTGTTCATCGGGTTGCATGCTTCCCCTGTCTCCTGCTGGGTTGGACCAATCCATTCAATTGGACCTCTCCCTAGCATTTTAATTCTATACTGGAGCTACAACTATGCTGAATCCCCATGTGCTTGATAAGAGGCAAAATCATTAAATCTCCCTAATGCCTTCATCTTAGGGGCTGTATTTTGCTGCTGGGGGTCATTCTATAAACAGGCTGATTATCTAGTTACATTATTAGAAATGGTCACTCAGAAAATACATTGGATGTCTCCTCAATTTTATGTAGCAGAAAAACAAATCAAAGTAGATATTCTAAGAATTATCTGGTAGGCTAGAAATCTATACTAGCTTCATTCTCCATAGCAGGATTTAATAATTGGTTCCAAATGCAGAGAAATCTTCAGCTGTCCATGATTTTCTTAGGTTCATCTGAAAATCAAACTGCTTAAAGCTCCTGATTTATTTTTATAGCACTTTTTATTGCCTTTTATATGGATAAAGTAAGATAAAATTTCTTATTCTATATTGAATGGAATTTACCCATGAACAACGTAATATATTGGATAAGAACTTTTATCATCTGTATGATTAGTATAGAAATGAATGATTTGAGATTAACATCATCTTGATGTAAACAACATAAAGTGAAATGGCTATATTCCCAAAACAGATACATTTTACTTTATATAAATTATCTTAGTGCTTTGAATGATGAATCACTCAACCAAGATCCAAAATATCTTTTCATATCTATAGGCTGTATCTAAAATTACCATAGCAGGGTAGAATATAATGATTCTTTTCTCTATTAGAGTTGCAAAAATGGATCATAACTCTCTGTGCTTGCTACATATATGAATCCTTGCTTCCTCTCCTAAAAATGAGGTATTTTACATTTTAGATTTGAGTTAAATTTGTTTTGTATATTATCTAAATTATGTAACACCTTCTGTGATCATCTGAAACACCAAATGAGGATTCAGACACTGTATGTAGGATCTTAATACATTGGCTATAAACAAGAAAGAGTAAAATAATTTCAAGATAGATTAATTACATCCCAGACTTGAGTGTATAAACAGAACTGCCTTTCTTGTCACTTTGCGGAATTCTTTCATTCATCCATTTATTTATTTATTTACTTAAGAACATGTATTGAATGTGTACTATGGCCCAGATACTGGGAATCTGCATATAAGATACGATAGTCTTGTAGGTGGATGATAGTGGGGAAAAAGTGTAGAGACTGTAGAAGATGTAGGGAATGGTATATTTAGAGGGTCAAAAGAAAAAAAGTAAGGCATGTTCAGGAGCAAGAACCTCAGTAAGATTAGAACATGGGAGGAGAAGGGTAATTGAAGAACAGTGAAATATAAGGCTGGAGAATTAAGCCTCATATAGTAAAGGTACAAAGTGTGGCACATGTATCCCATGTTGCAAATAGTTCTTACAAACTATAATTCATGAAATTTAAACTTCTCTTCAAGGGTCCATAATTTTAACTCACTTGTAAGGGTGTATTTTTAAATAATAAAACTATCATAATTGAAAAGCTGTATTTGACTGAACTACATAAAATGTTCAAATAAACCATAGTTATTTATAAGGGGGGTGAAAATGTATGAGTTAGGTGTTTGTATACTAGACACCAAATAATTGAGTTTATCCTACAAACTTATAATAGACTAAGTCCTACGAGAACCCAATATTTTCTTCAAATATTCATCACAGTGTCTAATTTTCTAGTTTATACATTGACTAGCTGTTTTCTTTTTCTATTTCCACAACCAGACTTTGAACTCTGAGGACAGAGACCTCATCTCTTGTTTACTAGTGACACTTTCAGGATATAGCTCAATACTGCCACATTGCAAGTGTTTAGCAAAATTGTTCAGTGAAATGTGAATTGTGAGTGAAATATGTCACAAAGTTGACAAAAACTGGGAAAATATTCTCAGATAATGTGATCTAACATATTAGAAAATTTATAGAAGTATTTTGTGCTAAGTATATAGTTAATGTAGCTCAAATATAAAATAAATAGGAGCCATGAATAAGAGAGAACTTTGACTCAAAAATGTAGCTGTGTAATTTTTTTTTTTAGGAAAGAAAGTCTGATTATGAGGAAGCTAATTCACATTTGTATTTTTTTCAACAATATAATTTATAACTGATTTTATGAGCACTTATTGTATGTTCTCAAAAGAATCAGAAAGTATACAAAGGACAAAGAAAAGAAGACCAATTTAATATATGAAGAAGCAAAATAAACAGCATACGGAAATATCAACATCCTTTTAACAATCAATCACTAATATTACATCAGCAAGCATGAGGTCATCTTCAACGGGCAGCTGAAGGGAAATAGATAACTTAAGTTAGGAAAGTAGTGTTACTAAATTCAACACACCTATCAATATTTGCTTGACTGTTTCATGAAACTGAAAGATAGCTACATAAAATAAATACATAAGAAAAACCTACAGCAGGCAAATTAAAATACTAGTCTTTCAAAATGGCTTTGGTCTGAATCTTCAATAAGATTTAACAAACTGAATTTTTGATAAGCTATCATATTTTACTTTTCAAAGTAAAAATTTGTCTTCAAATGGAAGAAACATTCTTAGCTTAGTCTCCTTAGAAGTGGCTCTTTTTAAAGGGAGAGGCGTTATTTTCATTCTGCACACTATAAAAGGCATATGAACAGAAATTGTTTCAGGTACAAATTATATATAAATGTAATCTCTTTTTGCCTCAGATGTGCATACATTCACTTTGCCCCTACATGTCTATGAGAAAAAGAGATGTGCTATAATTTTCCAACCATTTAAATACTAGCTGTAATAATATTTGCAGTAATAGAGCTTGTTCTTTGACCATTATGTAATCATAGGTTTCTAAAAATAGAGAATTTTAGAACAACTATGTAAATAAGTAATTAATTATATCAAGAATCTGATAAAGAGGGATTTGGATTTCAAGCTACAGATGAGACTTCGGCAAGTTTAAACAGAAATCATTGAGTACAGATGATTTGAAAATCTTAAATGTTTTATTGAAGAACGGTGCCTTCCGTTGAATGATTTATCATATCTGAAAATGTGGGAAGGGTGGATGAAAAAATGCATTGGAATAAAGAGTGCTCCTGCAAATCTCCAGCTCGACATATAAGTAATTAATTGTGAATTTAACTTTTCCTGATGCTTTAGATTTGCATCCAAGTATCACCACAGGCATTCTAAAGAGAGCATTCAGGAGGGTTTTTTAGTTTGTTTGTTTATTTAGTTAGTTTTTTTAACTTTATTTTTCCTTTTTTATGTATACTTTTTCCATTATATTTTAAGTTATAGGGTACATGTGCACAACGTGCAGGTTTATTACTTATGAATACATGTGCCATGTTGGTTTGCTCCACCCATTAACTCGTCATTTACATTAGGTATATCTCCTAATGCTATCCCGCCCCCCTCCCCCACCCCACAACAGGCCCTGGTTTGTGATGTTCCCCTTCCTGTGTCCATGTGTTCTCATTGTTCAATTCCCACCTATGAGTGAGAACATGCAGTGTTTGGTTTTTTTGTCCTTGCAAGAGTTTGCTGAGAATGATGGTTTCCAGCTTCATCCATGTCCCTACAAAAGACATGAACTCATCATTTTTTATGGCTGCATAGTATTCCATGGTGTATATGTGCCACATTTTCTTAATCCAGTCTATCATTGTTGCACATTTGGGTTGGTTCCAAGTCTTTGCTATTGTGAGTAGTGCTGCAATAAACATATGTGTGCATGTGTCTTTATAGCAGCATGATTTATATTCCTTTGGGTATATACCCAGTAATGGGATGGCTGGGTCAAATGGTATTTCTAGTTCTAGATCCCTGAGGAATCGCCACACTGCTTCCACAATGGTTGAACTAGTTTACAGTCCCACCAACGTGTAAAAGTGTTCCTATTTCTCCACATCCTCTCCAGCACCTGTTGTTTCCTGACTTTTTAATGATCGCCATTCTAACTGGTGTGAGATGATATCTCACTGTGGTTTTGATTTGCTTTTCTCTGATGGCCAGTGATGATGAGCATTTTTTCATGTGTCTGTTGGCTGCATGAATGTCTTCTTTTGAGGAGTGTCTGTTCATATCCTTTGCCCACTTTTTGATAGGGCTGTTTTTTTCTTGTAAATTTGTTTGAGTACTTAAAAAATTCCAGGACCAGATGGATTCACAGCCGAATTCTACCAGAGGTACAAGGAGGAGCTGTTACCATTCCTTCTCAAACTATTCCAATCAATAGAAAAAGAGGGAATCCTCCCTAACTCATTTTATGAGGCCAGCATCATCCTGATACCAAAGCCTGGGAGAGACACACAAAAAAAAGAGAATTTTAGACCAATATCCCTGATGAACATCGATGTAAAAATCCTCAATAAAATACTGGCAAACCAAATCCAGCAACACATCAAAAAGCTCATCCACCATGATCAAGTGGGCTTCATCCCTGGGATGCAAGGCTGGTTCAACATATGCAAATCAATAAACGTAATCCAGCATATAAACAGAACCAAAGACAAAAACCATATCATTATCTCAATAGATGCAGAAAAGGCCTTTGACAAAATTCAACAACGCTTCATGCTAAAAACTCTCAATAAATTAGGTATTGATGGGACGTATCTAAAAACACTAAGAGTATTTATGACAAACCCACAGCCAATATCATACTGAATGAGCAAAAACTGGAAGCATTCCCTTTGAAAACTGGCACAAGACAGGGATGCCCTCTCTCACCACTCCTATTCAACATAGTGTTGGAAGTTCTGGCCAGGACAATCAGGCAGGAGAAGGAAATAAAGGGTATTCAATTAGGAAAAGAGGAAATCAAATTGTCCCTGTTTGCAGATGATATGATTGTATATCTAGAAAACCCCATCGTCTCAGCCCAAAATCTCCTTAAGCTGATAAGCAACTTCAGGAAAGTCTCAGGATACAAAAGCAATGTGCAAAAATCACAAGCATTCTTATACACCAATAACAGACAAACAGAGAGCCAAATCATGAGTGAACTCCCATTCACAATTGCTTCAAAGAGAATAAAATACCCAGGAATCCAACTTACAAGGGATGTGAAGGACCTCTTCAAGGAGAACTACAAACCACTGCTCAACGAAATAAAAGAGGATACAAACAAATGGAAGAACATTCCATTCTCACGGATAGTAAGAATTAATATCATGAAAATGGCCATACTGCCCAAGGTAATTTATAGATTCAATGCCATCCCCATCAAGGTGCCAATGACTTTCTTCACAGAATTGGAAAAAACTACTTTAAACTTCATATGGAACCAAAAAAGAGCCTGCATAGCCAAGTCAATCATAAGCCGAAAGAACAAAGCTGGAGGCATCACGCTACCTGACTTCAAACTATACTACAAGGCTACAATAACCAAAACAGCATGGTACTGGTACCAAAACAGAGATATACACCAATGGAACAGAACAGAGCCCTCAGAAACAATACCACACATCTACAACCATCTGATCTTTGACAAACCTGACAAAAACAAGAAATGGGGAAAGGATTCCCTATTTAATAAATGATGCTGGGAAAACTGGCTAGCCATATGCAGAAAGCTGAAACTGGATCCCTTCCTTACACCTTATACAAAAATTAATTCAAGATGGATTAAAGACTTAAATGTTAGGCCTGAAACCTTAAAAACCCTAGAAGAAAACCTAGGCAATACCATTCAGGACATAGGCATGGGTAAGGATTTCATGGCTAAAACACCAAAAGCAATGGCATCAAAAGCCAAAATTGACAAATGGGATCTAATTAAACTAAAGAGATTCTGCACAGCAAAAGAAACTACCATCAGAGTGAACAAGCAACCTACAGAATGGGAGGAAATTTTTGCAATCTACTCATCTGACAAAGGTTTAATTAGTTCTTTTGAGACAGAGCCTCGCACTGTCAGGGCTGGAGTGCAGTGGCCCGATCTCGGCTCACTGCAACCTCTGCCTCCCGGATTCAAGCAATTCTCCTGCCTCAGCCTCCCAAGTAGCTGGGATTACAGGTACCTGCCACCATGCCCAGCTATTTTTTTGTATTTTTAGTAGAGATGGGGTTTCACTATGTTGGTCAGGCTGGTCTCAAACTCCTGACCTCATGATCCACCTGCCTCACCTCCCAAAGTGCTGAGATTACAATCGTGAGCCACTGAGCTCGGCCTCAGGAGGGTTTTTTAAAAGAAGTAAATACCGTCAGTCTCACCAGCACCCCCCGAGACCTCATGAAAGAAGAAAGGAAACACAGGGGCCCATGGAAAGAGTTGTAGAAAATGCAGACCTTCTGTTAAAATGTTACACATTACCTTTTAAAGGGAGAATAAGAGTTGCTCCTCCCATCCAAATAATGAGGCTCCAAGAAAACTACTTATAAAAAATGGAGCCTGAAAGAAGATGAGATAACACCACATTGTCTAGGTGGACATTTACTTGTGGCCCTCATGAACATTTGTGCAGGAGGAAAAGAGAAGTGGAGAGGCAATGCAAAGTGAAGAGACAATGTAGGACACAGAACATTCAAACTGCTTGGAATTATAAGGATGTAGGAGTGTCATATGAGCCAGATAAGCCCAGATAAGAAGGTAACTGGCTTGAGCTGCCACTTCAGAAGCAGATTCTAGCAGAAGGGAAATGACTGATACACTGCTTGGGGAGAAAGCTGAAGGAAGGTGTGAAGAGAATGGCTTCCACAGTATAAAACCATTTAGTCGGAAAACCTCTCAAAATTCCCAATGGCTTCACACATGTTCGACATGAGAGAGTTGCCATTCAGATGCCTTTCTTGCCCGTGTCATTGACAGCCAAGAGGATTACAATTAAATGAAAAGATTTCTGCCCCTTTTCCCCATCTCTGATCCTAGATCCAATTCACTAAAGGAGAAAGAAGAAGCAGAAGAGGAAAAAGGCAGAAGAGTAAAAGATTTGATTATGCCTTTTCCACACTAAGACCCTCAGGCTGAGTTTAAATGATCATTATGCAGAGAGAAAGATCTGAACTTAAAATGGTCAACTTATTTAAATTGTACTGGACTGAACTCTGGACTTTTTTATACTCAAAAGCAGCCAGAAAGTTCGGGGATGCCTGAGATGTAATTAAAACAGGAAAAGAGTTTCTGCAGAGCATGTTTGAGCATGTATGTATTTTTATTTAAGTTAGAAGTTAGATTTTTTTAAACGGATGTTAGTATCATTTGAGAATATTTAATAAATTACTTACATATCCAAATTTCCAGTACTAGCCATAATAATTTAATGCAATTAACACTTCTTTGATGGTAGCATCTAAATATGTTTTGGTAAAGAAGGAGAGGAATTTACACTATTAAAATCTCAAAAAGTTAGTGATATTTCCTTACATTCATCTTGGCTTCATCCTTCATTAATTTGACTAAAATCTTCTTGAACTAATTCATGTTTAAGCCTTTATCTTCTCTTAGTATTTATGTAAATACTCTCATTGTCTCATGTTTATTCCTTCAAATTTGAAAGAGTTATTCCAGACAAATAAGTCAATGTTGGCCAGGCACGGTGGCTCATGTTTGTAATCCCAGCACTTTGGGAGGCTGAGGCAGGTGGATGAGGCCAGGAGTTCAAGACCAGCATGGCCAACATAGAGAAACCCTATCTCTACTAGAAATACAAAAAATTAGCCGGGTGTGGTGGTGGACACCTGTAATCCTAGGTATTTGGGAGGCTGAGGCAGGAAAATCACTTGAACCCAGGAGGCAGAGGCTGCAGTGAGTCAAGATTACACCACTGCACTCCAGCCTGAACAACAGAGCAAGACCATGTCTCAAAAAATAATAAAGTCAATGCTAACATTATCCATAGTCTTCATAATTTCTTACTTCTAGGTGATTAAAATTCCTAGATTTGATCTTTTCTAACTGAAAATCCTGTATTTTAAGCTGTTGTCACACATGTAAAAGATACCAGATTTCATATTGTATTTGAATTAAATCTGTCAAAGGCAACACAGAGTTAGTTAAATTTTTTTAATCTGAGAACCCACACATGGTGTTGAATTGATTACATGATGGTAGAATCCATTTATAGAGCAGTGGGTTAGTTTTCCCAAGGCTGTTAATTTATTTACAGATTAAGTAGATAAATTCAATTTTCTACAAAAAAAAAAAGCATTTTATCAGCTAAGTGAACAAATACAATATCCTGTAACAAACATTTTATAAGTTTTGTGGTCATCACAATCCTCATATGTAAATGTTGCATTCCTCAAGATTAACCAAAAAATGTTTAGTGAGATAATTGAATATCTTGGGCTGCCCTTTATGTTTTACTACAAACAAAGAGAGAAGCTCATGTGATTATGAAAAGAAATGGAAAAGTTTTAGATTTTTACTATGTAACCCCATTTCTATTTGGCTGTCTTTCCAACATGACTCTTAATTGTAAGACAGTTATAATCACAGAAATGTAAATATTTTCTTATTGTCTTTCCTGTACATTGCTTCGAAAGGCAATTTCACATATCACTAAAGTATTTATGTCATGAGAAGAAAATAGGTCAAAATTGTTTTCTTCTCAAGCCCTCTTACCCAATTTTAATGTAACATTTTTATAACCAATGTCAATCAAATTAAAGCCTGCAGTTTCAGATGTCTACTAATTAAAGCTGTATGTGCTTTCTCTAAATTGTCTCCTGCCATGTTATGATAGTCTTCAGGTTGAGAACAAAAATTCCAAATGTAGCTATTTCAACAGTTGAAAGTAATGTAGCATAGGGCTTTTCTGTTTTGTTTCCAATATCTTTCTTAGAGCAAATATTTTTTGATCCTAATTGGTGTCAATCTGACAATATATCATCAGTGGTTATGTTTTTAGGATTTTAGACTCTTTCCTGTGTTACAACTAAAGTCCCAGAGTGGCAAGTCCAATATTTTTACAAATATGTGCTCTTTATTATGTGCAAAGAAGAATGCTTGGAATTCAAAGATGAACAAACTAAGTCCTTGACATTGAGAAATTCAGAGCTGAATGTATACATAATATTTTATTAATGTTTTATAAATGTTCTGGATAATTTATAAATAAAGTAGCTTTTAAAGATACATTAATAGGAGGTGCTGGCAAGATGGTCGAATAGGAACAGCTCTGGTCTGCATCTCCCAGTGAGATGGACGCAGAAGGTGGATAATTTCTGCATTTCCAGCTGAGGTACCCAGTTCATTGCATTGGGACTGGTTGAACAGTGGGACCTAAGGAGGGCGAGTCGAAGCAGGGTGGGGCTTCGCCTCACCTGGGAAGCGCAAGCGGTTAGAGAACTGCCTTGTCTAGCCAAGGGAAACCATTAGGGACCATACCATGCACTCCGGCCCAGATACTGCACTTTTCCCATGGTCTTCACAACCCGTAGAACAGGAGATTCCCTCAGGTGCCTACACCACCAGGGCCCTAGGTTTCCAGCACAAAACTGGACAACTGTTTGGGCAGACGATGAGCTAGCCGCAGAAGTTTTTTTTCATACCCTAGTGGCACCTGTAATGCCACCAAGACAGAACCGTTCACTCCCCTGGAAAGGGGGATGAAGCCTGGGAGTCAAGTAGTCAGGCTCGGCGGGTCCCACCCCCACAGAGACAAACAAGCTAAGATCCACTGGCTTGAAATTCTCACTGCCAGCACAGCAGTCTGAGCTCAACCTGGGATGTTCCAGTTTGGTGGGGAGAGGGGCGTACACCATTGCTGAGGCTTGAGTAGGCTGCTCCCTCAGTGTAAATAAAGCCACCAGGAAGTTCGAACTGGGCAGAGCCCACTTCAGCTCTGCAAGGCCTCTGCAGCCAGACTGCCCCTCCACATTCCCTCCTATGTGGGCAGGACACCTCTGAAAAAAAGGCAGCAGCCCCAGTCAGGGACTTGTAGATAAAACCCCCATCTCCCTGGGACAGAGCACCTGGGGGAAGGGGTGGTTGTGGGTACAGCTTCAGCAGACTTAAACGTTCCTGCCTGACGACTCTGAAGAGAGCAGCGGATCTCCCAGCACAGCATTCGAGCTCTAATAAGGGTCAGACTGCCTCCTCAAGTAGGTCCCTGACCCCCATGTATTCTGATTGAGAGACACCTCCCAGAAGGCACCAACGAACACCTCATGCAGAAGAGCTCCGGCTGGCATCTGGTGGGTGCCCCACTGGGACAAAGCTTCCAGAAGAAGGAACAGGCAGCAATCTTTGCTGTTCTGCAGGCTCTGCCAGTGATATCCAGGCAAACAGGGTTTGGAGTAGACCTCAAGCAAACTCCAGCAGACCTGCAGCAGAAGGTCCTGACTATTAGAAGAAAAACTAAAAAACAGGAACAGTATCAACATCAACAAAAAGGATGTCCACTCAGAGACCCCACTGGAAGGTCACCAACTTCAAAGACCAAAGGTAGATAAATTCATGAAAATTGGGAGAAACCAGCGCAAAAAGGCTGAAAATTCCAAAAACCAGAACACCTCTTCTCCTCCAAAGGATCACAAATCCTCACCAGCAACACAACAAAACTGGATGGAGAATGAGTTTGACAAATTGACAGAAGTAGGATTCAGAAGGTGGGTAATAAACTCCTCAGAGCTAAAGGAGCATGTTCTAACCCAATGCAAGGAAGCTAAGAACCTTGAAAAAAGGTTAGACAAATCAGTAACCACAATAACCAATTTAGAGAAGGACATAAATGACCTGATGGAGCTGAAATACACAGCATGGGAACTTCATGAAGCATACACAAGTACAGATAGCTGAATCAATCAAGTGAGAAAAAGGATATCAGAGATTGGAGATCACTCAGTGAAATAAAGAGAGAAGACAAGATTAGAGAAAAAAGAGTGAAAAGAACGAACAAAGCCTCCAAGAAATATAGGACTATGTGAAAAGACCAAATCTATGTTTGATTTGTTTGAAAGTGACAGGGAGAATGGAACCACACTGGAAAACATTCTTTAGGATATTATCCAGGAGAACTTCCCCAACCTAGCAAGACAGGCAAACATTCAAATTCAGGAAATACAGAGAACACTGCAAAGATACTCCTCGAGAAGAGCATCCCCAAGACACATAATCATCAGATTCAACAAGGTTGAAATGAAGGAAAAAAATGTTAAGGGCAGCCAGAGAGAAAGGTCAGGTTACCCACAAAGGGAAGGCCATAAAACTAACAGTGGATCTCTCAGCAGAAACGCTACAAGCCAGAAGAGAGTGGGGTCCAACATTCAACATTCTTAAAGAATTTTCAACCCAGAATTTCGTATCCAGCCAAACTATGCTTCATAAGCAAAGGAGAAATAAAATCTTTTACAGACAAGAAAATTGCTGAGAGATTTTGTTACCACCAGATAACAAGAGATCCTGAAGGAAGCACTAAAAATGGAAAGGAACAACCGGTACCAGCCACAGCAAAAATATAACAAATTGTAAAGACCACTGATGCTATGAGGAAAAGGCATCAACTAATGGGCAAAATAACCAGCTAGCATCATAATGGCAGGATCAAACCTTTCACACATAACAATACTAACCTTAAATGTAAATGGGCTAAATGCCCCAATTAAAAGACACAGACTGGCAAATTGGATAAAGAGTCAAGACCCGTTGGTGTGCTATATTCAGGAGACCCATCTCACATGCAAAGACACACATTGGCTCAAAATAAAGGGATGTAGGAACATTTAGCAAGCAAATGGAAAGGAAAAAAAAAGCAGGGGTTGCAATCCCAGTCTATGATAAAACAGACTTTAAACCAACAAAGATCAAAAGAGGCAAAGAAGGGCATTACATAATGGTAAAGGGATCAATGCAATATGAAGAACTAACTATCCTAAATATATATGAACTCAACATAGGAGCACCGAGATTCATAAAGCAAGTTCTTAGAGACCTACAAAGAGACTGAGACTCCCAATCAATAATAGTGGGAGATTTTAACACCCCACTGTCAATATCAGATAGATCAATGAGACAAAAAATTACCAAGGATATCCAGCTCTGGACCAAGCAGACCTAATAGACATCTACAGAACTCTCCACCCCAAATCAACAGAATATACATTCTTCTCAGCACCACATCGCACTTACTCTAAAACTGACCACATATATGGAAGCAAAATACTCCTCAGCAAATGCTAAACAACAGAAATCATAACAAACAGTCTCTCAGACAACAGTGCAATCAAACTAGAGCTCAGGATTAAGAAACTCACTCAAAACAACACAACTACATGGAAAGTGAACAACTTACTCCTGAATGACTAAAGAGTAAATAAAAAAATGAAGGCAGAAATAAAATATTCTTTGAAACCAATGAGAACAAAGATACAACATACCAGAATCTCTGGGACACATTTAAAGCAGTGTGTAGAGGGAAATTTATAGCACTAAATGCCCACAAGAGAAGGCAGGAAAAATCTATACTCGACACCCTAACATCACAATTAAAAAACTAGAGAAGCAAGAGCAAACAAATTCGAAAGCTAGCAGAAGACAAGAAATAACTAATTTCAGAGCAGAACTAAAGGAGATGGAGAAATGAAAACCCCTTCAAAAAATTAATGAATCCAGGAGCTGGTTTTTTGAAAAGATCAACAAGATAGATACACCGCTAGCCAGACTAATAAAGAAGAAAACAGAGAAGAATTCAATAGATGCAATAAAAATGATAAAAAGGATATCACCACGGATACTACAGGAACACAAACTACCATCAGAGAATACTATAAAAACTTCTAGGGAAATAAACTAGAAAATCTAGAAGAAATGGATAAATCCCTGGACACATACATCCTCCCAAGATTAAACCAGGAAGAAGTTGAATCCCTGAATAGACCAATGACAAGTTTGAAATTGGGGCAGCAATTAATAGCCTATCAACCAAAAAGAGTCCAGGACTAGACGGATTCACAGCTGAATTTTACCAGAGGTACAAAGAGGAGCTAGTACCATTCCTTCTGAAAATATTCCAATCAATAGAAAAAGAGGGAATCCTCCCTAATTTTATGAGGCCAGACTTACCCTGATACCTAAATCAGGCAGAGACACAACAAAAAAAGAAAATTTCAGGCCAATATCCATGATGAACATCAATGCGAAAATCCTCAATAAAATACTGGCAAACCGAATCCAGCAACACATCAAAAAGATTATCTACCATAATCAAATTTGATTCATCCCTGGGATGCAAGGCTGGTTCAACATATACAAATCAATAAACATAATCCATCACAAACAGAACCAATGACAAAAACCACATGATTATCTCGATAGATGGCAGAAAAGGCCTTCAAAAAAATTCAACAGCGCTTCATGCTAAAAAACTCTCAATAAGCTAGGTATTGATGGAACATATCTAAAAATAGTAAGAGCTATTTATGACAAACCCACAGCCAATATCATACTGAATGGGCAAAAACTGGAAGCATTCCCATGAAAACCGGCACAAGAGAAGGATGCCGTCTCTCACCATTCATTTTCAACATAGTATTGGATGTTCTGTCCAGGGCAATCAGGAAAGAGAAAGAAATAAAGAATATTCAAATAGGAAGAGAGGAAGCCAAATCATCTCTGTTTGCAGATGACATGATTGTATATTTAGAAAATCCCATCATCTCAGCCCAAAATTTTCTTAAGCTGATAAGCAACTTCAGCAAAGTCTCAGGATACAAAAATCAATGTGCAAAAATCACAAGCATTCCTATATACCAATAACAGACAAACAGAGAGCCAAATCATGAGTGAACTCCCATTCACAATTACGAAAAAGAGAAAAAAAATACCTAGGAATACAACTTACAAAGGATGTCAAGGAACTCTTCAAGGAGGACTACAAACCTCTGCTCAATTTGTTTTTCTACAAATAGAAAAACTTTCCATGCTCATGGATAGGAAGAATCAATATCATCAAAATGGCCATATTTCCCAAAGTAATTTATAGATTCAATGTTATCCCCATCAAGCTACCAATAACTTTCTCCACAGAATTGGAAAAAAACTACTTAGAATTTCATATGAAACCAAGAAAGAGCCTGCATAGTCAAGACAATCCTAAGCAAAAAGAATAAACCTGGAGGCATCACACTACCTGAGTGCAAACTATACTACAAGGCTACTGAAACCAAAAGAGCATGATACTGGTACAAAAACAGATATATAGACCAATAGAACAGATCAGAGGCCCCAGAAATAACACCAGACATCTACAACCATTTGATCTTTGACAAACCTGACAAAAACAAGCAATGGGGAAAGATTCCCTATTTAATAAATGGTGTTGGGAAAACTGGCTAGCCATATGCAGAAAGATAAAATTGGATCCCTTCCTCACACCTTAAACAAAAATTAACTCAAGATGGATTAAAGACTTAAATATAAGACCTAAAACCATGAAAACCCTAGAAGAAAACCTACACAATACCATTCAGGACATAAGCATGGGCAAATATTTCATGACTAAAACACCAAAAGCAATGACAACAGAAGCCAAAATTGCCAAATGGGATCTAATTAAACCAAGGGGCTTCTGCACAGCAAAATAAGCTATCATCAGAGTGAAAGGGCAACCTACAGATATGGGAGGAAATTTTTGCAATCTATCCATCTGACAAAGGGCTAATATCCAGAATCTACAAAGAACTTAAACAAATTTACAAGAAAAAAAAACCTCATCAAAAAGTGGGCAAAGGATATGAACAGACACTTCTCAAAGGAAGACATTTATGCAGTCAAGAAACATGAAGAAAATCTCATCATCACTGGTCATTACAGAAATGCAAATCAAAACCACAATGAGATACCATCTCACTCCAGTTAGAATGGCGATCATGAAAAAGTCAGGAAACAACAGATGCTGGAGAGGATGTGGAGAAATAGGAACGCTTTTACAGGGTTGGTGGGAGTATAAATTATTTCAACCATTGTGTAAGACAGTGTGATGATTCCTCAAGGATCTAGAACTAGAAATACCATTTGACCCAGCCATCCCATTACTGGGTACATACCCAAAGGATTATAAATCATTCTACTATAAAGACACATGTACACATATGTTTATCGTGGCACTGTTCACAATAGCAAAGACTTGGAATCAACCCAAATGCCCATCAATGATAGACTGGATAAAGAAAATTTGGCACATATTCACCATGGAATACTATGCAGCCATAAAAAGGATGAGTTCATGTCCTTTGCAGGATATGGATGAAGCTGGAAACCATTATTGTCAGCAAACTACCAAGAGAACAGAAAACCAAACACCAAACACCACATGTTCTCACTCATAAGTGGGAGTTGAACAATGAGAACACATGGACACAGGCAGGGGAACTTCACACACTGGGGTCTGTTGTGGGGTGAGGTGCTAGGGGAGGGGTAGCATTAGAAGAAATACCCAAGGTAGATGACAGGTTGATGGGTGCAGCTAACCACCATGGCACGTGTATACCTATGTAACAAACCTGCACATTATGCACATGTACTCCAGAACTTAAAGTACAATAATAAAAATCTACATTAATAATTATGTTATTAAATTTGGTACACTTTTAAAGAATGATCACAAAACATAGGTCAAAATATTCTGATTATATATTTTCAATGATTAAGAAGGCTTGATAAGGAATTGGTAATTATTATGGCAGTTATTTAATAAACTTTAATTCTTTCAGTTTCAAAGTAGTAGCATCCAGTGAAAGCAATGATTCCCACCCACCCACCCCCCTGCCACCCAGTTTAAAAAAGAGACTCTTATTTGTTTAAATTATTGATATGGAAATAAATTAATATATTTCTTAAATCTAAATGTATATTTGCAGGCTGCATTTTTCTGGCTTTCTTTTTAAAATAAAAGATCAAATATGATTTTTTTTTCATCTCACAAAACAAAGAAAAGATCAACACAGACATAATGGGTACTCATTTCTTTATGTGTAAGAGTGCTGGTACTAGACTTTCCAGATGACTAGGTGAGATAAAAAGAAAGCATTTATTATGGAAAAAACTCTGAAAAGAGTTCTAGAAATTCTAGATACACATGGACAGAATGGTCAGGTATTCTACAGTAGTTTCACCTCTAAATTGATGAAATGAAATCAGTGGCTTTCAAATTGTATTCCAGAGAAGCTGCCAGGATTTCATAAATGTTTATACAAATTTAAATATTTTTTATTTTTAGTTACGATAAAATACACAGAACATAAAATTTACCAACAACCATTTTAAGTGTACAGTTCAGTAGTGTTAAACATATTCATGTTGCTGTGCACCAATCTCCAAAACTTTTTCATCTTGCAAAAGTGAAACTATAACCATTAAACAACAACACCCTATTTCCCTTCATCCTCAGCCTCTGGCAAATATTCTAATTTGCTTCAATTTGTATTGACTACTCTAGTACCTCACATAAGTGGAATCATAAAATATTTGTCTTTTTATGATTAGTTTATTTCATTTAGCATAATGTCCTTAAGATTAATCCATGTTGTAAGCATGGGTCAGAATTTCCTTCCCTTTTAAGGCTGAATAATAGTCCATTGTATGTATATACCACATTTTGTTTATTCATCCACTGTTAGAAATTGGAGTTGGTCCCACTTTTTGGCTATTGTGAATAATACTGCCATAAACATGGGTATACAAATATATCTTTAAATGTTTAAATGTATTTTAAAATACTTAAATAAGAAATGAATAAGCAAACATGAAAATGTCACAAGCCAAAGTTTCACTTGTTGATCTCCAGTGTATTAATGTGTTTTTGTATAAACTTTGAAAATGAAGATTAACCTGCTCTCATATTTAATATATCTGAACTTAGTGTAAATATATCATTAGCTATATATAATGCTTGTACTGTGACACTGGCCTTTTATTTAAATTCAGGCCTGTATGTCTGTTCACATGTAGGTTATTCTACTAAAGCACTCAGCAACATACTCAAACCATCGGGCTTGAGTTTTCCTGCTTTGTTTGTTTTCTTTATGGTGTAGTACGAGGTGTCTTCAAAATGTTCATGGAAAACACACTATGAAGAAACTATGCATGAGTCTGAGCAGGGTGGCTCACACTTGTAATCCCCGCACTTTAGGAGGCTGAGGTTGGCGGATCACTTGAAGTCAGGAGTTTGAGACCAGCCTGGCCAACATGGTGAAACCCCATCTCTACTAAAAATATGAAAATTAGCTGGGCGTGATAGCAGGTACCTGCAATCCCAGTTACTCAAGAGGCTGAGGCAGGAGAATCACTTGAGCCGGGGAGGCAGAGGTTGCAGTGAGCTGAGATCAGCCACTGCACTCCAGCCTAGATAACAGAACAAGACAAGGATGGAAGGAAGGAAGGAAGGAAGGAAGGAAGGAAGGAAGGAAGGAAGGAAGGAGGGAGGGAGGGAGGGAGGGAGGGAGGGAGGGAGGGAGGGAGGGAGGAAGAAAGAATTTCAAAACTTTTTGCACCGAAATCAGCTTATACTAACTTGTTATAACATGGCTGAACAAGATCTTGTTTACGGCACTAAGAAAGTTAAGACATCAGTTTGAAAGAGCCCCTGTGAATTCTGCTAAAACAAACAACAAATTTATGGTAACGCTTGCATGGAAAAATGGTGAAATCATTAATGCTTTTTTCACAAAAAGCTTATAGGGAAAATGCACCCAAAGAAATCAGCAGTTTACAAGTGGATAACTTGTAAGAAGGGACAAAATGATGTTGAAGATAAAGCCCAAAGTTGCAGACCATCCACATTTCAAGAAAAAAAAAGTTTGTCTTGTCTGTGCCCTATTTCAAGAGGACCAACCACTAACCGCAGAAACAATAGCCAACAGTATAGACATCTCAACTAGTTCCACTCACACAATTCTGACTGTAGGATTAAAGTTGAGCTAAGTTTCCACTTGATAAGTGCCAAAACCTTTGTACCCAGATCATTTGCAGATAAGAGCAGAGCTTTCAATGGAAATTTTATACAAGTGAGACCAAGATCCAGAAGCATTCTGTATAGTCTCTTCTCATGCTACTAATAAAGACATACCTGAGGCTGGGTAATTTATAAAGGAAAGAGGTTTAATTGATTCACTGAAGGCGAATGAGGAACAAACTCACATCTTACATGGCAGCTGGCAAGAAAGTATGTGCAGGGTTTATAAAACCACCAGATCTCATGAAACTCATTCACTATCACAAGAACAGCATGGGAAAGGCCCCCACCATGATTTTGTTATCTCCCACTGAGTACCTCCCATGACATGTGGGGATTATTGCAATTCAAGGTAAGATTTGGGTGGGGACACAGAGTCAAACCATATCACATTTCTTTGAAGAATCGTAACAGGAGATGAAACACGGCTTTACCAGTATGATCCGCAAGACAAAGCACAATCAAAGCAATGGGTACCAAGAGGTGGAAGTAGTCCAGTCAAAGCACAAGCAGGCTGGTCAAGAGCAAAAGTCATAGCAACAGTGTTTTTGGATGCTCAGGACATTTTGCTTACTGCTTTCCAGAGGTTCAAAGAATGATAACATCTGCTTATTGTAATAGTGTTTTGAGAAACTTAGATAAAGCTTATATAGCAGAAAAATATTTGGGAAAACTTCATCAGAGTGTCCTTTTCCACCACGACAATGCTCTTGCTCATTCTTTTCATGAAACAAGAGCAATTTTGTGAGATTTTTAATGAGAAATCATTAGAGATCCACTTTACAGTACTGATTTGGCTCATTCTGACTTCTTTTTGTTTCCTAATCTTAAAAAATCTAAAAAGAGCATCCATTTTTCTTTATTTAATAATGTAAAAAAGACTGCATTGACATAGTTATGTTCCAAGACTCTCGGTTTTCTAGGGATGGACTAAATAGCTGCCATCATTATTTACAAAAGTGTCTTGAGCCTGATGAAGCTCATGCTGAGAACATTTAAGATTTTTTTATCTTTTAATTTCATTTTCCAGAAGCTTTTGAGATCCCTCTATAATCTGTACAAGTAAATGCATAATACATCATATTGAATAATATCATACTATGGTTTTATGATTACTGTATAAGAATTGGTTGTTTGTTGATTCACTTTTGTATACCTGACAAGAATACCAGCAATTGTTACATAATGGAAGACTTCTGCAATCACTTACACAACATATCTTTTATTACCTACTAATATTCTAATATTCAAACTTTCTCAACCTAGTAAACACCTGTACACTCTTCACAACAGTACAAGTGTCACCTCTGTGAAGCTGCATATAATTCTCTTCTGCAGTCTCACAGATAGATCTGCTTTCTTTTTTGTTTCTCCACTGTAGTCGTTACTTTATTGCATGCTTCTGTCATTCCACCTTTTATTTTTTATTGCTTCTATGTTTAATTTTTCATCTTTATTGTAAATTTCTGTGTCTTAAATAAAGACACAGACTGAGTCTTTATTCATATTTGTATATGTATTCTATTGTAGAATAATCATTCAATAAAAAATTTTTGGAAGGGTGAGTCTTTATTAAGTTAAATCTAAACCTCAAATTGCAATACATTTAGCAGGTGCTTCTTGGTTTTTTTGTTTCTTTGTTTTGTTTTGAGATGGAGTCTTGCTCTGTCGCCCAGGCTGGAGTGCAGTGGCACGATCTCAGCTCACTACAACCTCTGCCTCCTGGGTTCAAGCCACTCTCCTGCGTCAACCTCCCGAGTAGCTGGGACCATAGGCGCCCACCACCACGCCCGGCTATTTTTTTATATTTTTAGTAGAGACAGGGTTTCACCGTGTTAGCCAGGATGGTCTCGATCTCCTGACCTCATGATCCACCCGCCTCGGCCTCCCAAACTGCGGGGATTACAGGCATGAGCCACCACGCCTGGCCTAGCAGGTGCTTCTTAATAGTCGTAATTATAACCCTGGATGAATAGACAAGCATTAAGAGTCCCTATCATTCTTGATAGCTTATTTGATGAGTGTCCCAGGATTTCATAATAATCTGTTTTTAAAAGTAGTTATTATTTTAAAAAATTAACTTGTATGATTCAGGATTTTCTCTGAACAGTACCAACAAAGCAAAATACAGAAATAAATTGGATACTAAGGCTAACGTAATTCCAACTGTCATCTCTAGCAACCAAATTTAGAATTTTAGACACTTGTGTTCATCAAAACAGACTCATTGTTTTATCATGTTCAAAATATTTAACTGTTATAAAAATAAATATATAGCATAAATTTATATTAATTGTCTTACCCTTTTGTCAGTATCATACATTCAGATTACACATACTAATGGGTTTGGTAAAAGGAGATTCCATTAAGAAAACAAAAATAAGGTTTTGAATAACTTGTAGCCAGATAATCTCTGAAAACTCCCAGTTCTCATAATTTATGAGTTAATAGTTCCTCTTCACTGTCAGCTAGTCTTCACATCCTCAGTCCTGCTTTAGACGGCCCATGGAATTATCCTGCTCGCAACCTATAGCACCAAACTAAGACAAGGAAAAACCCCATCTATCTGGTGAGCTTGAAGAGAATTCTTAAAGGTAGAGCTATAAATTCCACTTTCCTTCCCCTTAGATGACCGTAAGGTTTAACCTTTCACTAAACTACACACTAGCTGTTTTACCTGATTATACAGGTTTGCATCCTAAAACTCATATCAGTATAGAAGATGAATATTTCTGGGTGTTACATGGATCACACTTTGTAGTGTGAGGTAGTGATGACATTGTAGTGATGACAAAGTGTACTTGATAAATTCAATTCCACAAGTGTATATTAACACCCACTCAGTGCTAGGTCTTGTGCTACATGCTGGTGATAGTTCTTTCTTCTTCCCTTCATACAAAAACTCTTTGAAAGAAAAATCTACATACTTATCTTCTCTTCCTTCTCTTTCCATTCCTTTTCAACCTTCAATCACCTGACTTCTAACCTAACACTCCATATAAACCACTCTGGAAAAGATCCTTATTACTTCCTAATTGCCAAATTTAATGGACTACAGTCAATGTTTAACCTACTGTGCCTGTTTGCTGCATTTGACATTTTGACTGCTTGTTCCTACTTTGGTTTCTCTATGTCCATTCTATCCTTCTTCTCTTTCTGCTATTTTTATATATTTAATCTCAGAGGTCCTTTGTATCTTATTTATACCTCAAATGCTATATTTTTCAATGTCTTGTCCTTTCTTCTTTCATTTTTTCTTCTTTTTTTCTTTTCTCTTCTTATCCTCACTAGGTGATCTCATACATATCCAGGGCTTCAGTTACCACTCACATGCTGATAGATCCCAAGGCCACAGTTCTAATTTAGAGCTTTCCTTTGATAACAAATGCTGTCATATATCTCTTCTATAGAAGCCCAATGGGCACCTCAATCTAAACCTATATAAAACTGAGCTTGTTATTGTTTCTTCTGGATTCATCTAATTCTACTGAAGTCAGGCCCCTCATTATCTCTTGCCTAAAATACTGGAAAGTCTCCAAGCTGATCTTGTTGTGAAATTCCTACTCCTCAGTCTATCCATTACACCTCTAACAGAGTGAAATTTCAAAAAGGTAAATGCGATCTTGTCAGAGCCCTACATAAAACATATATCTGGCCGGGCGCGGTGGCTCACGCCTGTAATCCCAGCACTTTGGGAGGCCGAGGCGGGCGGATCACGAGGTCAGGAGATCGAGACCATCCCGGCTAAAACGGTGAAACCCCGTCTCTACTAAAAATACAAAAAATTAGCCGGGCGTAGTGGCGGGCGCCTGTAGTCCCAGCTACTTGGGAGGCTGAGGCAGGAGAATGGCGTGAACCCGGGAGGCGGAGCTTGCAGTGAGCCGAGATCCCGCCACTGCACTCCAGCCTGGGCGACAGAGCGAGACTCCGTCTCAAAAAAAATAAATAAATAAATAAATAAAAAAAAACATATATCTGACTGACTCCAAGTACCCAGACAATAAAGTTCAAATTCCTTGGTACGATATACAAAGATTCCTTTACAACATCCCTACATTTACAGTACTACTGTAATGTACTACCCCACATCAACTAATTTCAGTTTTCAAATAAAACATGCTATGTATAACCTTCTGTAATTCTCATATTAGTCCTTCTGTGTAGAAAATTCTACCTCACAGTTGACCTAATGAACTCTTGTACACGTTTCAAAGGAGTTCAAATCTCTCTCTAATAAAGCTTTCCATCACTCCTCCTTACATCCCCATAGATAGAAAGACACTCATTATATTTTGCTCCTTCACTATAGCCAATTAATATTTTCATCATGGAGTCTGATTTACTAACCTTTTTTTATGTGTCTGCTTTACCTTTACATACTTTAAGTTTCATAAAGACAGAGTCTTTGTCTTATTCATTATTTTATCCCCAGTTTTTCATATGTTAAGTATCCAACAAATGATTAGTAAAAGCATGATTGCATAAATAAATTAATGTGAAAACTTTTCTGCCCTCATCTGTCTCAAAGCCTAATGGGGAAACACATACACAAACATTAAAAATTATTCAGTATGTAGCTTCAGTGGTTGAATTGTGTGCATTCTGACTGTTATTTCCAGTTACGTCAAAGGAAGACATATATAATCACAGTAAACATAAAGTGTCTTGGTGTGTCTTTTGCAATTTGTGTGTGTGTGTGCAATTGTGTGTAGTTGGTTTTATACATCCCTCAAACACTAAAGCAAAATAAAAATACAGAGCCTGAGTATAATATAAAGTTAGTCAAACTATCCATATAGCAATTTATTTTTAGAGAATAAATTTCATGAGAAATATGTGAGAAGCTACCCCTATACAAGGAACCTGTGTTTTTATCATGTCCTAAATTCTGTGGTTAACAATGGCTGTAGATTAGAAAACATTTAAGGTTGTGGTTCTTTCAGCTGTTGGCAAATTGTAGAACACAAAAGTAAGAGAATACAAAAAAGAAATCCATTGGAAACTAAACCCAGTATTTGAAATTCTGAGTTGTTCCCTGGGCTTTAGTCATGTTTTTTCTCATTGGAGTAGGGTCAGTGTGACAGGGCTGAAGTAGATGGAAAAATGATGAATGTAATCAGGGGAAGAGGTTGAGGAAATTATTCTGGAACCCATGATTTAGGTTTCAAATAAAGATACTTTCCAAAGGAAATGAAACTGGTGAACTCAGTTTGCTCCCTAGCAACTACTGTAGTGGAGATGCAATATGAATGCATCGGCATGTTTCACATATTGGGAATCTCTGTGGAAATGTATAATGAGCTCCTGTTGGGTCGGTTTTCCATCCTATGCTTCAGTGCGAGGGCATGCAGTTGTCCAGATATCTGCAGCATTCTGAGCTGCTCAACAAATTTTAAACGTTTTGGTGAGAAAAATAGTTTGACGGTTTCCCTAAATACTCTCCAAGGTACCAGGCTGATAACAAAGTGGAGCCCCCAAACTTAAACTGAAGTCTGCATCATTTGAGTGTCCAGCATGGCAAGAAACTGGCTGACATTTACGTTGAAAATCACACAGGCCATGTGGCTATTGATAAGCTTATTTTCAGAAAGAAATACACAGTGACATTTAATCAAAATGTAATTCATTGGTATGAAATTTGATGAGCTAGCACAAAGTCAATTGCGTTTGATGGTTTATTTCCAATTAACTTAAGACACATTTTAACTTTCCCTGCTTCTTAACAGTTAATTTTTTAAAATCTATTCATAAAAATTAAATAAACACAATGTGCTGAATTTAAAAAACTATCTTTATCTGTTTCCATTTTCATCTCTTTCTTTTTCAATCTCTTTCATCCTTTTTTTCTTTTAAAGAAAGATAGGACGTGAAGAAGGACTGCCATCTACTGGTACACAAGAAACATTTCTGAAATACATGAACAGCACCAGGTACCCTGGTGGCTTTGTGGAAAACATTCTCTGACACAAAAGAAAAGGTTATTATGCTTTACACCCTTTAAATGAAACAATGGTTAATATATTCATTTACTCACTCACTTCAACAAAATTGAATTTATCACCTACCAGTATTGCCAAGCACTGAGCTAAATCCATAGAGAACACAGAAATGACTAAATCATGGTACTTGATAGAAAAATCATTTCATTTTCTTTCCTTCCTCTTTTCATGTACTGTCAATAGTATACAAATATGTTTTTGTAGCATGCACTTGAGTTAATGGATTGAGGCTCTGAGGATAATATCTGGAAAATATTAAATATTTACAGGCTATGCTGCTGGAAAAAAAATTCCCAGGAGGATGCCAGAAGCATACAAATCTCATAAATACCTCTATTCTCACTCATTCAATATTCAGTCTACTTATTTTAATATCTGTAATAATCCCTTTAAATATTACTATTCACAAAGGAATAAAGACAGAAAAGTAGCTCTCTTAAATGTTTTTCTTAATAGGAGATATAGAAAAGGAATATTGAAAGTGGTACAGAATACACACAGATATGGATTTCACAACATTAATACTGACAAATGCATTGAGAATATTCAGCACATACCTGAGGATGTTAGCAAGCCTGCCCTAATACCTACGCTACCTACTCTATCAAGCCAGAAACACTCAGGCATTGAAAAAAGCTTACAACACATATGACCATCAAAGACGAGTTTAAAAAAATGTATAAACATTGCTGATTTAAAGCATTTCCATTATAAACCTTACTTTTTCATGAAAACTTGGTTTTCCCAGGACACATCAACTTTGAAGATGATGCAAAGATATTTGTAGCAGAGACTCCAACCCGATTTTATTATCACAAATCCAAACCTTCTCAGCCTCCCTCTACCTGTGGATATAACACTCATAAACCCCCTTGCCAACTGAAAGAGCATATATCTTTCATTTACTTCTATAACCTAGTCATAGTATAATGCTTGGCCCGCTATAGGTCCCCAGTACTTTTATATTAAGAGACCAAATGAATATCATTGACTTTTTTGTCCTGTGGGAAATTAGAGAGGCTCCCACCAGTGATATATCAATGCCTTGCCCTATTGCTTCTAAAGTCTCAATATTGCTTTATTAAAGAAAAAAATCATGGTGAGGTAATTTTAGCCTTAAAGAAAAGTTACAAAGATAGTAAATTCTCATATGGTCTTTATCCAACGTCCCCTTAATGTTAATATCTCACATAACCAAAGTATAATTATTAAAAGTAAGAATATAAAAACCATACACTACCATTAACTAAACCAGGGGTCTCCAACCCCTGGGTCATGGACTGGTACCCATCCATGGCCTGTTAGGAACCGGGACGCACAGCAGGAGGTGAGCAGCAGTTGAGAAGGCAAAGCTTCATCTGTATTTACAGCTATTCCTCATCTCTGGCATTACCTCCTGAGCTCCACCTCCTGTTAGATCAATGGTGGCATTAGATTCACATAGGAGTTTGAACCCTATTGTGAAATGCACATGCAATGGATCTAGGTTGCACATTCCTGGGATTCTAATGCTTGATGATCTGTCACTGTCTCCCATCACCCCCAGATAAAACAATCTATTTGCAGGAAAACAAGCTTAGGGCTCCTACTGATTCCACATTATGGTGATATATGTAATTATTTCATTATATATTATGATGTAATAATAATATAAATAAAGTATGCAATAAATGTAATGCACTTGAATCATTCCAAAACAATTCCACCCTGGCCTGAGTCTGGAAAAATTGTCTTCCACGAAACCAGTCCCTGGTGCCAAAAAGGTTGGGGACCACTGAACTAAACTACAAAATTGTTTTAGTTTATCCACCTTTTCCACTAAAGTACATATTTATGTTCTAGGACACAGCCACACCTCGTTTTGTTGCACTTCACTTTATTGCGCTGCACAAATACCATGTATTTTACAAATTGAGGACTTGTGGCAACCCTGTATTGAGCAACTCTATCAGCTTCATTTTTCCAACAGCATGTGCTCAATTCATGTGTTTGTATCACATTTTGGTAATTTTTGAAATATTTCCAACTTTATCATTATTAGTATATCTGTTATGGTGACCTGTGATCAGTAATATTTGATATTACTATCGTAATTGTTTTGTGGCACCACGAACTATGTCCATAAAAGATAGTGAACTTAACAGGTAAATGTTATGTACATTCTGACTGGCTCCATCAACCAGCCGTTCCTTCATCTCTCTCTCCCTCTCTTCAGGCCTCCCTATTCCCTAAGATACAATATTAAAATTAGGCCAATGAATAACCCTACTATGGCCTCTAAGTGTTCAAGTTAGAGTCACATAACTATCATTTTAAATCAAAAGCTAGAAATGATTAAGCTTATGAGGAAGGCATGTTTGAGATAGGCCAAAAGATTGGCCTCTTGTGCCAAAGAGTTAGCCAAGTTGTGAAAGGAGAAGTTATTGAAAGAAATTAGTGAACACATGAGTGATAAGAAAGCAATACAGCCTTATTGCTGATATGGAGAAACTTTTAGTGGTCTAAATAGGAGATCAAACCAGCCACAACATTCCTTTAATTCAAAACCTAATCCAGAGCAAGACACAAACTCTCTTTAATTCCAAGAAGGCAGAGAGATGTGAGGAAGCTGCAGGAGAAAGGTTGGAAGCTAGCCGTTATGTGGTACATATACACCATGGAATACTATGCAGCCATAAAAAATGATGAGTTCGTGTCCTTTGTAGAGACATGGATGAAGCTGGAAACCATCATTCTCAGCAAACTATCACAAGGGCAAAAAACCAAACACCACATGTTCTCATTCATAGGTGGGAACTGAACAATGAGAATACATGGACACAGGAAGGGGAGCATCACACACCGGGGCCTGTTGTGGGGTGGGGGGAGGGGGGAGAGATAGCATTAGGAGATATACCTGATGTTAAATGACGAGTTACTGGGTTCAGCACACCAACATGGCACATGTATACATATGTAACTAACCGGCACATTGTGCACATGTACCCTAAAACTTAAAGTATAATAAAAAAAAAAGAAGAAGAAGAAAGGTTGGAGGCTAGCAAAGGTTGACTAATGAGACGTAAGGAAAGAAGCCATCACCATAACATAAAAATGCAAGGTGAAACAGCAAGTGCTGATGGAGAAGCTTCAGCAAGTTATCCAGAAGATCTACCTACAATTATTGATGAAGGTGGCTACAATAAACAAAAAATAATCAGTGTAGACCAAACAGCCTTATAACGGAAGAGGATGCCATCTAGGACTTTCATAGCTAGAGAGAAGTTAATGCCTAACTTCAAAGCTTCAAAAGACAGGCTGACTCTTTTGTTAGGGGCTAAAGCAGTTGGTGACTTTAAGTTGCCACTAATCCTCATTACCATTTCATTTTGAAAATCCTAGAGCCCTTAAATTTACTCTACCTGTGCTCTATAAATGAAACAACAAGCCTAGATGATAGCACATCTGCTTATAGCATGATTTACTAAATGTTTTCAGTCCATTGTTGAGACTTACTGCTTATAAAAAAGATTGCTTTCAAAACATTACTGCTCATTGACAGTGCACCTAGTCAAACAAGAGCTCTCACGGAGAGATGCAAGAAGATTAATGTTGTTTTTATACCTGCAAACTCAGTATCCACTCTGTAGCCCATGGATCAAAGAGAAATTTCAATTTTCAAGTCTCATTTGTTCAGCAGTACATTTCATAAGGCTATAGCTTCCATATAAATTGTGAATCTTCTGATGGATCTTGACAAAACAAGTTGAAAAACTTTGGGAAATAATTAACCATTCTAAGATGTCATTAAGAGCATTAGTGATTTATGAGAGAAGGTCAAAATGTCAACCATAACAGGAGTTTGAAGAAGTTGATGACTTTGAGTATTCAAGACATTATTAGAGGAAGTAACTGCAGATGTGGAAATAGCAAGTGAACTACAATTAGAAGTGGAGCCTGAAGATGTGACTGAATTGCTGCAATCTCATAATGAAACTTGAATGGATGAGAAGCTTCTTCCTCTGGATGGGAAAAAAAAGTGGTTTCTTGAGACAAAATCGACTCTTAGTGAAGATGCTGTGAACATTGTTGAAATGCCAACAAATGATCTAAAATATAACATAAACTTTTTTTTTTATGTTAATGACTGTACTTTGAGACATGATGGAAAAACATTACAGGTACACATGGAAAAGACATGATCACCAAATGAAAATCTAACCAGAAAGCTTTAATGTCTGTCAGCTAAGCTGAAGCTGAAATTCTGGGAGCACGACATGCTGCAGGGCCAAAAGGAATGGATTAGTATTCCTCTCTTTCTTCCTCACCCTCTCCTTCAACAGAATCCACACCAACCTCCTCATAATCCTTCTCAAGGGCAGCCATGTCTTCACGGGCCTCTGAAAACTCGCCTTCCTCCATCCCCTCACCCACGTACCAGTGAACAAAGGCACGCTTGGCATACATCAGGTCAAACTTGTGGTCCAGGCGAGCCCAGGCCTCAGCAATGGCTGTGGTGTTGCTCAGCATGCACTCTGTACCATGGCCAGGTCTCCACCAGGCACCACAGTGGGAGACTGGTAGTTGATGCCAACCTTGAAGCCAGTGGGGCACCAATCTACAAACTGGATGCTACGCTTGGTCTTGATGGTGGCAATGGCAGCATTGGCATCTTTGGGAACCACATCACCATGGCACAATAGGCAGCAAGCCATGTATTTACCATGGCGAGGGTCACATTTCACCATCTGGTTGGCTGGCTCAAAGGAAGCATTGGTGATCTCTGCTACAGAAAGCTGTTCATGGTAGGCTTTCTCAGCAGAAATGACAGGGGCATATGTCGCCAGAGGGAAGTGGATGTGGGAGTAGGGTACCAGGTTGGTCTGGAATTCTGTCAGGTCAACATTCAGGGCTCCATCAAATCTCAGGGAAGCAGTGATAGAGGACACAATCTGGCTAATAAGGTGGTTAAGGTTAGTGTAGGTTGGGCGCTCGATATTGAGGTTTCTACAACAGATGTCACAGATGGCCTCATTGTCTACCATGAAGGCACAATCAGAGTGCTCCAGGGTGGTGTGGGTGGTGAGGATGGAGTTGTAGGGCTCAACTACAGCTGTGGAAACCTGGGGCGCTGGGTAATTGGAGAACTCCAGCTTGGACTTCTTGCCATAATCAACTAAGAGACGTTCTATGAGCAGGGAGGTGAACCCAGAACCAGTTCCCCCACCAAAGCTGTGGAAAACCAAGAAGCCCTGAAAACCAGTGCACTGGTTAGCCAGCTTGCGAATTCGGTCCAACACAAGGTCAATGATCTCCTTGCCAATGGTGTAGTGCCCTCGGGCATAGTTATTGGCAGCATCTTCCTTGCCTGTGATGAGCTGCTCAGGGTGGAAGAGCTGGCGGTAGGTGCCAGTGCAAACTTCATCAATGACCATGGGTTCCAAGTCTACAAACACAGCCCGGGGCACATGCTTGCCAGCACCCGTCTCACTGAAGGTGTTGAAGGAGTCATCTCCTCCCCCAATGGTCTTGTCACTTGGCATCTGGCCATCGGGCTGGATGCCATGTTCCAGGCAGTAGAGCTCCCAGCAGACATTGCCAATCTGGACACCAGCCTGGCCAACGTGGATGGAGACGCATTCACGCATAGTGGCTAGGGATTAGGAGGCGAAGGTGACAGGAGCAGACACTGGGTCCCGGTTACCGTCCCCAACAAGCTAAGAGTTGAGGTAAGTAACACACTGGGAATGTTCCATAAACTTAGTTGATAAAGCAGCAGCAGAGTTTGAGAGGATTGACTCCAATTTTGAAAAAAAAAAAAAAAAAGGCCTACTTAGGTAAAATGCTATCGAACAGCATTACATGCAACAGAGAAATTTTTCATGAAAGGAAGAATCAGTCAATGAGGCAAACTTCACTGTTGTCTTGTTAAAAATTGCCACAGCCACTCCAACCTTCAGCAATCACCACCCTGATCAATCAGTAGCCATCAACATTGAGGCAAGCCTTTCCATCAGTAAAGGCTCAAATAATCATTAACATTTTTAGCAATACAGTATTTGTAAATATGATATATATGATTTTTTAAATATCATGCTATTGCACACTTAATAGGTTATGACTTTTACATGCACTGGGAAACCTAAAATATTATATGACTCACTTTATTGTGAAATTTGCTTTATTGCAGTGGTCTAGAACCAAACCCACAATATCTTCAAAGTATGCCTGTACCACAGTGAATTTAGTTGTTATATCTCTTTAATCCCCTCCCACCTGTGACAGCTCCTCAGTTTTTCCTTGTCTTTCATGACTTTGACACTTCTGAAGAACACAGATCATGAATTTTGTAAAATGGTCCCCACTGTAAGTTTGTCTGATGGCTTATTATGATTACACTGTGTTATAGAATTCTGGGAATAATACCACAAAGAATAAGTGGCCTTCTCATCATATCATATCAGGAGGTACATGATATCAACATATCCTAGTACTGATGAGGTTAACTTCAATCACTTGATTAAGATGCTATCTGCCAGGTTTATCCACTGTAAGCTCTACCTCCTGGGGAGAGAAATATCAAAGAATTTGTGCCTGTTTCTCCAGGCTCAGGTAGCTTTCTCACATATAAGCACTAACATGTATTCAGCTAAAGACTCAAGAAGAAAACCTTTCCTTATTTCTAGAGCTCTTTCTCATCACCTCACTTCTCTTTAGTGTGCTGCTCAATGAATTTCTTTCTGCATTCTCAACTTAGCTTCCTTGACTCAGGGAAACTGCCAGGCTCTGTTTGTATTTCTCCTCCCTCCACTGTATCCTAAATATTATCTTAAGATAGTAAGCTGTATCAATTCTAGAATTCACCATGTTTGTTTTCCCTCTCTCAGGAGTCAGTCATCCAATTTCTGTAAACCATTGTTTCATATGTATTTTTATTTGTTTACAATGGAGGGGTAAATACAGAAATAGGTGCCTGGTCCAATATTTTAAACACCATCTATGTGCTGATACCACCAAAAATTAAACTTGTAGCTCAGAACTTTTCCATGAACTACAAACACTTATCCAATTTCCTATTTTATATTTCCACTTAAATTCTCATTGGCATTCTAAACTCAACTTATCTAAAGCAGAACTCTTGATTCATTACACCCCCATTCATTTCTCTCTTGCTCCTCTTAATCCCAATACATATTACTACAAGTCACTCAGATACTCAATTAAAAATCTGGGAGTTATCTTTGACTCTTCTCTTCCCCTTACTGCCATATCCAATACATTAGCAATTCCTATTTTTCTATTTCCAATATTCATATCAAATCCAACCTCTTGTCTATAACCATTCTTAGTATCTCTCATCTGAGCCATTGCAGAAACTTGTAATCTACTTACTTGCATTCTTGCTTCTCCCTTTTCATTCATTATCCAGCAGCCATAATAATATTTTAAAAATATACATAAAGAGTAATATCAGCAAGATGACAAAGTAGAAAGCTCTAGACTATCTTTTCCCCTATGAACACAACAATTCAGCAACAATTCACAGACAGATACCCTTTGTGAGAAACTAATTGAAAGGCTCTTGTACCCTGGGCAAACACAAAACCAGACTCATGGAAGCTAGTAGGAAGATTCAGAACACCCTCCCACCAAAATTCTCACACCTGACATAGGGCCATAAGATTGATTGGAAAGAGACCACTGGCACCCTCCCCCAGATCCTAACTTCTCTCAGGTAAGGAAAAGAATTGGTTCACACATAAGTGCCCCAACTTTTCCATAGAAGCATCCCAGAGGACTGGGTTCTGTCTTGCCAATCTAGGAGCCCTGATGGGACGAGCATAATCTAGCCAAATGGGGGAGAACAAAAACAGCAGTGTGGGGCATAGTTGCCATAGCTTTGCCCCTCAGCTCAGAATGGCATGAGCAGAGGGAAAATTCCAGCTCCCAGCTACTCCCTGAGGAGGAAAAGAGTTGGTCCATGCATCCAGCATCCCAACTTTCCTTCAAAGACTTCACAGTGGACTGGTTTCTGTTTTGCCAGTCTCAGCGCACTGACCTGGCAAAATGTAGCTGTAGGGGGAAGAGTGAAAACAGAGATGGAGGTTTGGGTTGGCAGTCACTATTGCCTGTCTTCCAAAAACTTGAAGAGGGGGAAACACTTCTGAACTCATTTTATGAGGCCAGCATTACCCTGATATCAAAGCCAGACAAAAACACCTCAAAAAAAGAAAACTACAGGCAAATATCTCTAATCAATATAGAGAAGAAAATTGTTTTAAAATACTAACAAATTGAATTCAACAGCATATTAAAAGGTCATATACCATGACCATGAAGGATTTGTCCCTGAGATACATGGATGGTTCAACATATGAAAATCAAGTAATGTGATATTCTAAATTAACAGAAGAAAAAATGAAAATCATATGATAATTTCAACAGATGCAGAAAAAGCATTTTGCAAAATTTAGTACCTTTCCATGGTAAAAGCTCTCAACAAACTAGAAATAGAATAAAATTATTTCAACGTAATAATGACCATATATAAAGAATCCACAGCTATCATCACAGTTAACAGCAAAAAATCTGAAAATTGTTTTAAGCTCTACGATCAGGAACAAAGCAAGAATGCCCTCTCTTGTTACTTCTATTTAACATAGTACTAGATGTCTTAGGTAGACTTTCCTGCAATTGGGCAAGAAAAAGAGACAAAAGGCATCCAAATCAGAAAAGAAGAAGTAAAATGGTCCCCCTTTGCTAATGACATAATCTTACATCTAGAAAACCCTAAAGACTCGACCAAAAAACTGTGAGAACTAATAAACAAATTTAGTAAAGCTGAAGGATACAAAATCAACATATATTGTAGTCCCAGCTACTTAGGAGGCTGAGTGTGAAGGATGGCTTGATCCCAGGAGTTTAAGTCTAGCCTGGGAAATATATAGCGACCCCATCTCTATTAATTTTTTTAAAAAATAAATATATAAAAATTAATTATATATCTATAGAGTAAAAATAAATTATCTGAAAATTCAGAAAGCAATTCCATTTACAATAGCATCAAAAAGAATAAAATAGGAATAAACTTAACTAAGGTGATGAAAGACTTATACACTGAAAGCTACAAAACACTGATGAACAACATTAAAGAAGACACAAAGAAATGAAAAGATATTTTGTGTTCACAGATTGGAAGAATTAATTTTGTTAAAATGTTCATATAATCCAAAGTAATCTACAGATTCAATATAATTTTCATCAAAAATCCCAATAGTATTTTTACAGAAACGGAAAAAAAAACACTCTAAATTTCATAAGGAAACACAGAAGACCCCAAAATAGTCAAATCAATCTTGAGAAAGAAGAGCGAGGCTGGAGCATCACACTTCATGATCTCAAAATGTATTACAATGCTACAGTAAGTAAAACAGTATGGTGCTAGCATAAAGACAGTTATCTAAGGCAAATGGAAGAGAGTACAGAACTCAAAAATAAATCCATAAATACACAGTCTTCAACAATACTGCCAAGCATACACAATGGGGAAAAGGTAGTTTCTTCAACAAATAATATTGGGAAAACTGGATATTCACATATAAAAGAATGAAATTTGAACAATATCTTATGCCATACACAAAAGCAACTCACAATGGTTTAAAAAGCCACACATAAGATCTGAAACCATAAATTCTTAGATGATAATATAGGGGAAAGCCTTCATGAAATTAATCTTGGCAATGATTTCATGGACATGGCACCAAAATCACAGGCAAAAATAGACAAGTGGGACTACATTGAACTAACATCTTCTGCACATCAAAAGAAATATTTAACAGAATGAAAAGGCAATCTATGAAATAGGAGAAAATATTTGCAAACTATGTATCTGATGAATGGTTAATATCTGAAATGTGTAAGTAATTTCTACAACTCAATAGCAGAAAGACTAATAACTTGATTTTAAAACGGGCTTAAGACTTGAATAGAAATTTCTTCCAAAAAGACATACAAATGGCCAACAGCTATATGAAAAGATGCTCAATGTCATTAATCATCAGAGAAATGCAAATATAAACCACAATGAGGTATCATCTGATACCTGTCAGAATGTCTATTATCAATGTTGGTGAGGATGTAGAGAAATAACAACCCTTGTAAACTGTTGATGGAAACACAAACTTATGCAGCCATTATGGAAAACATTATGGAGTTTTCTCAAAAATTAAAAATAGAATCACCATATGATCTGCAATCCCACTTCAGGGTATTTATCCAAAAGAATTGAAATCAAGATCTCATAGATATATTTATACTCCCATGTTCACTGCAGCACTATTCACAATAGGCAAGATGTGGAAACAACCTAAGTGCCCCTTAACAGACGAAAAAAAAAAAGAAAATGTAGTATATACATGTAATGGATATTATTCAGCCTTTAAAAAGAAGGAAATTCTGCAATATGCAATAACATGGATAAACGTCAAGGACATTATGCTAAGTTAAATAAATCAGTCTCGGAAGAACAAATGCTGGATCATTCCATTTATATGAGTACCTAAAATCATCAAATTTGTCCAGTAAAAGAGTGGAATGGTGGTTTCCAGAGGCTGGGAGAAGGGGAAATGGGGAGTTACATCAACAAGCATAGAGTTTCATTTAGGAAATATTAATAAGTTTCAGAAATCGGCTGTACAACATCATGCCTATAGTTAACAATACTGTGTTATGCACTTAAAATTTGGTTAAGAGAATAATGTATCAGTTAGGGTTCTCGGAGAAACAGAACCCTTTCCTAAAGTGTTCTTCTCCTGGTTCGTGATATGGCTCACTTATTTTTCATCATTCAGGTTTCGGCTTAAATGTCACTTTCTTCAGAAATCATTCCTTGACCACCCTATTAATAGTTGTGCTCCTGCCTCTGTGACCCCCTTTTACATCATGGTATTTAATTCCTTTATACACTTTAAATGATTTTTCATTATCTTATTTACTCGCTTCATTATTTATTTATCATCTGTGTCATAGACAAAAACTCCTAGAGGAAAAGTCATCTTTTTTTGTCACTGTATCTGCAAGACATGATTGATGCCTGGTATTCATTAGATATTACATAAAAATTCTTGAATATATTAATGAAGATACAAATATATTTTTCATAGATAGGAAGTTAATGTTATGGTCCAGGCAAGATCTGACTTGGTAAGATCTTGTTAGGAATCTAGACAATAGGGCAGCTAACAAGAGCCTACAGGTCAAATCAAACCTGCTTTTGAAAGTAAAGTCTTCTTTTGAGAAGTGTCTGTTCATATCCTTCACCCACTGTTTGATGGTGTTGTTTGTTTTTTCTTGCAAATTTGTTTGAGTTCATTGTAGATTCTGGATATTAGCCCTTTGTCAGATGAGTAGGTTGCAAAAATTTTCTCCCATTCTATAGATTGCCTGTTCACTCTGATGGTAGTTTCTTTTACTGTGCAGAAGCTCTTTAGTTTAATTAGATCCCATTTGTCAATTTTGGCTTTTGTTGCCATTGCTTTTGGTGTTTTACACATGAAGTCCTTGCTCATGCCTATGTTCTGAATGGTATTGCCTAGGTTTTCTTCTAGGGTTTTTATGGTTTTAGGTCTAACATTTAAGTCTTTAATCCATCTTGAATTAATTTTTGTATAAGGTGTAAGGAAGGGATCCAGTTTCAGCCTTCTACATATGGCCAGCCAGTTTTCCCAGCACCATTTATTAAATAGGGAATCCTTTCCCCATTGCTTGTTTTTGTCAGGTTTGTCAAAGAACAGATAGTTGTAGATATGCTGTATTTATGCAGCCAAAAAACACATGAAAAAATGCTCATCATCACCGGCCGTCAGAGAAATGCAAATCAAAACCACAATGAGATACCATCTCACACCAGTTAGAATGGCGATCATTAAAAAGTCAGGAAACAACAGGTGCTGGAGAGGATGTGGACAAACAGAAAAACTTTTACACTGTTGGTGGGACTGTAAACTAGTTCAACCATTGTGGAAGTCAGTGTGGAGATTCCTCAGGGATCTAGAACTAGAAATACCATTTGACCCAGCCATCCCTTTACTGGGTATATACCCAAAGGATTATAAATCATGCTGCTATAAAGACACACGCACACATATGTTTATAGCGGCACTATTCACAATAGCAAAGACTTGGAACCAACCTAAATGTCCAACAACGAGAGACTGGATTAAGAAAATGTGGCACATATACACCATGGAATACTATGCAGCCATAAAAAATGATGAGTTCATGTCCTTTCTAGGGACATGGATGAAACTGGAAACTATCATTCTCAGCAAACTATCACAAGGACAAAAAACCAAACACCACATGTTCTCACTCATAGATGGGAATTGAACAATGAGAACACATGGACACAGGAAGGGGAACATCACACACCGGGGACTGTTGTGGGGTGGGAGTAGGGGGGAGGGATAGCATTAGGAGATATACCTAATGCTACATGATGAGTTAATGGGTGCAGCACACCAACATGACAATAGTATACATATGTAACAAACCTGCACGTTGTGCACATGTACCCTAAAACTTAAAGTATAATAATAAAATTAAAAAAGAAGTAAAAAATAAATAAATAAAATAAAAGCTGTATAGTAAAAAAAAAAAAAAAAGTAAAGTCATGTTGAAAGACAGCCATATGCATTTGATTACATATTGTCTATGGCTACAGTGGCAGAGTTAAATAATTAAAACAGAGACTATTTGACCCAGAAAGCCTAAAAGGTTTACTAACTGTTCCTTCCTAAAAAATGCTTGCCAACTCCTAATCTAGACATATGTAGAGATAAGTGGGATAACACAGAGGGAATAGAATATATTAAGCATTGCTCTCAGACCAAAAGTCTGTGTTCCATGATAATACATACACAATTCATCTCTCTCCTACTTCATGGTCTGTTTCCTACCTTCTTCCCTACCACTATCACCCCAAGAATAGAATAACCTTTTTTATAGTGTAGATCCCATGTTTCCAAGACTCTTAACTATAAATCATTAAACCACCTCCATTATTACTATAATAGTAAAGACAGTAACCACTTGTACATTCTGTACCTTGTCACAATATTCCAGAACTTCCATGTTACATATGCTGAGTTAAATACTATCACCATTCTCGCTATTTCTTTTGCATGTTGAAAATGTTGCCATTTTGTGAAACTTATTAAAATGTATGTTGTTTTGTTGAAATTCTATTAAAATGTAATTTCAGCCAGAAACAGTGATCCATCTTTCTAGGACCATTAGTTCCTTTCAAATGGGCATTCAATGCATTCAACCTTTCAGACCATAGTACTATCAGCTAGACCACTAAAAAATGTAATGTACGTCTCCAGTGCTTTCCAGAGTTCCTAAAATCAACTCAAAGAAAATATGTTACTCAGCTAGCAATGAGAGTTTGTGTCAAAAGGTGAAATTATGCCCTTTTCCTACCTTCCAGCATCCTTACTTACACTTAGAGGCAGGTGACAACAGAAGACTTAATTTGTCTGCCACGGAAGTCTTAGATTGTCCCAACGACCTATTACTTTGTCACCATTCCAGCGGCTTGGATGTGATGATTTGATTTCATAAATCTTCAGTCAAAGATACAATGATAGTGCCATATAGACATAAACGATGTTATAACAATACTATTTTGTGCTCCAATATGAAAAATTAGAAAGGTCACCAGGTCACTAAGGAAAACATGCTGACTTTGGGAAAAAGACTGTTATGGGTGCATGTACCTTGCTCCTCTGCTTTGTCCTCTTCAGTTTTAACCTTGATTATGACCACAGTATGAGAAATTAAAGAGGATACTGATAAAAATAACTAAATTATAGTTTCATTGGTAACCACAGATAAAAGTGGAGAGATATTAAGAAGATGTGAATGCTTTTATTGGTAACTATCTTAGCTACTTTATGCCTGTGGAAAAGAAGCCAGCATAAATATTTGAATGCCTTGGAACCCTCCAAGCTCACACTTAAAAAACAAAATAAAATAACCTACTTGCCTACCTTCTATAATTCACTCATTCATTACTTAATAGGTTCTGCAACAAAAGTCTAATGAGTGATTTTAAGTAAGTGGAGTCAAAATCAAGGCAAATCAAAATAAAAACACAAAACTGAGAAAGCAATTAAAAACACAACCAAGTTATTTAGTGTGTAGCTTAATACTCAAGCATCTCTCATTAACATGATAACATGTAAAGGATATGTAATAAATTATGTTACGGGAGGCAAGAAATGGAGAGTATCAAATTTCCTCTAAAAGTAGAGTAAGATATTAGTTTATTATTAAGAAACCAGTTTGTATTGTTTTGTGTGCTCGACTTCTGTTAAACCGAAAATAATCTTTCACAATTATTTACTCTATAGACTCTCTTTTCATTCCCAAATTTAAGAATTTGTTATTATAAGTATTGAATTCCATAAATTTTCACTTCTTTAAATCTTCTCTAGTTCAACGTGGATCAGAAACCAACATCCCAGGAAAGAAAAAAAAATTTCAAATTATAGGGGTATTTTTTTGAGTTAGATGCATAAAGTGACAATATTTATAATACAAATGTATCAAGAAATAGTTTATCAATCTATTCAGGCAAAAGATGTGAACAGTTGGTTCCTGTTGTTCTTCAGTTTGTGTAGTTTTATTTACTTGCTTTGCTAAATACTGTCAAATACTCTAATTCTATTCTTCTGTTGATCAATTTTTTTCATTGTACTTTAAGTTTTAGGGTACATGTGCACAACGTGCAGGTTAGTTACATATGTATACATGTGCCATGTTGGTGTGCTGCACCCATTAACTCATCATTTAACATCAGGTATATCTCCTAATGCTATCCTTCCCTCCTCCCCCCACCCCACAACAGGCCCCAGTGTGTGACGTTCCCCTTCCTGTGTCCATGTGTTCTCATTGTTCAATTCCCACCTATGAGTGAGAACATGCGGTGTTTGGTTTTTTGTCCTTGTGATAGTTTGGTGAGAATGATGGTTTCCAGCTTCATCCATGTCCCTAGAAAGGACATGAACTCATCATTTTTATGGCTGCATAGTATTCCATGGTGTAGTCAAAGAAAGGGGTGACAGACGGCACCTGGAAAATCGGGTCACTCTCACCCTAATACTGCGCTTTTCCAATGGTCTTAGCAAACGGCACACCAGGAGATTATATCCCGTACATGACTCAGAGGGTCCTACACCCATGGAGCCTAAAAGAGCTGTTGATCAATTTTTTAAACCTCTTCAAAAAGGAAGGTTGGTAGTGAAAGAAAAATTCTTTTTTTTTTTTTTTGCGATGGAATCTCGCGTTGCCCAGGCTAGGGTGCAGTGGTGCAATCTCGGCTCACTGCAACCTCCGCCTCCCGGGTTCAAGTGATTCTCCTGCCTCAGCCTCCTGAGTAGATGGAATTACAAGTGTGTGCCACCATGCCTGGCTAATTTTTGCATTTTTAGTAGAGACAGGGTTTCACCATGTTGGTCTGGCTGGCCTTGAACTCCTGACCTCAGGTGATCCACCTGACTCAACCTCCCAAAGTGCTGGGATTACAGGCGTGAGCCACCGTGCTCGGCCAGAAAAAATCTTTTAAAACAGCTCCTACAAAACATTTTTTTTTCACATAAGCACAGTTTTACTTTTTCCCTACTAAAGAAATAGTCATCTAATGTTCCCCACATGGTGTGAGCAATTTCCTCTATTATTAAATTAGTAAATCTTCTGTACACATATATTTCCACACTCTGAACCTTTGGTCATGCCATTCTATCCATTGAAATGTTCTTCCCTCATCTTCATGTGCATCAGGGAACAATTCAGCTAAAGCTGATATACTGCTAGGTATCCTCATCAACCATTAGGAATCTCAAGTGAATTCAGTTATCCTCATCCTTAAAGATATGCTACATGCTTTCCTCAAAATTTTCTGTTTATTTTGCCCAACTTCTGTCCTCAAAATATTACCCATCATCATTAACATAACTTTTTTTGAGTTATATTTATTATTACATACTATTCTAATGCTGGCCCTATAGTCAGTTACAAAAAATTACAATTAACTTACTAGATACTCTCCTAGATGCTGGAACTACAATAAAGTTTTCAAATTATTAGCAATTAAGTTTGGGGTTCAACTTATACACTTTAAAGTAAATGATAGAAATAATATATAGTATCAAGTGATTAGCCCAGAAAGTAGAGAAAAAAATTCAGAAAAAGGAGAGATTTTTATCAGTAGAAGCAGTCAGAAAATACATATGAAAGTAAAAAACACAAAAAGTAATAAAAGAAGATATTCCAAGAAGAAAGAAAGGAATTAGTGAAAGTGTGGAGATAGATATGTATGAATTGGTTTCACTGACCCCGAGAATTCATAGGAGGTAAAGGAACAGCCAATCACCTATCACCTGAGAGCACAGCAGGATGGACAATGATCGGGATATAAACCCAGGGATTCGAGCCAGCAACAGCTACCCTCTGGTTCCCCTCCCTTTGTATGGGAGCTCTGATTTCACTCTATTAAATCTTGCAACTGCAAAAAAAAAGAAAAAAAAAAAGAAAGAAGAAACAGAAGAGATTGGACTGGCAAGATGGATGAATAGGAACAGTTCCTGTCTGCAGCAACCAGCGAGATGGATGTAGAAGGCAGCTGATTTCTGCATTTCCAACTGAGATACCTGATTCGTCTCATTGGAACTGTTGGAGAGTGGGTGCAGCCCACGGAGGGCAAGCCGAAGCAGGGTGGGGAGTCACCTCACACAGGAAGCACAAGGGGTCAGGGGATCTCCCTTTCCCAGCCAAGGGAAACTGTGAGACTGTACCAGGAGGAATGGTGTACTGTGGCCCAGATACTACACTTTTCCCATGGTCTTCATAACCCGCAGACCAGGAGATTCCCTCCATTGCCTATGCCACCAGGGCCCTGGGTTTCAAGCAGAAAGCTGGGTGGCAGTTTGGGCAGACACTGAGCTAGTTGCAGGATCCCTTCCTCCCTTCCTCCCTTCCTCCCTTCCTCCCTTCCTCCCTTCCTCCCTTCCTCCCTTCCTCCCTTCCTCCCTTCCTCCCTTCCTCCCTCCCTCCCTCCCTCCCTCCCTCCCTCCCTCCCTCCCTCCCTCCCTCCCTCCCTTCCTTCCTTCCTTCCTTCCTTCCTTCCTTCCTTCCTATCCCAGTGGCACCTGGAACACCAGCGAGACAGAACTGTTCACTCCCCTGGAAGGGGGACTGAAGCCAGGGAGCCAAGTGCTCTGGCTTGGCGGGTCCCACCCCCATGGAGGCCAGCAAGCTAAGTTCCACTAGCTTGAAATTCCTGCTGTTAGCACAGAAGTCTGAGGTCGACCTGGGAAGCTCAAGCTCTGTGGGTGAAGGAGAGTCCACCATTGCTGAGGCTTGAGTAGGAGGTTTTACCCTCACAGTATAAACAAACGCACCTGGAAGTATGAACTGGGTGGAGCCCACTGCAGCTGAGCAAGGGCTCTGTGGCCAGACTGCCTCTCTAGATTCCTCCTTTCTGGGCAGGGCATCTCTGAAAAAAAGGCAGCAGCCCCAGTCAGGGACTCATAGACAAAACCCCCATCTCCCTGGGACAAAGCACCTGGGGAAAGGGGCGGTTGGGGGCACAGCTTCAGCAGACTTAAACGTCCCTGGCTGATGGCTCTGAAGAGAGCAGCAGATGTCCCAGCACAGTGTTAGAGCTCTGCTAAGGGACAGAATGCCTCCTCAAGTGGGTCCCTGAACGCCATGTAAACTGACTGGGAGACAACTCCCAGTAGAGACTGACAGACACATCATACAGGAGAGCTCTGACTGGCATCTGGTGGGTGGCCCTCTGGGACAAAGCTTCCAGAGGAAGAAACAGGCAGCAATCTTTGCTGTTCTGCAGCCTCCGCTGGTGATACTCAGGCAAACAGGGTCTGGAGTGGACCTCCAGCAAACTCCAGCAGACCTGCAGCAGAAGGGCCTGACTATTAGAAGGAAAACTAACGAACAGAAAGGAATCATATCAACATCAACAAAAAGGACGTCCACACCAAAACCCCATCCGAACATCACCAATATCAAAGACCAAAGGTAGATAAATCCATGAGGAAGGGGAGAAACGAGCACAAAAAGGCTGAAAATTCCAAAAACCAGAACACCTCTTCTCCAAGGGATCACAACTCCTCGCCAGCAAGGGAACAAAATTGAACAGAGAAGGATTTTGACAAATTGACATAAGTGGACTTCAGAAGGTGGGTAATAACAAAGTCCACCAAGCTAAAGGAGCATGTTCTAACCCAATGCAAGGAAGCTAAGAACTTTGAAAAAAAGCTAGATGAATTGCTAACTAGAATAACCAGTTTAGAGAAGAACACAATTGACCTGATGGAGCCAAGAAACACAGCACGAGAACTTCATGAAGCATACACAAGTATCAATAGCTGAATCAATCAAGCAGAAGACAGAATATCACAGATTGAAGATCAACTCAATGAAGTGAAGCGAGAAGACAAGATTAGAGGAAAAAGAGTGAAAACAAATGAACAAAGTCTCCAAGAAATATGGGACTATGTGAAAAGACAAAATCTATGTTTGTTTGGTGTACCGGAAAGTGACAGGAAGAATGGAACCAAGCTGGAAAACACTCTTCAGCACATTATCCAGGAGAAACACCCCAACCCTAGCAAGGCAGGCCAACATTCAAATTCAGGAAATACAGATAACGCCACAAAGATACTCCTTGAGAAAAGCAACCCCAAGACACATAATCATCAGATTCACCAAGGTTGAAATGAAGGAAAAAATGTTAAGGGCAGCCAGAGAGAAAAGCTGGGTCACCCACAAAGGGAAGCCCCTCAGGCTAACAGCATATCTCTTAGCAGAAACTCTACAAGACAGAAGAGAATGGGAGCCGATATTCAATATTCTTAAAGAAAAGAATTTTCAACCCAGAATTCCTTATCCAGCCAAACTAAGCTTCATAAGCAAAATAAAGTATTTTACAGAGAAGAAAATGCTGAGACATTTTCTTACCACCAGGCCTGCTTTAGAAGAGCTCCTGAAGGAAGCACGAAACATGGAAAGGAACAACCAGTACCAGCCACAGCAAAAACATACCAAATTGTAAAGACCATCAACGCTATGAGGAAACTGCATCAACTAACAGGCAAAGTAACCAGCCAGCATCACAATGACAGGATCAAATCCACATATAACAATATTAACCTTAAATGTAAAAGGGCTAAATGCCCTGATTAAAAGACACAGACTGGTAAATTGGATAAAGAGTCAAGACCCGTCAGTGTGCTATATTCAGGAAACCCATCTCACATGCAAAGACACACATAGGCTCAAAATAAATGGATGGAGGAAGATTTATCAAGCAAATCGAAAGTGAACAAAAAAAAGCAGGGGTTGCAATCCTAGTCTCTGATAAAACAGACTTTAAACCAACAAAGAACAAAAGAGACAAAGAAAGGCATTACATAATGGTAAAGGTATCAATGTATCAAGAAGAGCTATCTATCCTAAATATATATGCACCCAATACAGGAGCACCCAGATTCATAAAGAAAGTTCTTAGAGACCTACAAACAGACTTGGACTACCACAAAATAATAGTGGGTGACTTTAACACCCCACTGTCAATGTTAGACAGATCAACAAAACCGAAAATTAACAAGGATATCCAGGACTTGAACTCAGCTCTGGACCAAGCGGACCTAATATACATCTACAGAAGTCTCCACCCCAAATCAACAGAACATACCTTCTTCTGAGCACCTCATTGCACTTATTCTAAAATTGGCAGCATAATTGGAAGTAAAACACTCCTAAGCAAATGTGAAAGAATGGAAATCATAACAGTCTCTCAAACCACAGTGCAATCAAATTAGAACTCAGGATTAAGAAACTCACTCAAAACTACACAACTACATGGAAACTGAACAACCTGTTCCAGAATGACTACTGGGTAACAAAATTAAGGCAGAAGTAAAGATGTTCTTTGAAACCAATGAGAACGAAGACACAACATACCAGAATCTCTGGGACAAATTTAAAGCAGTGTGTAGAGAGAAATTTATAGCACAAAATGCCCACAAGAGAAAGCAGGAAAGATCTAAAATTGACACCCTAACTTACAATTAAAAGAACTAGAGAAGCAAGAGCAAACAAATTCAAAAGCTAGCAGAAGGCAAGAAATAATTAGGATCAGAGCAGAACTGAAGGAGATACAGACATGAAAACCCCTTCAAAAAATTAATGAATCCAAGAGCTGCTTTTTTAAAAAGATCAACAAAATAGATAGACTGCTAACCAGACTAATAAAGAAGAAAGAAACAAGAATCAAATAGACACAATAAAAGGTAAAGGGGCTATCACCACTGATCCTACAGAAATACAAACTACCATCAGAGAATACTATAAACACCTCTACGCAAAGAAACTAGAAAATCTAAAAGAAGTGGATAAATTCCTGGGCACATACAACCTCCCAAGACTAAACCAGGAAGAAGTCAAATCCCTGAATAGACAAATAAAAAGTTTCAAAATTGAGGCAGTAATTAATAGCCTACTAACCAAAAAACAAATCCAGGACCAGACAGATTCACAGCCGAATTCTACCAGAGGTAGAAAGAGGAGCTGGTACCATTGCTTCTGAAACTATTCCAAACAATAGAAAAAGAGGGAATCTTCCCTAACTAATTGTAAGAGGCCGGACTTACCCTGATACCAAAACCTGGCAGAGACACAACAAAAAAAAATTTCAGGCCAATATCCATGATGAATATCGATGCAAAAATCCTCAATAAAATACTGGGAAACCGAATCCAGAAGCACATCAAAAAGCTTATCCACCACGATCAAGTAGGCTTCATTCCTAGAATGCAAGCCTGATTCAACATACGCAAATCAATAAATGTGATCCATCACATAAACAGGACCAATGAAAACAAGCACAAGACAAACGTGCCCTCTCTCACCACTCCTATTCAACATAGTATTGGGAGTTCTGACCAGGGCAATCAGTCAAGAGAAAGAAATAAAGGGTATTCAATTAGGAAGCGAGGAAGTCAAATTGTCTCTGTTTGCAGATGACATGATTGTATATTCTGAAAACCCCATTGTCTCAGCACAAAATCTCCTTAAGCTGATAAGCAACTTCAGTGAAGTCTCAAGATACAAAATCAATATGCAAAATTCACAAGCATTCCTATACACCAACAATAGACAAAAGCTAAATCATGAGTGAACTCCCATTCACAATTGCTAAAAAGAGGATAAAATATCTAGGAATACAACTTACAAGGGATGTGAAGGACCGCTTCAAGAACTACAAACAACTGCTCAAGGAAATAAGAGAGAAGACAAACAAATGAAAAAGCATTCCATGCTCATGGAGAAGAAGAATCAATATTGTGAAAATGGCCATACTGCCCAAGACAATTTATGGATGCAATGCTATCCCCATCAAGCTCCCATTGACTTTCTTCACAGAATTGGAAAAAACTACGTTAAATTTCATATGGAACCAAAGAAGACCCCGCATAACCAAGACAATCCTCAGCAAAAAGAACAAAGCTGGAGGCATCATGCTACCTGACTTCAAACTACACTACAAGGCTACAGTAACCAAAACAGCATGGTACTGGTACCAAAACACAGATATAGACCAATGGAACAAAACAGAGGCCTCAGAAATAACACTACACAGCTAAAATCATCTGATCTTTGACAAACCTGACAAAAACAAGCAATGGGGAAAGGATTCCCTATTTAATAAATGGTGTTGGTAAAATTGGCTAGCCATATGCAGAAAGATGAAAGTGGATCCCTTCTTTACACCTTATACAAAAATTATCCCAAGATGGATTAAAGACTTTAACATAAGACCTAAAACCATAAAAACCCTAGAAGAAAACCTAGGCAATACCATTCAGGCCATAGGCATGGTCAAAGACTTCATGACTAAAACACCAAAAACAATGGCAAAAAAAGCCAAAATTGACAAATAGGATCTAATTAAACTAAAGAGCTTTTGCACAGCTAAAGAAACTATCATCAGAGTGAACAGGCCACCTACAGAATGGGAGAAAATTTTTGCAATCTATCCGTCTGACAAAGGGCTAATATCCAGAATCTACAAAGAACTTAAACAAATTTACAAGAAAAAAAAACAAACAACCCCATCAAAAAGTGGGCAAAGGATATGAATAGACACTTCTCAAAAGAAGACATTTGTGCAGTCAACAAACATATGAAAAAAAGCTCATCATCATTGGTCATTAGAGAAATGGAAATCAAAGCCACAGTGAGATACCATCTCACACCAGTTAGAATGGCGATCATTAAAAAGTCAGGAAACAACAGATGCTGGAGAGGATGTGAAGAAATAGGAATGCTTTTACACTGTTGGTGGGAGTGTAAATTAGTTCAATCATTGTGGAAGACAGTGTGGCAATTCCTCAAGGATTTGGAACTAGAAATACCATTTAACCCAGCAATCCCGTTACTGGGTATATACCCAAAGGATTATAAATCATTCTACTATAAAGACACATGCACATATGTTTATTGCAGCACTGTTCACAATAGCAAAGACTTGGAACCAACCCAAATGGCCATCAATAATAGACTGGATAAAGAAAATGTGGCACATATACACCATGGAATACTACGCAGCCATAAAAAGGATGTGTTCATGTCCTTTGCAGGGACATGGATCAAGCTGGAAACCATTATTGTCAGTAAACTACCACGAGAACAGAAAACCAAACACCAAACACCGCATGTTCCGACTCATAAGTGAGAGGTGAACAATGAGAACACATGGACATGAGGGTGGGGGGGCATCACACACTGGGGTCTGTGGGGGATGGGGGCTAGGTGACAAATAGCATTAGGAGAAATACCTAATGCAGTTGACGGGTTGATGGGTGCAGCAAACCACCATGGCACGTGTAACAAACCTGCACGTTCTAGACATGTATTCCAGAACTTAAAGTATAATAATAAAAAAGAAACAGAAGAGAATAATTAAAGTCCATGAATGCTATAGTAAAATACCTAGATTTCTTTTATAGAATGACAAAGAGTAAATGAAAACTTTTGAACTATTAGTGACATAAATAGAGAATTGCTTTAGGAAGATTAATCTGGCATTAAGAGTGCTATATTAATTGGAGGTAGAAAGATGTATCATGAGACTTTTGCAGAAGACTGAGGATAATTGTGCTGTGCAATACAGCAGTGCCAGTGGGATTAAAAGGAATATTATGTAATGATATCACAATGAAATAAAATGATCAAAATTTATGACTGACATGACATGAAGAAAAATTTGGAGAGAGACTAAAACTAGAGAAGAATAATATTGGTTCAAGAAACTGATGCAGGCAAAATCAAAGTCAGTACCTGGAAGATGTAAGAGAAAAAAGTGTTATTTATGGGTCATGTTTTAAAAATTTAAGTGAACAACGCTTTTGCTTTGGCTTCATATTCTCCCTTTCCAGGAGGCTACATCTTGTCTCCTTCTGTTTATGAGCTACCTTTGACAAATGGAATAATTCAGTAAATCTTATCCTTCTGTAATGCGTTTTATTATTCATTTATTTAATATACATTTATTGAGTTCATAGTAAATGTTAGGCATTATGTTAGGTAGCAACAATGATGAACAAAATAAATGCAGTGCCTACCCTCATTGTAGATATACAGTAATAGAGAAGACAGATACTTAACAAATAATTGCTCAAATAACTATTTAATGATTGTTATGCATATTATTAAGCAAAAGTAGAGATGGCTATGAAAGTTTACAAAAGGAGGAAATAACCTAATCTGGCAAGAGGTTCTGGGAATGGTGCCCTGACAAATTAAACTAATATTTAATTTAATAGTTGAAGGATGAGTAGGAGTTAGCTAAATTAGAAAGGAGAGCAAGTGAGCCTGGGCAACATGAAGAAAACCTCTCTCTACAAAAGTTAAGAAAAAAATATTAGCCAGGCATGGTTGCGTGAGCCTATAGTCCCAGCTACATGGGAGGCAGAGGTGGGCAGATCACTTGAATCCCAGGAGGTGAAGTTCTGATTGTACCACTGCACTCCAGCCTGGGCAACAGAGTGAGACCCTATCTGAAAAAAAAACAAAAAAAAATCGCCGGGCGTGGTGGCTCACGCCTGTAATCCCAGCACTTTGGGAGGCCGAGATGGGCAGATCACAAGATCAGGTTATCGAGACCATCCCAGCTAACACGGTGAAACCCCGTCTCTACTAAAAATACAAAAAATTAGCCGGGCGTAGTGGCGGGCGCCTGTAATCCCAGCTACTCGGGAGGCTAAGGCAGGAGAATGGCGTGAACCTGGGAGGCGGAGCCTGCAGTGAGACGAGATCGCGCCACTGCACTCCAGCCTGGGAGACTGAGCAAGACTCCGTCTCAAAAAAAAAAAAAAAAAAAAAAAGAGAGAGAGAGAGGAGAAAGGGAGAAAGTATGTGTGTTTATATTACAGGTGAAAAGAATATCTCACATACAGGAAGCAGTATAAGCAAGGGTTATGAGGGCAACAGATCTTAGTACATTTTAGGGATAGAAAAGGTTGGTGTGGATGGAGCAAAGTGAGCAAGAGAGGGAGATGATTAGTGCAAGATGAGTGTCTTAACTCTTTTGTGTTGCTATGAAGGAACACCTAAGACTGAGTAACTAATTTTTTGTTTTAGTTTTATTTGGCTTATGCGTGGCACTGGCATTGCATCTGGTAAGGGCCACAGGCTGCTTCCATTCATGGTGTCAAAAAGGAGCCAGTCTATAGAGAGATTATGTGGCAAGAAATGAAGTGAGAGAGACAGAGGGGAGGTGCCAGGCCCTTTTTAACAACCAACTCTCATTGGAACTAGTAGAGTGAGGACTCACTCATTACATGAGGACCACACCAAGCCATTCATGAGGGATCTGCCCTCATGACCCAAACACCTCCCATTAGGCCCCACCTTCAACAGGAGATTAAGTTTCAACATGAAGTTTGGGGAAGTCAAATATCTAAACCATAGCCATGAGGATGTAAAAACAGGCAGGAACCATATTATCTGAATCCTGTAGATTTTTACATTTATCCACAGAGCAATGGAAAGATATTAAGGGCCTATAACATGGTTTTTTTGTTGCTGTTTTTACAATCTGGTGAAAGTGTGAGTACTGGAATGGAGAAAGTCAAGATTAGAAACAGGAAAACCAGTTTAGAGGCTATTTGTCTAAGTCTAGGCAATTTATCATGGTAGCTTCAAGTAGTAGCAATACAGTTTGAGAGACATGAACACATTCAAGACATATTTTGCACATTTGGGAAGTAGAATTGGCAAGATTTGATAATAAAGTGGATGTGAGGAGTAAGGTAGAAGGATTAAGGATGTCTCCCAGGTTTCTGAAAGGGCAACTCAGTGATTAAAAAATCATTTGCTGGTATAGTGTGGATGTTGTCCCCACCTAAATGTCATGTTGAAATGTAAGTCCCAGTGTTGGAGATGGGGTCTGGTGGGAGGTGATTGGATCACGAGGGTGAATTTTTCATGAATGGTTTAGCACTATCCACTTGGTACTGTCCCTTCACAGTAGTGAGTGAGTTCTCATTAGATCTGGTCATTTTTAAGTGTGTGACACCTCCCCTCTATCTTGTTTCTGCTTTCACCATGTGACATGCCTGCTCCCCCTTTGCCTTCTGTCAAGATTGTAAGCTTCCTGAAGCCTCCCCAGGAGCCCAGCAAGCATCCGCAGCATGCTTCCTGTAAAGCCTGCAGAATGTGAGCCAATTAAGCCTCTTTTCTTTATAAATCACCCAGTTTCAGGTATTGTTTTATAGAAATGCAAGAATGATTTAACGCACTTGCCAAGAGAGTTAACATTAGAGGAGAAACTGGTTTTATAGGAGCAGATTATGGGTTCAGTTTTTTACTATGAGGCCTATGTAGATTATTCAAATAAACCATAGTATATGAGTTTGGAGACCAATGTGGATCTAATGCTTCAGTGAAACATTATTGGGGAAAGGATTTCTGATAACAAGGATAAGGTGATGTAAAAATACTTTTCATTATCTATAGCTTAATATATTATGTGAAATAAACCCTTCATTTAAAGTGAATCTGTGAGCATAAAAACTATATACATTTTATTCATTTAATTAACATTCTGATGAGAAGAAGTTATCTTTTCAAAGAAAGCTTGATTAATTTATCTAATAATAGGGTTGTTACTCTTATTCATTTAAATAAAAGTAAGAATTGTCCAAGGTTTAACTTCTTCCTATACAGAAGCATAACATTTGGCAGGTTAATGTGCCATTACAACCACTTTGTACTTTTTTTTTTTACTTTCTAGACAAATAACATTTTTCCATGGAATAACTGCAGATGACAAAAGATATGTAGTTAATAAGAAGCCACTTAAAAGACACCATCCACCTCAAAAGATCAAATATTCAAGAAATAAATAAATTGTTAAAATATAAGTTGTCTTGGAATTTATTGCATCCAGCACTTCTCTAATACATGAGTCCTTTCCATAGCTGAACATTTTCTGCTAAGTTTTGTTTGAAATCTTCTAACAAAAAAGACACTGTATTTAAAGAGCAATAATTTTATACAATCATTTTATCCATTTATTTCTTCATTCATTTGTAAGTTCATTTATTCATATATTCTAATTCAACAAAGCATTGTGCTGGATGCCACATAGGGGAAAGTTGAATAAAATGATAAATCAGATATGAGTACTTGCTTCTCAAGACACTTAAAACCTGGCAAATATGAAAGAAAATTGCTATAATACAAGAAAAAATAAGTGATAAAAGAAAGCATATAAATAAAATATCATAGTATTCAGGAGATGAAGAGTCCTCTTTTAGCTAGTAAACAGCTTAAGGCTTATAGCAGACATTGTGGTTTGCCTCCTTAGCAATTATTTTTTTTTTTTATCAATTACAAACAGCCATGAAATTGATGACCTGCAAACTCCAGGGGAGGACCCTGACCAACTTAGATCAGAGGTAAGCTCTGATGATCTAATCTAATCAGCATTTATCAGCCTATATCAGTGAGAATATCACCTAAGCTATTTTAGTATGAAGCCGAGAACTTTTATTGAATTGGAGGTGAGTGGGTGGAGAGACTGGGGAGATGCTTTCTTTTTCTTGCTCTGTGTGATGTGGAATGTTAATGTAACACTTAAAATTGCTCCAACGTTGTCTAACCCTAAAGGAAATCAACCTAAGGACAGAGATCACATGAAGGAATAAAGACACAAGGGAACTGTGTATAAATTAATCTGGCACCTCATGAAATTGTACATGAACCTTTTTCTTTATCTTAACTTTTTTGTGTCATAAACCTATAAATTTCCTTTATTATAGCAATTTGAGTGGCTCTCTGCTACTTATAATCAAAACTATTCTAACTACAAAAATATTCATAAAGAAAATAGCATCTGACCTAGAGTTTGAAAAATAGTTAAGAATTTAGCATAAAAGGATGAAGGGAAGCATTCCAGACAGAGGGAATAAACACTTAGGAAATTAGGAAATTTCTGCAGCACCTCAGTTTGACTCTAATGGAGACTGAATATAGATGTAGCCTGAAAGTGATGGTTGGGTGAAATGTTCCAGAGTAAATGAATGCCTGGCTATGACAATTTCATTCTACAGACCAGTGATTCCAAGTATTAATAATCACGCCTTTACTAGAAAAGGATCTCACTCAACACCTTTCTCTTTATTCACTCATTTATAAAATATATACTCTTAATTATTAAGACAATGCAAATAAAGTTTTAATATGTTTTTCCCATATCTTAGTGTATCATCTTGTATCTCCACTTAAATATGTCCACTCCTACTTAGAATCTACTGTAACAGACAATGACAAACCACTGCAAAGTAAACAAGAGCATAAAGGGATAAGAACCACAGCTTAGAAGCATCTATCTGAGAGCAACATCTAAAATGGATTAAAATAGATATTACTGGAAATAGGGGGATTTGTTATTTTTTCCAAGAAGCCAGTAATTAAAGAATAATTGGAAACTTTAATCTTTAAGGCTTTGGACCATTCTAATAAGATTAACTTTTTCTATTTTCCAATCAGTTAACTGTTTGATAGTATTTTTTTTAAAAAAAATCCTTATTTAGTGAGCTGCATAATTTCTTCAATATCTAACATTTTTTGAATATCTGATAAAAATATAAAAGTTTTCATACAGGTAAAAGATGTATAGCATGTTTTTATAAAAATCAGTTAACTGGAACATTTTAAAAAATTAATCTTATTAAGATGGTCCAAAGCCTTACTTTTCCGTGGAACTTCCGGTTAGAGAAGCAAAGAAATCTATAGCATGATTAAAAGATATGTGTATCAAGATATTTAAGGCAGTGGGCCAAGTCTACTAAACTCTCTCATGCAGAAACTTCCTCTTCACCTTAGAAGATGTGCAAAGACAGAAAATCTATCAGAGAGCAACTATGAGTGACCACTCTTCAAATGTTACTAGCATCTATAAAAGATTTTTCTTGAAAAAAAATTCAAATTTTATTTTATGTTTGGGGAGTATATGTGAAAGTTTGTCACATAGGTAAACTCATGTCACAGGGGTTTGTTGTACAGATAATTTCATCACCCAGGTATTAAGCCCAGTACCCAATAGTTATCTTTTCTCCTCCTCTCCCTCCTTCCTCCCTTCATCCTCAAATATATGACTTACCAAATATATGATTTCTAAATGTCTATTAAAATGATATTTATTGAGCTGACAAATTTTGCAGGGTTTCAAAAAAGAAAAGGCACATTATAAATACATAATGAAATAAAACTGAATTGGAAAGATTGCCAGGACACAGAGGGATTAAAAGAATGAGGAGTAGGCCAGGCGTGGGTGGCTCACTCCTGTAATCCCAGCACTTTGGGAGGCCGAGGCAGGTGGATCACCTGAGGCCAAGAGTTAGAGACCAGTCTGGCCACCATGGCGAAACCCCTCTACTAAAAATACAAAAATTAGCCAGGCGTGGTGGCGGGCACCAGCAATCCCAACTACTCAGGAGGCTGAGGCAGGAGAATAGCTTGAACCCAGGAGGCGGAGGTTGCACTACACTGAGCCGAGATCGCACCACTGCACTCCAGCCTGGGTGACAGAGCGAGACTCTGTCTCAAAAACAGAAAAAGAAAAAGAAAAGAAAAAAGAGTAAGGAATAATTGGCTTATCTATACAAGAAACCAGCCTGGATATTGGCTCAATTTAAACTAACTGAAGGCAATTGCCCTGTATGTTTTTTCTAAGACTAGCTGAGAGATAAATATAAACATTCATTCTTTAAATTTTTGATGAATGTAACTAGTACAAATAAGCAGGAAAAAAATAACATTGTAAATAGATAAAATTTCATGTGTAACATCATAATATATAAAATCTGGTGCAAGTATATTAGATTTTGTAGAAATAATAATCACCAAAAAATATCTAATAGCAGCAGTTATAACTAATAATATTTTATAGAGACAAAACAATCAGCGTATCAAATCTCAGTTAAAAACTTTAAAAGAAAAAAAATATATTTTGATAAAAATTTCAGTAAAGTGAAATAGCAAAGTTGTGAATAGATAACTGTACAGAAATTGATCAATAGATTAAACTGACATGATGTTTATTACCCAAAATATTATTTTCTTCCAAATATTTTCTCAAAAATAAACAATTTTGTCATAATTCTGATTAAAATGCTTTAGACTTCTGAATAAAAAGCAAAATTACCTTAGGGTCAAAATCTGAAGTTAAGTGCCCATTACCTAAAACCAGTCAAGCCAAAATATTCTGTGCCTGTATTTAAAATATGCAATAAAGACTTTCAGATGTTTAAAAACAAGATAAATATCTTTATAGGATCCACTATTCACTAATTATTCACATAACAAACACTCACTGAAGGACTTTTAATTGTCAACTTGTGGTAATAAGAACCAAATTGCTGTCAATATGAAGATCAAAATCTGTGAAATATATAGAGAATCAGATACTGTAATTTTAATAAAGCTTCAAAAGTATAATACGCTTTAATATGAATGTTTCTTTAAAACATTTACTAATATTTTTACAACCATTTGTAGTTGACAACACATTTTCACAACAAAAACTTCTTAATTGATACTCCTCAAAAACTTTTTACAGGTTAGAAGCATGTGGGCCTGAAAAATAAAGTATATACCCAAGATTATACACTTGTACTCAATGCCAGGTCTTGTTACTCCAGGTCCTGGCTCTTCTCATTACATGGGTTTTTTTTCTTACAATTTTAGTGCACAGCTACTTTTATTGTTTTTCCCAATTTGACTCTTTTATATTGCTAAAAAGTCACACAACAAAAATTTAACAAGATTTTAGGAGTACCATTGGGAAACTTAAGCAGAAACAAAAATTAAATAAACATTTTCTTAATGGTAAATTAATATATATTTTGCTTTTAATAATAAGAATAAAGACATCAGCAGGATGGAGGAAAAGCTTTTAGACCTTGTATAACCATAAGAGCAACAATTAGACAGCTATCCACAAACGGAAATACCTCCGGAAGAGCTCAGGAGTTCAGTTAAGAAGGTGCAGCAACGTGGTGGGGAAGAAAAATGAGAATAATCTCACAGAAAGGGTAGAAAGAACAGTTTTATTTTTGCCTGCATCATCCCATCCCCCAGGTCCACACAGCTCAGTACTGAAAAGGAGCCCCGAGTCCATAAGTTTCCTTCATGAGGGAAAAGGAGAGCCTTTTCAGAGCACTGCCTGAAGGACCACTTTGGTTTTATCCCACCCAGGTTACTAAGGAGATAGGAATAGTCAAGACATCTGGAGACAGCTAGGAACAAAGAAGGTTGTGCACTATAAGTGTCAGCCATACTGCAGGTGCCACTGTGGTCCCCAGTGGTGTGCTCTACAGAGGATCCCGGGAGACTTCACAGCTGAGGACATCAACAACCATCACAGCCACTGAGACTCACTATGTTCACCATCAAAGACCTCACAATGTGAGCTGTCAAGGACCCCAGAAGTGTGCTCCACAGAGAAGCCAATAGTTCTCACCACTGAGAAACCCAACAGCCAGCACAGCTGCCACAGACCCCTACATCTTTTGCCACAAAGGATCCTGCAGTTTTTCGCCTCTGCAGAGCCCCGCTACCTGAGCTGCTGTCCCCACTCCTCTACCAGGGCCACCCCAGTCAGCACACTACAAGTGTCCTAGCCTTGGACAGAGTACAGCCACCCCATATGCTCCACAACCAACCCCAGTCCCATCAGTAGTCTCATCTATACCACCATGTACATATCTACTGTCAACCCGAACCACCAGTCCTCATTGCCTTGCGCACACACACACACTGTGAGTCCAGGACCCACAGCCAAGCATACATATGACCAGCTCTGACCAATATTGCCAACCCTCACTTTTATATGCGCATACACCACAGCCACAGTCCTCGCAAGAGCTTATGCACATGCAGACAGCCCTGATGCCAGCTGCTGGTCCCACCATAGCATATACATCTGCAGCAGACCCCTGCAACCACAATCACAGGGCATCAGCTCCAACCTCTGTAGCCTTGTGCACTCACCACTGATTTTGCCACTGTAACCATGCCAACAATCAGCCCTAACCCCTCTGACTGATCCCAGCCCTTGACACTGGGTGCATACTACAGCTAGTTCCCATCACTGTGCACACACTGCACATACCAGTGCCTACTGCCACATACTTGCCCACTGCTGCCCCTGGTTTTCACCAACATGCATGTTCATCACTGACCCTCACTTGCTGCGACCTGCCTCAGCCCCGGTCTAAGTATACCCACAACTAGAATTGGAGGCACTGCTGAGGACTCCAACAGCTCTCAAAGCCACTATAGACCTAGTACAGTGGGTCTCTTGCCACTGAGGACCACGAAGTTGCTAATGCCACTGACACTAACGGCCTGAGCCCCCTAGCCACCATGCCTTCCTAAACGTAGAATCACTGCACATTCCCACACTTGGCACTCCATGCCATCAGACTTGCTACCATAGTATGCTCCATCATACACCCCATAGTCACCACCCCACATCTCCTTCCTACCTCTACCTTCCTATAAGTGAAGGTCTTTCCTTACCAAAGCTAGTCCATAAAATCTGGAAGAAGTAATTACTTATTCAAATGTACAGACACCTACGCAGAGCTACAAGAATCATGAAGAATCAGGAAAACATGATAACATGAAAGGAACACCATGAATTTCCAGTAGGTACACGAAAAATAACATAAAATGAATCAAACCAAACCACCAAAAATGTCATCAAATACCAAAACAACAAAATAGGAAAAAAAAAATAAAAAGAACTGCAAGACAAAAAGGAAACAATGAACAAAATGGCAACAGCAAGTCCTTACATATCAATGATCATTTTAAATGTAAATGAATAAACTCCCAATCAAAATGAATAAAAATACAATATCCAGCAATATACAATCTACATGAAACTAATGTTAGATATAAGGACATACAGAGACTAAAAGTAAATGGCTGGGAAAAGGTAGTCCACGCAAATTGTAAGAAAAAGAGATGTGAGTGGCTATACATGTATCAAACAACGTAGTCTTTTAGTCAAAAAATGTCACAAGACAAAGAAGGTTGTTATGTAATTATAAAAAACAATTCAACAGGAAGACACAACAATTATAAATATATGGGCATTCAGCATTAGAGCACATAAATATATTAAATAAACATGCACAGAGCCAAAGGGAGAAATTGACAATAATACAATAATAATAGGAAACTTCAATACTCTCACTTTCAATAATGGATAAAACATCTAGGCAGAATTCCAATAAGGAAACAGCTAATTTAAACAAAACTATACACCAAAGAGACCTAACAGATATACACAGACCTTCTTCCCCAACAGCAGCAGAATACAAATTATTCTCAAGCACACATAGGACATTAACCTAAATAGGTCATATGTTAGATCACAAAACAAGTCAACAAGTTTTAAAAGATTTAAACCATATCAGGTGTCTTCTCAGATCACAGTGGAATGAAATTAGAAATAACAAAAACAAAACTAGAAAATTCTCAAACACGTGGAAATTAAACCACAGCTTTTGAACAACCACTGGGCAAAATAGAAAATCAAATGGGGAATTTTTTAAATATCTTGAGACAAAAATGAAAACACAATTTATTTAAACTTATGAAATTCAGCAAAAGCCATATACTAAGAGGGAAGTTCATTGTGTTAAATGCCTACATCAAAAATGAAATATCTTAACTAAACAACCTAACTTTATAACTCAAGGAACAAACTAAACACAAAGGCAACAGGAGGAAGAAAATAATAATGATCAGAGCAGAAAGAAAGAAAATATAAGAGAGAGAAACAATAGAAAAAATAATATTACAGAGTTGGTTTTTTTAAAGATAAAATTAACAAACTTTTAGCTAAACTAAGAAAAAAGGAAAGAAAACTCAAATTATAAAACACAGAAATGAAAAAGGAGGCTTTACAATTAATGCCACAGAAATAAAAATGATATTAAACAACTATGATGAATAATTATACACCAACAAATTTGACAATCTAAAAGAAATAAGCAATAGAAATATAAAACCTACTAATGCTGAACTAAGAACTAATAGAAAGGCTGAGTAGACCAATAACAAACAAGAAGATTGAATCAGTAATAAAAAACCTTCCAACAAGGAAAAGCTGAGGACGAGAAGGCTTCATGAGTGAATTCTACCAAATATTCAAAGAACTAATACAAACCCTTCTTAAACTCTTGCAAAAAAATAGAAGAGATAATACTCTCAAGCTCATTTTATGAGGCTAACAACACAATTCTAAAGCCAGAAAAAATCAACACCAAAAAAGAAAACTGGAGGCCAACATTCTCAACGGCCATAAATGTGAAAATCTTCAATGAAATATTAGCAAAAGAATTAAAATAATCATATATCATGACTAAGCAGATTTTATCCCTGACATACAAGGACAGTTCAACATGTAAGAACCGATCAATGTGATATACTAAATTAACAGAAGAATAAACTACATAATCTCAGTAGATGCAAGAAAAAATATTGGACCAAATTCAACATTAAGATAAAAACTATCAACAAAACAGATATGAAAGAAACTTTCCTCAGCACAATAAATGACATATATGAAAGAGGCACAGCTAACATAATAATCAACGGGGAAAATCTGAAAGCTTTTTCTCTAAGATCTGTAAGAAGGCAAGAATGCCAACTCTCACCACAGCTATTCAGCATAGTACTGGAAGTCCTAGCCAGAGCAATCAGGCAAGAAGAAGAAGAAAAAATAAGTATCCAAATCGAAAGGGAAAAAGAAAAATCATCTTTTTCTGCAGATGATATGATCATATACCTGGAAATCCCTAGACTCTACACAAAACACTATTATAACTAACTTAAAAAGTCAATAAAATTACAGGATACAAAGTTAACATACAAAAATCAGTGGTGTTTCTATACACTAAAAACAAACTTTCCAAAAGGAAAACCAAGAAACAAGCTCATTTAAATTAGCAACAATAACAACAAGGAAATACTTAGAAATTAAGAAATAAAAGACCTGTACCCTGAAAACTGTAAAACATTACCAAAAGAAATTTTTCAAAAGACACAAATAGAAAGACGTTCCGTGTTCATGGATTGGAAAAATTAAAATTGTTAAAATGTTCACACTACCCAAAGCAATCTACAGATTCAATGCCATCCTTATCAAAATCCCAATGGCAATTTATACAGAAATAGAAAAAACAATTCTAAAATTCGCATGGAACTACAAAAGACCCTGAATAGCCAAAGCAATTTTAAGAAGAATAAAGCTAGAAGCATCACACTGCTTGACTTCAAATCATATTACAAAGCTATAGTAATCAAAACAGTACAGTATTGTCATAAAAACAAACATCTAAATCAGTGGAAAAGACTAGAGAGCCCAGAAATAAGCCCATACATTTATGGTCAATGTATCTTCTACTAGGGTGCCAAGAACACATAATGGGTATAGTTTATTAAGAAAGAAAAAATTGGTGTTTGGAAAACTGGTTATCCACATGCAAAAAAAAAAAATTAAATTGAACCCCTATCACGCACGTACAAAAACCAATCTATAATGAATTAGAGACTTAAACAACATGCAACTGTAAAACTCCTAGAAGAAAACATAGGGAAAAAGCTTTTTGACAGTGGTCTTGGCAATATGTTTTTGGATATGGCAACAAAAGCAAAAATAGATATCCAGTATTACATGAAATTAAAAAGTTCTGCACAGCAAAGGAAGCAATCACCTAAATCAAAAGGCAACTGATGGAATTGGAAAAAGCATTTGCAAACCATTCACCTAATAAGAAGTTAATACCCAAAATATATAAAGAACTTATACAACTCAGTACCAAAAGTATAAATAACTGAATTAAAAATTCGGCAAAGTACTTAAATAAACACGTATCAAAAGAAGAAATTCAGATGGTGAACAGGCATATGAAAAAGTACTCAACATCTCTAATCATCAGGGAAATGCAAATCAAACCACCATAAAATATCACCTTACACCTTTAGGATGACTATTATTAAAAAGACAAAAGATAACAAACGTTGATGAGGCTGTGGAGAAAAGAGAATGTTTTTCCCCTGTCTTTTCAAAGGGACTTTCTCATAGAAACAGTTCATGATTACTAACGCCCCCTCTTTGCGTCTCAACACAGCAATCAGGTTCCCACCCTGCCATGCTACTGAAGCTGTTCTGGCAGAGGTCACATCCAGTCTAATTGCCAAATCCAGTCAATAGTTCTTAGTTCTTGTTTCGGTTCTTAATTGTGCAGCATTTGACAATAAATTATCCATTCCGAAAAGTCTTTCAATTCTTGTCTTACATGACCTCATTCTCTAGATTCTTATTTAGCTTCCTGGCCATACTTTTTCAGTCTTACTTGCTGTGTCCTCCACCTCCCTCTTCCTGAGTTACTGTTAAGTGAATTGCAGTTCAAAAACAGGATGCACATTATGGCACTATTTATGATGTATTATGTATACATAAATATGTTACTGGATAGAGTTGTCCAGGTTCTTGCCCTGTTGAACAAAGAATTGAACAAAATGCAGAAACAAAGTGACAAAAGAACAGAGCAAGGAAAGACAAAGCAACCGGAGAATGCAGCAAGGAAAGCACAGATTTATTGACAACAATTCACAGAGTGGGAGCCGGCTGTAGCAAGCAGATCAAGAGCCTCTCCAATTAGGGTTTTTATAAAGCCAAAATAACTTGGCAACACCCCTAGGTGCCCTTTAGTGGCCTCCAGTTGGTTATACCCTATGAAAGATGGGCCTGCAACCCAACAGAGGCTGAAATGGAAACTTCTGTCTTGTAATCACAGGAGTGAAGACGTGGCCTGTATGCTGCCTAATCTTGCCTAGAACTGGCTGCACCTGCTATTCCTTTGCTTAGAACTGGCTGCACCTGCTATTCCTTTGCCTAGAACTGGCTGCACCTGCTATTCCTTTGCCTAGAACGGGCTGCACCTGCTATTCTTTGCTTACTTATGCCTCAACCCTTGTCTATCCTAATTCCCTATTTTTCTGCCTCAGATATATTATACATAGATATTTAGAGTGTACACATAAAAGTTGTGTTTATGTGTAAGATAAGTGTGAGATATCAATATGTATATTATATATGTGTATGTGTATATATGATACATGTGTGTCAAAATGTTAGGCAATGGAAATAATCTGTGTGAACTTCACTTTAATCATTTCTGTAGCTCTTGAATATGTTTGTAATTATTATTTATAACTCTAAGAATCAATGTTATTACTCCGTTTTCAGACTGCTGTAAAGAAATACCCGAGACTGGGTAATTTATGAAGAAAAGAGATGTAATTAACTCACAGTTCTGCAGGCAAAACAGGAAGCATGACTGGGAGGCCTCAGGAAAAATATTCGTGGTGGAAAGCGAAGGGGAAATAAGCACTTCTTTACCATGGCAGGACAGGAAAGAGACCGGGAGATGGAGGAAGTGCTACACGCTTTCAAACAACCAGATCTCGTGAGAACTCACTAACTCTCACAAGTACAGCAAGAGAGAAGTCCGCCACATGATTGAATCACCTCCCATCAGGCCCCTCCCCCAACACGTGGTAATTATAATTCCAGATGAGATTTGGGTGGGAACATAAGAGCCAAACCATATAAGTCAATAATAAATTACCCACTAATGCTTATAGCTCTTTAATTGTACTTATATGCTGATGATTTCTAAACTGCCCTCTCAAGCCCAGGTATTTTCCCTGAGTTCCAGACCTGGATGATCCATAGTCGAATTTACCCTTAAGCCTTATCGTTTTGTGCCTTCACAGTCCCCAAACCATTCTCTAGGTAATTGCTTTCTTGCAGCTATATCTTTACAACTTTATAATATTCAAAATGGAAAGCTTCGTGAATTATTTGTGTTTCTATTGCTAGTGCCCATGATACATACATAGTGCCTTGTAAAGAGAACATGGTTACTGATACTGGTTGAGTGAATAAACTAAGTGGATTATTCTTTTTTTTTTTTTTTTTTTTTTTTGAGACGGAGTCTTGCTCTGTTGCCCAGGCTGGAGTGCAGTGGTGCGAGATCAGCTCACTGCAAGCTCTGCCTCCCGGGTTCACGCCATTCTCCTGCCTCAGCCTCCCGAGTAGCTGGGACTACAGGCGCCCGCCACCAGGCCCGGCTAATTTTTTGTTTTTGTATTTTTAGTAGAGGCGGGGTTTCACCGTGTTAGCCAGGATGGTCTGATCTCTGCCCGCCTCCGCCTCCCAAAGTGCTGGGATTACAGGCGTGAGCCACCGCGCCCGTCCGGATTATTCTTTATTCCTTGTGGTTTAAGGAATTATCAAAGTATTTTTAGTTAGGGAGTAACATGTTCAGATTTCTAATTTAAGATTAATCTGGATGTATATTAAAAAATGAAATAAGGCCGGGCGCGGTGGCCTGTAATCCCAGCACTTTGAGAGGCCGAGGCAGGTGGACCACTTGAGGTCAGGAACTCGAGACCAACTTGGCCAACATGGTGAAACGCCGTCTGTACTAAAAATACAAAAATTAGCCAGGAGTAGTGGCGCGGGCCCCAACTACTCAGGAGGCTGAGGCAGGAAAATCGCTTGAACCCGGGAGGCAGAGGTTGCAATGAGCCGAGATCCCGCCACTGCACTCCAGCCTGGGCGGGAGAGAGACTGCTGCATCACAGGAAAAAAAAAAAAAAAAAAGTGGAGAGTTTAGAAGGGAGAAGGGAGAAGGCAAGTATAAAAAGTCGCAGAAACTCTATGCACCAATGATAGAACCTTTCTGATGAAGTTTTACCTCTAAGGAACAACCACAAAAAAAAATTGCATTTCTTACACATTAGCTTTTTAAGATACACATTATTTGGTTTAATGACAGGTTGTTTACTGATTCTAAAATAAATCTTTTCTGCCATCTTGTGGACAGAAACAATATTTATTTATCTTTTTATACCAATGTTTAAACTTGGTAGTATTTACTGAGCCTATAATTATCCATAATGTTATTTATTATTTTAAAAGAAACTTCAACTTAACCCTTAAAAATCAAAAAGCATTTCTTCTTCTGCTTTCATGCCAACTTACTTTTAACTCTACATGGACTTTTTATGTGTATATATTTAGTCATACTGTTTTGTTAATTGTAAGATAAATATTTCTAAACTTACTGAAATTTGCTTTTGTTCAATTTTGCTCCAAATTCTATAGGCTAAAGAAAAACCTCAGTGATGATTTCATTGTGAATATACCTATTGAGCTCCTTTCCTATTATTGAGTTCTTATATATTAATTTATTCGATTTAACAAGTATCTACTGAGTACCTACCTTATGTCAGTCATTGCTCTAAACACGGAGGATATAATCGTTTTAAAAAGAGACAAAAATTTCTTCCTTCCAGGAGTTCACATTTTAGTTAGATATATGGAGTGGATTTATATGTCCTGATGTTCCTTAAAAACTTATTTCCCGCTATAACAAACTGATTTGGAAGGAAGATATAGGAGAAATTCTCTCTAAAATAGACTTTTTTGAGAAATATGGTCTGGAATATTCCAAAGTTAGGGTCACGCATATAAAATTTTGTAGAAACTACAAGTCTTAGTAACTTTCTGTATTGATAGGATTATAGAAAAGTATACTACAAATATACAAAAATTCAGTCAAAGAGTTCAAAACTGTAGGTAGTTTATTTAAATCTGAACAAAGCAATTCATTTAGCACTTGTATGCGCCATTTAAAAAACTAAAGTTTAATAAAAATTGAAATGGTATAGAAAAGCTGGGATGTTAGATAATAATGGAAATGTAATTTTTTTGGAAATGCCAGCCATCTTTGCACAAAAAAAATTCTTCTTCCTAATCAACAACGGTTCCGAACACTCTGCCTGTAAACTTGTTTTTGTTATTAGTAGAGCATTTAGTCCATCAAATTCTGAAATATGATTAATTTCATTTTCTGAACCTTTAATCTAAAAAAAAAAGATTCTCAGTAAAAATGCTTATGCTTCAAAATATTTCAGTTTGTCTCATGCCTAGGTCCTCTCCAAAAGCAGAGCTGAATACAAAGGCTTGTAAGCAGATAGTTTTTTTTTTTATTGTTTGTTGTTAAATTATCTCAAAGAAGAGAAGTGGGAAACTGGGAAGAGACGGAAAGGAAGGAAGAAAACTAAACCTTAGAGTACACTGTTGCACTAATTATTGCAGTATTACTTGGGGCTCAGTCTTTCTAAGAAGCCTTGTAGAAATCATCTCAGGTGTATTTTCCACTTGAGACAGAATCAGGGAGAATTTACACACCAGTTCCCATTCCTAAGTTGGACAAGTTTTGCACTATTTTGTGTTTACTCCTCTCACTTCCAGGTGTTTTTTTTGTGTGTGTGTGAGATGGAGTCTCGCTCTGTCGCCCAGGCTGGAGTGCAGTGGCGCCATCTCGGCTCACTGCAAGCTCCGCCTCCCGGGTTCACGCCATTCTCCTGCCTCAGCCTCCCGAGTAGCTGGGACTACAGGCCCCCGCCAACACGCATGGGTAATTTTTTGTATTTTTTAGTAGAGACGGGATTTCACTGTGTTAGCCAGGATGCTCTCCATCTCCTGACCCCGTGATCCGCCCGCCTCTGCCTCCCAAAGTGCTGGGATACTTTTCAGCTCTTTTATGAAGCTATTAAAACCAATTAAGGAAATTTTAAAAGTTAAAAAAAAATAAGATTTTATCATAAGAAAGTGTATTTCACAATTTGGATATAAAAATTTAATAAATTACTTCCATCAAGATTACTGTTTATAGAGGAAACTCAAATATGAATAACATTAGAAAAGTTGTATTCCTCAAATAACTGTGTGTATGGTTGCATGAGTGCACACAGGCATGTGCTAAAGAGTAAAAATATATATTTATGTTTTTTAATAACAACTTTGTCATCTCTAGTTCCTCCTACTCTTTGTATCCATTTAAGTTTTTTCCTTGCTTTGTAGGGATAAAGTTCAATGTATTTTTATTTGTAATCTTTATTTTTAAAAATCACAACTCTCTAAGAATTTCCAAAGTTGAAGGTTTTCTGGCAATGTAAATTTATTAACTGTTTTGTTTAAAGATGTTCAGCTCCTTCTGAAAAGAAAATGCAACTGAATTTTGGAAGAATCATTTATAAAATATGCAATACCATTTTGTTGATTTACAAAATAGTGAAATAGAGTAGTAGTGTTTATGTTGATTTACAAAGTAGTGAAATAAATTTAGTACATTCCTAAAAATTTGATTGATGCTAGGAAGAAAGAGAAGAAAACGTCCAGCCATACTGAGGTTTTGTTTGTTTGTTTTTCAGGAAGGGAAGGAATTCAACATAGGCTTCATCACAAAAAAAGTTCAGTTTAGTCATTCTATGGTATACAAAAATATTTGTAAATTCTGACAGAGTTATATTTTAAATAGTACACTATCATAGTTTAACTAAACAAAATTATAATGCACCAACACTAATCTCAAGTATATTTCTGCTTCATAAATTTCTTAATTTCGTAACATTGTACCATCCTGCTGTGCTCCAACAAAATTAGTATTCATATTATATTCATATTCATAAAACACTTTTATTTTCAATGTAAAATTACTTAAGTGAATTTGTAATAGCATTCACCATATCTCAGATGTACAACCTTTACAGAAAGCAATACAAAAAACAAAATAATAGTGAAGCAACATTTTAAAAAATGTCTAGAAGTATATAAAGGATTTTATATCAAGCTCTCCTTCACATTTCAGGCCTTTGGAAAAAGCTATTTTAAACATGTAAGAACTCAAGGAATATTATTTTCATAGGCTATTTCTGAGGACTCCACTAGAGTACAAGCCTTATATGACCAAAAGAATGACTGAGGAAACTGCAGCCAAAAGATGGATGGCAACCAGTGAACATATTTATTAAATATATTTGTTATAAATGAATAAATAAATTTAGATCAATTTAATATATACTTATAAATTTAGGTCAATTTAATATATACATATATTAAATAATTTATATAATAAATATATTTAAACTATAAATGCATAATAAAGCTGGGCTTAAGGGTGGAAGACTATTATACAAATGCTACATTTACTGACTAATATGGCTTTGCTCTGTTCCCACCCAAATCTCACCGTGAATTGTAATAATCCCCACATGTCAAAGGTGGGGCAAGTGGAGATAATTGAATCATGGGGGCAGTTTCCCCCATACTGTTCTTGTGGTAGTGAATAAGTCTCACGAGATCTGATGGTTTTATAAATGGGAGTTCCCCTGCACAAGTTCTCTTGCCTGCCATCATGTAAGCGGTGACTTTGCTCCTCATTCACTTTCAGCCATGATGGTGAGGCCTCCACAGCCATGTGGAAGTGCGAGTCAATTAAACCTCTTTCCTTTATAAATTACCCAGTCTCACGTATGTCTTTATTAGCAGCATGAGAACAGACTAATACACTGACAAAGTAAAAAAAAAATTAGAGAAGATGGAAGAAAGAAAAACAATGTAATAATCTCATTGATTGTCCTGTAGAAAGCAGTTAAAGGTCACTCAGTTAAAGCTGACAAACTGAACAGTAGAAGCCCAAGTAAGAAAAGAAAGAGGTAATTATATAAAGATATTAATACACAGAAAACCACTGAAACAAAAATGCAAAAGTTCCTATATACCAAAATAAAGACAATTAAAATAAACAAAATAAAACAAAACTTAGTTGACATCATTTGTTGCAGTCTTCTATTTAAATCTCTTTTATCTTTGTGGATTTATATACTTTTTTTTATTCCTACACTATAATTTTGGTGAAATCTGAGGAGAAAATGGCAATAAATGTATGTGTTCAATATGACATGGCTTACCAAAATAAAGTCTTTTTTTAAGCCCTGAGGTTGGAACTTCCTGCTGTATGTAGGTCATCGGGTTAGGTCTGTAACTAATCCTACATGGTATTCCAGATTCACAACTTATCATGAAGGAAGGTGAAAGGTGACTGCTCATCGCTGGATATGCTATGTCTCTGGCTTGGGAGGCTGGATGGATGATGGTACATGAATTGGTTGTTTACCTATTTCTATTCAGCTTCCAATGGTCCTTCTCTGCAAATAAGAGTTGCAAGTTCTTTGTCTAGTTAACACAGTCCACCACAATCTGTATCTAATTTGATTATTTAATCTAATTTTATGCATAAAATTTTTCTGCTATAATGTTTGCTTGTTTTTTTTTTTGAGACGGAGTCTCACTGTGGTGCCCAGGCTGGAGTGCAATGGCACTCCGCCTCCTGGGTTCAAGCCATTCTCCTGCCTCAGCCTCCCGAGTAGCTGGGATTACAGGCACCCACCACCCATCCCTCCCCAGCTAATTTTTGTATTTTTAGTAGAGATGGGATTTCACCATGTTGGTCAGGCTGGTCTTGAACTCCTGACCTCAGGGGATCCACCTGCTTCGGCATTCCAAAATGCTGGGATTACAGATGTGAGCCACCGCCCCCAGCCTTTCTGCTGTAATATTTAAGAGGTGTGTTGCCACTGGAAATTTCAAAATATTTAAATAATCTAGGCCTCAGATTCCCGTGATATGGAAATAATAATATGGAAACGTACATAAAACATAAACATACTGCTTTATGAATCATAAAGTGAACATCCATGATCTAAAGAAATGGAATATGCCAGTGCCTCAGAATCATTCCTCTTTCCTACCACAATCTCTCACCTCCCCATAAGTAACCATAGCCTGTTTTTTTGTAGTAATAATTTCTTAAATTTTCTATATGGGTTTACCATGATAGTATGTATTCTTAAATTTAATGGTTGCCTTTTTTCTGAACTTTATGTAAATGTAATTATGCTGAATGCATTTTTTTCTTTAGCTTTTTTTACTCAACATTATACTTGTGAAATTCACCAATTTTTGTTGCGTGTATCTGTAATTCATTTGTTCTTAATTTTGTATAGTATTACATTGTATGGTTATACCAGAATTTATGCATGCCCTTTATAGTTAATTAATGCTTAGATTATTTCCAGTGTTTGATTTTATAAATAATGCTGTTTTGAACATCTTTGTACATATTTCCTGGGTGTCTTTGTGTGTGCATTAATATACATGTAAAGGTGTAGCTGGGTCTGGAAAAGGCTCATCTTCATCATTATGAGAAAGTGCCAAAATTTGACAAAGTATTTTTACCAATTAACCTGAACCAGTAGTTGTACTTTCTTGGAAACACTTAAAGTACAATATTTTCAACTTTAGCCAAACATAAATGTATGGTGGTATCTTAAAGGACATTTTTTCCAACTTATTAATAATGAGACAAGCATCTGATCATATGTTTGATGGTGATTAAAATTTTATTTCCCCTACTGATTTCTATTACTGTTATGTAAATGTTCTTTGTACAGTGTTGATACAAATGTCTATCAGTTACAAATAATTTAGCTCACTCCGTAGTTTGTTTTTTTAGAGTCTCATCCATTGATGAAAAAGTTCTTAATTGCAGTATCATACTTTGTATATTACTTAGTGATTTTTGTTTTCTTTATTCTGTTTCAAAAATCATTCTCCAGTGAAATGTTCTTGTATGTCATCTTTCAGAAGTTTGTTTTTCGTTTTATTTTGTTTTGTTTTTACTTTCATATTTGTAATCCAATAAGAATCCTTTTTAGGTATGTGGCAAGAGGTATAGGTAATAGTTTACTCTTTTTTACATATGATTAATTAACCCAGCAAAACTTTTTGAACAGTTCATCTCTTTTACTACTGCTCTGCTGTGCCGCCTTTACCATGAATAGCATTTCCATGTAACCAATGTGGTGGAAATGGAGATGTGTCATTAAGATTTTCCCTTCAAGGACTGTTGCTACAGAGCACTATACAATCTCTGTCAGTTGTATCAGGTTACAATTAGCTTCAGCTGCAGATAGCCACCTTACATAATAGGATACATTACCAGGTTGTTTCACAAGCAATGAGTGATTGTCATGTTGATATAAAGACCTGACCATTTCACTTCACCACAGGACAGTATTTATATTTTTCAGAGCTCCCCATGGGATTGGCAAGATAATGTTGGGCCTGCATCATAGTTTGAAATCTCCATCTACCCAATCCTGTTTCCACCTCCTTCCTTCTACAGATATTGATTCCTGTAAATATCCTGTATGCCAAGCATGTCTCAATGTCTGCTTCCACAAAGCCCAACCTGAGACAATTCGTACCATTAGTGGTTTGAAAAAGCATTCAAAATCTCCTGTGACATTGATTCTAACTAAGACAGAAGAAGAGAAGCGAGATTTACTTTATTTCCCAAAACAAAAACGAACAGACAAAATGCATGGAACAACAGTTCACAAGACAATGGACATTAGGCAATAAATGACAGTGATCTCTGAGAGATAAGACACAAATGAGATAAGTAATACAATAACCCTAGCTTACAGCCTAGAGAAAGTTTCAAGTTTACAACACAGAGGAACTTAGGCACGGTAGTGGAACGGTCTTCCTGAGTCAAAGAGATAGAGCTGGAGTTCCAAGGAGGCCAAGGTAGATAGAATTTGCAAGGCAGAGTACTGAAAGATAGAGGGCTGCACAGAGTAAGAATTCCAGGGACCTACAGAGTCCCACTTGAGGAGGTGCTGCGTACTGAGCAGCACATGAATCTGAGAAAACTAATCAAAGATGGGAAAAGCATCATCCGAAAAGATTAGAGAAAACCCAAGAGATCATACAACGTGACAATATTTTGGTTCCCATCTGTCAGAGTTAACCTTACAATCCATGAGACGTGAGCTAGAGTACTCTGAAGGTTTTTGTCTCATTAGAAGGCAAAAATACCCACAGATTAACTGTTGCTCTTGTTCTCCTTTTCCCTAAAAAAGCTTAAAAGGTATATCCAAATAATAAAATGTTTAAGTAATTTAACTGCAAGGCAGAACAGATACTCAGCACCCACCAGGTAAAATTCACAATGTTAGGAAGTAAAATTTTAAATAGGTATGTAGAGAAGAAGGAAAATGTGTTCAATAATGAGAAAAAAAATCAAACAACTTAAATTAAACCAGAGATAGCACAGATAATATAATAGGCTAAGACATTAAAAGAGTTACTATAGCTCTTTTATAGCACTATACCACTTGTTCAAAAAACTAAATCAAAGATAAACATGTTAATTAGACACATATACTTTTTAAAAACTTCTACAGTCGAAGACTACGATGTAAAATATTGCATGAGATTAATGATGAATTAGACATGGTAGAATAAAAGACTAATAATTAGTATCAACAGAAATCATTGAAAATAAAACAGAGGGAAAAACAAACAAAAAAAAGTAGTGGACAGAACATCAGTAGCAGTGGGAGAACTTCAAAATCCTGATATATACAATACTGGAGACCTCAAAGGAAATGGAAAACCAGAAAAGATGTTTGAAAAAACAATGGCCAACTTTTTTCCAAATGTGATTAAAACTATAAACATGAAGATCCAAGTATCTCAATCAACCTTGAGCACAAGAAATATGAAGAAAACTACAGCAAGTTTTGTACATCATAATCAAGTTTCTCAAAGCCAGTAATAAAAATAAAATCTTAAAAGCAGCAAAAAAAAAAAAAAAGACACAGTACAAAAAAAAAAAAAAAAGACACAGAGATAAGGAAAACTACCTATTTCTTGTCTAAATGCAAACCAGAAGAGAGTGAGGCAACATTTTTAAAATAATAAAGGAAAAACGTGATAGCCTAGAATTATATACCCTGTGGAAATTCAAAAAGACTGGCAAAATAAAGAACTTTTAAGATATAAAAAAGCTGGGGCCGGGCATGGTGGCTCATACCTGTAATTCCAGCAATTTGTGAGGCTGAGGTGGGAGAATTGCTTGGCCCAGATGTTTGAGTCCAGCCTGGGCAACATGGCAAAAACCCATCTCAAAAAAAAAAAAAAAAAAAAGCCAGGCGTGGTGGTGCATGCCTGTAGTCCTAGTACTTGGGAGGCTGAGCGGGGTGGGTCATCTGAGCCTGGAGACAGAGGTGGCAGTTAGCCAGGATTGCATCACTGCACTCCAGCCTGAGAAATAGACAGAGTGAGACCCTGTCTCAAAAAAGAAAAAAGATATAAAAAAGCTGAAAGATTCTTTCACCATAGAAGATTACTATGAGAAATGTTGAATTAGGTACGGAAAGCAGAAGGAAAATGATATCACATGAAATCCACCACTGATACCCTTTCTTCCAGTTGATCGAATCAGCTACTGAGGCTTGTGCATTCGTCACGTAGTTCTTGTGCCGTGGTTTTCAGCTCCATCAGGTCCTTTAAGGACTTCTCAGCATTGGTTATTCTAGTTAGCCATTCGTCTAATTTTTTTTCAAGGTTTTTAACTTCTCTGCCATGGGTTCGAACTTCCTCCTTTAGCTCGGAGTAGTTTGATCGTCTGAAGCCTTCTTCTCTCAACTCATCAAAGTCATTCTCTGTCCAGCTTTGTTCCCTTGCTGGTGAGGAGCTGCGTTCCTTTGGAGGAGGAGAGGCGCTCTGATTTTTAGAGTTTCCAGTTTTTCTGCTCTGTTTTTCCCCCATCTTTGTGGTTTTATCTACCTTTGGTCTTCGATGATGGTGATGTACAGATGGCGTTTTGGTGTGGATGTCCTTTCTGTTTGTTAGTTTTCCTTGTAACAGTCAGGACCCTCAGCTGCAGGTCTGTTGGAGTTTGCTGGAGGTCCACTCCAGACTCTGTTTGCCTGAGTATCAGCAAGGCAGGCTGCAGAACAGCGAATATTGGTGAACAGCAAATGTTGCTGCCTGATCGCTCCTCTGGAAGTTTTGTCTCAGAGGAGTACCCGGCCGTGTGAGGTGTCAGTCTGCCACTACTGGGGGGTGCCTCCCAGTTAGGCTACTCAGGGGTCAGGGACCCACTTGAGGAGGCAGTCTGTCCGTTCTCAGATCTCCAGCTGCGTGCTAGGAGAACCACTACTCTCTTCAAAGCTGTCAGACAGGGACATTTAAGTCTGCAGTTTTCTGCTGCCTTTTGTTTGGCTATGCCCTGCCCCCAGAGGTGGAGTCTACAGAGGCAGGCAGGCCTCCTTGAGCTGCGGTGGGCTCCACCCAGTTCGAGCTTCCCAGCCACTTTGTTTACCTACTCAAGCCTGGGCAATGGCGGGTGCCCCTCCCCCAGCCTCGCTGCCGCCTTGCAGTTTGATCTCAGACTGCTGTGCTAGCAATGTGCGAGGCTCCGTGGGCGTAGGAGCATCTGAGCAAGGCACAGGATATGATCTCCTGGTGTGCTGTTTGCTAAGACCATTGGAAAAGCTCAGTATTAGAGTGTGAGTGACCAGATTTTCCAGGTGCCGTCTGTCACCTTTCTCTGACTATGAAAGGGGATTCCCTGACCCCCTGTGCTTCCCAGGTGAGGCGATGCCTCGTCCTGCTTTGGCTCACGCTTGGTGCACTGCACCCACTGTCCTGCACCCTCTGTCCTACACTCCCCAGTGAACCCGGTACCTCAGTTGGAAATGCAGAAATCACCCGTCTTCTGCGTCGCTCACGCTGGGAGCTGTAGACTGGAGCTGTTCCTATTCCGCCAACAACAACATGGCACATGTATACATCTTTAACAAACCTGCACGTTGTGCACATGTACCGTAAAACTTAAAGTATAATTAAAAAAAAAAAATCCATACAGGAAAATAAATGAAACACAAAAAGACAAATACTGCATTAACTCACATGTGGAATCGTAAATAGTTGAACTCAGAAGCAGTAAGTAGAATGGACTGGGGTAAGAGAAATGGCAAAATGTTGATCAAGCAGTGTAAAGTTTCATATATGTAAGATTTATAAATTCTTGGGATGTAATGTACAGGATGGTGGCTATAGTTAATAATATTGTGTACTTGAAATTTGCTAAGAAAAGTATAAATTGTTATCACAAAAAATGGTAACTATGTAAGGTTATAGATATATTAAGTCGATGGTGGTAAATATTTACATTTTAAATGTATATTAAAACATTATGTTGTACATTTTAAATATATACAATTTTTATTTGTCAATTATACCTCAATAAAGGTGGGAAAAAATGCCCTCAAAGAAAAATTCAGGCCCAGAGGGCTTCACTGTGGAATGAAAACAAAACTTTTCAGAAAAATATATATTTTTTTCACAACGTCTTTTAAAATTAAAGATGAGGGAATACTTTCCAACTCATTCTATATGTCCACTATTACCCTGTTAGGAAAACAAAAAAAAAGACACTAATAAGAAAAAAAAATTACAGATCAATATCCCTCATGGCCATAAATTCTATAATTCTTCAGAACATGTTACAAATCTAATTCAACTATAAGTGGAAAAGGCAATATATCATGATCATGTGGAGTTTATCCTAGGAATGTAAGGTAGGCACAACATTCAAAATTTAATCAATATAATTCACCATACTAACAACTTAGAAAAGCAAATTCATATGATCATTTCAATATATGCAGAAAAAAGCATTTAACAAAATTCAATCCTGTTTCATGATAAAGTCTCTCAGCAAACTAGAACTAGAGAAAAATTCTTCAACTTATTAAGGAGTAACTCCTGAAAAACCTACAGTAAACATGATATTTAATGGTAAAAGACTGAGTGCTTTTCCTAAGATCAGTAACAAAGCAAGCATAGCAGACCACTTCTATTCAACATATAGGTGGAGATTCCAGTCAATGAAATATAGCAAGAAAAGAAATAAAAGACTATATTGGAAAGAAAGAAGTTAAACTGTCTCTATTCTCAGATGACATGATTATCTATTCAAAAAATCCAATGGAGTCTATAAAAAGTAACTGCCCTAATGAGTGAGTTTAGGTTTCAGGATAAAAATACAAAAATCAATTGTATTGCTATATACAAGCAACAAACAATTGGAAACAGAAATTTCCTGAAGTCCTAGCTGTTCAGGAGGCTATTTAAGTACAGCCTGGGCAACACAGCAAGACCTTGTCTCTAAATTATTTTTTAATTTAAAAAAATTATATCTTTATAATCACATTCAAAGTTTTGGAATATTCAAGAATAAAGCTTACAAAAGATACGCAAAACTTATAAACTGAAAACTTTAAAATGCTAAGAGTAATTGAAGACCACTGAAGTAAGTTTAGAGATACACCATGTTATAGGTGGGAAGTCTTAATATCGTTATGTCAATTCTTCCCAAACTGATTCAAGATTCAACACAACGGCAGTCAAATCTCAGCAGGCTTTTTGTGAACAATCAACACATAAGATTTCGGTGACCAAATATGGGGATTTCTCCCAACCACCAAGCAAGCAAGCAGTTCTACGAGGAGATTCTAAAATCCACATGAAAAGGCAAGTGAACCTAGAATAGGCAAAACAACTTGATAAAGAAGAATGATTTTTAAGGGCTAACACCTGATTCAAAATTTATTATTACTTCATGTCTATCAGAAAGGCTAAAATTTTTAAGGATATAAAATGCTGGCAAGGATTTGGAGAAAATAAAGTTCCAACATATTGCTGATGGGAATATAAATGGTCCAGTATTATGGAAAACAGTATAGTACTTTCTTAATTAAACATGTAATTCACCATACCAACTTACCATATAACTAACTTATGATATGACCCAGCAATTATACAATTTCATTTATATTCAAGAGAAATGAAAATTTATGTTCCACAAAAAAAGCTGTATATGAGTTAAGTCTTTTTAAAATCTTGTTTCTGATTTTTTTTTTTTTTTTTTTTTTGACGGAGTCTGGCTCTGTCGCCCAGGCTGGAGTGCGGTGGCACGATCTTAGCTCACTGCAAGCTCCACCTCCAGGGTTCACGTCATCCTCCTGCGTCAGCCGCCCGAGTGGCTGGGACTACAGGTGCCCACCACCACGCCCGGCTAATTTTTTTTGCAATTTTAGTACAGACGGGGTTTCACCGTGTTGGCCAGTATGGTCTCGATCTCCTGACCTCGTGATCCGCCCACCTTGGCCTCCCAAAGTGCTGGGATTACAGGCGTGAGCCACCACGCCCAGCCTCTGATTCTTAAGTTCTGTTATGTAATTTCTGTTACTCTAATTCTGATTTGTGCTGTTCTTTTGTGTCTTGAATCATTTTCTTAAAGTTTTTCAGCCCATTTTAAAACATTCTATTAAAGTTGTGTTTATTTCTTGAATATGCCTTTCCAGTTATTCTGTAGGATTATTATTCTACTTCTTATTCACACTTTTTTCTCATGGTAGATTCATATGAGATTTGATCTTAATATCTTGTATCTCTCATTTTCATGTGAAATTATTCTTTCTGGGCTATGTGAAGAGATTCTGATTTAGATAGCTTTTTTTTTTTAATAACTTAATAGTTTCCCTTCATCCATTTTTTTTGTGTGTGTTGTTAAAAAAAATTGAGTTTGTTTTCTGAGATTCTCCAGTTCTCTCTCTAGCGCTTTTATCCGGCCCATCTTCTTTTTGCTCTGTCATCCTTATTGTGATTCCACTCCAAGCAGTTCCTCGTTAGATCTGAGCCCTGCCCTGGGAGGAATGCCTGTTGGTTCAGTTTGAAAGTTAATAGGAAATAACCAGTTTCAGCTCCCTGAGGCCTTACTATGGGTCCCTTGCACTCAGCCACTTTTACAGTGAACTAAACCCATCAGTTGTGTTACATTAGCGCTTTTGTTTTGCTTTTGTAAATATCATCCATAGGCTTTGGTTTTGGTAACTACCCTGTTCCCATGCAGTGATTTGGAAAGATCCAAAATCTATACTTCCACGGATGTTACCATATTTCCCAAATCCAAACCCAAACTTTCATTTTTGATGTTTTTTTTCATTTGATCACTTTAAAGATGTCATTCTATTGTTTTGTGGCTTCCATTGTTCTACTGAAAGCTATGTGAGTTTAGACGTAGCTTAAAACTTTAAAAACAAAAACTGTTTTTCGTCTACTCTCATACTGCAACAATCAACACATAAGATTTCAGTGACCAAATATGGGGGTTTCTCGCAACCACCAAGCAAGCCATCAGCTCTATAGCAGACACCACCTGAGTGCCCTCCAATTCAATTCTAACATTGTCTGTCAGCAGCATCAGATCCCACAGAGACCTGCTTCAAATTTAGCTTCCTACAGCACCCTTTTTGGGTTTGATTAATTTTCTAGCATGGCCCACAGAACTCAGAGAAACACTTGTTACCTTTACCAGTTTATTGGGCAAAGAAAACAGATGAAGAGATGCACAGGGTGAGGTATGGGAGAAGGGGAGGAGCTTCGACGAGTGTGTCACTCTCTAGGATCCTCCACGTATTCAGTTATCTGGAAGCTCTCCAAACCCAGTTCTTTTGGGGTTTTATGGAAACTTCATTACATAGGCATGATTGATGAAGCTATTGGCTTTTCATGATTGACTTAACCTTCAACCCCTCTATCCTATCTGGAAGTTGGAGATGGGGCTGAAAGTCCCAATCCTCTTAATCATGTCTTGTTTTCTTCTATGACCAGCCTTCATCCTGAAGCTACCTAGGGGCTACTAGCCATCAGTAAACTTGTTAGTATACAAAACAACATCACTTTGGAGATTCCAAAGATTTTAAGAATTATATGCCAGGAAACAGAGACAAAAGCCAAGTATATAATTTACACAATAAATTTTTTCTTGATCCTTCTTCTAGCAGGACTTTGAATTGCAAGCACTGTGAGACTGAGGGAGATCTTCACTCTACCTTTCCGGTGTAGCTCCCATATTCTTGTGCCACCCTTTCACTTAAAAAATGTCCCTTAGAGAAAATTCAATGTGTGTTGTGAGACAAAGTTGCAAATGTAAGAAGCCGTGTTTGTTCATTTCTGCTTGCCAGCAAAATTTCACAAAGCCCTGACTTTGTAATGATATGCAGCTCTCCAGAAGGATGATTTGAAGATAAAACAAGGATACAGCACATGGACACCACATCTCTTGCCTGAGTCACTACATTCCTTAAAAGATAAATGACCCTAGTCCTTGCCTTTTCCTACACATAAGACAACTTCTGACACGGTTAGTGATTATGCCTCTGTAATCCACAACCAGATATACTCTTGCACCTAAACGGTGATATGATTTTGCTTTAATGTAACTTCTGAGCATATACTTGTAGCTGGCTGAAGTGCGGCTGCTTGCTGCTCAGAGGCCGAAAACTCAAGAAGTGAGGTGTGGTGAGAGGAAGGCAGTTTTATATATCAAATGCTACCAACTGGGAAATGGCCAGACTCATATCTTTAAAAGACCATTTTAGGTCTTCGGCTGAGGGGAGGGATTTAAAAGTAGAGGCTTGGCATGAAAAATACACAGAAGTAGTACAGGATGCAGGTCTGCATGTCTTGCTGCAAATGCTATCTTGAATTATTGTCCACCTGGAGTTCCAGCTGGTACTATGTCAGTTGTAGCCAGGTTGCAGATAACCCATCTTGAGGTAATTTCCAAGTGGAAGAGAATCCCACAACTGGGCTTCCATGCTTGGCTTGTTGTAAAATAAGTCCCTGGAATTTTTAAACAAGCATACAGTTAGATAAGCGTGCGTATTTTAAGGGAGTGTCTGGTGGGAAAGAGAGGAGAGTTTCAAAGTACATTTCAAGGCTATATTTTAAGACTAAGAAAAAAATGTTTCTACAGTCTATTTCAGGGTTACATCTTAACAGTAGAGAGAAAGGAGAAAAAAGTTTTAAAATGAATTTCATACATACTGAACTTTCACAACCTGTATATAAGTAATGAACTGAAACACTGTTTTGGAGCAGGCTGATAGAATCTCCCCAAAAGACTCCTTTCAGGCTATAATCATCTACAGTCCTCAGTAAGGCTTGTGAATAAAACTAACTTTAATTCTTTAAAAGCTTTATTTTTCTTTCTTTAGTCAACAATGTCTTTGGTTTCTCTGGATTTCAGTTTGTCATGCCAGCCCGTGCAGCAGTTTTTAGAAAGCTCACTTTGTTTGTTTATTCATTTAGCTAAACTTAGTAGAGCTTTTCTATCTATGGCAAGCTCAGTCTTAATCCAGTGACCTCAAAGAGGAAAGACTGATTAACAATTCAACTAGGAAGAATTCTTGTCTTTAAAATTTTAGTTGATATATAAGCTTCTTTGCTTCTACACCTATGCAATGTCTTTAAAAATATAATCTTATGATGTATTTCTTTTTATAGTTGTTGAAATAGAAGAAAAAATAGCTTGCCACTACCTACTATATTTTAATACAAAATAAAATTCTCTATGATCCTATCTTGCTTCTTTTTTTTGGAGTGGATCATTCTACTTAATCTGTCAAAGGCTAAGGGGTGTTCTAATATAACCCATTATTATTGTATTTCTATCTGTGTTATATATTTATACACATTTTTGGCTCATTTTGAATATTATATTATTGAGTATATAACGTTTAATGAGACGGTAAAACATTTTTATCTTGGCTACTGATAGTATAATGCTGCTCTTTTCAGGCTTCCATTGTCAATTGCTACATACTCTGTCTTTTCTCTACAGCTTCTGCAAGGTCTCTTTTGCTTTCGCTACTTTACAATTTTAAAAATATTGTAATTTTTTTCTTTCTGCTTGAGATTCATTGAGATTCCTGACTCTGTACTTACTCATCTATCATTTCTGGAAAATTCTTACCAATTATCTTCTTACATACTATCTCTATTTTACTCTGCCCTGTTCCTTCTCTGATTACACAAATATCTGACTTTCTTAATCTCCTCTTGTATTTACCTTTTTTCTGTATTTTCAATTTCTTTTTCTCTCTCTTTTGCATTCTATGTATTTTTTTCAGTTCTATATTCCAGTTCAAAAATCCTTCTTTTGGGTGGGTCTATCAGCTATTAAGCTTATTCATAAACTTTTAACTATATATATTTTTATTTCTGGCTGTTTCTGATTCTTTTTCTTTTTCATTTTTGAAGTTTGTTGTTCTTACTTACGTTGTCAGTCCTTTTTATTTCTTTAAATCTATTGTATTTGATAAATTTCAACCCTTTAGCAGTTTAATTCCACTATTGTTTTGTTAGCTTTCATTCATGGTATTTTATACTTTTTTTTTTTTTCATTGAGAGCTCACATTTCCTGCAACTTTATCTATTGGTATCTTTTGAGGCCTAGCTTGAAGTAGGTGCATGTAGAGAGAATGTATATTGCTTTTATCAGGCAATTTAAAAAGAGCACTTCACACTAAATTTTTACTTTAGAGTTTTAAAAATATTCTTAACAATCTCTAGAGTGTGAATCTTGACTACCAACCTGAGTAAAGGTTGGCTTTTTTCCTTCTTTACTTATACCTGAGATGTGAAGCAAGCAATGCTCCTGGTAGTCTTCTATAGAGGATGAAGGAAAAGAAAGAGAAAGAGCAATGTAGGTTTATATTTCATTTTTATAGCAGGGATATAGCCCTTTGCTTTCCCAGCTTAATAAAGGAAGGGAGGGCAAATTTTCTCAACAGTTCCACCTCAGACAGATCCAGGAATGTTTCTCTTTTCTCTTGCTCTTGGTGACAACTTGAGCACAAGATCATTTCAAGATGACAGCCATCCTCAATGTTTCAGCTTTGGAGCTAAAGATTGCTCTTTCTCATAGTTTTTGTCCCCTGAGTATTTCTGATGTTCTTGCATTGGTGAATGTATAAAAAGTTTTAAAGAATTGTATCCCATGTTTTAAATTGTTTTCCATGGGACAGTTGATCAGGGTACCTAGTCTGCAAAAGTACTGAATGCAGAAGCTAGCAACATATATGACATGACAGTTTTGAAAAAGTCCACAAGTATCCAAAGAGGAAACACTGATAACCTATAAACAAAATTTACTCTGGCTTCCAGCTTCTCTTTTGCAATACCAAACATCCGAAAATAGCAGTTATACCTAAAGAAGAATTTTGACAGAAAGTGATTTTGACCCAAAATTTGATGTCCAGGTAAGTTGTCATTCAAAAGAGACACCTTAGAACTAAAAGAATTCAGAAACAACATCACTCTAAAGTTAAGAAACTGATATGAGTAAATTATGGTATGTTGACAGCGGTTATTAAAGCAAATTAAACATATGACTAAGTAGAAATATTGCAGATATGGTCACAAAACTGAATATAAATTACAAAAATTATTTCCAAAGGGGATATATAACATGAAAGCTATTAGTTTAATATTAATAATGTGATTTCAATTCTCCTCATTAATAAAATCTAAAAAGAGGAAAGAGCTATCAGGAGAAATATAACATGAATTTCTATTAATTAACCTGTAACTGGGAAACCAGTATTATATGCATTAATTAAATTTAATCCTCATGGAAACTCAAACAGGTATTAATTTTCTCTTGCTCCTGTACTAAATTACCTAAATTATAGTGGCTTGAAAACAGACAAATGTATTATTTTACAACTCTGTATGTCAGAAGTCCAACACAGGTCTCACTAGGCTAAAACAAATGTGTCAAAAGGACTATGTTCCTTTTTGGAAGTTAGAGAGGAAAGTGTGTTTCCTTCCCTTTCTAGCTTCTAGAGGCTACCCACCATTATTGGCTTGTAAACTGCTTTCTCCATATTCAAAGTGAGCAACAGTGAGTCGAGTCCTTCTCACATCACATCACCCTAACCTCTTCTTGTATAGCCTCTCCTACTTTTTAGGAAGCTTGAGATTACATTGAGCCCATTTGGATGTCCAGGAAAATCTCTATTTTAATGTCTACTAATTAGCAATCTTAATTCTATCTGCAACCTTACATCCCCTTTGCCATGTAACATAATATTCAGAGTTCTAGGAATTAAGGTATACAAATTCTTGGGTAAACCTTATTCTACACATCACATCTGGCCCTCTGGCTGCCAGATTAATGTTACTCCAAATGTTTGCTCCATCTCAAGGTCCTCAAAATTTCTGAACCCATTATAGCATCAATTCAAATCCTCAGATCTCATCCAAATCTCATCATCTAAATAATCTAAATTAGGTGTGGGTGAGATTCTGGATATGATCTACCTGGTAGCACAATTTTCTTTATCTATGGACCAATAAAACTAAAGAAGTAGACAATATTGAATTCATTTTACAAATAAGACATCGAAAGTAAAATACCTTTCCTAAAACCACATCCTTATTAAGTGTTGGAGAGTCTAATCTGTTTTCAACTCAGAAGTTCATAATATTTTTAATCATTTCACTATCTAGAGAACACAACCTCCTAAATTCTTCATTTTACAACTGGGGAGTTTAGAGGGTATTAATTCACCAGGAAATAAATAAATCAGATATTGGAAAAGGCTTTAAATATTTATATCACTCAGAAGTAGTTTAAGTCAAGGACAGATATGGATAAGACCAAACTGATGGAAACCATTTTCAGTTGCTTTGGAGAACCTTATGATACTGGTATTGTGGTAGGCTAAATAATGCCTCACCCTCACAAGATGCCCACATACTAATACTTGAAATCTATAAATATTATACTTAGTTTTGGAAGTATAATTTTGCAAAATAGACTAGTTGATGATCTTATTCTTTTATGACTTTGACTGTGTCATCCTATTTCTGTTTGGACTACAGTGTTTTGGAAATGAAATCATGTGTTAATCTTACAGAGAATCCCTTATATGTGGAGACCCATTTTTCTCTTACTGCTTTCAAAATTCTCTCAGTATTTTTGGCTTTTGACAATTTTATTATTTTGTATATGTTCATCTCTTTGAGTTTGTCTTACTGGGGGTTCCTAAATTTTTCAGATGTGTACATTAATGTTTTAACTACATTTGAGAAGTTTTTAGTTATTATACCTTCAAGTACTGTTTCTTCCCCTTTTCCCATATTCTCTTCTTCTGTGACTCTAATATGTGTATGCTGGTAAGCATGATACTGTTCAATTAGTCTCTGAGACTTTATGTATCTTTATTTATTCAGTTTTTTTCCTGTTCCTTAGACTAGATGATGTAAACTGACCTATATTCAAATTCTCTTTTTCTACCAGGACTAATCTTCTATTGAATCCTTATAGTAAATTTTTAGTTATTATACTTTTCAATTTGAGAATTTTTACTTTTTATTTCTTCATTAGTAATATTTGCTGAGACATCAGTCTCTTTGTTTTTTAGAATTAGTTTCTTCTATTTCTTTGAACATATTTATAATAATTGATTTAAAGTCTTTACCTATTACGTCCAATATCTACCTCAGGGACAGTTTATATTGCATGCTTTTTTTTCTTCCTGTATATGAGCCATTCTTCTTATTTACAAGACATAATTTTTTATTGAAAACTGGATATTTTATATAATATAATGTGACAACTCTAGAAATCAGATTATCTCCTCCCAGCCTTTCTTTTGATTGCCATTTATTGTTGTTGTTGTTGTTGTTATTATTTATCTCCTGGACTAATTCTGTAAACTCTTTATTCCCTGTTATTTGTGGCCACTGAGTCCTCTGTACAGTTAGCTTTGTAGTTAAGCTCGTGATTGGACAGAGATTTCCTTATATACCCTGAGTGAATAAGCTGTATATTATTTGTTGAGAGGCTCTTTGTATGTATTGACAGGCTCTCAATGTTTTGATAGTTTACAATTCTGCATTAGTCTTCCCTTCCTGCTTCAAAGGACCTAAAGTTCAAGTAGAGATGAGAGGATGGAACTTTCTCAGATCATTCTTTTACATGGACACAGCCCTACTCATGGATGTGGCTTTCTTCACATTCCTTAGGAATATGTCAGTGTTGTTCAAAGATTCTGGTGTTATCTCACTCATAAACTCTTCCATTTACATTTTTATTGGCCAGCTTCTTATTGGCCTCAACTCGTATAGTCTCCTCAGGCAGCTGCCATGTTAAACAATCACTTTTGATTGTTTTCAGCAAATGTCCTAGAAACAAGATTTTTCCCAATCAACAAGCTTTCAGTAAGTCAAAACGATCACAAGCCTTAAAAATTGAGCTTTTCCAAGGAGCTGTCAGATGGGTCAATGCTTAGACAATGCCATTCTGCCTCCTCTTGTAGCTTCTAGAATTCCACTTTACATACCTATTGTTGAGAGGCTGCTGGATTTTATACCTACCATTTAGGTATAAAGAAGAGAATGGAAATAGGGAAATTAAAATGTCACACAATTTGTTGTTCTTACCAATATTTAGCACTTTTGTTGAATAAGGGCTCTTTGGATTATTGCATGCCTTCAGTTAATTTTGAGATTTCTGGAAAAATCACATTAATGGAAAACTCCTTTCAATTATTCCTCTTTGCCCTAAGGATAAAAGCCTTTTAATCATCCTTACAGCTGCCTCTCAGGCTGCCTGTGTTGTTGGGCCTCTGTCTACCTTTCCAGCCTCAGATGGTGTTATAGTTTAGATATTCGCCCCCATCCAAATCTCATGTTGAAATATAATCCCCAGTCTTGAAGGTGAGGCCTGGTGGGAGGTGTTTGGATTATGGGAGTCCATCCTTCATGAATGGCTTGGGCCATTCCCTTGGTGATAGGTGAGCTCTTGCTCTGAGATCTGGTGGTCATTTAAAAGTCTGTGGAACCTCCCCTCCCCAACTCTCTCTCTCTTTCCCTGCTTTTGCCATGTGAAGTGCAAGCTCCTGCTTTGCCTTCTACCATGAGTAAAACTTCCTGAAGCCTCACCAGAAATTACGCTTCCTGTAAAGCTTGCAGAACCATAAGCAAATTAAATCTTTTCTTATAAATTACCTAGTCTCAGGCATTTCTTTATAGTAATGCAAAAATGACCTAATACAGAAAATTAGTACTCAGAGTGGAGTATTACTATAAAGATACCTGAAAATGTAGAAACAGCTTGGAAATTGGATAATGGCCAGAGGTTAGGATCACGTGGAGTATGTCTTTCTAGAGAAGACAGGAAGATGAGAGTAAGTGTGCAACTTCTTAGAGACTGCTTAAATGATTGTGACCAAAATGCTGATAGTGATATGGAAAATGAAATCCAGGCTGACTAGATCTGAGATGAAAACGAGGAACTTATTGGGAACTGGAGCAAAGGTCACACATGTTATGCCATAGGAAAGAGTTTGGCTGCATTCTGTTCATGCCCTGGGTATCTGAGGAAATCTGAACTTGAGAGTGATAACCTAGGGTATTTAACAGAAGAAATTTCTAAGCAGCAAAGTGCCCAAGATGTGGCCTGGCTGTTTCTAACAACCTTTGCTTAGATACAGAAGCAAGGAAATGGCTTAAAGTAGAAATTTATATTTAAACAGGAAACAGAGCATAAAAGTTTGGAAATTTTGCAGCCTAGCCATATGGCAGAGAAAGAAAAAGCTTTTTTGTAGAGAGGAATTCAAGCAGGCTGTGGAGCAACCACCTGCTAGATACATTGGCATAACTAAAAGGGAGCCAAGTGCTACTATTCAAGACAATGGGGAAAACAACTTGAAGTCATTTCAGCGAACTTCATGGCAGCCCCTCCCATCAGAGGCCTTAGGAGGGAAGAATGGTTTCATGGGCCGAGCCCTTGGCAAACTACTCTCCCCACATCCCAGCCACTCCAGTTCCAGCTATGGCTCAACAGGGTCCAGGTACAGCTCGGGCTGCCACTTTGAAGGATGCAAGCCATAAGCTTACATGGCTTACATGAGATGTTAAGCCTGTGGATGTACAGAGTGCCAGAGCTGAGGTTTGGAAGCTTCTGTGAGGGTTTCAGAGGATGCATGAAAAAGCCTGGATGTATAGGCAGAAGCCTGCTGCAGGGGCAGAACCCTCACAGACAACTTCTACTAGGGCAATGTGGAGGGGAAAATATGGGGCTGGAGCCTCCACACAAAGTCTCTAATGAGCACTGGCTAGTAGAACTGTGAGAAGAGGGCCACCATCCTTCAGACCTGAGAATGGTAGATCTATTAGCAGCTTGTACTCTGTACCTGGAAAATCCACAGGCACTCAATCCCAGCCCATGAGAGCAGTTGGGGGAGTTGTACTCTGCAAAGGTATAGGGGTAGGGCTGCCCAAGGCCTTGGGAGCCCTCTCCTTGCACCAGTGTGCCCTGGATGTGGAACATAGAGTCAAAGGGGATTACATTGGAGCTTTAAGATTTAATGACGGCCTGCTTGGGTTTTGCCTTGCATGGAGCCTATAGCCCCTTTCTTTTAGCCAATTTCTCCCTTTTGGAATGGGAATGTTTACCCAATGCCTATACATACCTATTGTATCTTGGAAGTAACTAACTTGTTTATTTTACAGGCTCATAGGTGGAAGGGATTTGTCTTGTCTCAGATGAAACTTTGGACTTTTGAGTTAAATCTGGCAAAGGTCAAGATTTTAGGGGATTGCTGAGAAAGTATGATTCTATTTTGCAATGTGAGGACATGAGATTTGGGAGGGGCCAGGAGAAGAATTATATAGTTTGGATAGTTTTCCCTGCCCAAATCTCATGTTGAAATGTAATCCCCAATCTTGGAGATGGGGCCTGGTGGGAGGTATTTGGGTCATGGGGGCGCATCTCTCATGAATGGCTTGGGCCATCCCCTGGGTGATGAGTGAGTTCTCCAGTTGAGTTCACATGAGATCTGATCATTTAAAAGTGTGTGGCACCTCCCCCACCACTTGCTCCTGCATTTACCATGTGAAGTACAAGCTCTCATTTTGCCTTCTGCCATGAGTTAAAGCTTCCTGAGCCCTTCCTGTATAGCCTGCAGAAATGTGAGCCAATTAAACCCTCTTTTCTTATAAATTATCCAGTCTTGGGTATTTCTTCATAGCAATGCAAGAATGTCCTAATACATCTGGTATCCCTTATTTCTGAGCATTGGTTTACCTCGATGATTCTGTGCTTTCTTTAATGTTATACTACCTTCCATTGCAGGACTTCTGTTTAGACTAACACCTATGCCTGCACTCCAACTCAAGATTAGGCAAATTCCCATCTCCACTAACTTAGCATAACGTACTTCCCATTCATAGCATTTATGGCAATTATCAGTGATTGAATTCATAATTGGGAATATTTGATTCACATCCGTCTTTCTTATAAAATTCAAATACAACGAAGACAGGTAAAATGTCACTTCAGTTCACCACTGTATCCTGCATCTAATGTACCAACACACATTAACTACTTAATACATGCTGAAATAAATTAAAACCTATATATATATTTTTTTTTTAAATCGTGGACAAAATAAAAAAGCAAGCACATACTTTATTTAGAAAATAGAATAAAATAAAAGCAAGGAAGCAGACACAACTGCATATAAAAGGGAAAACAAAAGTGAAATAACCAAATAGGACTAAACATCTAAGTTGACCATTTTCATTGCTAAACTTTTGTGAAATTATCATTCAGTGCTTACACTAGACTATATGTTTTACATGCATTGTTTAACTTAATCTTCACAGCACTCTGTTATCAATGTTTTACAGATAAGAAAACTCAGGCTTATTGACGTTAATTGACTTATAAAACCATTAATAAGTTCTGGGCCACTTTGGCACCTGAACTTTCAAGCATTAATCAGAAATAAAAAGGTTAAGCTTCTCTGCAAAATAAAAAGATTCTCGGATTTGAGTTAAAAAAAGAAAAACAAGATGCAATCTATCTGCTGCTTACAGCAGATATGCCCAAAACAAGATGACACAGGTTAAATATAAATGGATAGGGTGAGGTTTATTAGGCAAAAACAAAGAGAAACATAGCAAAAGTTGAAGCATTAATATCAAAGTAGGTTTCAAGACAAAAATACAAAATGATACAAAGAAGGTCATTTTATATTAAAAACATAAACTATGTAAATACGAAAGACATGCACCTTTATAGGATGAATAATATATGTTCAAAATACAGAAACCACAAACTGCTCAACACACAATCATAATGGATGAAATTTTCATCTTTCGAATAAAGTAGAACAAATAAAAATAGTCATTGTTAAGTTGGTTTTTTGTCCTCTTCATAATGTTAACTATATCAAAAATGAGTATGTATTTACATTTTCAAAACATATCTAAGAGTATAAAGTAAAATATTAACTTTACTCCTTTAAACTCATCCTTGTCTTTATACATATCCGTTATTATAAGAGATTAATGGTCTTTTCAAATATTATTTTATACACGTACATGGATACATACATATCTATAATCGTTTTTAAGATAATGGAACTTAATTATTATTTATTTATATTATTAATTAATTTTTTTTTGAGATAGAGTTTCGCTCTTGTTACCCAGGCTGGAATGCAATGGCATGATCTCAGCTCATTGCAACCTCTGCCTCCCCGGTTCAAGTGATTCTCCTGCCTCAGCCTCCCGAGTAGCTGGGGTTACGGGCATGCGCCACCATACGCAGCTAATTTTTTTGTATTTTTAGTAGAGACAGGGTTTCGTCATGTTGGTCAAGCTGGTCTCAAACTTCTGACCTCAGGTGATTCACCTACTTTGGCCTCCTAAAGTACTGGGATTACAGCCGTAAGCCACAGCACCCAGCCCAAGATAATGGAGCTTAATTAAACTTAACTGAATTGTTTTAAGAAATATTTTTAAATGCAGAAAAAGAGAGTAGTATGATAAACATTCATTTTGCACCAAGAATAATTGACAATTGTTTTAAGTTAACATATTTATTTAAGTCTTTTGTTAATAACAAGATAGTCAAAGTTAAAGCATATTTTGATATGTATGGGGGTAAAGAAGGAAGGGAAGATATATTCAAAGTGTATATAAAATATACATGTAAATTCTAGAAAGTTTTTCAAACAGTGGGTGTTAGTCAGCACTGAAGTGTTGGAATGGAAATGTAAGTGGAGGTGGGATTGAAACAGGCTGTTGCTGTAACACTGTTTTTCTTAATCATAAGAATGATTTAATTTTATAGTTTCTCAAAATACCCAAGGGAGGAACATAAACTCCTATATATAACACGACTCTTTTTAAACATATATATCTATAAATGCTTGGGGTGTCAGGAAACACTGAAAATAAATTTACCAAAGAGTTATTTTAGCCATTCAGTACTTATTGCTGGGTGGTGGAATTATTGTTGACTTTGTTCTTAGTATACTTCTGCGTTTTCCAAATTATCTACCATAAGCAATTATATTCTGATTGTAAAATGCTACAGATGAAAAACTAGAAATAAACATTAAAATTATTTAAAAGGTTTAGTTCACTAACAATCCTGGTAATGTTGCATTGATACTAGGATACTCAAGACAACAGATTTGGTCACAACTAAAACTTTTTAGAGCTCTCCACTTACTCATTTCCAATTGTGTATGATCAATTTCTACGGTCTATTACATTCACAGCCGGTGCAATTGTAAATTGGTACCACCTTTCGGAAAGCAATTGGCTCTATATATCTTTAAAATCTTAAAGTTATTTAAAAAGCCTTATGCCCTTTACCCCAGAACTGTCGCTTTCCAAAAATTTTCCTAAAGGGGGAAATTCGAAATAAGAAAAACAATACACAGGTTGAGCACTGTAACTTATATATAATAAAGTTGGGGAAATTAGAGAAAGGTTAAATTACAGTGCATTTATTCAACAGAATACTCCGTCATTTGTAACAATGACTATGAAACAAAATAGAAAAATACTCACGTTAGGTTAAATGAAGAAAACATACCTATCTATGGTGGATCACAATATGAAAATTTAATACTTCTAGGTAGAAGAAGAGAAAGAGAATATGAAAAACTAAAAAGTCTTTAGGGGTAGGAGGACGTGAGCAGATCTCTAAATAACCTTGAGATCAATGGAAACAGTGTATAGATTTTTAGGTTCACTTATAAGCTGCTGATCTTATTTTAAGATCCTTCAGTATATGTTATCAAAAAGTGTTTGCTTTTCTTGCAAACGCCCATGTTTGGGAAATATGCAAGTTGAAGCCAATGCATTACTGTACTTTTTATAATGCACCTGAAGTTTTACTAGCTGTTCCAAGAGTGGTGTACTGAGTATTGATAAATCGTTTAAGTGGAGGCTCACATGAAATATTAACTATTACCCCAGGGCTTTAGAGCAACTGTGATCAATTCTGGCACAGCATCAGATCCATAATTTTCTTTGCTACTCTGATTTCTACGTTTTTTGTATTTTCAAAGTAATGTGACCGCAACTGTTAAGTTATTAAAATTGCTCCTGAGATGAGGGCACTCGAGACACAAACACACGGAGAGGTTCGTCCGCTATTCCTCTCATTTACTAAGCTCACACGTCTACCCTGAGGATTTGGAAACACTGTATGATTCTGCACTTACTGTGCACTTATCCCTTAGTGCTAAGGGGTAAACAGATACCCACCGGGCTGTCTAAGGCGCAGCCTCAAGGCAAGGAAGAAGGGTGCTGGGTCGCAGGGGATGAGAGGGCGGGGCGGCCACTTTGCTGCAGGAGATACCCAAAGCCAGTTAGCACTGAGGAAGTCAGAAGAGAATTGTCAGTCTCTCGGACACCTTCATTTTCTGCCCCGGAAATTTCTCCTCCGCTGTTGTCTGGGCTCCACTTCCGACCCCCAGTTGCTACCAGCTGTAGTCCGACCTATCGTGGCCCGGGCTAGTGCCAGCCTCCCGCCGCTACCTCCGCCTCGTCCCTTCTCCTCTGCGCCTGCGCGACCGGAAAATTCGCGAAGGTTCCTGAAACGCAACGGATCGTTTCCGGAAGCCGGTAGCCGCCTCAGTCGTCAGACCGGTGCTAGCGACACGGGAGTGGCAAACGCATCCTCTTGCCGTTCCCGGTGTTTGGGCCTTGCCTGTGACGGTGGGAAAAGAAAATGGCCTTGCTGTGCTACAACCGGGGCTGCGGTCAGCGCTTCGATCCTGAGACCAATTCCGACGGTAAGAGGAACGCGCCGCCAGCCCTCCCTCCCCTCCACCTCATCAGCAGGGGAGGCCCTTTGGGCCGGAGGGTGTCCGCGGATCTCCTGCAGCCGTCCTCGCGCGGCCCCAGGTCCATGCCCCTCCTGGGCCTCCCTTGGCTGCCCGCGCAGCCCGCCGGCCGCCCCTCTGTTGCGCCGCGTTCCCTTGGCGAGCGCCCGGCCCCGGCGCCTGACTGTCCTCTGCCACTGCGGAGAGAGACGCTCCCATGGATCCACGTGTTTCCCCCGTCGTCCCCGCACTCCTTTTAAGTCGCCTGGAATTTAGAACGAACACGTTTCTCCTCTGGCCCTCCAGTCTCTGGGGAAGCAAAAATTAACGAGGTACTGGTGAGCTTGCTTTGTAGTTCCCGAAGTAGTGATGGCTGTGATTGCCTGCGCGAGAGGGAGAGGTGGCCGGGATGAGCAGCGGGTTGTCCTAGCATGTAAGCTCTGCCTTGTAGAAGTTTGTGTTCAGTCGATCCGCTGTTACAAACCTCTTACAAGTGTTCTTGGTAAGGGACATTACTCTGTATCTTCACGCTGTTTTGATAGGTTCATCCTGGTGGTACGTTAGTTATCTTTTTATTACTAGCGGCATTTGTTGCTTGTTCTTCTTGTGGCCTCCACGTTTTACTACCATGCCTACTCCCGTATAAAATGAGTGAATGTCATCTACAGCACCTAGATGTCGAGTTAAGGATCCAAAGCGAAAATGACTATTAGGTGAAGGACGGGAAATGATCAGTGAATTGAAATTTTGATTGACAAAGAAGTGAGATGATTCCTTGCGTATCGTGAGAAGTGACAACACGTTTTCAGATTGAACTAGCATTTAGTTTATATTTTCTGCATGCCAGCCATTATTGCTTTATCTTATTTAATCTTCATAACCACCCTGGGACGCATGTAATGTTAATTAGACCCATTTGATAGAGAAGCTCAGTTCAATGAGGTTGTATTAATAACATCCTTCATTATTGTGGAGGAGATGAAAACTGATGCCTTTTGAACTCTTCACCTCTGAGATGTTTGAAATACTTATTTTTGGCACACAGGTAAATTGATAGCGTTATTTAAAATAAGACCATTGATACAGAGTTTTAAGGAAAAGGAAAATCCAACCTATGCAATACTCAAGTTACCGCCACTGACATTTTTATGATGCAAATATGATGCTACTCATGAGGAAAATTGTGAGATTTCAGTCGATGACAAAATCGAGAAACGATTTTAAAGCCCTTTGGTGTTGGCAGCCTATGTAAAACATTAATTGCACTTATGTCTGCAGATATTCTACTTTAATATAGAATACAGGGGAAAGACTGACGCTTTGCTTATGAGACAATAAAGTTCAGGGGCGATAGTCATTTGTTGGAAGTCTGTATCCATGTGTGAATTGGTGCAGTGCCTAGGAAACAGAAAGCGACCAGGAAAACCGTCTCAAAACTTGGGTGGTCAGCAGTACTAGTTACAGCAGAGAAATTCCAATAAGTATATTTACTTTAGCGAAATGACGGTTTTTTTAGAGACTTAGAATACATTTTTCAAGTAAACTGATTGAGTGAATGGAAGGAGAAGAAAATGGAGATACGGAGTAGGAGACAAGAACTAAATAGAAAGGTTGGTTAGGAGGTTTTTTAGGAAGAGGTTTGACCTTGTACAGTTGACAGAAATAAGTTAAAAGAGGTAAATACACAAGCAAGTTCCATTTTGCGTAAGCCAGATGTTGGATCTGTCATCTTTAAATATTTCTTAATCTACACTAAATGCTTTTTTTCTCGGTGCTGTGGCATAATTACCGTGCTCGTTGACTTATAGTCTCATGATTTTTTTTTCCCCCTAGAGACAGAAATTAGACTCCCTTTTAAGCTGATAGAACGTTTTAACTTGTAACTGAAGTTAAAGGGTGTTTAAGGGAGACACAGTTGGTAACTTACATATGTTAAACACTTATTCTAGAATAAACACAGCTTCACAAACGGTATTTTTTTTAATCGACGTATACGAGGAAAACTGAAGGAACTACTAGCGAGTAGCTCAGTGAGAAATTTAGCCAGGGTCAGACCCAATGTTAGAAGCCCTGGACACTTAACCACTGCTACTGTCTTGTAGCTTCTCACCCATAAAATATTAATTTTGCCAAAACTCTTAAAACTGATAAAGAAAGGATGGATATTAAAGAAAGAATGAAGAATGTCCATTTGCTTGTTACTTCTTGTTTTTGAAAGCAGTGGCTTTCTAATTGTGTTCATGTTAGTTGTATGGTTCAGATCTGACTCATTCCTGCTGCCATGCTGCCAAAATTGACTTATTGTGACATTTTATGCCTCTGACTCTGTTATACATTGCGTTTATGTTTCTGACTACTTTAAATTTGGTGTTTGAAAATACTGGATCTATTCTCTACTTCCATTCCCCTCTCAACTTCATGTCCTTCTGCATACCCATTTCTACTTCCAACCTCCTTTTTCAGCCCTTAATTCCACAACTACCCTTAATTAATAACATCTTTCTGATCCCACGGATTTACTTACTGTATCAGGAAGATACCTAACACTTTCTACATTAGCTAGTATCTATGCAGCACATGGTTACTAAGGAAGCAATACTGGCTAGTAACGGGGTAGGGAGATTTCTGTGAGCACCAGTAGTAAATTTTGAGGCAACACCAGGAATCAGGTGATAGAGCAAGGGTGTTCAATCTTTTGGCTTCCCTGTGCGACATTGGAAGAAGAGGAATTATCTGGGCCACATTGGAAGAAGAATAATTGGGTCACATATGAAATACACTAACACTAATGATAGCTGATGAGCTTAAAAGAAAACAAAAACAAAATTCATAATGTTTTAAGACAGTTTACGAAATTTGTGTTGGGCTACATTCAGAGTTGTCTGGGGCGGCATGTTGGACAAGGTTGTTGTAGAGCATTGAAAGCTAAATAGACTTGAAAGGTTGAAAGATAGTCTTTTAAGCAGATTGCAGAGGGATGAAGCTGACTGTTACCTGATTTTTAAAAATATAGTACTCCATCTTGCAAATTGCTGAGAGCAGCTTGGTCGTGGAGACCCTAACCCGGTGGTGCTAGAGGAATTAAAGACACACACACAGAAATATATAGTAAGGAGTGGGAAATCAGGGGTCTCACAGCCTTAGAGCTGAGAGCCTCCAATGGAGATTTACTAAAAGTATTCCTTACGGGAAATAAAGGGATGGGCTCTGGCTAGTTATCTGCAGCATGAACATGTCCTTAAGGCACATATGGCTCATGCTATTGTTTGTGGTTTAAGAATGCCTTAAGTGTTTTTCCGCCCTGGGTGGGACAGTTGTTCCTTGCCCTCATTCAGGTAGACTCACAACCTTCTAGCCTGGGCATCAAAGCCGTCACGAGCATGTCACAGTGCTGCAGAGATTTTGTTGATGGCCAGTTTTGGGGCCAGTTTATGGCCAGATTTGGGGGCCTGTTCCCAACACAAATTGTAATAAACCCATTTACATAAGAGAAGTAAAGATTGATGGTGTAGTGGGGAGGGAAGTATAGAATAACACCCAGTGAGAATCTAGAAAATAGGCTGTAGAACTTGAGAGTTTTTTTTGTTTGTTTTTTTTAAGATGGAGTCTTGCTCTGTCACCTAGGCTGTAGTGCGGTGGCATGATCTTGACTCACTGCAAACTCTGCTTCCCAAGTTCAAGCGATTCTCCTGTCAAGATCCTGAGTAGCTGAGACTACAGGCATGCACTACCACGCCCGGCTAATTTTTGTATTTTTAGTAGACACGGGGTTTCACCATGTTGGTTAGGCTGGTCTCGTACTCCTGACCTCAGGTGATCTGCCTACCTCAGCCTCCCAAAGTGCTGGGATTACAGGCATGAGCCACCAGGCCCACCTAGACTTCTATTTTTTTTTTTTTTTTTAATTAAAAAGTAAACTTTAATGTTGAAAATGCACACTTGGGGAAGGCAGAAAGATCACACACAAGGCTGTCACTTCACACTTGGAAGGTTGCACAGTGGCCAGGCAGAGGTGCTCCTCACTTTCCAGACAGGGCTGCCGCCAGGCAGAGGCACTCCTCAGTTCCCAGACTGGGCGGGGGCAGGGCAGAGGAGCTCCTCACTTCCCAAACAGGGCAGGGGCCAGGCAGAGGCACCCTAGTCTTCTTTTTAGTGAGGTTTGTACCTAGGAATGACTGTGTCTAGGAAAGTTAAATTACCAATTAGATACTGCAAAAAATCTTTACAGTATTTAAAATGTTGAGCCTGTTATTACAAAATGTCTTTAAGGGAATCTCTTGTGAAACCTTTATGGATGAATGCACATAAGAATACTTCAAGTTTGATAGTACATTTGTAAAAGCAGGTTTGAAAAATGATGGTCAAAATTTGGGGGTTTGAAGTTTTGGTACTAAACAAATTTTACTACCAAGATTAGGGGAATATAAAATATAATTGTTATACATAAACAATTCTGTATTTTTGTCCTTAGTCATCATATGCTTGAATTAGAATTTTTAATACTATTTTAATATAGTACACTTTGTGCTGCACGTCAAACTCAATCATTTGTACCTTTTTAAGGTACTTGCGTTTGGAAAAAGGATTAAAGGTTAACACCTTAAGGAGATGATCATGTATATATTTTTCTTCATTATAAAGAGTGGTACTTTTTTTTTTTTCTCTGTTTTCTCCAGATGCTTGCACATACCACCCAGGTGTTCCGGTCTTTCACGATGCATTAAAGGTAGGAACTATATTTTCATTTTTTTCATATCTGTGTAGTAAATTGAGAGATGTAATACTAAATCTTTATTTTCTCATCTTTTTTTCTCAGCTAGTGACTTTCTTCTTAATGACCTTTGCGGGGGAGGTGCTTTAAGCGTATACTCCACTAAAGACAAAGAAAAGACAGTAGATGATGATCTTAAGGTCTTTTCCAGTTATAAAATTGTATTTTAATTCTGGGTTTTTTTTTTTTTTTTTGAGATGGAGTTTCACTGTGTTGCCCAGGTGGAGTGCAGTGGTGCGATCTCAGCTCACTGCAACGTCCGCCTCCTGGGTTCAAGCGATTCTGCCTCAGCCTCCTGAGGAGCCGGGATTACAGGCACCTGCCACCATGCCCAGCTAATTTTTGTATTTTTAGTGGAGACAGGGTTTCATCATATTGGTCAGGCTGGTCTCGAACTCCTGACCTCAGATGATCCACCTGCCTCAGCCTCCCAAAGTGCTGGGATTACCATGCCTGGTCTTAATTTTCATTTTCTACACCCATTTCTTCACTTTTCTAATTTTGAGGGAAAATAGAGTGGTTGTATTGAATCTCAGTCTGTCACTACTGGCTAATAACAGCTCTGAATTTTAGAAAAGATTCTTATAAACATTTAGTGCCAATCTCGGGACAGACCTGTGAGTTTTCCAGCTATACTTCTTGGATGTTCTGGAGAATTGGTGGAATGTTGTTTGACTAGGTTTTTGCTGGTCATCTTTTTAAAATTCATGATAGTATGATACATTTAAAGAGTTTCCTTTGTATATCTCAAAAGATGATGCTGTGGTAGGGCTGCCATGGTTTTAGGTTCTACTTCTTTGGTTCTCAGGAACATAAGCAGTCTTAACATGTTTAAATATTGTTGGTGCCCTTTAAATGTCTAATTATACCTTCCAAAGAGTAGTTAGACTGTTTTGGCACTTCACTGTTAACACCACCAAATCTAACAAAAGATGTATTAGTCTGGTTAGTTCTGAGTGAGGAAAACAGAGAAGACATTCAGTAGGGCAAGTTGAGACCTTATTCCTCCATACATTTTTTTAGTTTTTACAAATCTTTGTTGTGGTGGAAACTGTGGTGCTGTGGAAATGTTTATTTTTCTTTTTGTGGAATTTTATTTTTCCTAGACTGCCATTTCTTCTGATATTTTTGTTTTACTGTGTCTTTTTCTTTTTTTCCCTATGCTGTTTTCCTCTTAGCTCTTAAAGGTAACCTTTGGCTGTTTTCTCTCATTCAGTTCATTCATTGGTTTTCTCAAATGTCACCTCTACGCCGATGGCTCTTACAACATATTTCTATTTATGTGTCTCATTGGCAACATCAAACCAGTTTCTAGTGTGTACCGTTTATTCCAAAAGTAGTCTGCCTCTCAACTTTACTGCTCCTAGTAATGATACTACTGACTTTCTGATCATTTGGTCCATTGCCCGTTTTTTCTCTTACCGCATTGTTAATCACTCCAAGTCTTAATGAATTCACTTTGAAGTATTTTTGCTTCTCTCTCTTTTGCAGTTGTAGTGTTTATTGTGGTCTCTATTTTATAACCATTTCTTAAAGTCCTAGACTTTCCAAGATTATTGGATTTCACAGTCCAGAAGATTTCAGACAAAATGCGTATACATCAATACAGGGATACTAGTTGACCAAGTAAGAAGTTAAACATTGCATTGACAAAAGAAATACTATTTTAATATTAGAAGGGGCATATTCAGAGAAAAGGACAATCTTGCTGAAAAAAGACAACTAGCAACCTTATATTCACATAACTTAAATTTATCTTTCCTTTTCTCATTGTACTGAAGACTAGCATAGAATCCAGATTGGCATTTGGGAACAGCTGGCCTGTATTGTATTTTACATGTGTGTATCACAGTATCTGACATAATTTAGTACATGATTAAGACAGTAAAACTTTTTCTCTTATAGAATAACTTTTCTGTTGACTATATTATTGATGCTATTTAAACCCTATATTTAAGGTTGTAGTAATTGATCTACATCTCAATTCGGAGTAAAAGATAATTAAATTTCAAATTAAAGGAAAATTTGAATTATAGGATATTTGAAATTACCTTTAAAGAAAAAGAACCTACAGGTGCATATAATGAGAAAAATCACTACCATATTTTTATGCAGTCTTTTGAAAATCAGCGAGGTCCAGGCGGATGTGTGCAAAGTTGCATCTTAATCTGAATTTAGTCCCAAATCTTAATCTGAAGTTCCAAGTTTTGAGATTTTGCATTTTTGTTTCCCTATGCTCTATAAACATTGGAATTTAGAGATAATTATTAAAGCCATTTTTTGGTAAACTACTTGATAGTTTGTTCAAAAATCACAAATACTAATAGTTTCTCTGTCTTTATGCTTCTCACTGAAAAGATCACCTTCAAAGGCTTAATAGTGCTTTAGCTGCTGTGTTAATTAATCTTTGTTGTTCTGAAAATAGAATGCTTATTGTGAAATTAAAATTAACTAAAGATAGTTACTATCTTTAACTTAATAGATTTTAAAAGTAAAATACCTATACTTATTTTGAATATTCTTTAAATATGATAGTTTTAGGAATTATAACATGTTTTTCTTCTAAAAAAAAAGCAGACACGATTGTTGAAAAGAGAAACAGTTTTTGTTTTATAAAGGTGCTTCCCTTGATGATAGGGCATAGCACAAATCACTTTAACATTGGTTAATTGGCTTTTTAAAAATCAAAGATTAATATTCATTTTACTTGATTAGGTGAATTATATGCAACACTGAAATTTTGCACTCTATACGCAAGTTACTGCAGGATTCAAGTAGATAAGTGCAAGTAGAGTGTTTTAGTGGGTCGTGTTTCTCATGCAAATAGAGTTTTTAGTTTCCTTCTCTTGTTTTTCATAGGGTTGGTCTTGCTGTAAGAGAAGAACAACTGATTTTTCTGATTTCTTAAGCATTGTAGTAAGTACTAATTATTTTTTCTAGATTATCTTCCTAAAAATACATGTTATAGAAAGCTTCAGATTTGAGGAGTCTGATTTCTGATATAGATTGATTGGTCTTCATCAACTTGCAGATAACACCTTTCAAAAAGCAGCTCATCTCCCTTCCACAGCTTGTAAAATAAAGAATCTGTTTTGGAAATTAACGTTTTAAGGTATCAGTTACCTGCTTATCATTTTAGGTTTGTTCTTTCTGTTATGTTGAAAGAACATCAAGGAGAAAGTGGTAAGCAACAATTTAAAGCCTTTTCAGTTAGGAACGATAAAGTTTTATCTAAGATGCTGTTGAAATATTTTACATACCACTTTTATATAAAACCACTTTATATACCACTAAGAAAACTAAAGCTACTAACAAACTGATAATGCTATTGATTGTATCATTTCAGAGGTGTTAAAGAGTATGTATAATTCAGTAGAATGTAGTAGAAAAGTAGCTAACGTTTGTTGAATGTTATCACCTGCCAAATGTGCCAGGCATTTTATTATTTAACTCTCTCAGAAAATATCTTACCTGACATTACCTCCATTTTACAAATGAGGAGATGGAGGTTTAAAAAGATTATCTTGCTTAAGGTCATATAACTAATAAGTATGTTGAGAACTAGGTCTCAAATTGAGGCCTTTCGAGTAACAGATTTTTCTGTATAACTATTTTTTACAGTTCTTTGTGAGATTCTCCAGAATTCTTCTGTAAACAAGAGGTTTATGCCATATTTTTAATAGAATAAGTAGATGTTTATGAAGTGTAATTCAAAGACTTTTTAAAAAAGCCGTCATTCAGAGATTCAGCAAATATGGCAAATTTGGAGTTCTGTTTTTAATTTCTTAAAATCAATGTATTGAAACTGGAGAAAACATGAAATAGAATCACTATCAATAAAGAACTGAAAAGATAATATTTCTATCATGAAATGTAAAATAGATAGCTCTTAATGAATTATCTTTCACTAACAGGGCTGTACAAAAGGTAGACATAATAGTGAGAAGCCACCTGAGCCAGTCAAACCTGAAGTCAAGACTACTGAGAAGAAGGAGCTATGTGAATTAAAACCCAAATTTCAGGAACACATCATTCAAGCCCCTAAGCCAGTAGAAGCAATAAAAAGACCAAGGTATACTTTATACAGTTACATATTTTTGTCACACTTGAATAGTAGCACTTGTGCATGGTACTTTCCTTTATGATTTAGCATGATACCATTTGTAGCTACTATGTAGGCCACCAAGCTTTGAACCATTTGGTTTCTCCCTTAAATCTGCCTTAAATTTTTATTTCTCTTCAACTTGAGAGCATGTACACAATATAACTACATAACAGATTTGCATATTGTACTGTCATAATTACAGGGACATGTATCATCAGGGTAGGGAAGTCACATTTTTCTTGTGCCTTAGAGTGCATCTTTTTCACTGTGGCATGGTAAAATTCTTTGAAGCAGTTTTCCTTTTCATGGCATGAGTTTGAAGTAGAAAATAATGCAGAGGCCTAATCATCCATCTTTACTTTCAGATGCCTGAAAACTACCGTTAATCTCATTACTACTGGTCAATTTTTAATGCATTTGATTTAGATGACATATTTGTGAAAGTAGTCTTAAAAAAGCGTTTGCTCATTGTGCAATAGAGTTGTACAGATTCTTCATACTTGCCTTCTGATAACCAGACTCTGTATTCCCACACATGTATATTGAGTACCTTTGTTGAACCAGGTCTTCTTCGTGCTACACTTGAGTACTAAATTGTTTTAGAAGCAAACTACAGGACTTAAAAAAAGGTGATTTTTTTTTTTTTTTTTGGCTGCAAGTAGGCACTTATTGTAATTTTTATTCATGCTATGAACTCATGATTTTCCCTTTATTCTCCTTTGATCCTACTTAAATAAATTTATAGAGTATTGAATAATATAGAACCAAGATAAGAACCCTAAGAGACTTTAGATGTTTATTTGTTCATTAGCACTCTGAGTACAGATTATTGCTAAGGAAACTACTCAGGATGATTTTATTCTCTCTCCATCTTCATAGTTAGAGGAGACCATTGAATGCTTTGGCCAGTTTAGCAGTTAGAAAAATAATTGGGAAAAGACAAAACTTCAGTCATGGCTCATTCTTAATCTCTTTAGTAATATAATACAGTCTGTACTATAATAGTATGAGTTAATTTTTTCTTTAAATGATGGGCTGTTATTTTACTTAAAGGGCAGTGAGAGGCCAGGCACTGTGGCTCAAGCCCATAATCCAGCACTTTGAGAAGCCTAGGAGGGAGGATCCTTTGAGCCTAGGAGTTTGAGAACCAATCTGAAAGAGATCCTGTCTCTCCAAAAAAAATAAATTAGCTGGGTTTGGTGGTGTGCTCATGTAGTTGCAGCTACTCAGGCTGAGGCAGGAGGATCTTGAGATTGACTTTTTGAAAAAAAAGGACAAAGGCAGTGAGATGAGAAAAACTAAATATTTTATCCTAAATTCATTTGGTGGTATTATAACAATTATGAGGATATCAGTTTTTACATACTTTTCTTTTTTTTAAGAAGAAAAGTCCCTCTCTTACCCAGGCTGTAATGCAGTGGCATTATAGCTCACTGCAGCCTTTAACTCCTGGGCTCAAGCCATCCTCCTCCCTAACCCTCCCCGGAACTATAGGTGTATGCTACTATGACTGTATTAGTCCATTTTCACAGTTACGAAGAAACACCCGAGACTAAGTGATTTATAAAGAAAAAGAGGTTTAATGAACTCACAGTTCCATATGGCTGGGGAGGCCTCACAATCATGGCAGAAGGTAGAGCGAGTAATAAAGGAATGTTTTACATGGTGGCAGGCAAGAAAAAAACCATCAGAACTTCTGAGACTTATTCACTATCATGAGAACAGCATGGGAAAAAGGCATCCCCATGATCCAGTTACCTCCCACTAGGTCTGTCACACACCATGTGGAGATTAGGGGAGCTAGAATTCAAGATGAGATTTGGTTGGTGACACAGGGAAACCATATCAGTGACCGACTAATATTTTTTATTATTTTGCGGAGACAGGGTTCCACTTTGTTGCCCAGGCTTCAAGCAGTCCTCTTGCCTCAGCCTCCCAAAGTGTTGGGATTATGGGCATAAGCGACCATGCCTTGCCTATGTACTTTTAAAATGCCTCTTTTGTCAGTTTTTTCATCGAGGATATAGAATGAATAGCCTACGATTTTTATTTTTATTGCTGTGTTTATTAATATGTTTAATACTTATTTATTGAGTGGACTTAAATTATGTATACAACACTTAGCCATTATGAAATGTTAGAAGATGTTGTTTTTTAAACCCTACTGAAATTGCCTTGCAATACGATCGTATCTGAATTTACAGATCCATATGCCAGTGTCCACATAAATTATCTCCACTGGTAGAAGTGAGTATGGATTCACTTAGAACTTACTTATATTTCATGTTTATTATGTGCTCAGCATTGAGCTTGGGCATGGGATGTAAAAGTACATTATGGTCCCTTCCTCAGCATTACTCATCTTGAAAACCTTGGATTCCTAGTCTTTATTCCTTTCTCGTTAGTGCAACTGATTAATACTTAAATATGCTGACAATAGCGTGATTATTTGAGACTTACTATTCTAATATAAGGAGCTTTTCTGTTAAGACAGAATGTAGATACATTGTAACAATTATTTATAAAATACCTTTTAACCTTTTAATGGGAATCATTTGATACACAAAGCATTTGGCTTCTCAGAAAGCTTTTAAGGTTATTAATTTGGAGTACAAAGAAATATTTTGGTATATTAATAATGGTAATAAGGTTTCAAAATTCTCCAGCCCAGATGAACCAATGACAAATTTGGAATTAAAAATATCTGCCTCCCTAAAACAAGCACTTGATAAACTTAAACTGTCATCAGGGAATGAAGAAAATAAGAAAGGTAAGATTTTATTTTGTTTTATTGTTAATTATTTTCTGGTACAGTTAAGCAGTTATCCAAAAGAGAGAATAGTAGTTTACTGCATATAAATAGGGAAAAGTCGCACATTGTAGTTAAGAAACTTTTTCTTCTAAATGTCAGATATGATAAACTACAAATACTTCAGAACCTAATAGGTTAATTCCATATGTCTTTATTCAAAACGAGAACCTATATTAAATTTTTTTTCTTTTATGGTTCATTATTTTTTTAAGAATCAGCTAAATTTCTTTGATATTTTAAAATGTTTTCTTGTACATTATACAAAATATATTCACTATTCTCTGACTTTATACCTGGTACCATGGGAGGAAAACACCCTTTCATGATTTATTTTACAAAGTTAAGATACTGGATATAACATTTTGTTATGGAAAAAATTGTGTCCTGCATTGTTGAAGACACCAGGTCCTCAAAAGAAGAAGAAATGTGTCATATATCAATTTGGGGATATAAGCAAATCCTAGTCACAGTCGTTTTCTAAAAAGTATTGTTTTCTGGAAAAACCTAGTTTTTAAGAATGATGCCACAGCGAAGTTCTATTTTAACTTTTTAATTTGATTTTTTTTTCTTTGTTACAGAAGAAGACAATGATGAAATTAAGATTGGGACCTCATGTAAGAATGGAGGGTGTTCAAAGGTATATATCACAAGATTTGTGATGTGTTATGAAGTAAAATTTTAATTTTGAGGAAAGTGCAGTTTGCTGACTCAATTCAACAAACATTTGCATGCATATTATATATTGAACATTATGCTGGGGACTAGGGCTACAATCATGGATAAGAGACTCTGAGTAGCATCATGTCCAGTAGAATAATGAAAATAAGTAATTCCAATTCACTTAACATTTACTGAGCACTTATTATGTGCCAGACATTTTATGGGCTGGAGACATAGTATCAAATAAAGCAAACATTTCTTTTCTTATGGAGCTGATATTCTAGAATGGGGAGAAGAGCAACAAATAGGTAGTTAGATATTACAAAATCAGGATGATAGGAAGAAAATAAAACATACTAAGGAGTGCTTATCAGCAAAGCCCTTCTTGACATAGTAACACTAAATCAGAAATCTTCATGTTGCACTGGATGGATTATGTAAACCTGGGTGAAGAGTGTTCTGGATGCAGTAACATGAGCAGAGGCTTTAGAACTTGGCTATTCAAGGAATAACAAGGTCTGTGGAGCTTGGGCAAGGGTAGCAGGTAAGACAGGTAGACAGAATTATGGTGGTTCTTTTAAGCCATGATGAGGTATTTGGGCTTTATTCTAAGTATTAGGAGAAGCTATTACTTGCTTTAGGGAAGGGTTTTAGAAAGATTCTGTGACTGGTGAATGGTAAATACATGGTGATGCAGCAGGAGTGGAATTGGAAGAAGAGAAACCAGCTAGGATGCTATTGTGGAAGACCAGACAGTGGGATTGGAGAGTAGTTTGTTGAGAAGTGATTAAATGTGGGATGCGGTCAAACATACCAGTAAGCCATTTTCCTGCCTCTTGCTACTTGATATAAAACTTGCATATCCTCCAACATTTCTTCTCCCTCTCCTTTTTTCTCCATCGCTCTTAATCACTTTATATTACTTATTTTGTATACTTATTTTACTTCTGAGCTATACCATCTAACCCCCATGCTGAGTAAAAGTTGTGAGGATAGGGATTTTTTTTCTTTGTTGTATCTTGAATCCTTAGAACAGTGCGTGTAGAATGAATGATAGAATTTGAAAGTACAGAAAGTACAGATGGTTCCGAACTTACCATGGTGTAACTTAAGATTTTTTTGACTTAACAATGGTATTATCAGGCTATAACCACATTGTAAGCAAAGGAGCATCTGCCTGTATTAGCAGGATTTGCTAATGGATTCGATGTGAAGGGAATTCAAGCATCTGGGTGATTGGTGACACCATTAACCAACAAGGTGAAAATGGGGTGGGGGCAGGTTTATACTTTTTCCTCATGTTAAATTTTAGATCACTTAAGGAATGGAGATACAATTGTATTTACATGTATATGAGGTAGAAGTAGTAGATAAAAGGGAATTAGTAATTACTGGATTGGGGAAGGCAGTGCAAATGGTAGGGTAATAGAGGAAGATCAAGGAGAAGGTATCAGATGTGTTTTGAAAAGTGAATGACAGGGAAAACAGAGAAAGGGTATTTCAAGCGTAAGTAATAGCACAAGTATAGAGAAAATTATGTAATGGTACAAATTTGCTGCTGTGGAATTGAGATTAATAGAGATAAGTAGACCTGGCCAGATCCTAAAAGGGTTTAGTGATGCAGGGAAGTTAGATTGTACGTTAGAGTGTGGAGGCCATTGAAATTGAAGAATTTTTTAGTCTTTTTCATTGAAATATAACATTGAAGTTTGTTAAAGGATATACAAATATAAATTTGTAGCTCAAGGGATTTTCACAAAATTAAACACACCAGCAATGCAGAGCACTCCTTATGTGTTTTCTCATTCATTATCTTCCTCAAATGTTTTTCTGTCAGTCAACATATGTTTTTTCTGTTTCTGAGTTTAATGTAAAAATAACCATAGAATATGTACTTGTTTTTGTCGTCTTCTGCATAATAATGCTTGTTTTATTTATCTTTGTTGCATGTAGCTTTAGTTTTGTTTTTTTATTTCTTTAAGGTATGTCATTATTTGAATGTGCCACAACTAATTTCTACTTTATATTGTCCTTTAATTTTAAAAAATTGTTTTTAATAATGCTATTATGAACATTCTTTTTGAGATGGAGTTTCACTCTTGTAACCCACCCTGGAGTACAATGGTAGGCTCTCGGCTCACTACAACCTCCGCCTCCCGGGTTCAAGCGATTCTTCTGTTTCAGCCTCCTGAGTAGCTGGGTTTACAGGTGCCCACCACGCCTGACTAATTTTTGTATTTTTACTAGAGACAAGGTTTCACCATGTTGGCCAGGCTGGTCTCAAACTCCTGAACCTCAGGTGATCCACCCGCCTCGGCCTCCCAAAGTGCTGGAATTACAGGCGTGAAGCCACCGCAGCCGGCCTATTATGAACATTCTTGTGCATGACTTTTGTGACACATATACACATTTCCATTTCTAGTATTTTGGATTTTTTTTTTTAAATTTTGGCATATGTGCATTATACTTATCAGTTAGTTCAGCATCCCTAATCTGAAATGCTCCAATGAGCATTTTCTTTAACTGTCATGTTGGCTCTCAAAAAGTTAACAGATTTTTGGAGCATTTGAGATTTTGGATTAGGTATGCCCACCTGTATATCTTTAGCATTAACAGATACTTCCACATAGTTTTCCAAGGTGGTTGTATTTGTTTACGTTTCTACCAGCAGTATGTGAGGCTAGTTCAACTTGTCCTATGGTTTCTTAACATTTTGTTATACGAGTTTTTTTTGTTTTTTTTTTTTTTTTTGTATTTTAACCATTCTAGTGTGTGTATAGTGTTTTGTCATGGTTTTGATTTGTACTTCCCTAATGATGACTGCTTTTTTGTATGTTTATTAGCCATTTGTATATCCTCTTGTGAAGTGTGCAGAATCTTTTACCTATCTCTAATGTCTCTTGCTTACCAGTTTGTAAGAATTCTTTATATATTTTAGCTGTGACTCTTATCAGAAATTCTATGCTTTTTCACTGTCTTAATGACGACTTTGATAAACTTTTTATCAAATTGCTTTTTAACAAAATCCAATTTGTCCATCATTTTGTTTATGACTAGTGCTTTCCATGTTCTATTTAAGAAATCGTTGCTTACTTCAGGGCTGTGAGTGTTTTCTCATATGGAGGCACATTTAAATATGTAAATGACCTGGAACTGATTATTGTATAAGGTGTGACATGGATGTAATTAAAGAACTTTAAACAAAAGGGTGATAGTAATTTGATAATTAGTAGAAAATAGAAGTCGAAGGCTGAGAAATAGTAGAAACCTGTTAGTATAGTCTGATTGCTTAAAATCTGCTAGCTTATGAGGAAGATTAACAAATTAATATATTCAAGTCAAATTGATGAGATTTCATTATAGACTGCCTATGGGTGGAGGGAGAGGAGATGCTGAAGAGGAACGAATGGATTTTGCTTTGAGAAACTGAGTCTGTACGGTGCCATCAAATAATATGGGGAAAAGAATGGACTGTGGGGGCAATAGCATTAAGTTTAGTAGATGCTAACATACTGAGTTTTATGTTCTTGTGAAATATCTTAAGGAGAAATACACATCTAATACTGTACTTTGGATTTATAAAAGATAAACACAGAATTTTATTTTCTGTTTGTAGGTAGTGCTATAAATACAAAAATAGAAAATATACTACTGGCTACATCCATGTTTTATTAACATAATTTTTTGTGAATTCATCTGTAGAGCCTCCATCTACAGCAGCAATGGGGCCCGGATCTTCCAGACAAACCCTGGATATATATATAGGTCTGCAGCTCATTTTACCCTTTATAGGGATAAGAAATCACCATCACTCTAGAACTTCCAGAATTGCTTATTAGATTTCTCATATTATTTGACAATACTTACATGGAGTTTACTGTACACATAAGTCATGCAGTAACTGTATTTTTATTGAGAGTATTAATCCCTTGGTTTCAACATTGTTTTTGAAATTAGTAACTAAGTAAGTACTTGAATATGATTGGATGGGATCTCATACTCAAAAGGCTGAAAGCATCTTAATATGACTTTCTCAAAGGAACCTAAAACTTAACCAAGTCCAAAAGGGAATCATTTTTCATTTTTTAACAGAATGGCGTGGGATGGATTTATGAATTTTCTAGGTAATTGTCATTTAAGTATTTTGCAAAGTTCGTAGAGGTCACCAATACTGCAAATATGTATGAGATGTAACTGTAAGATACGCAGCTAATTTTTTTTCTCTTTGTTTCCTTTTTAGACATACCAGGGTCTAGAGAGTCTAGAAGAAGTCTGTGTATATCATTCTGGAGTACCTATTTTCCATGAGGGGTAACTTATGCATGACTTATTAAAATAGTTTATGGTAGAATTTAGAAAGTTAAACCTTTCTGTCTTTAAACATTGTTTGCCATGCAGTGTTATTAGGCATTTTACTTACATTGCCATTAACATCTTCACAATAGCCTACACAAACACAGGGGTTTGTATGTTGTGTGTTTATACATGAGAAAACAGAAACAAGGTTACAGTTCTTAAGTGGTCATTGTGATATAAACTGCCTGTTTTTCTTCATATTCTGTATTTAAAAGTGATGCTATTTGGGCTAAATGTTTTGTTTGAAGGACTGTCCTACACATTGCAGGGCATTTAGAATTTTGGGCCCTGGGGCACTAAGACAACATTATCCCAAGACGACCCATACTTTTCCGCATCCTGCAGTTGAGAGCCTCTCTTCTGTATTATGCTCTAGTTTATAGAAATGCAGCACTGTGTAAAAATCTTCCACTCTGTTTCCACATTCTTCCTGATATACTGTACATTCATTTTTAGTAACTTAGACACTTGTAAAATGCTAGAGTTTGTACACTTACTGGCTTATTAAAAATCAGATTTATCCCTAAAATACTTGTGGATTTAATTGGTTGTGAGATTTTATTTCTGAAGTTTTTCTGTGATAATTTAAAGGATGAAATACTGGAGCTGTTGTAGAAGAAAAACTTCTGATTTTAATACATTCTTAGCCCAAGAGGGCTGTACAAAAGGGAAACACATGTGGACTAAAAAAGATGCTGTAAGTAACTCTTCCAAAAATAGCACACTGGGTTTATATTCATCTGAGTCATTTTTTAAAGATTTGAAATTATTCTGTCTTTAGATTTTAAAAAAAAGTTTTCTTTTTTGCACCATAGAGCTTTGATGTGACTACGAAATAAAATGAATCTGAGTCAAGCTGCCAGTGTACTGCCTTTTGAGCAAAATAGCCATTGTCTGTTTTGATGCAAGCATGTGAGGTTTTGTGAAATACTTAAGCCTGACAAAATTGAAGAATTTTTGTCTTCTTTAATTAATAAAATTAGCTCCATGGCCTCTTCCTACTTTTTGTTTTTTAAAAATTACTTTTCTATGAATTTGATGACGTTAAACGTTTAGACCTCTGTTATTCTTTTGGCCACTTAAAACTTCAATCATTTACAGATGCACAAACACTCCATCTAGTGGCCAGAGAGGAGGATTGCAGTCTTGTTTCAGTGGAATTGTTTTGAATGCCTCTGCTTGCTAATGGGATATTTATCAAAAGGGGGGAAAAAAGCATCATTTCCTACTTCCCTGGACAGCTTTTTAAAAAGACTTGGGGGCTATGCAAATAATTTCCCAAAACCCCATTAAATTGTGAGAGGATGAGCAACTTATTGCTCAATAAGTTTTTGTCTGTTAGCTATTGTTAATGTATTTTATAATGTATTAAATTTTCAAATTAATTTAGAGATTTCAATATTTTAGTCTTCTGTAGTTGCTGCCCCTCCCCCACTTTTTTTTTTCTTGAGACAGAGTCTCGCTCTGTCGCCCAGACGTGCAGTGCAGGCTCACTGCAACCTCCGCCTCCCGGGTTCAAGCAGTTATCCTGCCTCAGCCTCCCTAGTAGCTGGGACTACAGGTGCGTACCACCACGCCCAGCTAATTTTTTTGTATATTTAATAGAGACAGGTTTTCACCATCTTGGCTAGGCTGGTCTTGGACTCCTGACCTCGTGATCCACCCGCCTCGACCTCCAAAAGTGCTGGGATTATAGGCGTGAGCCACCGCGCCTGGCCCTAGTTGCTTTTTAATAACACATGGTTGGATATTATAAAAATACCCTGAAGTTATAAAAATTCATCTACCACAAAACTATCAGAAATGTTTTTAAATAAAAAGAGTGTATTTTTTATAGTCCAAAAGTTTGAAAATTTTAGTTTGAAAAAATAAAATGTTGTTTTCCATTATGTTAAGTTTGGGAGTATAATCCTAGATAAAATGATGTAATTTCTCTTGTTTTTTAATGTATGCAGTTATCAAGTATTAAGTATCTAAGCTAGTAGCTAAGGGGAAAAATGTGAGTGATATATATAATTTAAATTTAGTTAATGTAATTTTATCAAAACGAAAATAGTACCTTTTACAACAGTAGTGTCTCAGTTTCCTGAATTATGTAACTAAATTGTTCTCATTTATATAACAAATCATCATTTGCCTCTATAAAAAAAAATACTGGTAGGGCAGTATAGTATACTACTGGTATGTAAGGATTATTTTCATAATCAGAAAATCCAAAAATCATTTGTTCTTTATTAAAATGGGAAGAAAGTAATAACTGGTCAGATTTTTTTCTTAGATTCTGATTTGTAGAAAATAAATAAGGTTTCTAGTGCATGAGGTTAAGGTGTTGTCTGATTTATCCCAGTAAACAAATGTCTTTCATTTCAGTCTTCAAAGAATGTTTTGATGACAGTACTTAGTAGGTTACAGAATGTTAAATTGGATTAAATTTAGTAGGAGTTCTTAAATTGTCTTTTTAGCTGTGTATCAATATTATGGCCCTGAAAGAAAAAAACAAAGGGAAGGAGTAAGTGTGTTCTGAAATCATAAAATTTATGAAGAATCTTTGTACCATGATATATTTTCTTGTTTAAGCCTCTTGGGAAATATAGAAGTTTTTTGCCCTTAAACATTAAGTGCTTAGTTGTTGTGCATGGTAGTTTTTTCTCAGATGGGTCAAATTCCTCTTTTTAAGAAATTAATTATGTGGCACTTTTTTAACTTACAGAGTTTCTCTTACATTACAGGGGAAAAAAGTTGTTCCATGTAGACATGACTGGCATCAGACTGGAGGTGAAGTTACCATTTCAGTATATGCTAAAAACTCACTTCCAGAACTTAGCCGAGTAGAAGCAAATAGCACATTGGTAAGTACATCTTATAATTTTGGGTAAAAGTTCTTTTCTATACATCATTCTTTATGTTACTGTATTTTAAAGTATTGTTTATATCTCAGCTGATTTGGGGGTAAGATTTTATAATGACTCCCATTAAAAAAAATTAAATTACTTCTATGAAACTATTTTAAATGAAAATTTCTGTATAGTAGACTTACTGCTGAACCATTCTGGAGATACTGTAGTAGATTTATCAAGTAATATAGTACTTAGTTCTCAATATGAAACTTGAAGCCAGTTATTCTTTTTTGTCAGTGGCTTTTCTCATATGAAACAATACAGTATTGGCAGTTTCTTAAAATAGCTTAATTCATTTTTGTCAGTCTTATTTTTATAATCAGTGTTTGATAGCATAAATCTTCAGTTTGAATTAGATCAATTAACTGTGTATATCTTTTTCAGTTAAATGTGCATATTGTATTTGAAGGAGAGAAGGAATTTGATCAAAATGTGAAATTATGGGGTGTAAGTATTACAAATTTATAAGAATTTTTTTTCTGATAACTTAGATCATTTGTAGAATAAAAGACAATTCTTCAGTAAACATTGATGCAAAGTATAGATGTATAACTTAACAGTGTATCCTACCAAAAAGTTTAAGACTAGATATAAAAGAGGCCTTTAGAAGCTTGGATTTGGGATTATTGGCATAAGCAAGTCTGATGTTTTCCTCTGAGACTAATAAAACTACTGAGGTTTCCTGTAATTCTCTTTGATATGTTACAGGTGATTGATGTAAAGCGAAGTTATGTAACTATGACTGCAACAAAGATTGAAATCACTATGAGAAAAGCTGAACCGATGCAGTGGGCAAGCCTTGAACTGCCTGCAGCTAAAAAGCAGGAAAAACAAAAAGATGCCACAACAGATTGAGTGGGAGATGGAAGGAAGGCTATTACATTATTTCCGAATTTTTAATACTGTGTGAAGTGGTGGCTTGCTGCTGTAATCTTTTGTTTTGTTGTTGTGTTACTGAATGTGGCATTTCAGGGTTAACATTAGGTTCTTAAAAGCCAAAGTCAGTTTGTCTTTTTGTGCCTCTCATCTTTCTTTTGTGTTATGTAAGATTGATTATTCATTTCTCCCTACTGGTAGGAACCATAGTTGTGTCCTATACTTGAAGAGGCTGGAAAGTAGCCCATAACCATAATTGCAGTATTTCTTTGTATTTCTCTGTTAAGCAAAGAAATATTAAGGAACATTTTTTTTATGTTTTTGTATTATTCCATAATTAGTAAAGCAAGATGAAATGTCAAATTTTAATCAGTTTTTTCATGGATTTGTGTTCTTACAGTACTTGAAAATATTTAAGGAAGAGATGAAGCTCTGCAGTTTTTTCTATGTGGGATGATTACTTTTTTAAGGAGGATTAATTCTGAGGTAGTATAGTAACTAAAGGGGAATATATGAATTGTTTAACAAATTAGAATTTGTTTACAACTACTTGAATTTTTAAATTATGTCAAAACTTACATTACTTGCCAAGCAGTATGATGTTATAGGAAACATAAATAAGATTACAGAGGTATCAATTTGGTTAAAATTCACCATTTTATAAGACTAAGCAATAATCTTAACAACCTCTTTCCTGAATATTTAAATGTGTTTGTATGGTGTTATGACTAATTGTTACTGATTTAGAGACTAAGCCCTCTTAAAACCTTTAGTTAAATATAAAAAGAAATTATATATATCTTGCCTCCCTGATGGAAAACTATATAAAATTGTAGACTTAAAAGGTTTGTGGAAATACATTAGGATATCAGAAAACTAAATATATGGAGTTGCTTTATGACTATTACATGTTAAATAAAAATAGCTTAATTGTTTTGGAGTTTTTTTTTAAAGTCATGAAGAGCTTCACAATTCTAGTGATACAATGTTGACTATATATTGTACTTTATATTAAATATAGGTAATACAGAATTAGATCGTTTGGATAGGTTTTGAGTTAGTGCAGAACTCAAGAAGAAAAATTAGGAAATATTCTGAAGGCCAGAACTCTGGAAGAACTTAGAAAGTTTGGGAATAAATTAAACTTATGTAGATTTAAAATTAAAAGGGGTTTATTTCCCAAACCCCTTGAGTCTTTTCTTTTCCTTGGTATTTATGGAATTCTTACAAAGAAAAATTTGCAGAAGTACTATTTTCGTGAATAAAACATATGTATCATTCTACTACCATTAGCAAATAACTTAGTTGTAGTTAATATAATTGTTAAAAGGTTTAGCTCTGTTACAAATAAAAACATAAAGATCTGGCAACCAGACTTTCATGATGTTACATTACCATGACAAGAAACTCTGGGCAGTAAAAGTTGGACCCACATGGAGTACATAAGCATCTGATACCTGGAGATGTATTTAAAATTTTTCAAGTTATCTTCCATGATTTAGGAACCATTTAGAGACATGAAGTCTTTATGGGTTGGGGGAAAGGTTGATAATTAGTTTGATTAAAGGTAATGATTAATATCCCTTTTTGTTCATACTTCCTTCTGAGGCTGTTTTCCCCTAAACAGTATCTTAATCTGTTACATGTAATTGAAATATTATTTGAAGCAGTGAGTTATTGTAACCTCAGATTAGTTACATTGATCAAAACATTGATTTATACACACACACACACACATACATATGTAGCTTTTATATTTAGTCTGGTTACATTAGTGACCATGGTATTTACTTTCTTCTTAAGGAGCCTTTGAATTTCTTGTCCAGATAAAAATCCGAATATTTCTCTTAGACTCATACATAAAGGGACACAGTTATCGTTAGGTAGCATATGTTTTACTATCGGTTTGTCAAAAAAGTTAATAAAAAGTGCTTATTGATTTATTTCTCTAGAAATTTGCTTTGTCTTTTTTAGCATTAAAAATAATTACTATAGCAAAGCAGTCAAAGTTAGGTATATTATATATATACTTGGTAACTAAAGATGGGAAACCTAAAATGCTATTTTTCTTTCATAGCACATTTACTAGTATAAAGGAAGTAAGATCCTAATAAACTGAGCCTTTATTTAACTTCTTTGACCTAGTTTTAGGTTTACAGAAAAGTTGTAAAAATACAACAGTTCTTTATGTCTTATATTAATCTTAATGTTAAAATCTTACGTTATCATAGAACATTTATAAAACTTAAGAAATTAACCTTTGTATAATACTATTAACTAAAGTAGAACATTTTATTTTTACCATCTGTTTTTAGTGGAATTCTTCAAGGTCTTAAGACTTGTCCTACTTTTTTGGTAATAATTTAAGCCAGTAATTTATAAACAATTAAGATATGATTAGGAATCAACAAATGTTTATAGGTTGAAGATGTAACTTCTTGGTGTAACTATACTGGCAAAGGACTGTAATGATTTTACTTTATTCTAATTTATATTTTATGCAAGGATTTAATTAAGAATTTTCTTCAGAAAATTATTCAACCATCAAAGTGTAGAGAAACTTAAAGAGTTCTTGCAAATATTTTAAAGGGACTTTGAGTTATTTCCCCTCTCCGAACTCCCAATTTTTTTTTTTTTTTTAATCAGTTATTCCTCAGCCTGAAAATTTATGTCATGCGTATACTCACAGTAAGTAAACTTTTTTTTTTTTATTTTTTTTATTTATTTATTTTTTTTTTTTTGAGACGGAGTCTCGCTCTGTCGCCCAGGCTGGAGTGCAGTGGCGGGATCTCGGCTCACTGCAAGCTCCGCCTCCCGGGTTCACGCCATTCTCCTGCCTCAGCTTCCCAAGTAGCTGGGACTACAGGCGCCCGCCACTACGCCCGGCTAATTTTTTGTATTTTTTTTTTTTAGTAGAGACGGGGTTTCACCGTTTTAGCCGGGATGGTCTCGATCTCCTGACCTCGTGATCCGCCCGCCTCGGCCTCCCAAAGTGCTGGGATTACAGGCGTGAGCCACCGCGCCCGGCCAAGTAAACTCTTAAAAGCTCATTTATGAGGGCTGGTGTCCCTTTTAGGATATATGGGTATGTACTCTGTAAATTTTGTTTTTAGCAGTCAGGTACTTTTAAATTATCTATTTGAACATTAACAGGGTTTTTTTTTGTTGTTCATCTTTTATGGCAAATTATTTTGACTTGGCATTCATATTTGTTATTTACTTTGTTTTCACCAGTATAATTCCATGGCCTCAGTTTTGAAATGCAAGCTATTAAGCCCAGCTTGTTTTTAGGTTTTGTTAATAGGGTTTTCTGTTTCATTTGTTTTGATTGTTTGATAGGTTTTTTGTTGTTGTTGTTAATTATCCCTGACTGCTTCCCTACTGCCCAGGTATCTTAACAACTTAATCTGGTGGTGTTGGATGGCTTGCCTTCTTCAGTTACGTATATGCCTATGGCTTTATACATATGGCACTATCTCTAAAATACCAGGCTTGCAGAGGTTTTCTTCTGCATGTTCTTTAACTTTTTAACAGAATTCTTCATTGTGAAGATTATCTTTAAGAACAGTTTTTCTGAAGACCATGTTTTCACTAAAAACTCAATGACTTTTCTTAGTTTTTCCGTTTAGTGGGTCACCTTTAATGTCCATTGAAAAGAAATATAACTTCCAGCCTTAAACATTTTTATGTTTCTTAAAGATTATGTGTCAAAATAATTCAATTTGCCATTCCTTTTTCATTAGGCAGAGATGCTGCTTAAATGTTTAAATTATTTTTTAAAAACTTTGCTAATAAAAGTAAAATCAGTGATTGAGTCTGGAAAAGGGAAACCTCCCTGAACTTGAGGCACTTTCCCCTCGTTCAGTAAAGAGGTTAGATGGATGTATTAATATTTTTAAACACCCTGATCCTTTTCTTCATTTTGCTTATTTCATTTTGCAGTTTCATATTTATTCAGATTTTATTTTTATGATTAACTTGTTAATCTTCTTTACCATGCTGTGAGGTGGGTTTTTTTATTCTTATATTACAGATGAGGAAACTGACTTTATGACATTGGTTAAGTAGCTTATCCAGAGTTCAGACTAATGAGTTGTGGTATAAAGATTTCAAACTCATGCAGCCTGCCTCTGTGTTGTTCCATGCTCTTAACCACTATTCTGTGCTGCTTCTGATATAACATGGGCATATAGCATGGAAAACTCTTAATGTGTTTGGTAACCAGGAACAATTTTTTTGTTGTGTTAGTAAAGTTATAAAATTATGTAGTAATTTTGCCTGGATGGTTTTGGATATAATAGCCAATTCATCACTTGTGATTTGATGACTCTTAGGGTCTCTAGTTTTTCTTAACAGCCTCCAAATTGAAGTTTCAGAATCCTTACTGCAAAAAGCACAAAAGTTTTCATTGCCATTTTGATAGTGATATGTAGCTCGTAAATAATAATTCTTACCTCTGTGTTAGATAAAACATCCAGTAAAACAGCATCAAGTTTAGCTTTGATAGAAGGGAACAATTAGAGTTGGTGTAGAGACAGACCAGTTAGGATGAGGGCATGAAATACAGCAGAAGCAGTAGGAAGAGAAGAGAGACTGAGGATCTTGAATTAGGGTCTAGATGAAAATTTAGGATGATTCCTAGGTTTGGGAATGGAGGGAGAGCTTAAACAAGATAGAGAATATAGACACAGATTTTGGAGGAAATGATTTTCTCAAGGGACTGCTGAGTCCAAGGAATGTTTACAAATCCTCAAGAAGTACTCCAGGCTATTTGTAAGATCTGAGGCTCATAGGCCTTTTCTGGCTCTCAGGATTTAGAGTCGTAATAGGCAGTAATGTAAATTCACTAGCTAACTTTGAGGTTGCAACATTCATAGCACTCTGAACTTTGAGGGCATCTTGTTTTAATTCAAAAAACTGGTAATCCCTGCTTTTGATTGTGATGTAAGTAGCAGTACACAAGCATGGGAATAAGTAAATCCAATAAAGGAGTATTTAGGCTCACCTGCTAAATACTCAGTGTGCCACCCAAACCATCTGTAATGGGTCCCCTTATTGAAAACATTCTTTTTCCAGAATGGGCAAGGAAGGCTGGATGGGCAAAAGCAAAATAAATGTACCACAGACCCTTGATTCTGTTAGTATCAGTGATAAAACATGATTGATAAAACTAGGCATGATACATTCTTAAGGTACAGAAAAATGTGGAAATTGTGTCAAGAAAATTCACAAATTTTAAATGGTTCTTTAGGCTGATAGTAATAAATGGGATCATTATAATTTTATGTAAAACCTTCAAAGGCTTCCTACTAAAGAAAGCTGAATTCCAGTAACAGATTGAGCCCAGACTACTCAGTTCATATTTGAGGCCAACTTAGACTATTTTTGATGCCTTAAAGATTCCTTCAAGTCCCCTTTCTCTTTCTACCATACCCCCAGTAAAGCTACTTAAAATCCTCTGTAGGAAAGAGCTGAGTAATTGGGGGCAGAGATGGAGGACAAATTTAAGGGAACAGAAAGCCATTGGGAAGACAAATGAAAGCCAGAATCTGAAGATAATTTTAAAACCTTCAGGGAAAGTAGGTGTCTAATCACAGGACTTAATTCACTTGAGTAGAAATTTGTAATTTAGCCATAGGAATTTAGGAAGTGTTAGTTACAAGAGGTAACTTGAAGCTGTGGACATGATGATAGCTTTTGTTGCATAATTAGAATGTGCCAAACACTTTGCTAAGTGCTTATGATAGCTTTTCTCTTCAGAACATCACCATGATTATTTACAGTATAACCTGTATTTTACAGATGGAGAAATGTAGGCAAAGGAAAGGGGCATAACTTGCCTCCAGGGTCACATAGATAGCAAATGATGAAATTTAATTTTAAAATTAGAAACTGATTCCAAAGTCCTTACACTCTTAACCATGAAACTGAAGACATCTAAGTCACCACGCAAAACCCAGAATCTAAATGGCCATTTATTAGTGCTTATTCCTTTATTTCCTAATATTAATTAAATGACTTAATTACCATGAGAAGATAATGTGCTTTCAGTTTTCGCAGTAGTTAGTTCAGCCATTGATTTTCTTACTAAGAACCTCTAAAAGGCCAATGGGCAGTTGACAAAAATTAGGGATGGATTCTGCAGCTGTAAGACCAAGTGAAAGTAAAAGGCCCATGGCGGTAAATTTGTCCCTTGCAGGCAGTTTGTTCTAAATGCTTGTGCCTAGAAATAAACTTAGCCTTATTATCATCTGGACTCTGAGCAATTTTTGCATCTCAGTATTCTTAGATGTGGATGATTAAAAGGCCACGTATGAAGGCAGCTAACATAAGACACTTTGTGGGAGTGAGATAATTCATTAAAATCAAATATTAGTGTATTAGGCAAACAAATTCAATCATTTCAGTTATGTAAAGCTAGCTGGGTTCTCAGTTTTAGCAAGTTAGGGAAGATATCACATTACAGGAGAAAGACAATCTAAAAGTTTTTGAAGTTTTAATGGATTTAACCACTTGTAAAATGTTATAAATTGTAGGACACTTCTCCCAGAGAGATCCTCTAGCATACATGGATGATTTACTTTTCATATTTATGATTTGGCAGGAAAGTTTGAGTTCATTTGAAGTTAGGCTTTTTAATAGTTTTTCTCCTCCCAGTGAATTTTTCTGAGTTGATAGGTGTAAAATTTATAGATTTTATTGATAATAAAAGTTTGTAAGCATCTTTAATGTAGCGATTCCATTGCTTATTTTTTATTCAGCACTCAGGTCACTTCCTATGTGCTGGAGATAATTAAAGACTCCACTTCCAAGAAAGGATACAACAAGGAAAATAAGAGGTTGTTAAATAAAAATTATGCCAAAGATAAGCCTGTAGAAAGCTTCTGTGGTGCGTATTTGGTAGATTTTATGGATGGATTTCGTGAAGGATAAATAGCAGAGTCCTGAGGGGGGAAAAAAGGATAGAAGTGGCCAAATACAAGAGAGGAAATGGGAGAAAGAATAGGATATGAAGAAGCCTGGCATTGAGAGGTGGTATTGGCCTGTTAAGAAAACTTGTTTGCCTAGCCCCTAAGTTCTAGTCTCACTCAGTATTGGGTTTAGGGCTCCTCTAGATTCTAGTACATCATGATAGATCATGCAGTCAGTAAAAGTCCTGCTGATTTTCCCCAGTAAAGTGCTTTAGTCCACACAAAGCCTGATCTTTAATCCATGCCTAGAATTGGCAAATGATGCCAGGAAAGAAAACAGTTGGTAGTCTCAGCTATGTAGAAAAGACAAAGACTTTTAGTACATCTAGTCTTAAGCGCTTCCACAGCTCTTTCGTATCTGTAATGTATTTTGCATTTGATCCATTTTTTCCTAGTTACTGCACCTGGGAGCGACTGCCAGTACTACCACATCATTTCGGTAGTGGAGGTCCCCATTGAAGGTTTTTTTCATAGCACATAGCATGATCACGTCTAGGAAGATCGTTCTGGCTGTAGATAGTATAATTATCTACTAATACAAAGGGGGAAAGGACGTGAGATGATGTGAAAGGAAGTTTTGCATCATTTACTTGAAAGATACTGTTCTTCTGAATTTAATCACATTGGGGATTGGAAAAAGTAGATGAATAAAAATTAAAAAGAAAAAAACAAATGAGTTCATGAAGTTAAGCAATTAAAGAAAAAGACAAATCTAATACAGTACTGTAATTATTTCAAAGGTTACTATTTTACCCTAAACTCATTTCTATACTTGAAAGTTCAAGGATCGATTGATATTTTTGAAATTCTGAACTAAATGGAAATATTAAGATGGCTCATGTGTGCATATATAAATGTTATTTGTATCCTCAGAATAAACTAATAAATTTCAAGGGTACAAAATAGGATTACTATTTGTGAACTGTATTGTATCCCAGAACTCTGTACTTTTGTCTGTTCAAAATGAAAACAGTAGTTATTATATTATTTTAACCCTTATAAAAGGGAATATGATGTAAAAAATTTTAGCAATTCAGTACAGAGTACAAGTCACATAAAAGTCTACCACCGAAATGCAAGCACTATTTGTATTTTGTTTGATATTCATATATTTAGTTTTATCACTTTTTTTAACCAGTAAGTCATGGACAACTTACTATATAAGTGAAAAATGTATATATGATCATTGTATGATCATTTTTATATTATACTATAATCAATTCTCCATTGATATTTAGCTTGTGATTTTTTTTTTTTACTATTTTTTACTGTGATAAAAAATGCTGTGGTAAACACCTTTGTGTCACATACATTGTCATTCTGTCCAGTTTTCTCTATAGAAACCAATTTTTAGAATTTCTTGGTTAAAGTATATACATTTCACGTGCTTTTTTACTAGTTTTTATATTAGACAACTTCTGATTAAACATTTAGTTTAAATGATTAAAAGTATGGCATTACAATAAGAATTTATGGCTTATTTGATTTTAAAAGTAGGTCTTAAAACAGGCAATATACTGTGACAAGCAAAATATTTCCATGTCATTATTTCGTAAGTATCCTTAAGAGGAACAGTATCTCTCTCAGGACTTGGACCAAGGAATGAGATCAAAGGGGAATAATGATTAGCAGCTTAATTCAGCTGATCTCAAATGCTTAGGGGAAAAGTTTTTTTAAAAAGTTCAAACATATGCCCTATTTAACATGTGATAACACATATTCTATATTAAATATCCTGAATTGATTATAGTGCATGCCACACAATCACTTGTTCTGTTGCTAACAATCAGATATTGATTAAAAATGATTAAAAAAAACAAGAATTAAAGGAAAAATTAAATTGCAATAATTACTATTTTACTCCAAACTCATATTTCAGACCAAATATGCTGTTCTGGCAGCTCGCATTTGTCTTCAGGAAAACTACCAGTAGGAAGAACACCCAAGACATTTCTAAACCTTTGTGCTTTGTCTCCTTTAGAAATGATAGAGTTGGAGGGAACTGATGCCCAGAGATACGTAGTGATCTACTCAGTTGGGTAGTAGATAGTATGATTCATGGGTCTTAATGCAGTATATTTTCTACAACACAGTGCTTCAAGGCAAAAGTTAAAGTGTTATACTTTGGTAGTGTAGCGTGGTAGTAAAGTTAACTCCCTTTTACAAAAGTCTTAATTGTGTATATTTATACTTCATAAATAGCACACCTTATTGCCTCTTTAAGCAGAAGGAATGGAACATATTTAAAAGTTACCTTGATGACAGAGTCATTGCTATACTTGCAACTTATTTTATTGTGGGGGATCAGTGAAATACCCTCTAGTAATACTGAGATGTATAGAAAATGCCCCTAAACTAAATGCCCCCACTGTTTTAAGTTAAACTGTATTGTTGGCCTGGGAGCAAGGGTAATGGGTAGTTTTTCCTTGTAGTTAAGCTTTGAGCTGTCATTTCTTATTTTAGTTATTGTACTTGCCTATGAAGGCTCTTCTAATTTTTAATTCTTAACTCGTTTTGGTGAAGTAGATGAACAACCAAGTTTATTGAAGCTTTAATCATAGTTGAACATGTAATTGAGTCACTGGGATCTGCATAAAAGTTTGCAGATTCTGATATACAGTCTTTATAGGAGTTAGAATATGAAGATTGTAGTAGCTATTTTCATCACCCATCAGACTTATATGTTTATTCAGTAGAGCTGAAATTATTAAATGTATGAATATTACTGGCTTTTTCCTGACCATTCACACTTCATGGTGATTTCACAAGAGAAGGTATATGATTCTGGTTTCCTTGCAGACTTGTTTTTTATAATCACGTTTATTGAGGCTTAATTTTCATACAATAAATTTTATATATATTTTAAGTTTACAATTTGCCACTCAGATCAAGATACGGAAAATTCTCATCTATTGGAGAAAGTTTCCTCATACTTCTTTGCAGCCATCCTCCCCAACCTGCCACTTGGCCCAGGCAATCACTAATCTAATTTTTAACACTACAGATTAGTTTGCCACTTCATCTAAATAGAAACATATTTTATGTAGTTGTTTGTCTGGCTTTTTTCCTTCAACAATGTCTGCCAATAATATTGCATTTATTGAAAGTTACTTCATTTTTATTGCTGAGTAGTAAGTAGTCTATTGTGTAATGGATACCACAGTTTATACATTCGTCTGTGGATGGACATTTGGGGTTTTTACGCTTTTAAGTTGCAATGAACATGCATACAAGTATTGCTGTGATCATTGTTTTTCCTTCTCTTGAATAAATAACTAGAAGTGGAATTCTGGAGTCCTAAAGTAAAAGTGTATGTTTAACTTTATAGGAAACTGCCAAACTGTTTTCAAAAGTGATTTTACCATTTTACATTCCCACACTCACAATGTCTGAGAATTCATGTTCCTTGCTATAATTTAGGGAATTTTCTTTTACTTTCTGCCACACAGGAGTTTTTTACTTCATTAGATTAACACTTTGCTAATATAATTATTAACTTTTAAAGAGCAAAAAAAAAAGGCTTTGCAGATGAAAAGACCAAAGCCTATAATCAAAACATGACATGAAAAGAGTTTAGAACACCCTGGCTTCATAAGTTATCAGAAAGGTGAATTTTATCCTCAGACTTTTAGCAACACCTTTAATGGCTAGCCACTTGAGACCTTCTATAATACTTCTTTCAGAGTTCCTGCTGCTGCTTGAATTGTAAAAGCTGCAATAGAAATATGTTTCTTTACTTCTTTCCAGGCCAAACGAGAGTTGGCTTTATTTTCAATATCAAAGATAGCATCATAGATTCCAGGAAATGATTCTCCAGCATATTTGTTGTGGCTACTTGGAGCAAATATGATGTGCCTAAAAGGAAGAAAACAAGGCAAATTGAACTAAAGTGTATACATGCATTTTGCATGCTTTTTGTTTAGACCACATGATGTTTCCTTGTGATACTCACTTTTGTTCCTATAATAAGAAGACAGTTGATCTGAGATACTTATGCGAATCATAATTTCAAGCCAGGAAAGAAGCTAACAATATGCATTCGCTAAGACATATCTCAGGAATCATATACCATGTTGCGAACCCAAAGCAGATGGAAGAAAGCAGGTTCTTTTAAGTTGTGCAGAATAATTGCTCAGCGTCCCGTAAGCATCCACAAATATGGTGATAACATGTAAGTTTATGGATGTTTTTAGTAAGAGGAGATTGAGAAAGATAATTTATTTTTGTGTTGCCTTTTAAAAATAGATTAAACAAGAATGACAGTTGTTCCCAATACTTTTTAGACATTAAAAAACAAGTAATTAAAGAAGCCTGTATTTCAAAGTGTTACAAATGGCAAGGATAATGACGTCCATTCCACAAAGGTAAGACAGTTATATGTGGGTTGCCCGCAAAGACACTCAACTTTTGATCTAAAAAGAAAGTTTTATAGTTGCTTTTCTACTTCAACATAAGTAGCTCAAGGGATCAAGCTACTTTCCGCAATAATGACGTAGAATTTTGCTTTCCAGAAAGGGATGTATTTTATTAATACATCAGGAATTAGGTCCAACAGTCAAACCCCAAAGCTTATTCTAGAGTAAATCTGTATGAAGCAATATAGAGCTCCATATAAGTCAGTATTAATGATTAATGATTAATGACAAATCTATAACACTCATCATTCAGATTTACCAAAGTACATCAGGATTTATTATCTTGGCTTTTAAATCTTAATATGGCCTCAGATGGATTTTTTTAAAATTAAAATCAGTTTATGTGCTAAGTTGTTTATAAGCATTGGTATCCTGACCTGTATATGAGTCAAGAAATTAGAGATGCAAGTCATAGATATTCCTTAGTATACTTACCCTCTTCTGGAGAATTGTAAAGGAAGAATATAGCAAAAAAAATTTGATATAGGAAGCGAATAACCTTTGAATCATTGATATGGCATTTAATATCTCAGTGACCTTTGGCAAATTGCCTAAGTTGTCTAAATTTGTCCCAGATTTGTAAAATAATTGAAATAATGTAGACTCTGCTTAGAGTAGTGACTGAGCAGGTTGTAGACTGAGACTGCCTGTTTTTTAAAAATCAGAATACTAGCATATTTACTATCAACAGAATACTATCAACTATCAGCCTTGTGGCCTTGCACTGGTTATTTAACCTCCCTGTGCCTGTTATCTTAAAAATGATGGTGATAAAAGTACTGTTCTAAAAGAATTGTGAGAATCAAATGTTGGATGAAAAGCATAGCTTGACATTTAATAGGTGTTCAGTAAATATTAGCTATTCTGAAACTAAATCCTTTCCCTAATTTTCTCAGATAAGAAGCAGGCAGCAAGCTAAAAGAAATGATCAGACAATTGGTAATGCTTAAGCAACTCAAATACCCTTTTATGAAATGGTGGACTCAAATAGCTATTCTAGTCCCATAAGAATTCAAACTCTGGTCTAGTTCTCAAGGTTTCAAGTATATGATGATTTAATTACCCTCCACAATGGACATTTCTGAATTTTTAAGAGGCATCAAGAACTACTGAGCAGACTAGAGAATATGGTCAACACTTCATAGTCTTTTTTCCTCAACCTTCCCCTCAGTACATAGTAAGTATTCACTGATGAGTTGTGATAATGCAAAATTTCTTTTTTTTTTTTGAGATAGAGTCTCGTTCTGTCGGCCCAGGCTGGAGTGCAGTGGCATGATCTCGGCTCACTGCAACCTCCACCTCCTGGGCTCAAGCAATTCTCCTGCCTCAGCCTCCCGAGTAGCTGGAATTACAGGTGCCTACCACCACGCCTGGCTAATTTTTGTATTTTTAGTAGAGATGGGGTTTCACCATGTTGGCCAGGCTGGTCTTAAACTCCTGACCTCAGGTAATCCACCCGCCTTAACCTCCCAAAGTGCTGGGATTACAGGCGTGAGCCACCATGCCCGGCCACAAATGTTTCTAGAATTTCATAATTAAATGCTTTGCAGCTTTTAAAGACTTTTACAGTATTTCACTTGATGTTTGCAAAAAAGGAAGCTTTATTTAATCCTTTTTAGATTCCATTACAGAGTGTGTTCATTTTATATTGCTGCTGTGCAAATTACCACCAACTTAGTGGCTTAAAAAAATTTATTATCTTACAGTTGGTCTGACATAAGTCTCACCAAGCTAAAATCAAGGTATGATCAGGGTCACATTCCTTCCTGGAGGCACTAGAGGAGAATCCTTTTCCTTGCTTTTCTAGCTTCTAGAGGCCTACCACATTCCTCCACCATCAAAATCCGCAACTGCATTTTAGATGAGTCTTTTCGCAATGGCATCACCCTAACTTTCTCTCCTGCCTGCCTCTTACAGGAAGACTTTTAAGGACCCTTGTGACTGCATCATTGGGACCACCAGTATAATTCAGAATACTGTCCCTATTTTAACTCAGCTGATTAGTGTGACTCATCCATCTGCCACCTTAATTCCTCTTTGTCATGTAACCTAACATATTCAAAGGTTCTGGGGTTAGAAAATAGAGATCTTTGGGAGGCCATTATTATGCTTACCACACAGAGCAATTAATTTTTGTGGAACTTTCATTAGGGAAAAAACGAGGAGTAATAGAATATAGAAAATGAGCTCAGTGGTAGATAAGGATTTATTACTTATTTGCCTTTGTTGTGATAGTTACAATATATTACCCACAACTCAAAAATAATTAAGTTTGCAAAATTTATCAAGCATGCTGCTATGGTCTGAATGTGTTCATTCCCCAAATTCGTATGTTGAAACTTAATTTCTAGTGTGACAGTATTAAGGGATTAGAGCCCTTATAAAAGAGAATGAAGAAAGCTAGCTAGCCCTTCCATCTGTTCTGCCAACTGAGGACGCCCTGAGAAAAATACCATATATGGGACAGGTGCTCATAAAACATTGAATTGGTTGACACTGATCTTGTACTTCCCAGCCCCTAGAACTGTGAGGAATAAATTTCTGTTTTTTATAAATTACCCAGTCTCAGGTATTTTGATATAGCAGCAGGAATGGACTAAGACACGTTTTTTATTCACAATAAACATTTAGTTATACTTCTGAATTTTAAGAAGAATGTTTTATATGTTCCACATTAACATTTTATTTTAAAATATGTACAATGTTTTCTGATTTATTCATTACTGAATCTCAACTGTTAAATCAAGTTTAACTTAAAGCTGCCTCCTTAAATATTTTAAGTTCAGCCTAAAGGTTTCTCTGTACATAGTGAACTATAACCTAAATGGAGTTGTCAACAGACTGAGTCTACTCTTGTGCCGATCACCAAGTTTTGGCCAATTAAAGGGGTCAGTTCAAACTGTTCAAATAAGGTAAATTCTGTGCTGTAACCAGTCTGGCTGTTTCTGTTACTCATTTCCGTTTTCTGTATGTCACTTTCCTTTTTCTGTCTGTAACTCTTCATCCATCACGTGGCTGCACTGGAGTCTCTCTGAGTCTATCATTCTTTGCTCAATTAAAGTCTGTTAAATATAATTTGGCTAATGTTTTTGTTTTAACAATACATACATATGTAATGTACATATATATATAATGGCTATACATACATACATCAGATTAGTCTAATTTTCTTAGTCTATCAATTCTACATGGTAGAACAATTTTATTACACTACAGATTTGGTAATCTCTCCATTCTTGAGGTTCATAAAATAGCAGATCTTAAAAATGTCATTGATCCATTATACGTACTGAAAGTTTTTACTCTTAGAGGTTTTATAAGATTTACAAGATCATTTTTAACCTGATATACATTGCTGGATGAGGAAAAAATAATTTTGAAATAAATTCTTTAAGACAAATGAGAAATTCTGGGTAGCTGGAATTGCTATTATAGCTACATTTATCTTAGCAGTTATTGGAAAAAGTGTGCATATGCAATATGTCATATCAATCCATAAAGTAATCCTTATGATCATGAAGGAAGAACTTATTTCCATACTACTGCAGTAGACTAAAACATAATAATATGAATTAGCATTAGAATATAATCTTAACATTCAGCTAATAGTTCAAAGTGCATTTTTAAAAATATGGTAGTCTTTGGAGGACAGTTTGGTAGTAACCTAATCAAATTTAAAAATGTGTTTACCCTGGGTCAAATGCTATTTCTAGTTCTAGATCCCTGAGGAATCGCCACACTGACTTCCACAATGGTTGAACTAGTTTACAGTCCCACCAACAGTGTAAAAGTGTTCCTATTTCTCCACATCCTCTCCAGCACCTGTTGTTTCCTGACTTTTTAATGATTGCCATTCTAACTGGTGTGAGATGGTATCTCATTGTGGTTTTGATTTGCATTTCTCTGATGGCCAGTGATGATGAGCATTTTTTCAAGTGTTTTTGGCTGCATAAATGTCTTCTTTTGAGAAGTGTCTGTTCATGTCCTTCGCCCACTTTTTGATGGGGTTGTTTTTTTCTTGTAAATTTGTTTGAGTTCATTGTAGATTCTGGATATTAGCCCTTTGTCAGATGAGTAGGTTGCGAAAATTTTCTCCCATTTTGTAGGTTGCCTGTTCACTCTGATGGTAGTTTCTTTTGCTGTGCAGAAGCTCTTTAGTTTAATTAGATCCCATTTGTCAATTTTGTCTTTTGTTGCCATTGCTTTTGGTGTTTTGGACATGAAGTCCTTGCCCATGCCTATGTCCTGAATGGTAATGCCTAGGTTTACTTCTAGGGTTTTTATGGTTTTAGGTCTAACGTTTAAGTCTTTAATCCATCTTGAATTGATTTTTGTATAAGGTGTAAGGAAGGGATCCAGTTTCAGCTTTCTACATATGGCTAGCCAGTTTTCCCAGCACCATTTATTAAATAGGGAATCCTTTCCCCATACCATTTGACCCAGCCATCCCATTACTGGGTATATACCCAAAGGACTATAAATCATGCTGCTATAAAGACACATGCACACATGTTTATTGCGGCATTATTCACAATAGCAAAGACTTGGAACCAACCCAAATGTCCAACAATGATAGACTGGATTAAGAAAATGTGGCACATATACACCATGGAATACTATGCAGCCATAAAAAATGATGAGTTCATGTCTTTTGTAGGGACATGGATGAAATTGGAAATCATCATTCTCAGTAAACTATCGCCAAGAACAAAAAACCAAACACCGCATATTCTCACTCATAGGTGGGAATTGAACAATGAGATCACATGGACACAGGAAGGGGAATATCACACTCTGGGGACTGTGGTGGGGTGGGGGGAGGAGGGAGGGATAGTATTGGGAGATATACCTAATGCTAGATGACGAGTTAGTGGGTGCAGCGCACCAGCATGGCACATGTATACATATGTAACTAACCTGCACAATGTGCACATGTACCCTAAAACTTAAAAGTATAATAAATAAATTTAAAAAAAAAAGATTACAAGTTCTTCAGTGTAAGCAAAATATCATGGACTCAAAAAGTCATGAGATGTGATCAAAAGCCAATGAGCCAGAAAAGGCAAATATGGCTGTACAAGTTGCTCATTTCTGTGAAAACAAATAAAATTTTAAATGTATATAAAAAAAAAAAAAAAAGTGTTTACCCTTTCACCCTGAAATCCCAGGTCCTGATTATAGAGATATTAACAAATGTTCAAATAGGACTCAAGGACATCCATACAATGCCATTACTTTTCATAATAGTAAATAATTGTGGAAAAATCCTAATCTGAAATTCAGTAAGAGGTAGATATTTTCACAAGAGTCAAATCTTTTATCTAAAAAAATGAAAAAAAATCTTAGAGATTGTCGAAGCTGGAGTGCAATGGCATGATCATAGCTCCACTGTAACATCAAGCTCCTGTGTTCAAGCAATCCCCCTGCCTTACCCTCCCAAGTAGCTAGGATTGCATGCACCACTACACCAGCTACTTTAAAAAATTTTTTGTAGAAACAGGGTCTCGCTGTGTTACCCAGGCTGGTCTTGAGCTCCTGGCCTCAAGCGATCCTCCTTTCTCAGCCTCCCAAAGCGCTGGGATTACAAGTGTGAGCCACCTCACCCAGCCTAAGATACATTCTTAAGGAAAAAAATAAAATTGTAACGTATGGTCCCATACATTATTTATGTAAATATAAATGGGTTTACATATTTATACATGTAAATATAAATGATTACATATGTAAATTTATAATATGTTAAATATAGATGTTTATGTAAATAAAAATTGTTTATATATTGTGTGTGTACACTTTTATGGAAATATTTGCATATATAGTATATAAATGTAATATATGTATATATAAATGTATATGTAAGTATATACAGTAATTCCTCAGTATCCATGGGGGATTGGTTCCAGAATCCCCTTTGGATACCAGAATTTAAGGATGCTCAACTCCCTTATATAAAATGGCTTACTATTTGCATATGACATATACAAGTCCTCCCAGATACTTTAAATCAGCTCTAGATTGCTTACAGCACCTAATACAATGTAAATGCTATGCAAATAGTTGTTTACTGTATTTAGGGAATAATGACCCAAAAAAGGTCTGTAAATCAGTACAGACACAACCATTCATTTTTTTTTCAAATATATTCTATCTGCAGTTGATGAATCAACAGATGTGGAACTCACAGATACAGAGGGCTGACTATATACATATATAAACATGTATATAAGTGCATTAAAACTTACACCAAACTCAACATTGAGTTTCACTGAAGAGAATAAAGAACTGGGTGTAGGGGGCAAGGGGGGAATGCTGAAGAAGCACTGCTCCTTTTTATTTTATATGCTTCTACAGAGCCTGAGTTTTTAAAATAATGACAAAATATAGATTTCTTATAAATAAATAGAAAATAAATATATAAAGATAGACTAATAACAACACCTGAGAGGACTAACAAACACTGTAGATACGGCTTTCGGCTTTTGTTTGATCCATATAAATAATTGATCATTGCTATTTCATTTGCATCAATGAAGAAACAAACATTTGTGTTTTTATTATTTATAAAAATAGCTGCCATTTATTGAGTGCATCCCTCTTGAGCTAAATCTTCTACAGGCCTTAAATCTACAGGCCTATTGAGTAAAAGCAATTATAATCTCCACTTAGTAGCTGAGGGATCTGAAGCTTAGAAAAATAATTTTTCCAGGTCACGTGAAGTATGTGGCAGAGCTGGGTTCTAAAAGCGTATGCTTGTAATTATCTAAATGTTAATATTAATCATTAACATTTATAAGAAAGGTAACATATAAACCTTTTTTGCATATTATTTGATGATAAATAGCCTTTAAAGTAGCAATTATCATCATCTTAATTCGGATGGGAAAACCCTAGAAGTTACTTGCTTTAAGTCACACATCTGCAAGTGAACTAGAATATAGATTTTCTGGCTTTGAATGCTAGGACCTTTCTAATTTCCACCAGAGAACCAGTTTTAGAAGGACCTTGAGAAAATGGAGAACATCCAAAGGGATGCAGCCAAGATACTGAAAGAGAACATGATGTAGAGATACAGATAGGAAAATAGGATACAGAGGCTTCGTGACTTAAAGATGAGTTGTTTTCTGATAAAACCATCATAAACTGAAAATATCACAAGTCAAAAATGCATTTAATATACCTAACCTACCAACAATCATAGCTTGGCCTAGCCTACCTTAAATGTGCTCAGAACACTTACATTAGCCTACAGTTGGGCAAAATTATCTAATGCAAAGCCTATTCTATAATGAAGTGTTGAATATCTCATGTAATTTATTGAATACTACACTGAATATGAAAACCAGAGTGGTTGCATGGGTACTTGAAGTATGGTTTCTACTTAATGTGTATTGCCTTTGCACCATCATAACGCCGAAAAATGAAATCTAACCATCGTTGAGAACCATCTCAAAAACCTAAAATACTATATGGAAATAGAGCTAAACTTATTTTATTTGACTTTAACAGAACAAACTCAAAGAGAAAAATATTACAGGAAAATAGATGTTAAATCTTTATGAAGAAAACTTTCTAATAATTAGACCTTTCATAAAGTGAAATGAGCCTCCTCATGAAGTAGTAAGCTTCTCATCACTAAAAGATTCTGAGACTGGATAACTATTTATCTGAGATTCTATAAAAAGGATTATGTAGAAGGTTGAACTAGATAAGCTCTAAAATTCCCTTTAAGATTCTACAGTTTGAAGATTTTGTTAGAAAGAGTTCTTTTTTAACTAGCCTTTACCATTTTCCCTCACAGCAAAGCAATAAACAATATGAAATTTATTTTTCTAATATGTATTATACCTATTATTAAATGTACAATCTTACCCAAATTCCCTAGAGTGTACATATTTGCCTTTCACCCATCTAATGGCATTAGTTTAAAGCCAACTTTAGGTATGCTGGTTTTGGTCACAGTGATGTATTTGGCGCCTGTTGTTTCCTTACCTATAGAACAGCTTTCCTGGTAAACCAAGAGGATCGATGAATGCTCTTTCCAGGAGCATCAGTTGGTCATTCATCATTCTCACTGCAATGGGACTTCGAGAAGAACATATACATAATTATAACGCAAACCGCAGAATCATGCTTCAAAAATAATATTAAATAAAAACAAGGCTTGGGAAAATATATTTCTAAAATTGATCAATTTTTAACAAAATGAATATTAACACAGTAATGCTTTACATGGTGAGCCACAAACAGCAGAGTCATCTTTCTAATATTTACAGTCAGCAGAGAGACCTATTGGAAAATCGTTTGTTATATTTTTTTACATCACACACCAATCAAAAGGGACTCAAAGACATTCTATACTTCTAGGAGGACAGCCAGGCCTCCTGGAAAGGCAGACAAAGTGAGCTATCAAGTTATTCCTGATAAGTCATTCGGTTCTACTGCTGAAAAAAGGAGCAGATAACAGGCTGGACAACAAAGAGTGAATGAAGGTTTCAGAAGCCTGTAAGGAGGGTAAGAGATAGCTGCACATAATGGATAGGGAATCCCTTGTCACACTCAGACTATCCCTTTGGGGAGTTGAGTAAGTTCCCTGGGCTCCCCTACAATCCAAAGGAGAATGAGGTCCCTTAAAACTACTGATAATAGCTTTCTTCCAATATGGGAAGTAGCAAAGTTTATTCTGATTACATCTGAAAAAATAAATGTGACATGGACACATCTGTGGATAAATTTATGCTTGTTACATGGTATTTACTTTGAATGTACTTTGAAACTATTTTCAATGTGAAAGTGGCAAGAAATTAAATAAAATGCAAAAAAAATTATCCATGAAAAAAGAATTTCTAAACTGGTACACAGGAGTACTGAACAAAGAACTAGTAAAATATATTACAAACGCACTTAAACTCATAAAGCTATGAATTTACAGCTGTAGTCAGAATTTTCATCATGCAGACTCCTAATGACAGGTACCTTTGGCCCTTGTCTCTTTGGGATGAGTTTTTAGTCTACCATTCAGAGCAGTGCTCCCCAAACTTTACTGTTAGTATAAATCATTGAAGGGCGGGGTGGGGGTGGTAGTTAAAATGCAAAATTCTAATTCAGCATGTCTTGGTTGGTGTCTGATATTTTGCCTTTCTAACAAGTTCTCAGGTACTACTGCTATTGCTGATTTGCAGACTATAATTTGAATAGTAGTGATTTAGAGGTTAATGCTAATATGAGTGAAACAGTTCATTCTAGTAACCAGATTGCTTTTTTTTTTTTTTTTAAAAAAAAAGGGATTTGAAACTTACTTGTTAAGATCAACTTGTATAAGTCGTTTATGAAAATCTGAAGCAGCCTCTGAGAAGTTTTTCACAGCAGAAAATAAGGAGTCTTTTTTAAAAATAGAAAAGAAGAAGAGAAATTAGCTCATATTTCAGAGGTTCGCTTTCCCACCCTCCCCATTCCAGATTGATATGACCACATAGATGTCGAAGCCATTTTTCTACTGAGTCTTCTTGCAGATCCATGAAAATTAGTAGAAAATATAACAAAGTAATATTGTTTGAAAACAAAAAATGGTAACATTGTTTCTTAAAGGAAATGACTTTCAAAAATCTAGGACACAAATAATTCCTTAACCCATAGTTTACCAGAAACCCAGAATTCATTTTTTTATTAATTCATTCATTCATTGGGACAACAACTGTATGCTAGACACTGGATACAGCTATGCATAGGATATGATTCTGTAATTATTACAGGGCAAAAAAAAATACCAATTCTTGTTTTCAAATAGTGCATTTAAGATCTTGTTCAACAGGCAACCTGTGACAAACTGATATAACCAGATACTGAGAAAGAGGATCAGATTTGATCTGGTCAAACTCTTCTTTAATTCACAATGCTTCTGAGGAAAGTGATTAGGTTCTCAGTACAGTCATACCTCAGTATCAGTGAGGCCTGGGTACCAGAATCCCCTGCAGATAACCATATTCCATGGAAGCAACTCCCTTATATAAAATGGCATAGTATTTGCCTGTTACCTACACACATCCTCCCCTATACTTTAAGTCATCTCTAGATTACTTATAATGCCTAATACAATGCCTATATATAACTTCATGTGGATTCAATGTAGTGCTCAGAGCACAACAAATTCAAATTCAAGTTTTGCTTTTTTGAAACTTAATGGGTTTTTTTTTCTGAATATTTTTGGCTTGCAGTTGGTTGAATACATGGATGCAGAACTCACCAATATAGAGAGGTGACTATATTATATTTTTATTACAACAATTTATTATTTTCCATATTTTCTACACAGGACTTTAAACATACATTATTGATTTGTTGCTTGCATCAATCCTGTGGTGCAAGCAAATCAGGAGATACGATATTCATTTTATAGATAAAGCACTTACAGCTCAGGATTTCTATTAGGTCACACCTAATGGAAAGAATTTCTATTTCTATTACCTAATTTCTATTAGGTCTGACCTAATAGAAATCCTGAGCTCTAAATGCTTTAGCTAGTAAGTGGTACATTCAGTATAAGTATATTCAGTATTTTTAAAAACCTTCTTAGTCCCAGATTTTAGTCCTAGATTTTAGTCCTAGTCTTTTAGTCCTAGATTTTCCTTAACTTTTAATTGTTGTTTTAAGCCAAGTTCAAACCAAAGAATGTAATAAGAGATAGAATAGAAACTATGAGGAAAGAATGCTGAAAACAGAATTTTAAATTTCAAATGCAGGACAGAAGTCAAGATAGATAACTGAAACGTGTCCTGGGATTTAGTAACACATGTCAATGACGACTTTTGCAAGAGCAGTTTTACTAGAGTAGAAAGGACATAAGACAGCACAGTGGATTGGCTAGTGAGAGGTAAAAAACTATAGACAGGGAGTGTAGATTATGTATTCATTCATTCATTCATTCATTCATTCATCAATTATACCTTCATTCCTACACTAACACATTTTCTCAGGAACTGTTTCTGCCTGGCACTAAATGAAGAATTTTGATTGTGAAGAAAGTGGGACACATCAGGCAGAAGAAATGTTTTTGAAATAGAAAAGCTATAAGAATAATTAATCTAATGGATAGTCACCAATAGTAATGGTGATTTTTGAAAGTATGACAGGGAAAGGAATTAACAGATCAAACCAGGCCTCTAAGAAGGTAAGTAGGTAGAAGAATTAACCTTGTCTAAAGAGAGCCCTTCCACTCTAACTGTGTGGTTTCTGTCTCTTAATTGGACCCTGACTTATAAAAACTGATAAAAGATCATTCACCAAAAGGAAATCAGGGAATTTAGGAAGACAACTGGATGCTGAATAGCCACAGAACTACCAATGTCCATTTTGCTGTAGGCTCTGCTTATTTCTCTGGTTTTATCTCTCCTTATTTCCCCCATCACTGCAGAGATACTCCAATTGTATTGATATAAACACATTTTATTTGCTTCATTTTTTTTCTAGACCATAGTATTTGCTATTATTACTAATCCTGTATATAATATTATATAAAGATTACTAATCCTTTATATAATAATATTCAGAAGTCATTACTATTCCATACCCATTTTCTGTGTTTTTATAGTACTCTCTACATAGCCCCATAGTAACCTATTATCTGTATATTGCTTTATTCCCCACATGAGACTTTAAGCTTTCTTAGGACTATGACCATGCCTTGTACACATTTATATCTCCCAGGTAATAACATAGTACTTGGTACACAGTAGAAACTCAGGGCATATTTGATAATTTGGGTATATACTAAAAATAGGTGCCCCCAGAATAATAAAAGACAATGTTTGTAATAAAACAGTAATAGGTAATATTTAATGAGCACTAAGTGCTACCCACCACAGCTTCTATATATTACCAAACTGAATCTCCACAATGATCTTTGAAACATGATATGTTCTTTTTTATCTTTTAATTGTATGAAAGCTAACACATAGAGAAGTTAAGTAACTTTCCCAAGGTCACATAACGAAGAACTGGTAAAGCTAGTATCTGAACCAGGCAAACCACTTCCAAACTCAATCCTCAATGCTACTACATACACTGCATTATGAGTCATCCTTGCTGTATAGGAGATGCACAATGCAGAAGAGCAACCACTAAACAGTCATTAATAAAAGGAAAGTATACTTATAACCATGGAAAAAATGTTTCATATAGACAAACACTAAAAGATATATGCAGTAATAATCATTTTGTTGACAATAATTAAAAATACGTATGTAATAGTATTTGTGGCTTTCTCAATCTTTTGCAAATAATGTTACATTTTTCTAATATTGTTTCTATAACAGTAAATTTTTTTTTTTTTTTGAGAAGGAGCCTTGCTCTGTCGCCCAGGCTGGAGTGCAGTGGCGCGATCTCAGCTCACTGCAAGCTCTGCCTCCCAGGTTCACGCCATTCTCCTGCCTCAGCCTCCCGAGTAGCTGAGACTACAGGCGCCCACCACCATGCCCAGCTAGTTTTTTGTATTTTCAGTAGAGACGCGGTTTCACCATAATAGCCAGAATGGTCTCGATCTCCTGACCTCATCATCTGCCCGCCTCAGCCTCCCAAAGTGCTGGGATTACAGGCGTGAGCCACCGCACCCAGCCAGTAAAAATGTTTTTAAAGGCCATAATACAAGAAAAATGTTTACCATCCCAATGTTTGTGGTAATAACTCAGCCATAATGGATTCATTCTATACATGCCAGATTAAATCAGATTCTTTAATAGGTGTTTGTTTTAAGTTTTTGTGTAGAAGTCAAAATAAGTAAGGCAAATATGTATTCTAGGATGAAACAATATGCATTGATCATCATAGGAGATAATATCTTAAAGCTCTAACTTAAAGACTGTAAAATATCTGCCCAACTATTTCTTACCAAATGATACTCCATGGTCTGTCAATTGTTGATCATGTTTCTTAGATAGATTATAGATACTTGCTGCATAGTTTTTCAAAGCTTCTGCATAGTCTTGAATATTAAAAGGAATGATTTTAGAATCCACAAGCTCATATACCAGTGCTCCTCGTAATTGAGCCACAGAAAGTTGTTTTTTAAATGTGGGGTCATAAAATTTCTCTACCAATTCAAATGTCTCATAAATTGTGTGGTACACTGGGTAGCTGCTGTACTTATCTGTTTTCTGAAAAAAAAATGGAGAGGCAAGTATAAATAAACATTAAATATTCAAGTTATAATATTTTTATGTAAGCATAAAAATAACTATAGAAAAAATAACAACCAGCCAGTCATGGTGGCTCACATCTGTAATCCTAGCACTTTGGGAAGCCAAGGCAGGTGGATTGCCTGAGCTCAGGAGTTCAAGACCAGCCTGGGCAACATGGAGAAACCCTGTCTCTACTAAAAATACAAAAAAAAAAAAAAAAAAAAAAAAAAAAAAAAAAAAAACAAGAAAAAGAAAAAATACAACCATATAACACCCTGAGTTTTACCACAAGGAGGCAAAACGCTAATAACGAAAACACTATAGCCAAATATTCACTGGTTTTAAAAATTTTCTCATTATTTGTTTTATAATTTATGTAACCTTCATTCAAGATGCTACACCTTGAACATTTTCTCCTTGTATCTTCGATAACTAAAATTAGGGAATACATATTCAAATTGCACCTCAGCATAGTTCAAAGTTATCTATCAATTGATTGGTAAAAAAAAAAAAAAGGTTCTGGGCAGCTAAGTACACAGCTTAAGGATGATTTATTTAAGTAACTTCCCTTCCTTCTCAAACAGTGTATATCTAAATGTCATTTAAGCTTTATTACATAATTAAGGTACCATTATGAATATGAATTATTACATAGTAGTATCCCGTATAAATATTCTTTTTAGTTCTTCGGTCTGCCTTTTCTAATTTTAGTTTTTATTATTTGCCACCTTGTATGGCTATCGTTCTTACTGCTGTTAGTATCACTAAAAAGCAATCTCCTTATCAGTCCTTCTCCTTCTATCTAATTATCTGCTTCTAATCTAAAGTGGTCTTAGAAACTAGATAACTTTGAGCAAATTACAGAAGACAGAGTATAAAAGTGAACAGGCCTTGACAAAGAGTTAAAACACATCATTTATGTATTAATTGTAATGAATGTAAGCATTCTGAGTTTATCTATTTTGGGTTACTCTGGGGTTGCTTTTATTTCTTTGTTCTTTGTTGTATTCTGAACAGTCAAATTTGCAAGTGATATACATATAATGGGCAAGCAAGATTTAGATGTACTGTAATTATGATTTGAAGATTGATTAAAATCTATGACAAATCTGTGTCTGCTACTGTAATCTTCAATTTGGTTTATGAAATAATTTATAACATTGATGAGCAAACATGGTATATATTGGTTATATCCAAGTACCTGCATATCATCAGGATGTCTGTGTGACAGTAGTGCAAACCAGTCAGTGCAGAACAGAAAAGGGGATCAAGTTAAAAGAGAAACTTGCTTTATTTCCCAACCAAGAACCCTTGACTCAGGTGACAGGCAGAAGTGGCAATATGAAGAGGAGCTACCGACAATAATGAATCTTACCCTAATGCTCCTCTTGACCAAAATATGTTCTCCAACTGCATTTATCCTCATGAAAAGTACATCAGAGCCTGCAAGACTAGTCTAGAGAATGAGAGTTTTCTGACAAATCAGGAAAAGGATGTGAACTACTTAGTACTGATTAACCAGATAAGTGTCTGGCATTACTCTGTGAATCACCATTTATTTGATTAACCCTAACAATGAAATTTTCACAAAATTACTCAAATTGCTTCCTTGTCCATCTGGAAAGGGACATGCAGTCTATCTCTATCCCTGGGAACTCTTCCCAGGCCACATCCACCAGGTGTCTGGTGCCAAACAACTCAGTGACATTCTTCGCCAAAGGACTGTAGATGAAATGTTATATATTCAAAATGATAAAATGGCTTACCTTATTCTTAGTGTAACGGGCTCTGCCTGAAGCAATTCCAAGTCTCTGAAAATAAGCTTCAAAGTCACTTCCAGATCCCAGCTTATTGATTCTAGATGTAGAATGCAATCCACACACACACACACACACACACATAAACAAGTAAATGATACAAAGTTAAATAGATGGGACAAGGAATCCTGCCCCAAGAATAGCAAGGAATTATATATTACATTTATAAGAATTTAAAAAAGGTCAACCACCATCAAGACATTTTCCCATAATCTGCAGGAAAATTGCTGTAAAATTAAAAGTAATGCTGAAAATTAAAAATAATGGCAAAAACTGCAAATACTTTTGCACCAACCTATAACAAGAATTGGGCTGTGCCACCAAAGACTGCATCTTGTGATGATGCTCTCCATCATATCTTCAGCATTTACATTTTTGTTTAGAGGGGAAAACAATGAAGACGTGGGCCCTACCCTCAGAGAACTATCATCTAGTAAGAAAACTGCCATAAAAAAATCTACTTTTAAAATCATGAAGAATATAAATGTGCCTCATTTTAGAAATAAATCTAATTATAATTTATTTCTTTGCATATGATTAGGAAACCTCTGTTGATCTATCACATATATATGCATATACATAAATAAAATGTAAGACATGAAAATTTTTAGTAAAATAATGGTAAGTCATGAAAGCAGAATATAAAATTGCATGTTCATTAATAACATAACTGTTTATTTCCAAACTATTAGGTTAGTAGATATGTTTTTGAGACTGACCTCTTCAATGTTTTAGAAATCATTTTTGTATTTTACTGTTTTTGTTGAATTGGCATGTGAAAGTTTTATAATGGACCCACATTCAAACTTTCACAAGACTGATTTGAAATGAGGAATAAAGCTATAAACTGTTACTATTATTTGCTTGTACAAGTTGAGTATCCCATATGAAATGCTTGGGACCAGAAATATTTTGGACTTCAGATTTTTTTCCAACTATGAATATTTACATATATGCAGTGAGATATCTTGGGGATGGGGCCCAAGTCTAAACATAAAATTCATTTATGTTTCATATGTATCTTATAAACATAGCCTAAACTTAATTTTACATAATATTTTAAATAATTTTGTGCATGAAACAAAGTTTGTGTTAAGTGCTATAAGGTGTGGAATTTTCCACTTGTGACATCATGTTGGTGCTCAAAAAGTTTTGGATATTGGAGCACTTCAGATTTCAGGTTTTTGAGTTAGGAATGCTCAGTCTGTATTAGAAATGGCACTACAGTAGAAAACAAATATATACTTTTTATTACATAATGTTTAGAAAAAAGAAAATAAAAACAAATAAATATAAAATAAATTTAAGAAAGCTGCTGTAGCATGAATGAGATGACATAAAAAATAAAATAATATTTATATAAATTCTAAATCACAGGTAAAGACACAATTTGGTGGTTACTGATAATGTTCCTTAATAAATTTACAAGCAAATAATCTAGCATTTGTCTTTTCATCATTATCATCTGAAGTTATATTATATATTAATACACCTAATACATATGTAAATGAAATTTTAAGCAAGAATGCCAACTAATGGCTAATAATGTAGCGAAACTATTTTGGCTAAAAATTTGCAAAACTAGATCTATTTGTGCTCTAACATAGACTGAAAGACTTCACATGCTGGCTAATCAGCAAAACAAAACTGGATAGAAGAATTCTTATTTTTTTTTTTTTTGAGATGGAGTTTCACTCTTGTTGCCCAGGTTGGAATGCAATGGCACGATCTCGGCTCACTGCAACCTCTGCCTCCCGGGTTCAAGCAATTCTCCTGCCTCAGCCTCCTGAGTAACTGGGATTACAAGTGCCCGCTACCATGACCGGCTAATTTTGTATTTTTAGTAGAGACAGGGTTTCGCCGTGTTGGCCAGGCTGGTCTCCAATGCCTGACCTCAGGTGATCCACCCGCCTCGGCCTCCCAAAGTGCTAGGATTATAGGCGTGAGCTACTGGGCTCGGCCAGGAATTCTTCATTATCTTTTCTTGGCTCAAATTATTGATGAGACGCTTGAGAATTTCATGCTTGGAGAAACAAGAGGCAGAGGGGAATTCATAACTTATCCTACAGTAGAAAAGGTGCATATCAGTAACTTACCTAGGCAAATTTTTATTTTCAGGTGAAGGGTCTTTTTCCAACCAGCTTTCATACAGTGATTTACTCTCAAACCCATCATCAGGGCTGGGGATCTGGAAAGAGAAATCAAATACTGGAAATTAGGGGTAGAAGCAACTACATTTATGCCAAAATAAAACTATATATTATTTGTCATCAACTTCTACTTTTAATAACATATGTACATGTATATATTTATACACATGTATATGTTTTATAGAAAAATTATATTTTTGCAAATGGCAAGAAATAAATCTAGCCCAAATTATTTTTTATTCATGATGTCTACCTGTGTTGGTAATTTTGCCATGTACCTAAGATGTAATTTCCTGCTTATTTTGGTAAACTTTTAAATAGAACTTAAAATCTTTACAAATGCCATTTTAATTAATGTTTGGCAGCTTAGATTTCTTTTAGTGGGAAGACACTGGAGAAAACTTCAGATAAAACATTTGCTTTTGTAAATTATTTTTGCCTAATAAGACCTATAAAGAGGTCTCAGAACAATAGAGGTGACATAATTTCAAGCTCAGCTTCTTAACCTATAAGTCTTGGTTTTGCAGGGCAGGCAGGGGTTAGCGCTGGGACTATTCTTTTAGACAGTCTTATTATGTTTAAACAAAGTTAAAATTTTATGGATTTTTTAAAAAACTCTACATAACCTCAGATTTCTACTTGGGAATTTTTAAGAGCTCGTGTGTGTGTGTGTGTATATATATACATTTTTACTCCTTTCATTAAAAATACATTTACAAACTTATACTTGCCTTGTCTTTTGACACTCTAAGAAGAGCAGAGACATGTGGTGAAAACATTGTGGACTGTGGAGTCAAATTGGTCTATTTTAAATCTAGACTACTACACATATTGACTATATTTTGTTTTCTTGTTTGTTTATAACACTGATTTGCTCAAAAATAGACCCAAGGCAGACCCTACTTAAGTAACTGTGAAAGCATTATAACTTGGTGTATTTGTTCCCCTCTTTGAACCTTAGTCTTCTCACCTGTAAAACTGGGGATAATGGTACCTTTCTGAATATAAACATCTGGTATTTTCTCTGGCCTTTAGACAGAGTTGGTTATTCTAACTTCTGTGCCACTATTCTTAATTTTTCTATAGATATTTACTAAGCACTGAACTCAGAAAAGAGATGCGGAAACAGAGACATAGTCTCTACCCTCTTGGACCTCACAATGAAATCTAATTGGGGATACACACACCAAACAAATTTTGTAATACAAAATTATAATAAGCAGTTTAAAAGAAAATATCAAAGTGCTATAAAGAGATGTGGGGATGAGAGATAGATATGTCTCCAAGTAAGGGCTTTCTGAGAAAATGGCAATTAAATTTAAGAGCATCTAATAAAGATGTTGGGTATTGGCACATGATTTTGAACAATTTCCCTGTTTCAATCTCACCCCACTTATTTAGAGGCACAAATGTGTTGTGTCTACTGATAACACAAGCCCTCATCAGCCTTCAAGTAGAAGGTAACAGTGGTGAATCCACTGCCATCCACAGAGTAATGGTAGGGCTGGGAAGTGGTCACTTGCCCTTAGCTTTGTATGAATGAGATGATATTTTATGACTGCATAGAGGGTCCACAGCTTAGAAAGTCTTGGCACTCTACACCCTTCCTCACCAACATGAGGCAGCTGCAGAGATGTTCTGCTCATTTCTAGCCAGCTGACTGGGTTCTACTCTCTACTCTGCTCCTGCCAATTTACAATGGTTGAGAGAGATTCTGTTCCAGTTCCTACATCCTGCTTGGATTGAACTCCCAGTAAAACCCTCTTCATTTTCTGAATCATACTGTCTCCATAATAGTGCCAATCAGAAATCACGTCCCGTTGGCCTAGAAAATCCAGATCAGCTTTCTTTCTTTCTTTTTTCTTTTCTTTCTTTTTTTGTCAGGATTTCTATGGCTTACACTCCTGGGCTCAGGTGATCCTACTGCCTCAGCTGGAACTATAGGCATGTGCCACCACACTCGGCTAGATGAGTCTTACCTCAGCTACATGCATTGTCAGAATTGATAGCCCTCCTCTTATTTAGCAACACTTTGCCCCATTTCTTGCTGCATCTGGCAGCTGCCCTTCTCTCCAAGCTCAGCCTTGTCTCTCACCCCTACACTATCCTCAAGTCACCAATATGGCTTGACTATTTGTGCTAACACACACTAGGGATTAATAAAATTGTAATAATCAGTTTACAGGAGAGTAAAAACAAGTCTCCTTTGTCTACTGGGTCTTGGCATGCCCACAGATAAGAATTTATCTTTGTACAAAGAGGCACAGATGTCAACTTCTCCCTTATCAACCACCAAATTCTTATCATTCCTGACATCAAGGCCAGGGATCATCTCTCTAGGACAGCACAAATCATAAATTCCTGTTCCAAAAAGGGTTCTCTCAGTAAAGATTTTCTTTTCAGCTTACTTTTAGATAAGATGCTTTTATGGAACATTCCAATGAAAGGATCAAAGACATCAGCTACCCAAGATGGTGAGAGCATTGTGATGAGGAAAATGAGAGGAGTTTCATTTGGAAAACTAGTTTTTAAAGACATGAAAAAGAGAGGGGTAAGATTAAGGGAGGAAATATTAATAGTACCCAGAGAGAAGTGATATCTACTTCATATTGTTATCTAAGGATGACCTTGAAGCAAACATTTCCACAGGTAAATTCTTTGGCAAGGAACTATTTAAATGATGTTCACAGATATTAAATGAGTAGATTATATAAGTTTTAGAGATTCAGAGTCCTTTAGATTTTAGAGTTCTTAAAATATCTATAACTCATTTAATATTTATAAATTACTGGGAGATTAGCAAGCCTGCAGAATTATTTCCATTTTGCCTTTAGACTTGCAACTACTTAATGTATTCACTACACTGACATAAAACAATGAACAACCTTGTTAGAAATTCTTTAATGATTTCTCCATAACAGATTTCTGAACTCCTTGGCCCATTGGTTATGCCTCATTTCTTACCATCTTTCCCACCAACGCCTTTGGCTTGGCCATGCTGAGCTACCTTCAGATCAGGAAATACGTTCTTTTAAACCTCCACATCTTTTTTAGATACTGTGTCCTCTGCTTAGAATGCCCTCTCCCTTACTTCTACATCCCTTCATTTGACAGTCCAAACATCAGTGACTCTGCAAACCTCTTCTTATGCTCCTCAACTTCCCCCAGCCACCTCAGGATTTAATATTCTCTATTCCATAACTGTTCTCCATCATACATAGTATCAAATATTCTAGTGAATTCTAATTCCTCATTTACCAATCTGTGTCCTCTCTAGATTACAAAGTCTTCGAATTCAGTGACCTTGTCCCCTTATCACTATTGCTGCTATAATTCATTTTGTAGAATCTGACATATAGTGACCACTCAGTGAATATTTGTTGAATGAATGAATGAGTAGCTAAGACAGTTTTTTAACTGTATGCCTTTCTATTCCAACTCAGTGTTCTTTCTGCTATATCAAATACCTCTGCCAGATAAATACATGTTACAACTATTTACACAATTATTAATAAGAACTATTGCTAGAACAAAGAAGCTGGTGATAATATCTTCTTAGTTATGTCATATAGGTAAATGGCATATTAAAGATTTTGTTTTGTTTATATGATTCTATTATGTTCTCTCACCAGCTTAAAAATAAGTACCATTAATTTAGGGGGGAACACACGTTATTCATTTATCCATTCAAAAGAGAACATATGAAGACACATTTCCTTATATACCTCTTTTGTCAGTTTATACACTAATTGGTAAAGAAGGGGAGTACAGTCAACTCTGAGAGTATAATTGCCTGAAAAATAAATAAGACACAGAGTATTATTTCATACTTCTAAATGAAATTCCATTTGTTTAATTCTAACTTTATTTTCTAATTTTAAACAAGATATAATGATCTTCAAATCAAAGATTTTATTCCCAAAGAATAAAACAGGGTGGAAATAGTTCTTCAGGAGCAAGAGAGCCTGCACCAAATATTCTGAATAGTAGAAGGTCTTGGTGGACTTTGGTTGCTAAGGCAGCAGCTGTCACAGTGATTATAAGGGTCATTCTCATGGCAGCAATTCTTAGGGGCACTTTGGCAAAGGAAGTGGTAAGTCTGTAGCATTAATTTTTTACTTGTTTCATTCTATGCAATAGTATATATCAAGATATTAGACAAAGCCATGTCAGTAATTATTAGGTTCTAACATTTATTTAGAAATAATCACAATGCAATGAAAGCCTAGAGACACGAATCTCTTCATTTTCTGAATCATACTGTCTCCATAGTAGTGCTAATCAGAAATCAAGTCCTGTTGGCGTAGACAATCCAGATCAGTTTTTTTCTTTTTCTTTTTCTTTTTTTTTTTTTGAGAGTCAGGGTCTCTCTATGGCTTACACTCCTGGGCTCAGGTGATCCTGAGCTAGATTCAATAGGAGTTTGTAGTTCAAAAGGAGTGAGTAAGTGAGTACACTTACTTCAAATTTGTTACAACAAATACAGGAAATATTTCTACACAGAATAGTCTGCAAAACCTTTCTTCTGAACTGTTTTAGCCAAATTCCATTAATATCTTTATCGAGAAAATATGTGGTTAATACTAGAGTTTTAAGTAGTAATATAAACAAATAGTAAATATATCAAAGAAATTAAAAGCAATAGCTTAGTTATGAATCATATCAATTCATATGAATCCTAATTATTTTCTCTGTGGCAAAATGAAAAATAAAGGTATTACTGAGGCATCTCAAAGGAAGGGGATATCTGAGGTGCTTAATAAGCTAGAATTTATAGTCTTAGTAGATGGTATTCTACTCAATAATAAAAGTTACTTGAAGTAAAATTTCCTTTCTGAAAATTTCACTTCAAATTGAAATAAAATTTACCTTCTATAGATGAATCCGAGTTGATATAAGCAATGCTTCTCTCCTGGAGTATTTTGACATTCTCCTGTAGTTGAAGCAAAGTTGTTACTTAATTCACATTACTTAGTTGTGAAAATGTAAACAAAATAAGCAAATTAATTTCGTGGAAAAGCGGTTTACAAGTATCTTTCACAATTAAATAGCTAGGTCCATCTGTGACCCTAATTTCTGAGAAAATGCAGAAAACCAGTTTGTTAACAACAATTACGCAATTAATATAAGAATTAAGGATACTATGAAGCAATAGCTACTGTTTATAGCAATAGCAGAGAGCCCTAAGAAAAAAAAATATTTTCAAAGTGTGGTTCCTTGATTCCCTGCATCAGACTATGCAGGGATGTGGCTCCCATATTCTAGGGCCCTGCCCTAGATCTACTGAATCAGAACTCACAGTGAGGCTAAAAGTGAGGCCTGGCAATCTGTATTTTATTATTTTATTTTATTTTAGAGACAGAGACTCACTCTGTTGCCCAGGCTAGAATGCAGCGGCACGATCTCAGCTCACTGCAACCACGGCCTCCCAGGTTCAAACAATTCTCTTGACTCAGCCTCCGGAGTACCCGGGATTACAGGTGTGTGCCACTGTGTCCAGAATTGGTGGGTTCTTGATCTCACTGACTTCAAGAATGAAGCCGCGGACCCTCGCGGTGAGTGTTACCGTTCTTAAAGGCGGCGTGTCCGGAGTTTATTCCTACTGATGTTCGGATGTGTTCAGAGTTTCTTCCTTCTGGTGGGTTTGTGGTCTCGCTGGCTCAGAAGTGAAGCTGCAGACCTTCACGGTGAGTGTTACTCTTAAGGCGGCCCATCTGGAGTTGTTCCTTCCTCCTGGTGGGTTCGTAGTCTCACTGGCTTCACGAGTAAAGTTGCAGACCTTCAAGGTGAGTGTTACAGCTCATAAAGGCAGTGTGGACCCAAGGAGTCAGCAGCAGCAATATTGCAAAGAGCAAAAGAACAAATCTTTCACAACGTGGAAGGAGACCCCAGAGGGTTGCCACTGCTGCTCCGGCAGCCTGCTTTTATTCTCTTATCTGACCCCACCCACATCCTGCTGACTGGTCCATTTTACAGAGAGCCGATTGGTCTGTTTTACAGAGAGCCGATTGCTCCGTTTTGACAGGGTGCTGATAGGTGCGTTTACAATCCCTGAGCTACACACAAAAGTTCTTTCCCCACGTCCCCACTAGATTAGCTAGATATAGAGTGTGGATTGGTGCATTCACAAACCCTGAGCTAGACACAGGGTGCTGATTGGTGTGTTTACAAACCTTGAGCTAGATACAGAGTGCTGATTGGTGTATTTACAATCCCTTAGCTAGACATAAAGATTCTCCAAGTCCCCACCAGACTCAGGAGCCCAGCTGGCTTCACTCAGTGGATCCCACACCGGGGCCACAGGTGGAGCTGCCTGCCAGTCCCACGATGTGCGCCGGCACTTCTCAGCCCTTGGTCAGTCGATGGGACTGGTCGCCGTGGAGCAGGAAGCGGTGCTCGTCGGGAGGCTCCGGCTGTGCAGCGGCCGCGGCGGGGGCGCAGGCTCAGGCATGGTGGGCTGCAGGTCGGAAGCCCTGCCCTGCGGGGAGGCAGCTAAGGCCCAGCGAGAAATCGAGCACAACAGCTGCTGGCCCAGGCGCTAAGCCCCTTACTGCCCCGGGCTTGCAGGCTGGCCGGCGCCTCCGAGGGCGGGCCCGCTGAGCCCACGCCCACCCGGAACTCTCGCTGGGCCGCAAGCGCCCGCGCAGCCCCGGTTCCCGCCCGCTCCTTCCCTCCACAGCTCCCAGCAAGCTGAGGGAGCCGGCTCCAGCCTTGGCCAGCCCAGAAAGGGGCTCCCACAGTGCAGCGGCGGGCTGAAGGGCTCCTCAAGCGTGGCCAGAGTGGGCGCCAAGGCCGAGGAGGCGCCGAGAGCGAGCGAGGGCTGCCAGCATGCTGTCACCTCTCACCACGACGCCTGGCTAATTTTTGTATTTTTAATAGACACGGGGTTTCACCATGTTGGCCAGGCTGTTCTCGAACTCCTGACCTCAGGTGATCCACCTGTCTCAGCCTCCCAAAGTGCTGAGATTACAGGCATGAGCCACCGTGCCGGGTGGAAATCTGCATTTTCTTTTTTTTTTTTTTTTTGGAGACAGAATCTTGCTCTTTTGCCCAGGCCAGAGTGCAGTAGCGCTGTCTCTGCTCACTGCAAGCTCCACCTCCCGGGTTCACGCCATTCTCCTGCCTCAGCCTCCCGAGTAGCTGGGACTACAGGCACCCACCACTGCGCCTGGCTTATTTTTTGTATTTTTAGTAGAGGTGGGGTTTCACCATGTTAGCCAGAATGGTCTCGATCTCCTGACCTCGTGATCCGCCCGCCTTGGCCTCCCAAAGTGCTGGGATAACAGGCGTGAGCCACCGCGCCCAGCCAATCTGTATTTCCTAATAGATATAACTGGCAATTGACACTTACATACATTGAAGTTTGACATCCATTTATGGAGGGGATACCCAAGTAAATTTATCATTTCAAAAGTGAGAAATATAAAATTTCCATTTGTTTATATTTACTATGTATATGAAGTGAAAGAAAAAAGGAAGACAAAAAATTAGAGGAGGCACACATTAAGACAAAAATAAGACTCTTTCGCTCTCTCTCTCTCATACACATACACAAACACACACACACAGACACAGATTAAAGAAAAAGTAAAGCAAAACTAACACACAGACAGAGAGGAACATGCTGAGAGAGCCCTTCACCGCTCTCTCTAGCTTGTTAGCTTTCTAAAATATGTTATAGTAAAAACATTTAAAGCTGTGTGTGGTTATGGCACAAATAAAAACTGTCACCTCTTTGCACTTGCCTGCATAGGCCAGGTGATAGTTGACTCCATTACAGAGAAATATAAAATCAGAGTTTCCATTATAACAGATTTATAGTGAAAATAAAGAAGATTCCTTATGTGTATTTAAAGAAGGTAAGCATGCTACTGAATATAATCAAGAACCTGGCACAAAACTGGAAAGTGTATTGAAATTGCCTTTTAATGCACATGTTTATAAATTAATGCAAAGCGTTTTTATTATTTTATATATTAGATTTCTTTATGTTCAGCTGCTGAAATTTAAAAAACAGATGCATGTGTTTATATGTGTTTATATATGTATCACAAGAAATCACATGTTTCTAAATCGCATGTTTCTAAAAGCAAATGACCTCACCCACCACAGGGGCAAGGGGAAAAAAGATAATGACCTGAACTAATAAAATTTGATTCATCAAATTAATGTTATAGTTTCAAAATGCCCATTAATAATACCAATGTGAAAATAACAATTCGCAGTGTAAATGTAATCAACAAAGGGTGATACCAGACAAGTAATTGTGAGTGGGATTTTTACCCCCTCTGTATTTGTTTAATTCATATTATTCCTATTATAGTATTTTAAACTAATGTAAGAGAAACTGAGTTAGGAGGAAAGCATTTTCAAAACTAAACACAATGGCAAGACAGGTTTGCCATATTTTAAAACAGCTCTATAAAATCTGGACTTATAAATGATAACTAGCAGATGGAGGAGGGAAGGTAAGTACTTATGTAGTGCACCTACCTGGAAATACTACTGGACCCAGCAATCCCATTACTGGGTATATAACCAAAGAAATATATCATTCTATTATAAAGACACATACACACATATGTTCATTGCAGCATTATTCATAATAGCAAAGACATGAATTCAACCCAGATATCCATCAATGACAGACTTGATGAAGAAAATGTGGTACATGTACACCTTGGAATACTACACAGTCGTAAAAAATGATGAGACTATGTTGTTTGCAGGGACATGGATGGAGATGAAGACCATTATTCTTGGCAAGCTAATGTTGAAACAGAAAAATAAATACCACATGTTCTCACTTATAAGTGGGAGTTAAATGATGAGAACCCATGGACACATAGAGGGGAACAACACACTGGGGACTTTCAAAGGGTGGAAGGTGGGAGAAGGGAAAGGGTCAGGAAAAATAACTAGTGGGTACTGGGCTTAATACCTGGGTGATGAAATAATCTTTCACTAGTAATACCACAATATTAGTTTCATAGAGTCTCAAAAATTACTACATTTGAGTTATAGGTTTAACATTTCAAACCAGGTTTTTCAAAATTCTCTCTTCACCTAGTTTTTAAAATAGTTTTTCAAATAACTTTCAAAATGATATACATGTGAAAAACCAGGTGAAGTTAAGGGAGGGGTAAAGATGAAGAGAGAAGGGAGCCAACATTTATTGATCACTTACTGTGTGGATTAAATGAGTTAAAATGGGTAAATCACATAGCTACTGTAAAGCTCAATAGAAATATTATTACAATTATTATTATTAATACATGATAACACTCTTCTAGAAAAGATGTGATCACAAATTGTGTGTTTATTGAGCTTACTCTTACAGAAAGAGTAAAAGTTTACCACTGCGTCAAGGCAGGCAGGAAATGCCAACTAGAGAAATCAGCTTGTACAGAGTAGTTGAACAGCGTGGCAAATCCCCATGACACAGTTTACCTATGTAACATACCTGCACTTGTACCCTGAACTTAAAAGTTAAAAAAATGAATGTGCTTACCTTCTACATTTAAGAACTTAGAGATTACTTGACAGAGAGACTAAAGGAAGAAGTTGGAAGAAAAGGGCCCTAGGAGAGACACTTAAATATAAATAATTAAGAGTCAGTGACAAATGACAATCATATGTGAAGAAAAAAAACCCCACCTATGAAATTGTAAAGCAGGTCAATTTATTAAAGTAATTCAATTCACAGAATTATCACTTTATACTTAACAATGAAGCACATATCTGTTGTAAATGCTAAAGTATACTTATGGTTGCCATTTTAAATGGAATCTGTCAATGTGAAAATATAGTCAATATATGGCCATCTTAATAGAACATCTTATATTTTCTCAGATGGAAGAACTCTAAAGAAACTTCAAAAACTTGAAAATTAGCTCTAAGCATCTGTATCAGTTTTTAGATAAGTAAATTATCATCAAAAATATCTCATTAATTTTGATTATTTTCTGAGCTTACTGATTTTTCTTATTTTTTATAAAACAAATGCAAATGGCAACGAAAATATTTTGACAAGAGGCAATAACTCTGTCTGCAGTCTAGTACTAAAAGGTTATTGCCAAACTGATGTGAAAGTAAAAATAAACTATTTCTTAAATTGTCTTGAGTCATTCTCCAAAACAAAACCATATTAGGTAATGGAATATATTTTTGATCATCCTGAGACACATACATATTTGTTCCCTGTTGACCAAAAAAATAATAAGAACCTTCTTTGTCTTATTTACCTCAGCCCATTCTGTGGAACCCAGAAGTCCAAATTCTTCTGCATCCCAGCTGGCAAAAATGATAGTTCTTCTAGGTCTCCAGCCTGTAAGAATTGTTAACACACGTGGTTAGGTACAACTGCCTAAAAAATAAAAGAAAATTCAGTAAGTCACTTTTTGTCATCACCTAGGAAAGAAAGGTTGTTTACCTTTACTCATCAGTTTTCCAAAACTCCGGGCAATTTCTTGCAAAACAGCAACCCCACTGGTTGGGTCAATAGCTCCAAATACCCAGGAGTCCCGGTGACCTCCCAGAATAACATACCTGTCTGGAAAATAATACGTTCAAGAAACCTACAACTTTGAATACATTATAAATATTTGTAATTTATGTTTTTAAAATAAACATCCTCTTGCTTGAGTTTCCTCTATAGAAGACAACACTATAAAGTAAAATCTTCTTTTAGATTTGTACAGTTTTCCTCAAAATTTAGTAGTTTCAAATCAGCCAAAAAACCCCACTTCAATTGTTGACTACAATTTATCTTTACTTACCCTTTAATTTTTGTAAAAACAAAATGTTTTAAAAAATTATGTGACTCACCAGGTTCCACAGATCCTCTGATAGTTCCAACTACATTGTAAATCCTTGTAATTTTATTGATGTTATAAACATGCATTCTAACCTTCCTAGAATTTTAAAAGGAATAAATTACTTAGTACAGCAAATTATGTTTTTTACAGTGTTTTATTATAAAAAACTATTTTCATAATAGTGTTTTATTATGAAAAGCTGTGCAATAGCATAATGGATTCTCATATCTCTACCACCTAAATTCAATAATTGTTAACACTGTTGAAGCATTTGCAAGTAAGGTACAGACATTATGCCAATTTACTTCTAAGCACCTAAGCATGCACCTTGAAGTCAAATTTTAAAAGCTGTCTATTTTATATTATTTTCTCATAGCTAAATTGTTATTTATTTAAAATTCAAAATATTCTATTATTCAAAATGTCATATTTATTCTAAAATGTAAAAATATACCCCAGTTAATTATGAAAACGAAGAAGACAGCCCATTATGTAATAAAGAAAAAAGTATAAGCATATTATTTAAATGTATCTATTTATATTTATATTAAATCCGAGGTTCAAAAATTTTCTTTATGATTATGGAAATGATATGTAAGTTTAAGAGCTGGTTGAGTGCCACCTATAAAAAACATAAAAAATTCTGTTGTTAAATGAGAATTTGGGAAGCTCCTGCTACAATGCACAACTACATAATGAAATGTTTCTAGGCCATGATTGTTGATTCTGATTTGGGTCAGGCTTTTAAATATTCATTCATGAGTTACAATCAACCGAATTAGAAAACAAGGGAAAATATCAAGCTCAGCCAGACAGAAAAAACAAAGTATCACTCACATTTTATGAATCCAAGATGACATGGGAAAATGCTACTTTTCCCCAAGGGAACAAAATTAATCATCATTTATTCTAAAGGTAGGGAGACCTCCGTTGTTTCTAGTTTGTGATCGTTTTTTAATGGAAGAATGAATAAGCCCCCGAAACTTGTATATTGTTAAGAACAAATTCTGGCTTCCCTCACCCCCACCAAAAGTATACTGTGCTTCTGATATTTAATCCATTTGCAATATTCAACTAAAAGTACCTCAGAGGAAAACTAATCGATGTTTTTTTTTTTTTCATTTTAAGGCATTAAGTAAATGATTTCTTTTTGCTACTGACAGATGAAAATTAATAGCAGAAAAGCAGAAATATTGTTTAGCATGTGTTTCTAAAAATATGAGCCTTAGATATATGATTAGTAAGAAACCCAAATTCATCGGTATTGTGTCATTAAAAGAAGAAAATTAAGTAAAGAAAAATGCAACATATGAGGAATGAAAAAAATTGATATTAGTCTAAACAAAAACATAGGCTATCTGCTAAGATTCTCAAAGAAGCACATCTACGTCTTTAAACCTACGTCTTTCTCGTTTTTAGTATTTTTGAGCTCCAGAAGAATATTTATTTGTCCTATTATTACTTCAAACTTATCACGTTTCAAATAAACTGAACTCTAGAATGCAGGCTCCACAGGGAGGAGATTTTTGCCTACTTTATTCACTGCTGAATCCCCAGAACCCAGAATGGTTCCCGGGGCATAGGAAATGCTCAATAAATATTCATGAAATAAATGAATATAATCCTGTAAGGAAAAATTGGGAAAAACTTTGGTTCATCCATTATGGTCAACTTTACCTGTCAGTGTCCTTAACTAGACTGTTTTACAGCTCTGTAAAGAGAAGTTAACTTATAGAAACATGACAGTAATGCAAATAATTCAAATCCACTGAAATGCACAATCTGTCTAGTGAAGGTTTGTGTTCCTTTCCTCACTGTGGAAGACTTTTGGAGGCTCCACTCTGAGGTAAAATGGATTCATTTTGCAGAACCAGGTATGGGCAGCTTAAACCAATTCTTCATATCTTCTTTTGGCTCTCATATGTAAATTCTAAACAACAGTAGAAATTTAACTTTGCTGATACTCTATATCTCTAGCTTTATTTTTTCTCTACTGATGTTTTGTTTTATGTTTCTGCTTTGCTTAGGGCAAATTAAGTTAGTCCTCATTGGTGGCAGCAATGATTTGGAGTTGGCCTTTATGTCTTGTCATTTGATAATATCTGTAAATGGATTAATGGATTTTCAAGATCTCTGTGAGGTGAGACATGAGAGAATCTAGTTTTTAGTTTTGTTGTTGTTTATTTGTCCACTTTGAGTTCTAACCAATAGAGAATTCTATGCTCACAGTGAAGGAGCACAGCTATTTTATATCTAGACCTAGGAATGTTTATGTTTTTGAGTTTACTCTTTGTGACTAAAATTGTAGAACTGAAGTTATATGTTTTCTCTGTCTGTATGTTTCTGTTTGTAAATCAGAAAGGGCTTTATGTTTCATTGAGTAAGTTACATTTTCCTTTCTCTGGAGGGCATACACAAATTAGATAATAAAGTCCCAAATTAAAAGAGCACTGTTCTGATTTAATGATAGAGATAAACACATATAAATCAAACATTTATAAACTTATTATAAAACAAGGAAATTGGACTTCTAATACTTTAAAATTTCTGGAATACAAGAAATCCTACAGAAACTAAAAAATATTCTGAGAATCCAAATTCACGTAGTTAAGGGTAAATTGTTAGCAAAGAAGACTGATTTAATAATTTTGGTTTAATAAAAACAGCTATATGCACTCTGATTTATCAGTGTTACATTTCTCTCTCCCATCACATTTCAGGCAAATCAAACTTCTTGAAGTTCTGATCATGCCACGCTGTTCAACTACTCTGTACAAGCTGATTTCTCTAGTTGGCATTTCTTGCCTCCCTTTACCCAGTGGTAAACTTTTACTCTTTCTGTAAGACTAAGCTCAATAAACACACAATTTGTGATCACATCTCTTCTAGAAGAGTATTATCATGTATTAATAACAGTAATAATTGTAATATTAATTCTATTGAGGCTTATAGTCTTATAGTAACTATGTGATTTACCCATTTAAACTCATTTAACCCACACAGTAAGTGATCTATACATTTTGGCCCCCTTCTCTCTTCATCTTTACCTCTCCCTTAACTTCACCTAGTTTTTTTTTTTTTTTTTTTTTTTAGATGGAGTTTCAGTCTTGTTGGCCAGGCTCAAGTGCAATGGCGCGATCTCAGCTCACCGCAACCTCCGCTTCCTGGGTTCAAGTGATTCTCCTGCCTCAGCCTCCCAAGTAGCTGGGATTACAGGCATGCACCACCATCACACCTGGCTAATTTTTGTATTTTTAGTAGAAACGGGGTTTCTCCTTGTTGGCCAGGCTGGTCTTGAACTCCCAACCTCAGGTGATCCGCCCGCCTCAGCCTCCCAAATGCTGGGATTCCAGGTGTGAGCCACCACACCCAGCACCTTCACCTAGTTTTTCACATGTATATCATTTTGTAAGTTATTTGAAAAACTATTTTTAAAAAATAGCTGAAGAGAGAATTTTGAAAAATCTTTGAAATGTTAAACCTATATTCAAATATATTAATTTTTGAGATTCTGTGAAACTAATATTGTGATGCTGCTAGTGAAATAATTCAATATTTCATGTGTAAGTACTTCTTAAGTAATGTAAAATGGTTGTTTAGAAAGAGAAAAAGAGATAAGCAAAATACCCCTGGCAGAACAGTTATCTTGACATGTTTCCATTAAAAATATAAAACTTTTTCAGACTATTAAAGTAATGCAAAATTACCTGAAAGAATCACTCCCTGTAAAGCCAGGTCCGATACTATAACTCACATTAAGGGCTCCCTTCCAACTCTTATCTGGTGGAGCAATTCCTCCCAAGTAGCTGACAAAATAAAATGAAAGTGACAGAAAAAGGCTACCACAATTTCTAAGGAGAAATTTTAAAGTTTGATGACAATATTTCATTCATATATATAACAAATATTTGTCATTTACTAAGTGCCAGGTACTGTCAAAAAGCCCGCCCTTTGTGGAGCTTATTTTCTAGCAAGAGAGCCATACTGAAATCAGTAAGTAAAATACGTAATATGTTAGTGATGAGAGCAAAGAGAAAAAATAAAGTAGTCATGGCAAATGGGAAGGCTATCTCCTTATTTTTGACCTTAATTATTTATGTGGGGACTCACTGAATCCAAGATATCCTAAATACAGGAAATTAATGACTGCATTAAGGAGAAGAAATGTATTTGTAAAAAAGCTGCTGATTACACAGTAGGCACCCAAACAATTATTAAGTTGTAATACACATACAGGCATTTAAAAATGGGAGTTGGGGGATATGTAAAGAAATATCAGTTATAGAATACAATAATTGTTTGTTTACTATATTCTAAATACGGTGCTATGTATTTTACTCATATGATCTTATAATAACCCTATCAAGGAGAAACAGTTACTAGCCTCATCTTACAAATAAAGAAACTGAGCTGGAGAAAGTTTAAGCAACTGATCCAAGGTCATACCTCTAGTAAGTGGGGGGCATTGTCATATTCTTATACTAGACGTTGAATATAAATATCTAATGAATACCTATGAAAATTCAATTGCTTGAAAAATCTCAAATCAGAATTATCTTAGGACATAGCTTTGTATTTGAGAATTTCATTTGTAGCGAACAGAGCGATATTTTATTTTGATTTCTTAGTCACTAAAATGACTACTTTTATGAAATAAAAAGATAGTATACTCTGTTATTCCTATTTCAGGAGTTATTTAGTTATAAAACTTTGTGTTTAACATAAGAATGCCATATTGGTTTTCAATGAGAAAATAGACAACTAGTGCAAAATATCTTAATCTCATATCCAACAAGAAAACTATACCGTAATAATATTTCTGCATCATTATATCCAATGGGATGTACAGGTATTCGGGGGATTCCCACTCCTTCTTCAACATCAAGTCTGAAAGTGTATTCTAAAAAAATCAAATGCATAAAATGAAAACAATTTAAAAATCTGAGCAAGAGATATACAGGGATTTTTTGCATAACCGTTGCAGATTTGCTATACATTTGCAATTATGCCAAAATTAAAAGTTCCTGGCCAGGCGTGGTGGCTCACACCTGTCATCCCAGCACTTTCGGAGGCAGAGGTGGGCGGATCATGAGGCCAAGAGATGGAGACCATCCTGGCCAACATGGTGAAACCCCGTCTCTACTGAAAATACAAAAATTAGCTGGACGTGGTGGCGCATGCCTGTAGGCCCAGCTACTTGGGAAGCTGAGGTGGGAGAATCGCTTGAACCCAGGAGGCAGAGGTTGCAGTGACCCGAGATCACGCCACTGCACTCTAGCCTGGAGACGGAGCAAGACTCTGTCTGAAAAAAAAAAAGTTCCCCAAAAGTCAGACAATTGTTTTACCTAATACATCTTTATTTAATAAATCATTTATATTTTAAGGTAATGTTAATTATAGAGATGGCAGTTTTCCAAATTTGTTTTGACATTTCACATAATTTTCTTGACCTTTACAAGAATATTTTATTTCCTCAAGGATCTCTTGAATCTTTCTTAGAGAAATGTTATTAACCAGATGCTTAGAAAATGTGTCCCAGATTCTGAAACTATAAATAATTGGAAAAAAAACAAGAGAACATATGCAATCTTGGGAAAAAATGAGAAACATCTTATTCAAATAGTGATATATTATCATTCAAGGAAGATTGAAAAGTATTGCCAGCCTTAAAACCTCATTGGAACTGTGACTTTCAGCCAAGATAGAGTTAAAGGGACCAAATTTACCTTCATGCCTGAAACACCTTATTTTTTATTCACCTTATTTTATGTAAATGAAACACTTTAAAAATAATAAAATATGTAAAATAATAGTTCTATCATGAGATTTTTATTATGTAAGTAGCTTCATGAGATAATTGACTGCTGAAACAAAATTGTAACAATATAATTAGATAGTAAATCAGTAAGTATATAAGACTTTCATAACACTATTAACTAATTTGACCTAATTGACATTTATAGAATACTCCAACCAAAAACAGAATATACATTCTTTTCAAGTGCATATAGAATATGTATTACAGAGACCATATTCTGGGCCATAAGACATGTCTCAGTAAATTCTCAGTATGTTCTCCGACCTCAGTGGAATTAAATTAGAAATCAATATTAGAAAGATACCTAGAACATCCTCAAATATTTTAAAATTAAATAACACATTTATAAATAAACCATGGGTCAAAGTAGAAATGAAAAGGGAAATCAGAAAGTATTTGGAACCAAATAAAAATAAAAACACTCAGCCTAGGCAACACAACAAGACCCATCTCTAAAAGTAAACATTAAAAAATTAGCTGGGCATGGTGTCACATGCCTATAGTTCCAGCTAACTTGGGAGGCTGGGGCAGGAGAATCACTTGAGCCTGGGAGTTTGCGGTTACAGTGAGCGATGGTTGGACCACTGCACTCCAGCCTGGGTGACAGACAGGGTGACAGAGTGGAATCTTGTCTCTAACATAAAATAAAACCACAATATATTAAAAACTGTAGGATGCAGCTAAAGTAGTGCTTATAGGGAGAGGTATAGCACTAAATAATCCATCGTAGAAAAAAAGTTAAGTTTCTGACAAATGACATCAGATTCCACTTTCAGAAACTAGAAAAAGAACAAATAAAGGCCAAAATAAGCAGGAGAAAGCACATGATAAATATCACAGCAGACATCTAAGAAATAGAAACTGGCTGGGTTCCTGATGGCTCATGTGTGTAATCCCAGCACTTTGGGAGGCCAAGGCAGGAAGATTGCTTGAGTCAAGGAGTTTGAGACTGGCCTGGGTAGCATAGCAAGAGCTGTCTCTATTTAAATTTAAAAAAAGAAATAGGAAACAAAAATAATAGTAAAGATAATCAATGAAACCCAAAGCTAGTTATCTGAGATCAATAAAACTAATAAACTTCCAACAAGACAGATCAGGACTAAAGGAGAAATGACTAAATTGCTAACATCAGGAATAAAGGAGAGAATATCACTCTAGTACCTGCAGACAGAAGAATAGTACAAAAATATTATAAACCACTCTATGCTCATAAATTCAGCAAGTTAGATGAAATGGACAAAAATCTTTGAGAAAATGCAAACTACCAAGGCTCACTTGAGAATAAATAGATCACATATACATTACATATATATTACATATTATATAATATATAATATATATTACATATACATTACATATTATATATAATATAATATATATAACATATATATTACATATATTACATATATATTATATATTATATATGTGTAATATGTATGTAATAATACATATTACATACATAATACATACATATGTAATAATACATACATATGTATGTATGTATTACATACATACAATAATAATACATACATATGTATGTATGTATTACATACATACAATAATAATACATACATATGTAATAATTATATATATATTAATATATATGTAATTTATATGTAATATATATTATTACATATATATTACATATATATTATATATTATATATTACACATTATATATCATATATAATATAGCATATATAATATGTAATTATATATAATTATATATAATATATTATATATAATATATACATGTATATGTAATATTACATATTACATATTATATATTATATATTACATGTATAATATGTAATATTACATTATATATATTATATATTACATGTATAATATGTAATATTACATATTATACATGTAATATATAATATATATAATTATACATTATATATTATATATAATATATACATTATATATACATATATGCATATATAATATATACATTCTATATACATATATTATACATGTATATAATATATACACACACATATACATATTATGTATATAATATATACACACATATATACATATTATGTATAGGTATATAATATATATACACACATATATACATATGTATACGTATATTATATATACACACATATATACATATGTATACGTATATAATATATATACACACATATATACATATGTATATGTATATAATATATACACACATATATACATATTATGTATATGTATATAATATATACACACATACATATTATGTATACGTATATAATATATACATATTATGTATACGTATATAATATATACATATGTATACGTATATAATATATACATATGTATACGTATATAATATATACATATATTATGTATACGTATATAATATATACATATTATGTATACGTATATACTATGTAACATTACATATTACATATATTACATATATATATATGAAATTCAATTTGTAGTGAAAAACAGTTCTACATAAAACACTTCAGGCCCAGATAGATCCCTGGAGAATTCTACCAAATATTTATAGACAACATTGAACCCATTCTTTATAAACTCTTGCAAAAAAGTGAAGATGAAATGGTTCCCAACTCATGCTAAGAGGCCAGCATTTCTTTGATACCAAATGACACAAAGATATTACAAGAAACTAAATCTACAGGTTAACATCCCTTATGACCATAGACAGAAACATTCTTAAGAAAAATATATCAAAAATTCAACAATATATAAAAGGATAATACATTGTCACCAAATGGGATTTATTTTAGGATGACAGGGTTGGATTAACATTAAAAACATCATATAATTTAACAAAAGTAAATGATAACATATGATCATCTCTATGTGCACAGAAAAAACATTTGGCAACATCCAACATATATTTCTAATGAAAACGCCCAGTATATTAGGATAGAAGTAAACTTCCTCATTGTGACAAAGGGAATGTATAAAAAACCTAGAGCTAACATAATATTTAACAGAGAAAGACTGGATACTTTCCCTGTTGGAACAGAAATAAAAAGCAAGTATGTCTGTTGTAACAACTTCTATTCAACATTGTACTGGAGTACCTCTATAAAATGTATATACAAAAAAGAAAGAAAAAAAATGTCCTGGAGGGTCTAGCCAGTACAATAAAGCAAAAAGAAGAAAGAGAGAAAGAAAGAAAGAGAGAGAGAGACAGAGAGAGAGAGAGAGAGAGAGAGGAAGGAAGGGCATGTAGATTGAAAGCCAAGAAATAAAATTATCTTCATTTGCAGATGACATAATCATGTATGTAAAAATGCTGATAGAAGCTACAAAAACCTAGCAGAATCGATGGGTTTAACAAGTTTGCAGGATACAAGACCAATGTATTTCTTCTAGAAATAGAATAATGCTTTCATTTCCTAGTAAAGAAAAATTGGTATTGAAACTTTACAATAGCATAAAACTATGAAATGTTTGTGGATAAATCTGACAAAAGGTATGTGTGATTCATACAGTGAAACTATAAAACTCTGCTGAAAGAAATTAAAGACTGCAAAGTTGTATTTTATTTATGGATCAGAAAATTCAATATTGTTAATTCAATTCTCCCAAATATTGCCAATTCTCCCCAAATTGATTTATAGATTTCATTCAATCTCAATCAAACTCCCAGGAGGCTTTTTGGTGGCAATTGTAAATTAGTGCTAAAACTCATATGGAAAGGACCAAAATTAGACAAAACGTTTTGAAAATAGAAGAGTTGTAACCTGGAAGTTGTATGCATCTGTTAGAATGTAGAATTGAAAAGACTGACATACTAAATGTTGGTGAGGACATAGCAAATAGAACACTCATACATTGCTGTTGAAATATAAAGTGAAACAACTTCAGAAAACAATTTTAAAATTTCTGTAAAAGTTAAATATCCAACTAACCATAATATTCAGGCATTTCACTTCCAAGTATTTCCCAAAGAGAAATAAAAGAACATGTACATACAAGGTCTTGTACAACAACTGTTCATTACACCTTTATCTGTAATAGCCCCCACACTGAAAGCAATCCAAATGTCCATCTACAAGTAAAGGAATAAACTGTGCTATAGCCATTCAAGGGAATACTACTCAGCAAAAGAAAGAAAAACTATTGACAAAGATGCCAACATGGACAGATCTCAAAATAATCATGCTGACAGCAGAAACCAAGATGAATGGTTGCCTAGGGATTGGATGAAGTGGGAAGGAAGAGTTGGGAGGGTGGGAATATAAAGAGACGAGAGGAAGCTTTTTTGAGATAATGGGTATGTTAATTATTTTGATTGTAGAAATCATTTCACATATGTAAAACTTCCAATTTTATGTTTTAAATAACACAAAAACTCATTTTTTTAAAAAATGTAATTCAAAAATACAATCTATCGATAATTCAATCTATCTATTGTATTTTTAAAAATACAATCTATCGGTAATTCAGCAAACCTAAATTGTCATTTGTTAAAAGGAGCATTACTTTAGGTATGAGGATCAGTATTTCTGAACTCTAATAAAGGAAGAAGGAGAGTATGAACTGAGTGTTTACTCCCCATGCCGACATCTCATGAAAATTTAAAACTAAAATAATACAAGAGCAAATGTTTTAAAATTCCTAGCAGCAGTAATCCAAAATGATATAAGTGTACTCAATTTTAGTTTAATATTATTCTGAACATGCTTGCTTGTATTCCTTCTAAAAGGGCAAGGAGTATTTTTGCAAAATTGGTGGACTGATAGGCTCATCCCTTACCTTTTGCTGGATAGCCTGGAGTGAGTGGGTCACCAGCACCATTCAAATTTAACACATTTCCTCTCTGGGCTGCAGTTCCAGGAAGATTCCATCCTTTGGGATATGGCTGTACCTCAGGAGCAAAGTAGTCAGCTGGATCTGAGTACAAGATGATTCCTATGGCTCCTGCTAACATGGCATTTTTAACCTGCAGGGGCAATGTGCAATTCATAATGCAGATATGGCAAATGGTTGGCTTATTCATATAAGAAAGACATTAATTTAATAATGGAAGGATATTTAGACACTGCCTTTTACCATACAATTACACATTCAGTTCTCTTGGCTTTGAACACAATTTCCCACCTATTAGACCTAACAGACTTCCATTATTCCATGGAAATCTAAACGAGTTATCATTTCTTCTGTGAAACATTCCTATTACAACCTGCAACTGTAGAATTCATGTCCCTTCTTTGTAGTTCTATATTTTCTATATTATAGGATAGCTCTTAATGTATTAAAACATCTATTAAATATCTATCTCTCCTATTAGGCTGAGGGTGTTTTTGAAAACTTGAACCATGTGTTCTTAATTTTAAACTACTGCCCTGTAAAATCTCGCACATCATAGAGTAAGCATTCTACAAATATTTATGGAACTAAACTCATTTAAAATTGTATGCAGAGCAGTCATATTTGTGAAAAACAGCCCAGGGTTTTTGTAAACATCTTTCTAACAATCCAAACTGGCCAAAAATAGGAAAATGTACCCTGTGAGATACTAAATTCTTCTTCACCAAAAGTATTGTAGCAGAAGATGGATAACAGTCTTGATTCATAAAAATGCATTCCAATATTTAGAGAACACCCTGTTATATCACTAAGAGTATAATCTGTCACAACTTTTTGAAGGAAAATTGATGATGTCTATCAAAATTTTGAAAGAATATACACTATTATTTAGCCATTTAATTTCTATGAATCTATACTACAATAATCTTCACACAAATTTCTGGAGCATATATGGACAAAGATGTTCACAATTAAATTATTTGTAATAGTAACAAATTCAAGATGAGACAAACATCGTCAGTAGCGGAATGGTTAAATAAATGGCTTATCAATTCTGTGAAATATGATGCCATCATTTAAAATACTGAGGTAATTAATAAGCAGTTATATAGAAATTACTAAGTACCAGCCACTTTCCTAAGTGCTTTCAAACAAAGTCATTCAATAAGGACTCTATGAGATTGGTGCCCTCGTCATTCGCATTTTATATGTGAGGAAACTTTGCAACAGAGAAGTTAAGTAACATGCTCACAGTAAAAGATCTAGAAAGAATAGGAGCCAGACTAGACAAGAACCCAGGTGATATGGATCTAGGGTTCTATACTCTTAACCAATGTATTACATAACTCTCAACATGTGGACATGAAGAATATGAGTCATGGCTGAATGAAAAAAAATAAAGTCTTATAATATACAATGTAAAAGTAAATAAATAAATATATGTAAAATGGACATATAGGGACAGATGTATTTATATGTCACAGAATTAGGTTTGAAAAAAGCTATTAAGATTGATTATATCTGAATAATGAAGTGGGTAATGCAGAGAAGCTTTTCATTTTTTACTTTATATAAATTTCCTTCAATTAAATTTCTAAAAGCAAATATTACTTTTATAATAAAAATGATTCAAAATAATCTCCTTTTCCAGGTATGTAAGAAAACATAAAAACATGAGTTTCCGTGTACCCATGGCAAATAGGAAGAAAAAAAGAAAAGAAATGTTTGAAAGCAATTTGGAAACAGAGAAGCAAGTTGGTCATTTACATTTACAGAATATATATATCCTCTCATTCTCTGTAGAAAAACAAATAATACTGTACTTTATTTCCTCTGAAGATTTTTCCATATCTTGCAATAACAATCTTCCCAGTACAGTTGATGCCCATCTCTCTTTCTAGTTTGAAAAAGTCTTCAGTGCGAGCATAGTTCACATATACAAGATCTCCCTATAGGGAAAAGAAAATATATATAATACTGCTAAAATTAAAGAAAAAAAAAAACAAAAAATAAGTTTGCTTCACAATACTACATCATCAAAAGTGTTTCCTTTCTTTATTTGGGGAGTAATAAACAGACCCACAGTAATTATGCAGAATTCATTAGAGAATCTTTTAAAATCCTGAAAAGTTTAAAAAACGACAATGTATAAGAGTTATTTATTTATTTATTATTTTTGAGACGGAATTTCACTGTCACCCAGGCTGGAGTGCAGTAGCACTCCCTCGGCTCACTGCAACCTCCTCCACCTTCTGAGTTCAAGTGATTCTGCCTCAGCTGCCAGAGTAGCTGTGATTACAGACATGCGCCACCATGCCCAGATAATTTTTGTATTTTTTAACAGTAGAGATGGGTTTCACCATGTTGGCCAGTCTGGTCTTGAACTCCTGACCTCCAAAGATCTGCCCGCCTCAACCTCCTAAAGTGCTGGGATTACAGGTGTGAGCCACCACACCCAGCCAGACATATCTAAACAGCATGTCCTGTGTTGAAGAAATCATCAGTGTATACAAAGCCACAGGGAATAGAGTAAATAAATGTCATTTTAAAGATCCTAACTATATTTATTTAATTTCCAACCATTGCATTAATTTAAGAACCTCTATGGTATGATCTATAAAATCCTATCTATGAATCCATAAAATATTCAAATTATGAAAAATGGAAAGAAGCTTGTAAAAACACCTACTGCTGGGCGGAAGCGGTAGCTCACGCCTGTAATCCCAGCACTTTGGGAGGCTGAGGCAAGCAGATCACCTGAGGTCGGGAGTTCGAGACTAGCCTGACCAACATAGAGAAACCCCGTCTCCACTAAAAAAAAATACAAAATTAGCAGGATGTGGCGGCATGCACCTGTGGTCCCAGCTACGCGGGAGGCTGAGGCAAGAGAATTGCTTGAACCTCGGAGGCAGAGGTTGCAGGGAGCCGAGATTGTGCCACTGCACTCCAGCCTGGGTGACAAGAGCGAAACTCTGTCTCAAAAAAACAAAACGAAACAAAAACAAAAACAAACAAACAAAAAAACACCTACTGCCTCACTGAAAGGCATGTTCAGCAGTTTGTTATTTCAGAGAGTGGCAACTGCTTCAGCAGGGTCAGTTTTTAATGTATTTGTTTTGTTTCTTTTTTCTCTGGTGTTCTTTTCTATTTTATTTTATTGTAATTTTTTTAATTTGAGGGATGAGGTTTTCATAGTACTGAATATCAAACAAGGAACCCGCATGAATGATTCACCTAATTTCCTTGGTTTTAGTCCTCCATACAGGTTTTACATAGCAAAAGAACCATTTAAAGACTTGGATTACAAAAGTATTTTATTTTACCTCTGGCATGCCTTGGGCTGAGAAAGCATTATATGGTGGCACAATATTTGTAACATTCTCATAGCCATCTGGTGGTGGTTCAAGGTATGATGTTTTGAAAATCTAGCAAGAATTAAAATATGTCAAGTTAGAAAAATTCCAGATTATTATTAAGATATAATTCATTTTGCCTCCAAGTATATACTTCAGATTAAGCATCCTGGAACAAGGTTCTGTAATAGATAAATTACACTGACAACAATGAGAAAGAGCCTTATCATTATTATTGTCTTCCTAACAATAGAAACTTTTATAAATGCATGCAATCCCAGGTAACCAAAAGTTTCCTTATAAAGTGTAACAGCAGAGCTTCAAAGGTGGCACTTTGGTGATCCTCTTTTTTTTGACTATGCCTTTTCAGCTTCCTTTGTGGGCTCCTTTTCTTTCATCTTTATTTAAATAATATTTCCCCATGTTTTATCCCCAGCCCATTGCTTGCCTCTGTACTCCCTCCCTGCGACACTTCATTAAGTATCAGAATTTTACCAATAGCTAATATGCTTATGATGCTTACCTTTTCAGATTCATATATTTAAATGTTTGGTGGTTATTTCATCCTGGATGTCCAAACTCAACATGTTAAAATTCAAATTTATCATCTCTCACCCTGGGCCTGCTTTTGATCTGCATTTCCTACCTCTATTAATAGCTTCAGTCATTAGCCACCCACACCAGACAGTCTCGGAGTCATCCTGAACTCTATCTTCCCCTCCTTCCCCAAGTCAATCACTAATCAAGTCCTGCTAATACATTTCCTTACTATTTCTGAAATCCATCCCTCATCCTCATTCCTACTAACATCCTAATTTAAAACTTTATTATCTTTTACCTGGACTATTGTCTTAAGACAACAACTTTAACCCGTTGCTTAGCCTAGGTGTGATCCATAGAGGACGTTGTCTATCTAAAATGCCCCTCTAGCCACATCCTTCCCCTGCTCAGGACTTGTCATTGGCTCCCGTGAACTGAAGTTGAAGTTTAAGCTCCCTAGGACAGCATACACGCCCTTCTATGATCTGTTCCCAGAACATATTTACTGGTTTATCTCATATCGTGGCCTACTTCATATTTTACACTTTTGAAATACAGAAAATCATTACATTCTCCCAATAAAACTAGGCTAGTATATGCCTCCAAGCATTTGCCAATATTTTGTCTTTTGTTGAGAATTTTCTTAGCTTATTTTGTCACATGGTTAACTCCTATGTCCTTTCATGACTCACGTGTCAAGACTTCAGGAAACATTGTCTAACTCCCAGGCTGGGCTGAGTGACCCTTTTCTGGGTAAATAATGAATTCTAATCATAATCTTCATAGCACTTACCATACTAATTTGAGGTCTGAAGTATTCCATTGTCTGCCTCAACTTACTTAGGCAAAGGAACCATGCCTTAGTCTTATTCTGGCCTCAGGACTTAACACCATGTCGAACACATAGTGGATACTGAATAATTCACTATTAACAAATTTCTACTTTTACTTGACCCTACATTACAATCCACATAAAACGGTCGGATTGCAAAATATAAAAAGTACCAACAATTTCACATACCTCAGTTTCATGTTCATCCACAATCGATATATAGTTGGCATTTGTCTCATTGGGGTAAGATAAGAGGACATCATAATGAACCAACTTGGCTGAATCTAGTCCAAATTTCTTCCACTGGGTTTGGATTTTCTTGGCAAGCAAGAAATTTTGTTCTGTTCCTGCCAGATGAGGAAGCTTTGTAAAAGAACTAAAATGAAAATAAAACATAAGAGGGCATTAAAGACTATGCTCAGACGATGTGCCTAAGAACTATTCTAAATGCACTACTTATGCATTGGGCATTAAGTTGTCATTCCTATATGACAGATAAAAGAAACACAGCTAATGCTACCAGTTTCTAGATAGGCCAATTTTTAAGTTATTTGTGTACAACTGCAGTTTTCATATTATGCTTCCTCAGAAAAGAACACATTTCATGGTAGATACAATCAGCAAAGGCTCAGATATGAGATGACACCCTGGAAGAATGTCATACTTCTATACCAATAATGTTCCTTTTTGCTGTTTGTCAGAGAACAGAGACATTTTGGAAAAAAAAAATAGATCTTAACCTCTCGCAGGGACCACTTGGGCACTTCCATGTTTATCTTATATATTTCTACTGTTGATTGTATCATGTATGCAGTTGCTTATTTATCTCATTGATCTCAAAGTCCATGCATTTTTATTTTTCATATCCCCTAGTGCTTAGTTCTTGCCTTTTACCCAAAATGTACAGGCTTGCTGAATTTAATTTGGGCAGTGTTCTCTTGGTTTTGGATGTAAATGAGTTGTAACATTTAAGTGACCCCACAAACATAGTTCTTAGTGAGATTTATTTTACTTGGGGTGAATAATATTTTTAAAGTCCCTGGCCAGGCATGGTGGCTCACACCTGTAATCCCAGCACTTTGGGAGGCCGAGGAGGGTGGATCAACTGAGGTCAGGAGTTCAAGACCAGCCTGGCCAACATGGTCTTGAACTACCCCGTATCTACCAAAAATACAAAAAATTAGCCAGGCGTCGTGGCGGGTGCTTGTAATCCCAGCTACTTGGGAGACTGAGGCAGGAGAATTGCTTGAATCTGGGAGGCGGAGGTTGCAGTGAGCCGAGATCATGCCAATGCACTCCAGCCTGGGTGACAGAGTGAGACTACATCACAAAAAAAAAAAAAAAAAAAAAAAAAAAAAAAAATTAAACTCCCCCACCATCAGTAGAACAAAAATAAACCCTTTTTTAATTTTTTTTTTTTTTTAGTTAACCGGATGACAGCCACAAAATATACAGCAGTAGAAGGAAATTAACATGTATTGAAAACCTGTTGTATGACAAGCACTCTACATTCACTTTCACATGTGTTTTCTCATTTAATCATCACAATCCTTCTTCTGTCATCCCCATTTTGCAAATGAGGAGACTGACAGAGTGACTGAATAATCTACTCATAATTTTACAGCTAATAAATGCTGGAACTGGAATCCAAAATTGTAGTTACCCGATCCTGAGAAATAGTGATATTTCTAAATAATTCATCTGCTGTTATTACCCATGTGCTTAAAACTCTTCTACAACTCCCTGTACCCTGCATTAGAAAGTCCACACTCCAACATGGCATCTAAAGCACTTTTAGGTTAGGTCCTGTCTTCTGTCTTTTCAGGTTAATTCCACATCACTCTCTTATAAATTCCTCTACTCTCTGTCACTGAGTATACTTATTTTTCTCATAAAATGATTATGATCTTTAATACCTTTTAGCCTTTGCACAATGTCTTATCTCAACCAAAAATATTGTCCCATCTACCTGAATCTCCCTCTATCACCACTTCTAATCACTCTCCTTTCTCATCTGCAAACTATTAATCATCCATAAGGACTCTTCAAGCATCATCTTCTCTCAGAAGATGTCTTTCTCTATATCAGAAAATGAAAACTGCAGGTATCAGATGTTTAATTTCTTACCATATTTATTTTTTAAAAGTACAAATGTGTTCAGACAGAAGTTATTTTATATGTATAGGAATAAAAAAGCAAAACAGCTAGAGATATTTAATTTCTACTTTATACAATTCATTATTTTTGTTTCTACATAGAGCAGATATGATTCTTGCAATTAGAAAAAATATATATATTTCCTTAAATTAGGAGGGAGGATTAGCCATGAACTTTTTTGCCTCCCATCTTTTCAAGAACCCCCTGAAATGAAATAGAGAAGTACAGAAAAAGAGTAGGAAGGTAGAACATCCTTTATTTTATATCAGGGTTTCTCTGTATGGTCCCAAGATGGGCATTACAGCGCCAGGCATACATATTCACCCAGTAACTTCAGGAGAAACAAGTACAAACTAGAACAACTATTCCTTCTTTTGTGTTTAACAAAGGAACATTTTTCTAGAAGATCTTAGCCAAGTTTTTCTCCCATTTCATTAGGCAAAATAGGGTCATTTACCCCTTCTCAAATCAACCATTGCTAGAGGGAGGGTAATGATTGGCTTATGGACTAATCAAGAGATTCCTGGGCTGGGAGGAAGGTAACCTTTACTGAACACATACCCTCCTGAGAGAGGGAGAACACTCAAAGTTGAGGCTCTGTTAAAAAGAAAGTGGCTGGGAGAAATACAATTGTTCCCACATTTAAGCCCTTTAACCCACTCTTCAAGCCCTCCTTTGCCTTCTAAACTCTTCTGCTGTGTTCATTAACCCTTTAGCTCTGCAATCAACTATTCGCTTATATCTTCAGCACCTTCTCTGAATGTTTCCTTGACCTCCTTGTCTTTCTTTTCCGTTTTTTTTTTTTTTTAATGGAGTTTTGCTCTTGTTGCCCAGGCTGGAGTGCAGTGGTACAATCTCGACTTACTGCAACCTCCGCCTCCCAGGTTCAAGCAATTCTCCTGCCTCAGCCTCCTGAGTAGCTGGGATTACAGGTGCATGCCACAATGCCCAGCTAATTTTTTGTATTTTTAATAGAGGTGGGGTTTCATTATGTTGGACAGGCTGGTTTTGAATTCCTGACCTCAGGTGATCCACTCTCCTTGGCCTCCCAAAGTGCAGGGATTACAGGCATGAGCCAACGTGCCCAGCCAACCTCCTTGTCTTAACTGGTTTCCTCTGAGGACCCTGCTCACATGCCGGCTGTTTTATTTTCCATGATCCCATATAGCTCATGGCTAAAATTCAGCTAGGAGGCCTTCTTACTCTCCACTGGCTCTTTCAAATATATCTCTTTTATCTTCTTTAAAAACTAACAGCTTTTTTGAAGCTTACAACAAAAGTCACCACCCACTACACCTTCTAGGTATGTACTGTCATCTACAAAACTTTGAGTCATGCCTCTTCATTCATTAAAGTTGGGGGCTCCTAATATGGTGTATTTCCCTCTATCCCTGTTCTTGTCATCATTCTTGGTGTGTAATTTTTGTATGTGTATCTCTCTTCAAGTGATGTTCATTCCTACTCATTCTTTTCCTGTATCATCAAAAAAGCACCTCACAACAGACATTTTGAACTAATCTCTTGATATCTGATGTGCCTTGATAATACATAAGCTGAAATTTAATAAGAACATTATAGCTGATTTATTCCTCATTACAATAGCTCACTCGAGTTCATCCATAGACACTAACATGGAACCTTGTGATCTCATCAACAGCACAGATGGGTAGAAAATAGAGATACTACTCAACTTATGGTGAGGTTATGTTCCTATAAACGCATTGAAAGTCAAACATATTACTAAATTGAAAATGCATTTAATACCCTGATAAATCCATCATAAAGTTGAAAAATTCTAAATCAAACCATCATAAGTCAGGGATTGTCTGTTAACTGTAGTGTATGTACTTCGCTCAGTGTATCTGTCTGTAGGGTTTAACTGGAGTATTAAAAGAGAAGAGGAGAAAGAATGGTACAGAAAGATATTTTAAGAAATAGTAAACAAGACCTTTCTAAATTAATAGAAGACATAAATTTACATTGTCAAGAAGCTCAGAGAGCCTAAACAGGCTAAATTTAAAGAAAACTATGCCTAGACACATAGTAAAACTGCTGAAAATCAAAGACAAAAATAAGACGTTACATGATTTAATGACTGTAAACTTCTCATCAGATGACATAGCAGCTAGAAGACAGTGAAACATTTAAAGTTCTAAAAACTTCATGTGTATTAGCGGAGTCAACCCAGAATTCTATGTCCAGGAAAAATATGTTTGGAGAATAAAGTTGAAGTAAAGAATTTTATGGGTGAAGAAAAACTAAGAATTTGTCACCATCAGACTCCACATTACAGGAAATACTTAAGGAAGTTATTCAGACTCAACAGAAATAGCACAAGGCAACCTAAATCTTCAGAAACAAATGAAAAGCATCAAAAACGATAAATACCTAAGAAACATGAAATACTAATTTTAACTTTAATTGGTTTACAATACATATACATGTTCAAAGAAAAAATATAACATTAATATAACATTATTTTTTGAGGTTTATATTTCATGTATGTATAATACATATGACAGCTACTTTATAAAGGATGGTGGGGGAGAGAGTAAATGGACATAAAGAAATGTGAGTTTCTCCATTTTGTATTAAGTGACACAGTAGTAAATTTAAGAATACAGTGAAACATTACAGATGTATAATATAACCTTTAGAGTATCCACTAAAAAGTATAGCCAAAGAGGTATAGCCAAAAGATAAATTGAAATAAAATAAAATTTCATATATTTTCCCCACTATCAAAAAGTCAGAAAATGAGTAAAGGTACAGAAAGAAAACAGAAAACAAACCAAAAAGTGGCAGACTTAAGTTTAATTATATCAATCAATAACTATATTATATGTTAATGGACTAAATACTCACAAGGCAGAGGTTACCAGAGTGGATAAAAAAGCAAATATCTATTATATGCGGCCCACAGAGGGCATACTTAAATTAAGATTACAAAAATGGATAAAACAGCAAATGACAACTGTGTTCTCTCTATAGAGGGTACATTTTAATTCTAATGAAAGTGATAGTTAAAAGTAAGTAGATGGAAGAAGACATCGTATATAAACATAAGTATTAGAAGGCTGACGTGGCTCCATTCATATGAAATAAAATAGACTTAAAAAGATTATTACTAAAGATAACTAAGCACATTTCATAAAAATAAAAGGTCATTCTGTTTTGAAAACATAGCAACGTCCATGTGTATATGCCTAATGAATGAGCCTCAGAATACATAGAGTAAAAACTGAGCAAGTTAATGGGACAAATAGACAATTTCGCATTCGTGGAGAAAACTATAACATACCTCTGGATTAAATTTGACCCCCTCCCAAATTAGTGAAGAAATAAAGGAATTACCCTACCGACCAGCTAAAAAAGAAAAATCATATGATCATATTAATTGATACAGAAAAAGCGCTTGACAAAATTCAACACCCATTCATGATAAAAACCCTCAGCAGTCTTGGAATAGAGGAGAGCTTTCTTAACTTGACAAAGAGCATCAACAAAATAACGACAGCTACATCATACTTAATGGTGAAACTAAATCTTTCTCCTTAAGATTAGAAAAAAGAAAAGAATGTCCACTCTTACTACTCTTATTCAACAGAGTAATGGAGTTTCCAGTCAGCACAAAGAGGCAATTTTTCTTAAAAAAGTAAAAGGCATACAGGTTAGAAAGAAAAAAGAAATGAAATGTTCCCTTTTTGAAGATGACATTATTGTCTACATAGAAAATTTCAATGAATCTACAAGAAACAAACCAAAACAAACAAACAAACCAAACTCTTTCCCACCTTCCAGCCAAGTCCAGTGGCTCACATTTGTAATCCCAGAACTCTGGGAGGCCTAGGTGGGAGGATCGCTTAACTCCAGGAGTTTGAAACCAGCCTGGGAAATATGGCAAGACTCTGTCTCAGAAAACCCCCCCAAAACCAAAACAAACAAACAAACAAAACCTTCTTAGAGTTCAGCAAGGCCACAGGATGCAACATCAATACACAAACACAACAGTATTTCTATATGCTAACAACAGAGTATGTGGAAATTGAAATTAAAACACAATATAATTTGCATTTGCTCCAAAGAAAATGAAAGATGCAAATCTAACAAAGCATGTAAAGCATCTGCTTAATGCAAATTACAAAATGCTGATAAAAGAAAGATGATCTACAATTGGAAACATACCACGTTCATGTAATAGAAGACTGGACATAGCAAAAATGTCAAGAATTCCCAAATAGCTCTATAGGATTAATGTAATTCCTATCAAAGCTCCACCAATAGTTTTTTAGACAAATATGTGTTTATTATATATTTTAAATGAAAAGGTAAGGGATATAGTATAGCTACAATAATAGTTTAAAAGAATAAGGTAAGAGAAATCATTCTATGTTTTGTTAAAATCTACTATGTCACTTTAATAATCAGGACAGTATGGTACTGGATAAATAGGGCAGAATATAAAACCCAGAAACAGAATAAGACTCTGTCTCTACAAAAGAGAGAATCTAGAAATAGACTCACACAAATACGCCCAACCAATTTTTAACAAAGGTGCAAAAGCAATTAAATGAAAGAAGGATAACATTTTAACAAATGGTGATAGAGCAGTTGGCCATTCTCAAGCAAAAGAATAAACTCAACCTAAACCTTACACCTTTATGCACAAAATAACTCAAAATAGGTCAGAAACTTTAATGTAAAAGGTAAATTATAAATCTCTGGGGGAAAAAAGAAGACAAAATTGGTCAAAGTCCAGATCAAAGAGTTCTTAGATATGAACCCAAAAGCATGATCCAAAAAGAGAAAAATTGATAAATTAAACCTCATCAAAATAAGGTTTTAACTTCTGATCTGCAAATGAGGGTGGGCAAATAGACAAATTACAGACTGGGAAAAAATATTTGTTCACTGCATTTCCAACAAAAGACTTATATCTAGAATAGAGTTGACCCTTGAAACATAGGTTTGAACAACATGGGTCCACTTATATATGAATTTTTTTCAATAAATATATTGGAAAATTTTTTTGAGATTTGCAGCAATTTAAAAAAAACTCATAAATGAACCACATAGCCTAGAAATATTAAAAAAAAAAGAAGAGGTTTGTCACGAATGCATGAAGTACATGTAAAAGTATTTTATCATTTACTGTTTTAAAATAACATGAATCTATTATAAAAAGTTAAAATGTATCAAAACGTAGGCATACAGTTACAGACTACATGGTGCCATTTGCAGTCTAGAGAAATGTAAACAAACATAAAGATACAATATAAAATCATAATTATGTAAAATTAACTGTAATACATTGTGTACTACAGTAATACTTTTGTAGCAACAGCTTATTGCTCTTGCCGTGAGCTTGTGAGGTGACTATCTGCTTAAACCACTGTGTGATATTAATCATCTCCCTAATCATCACTACCTGAACAGTTTGTTTCTCCAGTAAATTGCTTATGGCAGTTTAAAAAATGATCTCCCATGGTTCTCATGTAGTTCTTACCATGTTTAGTACAATACTGTAAACCTTGAATAACACCGTGGGATCCATACAAAGTGCCACTAATGATACATTATAAGAAAAGGTTGAATTGCTTGGTATACCGTAGACTGAGGTATGCAGCTGTGATTGCCCTCCATTTTCAAAATAAATCCAGCATAAGGACTATTGTTAAAAAAAAAAAAAAAAAGGAAAAGTTTGTGAAGCTGTCATGGCAGCTATGCCTGCAAATGTGAAAACTTTGTTCTTTTGCAAATTACCTTTTTTTCTTGTATTGAAAATGTAGCTTTTATGTGGGTGTAGGATTGTTATAAGAAAGGCATATCTATAGACTCTAATTAATGTGATTTGAGAAAAAGCAAAGTCATTCTATGATAATTTAAAGCAAAAGGAAGGTAAAGGTGGAGAATAGTATGCCTGCAAAAGATGGTTTGATACATTTAGAAAGAAGTTTAACTTAAAGTGTCGAGATAAGAGGAGGAGCAGCTTCTGCTCACCAAGAGGCAGTAGACAAGTCTTCAGATGACATTAAGAAAATTACTGAGGAGAAAGCATATCTGCCTGAAAAGGTTTTTTAATGCAAATGAAAATGCCCTATCCTGGGGGCAGAGGGGGATGCTACAAAGGGTATTTATGAGTAAGGAAGAGATGTAAGCACTGAGATTTAAGGCAGGAAGGGATAGGCGAATTCTACTGTTTTGTGCAAATGCACTTGGGTTTATGATAAGGACTGCCCTTATCTATGAAGCTGTTAACCCCCAAGCCTTGAATGGAAAAGATAAACACCAGCTTTCAGTCTTTTGTTTGTACAACAAGAAGGCCTGGACAACAGAAACCTATGTTCTAGATTGATTCCACCCATACTTTGTTCCTGCAGTCATGAAATACCTTGCCAGGAAGGGATTGCCTTTTAAAATTCTTTTGGTATTGGAAGACACCTCTGGCTACCCAGAAACCCTGAGATCAAGTAGTCTACTTACCCCCAAACACATCTCTCTAATTTGCCCCCTAGATCAAGGGGTCATAATAAGAATTTTAAGGCTCACTGCACTCTATGGAAAGGACTGTCAATACTACGGAAGAGAACCCTGACAGAACTTCATGAAATTCTGAAAAAAATTACATTATTGAAGATGCCATCATTGTTATAGAAAATGCTGTGAAAGCCATCAAGCCCAACACAACAAATTCCTGCTAAAGAAAACTGTGTGCAGATGTTGACATGACTTCACAGGATTGATGACAGAGCCAAACAAGGTAATCATGAAAGAGATTGTGAATATGGCAAAAAAAAAAAAAAAAAAAAAAAAAAAAAAAAAAGTTGAGGGATGAAGGGTTTCATGATAGTAATCTTGGAAAAATTCAAAAGTTAGTAGACACCAGAAAAATTAACAGAAGACGATTTGATGGAGATGAATACTTCTAAACCAGTACCAGGTGATGAGGAAGAAGACACAGAAGAAGCAATGCCAGAAAACAAGATGATATTAGACAATCTGGCAGAAGGGTTTCCATTATTCAAGACTGCTTTTGACTTCTTTTACAACACGGTCCTTTCTATGATATAGGCACTAAAACTAAAGCAAATGATGGAAGAAGAACTGGTAGTGTATAAAAATATTTTTAGAGAAAAGAAAAAGCAAAAAACATACATGATGTCTAAGAATTAAATGGAATGTGACTGCCTTTCCTGACTCCCTTCTCTACCTTCTCTGCCTCTGCCATCCTTGAGACAGCAAGACCAACCCCTCCTCTTCCTCCTCCTCCTCAGCCTACTCAATGTGAAGACTGGATGAAGACCTTCATGAAAATCTACACTCACTTAATGAATAGTAAATGCTTTTTCTCTTTCTTATGATTTTCTTAAAATCATTTTCTTTTCTCTAGCTTACTTTATTGTAAGAATACAGCATATAATACATATACAAAATACATATTAATTGTCTATGTTATTGCTAAGGTCACTAGTAGGGTATTAATAGTTAAGTTTTGGGGGAATTAAAAGTTATGTGTGGATTTTTGACTGCATGGGGGGTCAGCACCCTATGCCCACATTACTCAAGAGTCAACTCTATATAAAGAACTCTAAAATCTCCATAGGAGGGTTGGGGATGGTGGCCTATGCTTGTAATCCTAGCACTGTGGGAGGGTGAGGTGGGTATGTCACTTGAGCTCATGAGTTCGAGACCAGCCTGGGCAAAATAATGAGACCCTGTCTCTACCAACAACAACAACAACAACAACAAAATAAATAAAATAAACAAAAATAAAAAAATTAGCTGGGTGTGGTGATGCATGTCTGTAGTCCCAGCTACTCAGGAGGCTGAGGTGGGAGAATCCCTTGAGCCTAGGACATGGAGGTTGCAGTGAGCTGAGATTGCACCACTGTACTCCAGCCTGGGTGATGGAGTGAGACTCTGTCTCAAAACAACAACATCAACAACAAACAAAAAACTCCACAGGGGGAAAACAACTTATATCTAAATACAAAATAAGCCAAAGCCGTGAATAGACTTCTAAAATTATTTATTTTTAAATTTTATGGCTACCTACTACTTGTACACATTTATAGGGTATATGTGATATCTTGATACAAGCATACAATAAGTAATGATCAAATCAGAGTAGTTAGGATATCTATCACCTCAAACATTTATCATTTCTTTGAGTTTGGAACATTTCAAATCCACTCTAGTTATTTTGAAATATACAATAAATTATTGTTAACTATAGTTGCCCTATTGTGCTATGTAATACTAGATCTTATTCCTTCTATCTAACTGTATTTTTGTACCCATTGAACCAACCCCTCAGTATTGTCTGCCCTCCTCACTACCCTTCTAGTTTCTGGTAACCATCATTCTATTCTCTGTCTCCATGAGATCAATTTTTTTTTAGCTCCCACATATGAGTTAGATCATGCAATATGTGTCTTTCTGTGCCTGGCTTATTTCACTTAATATAATGACATTTAGTTCCATTCATTTTGCTACAAATGATAGGATTTCTTTCTTTTTTATGCTGAGTAATAATCCATCCTGTATATACACCATAATATTTGTTGATGGAAGTTGATCATCAGGTTGATTTGGTATCTTGGCTATTGTGAATATTGCTGTGGTAAATATCAGAGTGCACATATCTCTTTGGAATACTGATTTCCTTATTTTGAGGTAGAAATGCAAAATGATGCAACCACTTTTCACTTATCTTAGGCATTTTCTTAAAAAGTTAAACTTATGCTTATCATCAAACTCAACCATTTCAAGAGAAATAAACCACATATCCACAGAAAGACTTGTAAACATCTGTTCATAGCAGCTTTATTCACAATAGTCAAAAACTATAATCAACCCAAATTTCCATCAATTATACATTGCAATATATCCATACAATGGAATTCTAGTCTGCAATAAAAATAATGAACTACTAATGCATGCAACAATCTAGATGAATCTCAAAATCATTATTCTGAGTAAAAGAAGCTAGATACAAAAGAACATATACTATATGATTCCATTTAAATAAGATTCTAGAAAATGCAAATGAATCTCCAGTGATATAAAATTGGTTAGTGATTGCCCAGTGACAGAGATGGAGGGGGATGGGGAATAAACTGCAAAGGGCATAATGGAATATTTTTGTAGCATGATGGAGGAGGTGGTTTGTTCAGCATAGCATACGTCTGTCATAACTCTCAAATTGTAGGCTTTATAGGGATGCAGTTTATTTTATGTAAATTATACTTCACTAAAGCTGATTTTAAAAAATAACACCCATTTGAAAGAGTCTGAATACAGAAATAAATACCATGGCCATTGTTCTTAAGGAGTTTATGATCACTCCCCCAATTTCCACTGTTTTTCATGGTTAGAAGCTGGAGGAATGGCAATGATTCTTTTTGGTTTCATTTTGTCTTATTTGTAAAAAACAAATTTATACCTGCAAGATGGGATAAAGGTTTAACTTTTGGCAGACAGAATCAGACACTTTGATCACTTTTCCACTAAATCACTTAGTCAACCATCATCTAACTTTCCCTGACAGAATATGGTATCTAAGAAAATTGCTGATTAAAACCCAGGCACTGATGAACAAAGAATAACATTCAGTTAGATCCAAAGTTACATGAAGTTGAAACATCTCTCAATAAGCCAACCAGATACTTTTTGTTACATAAAGTTAGGGAAGAAAGACCTACTTTTTCACCCCAAGACTGGTGTAAAGAGACATTAAAAAAAAAAAAAAAGTTGATGACTAATATGTAATTTCACACAGAGAAGACTGTCCTCATGCATATAACCAGGTATAATATGCTTCTCACTGTGATATTTTAAACATGATTTTTAAGATCAAATACGTAAAATAAACTTACCGAAGAAATGATTTGATGTTTTCAGCTTTCATTTCGGATACCAGTTTCCACCGTATACTTTGATGATAGCGCACAGAAGTGGTCGTTTCTTTGAGAGGCTTAATAAACCAGCCTAAGGAAAAAAAATACACAAACATGCACACATACACACAAAATCACTTTGACTTTATTAAAACTAGAAGCCACCCCTCTGTCCTTCCCCCCAAAAAGCCTTTATCTGACAAGTAGATCATGGTGAGCTTTAAAAAATAATGTTTATATTAAATGCAGAAAACCTGTAAATTCTGATATGTAATATAATTTTTAGATGCTTAAAAGGAGTTTTATTTAAGAGAAGCTCTTTCATTTTCTCACGTTATGCATGAAGGCATGGCTTTTGTTGTTCTTCCCTGGATCTCTAGTCCCTGACACATAGGGAACATTCCACAAATATTTATTTACGTATAGAGCAGGGTTTTGTTTTGCTTTGTTTCGTTTTGCTTTGTTTTTAATGCTGCCCGTATTAGTTGAAAGTTTTGACTCACTAATGTTGCTTGGAAATAAAACGATTTTTTTTCATCCCTGCAGACAGTGACAGCTGTAGGTTGTCTTTAGTGAACTCAGTGAACATTTAATAAATTTGAATTTCAAGCACACTTTATCTATTAGCAAGCCCAAAATACATTCCATCTGGTTTCTAGTTTTGCTGAAATGTGCAGAGTTTATCATATCTAGCCCAGCCGGCCAGGGCTAGCGCACAGCCCAATCCCTTCCAGCTCCAGGATTTCTCCCTTTATCTCTGCAGAGAATCACGAGCCCCGGAGTCGGGGTAGAGTGTTTTGTTCACTTACCCACCATAAATCCCATCAGGAAAGATGCCAGCGCAGCAGCCAAGCACATCCAAAGGTACAGACGGCCCCTGGATTCCGCCATGGCTTCTTGAGGACCGAGCTTGGGGCGCCTGCTACATTCGCGAGCTTCGGGGCTGCAGAGAAACAGAGAGCGCGCTGGCAGGAGGCTGTGAGCTCTGGGTGGCCTCCGCTGACCTTCGCAAGGCCACGCCTCCGCCCTACCCGCTGGGGACCTGTGGTCCCCAGGGGCCCTCGATGGGGGAAAGGAAGCCCTGCAGAGGGAGGAGACATTCTTCCTGTTGGCGGGCAACTTCCATTCTGTGGATCCCGCAGTAACCCGGACATAGTAGGTGGCGGGAGCTGCTGAAAACGTCCCTAATTTTTTCCTAAAGAACTCTACTGCTGTTTGCCATGCCCATCCCCCAAAATGCCCAGTTTCGGCTCAGAAGTGAATTTAAGTATTGCTTTTCCTGATCTATTGGTTATTCTTCTTCCAGATTCTCTGCTGTAATTTCCCACTCGTCAGACTCGGAAATGATTTCTGGTCCTGGGTGCTCCGCTGTTAAAGCTGTTAACATCACTAATACCGCAATCACTGTCAGCATCAAAATCGATGGGATTGCGTTTTTTTGTTCCCCTTTACTTAAACAAAACTCCACATTTCTGTAATTCTGTTTCCACTCATTTAACTGAGGTTTTTACCTACCTCACTGGAATGTTTTAGGTTCACATTAGTAAAAGTAATCACTGAAAGGACCTTGCACTGCCAGTAGTTACTGAGAGTCTGTTCTTAATGCTAAAGCTCAGACACCAATTTCCCAAAATATGGTGCTTTGACATGCTAAACCGAAGAAGCCAGGGGGTCTCTCTGACCATACCCCTCTCTTCCAGCTCCTCTCTCTCAATCCTTTGTCTCTCCCATAGCACAGAATAAAGCTGTTCTCTAAAGTTCCCTTATCTGCCTAAAGTCCAGAACTACTAAAGGCAAAAACAAACAAACAAAAAAAAAAAGAGTTTCTTTCCTGAGTTTTCATTAACCGAACTAATATCTCAGGAAGAAGGACTGCAGTCTGTCAATACAACTGGCAGCCTTCTGTTACAAACTCTCGTCTGCCCTGTAGGGCCAACAGACTTTGTCCCAGGCCATTGCATATTCTTCAAGCCCATTGAATTTCCCTAAAATTCATTTACTACCCTCTTAAAATTATACACACATTCTCATCTTCCTTTCCTCTAAAAAGATGGGTATATTATCATCTGTACCTCATTGGTTATTGGGTAATCATTCTACTACGATTCCCTTATGCTATGTTATTCATAAATTTGTAAGCCTTTTTTTTTTCTAATAGTCTGCCTTTTGTGAGTTGATTTTCCAGCAAAACTTCAGAGGGTGAAGGGGAAGCTTTCCATTGACCCCTACATTAGCAATGGTCCCTGTCATTCCCCTGTCCTCACCATGCTACATTCATGAAGCATTTCTCTTTAAAGATGGGTTTGCAAAATAGTGGCCATTGTAAATAGCCTTCATCCAACCATCTCATCTCAGAGAAAAATTTTAGGAATTTATGATTGGCTTCACGTATCTAACCAAAAGTAGTTTTTTCAGCCAAAGCAAAACTGCTATGTTGATTTCAAAGATGGTAGTATATCTAGGATAAACTTCACAGCATTGTCTGCAGCCCTGATAGCTTTAGGTAATGCACCTTTGCTCCTAACAAGTGACTGGAAGAGTGAAATTTATTTTTCTGGGACATAACTTTTTTTTGTCCTTGTATTTCAATGGCTATCAATTGAACATAATTGTTGATAGGTATGCCTAATAACTTATTTCTTGAAACTTTTGTAGCATACCTGGTACTTAACTTTGAAGCAAACCTCCTTAATGAACTGTTGATTTCTAAATGTTTGCATGCAATTTAAGTCCCAACTAACTTCAGCTTTTTCAGCTACTAGCCTGTTAGACATTCCTTGACTGACTCCTCCAGTGTTTTTTATTTTAGAGAGAAACATCTTTCAAAAAACATTTTCATAACAAAGTGAGTTTGTTCCCCCTTATATGCATACACACAACACCAAATATAGGGAATTAGAATAGAATTATTCAAAAGGTTCAATATCCAGTGAAGTAACTAAACCCCTCAAATATGGCTTAAGAAACATTTTCCAAGAGCACTCAGAATTATTTTTATGTGTGACATTATGAAATAATACTGGGATTTTAATAACTCTCCAGTGTTTAACAGGTGACACACAAAGGTCTCAAACAATATCAAATGTTATTTTTGTACATATAAACATTTTGGGTATTGATTGTGTAATTTGTCAATTTTTAGACTCTTGGCTTTTTCTATTTGCTACCCATTGGACCATTCACTGTTGACTACATAGCCCTCAAGAGGCAGATCAAAATTATCTCCAGGAAAAGATTTACTGAAGAAAGAGAAGGTAGAAACTAATGAATAAAGTTGCTAAGCTATTTATTAAATTTATTTTTTCTTGCTCATTTTGTGTTTTTTATTGCTAATTGAAGTTTGAGTAATAGAATAAATCAATGCATTATTTAACACAGTTTGCCAGTTTGAATAATCTCCCTAAATTAAAATTAGATTAAAGAGTTCCAAGAATGAGCAATGTTACCTCAAATATGACTGTCGTCTCTGTAGGCGGCATCTGCAATCTTGAAAAGCCATTGTAAAAAGCCCAGTTAGCTGGCTCAACAAGTCTTTGGACTTTTGTCAATATAGACACTGCAAGCATTCAAAATTCTATGTTAATTAAGTTTGTAACAGAAGGCTGCTATCAAAAAGTAATTGCTAATTATTACCATCTTGGCAAATACTTGTACTTTGCAAAGCACACTTAACAAAGCAACACTGTTGACGTAGGGCAATCCTTTTCAATTTCTCCATCAAAGCTAATAGTATATAAAAACTTTGAGTATTGAAAACCAGTCTCTCAATGAAGCTATTTGACACATTTGACCTGCTCATGATTCAGTGAGCCTCTAACATAACAAAACTCACCACTTCCTCCATTTAAGTTAAATTGCTCTTATCTAAGCATTTTTTCCTCCTCTTCTCCATCATAGCAGAAGCAGTTTTGTAACCCTGAAGCTCAAGTTCCTTCAAACAGGTTATGGCAATGTTTGAAAACAAAGTGTCATATATGTACTAATAAAGCAGTATATATAAATTTCACTTGCAGAATTAAGCTTTAATTATTAAGCTTTAATAAAAAAGAATAATGTTTAACTTGATGATAAAGTGGTGAGATATTTGTCAAACCCACAGTCTCACCAGGTGCTGTGCCACAAAATTTCAGGTTTTGCTTGAAAATGTTGCCTTATTCTGCATATGAGAGGCTCACTGTATAGATACAGACATTATGCCCTTAGTGATGTCACAAGGTGGCATTACTAGGGAAATGAATAGGCCCACATGATGTTGTGGTCATCCAGAAAGCAATGTTCACTTTCAAAAATGTGAATCGTTGATGTTATGATAGCTGTGATTCAGCACAAGAATTATATTCCAGTTGGGTATTTGTTTCTTTTCTCTTTTATAGGATGGGGTCTCACTACGTTGCTTTGGCTGGTCTCGCACTCCTGGGCTCAAGCAATTCTCCCAACTTGGCCTCTCAAAGTGCTGAGATTACAGACATGAACCACTGTGGTTAAGTATTTTTAAGATTCTGGGCCACAAAATTGGCAAAAATTAGTTTCAAACATAAAATAAGATGTTAGAAAATTAGTACATTAAACAATATACCAGAACTTATATCACAGAGGAGAGGTGAGACAAAAGAAGTCTAGATAGTGAGAAGAGGTGAAAGACTGATAAAAGTGAGAAGAAATTTTAAAAGGAAAGCAGAAACCATGATTGGATGATTTCCTTCTGATGTCATAATTACTCTACTCAACAATAAATGTAGAAATTAGAAAAGACCTACCAGGTAAATGTGTAAAATAGACCATCCATACCTTCTTATCAGCGTAGGATATGCCTCCTATCATGCTAGCATTCTAGTTGGAACCTTGACACTGGTAAGTTTTACAACTTGGCCTTTAAACCAGATTTTCCGATTTAACATTGCTCATCCCTTATCATTAAAATGCACCTTCAAGCTATTTTCCATAATAGCTTTAACTAATAGTGCCATGATTAGGGTACCTCCAGTGCTATTCCTTCACAAACTCTCATCCTATAGCCTTATTTACAGCTGCAGTCCCTGTATCCCTTTAGTATCATTTTATTGTGTATAAATCCCTTTATATTTTGAATCCTCTCTCTAACATATCTTTTTCTACCCCCTCTTGTCTGACACCTATTTTCACTTGATACCACTTTTTTCTGAAAACCAGTTAAATGGACATTTCCTTTTCTTGCCTCTCCATTGACTCATGGGGTCAGAGAGGAAGGACAGATCTTTGCTTTGTCACCATTATTCCCTGCACATTCTCTTCTGAAGTCACTTCCATCTGATTATATAATTTGCTTCCTTTTTTCATCATTGTCCCCACCAAGATATTATCCTACTTTCTCCAGTGGTTTTAATGGCTACATTGTAGAATTTGAGTGTGCCCCATTCTTTGGCACTTCACTCCTCATTTTCTTTCACACCTCACATAGAATTCTTTAGTATGTTCTATTGGCTCTGCAATCAAAATGTATCTTGAATCTAGCTGCTTACCATCTTCACCGCCATTATTCTAATCTTAGCCACAATAATCTCTCATGTAAAGCATTTTTATTGGGTTCTCTTTCTCCACCTTTGCAGACCATCTTTGACTCAATAGAATGTCCTTCCTAAGTCAAAAATCAGATCAAGTTATAACTTAAAATTTTCCAAAGCCCTGTCTTTAAACTTAAAAACAAAATTTATCAGAACAAGGATCTCTGAGAAAAAATAAAAACTATAAACAACCCCAAATTCCCCCAAATTTAGACTCATTAGAGTGGCTACCAAAAACCCACATGATCTAGCTTTTGAATCTCACCTCCCCTCAAAGGAAAACTGCACTAAGGAAATACAGGCAAGCCAAATACATGGAGACCAGGCAACCACAAAATCAACAAAGATCACCAACATCATAAAGAAACAGACAAACCCAAAGGGAGGGCTTGTGTCACTAAGCCCTCCTAGTGATAATGTAATAAATTCATATGTCTATAGATAAAGGAGGCTTTGTTATATGGCAAATGGCTAAGAAAGCCCCAGCCTTCTATAGTATTTTTCAAAGATCTCTAACAAAGTAAAATAGCAAGAAGAGGGTGTTTAACAATTTTACAATTTGAGTTAACCATTGGAGAAACTAAAATTATTTGATATTTTTATTGTGGTGAGTTGAAATTCATTTGTTATTTTAAAAGAGAATTATTTTTATTAACTGGTTACTTTTCTTGGCCAGCTAACCTGACCAAGGACAGTCTAATTCATAACAAGAGGAATATAATCCCTATTCTACAAGCCACATCCATAACCCCATAGTTCCCTATATTATATTGCCAGTTTTTGAGACTGAGCATTCATTTCCTGCTAAGTCTCAGACCACTCTGAGAAAAGCTGCCAAACATTTGCCAGCCCTGCTCACTACTATCCCACCTTCCATACAAAATTCTTTTTCTTAGGCTCAGAGAAGCAAGGCTATTAATGAATGAGTGAAGGGAGTTTTTCAGATCATCTAGTGATGAAGTTATGGCACACTCTGGTTTGTGCAGGTTGATATGGTTTGGCCACATCCCCACCCAAATCTCAACTTGAATTGTATCTCCCAGAATTCCCACGTGTTGTGGGAGGGACCTAGGGGGAGGTAATTGAATCCTGGGGTCCAGTCTTTCCCATGCTATTCTGATGATAGTAAGTCTCATGAGATCTAATGGGTTTATCAGGGGTTTCCGCTTTTGCTTCCTCCTCATTTTCTCTTGCTGCTGCCATGTAAGAAGTGCTTTCCACCTCTTGCCATGATTCTGAGACCTCCCCAGTCACATGGAAGTGTAAGTCCAATTAAACCTCTTTTTTTTTCCAGTCTCAGGTATATCTTTATCAGCAGCATGAAAACGGACTAATACAGTAAATTGGTACCAGTAGAGTGGGGCACTGCAGAAAAGATACCCAAAAACGTGGAATTAACTTTGGAACTGGGTAACAGGCAGAGACTGGAAGAGTTTGGAGGGCTCAGAAGAAGACAGGAAGATGTGGGAAAGTTTAGAACTTCCTAGAGACTTGTTGAATGGCTTTGTCCAAAATGCTGATAGCAATATGGACAATAAAATCCAGGCTGAGGTGGTCTCAGATGGAGATGAGGAACTGGTTGGCAACTGGAGCAAAGGAGACTCTTGTCATGTTTTATTAAAGAGACTGATGGCATTTTGCCCCTGCCCTAGAGATTTGTGGAACTTTAAACTTGAGAGACATGGTTTAGGGTATTTGGTGGAAGAAATTTCCAAGCAGCAAAACATTCAAGAGGTGACTTAGGTGTTGTTAAAAGGCATTCAGTTTTATAAGGCAAGCAGAGCATAAAAGTTCGGAAAATTTGCTGCCTGACAATGTGATAGAAAAGAAAAAACCAATTTTCAGGGGACAAATTCAAGTCAGCTGCAGAAATTTGCATAAGTAGCAAGGAGCCTAATGTTAATTCCCAAGACCATGGGGAAAATGTCTCCAGGCCATGTCAGAGAACTTCTCAGCAGCCCCTCCCATTGCAGGCCCAGAGGCTCAGGAGGAAAACGTGATTTTTGTGGGCTGGGACCAGGGTCCCCGTGCTGTGTGCAGCCTAGGGACTTGGTGCCCTGTGTCCCAGCCACTCCACCTGTGGCTGAAAGAGGACAACATAGAGCTCAGGCTGTGGCTACAGAGGGTGGAAGTCTCAAGCCTTGACAGCTTCCATGTGGTGTTGAGCCTGCAGTTGCACAGAAGTGAAGAATTGAGTTTTGGAGAGGCCAGGGGTGGAATGATATGATTTGGCTGTGTCCCCATCCAAATCTCAACTTGAATTCTATCTCCTAGAATTCCTGCTGTTGTGGAAGGGACCCAGAAGGAGGTAATTGAATCATGGGGGCTGGTCTTTCTTGTGCTATTCTTGTGATATGAATAAGTCTCATGAGATCCGATGGGTTTATCGCAGCTTTCTACTTTTGTTTCTTCCTCATTTTCTCTTGCTGCCACCATGTAAGAAGTGCCTTCTGCCTCCCTCCATGATTCTGAGGCCTCCCCAGCCATGTGGAAGTGTAAGTCCAATTAAACCTCTTTTTCTTCCCAGTCTTGGGTATGTCTTTATTGGCAGCAAGAAAATGGACTAATACAAAGGTAAAAAAGATTAAAGAAGATACAGAGAGTAAGAGAATCATGGTGGGGCCCCAGAAGACATAAAATAGCTGGTTCAGTGAATGGTCTCTGGCCTTCACAAAGACCAAAACTGTACCTGGCTACCTATTCTAAGTCCTGAAACACACACAAGTCATCTGTCCACAACAAAACTAAGTCTCTAACCAACACAAACTTTTGTTTTACTTCTCCTTAAAATCTCTTTTCATTAAAAAGACCTGGAATCTGGAAAACATTACACTAGGTGAAATAAGCCAGACACAGAAAGGAAAATACTGCATGAGCTTACTTTTATGTGGAGTCTAAAACAAGTCAAACACGTAGAAACAGAGAGAAGAATGGTGGTTTTCAGGAGCAGGAAGGAGGAGGAAATGGAAAGTAGTAGGTCAAGGGGTAGAAAACTGCACTTTTATAGGATAAATTAATCTAGAGATCTAATGTACAGCGTGAGAACTGTAGTTGATAACATTGTATTGCATATAAAAATTTGTTGAGGGTAGATTTTAGGTGCTCTCACCACACACACACACACACGCACACACACACGCGCATGCACTCACTCACACCAGTAATCATGGTAGGTCATAGATAGTTTAATTTGCTGGAATGTTGTGGCCACTTCATTATGTATACATACATCAAAACACCATGTTGCACACCTTAAATATATATGATACACATTTTATTGGACCATTTCATAGAATTCTTTTTTACTGCCATATTGAGAAATGGGATAAAATCCCCTCAAACTAAATATATAAAGCAGAGTATTAAATGTGCAATAATCAGAGGATAATTATAGTCAAATGAAAACACTGTTAAAAATTTTTCTTCAAAAAGATTTAAAAAGCATTTAACTTTAGTCAACAGTGAAGGATACAGAGACCCTAGGACCATTATTTTTGCCCTACCTGTTGTCATCTTTGGCATGGTGAGCAGGTATACTACAAAAGTGGTGTTGCAACATCAAAACATTGCATTTTATATATTGCTTAGAGAAGAGTCTGTCTTTACAATTTATTGGCCTGAGGAGATCCCACCTCCCACTCAGCAAAATACAGTGAAAGAGAGACTCTACCCTACTAGACAATCAGCTTTCCTGCATCTTATACTTTTATCCCATTTGATCAGTTTTGGTGAAACCAAATTTAAGACTCATGTTTGAGTACAGAATTTCAGAATTTAGAGGAAGGTGATTCTTGTTTACCTTCCACTTTAAAAAATGCTTTGGATACTTGATCTGTAAGCATTGGGAAGTGACATTTCACCTAAGTGAAAGGGTGTTTTGCCTGTCATTAAAATGTCTCCATTGTAAACTGTATTGCCTGTAATCTGTATCATTTTTGGCCTATGCTTTGGTTTCTGTTAGCTTCTATTTTGCAAACAATATACATTACTCTAACTTGAACAGAAAAGAAATAGTAGCTCATAGAATCTCTGGCAAGATTAGAGAATCTTTTTTTTTTTTTTTTTTTTTGAAGTGGGCAGTGATTAAAGTGGCCAGTCAATCATAACTATGGCAAAAATGATGACAGAGGAACAATCTGGTGAGGCTGGTATGGCTGCGGCAGCGGGACACTGGATGGCACCCCTTGTTTTAGAGATGATCCCCATGATCACCACCACCATAGAACAGTGAGATCATGTGCCTGTGCTCTACCAGGGTCAGGGAAGACAGATGTCTAGACTTTATAGATTCTGAGACCATGAAGAATCACACAGCAGAACATTCCACAAACATAGAAAGGGTGTTCAAATGCTGTACAGACAAAAATACACCAGCAAACAGTTATATAGTCTCTTTTTTTCTGCCTGCCCAATATCTGTACATATTAATCTTCCAATAAACTTCCAAAAAACACATCCCCAGTGGAAGTTTTGTAATTTTCACATTTAGCAAACAGGACTACACTCATCATTTCTCTAAACAGACAGGAAAAAAATGCATTAGAGTATTATTTAGAGAAGTGGTTCGCAAAGTGAGATCCCCAGACAACAGCGTCAATATTACCTGGCAACTTGTTAGAAGTGCAGTCTCAGGGCAATTCTAGAGCTATTGAATCAGAAACTTTTCTTCAAGAATGAAGATAACTATTACTTTTAGAGTTGCTTTTATACGATGGGAAAAAATCGACCCAAAGTCTTGTGGTTATTGCATCCAGCTGCAAATCTAGCTTTCTAGTTGATGCTCATTCTTCTTGTAGTTCTGTCATGATTCCAACTCAGTTGTCTCATCCTATGAACAAAACTGAAAAGCTAACTGCTACTTTCACATCCCGTTTACCTCTATATGCAATAGGAGGCTGGGTTCAGTGACTCGTGCCTGTAATTCCAGCTATTTGAGAGGCTGAGGCAGGAGGATTGCTTGAGCCCAGGAGTTGGAGACTGCAGTGAGTCATGATCATGTGACTGCACTCCGGCCTGGGCAACAAATGAGACCCTGTCTCTTAAAACTAAAAATTTAGCCAAGATGGTGGCTCATACCTGTAGTCCCAGCTACTTTGGAGGCTGAGGCTTGAGCCAAGGAGTTTGAGTCCAGCCTAGGCAACAGAGTGAGATGCCATCTCCATTAAAAAAAAAAAAATAAAAAATATATATGTAATAGGGAGAGAGAAAAGAAATTTAAGATAAACTGTAAGAATATATACATGTTACAGTAAGAAATGAGACACATGAGATTAAAATTTTTGTTTCAGCATTTCATTATAAAGTCACTTATAACTTCCTTCCACCACTTTTCTCCCATATTCCCTTTGCTTTCAGCAAGTATCTCAGCTATTCAGAATTATTTACCTTCATTTCTAAGGGACCTGAACCCTTGCTGTACCCTCTAGTTTAGTAATCTCAGTGAACCTTTTGCACTGAATGTAGGTTTGAGGAGGTGATTTAGATTATTATCTCAGTTTAATGGTAACTCTTATCTTCTTATGACAAGAATCTCAATTCTTTCTTACCACAAGAATTTTCCACTCCAGCCAACGGTAAATTCATCTTCTGCCTACAGTGTTGTGTTCTGTTCAGTGGCATGAGAGGCTTAAGATAGCCAGGTTGGAGCCATATCTATGTAACTATTATTTCCCCTGACAGAAACATTTGCTCTGTAGGGACTGGAACCTCTAAATCATCAGAGTCCAGAATTGTGGGGACTACAGTGGATCTTCAAATGTAATCATGAGAAGAACTACCTTTTCTCTATGCTTGGTTTCCTGAGATATATTTTCTGGTTGTGGGAGAAATGGCACTACATGTGTATTAGTTGCGGCTCAGCTCAACTGAGCTGAGTTTGAAGTCCTTCAGGACAGCACTTCAAACTCACAAAATGTTGTCTAGAAAATGCTACTGTAGGCTGAACGCAGTGGCTTATGCCTGTAATCCCAGCACTTTGGGAGGCAGGGGCAGGTGGATCACGAGGTCAGGAGTTAAAGACCAGCCTGGCCAAGATGGTGAAACCCCATCTCTGTTAAAAATGCAAAAATTAGCTGGGTGTGCTGGCGGGCACCTGTAATTCCAGCTACATGGGAGGCTGAGGCGGGAGAATCGCTTGAACACAGGAGGCAGAGGTTGCAGAGAGCCGAGATTGCGCCATTGCACTCCAGACTGGGCGACAGAGCGAGACTCTGTATTTGTTTTTTTTTTTTGAATTAGAAAATGCTACTGTGTCTGAGTCATCAAAAAGCATTCCACTGTTCTATAAGGTTAGATTTTTGTGAATCAAGAAGTACATACACAGACCAATGATGATCAATTAACTAAGACTACTTCCAGGTACCTGAGCTAGCACCTTGAACATACAATGTCTGGTAAACACATTACACTGGTAAATTCACCCTAATCTAAAATTTTCTTTTTTGTCATTTATCACCAGAATCTATAATCCATGCATTTGCAAGATAGTGGCCAATATGAAATGCTAAAATCTGTAATTCTTGCAATGTGTAAGCATTGTTTATGATATGCTATGGAAAAAGCCTTTTTGGGTTTGATTCCATTTTAACCTGGTTACTATTTGGGAGACAATGAGTTATGAAGACTATGGATATTTTCTTTAAAAGTAGGAAAATTCCTTTGAGTGAGAGTCTAGGAGGCTCATTTTCCTCAGGGAAAGGAAGGGCCACACAGGCTGGAAAGCTGGACTCTAAATCCTCTAAGTACCTCTGTATATTCACATTCCAGTGTTTGGTATCTTGCTCTTTTAAAATCAGTGCTCAGACTTTCAGTTAAGAGATTCCAGGCTGGGCGTGGTGTCTCACGCCTGTAATCCCAGCACTTTAGGAGGCCGAGGTGGGCGGATCACAAGGTCAGGAGTTTGAGACCATCCTGGCTAACACAGTGAAATCCCGTCTCTACTAAAAATACCGAAAAAAAAAAAAAATAGCCGGGCGTGGTGGCCTGTGCCTGTAGTCCCAGCTACTTGGGAGGCTGAGGCAGAAGAATGGCATGAACCCAGGAGGCGGAGCGTGCAGTGAGCGGAGATGGCACCACTGCACTCCAGCCTGGGAGACAGAGTGAGATACCGTCTCAAAAAAAAAAAAAAAAAAAAAAAAAGATAAAAGAGATTCCAAAACCCGGATTCAACCGACCTTGCAGTTTGTCAAGTGACAGAAACAAACTTGGCATTTGTTTATAACAACCTTAGCCTTTCACTTGCAGGAAATAAGAATTTGTGTGAGGGAAAAGGAGGATATCAGTCTCAAAGTTTTAGAATGTTACTGAATGATAATTAAGAAACTTGAGTCTATTTATATACATCTTTGAGATACCCTTTGCTGTTAGAGGCAGCTACCCTCAATTATCATGCTTTGAATTTCTCTAGTCTTTCGTGCTGTCTGTCCTAAGTCAACAAATATCTTACCCATATGATTTAAGAAATGAACGAATATTATTGTACTGAATGTAGACAAGAAATAGATGTATATTATTGCAATATACATGTAGACAAGAAATGGATGTGTATTATTGTAAAGTGCTTATACTACACATGAAGTGGTATAATATCACCCATAGGTAAACTGATAATTTAAAGATACATACCCTAAAGCAGTCACTAAAATAACAAAGCATACAGCGAACAAGCAAAAAAGTAGATAAAATTTAATCATAAAATATTCAATCCAAAAGAAGAAAAAGAGGAAAAGAATACTTGTAACAAACAGAAAACAAATAGCTGTCCTTTCCATGGTCAGCACAAAAAAACAAAACAAACAAACAAACAAAAAACACATAAAAAAAGAAAGAAAAAAGAAAACAAATAGTAAGATGATAAAATTAAACTTTACCGTACCAATAATCATATTAAAGGTATATGATGTAAACATTCCAATAAAAAGCCAGGTTAAGAAGAACAAGATACAAAAGACACAGTTATATATGCCATATAAGAAATGAACTTTAACTATAAAAACAAATTGGTTAAAAGGAAAATAACAGAAAAAAAGATGTAACTTGATAACACTAGTGAAAAAAGCAAGAGTAGCTATTAATACATTAGAGGAAGTATATTTAAGAGCAAAGAATATTAGCAGTGATAAAATTAGGTCATTTTAGAATCATAAAGTGATCAACTCATCGAGAGGACATAATGATCCTAAACATTTATGCACCTATGAACAAGCTTTCAATATACATAAAGCAGACACTGATAGAACTGCAAGAAGAATCGAACACGTTCCTAATTATAATGGATTTTTAAATTTCTCTGTCAACAGTTGATAGAAAAAGTAGACATAAAATCAATAGAAACATATAAGATGGTGCAACACTGTCAACCAACAACAGCAGATTGTGCATTTTTTTTCAACATTACAGAAAACATTTAACAGGATAGTTCATATTCTGGGACATAAAACTAACCAAGTTTGAAATGGTTCAAATTACACAAAATACATTTTCTGAGCACAATGGAATTAAATTAGAAATCAGTAACAGAAAGATATCTGAAAAATTCTCAATTATTTGGAAACCAAATAACATATTTTAAATAACCTATGACTCAGAGAGGATATCTAAAGAGAAATCAGGAAGTGTTTTAAAGTGAAAACACAACATACAAAAATGTATGTAATGCAAGTAAAGCAGTACTTGAAAGGGAAATTTTTAGCACTAAAAGCCTACATATTAGAAAAGAAAAAAAAATCAATAACTTCATATTTTATCATAAGAACTAGAAAAAGAATAGAAATTCAACCTAAAGTATGCAGAATCACAGAAGTAATAATCTTAGCAAAATTCAGTGATACAGAAAACAAAAACAATTGAGATCAATAAACCCAAAACCTATTGGTCTTTGAGAAGATCAATAAACTCGATAAACCATTAGTAAAACTGATAAGGAAATGAAGAGAAGATACAAATTACCAATATCAGGAATAAAAAAGGTGATATGGCTGTAGATTTTATAGATATTAAAAGAATGGTAAGAAAATACTTTGAAGAACTTTATGCCAATAAACCAGATGATTTAAGTAAAATGGAAAAAAATTCTAGACAATAATTACAGGCAAAGACCTATAGAAACACACTCGTAATTAATTAGATTTGCTACAACTTTCTTTTTTCCTTTTTTTTTTGAGACGGAGTCTTGCTCTGTCACCCAGGCTGGAGTGCAATAGCATGATCTCGGCTCACTGTAACCTCCTCCTCCTAGGTTCAAGTATTCTCTTGCCTCAGCCTTCCTAGTAGCTGGGATTACAGGTGCCCACAACCACACTGGGCTAATTTTTGTATTTTTAGTAGAGACGGGGTTTCATCATGTTGGCCAGGCTGGTCTCGAACTCCTGACCTTAAGTTGTCCTCCCACCTCGGCCTCCTAAAGTGCTGGAACTACTGGTATGAGCCACCATGCCTGGCCTGCTACAAGGAGAACACATACCAAGAGAAACCAATGGGTGTCTCAGTAATAGGATGTTAAAAGGAACCTATTATAGGACTTACCCTTTGGTTGGGAGATGAGTGAATGTCTAAGAAAGAAGGGGTTTGCTCTAATTGGATGCTGTCAGAAAACAGGCAGATGGTCCAGCCATTTCATTCCTAGGTATTACTCAAGAGAAACAAAAGCATATGTCCATATAAAGACTTGTGTATGAATGTTCACAGAAGCTTTTTAAAAATTATACCCTCACGCCGGGCTTGGTGGCTCATGTCACCTAACACTTTGAGAGGCCGAGGAGGGTGGATAACCTGAGGCCGGGGATTTGAGACCAGTCTGGCCAACATGATGAAACCCTGTCTCCATTAAAAATACAAAAATTAGCCTGGTGGGGTGGTGCATACCTGTAATCCCAGCTACTTGGGAGCCTGAGGCAGGAGAATTGCTTGAACCTGGGAGGCAGAGGTTGCAGTGAGCCGAGATCATGCCACTGCACTCCAGCCTGGGTGACAGAGTGAGACTTCATCTCAAAACAAACAAACAAACAAACAAACAATTACCCCCTCAAACGGGAAACAACAAAGATTTCCATTAACAAGTACTATAAAAGGTTAAACAAACTGATATAGTCAAGCAATCAAACACTATTTTGCAATAAAAATGTATGCACATAACAAGGACAAATCTCATGACAAATATTGAGTGAAAGAAGCCAGGCAAAAACAACAAATGTATACTCTATGACGCATTTATATAACAATCTAGACAATGCAAACTTATCTATAGTGACAGAAAGCAGATCAGTAGTTGCTTGGAGAGGAGCAGCAGGGAAGGTCAGGAGGGTGGGATTACAAAGTGGCATAAGGAGGCCGAGGGCAGTAGCTCAGGCCTGTAATCCCAGCATTGTGGATGGCTGAGGCAGGAGGATTACTTGCACCCAGGAGTTTGAGAACAGCCTGGGCAACATGACAAGATCCCATCTTAAACAAAACAGAAAGTGGCACAAGGAAATTTTTAGGTGATTGATGTTTATTATCTTGATTATGGTGGTGGTCTTACACACGTATATTTATATATGTCAAAACTTCTCAAATTGTGCAGTTTTAAATATGTGGAGTTTATTGCAGGTCACCTATACCTCAACAAAGCTACCTAGAAAGAAGGAAAGGAGGTAATTGACTTTTTTAAGCTTCATGCAGAGTCAGTTGGATCAGAAGAAAATATACTCATCCAACATCCTCCTTCTTCCTCTATGGGCACTGATTGTAATATCTCTATTAGCGTACAGATATTTTAAAAATTTATATAAATATTTTTGATTGACAAACCATAATTGTATACATTTATAGGCTACAATGTGAGATATATATATATATATATATAAGGTGGCATGATTAAATCAAGCTAATGAACATATCCATCATCTCACTTACCCATCATTTTTTATGGTGAGACGTGAAATTTACCATTATTTTGAAGTATGTAGTACATTATTATTGACTACAGTCACTCTGCTGTGCAATAGATCTCAAAACCTGTTCCTCCCATATCTGAAACTTTGTACCCTTTGATCAACAGGCTCCCACTCCCTTCCTCCCCTTCTCCCAACCCAGCCTCTGGTAACCATCCTTCTACTTTCTACTTAGAGCACACACTTGTATTTTAGTGGAATGGATGTGAGGCTAAGTAACCTGAAAGTTTAGTTGGAAGTCAAGGTTTCTTTATGAGCCACTTTTTTCCCATTGGGAAGATAGGTAAAACAACATTTTCTTCCACGTATACGTAGGCAATATTATGACTCACTATTATGTTTAAAGACTAAATTACAAGTTTGAGTTCATGGAATTCAAGCAGAAAAATTCGGAGAAGTTTTCTTTTTCTTTTTTTTTTTCCTGGACTAGGCGCTGATTTTCTTCCAGCCTCTCTACCCAGAAATCTTGATTCCTACTCAGTACAAATATCCAGAAACTTCTTACCTTCCTACACAGAAAAGCCACTTCTTTAATCATATTTTCTCTAGATAATGGTATTTACAGGCGCCACTTGGATTGGCTGAGAACACTTTGCTTTGCTTTACTCAGAAGGTAGACTTTATTCTTTCCCCCCTCCCGCCTTTTGTGTTATATCCTGTCAATCCTTGAAGGGGCAAACTATCCCGCTCCCTCACCCTGTGTTTCCTCCACCCTCAGCTTCACTCAGACCCACGGTATCAACACTCAATGGGTGAACTGCTGTCGATGAAACATATTGCCATCATTGTAGTTGACTTTATTCTTAATAATAATCGGAGCAAACTGACCTTAAATGTCACGTAGGTCAAGTTGTACACAAATGCCTATCACGGATCTGTAGATGGGTATTGTCAAGTTCATTTTTGTATGCTTTCTACTTCTGTTCTAACTTTGACATACATTTGTGGTTTCCAAAAGGGAGGTAAAGACAATTTTACACTTTATAGTTTTTAACTTACAAGATGTCTGTAAAGACCTCACATTAGAATCACCTGGGACCTTTAAAAATGTCAATGATTGGCTGGGCGCGATGGCTCACGCCTGTAATCGCAGCACTTTGGGAGGCCAAGGCAGGCGGATCATGAGGTCAGGAGATCGAGACCATCCTGGCTAACACGGTAAAACCCCGTCTCTACTAAAAATACAAAAAAATTAGTTGGGCGTGGTGGCGGGTGCCTGTAGTCCCAGCTACTCGGGAGGCTGAGGCAGGAGAATGGCGTCAACCCAGGAGGCAGAGCTTGCAGTGAGCCAAGATCGTGCCAGTGCCCTTCAGCCTGGGCAGCAGTGGGAGAATCCATCTCAAAAAAAAAAAAAAAAAAAGCCAATGATTGAAGCCTAATACTGAAGATTCTGATTTATTAATAATTAGTCTGTGCTGGGTGTTAATTGAGCTCCCCAAGTGATTACGCATGTAGGACTTCAAACCACTAATTTAGAATCTTGTGACTCAAAATTTGGGCAAAAATGAGCAGCATCAGTATCACCTGGGAGCAGCTTCAGGCCTCACTTTAGATTTACTCTAAATCTAAATATTTTATTTTTATTAAAAAAAATTAAGAACAGATTACAAGCTTCAACTACATCTAAATTCTCTGGATTTACTTTAAAAGAATCTACATTTTGACACAATACCAAAGTGAACTAAATTCGCTTTTTTTTTTTTTTTTTTTGAGACAGAGTCTTGCTCTGTTGCCCAGGCTGGAGTGCAGTGGTTCAATCTTGGCTCACTGCAACTTCCATCTCTTCAGTTTAAGCGATTATCCTGCCTCGGCCTACAAAGTAGCTGGGATTACAGGCGCATGCCATCATGCCCGGCTAATTTTTGTATTTTTAGTAGAGACAGGGTTTCACAATGTTGGGTCAGCTGGTCTTGAACTCCTGACCTCAAGTGAGCTGCTGGCCTCGGCCTTCCAAAGTGCTGAGATTATAGGCATGAGCCACCATGCCCAGCCTAAATTTGCTTTAATTTGGAGAAGTACTGGTCTAGAAAACACAAATTCCAAGGAGACTCAAGTTCTTAAAATAAGCTGATTTCTTGAGTACAAGTTCTTCAAATGCATTCTTCAAGATTAATTTTTTTTTACTTTTTAAATTGACAAAAATTATACATATTCATTGCTATATGGGGATGTTTCAATACATGTAGATGGTGATCAGATCAGGGTAATTAGCATATCTATCATCTCAAACATTTATTATTTCTTTGTGTCGGGAGCATTCAAACTACTCCTTGGTATTTTAAACTACATAATATAGTATTGTTAACTATAGTCATCTACAGTACTATAGAACACTAGAACTTATTACTCCTACCTAACTGTAATTTTGTATCCGTTAACAAATCTCTTACTATCCCTCCTTTCTCCCTACACTTTTCAGCCTGCAGTATTCTCTGTTCTACTTTTTACTTCTATGAGATCAACTTTTTTTTAGCTTCTGCATGAGTGAGAACACGTGGTGTTGAAATTTCTATTCCTGGCTTATTTTGCTTAACATAATATCCTCCAGTTCCATCCATGTTGCTGAGAATGACAGGATTTTATTTATTCTTTTTTTATGGCTAAATAGCCTTCCTTGGTGTATATATACCACATTTTTAAAATCCATTCATCTGTTATTGGAAACCTAGGTTGATTCCATATCTTGGCTATTGTGAACACTGTTGCAATAAACATGGGGATGCCGATGTCTCTCCAATATAATGCTTTTCTTTCCTTTGGATAAATTCCCAGTAGTGGGATTGCTTGAGGGATTTCAATACTGTTCTCCATACTGGCTGCACTAATTTACATTCCTACCAACAGTGTATAAGAGTTCCTTTTTCCCCAGCTACTCACGAGGCTGAGGCAGGAGAACTATTTGAACTCTAGAAGCAGAGGGAGCCAGGTTACACCACCACTGCCCTCCAGCCTGGACGGAGAATGAGACTGTCAAAAAAAAAAGTCCCTTTTCTTCACATCTTTGCCAGCGTTTATTTTTGTCTCTTCTATAATAGCCATCCTAACTGGGATGAGATGATGCCTCATTGTGGCTTTGATTAGCATTTCCCTGCTGATTAGTGGTGTTGAACATTTTTTCATAAATTTGTTGGTCATTTGTATGTCTTCTTTTGAGAAATGTCTGTTCAGAGCATTTGCTTATATTTAATTAGATTGTTGGGTTTCTTTGCTGTTGATATGTTTGAATTCCTTGTATATTCTTGATATTAATTTCCTGCCAGATGAGTAGTTTATATTTTCTCCCATTCTGTAGGTTGTCTTTTCACTCACTTCATTATTTCCTTTGCTGTGCAGAAGCCTTTTAGCTTGATGTGATCCCATTTGTTTACTTTTCTTTTGTTGCCTGTGCTTTTGATGCCTTATTCATAAAATCTTTTCCCAGAGCAATGTCCTGAAGGATCTCCCCTATGTTTTCTTCTAGTAGCTTTACCATTTTGGGTCTTATATTTGGTTATTTGAGATACTTTGAGTTGATTTTTGTATAGGGTGAGAGGCAGGGGTCTAGTTTCATCCTTCTGCATTTGGATATCCAGTTTTCCAAGCACCATTTATTGAAGAGACTATCCTTTCCCCAATGAGTGTTCTTGGCATCTTTGTAAAAAATCAATTGGCTGAGATATGTGGATTTTCTGTGTTCTTTATTCTATTCCATAGGTCTATGTGTCTGTTTTTATGCCAGTACCATGATGTTTTGGTTACTACAGCTTTGTAGTATATTCTGAGGTCTGGTAGCATGATACATCCAGCTTTGTTCTTTTTGCTTAGGATTGCTTTGGCTATTCAGGATACTTTTGTTTCCATACAATCTCTTTGGATTTTTTTTTAATTTTGTGAAGAATATTCATTGGTATTTTGATAGAGATTGCATTGAATCTGTAGGTTGCTTTTGAGTGTACTGTCACTTTAACAACATTAGTATTTCTGATCCATGAGCATGAATGTCATCTACAGTGCTATAGAACACTGGAACTTATTACTCCTACCTAGCTGTAATTTTGTATCCATTAACAAATCTCTTACTATCCCTCCTTTCTCCCTACCCTTTTCAGCCTGCAGTATCCTCTGTTCTACTTTCTACTTTTTACTTTTCATTTATTTGTATCTTCTTCAATTTCTTTCATCAGTGTTTTGTAGTTTTCATTTTACCTCCTTGGTTACATTTATGTCTAGGTGTTTTTTTTGGTAACTATTGTAAATAGGTTTGCCATCTTGATTTCTTTTTCAGCTAGTTTGTTGTTCATATATATAAATGCCACCAATTTTTGTGTATTAGTTTTGTGTCTTGCAACTTCACTGAATTTGTTTGTTCTAAAAGTTTTCTGGTAGAGTCTTCAGGTTTTCCTATATATAAGATCATGTCAACTGCAAACAGGAACAATTTGACATCCTCCTTTCCAATCTGAATGCCCTTTATTTCTTTCTCTTGTCTAATTAATCTTGATAGGACTTCACATTTATATACTTTGAATATTTAAAATGTTTACATAGATGTCAGAATCAACTTTCATTTTTCATAGAAAAAGAAGACCCTGCTTGTTTTGTAGTTTTAATATCAATTAATTATTATTATCTGAGACAAATTATTTAACAAATTAAACCATCTATTAAAATATATTATCACAAATAAATTCCATAAGGAAAATATCTACAACTGTTTTTATGAAAGAAAAAAAGGCTTCTCTAAAGTTGCTTAGGCCTGGTGCTATGGCACACACCCATAAATCCAAGCACTTTGGGAGGCCATGGCAGGAGGATCCTTTGAGCCCAGTAGTTTGAGACCAGCTTGGACAACAAAGTGAGACCTCATCTCTACAAAAAAGAAAAAAGAAATTAGCTGGCTATGGTGGCGCATGCCTGTGGTCCTAGCTATTCAGGCGGCTGAGGAAGGAGGATCACTTGAGCCAGGGAGGTGGAGGTGTTACTGAACCATATTCATGCCACTCCACTCCAGCCTGGGTAACAGAGCTAGACCTTGTCTCAAAAAATTAAATTAGTTAAATTAAACATAAAGTTGCATTGTATTTAAAAAATTGGGAAAGCAGAAAATGCATCTTTTTTTTTTCTTTTGAGTTGAACAATGAGAACACATGGACACAGGGAGGGGAACATCACACACCGGGGCCTGTCAGGGGGTGGGGGGCTGGGGGGCTGGGGGAGTGATAGCATTAGGAGAAATGCCTAGTGTAGATGATGGGTTGATGGGTGCAGTAAACCACCATGGCACGTGTATACCTATGTAACAAACCTCCATGTTCTGTATATGTATCTCAGAACTTAAAATGTAATGATAATAATAATAAAAACGACAAAAAAAGGAAATGTTTCTTGTTAGAACAGATTACATACCCTCATTGCTTTTTATAATAGCCTATAATAACAGAATATCCACAAGGTGGCAGTAATATGTCAGTTTCATCCTCTGAAATTAAAACTTTTGCCTATTCAATAATACAATGGATCTTTCTGAACTCACTCTAACACATAGAATTCAGCAGTTTGACTTAATAATTAGCCTTTAAATTTATAGTCTTGCATTATCAATTTAGTGGTTTGAATTAGTTTGTATTTTAATATATTTAAATGAACTGGTCTTATGCAAATTGACTAATTTGACATGTTTTTTATTTTGTATTCTATTTTCAGAAGTTTAGCTTTAAAAAAGTTTCTAAACTTCGATATCTGGTGAGTGTTAATGTTTTTATCTTATTAAAAGGTGACAGACCACACAATATTCAACTGATTTTTTTTTAACAAGGATGCAAAAACAGTTTAAAGGAAGGATACCTTTTTCAACAAATGGTGCTAGAGCAATTGGACATTCATAGATACAAAAACTAAGATTGACCTAAATTTATACTTTATATAAAATTTAGCTCACATAAATCACAGGCTTAAATGTAAAATGTAGTATTATAAAACTTTAAGTCATGTATGGTAGCTCGTGCCTGTAATCTCAGCTACTACTCAAGTGGCTGAGGCAGAAGGATCACTTCAGTCCAGTAGTTCGTGGCTGCAGTGAGCAATGATGGCACCACTGCACTACAGCTTGGGCGAAACCTCGTGTCAAAAATAATAAATAAATAAATAAATAAATTCATTCATTCATTAAACTTTTAAAAATAGAAGAAAACTCTTTAGACCTTGGGCTAGGCAAAGAATTTTTAGGCTCGATATCAAAAACAAAATCTACAAAAGGAAAAAGTGATAAAACTGGACTTCATTAAAATAAATAAACACCTTTTTTTTTTTTTAACTTAGAAAGATCCTGTAAAGAGGTTGAAAACATGAATTACAGACTGGGAGAAATAATTTGCATACTATATATCTGACAAAGAGCTTACATCTAGCATATGTAAAGAATTCTCAAAACTCAATAGTAATAAATAAGGTATCCAATTAGAAAATAGGCATATGTGACCTCTCTGTCTTATAACTTAAACCTCATGTGACTACAATTATTTCAAATGAAATAAACAAAACAGTAATGCCTGTTTCTAGTGTATAAAATAATCAGAGAACATAGAATTTTACAAAGTTAAATTATTGGACCATTTACTTAATTTAAATATTTTTAAATGCATGTACCCATTTTGCTTGAAGGTGTGTGCAAGTATGCTTGTATTTTTTTAAACGATAATATGGTCACATGAGCATATACTTTATTTTTTAAGAGTTTATAGTTACCCAACACAAGTTCTTATTGATTCCCTCATTCTTAACACCTGCACAGTATTTCATTTTATAATTAATGGATTGTAGGTTTATTCTTTTAAAATCACTTGTGTTGTTCTCATGTTTTTTTTTTTTTCACTAAAAAGTGTTGCAATGCACAAAACTACAAATATAAAGAGGGTCTTCTCTGGATCTCTGTTGAAAAACTTTGAATAAAAATTACAAGTTCAAATCACACGTAAAATAAACATTTTAATTCATAGGGCTTTTATGCAAGATGCTAGTAGCAGCAGCACAGTTTTATTAATATCCCTGAATCTCTCACAAAAATTGACTGAGCAACTGGGATAACAAGGTATTAACTATGACAAAACAATGTAACAGGGTGTCATCATGAACCTTTTGTGAGGTTAAACCACAGAGACCCAGGGGAATCACCAACTGTTTTGGAAGAAGGAAAGGAAAGGAAAAAAATCTTTAATGGCCCTGGGAACTGGAAAAACTAGAAATACAATTGCTAACATCTATGTTCCTAAATTCAGAGATTCCTACTAGGCAAAAAGAACTTAGCAGATTAATCTGAGAACAGCAGCTGAGGCTGGCAGAAGGCTTCCTGGGCCTCAACTCACAGCTGAGAGTGAGGATGGCAAAAAGCAGTGCTGTGAGTGGTCTGTATCCTATGAACCCTACAAATTAACCACCCCCAAAACAAAGCCCTGTCCTAAGGAGAAACTGCAGGAAGTCAATTATAAATTGAGTTGGGAAGGACACTGAGGCTCAAGAAAAGAGAAGCTCCAGGTTAAGATGCAAGAGAAGAAGGGAAAAGGCAGTTTTCTGCAAGTTCAAGCACAAATAATTTCTTTACCTTCTAGTTCTGGAAATACCAGGTGCCGTCTATGTAAAGCAGGAATTTTGGTTGAATATTATATAATTTTCTGACCCACTGTTACTAATCCAGTCTCCCCTGTACTCAGATCTTCCATGCTGCAGACAGACTGACAGATGCTCAGCAAATAGTAGCTAATATTTTCTAGGAAACTAGGTGCTAAACGAGCTTTCTTAAATTTCTACCTCCAGGTCTGTAAGTTGATTTGAACCATTACCAGTTCCTGGTTCTGCACAGGTTGTTGAAGGCAGGACTTCTCTCCTTCAGTGGAAACTCCACCTGCTCACAATCAACCATCCTTTCCTGCAGCCTTGAGACACTACTCAGTGCAGCACCCCTCCCAGTCTAGAATAAGCACACTCATCATCAATCTCTCTCATTTTCTGTCTTATCTCCATTCCATCTACATACATTTTTTGTTTGTTTTTGCCAATGTTTTTAAATAAGCAACTGTACAAGCACAACAATGACAACAAAAACCTTCCTCTCCCCAGTGTCGTAGTGAGCAAGGAATATATTTAACTTCAAATAAAAGACAAAAACAAATGCTGGATAAAGCTGACAGAAAGAAATGCAACTGTAGGTGCTCTGGCAATATAGAAATGATACAACTAAGAAAAATAGAAGAAAAGGAAAAAGAAGGTATTCTGCAGAATGATTTTACTGACTGCTCGTCTGTAATGCCTGGGAGTCAAAGGATACTGTTTATAGAAATGTAGGCATACTTAATGGCATCAGGGGAAACAAAGTTAATATTATTATATCAAATTGGGAGATGAAAGATCACATAGGGAAGACAAGAAAGAGTTAATACCATTGTTCTTAGTTTAGAGACATTAGCTACTGTCTAAAGAAAGAGATGATTTTATGAAGTTACATAAGGTAGCCATCAGAATAAAAATTTAACTCTTCCAAATATCACAACATCAAAACAAAATCAATAAAAACAAACAAGGCAGCAAAAGAAGATACGTGCATATAGATCATAGCATAACATGCTGTAACCAAAATATAACCAAACAGAATTTACCAATAAAAGTAAGTGGGCTTGACTCTCTTATTAGAGGAAAAAAATATTGTCAGATTAAATCAAAAAGGAAAACTCAGTTCTATGCTGGATATAACATAAAGTGTTTCAGAAAGTTTAAAAATAAAAGTACAGGCAATGAATAAAAGGATCTTCATGCGTTACAGAGTATAAAACAGTGAGTAAACACATCATACGTTTTCTCTTTTTACACTTAAATGGCTGGAGATGTTACACCACTAGTATGAATTTACTTCAGATATGTAACGGATACACTTTTATGTGATTAGAAACAGAAATGATAACAGTTAAGGATAAAACAACATCTGCATTGACGCTAGGAAGAAAGAGCCATTGTTGGGTACATAGTGATCACATTACCATGGAGCAATCTGTTCCCAACTGAAATTTCCTTGCCCTTCTACTGAAATCGTGTACGATTCTGCAAACATAATGTTTACTTCCCACAAATCAGCCATTAGCTCTGCTATTGTTGTCCACACAGAATAAGCATCAGACCTAGATTTAGCTGTTGTATCATTAAGAGTCTTATTTGGCCCTTTCCAGAGGCTGTTATTTCTATTATATTTTGGATAATTTGTCTATTTCCAGACAAATAATTTTTCCAGAATGTGATGAGTAGATACACTTTGATCCATATGAAAAGACCCTTTGGTAGAGATCCAGGGATTGAGTTTATTTTTAATTACTATAGCATCTTGGTCAGGTTGAGAAACAGATCACCTTTATAATTCCCTGGCATGTGAGCAGGGCTAGACTTAGTGTGAAAATGCTTGAAAGTTTATAGTTTTTTAGAAATTTTATTTACTTTGTGTCTCTTTGTCAAAATAAAATTAATGCTGAAAAGCTATATTAAATGAATTTCTTTGAGATGGTCTCTTCCCCCTTCTTCTAATGAGAGGATATCCACAGATATGTCAGGAGCTTGCTTTACCTAGAAACGTGTTGAGGGCCACAGGTTTGGGTTCACCTAGGAACATTTAGGGACACCTTCCCAAGTTGTTGTTGAAGAGTGGGGTAAATGTAAGATAGAATTAGGCTCACAGAGGCCTGATGAGAGCATCATGTCACCCCAGAAACACAGCATATACCTAGGAGAACTGTTCTCAGTATCAATGTCTTAAGCACTGTAAGATTGACTATAGACCAAGACAGTAACTACATATATGTATAGTTATATATATTAACTATATATATACTTAATAAAATCAGTTAATATATACACATATATTTATTTATTTATTAACTTATTTTTATTTTTATCTTGAGACAGCGTCTTGCTCTGTCACCTAGGCTGGAGTGCAGTAGTGCAATTACGGCTCACTGCAGCCTTGACCTCTGGGGCTGAAGCTCTCTTCCTGCCTCAGCCTCCTAAAGTGCTAGGATTACAGGTGTGAGCCACCTTACCTGGCCCAGGGCAATAACTATGCAATGCTTATATAATTTGGAGCAAAAAAATATTTGAAATATGTATGCATTGCTTTTTAACCTTTTCTATTGATTTACTTTATTAAATACTGAATAGAAACAATATATTTATAAAATATTTATAATATATATATAGAATAAGCACACAATGAACACTTGTGTCTCCAGTCTTGGTTTAAGAAATTAAGCCAAAAGTAATCATAAGTGCTTATGATTACTTTTGAAGTCACCTGTACAACTTTTGCTGACTACATCCCCTTCTTCAACACTCTAATGATGGCCACTGTGAGCACTGTGTATATTGAATTGTGTTTTATTTTAATACTGTGTGCACTACATTGTTTTTCCTAGCTGCATGCTATTGCATTTAGTGAGCATAATGAATTATATCAATATAATTCACTTTTGTCATTTCATTGTTTCAGCTTTTCTGTACTAATTATTGCCAATATATTTCTACTGGCATAAAAACAGACACACAGGACAATGGAGCAGAATGGAGATCTCAGACATAAATCTACACATTTACAAACAACTCATCTCTGACAAAGGCATCAAGAACATACACTGGGCAAAGAACAGTCTTTTCAATAAATAATCCTGGGAAAACTGAATAACTAAATGAAGAAGGATAAAATTAAACCCCTCTTACCATATACAAAAATCAAATCGAATAAAAATAGATTAAAGACTTGAATCTAAGACCTGAAACTATGAAGTTACTAAAAGAAAGCATAGGAGAAATGCTCCAGGACATTGGTCCGGGCAGATTTTTTTGCGTAAGACCTCAGAAGCACAGGCAACAAAGGCAAAAATAGACAATGGGATTATATCAAGCTAAAAAGCCTCAAGCAAAGGAAATAATCAACAAAGTGAAGTGCCAACCACAGAATGGGACAAAATATTTTCAAACTATCCATCTGATAAAGGAGTAACAACTGCAATATATAAAAAGCTCAAACAACTCAATAATAATCAAAAAATCTGATTGAAAAATGGGCTACTGAAGAGGCTGAGGTAGGAGGATTTCTTAATCCCAGGAGTTTGAGGTTACAGTGAGCTATGATTAAGCCACTGCCCTTTATCTTGGGTGACACAGCAAGACCTTGCTTCTAAAAAAATTGTTAAAAATATATAAATAGATACAATTTTTTAAAAAAATGGGCAAAAGATCTGAACAGATACTTCTCAAAAGAAGACATTCAAAAGGCCAATAGGAAGATGAAAAAATGTTCAATATCACTAATCATCAAGCAAATGCAAATCAAAACCACAATGCAATATCAGCTCATGTTGGTTGAAATGGCTTGTATCAAAAAGACAGGCAATAACAGATGCTGGCAAAGATGTGGAGAAAGGGGAACACTAGTACACTGTTGGTGGGAATTTACATTAATAAAGCCACTATGGAGAACTGTATGGAGGTTCCTCAAAAAAGTAAAACTAGAGCTACCATGTGGTCCAGCAATTTCACTACTGGATATATATCCAAAATAAAGGAAATCAATGTATCAAAGACATCTCTACATGCCCATGTTTATTGCAGCACTATTCACAATAGCCAAAATATGGAATCAACATAAGTGGTCATCAACAAACGAACAGATTTTAAAAGTAATATATATACATCATGGACTACTACTCAGACACAAAGAAGAATGAAATTCTGTCATTTGCAGCAACATAAGTGGTGCTGGCCATTTCGCTTAACGTAATGAACATAGGCCATTATGTTAAATGGAATGAGCTAAGCACAGAAAGGCAAATATCGCATGTTGTCACTCATATGTGGGCGGTGAAAAAGTGGATCTCATGAAGATAGAAAGTAAATTGGTGGTTGCTAGAGGCCAGCAAGGGGAGTGGGAAGAGGAGATGAAGAAAAGCAAACATAAATGTATTTATCACCACTAAACTGGCCTCTAAAAATGTACAGATGGTAAATTATATATATATACATTTTTATCTCAATAAAAAAATTAAAAAAATTCTGTTGTGTGTTTATAGGGCATATGTACAAGACTTTCTCTAGGGTTGTATCAGTTTTCTTTTTTTTTATTATTATACTTTAAGTTTTAGGGTACATGTGCACAACGTGCAGGTTTCTTACATATGTATACATGTACCATGTTGGTGTGCTGCACCCAGTAACTCATCATTTCACATTAGGTATATCTCCTAATGCTATCCCTCCCTCCTCCCTCCATGCCACAACAGGCCCCAGCGTGTGATGTTCCCCTTCCTGTGTCCATGTGTTCTCATTGTTCAATTCCCACCTATGAGTGAGAACGTGCGGTGTTTGGTTTTTTGTCCTTGTGATAGTTTGCTGAGAATGATGGTTTCCAGTTTCATCCATGTCCCTACAAAGGACATGAATTCATCATTTTTTATGGCAGCATAGTATTCCATGGTGTATATATGCCACATTTTCTTAATCCAGTCTATCGTTATTGGACATTTGGGTTGGTTCCAAGTCTTTACTATTGTGAATAGTGCCGCAATAAACATACGTGTGCATGTGTCTTTATAGCAGCATGATTTATAATCCTTTGGGTATATACCCAGTAATGGGATGGCTGGGTCAAATGGTATTTCTAGTTCTAGATCCCTGAAGAATTGCCACACTGACTTCCACAATGGTTGTGTAAAAATGTTCCTATTTCTCCACATCCTCTCCAGCACCTGTTGTTTCCTGACTTTTTAATGATCTACTCATCTGACAAAGGGCTAATATCCAGAATCTAAAATGAACTCAAACAAATTTACGAGAAAAAAGCAAACAACCCCATTAACAAGTGGGCGAAGGATATGAACAGACACTTCTCAAAAGAAGACATGTATGCAGCCAAAAGACACATGAAAAAATGCTCATCATCACTGGCCATCAGAGAAATGCAAATCAAAACCACAATGAGATACCATCTCACACCAGTTAGAATGGGTTGTATCAGTTTTCTATTCCTGCTATAAAAATTTACTACAAACTTAGTGGCTTAAAAGAACACATTTTTGTAAGCTGTTAGCCTGTTTTAAAACACACACACAAACTTATTATCTTAGAGTTGTTCTGGTTAGAAATCTGGTATGGCTCTCATTGAACTAACATCAAGATGTTGGCAGGCTGCATTTCTTTCTGAAGGCTCTAAGAGAGAATCTGGGTTGTTGGCAGAATTCAGTTCCTTGTGGTTGTAGGATTGAGATCCTCGGTTTCTTCCTGGTTGTAAACTTTGGGTCATTCCCAGCTTCTAAAGGTCACTGGCTTTCCTTGGCTTGTGGCCCCCTTCCACTGTTTTAAAAGCCAGCAATAGCAGGCTACATCTTTCTCATACTGCCATCTGTCTGAATCTCTGCATCCAGAAAATATTCTCTGCTCTCAAGGAATTATGAGATTAGATTGGACTCACCAAGATAATTCAAGGTAATTTCCCCATTTCAATGCCCTTAATGGTAATCACATCTGCAAAGCCCCTTTTAGCATATAAGGTAGCATGTTCACCTTATCTGAAGACTGGGATGTGGCTGTCTTTGGTGGGGGGCAGATGCCTAACCCAAAGATACACAACTTGCAGATATACAACTAGTTCATGGAGATTAAACATTTTCAAATCTACAAGAAAATGTTTTCTAAAATGAGCATCTCTTGTTAGATTTTCACCAGTACTGTATCAGAATTATATTTACTTCATAATGTTGCCAATACTGACATCAGATATTTAATTTTCTTGTCAGTTCAGGATAATGTGACATTGTGAATAATATATTTGTTCATTCATTCAACAAACTTTTTTATCATATACCACCGATATGCTGGACAGTGTCATGGATCCTAAAAATATAGCTGTTATTATTATTTTTTTAAACAACGTCCCTGCTGCGATACAGCTTTTATTCTTTGGGACAGGCAGACAGTAATTGAGATACATAAATCCAAGGTCAAATTGGGGGAAAAATTGGATTGGAGAGCTCAGGATCTGGCCCCAGAGAAAGGCAGAGGGAGAGGGGACCCAGTTCAGAATCTCAGTGCGTCCACACCGAACAATTCCATGAGGGCTGAGGAGATGGAGCTGAAAGGTTTGTCTGACATCACAAGAGACAGAAACCTGAGCCCCATTTTCATCTCTCTCCTGACAATGTTCCTGGCTTGATTTCCTCCTTCCAGCAGAGACAAGAATCAGGGAGCACACCCTGATGGGTAACATTTTTTTTCAGGGGCTTATCCTGGGGCTCCTGGTGAGAACCTGAGTCTGTCGCTGACCACGGCAGCCCAGCATGGTCCCCAGTGCGTGGCCCAAGGCCAAGATTCTGTACCTCCATCCTGGAGGCAGAAGAAATGCCTGGGGGAAAATGAGAGGTTTTAGTTGGTTGGCACTGGGTGAGACCAAGGAGAGCTTTTAAAGCTGTGTGTCCTGGGGTCGGGCGCGGTGGCTCACGCCTGTAATCCCAGCACTTTGAGAGGCCGAGGCGACAGATCACGAGGTCAGGAGATCAAGACAATCCGACCATCCTGGCTAACACGGTGAAACCCCGTCTCTACTAAAAATACAAAAAATTAGCCGGGCGTGGTGGCAGGTGCCTGTAGTCCAGCTACTCGGGAGGCTGAGGCAGTAGAATGGCGTGAACCCGGCAGGCAGAGCTTGCAGTGAGCGGAGATCGCCCCACTGCACTCCAGCCTGGGCAACAGGGCGAGACTGTCTCAAAAAAAATAAAAATAAAATAAAAATAAAAATAAAAAAAGCTGTGTGTCCTTTGTTTGCTTGTTTATTCATATTTTGCAGATTTCTGATGTCAAAATATTTTCATAGTCAAGAGTATTAATAAAGAATGAATTCTCTGTTATAAAAAACCCTAATAGTGAAGGTATTTACCAAGAAGTTAGATTCTATCTTTGGTTTTTTGTTTTTTGCCCCGTAGTTAAAAAAAGATAGTTTTATTGTATGGATATTCTACAGTTAGTGTATCTTTTCACCTCTTGATGGACATTTGGGTTGCTTCCAGTTGTTTTTGCTATTTCAAATAAAGTTGCTATGAATGTTTGTCCAACCGTTTGGACATACGCTTTCATTTGTCTTGGGTAAATACGCAGGATTTGAATGACTAGGTGGTGTGATATGTTTAACTTTTAAAGAAACTGACAAAGTGTCTATACTGTTTAATATTTCCAGCAGCGGTGTATGAGCATTCCAGTTCCTTTGTGTTCTCACCAATGTTTAGTATGGTCAGTCTTTCAAATTTTAGCTATTCTAATAGGGATGTAGCAGTATCTTATTGTGGTTTTAATTTGCAGTTCTCTAATGATGAATGATGTTGAACATCTTTCAATGTGCTTATTTATCATCCATCTGTCTTCTATGGTGAAATGTCTGTTCAGATCTTTACATTTGTGTTGGACTATTTGTTTTCTTATATTGAGTCCTGAGAGTTCTTTGTATATTTTGGATAACAAATATATCTTCACCAGATATAGCTTTTGTAAATATTTACTCCTAGTCTACGACTTGTCATTTTATTCTCTTGATAGTGTTTTTCACAGGTCAGATTAATTTTTATATAAATCATTTATTTTTATTATTTAAAATTTTATATTTTTTAAATTTATTTTTAATTTCCTTTTTAAAAGGTAAATACAATTTTAAGTGAAATGATGCAAAATTTTATTTAAAATTAAAGGTATATAAAAGTGTTGATATATACTAAAAAACTGAATAAGTAAGAAGGTAGTTGGCCGTCACAGTAGGAGTGAAGTGAAAAGCTTCCCCTTTCACCCTCTGACGATTACCCGAAATGAACTGACCATACACAGATTAATAAGAGAAAGGGCATACAAACTTACTTAACCTGCATAAACATGAGAGCCATACACAAAGTATAAGACTTGAAGATGGCTCAGATCTTAAATGCTCTCCTCATAGGCAACAGATATATAGACCCACGATGCAGACATTATTTTGTAAATAATTTCCTTAGGAAGCTGGATGGGACAGACAAATTATGGGAAGGTGAGAGATAGAACTGCACAGGAAAAAATTTGTCTTTGTCACTTTAATCTTATCATTACTAGAGAATATTTATGAACATTTTAGAATAATATATTTTTAAGCCCAAACCTCACCAAATGTTTTTTCTAAAACAAATACTTTTTTTTGTTGTTTGTTTGTTTTTGATACTGTGTCTCACTCTGTCACCTAGGTATGGAGTGCAGTGGCACAACCATGGCTCGCTGCAGCCTTGACCTCCTGGGCTCAAGCGATTCTCCTACCTCAGCCTTCCAAGTAGCTGGGCTACAGGCATGCACCATCATGCCCTGGTAATAAAAAAAAAAAATTTGTTTTAGAGACTGGGTCTCATTATGTCGCCTTGGCTGGTCTTGAACTCCTGGACTCAACTGTTTCTCATGCTTTGGCTTCCCAAATGATTGGGATTATAGGTGTAAGCCACAGTCCCTGACAACATATTTCTATACTTCACTGAGGAAAGGAAGGTGCTAGGAAAATTGGTTAAGAAATATTTTTTAAAAAGCTATTAGTAGTGTTTTGTTTTATTTTATTTTATTTTTAAATGACAGATTGATTTTTGAAATGGGGGTCTCACTATGTTGCCCAGGCTAGTTTCACATTCCCAGGTTCAAGCAAATACCCCTGCCTCAGTCTCCCAAGTAGCTGGGATGGCAGGTGTGTGACTCCATACCCAGCTCTATTAGTAGTGTTTTTAAAAATTATGGGCCACTGGATAAGAATAATAATTATTTTTTTAATTAAAGATTATTTTTAAAAAAGCACATTTGTAGAAAATTACTGGCATAATCTGCCTAAATATATATATCTATATATACATATTGAAAAAAGTTTGCTCTGAACAAAAAGAAATACATTCAACACACACACACACTCACACACACACTATGGAAGATTTAGAGACCAGGCAATAATTTTCACTCAATCCAAAGACAATGCAATCCCAGAGCTGAATATTTAGGTGAAAAAATATATCAGGAAAGGGAGGCATTCAGGTTTAATTACCATGTTTTGGTAGAGTTAGGATGTGAGTTTTCATTTAAAAATATTCTTTATTAGTTTTTTCTGCTATTGTGGTTTCTGTATTGTTACTATGCAATTTATAAACTAAATAGTAAAAGAGAGAAAAGTGATTTTCAAAGAAGCTGGCTTGGGAACAGGTACTATACTGGGAAGATGAAAGGTTTCACTTAATGACTGGTACCTGTGCCACTCGGGTTATTTTGACTGTTAACCTTTTAGCAAGAGGTTTTTCTTTTAAAAGACATCCTTTAATATTTGTGAAGCTAGTGCAATAGTACACATTGAGGCCCACATACCACATGTCAAATATTTAAAAGGCATATTTCTAGCTAACCACTGTACATACATATTTTTTCTCTCTTATTTTTTTATTTTAGTTTTTTTCCTTGTCAACAACTTAATTTTATGTGCACACATATCTTCTATCATCCCACTCTGACAAATAATATTATACCTTCAAAACGATGTGGAAGGCTAGGTTGGAATTTAGAATCATAGAACCTTGTAATTATACAGGCAAGTTTCTTCCTGGGAAAAAATAAAACAGGAAGAAAAGGCCGGGGAGCCTGTGGTCCGGGCAGGAAATTCAGGGATCCCTTATAGCAGCATCTCTAGTACTTGGGAACTGAACAGACTTCTCGGCCTGTGAGGCTGGACTAGGCCCTTCTGGAGGACACAACAGAGAAGTTATCTACTGCCTTTGCTCCCAGGGCCCAGGCAACACTTTTACCCTCCATTGCTTGTTTCCGAAGTTAAGGTGAGGCTACAATGTTCTGTCTAGTGACCTCGACAGAGAAAGTGTTCTCCTGAAACCACTCATTTTTTACTTTCCTTCTTCCTGAATTGCCTGGACCCACTCCTCCTCCATTTGACTGGCTCTGTGCACTGATGTTATAGTCAGGAGATTTTTGGGAATTGTGGCTTCTAAAAATGTACACCCGACTCTACCCATAGCTGGCCCTGTGAACCTATGCACCTGCTCCACTGTGTCTGCTTCTCATAGAGACACTCTTCCTGCTGAGTCTCTGACCTCTGCTCCTAGATCCAAATGGCATCTCCTGCCCTATCCCTGTATGGCTTAACCTAGGGAAACTCTTTCCCAGAGGAGTCAGGTAAAAAGACAGTGGCTGAGCTTCTTACAGATTTAAAGGAGACATCCTGGAATTTAGGACTCCATCCTTCCTTTCTGTCCCCTGGCAGCTCCTGCTGCTTCTCAAAGTTTAGCTTTGTCTCTCATCCAGCTCAGACTGTTGCTGGTCCTGATGGCCTCTGCTTAGCTGTATTAGTATGTTCTTGCATTGCTATAAAGAAATACATGAGAAATACCTTTAGTTGGCTCATGGTTCCATAGGGTATACAGGAAGCATGGTGGTTTCTGCTTGTGGGGAGGCCTCAGGAAACTTTTACTCAAGGTGCAGTGCAAAAAAAAAAAAAAAAAAAAAAAAAAAAGCTACCAGCACCGCAATGTGGAGTCCTGATCCCTGAGCTAACTTCATAGTATTACCTCTACAGCAAGCGTCGGTGAGAAAATAGATATATTTCTTAAGTGAGTACACAATTTACAGAAGAGGAACTACCCTCCCAAACCAAAACAAAAATGTCCTAATTATAATTTGCCAGCAAACCTAGGTTCCTTCTGTGAAATGATCTCATGTGCTGAGTTTTAAAATTGACTAAATTTCCCAATTTCCAAATGAAAATATTTAGTTACCTTGTCTTACTATGTGTTTTTGGTTAATATGATGATTAATTTTTGGCCTATTACTTAATATATTCCATGACTATTGATATGGAGTATAAGGACTCACAAAGTAGTTTTCAGATGTCTTTAATTTTTTTACTTAGTGTAGATCCTATAAATGGATTAGGAGTATTCTATTAACTCCCATGTATTCAGAAATCGAATTGGAGTGGTAAATTCTATTTGAGGTAACAAGGGATATCAAAGGAAAAAAATAATTTTGTGACTATGTCTTCTATATGTAAATTTTTCATGCATCTTTACCAATGGCTTATACTAAAGACATTTTCTGGATCATGGGTGACAGACAGAAGACATGTGGTTAAGTGGCATTGTGTACACTACTGCATTTTATCATCTGGTTTATTTTTAAACATTTAATTCTCTTGAGGATGTTTTATTAACCAGTACATCACCAGGTTAACAGTCTCTGGAACACTAAACTTACCAGAAAATACTTGTTGATTGAATTAACAAGAAAACAACATTAGAAAACAGTGGTGGCTTGTTTTTGTCTATTGCAGTATCTTGGAGAGTAAAGCCTAACTCTTTAATTTTGGCCAAAGATATTAAGAAATAACCGAGAAATACCTTTAGTTGGCTCATGGTTCCATAGGCTATACAGGAAGCATGGTGGTTTCTGCTTCTGGGGAGGCCTCCAACACTTACTGGCAGGGTAATTTTGAAGAAGTCATGATAAGATGGTTGTTAACAATTAAATGAAATAATCAAAGTGGAAGAGCTTAGTTAGCTGTCTTCCCTAAATGAATCACTGGCAAGTAAGAGTGTGACTGATTTTCCTATCAGTCAGGACTCACCCCTTGAAGCTATAGGAGGGTAAACCTCTGAAGACCATAAAATTTAGGGAACACTAACACTTCAAAAAACTCTGTAAACTTCCTTCCTTCTTTTCTTCCTTCCTTCTTCTCTCTCTCTCTTTCTTCCTTTCTTTCTTTTCTTTCTTTGTTCATTTTTAAGACAGTCTTGCTCTGTCACTCAGGCTAGAGTATAGTGGCTGGATTATGGCTCACTGCCGCCTTGACCTCCTGGGCTCAAGCAATCCTCTCACCTCAGCCTCTCTAGTAGCTGGGGCTATAGGCATGCTCAGGTAATTTTTTTCCTCTTTTTTTTTTTTTTTTTGTAGAGACAGGGTCTCATCATGTTGCCCAGGCTGGTCTTGAAGTCCTTGGATCAAGCAATCCTGCTGCCTCAGCCTCCCAAAGTGCTGGATTACAAGCGTGAGCCACTGTGCCCAGCCTTAAGTTTTTTTTCATACAGGAGGAAAGAATTTGGGAAAGTAGGTGTGTGTGTGTGTTCGTTAGGGAGCCAACACATTTTTCTGCAAAGCTTGAATTCTGTGCCTCAGTTTTTCATTTTCGTTATGTGTAAAATAAAATTCTATCCTGCTATAGATTTAAACTTGTGAGCTGATCCTACTCAAAACCTGATTCAAACTTTGCATAGATCTTTGTCTCTCTATGGCATAAGAATAAATTCTTCTGGGTTTCTTCCCTCAGAAAAATGGACTTAGAATTCCCACAAGCCTTCCAGAAAGAACTCACCTGCCTCATCTGCCTGAATTACCTCATAGACCCCATCACTATAGGCTGCTGGCACAGTTTCTGTAGGCCCTGCCTCTGCCTTTGCTGGGAAGAAGCCCACACTCCTGCCCTGCATGCAGGGAACCGTCACAGCAGGAAGATTTCAAAACCGATATTCTTCTGAAGAATCTAGTGTCCATTGTGAGAAAAGCCAGTCTCTGGCAATTCCTGAGCTCTAATGAACAAATGTGCGGGATCCACAGGGAGACAAAGATGTTCTGTGATGTGGGCAAGAGCCTGCTCTGTTTTCTGTGTTCTATCTCGCAGGAACACTGGGGCACAGAAACACTGGCCCACTGAAGGGGAAGCAAAGGAACACTGTGTAAGTGATGACTCTGAGAGCACTTTGAAAGCTGGAGGGCAGCACAGGTAAAGAGATTAGGAGGAAGATGAAGAGCATGAGGATTAATCTATTCTTTATTGAGTGTCATGTACTGCCTAGGTATCAATGATATAACTGTTATCCTGCTATGAAATCTACTCATAAGTGGCTCATATAACTTATATGCATTCATCATAACGCAAGAAATCCTCTGACTGCTCCTACCATCATGGCCCTTAGCCATATGACTTCTCTCCACACTAGCAGAAACTAATTGAGCCCTATGTTATATATATATATAATTTTTATATGATTTATAAACTATATCATATAAAATATATAATATATAAATATTTATACAATATATTATATATTATATATTTTATATGATATGCTTTATATTTTATATATAATTTATATATATTAATTAATTATATATAATTAACATATGTTTTATATATTTTATAGATGTACTTTATATATTTATATATAATATATATTATATATAAATATATATTTTATATATTTATATATAACATAAAAATACATACTTTATATATTGTATGTATAATATATATTATATATAAATATATACTTTATATATTTATATATAATATATATTATATATATACACCTTATATATTTATATATATTATATATTATATATAAATATAGAAAGTGTATATTTATATAAAATATATATTATATATAAATATATACTTTCTATATTTATATATAATACATATTATATATAAATATATACTTTATATATTTATATATAATATGTATTATATATAAATATATACTTTATATACTGTATATATAATATATATACAGTATTATATATTATATATATATAATATATATATATATAATATATATATAAAAAGAGAAGGTGGGCCTTCTCTTTTTTTGGCCCTATTGTGTCAGCCTTGTTTAATATGTAGTTTACTTACAGTAAATTCTTCTCAATACGGAACTTGATCCTGGAAGAGAATTTGGTCTGGTTATTTTAAGAGTTGTAGAAGCCATATGGTCCCAGCCTCTTTTTTATCTCATCCTGGACTCTTGCTTATTGATGTGTGCAAACTCCCACCCTACTTAGTTTCCGTAGCTGTTTTTTAATTGCCTTGCCCACTTTCTAATGAATCCTTGTTGCTGACTTGGGGGTTCTCAAATCCATAATATATTGTGTTCACCCTCTCTGCTTAATCTTGAAAGGATTCTGATTCCTCATGGATATTGCAGGTCTTCCTGATTTGTCTGTCACTATTTACACTGGGGATTTTTTGTAGGGCACATTGTTACCCAGTGTTGTTGTAAATATTGTTCATGAATTTTAATTTTGTTAACCTAGTTTTTCTCTGTTTTTCTTTAGAAGTTTGGAAATAGTCTGAAAGCACACTGTACCTCTCTATATTTTCAGAATTTTTAAGGTGAAATTTTTAAAAATGTGTAAACAAGAAATGCCTCTAAACTGGATCTCAGTGTGTTTAGCAGTTTCCATGAGCTGTGTGTAACAGAAGACTGGAACAAAGAAATGTAGAAGTAGATTCTCCACAAGCATCATGGCCTTCTTCACTTTGAATGTTTGGGTATGCTGTTTCCTCTGTCTGGACATCACTTGCACTTCCAATACTTCCTTTTTGAATTAATACTTGTTATATCAAGGACAAATTTTGATTTAATTTCCTTTCAGAAACATTTTTACATTTTAAAAATTGTACTGCACTTTCTATCAATTGCCATTGCATTCAACGCTCTCTCATTATTATGTACAAATATATAGTGTGTATATATATATGTATACACGCAAACACACACACACATACATACACACATACACAGACACAATCCACAACACTATTTTAAAACATTTCTGGTATACTTGGGTCAAATTTGGGACCAAATTCTAGCAAGGTAGTAGGTCTTTATGTGCATTGCAGATAAATATCATTAATTGCATTTAAATTTATTTAATGTAATATATATTGTTACATAATATGCATTACTTAAAGGTTTTCATTGGAATTAAGTAAAGGAGAAATATGGATGATGAAAGAAACAAAGAAGAAAAAAAGGTGACAGCCTAACATTTTCTATAAATCTACTGTGAGCTAGGTACTTTATAAGCATTAAGTCTAACATTTACCTATATCTAATCTCATTGTAATTTTTTTGTTTTGTTTGGTTTTGTGAGATGGAGTCTTGCTCTGTCACTTAGGCTGGAGTGCACTGGTATAATCAGGGCTCACTGCAACCTCTGCCTCCCAGGTTCAAGCAATTATCCTGCCTCAGCCTCTTGAGTAGCTGGGATTACAGGCATGTACCACTACATCTGGATAATTTTTGTATTTTTAGTAGAGATGGGGTTTCACCATGTTGGCCAGGCTGGTCTTGAACTCCTGACCTCAAGTGATCTGGCCTACTCAGCCTCCCAAAATGCTGGGATTATAGGCATGAGGCACCACACCTGGCCTAATCTAACCATAATTTTATTTCCAGTTCATGAATGTATAGATGAGGTAACAGAGAAGCAAAGAGATCAGTATTTTAACCAATGATATTTTAGTAAAATAGCAAACTCATAAGTTTAGTTTATATTTGTCAGTATTTGTGGTTTTTAAGCCAAATAATACCATCTTTAACTCTGAGTGTCATGCTGTCAAGAATTGTACCTTTGTGGGGAGGAGCCAAGATGGCTGAATACGAACAGCTCCGGTCTACAGCTCCCAGCATGAGCGACGCAGAAGACGGTGATTTCTGCATTTCCATCTGAGGTAACGGGTTCATCTCACTAGGGAGTGCCAGACAGTGGGCGCAGGTCAGTGGGTGCGCACACCGTGCGCGAGCCAAAGCAGGGCGAGGCATTGCCTCACTTGGGAAGCGCAAGGGGTCACAGAGCTCCCTTTCCGAGTCAAAGAAAGGGGTGACGGATGGCACCTGGAAAATCGGGTCACTCCCACCCAAATACTGCGCTTTTCCGACGGGCTTAAAAAATGGCGCACCACGAGATTATATCCGGCACCTGGCTTGGAGGGTCCTACGCCCACGGAGTCTCCTGATTGCTAGCACAGCAGTCTGAGATCAAACTGCAAGGCAGCAGTTAGGCTGGGGGAGGGGCGCCCGCCATTGCCCAGGCTTGATTAGGTAAACAAAGCAGCTGGGAAGCTCGAACTGGGCGGAGCCCACCACAGCTCAAGGAGGCCTGCCTGCCTCTGTAGGCTCCACCTCTGGGGGCAGGGCACAGACAAACAAAAAGACAGCAGTAACCTCTGCAGACTTAAATGTCCCTGTCTGACAGCTTTGAAGAGAGCAGTGGTTCTCCCAGCACGCAGCTGGAGATCTGAGAACGGGCAGACTGCCTCCTCAAGTGGGTCCCTGACCCCTGACCCCCGAGCAGCCTAACTGGGAGGCACCCCCCAGCAGGGGCACACTGACACCTCAAACGGCAGGGTATTCCAACAGACCTGCAGCTGAGGGTCCTGTCTGTTAGAAGGAAAACTAACAAACAGAAAGGACATCCACACCAAAAACCCATCTGTACATCACCATCATCAAAGACCAAAAGTAGATAAAACCACAAAGATGGGAAAAAAACAGAACAGAAAAACTGGAAACTCTAAAAAGCAGAGCGCCTCTCCTCCTCCAAAGGAACGCAGTTCCTCACCAGCAACGGAACAAAGCTGGATGGAGAATGACTTTGACGAGCTGAGAGAAGAAGGCTTCAGACGATCAAATTACTGTGAGCTACGGGAGGACATTCAAACCAAAGGCAAAGAAGTTGAAAACTTTGAAAAAAATTTAGAAGAATGTATAACTAGAATAACCAATACAGAGAAGTGCTTAAAGGAGCTGATGGAGCTGAAAACCAAGGCTCGAGAACTACGTGAAGAATGCAGAAGCCTCAGGAGCCGATGCGATCAACTAGAAGAAAGGGTATCAGCGATGGAAGATGAAATGAATGAAATGAAGCGAGAAGGGAAGTTTAGAGAAAAAAGAATAAAAAGAAATGAGCAAAGCCTCCAAGAAATATGGGACTATGTGAAAAGACCAAATCTACGTCTGATTGGTGTACCTGAAAGTGATGGGAAGAATGGAACCAAGTTGGAAAACCCTCTGCAGGATATTATCCAGGAGAACTTCCCCAATCTAGCAAGGCAGGCCAACATTCAGATTTAGGAAATACAGAGAACGCCACAAAGATACTCCTCGAGAAGAGCAACTCCAAGACACATAATTGTCAGATTCACCAAAGTTGAAATGAAGGAAAAAATGTTAAGGGCAGCCAGAGAGAAAGGTCGGGTTACCCTCAAAGGGAAGCCCATCAGACTAACAGCGGATCTCTTGGCAGAAACTCTACAAGCCAGAAGAGAGTGGGGGCCAATATTCAACATTCTTAAAGAAAAGAATTTTCAACCCAGAATTTCATATCCAGCCAAACTAAGCTTCATAAGCGAAGGAGAAATAAAATACTTTACAGACAAGCAAATGCTGAGAGATTTTGTCACCACCAGGCCTGCCCTAAAAGAGCTCCTGAAGGAAGCACTAAACATGGAAAGGAACAACCGGTACCAGCCACTGCAAAATAAATGCCAAAATGTAAAGATCATCAAGACTAGGAAGAAACTGCATCAACTAACGAGCAAAATAACCAGCTAACATCATAATGACAGGATCAAATTCACACATAACAATATTAACTTTAAATGTAAATGGACTAAATGCTCCAATTAAAAGACACAGACTGGCAAATTGGATAAAGAGTCAAGACCCATCAGTGTGCTATATTCAAGAAACCCATCTCACGTGCAGAGACACACATAGGCTCAAAATAAAAGGATAGAGGAAGATCTACCAAGCAAATGGAAAACAAAAAATGGCTGGGGTTGCAATCCTAGTCTCTGATAAAACAGACTTTAAACCAACAAAGATCAAAAGAGACAAAGAAGGCCATTACATAATGGTAAAGGGATCAATTCAACAAGAAGAGCTAACTATCCTAAATATATATGCACCCAATACAGGAGCACTCAGATTCATAAAGCAAGTCCTGAGTAACCTACAAAGAGACTTAGACTCCCACACATTAATAATGGGAGACTTTAACACCCCACTGTCAACATTAGACAGATCAACGAGACAGAAAGTCAACAAGGATACCCAGGAATTGAACTCAGCTCTTCACCAAGCAGACCTAATAGACATCTACAGAACTCTCCACCCCAAATCAACAGAATATACATTTTTTTCAGCACCACACCACACCTATTCCAAAATTGACCACATACTTGGAAATAAAGCTCTCCTCAGCAAATGTAAAAGAACAGAAATTATAACAAACCATCTCTCAGACCACAGTGCAATCAAACTAGAACTCAGGATTAAGAATCTCACTCAAAACCGCTCAACTGCATGGAAACTGAACAACCTGCTCCTGAATGACTACTGGGTACATAATGAAATGAAGGCAGAAATAAAGATGTTCTTTTAAACCAATGAGAACAAAGACACAATATACCAGAATCTCTGGGACGCATTCAAAGCAGTGTGTAGAGGGAAATTTATAGCACTAAATGCCCACAAGAGAAAGCAGGAAAGATCCAAAATTGGCACCCTAACATCACAATTAAAAGAACTAGAAAAGCAAGAGCAAACACATTCAAAAGCTAGCAGAAGGCAAGAAATAACTAAAATCAGAGCAGAATTGAAGGAAATAGAGACACAAAAAACCCTTCAAAAAATTAATGAATCCAGGAGCTGGTTTTTTGAAAGGGTCAACAAAATTGATAGACCACTAGCAAGACTAATAAAGAAAAAAAGAGAGAAGAATCTAATAGACGCAATAAAAAATGATAAAGGGCATATCACCACCGATCCCACAGAAATACAAACTACCATCAGAGAATACTACAAACACCTCTACGCAAATAAACTAGAAAATCTAGAAGAAGTGGATAAATTCCTCGACACATACACTCTCCCAAGACTAAACCAGGAAGAAGTTGAATCTCTGAATAGACCAATAACAGGATCTGAAATTGTGGCAATAATCAATAGCTTACCAACCAAAAAGAGTCCAGGACCAGATGGATTCACAGCTGAATTCTACCAGAGGTACAAGGAGGAACTGGTACCATTCCTTCTGAAAGTATTCCAATCAATAGAAAAAGAGGGACTCCTCCCTAACTCATTTTATGAGGCCAGCATCATTCTGATACCAAAGCCAGGCAGAGACACAACCAAAAAAGAGAATTTTAGACCAATATCCTTGATGAACATTGATGCAAAAACCCTCAATAAAATACTGGCAAAACGAATCCAGCAGCACATCAAAAAGCTTATCCACCACGATCAAGTGGGCTTCATCCCTGGGATACAAGGCTGGTTCAATATACGCAAATCAATAAATGTAATCCAGCCTATAAACAGAGCCAAAGACAAAAACCACATGATTATCTCAATAGATGCAGAAAAAGCCTTTGACAAAATTCAACAACCCTTCATGCTAAAAACTCTCAATAAATTAGGTATTGATGGGACGTATTTCAAAATAATAAGAGCTATCTATGACAAACTCACAGCCAATATCATACTGAATGGGCAAAAACTGGAAGCATTCCCTTTGAAAACTGGCACAAGACAGGGATGTCCTCTCTCACCACTCCTATTCAACATAGTGTTGGAAGTTCTGGCCAGGGCAATTAGGCAGGAGAAGGAAATAAAGGGTATTCAATTAGGAAAAGAGGGAGTCAAATTGTCCCTGTTTGCAGACGACATGATTGTATATCTAGAAAACCCCATCGTCTCAGCCCAAAATCTCCTTAAGCTGATAAGCAACTTCAGCAAAGTCTCAGGTTACAAAATCAATGTACAAAAGTCACAAGCATTCTTATACACCAACAACAGACAAACAGAGAGCCAAATCATGAGTGAACTCCCATTCACAATTGCTTCAAAGAGAATAAAATACCTAGGAATCCAACTTACAAGGGATGTGAAGGACCTCTTCAAGGAGAACTACAAACCACTGCTCAAGGAAATAAAAGAGGATACAAACAAATGGAAGAACATTCCATGCTCATGGGTAGGAAGAATCAATATCATGAAAATGGCCATACTGCCCAAGGTAATTTACAGATTCACTGCCATCCCCATCAAGCTACCAATGCCTTTCTTCACAGAATTGGAAAAAACTACTTTAAAGTTCATATGGAACCAAAAAAGAGCCCGCATCGTCCAGTCAATCCTAAGCCAAAAGAACAAAGCTGGAGGCATCATGCTACCTGACTTCAAACTATACTACAAGGCTACAGTAACCAAAGCAGCATGGTACTGGTACCAAAACAGAGATATAGATCAATGGAACAGAACAGAGCCCTCAGAAATAACGCCGCATGTCTACAACTATCTGATCTTTGACAAACCTGAGAAAAACAAGCAATGGGGAAAGGATTCCCTATTTAATAAATGGTGCTGGGAAAACTGGCTAGCCATATGTAGAAAGCTGAAACTGGATCCCTTCCTTACACCTTATACAAAAATCAATTCAAGATGGACTAAAGACTTAAACGTTAGACCTAAAACCATAAAAACCCTGGCAGAAAACCTAGGCATTACCATTCAGGACATAGGCATGGGCAAGGACTTCATGTCTAAACCACCAAAAGCAATGGCAACAAAAGACAAAATTGACAAATGGGATCTAATTAAACTAAAGAGCTTCTGCACAGCAAAAGAAACTACCATCAGAGTGAACAGGCAACCTACAAAATGGGAGAAAATTTTCACAACCTACTCATCTGACAAAGGGCTAATATCCAGAATCTACAATGAACTCAAACAAATTTACAAGAAAAAAACAAACAACCCCATCAAAAAGTGGGCCAAGGACATGAACAGACACTTCTCAAAAGAAGACATTTATGCAGCCAAAAAACACATGAAAAAATGCTCATCATCACTGGCCATCAGAGAAATGCAAATCAAAACCACAATGAGATACCATCTCACACCAGTTAGAATGGCCATCATTAAAAAGTCAGGAAACAACAGGTGCTGGAGAGGATGTGGAGAAATAGGAACACTTTTACACTGTTGGTGGGACTGTAAACTAGTTCAACCATTGTGGAAGTCAGTGTGGCGATTCCTCAGGGATCTAGAACTGGAAATACCATTTGACCCAGCCATCCCATTACTGGGTATATACCCAAATGACTATAAATCATGCTGCTATAAAGACACACGCACACGTATGTTTATTGCGGCATTATTCACAATAGCAAAGACTTGGAACCAACCCAAATGTCCAACAATGATAGACTGGATTAAGAAAATGTGGCACATATACACCATGGAATACTATGCAGCCATAAAAAATGATGAGTTCATGTCCTTTGTAGGGACGTGGATGAAATTGGAAAACATCATTCTCAGTAAACTATCGCAAGAACAAAAAACCAAACACCACATATTCTCACTCATAGGTGGGAATTGAACAATGAGATCACATGGACACAGGAAGGGGAATATCACACTGTGGGGACTGTTGTGGGGTGGGGGGAGGGGGGAGGGATAGCATTGGGAGATATACCTAATGCTAGATGACGAGTTACTGGGTGCAGTGCACCAGCATGGCACATGTATACATATGTAACTAACCTGCACATTGTGCACATGTACCCTAAAACTTAAAGTATAATTAAAAAAATGAAAAACAAACAAACAAAAAAGAATTGTACCTTTAATCTCTGTATCCCACACAAGGAGGGCAAGTCTTAAAAAGAGTAGGTGCTGAATAAACTTAAAAACATTTCATTTAAAATCACTACTAAAGCCCCAATTGAATTTGTACATCTCACCATCTAGCCTGGGCTATGGGCCTTACTACTAGTTAGTGGCAAATGTGACTTACATTATCTCCTGAATTGGAAATAAAAAGAATCAGATCTTTAAAGTTAATTTTGCAAACTTGATGTTAAGAGAAACAAAGGACATAATATGCAAACACATTTTCTAAATAAGTTCAACCCATTGGCTGGGCTCGGTGGCTCATGCCTGTAATCCCAGCGCCAAGACGGGTGGATCACAAGGTCAGGAGATCGAGACCATCCTGGCTAATGGTGAAACCCCGTCTCTAATAAAAATACAAAAAAAATTAGTCAGGAGTGGTGGCGGGAGCCTGTAGTCCCAGCTACTCGGGAGGCTGAGGCAGGAGAATGGCATGAACCCGGGAGGTGGAGCTTGCAGTGAGCCGAGATCTCTCCACTGCACTCTAGCCTGGGCAACAGAGCCAGACTCTGTCTCAAAAAAAAAAAAAAAAATTCAACCCATCAGCCATCTAGAATTCGTATAAAAATACCTAAATCTCCAGAATCTGTAAGAAAATGAAAGTATGATGGTAAATTGTATGTGTCAGCTTGAACTGGTCTCTGTAAAGTAGGCTTCCCTCCCCAGTATGGGATGTGCATTATCCAACCCATTTAAGGCCTGCATAGAACAAAGGGCAGATGATAGAGGAGTGTGACCCTTTCTGTCCTGTCTCACTGCTTAACTAGTATATCTCGTCTTATCTTCACCTACACTTGAATTAGGGTTTACACCATTGGCTGCCCTGCTTCCCAGGCCTTCAGACTCAGATTGAATTACACCTCTGGCTTTCCTAAGTGTCCAGCTTGCAGATTGCAGATCATGATATTTTTTGCCTCCACAATTTTGTGAGCCAATTCTTCATAATAAAATTAGTCTCTTTGTCTCTCTCCTCTCTACTATTCTATCACTCTCTCTGTCACTTTGTTTCTCTATCTATGTTGGTGGTTCTGTTTCTCTGCAGGATGATGACTAATACAGTAAGAAAAAATTACATAAATATATGATAAAATAAATTTGTTAAAAATCGATATGCATTAAAAATTAAAAGCAAATAATAATAAAAGTAAATAGCAATTTTCTTATTTTTAATAATTTATTTCAAATGTACACATCAGCATAATTTTCATGATTTTAAATTCTGTAAGCATTAGGTTAAAAGTCAGAAGCAAGCCAAGAACAGATTATTGTTGTTACTTAACATTCTTCTGGATATTTTAATCCAACACATTTAGAAATTAGAGGTATAAAAATGGTAAACATTGCCATTATTCTCTGAAACTTATTATTTATTTAGAAAAAACTTATAAGTAAAATTTTCCTAAGATATCTAGGGACAAAATAAACACTCATTATTCAATGGTTTTTATACAAAAAGAATACAACTAGTTCTGTGATGCTAATATTCATGAGAACGAAGTATGAAAATAGCCAGAAATGTTTAATAGAATAAAGGTATACTGAGAAGGCACTAACTTTAGGTAGATTTTCAAACATATTAGTAAACCAAAAAATTAAAACAATGTGACACTGGTGCATGAATTCTTAGATAGAGCAGATAGTGAAACAGGATAGTGTACTCATCTATATCTGTCTTTCTCTACATCTTTGTATCAATCCTGAATGCTAAAGGTGAGATTCACTTGCACCTGAAGCAGCAGGAAAAATTTGGAGCTTCAAGAATAAATGAAGATATAACTTAGAGAAGCTGCACCCAGTGTCACAAATGATTCTGTGGAGGAGCTCTTTCAGATTAAATCAGTAACTTTTTATTTTGTATTTTCATTTTTTTTTTGAAATAAGCAAGAAAAGTCTAATTGAGAACTGAGTCAGATATACATGTAGAAATATTACTCCCTACTCCCAGGCATGGGAATGGCCAACTCCTTACTTCAGGGAGGGGAGGAGAGAGATATCAAGAGTGGGACAATTCTCTTAAGACACCTACCCCACCTTTCATCAAATATCCCCGACCTTAGATTTAGTGCAGGAGTCCTGAAAAACATTTCCACAGGGAAGTTTGGGTCCCAGGCTTATGGGTATCCCCCTACCACCTTTGGCAGGACAAAAATGAGTAAAGCAAAGCTTCTTGCTTCAGAAATATTCAGTCTAATACAGTGTGTACCCCACAACGTAATCATCTCTTCATTTCAGAAGCCTTAATTGCATAAAGTTCCTCGGGAAAGGGATGATATTTGTTTGTTTGTTTTTTTAAGGATAAGGCCAGTATTGGCTCAAACTTATATTTATTCTTCCCAAAGAGTTCCTCCCAGGTTCATAATCTTGATGTAGGAGAGTGCTGCACCAAGTTGCTTCTTTCTTCCCAACCTGTCCTACTTTGCGGGAGGAAGGAAGAAAAGAAAACAAACAAACAAAAAAAAAAAAACAAGGAAGCTGCACTAGAGCCACTGCCCTCAGACATCAACTTCTATTTCTTCTCCACTGCTGCAGTCTGAAGAGTTACTGCTTTCTTCCTTTTCTCTATCTTTCTTCCTGTTCTCTTCTGGTTCCATGGAGACATGACAGTTTACCCAAATAGTCTGTGATGAATCTGTTCCTGCAGCCTGGAGCCCTTGCCCCTCCCCAAACCCTTCTTGCAGACCCTTTGCTGATGAGGACTGTGGATCTGCTTGTTTCAACCTGGGGTCCGGGCCTCCTGTCATGGCCATATTCTTACCCTTAGCATAGGTCGATTCTTTGTATGCAGCATAATTTTCAGGTGACAAAGTCTTGAGCCAGAGATCCAATTTCACCTTGTATTGCTTCTGCAGCTCCTCAGCCTGGCTCTTAAAATGATCCTTCTGGCTCTGCGGGATGCGCTGCCAGCGTCTGCCAATCTCTACCATGCGCTCCCTCACTGACAAATGTTGCATCTCTTTACTTGACCAGGAATCTTGGTGAAACTTGTGGTATCCATTCATGGGGGGTTTCTGAGGCTCTCCATGAAATTTTACCTTCTTGAAAAATCGATCCGTTTTTGGAAGAGACCTCACTTCTTCAATATTTTTCTGAAACTTCTTTTGCACTTTGTTTTGAGTCCTCTTGGAGACACTAGATTTCTTGGCCTTCTGGACTAAATCAGGGTGTTCTTCCCTGAATCGAGCAAGTTTTTCCTCAAATTCTTGCTTTTCCTTCCGGAAATCCTGAATATATTTCTGTTTCATCTGCTCTGGGAGTTCCCTGTATTTCTTTGACAGGATTTTGGTCAGTTCCTGGCTTCTCATCCCAGGGTACATTTGGGAGTACTGGGGCCAACTCTCCTTGAAGAAGCGATTGTAAGCAGTAAGGGGCCTCTTTGGAAAGTCTGGACCGTTCCTGTATTTTTGGCTTTTGTTCATCTTTTTAACACATTTCTTAGCTTCCAGGACTAATTCTTTCAAAGTGCCGAATTTTCTCAAGTTGCAAGAAATCTCTAACCATTTGAGTCTGCACATTTCACCAGAAAAGTTTTTAAAAGCTACTTTTCCCCAGTCCATGTGTGACTGAGTTGAGCTAAACGTGCTGTTGTCATCAGATGGGCGATTATTCTCCATGCATTCCAGTAACCTCAAGATGTCTTTGTTGGACCAATGGCCTTGGCTTCTAGGCAAAGCCATTTAGATGTCTTTGGCTTACTTATAAGATCCCGGTTATGTAGACACCAGAGCAAGAACACAGAGTTCTTTACTTTTAAGACTCAGTGGATGATTTATTTCTGGAAGTATTGCAGTATGTGTGATTCTGTATTTCTGAGGAGAAAGAAAGTTACTCTCCTTCATTTGGATTAATGAAGCAAATTACATCCTATTTGTCATATGTCCCTTGTATAATTCATTTGACCCTTAACTATAAATAAACATTGCCTGTTTCTGAATTAAATTTATGTTTGCCTTTCATATGCTACATGCACAATATTCAGTATCTCCACACCCCACCCCAGCCTGCTTTCTGCCAGATCTCACATGAACCTATCTTAAATTGAGTTGCATAACACAAACACCAGACCACTCATCACTTAAGAAGCTTAATATAACAGAAATGCCCTGAAGACAGAGTCAGAAGTTAAAGTGGAAGGAGAAATGCCTAAACAGGAAGGACTGTTCATTCTACAGTGCCCTGAGTATGGCCATTTTCTAAGCACAGCCCAAATAGCCATAGCTAAAGGTGCAGATGAGAAGTTAAAGATACAATCGGACAAGCCCAAGAGCTCCTCCAGACATGCATCCAACTGTTACCTTTTTATAAGGGAATGTGAACCTGTGATAAAAGACTGAATTATAGATTCTCCAGGACCAGTGCATGGGAATTAATGCTTTCTTGCTTTCTTTTATTTCTTTTTTTTTTTTTTAATTGAGACGGAGTTTCACTCTTGTCGCCCGGGTTAGAGTGCAGTGGGGCAATCTGGGCTCACTGCAACCTCTGTTTTTCAGCTTCAAGTGATTCTCCTGCCTCAGCCTCCCAAGCAGCTGAGATTACAGGCATGTGCCACCACGACTGGCTAATTTTTCTGTATTTTTTAGTAGAGATGGGGTTTCACCATGTTGGCCAGGCTGGTCTCGAATTCCCAACCTCAGGTGATCCGCCTGCCTCGGCTTCCCAGAGCGCTAGGATTACAGGCGTGAGCCACCACTCCTGGGCCGGGAATGAATGCTTTCTAAGAACCATACTGCTTCTCCTTTTAAATATCAAGGATTTAATGACAATTATAAAACATTTCAACTTTATTTGGTTAATTGTTCATCATATTTAAGCCTCAGTGAAAGTTTGGCTTCCTCCAGAAACTCCCTCCAGAATACCTGCCATTTTCCATTACAAAACTTGAAAATGTGGCAGATCTGATGACTACTCCTTTTTTTTTTTTTTTTTTTAGCAATTCTGTCTTGCCTGAAGTAATTCTTCTGGCACGTGATTTCTGGATTCACTCTTGAAATTCTCATAACTCTTTCACTAGTCTTTTTAGGATGATCTTCTATTCTAAGACTAAGCCTCACATAAATAAAATTGTGTACGAATACATACAACATTAAATAAAACCGAATCTTAAATGGAGGGTGAATAAGGAGTGTAACAGTGGGCCTTCAGGGGGAAAATATGCATTAGAAGGGAAAGAGAACAGAGTTAAGATACTGGTGGAAGTTGAAATTCTGAGAATGAGTTCTGAATATCTGAGAATAATATTTTTGAGAACTATTTTTAATTCTCAGTAGAGTATAGAAGGATGTAGCCTTTGAATGACATTAAAAATTCACTAGAAGTGTAAAGAATAATAGTCATAATATCACGTAAGTCACAAATGTCTCAAAACATAGATTAAAATGTTCTGAAATATTGGAATATAATTAAAGTCCATATTTGAGACAGAAGAGAAAATAAATAATAGCTTATATATTATATTAAATTTATTATGTGAAAAAGACTTTTGGGAAGTTGTTCCATAATAAATGAAGATATAAATAACTATAATTAAAATTTACAAAAAAAAAGCATTAAAATAAACTGTGAAAAACTTAAAAGAATGTAAAATTTAAAGTTATTAAATTTTTCATCTCAAAAATCATAAAAAAGTCATTTCATCAATGTCCTATGAAAATTAAAATAAAACAAACTTAGTAATGTAACAAATAAAAAGAGTAATTAAGAAAAAAGTAACTTTCACAAATCAAAGTTAAAAAAAAGAAAAAATAATGGATTCCATACTTTGTGTTTAAGATCAGAACATAGTCTCAAATGGTTCAGAAATAAAAAATGTCAGACTTCCAAATATATTGTGGTGATTATAAATAATAAAAATAAATAAATACAAGATGTATTCTAACTCAGAAAAAAGGGAAAAAACATAGAATTGACATTAGAAAAGAGGTGTGAAATATTCAGAATCTGAATTTAGGAAAAAAGAAGTACCATCTTCCCAATTGTAAAAGTTAGGGTGATGTGCGTAAAGCAGTGGAAATAAAAATACAGTTGTGTTTTTGTTGTTATGGGGCTGTTTTCTGAGCCAGACATTTTTTTCAAATTGCCAGTTAAAGAGTGGCCCCCCGAAATATATGTCTAAGTCCTAACCACTGAAACCTGTGAATATGGACTTTTGAAAATAGGATCTTTGCAGATGTAACTACCTTGGTAATCTCCCAACAAGATTAGTCTGGGTTTAGGGTGGGACCTAAGTCCAATGACTGGTATCCTTAGAGAAAAAATAAAAGGAAAATCTGAGACACATAGACAGCCATGTGGAGACAGAGGCAGAGACAGAGCTCACTAGAGCTATGCTGCCACAAGCCAATGAAAGCCAAGGATTCTCATCACCCACCAGAAGCTAGCAGAGAGGCAGGAGGTGGATTTCCCCTCAGAATTTCCAAAGGGAACCACTCTATCAACATGTTGATTTTAAATGTTAGGCATTCAGAAATGTGAGAGAGCAAATTATTGTTTTATCTGTGATAGTTTATTACAGCAGCCCCAGGAACCTAATATGCAAATGTTTTACATTTATTATTAATATCTTATTTTTCTCCTTAAAACTCTGTGAGCTCATTTTATGCTTGCTGTTCCATTACATATATGACGAAACTGTGACCAGGCATGGTGACTCATGCCTGTAATCCCAGCACTTTTGGAGCCTAAGATCCAAAAGGAGGGTCGTTTGAACTCAGGAGTTTGAGACAAGCCTGGGCAACAAAGTGAGAGACTCCTGTCAAAAAAAAAAACAAAAAACAAAAACAAGAAAGAAAGACAGAAAGAAAGAAAAAGAAAGAAAGAAAGAAAAAGAATGAAAGAGAAAGAAAGAAAGAAAGGAAGGAAGGAAGAAAGGAAGGAAGGAAGGAAGAAAGACAGACAGACAGACAGACAGAAAGAAAGAAAGAAAGAAAGAAAGAAAGAAAGAAAGAAGGAAAGAAACTGGGAAAACTAAGAATTTATATAGGGCCAGGCACAGTGGCTCATGCCTGTAATTTGAACATTTTTGGAGGCTGATGCAGGAAGATTGCTTGAGTTCAGGAGTTCCAGACCAGCCTGGGCAGCATGGAGAGACCCCATGTCTACAAAAACAAAAATTTAGCCAGGCCCACACTTGTAGTGCCTGTAGTCCCAACTACTCTGGAGGCTGAGGTGAGAGGATGGCTTGAGCACAGGAGGTCAAGACTTCAGTGAGCCTTGATTGTATCACTGCACTTCAGACTAGGCAACAGAGTGAGACTCTCTGTCTCAAAAAAATTGACCTTGTCAATGTTGTGTGATTTTCCCTTTTCTGTGTCATAATCCATCTAATTTTTATTTTTCATTTTTTATCACAATCACTTACGAAATACTTAGAAGTTTAAGACATTTTATTCCTGAACCATTTGAGAGTAAGTTTTGATCTTAAACAAAATGTATGAACTCCTGTGACTTTATGAAGCTGTATGAATTGTTAGTTTTTTAAATTTTTGTAACATAAAAGATAAATATTTGGCGAGGCACAGAGCCTCACGCCTGTAATCCCAGCACTTTGGAGGCTGAGGCAGGCAGATCACGAGGTCAAAAGATCAAGACCATCCTGGCTGACATGGTGAAACCCCATCTCTACTAAAAATACAAAAATTAGCTGGGCATGGTGGTGCACCCCTGTAGTCCCAGCTACTCGGGAGGCTGAGGCAGGAGAATCGCTTGAACCTGGGAGGCAGAGGTTGCAGTGAGCTGAGATCACGCCACTGCATTCCAGCCTGGTGACAGAGTGAGACTGCATCTCAAAAAAGGAAAATAAAAATAAAATAAAATAAAATAAACATTTATATAGTAGCTTCACAAAGTCATATGTATGATATTTATTATCAAACTATATTAAATATAATAAAAATATCAAAAAATAACAAGAGGCTTTAAAAAGAGGATTCAAACAACAAAATAGATTTGTAAAATAAAAATACCATGACAGAAATAAAAACTTCAGTGGAATATTAGGAAAATAAAAAAGTGCCTTTGAGCACTTAAAAACTTTGCAGACGACCAAGGCTGCATTCAACCTGAAGTTAAAGACAACATGGAACTTTTCATATTCTACAATAAAGGTTTCCAATTAAATTCTAGATATCATGCTATAGATAAAACTGTATAATATCTAGGACTTTCCCTCCAGAAGTTCACAATTTGTATAAACAAGGAACAAAAAATTAAAGGAAATACTCACCTGAATATTCTATAACTGGTCTGAACAGTGCTTGCAGGAAAGTTCATGCATTTGGCTCAGGAGTTCTGTGTCCTCTGGGCTTTCTGGACAACAGATGTTATTTTCTGAGGTTTCCACAGTCTAGCAAATTCCAAATGCCTCTAAAATAATTAGACTTGCTTTTTGGATGCCAGTGTATTATAGGATCCTTAAAGCCCCTCCCTGATTAGATGTCTGCAGTACAAAGTATCAATAAAAGGATTTACCTTTCAACCGTTGATTAAATTAACTCCATTTCTAATCTCTGTAAATAACCCTCTACAAACACCCTCTAGTGCTGGTTTATATTGTCATTGATTTTTAAATAACACCCAGGTGGAAAATTCATGTCTGATTTTTCTGGGGCAACGAGTCTACTTTCATTTCTGTTCCCACATCTGACAGTATTTTTATATGATATTTGAATATACACCATTCCATTCTTTGATAATTTCTGCCCTTTCTTCACTGAAATCTGGGATCTGCTACCATCTCACCTTCCTCCTGGACATGTAATTCCCTTCAGTACTGATCAATTCCTACCAGCCTTTAGACTTGGAGATCAAAATGCTAATGATGATGGTGGGTGGTTTTGGAAAAAGAGAAGTAGAAGCTCGGTGTCTGGCATCTCTGGCTGATTTAATTTTAAATTTAGGGAAATGAAATAGGTACTGCCTCTCAAAAAAATTCAGATAATTTTGTTTTTGATCAAATTCAAACTAATCAAAAAGATACCTTTATTTAAATGACAACTTATTTGAACAAATTTTAAAATTTTTATTTTTAATCAATATATAAAAATTGCACATATTTTTATAAGGTACAATATAGTATTTTGATACATGTATAAATTGTGCATTGATCAAATTAGGGTTTGACAATATGAGGCTTCATAATTTATAAAACAGGTTTCTGCCTTTCAAACATTTTATATCTAAAGTTACCAACTAGTAATTAACTGAACGTATCAAATAACAAGATATTATTTGAAAAAGCCTAAATTAATAAAATGTTTAAATACATTTTTAGCTTTAAAATACAATAAATATAACTTATTTTGAAAAAATTTTTAAAAATTATAGACAAAGATGGATATAGACAAAAACAAGTATAGAAAAATATTAGAAGGATTAAACTCCTTGGTGATTTTAATGGTAAAAACTTGCTGATATTATTTTTAAAAATTATCATCTTTTTCTTTATATTTTACGGTTGTTAATGAGAGTAAACTTCTACTGAAAAAGAAACCTTTACTCCTGTAAGAATATACTCTCAGACATGTATCTCTTATATTACTCACATAAATAATTATTTCGACATTGTAGTTACAATTAGTTTTATATGGTGGGGTTTAGGAATATCTATAATAATAAGCCCTGTGGATAATTCTGACACATGCTAGAGTTTGAGGATATAAGCTCAAACTGTCACCCATGTCGTGACTTTAAACTCGTCTTCTACTCTACACCACAACACACACATATATGTGCACAAGCAAATATATGCAAATAAAACATTGTGGTGAAATAAAATACCTTTTTGTTTGTTTGTTTTGAGAAAAGCTCTAGTTCTGTTGCCCAGAATGGGATGCAGTGGAACAGTCATGGCTCACTGCAGCTTCAAACTCCAAGGTTCAAGTGATCATCCCACCTCAGCCTCCCAAGTAGCTGCAACCATAGACGTGTGCCATGATGCTGCTAATTTTTTGAAAAATTAGTTTTATAGAAATAGAGTATCTGGGGCCAGACCCAGTGGCTCATGCCTGTAATCCCAGCACTTTGGGAGGCTGAGGCAGGCGGATCACTTGAGGCCTGGAGTTTGAGACCAACCTGGGCAACATGGTGAAACACCATCTCTACTAAAAATATGGAAAAAAAAAAAAAGTAGCTGGGCATCTTAGCACGTGCCTTTAATTCCAGCTGCTCAAAAGGCTGAGGCATGAGAATTGCTTGAACCCTGGAGGCAGAGGTTGAAGTGAGCCCAGATCTTGCCACTGCACTCCAGCCTGTGCGACAGAGCAAGACTCCGTCTCAAAAAAAAAAAAAAGAAAAAGAAAAAGAAAAGAAAAGAAATAGCTTATCTCAATGTTGTCCAGGCTCATCTTGAACTCCTGGATTCAAGCATTCCTCCCGCCCAGCCTCCCAAAGTGCTGAGATTAAAGGCATAAGGCTCTATGCCTGGCCTTGAAAGGAATTTTTATTCAATCTCATCCAGATGTTTTTGCTTTATTCTGGCGCTAGTCCTAAGAAAATTAAGAAGTCCTAAGAAAACTCTTCCCAACAGGTAAAAGATGCATTAGTTAGTTATTATGGCAATATACCCTGCATGAGTAATTTTGGTGATAAGCTTCTGTCTCATCATTTCTAGAAAAATATTTTATTTCTGTCATAACTTCTAATGCTTAGTAAAAAGGCTCTTTCTTTGTGTGTTGATCTTCTTCTTGCAAATTAGGCACTCAGTATTAGCTAGTATTTCATTGTTGAGTACCAGCCCTGTGCCCTGTATACATGAGAATTTTGTTTTCAGGTCTGCTACTTATCATGGTAGCTGATGGCTGTGGTCTTTCTCTGTTCCTTGCTTCACTTCACTCCACAGTATCTCACACAGGACAAAAAGCAGAACAGATATCTTCAGATCCTCTGATGTTAATTAAGGCAACTCTGCTTGTCAAGAAATACAAAATGTGGTTCAAAAGCATCCATCCAGATTGTATACAGAGTCTAGGGACCTCTCCAATATGACCTCATGCTTTAACAGAATCAGTTCAGCTTCTGGATATTTTTACAAACTCAAGTTAGCTGCAACTGCTCCAGTTCTCATAAATTCACATACAAAATCATTCACTTTCTTTGATTTCAACAATAAGAATCACAAAACAATATCTTGCATACAAGTACACCTCACTGAATTGGGTGGGGTTGGTAAATAAATTAAATTAAATGTGATTATTATCTATTGCTATTCATATCTTTCCCCCTAACCATTTCCAATCTTGGTGCCCATCTCTCATCAGATGGTGCTTGGCCCTTCTCTGTGCAAATGCCTCTTCTATTTCCACAAAGGCAAAATGCTGCTTCCTGTATGTAGGAATACTATCAACTTGTTGTTACTGTTGTCATTACTTCATAGTCACCTACTCAAATGTACAGCTTCAAAACTAAATATGCCAAGGAATTTTACTCAATGAAGACAATTCCATGTGGAATTTTAGTCATGTTTCTTTTTCCACACCTCAGAAAACTGTGGCTTAGAGAAAATGGGAACACATTAGACACATTAGATATTTTTTTTTTTTTTTGAGGTGGAGTCTCACTCTGTTGCCAGGCTGGGGTGCACTGGCTCAACCTCAGCTCACTGCAACCTCTGCCTCCCGGATTCAAGTGATTCTCCTGCCTCAGCCTCCCGAGTAGCTGGGATTACAGGCTAACGTTTGTGTTTTTAGTAGAGATGGGGTTTCGCTATGTTGGCCAGGCTGGTCTTACTGCTGACCTCAGGTGATCCACTGCTCTCAACCTCTCAAAGTGCTGGGATTACAGGCGTGAGCTGCCACGCCCGGCCTAGATAAGTATTTTTGAGGGATTAGATGGTAATACCTGAAATATTTGGCTAGAGATGTTCTTTATACTGTTTTTACTTCTATCTCTCTGTTACTTGTATCCTATACTGACAGTCAAGGCTCCTTTTGATGGAAATTATTTTAATCTCTTAGCTGTTGCCTCTTTCTGCCTATAGAACATCTTGCACACCACTACCTGACCAGTTTTTATAACTCAGCATTCGAGTGAAGCTCCTATCATAGTCTAAACTCTTCCTTATGGTATCCTTGCTTTTCAATACTAATCTGAGATACTCCTGCTGCTTTTCTTTAGAACAAATAACTCTTACTAGCTTTATTTTGCCACACACAATTTTTTTCTTTTCTTTCTTTCTTTTTCTTTTCTTTTTTTTTTTTTGAGACATACTCTTGCTCTGTCACCCAGGCTGGAGTGCAGTGGCGCGATCTCAGCTCACTGCAACCTCTGCCTCCCGGGTTCAAGCAATTCTCCTGCCTCAGCCTCCCGAGTGGCTGGGATTACAGGCATGCACCATGCCCAGCTAATTTTTGTATTTTTAGTAGAGACGGGCTTTCATCATCTTGGTCAGGCTGGTCTCAAACTCCTGACCTCATGAATCGCCCACCTCGGCCTCCCAAAGTGCTGGGATTACAGGCATAATTGACCATGTCTGGCACTCTCTTTTTTTTTTTTTTTTTTTTTGAGATGGAGTCTCACTCTGTCACCCAGGGTGAAGTGCAGTAGCACAATCTCAGCTCACTGCAGCCTGCACCTTCTGGGTTCAAGCAAGTCTCCTGCCTCAGTGTCTCAACTAGCTGGGATTACAGATGCCCATCACCATGTCTGGATAATTTTTGTAATTTTGGTAGAGACAGGCTTTCACCAACCATGTTGGCCAGGCTTGTCTTAAACTCCTGACCTCAAGTTATCTGCCCGCCTCAGCCTCCCAACATGTAATTTTCTTTTTTTAACTACATGAGTAAACACATCTTAGTTTCTTCCTGGTCTCAAGTTCCTCAGTGATACCTTTATGCTATTGCTTTCCCACAATTTCATCACAGACCATGATCTCTTCTCATTTTGTATACTCTTCCTTTTACAATTTCATCTCATCTCTCTGGTTTGAACTACACACATACTATGTCTCCACATCAGTTTTTAACTTTGAATTTTATTTCTGTGAAGAATTTAACTTGTGTCCCCCAAAATGCGACAAGGCAAATGGATCAATAACCTCTTCAGGAGGTGAGGAGTCCTAGATTTCTGATATAAGTGGCAAGGTTCCCAGTAGTTGCACCTTAATTTTATTTCTCAATTTTAGGAATGTCCCAGATGATAATAATTCTAATAGAAGTTATCAAAACAGAGGAATGTAACAAGTTTTTGGTTTAATGGCTAAGAAAATTTACCAAACTAATACGCACTTTCCCCTCTTCCAAAATTAAAGTAATATCTTAAATGTCTACAGTAGCTAATACCAACTGTATGTACAAGTAAATCTAAGCTAAATATGATTAGCTATAAAATTTTCTTTGAATAAGTGACAAACAAAATTGGTAACAAGGTAATATTGAGAGTGTAATAGCTGTTGCTTATGGAAATTTTTAGTGTCAGTAGAGAAAGCTCAGAAACTTTAGGTGGAAATAAAAAGGAGAATTGGGTTGAAAGCCCAGAAGGCAAAATTCTATAATCTGAGATCAGTTGGAGAGACACAAATCATCAGAAGGTGATAGACTTTTCCTGTTACCTAGGAAAGTGCTGCAAATAAGTGTGTGGGAGGAGAAGAGAGAAAGTTAACTAAGGAGTGTAGGTAGTACAGACAGAAAGAATAAGGAAGCATTGCTAATAAGCATTTTCATAATTTGTATAATCACCTTGAGTTAGTGATCAGTTTAAGAGATTAAAAGACACATAAGATCCTTCTTGCCATATGACCCTTAATTAGCCAGTTGCTGAATGGGGAAACACTGGACACTTCGACAGTGGTGAAAAGCAGAGTTTACTTATTCCTGAATACCCATTCCCAGTTCTAACTAAAAGCAACTCTTCAGTAAAGGATCACCTGATTTTCATTGAACACAAGCTCTTGGGCATTTCTTCTGCTGTGCTGTCATTTAATTTTCTTTCTCTTCTAAATCAAAGAAAAAAAGAAAAAGAAAGAAAAGGCCAGACACCGGTGGCACATGCCTCTAATCCCAGTGCTTTGGGCAGTTGAGGAGGGTGGGTTGCTTGAGGTCAGGAGTTTGAGACCAAAAAAAGAAAAGACCAGACACCGTGGCACATGCCTCTAATCCTAGTGCTTTGGGCAGTTCAGGCGGGAGAGTTGCTTGAGGTCAGGAGTTCGAGACCACCATGGGCAATATAGCGAGACCTTGTCTCTAGCAAAAGAAATAAAAATAAAATAAAATAAAGGAAATAAAAATAAACATTTTAGTGTGTATTCAGCATTTCCGGATACATCTTGCAGTTCAGTGTGCTGTATACCTAAGCTTGAAGCAATAGGATGGGAACAGAAGTACTGAGGAAAACACCAGGTCATTTCCTTACATTCAGGTCCTCTTGCTCAGGATGTTTTTTCAGCTTTCTCACTGAACAGGAGATGGCAACAGATTGCACTTTCTTGCACGTACAGAGGAAATCCAGTTGATGAAAGTGTCAATCTTCGTTTTGATTACCTCCTCAATTTGGATAAGTAGGTGAGAAAAACATAGCCTCCTATTTATTTAAAATTGGAATCTTGCTGCTCAACGTTACCAGAGCCTGCAATCTGTGGGATCAGTCGAATATGGGTATTCAGCATGATGTGTTGGAAGAAAATTGCTTCTCGCAAGATTGAATGCCTAAGGAGTAACTTTATATATATATCTCATATTTGAGCAAAGAAGAAATTGCTTTCTCAGATCCCACTCCTGATGGAAAACTGTTTGCAACAGAGTACTGTGGTACTGGTCAGTTTCTGGTGTATAATTTTATAAACTGACAGAATAGCATGTAAAACAAATTCTTGCCTACACAACTAGAAGACATCTATTGAAGAAAATAGATTGGTTGCTGACTTTAACCAGGAACTAGGGCCATTTTTATTGCAATGAACTCAAGACTAGCAACAACCATATATTTGTTCCATTTTCATAAAATTGGAAATAATGCAGTAATAGCTTATTGTTTTGTTTTTTAAAGAAGATATTTTATTATCTTTTACAGAAATTTATGATTGATGTATTTTATCTATAGTTATTTAGACATGTTTACATGCAGCAGATAATTGTTCATAGCATACTGAAAACTAATGCAAGGACTATGCTCTCAGCAATGAGGATATTGTGGAGTTCTTAAAATGGAAATATACCAGTGTAGCTTGGTACTGTATTTTTTATATTGATCTGCTGATACCAGTTATAAGCTCAAAGATTGTATTTTCACAGAGTGGAAATGAGTTTTTTTAGTTATTGTTCAAGGAGGGTGCAACATTAAGTGTTTTGGAATTTGAAGCTAATTTTTTTTTTTTTTTTTTTTTTTGAGATGGAGTCTCATCGTGTCACCAGACTGGAGTGCAGTGGCACGATCTCAGCTCACTGCAGCCTCTGCCTCCCAGGTTCACACTTTTCTCCTGCCTCAGCCTCCTGACTAGCTGGGACTCTAGGTTAACAGTGAGAATTCACAATCCGTGTGAATGGGAAGCATAAACACATTTTAAAGTAGACAGTCTGCTCATCTGTTTATTTTTCCCTGGATGATGCTGTTTGCTTTATTAAACAGCTACAGAATTCAATGTGGGTTAAACCCTTTTGGTTCCCGCTGAGACATTGCTAGCAACTTCTCAGAGAAGCAATAGGCTGTACCATTTAGCTTATATCTGTAGATGGATATTCTATCTAGGTTTTTATGTGTGTTCTAATGTTCACACAATGATAAAATCGCCTAGTAATGCATTTCTCAGAATGTGTTTTTGTTGCCATAGGATGCACGACTGTTAAATTCCTATTCTGGCCCAAAGATTCAGTGAAAACTTCTGTGTAAAATAAATTTTTCCACCTAAAGCAATGAGGTGTAGAATTTACCGTATTAATAGGAGAGAGCACTCACACTTACAAGTGCATTGTACAAAATCCTGTCTGTCCATGATGTGCAAATTTTGTTCCTGCATGGGATAATTAAGTGGGAATCACACACCCACATATTTCCAGAATTCCATCCAATAAATTCACAAACACTTGAAAATCACAATACATATTTTAGGTAATGGGCCATAAGAGATTATTTTAATTGTAAGAAAATGTACAAAAATGTTTTGCATTTTACATATCTTCTACTTAATAGCAATAAAATGAAGTGACACTAAAGTAGAAAAAAGCCTGAAAAGTATGATTTCTTTGTATCAACAGTGAAGGGCTGGCTCCCCTGTATATGGAGTTCCCGAACAGTCAGGTTTCTTAATCCTTGTCATCTGTGGCCAGTGTAAAAGAAAGACCTGACAGGAAAATTTAAGGAGCCAGCTGGGTAATTCCATATGAGGGAATTCTTGGTGACATTCAAAAAACTCACACTTCCACTTTCAAAATTAAGAAACACACCAACTCGGACCAGAGGTTTCTCTACATAGTGAGGAAACATTGGGGAGGTGGTCAAGAGACTGAAATGATTATCCACCTTCACACATAAAAGAAGAAATATGTCCTTAGAGTTAAACATTGTGCTATTCTTCCTTATCCAGGAGTCCTTACAGACTCCCAGAGCCCAGTCCCAAGAGTTGTCCACATCCAGCTCCCAGTAGTGTTTGCCAGAGGAGAAGACCCAGGCTCCCCATGCAGCAAAATAGTCAGATCTGTCAGAATTCAAAGATCCACGTCTAAACATCAAACTTCTCACATCCTCAAACAGCCCGATATTGTAATTGGTTCCTTCCCAAGTGAAGGAAATTTCCACTGTAGAAAAAAGAGAACGTTCCAGTGAAAAGCAGTTTATAAATTCTTATGTTCAGATAAGAAAGAGATTCTCACTAGAAAACACAGGTCAAGATTACAAAGTAACTTCTGCCTGGAAAAATGTTGGAATCAAAGGGTGTTAGGATATCTGCACAAGTAAATGGCTCAACTTCAATGATCGCAATTTCTATAAACTCAAAAAGTATAAAGGGGAGGAAGGTCATGTCTATGTCTAGTTAGCGACCTTTCATAACAACTGAAAAACTGGAACCTCTTGCACTGCAGCCAAGTCCATAGCAATAAAATTAACCTCCATTGCCTCTTCTCTGTCAGGGCAGAGCAGGAGGCTGGGGACAGGAGATGAGGTGGGGAGCCATTCTTAGACCCAAATAAAAAAGTTATCGCTTTCCAGAAATATTATAATCTGCCACTTAAACTAGAAAATTCATACTTAAAGAGAAAATCTGAATCTGCCTTCTGAAAAGTGCAGATTCCTTGCCAGAATTATCTGACTTTCATGCCAGATTCAGGCACAGACATCTTTTATCTGCTGGATTTATCATGATCTATCCTGGAGTTCTATCTAAGGCCTCATCAACCACCAAATCACGTTCTTATTGTTCACAGATTCTCAGTGTTTGCATTGTTATATAAGTTACTCGTGTATGCTTTAGTTGATTAAAATGCACGTGATTAAAATTATAAATGCTATGAAACTTCACCTGAAATGTATTTAAAAAAACACTGTCACTCAAATCAGTCATTAACTGCACTGAATTTGAAATTGAAATGTCCTGAATTAATTCAGTTCTGTATACTTCATGTAATAATTGTATACATGAAATTGTATCACGGTTGAAGCATACATGAATGGTTCTACGTCCTAAAAAGCCCTTCTGCGTGTTTTACTTTTCCAAGAAATTTGTTATATGGCTGATTCCACCATCTTTTATTTAGTTTTGTCTGTTTGATGATAGTGAAACTATAAATGTAAATACCTATTCACAGACTATTCTCTTCTTCTAGATGAAAAATCGTTACACTGGGAAGGCTGCCCATAGAAAACCATAACTGAAGGCATTGCATGTTGATCCCACCAAGAGGGCCACACTCACCTCGGAAGTGGTTGAGCCTGTCCACCGGTCCTGTGATGGGCCCTGTAGGGAGCTCTGGATTCACAGGCTGGAGCATGTGCAGCAGCACGGACTCACTCCTGCAAGGAAGTAGGTTGAGTTGGTTAAGTTTCTGATGTCTGTGTTTAAGAAATAGATTCCAACAGAAAATGCTTCATTCAAACCACTTCTGATATTGTAATGTACCTCCACAATCCTAGGATGGGTTTGTGGCCCTTAGGGAATCTTTCTAACTCTTCACTCCGTTTCTAACCTACTGCCACTGAAAGATAAATGCCTCTCTCCCTATCTGCCACCAAATAGTTGATCTCTAATTATGATTCTGAATCCTAAAAAGAGGCAATTGTATTCTAGCAACTCCTGCATTGAACTCTTCAAAACAGAAACCCCTGAGTCACTTGGAAAAGTAAGAAAAGTTTAATGTCTGATAAGAGGCATAGGTAACATTCAACATACCACACAAACACATAAGTACACACACTTACACACACAATCACATTGACACATTATGGTGTTAGTAAATTATGTTTTCCCTTTGTTGGAAACAACTTGATGTTTTTCACAGCACGCCTTGTGCTCCAGCTTGCACTGATGGCCATTAACATACCTTGCCACCATGTCTCCCAAATCCTGTAGAGAGAGAGAGAGAGAAAACGACTCCTTTAGAAAGTTGTTATTCTTGTTGGGTGAGGTGGCTCACACCTGTAATCCCACCACTTTGGGAGGCCAAGGTGGGTGGATCACCTGAGGTCAGGATTTCCAGACTAGCCTGGACAACATGGCAAATCCCCATCCCTACTAAAAATACAAAAAAATTAGCCAGGTGTGGTGGTGCATGCTTTTAGTCCCAGCTACTAGGGAGGATGAGGCAGGAGAATAGCTTGAACTAAGGAGGCAGAAGTTGCAGTGAGCTGAGATTGGGCCACTGGACTTCAGCCTGGTTGACAGAAGACTCTGTCTCAAAACAAACAAACAAAGAATCAAAGAAACAAACAAGTTGTTATTCTGCCCATCTGCTCTTTAGGTTTTGAAAACTTTAGAATTACCACATACTATCACTGCAACACTTTTAAAATGTATTCTCATCTCTTACACTTATACCAGTAAGACCTATTGACAGAATCTATTTCTGACAAAGTAATGATGGCAGGGCTTCATCTGAATGCATTTATTCTACCGCTCATGGAGAGGAGTGTCATGCCATGTTAGACACATGAGAACATTCTCTGCCTAGTTACCAGTAGCTCTAGATCTTCCTGTAGTTATGGAAACCCATGCTACAGATTCTGGAGAAGCAACTCAGACCTCGTGCAGACAAGAGTTCTTCGAGAACCACCTTGGCTATGCAAAGACTCTCAGGCCCAGCAACAGTCTGAGCTGGATGAGAGATAGAGCAAAGGTCCCAGGAGCAGCAGAAGCTGTAAGGGAGGGAAAAGGGAAGGAAGAAACCCTAGATTTCAGGATATCCCCTTTACATCTGTGAGAATATCAGCACGCACAAGGCCACCATTCCTTTGTCTGACTCCTCTTGGATCCAGGAGTTTTCCTGGGTTAAGCCATCCAGGGACAGGACACGAGATGCCATTTGGCTCTAGGAGCACAGGAGAGAAACTCAGCAGGAAGAGTGTCTCTATGGGAGGAAAATTCAGTTGAGCACGTTTGTAGGGTCACAGGGCTGGATATGGGTAGAGTCCAGTGTACATGTTTAGAAGCCACAGTTCCCCCAGATCTTCTGATTCTAACAAGTACACAGAGCCAATCAAATGAAGGAGGGGGTGGGTCAAGGGAGTTCAGGGACAAGGAGAATGAGGGATGATTAGTTGCAGGAGGATGCCGTCGAGGTCAATAGGCAGACATTCTCCCCTCCTCTGATACTGAGAAACAAGTAATGAAGCTTAAAAGTGTTGCTTGTGCTCTGTGCCAAAGGCAGCAGAGCACTTGTCTCTGGTCTCCATATACACTTGACATATTTACCTTCAGTATTCTGAGTAAGATTTTGATTCATTTCACACGGAATAACACTCACCTACCATGCTTAAATTACCGTACATATTGTGAGACTTTATTGATCATAAATAAGTTACTCTCAACCTTGAGATCTGGCTTCAATTTTCTGTATTCTCATTCTTTCTCCTTTATATCAGAAGCTTCATAATAGACAATGGGGGCAAATATGGTGTGGAGAAATAATCAGTTTATATTTAGATATTTTTAATGTAGTTATCGCTTCCTAAAAAGCTAGGAAAAAGCTGAAATACATGAAATAGCCACGCACCTTCGTTTCTAGCCTCCTTTAGGTATCTGCCCAAATATATTCTATACTATGTCTTTTCTGACCATAGTATTAAAAATTCAATTTTGGGCCAGGCACGGTGGCTCACGCCTGTAATCCCAGCACTTTTTTGGGAGGTCGAGGTGGGCGGATCACGACGTCAGGAGATTGAGACCATCCTGGCTAACACGGTGAAACCCTGTCTCTACTAATAATACAAAAAAAAAAAAAATTAGCTGGGCGTGGTGGCGAGCGCCTGTAGTCCCAGCTACTTGGGAGGCTGAGGCAGGAGAATGGCGTGAACCCGGGAGGCGGAGCTTGCAGTGAGCCAAGATTGTGCCACTGCACTCCAGCCTGGGTGACAGAGCGAGACTCTGTCTCAAAAACAAAAACAAAAACAAAAACAAAACAAAACAAAAATCAATTTTTGTCTATGATTCTTTATTTTCCTTTCCTGCTGTATTTTTCTCTAAAGCACTTATCACAATGCGTCACTCTATCAATTTTTTTTTTCTTTTCGAAACAGGGTCTTGTTCTGTCATCCAGGCTTAAGCGTGGTGCAATACCAGCTCAATGCAACCTTGACTTCCCAGGTTCAAGCAATCCTCTCACCTAAGCCAGTGTCTGAGAATACAGGGACATGCCACAACCCAAGCTAATTTTGTTTCTTTTCTTAGAGAAAAGAGCTCTCACTTTGTTGGTGAGGCTGGTCTTGAACTGCTAAGCACAAGTGATCCTCCTACTTCAGAATCCTGAAGTGCTGGTATTACAGGCCACAGCCACTGTGCCAGCTTCACTTTTTCAATGTTGTATTTTGACTTGTTGTCTTGTGTTTCTCACCCTGCAACCTCATTAGCTCTTTAGGTGCAAGAAAATCCGTCTCATTTGTTCATTTCTGCATTGGCTTAGAATGTTTATTAAGACACAGTAGGCACTTGATATTTTGAAGAAAAAAGTATTGTAAGTACTATCCTTAAGGATATCACCTTTAAAGAATCAGAATGACTTATCAATAATTAAGCTCATGATATCTCTTTCTTTCACACAGAGCCAATTTCTTTCTTAGTGCTTAGGAGTGTCTTTAATATTATTTGTTTTACTTTTCCATCAGGAAATCTTTACTTCTTTCAGAATGTATATGTAATTTCATTTCATCTCTTCTCTTCATAGTATTCATTTTATGTTTGAATCAGTAAATGATCCATACAGATTCTTCAGCCATGCATGTAGGTCCCATCTTGAACTACCCTATGCTACCTTTTCTGCTACATCTCTAAGCACTGCCTCTCTCATTATGGAAGTGTTAATCACATATGTGAATTATGTGGAAATCCAATAGTACAATGGTTTATCTAGTATATAGTTTCCAGCACCCCCGCCCCAATTTACCTGCCTGAAATTCCAAGAAATTTCCTATTAAATTTTTTTATGTAATGTAGTTTAATTTTATTTAGAAAATCGGAGAATATAGTTTTAAAGCTTTTGACCTATATTTACTGTTGACCCTTGAATAACACTGGTTGGAACTCTGTGAGTCACTTATAATTGGAGTTTCTTCTGCTTCTGACACCCCTGGGACAGCAAGACCAACCCCTCCTCTTTCTCCTCCTTCTCTGATTACTCAACATGAAAATGATGAGGCTGAAAACCCTTATAATGATCCACTTCCACTAATTATATTTAGTTTTCCATTAATGAATATTAAATATATTTTCTTTTTATTTTCTTAATATCTTCTTTCCTTTAGCTAACTTTATTGTAAAAATACAGTATACACATAACATATAAAATATGCGTTAATCAACTGTGAATATTATCATTAAGGCTTCTAGTCAACAGTAGGCTATTGATAGCTAAGTTTTGAGGAAGACAAACATTATATGCTGATTTCTGACTACATGGGATCTTGACACCCCAACCACCATGGTGTTCAAGGGTCAACTCTAGGTTTATTAAATATTATTCAAATAATCTGAGAATCTCTTTGTGAACATTCAAAGACTTTATCTTTCTGTGAAACCCTGTGTTTATCTCATGCACTAATTATGGCATTCCATAGTGATAGTGTATTTTACCATGCTTATTGATATTTTATATCATTTCCCAGGAAATAAAATTTTTTTAGCTGAATATTTTGATATTAGCAAGAAATCCTAATAAGAAGTTTGCTTCCATGTTGAAATGATTAGATGGAACCCTTTTGCTATTGTTCTGCTGCTCACAGTAGCATAACAATTGACACCTTGGTTGTGCCCATTGCTCTATCTGGTACACTGAAGCATACGCTCTCCATGGATTTCTGATAATATTGTGAATTCTATTAATCTTTTTGAAAGTAATAGCTATATATTGCTAAAGTGTCCAAGAACTGTCACAAAGTTCTATATTTTGTCATAGTATTTTCATTTCTTGAATTATTTCTTAAGAAAAAGTCTCCAATTTGGAACAGAAAAACTGGTTTGAAAAAGACTTGAAGTCTAAAATGATAATAGCAGATCACCTGAGGTCAGGAGTTCGAGTCCAGCCTGGCCAACTCAGTGAAACCTTACCTCTACTAAAAATACCAAAATTAGCCAGTCACGGTGACAGACACCTGTAATCCCAGCTACTCGGGAGGCTGAGGCAGGAGAATCACTTGAACCTCGGAGGCAGAGGTTGCAGTGAGCTGAGATCATGCCATTGCACTCCAGCCTGGGTGACAGAGGGAGACTGCGTCTCGAAAAAAAAGTAATAATAATTATTATTATTGTGTAAATAATTATTATATAATTTTTAAAATATGAATACATAACATTGTTATAGTTATGTACATATATATGTAAAGTATCACTTTTAAAATTATTCAAAAAGGTGGATGAATAAAAAATAGATTTTAGTTTCATACAAAACAATCATTAGGAAATAGTCATAAAATAGACTATAAGACATAAAATAGCCATAAAATAGACTATAAGAAAATCAGGCTGATACAACTAATTCTATCAACCATTATATATACAATTATGTGAAACACAATTGAGTTCCTTGCTATACTTTTTTAAACAACAGAGTTACACAGCACGGATGTGTTGGTAATCCCAGTTAATGTTTTATCTTTGAACATATTCAGACAAATAACGGCTAGGCACATAAGCAACTATAATTTTAAAACAGAGTGAGAAACAAAATTTTAAAGTTAGCATGTGGCCCGGTGCAGTGGCTCACGCTTGTAATCCCAGCACTTTGGGAGGCCGAGGTGGGCAGATCACCTGAAGTGAGGAGTTCGAGACCAGCTTAAGCAACATGGTGAAACCCTGTCTCTAGTAAAAATACAAACTTAGCTGGGCTTAGTGGCAGGTGCCTGTAATCCCAGCTACTTGGGAGGCTGGGGCAGGAGAATCACTTGAACTGGAGATGCAGAGGTTGCAGTGAGCTAAGACCAAGCCCTGGCACTCCAGCCTGGGCGACAGAGCAAGATACCGTCTCAAAAGAAAAAAAAGAGTTAGCAAGTGATAATATTTAATGAAATAATTGTTGTATTTAAAATATTTCTTTTTTTTTTTTCTTTTGAGACAGAGTCTCGCTCTGTCACCCAGGCTGGAGTGCAGTGGTGCTATCTCGGCTCAGTGTAACCTCTGCCTCCCAGGTTCAAGTGATTCTCATGCCTCAGCCTCCCAAGTAGCTAGGATTACAAGTGCCTGCCGCCGAACTCGGTTAATTTTTTGTATTTTTAGTACAGATGGAGTTTCACTGTCTTGGCCAGGCTGGTCTTGAACTCCTGACCTCGTGATCCACCCTCGTGGGCCTCCCACAGTGCTGGGATTACAGGCATGAGCCACCTTGCCCAGCTACTTAAAATATTGCTTTGAATAAACTGTGTTAAGTCAACTTTCTTGCGTCTCATTCCAAACTTGTCTGTTGAGCTTTGAGCCCTCAAGTCTGGTTTTCAATACCTTATAAACCTAATCAGCCAATTTATCCCTTTCTATGCAATCCAATCCATCTCAGGAAGTGGGTGTGGTCTTCCGTGGGCCCATACACTTTAAAAGGATGCTTGTCCAGAGATTTCTCCCTCCTTCAGTGAGGACCCACTGGATTTGTGACTGCTGGGCTTTGAAGAGCCAGGAGTGACTTCTAATCTGGATATCTACAGAGCTTCTAGACTGAGACCATTCATAGTAGCCTTGTGAGTATAAAATTTGCAGTAAACCCATCATGCTCACTTTTTCTCTTCAAAATACTTTAAATTTACCTGGCAGCATGCTTGGGTCTTTTCTAAGCAAACAAGTAACTGTCTTAGTGATTTTACAGAAAATCAATATAAAGTATCTTCAATTTGTAAGGTATGGTTTGTGTTCCCTTGCTATTTGATTCCTTTGATGTGACTGTTTTCTGTATTGTTAGATTTTTCTTAAGTGTGAAAAGATATATTTCCATAGTTTCATGCAATGATAGAACCCATAAAATACCTAAAATGTTCACCAGAATGTGGGCATGTAGTAATGGTTGTAACGTACGCCAAAGGAAATGTTAAAAATGTTGAATTACTTTGAAAATTCTTGTTGCAAAGGTCTTATTTGCTGTCTCTTCAAAATTTGCAGTTTGCAGACTAGATGTGAAAGCTGTTGAAAATAGATTTAATCGGCTGGGCATGATGGCTCATGTTTGCAGCCTAGCACTTTGAGAGGCCAAGGCAGGCAGATCGCTTGAGGTCTAGAGTTAGACACCAGCCTGGCCAACATGGTGAAACCCGGTCTCTACTAAAAATACAAAAAAATCATCCTGGCGTGGTGGTGGGTGCCTGTAATACCAGCTACTTGGGAGGCCTCGGCAGGAGAGTTGCTCGAACCTGGGAGGCTGAGGTTGCAGTAAGCTGAAATCGTGCCACTGCACTCCAGCCTGAAGTCAGAGCAAGACTGCATCTCAACAACAACAACAACCAAAAAAAAAAAAAAGATAGAAAGAAAGAAAATAGATCAATAGACCTAACCAACTGGCAAGGGCTTCCCAGAGGCTACAACTTCCAAGTCACTAAGGGGAAAGGTGAATTGGTGGCCATGCTTCCATTAACTGTATTTCTGGATTTTCTAGTGTAGAGTGGAAAACCTAATACATATCTTCACTTTTTTTGTTGTTATTTTAGAAGATAATTAACGGTTGATTAATTCTTGTTAATTATTATAGTTGAAATATTGGCTATTTCAGAATGTGAAAGTGTTCTCTCTAATCATCTGAATTGACAATGGGAAAAAACTTTCCTAAATTAAAAATAATAGATATTAATTACATTTAATGTATTGAAAGGAAGAGTTTTGATATTAAAGTTAAAAGGACAAATTTAATGGTTGATAATTTTAGGAGTTGACGGTCCACTCTGATTACTCAATCTTAGATAAAAGCTACTTTATTTATAATTGTCTGAGCAAACTTCATAGGTGAGTTTGGAGGCAGGGAGTATAGAATAATACCATAGATACTAAGTGTCTTTCATATATTATCATCATGGAATTATTGAGAGAGATAGAATGACAGAGACAGGATGACATTCAGAATGTGCTTCTTCATCAATTAGCTTATATAAGTGACTCAGAAATCATCCCAGCTTTTACCCTCCGCCCAGGCTTTAAGCTTGTCTAGGTAACTGGGAATGACTGAGAGCACGGCTTGTTTAACAAAAATGCCATGAGGACTCTCGTCTCATTTTATCATTTGAATCATGGTTGTTCATATCCATGTTTCATACCCGTGGATTCAACTAATCTCAGATAAAAAAATATTTACAGGAAGAAAAAAGCAGGTATACTGAACATGTACTTTTTTTTGAGACAGAGTCTCACTCTATTACCCATGCTGGAGTGCAGTGGCACGATCTCAGCTCAGTGCAACCTCCACCTCCTGGGCTCAAGTGATTATCCTGCCTCAGCCTCCCAAATAGCTGGGACTACAGGCACGTGCCACCACGCCCTGCTGATTTTTTGTATTTTTAGTAGAAACGAGATTTCACCGTATTAGCCAGGATGATCTTGATCTCCTGACCTCATGATCCGCCTGCCTCGGCCTCCCGAAGTGCTGGAATTACAGGCATGAGTGAACGCACTCTGCCAAACTTGTACATATTTTTAATCTTCTTGCTGTTCCTAAACAGTGTGGCATTACAAGTATTTATACAACATTTACATTGTATTAGGCATTCAAAGTAATCTAGAGATAAAGTATTCAGGAGGATAGGTTTACGTTACATGCAAATCCCACACCGCTTACTAATAAGAGACTTGAACATCTTAGGATCTTGGTATGTCAGGGAGTCCTGAACCAAATCTTCAATGGCTATTGAGCGAAAACTTTATAAATCCAGCATGTTTGCATTTACTATGTCTCAGTTTGTACTGGAGCTAACTTATTCGACATGTTGGACAGAGCTCAAGTAGACAAAGAAAATTGTCCACCGGCCTTTTTTTCCTTTTCATCGGGGTAAATAAAAATAAGAGAAAGAAATTCTCACTTTTTTTTTTTTAATTTTCAGAAACATGGATTCTGATGCCCTGCGAGTCTTCCAGAATGAGCTCATTTGCTGCATTTGCGTGAACTACTTCATAGACCGGTCACCATTGACTGTGGGCACAGCTTTTGCAGGCCCTGCCTCTGCCTCTGCTCAGAAGAAGGCAGAGCACCAATGCGCTGCCCTTCATGCAGAAAAATCTCAGAGAAGCCCAACTTCAACACCAATGTGGTACTCAAAAAGCTGTCTTCCCTAGCCAGACAGACCAGACCTCAGAACATCAACAGCTCAGACAATATCTGTGTGCTCCATGCGGAGACTAAGGAGCTCTTCTGTGAGGCTGACAAGAGATTGCTCTGTGGGCCCTGCTCTGAGTCACCAGAGCACATGGCTCACAGCCACAGCCCAATAGGATGGGCTGCTGAGGAATGCAGGGTACGTGATGCCTCTAAGGCAGTTTGAATTATACAGAATCCCAAATAAGAATGATGAGGGCCTGTGACAATGATGGTGATGAGAATGCAGATGATGGAGGTGGTGATTATTCCATGTCAATCATAACACATGAATGTGTCCTTTCAATGTTGCTGGCTAATTTGGCACTCTAATCACAGCTGTGTTGAGACTTCGCTAAAGGAGGTTTCCTTAAAAACATTGTTCAAACATATAGAATGGAGCTGTGGAGCTGGTGGCCAGCACCAAGAACACTTTTCAAAGTCAGGTTATATAAAAGCCAGTTTCTCAGAAAATTGATGATATTATCTGAAGGGTCCCTTAAAACTCTCTATTATGTTTCTATCATTTTTCACATCCAAATTATTAGAATCATATTCGTTTAACTTGGAAAAATCTGACCGCTTCACTCTAACTTAATTTATGTTTCTTTCAATTACAGCCTTTTTTTTTATTGATAAGGGGATGAAATCTACTGTCTTCATCATTGCTAAGCTTCTTGCTTCTTTTGCAGGAGAAACTTATAAAGGAAATGGACTATTTATGGAAAATCAATCAAGAGACACGAAACAATCTAAATCAGGAAACTAGCAAATTTTGTTCATTAGTGGTAAGAATGAAAATGTTTCCTTTGTTTTTACGCAAATAAACACAAAGTTGGCTTATACTTTTTAGCTAAATTCAAACTACCAGTTAAAAGATAGTGATTTCATCCCAAGAAAATGTAGTGATTTCAATTGATATAACAGGAATTGCAAACAGAGAAGCCCACACAAGCTAGCCAAATTAATTCTAGTGTATTGGATAAACGGCATGATGTGTATTCTAGTTCAAATTTGAAGGTTGGCATAAACCTTTTCAGACACTGCAGATGAGACAACATTTCACTAAGTTTGGGTGTGAGGAAGATGAAAGAAATAGAATAGTATATAGAGTAAAAATATAGTAAAAGTAAAAAAAAACTGCATAATATGGTGTATGGCTAAATGTTTTTTAACATGTAGGCGAAGCAGACATGGAAAAATCCTAAAAGAGAGATTAATAGAGGAAACAATTGACCCAGTAAGAACTGTGAAGAAGCGTCACAGTGACGGAAACCAGGAGTCTTTATATAGGTTTGATTTAAAAAGGGAGAGAGAATAGGAACATTGAAAAAGATGGACAGAAAAAGATAGCAAATATTCAAGACTCTTTGCAAGAGTGAGGCAGAAAGTTTATAAATTGCTTAATTACACGCTGCATATAATTATTTGAAGTTTTCTATTGAGAGTGAGAATATGTAATCCTTTTAACCAAACATCTCTGCAGGACTATGTGTCATTAAGGAAGAGGATAATCACTATTCAGTATCAAAAGATGCATCTATTTCTCAATGAGGAGGAGCAACTGCATCTGCAGGCACTGGAAAGAGAAGCAAAAGAGCTTTTCCAACAACTACAAGACAGTCAAGTGAGAATGACCCAACATTTAGAAAGGATGAAAGACATGTACAGAGAGCTGTGGGAGACATGCCACATGCCTGACGTGGAGCTGCTCCAGGTGAGGAGGGAGGGTCCATCCTCAGAGACAGGAAGCCTTTGCTGAACAACGCTGCCAGGACATGCAAATATCACCTGCGTATGTCACTGCTCTAAGCTAAGTGACACATGCTGTCTGACTTCCACCATTACATTTTTCCAGTCATTTATTACTGCATACTTTAGTAATCTTTGGGAAATTTTTGCCAATTTAGTAGATAACATATAACACAGTTCTCTTCAATATAATTTGGAGTACTATCCACAAGAGAGATCATCTAAGATCATTAGAACTCTAGGCCAGGGGAAGGTTAGTAATATCCATGTATATGCCCTAGTTCCTCCTCACTCTCTAATGTCCCACACAGCAGTGATTTGCTGAAGACATTGAGGGGTTTCCCCTTGCCTGGGCAAGGTTTGTCAAAGCTGCTCATCAATGTCCATGTACTCTGTTTCTCATATGGTTCTCTGTTTTAATAGTTGTCATGTGTGGTCAGAGCTTTCCTTGGAAATAAGGTTAGGAAATTAATGACACTGGAAACCTAGATATCTTTGCTTTACTCCATCTTCTCTTGCTGAGCTCCTTTCTTCTTAATGCCCACTGATGAAGCTTTTCATTGTTTAGTTGAGGTTCTGTTATTAACATAGCCTTGAATGATTCCTTAGAGGGAAATAAAAAGATATACATTATTAAAACACTAAAACAGAAAGAAACAAGAGTATGAGAAAAGATGCAGAAGGAAAAATCTCTCATAATTAACATTATATATATATTTTTTTGCAGCATGTGGGAAATGTATCGGCAAGGTGAGTTTACACTAAAAAAAAATGTTATTTCTGAAAAATTTGTTCTCTTGTGAATGAAGGGGATGTATACATTTTGAGGTACTGACATCATTCTCAGTGCCTATTTCCGATTTTGTTTCAAAAGAGGGCCTGAGGTCTTCTTCTCTTTGGTCTGGAAAGTTTCCATCTTACAATTTGTATGAATTAAAATATACATAGAAACAATTTGCCATTCGGAAGTTTGGTTTCCCAATCCATCCATCCTGACCAACCATACCCCACAGATCTTAATACAAAATTACTCTGAGGAATCATAGAGGTGTCTTCTACTCTAGAGGGGTGGGAGGTTAAAAAAAAAAAAAGACAGAGGGAGGAGAGAGATTCCCTAAGGAAGGGCTGAGGAGGGATGTTTTGCTCCTAAAAGCATCAATGACCCGGGCCTCCTCCATCACCATACACCCAGTTCTAGGAAAGACCTCAGGAAAATGGTTACCTCGGGCCCCTCAGCAGCAAGGTTCTCAGGCTGGAATTAGACTCCTTTGTTTTGCACAAAAGATTAAAGACTTTTGCCTCAGTGAACATTCTCTGTTAGACACTGACTAGCATTAGTGACAACTGCAGGCTGAGGTCCCAAAGGTTTTTGTCTGAGTTTTCTGCTCTCTGAAATATTTCCAGGATTTCTGCATACCCTCAAGGGGTGTGATGGGCAGAGGGAGGCAATGACTTTTAATGACTTTAGAAGTTGTATAATGTCTGAGAATAACATATCTGGGGAAACTGGGTTTTTATGCAAGTAAAATTTAGAAAAAGTAACATCCTTATTGCCCCTAGAGTGTGGAATAAAGTGTATACCCAGTTAACCAAAACTGGCAGAATTCTGAGGAAACATCTTATATGAAAATGTGATATCTTTGTATGACTGTGTGATTAGCTCTGGGCCTGGAAATATAACTGAGGCCATTTTTTTTGCAGGACTGATTTGGCACAGATGCAAAAGCCCCAGCCAGTGAACCCAGAGCTCACTTCATGGTGCATAACTGGAGTCCTAGACATGCTCAACAACTTCAGAGGTAAGAGCCAGCTGCTTGGCATTCCAGCCTCAAATTATTTCCTTATTGGTTCCCTTGGTTGAGGCTTTTCCCATTTAAGTTTTGTTAGTTTTGACATGTAGGTAATACATAGTTTTCCGAAACATGTGCATCTTCCCTACCTGCATAGTAATATTACAATGATCAAAACTCAATTTCCTGACTTACAGTTTGACGAAAATGTAAAGCAAGATACATACTTTATCTGCAGAATAAGAGGACAAAGAATATTCAGGTCATGTAGTTATGAAGACACTAGTTCTCATGGCGGCATCGGTATTTCGTGTTTATTCAATTTAATTCAATTTTGAAGGCTTAGATTTGGCATAATGGTTTTTAATTATTTCTATTCTATGTGCATTTACATGCATTCTATAAGTAATTTTTATTATTTACAAAATCAGAACATTTTGATCAACAAAGAAAATGACTAAAATATCCATAATCCAGACAATTCTAATGCCATCAGAAACATCTCGTAACAAGCAGAAGGTGAGGGATCTGTGAACATGACCTAACCATGCTAGGCCCATTCTAGAGAGCAGATCTAGGTAGCAGAGAGCAGGAACCCAGAGTAGATTGAATCAGGGGCTAAACAGATAATGTAAAGCCAGAATATTCTTTTCAGAAACTTATAAACTTTACATGTGTTAATTTCTACCAAATTTTTGATGTTTGAGACTATAGCAGGCATAACTTACATTCCAATAAATACTCACATCACAGCAAATTGATGTCTACCTGTTGATGATCTTAAAGACAAATAATACAAGAAGATTTTTCTATTGAAGAAAAAAATACATTTTAGATATGTTCTGAAACAAACTGTGCAGAGATAGACATTAAATCATTACTTTGCCCAGTGATATGGTCACATTTTTTCTCTATTATTAAAAGAATAATACATAATTGTATATGCTGTAGAGGTGTAATAACATTTCATCTTCATGGATGCATGGGGCTGAACTCTCTTGGCTTCCTTTTTTCTGTATTTTCTTGGAAGAAGAGCAAATGAAGTGAATAATTGGGCCACAGAGCCTCTGTCCCTCATAACACTCACTAATATAATATTTTTTTCCTTGTCAGTGGATAATGCTCTGAGTACGGAAATGACTCCTTGCTATATAAGCCTTTCTGAGGATGTGAGATATGTGATATTTGGAGATGACCATCTCAGTGCTCCCACGGATCCCCAGGGAGTGGACAGCTTTGCTGTGTGGGGAGCACAAGCATTCACCTCTGGCAAGCATTACTGGGAGGTGGATGTGACCCTCTCCTCCAACTGGATTCTGGGAGTCTGTCGAGATTCCAGAACAGCAGATACCAATATCATTATTGATTCTGATGAAAGATTTTTTTTAATTTCCTCAAAGAGGAGCAATCACTATAGTCTCTCCACCAACTCTCCACCTTTAATTCAGTATGTGCAAAGGCCTCTGGGTCGGGTTGGGGTGTTTCTGGATTATGATAATGGATCTGTGAGTTTTTTTGATGTTTCTAAAGGTTCTCTTATCTATGGTTTTCCTCCTTCCTCCTTCTCGTCCCCTCTGAGGCCTTTCTTTTGCTTTGGTTGTACATGAAAAGTTGGTTTCATGATGATTTATTGTGACCTCCCATATATAAGGCAAATACTGTCCTAAGACACTATGTGTGAGAGCCTGTGAGCGCACTGTAACTTCATGGAATGTGATTACTTTATGGTTATAAATGGGATAACCACCTTGAATGTATACATTCATTAATTAAGTTATTTTAATTAATAAATTATTGTGGAATCTTTACTAGAACATCAATAATGGCTTTTTTTGTACAAGTTTTTTGAGATTCATTCACTTACTGTGAAAGTCATGTTCTAATGTATTTAATTCAGAGATTGTTAGTATATCACACTTGAGCAGCCATCAGAGCTCTCTTCTGCCTGGGCACTTTTATCACTTCCAGAAGAATCCCAATACCCCTTAACATTTATTCTGCATTCACCCTCCCCCATTCCTTCAGAACACTTAATCTACTTTTTATGTTTTTGCATTCGGGTAAATAAAATCATACAACATAAGTTCTTTTTTTAATCTGATTTATTTTTCAGAGAGTATGTTTTCAGTTTGTGCACACTGTAAACCATTTGTCTTACTTGTATATTTGAACCAGGCTGGGGTAGAAAAATGAACTGGTGGATATCTCATCTTACAAAGAATAAAGAAGTGTGCTTATTTTCTTTCTAAGTCTGACCAAGTTAAGTTGACCTCACAGACTTTATTATTTCTCAACATCCTAGTTATTAATCTCATTTCAGCTCATACAAAAGTTTTTCAGTGCTGGGTTGCTCTGCTATTACATCTTCTCAAGTATATTATATCAGATTATAACATTCAGAAAACTCTTATACTTATTACTACCAGATTGAAAAGTCCAAGGGGGCAATGGCAGTATTTGTCTTCTTTGCTAATATATTACCATTATCGAATGCGATTTTTAGAATAGATTATACAATAAATAAGATGAATAAATGGATTAAGTAGAGGAGTTAGTATGTATAAATATTATTCTAACATTGAGAAACTTTTCCAAAATGTACGTAACAAAATAGGATAGAACATACTAATGAATATCTATCAAAAGATAAGACATAAATTGATTTTCAGATTGATATCAAAGATAATACTATTATGTTAGGGTTTAAAATAATTGTAGCATAATTTTTATAGGGTTGATTTCAATTGTCTTAGGTTTTTTAATATAAACCTTTGAAAGATGAAGGTTCCTATATAAGATGATGGGGTAGAGGAGCAGGACTTAGAATAGTGGAGACTGGCCTTAAACTGACATATAAATTTAATTACTTGCTAAGCATAAAGTGGTATAAACCTTCCTATGCAGTAGAAAGAACAAAATTAGTTTACACTTTAAATAAGAATCCAGATGGGCTGGGCGCGGTGGCTCACGCCTGTAATCCCAGCACTTTGGGAGGCCGAGGCGGGCGGATCACAAGGTCAGGAGATCGAGACCATCTTGGCTAACACGGTGAAACCCCGTCTCTACTAAAAATACAAAAAAAATTAGCCGGGCGCGGTGGCGGGCGCCTGTAGTCCCAGCTACTCGGGAGGCTGAGGCAGGAGAATGGCGTGAACCTGGGAGGCGGAGCTTGCAGTGAGCCAAGATTGTGCCACTGCAATCCGGCCTGGGCTAAAGAGCGGGACTCCGTCTCAAAAAAAAAAAAAAAAAAAAGAATCCAGATGACAGAGAATGGAAAATTCTATAATAGAATGTAATAGCTACATCTCCTAGGGCACCGGCTTACCTGCTCTAACAAAGACCACAAATTTGAAATGATTCAGAAGATGCATTTCTCTCACATGTTTGTACCAATATAGGAGTTGGTCAAGAAGAAAACTGACATCTTCAACCAGTGAATTTTACCTCTGTGTGCAGGAAACTCCCATTTATTGCCATGTCCCATGCAGCAGGAAAGCCGGAAGAAAAGTAGGAGGGACAAGAGTATTTGGCTTTAAGGAAATCACCTGGTGTTTTTCACAATGCATTTATTCCCATCCTATAGGTTCAAAATTAGGCAGATGGCACACCAAGTTGTAAGATATATCTGGGAATGCTGTTTACACTCAAAACCATATTTATTCTTATCATTTGATTCAGAAAACAAATTAAATGACTGGCACAACTGAAAATAACCCAAGAGATTTGTTCAATGAAACAAAGCTGAACCTCAACCAAATAGATAAGCTGCTGCCTAAGGTTAGCACCATTTCTTAGTATTCAAGAGTGAGTAAACCCTGCTTTTTACCACTGTCGAGGTGTCCAGTGTTGTCCTTTTTAGAGCCTGGCTAGCTGAGGGTTAGATGGCAAGAAACATCATACTTGTATTTTAGTCCCTTAAATGAATGATTTAGATAGGAATGATTCTCCAAATTTTGAAAACACTTATCAGAAATGTTCTCTTATTCCTTCACTCTATACCATGTAGACTATAATAAACTGTCTCTCTTCTGCCTTCACACATTTCATGCAGAACATTAGGGGTTAGCAGAGAGAAAGCTTATCACCAGCTTCTTTTGGACTTGCTGCTTTTTTCCAAGCGATCTGAGATGATAAAATTATTCACCTTAGGGCTCCAACCCAGCACTCCTTTTTTTGATTTTCTCCTATGGTTTGTGAGCTTTTCTGTTGATGCTAGAACTCTATGCAGCAGTCAATGCCTCATAATTTAATTACATTATTTGTTCCTAGTTTTCAAGGAAAAATTTATTCCTGACATTCTTTTAATTTAGCTCAGATTCACTTTGCAGAAAGACAGTATTAGCTACTTTATGATCATTTAGTATTTGACTCTGATTTTGGAAGATGAAAAAGTTTTTGTGTCTATTTACCATGTTTTCTCAACCATTTAACCAAGATAATCTTATTGTATTGATTCTCCTAGAGATACTTAATTCATTTATTATCTTCATCTGTCAGAATTTATGTTAGAATATCACCAAGAATTACTTACAATTGAAATAAATCAGAGAGACCACTAAGAACATTGTCAATCATTAATCCAGAAATCTTGAACTTTCTGAGGTTTTTATCCCTAAAAGAAGTTATTTATCAATAGCCTGGTTACAGATTTTTTATGGAGGCTGAGGCAGGATAATCACTTGAACCAAGGAGGCAAAGATAGCAATGAATGGAGATCATGCCACTGCACTCTAGCCTCGGTGACAGACTGAGTGAGACTCTGCCTCAGTGAATAAATAAGTAAATAAATAAATAAAATCACCTCTTGAATGGAGGGCGAAAAAGGAGTATAACACCAGGACTTGGGGGAAAAATATGCATTAGAAGGGAAGGAGAACATACTTAACATGCCAGTGGAAGATGAAATTCTAAATATCTGAGAATATTTTTGAGAACTATGTTTAATTCTCACTATAGAAAGATGTACCCTTTGAATGACATTAAAAATTCACTAGAAGAGTGAAGAATAATAGTTAAAATGTCACATAAGTAACAAGAGTCTCAAAACATAAAGTGTTCTAAAAGTTTAAAGTCCGTATTTGAGATAGAGGAGAGAATAAATAATAGTTCATTAATTAGACTTTATTATGTGAAAAGACTTTTCTAAAATGCTTCCATAATAATTGAAGATATAAATTACAATAATTAAAATTTACAAAAGAATAAAAGCATTAAAATAAATTGTGAGAATTTTAAAAAAGAGTAAAGTTGAAAATTATTTAATTTTTAATCCCAATAATCCGAAAGTGATTTTATCAATGTCCTAAGAAAATTAAAGTAAAAACAAACTTAATAATGTAAAAGAAGGGAGGTTTCCGCCGGGCTTGGGGCGGGAGCTAGGGCTTCTCTGGGGTCTCAGTAGTGAGAAGCAGGGACCTTGGCGGGCACTAGGCTTTCCCGGACGGTGCCGCGATCCCCCGCCCACGCCTCCGGCATGGTGCTGCTGGCTGGGACTCGGCCGCAGGGTGGCGGGGCGCGCTGCATGATCCCGCCACCGCCATCCCCACTCCTAGGCGCACAGGTCGAGGAGGACCGCACTGAATTCAAAGAGTTCCAGGACTTCTCCAGTCTGCCCGACACTCGCAGCGTCGCCTCTGACGACTCTTTGTACCCTTTCCAGGACGAGGAGGAGCACGGCGTCGAGGGCGTGGAGAGCGTACCGGAGGAGGGCGTCCTGGAGGCGCGGGGCAGAGGCGGACGCTGGTGCGGTGTGGGGTGAGCTTTAAGAAGGCGCGGGAGACTGACCACAATGGCTGGACTGGCCTTAATGTCGCCTGATACCACGACTTTGTGGATATACCGTGGTGGCCTTAGCTGAGTACCCCCACATTGATGTCAACTGGCAGGACAGGGAGGGGAACGCAGCCCTAATCATAGCTGCACAGGCAGGAACTGCCCCTGGCCCCATGGGCACTGTTGCCTTAGACACTGGCTCTCAGCCTTGCCCTTCCTGCGTCAGCATCAACTGGGCTGGTTCATTTGAGCTTTAACACAGATCTGGTGGAAACAGGCTGCCAGGCCCTGCCCCTGGAGTCTTTCTTTGAATAGGCCTGGGGTGGGGCCCAAGAATGAGCAGAAGAACAGGTTTCCTGGTGAGGCTGATGCCGCTGGCCCAGGGATCCCACGTTGAGGACGGAGGGCTTTGAGGTTTTCATGCCTGATAATGGCCAGGAACCCTTCTCAGTAGGCATTGAAGACCAGCAGAGTCCCAGACCCCAGGAGAGATGTCGTCAGACGGACACAGAGGCATCACGGAATTAAAGTGAAAATGAAGAAAGGAGCTGAGCATCTGTTTCATGACTTCCCTGCGTTATTTTACTAAAGAGGCTGTTCTGGCCCAGTCAGGGCACGCTATCATCACCAACTACTTGTTGAACTATGTCCTGGGTCTTGACCTTGAAGGAGGGATGCGTTTGGGTTGAAAGCCGCCATGCAGGGTCGAACCGATCACATCGGAGCCCTGAGCTAGTAGGGGCGGGTGTCCACACGAGGGTCCCTGCCGTGGGATGTCGCCAGAGGAGTGGCCACTTACACGTCCGCCTCATGCAGAGGCTCCTGGAGCGCCCCTGCCGGGAGCGGTTGGGGGAAAAGTACCAGCTTGAGCTGCCTCCGCTCCACGAGAGGGCGCAGAAGCCCGAGGGCTCCAAAAACTGCCTGCCTGCAGAGGGTCAGGAACTGCGAGCTGTCCGCGCTGACGCCGGGCGCCGTGCGTGGCCCAGAGGACCGGGGCGCCCTGGACCACATAGTCAGGATGACCACGAGCCTCTAACAGCCCCGCCGTGGCCTTCGCGTGCCAGACCGTGTGCCCCGAGAGGACCCTGTGCGTGGGGAAGAGGCGGCTGGCGGTGCAGGAAATCCTGGCGACTCAGGAAATTCTGGCGGCGCGGCGTGGGGTCGGTGGGGGCGGCAGGCGCAGGTGGCGGGCGAAACGGAGGGCGCAGAGCAGCACAAGCGGCCTGGCCTAGAGGCGGCGGGCTCCCGTGAGGAATCCCCAAGAGCCGGCCTCCCACCTGCCCCGCTGCCGGGGTCCTGGGGCTCTGCCGACCCCTCCCTGCGGAAGGCCAGCCTCCTGCCCCTGCAGCGCCTGCGGCGGAGCAGCTTGTGGCCAGGCATGGTGGTGCCCCGGGTCCGCCTCAGCAAGGCACCCGCGCCCACCTTCCAGCCCAAGAGGGCAGCGCGGAAGGGCAGCACCAAGGACAGCGGCCACCTGCAGATACCCAAGTGGCATAACAAGGTGGCCAAGGAGGAGAAACCCGAGGCGGAGGAGGCCGAGAAGAAGCGCCAGGCCAAGGTGCAGGAGAAGCGCCCGCTGCCCTGGAAGAAGAGGACGTGAGAGTCCGCGGGTGCTTGACACGGGGTTTGAGGGCAGGGCAAGGCCGCGGGGCTGGGCACCGTGGCTGCTCCCGGGACCACCGGGCCGCGTGTATTTCCGCGCTATCTCTCTAGGATGCTCCCAGGAAGGGGCTGGGGGAGCCACATCGATTCGCCTGACACCAGCCACCCTAGCAATCAGTACACCTAGCGGGCATGTTGCCTAAAAGGCTCCCTTTAGAGAACCTCCGTTAAGATGTTTTTAAAGATCAATTTATTAGGCCGGGCGCGGTGGCTCATGCCTGTAATCCCAGCACTTTGGGAGGCCAAGGCAGGCGGATCTCCTGAGGTTGGGAGTCTGAGACTAGCGTGACCAACATGGAGAAACCCCGTCTCTACTAAAAATACAAAATCAGCCGAGCATGGTGGCACAACTACTCGGGAGGCTGAGGCCGGAGAATCGCTTGAACCCTGGAGGCAGAGGTGGCAGGCAGCCAAGATCGCACCATTGCACTCCGGCCTGGGCAACGAGAGCCAAACTCTGTCTCAATTTAAAAAAATCAATTTATTAAAGGGTATTTTCTGTGTAATTTTGTATTTTTAATCGTTATCCAATTTGCCAATTTTTACAAGTTATAGGACCTCTTGTATCCAAGGCAGTTTTAATACAATTGCCTGAAGACCTTTTATTTAAAATACTGTTCCTAGCAATAAATATTTATGATATCTGTAGGAGTTTACACAGAAATCATGGGATTCTCTCCTTTTGGGCTGTTTGCTTTGTCTTTTCTTCTCATCATGGGTGCACGTGCACACTGGATGTTTTTATTAATTAGATTAAGTGATGCTGGATATTTCTATTTGTTGGAGGGATTGACTCGTTCAGCCACATGATCAAGTGAGACAGAGAGATCAGATTTTATTGTATCTTTTTAAAAAGTGTTATCCATACAGTCGTATATTGGGGAAAAACTTTTATCGTCAAATTATAAAACAATGCAAAGATAAGCATGTAGGTATTGCTAGAATTAAACTCACTTTAAGCAAGGAGTTTTAGATAAACTGGATACAAAATCTTTAACATATTAAAAAAAGATATGAGACAAACGTGTCATTCGATAAAATGGGGGAAATATAATAAATGATTAACAGAAATACAAAATTAAGCCATATATGCACTCAAGTAAATCGAATCCAGGCATCCTTAAAATGTAATAAAGGATGCAACAAGAGTAAGGAGCCCAGAATGATGCAAAATAAAGGAATGGGGAGGAGGTGATGTTTACAACAAGCAAAGAGAATGCAGTGGGAAGCAAACTTGTTTTAGGCAAATTCTCCTGGAGTGGACCAGGCAGCCCTCTCTTCCAGACTCAGTTCCAAAGAGTCCCTTATGTGGGTATTTATTTTATTTTTCCTTTGAGGACTGCACTTGGTGTTTAGTTCAACCTCATGTGGACCTCATGGAATTTCCAAAACATGGGGCCTTGGCATTGTGGCACCTTCCTGCTACACGTACCTAATTCACAGCGTTACCAAGTCACCATGAGCCCTACCCTCACCTCTGTCAGCTGAGGACCCAGCCAGGCAGTGCCACATGGTCTCCCAGGCACACTTCTCCAAGCTGGCTATCCCTGCTGCGAAAATTCTCAAGGCACTGGTCCAGGGAGATGAGCTCTGGGCCTGTCCTAAAGCTCCATTGGTGACTGCACTGCAGCCCACATGGAGAGCTGCAGCTCTAACACAGGGATTTTGAGAGGCCTCGGTCACCTTTAAGTGGCCACTTTGTGGAGCTCCCACAAAGGGCTCCACCTTCCCAAGAACGTCTAATTGTCGTTGGAATAGCCAGGGTTAGGCAGCTTCTGCTCAGGTTGATGTGGCATCTGACCCTTGTTGGATTGCCAGGCATTCCTTCCTGTTTCCGCCATGGGAAGTTAAAAATCATTTAAAAATCAAACTTGGGTTCCAAGGTGGCCGAATAGGAACAGCTCCAGTCTACAGCTCCCAGCGTGAGCGATGCAGAAGATGGGTGATTACTACATTTCCAACAGAGGTACTGGATTCATCTCACTGGGGCTTGTCAGACAGTGGGTGCAGGACAGTGGGTGCAGCCCACCTAGCATGAGCTGAAGGAGGATGAGGCATCGCCTCACCCAGGAAGTTCGAGGGGTCAGGGAATTCCCTTTCCTAGCCAAGGGAAGCTGTGAAAGATGGCACCTGGAAAATTGGGTCACTCCCACCCTAATACTGCATTTTTCCAATGGTCTTAGCAAACGGCACACCAGGAGATTATATCCTGCGTCTGGTTCAGAGGGTCCCACGCCAACAGAGCCTCACTCATTGCTAGCACAGCAGTCTGAGATCAAACTGCAAGGCAGCAGTGAGGCTGGGGGAGGGGCGCCTGCCATTTCTGAGGCTTGAGTATGTAAACAAAGTGGCCTGGAAGCTTAAACTGGGTGGAGCCCACTGCAGCTCAAGGAGGCCTGCCTGCCTCTGTAGACTCCACCTGTGGGGGCAGGGCATAGCTGAACAAAAGGCAGCAGAAACCGCTGCAGACTTAAATGTCCCTGTCTGACAGCTTTGAAGAGAGTAGTGGTTCTCCCAGCACAGAGTTTGAGATCTGAGAACGGACAGACTGCCTCCTCAAGTTGGTCCCTGAGTAGCCTAACCAGGAGGCACCCCCAGTAGGGGCAGACTGACACCTCACACGGCCACTTACCCCTCTGAGACGAAGCTTCTAGAGGAGCGATCAGGCAGCAACATTTGCTGTTCAGCAATATTCACTGTTCTGCAGCCTCTGCTGCTGATACCCAGGCAAACAGCGTCTGGAGTGGACCTCCAGCAAACTCCACCAGACCTGCAGCTGAGGGTCCTGACTGTTAGAAGGAAAACTAACAAACAGAAAGGACATCCACACCAAAACCCCATCTGTACGTCACCAGCATCAAAGCCCAAAGGTAGATAAAACCACAAAGATGGGGAAAAAACAGAGCAGAAAAACTGAAAATTCTAAAAATCAGAGCACCTCTCCCCCTCCAAAGGAATGCAGATCCTCACCAGCAATGGAACAAAGCTGGATGGAGAATGATTTTGACAAGTTGAGAGAAGAAGTCTTCAGACAATCAAACTTCTCCAAGCTAAAGGAGGAAGTTCGAATCCATTGCAAAGAAGCTAAAAACCTTGAAAAAAGATTAGATGAATGGCTAACTAGAATAACCAAGGTAGAGAAGTCCTTAAATGACCTGATGGAGGTGAAAACCATGGCAGGAGAACTACGTGATGAATGCACAATCTTCAGTAGCTGATTCGATCAACTGGAAGAAAGGGTATCAGTGATTGAAGAACAAATGAATGAAATGAAGTGAGAAGAGAAGTTTAGAGAGAAAAGAGTAAAAAGAAGTGAACAAAGCCTCCAAGAAATATGGGACAATGTGAAAAGACCAAATCTGTGTCTGATTGGTGATGAAAGTGATGGGGAGTATGGAAACGAGTTGGAAAACACTCTGCAGGATATTATCCAGGAGAACATCCCCAACCTAGCAAGGCAGGCCAACATTCAAATTCAGGAAATATAGAGAATACCACAAAGATACTCCTCAAGAAGAGCAACTCCCAAACACATAATTGTCAGATTCACCAAAGTTGAAATGAAGGAAAAAATGTTACAGGCAACCAGACAGAAAGGTCAGGTTACCCACAAAGGGAAGCCCATCAGACTAACAGCAGAGCTCTCGGCAGAAACTCTACAAGCCAGAAGTGAGTGGGGGCCAATATTCAACATTCTTACAGAGAAGAATTTTCAACCCAGAATATCATATCCAGCCAAACTAAGCTTCATAAGTGAAGGAGAAATAAACTCCTGTATAGACAAGCAAATGCTGAGAGATTTTGTCACCACCAGGCCTGCCCTACAAGAGCTCCTAAAGGAAGCACTAAACATGGAAAGGAAGAACCAGTACCAGCCACTGCAAAAACATGCCAAATTGTAAAGACCATCGATGCTAGGAAGAAACTGCATCAACTAATGAGCAAAATAACCAGCTAACATCATAATGACAGGATCAAATTCACACATAACAATATTAACCTTAAATGTAAATGGGCTAAATGCTCCAATTAAAAGACACAGACTGGCAAATTGGATAAAGAGTCAAGACCCATCAGTGTGCTGTATTCAGGAAACCCATCTCACGTGCAGAGACACACATAGGCTCAAAATAAAAGGATGGAGGAAGATCTATCAAGCAAATGGAAAACAAAAAAAGGCAGGGGTTGCAATCCTAGTCTCTGATAAAACAGACTTTAAACCAACAAAGATCAAAAGAGACAAAGAAGGCCATTACATAATGCTAAAGGGATCAATTCAACAAGAGGAGCTAACTATCTTAAATATATATGCACCCAATACAGGAGCACTCAGATTCATAAAGCAAGTCCTGAGTGACCTACAAAGAGACTTAGACTCCCACACAGTAATAATGGGAGACTTTAACAACCCACTGTTAACATTAGACTGATCAATGAGACAGAAAATTAACAAGGATATCCAGGAATTGAACTCAGCTCTGCACCAAGCAGACCTAATAGACATCTACAGAACTCTCCACCCCAAATCAACAGAATATACATTCTTCTCAGCACCACATCGCACTTATTCCAAAATTGACCACATAGTTGGAAGTAAAGCACTCCTCAGCAAATGTAAAAGAACAGAAATTATAACAAACTGTCTCTCAGACCACAGTGCAATCAAACTAGAACTCAGGATTAAGAAACTCACTCAAAACCGCTCAACTACATGGAAACTGAACAACCTGCTCCTGAATGACTACCGGGTACATAACGAAATGAAGGCAGAAATAAAGATGTTCTTTGAAACCAACGAGAACAAAGACACAACACACTGCAATCTCTGGGACACATTTAAAGCAGTGTGTAGAGGGAAATTTATAGCACTAAATGCCCACAAGAGAAAGCAGGAAAGATCCAAAATTGACACCCTAACATCACAACTAAAAGAACTAGAGAAGCAAGAGCAAACACATTCAAAAGCTAGCAGAAGGCAAGAAATAACTACGATCAGAGCAGAACTGAAGGAGATAGAGACACAATGAAACCTTCAAAAAATCAGTGAATCCAGGAGCTGGTTTTTTGAAAAGATCAACAAAATTGATAGACTGCTAGCAAGACTAATAAAGAAGAAAAGAGAGAAGAATCAAATAGATGCAATAAAAAATGATAAAGGGGATATCACCACCGATCCCACAGAAATACAAACTACCATCAGTGAATACTATAAACACCTCTACGCAAATAAACTAGAAAATCTAGAAGAAATGGACACATACACTCTCCCAAGACTAAACCAGGAAGAAGTTGAATCCCTGAATAGATCAATAACAGGCTCTGAAATTAAGGCAATAATTATGAGCCTACAAACCAAATAAAGTCCGGGTCCAGATGGATTCACAGCTGACTTCTACTAGAGGTACAAGGAGGAGCTGGTACCATTCCTTCTGAAACTATTCCAATCAATAGAAAAAGAGGGAATCCTCCCTAACTCATTTTATGAGGCCAGCATCATCCTGATACCAAAGCTAGGCAGAGACACAACAAAAAAAGAGAATTTTAGACCAATATCCCTGATGAACATCGATGCAAAAGTTCTCAATAAAATATGACAAACAGAATCCAGCAGCACATCAAAAAGCTTATCCACCAAGAGCAAGTGGGCTTCATCCCTGGGATCCAAGGCTGGTTCAACATACGCAAATCAATAAATGTAATCCAGCATATAAACAGAACCAAAGACAAAAACCACGTGATTATCTCAATAGATGCAGAAAAGGCCTTTGACAAAATTCAACAGCCCTTCATGCTAAAACCTCTCAATAAATTGGGTATTGATGGGACGTATCTCAAAATAATAAGAGCTATTTATGACAATCCCACAGCCAATAAATATCATACTGAGTGGGCAAAAACTGGAAGCATGCCCTTAGAAAAGTGGTGCAAGACAGGGATACTCTGTCTCACCTCTCCTATCCAACACAGTATTGGAAGTTCTGGCCAGGGCAATCAGGCAAGAGAAAGAAATAAAGGGTATTCAATTAGGAAAAGAGGAAGTCAAATTGTCCCTGTTTGCAGATGACACGATTGTATGTTTAGAAAACCCCATCGTCTCAGCCCAAAATCTCCTTAAGCTGATAAGCAACTTCAGCAAAGTCACAGGGTACAAAATCAATGTGCAAAAATCACAAGCATTCTTATACACCAGTAACAGAGAAACAGAGAGCCAAATCATGAGTGAACTTCCATTCACAATTGCTTCAAAGAGAATAAAATACCTAGGAATCCAACTTAAAGAGACGTGAAGGACCTCTTCAAGGAGAACTACAAACCACTGCTCAATGAAATAAAAGAGGATACAAACAAATGGAAGAACACACCATGCTCAGGGATAGGAAGAATCAATATCATGAAAATGGCTATACTGCCCAAGGTAATTTATAGATTCAATGCCATCCCCATCAAGCTACCAATGACTTTCTTCACAGAATTGGAAAAAACTACTTTAAAGTTCATGTGGAACCAAAAAAGAGCCCTCACAGCCAAGTCAATCCTAAGCCAAAAGAACAAAGCTGGAGGCATCACACTACTTGACTTCAAACTATACTACAAGGCTACAGTAACCAAAACAGCATCGGACTGGTACCGAAACAGAGACATAGACCAATGGAATAGAACAGAGCCCTCAGAAATAATGCCACATATCTACAACCATCTGATCTTTGACAAATCTGACAAAAACAAGCAATGGGGAAAGGATTCCCTATTTAATAAATGGTGCTGGGAAAACTGGCTAGCCATATGTAGAAAGCTGAAACTGGATCCCTTCCTTACATCTTATACAAAAATTAATTCAAGATGGATCAAAGACTTAAATGTTAGACCTAAAACCATAAAAACCCTAGAATTAAACCTAGGCAATACCATTGAGGACATAGGCATGGGCAAGAACTTCATGTCTAAAACACCAAAAGCAATGGCAATAAAAACCAAAATTGACCAATGGGATCTAATTAAACTAAAGAGCTCCTGCACAGCAAAAGCAACTATCATCAGAGTGAACAGGCAACCTACAGAACGGGAGAAAATTTTTGCAATCTACTCATCTGACAAAGGGCTAATATCCAGAATCTACAAAGAACTCGAACAAATTTACAAGAAAAAACAAACAACCCCATCAAAAAGTGGGTGAAGGAGATGAAAAGACACTTCTCAAAAGATGACATTTATGCAGCCAACAGACACATGAAAAAATGTTCTTCAACACTGGCCATCAGAGAAATGCAAATCAAAACCACAATGAGATACCATCTCACACCAGTTAGATTGGCGATCATTAAAAAGTCAGGAAACAACAGGTGCTGGAGAGGATGTGGAGAAGTAGGAACACTTTTACACGTTGGTGGGACTGTAAACTAGTTCAACCATTGTAGAAGACAGTGTGGCGATTCCTCAAAGATCTAGAACTAGAAATACCATTTGATCCAGCCATCTCATTACTGGGTATATACCCAAAGGATTATGAATCATGCTGCTATAAAAACACATGCACACGTATGTTTATTGTGGCACTATTCACAATAGCAAAGACTTGGAACCAACCGAAATGTCCAAAAATAAGAGACTGGATTAAGAAAATGTGGCACATATACAACATGGAATACTATGCAGCTATAAAAAAGGATGAGCTCGTGTCCTTTGTAGGGACATGGATGAAGCTGGAAACCATCATTCTCAGCAAACTATCACAAGGACGAAAAAACGAACAGTGCATATTCTCACTCATAGGTGGGAATTGAACAGTGAGATCACTTGGACACAGGAAGGGGAACATCACACATAGGGGCCTGTTATGGGGTGGGGGGAGGGGGAGGGATAGCATTGGGAGATATACCTAATGTAAATGAGGAGTTAATGGGTGCAGCACACCAACATGGCACATGTATACATATGTAACAAACCTGCACTTTGTGCACATGTACCCTAGAACTTAAAGTATAATAAAAAAAAATCAAACTTTCCAGAGAAGACATCTCCAGAGAAGACACACTGAATATGCATCTGCTAGGCTTCAGGCACCCAATAATTACTGCTTACCTAGATATCCACAAATCCTCTAGACATGAGACTATTCATAGCAGATTCTGGTGTGTATCACATTGGTAATAAAGCACTTCATCCTCACTTACTCTAATAAAAATACTTTAAACTTACTTCCCAAGGCACTTTTGTCTGGTCTAAGCAAACATGTAGCTATCCCAGCTTTCTCAGTTATTTTAAATAAATCAATATTTAAAATACCTATAATTAGCGTATTTATAATATATTGGTTTGTGTTATATCAAGTAATTATAGTTTGTTTTATTATGAGACAGACTGTCATTCTGTCACAGGCTGGACTGCAGGGCACCACCATGGCTCACTGCAGCCTGGACCTTCTGGGCACGAGCCATCGTGCTGCATCAGCCCCCTGAGTAGCTGGGACTATAGCATGTGCCATCATGCCAGGCTGATTTCTAAAGGAATGTTTAGTAGACATGAGGTCTCACTGTGTTGCCTCCACTGGTCTGGAACTCCTGGCCACAAGCCATTCTCACTCCTTGGTCTCCCCAAGTGGTGGGATTGGAGGTGTGTGCCACCATGCCTGGGCTCCTATTTTATTCTACTACCTTATGCATTATTTGACATTTTGGGTCTTAAAAGTTATAATTCCACAGCGTTCATGTAATTATGGAACCCATAAAGAGCTTACAATTACCAATATATTATATACATGGAAAAGTCTTTTCTTAACTTCAATTTTATCGTTTAAATTGGCATATGTTTATTAACTTGTTTCTGAGATTCATCAGCTTTGTTGCATTCAGTGAGTTATTTATTGTTTTATAGGATTATTTTGCATAAATACACCAAATTTATTTAGCTATTCTACAGTTGAAGAATATTTTGGGTCTAATTTGGAGCTACTATAAAAATTGATGCAGTGAACAATATTGTGTATGTTGAAGTATATGTAGGCAATCAGTTGACTATATTTTAGAATTAGAATATCTAGCCCATAAGAAATGCTAATAGTCAGTTTCCCAAAAGGGATTTCCATTTACATCTCTCCAGCCATGAATAAATTTCATTTATTCTGTATCTTTGACAACACACAATATTGTGTCTTTAAATTTTGGTATTTTTTTATGAGGGCCTGTGGTACAACTGGTGGATTAATTCTTACTTTTGTAAGACTAATGAAAGTGAGCACTTTTTTATATTTGGCTAGTTATTTATGTATCCAATTCTGTAAAGTGTCTGTTCAGATATTTTAGCCAATCTTCTGTTGAGTTCACTGTCTTTTATTTATTACAATTTAAGTATTCATCATATACATGTATTATATTTTACTTTATGTATGTTGGGGTGAATATCTTTCTCCACTACTGGTTTGCATAATGTTTTTTGAAACACAGAAGTCATCATTATCAATATAAATGAACTAATTGTTTTAATTATTAATTTGTGCCCTGGTTAAGAAATCCTTATGAGAATATTGTATCAGGTTCCCCTTCCTTTCAGGACTTCAATCTATCTGGAAATGACTGTGTATGGTTTGAGGTAGGAGTCAATATTTAGTTACTTTTTAAAAAAAATTTCAATTAATCCAGCATTGTTCTGATCACATTGTGTATTTCAATGTAGACGAGCACACTAATAATGAAGGATTATTTATATCTGTGGTGAGAATTGCAAAATAAAGCCCAGCATAGAAGGTCAAATAGTATTACCTCAAAGGATAGATTAATACAATGAAACCTGATGGATAAGTGTAATATAGTTAGATAAAGAGGAAGAAAAACATTTCCCAGTTATCATTGAGACTTCACTCCAAGTTTTTTGCATGAAGCAAAAGATCCCGACTGTCTTCCATTGATTTTTACTTCATTCAGACATGTCTGTCATCTATTATTTCACTCAGTGACAGTCATAAATAAAGAAAAAAAAGAGAATATACTGTATGCCATGATCATGAATAATGATTTTTCAAAAATTATTTAATAAAGAACCAATACGTATACTTTTAGCGTTTTCAGCATATTTAATAGTAACACAATAAATGAGTTTTGATAACATTAGAAGGCAATTCAAGACATAAAATAGAGCCTATTTGTCCTGTATGTTAAGGCACAAGGAAGAGGACTTCCTGGGATAAAGGGGTTCCCACAGCATGTGAACACATTTCTGATTTGTCTCTGGTCAGAAGTGAATACAGCAAAAGATAGGCCTGAGAGGAGGTGAGAAAGAGCAATTAGGGATGGTGTATATTAGGGAGCTTTGATTAACATCAACAAAGCTCACAGTCTTAGCCTCACAATCCAGGAATAATCCTACTCGGCTGGTAGGTTTTGGGATATATTGCAGCATAAGTGGGGAGGTGGTAAAGAGACTGCATTGAATGTCATTCTTAATACACCCAAGAAGAAAGAGTCCCTCCTTTCCATCTATCTTCTCATTCTGATTCTTCTCCTTCCGATACATATTACAGACACCAAAAGCCCAATTCCAGGAGTCCCCTACATGGACCTCCCAGTAATATTTGCCCGAGGTGAAAGTCTGAACACCCCATGCAAGAAAACTTCTAGGTGTTGCAGTGAAATAGGGTACATCTTGATGGTCACATCCAATACACATGCTTCTCAAAATTTCATACAGAAAGATATCACTGTTGGCTTCTTCATGATGCAGAGTAATATGCACTGCAAAAAAAAAAAAAAAAAGAAAACATGCATAGACATGTGTAAATAAGAAAAAAATAATTGTTCTATCAAGAAGTTACTTTACCAGCAAATGTAAAGTCATAAAAAGTTTTGCTTGTAACTTCTAGTAAAGTATAGAGATGGTTAATATTATATACAAGACAAACAAAACCCTAACCACAGATATTATGTTTTTTTTTTGAAAACTTACATATTGAGAGCCAAATGTGAGACCAACTTCTTTCAATCCAATTTTCAAAGTAAAATTTACACATTATATGCCCTAAATGCAATGCTGTTATCAAGATCATTATTTAGAAATGTTTCTTATTCTTAAAAACTAGTGCTATCATTTTGGAAAGAATGTGAATGTGAAGATTTTCACTTAAGAACTGCTCTAGATATCTGGATAAAAATCCATATGTACATGTTATAAGTGATAATTTAAAGCAGATCTCTGCAAAATCTTTGACCAGTCTCTCTGAGGTCCTCCATGCTAGCTCTGGGCTGAAGCTGGATTTTAGACTTAACATGTAGCTCTTCATATTGCAATTAAACTGAACTTATTTTCATTTGTAATTTTACTTATATCCACAAAATGATTTCTTCCTTTTAGCTTTACCTATTAATTCAAATGTTTGCAATATATGAATAATATATACACATTAAAAAAATACAAAACCCCCAAGAATCTCCAGAAAACTATATTCCCCTAAAGAACAGTTCTTAGCAGTTCAAATGAATACACTAAAGAAATGCACAATTTTGTATTTAACATTAAATAATTCACCATTCTGAGCATTATTTCATTTGCTCCTTTTTAAAATTTTCTACACTACTCCTTTTTCCCGTTATATAACTCAGTACATATTATGCCAGAAAGTATTTCTTTTTCACTATCTTTCAAACTTAATGCTATAAATCTGACTGTAAATACAGACACGGATACCAAAGGGTTGCATGGTTATATTGTTCACTTATGTCTTAAAAGAAGTAAAATATTTGATAAAATATGAAATATTACCTATGTGATCCTAACAATAATAATATTTAGATAGTGGGAGTGCTGCCTGTGGGTGGAGACTTACCTCGGAATTGGTTGAGCCTGTCCCTCAGTCCAGTGATGGGCCCTGCACTGAGCTCTGGATTCAGAGGCTGGGGCATGTGCAGCAGCACGGACTCACTCCTGCAAGGAAAAACCTGCAGTTACAACATCTACAGCCATAAAATAAATAAAAATCACTATTTGTATATAAAAGACATTTCATGAGAATCCTTTGAATCTACACATTTGATAATTCAAAAATTAATCCTTCCTTTTGCAAATTAATTCTTTACAGTTTCTAAATTTTAAAGCATGATGGAAGAATCTAAGCCAGAATCCAATCTGATCCTTCTTTTTTTTTTGCTCCAAATGTGTAAGGTTCCTTAGCTTTATGGCCTTGAGAATATTTAGAAACGAAATTCTGAGTTCCACTTCTTGGCAGACTCCCCTGACATCTTTGTCTGAAATAGCGGGGTTTTGGGGAGACTGATGCATCCACTGCTTCCTTCTCAAGATAAAGAATGGAAACTTGTTCTCTCCCCTTTTAGCAAAGAACTTCCCTAGAGACTTATACAGTTCTAACACTCCACAGTTTTTTTCAATCTATTTTTCAGAACTGTTAACTGATATGTATATATGTATAAAAAACAAAACATCAACACTTTTTCGCTGCTAAAATACTTCCTCCTCTTCTCTCCTGCTTCCTCTGGTGACTTTCTCACCATTCACAAAACAAAACTCTTATCTTTCTCCTGTGCAGGCTTTCAAGCAATAAAACAAAATCAGGGGCCGGGCACGGTGGTTCACGCCTGTAATCCCAGCACTTTGGGAGGCCGAGGCGGGCGGATCACGGGGTCAGGAGATAGAGACCATCCTGGCTAACATGGTGAAACCCAGTCTCTACTAAAAATACAAAAAATTAGCCGGGTGTGGTGGCGGGCGCCTGTAGTCCCGGGTACTCGGGAGGCTGAGGCAGGGGAATGGTGTGAACCCGGGAGGCGGAGCTTGCAGTGAGCCGAGATGGCGCCATTGCACTCCAGCCTGGGCGACAGAGCCAGACAGCGTCTCAAAAAAAAACAAAACCAGGAATCAAATTGTTTGTTTTAGTTCACTCTTCTTTTATTCATTTATTTACTTCGTGGCCTTGTCTTTTAAGGTGTGGGAACGAAAGTAGATGCAAAAAAAAGTGGTATCAATATCTTAATTATTTATGCCATGACTTTAATAGAGCCTGCTTTGATAGTCGTGGAATCTTAAAGAACATATGCTAAAATCTAGGTACACACTCACCTGTGTAATATGTCTCCAAAAGCCTGAAAAAAAAAAAAAGAAGAAAGATTTAGTGCATTTCACAAGATGCATCTTTCACTAAGTTCAGTGTGAGATTTGTACTCAGTTTCTGAAGATATTATTTCCCTACCATCTTCTCTTCTGGAAAGTATTTTCTATTTCTTCTGTAATGAAAAACCCAGTCAGTTGTATTGTTATTAATTAACGTCCTGGGAAAGTCTGAGTCTTGAAGACATTCTCTAAAGAAGTGAAGGGAGAAGAGGCCCAGAAGGTCTATGGTCTGTGGTAACCATGAAAAACCTACTCAGTCATCTTTAACTGAACCTGTTACCCAAATGAGTGGACCCCAAAATAATGTTAATGCAAACCTAGATTCCCAAAACTTCTGATCTTGCCATGTTTACAAATTAACCTAAATGTAAATGAATCACTCACTATTCTATACATGTTTAACAACCCAAAGTATATTATTGAATTAGATGGGGAATATTTCTTGGGGCTGTTACCTTGACCATTCCACAAAGTTTTGTGGCTGGTGGATAAAGTAGGAGGGACCTTTGCCCTGGTAGAATCCCTTAGTGGGGCTATACTCTCCCAACAAAGTAGCATTAGTTATGTGAATGTGTTTTTGGAAACACATCATGGAAATAAAAGTAGGGAGATGGATTTCAGCCATGAGGAAAATACTTATACATGTGAATATTCAAAAACCTGAAACCACATGGCGAGTTTTTACCTGAAGTAGCTCCACATCTGGTTTATGGCACATTTCGTTCAGCTCCTCATACATTCCTCTTAAAATCTCCATCCTATGAGCCATTTTGGCTTTACTTAAATGAAGTCGATGAAAAATTTCTTTCCCCTTCTTTTTCAGCATCTCCAAATTATGTTTTTCTTCTTCATGATGAAATGCAGGCATCTTCTGATACTCAGCTCTAATTGCTTCTAGCCTTAAATTCACATAATCCTGCAGTGATAATGGGTTAGTCAAAAGAGAAATGTATATATCCATCTCCTATTAAATCTCACTGATTCCTTTTGTCTCTCGAACGTCCAATAGTTCAAACTTCTGTCTTGCCAGTTCTTAGAATCTACAAATTTTGTTCCTTTCCTTTTTTCTGCATAAAGATCAACATAGCTGTATCTGACCAATTACGTTAAATTTATTCAAGATAATGTGTTTTCTAAGATAGTTGAAAACAAAAAAACACAATTTGAATTTCTCTATTCCAACCCATATTTATGGCAAAGTAAGAACAGTTCATGCTTGAGAGTTGGAGTATAGGGCTATAGTTACTAGAAAGGAAACAATTCTTTCTATTTCTGAGATATGCAACAAGTTGCTTAAACTCATTATATGAAAATGACCTTAGACTAGCATGTCCAGCTAAGTGCATTTCGCTCAGCAAAACCTATCCTAATAAGGCTGCATTTATGATTTGGCCATCTTTGTCTCCCTGAATTCATTTCCTTCTATTCTTTTTCTAAGTCATCCCAGTCTGAAACATAGACTTCTTTGTGGTTCCTCCGGCCTCCAAATATACACAAACTCAAAATTACTGCATATGCTATTCTCTCCAACTAGAATTACATATATATGTATACAAACACACACACATACATACATACATACATACATACATATATACACACAACCACACACACATACATACATATACACACTCATGGTCCACATATATATCCACACACACATTTGTGTTCCCCCTCCTCTTGAAAACTTTGTTTCAATTTGAATTTTTCAGTGAGTCTTTTTTCTGACCACCCTATTTAAAACTCAAACACTAATCTCCAGTTTCTGGCCTCTATTGTCCTTTTCTACTTCCCTGCTTGATTATTCTCCAACAAAAACCTACCACACTCAAATACATCATGTATTGCATATATTTGTGTATTGACCATTTGACTCTCTTATTTGGATTGTATGATTTGTGAGGACAAAGGTGCTTCCTTTCTTCTTTACTAGTATATTTTCTAATTTAATATTCAACATAGACTAGGTTCTCATGAAATACTTTTCAACAAACTAATCTTAGCTATCATACCCTCAAAATATACATCCACAAAGAGAAAATTATTTTAATGTTTTTCTGAAGTCCTCAGAGTTCTCCTTATGTTTAGATACTAGTTCCCATATTTCTGGCATGTTTACATGTCTCCCTCAAGACACAAATCCGTATTTCTCACCGCTTTTCTCATCGTATGTTATGTATTATTCAATATTAATTAGTTGAGATTCTTAATTTCATGGTTTCCCTAGATTTGCCCTGTCACTTTTTCTGCCTCAAATTTTCCATGCAATTCCAAATACTACTTGCACACTAGCATTCAGATTAATGCTGACCGACACTCAGAAGTTTCAGTTGAGCATTCCATGACTGCCAAATAACCCTTTTGCCTAGCATTTATCCAACCAGCAAATATAGAATGCTTTGAGATGGCCCAGTTTCTTGGATCTGTTGGTGTATAACTATAGGTTTGTATGAAACAAACCAGCATGCTTTGGGTGACATCAGTAGTTTTCTTAGAAATCCTACCTAACAGGCATACTATTCTGTATAAAAATGAGGCCACTTTTTCTCAATGTTTTCTCTCGCCTTTTTTTTTTTACTGTATCCCAGAAACATTACAGTTTGATATCAAGTTCCTATTTTAAGAGTCACCCATTTGCCCACCATAAGTTCCTGGAGAAGGTAGAGTAGTACAGGACTAACCTTCCAGCATCTGGTTCTGGTGGTTTCCACATTCAGGTTTCTGTGATTTTCACAAGCTTTTTCCCACAAAGACTGCATTTTCTGTAAAAGCTTCTCCTGCAAAAGAGCCATAAATTGAAGCACCAGTGCAGACCATGACATAGGGAGGGGGCCCAGAATGAGAGACAAATAAGCCCCTAGTAAATGGCATTTCCTTTGTTTCCCTTCATGTTTGTCAAAGCCCAGAGGTTGGAAGCTAAGAAAGCCCAAACAGAGCTGCTTAAAGGGACTCAGAGTTGGCTTTACCTAATCTCCAAGAAAATAGACCCACAGGAATTTTATGCTTCCTTTACAGAAATCGATCTTCAGAGCCATCACTTACCCGGTGTTCCTCAGCAGCCCACTCAATGGGACGGTGTCTGTGATACCGGTGCTCCTGAGAGCTGGAGCACAGCAAACAGAGCAGGCTCCTGTCCACTTCACAGAATATCTTCTTTGTCTCCCTGTGAGTGCCACACATTTGCTCCTCAGAGCTCAGGAATAGCCAGAGACTGACTTTTCTGGCAAGAGAAGCCATCTTCTTCAAATGAATGTTGGTTTTGAGGTTTATCTGCTCTGTTGACTTTGTGCATTCAGAGCACTGGACAAGAAATGGGATGTCTTGCCAGTTGAGGTAGAAACAAGGCCTGCAAAAGCTGTGCCCACAGTCTATGGTGACCGGGTCTATGAAGTAGTTCATGCACAGGGGGCAGATGAGTTCCCCCTGAAAGACCTGTAAGATTCCAGAATTCATGTTTCTGAGGAACAAAGAGAAACATGTCATTTTGGGGCCTGGGTTGATGAAAAGCTTCTAAACATGTGGAGATATGTGATAGTTATATTTTCTTCTCTTGACAGTGTTCATTAAAGTACAACAAACTATTTCTTCTGTTACAAACTTAAAAATTTACACTTAGAGGGAGTCTCCTGGCTTTATAACAGATATTACTAACCAGAGGACTCACAGTCCCTTCTACTCCTAGTTCCTGTCTGTAGCATAATACAAACCTATTCAACTACCCATTTTCTGAACATAGATCTGGAAATTGGGTTTTGATTCTAAGTGGTCAGAATAAATCATAGTTGTCCCTATTCTTCTTTCAATAACTGATGAATGACTGTGAAAGAGTGGGAGGGAAAAAACTATCCAGGCCAAAGAAATATGAGAAGATGGCCAAAGAAATATGAGAAGATGGTTCTATGACATATTTTTATAGAGGGTCACAAAAGCCGGGCAGCAAACCACCATGGCACAAGTTTATCTACATAACAAGCCTGCAAGTCCTGCAGTTATCCCAGGACTTAAAATTAAATTAAATTAAAAACAAAGACCCAAATCAAAACAAAATTTAAAAAAAGCCAACCAACCAAATAAACAAAGAAAAAGACTGCAATTAAACCAATCAAGTTTCACTAGTAGGGAAAAGAAAAATTATTAAAGATATTGGGTCTTTTTATTTTCTTGCGGATTAAATTAACTTCCCCTAGGGCTGTGCAAGCTCTGAACTAACATATAGGAGGTTTTTGTTAAACTCAGAGAGGTGTAATTATATTTCCATAGTGTGATGGTGAATTTTAGGTATCAGTCTGACTGGATTAACCAACACCTAGGGAACTAGTGAAGCATTGTTTGTGGGTGAGTCTGTGAAGGTGTTTCTAGAGGAGAGAGACATGTGAGCTGGTGAGCTGAGTGGGAGCCTCATCTCTCAATGTGTGTGGGCACCATCCAATCAGCTGACACCTCAGATATAAAGAAAAAGGCAGAAAAAAGGCAACTTCCTCCGTCTCTCTCCTGAAACTTGTTCTGAAGCTTTCAGACTTGAGCTTAGCCAGGATACCGGTATTCTCAGGACACCAGCTTAGAGACAGCCTATATTGGAACTCTCTAGACTCCATAATCAAGCAAATTAATTTTCCTGATGAATTCTGTCCCATGTAGAATCATGTATAGCTTGTGGACAGATGTATGTTCTGAGAAATATGTCAGGTGTTTTTAGTTTTTTTTTTTGTTTTTTTTTTTGAGACAGAGTATCCTTCTGTCACGCAGGCTGAAATGCAGTGGCGTGATCTCGGCTCACTGTAACCTCCGCCTCCAGGTTCAGAGCGATTCTCCTGCATCAGGTTCCCAAGTACCTGGGATTACAGGAACGTGACACTAGGCCTGGCTAATTTTTGTATTTTTTTAGTAGAGATGGGGTTTTGCCATCTTGGCCAGGCTGCACTTGAACTTCTGGCCTCAAGTGATCTGCCTGCCTTGGCTTTGCAAAGTGCTGGGATTATAGGCACGCGCCACAGTGCCCAGCCAGGCGGTTTCATTGTTTTAATATGATAGAATATACCACACAAATCTAGATGGTATAGCCTACTACACCTATGGTATACACTATAGCCTATTGTTCCTACAATAGGCTACAAACCTGTACAGTATGTTCTGTACTGCATACTGTAGGCAACTGTAACACAATGATAACTATTTGTGTATCTAAACATAATTGAATACAGAAAGGGTACAGTAAACATATTGGTATTATAATCTTATGGGACCACCATATGTGGTCTGTGGCTGACTCAAATGGCCCATGAATGTATCTGCACACATATATGTATACATCCTATGGTTCTGTCTGGAGAACCCTGACTAATATAAAAACTATAATCTTTGTTTTGGCAATTTTAAATCCTTTAGCATAAAGCAGCATAAAGCTGCTAGTTTTATATCACTTCTGAATTTAAGTGAAAGCAGTGAAAAATCTTAGAATTGCAAATATTTTCCAGAACTCATCTAAGACATTTTAAGAAATTTTTCACAGTTTAATAAGATTGAGACTCAAGTGAGATGACAATCACAATCACATACCAAATTAGGTCTTATAAATTTACTTGTTCGAAAAATTGTGTTTTGATTTCTAAAGTAGGATATTTTGGGGAGCTTTCTCATTGTTTTAGTTTCACTATTTTGCATCGCTCATCATTACCTTACTAATTTAAAGTCATGTCTAAAACCTGAATGTTATGAAAGCAAATAACTTCATCATTCATTAATGTCTTCTCAATTCAATTTGACAATATTAATACACTCATTACATACATATACACACACACCTATGTGTACATATATGTATCAACTCCATATATTCATTATGAATACATATCTGTTGCAGCAAACACTAGATATTTTAAGTTTTTCAGAACTATATTAAACAATCATAGAAAGCACAAAATAACAACAATTAGTATCCTTATAATTCATAAAATCTATAGTAAGAACATGAGTTACAAATGGTATCATTGTGTAGATTTAAGATAATGAGATATTTTTAACACTCTAATTTATTATTGTGTAAAGGAAAGATGATATAATTTTATCAATATGTTTCACTCACCCTGGAGTTCTTTTAATGGTTCCCACAACGATTTTTCCAAAAATAATTTTGTTAAGTTCACCTCAAGGTCAGAAGCTCATTCACTGCAGTACTGAATTTCAGAGGTCGCCAAAATGCAGTTCTAAGTGCAGTCCTTCTCCTTCAGAGAAAACTGAGCTTGTCTCTTCCGTGTCCTTTTATAAGAACCTGTGAAGACCACACCCACCTCTTTATGGGTATTTAGAGCATTCAGAAAGGTGGAGACAAAGATGATTAGGTTTATGCAGTATTTAGAACACACCTTTGCAGCTCTGATTAAATTATCATCACACTTTCATTCTGAACACCAGTGCCTGAATGAATCACATGTAACATAAATCCTGTCAGAGCATACATAGGCTAGAAATTAACTAAGATGCATTTTATACTGTTTATTGAGTTTCTTCCATGATACAGGCATTCCTCTAAGTGCACATTTATTTATTCTAGAGAAAGGGTCTCCTTCTGGAGTGCAGTAGCATAATCATAGCTCCCTGCAGCCTTGAATTCCAAGTAATCCTCCTGCTTCAGCCTTCCAAGTAGCTAAGACTTTAGGCTCACACTATATCACCTGGCTAATTTTTTTTGTTGAAATTTTTGGTAACGTCAGTGTATGACTCTGTAGCCCATGCTGTTCTCCAGCTCCTGGCTTCAAGTGGTCCTCTGGTCTCGGCCTTCCAAAGTGCTAAGAGTACAGGTATAAACCACCTCATCCAGCTTAAATGCTGCTTTAGTACATTTATAGGATATTTCCAGAGAAGTCCAATGGAAGATAAAACTTTCCTTTTTGTTTTCTGTTTTCTACCACTCTAAGAGAAATCACTGATTAACCAAATAAACCCACTAACCTGGGGTCTCTCATTGAATTTACAAAACTTCACCAGTCTCATGGGTGAAAGATGAGTTATTATTTTAACGTTTTTCTCCATATAGTGCATGATGTCCTACAATGACTAGGAGTGCACCACGGGAATTATTTTGGGGATTACACATAACTTTTAGCATATAGGCAAATTCACAAATACAGAATCCAAATGATAGAGATGGACTATATTTTTCTTTCTATACCAAGTCTTTTTGTTGTTATATGAAAATTATTTTTTTTAAAAAAGAGATTTCAGAAGGGACTACTCAAATATCTTCTGATAGAGGAATTCTTTGCCAATGGTCCAGAAGACTTATGGTCAAGACTGTCAAAACAGTGAAGACAAATCTATCAGACCCAGGTCTGTCCAGGTTCAAAGACAAAAGCAGAACCCATAAGATATATGTATAGTTAGGGAGATTCACATATGAATTAAGTGCAAAGACTTGACTTACCCAATTGTGGGGGCTGCTTAAGCAAATGTGAGATCCTGGGTACAGTCCACCAGGAAAAGAAATCCCCCGCTGGCTGGATCCCAGTGGTCATGAATCAAAGCTTTGGTTTAAAGTCAATAGGGGGCAACTGGAAGATTAGAGTCCCATTTGCCATTTAAAATGTTGTTCAAGGAATGCCTATGTGTTTCTTTAAAGGACTTTCACTGATGAAGTCAGGCTTACTTGGGTACACTTCCTAGTTACAGGATTAGGACCTTTGCTCGCATCTGCAAAATGCCTTTCCAGCAGGTCTTAAGTAAGTGTTTCATTGAAGAATAATAAGGTATGTCTATGCCACAAAATGGCTACTGCCCTCATTTCCCTCTTTGTACATACATGTACTCAAGTTGACACATCATAAAATCATCCAGAGTTTATATTTAATTAAATAGAAGGAATTGAACAATAGATTTTCTTGTTCTATTGTCAGTTTACTATCCAAGACCACCAACTGACTGACCACCCTGTATGCACATTCTGTACCTCAATAAATCTAAGTAATTAACCAAAGTGTCCACACAGAAGTAAGATCTGTGCTGGTTGTGTGTGGGGGCCCTCTTGGCTCAGTCCTGGACTCCAGAGTGGGAAACTTGTGAAACCCTGGGTCATGGACTTGATCCTGTGGACATTCTCTGCTTAAATTCTGGAGCTCCGTGGCGGGGCCCTGGTACTCCATTACAAGGTCTGATGATGCTGTGTATCAGGAAGGAATTAAGGCAAGGAGAGAAAGGAAGGTAGGTAGCTTCTGATTTTATTTCAACCACTTTTTGCACCACATCATTCACTTATTCAAACACTCAGCTTTAGGCAGTTGAAGCCTAGAGCACTGGAAATTAGGAGCTTTCAATTACAGACCTACCTCTGTCTACTGTGGCATTATCAAGGAAACAACCTATTTTCCTACTTGAGTCTCAGACCATGAAACAAATATAAGAAAGTAATTCTCTTTAGAGTTGGCATTTTGTAGGTTCCAAAAGTCCTACCCAATCCAGAAGAGAGAGTAGAGGTGGGTATAGGCAAGAACAATCCGTGATGTGGATAAAGGACACTCCAGCCAATTTGGAATATTTCCTTATTTCCCAGTGCTTCTCCTTTTAATAAAAAAGATACTTTTTTGTACATGAGACTGTTTCCATTCTAGCATCTGAAACCTACCTCTACCACAAAGTTTTCTGTTGAATTACACATCTATTTTTGAGAATCTGGTAATAGACTCTTTTGTTCATCTGGGTTCTAAAACTCATTGGAAAATCTTTGTATGAAAGTTGGTGATCTATTTCTCGTTCCTTAACATATGTAGAAATCTGACTTTATTTAATTCTGGAAATTTTTAAATTTTTATAAAAATGCCATTCTATGATAAATACCATTTAAAACCTAGGTATTATAACTACTTTGACATTTTGTTTGTTTTATTTGCGCACATGGAGAGAATTCTGCATATTTTTTCCCATGCTAACAAAATTTATTAATTTTCCACAAATTTATATTTTGCTTTCTGGATCCTGAATGTCCAGGGCTATCTTTTCTTTAACGCTTTTTTTTTTTTTGCATTTCTTCTCAATTGTTTTACCCGTTTATTGTCTATTTTTCTACAAACCCCAGTCATTTTCTCTTGAAACCTCTTATCTATTTGAGTGGAGAGAAATATGTTAGAAAAAGGAAGGGGACAATGTGATACATGGGCTATGATGTACCAGTTACTGTGCTGTCTCCATGCACACATTGTTCCTAATCTCCACAGAAAACATGCAATATGTGTAGCATTGTCCCAACTTTACATATGAGCACATAAAAGGTAAGCTTTTCGTTGTTGTTGTTGTTGAGTCCGAGTCTCACTCTGTCGCCCAGGCTGGAGTGCAGTGGCGGCGTGATCTTGGCTCACTGCAAGTTCCACCTGCCGGGTTCACTCCATTCTCCTGCCTCAGCCTCCCGAGTAGCTGGGACTACAGGCGCCCGCCACCATGCCCGGCTAATTTTTTTGTACTTTTAGTAGAGACGGGATTACACTGTGTTAGCCAGGATGGTCTCAATCTCCTGACCTCGTGATCCGCGCGGCTCAGCCTCCCAAAGTGCTGGGATTACAGACGTGAGCCACCGCTCCCGGTCGTAAGCAATCTTTTTATGGTCCTGTTTCCTGTATGGGATGGATTCAGGGATCAATTACATGTCGTCAACTCCATAAATCCTCAAATCTCTCAATGTATTTTCTCACTTAGAGCCACAGAAACACATATGATTCCTTCTGTGCTTGTGTGTTCAGGTGAGGTTCAGCCTACATTCTGAAGTTTCTTCCTCTGATGAATGAAACATTGAGTTCTTGAATATAGCTACATTATCATTAGGCTGTAAAAATCAGAATCAAATAGGTTTCCTTCCTTGAGAAAATAATGGAGGCAACAATTACAAACAGCACTCTAGGTTTTAGATTTCAATCATGTTTTTCCTTTTCTATTCTTTTTTCTTTTCTTAGAGACAGGGTCTCACTCTGTCATCCAGACTATAGAGCAGTTGCTGGATCATAGCTACTGCAGCTTCAACCTCCTAGGCTCAAGTGATCCTCAACCTCGGCCTCCTGAGTAGCTCTGACTACAGGCAGACACCTGCACTTCAGGTTAGTTTTTAAATTGTTTGTGGAGATATGGTCTTCTTATGCTGTTCTGGCTGGTCTCAAACTCCTGGACTCAATCCTCCTGCTTCGACCTTCCAAGGCACTGGGATTACAGGCGTGAGCCACGGTTCCCAGCCTCGAAGCATTTTCATAGCAAAGAGTTAACAGAACATTTTCTTCTCTAGATTCAGTAGACACAAGATTCTTATATTTTATTCTTCCCATATCTGGCTGTGTATCCTGTTCGCAGACATTACATTGCCAAATTTGTTTTCCATTCATCTTTCCTAGCACAGTATAGAAAAACGAGTACTGTGGAGTAGAGTTTTCACATTCTTTCCTGAACCCTGCCAGTTCTAATGGTGCTCATGGACTTAGCCATTTCCCTTCACTGGAATCCATTCTTGTTTATAAACAACAGTAAGTGTTGTTTATAAAATTTCCAAGGAACAGAGCAGAATGTAAGGTTAGCATATCTTGTGTTTTTACCTCCCCTAAGCCCAAAGGATCATGAGTACTACATACAGAAATCTTTCCTCCTTACCCCTGTCACATTCTACTTGGATGCTGTGGAGAAATAAACCCAGTGTATCCCCTTCTGCTATACAAAATAATACTATTTGGCTTAAACTGATGTTTGTAAAATTTCATCCACAGATTTCAGTCACATTTTCAAATAAATCCATTATAAAACCATGTAATACAAGTTGACTGTTTGTTATTCACAATGTTAGGGCCAGAAGAATTTCAGGTTTTGGATATTTCTAGATAGCAAACTCATCTTTTCCATGTTCTGATGCCCGTACCTGCCTCTGCAGCCTCATCTCCCATCAGACCACTCTCATTCTTGTCACTCTAGCTCCGGTGGCCTGGAGCTCAACTGTACCAGGCTTCCTCCATCCAGGAAGCTTTTGCGTCTGCTGCTGTCACTGCAAAGAAAGTTTCTCTCTATCTCTCTTTGCCAAGTTAATGTATTCCTATTCCTCAAATCTCAATGCTTTCATATCTTCATAAAAGCCTGGCATAAGCTGGCATTCAGCACCTCCCTCCTACTACCGACCCTGAAAACATGTACTGCTCATTTATTGAGCTTATAGTTCTAATTGTATATTTACTTGTGTGATTCTTTAATTATGATACATCTCATTCACTAGTCTGGATGTTCTAGCAGGACTGAAATTGTCTATTATGGTTTAATATAATTTATTTCTAATACCTAGTTTATTGTCATTAGTATATGCTTGTTGAAGAATAAATAAAAAATCTTTAATGGAAATATAGATGATACATTTCAGTTTAAAATAATAAAGCAATTGTTTTTAATTGTGAGGGCATTGTTTGTGAAACAAAACATTACTTAATGAAATAATTGTTTCAGTTGTAATGTCTGTGAACAACCTATGTCAGGTTAAGATTCTTGCATCTCACTCCAAAATCCTCTACCTTCTGTTGGGCTATAATCCCCTAGGCATGATTGTCTGTACTTTATAAATCTGATCACCCCATGTTACACCCTTCCCCAATGTTACACCCTTCTGTGTAACCTAATCTTCCATTTCCACTTCTTTCTCCAGACAGTAGCCAATCCCAGGAAGTGAGAGTGTTCTTAGGTGAGTCTAATCACTTAAAAAGCAGAGTTGTCCAGGGAAGACTTCTCCAGAGAAGTCAGACTGAATTCGTGGAGGCTGGGCTTTGGTGAGCTCAGTGTTGCTGCTGACCTGGATATCCACGAATCTTCTAGACTTGAGACAATACATCGCAGATTCTGGTGTGTATGACATTTGTAGTGAAGCCCTTCATGCTTAATTTTTCTGATAAAAATACTTTAAACTCACCGGCCAGGACATTTACATCTTGTCTAAGCAAACAAGTAGCTTACCCAGTTATTTGAAGTAACATCATTATTTAAAATATCTGTAATTAGAGCATTTATAATATACTGGTTTGTGTTATATCAAGTTATTTGACTGGGTTTTTTTTTTTGTGTGTGATAGGGTCTCACTCTGTCACCTAGGCTGGACTGAAATGGCACTATCATGGCTCACTGCACCTTGGACCTCCTGGGCTCAAGCAATCCTGCCGCCACAGTCTCCTGAGTAGCTGAGACTACAAGCATGTGCCGTCACGCCAGCATTATTTTTAAAAGAATTTTTAGTAGAGATAAGATGTCAATAAGATGCGCAGGCTGGTCTAGAACTGCTGACCTGAATCCATCCTCATACCTTGGCCTCCTCAATGCCAGGATTAGAGCCTAGAGGCTAGGCTATGCCTAGCCCCCATTTTGTATTATATTACCTTATGCATTATTTGGCATGTTATGTCTTAGCAGCTATATTTCCACCTTATTTGTGTAATTATGGAATCCAAAAAGAGCTTACAATTTTCAATATGTTACATATACGGAATAGTCTTTTTCCACTTCAATTTTATTTTGTAAATTGGCATATGTTAATTGTCTGTTCAGATCATTTGCCCATTTTTTAATTGGGTTGTTTGGGGTTTTTTTTCTTTTTAATTTGTTATTGAGTTATTTGATTTCCTTGTATAGTCAGGGTATCAATCTCCTGTCCAGTGAATAGTTGGTAAATATTTTTTCTCATTCTGTCAGTTGTCTTTTCACTCCATTGATTGTTTCCTTTGCTGTGCAGAAGCTTTGCAGTTTAATATAATTCCAGTTGTTGATTTTTGGTTTTGTGGACTAGGCTTTTGTGATTTTATTCATACAATTTTTTCTCTGATTAATGTTCTGGAGCATTTCTCCTATGTTTTCTTCCAGTAGATTTGTTCTTTCAGGTTTTACATTAAAGTTTTCAATCTATTTTGAGTTGATTTTGGCATAGGATGAGAGGTGAGGGTATAATTTTATTCCCTGCATGTAAATATCCCGTTTTGCCAGCAGTGTTGATTGAAAAGACTGTCCTTTCCCTGGTAAATACTGTTGCTACCTTTGTCAAAATTCAGTTGGCTGTAGAGAGGTGTAACAGTTTCTGGGTTCTCTGATCTGTTCCGCTGGTTTACTTGTCTATTTTGACACCAGTACCATGCTGCTTTGCTTACTGTAGCTTTGTAGTATACTACATGTCATCAGTGTAAGTGTTAAATGTGTAGGATTAATTGGAAAACCCTTGTTGTAAAGGTTATGTTTGTAGTCCTTTTCAAATCTTCAGTGAGCAGACTGGATTTGAAAAGTGTTCAAATAGATCCCATCAACTGGTAAAGACTCCCAGGAAGTAGGGACTTTGATCACTGTGGAGAAACACAGGGAATAAAGATAAATTGGTGGTCATGCTTCCATTAACTACATCTCTGGATTCTTTAAAGAAAAAATTCGAGTGTTTACTTTCTTTTTTGGTTTAAGTAAAAATTGATTAATTGTTGCTGAGTACTTTCATAGCTTGCGTAGTCACCATTTCAAAATATGAAGATACTCTGATGGTCTGAACTCATTCTGAGCAAAAACATTGTCTTGAATAAGAAATAACAATTTTTCGTTGTATTTATGTAAAGGTTGAATTTTGGGATTAAAATTAGAAGCATAAGTTCAGCTGTTTATAGTTACAGGAGTTGAGTGTTGAAGCCCACAATGATTAAACTAAAGACACTTAGATTAAACTTAACCAAATTTTAATTGTCTTTAGAAAAGTACATCTGCTACTTGGGTGCCAGAGAGTGAGACTAAGTATCCCTGTATAAGTTCCACTCAAGGGGTCATGGAGGAAAAGAAAGAGAGAGAGAGAGAGATGGGTTTATATGGGTTTCTGGAACAATCAGCTAATAGAAGTAACTGTGAAGTTATCCTAATTGTTCCCCTCTACCCCAATATTAAGCTTGCCCAAATAACTTATAATTGAGAACATTGTTTGTTTTAAACTAAAATGATGCTTGTCTCATTTTTCCACTTGTGTTATAGTATAAACCTAGCTTGCCTGTATTTACCACATCTAGGTCTGTACTGGGCTTAAGTTAACGGGTAGATTGAACAGAGCTGAAGCAGACAAGAAGAACTAGCTACAGGCCCTTCCCCCTCCATGTGGTCAAAAAATAATTTTCTCACTTAAATTTTTCTGTTTTAAATTTCCAGAAACATGGATTCAGACACACTGCAAACCTTCCAGAGGGAGCTCTGTTGCTTTATCTGCAGGAACTACTTAACGGACACAGTCACCATTGACTGTGGGCATAGCTTTTGCAGGCCCTGCCTTTGTCTACGCTGGGAGGAAGGCCAAGCTCCAAAGGGCTGTCCTGTGTGTGGGAAAATCCCCCAGAAGACTGACTTCAACACCAATATTGTTCTCAAGAAGTTGGCTTCTCTTGCAAGGCAGCGCAGACCTCACAACATCAACAGCTCAGAGAAGCAGATCTGTGTGCTACATGAAGAGGAAAAGGGGCTCTTCTGTGAGGCAGAGGAGAGACTCCTCTGTGGGCCCTGCTCTGAGTCACAAGAGCATGAGGCTTATGGCCACAGCCCAATAGGATGGGCTGCTGAGGAGTGCAGGGTAAGTGACACCTCCAATGCAACCGGGAATCCACATGATCCTAAATGAGAGAGAAAATGAGAGCTTATGATAATAAAGGTGGAGAGAATGGAGATGGTGAGGTTCTGAATTTTCAATATAAATCTCTAGATATAAATGTGTCCTAGGAACACGGTTTGTTTTTGCTGCAAGCTTGACTTCCCCAGAGCCAGGATATATGAAATCCAATTTCTTAAAAAATTGATTAGCTGTTGGGTCTCCTCAAACTCTCTATTATATGTTTCTGTTACCTCTTATATTCCAAATATTAAAATCAAATTAGGTTAACTTGTAAAAACTCTGACCACTTCAGGGGGACTCAAATTTACCATTCTCTCAACAACAGGCTTTTCTCATAAAAAGGGAATAACATATCCAGTAACGTCGTATCTGCTACTAAAGGTCATGTCTATTTTGCAGGAGAAACTTCTGAAGAAAATGGATCATTTATGGAGGAGCACTCAAGAAATGCAAAACAATCTAAATCAGGAAATTAGCAAAATCCATTCATTAACGGTAGGGATAAAAAGGTTTTATATTTTTAAAGTAGATTGGCACAATGCTAACTTAGACTTCTTAGCTGAATTCTGCTTACCAGTTAAAAAATAGTAGTGTCCTCTTCCCAGAAAAAAACAAAACAGTGGTTTCAAATGATATATCAGCAATTATCATTATACAGGCCAACAGGAGCTGGTGCAAAAAATACTAGTATGTACATGTATATGAAATAAACAGGGCATGATAGTTATTCCTGATGTAACCTTGAGGGTTTAGATAAAACTTCCAAGGCACTGAGAATGGGATAGCATTGAACTGTTTAAAGCGTTGTATTCACATCAAGTAGTTTAAAGTTTTGCTGTGAAGGTGAGGAGAGAAATAGAGAAATTAGTGGGGAAAACAAAACCTGAAGTAATTTCTTTAAAAACTCAGTGGTAGAGCGTATACTGAAATATTTAAAAATGTTTAGAAGGATCAGGCAAAGGAACAAGAGAAAATTAAGAAGAACCAGGTAAAAAAGACAATAATTAATGAAGTAAGAATCCTGTAGAAGCATCACAGGCAGGGATCTTGAGTCCTTTTGAGGTACTGATTTATACAGGAAGGGAGACTAGGAGGAACATGAAGAAAGGATGGGTAGAGGAGACTAGCAAATCTTCAAGAACCTTTTCAAGTATGAGACACAGAGCTTAGGAGTTTACTGCTTGCATATCCTAGGAGAATAACAGTTGAAGTGTTAAGTGTTTTGTTGAGAGTGAGGAGATGCAATTCTTTTAACTGAGTATCTCTGCAGGACTATGTGGCCCTCAGGAAAGGGATGATCAGATAACAATATCAGAAGTTGCGCCAATTTCTCCTGGAGGAGGAGCAACGCCATCTGGAGACAATGGACAGAGAAGCAGAAGAGATTGTTCGACAACTCCAAGACGGTGAAGTAAGAATAACCCAACATATAAAAAAGACGAAAGGCATGTACAGAGAGCTGTGGGAGATGCGCCACATGCCGGATGTGAAGCTGCTCCAGATGAGGAGGGAGGGTCCATCATCCAGAGTCAGGAAGACTTTGTTGGGCAATGCTGCCAGGACATTCATATGCTACCTGCAAATGTAACTACTCTTAGAAAGTGACACATGCTCCTTGACTCTGTCATTGCGTTTGTCCAGTGACTTATTTTTGCATATTCTGGTAATCTTTGGGAGATTTTTGCCATTTTGGTAGATCACGTAGGACAAAATCCTCTTCAGTATAATCAGAAGTACTAGCCACAAAGAAATGTTATCCAAAATCAACCAAATGCTAGGCCAGGAGAATATTAGCTTTGTTAATAAAACTCAATTTAAGTTCCCTAGTACGTCCTCACTTCTTGGGATTAAGCCTGGGAGATGAGTGACACTGAGAACTAGATAGCTGTGTACATCACTCCACAGTCTTATTCTCAGCTCCTTCATTCCTAATGCCCACTGAGGAAGACCACCATGGTTCAGCTGAGGTTCTGTTATTAACACAGCCTTGGATGGTGCCTTAGAGGTGTATCAATAAACCTACCTTGTTAACCCAGAAAAACAACAAAGAATACTAGGGAAAGTAGGACAGAATTCTCATGATTAAGTACTTGTGTTTTTCTTTGCAGGACTTGGAAAACATACTGGAATGGTGAGTTACACTGATGAACTTTGATTGCTGAGAAAGTCATTCCCTTATTGATAAAGTCAATGTACCCTTGAAAGTCAATGTACCATTGAAAAAGGTGGGGATTAGGTTCACTAACCACCTTCATGCAATTCCACATAGTTGAAAACCCAAGTATAACTTCTGACTTTTCCAAAACCAAACTACGAATGACCTCTTATTGACTGGAAGCCTGTTGATACCATAAACAGTCAATTAACATATATTGTATGTTATATGTATTATATGCTGTATCCTAACAATAAAGTAAGCTGGAGAAAAAATATAATTGAGAAAATTGTAAGGAAGAGAAAATAAATTTATTACTCATTAAGAAGTTGATCACCATAAGGGTCTTCATCTTCATTGTCTTCACATTGAGTAGGCTGAAGAGGAGGAGGAAGAGAAGACAGTGTCTCAGCAGTGGCAGAGGCAGAAATAAAATAAATGGAGTGGGAGGCAGGAGAGGCAGGCAAGCTAGGTGAAACTTTCATTGAAAAAAATCCACTTATAAGTGGACCCCCAAATTTCAAACCCTTGTCGCTTAAGGGTCAACTACATGTTTTGAGGTATTTAGCATTAATCTGTGGCTATGTTCCATTTTGGTTTCAAAGGAGAACCTGAGAACTTAAGCTTCTTTGTCTCAGAAGTTTCCTTCTTATCTGGCTGAATGAATATGTATCGAAAAACAGTGTGCCATTCTGGATTTTCTTCTACCCACTCACCCCATCTTCTCCAGCCCTGCCCCAGCAAATCTTTTTTTTTTTTTTTCTATTTTTTTTTATTATACTTTAAGTTTTAGGGCACATGTGCACATTGTGCAGGTTAGTTACATATGTATACATGTGCCATGCTGGTGCACTGCACCCACTAACTCGTCATCTAGCATTAGGTATATCTCCCAATGCTATCCCTCCCCCCTCCCCCCACCCCACCACAGTCCCCAGAGTGTGATATTCCCCTTCCTGTGTCCATGTGATCTCATTGTTCAATTCCCACCTATGAGTGAGAATATGCGGTGTTTGGTTTTTGGAGGCATCACACTACCTGACTTCAAACTATACTACAAGGCTACAGTAACCAAAGCAGCATGGTACTGGTACCAAAACAGAGATATAGATCAATGGAACAGAACAGAGCCCTCAGAAATAACGCCGCATGTCTACAACTATCTGATCTTTGACAAACCTGAGAAAAACAAGCAATGGCGAAAGGATTCCCTGTTTAATAAATGGTGCTGGGAAAACTGGCTAGCCATATGTAGAAAGCTGAAACTGGATCCCTTCCTTACATCTTATACAAAAATCAATTCAAGATGGACTAAAGACTTAAACGTTAGACCTAAAACCATAAAAACCCTAGAAGAAAACCTAGGCATTACCATTCAGGACATAGGCATGGGCAAGGACTTCATGTCTAAACCACCAAAAGCAATGGCAACAAAAGCCAAAATTGACAAATGGGATCTAATTAAACTAAAGAGCTTCTTCACGGCAACAAAAGCCAAAATTGACAAATGGGATCTAATTAAACTAAAGAGCTCCTGCACAGCAAAAGAAACTACCATCAGAGTGAACAGGCAACCTACAAAATGGGAGAAAATTTTTGCAACCTACTCATCTGACAAAGGGCTAATATCCAGAATCTACAATGAACTCAAACAAATTTACAAGAAAAAAACAAACAACCCCATCAAAAAGTGGGCAAAGGACATGAACAGACACTTCTCAAAAGAAGACATTTATGCAGCCAAAAAACACATGAAAAAATGCTCATCATCACTGGCCATCAGAGAAATGCAAATCAAAACCACAATGAGATACCATCTCACACCAGTTGGAATGGCAATCATTAAAAAGTCAGGAAACAACAGGTGCTGGAGAGGATGTGGAGAAACAGGAACACTTTTACACTGTTGGTAGGACTGTAAACTAGTTCAACCCAGCAAATCTTAAGAAGATTACTCTGAGTTATCACAAAGGAGTCTCCTATTCTGGAGAGGCAGAGGCGAGAGGTGAAAAAGAGAGGGAAATGCCCTAAGGACAGGAAAGGGAGGGAGGATTTGTTCCCAGGGATATCAATAGCCAGGCCCTGCTCCATCTCTGCACTGCCCTGTTGTAGGTAGAATCTAAGAGGGGAATGGCTGCCTCAGGATCCTCAGCGCCAGAGCTGACAGGCTGAAAATAGACTCCTTTGGTTTGAACAAAAGTTCAAAACCTTTAGTGTCAGTGGGCATTCCCTGTAAGACCCTGACTGCATCACTGGTGACAACTACCGACTGAGGTCCCAAAGGCTTTGGCTGAGTTTTCTTCTCTCAGCAAGAATCCCAGGATATCTGTATACTTTGAAGAGGCCGGAGGGGGAGAGGGAGGAAATGACACTCAGTAATTTTAAATTAGGATCATGTATGAGAGAATAGAGAAATTGGACTTTAACATGTTAAATTTAGATAAAAGTAACATTGCTATATCCTCAATACAGTTGAATAAAATGTATACTGAATTTAACAAAAAAGGGAGATTTCTCCAGAAATATCTTGGATGAAAATCTGAAACATTTGTATGACTGTGTGATTATCCCTGGGCCTAAAAGTGTAACTGAGGTTGTTCTTTGCAGGACAGATTTGGTGCAAATGGAAAAGCCCCAGCCAGTGAACCCAGAACTCACTTCCTGGCACATCACCGGAGTGCTAGATATGCTCAACAAATTCAGAGGTAAGAGCCAGCTGCTTGGCAGTACAGCCTCAACTTCTGTTTAGTGGATTCCTTGGTTGAGCCGTTTCCCATTTTAGTTTTAATTTCTGTGAATTTATCATATATTGTAGAAATAATATTTATCATAAAAATTAGAAAGCGTTGACCAACCAAATAACTAAAACTTCCATAAACAGAACAACTTTACTGCTGTAAGATACATTTCACAACAACTGGAAGCTGAGGGTTCTGTGAAAATGGCCCAAACATGTAAGGCAGCCATTAGACAACAGAGGGCTAAAACCGGGATTAGACTGAATGAAGCAGTGGCTGACCAGGTCACGTAAAAGCAGAACATGATCATTATTTTCAGAAACTTCTAAACTGCACATGTATGGAAGTCCATCAAATTCTGATGTTTAAACATGGAGGAGGTGAGGCCGGGCACAGTGGCTCATGCCTGTAATCCTCCAAGGCTGAGGCGGGCATATCACCTGAGGTCAACGGCTGGAAACCAGCCTGGCCAACATGGCAAAACCCCATCTATACTAAAAATACAAAAATGATCTGGGCATGGTGGCACATGCCTGTAATCCCAGCTACTCGGGAGGCTGAGGAAGCAGAATCGCTTGAACCCAGGAGGCTGCAGTGAGCCGAGATCGCACCACTGCACTCCAGCCTGGGCAGCAGAGTGAGACTCTGTCTCAAAACAAAACAAAACAAAAGTAACAGGCACATTTTATATCCCACTAAACAAGAGCATCATAGCAGAGTGAAGTCTATTTGTTAATTATATTGAATACAAACAATGCAAGTGGCATTTTCTACTAAATAAATAAAGAATGTTACATATCTCTTGAAACGAATCGTGCAAAGCCAGACATTAAATCATTGATTCACACAATTAATGATATGTTTGTTTATTTGTTTTTCTGTGTGATTTTAAGGATTCTCCTGTGCTGTAGAAGTCATAATAACCCTTGATCTTCATAGATGACAGTCTCCAAAGTCTTTTTGCTCCATGTATTCTGTCTGTCACTTACAGGAGGTACAAATAAAGCCAGTACCTGGGCAGATAACATCTGACCCCCACGTAACTCCTTGATCTGATTTTTGTTCTTCTTGCAGTGGATGATCCTCTGAGTAAGGAAAAGACGAGTCACTATATGAGCCTTTCTGAGGATGTGAGAAATGTGGTATTTGGAGATGACCATGATGGTGCACCCGGGGAGTCCCAGAGAGCAGAGAACTTTGCAGCATGGGGAGCTCAGGCCTTCTCCTCTGGCAGGCATTACTGGGAAGTGGATGTAACCCAGTCCTCCAGCTGGATTCTAGGAGTCTGTAAAGATTCCAGGACAGCAAACACAAATCATGTTCCTGCTTTTGAGGAAGCATTTTTTCAATTTTCTTCAAAGAGAAACAGCCTTTATAGCCTCTCCAACACCTTTCTTCCCTTAACTCACTATGTGCAAAGACCTTTGGGTCGGGTTGGGATGTTTCTGGATTATGACAACACAGTTGTGAGCTTTTATGATGTTTCAAAAGGTTCCCTCATATACAGCCTTTTCCCTTTCTCTTTGTCTTCCCTTTTGACACCTTTCTTTTGTTTTGGTTCCCCATGAAAGTCAGGTTTCATTATGATTTCCTAGTGAGCTCTCTTGCCTGAAAAATCTTCTAATCTCGAGACCTTCTCATGTGAGACAATAGGACAATGTGTGAGCATCTTTGAGCTCACTGTAACTTGAGGAAACAAAATTATTATCTGGGTATGAAATGGGATAACCACATTGACATTATACATTTGTTTCCTAAATTTTACTTTAATAAAGAGTTGTGAAAAACCATAACTGTCTGATTCCTGGACATTTTATATACCCCAAAATGAAACCCAAAACTCTTTATCATTACTCTCTATTCATTGCGCCTTCCCCACCCACTCGACTCACAATCCCTTTTGTACTTTAGATCTTTGTGGATTTGTGTATTGTAGACACTTTATGCAAAGCAAATAATACAAAATATGGTCTGGATCATCAGTTACTAAAAATTGCAGATTTTTGTAAATGTGCAAAATATATTAGTTATAAGAGTAAACTGTACTGTCTTACTGACATATATGCTTAATTATAGTTCTTTGTTTCAATGGCCCTTGCATGCTTTCCAAAGTAGCATCATAAAATGTAAACTTAGACTGGAAAAGCTTTGAAGAAGTTTGTTTTGATGCAAATAATTTTTAGCTGAACAAATTCTTCTTCTTCTTCTTCTTTTTTTTTTTTTTTTGCTTCTAGCGTAGATTATTTATTTATTTATTTTATTTTATTTTTTTGAGACGGTGACTCCCTCTATCCCCCAGGCTGGAAATACAGATGCCTGACATGGGCTCACTGCAACCTCCGCCTCCCGGGTTCAAGCGATTCTCAGCCTCCTGAGTTGCTGGGATTACAGCAACCCCTGGCTAATTTTTGTATTTTTAATCGAGACCACAGGATTTCACCATGTTGGCCAGGCTGGTCCCAAACTCCTGATCTCAAGTGATATGCCCGCCTCAGCCTCCCAAAGTGCTGGCATGACAAATGTGAGCCACCAAACGCGGCTGATTCTTATCTTCAATATTCTCATAAATGCTGGATTCAGAAAAACCACTGGTTTATCAAAGTCATTTTATTATCAGCTATGTTTTCTTCAATGTTAACTTCAAATTGGGAGTCTTGGTAATAAAAGATCAGTAATTGTGCATTGTCTTTCATGATAAATTTGGTCCATCCTGACTATGTGCCATTCTTTGCAAAGGATAAACAGCTTGTGAGTCAGATCTGGAGTTAATGAAACCTTCAGATTCCGTAAGCAAATAAGTAGAGACGCTGTGTTTAAATTGTCTGAAGCCATCCTTGCCTCTGGGATATTTCCCTCTTATTGGGAAGCTAACTCATATGGCTCTAGAAATAGTGTACTCCTAAGTGTTGTTAAGAGTCTGCAGGCAGGTAAATCTTTAATGCTTTCAACGAATTTCCCTTTTCTTAAAAAGTCTGTGAAAACCATCCTTTAAAACTTCTTGCATCAACGTAATTTTAGAAAAAAAGATGGAACCAAAGCCAGAGGTGGTGGTAAAGGCTACAGCCAAATTGAAGGGTCACAGCAGCATAGGAGACAGGAGGCTCAGAAGAAAGCCAGGCAGAAAACATAAAAACCTCTGGAGACTATGCATGAGCCTTGTGCTTCTCTTGAAGCCCGACGCCAGCGGTGATTCCAGCACATCTGTGGTCCTTCAGTCTTGCAGTCTCCAGATCCCTCAGTCCCCTATTACAAAAGTTTCGGAATCTGTTTTCATTTGGATAGAAAAGAGGGGTCAGAAAATTAAGAACTTTACCAGGTTTGGACAGAGCAAGCTGGGATAGAGTGGTAGGTGTTGAAATTAGCTGTGGATACAGAAACTTGTACTTGGAGAATAGTGGTATTTGTTGTGAATTTCCAAAAGACAATATTGAACCAAGGTCATACATCCCAGGTTAAAAGTTTGTAAATAGACTATTTTACAGGACTCTCCCTGAAAAGTGAAACTTTGAAGAATGACCTGTTGGTGGTATTAGGAAAGAAATAGAGGCCATAGTGAGGGAAGGAAGGAGGGATGAAGGGAGCAGAGAATGTGAACTGGCATGCCAGACAGATTAAAAAATAATGAAAACAAAAGCAAAAATTACAGATTCCATACATTTCTCAAAGGAAGACATTTATGCAGCCATCAAACATATGAAAAAAAGGTCATAATCATTGATCAGTAGATGCAAATCAAAGCCACAATGAGATACCATCTCATGCCAGTTAGAATGGCAATCATGAAAAAGTCAGGAAACAATTGTGGCAATTCCTCAAGGATCTAGAACCAGAAATACCATTTGACCCAGCAATCCCACTACTGGGTATATACTCAAAGGACAATAAATCATTCTACTATAAAGACACATGCACACTTAGGTTTATTGCAGCACTGTTCACCATAGCAAAGACTTGGAACCAACCAAAATGTCCATCAATGATAGGCTGGATAAGGAAAATGTGGCACATATACACCATGGAATACTATGCAGCCATGAAAAAGGATGAGTTTGGCTGGGTGCCAGGCTCACGCCTGTAATCCCAGCACTTTGGGAGGCCGAGGCAGGTGGATCACGAGGTCAGGAAATGGAAACCATCCTGGCTAACACGGTGAAACCCTGTCTCTACTAAAAATACAAAAAAATAAAAAATTAGCTGGGCATGGTGGCTGTCACCTGTAGTCCCAGCTACTCGGGAGGCTGAGGCAGGAGAATGTCGTGAACCCGGGGGCGGGGTTTTCAGTGAGCCAAGATTGCACCACTGCACTCTAGCCTGGGCGACAGAGTCAGACTCCTTCAAAAAAAAAAAAAAAAAAAAAAAAGGATGAGTTCATGTCCTTTGCAGAGACATGGATGAAGCTTGAAACCATCATTCTCAGCAAACTAACACAAGAACAGGAAAACAAACATCGCATGTTCTCACTCATAAGTGGGGGTTGAACAACGAGAACACATGGTCACAGGGAGGGGAACATCACACACCAGGGCCTATCTGGGGGTTGGGGGATAGGGGAGGAATAGCGTTAGGTGAAATACCTAATGTAGATGACAGGTTGATGGGTGCAGCAAACCACCAAGGCACATGTATACCTATGCAACAAACCTGCACTTTCTGCACATGTATCCCAGAACTTAAAGTATAATTAAAAAAAAAAAAAAGTAAAACACAAGCAAAGAAACAAACAAAAACCCTACAGATTCCAAGACAAATTGGCTTAGGTATTTGATATGTAGGGGGGAAAATGCAGGGGAAAATTATCGTAAAGCGACATTAACTTTGGAGTTTGAAGAAATTGGTGGGTCTTGCTTTCAATATGTCAAGGATGTGACTTCTGAAGGTGTGAATAGCAACATCCCTCAATAAATCCGTGTGCTAATTAATAACAGACACTCCCACATTTTTATCATTAAGATCCCACCTAATCCTAATTCAGATACTCATTCTAATTAATGCAATCATCTCAGAATTTCAAAGATATTTGTTGGCCAGTTAGTGACTATTAGTTATCCTTAGAAAGAAACTATTTGAGAGGAACATTTAGAGGTACTTATCAATTTTTAAGTGTACATATATTTTAAACCTATAATATCATTAGTATGGAAATTTCCATAAAAATGCACAAGGATATATATATATTACGTATATTGTGGCAATATTTTCAATATAACAAGGGAGAGAATATAGTTCAACAAAACACTGCGTAATCTATTGTACTCTCTATAAATATGAACAACATCTGCATATACTCATAACCAGCCACTTGCTTAACTAAAAAAAAGTGATCTCATGGAATTAAAAAGTAAAACAGAGGATACTAGTGGCTAGGAACGGTAGAAGGCAGAGGGTATAGGGAGAGGTACAAAATTAAATATAATTAAATATAATGAATACTAAAAGAGAAAATAAATACAATTTAAAAATACAAAATTATAGGTAGATGGGAGGTATAAGTTGTAACGGTCTATAGCATTGCAAGATGATTATAATTAACAGTAATATATACTTTCAAATAGCTAGAATGAGGATATTGCAGGTTCCCTAAAAAAAAAGAAATGGTAAATGTTTGAGACAATGTGCTAAATACTCTGATCTGATTACTATGCATCATATGTATCAAAACATCACTATCTACCCTACAAATATGTAAAATTATGTGTCTATTAAAAATAAAATTTTAAAGTACTGATTCCTTGATATCCTCTGTACAGTGATAGCTTATTTTTCTAATATTCTTTTAATGGGTAATCAAACACAAAAAATGGTTTGACCTGCAAGATAACATAAGAATAAATGTAAAAATATATGAGTCAGGTTCAGAGTTGGAAATTTGTGTCCACAATGTCATTTTAAAATTAGCAATACTACATAGTTGATAATTGAAAGATATAATTAATCATGGAATAATTATCAGATGCATTTTCTCTCCAGGAATGTCTCTATAACAAATCAATTAGAAGGAATCAAATCAATCGGTTCTGTATTTATAAAATGGTACGTGACCTGATGCATTCATCTCTAGTGTAAGGAAAGAATATTTTTTAAATCTCATGGCACAAGACCCCCTCTATTTCAGAAAATATTTTTGAAGGCATTGCCAAAATGTGTGTTTTGTATAATGTTATTATATAAAATACAAAAACTATGCATTTAATAATCCTACCCCTCAGTAACATAAATGTAAATTATTCTATTTTAAATGGTCCAAGGAATGAACAGATTATTTATTCTATTTATTCTATTAAAGAGGAAGTAAAGAGAACCATTAAACGTTGGAGAAAATGCTTAAATTGATTAGTATTTCAGAAGATGGAAAATCAAAGAGTACATTACCGTAAATATGCATTAGATTGTCAAAAGTTAGTTATTTAATTGCATCCCATAGTAACCAATTCAAGTGACCTTTTCCAGCAAAACAGTGACAATATAAAAGATCCGGGTTTCGGTGACTTCCTCCAGATAACCTCCATCAGAAATGTCTTGGATATTTCTATATTAAGACAGAAAACTTATATTGTTATACTTACTTATTTGTATATCTGCATAATCTACTTGCAGTGACACAGGATATTAATATTATTTATCTTTGATATTGTGCAATGGAAGAAGTGTTGCACATAGACACAAATAGAAACAAACTTTATTCTTTACACTTACTAGTAGGAAGAGGATAAAGGTTCACAGAACTTTATAGGCAGTTTGGATGCTATGAATGGTAATCAAAGACTTAGAAACTAAGGCTTAGTTTTAAAAAGTGTTGCGTGAATTAAAAATCTTACATATTTATCTATGCAATTACAATTTCTGGTGCTCTTCAGTGTGTGTGTGTGTGTGTGTGTGTGTGCTTGTGTGTTCGTGTGTATGTATTGCAATGTGAGTCTGATTTTTTTCAGCTTTTTTGCGTCTGAATAAGGACTTTATTTTTCTTTGAAAAAATGTATTGTTTTGGAAAGATTTTCCTTGGGTATAGAACTCAGATTGACAATATTTTTCTTTATTGTTACTTCAAGGATGTTTTCCATTCCTAGTCACTTGCACTATACCTGACAAAAAATTAATTGACATTTTTTTCTTTTTTTCTGAAGATTATGTCTGTTTTCCTTTACCTCCCACCCTCCCTCCCTCGGTCCCTTTCTTCCTTTTTCCTTCCTTTATTTTATTCTTTCATTTTTTGTCACTGATTTTAAGCAATTATTAGAGTGGGGCATAAGTAATTGTGGTTTTTACCATTGAAAGTAAAGGCAGGCCATGCACGGTGGCTCACGCCTCTAATTCAAGCACTTTGGGAGGCTGAAGCAGGTGGACTACCTAAGGTCAGGAGTTCGAGACCAGATTGGCTGATACCGCAAAAACCCATCTCTACTAAAAATACAAAAATTAGCCGGGCATGGTGGTGGGTGCCTGTAGTCCCAGCTACTTGGGAGGCTGTGGCAGGAAAAATCGCTTGAACCCAGGAGGTGAAGGTTGCGGTGAGTGGAGATCGCGCCACTGCACACCAGCCTGGGCGAGAGAGTGAGACTCTGTCTCAAAAAAAAAAAAGAAAAAAAAGAAAAAAAAAAGTAATGGCAAAACCGCAATTACTTTTTGCACCAACCTAATAGATTATGATGAATATTGCTATAGCTCTAGTTTAACTTTTTTCCCCTTCCTTTTCTTCACACTTTGTAATCTAATACGATGCAAATCTAATCAGCCTGTAATCCCTGTCAATGTTGTTCTCATTTAAGAAGTTGTAGATTGTATGTCTCTTATACAAATTTCTCTTTTTACATCTACCGTATCTCTACATACTTTATTTGAATATAAAAAAATATAAAAAATATAGTTATTTCAAATGTTGTAATGTCCTGATCTGCTAATTCTAGCATCTCTGTCAATCCTGTTTTAATTTGTATTGATTATTTTTTTCTCTTTATGGGCATTTTTTTGTACTTCTTTACTCTGTTGGTAATTTTTTACTGTATTACAGACATAGTGAATTTTTTTACTGCAAATGTATTTTTAAAAATATTTTTGAGTGCTATTTGTGAGCACTGTTGAGTTTTTTGGAAATAATTTGATCCTTTTGGATCTCTCTTTGAGAGTTTGTTAGCCTAGTCTGGAACAAGGTTGAAAAAGGATCTATCTGGACACATTTATTTCCTACTGCTGTGCCAACTATTTTCTGTCTACTCTACCCATCATCCTAGAGAATAGTTATAAATAATTTTGGGTAATGTGTATTATTAATAAGCACACATTTATGCACTTTACTGAGGATACTATGCTGCTAAAAACTGATAAAAGAAATCTTGTTAATGTTTTTGAAATCATTTGCCACAGGAGAGATTAGTTGCGTTTTAGAATCTAAGCTCGTTTTTAAAAAGCACAGTGGTAAAAAATTAACAGCACCTTAATAGGGTCTACCTGGAATATATACACTCATATTGTGGAAAGCTTAGAAAGGCATTTCTTCCAAAAACTCTTCATGGCTAGAGCTGTATCTAGGTAAGAAACACTTCAGAATAGGAAGGCATCCAGATTTCATTATTCAGTTTTGGTAGAGTTGGGAAGTGAGTTTTTCATTTAAAATTACTCTTTATTATTTTCCCACGTTTTTGCCTTTTTTGTTTGAATACTATTTACAAAATTTTGTAAACTAAATATTAAAATGAGGAAATAAGCAATAATCAAAGTAGATGACTTGGGAAGAGTCAACGGCCTAGAAAAATGTGCATGTCAAAACATGGCTTCACTTAATTACCAGTATTCTTTCCACACAGCTCATCCTTTTGACTGTTAAACTTTTGGTAATAACTTTTTTGCAGACATCTTCTCATACTTGTAAACCACTACAAGGAAATAAATAGAGGCCCACATACAAATGTCCAAATGTTTAAAATGTATAACTGTAGCTAACAATCTGTCAATAAATATTTTGCATCCTTTTTCTTTAAAAAACAGTATATGACTTCCTCATAACACAGAAGGCTGTGCTGGAGTTTAGAACTGCCAGATTGTTATAGGACCAACAGGTTGTACAGTAACAGCCTACTGTGCAGTAACATGCCAACCACACTAAGACAGGAGATTTGCAGCAGATAATAACTTTAATGATCACAGTGTTCTGAGTGAGAACATTGGAGGAGACCCTCAAATCCATCTTTCCAAGGAGTTCTGGGCTGGAATTTTTAAGGGGATTGTGGAAGGTGAGGGGCTGGAAAATTCTGCTTGATTGGTCGCTGCAAGGGGGTATGAAATTATCAGGATGTGGACACTGCATTATTTGGCGAGTCAGTTGCTTCTGGGGACTGTCAGCACCACAGAGTCTGTAGTTTAATTGGGATGCAGGATAGAACAGTCGCAGAGAACTATAAACTGGGGTCTACCTGATTCTAGGAAATAGGCAATAAATGACTAGGAGAAAGCAGTTCAGAGATCTAGCTCACCTAATAATTTATTCTAAAAATGTTGCAAGCTTGGTTTATTTTTATTTCTCCCAGTCTCTTCTTCCCTGATTAATTTTATGGCGTTTAAAAGGATGGTTTCAAGACCTCAGCATGGAGCAATATTGGCTCATCTGCTCTGGAAAAACTGGGAAGAAAAAGGTAAGAAGCTCCTCGTTCAGACAGGGAATTTGGGATTTAGAATTCCAAGAGGAACTCTAGGAGCCAGAAAACCTCACAGCCTTCTCCTCCAGCAGGGTTAGATTGGGCAATTTTGGAAGGGCCATTAGGAAGTGCTCTATTGTGTTGGTCCCAGAGCAAGGGCCACTCTGTCTACCTTCACTCCTTCTTTCTGAAGCTAAGAGTTTGCTCTGTCCAGTGAGCAGTAAAAGCTTGCCCTTGCAACTTCTACTCTCTAACATTCCTTCTTCCAGATTTTACTTGGCTTCTTCTCCTGCTTTTGGATGGCTCTATCTACTGGTGTTGAAGAATTAGGAGATTTCTGCGACTTGAGGACTCCAAAAGATTATTTATCCCTCTGCCTCCACTATGCTTATGCATCCAGGTGCATGATCACTTGGATATTACAGAGATTGTTTGTTTTTAGTCTCTGCCTTCTGTCTTATCTCTGAATGGATTAATTCTGGAAAACTCCCAGATTTCAATGAAGTCCAGCAAACAAATAGATACGTTTTGGTGGAATCATCCAGATTACCTATGTACAAAGCGAGGCATCCTAGAAGCTCAGGCTCCTTCTCTTTCTTCTCTCTTCTTCTTTACCTTAACTAGTTTGCTACTTTTTATTTTCTTTTTTTGTAAGAGAAAGGTAAATATTTTTGAGAGCTGTCCCTTTCAATTTAGCAAAATGGACCAAAAAATAATATGATAGAACCATTCATCTAAAGACAATGTCTTGGTACTATTTAGTTGCAGACTTTTTATTCTATGTGGTTTATGCATTTATTTTAATAATATAGTTGCACCTATACATAACAACATCAGTATTTTTCCATATTGTCAGAAACTCATTATTATAATTCTTAACAGTTACTAATGTGCAGATATCATTCCTTGTTTTTGCCAAATTATGGTTTAGTTATTTACTTCTGTTTAATGGACATTTAATATATCTGATTTCTATGTGTTCTCTTTTTCCTTTTAAATTGTGTAGCTGCAAAGCCCCAGTGAAAGATTTGAAGGTAAATCTCCTTATGAAAACTTAACTAAAAAAAAGTCCTTCCCCGGAGTTCACTGGCATGTCTAGGTAAAGAATCAAATACAATTCCCCACTGAATTCAATGTGGGATTGTTTTGAAAATAAAAGAGCATCGTCTTTCAACCATTATGTTAAAGATTAACTTTCAAAATGCTCTAAAAGCTGATAAAGGAAAAGCATTACTTGGGTTCATAAATAAAATACTACTGTGTGTCTCAAAATTAAATCTGCAAGACATCAAAACATGATGTCTCTTTAGAATATGTAATCTATACATATGATACAATTCAACAGATTATAAGGTTGATTATCACTTATATAAAATGCTTGAGACTGGAAAAGTTTTGGATTTTTGATTTTTTCAAATTTTGGAATATTTGCAGTATACTTATTGGTTTAACATCCCTAGTACATATCCTAATACATATCCTAAAATATCCCATCTTTTAGGATATGCTAGAATTATTTGCTTAAATTAATGCTCCAATTAACATTTTCTTTTAATGTCATGTTGCTGCTCAAAAACTTTTAGATTTTGACCCTTTTGTAAAAAATTTCTTAATTTTTTATTTTTGTGGGCACATAGTAGGTGTATACATTTGTGGGGTGCATGAGATGTTTTAATACACGTTTTGGATTTTTAAATGACGAATGCTCAACTTGTAATAGAGAGAATAGTGAAAAGTAATTCTGATAATTCTGTGCCCTCATCATCTTGTCTTTATGCTTTTTCTGAATATCATATAGTTAACAAATATTTTTGGTACTCTAGTAAAAAAAGCATCTTTTCAGCATTGGTTGTATCCTCACAAGCAAGGAAGGGAAAATAAATATCTCAGTAATCTGGGATTATTTATTTAAACAGTACAAATAATTTATATTATTAAGGACAAAATTTACATTCAAATTATCTGAAAAATGTTTTCTTCATATACCTATAATAGATACAATTAAAAAGAAATGTTAACTAACATCAGTGTTGCTGAAAGAGACTTGGGAAGTTCTTGCTGTGATCAGTCTCTGAACTCTGGCATCTGCCTCTCCATTCTAGTGCATCCTATGCAGGGCTGCCCTATCTCAAAAGACCTATTTTTGACATAATAAGTTGGATTTGTGCTGCTCAGAAATGTCAGTGCATCCCTACTACCAACTGATTAATTACAACATACTCTGCTTAACACTGAAAGCCCTCCACTCTGTGACCCTGGCTTTTTCTAGTTTTATTTCATGTTGTTTTTAGTATCTATGTATCATATTCAGCCAAACAATTGAATTTTCAAAGTCTGATTTCTTTCTACCTTTGTATTGTCATTACCTTTACATAGAGTTCCTTATTTCCACTTTCATCTGGCAAAACTCTATTTATCCAGAATAACAATATTATGAGGCCATTAATTTTGAAAATGTTAAACATTTGTGATTAATTTATGCTTAATTCTGTGTAAAATCAAAAAAGTAGAACACAATTTGAACAACATTTTAAGATGGAAGGAAAAAAATACTTGGTGAGAATACTAAGGTAATTTCTTTAAAGTAGAATTTTGAGGGTAAACATCTGTGTATTAAATAGAATATCATTATATAAATATCAAATCCTGGGAGCTGATGTAAGGATACATAGAAAGATAAGAGTAGATGACCCAGAAATAGGTTCAGTGATATATAAGCAAGTATTAGTAACAAAGAATACAGCAAAAATTGATGGGGAAAGATTATTCAACTATAGTATTGTATAAGCTATGTTAGTACCTGCTATAAAAGTAAATTCAGAATTGCAGTTCACGTTGTATGCTAACGTAAACAACAGGTGTAAAGAATCCCTTTATGCCAGGAGTTCGAGACCAGCCTGGGAGACATAGTAAAACACCATCTCTACAAAAAAGAAAAAGAAAATTAGCCATGCCTGGTGATGTACCCCTGTTGTCCTAGCTACTTTGGAGGCTAAGGTGGAAGAATCACTTTATTCCAGGAGTTTGAGACTGCAATGGGCTACAATTGCAATGCTGCTCTTCAGCTTGGGTGACGGAGTGAGACTTTGCCTCAAAAACAACAAAAAGCTTTAAGTAGCCGTTTTATTTTAGAAGTATAATTCTTTCTTCTACAATTAATAAATTTACATATGACTAGGCCAGATGTATCAGACAGAGATTGTTCTCTACTACTTATATCTCAAGAAAAATGGAAGACACTTAGAAGGAAGCTCTAAGAAAAACATTTTTTTTCATCATTCTGGACTTTGAGATTATAATTCTTTAGACTGATTTTCTGTCTCGGTGGTGGATATCATCCTGGAAGTTAATTTGTTCAAAAACCTCACATAATCTGATATTTTAAAAAACATGAAATTCATAGGATCCATGAATTATTGTGCCTTAAAAGTCTTCAGAAATTCAGGGATAATTTCTGTAGGATCTCAGGCCTTCTGCATTGTTGGGACTGAGACTCACAGCACTGGGTTGCAGACGTCTGTTAACAGGTCTGGACAAGGAATGATGTCAGCCCAGATAATTCTAAGGAAGGCTTTCTGCTTTGTTATAAGGAGAGTAATCATTGAAGTCTCTAGACAAGCTCACAATCATCATTCCAGCATATGCAAATACATCAGAACAGTTTCAGTATGCTCCTGGTTTATGAATCTTCATCTGCCTCTTTTCCATATTCCTATTTATTTATTTATTTATTTATTTATTTACTGAGATGGAATCTTGCTCTGTCACCCAGGCTGGAGTGGAATGGTACAATCTCGGCTCACTGCAACCTCCGCCTCCCAGGTTCAAGCACTTCTCCTGCCTCAGCCTCCTGAGTAGCTGGAGTTACAGGCGCCCGCCACCATGCCCAGCTAATTTTTTGTATTTTTAGCAGAGAGGGGTTTCACCATGTTGGCCAGGCTAGTCTCGAACTCCTGACCTTAGAAGATCCGCCTCCCTGGACCTCCCAAAGTGCTGGGATTACAGGCGTGAGCCAGCGCACCTAGCCCTTTTTCCCTATTCCTAAATGTTTTCTCATAATTTGTTCCTTACATACTTCTTTGCTGGAATACTCAGACCCTTCTTTGCCACTCATAAACTACAATGAGGGTCCAATTCAAGTATCATAGGAATGGTTCAAGTAAACTTTTCTATAACTAGCCAAGAAAATAAATTGTTAATACACAGGGACTAGAGAAGCCCAGAGGAAGTGCTGCTAGGTCAATCACGGGCCCCAAGGCAGACATTCCATGGGTTATACTTAAAAGACACTCTATTGAGCCCAGACGGGGGGAGCTTTTCAGGCAAAGACTCACAGGTCCAATTGATGAGAAAGGATAGAACATGAAGTGCATTGGAGGAATTGCCAGAAACTGGGTAAAATTGGATCAAAGGAATGTGACCTCGTGGTCTCCCCATGGGACTGAGAATGTTAGAGTGCTTGTTGGAAAGACGCTATTCTGAAGGCAGAAAGACATTTAGATACCTATTGTAGAAATCCAGATGAGAGCATAGAAAATAAAAATAAAGTAATAGTCAAAAAAAATCATGAAAGATTTGTAAATCAAGAAAAACATGATTATGGAAATATTTTCTTATAGACAAGAATAAATAATTATTTAAGGTGATCTCCTATACTGTAACTTAAATCCCAGACAGATGACCTTGTTCCTCAGGTTTTGAGATATGGAATAAATGAAGAGATAAAACGCAACATGTTGAATGTAAATGATTATGGAATATACAGCTGATGATGATGTGAGATGATACGTTAACTACATGATGAATTGAAATGAGGTGAATGATGTAGGCACTGACATGAGCTTTAGGCTACTATTGACCTTCTGTTTTCATGAATCTGTGTTACTGTCCTTACTTGCAGTAAATGGCTTAGTGTCACTTGTTTTAGGGGATCTTTTGCTAAAATCTTCATATAGGTTCAATGCTTTCTGGGGAAACATGTTGCCATCCATTGGAACACATTTCTTGTTCATGCTTTCTACATACATTTAACGACCGTTTTTATAATCTTAAATAAGCACTTATTATACACTGCGGCTGTAACGTCTGCTGTTTGAAATGCAATGCAAAACTTGTTTGGATTTGTTTTTCTTCCTTCACAATTTTATGAGTAAAAGATTCAACCCACAACCTCAGCATATTTTTTTTCATTTCTTTTTGAGTAGAAAACTTTTACCTTTTCATTTAAAAGAAGCACTTTATTATGGCTTCTCTTTAGCATATTTGAATGACCAGCATCACTACTTGTGTGATTTGGGGACATTATTGAGTAAGAAATGAATTACTTCAACACAAGCACTGCCATACCATAGCAGTTGAATAAATTGATATCTGAGAGGTTACTGATGATTGTGCTGGTATAAATCATGTCCTAGGTGGGACAAAGTAGGACTGAAAAAGATTTCATCATGATATTCAGAACAGCAGGGAACTTAAAACTTAGAAACTGTTTATTTGTAGATTTTTTTAATTTAATATTTTTTGGCCAGGTTTTGATCCCTGGTAACTCAAACCTCAGAAAGAAAAACTGTGTTCTCATTGCACATGCACCCTAGAACTTTAAGTACAATTATATATATATATATATTTTTTTATATTTTATATATAATATTTTATATTTTATATATAATATTTTATATATTATATATAATATTTTATATATAATATTTTATATATTATATATAATATTTTATATATAATATTTTATATATTATATATAATATATTATATATAATATTTTATATTTTATATATAATATTTTATATATTATATATAATATATTATATATAATATTTTATATATTATATATAATATATTATATATAATATTTTATATATTATATATAATATTTTATATATTATATATATAAAAGAAAAAAGAAAAAATGTGGATAAGGGGGACTATTGCACATAACCATAGATACATTTTCTCCATGATTTGTATGTGGTTAAACATAAAATAAGCTGAGAAAATACATAAGCACTCTTGACTATAAGTCTTGTGGGGGCTATTGGCAAAGAATTCCTCTGTCAGAAAATGTTTGAGTAGCCGCTTCTGAAATCTCTTCTTTTTTTAATTGTCACATGACAACAAAAATATTTGTTATAGAAAGAAAAATATAATCCATCCCTATCATTTGGATTCTGTATTTGTGAATTAGCCTACGTCCTAAAAGTTGTTTATAATCCCCAAATTATTACATTGCATTTCTAGTCATCATACAACATCATGCACTATGTGGAGAAAAGCATTAAAATAATAATTTATATTTCACCCATGAGATTGGCAAAGTTTTGTAAATTCAATAAGAGACCTCAAATTAGTGGGGTTATTTGGTTAATCAGTGATTTCTCTTAGAGTGGTGGAAAATAAAAAAAGTTTTATCTTCCTGTTGGACTTCTCTGGGAATAGCCTATAAATGTACTAAAGCAGCATTTAGGGTTGGAAGAGGTGGTTTATGCCTGTACTCCAAAGCACTTTGGAAGTCCAAGACCAGAGGATCATTTGAAGACAGGAATTGGAGAACAGCCTGGGCTACAGAGCCATACCCTGACTCTATGAAAAGTTTTAAAAAACATTAGCCAAGTGGGATGGTGTGAGACTGTAGTCCTAGCTACTTGGGAGGCTGAAGCAAGAGGATCCCCTGAGCCTTGGAATTCAAGGCTGCAGTGAGCTATGATTGTACCACTGCACTCCACAAGGAGACAGTTTCTCTAGAATAAATAAATATGCCCTTAGAGGAATGCCTGCATCTTGGATGAAACTCAATAAACAGTATAAAATGCATCTTAGTTAATTTCTAGTGTATGTGTAATCTCATAGGATTTATGTTACATATGATTCACTTCAGTCACGGTTTTTTGGAATGAAGGAGTGATGATAATTTAATCAGTGGTGCAAAGGTGTGTTCTAAATACTGCATAAACCTAATCGTCTTATCCTCTACCTTTCTCAATACTCCACCCTGTTAAAGAGGTGGGTGTGGTCTTCACAGATTCTTATAAAAGGACATAGAAGAGACAAGCTCAGTTTTCTCCAAAGGAGAAGGAGCACACTTAGAGGGAGCTGTATTTTGGTGACCTCTAAAAGTCAGTACTGCGGTGAATGAGCTCCAGAACTTGAGGAGTACTTAACAGAATTATTTCTGGAAGAATCACTGTGGGAACCATTCAAAGAACCCAGCGGTGAGTGAAACTTATATTGATAAAATTATATCTTCTTTCCTTTATAAAATAATAAATTAGAGTGTTAAAAATATCTCATTATCTTAAATCTACACAATGATACCATTGTAATTCATATTCTTACTATAGATTTTATGAATTATGAGGATACTAATTGTTGTTATTTTGCATTTTCTATCTTCAATATAGTTTTGAAAAAATGGAAATATCTAGTGTTTGCTGCAACAGATATGTATGCATAATGAACATATGGAGTTGATATTAATACATATATGTGCACATAAGTGTGTGTAAATATATGTGTAATGAGTGCATTAATATTAAACAATTGAATTGAGAAGACATTAATGAATGTTAATTCATTCATTCAGCTTTTAGACATAACTTTAAATTAGCAAGGTAATGATGAGAGATGCAAAACAGTGAAACTGAAAAAAATGAGAAAGCTCCCCAAAACATCCTGGTTTGGAAATCAAAACAGTTTTTTGACCAAATAAATTTATAAGATATAATTTGATACGTGATGGTGGTTGCCATCTCACTTGAGTCTTAATCTTATTAAACTATGAAAAATTCCTTAAAATGACTTAGATGACCTCTGGAGAATATTTACAATTCTAAGATTTTTCATTTCTTTCACTAAAATTCAGCAGTGTTATCAAATAAAGGAGAGTAAAGAAAAGGACTTAAAATTGCCAAAGACCATAGTTTATATATTAGTCAGGGCTCTCCAGACAGACAGAATGATAGGATGTATATGTATACATGTAGAGATACATTCATGAGCCATTTCAGTCAACCACAAACCACACATGGTGGTCACATAAGATTATAATACCAGTGTGTTTACTGTACCTTTTCTGTATTTAAATATGTTTACATACTAAATAATTACCACTGTGTTACAATTGCCTACAGTATACCGTACAGAACATGCTGTACAGTTTTGTAGCCTAGGAGCAACAGGCTGTACTGTATACCATAGGTGTGTAGCAGGCTATACCATCTAGGTTTGTGTAAGTATAGTCTATAATGTCAAAACAATAAAACCGCCTGGCTGGGCACAGTGGCTCATGCCTGTAATCCCAGCACTTTGGGAGGCTGTGGCAGGCACATCACTTGAGGCCGGGTGTTCAGGTCCAGCCTGGGCAATATGATGAAACCTCGTCTCTACTAAAAAAAGGAAAAAAAAATGAAAAAATTTACCAGGTGTAGTGAGGTGTTCCGGTAATCCCAGGTACTCAGGGGGCTAAGGCAGGAGACTCGCTTTGACCCTGGAGGCGGAGATTGCAGTGAGCCGAGATTGCACCACTGCACTCCAGCCTGGATGATAGAGTGAGACTCCATCTCAAAAAGTAAATAAATAAAACCTCCTTACACATTTCTCAGAACATATATCTGTCATCAAGCTACACATGACTCTACCTGAGAGGGAATTCATCAGGAAAATTCGTTTGCTTGATTATAGAGTCTGAGCAGTTCTAATATAGGCTGTCTTTAAGCTGATGTCCTGAGGATACCGGTATCTTGACTGAGCTCAAGGCTGAAAGCCTCAGAACCAGCTTCAGGAGAAAGAAAGAGGAAATTGCCTTTTCTCTGGCTTTTTCCTTTTATCTGAGCTACCAGCTGATTGAATGGTGCCCACTCACATTGAGGGATGATGGTCCCACTCAGCTCACCAACTCACATGTCTCTCTCCTCTGGAAACACCTTCACAGACTCACCCAGAAACAATGCTGCACCAGTTCCCTAGGTATTGGTTAATCCAGTCACACTGATACCTAAAATTCGCCATCACACCATAGAGATGTAATTACACCTCTCTGAGTTTAACAAAAATCCTACTATATGTTAGTTCAGAGTTTGGGTATCCCTAGGAGAAGTTAATATAATCCACGAGAAAATAAAAAGGCCCCATATCTTTAATTATGTTTTTCTCTTCTATTAAACCAAAATTGGTTTAATTGCTGTTTTTTTGTTTATTTGGTTGGTTGATTGGTTTTTCTATTTTGTTTTGGTTTGGTTTTTTATTTTACTTTAATTTCATATTATTTTAAGTCCTAAGATAAATGTGCAGGACATGCAGGCTTGTTACACAGGTAAACATGTGCCATGGTGGTTTGCTGCCCCACTGTTGTGTCTCTAAAAATATGCCATAGGACCCTCTAGCCATCTTCTCATATTTCCTTGGCCAAGGCAGTTTTTCCCAGTCTTTCATACTCAGCAGTTACATGAAAGAAGAATAGGAACAACTACAATTTATTCTAGGCCACTTAGAATCAAACCCAATTTCCAGATCAACATTCAGAAAACGGGAAATTGAATAGATTGGTATTGTGTTACAGACAGGAAATAAAAGTATAAAGGGTTGTGAGTCATCTAGTCAGTAATATCTACTGTAAAGCCGAGAGACTCTCTCTGTGTGAGATTTTTATTTTTGTTACAGAATAAATAGTGTGCTGTGTTTTAATGAATACTGTCAAGAGAAGAAAATAGGGCTATCAGGTATCTCCACATGTTCCGAAACTTTTCATCGACCCAGACCCCAAAATGACATGTTGCTCTTTCTTCCTCAGAAACATGAATTCTGGAATCTCGCAAGACTTCCAGATGGAAATTACCTGCCCCATCTGCATGAATTACTTCATAGACCCAGTCACCATAGACTGTGGGCACAGCTTTTGCAGGCCCTGTTTCTACTTCAACTGGCAAGACATCCCAATTCTTACTCAGTGCTTTGAATGCATGAAGACAACATGGCAGAGAAACCTGAAAACTAACATTCATTTGAAGCAGATGGCTTCCCTTGCCAGAAAAGCCAGTCTCTGGCTATTCCTGAGCTCTGAGGAGCAAATGTGTGGCACTCACAGGGAGACAAAGAAGATATTCTGTGAAGTGGACAGGAGCCTGCTCTGTTTGCTGTGCTCCAGCTCTCAGGAGCACCGGTATCACAGACACCGTCCCATTGAGTGGGCTGCTGAGGAACACCGGGTAAGTGATGCCTCTGAAGATCTATTTCTATAAATGACACATGAAATTCCTGTGGGTCTATTTTCTTGGAGATTGGGTAAAGCCAAACCTGAGTCCCTTTAAGCAGCTCACTTTTGGGCTTTCTTAGCTTCAAACCTCTGAGATTTGACGAAGAAGAAGGGAAATAGAAGAAATGCCATTTCCTAGGGACTTACTTGTCTCTCATTCTCAGCCCGCTCCCTATGAAACGGTCTGCATGTTACTTTATTGTTTTCACTGGTGATTCAATTTATGGCTCTTTTGCAGGAGAAGCTTTTAAAGAAAATGCAGTCTTTATGGGAAAAAGCTTGTGAAAATCAGAGAAACCTGAATGTGGAAACCACCAGAATCAGCCACTGGAAGGTTAGTTCTGTACTACTCTACCTTCTACCTTCTCCAGGAACTTATGGTGGGCAAATGGGTGACTCTTAAAATAGGAACTTGTTATCAAACTCTAATGTTTCTGGGAGTCAATAAAAAAAAAAAAAGAAAACACTGAGAAAAAGTGACCTCATTTCTTATATAGAATAGTATGACTGTTAGAAAGGATTTCTAAGAAAACTACTGAAGTCACCCAAAGCATGCTGGTTTGTTTTCATACAAACCTGTAGCTATACACCAACAGATACCAGAAACTGGGCCATCTCACAGCATTCTATATGTGCTGGTTGGATAAATGCTGGGCACAAGATTCATTTGGCAGTCATGGAAAGCTCAAGTGAACCTTCTGAGCCTGGGTCAGCATTAATCTGAATGCTGGTGGACAAGTAGTATTTGGAATTGTATGGAAAATTTGAGGCAGAAAGAGTGACAGGGGAAATCTAGGGCAACCATGAAATTAAGAATCTCAACTAATTAATATTGAATACTACATAACATATGATGAGAAAAGTGGTGAGAAATATGGATTTGTGTCTTGAGGGAGACATGCAAACATGCTCAAAATATGGGAACTAGTATCTAAATATAAGGAAAACTCTAAGGACTTCAGAGAAATATTAAAAATGATTTTCTCTTTGTGGATGTATACTTTGAGGGTATGATAGCTAATATTAGTGTTTTGAAAAGTATTTCATAAGAACCTAGTCTATGTTGAATATTAAATTAGAAAATTTGACAGTATAGAAGAAAGAAAGCATCTTTGTCCTCACAAATCGTACAATCCAAATGAGAGAGGCAAAAATGGTCAACATGCAAATATGTGCAATACATGATGTGTTCGAGTGTGGTAGGTTCTTTGTTGGAGAATAATCAAGCAGGGAAGTAGAAAAGGACAATAGAGGCCAGAAACTGGAGATTAGTGTCTGATTTTTAAATAGGGTGGTCAGAAAAAAGACTCACTGAAAAATTCAATTTGAACGAAATTTTGAAGAGGAGAGGGAACACGAATGTGTGTATGTATATACATATATGTGGACCATGAACGTGTATATATGTATATGTGTGTGTGTGTGTGTGTGTGTGTGTGTGAAATTCTAGTTGGAGAGAACAGCATATGCAGTAATTTTGAGTTTGTGTATATTTGGAGGCCTGAGGAACCACAAAGAAGTCTATGTTTCAGAATGGGATAACTTAGAAAAAGAATGGAAGGAAATGAATTCAGAGAGACAAAGATGGCCAAATCATAAATGCAGCCTTATTAAGATAGGTTTTGCTGGGTGAAATGCATTTAGCTGGACATGCTAGTCTAAGGTCATTTCACATATAATGAGTTTAAGCAACTTGTTACGTATCTCAGAAATAGAAATAATTATTTCCTTTCTAGTAACTATAGCTCTATACTCCAACTCTTAAGCATGAACTGTTCTTACTTTTCCATAAATATTGGCTGGAATAGCGAAATTCAAATTGTGTTTTTTTATTTCCAACTATCTGAGAAAACACATTATCTTGAATAAATTTAATGTAATTGGTCAGATACATCTATGTTGATTTTTATACAGAAAGAAAGGAAATGAACAAAATTTTGTGGATTCTAAGAACTAGCAAGACTGAGGTTTAAATTATTGGATGTTCGAGTGACAAACAGAATCAGTGAGATTTAGTAGGAGATGGATATATACATTTCTCTTTTGACTAACCCATTATCACTGCAGGATTATGTGAATTTAAGGCTAGAAGCTATGAGAGCTGAGTATCAGAAGATGGCTGCATTTCACCATGAAGAAGAAAAACATAATTTGGAGATGCTGAAAAAGAAGGGGAAAGATATTTTTCATCAACTTCATTTAAGTAAAGCCAAAATGGCTCATAGGAGGGAGATTTTAAGAGGAATGTATGAGGAGCTGAAGGAAATGTGCCATAAACCAGATGTGGAGCTACTTCAGGTACAAACTCACAATGTGGTTTCAGGTTTTTGAATATTCACATGTGTAAGTATATTCCTCATGGCTGAAATCCATCTCCCTACCTTTATTTCCATGATGTGTTTCCAAAAACACATTCGCATAACTAATGCTACTTTGTTGGGAGAGTATAGCCCCGCCAAGGGATTCTACCAGGCCAAAGGTCCCTCCTACTTTATCCACCAGCCACAAAACTTTGTGGAATGGTCAAGCTGACAGCCCCAATAACTATTCCCCATCTAAGTCAATAATATATTTTGGGTTGTTTAACATGTATAAAATAGTGAGTGATTCATTTACATTTAGGTTAATTTGAGGACATGGCAAGATCAGAAGTTTTGGGAATCTAGGCTCACATCAATATTATTTTGAGGTCCACTCATTTGGGTAATAGGTTCTGGGAAAGATGACTGGGTAGGTTATTTGAAGTTATCACAGAGCATAGACTCTCTGGGCCTCTTCTCCCTTCACTTCTGGAGAGAATGTCTTCAAGACTCAGACTTTACCAGGACATTAATTAATGACAAAACGACTAACTGGGATTTTCATTACAGAAGAAACAGAAAATGCTTTCCAGATGGTAGGGAAATAATATCTTTAGATACTGACTCGAAATTTCACACTGAACTTAGTGAAAGGTGCATCTTGTGAAATGTCCTACATATTTCTATTTTTTTTTACAGGGTTTCGGAGACATATTACACAGGTGAGTGTTTACCTAGATTTTAGTATATATTCTTTCAGTTTCCATGAATATCAAAGCAGGCTCTACCAAAGTCATGGCATAAATGATTAAGATATTGATACTACCTTTTTTTTGCATCTGCTTTCACTCTCACACCAGAAAAGACAAGAACACTAAATAAATAAATAAATAAATAGTGAAATAAAAAAAAATGTTTATTCCTGATTTTGTTTTATTGCTTAAAAGCCTGCATAGGTGAAAGATAAAGTTTTGTTTTGTGGATGGTGAGAAAGTCACCAGAGGAAGCAGGAGAGAAGTGGGGGAAGTATTTCAGCAGTGAAAAAGTTGATGATTTGTTGTTCATACCTACATACATATCAGTTAACAGTCCTGAAAAATAGGTTGAAAAAACTGTGGAGTATTAGAACTGTATAAGTCTCTAGGGAGGCTTGTTTCTAAAAGGCAGATCTAGCTGCCTAGAACAAGTTTCACATTCTTTATCTTGAAAAGGAAGCAGCAGATGCAGCAGTCTCCCCAGAACCCCGCTATTTCAGACAAAGATGTCAGGGGAGTCTGCCAAGAAGTGGAACTCAGAATTTCATTTCCAAATATTCTCAAGGCCATAAGGCTAAGGAACCTTACACATGTGGGGCAGAAAAAAAAGAAGGATCAGACTGAATTCTGACTCAGACTCTCCCACTATGCTTTAAAATTTGGAAACTGTAAATAGAAATTAATTCCAAAAAGGAAGGAATAATTTTTGAGTAATCAAATTTGTGGATTCAAAGGATTCTCATGAACTGTCTTTTAAATAGAAATAGTGGTTTTTGTTTATTTTATGGCTGTAGATGTTGTAACTGCAGGTTTTTCCTTCCAGGAGTGAGTCCGTGCTGCTGCACATGCCCCAGCCTCTGAATCTAGAGCTCAGTGCAGGGCCCATCACTGGACTGAGGGACAGGCTCATCCAATTCTGAGGTAAGTCTCCACCCACAGGCAGCACTCCCACTATCTAAATATTATTATTGTTAGGACCACATGGGTAATACTTCACCATTTATCAAATATTTTACTTCTTTATAGACATAAGTGAACAACATAATCATGCAACCCTTTTGTATCTGTGTCTGTATAGTCAGATTTATAGCATTAAGTTTGAAAGATAGTGAAAAACAAATACATTTTGGCCTCATATGTACTGAGTAATGTAATGGGAAAAAAGAGTAGTGTAGCAAATTTAAAAAAGGAGCAAATGGAACAATGCTCAGAATGAAGGTGAGTTATTTAATGTTAAATACAAAATTTTACATTTCCTTAGTGTATTCATTTGAACAGCTAAGAACTTTTTTTGGGATTATGGTTTACTGGGGATTGCTGAGGGTTTTTAATTTTTTAAATGGATATGTATCATGTATTGCAAAAAAAAATAGTTAATGGGTAAACATAAAAAGAAGAAACCATTTTGTGAATACAAGTAAAATTACAAACAAGAAGAACTTCAGTTTAATTGCAATATGAAGAGCTACATGATAAGTTTAAAATCCAGCTTCAGCCCCAAGCTAGCATGGAGGACCACAGAGAGACTGGTAAAAGATTTTACAGAAATCTGCTTTAAATTGTCACTTACGACATGTACTTACGGATTTTTATCCAGTCATCAAGAGCAGTTCTTGAGTAACTGAAAATCTTCACATTCTTTCCAAAATGATAGCACTAGTTTTTAAGAATAAGAAACATTTCTAAATAATGATCTTGATAATAGCATAGCATTTAGGGCATATAATGTGCAAATTTTGCTTTGAAAATTGGATTGAAAGAAGTTGGTCTTACATTTGGCTCTCAATAAGTAAGTTTTCAAAACATTTTTAATACCTGTGGTTAGTGTTTTGTTTGTCTTGTAGTTAATCATCTCTATGCTTTATTAGAAGTTAGAAGCAAAAGTGTCCTTGTGACTCTACATTTCCTGGTAAATTAACTTCTTGATAGAACAATTTTTGCTTATTGACACATGTCTATGCATGTTTTGTTTCTTTCTCTTTTATTTATTTATTTATTTATTTTGCAGTGGATATTACTCTGCCTCATAATGAAGCCAACAGTCATATCTTCCGATGTGGAGATTTGAGAAGCATGTGTATTGGATGTGACCGTCAAAATGTGCCCCATATCACTGCAACACCTACAAGTTTTCTTGCATGGGGTGCTCAGACTTTCACCTCTGGCAAATATTACTGGGAGGTCCATGTGGGGGACTCTTGGAATTGGGCCTTTGGTGTCTGTAATAAGTATTGGAAAGGGAAGAATCAGAATGACAATATATATGGAGAGGAGGGACTCTTTAGTCTTGGATGTGTCAAGAATGACATTCAGTGCAGTCTCTTTACCACCTCCCCACTTACACTGCAATATATCCCAAGAACTACCAGCCGCATAGGATTATTCCTGGATTGTGAAGCTAGAACTGAGCTTCGTTGATGTTAACCAAAGCTGCCTTATATACACCATCCCTAATTGCTCCTTCTCACCTCCTCTCAGGCCTATCTTTCGGTGTATTCACCTCTGACCAGAGATAAATCAGAAATGTGTTCATCTGCTGTGAGAATCCCTTTATTCCAGGAAGCCCTCTTCCTTGTGCCTTATCAAACAGGACAAATAGGTTCTGTTTTATGTCTTGAATTGCCTCCTAATGTTATTAAAACTCATTTATTGTGTTACTATTAAAAATGGTAAAAACACTAAAAGTATATGTATTGGTTCTTTATTAATTTTTGAGAAATCATTATTCGTGATCATGGCATACAGTATATTCTGTTTTTTTTTTTTCTTTATTTCTGACTGCCACTGAGTGAAATAATAGATGACAGACATGTCTGAATGGAGTTAAAATCAATGGAAGAGAGTCGGGATCTTTTGCTTCATGCAAAAGCTTGGAGTGAAGTCTTGATAGCTGGGAAATGTTTTTCTTTCTCTTTACCTAACTATATTGCACTTATCCATCACATTTCATTTTACTAATCTATCCTTTGAGTTAATATTATTTGATCTTCCATGCTGGGCTTCATTTCGGAATTCTCACCACATAGATAAACAATCCTGCATTAGTGTGCTCTTCTACATTGAAATACACAAGGTGGTCAGAACAATGCTGGATTAATTGAATTTTAAAAAACAACTAAATATTGACTCCTACCTCAAAACACACACAGTCATTTCCAAATAGATTCAAGTCCTGAAGATTCAAGTCCTGATACAATATTCTCATAAGGATTTCTTAACCAGGACAAAAATTAACAATTAAAAAAATTAGTCGGTTTATATTAATAACGACTTCTGTGTTTCAAAAAACATGATACAAGAATTGAGATGCAAACAATTAGTGGAGAAAGAGATTCACCCGAACTATATAAAATGAAATACAATACATGTGCATGATGAATACTTAAAATGTATTTTAAGTATTTTTCCAGATTCTTCCAGAGTGGCATAGAATAAACTTGGATGGCAGAGTCAATGATGAGATTAGCTGTGGAAATGGGAAACCGTTTTTTGGAGGACAGTAGTAATGCTGTGAACCTATGAAAACAACCAATTATTCAGTAGCAACTAAAATGTGTCTCCATAAGATTATTTTACAGATGCGTATCTGAAATCTGAAATTTGGAAGAACATTCTACTAGTGTTCTCTAGTGAAAAAATACAGCTGGAAGGAAGAAGGGAGGGAAGATGAAGGAGAGAGAAACAGAATGCATTTGAGAGAAAATGCTATTTAGACTAAAATAGAATACTGCAGATACCATGACAAAGTGGTTAAGGTGTGTCTTATGGAGCAGAAATGGCAGAAAATACCACAGTGAAGAGATTTACAATTGGATTGTTAGTTCCGGCTTTTATCCTGTCAATGTTGTGGCTTCTAAACACATCAGTAATCTCCTTTGATCCATGTGCTAATTAACAACCAACACTCTGCCCCCTCTCCCAGATTCTTTCCATCGCTTTAAACCTAATCTAATTCTAATCCAGCTGGTCACTGTAACACATGTAATCACCTAATAATTTTAAAAATATTTTTGATGAATAAATGAAAAATTAGCTAGGTGCAATGGCATAAACCTCTAGTCTTTTTTACTTTGAAAGCTGAAGTGGGAGGATTACTTGAGCCCTGGAATTCAAGGCTGTGGTGAGCTAAGATTGTGCCACTGCATTCCAGAGGGTGAAACTTTCTTTGGTATAAATAAATAAATGTGCACTTAGAGGAATGCTTGTGCCTTGGGAAGAAACTCAGGAAACAGTATTAATCAATTTTAGTTAATTTCTAGCATATTTACTCTGATAAGATTGATGATAGATATGCCTCATTCAGGCAGTGGTTTTTACAATGATAGTGTGATGCTAATTTAATCAGTGATGAAAAGGCGTGTACTAAATATTGCATAAACCTAATCATCTCTGCTGTCTCCACCTTTCTTAATACCCTAAATATCACTAAAGAGGTGGGTGTGGTCTTCAAAGATTCACATAAAAGGAAGTAGAAGAGACAAGCTCATATTTCTCCAGAGGAGGACAGCACTTCGAGTTAGTTGCATTCAGGTGACCTCTGAAAGTCAACTCTGCAAGGAATGAGCTCCTGATCTTGGGGAGTACTTAAAAGAACTTTTTCTTGGAAGAATTACTGCAGGAAACATTCATAGAACCTTGGGGTGAGTGCAACTTATATGGAGAAAATTATTTCTCTCTTCCTTTAAAATAGTAAATTACAGTGATAAAAATATCTGACTAAACTTACTTAATGATCTTATTTGTAACTCATAGTATTGCTATTCATTTTATGACATGAGGTTATTAATTGTTGTCATTTTGTGTGTTCCAAAAGTGTTTAATATATTTTTGAAAAATTTTAGATATCTAGTGTTTGCTGCAATAGATTTGTATGCATCATGAATATATGGAATTCACATTAAAACATATATATGTGTACTGCATGTACTAATATTGGTACACTTAATTAAGTAAAAAAGGATAATTATTGAATACTGTAAATGTTGTGCTTTCATAACCTTAAGCTTTTAGACATGATTTTAAGTTACTGAGGCAATGGTGAGTTAAAAATGGTGATACTAAAGGAAATAAGAATGCTCTCCAAAATGCCCTAGCTTAGAAATCAAAACACAATTGTTTAGCAGATAACTGTATAAGGAATGATTTGATACTTGATACTAGTTGTCATTTTAATTGAGGCTTACCTCAGATGAAACTATGAAAAATTCCTTGAAATGGCTCAGAAGACCTCTGAAAAATATTTGCAAGTCTTAAATTTTCACTGTTGGCACTTAAATTCAACAGTGTTTAGTAAAAGAGAGTAAGGTAAAGGACTTCAAACGGCCAAGGCAAAGATTACAGTTTGTATTGGTCAGGGTTCTCCAGAGAGACAGAACCATAGGATGTGTACATAACTATATATATATACCAAAAATACTTACAATTGTGGTACAATTGCCTATCGTATACCATACAGGTTTGTAGCCTAGGAACAATATGCTATACTGTATACCATAGGTGTGTAGTAGGCTATACCATCTAGGTTTGTGTAAGTGTACCCTATGATGTTCAAACAATAAGGAGACTGTCTAATGCGTCCCTCAGATCATATATCTGTCCTCACTCTACACATGACACTGTACAGGAGAGGAAGTCCACTAGGGAAATTTGTTCCCTTGATTATGGAGTCTGAGAAGTTGAACATAGGCTGTCATTAAGGTAGTATCCTGGAGATACCAATATCCTGGCTGAGTTAGAATAAGCTTCAGGAGAAAGAGAGGAAACTGCCTTCTCTCTGCCCTTTATCTTCAGTCTGAGCTACCAGCTGATTGGATAGTGTCCACCCACATTGAGGGCTGCTGTTCCCCACTCAGCTCACCAACTTACATGTCTCTCTGGAAACACCTTCACAGACTCACCCAGAAATAATGCTTTACCAATTCTCCATGTATTATTTGATCTAGTCAAGTCAACACCTAAAATTAACCATAATACCATAGTAACATAATTATATATATTTCAGTTTTTAAAAAACTGACTATATGTCAGTTCATAGTTGGAGTAGCCCAAAGAAGAAGTTAATTTAAGCCATAAGAAAAATAAACCCAATATTTTTCATTATTTATTTTATCTCCTAGTGATCCTAGACTGGTTTAATTGCTGTGTTTTTGTTTATCTGGTCGGTTGGTTTGTTCTGGGGTTGTTTTTGTTTTAAAGAGCCGGCTTCTGGGTCCCTCTCTCTAAAAATATGTCATAGCGCCCTCTGACCATCTTCTCATGTTTTGTTACCCAATGTAGGTTTTCTACTGCTCTCCCATAGTCATTCAGTAGTTATTTGAAAGAGAAATAGGGACAAGCATGTTTTATTCTAGACCACTTAAGATTAAAACCCGAGTTTCATATCGACATCCAGGGAATAGGTTTTTGAACAGATTTGCATTATGTTGCGGGCAGGAACTACGAGTAGAAGAGGTTGCGAGTCATCTAGTCAGTAGTGCCTGCTAAAAAGCCTAAGGACTCTCTTTGTGTATGAATTTTTCATTTTTGTTACAGAGGAAATAGTTTGTTCCGCTTTAATGAGCACTGTCAAGAAGAAAATATAGCTACCACATATCACCACATGTTCACAGATTTTCACCAACCCAGACCCCAAAATGACATGCTGCTCTCTCTTCTTCATCAGAAACATGAATTCTGGAATCTTGCAAGTCTTCCAGAGGGCACTCACCTGTCCCATCTGCATGAACTACTTCATAGACCCAGTCACCATAGACTGTGGGCACAACTTTTGCCGGCCCTGTTTCTACCTCAACTGGCGAGACATGGCAGTTCTTGCTCAGTGCTCTAAATGCAAGAAGACAATACAGCAGAGAAACCTCAAAACTGACATTTGTTTGAAGAACATGGCTTCCACTGCCAGAAAAGCCAGCCTCTGGCAATTCCTTAGCTCTGAGGAGCAAATATGTGGGATGCACAGAGAGACAAAGAAGATGTTCTGTGAAGTGAACAAGAGCCGGCTCTGTTGGCTGTGCTCCAACTCTCAGGAGCACCGGAATCACAGACACTGTCCCATTGAGTGGGCTGCTGAGGAACGCCGGGTAAGTGATGCCTCTGAAGATCTATTTCTATACAGGACACATGAAATTCTTGTAAGTCTATTTCCTTGGAGATTGGATGATGCCATCTCTGTGTCCCCTTAAGCATGTCTGTTATGAGCTTCCTTGACTTCACACCTCTCAGATTTGACAAACATGAGGAGAAACAAAGCAAACTCTATTTTCTGTGGGCTAATTTGTCTCTCATTTTGGGTCCTTCGTATATCAGAGTGTGAGTGATACTTTATTGTCCTCACTTGTGCTTCAATTCATGGCTCTTTTGCAGGAGGAGCTCCTAAAAAAAATGCAGTCTTTATGGCAAAAAGCTTGTGAAAATCTCAGAAACCTGAACACAGAAACCACCAGAACCAGATGCTGGAAGGTTAGTACCGTATTACTCTACCTTCTGCAGGAACTTATAGTGAACAAATGGGTGACTCTTAAAACAGGAACTTGATCTCAACCCATAATGTTTCTGGAATTCAATAAACAAGGAAAAAACACTTGAGAAAAAAACACCCTAATTTTTTATATAAGTTAGTGTGACTCTTTGGTAGGATGTCTAATCAGACCACAGATGTTACCCAAGCATGCTCATCTGTTTCCATACAAACCTATAGCAATACCCCCAACAAATACAAGAAACTGGGCCATTTCACACTGTTCCCAATGGGCTGCCTGGATAAATTCTGGATACAAGTGTTATTTGTCAGTCATGGAAATTTCAGGTGACCCTTCTAAGGCTGAGTCAGTATGAATTTGAATCCTGGTGGGCACCTATATTGAAATGTGAGCTAAATTTCAGGCAGAAGGAGCAAGAGCACAACCTTAGGGAAAGCATGAAATTAAATATCAGCGCTAATTAATATTGAGTAAGTCATAACACATAATGGGAAAAGTGGTGAGAAATGTAGACTTGTGTCTTGATGAAGACATAAATATGTGAGAAATATGGGAACTAGTATTTAATATAAGGAGAACTCTAAGGACTTGAGAAGAATTCTAGAAATGATTTTCTCTTTGTGGATGTTTATATTGAGGGTATGATATCTAATATTAATTCATTAATTTATTCTAATATTAATTCATTGAAAGATATTTTATGAGTACCTAGTCTATGTCAAATATCAACTTAGAAAATTAAGGATTAAAGAAGAAAGAAAACACACAAATCTTGCAATGGAAATGAGAAAAGCAAATGGTCACCATGCAGATATGTGAAGTACATGATGTGTTAGAGTGTAGTAGTGTCTTTGGAGAATAATCAAGCAGGAAAGTAGAAAAGGAGCACAGAGGCCAGGGACTGGGGCTGAGGGTTTGAGTTTTAAATAGGGTGGTCAGAAAAAAGGCTCATGGAAAAATTCACACTGAAACAAAATCTTGATCAGGAGGAAATATACATATCCTCCTGTTTGCCTTCCTCTTCTTCATAAATATATGAATATGTATGTGTATCTGGGTGTTGGTATATATATATATATATATATGGATATATTTGAGGAATATATATATACACACACACAGATACACGTATATATTCCTCATATATCCATATATACCTATATTTGAGAAATATATATATGAGTACATATATGAGAAATATATATATATATGTATATATGAAAATAATTCTAGGTATAGAAAACAGCATGTGCAGTAATATTTAATTTGCATTTATTTGGGGGTTTGAGGAACCACAAAAAAGTCCATGTTGCTGATTAGTGTGAGTTTGGAAGAGAATAAATGAAACCTTATTAGAATATGTTATGCTGGGTGAAATGCATTGAGTTGACAATGCTAGTCTGGGTCATGTCATCATTTGTCGTATAATGGTTTTACATAACTTGCCCCAATTCTCCAAAATAGAAATAATGGTTTCTTACCTAGTCAATATAACTCGATAGTTTGATTCTTAAGCAAGAACTGTGTTTTCTTTCTATAAATGTGGTGTGGAAGAGAGAAATCCATTTTTATATAACTATCTTAGAAAGCATTTTATCATTAATCAAGTAAATGTAACTGGGCAGAAACAACTATGTTGATATTAGTACAGAAAAAAAAGGAAAGGAATAAAATTTTGTGGAATCTGAGACTTGACAAGATTGAGGATTAAAATATTGGGTGTTCAGAATGCTAAGAGGAATCAGTGAAATTCAAGAGAAGATGGATAAAACATTTCTATTTTGACTAATTGTCACTGCAGGATTATGTGAGTTTAAGGACAGAAGCAATCAGAGCTGAATATCAGAAGATGCCTGCATTTCTCCATGAAGAAGAGCAACATCACTTGGAGAGGCTGCGAAAGGAGGGCGAGGACATTTTTCAGCAACTCAATGAAAGCCAAGCCAGAATGGAACATCCCAGGGAGCTTTTAAGAGGAATGTATGAGGATCTGAAGCAAATGTACCATAAAGCAGATGTGGAGCTACTCCTGGTACGGACTGACCATGGGGTATCATGATGTTGAACATTCACATACATGGGTGTTTTTCCTCTCTCCTGAAATCCGTCTCCCCCTTCACTTCCATTATTTGTTTCCAAAAACATGATTCGATAACTAATGCTACTTGGTTGGGAAGGTATAGCCTCTCCTAGTGATTCTACTAGACCGAAGGTCCCTCCTACCTTATCCACCAGCAACAAAACTTTGTAGAATGGCTAAGGTAACAGACAGCCCCAAGAAATATTTCCCATCAAAAGTCAGTGATTTATTTAGGATTTTTGAAAGTGGATAAAATGAGAAGTGATTCATTGGCATTTAGGCTAATTTGGAGACATGGCATGATGGAGAAGTTGGGGAATCTAGGATCACACTAATATTATTTTGGGGTCCACTCATTTTGGTAACAGGGCTTAGGGAAGATGACTGAGTAGCTTCTTTATGGTTACCACAGAGCATAGACTCTGTGGGCCTCCCTCCTCTCCCTTCACTTGTAAAGAGAATGTCTTCAAGACTTAGACTTTATCAGGACATTAATTCATGACATATGATAGACTGGGATTTTCATGAGAAAAGAAACAGAAAATGCTTTCCAGGAGGGAACATTGTAGGAAAATATCTTCAGAAACTGTCTCCAAATCTCACACTGAACTTAGTGGAAGATGCGTCTTGTGGAAAGCACTAAGCCTTTCTATTTTTTTTTTTTTTTACAGGCTTTTGGAGACATATTACACAGGGGAGTGCATACCAAGATTTTAGCAGATGCTTTCAGTTTCCACAAATATCAAGCAGGAACTTTGATATTGAAGGTATAATGGATTCAGATAGTGACACTGCCTTGTGCTGGTTGTACTTTCTCCATCCCCCACCCCCATGTAGTCATCTATTTTGTTGCCATACTCAGTGACTTTATTAAGCAGCTCAATGAAAGTTCTGCAAAACCAAATAAATAAATAAATAAATAAATAAATAAAACAAAAAATAAATAAATGAAAGAAAAATCAAGGAAGTGAGCATCTCTATTCCTAATTTCCTTTTTATTGCTCAAAAGCCTTCATATTTGAAAGAGAAAATATTACATTTACTACATGGCTACAAAGTCAACCAGGGGAAGCCAGAGAGAAGAGGGGAAAGTATCTTAGCAGTGAAAAGTGTTGATGATTTCTAGTTTATATTTAAATATATAATTCTGAAAAATGGATGAAACAAACTATTTGGAATGTTTGAACCGTGTAGGCCTCCAGAGAACCTCAACTATAAAAGGCAGATCTCCCTGCCTGGAGCAAGTTTCAACACCCTGGCCTTGAGAAGGAAGCAACAGATGCAGCAGTCTTAAAAATAACCCCACTTTTCCAGACAGTGATTTCAGGAATTTCTGGTGAGGTCTGGAACCCAGAATTTCATTTTTCAATATTCTCCCAGTCTTAAGACTAATGATCCTTACTAATTTGGAGCAATACGAAGAAAGATCCGAATGAATTCTCAGTCAGATAGACTTTTCCATCGTGCTTGAAAATCAGGAACTGTGAATAAGAATGGATTTGAAAAATAAAATGATAATTTTGGAATTAGCAAATGTGTGGGTTAAAGGGATTCTCATGAAATGTCTTTTAAATAAAAGTGGTGATTTTTATGTATTTTTTTTGGCTGTAGATGTGGTAACTGTATCTTTCTCCTTGCAGGTATGAGTCCCCGCTGCTGCAAGTGTCTGAGCCTGTGAATCCAGAGCTCAGTGCAGGGCCCATCACTGGACTGCTGGACAGGCTCAGTGGATTCAGAGGTGAGCGTCAGCCCATTGGCAGAATTCCCACAGTGTATTACTTCTTGTTAGAATCATGGGGGTAATATTTTACCCTTCATCAAATCTTTATTTCATTTCAGCAGGAAGTGAACCATATGACTATGCAACCCTTTTATATCTGTGTTTCTATTTATAGACCAATTTATAACATGAAGAGTAAAACATAGTGAAAAACAAATATGTTCTGGGATCACATGTATAGAGTTATATATTGGGTAAATGGAATGACATAAGAAATAAAAAATTGAATAAATGGAACAATGCTCAGAAGGAAGCGTAATAATCCAAGGTTACATAAAAATTTTGGCACATGTTCTCAGGATCTCCTGAGGGCTGTGTCACAGACCATGGTCACTCATATTTGGCTCAGAATAAATTTCTTTAAATATTTTACAGCTCTCCCTCTCCCTCTCCCTCTCCCTCTCCCCACGGTCTCCCTCTCCCTCTCTTTCCACGGTCTCCCTCTGATCCCTAGCCGAAGCTGGACTGTACTGCTGCCATCTCGGCTCACTGCAACCCCCCTGCCTGATTTTCCTGCCTCAGCCTGCCGAGTGCCTGCGATTGCAAGCGCGCGCCGCCACGCCTGACTGGTTTTCGTATTTTTTTGGTGGAGACGGGGTTTCGCTGTGTTGGCCGGGCTGGTCTCCAGCTCCTAACCGCGAGTGATCCGCCAGCCTCGGCCTCCCGAGGTGCCGGGATTGCAGAAGGAGCCTCGTTCACTCAGTGCTCAATGGTGCCCAGGCTGGAGTGCAGTGGCGTGATCTCGGCTCGCTACAACCACCTCCCAGCCGCCTGCCTTGGCCTCCCAAAGAGCCGAGATTGCAGTCTCTGCCAGGCCGCCACCCCATCTGGGAAGTGAGGAGTGTCTCTGCCTGGCCGCCCATCATCTGGGATGTGAGGAGCCCCTCTGCCTGGCTGCCCAGTCTGGAAAGTGAGGAGCGTCTCTGCCCGGCCGCCATCCCATCTAGGAAGTGAGGAGCGCCTCTTCCCCGCCGCCATCCCATCTAGGAAGTGAGGAGCGTCTCTGCCCGGCCGCCCATCCTCTGAGATGTGGGGAGCGCCTCTGCCCCGCCGCCCCGTCTGGGATGTGAGGAGCGTCTCTGCCCAGCCGCGACCCAGTCTGGGAGGTGAGGAGCGTCTCTGCCCGGCCGCCCCATCTGAGAAGTGAGGAGACCCTCTGCCTGGCAACCGCCCCGTCTGAGAAGTCAGGAGTCCCTCCGCCCGGCAGCCGCCCCGTCTGAGAAGTGAGGAGCCCCGCCGTCCGGCAGCCACCCTGTCTGGGAAGTGAGGAGCGTCTCCGCCCGGCAGCCACCCCGTCCGGGAGGGAGGTGGGGGTCAGCCCCCGCCAGGCCAGCCGCCCCGCCCGGGAGGGAGGTGGGGGGGTCAGCCCCCCGCCCGGCCAGCCGCCCCGTCCCGGAGGTGAGGGGCGCCTCTGCCCGGCCGCCCCTACTGGGAAGTGAGGAGCCCCTCTGCCCGGCCACCACCCCGTCTGGGAGGTGTACCCAACAGCTCATTGAGAACGGGCCATGATGACAATGGCGGTTTTGTGGAATAGAGAGGGGGGAAGGTGGGGAAAAGATTGAGAAATCGGATGGTTGCTGTGTCTGTGTAGAAAGAAGTAGACATGGGAGACTTTTCGTTTTGTTCTGTACTAAGAAAAATTATTCTGCCTTGGGATCCTGTTGATCTGTGACCTTACCCCCCACCCTGTGCTCTCTGAAACATGTGCTGTGTCCACTCAGGGTTAAATGGATTAAGGGCGGTGCAAGATGTGCTTTGTTAAACAGATGCTTGAAGGCAGCATGCTCGTTAAGAGTCATCACCACTCCCTAATCTTAAGTACCCAGGGACACAAACACTGCGGAAGGTCGCAGGGTCCTCTGCCTAGGAAAACCAGAGACCTTTGTTCACTTGTTTATCTGCTGACCTTCCCTCCACTATTGTCCTATGACCCTGCCAAATCCCCCTCTGCGAGAAACACCCAAGAATGATCAATAAATCAATAAATCAATAAAAAAAAATTTTACATTTCTTTACTGTATTTCATTTGAATTGTTAAACACATTTCATTAGAGAATAGAGTTCACTGCAGTTTGTTGGAGTATTTGTACTTTCTTAAAATAAATATATATTATTGATATAATGTAAAATTTTGATTTAACATGTAAAAAGAAAGAAGAATTATTACGTAAATAGGAAGTAAAAATGGAAATGATAATTTCAGTTTAGTTACAACATGAAGAGCTACGTGTAAAATCTAAAATTCGGTTTCAGTCTAGAGCTGGCAGGGATGTCCACAAAGTGACTGGTAAAAGATTTTGCAAAAATCTGCCTTAAATTACCACTTATAATTTGAATATATGGACTTTTATCCAGTTATCTAGAGCGGTGCTTGAGGAAGCTAAAATCTTCCCATTCTTGCCAAAATTATATCACTAGTATTTAAGAACAAGAAATATTTTAATAATAATGACCTTGATAGCTAAAGGGCATTCAGGGCATAAAATATTTCACTTTTACATTGGAGACTGGATTAAAACAGGCTGGTCTCATATTCGACTCTCAATTTTTAAGTTTTCAATAAATTTTCAATGTCTGTTTTTAGGGTTTTGTTCTTCCTATAGAGAATATTAATCATCCTTATACTTTATTAAATGTTGTAGTCACAATTCTCCTGTCCTTGTAACTTCAAATTTCTTGGTAAAGTAAACTCTTGGTAGAACAACTTTTCCCTCAAGAATTCTAATTTCTATTAATTACATGTATCTATATTTTTTAAAAATTATTTTTGCAGTTGATTTTACTCTGCAGCCTGAAAGAACCAATAGTCATATCTTCCTGTATGGAGATTTGAGAAGCATGAATGTTGGATGTGACCCTCAAGATGATCCCGATATCACTGCAAAATCTGAATGTTTTCTTGTAGGGGGGGCTCCGGCTTTCACATCTGGCAAATATTATTGGGAGGTTCACGTGGGGGACTCTTGGAATTGGGCTTTTGGTGTCTGTAACAATTATCGGAAAGAGAAGAGACAGAATGACAAGATAGATGGAGAGGAGGGACTCTTTCTTCTTGGATGTGTTAAGGAGGACACTCACTGCAGTCTCTTTACCACCTCCCCACTTGTGGTGCAATATGTTCCAAGACCTACCAGCACAGTAGGATTATTCCTGGATTGTGAAGGTAGAACCATGAGCTTTGTTGGTGTTGATCAAAGTTCCCTGATATACACCATCCCTAATTGCTCCTTCTCACCTCCTCTCAGGCCTATCTTTTGCTGTAGTCACTTCTGACCAGAGAAAAGTCAGAAATGTGTCTATATGCTCTGGGAACCTGTTTATCCCAGAAAGCCCTCTTTTTCGCACCTCATCAAATGGGACAAATAAGTTACATTTAATGTCTTTAGTTGCATTCTAATGTCATCAAAACTCATTTATAGTGTTTCTATTAAATATGGTGAAAACACTAAAACCATGTGTATTGGTTCCTTTTTAAATCATTTTTGGAAAATCATTACCCATGATGTATGGCATAGAATATATTCTCTGGTTTTTAATTATTTCTGAATGTCACAAAGTGAAATAATAGATGACAGAGTTGTCTAAATGAAGTTAAAATCAATGGAAGAAAGTAGAGATCTTGGGCTTCATGAAAAAACTTGGAGTAAAAAGACTCAATGGTAACCTGGAAATATTTTCTTTCTCTTCATCTAACAATATTATACTTATCCATGTGTTTTATTTATGAACCTATACTTTGAGGTAATCTTATTTGACCTCCTATGCTGTGCTTATCTTTGTAAATCTCATCTTACATACAAAATGCTCATGCATTATTAGAGTGCTGTTCTACAGTGAAATTTACAAGGGGATCAGGACAATGCTGGATCAATTAAATATTCAAATAGACATAACTGAATACTGACCCCTACCTCAAACCATACACAGTGCATTTCCACATGGATTCATGTTCTGAAGGTGAAGGGAACACAATAAAATATTTTCACACAGAAAGATTTCCTAACCAGGACAAAAAAGTAACAATTAAGAAGAAAAATTTAGTTAGTTTGTATCAAAAATGATGACTTCTGTGTTTCAAAATACACCATCCAAGAATTAAAATGCAAACCAAGAGTGGAGAAACATATTTATCCCAACATATATGCAATAAAATACAATACATGTGATTAATGAATGTAATAAACAAAAGAAAATGAACCCAATATAAACTTGGGAAAATATTTGAACAGCCGGCCTCTGGGGCTGGAAGGTGGGCACGGGCGCCTTGCTGAGGCGGACCCGGGGCACCACCACGCCGGGCCGCAAGCTGCTCCGCTGCAGGCGCTGCAGGGGCAGGAGGCTGGCCTTCCGCGGGGCGGGGTCGCCAGAGCCCCAGGACCCTGGCAGCGGGGCAGGTGGGAGGCCGGCTCTTAGGGAGCCCTCCCGGGAGCCCGCGGCCTCTGGGCAGGGCGGCTTGTGCTGCTCTGCGCTCTCCGCTTCGCCCGCCTCCTGCGCCTGCCTCCTCACCCCCAGCCGCGCCGCCAGAATTTCCTGAGCCGCCAGGATTTCCTGCACCGCCAGCCGCCTCTTCCCCACGCACAGGGAGCTCTGGGGGCACACGGTCTGGCACGCGAGGGCCACGGCGGGGCTGTTAGAGGCTGGTGGTCATCCTGACCATGTGGTCCAGGGCGCCCCGGTCCTCCGGGCCACGCACGGAGCGCGGCGTCAGCGTGGACAGCTCGCAGTCCCTGACCCTCTGCAGGCAGTTCTTCGAGCCCTCGGGCTTCCGCACCCTCTCGTGGAGCGGAGGCAGCTCAAGCTGGTACTTTTTCCCCAGTCGCTCCTGGCAGGGGCGCTCCAGGAGCCTCTGCATGAGACGGACGTGTAAGTGGCCACTCCTTTGGCGACCTCCCACGGCGGGGGCCCTCGCGTGGACACCCGCCCCTGCTAGCTCAGGGCTCGGATGCGATCGGTTCGACCCTGCATGGCGGCTTTCAACCCGAACGCGTCCATCCTTCAAGGTCAAGACCCAGGACATAGTTCAGCAAGTAGTTGGTGATGATAGCGTGCCCTGACTGGGCCAGAACAGCCTCTTTAGTAAAACAGCGCAGGAAAGTCATGAAACAGATGCTCAGCTCCTTTCTTCATTTTCACTTTAATTCCGTGATGCCTCTGTGTCCGTCTGACGACATCTCTCCTGGGGTCTGGGACTCTGCTGGTCTTCAATGCCTACTGAGAAGGGTTCCTGGCCATCATCAGGCATGAAAACCTCAAAGCCCTCCTTCCTCAACGTGGGATCCCTGGGCCAGCGGCATCAGCCTCACCAGGAAACCTGTTCTTCTGCTCATTCTTGGGCCCCACCCCAGGCCTATTCAAAGAAAGACTCCAGGGCAGGGCTTGGCAGCCTGTGTTTCCACCAGATCTGTGTTAAAGCTCAAATGAACCAGCCCAGGTGATGCTGACGCAGGAAGCGCAAGGCTGAGAGCCAGCGTCTAAGGCAACTGTGCCCATGGGGCCAGGGGCAGCTCCTGCCTGTGCAGCTATGATTAGGGTTGCGTTCCCCTCCCTGTCCTGCCAGTTGACTTCAATGTGGGGGCACTCAGCTAAGGCCACCACGGTATATCCACAAAGCCGTGGTAGCAGGCGACATTAAGGCCGCTCTGGCCATTGTGGTCAGTCTCCTGAGCCTTCTCAACGCTCACCCCCCGCCGCACCAACGTCTGCAGCAGCCCCACGCCTCCAGGACGCCCTCCTCCAGGACGCCCTCCTCCAGGACGCTCTCCACGCCCTCGACGCCGTGCTCCTCCTCCTCCTGGAAAGGGTACAAAGAGTCGTCCCAGGCGATGCTGCGGGTGTCGGGCAGACTGGAGAAGTCCTGGAACTCTTTGTAGTCAGCGCGGTCCTCCTCGACCTGTGTGCCTAGGAGTGGGGACGGCGGTGGCGGGGTCATGCAGCGCGCCCCGCCACCCTGCGGCTGGGTCCCAGCCAGCAGCACCACGCCGGCGGCCGGAGGCGTGGGCGGGAGGCCGAGGCTCTGTCCCGGAAAGCCTGGTGCGCGCCAAGGTCCCTGCTTCTTGCTTCTGCGTCCCCAGGGAAGCCCTAGCTCCCGCCCCCAGCCCGGTGGAAACCTCCCTTCTTTTACATTATTAAGTTTGTTTTTATTTCAATTTTTTAGGACATTGATAAAATCACTTTCAGATTTTTGAGATTAAAAATTAAATAATTTTCAAGTTTACCCTTTTAAAAATTTGTCACTATTTTAATACTTTTATTTTTTGTGTATTTTAATTATTGTAATTTATATCTTCAATTATTAGGGAAGAATTTTAGGAAAGTCTTTTCACATAATAAAGTCTAAGTAATTAACTATTATTTATTCTCTCTATCTCAAATACGTACTTTAACCTTTTAGAACACTTTATGTTTTGAGACTCTTGTTACTTATGTGACATTTTAACTATTATTCTTCACTCTTCTAGCGAATTTTTAATGTCATTCAAAGGGTACATCTTTCTATAGTGAGAATTAAACATAGTTCTCAAAAATATTCTCAAGTATTAGGAATTTCACCTTCCAATGGCATGTTAAGTATGTTCTCCTTCCCTTCTAATGCATATTCCCCACCCCCCGCCCCCTGCTAATTGTGTATTTTAAGTAAAGACAAAGTTTTACCATGTTGAACAGGCCAGTCTTGAACTCTTGACCTCAAGTGAGCCACCTGCCTCGGCCTCCCAAAATGCTGGGATTACAAAAACAGCAACTAAATGCTGGAATGATGACTGGGAACTTGTCTAGAGTCTCCACTGATTATCCTCCTCATAACAAGGCAGAAAGCCTTCCTCAGAATTATCTGGACTGACATTACTCATTGTCCAGACCTGTTAACAGACTCCTGGAACCAGAGCTGTGAGTCTCAAATGTGCTCCTTCAATAATGCAGTAGAAGGCCTGAGTTTCCACATAGTGGTATCCTTGAATGCCTGGAGACTTTTAAGGCATAAGAACGTACTGATCCTATGAACTGTATGTTTTGTAAAATCTCAGGTTATGTGAGGTGCTTGGACAAATTAAGTTTCAGGGTGATATCCACTATTGAGACAGAAAATTAGTCTAAAGAATTAAGACCTCAAAGTCCAGAATGAGAAAAAATTGTTTTGCTTAGAGCCTCCTTATAATTGTCTTACTTGTTTTATAGATATAAGCACTAGAGGACAAGCTCTACCTGATCTAGCTGGCCTAGACATATGCAGATTCATTAATTGTAGAAGAAAGAATTATAGCTTTCAGGTAAAATGGCTACAAAAAATAATTAGTTGCTGTTTTTGAGACAAGTTCTCACTCTGTCACCCGTGCTGGAGTGCAATGGCACAATCAGAACTCACTGCAGTTTTATAGTCCTGGACTCAAGCAATCCTCCCAACTCAGCCCCTGAGAAGCTGGGACAACAGGTGCACACCACCACTCAAGGCTAATTTTCTGTTTATTTTTTGGTAGAGATAAGGTCTTACTATATTGCCCAGGCTGATCTCAAACTCCTGGCCTCCAGTATTTTTCTGCCTTGGCTTGCCAAAGCACTGGGATTATAAGTATGGCCACTGTAACCAGCTTTAGATCAATTTTATTTAATACAGATACCTTCCCAATTAAAAATATGTTATTAGAATTCTCTTAATCCAGCAAAGCAATGTTATTACTGACCCAGTCTTCACTTATTTTCAGCTTACATGCAGGAACAAAATTACCTTTATTTTTTAATTTGTTTTATTTTATATTTTCAAGGTGCACAATATGTTGTTTTGAGATACATGTGCATAAGGAAATGATTACTATAATGAAGAAAATTAACAAATCGATCATATCACTTAGCTCTGCTTCTTTTTTATGATAAGAACATCAAAAATCTAGTCCCTCAGAATATTTCCCAAAAACAATACAAGATTATCTATTATACCTACAGGTTGTACATCAGATTCATTTATTCTACATTACTGCACCTTTACAACTTTTGCCCTTCATTTACCTATTTTCTTCCCACCAATGTAACCACCTTTTTTAATGTATTAAACTTATAAAAATAGATTTCAAATATGAGTGGGACCATGAAGTATTTTTCTCTGTGTGTCTGTCTTATTTCACTTAGGAAACCTACCATTTACATGTCTCCTAAATTTAGTACAGAAATAAAGTGCTAGTCAAGAATGTGTCTCCGTTTTGTAAGATTAATTTTTTTCCAAGTTATCCTCTTTATCAATTTTTACTTTTTGTATTATAGAAGAGTGAAAATTCTTGTATTAAAAAAACTGTAACCAGGCTATTGATAAATAACTTCCTTTAGGGATAAAAATCTCAGGAAGTTCAAGATTTATGTATTAATGATTGACGATGTTCTTAGTGGTCTCTCTTTGATTTATTTCAATTGTAAGTAATTCTTGGTGGTATTCTAACATAAATTCTGACAGGTGAAGAGAATAAATAAAGTAAGTATCTCTAGGAGAATCAATACAATAAGATTATCTTGGTTAAATGGCTAAGAAAATATGGTAAATAGACACAAAAACTGTTTCATCTTCCAAAATCAGAGTCAAATACTAAGTGATCGTAAAGTAGCTAATTCTGTCTTTCCGCCAAAGTGAATCTGAGCTAAATTAGAAGAATGTCAGGAATAATTTTTCCTTGAAATCTAGCAACAAATAATGTAATTAAATTATGAGGCTTTGACTGTTGCATAGAGTTTTAGCATCAACAGAAAAGCTCACAAAACATAGGTGAAAATCAAAAAGGAGTGCTGGGTTGGAGCCCTAAGGTGAGTAATTTTATCATCTCAGATCACTTGGAAAAAAGCAGCGAGTCCAAAAGAAGCTGGGGATAAGCTTTCTCTCTGCTAACCCCTAATGTTCTGCATGAAATATGTGGAGGCAGAAGAGAGACAGTTTATTATAGTCTACATGGTATAGAGTGAAGGAATAAGAGAATATTTCTGATAAGTATTTTCAAAATTTGGAGAATCATTCCTATCCAAATCATTCATTTAAGGGACTAAAATACAAATAAGATGTTTCTTGCCACATAACCCTCAGCTAGCCAGGCTCTAAAAAGGACAACACTGGACACCCCGACAGTGGTAAAAAGCAGGGTTTACTCACTCTTGAATAACTAAGAACTGGTGCTAACCTTAGGCAGCAGCTTATCTATTTGGTTGAGGTTCAGCTTTGTTTCATTGAACAAATCTCTTGGGTTATTTTCAGTTGTGCCAGTCATTTAATTTGTTTTCTGAATCAAATGATAAGAATAAATATGGTTTAGAGTGTAAACAGCATTCCCAGATACATTACAACTTGGTGTCCCATCTGCCTAATTTTGTAGCTATAGGACGGGAACAAAAGCATTGTGAGGAACACCAGGTGCTTTCCTTAAAGCCAAATACTCTTGTCCCTCCTACTTTTCTTCCGGCTTTCCTGCTGCATGGGACATGGCAATAAATGGGAGTTTCCTGCACACAGAGATAAAATTCACTTGCTGAAGATGTCAGTCTTCTTCTTGACCAACTCCTATGTTGGTACAAACATGTGAGAGAAATGCACCTTCTGAATCATTTCAAATTCGTGGTCTTTGTTAGAGCACATAAGCCGGTGCGCTAGGAGATGTAGCTATTACATTCTATTATAGAATTTTCCATTCTCTATCATCTGGATTCTTATTTGAAATGTAACCAAAGTTTGTTCTTTCTACTGCATAAGAAGGTTTATACCACTTTATGCTTAGCAAGTAATTATATGTCAGTTTAAATAAGGACAGCCTCCATTATTCTAAGTCCTGTTCCTGTTCCCCATCATCTTATATAGGAACCTTCCTCTTTCCATAGTTTATATGAAAAAACCTAAGACAATTGAAATCAACCCTGTAAAAATTATGCTACAATTATTTTAAACCCCAACATAATAGTGTTATCTTTGATATGAATCTGAAAATCAATTTATTTCTTATCTTTTGATAGATATTCATTAGTATGTTCTGTCCTATTTTGTTACTTATATTTTGGAAAAGTTTCTTAATGTTAGAATAGTATTTATACATGTTAACTCCTCTACTTATCCATTTACTCATCTTATTTACTGTGTAATCTATTCTAAAAATTGCATTGAATAATTGTAATATATTAGCAAAGAAGACAAATACTGCCATTGCCCCCTTGGACTTTTCAATCTGGTAGTAATAAGTATAAGAGTTTTCTTAATATTATAACCTGATATAATATATTCAGAGAAGATGTAACAGCAGAGCAACCCAGCACTGAAAAACTGTTGTATGAGCTGAAATGTGATTAATAACTAGGTTGTTGAGACATAATAAAGTCTGTGAGGTCAACCTAACTTGCTCAGACTTAAAAAGAAAAAAAGCACTCCTTTTATTCTTTGTAAGATGAGATATCCACCACTTCATTATTCTACCCCAGCCTGGTTGAAATATACGACTAAGACAAATGGTTTACAGTGTGTACAAACTGAAAACATACTCTCTGAAAAAGAAATCAGATTAAAAAAAGAACTTACATTGTATGATTTTATTTACCTGAATGCAAAAACATAAAAAGTAGATTAAGTGCTGTCAAGGAATGGGGGAGGGTAAAAGGAGAATTAATGTTAATGTGTATTGGGATTCTTCTGGAAGTGATAAAAGTTCACAGGTAGTAGAGAGCTCTGATGGCTGCTCAAGTGTGATATACTAACAATATCTGAATTAAATACATTAGAACATGACTTTTACAGTAAATGAATGAATCTCAACAAAACTAGTACGAAAAAACCATTATTGATGTTCTAGTAAAGATTCCACAATAACTTATTAATTAAAATAATTTAATTAACAAAAGTACACATTCAAGGTGGTTATCCCATTCATAACCACATAGTAATTACATTCCATGAAGTTACAATGAGCTCACAGGCTCTCGCACATAGTGTCTTAGGACAGTATTTGCCTCATATGTGGGAGGTCACAATAAATCATCGTGAAACCAACTTTTCATGTACAACCAAAGCAAAAGAAAGGCCTCAGAGGGGAAGAGAAGGAGGAAGGAGGAAAACCATAGATAAGAGAACCTTTAGAAACATCAAAAAAACTCACAGATCCATTATCATAATCCAGAAACACCCCAACTTGACCCAGAGGCCTTTGCACATACTGAATTAAAGGTGGAGAGTTGGTGGAGAGACTATAGTGATTGCTCCTCTTTGAGGAAATTAAAAAAAATCTTTCATCAGAATCAATAACGAAATTGGCATCTGCAGTCCTGGAATCTTGACAGACTCCCAGAATCCAGTTGGAGGAGAGGGTCACATCCACCTCCCAGTAATGCTTGCCGGAGGTGAATGCTTGCGCTCCCCACACAGCAAAGCTGTCCACTCCCTGGGGATCCGTGGGAGCACTGAGATGGTCATCTCCAAATATCACATATCTCACATCCTCAGAAAGGCTTATATAGCAAGGAATCATTTCCGTGCTCAGAGCACTATCCACTGACAAGAAAAAAATATTATATTAGTGAGTGTTATGAGGGACAGAGGCTCTGTGGCCCAATTATTCACTTCATTTGCTCTTCTTCCAAGAAAATACAGAAAAAAGGAAGCCAAGAGGGGTCAGCCCCATGCATTCATGAAGATGAAATGTTATTACACCTCTACAGCACATACAATTATGTATTATTCCTTAAGTAATAGAGAAAAAACGTGACCATACCACAGGGGAAATAATGATTTAATGTCTACATCTGCATAGTTGGTTTCAGGGCATATGCAAAATGTTTTTTTTTTCTTCAATAGAAAACTCTCCTTGTATTATTTGTTTTTAAGATCATCAACAGGTAGACATCAATTTGCTGTGATGTGAGTATTTATTGGAATGTAAGTTATGCCTGTTATAGTCTCAAACATCAAAAATTTGGTAGAAATTAACACATGTAAAATTTATAAGTTTCTGAAAAGAATATTCTGGCTTTACATTATCTGTTTAGCTCCTGATTCAATCTACTCTGGGTTCCTGCCCTCTGCTACCCAGACCTGCTCTCTAGAATGGGCCTAACATGGTTAAGCCGTGTTCACAGATCCCTCACCTTTCACTTGTTACTAGATGTATCTGATGGCATTAGAATTGTCCTGATTATGGATATTTTAGTCATTTTCTTTGTTGATCAAAATGTTCTGATTTTGTAAATAATAAAGGTTACTTGTAGAATGCATGTAAATGCACATAGAATAGAAACAATTAAAAACCATTATGCCAAATCTAAGCCTTCAAAATTGAATTAAATTGAATAAACATGAAATACTGATGCCGCCATGAGAACTAGAGTCTTCATAACTACATGATCTGAATATTTTGTCCTCTTATTCTGCAGATAAAGTATGTATCTTGCTTTACATTTTCGTCAAACTGTAAGTCAGGAAATTGAGTTTTGATCATTGTAATATTACTATGCAGGTAGGGAAGATGCACATGTTTCGGAAAACTATGTATTACCTACATGTCAAAACTAATAAAACTTAAATGGGAAAATCCTCAACCAAGGGACCCAATAAGGAAATAATTTGAGGCTGGAATGCCAAGCAGCTGGCTCTTACCTCTGAAGTTGTTGAGCATGTCTAGGACTCCAGTTATGCACCATGAAGTGAGCTCTGGGTTCACTGGCTGGGGCTTTTGCATCTGTGCCAAATCAGTCCTGCAAAAAAAAATGGCCTCAGTTATATTTCCAGGCCCAGAGCTAATCACACAGTCATACAAAGATATCACATTTTCATATAAGATGTTTCCTCAGAATTCTGCCAGTTTTGGTTAACTGGGTGTACATTTTATTCCACACTCTAGGGGCAATAAGGATGTTACTTTTTCTAAACTTTGCTTCCAATTTCCCCAGATACGTTATTCTCAGACATTATACAACTTCTAAAGTCATTAAAAGTCATTGCCTCCCTCTGCCCATCACACCCCTTGAGGGTATGCAGAAATCCTGGAAATATTTCAGAGAGCAGAAAACTCAGACAAAAACCTTTGCGACCTCAGCCTGCAGTTATCACTAATGCTAGTCAGTGTCTAACAGAGAATGTTCACTGAGACAAAAGGCTTTAATCTTTTGTGCAAAACAAAGGAGTCTAATTCCAGCCTGAGAACCTTGCTGCTGAGGGGCCCGAGGCAACCATTTCCCTGAGGTCTTTCCTAGAACTGGGTGTATGGTGATGGAGCAGGCCCGGGTCATTGATGCTTTTAGGAGCAAAACATCCCTCCTCAGCCCTTCCTTAGGGAATCTCTCTCCTCCCTCTGTCTTTTTTTTTTTTTTTAACCTCCCACCCCTCTAGAGTAGAAGATGCCTCTATGATTCCTCAGAGTAATTTTGTATTAAGATCTGTGGGGTATGGTTGGTCAGGACGGATGGACTGGGAAGAACAAACTTCCGAATGGCAAATTGTTTTTATGTATATTTTAATTCATACAAATTTTAAGATGAAAACTTTCCAGACCAAAGAGAAGAAGACCTCAGGCCCTCTTTTGAAACAAAATTGGAAATAGCCACCGACAACGATGTTAGTACTCAAAATGATACATCCCCTTCATTCGCAAGAGAACAAACTTTTCAGAAATAGCATTTTTTTAGTGTAAAATCACCTTGCTGATACATTTCTCACATCCTGCAAAAAAATGAAAGATAATGTTAATTATGAGAGATTTTTCCTTCTGCATCTTTTCTCATACTCTTGTTTCTTTCTGTTTTAATAATGTATATCTTTTTATTTCCTGCTAAGGAATCATTCAAGACTACATTAATAATAGAACCTCAACTAAACAATAAAAAGCTTCATCAGTGGGCATTAAGAAGAAAGGAGCTCAGCAAGAGACAGTGGAGTAAAGCAAAGATATCTAGGTTTCCAGTGTCATTAATTTCCTAATCTTACTTCCAAGGAAAGGTCTGACCACACATGACAACGATTAAAACAAAACAGAGAACCATATGAGAAACAGAGTACATGGACATTGATGAGCAGCTTTGACAAACCTTGCCCAGGCAAGGGGAAACCCCTCAATGTCTTCAGCAAATCACTGCTGTGTGGGACATCAGAGAGAGGAGGAACTGGGGCATATAAATGGAGTATTACTAACCTTCCCCTGGCCTAGAGTTCTAACGATTTTAGATGATCTCTCTGTGTGGATAGTACTCCAAATTATATTGAAGAGAACTTTGTTATATGTTATCTGCTAAAATGGCAAAAATTTCCCAAAGATTACCAAAGTATGCAGTAATACGTGAATGGAGAAGTGTAATGGTGGAAGTCAGACAGCATGTGTCACTTAGCTTAGAGCAGTGACATACGCAGGTGATATTTGCATGTCCTGGCAGCACTGTCCAGCAAAGGCTTCCTGTCTCTGAGGATGGACCCTCCCTCCTCACCTGGAGCAGCTCCACGTCAGGCACGTGGCATGTCTCCCACAGCTCTCTGTACATGTCTTTCATCCTTTCTAAATGTTGGGTCATTCTCACTTGACTGTCTTGTAGTTGTTGGAAAAGCTCTTCTGCTTCTCTTTCCAGTGCCTGCAGATGCCGTTGCTCCTCCTCATCGAGAAATATAGGCATCTTTTGATATTGAATAGTGATTATCCTCTTCCTTACTGACACATAGTCCTGCAGAGATGTTTGGTTAAAAGGATTACATGTTCTCACTCTCAATAGAAAACTTCAAATAATTATATGCTGGGTGTAATCAAGCAACTTATAAACTTTCTGCCTCACTCTTGCAAGGAGTCTTGAATATTTGCTATCTTCTTCTGTCCATCTTTTTCAATGTTCCTATTCTCTCTCCCTCTTTAAATCAAACCTATATAAAGACTCCTGGTTTCTGTCACTGTGATGCTTCTTCACAGTTGTTACTGAGTCAATTGTTTCCTCTACTAATCTCTCTTTTAGGATTTTTCCATGTCTGCTTTGCCTGCATGCTAAAAAACATTTAGCCATACACCATATTATGCAGTTTTTTTTTACTTTTACCATATTTTTACTCTATATACTATTCTATTTCTTTCGTCTTCCTCACACCCAAACTTAGTGAAATGTTGTCTCATCTGCAGTGTCTGAAAAGGTTTATACCAACCTTCAAATTTGAACTAGAATACACATCATGCCGTTTATCCAATATACTAGAATTCATTTGGCTAGCTTGTGTGGGCTTCTCTGTTTGCAACTCCTATTACATCAATTGAAATCACTACATTTTCTTGGGATGAAATCACTATCTTGCAACGGGTAGTTTGAATTTAGCTAAAAAGTATAAGCTAACATTGTGTTTATTTGCATAAAAACAAAGAAAACATTTTCATTCTTACCTTTAACGAATGAAATGTTCTAGTTTCCTGATTTAGATTGTTTCTTGTCTCTTGATTGATTTCCCATAAATAGTCCATTTCCTTTATAAGTTTCTCCTGCAAAAGAAGCAAGAAGCTTAGCAATAATGAAGACAGTATAGTAGATTTCATACCCTTATCAATTAAAAAAAAAGGCTGTAATTGAAAGAAACATAAATTAAGTTGGAGTGAAGTGGTCAGATTTTTCCAAGTTAAACACATTTGGTTCTAATAATTTGGATGTGAAAAGTGATAGAAACATAATAGAGAGTTTTAAGGGACCCTTCAGATAATATCATCAATATTCTGAGAAACTGGCTTTCAGATAACCTGACTTTGAAAAGTGTTCTTGGTGCTGGCCACCAGCTCCACAGCTCCATTCTACACGTTTGAACAATGTTTCTAAGGAAACCTCCTTTAGCGAAGTCTCAACACAGCTATGATTAGAGTGCCAAATTAGCCAGCAACATTGAAAGGACACATTTATGTGTTATGATTGACATGGAATAATCACCACCTCCACCATCTGCATTCTCATCACCATCATTATCACAGGCCCTCATCATTCTTATTTGGGATTCTGTATAATTCAAACTGCCTTAGAGGCATCACGTACCCTGCATTCCTCAGCAGCCCATCCTATTGGGCTGTGGCTGTGAGCCATGTGCTCTGGTGACTCAGAGCAGGGCCCACAGAGCAATCTCTTGTCAGCCTCACAGAAGAGCTCCTTAGTCTCCTCATGGAGCACACAGATATTGTCTGAGCTGTTGATGTTCTGAGGTCTGGTCTGTCTGGCTAGGGAAGACAGCTTTTTGAGTACCACATTGGTGTTGAAGTTGGGCTTCTCTGAGATTTTTCTGCACGAAGGGCAGCGCATTGGTGCTCTGCCTTCTTCTGAGCAGAGGCAGAGGCAGGGCCTGCAAAAGCTGTGCCCACAGTCAATGGTGACCGGATCTATGAAGTAGTTCACGCAAATGCAGCAAATGAGCTCATTCTGGAAGACTTGCAGGTCGTCTGAATCCATGTTTCTGGAAATTAAAAAAAAAAAAAAGTGAGAATTTCTTTCTCTTATTTTTATTTACCCCGATGAAAAGGAAAGAAAGGCCGGTGGACAATTTTCCTTGTCTACTTGAGCTCTGTCCAGCATGTCTAATAAGTTAGCTCCAGCACAAACTGAGACATAGTAAATTCATACATGCTGGATTTATAAAGTTTTCCCTCAATAGCCATCGAAGATTCGGTCAAGGACTCCCTGAGAACCAAGATCCTAAGATGTTCAAGTCTCTTATTAGTAAATGGTGTGAATTTGTATGTAACCTAAACCTATCCTCCTGAATACTTTATGTCTAGATTACTTTGAATGCCTAATACAATGTAAATGCTGTATAAATACTTGTAATGCCATACTGTTTAGGAACAGCAAGAAGATTAAAAATATGTACATGTTTGGCAGGGCGCGGTACTCATGCCTGTAATCCCAGCACTTCGGGAGGCCGAGGCGGGCAGGTCACGAGGTCAGGAGATCGAGACCATCCTGGCTAACACCGTGAAACCCCGTTTCTACTAAAAATACAAAAAATTAGCAGGGCGTGGTGGCACGTGCCTGTAGTCCCAGCTATTCGGGAGGCTGAGGCAGGAGAATCGCTTGAACCCAGGAGGCGGAGGTTGCAGTGAGCCGAGATCGCACCACTGCACTCCAGCATGGGTAATGGAGTGAGACTCTGTCTCAAGAAAAAAAAAAAAGTACATATTCAGTACAGCTGCTTTTTTCACCCTGTAAATATTTTTTATCTGAGATTAGTTGAATCCACGGGTATGAAACTTATGAATATGAACAACGAACAACTGTGATGCAAATGAGAAAATGAGACAACAGTCCTCATGGCATTTTTGTTAAACAAGCCGTGCTCTCAGTCATTCCCAGTTACCTAGACAAGCTTAAAGCCTGGGTGGAGGGTAAAAGCTGGGATGATTTCTGAGTCACTTATGTAAGCTAATTAACGAAGAAGCACATTCTGAATGTCATCCTGTTTCTGTCATTCTATCTCTCTCAATAATTCCATGATGATAATATATGAAAGACACTTAGTATCTATGGTATTATTCTATACTCCCTGCCTCCAAACTCACCTATGAAGTTTGCTCAGACAATTATAAATAAAGTAGCTTTTATCTAAGATTGAGTAATCACAGTGGACTGTCAACTCCTAAAATTATCAACCATTAAATTTGTCCTTTTAACTTTAATATCAAAACTCTTCCTTTCAATACATTAAATGTAAATAATATCTATTATTTTTAATTAGGAAAGTTTTTTCCCATTGTCAATTCTGATGATTAGAGAGAACACTTTCACATTCTGAAATAGCCAATATTTCAACTATAATTAACAAGAATTAATCAACAACTAATTATCTTCTAAAATAACAAAAAAAAAGTGAAGATATGTATTAGGTTTTCCACTCTACACTAGAAAATCCAGAAATGCAGTTAATGGAAGCATGGCCGCCAATTCACCTTTCGCTTAGTGACTTGGAAGTTGCAGCTTCTTGGGAGCCCTTGCCAGTTGGTTAGATCTATTGATCTATTTTCTTTCTTTCTTTTTCTTTCTTTTTTTTTTTTTTTTTTTGTTGCTGTTGTTGAGATGCAGTCTCACTCTGTTACGCAGGCTGGAGTGCAGTGGCACGATCTCGGCTTACTGCAAGCTCCACCTCCCAGGTTCAAACAATTCTCCTGCCGCAGCCTCCTGAGTAGCTGGTATTACAGGTGCCCACCACCACGCCAGGATGATTTTTTTGGATTTTCAGTAGGGACTAGGTTTCACCATGTTGGCCAGGCTGGTGTCTAACTCTAGACCTCAAGCGATCTGCCTGCCTTGGCCTCTCAAAGTGCTAGGCTGCAAACATGAGCCATCATGCCCAGCCGATTAAATCTATTTTCAACAGCTTTCAAATCTAGTCTGCAAATTGCAAATTTTGAAGAGACAGCAAATAAGACCTTTGCAACAAGAATTTTCAAAGTAATTCAACATTTTTAACGTTCGCTTTGGCTTACGTTATAACCACTACTACATGCCCACATTCTGGTGAACATTTTAGGTATTTTATGGGTTCTATCATTGCATGAAACTATGGAAATATATCTTTTCACACTTAAGAAAAATCTAACAATACAGAAAACAGTCACATAGTCAAATAGCAAGGGAACACAAACCATATCTTACAAATTGAAGATACTTTATATTGATTTTCTGTAAAATCACTAAGACAGTCATTTGTTTGCTTAGAAAAGACCCAAGCATGCTGCCAGGTAAATTTAAAGCATGTTTAAGAGTAAAAGTGAGCATGATGGTTTTGCTGCACACTGTATACTCACAAGGCTACTATGAATGGTCTCAGTCTAGAAACTCTGTAGATATCCAGATTAGAAGTCACTCCTGGCTCTTCAAAGCCCAGCAGCCACAAATCCAGTGGGTCCTCACTGAAGGAGAGAGAAATCTCTGGACAAGCATCCTTTTAAAGTGTATGGGCCCACGAAAGACCACACCCACTTCCTGAGGTTGATTAGATTGCGTAGAAAGGGGTAAATTGGCTGATTAGGTTTATAAAGTATTGAAAACCAGACTTGAGGGCTCAAAGCTCAACAGACAAGTTTGGAATGAGATGCAAGAAAGTTGACTTAACACTGTTTATTCAAAGAAATATTTTAAGTGTAACAATTATTTCACTACATATTATCACATGCTTTTTTTTTTTTTTTTTTTTTTTTTTGAGACGGTATCTCGCTCTGTCGCCAAGGCTGGAGTGCAATGGCTCGGTCTCAGCTCACTGCAACCTCTGCCTCTGGAGTTCAAGCGATTCTCCTGCCTCAGCCTCCCAAGTAGCTGGGATTACAGTCGCCCGCCACTACCCCCAACTAATTTTTGTATTTTTAGTAGAGACGGGGTTTCACCATGTTGCTCAGGCTGGTCTCAAACTCCTGATGTCAGGTAATCTGCCCACCTCGGCCTCCCAAAGTGCTGGGATTACAAGCGTGAGCCACTGCACCGGGCCACATGCTAACTTTAAAATTTTGTTTCTCACTCTGTTTTAAAATTATAATTGCTTAAGTGCCTAGCCGTTATTTGTCTGAATATGTTCAAAGATAAAACATTAACTGGGATTACCAACATATCTGTGCTGTGTCACTCTCTTGTTTAAAAAAGTATAACAAGGAACTCAATTGTGTTTCACAAAATTGTATATATAATGGTTGATATAATTAGCTGTATCGGCCTGTTTAACTTATTTTTACTATTTTATGACTATTTCCTAATGATGGATTTATATGAAAATAAAATCTGTTTTTTATTTATCCACCCTTTTCAATAATTTTAAAACTGAAACTTTACATATATATGTACATAACTATCTATAACAATGTTACGTATTCATATTTTTAAAATTATATAATAATTATTTACACAATAATAATAATTATTGTTACTTTTTTTTTGACATGCAGTCTCCCTCTGTCACCCAGGCTGGAGTGCAATGGCACGATCTCGGCTCACTGCAACCTCTGCCTCCCAGGTTCAAGTGATTCTCCTGCCTCAGCCTCCCGAGTAGCTGGGATTACAGGTGTCTGCCACCGTGACCGGCTGATTTTGGTATTTTTAGTAGAGATAATGTTTCACCAAGTTGGCCAGGCTGGTCTCGAACTCCTGACCTCAGGTGATCCGCCCATCTTGGCCTCCCGAAGTGCTGGGATTACAGGCATGAGCCATGGCACCTGGCTGCTATTTATACAATAATTATGTGCATAATTATCTTTAATGGTGCCTGAAAGTTATTTTTAACATGGTTGCCATACTAACCGATTTTGTTGTCGTTTACCATGATTTAATAAATCACCAATGTTTATACATAGTTGTATTCATAAATTATCTAATGTTTGGGGAGTTAGGTCATTTCTGTAAACTTAAAATTAACAAACCTTGCTAGAAGTTGAAAAAGTAAAAATCTATATAAAGTCACCATTTGCAGATTAATAGACATTTAAAAAATTATAAAATTCATAAAAGCCAGCATATCCTAGAAAAAGATGAAGTGGCTGTCTTTTTAATCAGTCCATGGCATTGCAAATTAGTATGTTTTCTGAAGTGTCATTTGATCAGCATTATGCTTCAAAAAATATATCCAATAAAGATAAGAAAAGGTAATCATAGATATATATATATATGCAGACTTTTCCACAAACGTTATTCTTTGAAAACAGATTCAAACACTTCTTAAAATGTTGCATATTATCTACTAAGTGTAGAGAAGAAAGACTTTCTGGTATTCTCACTTCTCAGTAAAAATTCAATTCTACATTTTGTAGACTGCCCCGTATTAGACAGAAACAAACAATAAGCAACTTATGAGATGCATATAAAAGAATAAAAAATAGTTGCAAATTTTAGTGCTGGAAGCTGAAAAAGTTATTATCTATTTTACTACAACTGTGTTATCATGCAGGATAGGTAAGAGAGAAAAAGTAGTATTTCCTTACCTAACTAAAAAATACTCTGTCATTCAAGTGAAAATATCAGACATTTATTGATTACCAATTCTATGCTAAAAACTGTTCTAAGTGCTTCACATGTTCTAGCTTACTTAATTGTTACAGCAACCCCATAAGATAAATAATATTTTATACTCATTTAAAGATTAAGAAACGTAAGAACAGGAAGCTTTAATAATTTGCCCATAGGCATACTCTAATTAAGTAGGAGAACTAGGGTTTGAAACCAGGCAGTCTGTCTCTGAAAACTGTCTTCCTTTCAGTGACGTTAAATATGTTGCCAAAGTATGTTCCTAAGCCACCAAATTACATACAATATTTTGGGGGGATGCTTCTTGCATGCTGGCCGAATTGATTGAACGTTGACAAAGCTTTCAAGTATTGTGCAGGTTTTGGTCCACTTTTTTGAATAGTAATATGTACACTGTCCTACATCTACCATACTGTCCAACTCTCTATCAATGACATCACAAAAAGCCTGTGAGCATGCTCAGCCAAACCCCATAACAAAGGCATTGTGGAAATCCTAGTGTGCAGCGCAGCTCTTCTTTTCAAAGCACAGAATGTCTCAGAGGGTCTCTTATGTGCGCTACTCTGATCACTCACAAAACAAGTGTCTGCTATGGACTCTCCTTACTGGTAGAGATTGGAGCCAAAATTGTAACAAACCTGCACGTTCTGCACATGTATCCCAAAAATTAAAGTAAAATGTTTAAAAAAAGTGTAAAAAAAACCAAGACTAAGTCCTTAAGGAGCTCATGGTCTAGCAGTTGATACAAAGGAAGGGACAGTCATCCTAAAAGTCTTCCTAAGAGAAATGACACCTAAGCTGAAACCCAAAGGATGCGGGTAGTCTTATCTTTTCTGATAGTAAAGTCTAAGTGACAGCAGTTGTCATGAGAAAAGATTTTGGGGCCTGGCATGGTGGCTCATGCCTGTAATCCCAGCACTTTGGGAGGCCTAGGTGGCTTGACCGGTCAAGCTGAGAAGTTCGACACCAGGCTAGGCAACATGGTGAAACTCCATCTCCACAAAAAATACAAAAATTAGGCAGGCATGAGGGTGCACACCTGTAATCTCAGCTAAGTCTTAGGCTGGACGATTGCCTCAGCCCAGGAGGCAGAGTTTGCATTGAGCAGGGATTGTGCCACTGACTCTAGTCTGGGTGACAGAGTGAGACCCTGTCTCACACACACACACACAAAATATTAGTTCTGTTCTCTTCCTGGGTTGATATCCTTCTATTCTATCTAGACCAGAATGCTTTCTGAAATGGAAATGTGCCTATATCCCTACCTGCTTTACCTTATTATGGGATTTTGATAAACTACAAGAAAGTAGTTACACTCCTCTCGATGTCTTCCAAAACGTACTTGATGTATTTGATGCTCAATGTATGAATTGTTCTTCCCACAAATGCCTTGGTTTCTAGTAAGGGTGAGTTCCTTGTATTTCTTTAACTTGCCACAATCATCCATACTTCTACCATTTTGTATAACATGATTACCTTGTCAGTGGAAATATAAATAAATAAAATTACTTTGAAGCACTGTGGCAGTGCCCAGTAGAATTGACGATCACAAATTTTATAACCCAGACATTCCAGCTATCAGAAGATACTGTCCGAAAAGAGAATCTATTGGCTATTTACATTAGGAGACATGTTCACAAAATCAAAATACAAAAATCATTCCAAATGTACAACAGCAGAAAATGAACAAATATATTTTATTATGCACCATTTATCCAACTTTGGGTTTTCCACTACAAACTCACTCTTGATTGTTTACATAAATAGATCTGGACCCTTTAAATATTTTTTTCTTTGCCACGTGTTAAGATGTCAGTCTTTGTGAGTAGAAAGCATTGGAGAGAAATTCCAAAAAAGCGCTTCCAATTTGCTTTGGAAATGACACCTCCAGTGTCTGGCCCGGAGGGCATACAGGGATACACCAAAGCCCAGATTGTGTAGTTCAGGCAGCTGCTATAGCACCCACTTCCTGAAGTTCATGGTGGCCAGGAGAACTCAGCAGCCACGAGCTTCTCCTGATCACTGCCCTTTGCCAAATTTGCAGTGGAGCCTGTCTGGCGTGACATTTCTTCGTAAACAGCTTTACAAGTGGCCCAGAAGCCAAGTTTCTGGGGAGCTCTAAAGTGTGGATTTAAAGCAAGTTTTTCAAGCGCAACAGCACAACAACTTCTTAACATTTAGTGAGGCCAAGGGGTGAGGGGACTCTTCACTGGCGACTCCAACTTCACCCTGGAAACAATGGCAATTCCTTTTATGTGCTCATCACGTATTATTTAGACTTCTCCTTACATTCTACTAGACAATATTTCCTTGCTCAAATGTTGTTATAATTAATCATTCTTTATATTAACTTTCCCTATTCACATTATTATATGTTTTCTCTGTCTTGACGGACCCTGAATCTTCCTTTCATTTGAATAAATGCTATCCATCTATCTATCTATCTACTTACCTATCTATCTATCTGAACACTTAAGGACCAGTGGAAAAAAATCAAGTACCATAAAACTACACATGGTATGATTTTACTTAAAAAAGTTCAAAACTACCTAAAGCCAAACCATAAAACATGTAAATAATATAGCCATGTGTGATAAAATTATAAAGAGTAACAGAGGAAATAAAGATAAACACAAAATTCAAGACAGTGAAAAAGCACAACTGTCATTAGTGCATGGGGAACCCAATGATATTGGAAATGTTATTTTCTTAACATGGCTAGTAGGTTCACAAATGTTCATTTCATTACTATTTTTCTCTATACTTGTGTGTTATATTATAGTCTTTTACATAAATAAAATATTTTAATAAAAAATAATGATTTCTTATGCTATAGAGTGATTACATATACTAAAAGTGTAATTTAATCAGTGTCCCAACTAGTGCGCTGAGATAGTGATCCTCTCAGCCTTGGAAGGCCAGGCAGGGCGTGAGACCTCTGGCTTGGAGCAGTTGCGCATATTCTGCAGTGTGCTCTATGACAAACTGATGATTTCCCATGTGTGAAGCGACATGAACACATTAGACTTGATTCCCCGAAAATGCCAGATGAGAGTTTTACGATATTTGTCCATTCCCCTTGGATTTAATACTGACTTTGATTCTTCCACTTCAGAATAACCTTGCATAATTATAAATTTTGATTTTTTATTTTTAATCCACAACGAGAAAATAAAAGAAAAAATATATACACAGACAAATATATGAACACTCACATAACTGTATATACTATCCATCTTTATTTCTAATATACTAATTTTAAAATACATCAATATACCCATCATGACTCTTTCTGAGTGACATACCACACAAATTCAATATAGGTTCTCTAAGGAATCCTCTTAGGCTTCTTGTTTCAAAGCCTCTGAAGCTGCCTGCACAGTGAAGGTTGCAACAAAGCTTTCTCTTCACTTCTCCCTTAGCCTCGCATGGGTCCACTTTCCTTTCAATATCAAACAGAGCGTTAGAAACTCCTGGAAATGACTCCCCTGAATACTTGCTGTGGCTGCTTGGAGCATAAATGACATACCTGTTGATAAAACAGTATACTGTTTACTAGTTGCCCAAATGATATGGAAGAGAAACACAAGGGCACTCTACAATTCTAACATTGAATATTTCTAATTTAACAATCTGAACCAGCCACTTGTCAACTAAACTTCCACATTCAATCAACTCTAAAGACTAGTATGGCCAGGCGCAGTGGCTCAAGCCTGTAACCCCAGCATTTTGGGAGGCCAAGGTTGGCGGATCACGAGGTTAGGAGTTCGAGACTAGCCTGGAAAGCATGGTGAAACCCCGTCTCTACTAAAAATACAAAAAATTAGCCGGGCATGGTGGCACGTGTCTGTTGTCCCAGGTGCTCAGGAGGCTGAGGCAGGAGAATTGCTTGAACCCGGCAGGCAGAGGTCACAGTGAGCTGAGATCGTGCCACGCCCTGCAATCCAGGCTGGGATACAAAGCAAGGCTCCATCCTTTAAAAAATAAATAAATAAATAAAATGGAAAAGACTAGTTTATGAAATATGTATTAATTAATAATATTTGACTTCGAACAAATAACCTAAGAGGTAAGTGGTTCGATGCTACAACAGTAACAACGATTAAGTAACCACAGCAATCATGCTTGGTAATAAAGTATTTACTTACAATTTTTCTAATTCTTCAAGATAGACTACACGCAATTGATATTAGTATTTCCCAGAGGAGGAAACTGAGGTCTGAGAAATCAAGTTGCTAAATGATTTGTCTCAAGGCACATTACAAGTAAGTGCTGATTTTTTAATATATCATAATAAATGATAGCACTACTGTGATCGTTAAAGTCCTGTTTGTGATTAGTCAACCATCTGTTGTGTTTTTTTTTTTTTTTTGTCCTTTTTAAAAAAGCCACACTACCATGTTGGAGTACTTAACATAAAACATGAAGAAATATCAAAAACAATTTTGTAATGCTTCATATGACCACGACAGATGAATGTTTTACAGAACGGGCAAAGACATTTCATGTCATAGACCTAGAAAGGAAGGACAAACTCTGAAGTGATAAATAAGGCCAGGAGCGGTGGCTCATTACTGTAATTCCATAAATTTGGGAGGCTTAAGTGGGAGAATTGCTTGAGGCCAGGAGTTTGAGACCATCCTAGGCAACATAGGTTACACCCTGTCTCAACAAATAAAAGTACAAATATGAGCTGGGCATTGTGGCACGTAACTGTAGTCCTAGCTATTTCAGAGGCTGAGGTGGAAAGATTGATCAAGCCCAGGAGTTTGAGGCTGCAGTGAGCTAAGACTGCACACTGAACTCCAGCTTGGGAGACAGTGTGAGAACCCGTCTCTTAAGAACAACAACAAAATAAGCTGGGGCGATGGGTAAGTTAAAAATATGCTGCCATTGGCCAACAAATCGAGCTGTTTAAAACATGCTCTTACTCCCAAGCCAGACAATTTGATAATCGCTGGACAGAAAGATGGAGCCATTTCTGGCTGTCCAATGACCTAACCCCTTTCAATACATATAAGATCAACCTGGGGATAGTCAATGTTTGGCAATAGTCAAGATTTAGGAATTAAAAAACCTCTAAATATCAAAAATATGAAAAAGAACAAATAAGTATGTGTTTATTATATACCTTACATATAGAGAGATTTACTGGGTTTTGTGTATATGTAAACAAAAATACATTTAAAATAGGAAAGGGGCTAGAATTACACACACAAGAATATAACCATGATTTTATATTTTTCTGATGGAATTAGGCAGATGTTTATTTTCTGCCATGGCTTTCTTGATCTTTACAGTTTCTAAAATAAACATTATTTTAAAATAAGAAACAAAAAGATACTGAAAATAAAGATATGCAAAAATTATATTACATCGTATGAGAGAATATTACATTTATCATTTACTACATATATCTTGAAATTTTCTATTGGCTTGCAAGAAATCAACTATGATATTTTTCCACAGTACAAAAAAAAAAAAAGGAAAAAGTGATATTATAACAGGGAATCATTTTTTCTTTTCCTACCTATAAAAACATCTATCTGGTAACCCTAAGGATCAATAAATGCTCATTACAGAAACATTGGTTGATTATTCATGATTCTCAATAATACTGGAATGAGAAATAAAATGAATATAGTTATAACTTCATGAAAATGTATTTCTATACACAAAACAAAAATTTCAGAACAAAACTGAACTTAATCAGTCAGCTCTGGGGACTGGTTCCAGGACACTGATAGATATCAAAATTTGTGCACACTCAAGTCCTGCAGAAAAGACACGTATACATGAAAAGCAGGACCCCTCTTCTGTGGAATTAACAAGCTGAATGTGGAAAAAACCACTAAACAAATCAAATTGATTTATCAGAATAATAATCCAGATTTTAGTAGAAATTATTTAATATTTCATCTTTTCAAGTGATTTTCCTCATAATGTAAGTACAGCACTCTCAGAGTCTGAAAAGACTTTCTGGATTACCTTGCTCTGCCTCGGTGAGGAAAGGTAGCTGCCTACGTGGAATCTGAAGCCACATCTGACCTCCCTTGGGTTAACTGGCCATAATATAACTCACCACATGCTTAATGCCCTTTGACATCCTGGTCTTCATATTGTTAAGACAATGAAGTAGGCAATAATAGAAAACAAAATATTTCTGAAAAACATGGCTAAGAGTCCCAGTGGGATGTAACAGTTTTGCTTTATTTTGTTTTGTTTTCTGGAAAAACATTAATAATTTTCTTACTTTACATTTTTCATTAGTTCTTTATTGGCCACATCTGAGGTGCTCAGAGTCAAGCTCATGTAATGAGTATCATTCTGTGAAAAAAGTTCTAACATATCAAAGCTAAAGGAAAAATAATTGTTGAGGTTTGTTCCATAGAAATAAATTTACTCACTTAAAAGCCTTTTTTCTGGATTTACGTCCTTCCTACTTTGTGATATTTTTAACAAAATCATTTTCTGTATGCAATACTAATATTTAAAAAGATAAGTTTGAAAAAAATAGTTTGGCAAAATAAAGTTTACCATCTTTAAAAATAAAAAGTTGGCCCTCTATATACATGGGGTTCTTTCCTTCAGTAATGTATTTTATTATGTTTTCTTAAGACATGGAATTTCTTTGCCATGTTGTCCAGGCTAGTCTGGAACTCCTGACCTCAGGTGATCCACCCACCTTGGCCTCCCAAAGTGGTGGGATTACAGGTGTGAGCCACCTCACCCAACAAGAATAACAACTTTCTAAAGAAGTCAATTTTTTCTCTCTCTCTCGCTACAGGATTTGGGAGACATGGTGGCAAGGTATGTTATCGGCCATCAGTGCAAGCTGGAGCACAAGGCATGCTATGAAAAACATCAAGCTGCTTCCAACAAAGTGAAAACATAAGTTACTAACACCATAATGTGTCAGTGTGATTGTGTGTGTACTCATGTGTTTGTGTTTTATGTTGAATGTTACCTATGCCTTTTATCAGACATTAACCTTTTCTTACTTTTCCAAGTGACTCAGGGGGTTATGTTTGGAAGAGTTCAATGCAGAAGTTGCTAGAATACAATTGCCTCTTTTTAGGATTCAGAATCATAATTAGAGATCAACTATTTGGTGGCAGATAGGGAGAGAGGCATTTATCTTTCAGTGGCAGTAGGTTAGAAACGGAGTGAAGAGTTAGAAAGATTCCCTAAGAGCCACAAACCCATCCTAGGATTGTGGAGGTACATTACAATATCAGAAGTGGGTTTGAATGAAACATTTTCTGTTGGAATCTATTTCTTAAACACAGACATCAGAAACTTAACCAACTCAACCTACTTCCTTGCAGGAGTGAGTCCGTGCTGCTGCACATGCCCCAGCCTGTGAATCCAGAGCTCACTACAGGGCGCATCACAGGACCGGTGGACAGGCTCAACCACTTCCAAGGTGAGTGTGGCCCTCTTGGTGGGATCAACATGCAATGCCTTCAATTATGGTTTTCTATGGGCAGCCTTCCCAGTGTAACGATCTTTCATCTAGAAGAAGAGAATAGTCTGTGAATAGGTATTTATATTTATAGTTTCACTATCATCAAACAGACAAAACTAAATAAAAGATGGTGGAATCAGCCATATAGCAAATGTATTAGAAAAGTAAAACATGCAGAAGGGCTCTTTAGGATGTAGAACCATTCATGTATGCTTCAACCGTGATACAATTTCATGTATACAATTATTACATGAAGTATACAGAACTGAATTAATCCAGGACATTTCAATTTCAAATTCAGTGCAGTTAATGACTGATTTGAGTGACAGTGTTTTTTTAAATACATTTCAGGTGAAGTTTCACAGCATTTATAATTTTAATCATGTGCATTTTAATCAACTAAAGCATACACGAGTAACTTATATAACAATGCAAACACTGAGAATCTGTGAAAAATAGGAACGTGATTTGGTGGTTGATGAGGCCTTAGATAGAACTCCAGGATAGATCATGATAAATCCAGCAGATAAAAGAAGTCTGTGCCTGAATCTGGCATGAAAGTCAGATAATTCTTGCAAGGAAGCTGCACTTTTCAGAAGGCAGATTCAGATTTTCTCTTTAAGTATGAAATGACTAGTTTAAGTGGCAGATTATAATATTTCTGGCAAAGTGATAACTTTTTTATTTGGGTCTAAGGATGGCTCCCCACCTCATCTCCTATCCGCAGCCTCCTGCTCTGCCCTGACAGAGAAGAGACAATGAAGGTTAATTTTATTGCTGTGGACTTGGCTGCAGTGCAAGAGGTGCCAGTTTTTCAGTTGTTATGAAAGGTCACTAACTAGACATAGACATGACCTTCCTCCCCTTTATAATTTTTGAGTTTATGGAAATTGTGATCATTGAAGTTGAGCCATTTACTTGTGCAGATATCCTAACACCCTTTGATTCCAACATTTTTCCAGACAGAAGTTTCTTTCTAATCTTGACCTGTGTTTTCTAGTGAGAATCTCTTTCTTATCTGAACATAAGAATTTATAAACTGCTTTTCAATGGATCATTCTCTTTTTTCTACAGTGGAAATTTCCTTCACTTGGGAAGTAACCAATTACAATATCAGGCTGTTTGAGGATGCGAGAAGTTTGATGTTGAGACGTGAATCTTTGCGTTCTGACAGATCTGACTATTTTGCTGCATGGGGAGACTGGGTCTTCTCCTCTGGCAAACACTACTGGGAGCTGGATGTGGAGAACTCTTGGGACTGGGCTCTGGGAGTCTGTAAGGACTCCTGGATAAGGAAGAATAGCACAATGGTTAAATCTAAGGATATATTTCTTCTTTTATGTGCCTGCTGTCCTGACCCACATTTCCAGGGATAACCTGGCATACGTAGACACTATGTAAAGCCCACATCCATTAGAAGTTTATAACACTATGTTTTCGTGTGACTGTTTTCTTGTTCCTGCAGTGCATATTTCCTGGGATAATAAAATAACCACTTGGTACATTCCCCTTGTTTGAAGTTCTGAGACAGCTACTCTTTGGTTCTGATTATCTCAACATTGCCCCAACTCCAACAAAATCTAAGTGTTTTCTTGATGGCGAGCCCTGCCATTCACTTTTGGAAGATATTACTGAGAGGTGGACGTTGGGCAGTGCTGGAACTGGGCTGTTGGATTTTGCAATGATTCTTGGACAATGAGAAATGACATGCTGGTTAACTCCAAGAAATTTTTTCTACTTTTTTGTGTCAAGAAGGCTACTGGTGTCATCTCAAGACCTCTTCCCCACTATTATCTCAGTATACAGAAAGGCCTCTAGGCCAGATGGGGGTGTTTCTAGATTATGAATGTGGCATGGTAAGCTTTGTTAATGTGGCCAACAGTTTTCTCATCTGTAGCCTCTCTGGTTCTTTCCCTTACCCTCTTACAACTTTGCTTTGTTTTGCTTTGCTTTGCACTCACAGAATCAGAGAGAGGTCAGTAACGTGACTAAAGGTATCAGAAACACCAACTTCTGAGAATGCTAACTACTGACTACTTGACATTCTTTATCTTTTTCTATGAAACTTTGTACCATTTTTAAAAGTGTGGAGGTATACATTTGTTTTGATTTTCATTAAACTACTACTCTCTCTTAGAATACTGCGCATGTCTTCTCTTATATGCTGTATCTTTTCTTTCCCTTGATTTCCAAGCCAGCCCAGGTATATGAATACCTGAGTGTGTTTATCCAAACTGATGGGTTAATGCAAGAGCACAGGTTTCTTCCCCCTGAACTGGAATTTTCTTTTCTCTGTTCCACATCTGCTAAGTCCCATTTCATCAAGTGTAAGTTCCAACATTTCTTCAGGGAATTCTTTCTTTAGCTCCTGGACTAGATTAGGCTATTTGTTTTAAAGACTCAGAAAGCCTTATACTTTTCTTTGTAAAACTCACGGTGTAATAGTAGGCATCTTTTCTGCTTCTCAAATTACAAGAAAAGGATTGTGTTTGTACTACACACAGGTATATTCCACGAAAGTACACAATGCTTAAAATATAACTGATATTCATTAATTGTCTGTTTGAATAAAAGAATAAATGCACAAAATAATTGATAAAAACATATGATGCAACTGTTTAAAAGGCTACCAAATTTACCCCTGTATTCCTATTGATTTTGGCAACTGAATGTAACCAAAATCAACAGGGATACTGAGAAATATTATTTAATAAAGTTATAAATTGGACTGCTTATCAAATTGATAGGTTCAGTCAATTTTCTTTAGCTCAAGAACAAACTATCGATGGACACAGATCTTAAGAGAGTGAAAATGATACAGATAAAAAGACTGAAAACCTGTAAGACTTTAGTAATTTCACCGATGGCATCCTGCAGACAGTTACCTGGGAACATGTCATTACCAGAATAGAAAGTAAGACTCACTTTTTGCTTCAGAAAATACAGAATACTCAGAAGCCTCATTACATTTTAATAAAACTCCAAATTTATTTAGGTCTTTGAAGTTTTTAAAATACATGTGCAGTAAAATATCCTTATTATCAGAAATACCTATATTTTGATCATGTTAATTTTGTATGAAGCCTTTCCTTAAGTATCGACTGGAAATTGGTTCCAGGACTCCCCGCAGATACTAAAATCCTTAGATGCTAATAATCCTCAGATGTCCTTACATAAGATGGGGAAGTATTTACATGTAGTCTAAGCACATCCTCCCATGTACTTTAATTATCTCTAGATTACTTAAAATACTTAATGCAATGTAAATGCATTAAGTGTAAGTAGTTGTTACACTGTATTATTTAGGGAATAACGACAAGCAAAAAAAGTCTGCACATGTTCAGTGAAAATGTAATCATTCAATTTTTTTTCCTGAAATGTTTTAATCCATGATGAGTTGAATCCATGGGTGCAGAACCCATTTATATGGAGGTCCAACTGTATATCAAATATCATATTTAATGGTGTATTTTCTAGTATTTAATTTAATTACTGGCAATATGGCACACCACAAACATATCAAACGTTTCTGATATGTGTTTTTTGAATTTATTTAAAGCAATCAGGGAATGCCTCCTTTAATGAGGGTTGCTGAGAACAAAGTCTAAAAAAGGCTGACTCCATTTATAAGGATTAACTCTGATCCAAAAGTTTAATGACAGATGGGTTGCATAATGGGTTATTTCAATGATAGGAGTAATGCAAACATACAGTTCTGTAGTCATTTATATTTTAATAGCATTATACTGTTTTAACCATCCTCATCTTGCATATAATCTCATTGTATATTAGAATACTACTATTAGAGCAGTAAAGAAGAATGGATAAATACGGTCAGCTTTTTGCTTTTGTTTTGTTTTGTTTTTGAGACAGGCTCTCACTCTGTCACCCAGGTTGTAGTGCACTGGTGAGATCACGGCTCACTGCAGCCTCGACCTCCCCAGATCAAGCAATCCTCCAACCTCAGCCTCCCAAATAGCTGGACTACAGGCTGAACTGTCATGCCCGAGTAATTTTGTTGTTGCTGTTGTTGGAGAGACAGGGTCTCACCCTGTTGCCCAGGCTTCTCTCAAGCTCCTAGCTCAAGTCATCCTCCCACCTCAGCCTCTAACAGTGCTGGGACTATAGGCATAAGCCACTATGCCAGGCCTAAATACAGCCAATTCAACTGAAGTTTAAATTATTTGTGTTTCACTCTCTTTCATTATAAGAATAATCTGTGTCTTAAAATGTGTTCTTGAACGTGAATTACTTTATGATTGCCCCTTCATAAGAATAGTTCTTAATGTTTAAGAATAATTCACAAAAATATGAAAATTCCTTCATAGAGAATGACTTGAATTAATAGAAGGAATACTAGATACAGGAAGTGGATAATCAAATTTTAAGTGAATTATCTTATTCTGTCCTACACTTGTAAGAGAAAGTGATCCTCCAACCTCAGCCTCTCAAAGTACTGGGAATTATAGGCATGAGCCACCATGCCTGGCATAAATATGGCCAATAATGTAAACTTCAGTTTAATTGGCTGTTCTTATAAGTTTTTGAGAGAAATATGTTTCTCTTCTAATTGTGAGGACTGGATGAGATAATGCACATACAACCTCCACTGATAGGGTAGAATCTCCACCCCGGAACAGCAGGTCTAGGGTTGCTATGCCCAAGTTTCCCACTGGCTGTATCTTCCATCCCTCAAGGGATAAGACAAAACACCGGGAGACACCATCCCCCTACCTACCCCAGCACAGACTTGTAGAGCGTGTGTGAGTGCTGGAGAAGCCCCAGTCAACTCCTTTGCAGTGATGCAGAGATTCATCTAGGAGGACTGACAGGCTGTAAAAACTGAGAGCTTTGCTCAATGCCTCACAGTAATGATTGATTTTGAATCGGTCATGAAGAGGTACATTCCCAAGGGCGTTGTCAAAAACAATGGAGACCTTGGTTGGGAACATTAAAGAGGAGCTTGGAATCTTTAGCATGCTTTGTAGCAAGAAATAAACTTCTGACAGCCAGCCAGAAGTTTACCAGAGAAAACCAGGCAAAGAGAAAGCCAAGAAAAAGTGTCTTAGGATCTCTAATTTCTGGAAATCTGGAAGGCTGTGTATCTGTGCTAGACTGCACCCACTCAAGAGCATCAAGGCGGAATGCGGACAAATTTGTAAGCGCTCCCCAAGCTAACCACTGATTCATCAATAAAGAGCCTTTAGCCCTCCTGGCTGAAGAGCTAAAGCACAAATTCTGAGTGAACACTGGGTGAACAATAAATTATTCTGTTCCAGGGAGTGATTCCTAGAAGCTAGACTTAAAAATAAAATCACAATCATCTCCGGTGATCTGGAAGATTGACCATGCACTGTCATAGCAGTAACCAGAGAGAGGATCTCTGAGCTGTTAGTCCACTGAATGTGGGACATAATTGTCAACTTCTTGATCTGTGAAAACAGTCTCCACGCCACACACACATTGAATGGTAAAGGATAAAAATCTAACTAACTAAGAAGGCTTAGCCACAACTTTCGAAATACAGATTTGGGTAGAAATAGAGATAAATAGATACAAAGATTGCTGAGTTTCATGTTTAGCTGAATTCATGGTAAACATTTATCATCATGAATATGTTCATCTCAGAAGCCAAAAGCATACCTACCCTCAGATGAAGGTTGCATATATATATACGTATATATGTGTGTGCATATATATAATATACATATATATTTCAAAGCAGTCATTCATATGTATATTTTTCAATCAGTAAGCTAATTTTCCAAGCACTATTTTTCATATATATATATATATATAGTCCTAGCACTTTTAGAGGCTGAGGTGGGACGATCACTTGAGCCAGGAGTTGGAGAGAAGCCTGGGCAATAGGGTGAGACCCTCTCTCTCCAACAACAGCAACAACAAAATTACTCAGGCATGGCAGTTCAGCCTCTATCCAGCTATTTGGGAGGCTGAGGTTGGAGGACTGTTTGATCTGGGGAGGTCGACCCTGCAGTGAGGCGTGATCTTACCACTGCACTCCAACCTGGGCGACAGAGTGAGAGCCTGTCTCAAAAACAAAACTAAACAAAACAAAAACAAAAAGCTGACTGTATTTATCCATTCTTCGTTATTGCTCTAATAGCTGTATTCTAATATACAATGAGATTATATACAAGATGAGGATGGTTAAAAGAGTATAATGCTATTGAAATATAAATGACTATAGAATTGTTATGTTTCCATTACCCTTGTCTTTGGAATACGGATCCTGTCACCTTAGTAGTCAGCATAGTACCCAATAGGTAGTTTTTAAAAAATATATCATAATCATTTATTAATGTGGAGGAGATCCTTCCAAAGACAGCTCCAATGTCCTTGTCACACAGAGGCAGCAGTGGTCAGGAGCTCTGCTGACCAATGCTTTTGGTGCCTGTTTAAAAGGAAGACATTCTGGAGAAAAAAGTCAGGAAACTTCATAAAATAAACAACAAGAACAACAAACACCTTTTCTTCCAGAATAAGTATTTTCTGACACTCACACCTTCAGGCTGTTGCCCCTGTTGGAAGTGAGAGAATGACTAGTTTCTGGCAGTGTGACACCATGAGCATGCTCCTAGGCTAATGGAGCAGATGGAAGAGCTCCCTCCAAGAGAGGCTCCCTGCAGCCCTCCCCTTTTTTCTTCTGAAAATGTGTGTCTTTCTTTTCAAGCCACGACTTAAAGTCTTATTTTGTTCCTACTCTTAGAAACAGTCAAAAAGAGCCCCATACCGTACCGGCCATTTTATGAATCAATGTAATTTTAATGCAGAGGGATAGTAAAGCATTATTTGTCTCTCCGGCCTTGGTTCCTTTTCTGCATACTGCAACCATTCAACTACATCTTACACTCTACCATGTCCACGACACTGCTTATGACTAGTGACTAGAAGACTGAACATCATTTGTGCCTGCGTGCAGATAGGGAGAATGTTGTCTGGTCACATTACCACTTTAGTGGAAGGCACTCTTTTAAAATTCATCAGCCAGGTCTGCTATTATAAACACTGGGTCAAAACCGTGGTTGACTTCAAAGTGTTCTCAGAAAGTTTGATAATACACTATTAAAAGACAGTTTTCCATCTGAAAACCTGACTGGTGTCAACCTTCAATTGGCCCCTGCATTTCCTCTGAGCTGAAGCAGCCAAGAGATGGAATCGTTTGCATGAGGAGTTCTTACTGCCACTACAGTTGTTAGAAAATATGGAATGATCCCTCTGCCCTCCAGGTGATTGAAAGCTATGCAAAACAAGGTTGTTTCTTACTGAGCGCAAGGAAGCAATGGGTAAGAAAACTTTTAAGGCATAAATAATACAAAAGGGCACACATTTTTAGGATACATTCACATGACATTATACTGCAAAAAAAATAAAGAATGATTTTCTCTGATTTGAGTTAAGATCCTTCACACAGTTCACTCCCAGGCCTGTTTTGTGCAGTTGGTTACAGGCTTGAAGTCAGAAGATGACTGGTTGTTTGCACATCCTCCAGTTTCCTGGGGCTGCTGGAGGACCCCTGAGGGGCTGTCCAAAGGAACACCAGGCGGAGGCCATGTTGTCTTTTCAGCACCGTCCTCTGAGATAGGTGGCAAAATAAGAGGATTCCAATGTAAATTGTTGCTGTCTGTTTCTGAATAGACACAGCTGTCTCCTCTGCTGAACTCTTCTGGATTTTCTGTGCGATCACAGCTGACATCGTTTCTATTATCCTGACAGCACTTTTTTCCTCCTCTGTAATAACACACTTTGTGGATGAACCAAGATCACCAAAAACTGCCACGGATACTGTTACAGGGCCACTCAAAATAATACCAACGCTATTGTTGGCAAGGGATTGGTAGAAACCCAAAAGAGAGGAGTTAAGAGAAAGAATTGTCAAAGTCCCCTGATGAATCTGTATATGTTCCATGTTTCTATCCTACTTTTTTACATTATGCAACCATGAGCTATGAGTGGTCACAGGTTTGGCAGAACAATGTAGTTCTGCAGGTCCACCATGTTTCTGGACGGTAGAGAGTGGCTCAGAAGTAAAATAAGGCGCCAAGTCTGAACTCATGGAAGAGCAGAGAATCATGACAGTAACATACAGCAGTGTCCATATGGGTCCAAGATTCACATGCAGAGTGCCAGATTACAGAAGCAGGCAAGGCAGGCTTCCAGAGCAAAACCCAGGCCTTGGTTCACTTTCCAAGGTACTACAATTCAGGGTAATCAGACGCATTCCTTAACATTGACTCCTTCCTGCTTACTAAAGACTTTGATCAGTCTTCATGCTGTCCATAGGGAGTCTCCAAAACTCAGAGTAACAGTTGGCTTACATCTTCAGTGATTCAAGTCTGCAAGGTGTATATGATTGTGCTTCGGGGGGAAAGCAGAGAAGCCACTTTCTGTACTTACAACGGAGTTCACTTCAGTGCTATAAACGTCACCGCAGCCCTGCTTGTAATAAAGTCCAGACTAGCAATCTGCCTTTGGGTTGAGCTGTTCTCCTACAAGATAAGCTGTTAAGTCATGCCTTGATTTTAGGTCTCTCGGCCGAGCAGGCTAAGCATCCGGAGTTCCTGTGGGGCAGCCGGCTGGGAAAGCCACCCTCAGGTCCTTCCCTCCGACGCCACGGTGGCTACTATGGAAGCGGCTATGGTGGCAGCGGCTGCGATCCGAAGGGGCCCCTCCATGCACTACGCAGGGCAGAGGAGGGCGCGCGGTGTCTTGCAGGCCAGGACGCAGGCGCTGGGTAGGTCAGGCGGGCGCTGGGTCCTGGTTCTTCTGGCACCTTGACTCTGGATCCGGGCATCAGGGCTCTGGATAGGGGACCTGGGGCGCGCCCCCGCGGCAGCGCTCCTCCAGGCGGAGGGGAGTGGACATGTAACTGGGCGGGTTCAGGGCTGCCCGGAGCATGCCAGGAGCAAGAGGAGGGATCCTGTGAGAGACAAGCGAGGCCAGCTGTAGAGGCCGCCTCCCATAAGTAGTTTTTTAAACCCATCCCTCTCCCTCCACTCACAAGTAGACCACAGAGTCTATTTTGCCCATACTGATGTCTCTGTGTGTTCAATGCTTAGCTCCCAATTATAAGTGAGAACATAACAGCATTTAATTTTCTGATCCTGCATTAATTTGCTTAGGATTACAACCTCCAGCTCCATTCCCATTGCTGTAAGAGAGTTGGTGTGCCCAGAGTAAAGTCCTTCATTTAAGCTCCCATTCACAATTACACTGACTCCATTGAGAACCTTATGGTGAAGGTGGGAACAGCCACTGCTGAGACCGACATGGCTCAGTAAACCTCCATGAACACTTCCATTTATCTCATTTGCTCCTGAGAGAGTGGTGTATTACATCATCTGCCCATTAATATCTGATCCTTGATAGAGGTATCCTGGAGGGTCATATTTCTGTATGATATTCTGCTGGCGATTCCTCCGCAGGCACATTTCAATGAAAACCATAAGAATGAGGCCCAAGACACCCAGCATACAGCCAAGGATCAGATAGAACAGGTCACTGCTTCTGTCAGGGCTGGTTGCTGGCCTCACATTTCCTTCACTTCCTGAGGAATTCAGACGGGTACTCAAGTCTTTCGGATACTCAGAAGCTCCAGGAACGCATTTTACTTTAGTCTCGCAGATCATCATACTGCTAAACTCATTTCTTCTCCTTCACTGAAGCACTGCATTTTAATGCCATAGGAAGTTTCTGACAGCAGATGGCCAATCATGTGCCACTCCTTTGAACCTTCTGTAACATCCCTCTTATAAACATTGTCATTGTCATTATCTGTGGGTCGGTAATAGATATAAAAGAATGGAAGCGTTATTATTTCACGGAATGTATGTCCACTTTAGCACAATCTGAGTAATGCTGACAGCCTCCGTGTACACAATGTGAGGTCCATTATTGGACAGTTGGAAAAAAGTTTGGGGAACCCAGTCACCAGGTAAGGATGAGACGCTGAACTCTGAAAACTCTCTTCATAATGGTTGATAGCAATGACCCTAAATTTGTATGTTGAACCTGGTTCTATACTACAAACTTCCACAGAAATTTTGGAAGGAAGGATATCTTCAGCTGCCACCAGCCAGTCACTGGTCCTCATCCATTTATATTTGACCTCGAAGGCAGGGATTGAAGAATTCCCATCTGCCCAAGGAATTCAAGTGACATAGACCAACCTCTCTGATGCAGTGGAGATAATCAGGTGATCTGGTGCCTCTGGAGCACCACTGTGCCTAGATGAATCTGTAAGCACCACTCCAAAATTGTTGTTTGAAGCTTCTGAAACAACAGGATACTCGGGGGTGCTTGTGGGTTGAGAGGATGCCTGGGTGTTTTTTGATGATGCTGTTTTTTCTTTGCTGGTTCAGAAGGTAAGCATGGCAGGTGGGTTTTCACCTGCAGCACTTCTTGCTACCATCAAGAGTTCATAAAGACTAGATGGCTCTATTTCAGCTAAATGAAGCTCACTTTCACCTCCTGGGATTCAAACCCTGTGCCAACTTCCCACCACACCAACTTCATACTCCAGATTTTGATACTTCACAAAATAGGCATTGATGGGCAGTCCACTTTCCTTGCCTGCCCTCCACACAAGGTTGTATGTATCTGCTATGGGGGTCTGTAGGGTTTCAATTTGATGGGGACCTCAGGAACAGAGATGCCACCAGCATTTTTCTCTGATGGTGATTCCACTGCACTGAGGTGTACTTTCTCTGGAAATGAGCTGAATAATCCACTTTCTGAACCATCTCCTATTTTTTTCATTATTCTGAGTAACATCAAAAAGTGCGACTGTTTCTGCTTTTGTTTGTTTCAAAAGGAACAACCGTGAGAGGTGGTTCTGCCTGCATGGTACCATGTTCATTTGTAGCTTCGCAGATGTATTTCTCCACATGCTCCTGCATCACAGCCTGAGTATGGAGAGAGCTCAAGCCAGCTTGGGACATGATGAAATAGGCAGGGTCTAGGTCCAAGATTCCAGGTCTTGATAAGTGTGACTTTTGGGATTTAGATCTAAGGACTTAAGACAGATGGCTGGTTATCAATCCGTGGATGTCATACCAACAAATGACCGGACCCAGCAGCCTGGTAGCATTGTAGGACAGAGTAAACAAAGTCTCCATCTACCACTTTTATGCTTGCTGGTGCCATAAATATAACTCGCTTGAATCCATTGCCTTTTTCTATTTCAAGTCTTCCAGTAGACTGCATAAATCCAGCCTCATTATCTGCTAAACACTGATGTAGCCTAGTATCTTGCATAATAACCCCACTGAATTTCAGTCAATTTCCTGCAGTTCGATGTCTTGAGGAAGGATGATTAGGCTGTGAATTATGAAACCAGTTATGGTTGGCAGCTGGGTTCCTACAAACATCAGAGATAAAGTGTACTGTGGAAAATAGAGACACTATCTGATCCTGTAGTCCCTTAGAGTAGGAGCGTGTTCAAGTACATTAACCATGTATGCCACATATTTTACATCTCCAGAGTTGTTTCCCACCATGCTGGAATTGTTTCCAGAGTCCACTGGGTCAATGCTATCTATGGCAAGATGAGAACACAACCTTCTCCAGTTGCTTCCCAGGGCAATATCCTGCCTGTTCTTCAGCCAACACACTTGAGGAGCCAGGACCCCACTAAACACACACTCCAAAGTTACAGGGCTATGTGAATGAACAGCTAATACCTGTGAACGAGCAGGGGAAGAATGCCAAAATCCTCTGAAGAAAGGTGACTCACAAGGAGCTTTTGGCCAATGGGTTCAACTCTTAATTCATGTGTGGCCGGATTATAAGCTGCACATTTGTGTGATCCCTTGTCCTCTGAGGATACGTTCAAAATCTAAAGATGTTCTTGTGGAGGGATTAAGTAATTCTTTGTGGAATGCTTCAGCCACTTCCCCTGGATTTTAGCGCACACCTCAGCTTTGGGGTTACTCTCTGGTACCCTGCAGCCAATGAAACCAGCACCTTTATTATTTTGCTGTAATAAAATGCTTTGTGGATGAATCAAAATCACCAAGAACTGCTGTGGATACTGTTACAGGGCCACTTACAACAACACCGACCTATTGTTGAGAATGCACTGGTAGTAACCCAAAAGGGAGGAGTTAAGAGAAAAAAATTGTCAAAGTCCCCTGATGAATCTTAATATATTCCATGTTTCTATTCTATTTTTTCCATTATGCGACCTTGAGATGTGAGTGGTCACAGGTTTAGCAGAACAATATAGTTCTACAGGTCCACTAAGTTTCTGGACGGCAGAGGGTAGCTCAAAAGTGAAATAAGGTGCCATGTCTGAACTCCCAAAAGAGCAGAGAATCGTAAGAGTAACAGACGGTGGTGTCCATAACGGGCCAAGATCTGGATGGTGAGAGCGCCAGATTACAGAAGCAGGCAGGACAGGCTTCCAGAGCAAAACCCAAGCCTTGGTTCGTTTTCCAAAATACTGTAGTCCAGAGTAAGCAAACACATTCTTTAACCTTGACTCCTTCCTGCTTACTAAAGACTTTGATCAGGGACAGTCTTCATGCTGTCCACAGGATGTCTCCCAAAATGAGAGTAACAGCTGACTTACATCTTCAGTGATTCAAGTCTGCAAGGTGAATACACTTGTGCTTGGGACGGAAAGCAGAGAAGCCACTTTCTGTTCTTAGGGTGGAACTCACTTCAGTGCTAAAAGCACATCATAGCAGTTCTGCTTGCAATAAAGTCCAAACTAACAATCTGCCTTTGGGTTGAGCTTTTCTCTTACAAAATAAGCTGTTAAGTCATGCCTTAATTTTAGGTCTCTCCACGGCGCGGGCTAAGCATCTAGAGCTCCTGTGTGGCAGCCAGCTGGGAAAGCCACCCCTGTGTCATGCCCTCCGGCGTGAGGCAGCGGCTGTGGTGGCAGCTGTGATCTGAAGGGGCCCCTTCAGGCCCGGCACAGGACAGAGGAGGGTGTGGTGCCTCGCACGCCAGGGCAGAGGCTCTGGGTTGGGCGAGCGGCCGCGAGGTCCCAGGTCTCCTTGCACTGTGTGACCTCAACTGGGAACCAGGGCTCAGGTGTGGGTAACTGGGTTGGGGGTGGGGTGCGGAGTGACAGGATCCATCCCTGTGGCAATGCTACTCTAAATGGAGGCCTACCTACAGGTAACCAGGTGGTCACAAGGCCCAACAGGAGCAGGAGAGGAGCAGGAGGAGGAGCGATCCCAGAGACAGACAGGCAAGGCAGGCTGTAGAGACCGCCCCCAGTCGGTATTTTTTCAAGCCATCCCTCTCCCGCCACCCTCAAGTAGTCCACAGAGTCTATTTTTCCCATATTGATGTCTATGTGTGTTCAATATTTAGCTCCCCATGTAAGTGAGAACATACAGCATTTGGCTTTCTATCCTGCATGAATTTGCTTAGGATTAAGGCCTCCAGCTCCACCCACATTGTTGTAAAGGACATGATTTCATTCTTTTTATGGCCGTATAGTATTCCATGGTGTATATGTACCATATTTTATTTATACAGTCTACCATTGATGGACTCCTGGGTTGATTATGTCTGCTATTTTGAATAGTGCAGCCATGAACATAGGAGAGTATGTGTCTTTTTGTTAGAACGATGTATTTTCTTTTGAGTATGTACTCAGTAATGAGATAATTGGATCAAAAGGTAGCTCCGTGTTAAGTTCTTTGAGAAATCTCCAGACTGTTTTCCACAGTGGGTGCACTAATTTACATTTCTTGTTCTATCTTTAGTTCACAAAATTTCTACTAGACCCAGCTCAGGGTTGCAGCCCTGACTGCAGCAGGTGCTGGGGCTTCCCTAAGTAGATACTGTGCACAGATAAAGAGAGTGCTCAGATCCCGGGGTTGTGAGAAGAGAAGCAGAAGAAGGAGTTAAGGAGAGGGCCACATTTGGATGCCCTGAGGAGGGATGACAGGCAGATGTAAGGAAGGTGGTACTGTGCTAGTCACTGGTGACATCCTCCTAGTTCCACAATCTCCTGGAAAGCAGGAAGCCTCACAATTCCCAAGCATGCTGCAGTTCTGGAGGGCACAGGGCTACTATTCTTCCCAGCTTGACTCTCTTTTCTCCCAATAAACATGGGACTCTGAAGCCAGGAGTCAGAATGAATTATCTTCCACCCACACAACATTTAAACCTTCGATTTATGATTGAATTACACACACACACACACACACACACACACACACACACAGGCGCAGGCACACACATGCATCTGTCTCTGTAATAAAACGTCCTTAGCTAATGCTAGACAGATCTGTGATCTGTGATTATCTCTACCCTTTTGGGCAACAAGAATAGTGAATTGATTGACAAAATTGATTGACTCCTGGAAAGTAGTGTAAAAATGTAATATATATGTAAGACACATGGTGTCTTCCCCCGTGACATTAGCAGCAACATTCCCCTAGAATATTACAAATAATATCAGAGGGGGTGTACACACATAATGTACATACCTTGTAAAATTAGGAGTAGCATCTCCCTAAGATATCATTAATAGTATCACAGAATGTGTACACACATGGCTTATACCCCATATGATGTTAGGAGTTACATCCTTCTAGTATGTTAGGAATAATACCACAAAGTTGTTCACACATGGATAACGGCATATGTAATATCAGGATTAACATGCCTCGAAAATATTACAAATAACATCACAGGGGGTGTGCACACATAACGTGCATGCCCTGTGACATTAGGAGTACATTTCCCTGACACATTACGAGTAATATCAGAGAGTGTACACCTTCTGTGACATTTCGAGTAATGTCCCCTGGATAGTACGAATAATATCATAGGGTGTACATCCCCTGTGACCTGAGGAGCAACATCTTTCTTGGATAATGCAAATAATATCACAAAATATACAGCCCCTGTGACATTAGGAGTAACATCCACCTAGGATATTATGAATAATATCACAGGAAGTATACCCCGTGTGACAGTAGGAGTAACCTCCCCCAAGGATATAACGAACAAATGCAGAGGATGTACATGTGTTGTGACATTAGCAGTAACATCCATTTAGGATATTATGAAAATTATCACACTGTGAACACCCCCTGTGATATTAGGAGTAACATCCCCCTACAATATTGGGAACAATATCACATGGTGTACATTCCCTGTGACATTAGAGGTATCATTTCTTTAGGATATTATGAATAATATTACAAGATGTACAGCCCCTGTGATATTAGGAGTAACATTTCCATAAAATATTACGAATAATATCACTGCGTGTACACCACGGGTGACATTAGGAGTAACAGCACCCAAAACTATTAGGAATAACTTCACAGGGTGTACACCGTCTGTGACATTAGGAGTAACATCTTTCTAAAATATTACGAATAATATCGCAAAAGATACACCCCCTGTGACATTAGAAGTAACATCCACCTAGGATATTATGAATAATATCACAGGGAGTACACCCCCTGTGACATAAGAAGTAACACCGCCCGAAGATATAAGAAATAATATCAGATTGTGTACATGCATTGTGACATCAGTAGTAACATCCCTTTAGGATATTACGAATATTATCAGAGTGTGAACACCTTCTGTGACATTAGGAGTAACATCACCCTACAATATTGGGAATAATACCATACGGTATACACTGCCTGTGACATTAGTAGTAACATTTCTTTAGGATATTACGAATAATATGACAGGGTGTATGGCCCCTGTGATATTAGGAGTAACATATCCAAAAAACCTTACAAATGAAATCACTGTTTGTACACCACGTGTGACATTAGGAGTAACATCTTCCTTGGATATTATGAATGAGATCATAGGGTTGACGCCCCATGTGATTTTGAAATTAAAATCCCCCAGGAATATTACTAATAATAACACAGGGTGTACACCGTTGTGACGTTAGGAGTAACATCCTCCCAGGATATTACAAATAATATCAGAAGCTGTACACACATTGTGACATTAGTAGTAATATCGCATGAGTAAAGTGTGAATAATATCACAGGGTATACACACCTGTGACATTAGGAGTAACATCCCCCTGGAATATTCTGAATAATATCGCAGGGTTTACACCTCCTGTGACTTTAGGAGTATCATCTCACTAAAATATTACGTGAATAATTGTAAAATTACGAGCATCTCACTAAGATATTATGAATAATATCACAGAATGTGTACACACATGGCGTATACCCCATGTGATGTTAGGAGTTACATCCTTCTAGTATGTTAGGAATAATACCACAAAGGTGTTCACACATAGTTAACAACATATGTAATATTAGGATTAACATCCCTCGAGAATATCACAAAGAACATCACAGGGGCTGTGCACACATGATGTGCATGCCCTTTGACATTATAAGTACATTTCCCTGACACATTTCCAGTAATATCACAGCGTTTACACCTTCTGTGACATTTGGAGTAACATCCCCTAGGATAGTACAAATAATATCACAGGGTGTACATCCCCTGTGACCTGAGGAGTAATATCTTTCTAGAATACTATGAATAGTATCACAATGTATACACCCCGTGTGTCATTAAAAGTAAAATTCCCCTAGGATATTATGAAAAATAACACAGGGAGTACACCCCCGTGTGACATTAGAAGTAACATCCCCCGAGGATATAACGAATAATATCAGAGAATGTACATGCATTGGGACATCAGTAGTAATATCTCTTTCGGATACTACGAATAATATCAAAGGGCGTACATGCATTGTGAAATTAGTAGTGAACTCCCGCTAGGATATTACGAATTTTATGACAGGGTGTATATGCCCTGTGACATTCAGAGTAACGTTTTCCTAGAATATTACGAAGAATATTAAAGGGTGTACAGGACCTGTGATTTACGAGTAACATTTCCATAGAATATTACACTGTGTGTACACCCCGTGTGACATTAGGAGTAACATCCCACAAAACTATAACGAATAATTTCACAAGGTGTACACCCTCTGCAACATTAAAAGTAACATTTCCCTAGAATATTACGATAATATCACAGAGTGTACACCCCCTGTGATATAGGGAGTAACATCTTATAAGGATAATACGAGTAATTTGATAAGGTGGACAAACCCTGTGACACAAGGAGTAACATCCCTCTAGGACATTACAAATAATATCAAAGGGAACACACCCCGTGTGACAATAAAGGTAACCTCCCCTTAGGATATTACGAATAATACCACAAAGAGTACACACACTGTGATATTATTATTAATGTCCCACTAGGGTATTGTGAATAATATCACAGTGCGTACAGTCCTGTGACATCAGGATGAACATTCCCCTACAATATTACGAATAATATAGCAGGGTATACACCCCCTGTGATATTGGTAGTGCCATCCTCCTAGAATATGGAAAATAATGTCCCAGGGTGTTAACGAAGGGTGGCAGTAGAGGTAAAATCCTAGTAGTGGAGTAATATCACCCCTCCTCTACCCCCAGGATATTACGATCCACGGTGGACACACAGCGTGTTTACGTTATTGTGAGTAATATCTTCTCCGCCTCTGGAGATTACCAACTGTCATAGAAGGGTGTACATCCTCTGCACTATTTGCAGTAATGGCATCCCCTTGACCCTGGATATTAACAACAATATCAGGAGAGGATGATATTACTCCCAATATCACAGAGGGTGTACACCCCGCCTGTCATATTATTCCTACTATCCAGAATAAGAGAGAATGATATTACTCGCAATAGTGCCGGGGCCTACACCCCCCTTGTGATATTGTTCCTAATATCCAGGGAGGGAGATCATGATATTAATAACTCCCAATATCGCTATGGGTGTACACCAACCCTGTGATATTGCTCCTAATATCCAGGGGGTAGAGTATGACATTACTCCCAATGTTTTTCTTGGGAGTGTTTCTACCCCCAGCGGCATTGGGTGTAGTATCATCCTCTCCCACGTTGAAATTAGGAACAATATCACTGGGGGCGTGTACACACCCTGTGATATTGAAAGTAATATCATCCTCTTTTCTCCTGGATCGTGGGACCAATATCAATGGGAAGCGTACGCTTTCTGCAATATTGGGAGTAATGTCATCCTCTCCGCCTTTGAATATTAAGGGCAATGTCACAGGGCGGGTGTACACTCTCTGCGATATTGGCAATGTTATCCTCTCCCCAAACTGCATATTAGGAAAAATAACACAGAGTGGGTGTACACCTTCTGCGATATGAGTAGTAATATCATCTTCTCCCCTTCTGGATATTAGGAACAATATCACTCGGGAGTGTACACTTTCTTCGAGATTGAGAGTAATATCATCCTCTCCGCCTTTGAATGTTAAGAGAAATATCACAGGGGGGATGTACAGCCCCTGAGATTTTGGGAGTAATATCGGGCTCTTTCCCTCCATGGATATTAGGAACAATATCTCAGGGTGGGTTTACACCTCCTGCTATATGGGGAGTCGTATCCTCTCTTTTCCTGGATATTAGGGACAATATCACAGGGTGGGTGTACACAGCCTGCGATATTGCTGTAATATCATCCTCTCGCCCTCCGGGTATTAAGAACAATATCACAGAAGGGGCGTACACTCCCTGTGATATTGGGAGTAATATCATTTTCTCCTTCCATGAATATTAGGAGCAATATCCCTGGGTGGATGTACACCCACTGTTACATTGGGAGTAATGTCATACTCTACCCCCTGGATATTAGAAGCAATATCACAGGGTGGGTGTACACCCATAGCGATATTGGGAGTTATTAATATCATGCTCTCCCTCCCTGGATATTAGGAACAATATCACAAGGGGGGTGTACACCCCGGCACTATTGCGAGTAATATCATTCTCTCTTATTCTGGATAGTAGGAATAATATGACAGGCGGGGTGTACACCCTCTGTGATATTGGGAGTAATATCATCCTCTCCCAACGTGGATATTAGGAACAATATCACAAGGGGGGCTGTACACGTCTTTGACATTGGTAGTAATATCATCCTCTCCCCCTTGCATATAAGAAACAGTGTGACAGGCGGGGTGGACACACCCTGCGATATGGGGAGTAATATCACCCTCCTCTCCATACCTGGATATCATGACCCACGGTGGACACACAGCGTGTTTACGATATTGTGAGTAATATCATGCCCCCTCTAGAAATTATGAACAATATCACAGATTGGTGTACACCCTCTGCACTATAGGGAGTGATAACATCCTCTCCACCCCTGAATATTAGGAACAATATCAAAGAAGTGTTTATACCCCCTGTGATATTGGGAGTAATGCCATCCTCTCCCACGTTGAAATTCAAAACAGTATCACTGGGGGCGTGCCCACCCCATGTGATACTGAAAGTAATATCATCCTCTTCTCTCCTGGATCATGGGAACAATATCACTAGGGTGGTGTACACTTTCTGCAATATTGGCAGTAATATCCTCTTCGCCTTGGAATATTAAGGACAATATCACAGGGGGGCTGTACACATCCTGCGCTATTAACAATAATATTATCCTCTCACGCCCTGCATATTAGGAAAAATATCACAGAGTGGGTGTACACCTCCTGCGATATGGGGAGTAATATCATCTTCTCTTCTTCTGGAAATAGGAAGAATATCACACGGGTTTGTGCACTTTCTGTGATATTGGGAGTAATATCAACTTCTCCGCCTTTGAATATAAAAAACAGTATCACAGAATGGATGTACACCCCCTGCGATATTGGGAGTAATATCAGCCTCTACCCTCCATGGATATTAGGAATAATATCCCAGAGTGGGTGTTCAGCTGCTGCTGTATGGGGAATCATATCATCCTCTCACTTCCTGGATATTATTAGCAACAATATCACAGGGTGGGTGTGCATAGCCTGCAACATTGGGAGTAATATCTCCCTCTCCCCCTCCGGATATTAGGAACAATATCACAGAACGGGTGTACACTCCCTGCGATACTGGGAGTAATATCATTCTCTTCTTCCGTGAATATTAGGAGCAATATCACTGGGTGGATGTACACCCACTGCTATATTGGGAGTAACGTCATACTCCACCCCCTGGATATTCGGATCAATATCACCGGGTGGGTGTACACCTACTGCAATATTGAAAGTAATACCATGCTCTCTCCCTCCCTGGACATTAGGAACAATATCATAGGTGGGTGTACACGCACTGCGGTATTAGGAGTAATATTATTATTAATTATTACTTATTTATTATTAACATTAACATTAATTACCAGTATCAATATTGAGAAATAATTGCTAACAAAAAGTTTTCATATTATTAACATTAATATTAATTATTGGTACCTAATATTATTGTTTTCTAATTAATAAGATCAGTATCAATTGTTAATATCAGTCATTATTAATAATTAATATTAATAATTTTATTGTTATCATTAATATAACTATTTAATAATAATTATCATTATTATCAGTATTGATTTTAAATCACTCATTTAACAAAAACTCAGGCTACATACAACTACGCAAAGGGCCTAACATTGTAAGCCTTTAGGGACTGCTTCAATCATTCGCTGACACAATAACACTTTTCAGCAAAGAACCCCTATGGCCCTCAACATCTACTATTAACCTTTATATTATCGCTCCAACCCTGGCCCTTTCTTTCGCTCTTCTATTGTGAACCCCCATCCCTATACCAGACCCTCTAATTAATTTTAAAATAGGCCTCCTATTTTTACTAACCTTATCAAGCCTAGCCGTCTACTCTATTCTATGATCAGGAAGAGCAATTAAATTCAAATTATGTACTAATTGGCACATTACAAACTGTAGCCCAAACAACTTCATATGAAGTAACCCTAGCCATTGTCCTGCTATCAATTCTACAGATAAGTGGCTCGTTTAACTTATATTCACTCATCACAATGCAAGAAATCCTCTGACTGCTCCTATCATCATGGCCCCTAGACATGATATGACTTGTCTTCACACTAGCAGAAACTAATCGAGTCCCTATATTATATATATAATTTTTTATATATATAATACATATTATATAAAATATAAATATATAAATATTTGTATATTTATATTTTATATGAAATATAAATATTTGTATATTTATATTTTTTATGAAATATAAATATTTGTATATTTATATTTTATATGAAATATAAATATTTGTATATTATATATTTTATGTGAAATATAAATATATAAATATTTGTATATTATATATTTTATATTTGTATATTTGTATATTTATATATTTATATAAAATATAAATATACAAATATTTGTATATTATATATTTATATAAAATATAAATATATAAATATTTGTATATTATATATTTATATAAAATATAAATATATAAATATTTGTATATTATGTATTTTATATATAATATAAATATATAAATATTTGTATATAATGTATTTTATATATAGTATAAATATATAAATATTTACCTATAATACAAAATACATATAATATATATGATTATATATAATTTTTATACCCTCTGTAGAGGGAATTATTTTTGTTTCGATATCCATCCATAATAAAATACTGTGTCTGTCCATAATAAAAATACTAGTGGAAAAGTAGGAATTATAGTCACGTAAGAGATAAAAGAAAATCTGTTAGTATCAATATATTAACACATATAGGTGGTGTTGGTTCTTACAGGGTTTAGTAAAATGCATTCTAATTTTCTAAACAATTTCCACGTTACTGTATATTTATTTTTCTCTCTTTCATGATTGGAAAGAGTGCAACAATATACATCCCTATACAATCATCCTTGATTACATCTAAGGGAGCTTCGGCAGTAGTAAAATTACAGGGTTAATTTATTCATATAGGTATTACAGGGTAACCAAACAAGATTCCAAATTCTTTCATCAGCAAAGCCCAGTGTAATCCTAAACCAGGTAGCCACTCTAATTAATGCAATTAACTCAGATACATAAATATATACATATATATGTATATGTCTCCATGTGTGGATGCACTTAAATGGTTGCAAATACCATCGACTTTTCCTCTCAAACAGTATTTTTGTTGAGAATGAGGTATATTCACTAGTTCATCAAAAATATTTTTTAAATTCTTAGATGATTACATTTGTTACAGTGACCAGCTGGATTAGAATTAGATTAGGTTTAAAATGATGAAAGAATCTGGGAGAGGGGGCAGAGTGCTGGTTGTTAATTAGCACATGGATCAAAGGAGAGCACTGAGGTGTTTAGAAGCCACAACATTGACAGGATAATAGCCAGAACTAACAATCCAATAGTAAATCTCTTCACTGTGGTATTTTCTGCCACTTCTGCTCCATAAGACACAATTTAACCACTTTGTCGTGGTATCTGCAGTATTCTATTTTAGTCTACATAGCATTTTCTCTCAAATGCATTCTGTTTCTCTCTCCTTCATCTTCCCTCCCTTCTTCCTTCCAGCTGTATTTTCTCACTAGAGAACACTAGTAGAATGTTCTCCCAAATTTCAGATTTCAGATACGCACCTGTAAAATAACGTTATGGAGACACATTTTAGTTGCTACTGAATACTTGGTTGTTTTCATAAGTTCACAGCATTACTACTGTCCTCCAAAAAACGGTTTCCCATTTCCACAGCTAATCTCATCATTGACTCTGCCATCCGAGTTTATTCTAGGCCACTCTGGAAGAATCTGGAAAAATACTTAGAATACATTTTAAGTATTCATCATGCACATGTATTGTATTTTATTTTATATATGTTCGGGTGAATATCTTTCTCCACTAATTGTTTGCATTTCAATTCTTGTATCATGTTTTTTGAAACACAGAAGTCCTCATGAATATAAACCAACTAATTTTTTTTAATTGTTAATTTTTGTCCTGGTTAAGAAATCCTTATGAGAATATTGTATCAGGACTTGAATCTTCAGGACTTGAATCTATTTGGAAATGACTGTGTGTGTTTTGAGGTAGGAGTCAATATTTAGTTACTTTTTTAAAAAAAATTCAATTAATCCAGCATTGTTCTGACCACCTTGTGTATTTCAATGTAGAAGAGCACACTAATAATGCGGGATTATTTATATATGTGGTGAGAATTCCAAAATGAAGCCCAGCATGGAAGGTCAAATGATATTAACTCAAAGGATAGATTAGTACAATGAAACATGATGGATAAGTGCAACACAGTTAGATAAAGAGAAAGAAAAACAGCATTTCCCAGTTATCATTAACGCTTCACTCCAAGTTTTTGCATGAAGCAAAAGATCCCGACTCTCTTCCACTGATTTTAACTCCATTCAGACATGTCTGTCAACTATTATTTCACTCAGTGGCAGTCAGAAATAAAGAAAAAAAAACAGAGAATATATTTCATGCCATGATCATGAATAATGATTTTTCAAAAATTAATTAATAACCAGTACACACACTTTTAGTGTTTTTACCACATTTAATAGTAACACAATAAATGAGTTTTAATAACATTAGAATGCAATTCAAGACATAAAACAGAACGTATTTGTCCTGTTTGATAAGGCACAAGGAAGAGGGCTTTCTGGGATAAAGGGGTTCCCACAGCAGATGAACACATATCTGATTTGTCTCTGGTCAGAGGTGAACACAGCAAAAGATAGGCCTGAGAGGAGGTGAGAAGGAGCAATTAGGGATGGTGTGTATAGGGGAGCTTTGATTAACATCAACGAAGCTCACAGTTCTAGCTTCACAATCCAGGAATAATCCTACATGGTTGGTAGGTCTTGGGACATACTGCAGTGTAAGTGGGGAGGTGGTAAAGAGGCTGCACTGAATGTCATTCTTAACACACCCAAGACTAAAGAGTCCCTCCTCTCCATGTATATTGCCATTCTGATTCGTCCCTTTCCAATACTTATTACAGACACCAAAGGCCCAATTCCAAGAGTCCCCCACATGGACCTCCCAGTAATATTTGCCAGAGGTGAAAGTCTGAGCACCCCATGCAAGAAAACTTGTAGGTGTTGCAGTGATATGGGGCGCATTTTGACGGTCACATCCAATACAAATGCTTCTCAAATCTCCACGTCGGAAGATATGACTGTTGGCTTCATTATGAGGCAGAGTAATATCCACTGCAAAATAAATAAATAAATAAATAAATAAATAAATAAATAAAAAGAAAGAAAGAAAGAAAGAAAACATGCATAGGCATGTGTAGATAAGCAAAAATTGTTCTATCAAGCAGTTAATTTACCAGGAAACGTAAAGTCACAAGGACACTTTTGCTTGTAACTTCTAATAAAGTATAGAGATGATTAATATTATCTACAAGACAGACAAAACGCTAACCACAGATATTAAAGATGTTTTGAAAACTTACATACTGAGAGCCAAATGTAAGACCAACTTCTTTCAATCCAATTTTCAAAGCAAAATTAGCACATTATGTGCCCTAAATGCTATGCTGTTATCAAGATCATTATTTAGAAATGTTTCTTATTCTTAAAAACTAGTGCTATCATTTTGGAAAGAATGTGAAGATGTTCAGTTACTCAAGAACTGCTCTAGATAACTGGGTAAAAATCCATAAGTACATGTCATAAGTGATCATTTAAAGCAGATTTCTGCAAAATCTTTTACCAGTCTCTCTGTTGGCCCTCCATGCTAGCTTGGGGCTGAAGCTGGATTTTAGACTTAACATGTAGCTTTTCATATTGCAATTAAACTGAACTTCTTTTTGTTTGTAATTTTACTTGTATTCACAAAATGATTTCTTTTTATTTTTACCCATTAACTAATTTTCTTGGAAATACATAATATATATCCATTAAAAAAATTAAAAAACCCCAAGAATCTCCAGTGAACTATATTCCCCAAAAGAACAGTTCTTAGCTGTTCAAATGAATACACCAAAGAAATGTAAAATTTTGTATTTAACATTAAATAACTCACCTTCATTCTGAGCATTGTTCCATTTGCTCCTTTTTTAGATTTGCTACACTACTCCTTTTTCCCATTACATTACTCAGTACATATGAGGCCATAATGTATTTGTTTTTCACTATCTTTTAATCTTAATGCTATAAATCTGACTATACAGACACAGATACAAAAGGGTTGCATGATTATATTGTTCACTTATGTCTATAAAGTAGTAAAATATTTGATAAAGGGTGAAATATTACCTATGTGATCCTAACAATAATAAAATTTAGATAGTGGGAGTGCTGCCTGTGGGTGGAGACTTACCTCGGAATTGGTTGAGCCTGTCCCTCAGTCCAGTGATGGGCCCTGCCCTGAGCTCTAGATTCAGAGGCTGGGGCATGTGCAGCAGCACGGACTCACTCCTGCAAGGAAAAACCTGCAGTTACAACATCTACAGCCATAAAATAAATAAAAATCACTACTTGTGTTTAAAAGACATTTCATGAGAATCCTTTGAACCCACAAATTTGATAATTCAAAAATTATTCCTTCCTTTTTGAAATTAATTTCGATTTACAGTTTCCGAATTTTAAAGCACAGTGGGAGAGTCTGAGTCAGAATTCAGTCTGATCTTTCCTATTTTTTGCCCCAAATGTTTAAGGTTCCTTAGCCTTACGGCCTTGAGAATATTTAGAAACGAAATTCTGAGTTCCACTTCTTGGCAGACTCCCCTGACACCTTTGTCTGAAATAGCGGGGTTCTGGGGAGACTGCTGCATCTGCTGCTTCCTTTTCAAGATAAAGAATGTGAAACTTGTTCTAGGCAGCTAGACCTGCCTTTTAGAAACAAGCTTCCCTAGAGACTTATACAGTTCTAACACTCCACAGTTTTTTCAATCTATTTTTCAGAACTGTTAACTGATATGTGTATAGGTATGAACAACAAATCATCAACTTTTTCACTGCTGAAATACTTCTCCCACTTCTCTCCTGCTTCCTCTGGTGACTTTCTCACCATCCACAAAACAAAACTTCATCTTTCACCTATGCAGGCTTTTAAGCAATAAAACAAAGTCAGGAATAAACATTTTTTTTTATTTTACTTCACTATTTATTTATTTATGTATTTATTTACTTAGTGGTCTTGTCTTTTCTGGTGTGGGAACAAAAGTAGATGCAAAAAAGAAATAAAGTGGTATCAATATCTCAATCATTTATGCCAGGACTTTGGTAGAGCCTGCTTTGATATTCGTGGAAAGTGAAAGAACATATGCTAAAATCCAGGTACACTCTCACCTGTGTAATATGTCTCCAAAAGCCTGTAAAAAAAAAAAAAATAGAAAGATTTAGTGCAGTTCACAAGATGCATCTTTCATTAAGTTCAGTGTGAAATTTGGAGTCAGTTCCTCAAGATATTATTTCCCTACCATCTTCTCTTCTGCAAAGCATTTTCTATTTCTTCTGTAACGAAAAACCCAGTCAGTCGTATTGTCACTAATTAATGACCTGGGAAAGTCTGAGTCTTGAAGACATTCTCTAAAGAAGTGAAGGGAGAAGAGGCCCAGAGAGTCTATGCTCCATGGTAACCTCGAATAACCTACTCAGTCATCTTTCCCAGAACCTATTACCCAAATGAGTGGATCCCAAAATAATATTAATGTGAGCCTAGATTCCCAAAACGTCTGATCTTGCCATGTCCTCAAATTAACCTAAATGTAAATGAATCACTCACTATTTTATACATGTTTGACAACCCAAAATGTATTATTGACTTAGTTGGGGAATAGTTATTGGGGCTGTTACCTTGACCATTCCACAAAGTTTTGTGGCTGGTGGATAAAGTAGGAGGGATCTTTGGCCTGGTAGAATCCCTTGGCGGGGCTATACTCTCCCAATAAAGTAGCATTAGTTGTGCGAATGTGTTTTTGGAAACACATCATGGAAATAAAGGTAGGGAGATGGATTTCAGCCATGAGGAAAATACTTATACATGTGAATATTCAAAAACCTGAAACCACATTGTGAGTTTGTACCTGAAGTAGCTCCACATCTGGTTTATGGCACATTTTCATCAGCTCCGCATACGTTCCTCTTAAAATCTCCCTCCTGTGAGCCATTTTGGCTTTACTTAAATGAAGTCGATGAAAAATATCTTTCCCCTTCTTTTTCAGCATCTCCAAATTATGTTTTTCTTCTTCATGATGAAATGCAGGCATCTTCTGATACTCAGCTCTAATAGCTTCTAGCCTTACATTCACATAATCCTGCAGTGATAATGGGTTAGTCAAAAGAGAAATGTATATATCCATCTCCTATTAAATCTCACTGATTCCTTTTGTCTCTCGAACATCCAATAGTTTAAACCTCAGTCTTACCAGTTCTTAGAATCCACAAATTTTTTTCCTTTCCTTTCTTTCTGCATAAAGATCAACATAGATGTATCTGACCAATTACATTAAATTTATTCAAGATAATGAGTGTTCTAAGATAGTTGGAAATAAAAAAAAAAAAACACAATTTGAATTTCTCTATTCCAACCCATATTTATGGAAAAGTAAGACCAGTTCATGCTTAAGAGTTGGAGTATAGAGCTATAGTTACTAGAAAGGAAATAATTATTTCTATTTCTGAGATACGTAACAAGTTGCTTAAACTCATTATATGTGAAATGACCTTAGACTAACATGTCCAGCTAAATGCATTTCGCCCAGCAAAACCTATCCTAATAAGGCTGCATTTATGATTTGGCCATCTTTGTCTCCCTGAATTCATTTCCTTCCATTCTTTTTCTAAGTCAACCCAATCTGAAACATAGACTTCTTTGTGGTTCCCCAGGCCTCCAAATATACACAAACTCAAAATTACTGCATATACTGTTCTCTCCAACTGGAATTTTACACACACACACACACACACACACACACACACACACACACACAAACACACAAACACACATATACATATACATGTATACACACTCATGGTCCACATATATATCCATACACACTTTCGTGCTCCCCTTCCGCTTTGAAACTTTGTTCAATTTGAATTTTTCAGTGAATCTTTTTTTCTGACCACCCTATTTAAAACTCAGACACTAATCTCCAGTTTCTGGCCTCTATTGTCCTTTTCTACTTCCCTGCTTGATTATTCTCCAACAAAGAACCTACCACACTCGAACACATCATGTATTGCACATATTTGCATGTTGACCATTTTTGCCTCTCATTTGGATTGTACGATTTGTGAGGACAAAGATGCTTTCTTTCTTCTATACTGGCAAATTTTCTAATTTAATATTCAACATAGACTAGGTTCTTATGAAATACTTTTCAACACACTACTATTAGCTATCATACCCTCAGAGTATACATCCACAAAGAGAAAATCATTTTTAATATTTTTCTGAAGTCCTCAGAGTTCTCCTTATATTTAGATACTAGTTCCCATATTTCGGGCATGTTTGCATGTCTCCCTCAAGACACAAATCCATATTTCTCACCACTTTTCTCATCATATGTTATGTAGTATTCAATATTAATTAGTTGAGATTCTTAATTTCATGGTTGCCCTAGATTTCCCCTGTCACTCTTTCTGCCTCAAATTTTCCATGCAATTCCAAATACTACTTGTCCACCAGCATTCAGATTAATGCTGACCCAGGCTCAGAAGGTTCACTTGAGCTTTCCATGACTGCCAAATAACTCTCATGCCCAGCATTTATCCAACCAGCACATATAGAATGCTGTGAGATGGCCCAGTATCTTGTATCTGTTGGTGTATAGCTACAGGTTTGTATGAAAACAAACCAGCATGCTTTGGGTAACATCAACGGTTTTGTTAGAAATCCCATCTAACAGTCACACTATTCTACATAAGAAATGAGGCCACTTTTTCTCAATGTTTTCTTTTCTTTTCTTTTTTTTTTTTTTTTTTTTGACTCCCAGAAACATTACGGTTTGATATCAAGTTCCTATTTTAAGAGTCACCCATTTGCCCACCATAAGTTCCTGGAGAAGGTAGACTAGTACAGGACTAACCTTCCAGTGGCTGATTCTGGTGGTTTCCACGTTCAGGTTTCTCTGATTTTCACAAACTTTTTCCCATAAAGACTGCATTTTCTTTAAAAGCTTCTCCTGCAAAAGAGCCATAAATTGAAGCACCAGTGAGGACAATAAAGTAACATGCAGACCGTTTCATAGGGAGGGGGCCCAGAATGAGAGACAAATAAGTCCCCAGTAAATGGCATTTCTTCTGTTTCCCTTCTGCTTCGTCAAATCTCGGAGGTTTGAAGCTAAGAAAGCCCAAAAGAGAGTTGCTTAAAGGGACTCAGAGTTGGCTTTACCCAATCTCCGAGAAAATAGGCCCACAGGAATTTCATGTGTCCTTTACAGAAATAGATCTTCAGAGGCATCACTTACCCGGTGTTCCTCAGCAGCCCACTCAGCGGGACAGTGTCTGTGATACCGGTGCTCCAGAGAGCTGGAGCACAGCAAACAGAGCAGGCTCCTGTCCACTTCACAGAATATCTTCTTTGTCTCCCTGTGAGTGCCACACATTTGCTCCTCAGAGCTCAGGAATAGCCAGAGACTGGCTTTTCTGGCACGGGAAGCCATCTTCTTCAATCGAATGTTAGTTTTGAGGTTTCTCTGCTGTGTTGTCTTTAGGCATTCAAAGCACTGAGTAAGAATTGGGATGTCTTGCCAGTTGAGGTAGAAACAGGGCCTGCAAAAGCTGTGCCCACAGTCTATGGTGACCGGGTCTATGAAGTAGTTCAGGCAGATGGGGCAGGTGAGTTCCCTCTGGAAGACTTGCGAGATTCCAGAATTCATGTTTCTGAGGAAGAAAGAGCAACATGTCATTTTGGGGTCTGGGTTGATGAAAAGCTTCTGAACATGTGGAGATAAGTGATAGCTATAGTTTCTTCTCTTGACAGTGTTCATTAAAGCACAGCAAACTATTTCTTCTGTAACAAAAATAAAAATCTCACACAGAGAGTCTCCCGGCTTTATAGTAGATATTACTGACTAGATGACTCACAACCCCTTCTACTCCTAGTGCCTGTCTGTAACACAATACCAATCTATTCAATTTCCCATTTTTCTGAATGTGGATCTGGAAATTGGGTTTGATTCTAAGTGGCCTAGAATAAATTGTAGTTGTTCCTATTCTTCTTTCATGTAACTGCCGAATGAGTATGAAAGGGTGGGAAAAACTGCCTTGGCCAAAGAAATACGAGAAGATGGCTAGAGGGTCCTATGATATATTTTGAGAGACACAACAGTGGGGCAGCAAACCACCATGGCACATGTTTACCTGTGTAACAAGCCTGCACGTCCTGCACATTTATCTCAGGACTTAAAATAATATAAAATTAAAGTAAAATAAAAAACCAAAACCAAAACGAAATAGAAAAACCAATCAACCAACCAAATAAACAAATAAAAAACAGCAATTAAACCAATTTAGGTTGAATAGAAGAGAAAAAATCATTAAAGATATTGGGCCTTTTTATTTTCTCGTGGGTTAAATTAACTTCTCCTAGGGATACCCAGGCTCTGAACTAACATATAGTAGGATTTTTGTTAAACTTAAAGAGGTGTAATTATATTTCTATGGTGTGATGGTGAATTTTAGGTATCAGTCTGACTGGATTAACCAACACCTAGGGAACTGGTGCAGCATTGTTTCTGGGTGAGTCTGTGAAGGTGTTTCCAGAGGAGAGAGACATGTGAGTTGGTGAGCTGAGTGGGACCATCATCCCTCAATGTGAGTGGGCACCATTCAATCAGCTGGTAGCTCAGATAAAAGGAAAAGGCCAGAAGAAAGGCAATTTCCTCTTTCTTTCTCCTGAAGCTAGTTCTGAGGCTTTCAGCCTTGAGCTCAGTCAAGACACCGGTATCCTCAGGACATCAGCTTAAAGACAGCCTATATTAGAACTGCTCAGACTCCATAATCAAGCAAACGAATTTTCCTGATGAATTCCCTCTCGTGTAGAATCATGTGTAGCTTGAGGACAGATATATGTTCTGAGAAATGTGTAAGGAGGTTTTATTTATTTACTTTTTGAGATGGAGACCCACTGTGTCACCCAGGCTGGAGTGCAGTGGTGCAATCTCGGCTCACTGCAACCTCCGCCTCCTGGGTCAAAGCGAGTCTCCTGCCTTAGCCTCCTGAGTACCTAGGATTACAGGAACATGCCACTACACCCGGCAAATTTTCTCATTTTTTTTTTTCCAGTAGAGATGAGGTTTCGCCATGTTGGCCAGGCTGGACTTGAACTCCTGGCCTCAAGTGATCTGCCCACCACGGCCTCCAAAAGTGCTGGGATTACAGGCATGAGCCACTGTGCCTAGCCGGGCGGTTGTATTGTTTTGACATGATAGAATATACTTATACAAACCTAGATGGTACAGCCTGCTACACACCTATGGTATACAGTACAGCCTGTTGCTCCTAGACTACAAAACTGTACAGCATGTTCTGTACTGTATACTCTAGGCAATTGTAACACAGTGGTAATTATTTAGTATGTAAACATATTTAAATACAGAAAAGGTACAGTAAACACACTGGTATTATAATCTTATGTGACCACCATGTGTGGTTTATGGTTGACTGAATTGGCTCATGAATGTATCTCTACATGTATACATATACATCCTATCATTCTGTCTGTCTGGAGAGCCCTGACTAATATATAAACTATGGTCTTTGGCAATTTTAAGTCCTTTTCTTTACTCTCCTTTATTTGATAACACTGCTGAATTTTAGTGAAAGAAATGAAAAATCTTAGAATTGTAAATATTCTCCAGAGGTCATCTAAGTCATTTTAAGGAATTTTTCATAGTTTAATAAGATTAAGACTCAAGTGAGATGGCAACCACCATCACGTATCAAATTATATCTTATATATGTATTTGGCCAAAAAATTGTGTTTTGATTTCCAAACTAGGATGTTTTGGGGAGCTTTCTCATTTTTTTCAGTTTCACTATTTTGCATCTCTCATCATTACCTTACTAATTTAAAGCTATGTGTAAATGCCGAATGAATGGATTAACATTCATTAACGTCTTCTCAATTCAATTGTATAATATTAATACACTCATTACACACATATTTACACACACCTATGTGTACATACATGTATAAATATCAACTCCATATATTCATTATGCATACATATCTGTTGCAGCAAACACTAGATATTTCCATTTTTTCAAAACTATATTGAAGAATGATAGAAAACGCAAAATAACAACAATTAGTATCCTCATAATTCATAAAATCTATAGTAAGAATATGAATTACAAATGGTATCATTGTGTAGATTTAAGATAATGAGATATTTTTAACACTCTAATTTATTATTTTGTAAAGGAAAGAAGACATAATTTTATCAATATAAGTTTCACTCACCGCTGGGTTCTTTGAAGGGTTCCCACAATGATTCTTCGAGAAATAATTCTGTTAAGTACTCCTCAAGGTCAGGAGCTCATTCGCCGCAGTACTGAGTTTCAGAGGTCACCAAAACACAGCTTCCTCTAAGTGCGCTCCTTCTCCTTTGGAGAAAACTGAGCTTGTCTCTTCTATGTCCTTTTATAAGAATCTGTGAAGGCCACACCCACCTCTTTAAGTGGGTGGAGTATTGAGAAAGGTTGAGAATAAGATGATTAGGTTTATGCAGTATTTAGATCGCACCTTTGCACCGCTGATTAAATTATCATCACTCCTTAAAAAACCAGACATCTATACACAGCAGCTCTCCTGTGACTGACATTCTTGGTTATTTTCTTGCTTGATGCAATTTTCTTCCTTGAGTCAATTGATTTACTTCTGGAAAGTGGTGTAAAAATTGGTTCCTAATAAAATTTGCAATTTGAAAATATTCTATCTTGAAGCAGACCAATGGTTAACAACTTTGCAAAACCAATATTTATACCCTTGATAAAATATTTGATTGCTAATGTGTTGGCTGCTGGATTTCTCCCAACAGAGAACATCTTCAGAGTTATTCTTCTCTGCTAAGAGAACATTTCTCTTTTGTCTCCTGGTCTCTGTATGTCTGAGGAACCCTTTTCTATGTCATCTGGTAACTTCTCATTTTATTTTTTCCTTGTATAATTTTGGACCAGTCCATGCCATCTTTTCCTCTCATTCTTCCCTATATAGCAATGAATTTTGTAAAATAAAGAAAATGGCAAGAAGAGAGGAAGAGGATATCAGTGAAGAGGATGTCATGCTGGACACCGTGTTGTTCTTGGCACACACTGCATGCAGTCCTCACTGCCATCAGCAGGGTGGCTTTTATTCTCACATTTTTTTTGATCTATCTAATAATGGGAGGGGAGAGTAACACTATCAGTGTCCCTCACCCAGTAAAATGCAGATTTTTATTAAGAGGCTGTGCCTTGCTCTGTTGCCCAGGCTGGAGTGTAGTGGTGCAATCATAGTTCACTGTAACCTCGAACTTCTGGGCTCAAGGGATCCTCCGATCTCTGCCTCCCAAACATTGAAATTACTTGCTTAGCTCTTACTGGATCTGACTACCAAGTCTACCCTTACATATACGATATTTTTTCCATAGCTCCACTTATACATTTAGTTAAATAGTTTTCAAAATAATAACGTTTTAAAGCTAAATGAAGTCAATATGATTTTCAGTTACAAAGCAACACAAAATAAAAAATAAACATATCCAAATAAAAATTAAACAAAAACAATAAAATATCTTTAAAAGAACAGTATTTCTATAATTTTCCTTCTTAATTTTTAAACAACAGAGTAAAACAGATCAACTTCACAATTTAACTGAAAGATGATTTACAAATTGTCTGAAAACACTAACTAAAGCCAATAAAACTTTCTCTAGCCACAGATATGACAGCCGTGAACACTTTAGGGTAACCAACAATTGTTTTGTCTATTCTCAGGTTAGAGCAGAAGGACCCTCAGCTGCCGACCAGTGGGACATGACAATGCCAAGAAATCTGGGCCACAAACCAGGCCATTCCCCTGAAAATTTGCTGTAGCTTCCTTGGAGCTAAAAAGCCAAGATTCCCAACAGTACCCATGGGCAGAGGGCTTAGGTACCTGGTCAGTTACCTCTCTAACCACTCACTGCTGCATCAAGCAAGAAAATAACCAAGAATCTCAGTCACAGGAGAGCTGTTGTGTATAGATGTCTGTTTGTGGCAGGGGGTCAAGGTATTCATGCTGCAGAAGACAAGCTGGAATCTCCCTCCACCCCCATTTCGACCCAACCAAGGGCTCTGATTCCTTTCATAAACCTGCCTCTAGTCTTCCCCACCTTTCTCTGTTCCTATCCCCTCTCTAATTGCTGGATGAGGCTGTGCTGCTGCAGCCGACTGTCTGGCCCCTGAGCATTACATCCCCATACTCCAGGCCTTTATTCATCACCAAAACAGCATGGTACTGGTACAAAAATAGGCACATAGACCAGTGGAACAGAATAGAGAACCCAGAAATGAACCCAAATACTTAACAACCAACTGATCTTTGACAAAGCAAACAAAAACATAAAGTGGGGAGAGGACACCCTATTCAACAAATGGTGCTGGGATAATTGGCAAGCCACATGTAGGAGAATGAAACTGGACTTTGTGGCATAGACAAACTTTCTTATTGTTATTCAATGAAACACTCACGTAGGACCTACTGGGAAGGTATTTTGCAGATGTAACGAAAGGTCCTGCTCTTGTAACTAGCAAGTGTACTCAGGTAAGCCTGACTTCATCAGTGAAAGTCCCTTAAAGAAAGACATAGGCATTCCTTGAACAACATTTAAAATAGCGAATGGGACTGTAATCTTCCAGTTGCCCCCTAATGACTTTGGACCAAAGCTTTGAATCCTGACCATTGGGATCCAGCCAGCTGAGGATTTTTCTTCCTAACTGACTTTAACAGGGATCTCATACTTGCTCAGGCAGCCCATCAACTGTGGAAACCGGTTCCTTGCACTTAATTCATATGTGAATCTCCCTAAGTATTCATATATATTATGGGATCTGCTTTGATTTTTGAACCTTGACAGACATAGGGCTGACAGATTTGTCTTCACTGTTCTGACACTCTTGAATATAAGTCTTGTGGGGGCTATTGGCAAAGAATTCCTCTGTCAGAATATATTTGAGTAGCCGCTTCTTAAATCTCTTTTCTTTTTTAAATTGTCACATGACAACAAAAATATTTGTTATAGAAAGAAAAATATAATCCATCCCTATCATTTGGATTCTGTATTTGTGAATTAGCCTACGTCCTAAAACTTGTTTATAATCCCCAAATTAATTACTATATTGCATTTCTAGTCATGGCAGAACATCATGCACCATGTGGAGAAAAGCATTAAAATAATAACTCGTATTTCACCCACGAGATTGGCAAAGGTTTGTAAATTCAGTAAGAGACCTCAAATTAGTAGAGTTATTTGGTTAGTCAGTGATTTCTCTTAGAGTGGTAGAAAACAAAAAAAGTTTTATCTTCCTGTTGGACTTCTCTTCGAATATCCTATAAATGTACTAAAGCAGCATTTAAGGCTGGATGAGGTGGTTTATGCCTGTACTCCCAAGCATTTTGGAAGTCCAAGACCAGAGGATTACTTGAAGACAGGAGTTGGAGAACAGCCTGGGCTACAGAGCCATACCCTGACTCTATGAAAAGTTTTAAAAAAACATTAGCCAGGTGGGATGGTTTGAGCCTGTAGTCCTAGCTACTTGGGAGGCTGAAGCAGGAGGATCCCTTGAGCCTTGGAATTCAAGGCTGCAGTGAGCTATGACTGTACCACTGCACTCCACAAGCAGACAGTTTCTCTAGAATAAATAAATGTGCCCTTAGAGGAATGCCTGTATCTTGGATGAAGCTCAATAAACAGTATAAAATGCATCTTAGTTAATTTCCAGTGTATGTCAAATCTGATAGGATTTATGTTACATATGATTCATTTAAATCATGGTTTTTTAAGGAGTGATGATAATTTAATCAGCGGTGCAAAGGTGCGATCTAAATACTGCATAAACCTAATCATCTTATTCTCAACCTTTCTCAATACTCCACCCACTTAAAGAGGTGGGTGTGGCCTTCACAGATTCTTATAAAAGGACATAGAAGAGACAAGCTCAGTTTTCTCCAAAGGAGAAGGAGCGCACTTAGAGGAAGCTGTGTTTTGGTGACCTCTGAAACTCAGTACTGCGGCGAATGAGCTCCTGACCTTGAGGAGTACTTAACAGAATTATTTCTCGAAGAATCATTGTGGGAACCCTTCAAAGAACCCAGCGGTGAGTGAAACTTATATTGATAAAATTATGTCTTCTTTCCTTTACAAAATAATAAATTAGAGTGTTAAAAATATCTCATTATCTTAAATCTACACAATGATACCATTTGTAATTCATATTCTTACTATAGATTTTATGAATTATGAGGATACTAATTGTTGTTATTTTGCGTTTTCTATCATTCTTCAATATAGTTTTGAAAAAATGGAAATATCTAGTGTTTGCTGCAACAGATATGTATGCATAATGAATATATGGAGTTGATATTTATACATGTATGTACACATAGGTGTGTGTAAATATGTGTGTAATGAGTGTATTAATATTATACAATTGAATTGAGAAGACGTTAATGAATGTTAATCCATTCATTCGGCATTTACACATAGCTTTAAATTAGTAAGGTAATGATGAGAGATGCAAAATAGTGAAACTGAAAAAAATGAGAAAGCTCCCCAAAACATCCTAGTTTGGAAATCAAAACACAATTTTTTGGCCAAATACATATATAAGATATAATTTGATACGTGATGGTGGTTGCCATCTCACTTGAGTCTTAATCTTATTAAACTATGAAAAATTCCTTAAAATGACTTAGATGACCTCTGGAGAATATTTACAATTCTAAGATTTTTCATTTCTTTCACTAAAATTCAGCAGTGTTATCAAATAAAGGAGAGTAAAGAAAAGGACTTAAAATTGCCAAAGACCATAGTTTATATATTAGTCAGGGCTCTCCAGACAGACAGAATGATAGGATGTATATGTATACATGTAGAGATACATTCATGAGCCAATTCAGTCAACCATAAACCACACATGGTGGTCACATAAGATTATAATACCAGTGTGTTTACTGTACCTTTTCTGTATTTAAATATGTTTACATACTAAATAATTACCACTGTGTTACAATTGCCTAGAGTATACAGTACAGAACATGCTGTACAGTTTTGTAGTCTAGGAGCAACAGGCTGTACTGTATACCATAGGTGTGTAGCAGGCTGTACCATCTAGGTTTGTATAAGTATATTCTATCATGTCAAAACAATACAACCGCCCGGCTAGGCACAGTGGCTCATGCCTGTAATCCCAGCACTTTTGGAGGCCGTGGTGGGCAGATCACTTGAGGCCAGGAGTTCAAGTCCAGCCTGGCCAACATGGCGAAACCTCATCTCTACTGGAAAAAAAAAAATGAGAAAATTTGCCGGGTGTAGTGGCATGTTCCTGTAATCCTAGGTACTCAGGAGGCTAAGGCAGGAGACTCGCTTTGACCCAGGAGGCGGAGGTTGCAGTGAGCCGAGATTGCACCACTGCACTCCAGCCTGGGTGACACAGTGGGTCTCCATCTCAAAAAGTAAATAAATAAAACCTCCTTACACATTTCTCAGAACATATATCTGTCCTCAAGCTACACATGATTCTACACGAGAGGGAATTCATCAGGAAAATTCGTTTGCTTGATTATGGAGTCTGAGCAGTTCTAATATAGGCTGTCTTTAAGCTGATGTCCTGAGGATACCGGTGTCTTGACTGAGCTCAAGGCTGAAAGCCTCAGAACTAGCTTCAGGAGAAAGAAAGAGGAAATTGCCTTTCTTCTGGCCTTTTCCTTTTATCTGAGCTACCAGCTGATTGAATGGTGCCCACTCACATTGAGGGATGATGGTCCCACTCAGCTCACCAACTCACATGTCTCTCTCCTCTGGAAACACCTTCACAGACTCACCCAGAAACAATGCTGCACCAGTTCCCTAGGTGTTGGTTAATCCAGTCAGACTGATACCTAAAATTCACCATCACACCATAGAAATATAATTACACCTCTTTAAGTTTAACAAAAATCCTACTATATGTTAGTTCAGAGCCTGGGTATCCCTAGGAGAAGTTAATTTAACCCACGAGAAAATAAAAAGGCCCAATATCTTTAATGATTTTTTCTCTTCTATTCAACCTAAATTGGTTTAATTGCTGTTTTTTATTTGTTTATTTGGTTGGTTGATTGGTTTTTCTATTTCGTTTTGGTTTTGGTTTTTTATTTTACTTTAATTTTATATTATTTTAAGTCCTGAGATAAATGTGCAGGACGTGCAGGCTTGTTACACAGGTAAACATGTGCCATGGTGGTTTGCTGCCCCACTGTTGTGTCTCTCAAAATATATCATAGGACCCTCTAGCCATCTTCTCGTATTTCTTTGGCCAAGGCAGTTTTTCCCACCCTTTCATACTCATTCGGCAGTTACATGAAAGAAGAATAGGAACAACTACAATTTATTCTAGGCCACTTAGAATCAAACCCAATTTCCAGATCCACATTCAGAAAAATGGGAAATTGAATAGATTGGTATTGTGTTACAGACAGGCACTAGGAGTAGAAGGGGTTGTGAGTCATCTAGTCAGTAATATCTACTATAAAGCCGGGAGACTCTCTGTGTGAGATTTTTATTTTTGTTACAGAAGAAATAGTTTGCTGTGCTTTAATGAACACTGTCAAGAGAAGAAACTATAGCTATCACTTATCTCCACATGTTCAGAAGCTTTTCATCAACCCAGACCCCAAAATGACATGTTGCTCTTTCTTCCTCAGAAACATGAATTCTGGAATCTCGCAAGTCTTCCAGAGGGAACTCACCTGCCCCATCTGCCTGAACTACTTCATAGACCCGGTCACCATAGACTGTGGGCACAGCTTTTGCAGGCCCTGTTTCTACCTCAACTGGCAAGACATCCCAATTCTTACTCAGTGCTTTGAATGCCTAAAGACAACACAGCAGAGAAACCTCAAAACTAACATTCGATTGAAGAAGATGGCTTCCCGTGCCAGAAAAGCCAGTCTCTGGCTATTCCTGAGCTCTGAGGAGCAAATGTGTGGCACTCACAGGGAGACAAAGAAGATATTCTGTGAAGTGGACAGGAGCCTGCTCTGTTTGCTGTGCTCCAGCTCTCTGGAGCACCGGTATCACAGACACTGTCCCGCTGAGTGGGCTGCTGAGGAACACCGGGTAAGTGATGCCTCTGAAGATCTATTTCTGTAAAGGACACATGAAATTCCTGTGGGCCTATTTTCTCGGAGATTGGGTAAAGCCAACTCTGAGTCCCTTTAAGCAACTCTCTTTTGGGCTTTCTTAGCTTCAAACCTCCGAGATTTGACGAAGCAGAAGGGAAACAGAAGAAATGCCATTTACTGGGGACTTATTTGTCTCTCATTCTGGGCCCCCTCCCTATGAAACGGTCTGCATGTTACTTTATTGTCCTCACTGGTGCTTCAATTTATGGCTCTTTTGCAGGAGAAGCTTTTAAAGAAAATGCAGTCTTTATGGGAAAAAGTTTGTGAAAATCAGAGAAACCTGAACGTGGAAACCACCAGAATCAGCCACTGGAAGGTTAGTCCTGTACTAGTCTACCTTCTCCAGGAACTTATGGTGGGCAAATGGGTGACTCTTAAAATAGGAACTTGATATCAAACCGTAATGTTTCTGGGAGTCAAAAAAAAAAAAAAAAAAAAGAAAAGAAAAGAAAACATTGAGAAAAAGTGGCCTCATTTCTTATGTAGAATAGTGTGACTGTTAGATGGGATTTCTAACAAAACCGTTGATGTTACCCAAAGCATGCTGGTTTGTTTTCATACAAACCTGTAGCTATACACCAACAGATACAAGATACTGGGCCATCTCACAGCATTCTATATGTGCTGGTTGGATAAATGCTGGGCATGAGAGTTATTTGGCAGTCATGGAAAGCTCAAGTGAACCTTCTGAGCCTGGGTCAGCATTAATCTGAATGCTGGTGGACAAGTAGTATTTGGAATTGCATGGAAAATTTGAGGCAGAAAGAGTGACAGGGGAAATCTAGGGCAACCATGAAATTAAGAATCTCAACTAATTAATATTGAATACTACATAACATATGATGAGAAAAGTGGTGAGAAATATGGATTTGTGTCTTGAGGGAGACATGCAAACATGCCCGAAATATGGGAACTAGTATCTAAATATAAGGAGAACTCTGAGGACTTCAGAAAAATATTAAAAATGATTTTCTCTTTGTGGATGTATACTCTGAGGGTATGATAGCTAATAGTAGTGTGTTGAAAAGTATTTCATAAGAACCTAGTCTATGTTGAATATTAAATTAGAAAATTTGCCAGTATAGAAGAAAGAAAGCATCTTTGTCCTCACAAATCGTACAATCCAAATGAGAGGCAAAAATGGTCAACATGCAAATATGTGCAATACATGATGTGTTCGAGTGTGGTAGGTTCTTTGTTGGAGAATAATCAAGCAGGGAAGTAGAAAAGGACAATAGAGGCCAGAAACTGGAGATTAGTGTCTGAGTTTTAAATAGGGTGGTCAGAAAAAAAGATTCACTGAAAAATTCAAATTGAACAAAGTTTCAAAGCGGAAGGGGAGCACGAAAGTGTGTATGGATATATATGTGGACCATGAGTGTGTATACATGTATATGTATATGTGTGTTTGTGTGTTTGTGTGTGTGTGTGTGTGTGTGTGTGTGTGTGTGTGTGTGTGTAAAATTCCAGTTGGAGAGAACAGTATATGCAGTAATTTTGAGTTTGTGTATATTTGGAGGCCTGGGGAACCACAAAGAAGTCTATGTTTCAGATTGGGTTGACTTAGAAAAAGAATGGAAGGAAATGAATTCAGGGAGACAAAGATGGCCAAATCATAAATGCAGCCTTATTAGGATAGGTTTTGCTGGGCGAAATGCATTTAGCTGGACATGTTAGTCTAAGGTCATTTCACATATAATGAGTTTAAGCAACTTGTTACGTATCTCAGAAATAGAAATAATTATTTCCTTTCTAGTAACTATAGCTCTATACTCCAACTCTTAAGCATGAACTGGTCTTACTTTTCCATAAATATGGGTTGGAATAGAGAAATTCAAATTGTGTTTTTTTTTTTTTATTTCCAACTATCTTAGAACACTCATTATCTTGAATAAATTTAATGTAATTGGTCAGATACATCTATGTTGATCTTTATGCAGAAAGAAAGGAAAGGAAAAAAATTTGTGGATTCTAAGAACTGGTAAGACTGAGGTTTAAACTATTGGATGTTCGAGAGACAAAAGGAATCAGTGAGATTTAATAGGAGATGGATATATACATTTCTCTTTTGACTAACCCATTATCACTGCAGGATTATGTGAATGTAAGGCTAGAAGCTATTAGAGCTGAGTATCAGAAGATGCCTGCATTTCATCATGAAGAAGAAAAACATAATTTGGAGATGCTGAAAAAGAAGGGGAAAGATATTTTTCATCGACTTCATTTAAGTAAAGCCAAAATGGCTCACAGGAGGGAGATTTTAAGAGGAACGTATGCGGAGCTGATGAAAATGTGCCATAAACCAGATGTGGAGCTACTTCAGGTACAAACTCACAATGTGGTTTCAGGTTTTTGAATATTCACATGTATAAGTATTTTCCTCATGGCTGAAATCCATCTCCCTACCTTTATTTCCATGATGTGTTTCCAAAAACACATTCGCACAACTAATGCTACTTTATTGGGAGAGTATAGCCCCGCCAAGGGATTCTACCAGGCCAAAGATCCCTCCTACTTTATCCACCAGCCACAAAACTTTGTGGAATGGTCAAGGTAACAGCCCCAATAACTATTCCCCAACTAAGTCAATAATACATTTTGGGTTGTCAAACATGTATAAAATAGTGAGTGATTCATTTACATTTAGGTTAATTTGAGGACATGGCAAGATCAGACGTTTTGGGAATCTAGGCTCACATTAATATTATTTTGGGATCCACTCATTTGGGTAATAGGTTCTGGGAAAGATGACTGAGTAGGTTATTCGAGGTTACCATGGAGCATAGACTCTCTGGGCCTCTTCTCCCTTCACTTCTTTAGAGAATGTCTTCAAGACTCAGACTTTCCCAGGTCATTAATTAGTGACAATACGACTGACTGGGTTTTTCGTTACAGAAGAAATAGAAAATGCTTTGCAGAAGAGAAGATGGTAGGGAAATAATATCTTGAGGAACTGACTCCAAATTTCACACTGAACTTAATGAAAGATGCATCTTGTGAACTGCACTAAATCTTTCTATTTTTTTTTTTTTTACAGGCTTTTGGAGACATATTACACAGGTGAGAGTGTACCTGGATTTTAGCATATGTTCTTTCACTTTCCACGAATATCAAAGCAGGCTCTACCAAAGTCCTGGCATAAATGATTGAGATATTGATACCACTTTATTTCTTTTTTGCATCTACTTTTGTTCCCACACCAGAAAAGACAAGACCACTAAGTAAATAAATACATAAATAAATAAATAGTGAAGTAAAATAAAAAAAAATGTTTATTCCTGACTTTGTTTTATTGCTTAAAAGCCTGCATAGGTGAAAGATGAAGTTTTGTTTTGTGGATGGTGAGAAAGTCACCAGAGGAAGCAGGAGAGAAGTGGGAGAAGTATTTCAGCAGTGAAAAAGTTGATGATTTGTTGTTCATACCTATACACATATCAGTTAACAGTTCTGAAAAATAGATTGAAAAAACTGTGGAGTGTTAGAACTGTATAAGTCTCTAGGGAAGCTTGTTTCTAAAAGGCAGGTCTAGCTGCCTAGAACAAGTTTCACATTCTTTATCTTGAAAAGGAAGCAGCAGATGCAGCAGTCTCCCCAGAACCCCGCTATTTCAGACAAAGGTGTCAGGGGAGTCTGCCAAGAAGTGGAACTCAGAATTTCGTTTCTAAATATTCTCAAGGCCGTAAGGCTAAGGAACCTTAAACATTTGGGGCAAAAAATAGGAAAGATCAGACTGAATTCTGACTCAGACTCTCCCACTGTGCTTTAAAATTCGGAAACTGTAAATCGAAATTAATTTCAAAAAGGAAGGAATAATTTTTGAATTATCAAATTTGTGGGTTCAAAGGATTCTCATGAAATGTCTTTTAAACACAAGTAGTGATTTTTATTTATTTTATGGCTGTAGATGTTGTAACTGCAGGTTTTTCCTTGCAGGAGTGAGTCCGTGCTGCTGCACATGCCCCAGCCTCTGAATCTAGAGCTCAGGGCAGGGCCCATCACTGGACTGAGGGACAGGCTCAACCAATTCCGAGGTAAGTCTCCACCCACAGGCAGCACTCCCACTATCTAAATTTTATTATTGTTAGGATCACATAGGTAATATTTCACCCTTTATCAAATATTTTACTACTTTATAGACATAAGTGAACAATATAATCATGCAACCCTTTTGTATCTGTGTCTGTATAGTCAGATTTATAGCATTAAGATTAAAAGATAGTGAAAAACAAATACATTATGGCCTCATATGTACTGAGTAATGTAATGGGAAAAAGGAGTAGTGTAGCAAATCTAAAAAAGGAGCAAATGGAACAATGCTCAGAATGAAGGTGAGTTATTTAATGTTAAATACAAAATTTTACATTTCTTTGGTGTATTCATTTGAACAGCTAAGAACTGTTCTTTTGGGGAATATAGTTCACTGGAGATTCTTGGGGTTTTTTAATTTTTTTAATGGATATATATTATGTATTTCCAAGAAAATTAGTTAATGGGTAAAAATAAAAAGAAATCATTTTGTGAATACAAGTAAAATTACAAACAAAAAGAAGTTCAGTTTAATTGCAATATGAAAAGCTACATGTTAAGTCTAAAATCCAGCTTCAGCCCCAAGCTAGCATGGAGGGCCAACAGAGAGACTGGTAAAAGATTTTGCAGAAATCTGCTTTAAATGATCACTTATGACATGTACTTATGGATTTTTACCCAGTTATCTAGAGCAGTTCTTGAGTAACTGAACATCTTCACATTCTTTCCAAAATGATAGCACTAGTTTTTAAGAATAAGAAACATTTCTAAATAATGATCTTGATAACAGCATAGCATTTAGGGCACATAATGTGCAAATTTTGCTTTGAAAATTGGATTGAAAGAAGTTGGTCTTACATTTGGCTCTCAGTATGTAAGTTTTCAAAACATCTTTAATATCTGTGGTTAGCGTTTTGTCTGTCTTGTAGATAATATTAATCATCTCTATACTTTATTAGAAGTTACAAGCAAAAGTGTCCTTGTGACTTTACGTTTCCTGGTAAATTAACTGCTTGATAGAACAATTTTTGCTTATCTACACATGCCTATGCATGTTTTCTTTCTTTCTTTCTTTCTATTTATTTATTTATTTATTTATTTATTTATTTATTTATTTTGCAGTGGATATTACTCTGCCTCATAATGAAGCCAACAGTCATATCTTCCGACGTGGAGATTTGAGAAGCATTTGTATTGGATGTGACCGTCAAAATGCGCCCCATATCACTGCAACACCTACAAGTTTTCTTGCATGGGGTGCTCAGACTTTCACCTCTGGCAAATATTACTGGGAGGTCCATGTGGGGGACTCTTGGAATTGGGCCTTTGGTGTCTGTAATAAGTATTGGAAAGGGACGAATCAGAATGGCAATATACATGGAGAGGAGGGACTCTTTAGTCTTGGGTGTGTTAAGAATGACATTCAGTGCAGCCTCTTTACCACCTCCCCACTTACACTGCAGTATGTCCCAAGACCTACCAACCATGTAGGATTATTCCTGGATTGTGAAGCTAGAACTGTGAGCTTCGTTGATGTTAATCAAAGCTCCCCTATACACACCATCCCTAATTGCTCCTTCTCACCTCCTCTCAGGCCTATCTTTTGCTGTGTTCACCTCTGACCAGAGACAAATCAGATATGTGTTCATCTGCTGTGGGAACCCCTTTATCCCAGAAAGCCCTCTTCCTTGTGCCTTATCAAACAGGACAAATACGTTCTGTTTTATGTCTTGAATTGCATTCTAATGTTATTAAAACTCATTTATTGTGTTACTATTAAATGTGGTAAAAACACTAAAAGTATGTGTACTGGTTATTAATTAATTTTTGAAAAATCATTATTCATGATCATGGCATGAAATATATTCTCTGTTTTTTTTTCTTTATTTCTGACTGCCACTGAGTGAAATAATAGTTGACAGACATGTCTGAATGGAGTTAAAATCAGTGGAAGAGAGTCGGGATCTTTTGCTTCATGCAAAAACTTGGAGTGAAGCGTTAATGATAACTGGGAAATGCTGTTTTTCTTTCTCTTTATCTAACTGTGTTGCACTTATCCATCATGTTTCATTGTACTAATCTATCCTTTGAGTTAATATCATTTGACCTTCCATGCTGGGCTTCATTTTGGAATTCTCACCACATATATAAATAATCCCGCATTATTAGTGTGCTCTTCTACATTGAAATACACAAGGTGGTCAGAACAATGCTGGATTAATTGAATTTTTTTTAAAAAAGTAACTAAATATTGACTCCTACCTCAAAACACACACAGTCATTTCCAAATAGATTCAAGTCCTGAAGATTCAAGTCCTGATACAATATTCTCATAAGGATTTCTTAACCAAGACAAAAATTAACAATTAAAAAAAATTAGTTGGTTTATATTCATGAGGACTTCTGTGTTTCAAAAAACATGATACAAGAATTGAAATGCAAACAATTAGTGGAGAAAGATATTCACCCGAACATATATAAAATAAAATACAATACATGTGCATGATGAATACTTAAAATGTATTCTAAGTATTTTTCCAGATTCTTCCAGAGTGGCCTAGAATAAACTCGGATGGCAGAGTCAATGATGAGATTAGCTGTGGAAATGGGAAACCGTTTTTTGGAGGACAGTAGTAATGCTGTGAACTTATGAAAACAACCAAGTATTCAGTAGCAACTAAAATGTGTCTCCATAACGTTATTTTACAGGTGCGTATCTGAAATCTGAAATTTGGGAGAACATTCTACTAGTGTTCTCTAGTGAGAAAATACAGCTGGAAGGAAGAAGGGAGGGAAGATGAAGGAGAGAGAAACAGAATGCATTTGAGAGAAAATGCTATGTAGACTAAAATAGAATACTGCAGATACCACGACAAAGTGGTTAAATTGTGTCTTATGGAGCAGAAGTGGCAGAAAATACCACAGTGAAGAGATTTACTATTGGATTGTTAGTTCTGGCTTTTATCCTGTCAATGTTGTGGCTTCTAAACACCTCAGTGCTCTCCTTTGATCCATGTGCTAATTAACAACCAGCACTCTGCCCCCTCTCCCAGATTCTTTCATCATTTTAAACCTAATCTAATTCTAATCCAGCTGGTCACTGTAACAAATGTAATCATCTAAGAATTTAAAAAATATTTTTGATGAACTAGTGAATATACCTCATTCTCAACAAAAATACTGTTTGAGAGGAAAAGTCGATGGTATTTGCAACCATTTAAGTGCATCCACACATGGAGACATATACATATATATGTATATATTTATGTATCTGAGTTAATTGCATTAATTAGAGTGGCTACCTGGTTTAGGATTACACTGGGCTTTGCTGATGAAAGAATTTGGAATCTTGTTTGGTTACCCTGTAATACCTATATGAATAAATTAACCCTGTAATTTTACTACTGCCGAAGCTCCCTTAGATGTAATCAAGGATGATTGTATAGGGATGTATATTGTTGCACTCTTTCCAATCATGAAAGAGAGAAAAATAAATATACAGTAACGTGGAAATTGTTTAGAAAATTAGAATGCATTTTACTAAACCCTGTAAGAACCAACACCACCTATATGTGTTAATATATTGATACTAACAGATTTTCTTTTATCTCTTACGTGACTATAATTCCTACTTTTCCACTAGTATTTTTATTATGGACAGACACAGTATTTTATTATGGATGGATATAGAAACAAAAATAATTCCCTCTACAGAGGGTATAAAAATTATATATAATCATATATATTATATGTATTTTGTATTATAGGTAAATATTTATATATACTATATATAAAATACATTACAAATATTTATATATTTATATTATATATAAAACACATAATATACAAATATTTATATATTTATATTATATATAAAACACATAATATACAAATATTTATATATTTATATTTTATATAAAATATAAATATACAAATATTTGTATATTTATATTTTATATAAATATATAATATACAAATATTTATATATTTATATTTTACATAAAATATATAATATACAAATATTTATATTTCATATAAAATATATATATACAAATATTTATATTTCATATAAAATATATATATACAAATATTTATATATTTATATTTTATATAATATGTATTATATATATAAAAAATTATATATATAATATAGGGACTCGATTAGTTTCTGCTAGTGTGAAGACAAGTCATATCATGTCTAGGGGCCATGATGATAGGAGCAGTCAGAGGATTTCTTGCATTGTGATGAGTGAATATAAGTTAAACGAGCCACTTATCTGTAGAATTGATAGCAGGACAATGGCTAGGGTTACTTCATATGAAGTTGTTTGGGCTACAGTTTGTAATGTGCCAATTAGTACATAATTTGAATTTAATTGCTCTTCCTGATCATAGAATAGAGTAGACGGCTAGGCTTGATAAGGTTAGTAAAAATAGGAGGCCTATTTTAAAATTAATTAGAGGGTCTGGTATAGGGATGGGGGTTCACAATAGAAGAGCGAAAGAAAGGGCCAGGGTTGGAGCGATAATATAAAGGTTAATAGTAGATGTTGAGGGCCATAGGGGTTCTTTGCTGAAAAGTGTTATTGTGTCAGCGAATGATTGAAGCAGTCCCTAAAGGCTTACAATGTTAGGCCCTTTGCGTAGTTGTATGTAGCCTGAGTTTTTGTTAAATGAGTGATTTAAAATCAATACTGATAATAATGATAATTATTATTAAATAGTTATATTAATGATAACAATAAAATTATTAATATTAATTATTAATATGACTGATATTAACAATTGATACTGATCTTATTAATTAGAAAATAATATTAGGTACCAATAATTAATATTAATGTTAATAATATGAAAACTTTTTGTTAGCAATTATTTCTCAATATTGATACTGGTAATTAATGTTAATGTTAATAATAAATAAGTAATAATTAATAATAATATTACTCCTAATACCGCAGTGCGTGTACACCCACCTATGATATTGTTCCTAATGTCCAGGGAGGGAGAGAGCATGGTATTACTTTCAATATTGCAGTAGGTGTACACCCACCCGGTGATATTGATCCGAATATCCAGGGGGTGGAGTATGACGTTACTCCCAATATAGCAGTGGGTGTACATCCACCCAGTGATATTGCTCCTAATATTCACGGAAGAAGAGAATGATATTACTCCCAGTATCGCAGGGAGTGTACACCCGTTCTGTGATATTGTTCCTAATATCCGGAGGGGGAGAGGGAGATATTACTCCCAATGTTGCAGGCTATGCACACCCACCCTGTGATATTGTTGCTAATAATATCCAGGAAGTGAGAGGATGATATGATTCCCCATACAGCAGCAGCTGAACACCCACTCTGGGATATTATTCCTAATATCCATGGAGGGTAGAGGCTGATATTACTCCCAATATCGCAGGGGGTGTACATCCATTCTGTGATACTGTTTTTTTATATTCAAAGGCGGAGAAGTTGATATTACTCCCAATATCACAGAAAGTGCACAAACCCGTGTGATATTCTTCCTATTTCCAGAAGAAGAGAAGATGATATTACTCCCCATATCGCAGGAGGTGTACACCCACTCTGTGATATTTTTCCTAATATGCAGGGCGTGAGAGGATAATATTATTGTTAATAGCGCAGGATGTGTACAGCCCCCCTGTGATATTGTCCTTAATATTCCAAGGCGAAGAGGATATTACTGCCAATATTGCAGAAAGTGTACACCACCCTAGTGATATTGTTCCCATGATCCAGGAGAGAAGAGGATGATATTACTTTCAGTATCACATGGGGTGGGCACGCCCCCAGTGATACTGTTTTGAATTTCAACGTGGGAGAGGATGGTATTACTCCCAATATCACAGGGGGTATAAACACTTCTTTGATATTGTTCCTAATATTCAGGGGTGGAGAGGATGTTATCACTCCCTATAGTGCAGAGGGTGTACACCAATCTGTGATATTGTTCATAATTTCTAGAGGGGGCATGATATTACTCACAATATCGTAAACACGCTGTGTGTCCACCGTGGGTCATGATATCCAGGTATGGAGAGGAGGGTGATATTACTCCCCATATCGCAGGGTGTGTCCACCCCGCCTGTCACACTGTTTCTTATATGCAAGGGGGAGAGGATGATATTACTACCAATGTCAAAGACGTGTACAGCCCCCCTTGTGATATTGTTCCTAATATCCACGTTGGGAGAGGATGATATTACTCCCAATATCACAGAGGGTGTACACCCCGCCTGTCATATTATTCCTACTATCCAGAATAAGAGAGAATGATATTACTCGCAATAGTGCCGGGGTGTACACCCCCCTTGTGATATTGTTCCTAATATCCAGGGAGGGAGAGCATGATATTAATAACTCCCAATATCGCTATGGGTGTACACCCACCCTGTGATATTGCTTCTAATATCCAGGGGGTAGAGTATGACATTACTCCCAATGTAACAGTGGGTGTACATCCACCCAGGGATATTGCTCCTAATATTCATGGAAGGAGAAAATGATATTACTCCCAATATCACAGGGAGTGTACGCCCCTTCTGTGATATTGTTCTTAATACCCGGAGGGCGAGAGGATGATATTACAGCAATATCGCAGGCTGTGTACACCCACCCTGTGATATTGTCCCTAATATCCAGGAAAAGAGAGGATACGACTCCCCATATAGCAGGAGGTGTAAACCCACCCTGAGATATTGTTCCTAATATCCATGGAGGGAAAGAGCCCGATATTACTCCCAAAATCTCAGGGGCTGTACATCCCCCCTGTGATATTTCTCTTAACATTCAAAGGCGGAGAGGATGATATTACTCTCAATCTCGAAGAAAGTGTACACTCCCGAGTGATATTGTTCCTAATATCCAGAAGGGGAGAAGATGATATTACTACTCATATCGCAGAAGGTGTACACCCACTCTGTGTTATTTTTCCTAATATGCAGTTTGGGGAGAGGATAACATTGCCAATATCGCAGAGAGTGTACACCCGCCCTGTGACATTGCCCTTAATATTCAAAGGCGGAGAGGATGACATTACTCCCAATATTGCAGAAAGCGTACGCTTCCCATTGATATTGGTCCCACGATCCAGGAGAAAAGAGGATGATATTACTTTCAATATCACAGGGTGTGTACACGCCCCCAGTGATATTGTTCCTAATTTCAACGTGGGAGAGGATGATACTACACCCAATGCCGCTGGGGGTAGAAACACTCCCAAGAAAAACATTGGGAGTAATGTCATACTCTACCCCCTGGATATTAGGAGCAATATCACAGGGTTGGTGTACACCCATAGCGATATTGGGAGTTATTAATATCATGATCTCCCTCCCTGGATATTAGGAACAATATCACAAGGGGGGTGTAGGCCCCGGCACTATTGCGAGTAATATCATTCTCTCTTATTCTGGATAGTAGGAATAATATGACAGGCGGGGTGTACACCCTCTGTGATATTGGGAGTAATATCATCCTCTCCTGATATTGTTGTTAATATCCAGGGTCAAGGGGATGCCATTACCGCAAATAGTGCAGAGGATGTACACCCTTCTATGACAGTTGGTAATCTCCAGAGGCGGAGAAGATATTACTCACAATAACGTAAACACGCTGTGTGTCCACCGTGGATCGTAATATCCTGGGGGTAGAGGAGGGGTGATATTACTCCACTACTAGGATTTTACCTCTACTGCCACCCTTCGTTAACACCCTGGGACATTATTTTCCATATTCTAGGAGGATGGCACTACCAATATCACAGGGGGTGTATACCCTGCTATATTATTCGTAATATTGTAGGGGAATGTTCATCCTGATGTCACAGGACTGTACGCACTGTGATATTATTCACAATACCCTAGTGGGACATTAATAATAATATCACAGTGTGTGTACTCTTTGTGGTATTATTCGTAATATCCTAAGGGGAGGTTACCTTTATTGTCACACGGGGTGTGTTCCCTTTGATATTATTTGTAATGTCCTAGAGGGATGTTACTCCTTGTGTCACAGGGTTTGTCCACCTTATCAAATTACTCGTATTATCCTTATAAGATGTTACTCCCTATATCACAGGGGGTGTACACTCTGTGATATTATCGTAATATTCTAGGGAAATGTTACTTTTAATGTTGCAGAGGGTGTACACCTTGTGAAATTATTCGTTATAGTTTTGTGGGATGTTACTCCTAATGTCACACGGGGTGTACACACAGTGTAATATTCTATGGAAATGTTACTCGTAAATCACAGGTCCTGTACACCCTTTAATATTCTTCGTAATATTCTAGGAAAACGTTACTCTGAATGTCACAGGGCATATACACCCTGTCATAAAATTCGTAATATCCTAGCGGGAGTTCACTACTAATTTCACAATGCATGTACGCCCTTTGATATTATTCGTAGTATCCGAAAGAGATATTACTACTGATGTCCCAATGCATGTACATTCTCTGATATTATTCGTTATATCCTCGGGGGATGTTACTTCTAATGTCACACGGGGGTGTACTCCCTGTGTTATTTTTCATAATATCCTAGGGGAATTTTACTTTTAATGACACACGGGGTGTATACATTGTGATACTATTCATAGTATTCTAGAAAGATATTACTCCTCAGGTCACAGGGGATGTACACCCTGTGATATTATTTGTACTATCCTAGGGGATGTTACTCCAAATGTCACAGAAGGTGTAAACGCTGTGATATTACTGGAAATGTGTCAGGGAAATGTACTTATAATGTCAAAGGGCATGCACATCATGTGTGCACAGCCCCTGTGATGTTCTTTGTGATATTCTCGAGGGATGTTAATCCTAATATTACATATGTTGTTAACTATGTGTGAACACCTTTGTGGTATTATTCCTAACATACTAGAAGGATGTAACTCCTAACATCACATGGGGTATACGCCATGTGTGTACACATTCTGTGATATTATTCATAATATCTTAGTGAGATGCTCGTAATTTTACAATTATTCACGTAATATTTTAGTGAGATGATACTCCTAAAGTCACAGGAGGTGTAAACCCTGCGATATTATTCAGAATATTCCAGGGGGATGTTACTCCTAATGTCACAGGTGTGTATACCCTGTGATATTATTCACACTTTACTCATGCGATATTACTACTAATGTCACAATGTGTGTACAGCTTCTGATATTATTTGTAATATCCTGGGAGGATGTTACTCCTAACGTCACAACGGTGTACACCCTGTGTTATTATTAGTAATATTCCTGGGGGATTTTAATTTCAAAATCACATGGGGCGTCAACCCTATGATCTCATTCATAATATCCAAGGAAGATGTTACTCCTAATGTCACACGTGGTGTACAAACAGTGATTTCATTTGTAAGGTTTTTTGGATATGTTACTCCTAATATCACAGGGGCCATACACCCTGTCATATTATTCGTAATATCCTAAAGAAATGTTACTACTAATGTCACAGGCAGTGTATACCGTATGGTATTATTCCCAATATTGTAGGGTGATGTTACTCCTAATGTCACAGAAGGTGTTCACACTCTGATAATATTCGTAATATCCTAAAGGGATGTTACTACTGATGTCACAATGCATGTACACAATCTGATATTATTTCTTATATCTTCGGGCGGTGTTACTTCTTATGTCACAGGGGGTGTACTCCCTGTGATATTATTCATAATATCCTAGGTGGATGTTACTTCTAATGTCACAGGGGGTGTATCTTTTGCGATATTATTCGTAATATTTTAGAAAGATGTTACTCCTAATGTCACAGACGGTGTACACCCTGTGAAGTTATTCCTAATAGTTTTGGGTGCTGTTACTCCTAATGTCACCCGTGGTGTACACGCAGTGATATTATTCGTAATATTTTATGGAAATGTTACTCCTAATATCACAGGGGCTGTACATCTTGTAATATTATTCATAATATCCTAAAGAAATGATACCTCTAATGTCACAGGGAATGTACACCATGTGATATTGTTCCCAATATTGTAGGGGGATGTTACTCCTAATATCACAGGGGGTGTTCACAGTGTGATAATTTTCATAATATCCTAAATGGATGTTACTGCTAATGTCACAACACATGTACATCCTCTGCATTTGTTCGTTATATCCTTGGGGGAGGTTACTCCTATTGTCACACGGGGTATACTTCCTGTGATATTATTCATAATATCCTAGGTGGATGTTACTCCTAATGTCACAGGGGCTGTATATTTTGTGATATTATTTGCATTATCCAAGAAAGATGTTGCTCCTCAGGTCACAGGGGATGTACACCCTATGATATTATTCGTACTATCCAGGGGACATTACTCGAAATGTCACAGAAGGTGTACACTCTCTGATATTACTCGTAATGTGTCAGGGAAATGTACTCCTAATGTCACAGGGCATGCACGTTATGTGTGCACACCCCCTGTGATGTTATTTGTAATATTTTCGAGGCATGTTAATCCTGATATTACATATGCCGTTATCCATGTGTGAACAACTTTGTGGTATTATTCCTAACATACTAGAAGGATGTAACTCCTAACATCATATGGGGTATAAGCCATGTGTGTACACATTCTGTGATACTATTAATGATATCTTAGGGAGATGCTACTCCTAATTTTACAAGGTATGTACATTATGTGTGTACACCCCCTCTGATATTATTTGTAATATTCTAGGGGAATGTTGCTGCTAATGTCACGGGGGAAGACACCATGTGTCTTACATATATATTACATTTTTACACTACTTTCCAGGAGTCAATCAATTTTGTCAATCAATTCACTATTCTTGTTGCCCAAAAGGGTAGAGATAATCACAGATCACAGATCTGTCTAGCATTAGCTAAGGACGTTTTATTACAGAGACAGATGCATGTGTGTGCCTGCGCCTGTGTGTGTGTGTGTGTGTGTGTGTGTGTGTGTGTAATTCAATCATAAATCGAAGGTTTAAATGTTGTGTGGGTGGAAGATAATTCATTCTGACTCCTGGCTTCAGAGTCCCATGTTTATTGGGAGAAAAGAGAGTCAAGCTGGGAAGAATAGTAGCCCTGTGCCCTCCAGAACTGCAGCATGCTTGGGAATTGTGAGGCTTCCTGCTTTCCAGGAGATTGTGGAACTAGGAGGATGTCACCAGTGACTAGCACAGTACCACCTTCCTTACATCTGCCTGTCATCCCTCCTCAGGGCATCCAAATGTGGCCCTCTCCTTAACTCCTTCTTCTGCTTCTCTTCTCACAACCCCGGGATCTGAGCACTCTCTTTATCTGTGCACAGTATCTACTTAGGGAAGCCCCAGCACCTGCTGCAGTCAGGGCTGCAACCCTGAGCTGGGTCTAGTAGAAATTTTGTGAACTAAAGATAGAACAAGAAATGTAAATTAGTGCACCCACTGTGGAAAACAGTCTGGAGATTTCTCAAAGAACTTAACACGGAGCTACCTTTTGATCCAATTATCTCATTACTGAGTACATACTCAAAAGAAAATACATCGTTCTAACAAAAAGACACATACTCTCCTATGTTCATGGCTGCACTATTCAAAATAGCAGACATAATCAACCCAGGAGTCCATCAATGGTAGACTGTATAAATAAAATATGGTACATATACACCATGGAATACTATACGGCCATAAAAAGAATGAAATCATGTCCTTTACAACAATGTGGGTGGAGCTGGAGGCCTTAATCCTAAGCAAATTCATGCAGGATAGAAAGCCAAATGCTGTATGTTCTCACTTACATGGGGAGCTAAATATTGAACACACATAGACATCAATATGGGAAAAATAGACTCTGTGGACTACTTGAGGGTGGCGGGAGAGGGATGGCTTGAAAAAATACCGACTGGGGGCGGTCTCTACAGCCTGCCTTGCCTGTCTGTCTCTGGGATCGCTCCTCCTCCTGCTCCTCTCCTGCTCCTGTTGGGCCTTGTGACCACCTGGTTACCTGTAGGTAGGCCTCCATTTAGAGTAGCATTGCCACAGGGATGGATCCTGTCACTCCGCACCCCACCCCCAACCCAGTTACCCACACCTGAGCCCTGGTTCCCAGTTGAGGTCACACAGTGCAAGGAGACCTGGGACCTCGCGGCCGCTCGCCCAACCCAGAGCCTCTGCCCTGGCGTGCGAGGCACCACACCCTCCTCTGTCCTGTGCCGGGCCTGAAGGGACCCCTTCAGATCACAGCTGCCACCACAGCCGCTGCCTCACGCCGGAGGGCATGACACAGGGGTGGCTTTCCCAGCTGGCTGCCACACAGGAGCTCTAGATGCTTAGCCCGCGCCGTGGAGAGACCTAAAATTAAGGCATGACTTAACAGCTTATTTTGTAAGAGAAAAGCTCAACCCAAAGGCAGATTGTTAGTTTGGACTTTATTGCAAGCAGAACTGCTATGATGTGCTTTTAGCACTGAAGTGAGTTCCACCCTAAGAACAGAAAGTGGCTTCTCTGCTTTCCGTCCCAAGCACAAGTGTATTCACCTTGCAGACTTGAATCACTGAAGATGTAAGTCAGCTGTTACTCTCATTTTGGGAGACATCCTGTGGACAGCATGAAGACCGTCCCTGATCAAAGTCTTTAGTAAGCAGGAAGGAGTCAAGGTCAAAGAATGTGTTTGCTTACTCTGGACTACAGTATTTTGGAAAACGAACCAAGGCTTGGGTTTTGCTCTGGAAGCCTGTCCTGCCTGCTTCTGTAATCTGGCGCTCTCACCATCCAGATCTTGGCCCGTTATGGACACCACCGTCTGTTACTCTTACGATTCTCTGCTCTTTTGGGAGTTCAGACATGGCACCTTATTTCACTTTTGAGCTACCCTCTGCCGTCCAGAAACTTAGTGGACCTGTAGAACTATATTGTTCTGCTAAACCTGTGACCACTCACATCTCAAGGTCGCATAATGGAAAAAATAGAATAGAAACATGGAATATATTAAGATTCATCAGGGGACTTTGACAATTTTTTTCTCTTAACTCCTCCCTTTTGGGTTACTACCAGTGCATTCTCAACAATAGGTCGGTGTTGTTGTAAGTGGCCCTGTAACAGTATCCACAGCAGTTCTTGGTGATTTTGATTCATCCACAAAGCATTTTATTACAGCAAAATAATAAAGGTGCTGGTTTCATTGGCTGCAGGGTACCAGAGAGTAACCCCAAAGCTGAGGTGTGCGCTAAAATCCAGGGGAAGTGGCTGAAGCATTCCACAAAGAATTACTTAATCCCTCCACAAGAACATCTTTAGATTTTGAATGTATCCTCAGAGGACAAGGGATCACACAAATGTGCAGCTTATAATCCGGCCACACATGAATTAAGAGTTGAACCCATTGGCCAAAAGCTCCTTGTGAGTCACCTTTCTTCAGATGATTTTGGCATTCTTCCCCTGCTCGTTCACAGGTATTAGCTGTTCATTCACATAGCCCTGTAACTTTGGAGTGTGTGTTTAGTGGGGTCCTGGCTCCTCAAGTGTGTTGGCTGAAGAACAGGCAGGATATTGCCCTGGGAAGCAACTGGAGAAGGTTGTGTTCTCATCTTGCCATAGATAGCATTGACCCAGTGGACTCTGGAAACAATTCCAGCATGGTGGGAAACAACTCTGGAGATGTAAAATATGTGGCATACATGGTTAATGTACTTGAACACGCTCCTACTCTAAGGGACTACAGGATCAGATAGTGTCTCTATTTTCCACAGTACACTTTATCTCTGATGTTTGTAGGAACCCAGCTGCCAACCATAACTGGTTTCATAATTCACAGCCTAATCATCCTTCCTCAAGACATCGAACTGCAGGAAATTGACTGAAATTCAGTGGGGTTATTATGCAAGATACTAGGCTACATCAGTGTTTAGCAGATAACGAGGCTGGATTTATGCAGTCTACTGGAAGACTTGAAATAGAAAAAGGCAATGGATTCAAGCGAGTTATAATTATGGCACCAGCAAGCATAAAAGTGGTAGATGGAGACTTTGTTTACTCTGTCCTACAATGCTACCAGGCTGCTGGGTCCGGTCATTTGTTGGTATGACATCCACGGATTGATAACCAGCCATCTGTCTTAAGTCCTTAGATCTAAATCCCAAAAGTCACACTTATCAAGACCTGGAATCTTGGACCTAGACCCTGCCTATTTCATCATGTCCCAAGCTGGCTTGAGCTCTCTCCATACTCAGGCTGTGATGCAGGAGCATGTGGAGAAATACATCTGCGAAGCTACAAAAGAACATGGTACCATGCAGGCAGAACCACCTCTCATGGTTGTTCCTTTTGAAACAAACAAAAGCAGAAACAGTCGCACTTTTTGATGTTACTCAGAATAATGAAAAAAATAAGAGATGGTTCAGAAAGTGGATTATTCAGCTCATTTCCAGAGAAAGTACACCTCAGTGCAGTGGAATCACCATCAGAGAAAAATGCTGGTGGCATCTCTGTTCCTGAGGTCCCCATCAAATTGAAACCCTACAGACCCCCATAGCAGATACATACAACCTTGTGTGGAGGGCAGGCAAGGAAAGTGGACTGCCCATCAATGCCTATTTTGTGAAGTATCAAAATCTGGAGTATGAAGTTGGTGTGGTGGGAAGTTGGCACAGGGTTTGAATCCCAGGAGGTGAAAGTGAGCTTCATTTAGCTGAAATAGAGCCATCTAGTCTTTATGAACTCTTGATGGTAGCAAGAAGTGCTGCAGGTGAAAACCCACCTGCCATGCTTACCTTCTGAACCAGCAAAGAAAAAACAACATCATCAAAAAACACCCAGGCATCCTCTCAACCCACAAGCACCCCCGAGTATCCTGTTGTTTCAGAAGCTTCAAACAACAATTTTGGAGTGGTGCTTACAGATTCATCTAGGCACAGTGGTGCTCCAGAGGCACCAGATCACCTGATTATCTCCACTGCATCAGAGAGGTTGGTCTATGTCACTTGAATTCCTTGGGCAGATGGGAATTCTTCAATCCCTGCCTTCGAGGTCAAATATAAATGGATGAGGACCAGTGACTGGCTGGTGGCAGCTGAAGATATCCTTCCTTCCAAAATTTCTGTGGAAGTTTGTAGTATAGAACCAGGTTCAACATACAAATTTAGGGTCGTTGCTATCAACCATTATGAAGAGAGTTTTCAGAGTTCAGCGTCTCATCCTTACCTGGTGACTGGGTTCCCCAAACTTTTTTCCAACTGTCCAATAATGGACCTCACATTGTGTACACGGAGGCTGTCAGCATTACTCAGATTGTGCTAAAGTGGACATACATTCCGTGAAATAATAACGCTTCCATTCTTTTATATCTATTACCGACCCACAGATAATGACAATGACAATGTTTATAAGAGGGATGTTACAGAAGGTTCAAAGGAGTGGCACATGATTGGCCATCTGCTGTCAGAAACTTCCTATGGCATTAAAATGCAATGCTTCAGTGAAGGAGAAGAAAGTGAGTTTAGCAGTATGATGATCTGCGAGACTAAAGTAAAATGCGTTCCTGGAGCTTCTGAGTATCCGAAAGACTTGAGTACCCGTCTGAATTCCTCAGGAAGTGAAGGAAATGTGAGGCCAGCAACCAGCCCTGACAGAAGCAGTGACCTGTTCTATCTGATCCTTGGCTGTATGCTGGGTGTCTTGGGCCTCATTCTTATGGTTTTCATTGAAATGTGCCTGCGGAGGAATCGCCAGCAGAATATCATACAGAAATATGACCCTCCAGGATACCTCTATCAAGGATCAGATATTAATGGGCAGATGATGTAATACACCACTCTCTCAGGAGCAAATGAGATAAATGGAAGTGTTCATGGAGGTTTACTGAGCCATGTCGGTCTCAGCAGTGGCTGTTCCCACCTTCACCATAAGGTTCTCAATGGAGTCAGTGTAATTGTGAATGGGAGCTTAAATGAAGGACTTTACTCTGGGCACACCAACTCTCTTACAGCAATGGGAATGGAGCTGGAGGTTGTAATCCTAAGCAAATTAATGCAGGATCAGAAAATTAAATGCTGTTATGTTCTCACTTATAATTGGGAGCTAAGCATTGAACACACAGAGACATCAGTATGGGCAAAATAGACTCTGTGGTCTACTTGTGAGTGGAGGGAGAGGGATGGGTTTAAAAAACTACTTATGGGAGGCGGCCTCTACAGCTGGCCTCGCTTGTCTCTCACAGGATCCCTCCTCTTGCTCCTGGCATGCTCCGGGCAGCCCTGAACCCGCCCAGTTACATGTCCACTCCCCTCCGCCTGGAGGAGCGCTGCCGCGGGGGCGCGCCCCAGGTCCCCTATCCAGAGCCCTGATGCCCGGATCCAGAGTCAAGGTGCCAGAAGAACCAGGACCCAGCGCCCGCCTGACCTACCCAGCGCCTGCGTCCTGGCCTGCAAGACACCGCGCGCCCTCCTCTGCCCTGCGTAGTGCATGGAGGGGCCCCTTCGGATCGCAGCCGCTGCCACCATAGCCGCTTCCATAGTAGCCACCGTGGCGTCGGAGGGAAGGACCTGAGGGTGGCTTTCCCAGCCGGCTGCCCCACAGGAACTCCGGATGCTTAGCCTGCTCGGCCGAGAGACCTAAAATCAAGGCATGACTTAACAGCTTATCTTGTAGGAGAACAGCTCAACCCAAAGGCAGATTGCTAGTCTGGACTTTATTACAAGCAGGGCTGCGGTGACGTTTATAGCACTGAAGTGAACTCCGTTGTAAGTACAGAAAGTGGCTTCTCTGCTTTCCCCCCGAAGCACAATCATATACACCTTGCAGACTTGAATCACTGAAGATGTAAGCCAACTGTTACTCTGAGTTTTGGAGACTCCCTATGGACAGCATGAAGACTGATCAAAGTCTTTAGTAAGCAGGAAGGAGTCAATGTTAAGGAATGCGTCTGATTACCCTGAATTGTAGTACCTTGGAAAGTGAACCAAGGCCTGGGTTTTGCTCTGGAAGCCTGCCTTGCCTGCTTCTGTAATCTGGCACTCTGCATGTGAATCTTGGACCCATATGGACACTGCTGTATGTTACTGTCATGATTCTCTGCTCTTCCATGAGTTCAGACTTGGCGCCTTATTTTACTTCTGAGCCACTCTCTACCGTCCAGAAACATGGTGGACCTGCAGAACTACATTGTTCTGCCAAACCTGTGACCACTCATAGCTCATGGTTGCATAATGTAAAAAAGTAGGATAGAAACATGGAACATATACAGATTCATCAGGGGACTTTGACAATTCTTTCTCTTAACTCCTCTCTTTTGGGTTTCTACCAATCCCTTGCCAACAATAGCGTTGGTATTATTTTGAGTGGCCCTGTAACAGTATCCGTGGCAGTTTTTGGTGATCTTGGTTCATCCACAAAGTGTGTTATTACAGAGGAGGAAAAAAGTGCTGTCAGGATAATAGAAACGATGTCAGCTGTGATCGCACAGAAAATCCAGAAGAGTTCAGCAGAGGAGACAGCTGTGTCTATTCAGAAACAGACAGCAACAATTTACATTGGAATCCTCTTATTTTGCCACCTATCTCAGAGGACGGTGCTGAAAAGACAACATGGCCTCCGCCTGGTGTTCCTTTGGACAGCCCCTCAGGGGTCCTCCAGCAGCCCCAGGAAACTGGAGGATGTGCAAACAACCAGTCATCTTCTGACTTCAAGCCTGTAACCAACTGCACAAAACAGGCCTGGGAGTGAACTGTGTGAAGGATCTTAACTCAAATCAGAGAAAATCATTCTTTATTTTTTTTGCAGTATAATGTCATGTGAATGTATCCTAAAAATGTGTGCCCTTTTGTATTATTTATGCCTTAAAAGTTTTCTTACCCATTGCTTCCTTGCGCTCAGTAAGAAACAACCTTGTTTTGCATAGCTTTCAATCACCTGGAGGGCAGAGGGATCATTCCATATTTTCTAACAACTGTAGTGGCAGTAAGAACTCCTCATGCAAACGATTCCATCTCTTGGCTGCTTCAGCTCAGAGGAAATGCAGGGGCCAATTGAAGGTTGACAGCAGTCAGGTTTTCAGATGGAAAACTGTCTTTTAATAGTGTATTATCAAACTTTCTGAGAACACTTTGAAGTCAACCACGGTTTTGACCCAGTGTTTATAATAGCAGACCTGGCTGATGAATTTTAAAAGAGTGCCTTCCACTAAAGTGGTAATGTGACCAGACAACATTCTCCCTATCTGCACGCAGGCACAAATGATGTTCAGTCTTCTAGTCACTAGTCATAAGCAGTGTCGTGGACATGGTAGAGTGTAAGATGTAGTTGAATGGTTGCAGTATGCAGAAAAGGAACCAAGGCCGGAGAGACAAATAATGCTTTACTATCCCTCTGCATTAAAATTACATTGATTCATAAAATGGCCGGTACGGTATGGGGCTCTTTTTGACTGTTTCTAAGAGTAGGAACAAAATAAGACTTTAAGTCGTGGCTTGAAAAGAAAGACACACATTTTCAGAAGAAAAAAGGGGAGGGCTGCAGGGAGCCTCTCTTGGAGGGAGCTCTTCCGTCTGCTCCATTAGCCTAGGAGCATGCTCATGGTGTCACACTGCCAGAAACTAGTCATTCTCTCACTTCCAACAGGGGCAACAGCCTGAAGGTGTGAGTGTCAGAAAATACTTATTCTGGAAGAAAAGGTGTTTGTTGTTCTTGTTGTTTATTTTATGAAGTTTCCTGACTTTTTTCTCCAGAATGTCTTCCTTTTAAACAGGCACCAAAAGCATTGGTCAGCAGAGCTCCTGACCACTGCTGCCTCTGTGTGACAAGGACATTGGAGCTGTCTTTGGAAGGATCTCCTCCACATTAATAAATGATTATGATATATTTTTTAAAAACTACCTATTGGGTACTATGCTGACTACTAAGGTGACAGGATCCGTATTCCAAAGACAAGGGTAATGGAAACATAACAATTCTATAGTCATTTATATTTCAATAGCATTATACTCTTTTAACCATCCTCATCTTGTATATAATCTCATTGTATATTAGAATACAGCTATTAGAGCAATAACGAAGAATGGATAAATACAGTCAGCTTTTTGTTTTTGTTTTGTTTAGTTTTGTTTTTGAGACAGGCTCTCACTCTGTCGCCCAGGTTGGAGTGCAGTGGTAAGATCACGCCTCACTGCAGGGTCGACCTCCCCAGATCAAACAGTCCTCCAACCTCAGCCTCCCAAATAGCTGGATAGAGGCTGAACTGCCATGCCTGAGTAATTTTGTTGTTGCTGTTGTTGGAGAGAGAGGGTCTCACCCTATTGCCCAGGCTTCTCTCCAACTCCTGGCTCAAGTGATCGTCCCACCTCAGCCTCTAAAAGTGCTAGGACTATATATATATATATATATATATATATATGAAAAATAGTGCTTGGAAAATTAGCTTACTGATTGAAAAATATACATATGAATGACTGCTTTGAAATATATATGTATATTATATATATGCACACACATATATACGTATATATATATGCAACCTTCATCTGAGGGTAGGTATGCTTTTGGCTTCTGAGATGAACATATTCATGATGATAAATGTTTACCATGAATTCAGCTAAACATGAAACTCAGCAATCTTTGTATCTATTTATCTCTATTTCTACCCAAATCTGTATTTCGAAAGTTGTGGCTAAGCCTTCCTAGTTAGTTAGATTTTTATCCTTTACCATTCAATGTGTGTGTGGCGTGGAGACTGTTTTCACAGATCAAGAAGTTGACAATTATGTCCCACATTCAGTGGACTAACAGCTCAGAGATCCTCTCTCTGGTTACTGCTATGACAGTGCATGGTCAATCTTCCAGATCACCGGAGATGATTGTGATTTTATTTTTAAGTCTAGCTTCTAGGAATCACTCCCTGGAACAGAATAATTTATTGTTCACCCAGTGTTCACTCAGAATTTGTGCTTTAGCTCTTCAGCCAGTAGGGCTAAAGGCTCTTTATTGATGAATCAGTGGTTAGCTTGGGGAGCGCTTACAAATTTGTCCGCATTCCGCCTTGATGCTCTTGAGTGGGTGCAGTCTAGCACAGATACACAGCCTTCCAGATTTCCAGAAATTAGAGATCCTAAGACACTTTTTCTTGGCTTTCTCTTTGCCTGGTTTTCTCTGGTAAACTTCTGGCTGGCTGTCAGAAGTTTATTTCTTGCTACAAAGCATGCTAAAGATTCCAAGCTCCTCTTTAATGTTCCCAACCAAGGTCTCCATTGTTTTTGACAACGCCCTTGGGAATGTACCTCTTCATGACCGATTCAAAATCAATCATTACTGTGAGGCATTGAGCAAAGCTCTCAGTTTTTACAGCCTGTCAGTCCTCCTAGATGAATCTCTGCATCACTGCAAAGGAGTTGACAGGGGCTTCTCCAGCACTCACACACGCTCTACAAGTCTGTGCTGGGGTAGGTAGGGGGATGGTGTCTCCCGGTGTTTTGTCTTATCCCTTGAGGGATGGAAGATACAGCCAGTGGGAAACTTGGGCATAGCAACCCTAGACCTGCTGTTCCGGGGTGGAGATTCTACCCTATCAGTGGAGGTTGTATGTGCATTATCTCATCCAGTCCTCACAATTAGAAGAGAAACATATTTCTCTCAAAAACTTATAAGAACAGCCAATTAAACTGAAGTTTACATTATTGGCCATATTTATGCCAGGCATGGTGGCTCATGCCTATAATTCCCAGTACTTTGAGAGGCTGAGGTTGGAGGATCACTTTCTCTTACAATTGTAGGACAGAATAAGATAATTCACTTAAAATTTGATTATCCACTTCCTGTATCTAGTATTCCTTCTATTAATTCAAGTCATTCTCTATGAAGGAATTTTCATATTTTTGTGAATTATTCTTAAACATTAAGAACTATTCTTATGAAGGGGCAATCATAAAGTAATTCACGTTCAAGAACACATTTTAAGACACAGATTATTCTTATAATGAAAGAGAGTGAAACACAAATAATTTAAACTTCAGTTGAATTGGCTGTATTTAGGCCTGGCATAGTGGCTTATGCCTATAGTCCCAGCACTGTTAGAGGCTGAGGTGGGAGGATGACTTGAGCTAGGAGCTTGAGAGAAGCCTGGGCAACAGGGTGAGACCCTGTCTCTCCAACAACAGCAACAACAAAATTACTTGGGCATGACAGTTCAGCCTGTAGTCCAGCTATTTGGGAGGCTGAGGTTGGAGGATTGCTTGATCTGGGGAGGTCGAGGCTGCAGTGAGCCGTGATCTCACCAGTGCACTACAACCTGGGTGACAGAGTGAGAGCCTGTCTCAAAAACAAAACAAAACAAAAGCAAAAAGCTGACCGTATTTATCCATTCTTCTTTACTGCTCTAATAGTAGTATTCTAATATACAATGAGATTATATGCAAGATGAGGATGGTTAAAACAGTATAATGCTATTAAAATATAAATGACTACAGAACTGTATGTTTGCATTACTCCTATCATTGAAATAACCCATTATGCAACCCATCTGTCATTAAACTTTTGGATCAGAGTTAATCCTTATAAATGGAGTCAGCCTTTTTTAGACTTTGTTCTCAGCAACCCTCATTAAAGGAGGCATTCCCTGATTGCTTTAAATAAATTCAAAAAACACATATCAGAAACTTTTGATATGTTTGTGGTGTGCCATATTGCCAGTAATTAAATTAAATACTAGAAAATACACCATTAAATATGATATTTGATATACAGTTGGACCTCCATATAAATGGGTTCTGCACCCATGGATTCAACTCATCATGGATTAAAAAATTTCAGGAAAAAAAATTGAATGATTACATTTTCACTGAACATGTGCAGACTTTTTTTGCTTGTCGTTATTCCCTAAATAATACAGTGTAACAACTACTTACACTTAATGCATTTACATTGCATTAAGTATTTTAAGTAATCTAGAGATAATTAAAGTACATGGGAGGATGTGCTTAGACTACATGTAAATACTTCCCCATCTTATGTAAGGACATCTGAGGATTATTAGCATCTAAGGATTTTAGTATCTGCGGGGAGTCCTGGAACCAATTTCCAGTCGATACTTAAGGAAAGGCTTCATACAAAATTAACATGATCAAAATATAGGTATTTCTGATAATAAGGATATTTTACTGCACATGTATTTTAAAAACTTCAAAGACCTAAATAAATTTGGAGTTTTATTAAAATGTAATGAGGCTTCTGAGTATTCTGTATTTTCTGAAGCAAAAAGTGAGTCTTACTTTCTATTCTGGTAATGACATGTTCCCAGGTAACTGTCTGCAGGATGCCATCGGTGAAATTACTAAAGTCTTACAGGTTTTCAGTCTTTTTATCTGTATCATTTTCACTCTCTTAAGATCTGTGTCCATCGATAGTTTGTTCTTGAGCTAAAGAAAATTGACTGAACCTATCAATTTGATAAGCAGTCCAATTTATAACTTTATTAAATAATATTTCTCAGTATCCCTGTTGATTTTGGTTACATTCAGTTGCCAAAATCAATAGGAATACAGGGGTAAATTTGGTAGCCTTTTAAACAGTTGCATCATATGTTTTTATCAATTATTTTGTGCATTTATTCTTTTATTCAAACAGACAATTAATGAATATCAGTTATATTTTAAGCATTGTGTACTTTCGTGGAATATACCTGTGTGTAGTACAAACACAATCCTTTTCTTGTAATTTGAGAAGCAGAAAAGATGCCTACTATTACACCGTGAGTTTTACAAAGAAAAGTATAAGGCTTTCTGAGTCTTTAAAACAAATAGCCTAATCTAGTCCAGGAGCTAAAGAAAGAATTCCCTGAAGAAATGTTGGAACTTACACTTGATGAAATGGGACTTAGCAGATGTGGAACAGAGAAAAGAAAATTCCAGTTCAGGGGGAAGAAACCTGTGCTCTTGCATTAACCCATCAGTTTGGATAAACACACTCAGGTATTCATATACCTGGGCTGGCTTGGAAATCAAGGGAAAGAAAAGATACAGCATATAAGAGAAGACATGCGCAGTATTCTAAGAGAGAGTAGTAGTTTAATGAAAATCAAAACAAATGTATACCTCCACACTTTTAAAAATGGTACAAAGTTTCATAGAAAAAGATAAAGAATGTCAAGTAGTCAGTAGTTAGCATTCTCAGAAGTTGGTGTTTCTGATACCTTTAGTCACGTTACTGACCTCTCTCTGATTCTGTGAGTGCAAAGCAAAGCAAAACAAAGCAAAGTTGTAAGAGGGTAAGGGAAAGAACCAGAGAGGCTACAGATGAGAAAACTGTTGGCCACATTAACAAAGCTTACCATGCCACATTCATAATCTAGAAACACCCCCATCTGGCCTAGAGGCCTTTCTGTATACTGAGATAATAGTGGGGAAGAGGTCTTGAGATGACACCAGTAGCCTTCTTGACACAAAAAAGTAGAAAAAATTTCTTGGAGTTAACCAGCATGTCATTTCTCATTGTCCAAGAATCATTGCAAAATCCAACAGCCCAGTTCCAGCACTGCCCAACGTCCACCTCTCAGTAATATCTTCCAAAAGTGAATGGCAGGGCTCGCCATCAAGAAAACACTTAGATTTTGTTGGAGTTGGGGCAATGTTGAGATAATCAGAACCAAAGAGTAGCTGTCTCAGAACTTCAAACAAGGGGAATGTACCAAGTGGTTATTTTATTATCCCAGGAAATATGCACTGCAGGAACAAGAAAACAGTCACACGAAAACATAGTGTTATAAACTTCTAATGGATGTGGGCTTTACATAGTGTCTACGTATGCCAGGTTATCCCTGGAAATATGGGTCAGGACAGCAGGCACATAAAAGAAGAAATATATCCTTAGATTTAACCATTGTGCTATTCTTCCTTATCCAGGAGTCCTTACAGACTCCCAGAGCCCAGTCCCAAGAGTTCTCCACATCCAGCTCCCAGTAGTGTTTGCCAGAGGAGAAGACCCAGTCTCCCCATGCAGCAAAATAGTCAGATCTGTCAGAACGCAAAGATTCACGTCTCAACATCAAACTTCTCGCATCCTCAAACAGCCTGATATTGTAATTGGTTACTTCCCAAGTGAAGGAAATTTCCACTGTAGAAAAAAGAGAATGATCCATTGAAAAGCAGTTTATAAATTCTTATGTTCAGATAAGAAAGAGATTCTCACTAGAAAACACAGGTCAAGATTAGAAAGAAACTTCTGTCTGGAAAAATGTTGGAATCAAAGGGTGTTAGGATATCTGCACAAGTAAATGGCTCAACTTCAATGATCACAATTTCCATAAACTCAAAAATTATAAAGGGGAGGAAGGTCATGTCTATGTCTAGTTAGTGACCTTTCATAACAACTGAAAAACTGGCACCTCTTGCACTGCAGCCAAGTCCACAGCAATAAAATTAACCTTCATTGTCTCTTCTCTGTCAGGGCAGAGCAGGAGGCTGCGGACAGGAGATGAGGTGGGGAGCCATCCTTAGACCCAAATAAAAAAGTTATCACTTTGCCAGAAATATTATAATCTGCCACTTAAACTAGTCATTTCATACTTAAAGAGAAAATCTGAATCTGCCTTCTGAAAAGTGCAGCTTCCTTGCAAGAATTATCTGACTTTCATGCCAGATTCAGGCACAGACTTCTTTTATCTGCTGGATTTATCATGATCTATCCTGGAGTTCTATCTAAGGCCTCATCAACCACCAAATCACGTTCCTATTTTTCACAGATTCTCAGTGTTTGCATTGTTATATAAGTTACTCGTGTATGCTTTAGTTGATTAAAATGCACATGATTAAAATTATAAATGCTGTGAAACTTCACCTGAAATGTATTTAAAAAAACACTGTCACTCAAATCAGTCATTAACTGCACTGAATTTGAAATTGAAATGTCCTGGATTAATTCAGTTCTGTATACTTCATGTAATAATTGTATACATGAAATTGTATCACGGTTGAAGCATACATGAATGGTTCTACATCCTAAAGAGCCCTTCTGCATGTTTTACTTTTCTAATACATTTGCTATATGGCTGATTCCACCATCTTTTATTTAGTTTTGTCTGTTTGATGATAGTGAAACTATAAATATAAATACCTATTCACAGACTATTCTCTTCTTCTAGATGAAAGATCGTTACACTGGGAAGGCTGCCCATAGAAAACCATAATTGAAGGCATTGCATGTTGATCCCACCAAGAGGGCCACACTCACCTTGGAAGTGGTTGAGCCTGTCCACCGGTCCTGTGATGCGCCCTGTAGTGAGCTCTGGATTCACAGGCTGGGGCATGTGCAGCAGCACGGACTCACTCCTGCAAGGAAGTAGGTTGAGTTGGTTAAGTTTCTGATGTCTGTGTTTAAGAAATAGATTCCAACAGAAAATGTTTCATTCAAACCCACTTCTGATATTGTAATGTACCTCCACAATCCTAGGATGGGTTTGTGGCTCTTAGGGAATCTTTCTAACTATTCACTCCGTTTCTAACCTACTGCCACTGAAAGATAAATGCCTCTCTCCCTATCTGCCACCAAATAGTTGATCTCTAATTATGATTCTGAATCCTAAAAAGAGGCAATTGTATTCTAGCAACTTGTGCATTGAACTCTTCAAAACATAACCCCCTGAGTCACTTGGAAAAGTAAGAAAAGGTTAATGTCTGATAAAAGGCATAGGTAACATTCAACATAAAACACAAACACATGAGTACACACACAATCACACTGACACATTATGGTGTTAGTAACTTATGTTTTCACTTTGTTGGAAGCAGCTTGATGTTTTTCATAGCATGCCTTGTGCTCCAGCTTGCACTGATGGCCGATAACATACCTTGCCACCATGTCTCCCAAATCCTGTAGCGAGAGAGAGAGAAAAAATTGACTTCTTTAGAAAGTTGTTATTCTTGTTGGGTGAGGTGGCTCACACCTGTAATCCCACCACTTTGGGAGGCCAAGGTGGGTGGATCACCTGAGGTCAGGAGTTCCAGACTAGCCTGGACAACATGGCAAAGAAATTCCATGTCTTAAGAAAACATAATAAAATACATTACTGAAGGAAAGAACCCCATGTATATAGAGGGCCAACTTTTTATTTTTAAAGATGGTAAACTTTATTTTGCCAAACTATTTTTTTCAAACTTATCTTTTTAAATATTAGTATTGCATACAGAAAATGATTTTGTTAAAAATATCACAAAGTAGGAAGGACGTAAATCCAGAAAAAAGGCTTTTAAGTGAGTAAATTTATTTCTATGGAACAAACCTCAACAATTATTTTTCCTTTAGCTTTGATATGTTAGAACTTTTTTCACAGAATGATACTCATTACATGAGCTTGACTCTGAGCACCTCAGATGTGGCCAATAAAGAACTAATGAAAAATGTAAAGTAAGAAAATTATTAATGTTTTTCCAGAAAACAAAACAAAATAAAGCAAAACTGTTACATCCCACTGGGACTCTTAGCCATGTTTTTCAGAAATATTTTGTTTTCTATTATTGCCTACTTCATTGTCTTAACAATATGAAGACCAGGATGTCAAAGGGCATTAAGCATGTGGTGAGTTATATTATGGCCAGTTAACCCAAGGGAGGTCAGATGTGGCTTCAGATTCCACGTAGGCAGCTACCTTTCCTCACCGAGGCAGAGCAAGGTAATCCAGAAAGTCTTTTCAGACTCTGAGAATGCTGTACTTACATTATGAGGAAAATCACTTGAAAAGATGAAATATTAAATAATTTCTACTAAAATCTGGATTATTATTCTGATAAATCAATTTGATTTGTTTAGTGGTTTTTTCCACATTCAGCTTGTTAATTCCACAGAAGAGGGGTCCTGCTTTTCATGTATACGTGTCTTTTCTGCAGGACTTGAGTGTGCACAAATTTTGATATCTATCAGTGTCCTGGAACCAGTCCCCAGAGCTGACTGATTAAGTTCAGTTTTGTTCTGAAATTTTTGTTTTGTGTATAGAAATACATTTTCATGAAGTTATAACTATATTCATTTTATTTCTCATTCCAGTATTATTGAGAATCATGAATAATCAACCAATGTTTCTGTAATGAGCATTTATTGATCCTTAGGGTTACCAGATAGATGTTTTTATAGGTAGGAAAAGAAAAAATGATTCCCTGTTATAATATCACTTTTTCCTTTTTTTTTTTTTTTGTACTGTGGAAAAATATCATAGTTGATTTCTTGCAAGCCAATAGAAAATTTCAAGATATATGTAGTAAATGATAAATGTAATATTCTCTCATACGATGTAATATAATTTTTGCATATCTTTATTTTCAGTATCTTTTTGTTTCTTATTTTAAAATAATGTTTATTTTAGAAACTGTAAAGATCAAGAAAGCCATGGCAGAAAATAAACATCTGCCTAATTCCATCAGAAAAATATAAAATCATGGTTATATTCTTGTGTGTGTAATTCTAGCCCCTTTCCTATTTTAAATGTATTTTTGTTTACATATACACAAAACCCAGTAAATCTCTCTATATGTAAGGTATATAATAAACACATACTTATTTGTTCTTTTTCATATTTTTGATATTTAGAGGTTTTTTAATTCCTAAATCTTGACTATTGCCAAACATTGACTATCCCCAGGTTGATCTTATATGTATTGAAAGGGGTTAGGTCATTGGACAGCCAGAAATGGCTCCATCTTTCTGTCCAGCGATTATCAAATTGTCTGGCTTGGGAGTAAGAGCATGTTTTAAACAGCTCGATTTGTTGGCCAATGGCAGCATATTTTTAACTTACCCATCGCCCCAGCTTATTTTGTTGTTGTTCTTAAGAGACGGGTTCTCACACTGTCTCCCAAGCTGGAGTTCAGTGTGCAGTCTTAGCTCACTGCAGCCTCAAACTCCTGGGCTTGATCAATCTTTCCACCTCAGCCTCTGAAATAGCTAGGACTACAGTTACGTGCCACAATGCCCAGCTCATATTTGTACTTTTATTTGTTGAGACAGGGTGTAACCTATGTTGCCTAGGATGGTCTCAAACTCCTGGCCTCAAGCAATTCTCCCACTTAAGCCTCCCAAATTTATGGAATTACAGTAATGAGCCACCGCTCCTGGCCTTATTTATCACTTCAGAGTTTGTCCTTCCTTTCTAGGTCTATGACATGAAATGTCTTTGCCCGTTCTATAAAACATTCATCTGTCGTGGTCATATGAAGCATTACAAAATTGTTTTTGATATTTCTTCATGTTTTATGTTAAGTACTCCAACATGGTAGTGTGGCTTTTTTAAAAAGGACAAAAAAAAAAAAAAAACACAACAGATGGTTGACTAATCACAAACAGGACTTTAACGATCACAGTAGTGCTATCATTTATTATGATATATTAAAAAATCAGCACTTACTTGTAATGTGCCTTGAGACAAATCATTTAGCAACTTGATTTCTCAGACCTCAGTTTCCTCCTCTGGGAAATACTAATATCAATTGCGTGTAGTCTATCTTGAAGAATTAGAAAAATTGTAAGTAAATACTTTATTACCAAGCATGATTGCTGTGGTTACTTAATCGTTGTTACTGTTGTAGCATCGAACCACTTACCTCTTAGGTTATTTGTTCGAAGTCAAATATTATTAATTAATACATATTTCATAAACTAGTCTTTTCCATTTTATTTATTTATTTATTTTTTAAAGGATGGAGCCTTGCTTTGTATCCCAGCCTGGATTGCAGGGCGTGGCACGATCTCAGCTCACTGTGACCTCTGCCTGCCGGGTTCAAGCAATTCTCCTGCCTCAGCCTCCTGAGCACCTGGGACAACAGACACGTGCCACCATGCCCGGCTAATTTTTTGTATTTTTAGTAGAGACGGGGTTTAACCATGCTTTCCAGGCTAGTCTCGAACTCCTAACCTCGTGATCCGCCAACCTTGGCCTCCCAAAATGCTGGGGTTACAGGCTTGAGCCACTGCGCCTGGCCATACTAGTCTTTAGAGTTGATTGAATGTGGAAGTTTAGTTGACAAGTGGCTGGTTCAAATTGTTAAATTAGAAATATTCAATGTTAGAATTGTAGAGTGCCCTTGTGTTTCTCTTCCATATCATTTGGGCAACTAGTAAACAGTATACTGTTTTATCAACAGGTATGTCATTTATGCTCCAAGCAGCCACAGCAAGTATTCAGGGGAGTCATTTCCAGGAGTTTCTAACGCTCTGTTTGATATTGAAAGGAAAGTGGACCCATGCGAGGCTAAGGGAGAAGTGAAGAGAAAGCTTTGTTGCAACCTTCACTGTGCAGGCAGCTTCAGAGGCTTTGAAACAAGAAGCCTAAGAGGATTCCTTAGAGAACCTATATTGAATTTGTGTGGTATGTCACTCAGAAAGAGTCATGATGGGTATATTGATGTATTTTAAAATTAGTATATTAGAAATAAAGATGGATAGTATATACAGTTATGTGAGTGTTCATATATTTGTCTGTGTATATATTTTTTCTTTTATTTTCTCGTTGTGGATTAAAAATAAAAAATCAAAATTTATAATTATACAAGGTTATTCTGAAGTGGAAGAATCAAAGTCAGTATTAAATCCAAGGGGAATGGACAAATATCGTAAAACTCTCATCTGGCATTTTCGGGGAATCAAGTCTAATGTGTTCATGTCGCTTCACACATGGGAAATCATCAGTTTGTCATAGAGCACACTGCAGAATATGCGCAACTGCTCCAAGCCAGAGGTCTCACGCCCTACCTGGCCTTCCAAGGCTGAGAGGATCACTATCTCAGCGCACTAGTTGGGACACTGATTAAATTACACTTTTAGTATATGTAATCACTCTATAGTATAAGAAATCATTATTTTTTATTAAAATATTTTATTTATGTAAAAGACTATAATATAACACACAAGTATAGAGAAAAATAGTAATGAAATGAACATTTGTGAACCTACTAGCCATGTTAAGAAAATAACATTTCCAATATCATTGGGTTCCCCATGCACTAATGACAGTTGTGCTTTTTCACTTTCTTGAATTTTGTGTTTATCTTTATTTCCTCTGTTACTCTTTATAATTTTATCACACATGGCTATATTATTTACATGTTTTATGGTTTGGCTTTAGGTAGTTTTGAACTTTTTTAAGTAAAATCATACCATGTGTAGTTTTATGGTACTTGATTTTTTTCCACTGGTCCTTAAGTGTTCAGATAGATAGATAGGTAAGTAGATAGATAGATAGATGGATAGCATTTATTCAAATGAAAGGAAGATTCAGGGTCCGTCAAGACAGAGAAAACATATAATAATGTGAATAGGGAAAGTTAATATAAAGAATGATTAATTATAACAACATTTGAGCAAGGAAATATTGTCTAGTAGAATGTAAGGAGAAGTCTAAATAATACGTGATGAGCACATAAAAGGAATTGCCATTGTTTCCAGGGTGAAGTTGGAGTCGCCAGTGAAGAGTCCCCTCACCCCTTGGCCTCACTAAATGTTAAGAAGTTGTTGTGCTGTTGCGCTTGAAAAACTTGCTTTAAATCCACACTTTAGAGCTCCCCAGAAACTTGGCTTCTGGGCCACTTGTAAAGCTGTTTACGAAGAAATGTCACGCCAGACAGGCTCCACTGCAAATTTGGCAAAGGGCAGTGATCAGGAGAAGCTCGTGGCTGCTGAGTTCTCCTGGCCACCATGAACTTCAGGAAGTGGGTGCTATAGCAGCTGCCTGAACTACACAATCTGGGCTTTGGTGTATCCCTGTATGCCCTCCGGGCCAGACACTGGAGGTGTCATTTCCAAAGCAAATTGGAAGCGCTTTTTTGGAATTTCTCTCCAATGCTTTCTACTCACAAAGACTGACATCTTAACACGTGGCAAAGAAAAAAATATTTAAAGGGTCCAGATCTATTTATGTAAACAATCAAGAGTGAGTTTGTAGTGGAAAACCCAAAGTTGGATAAATGGTGCATAATAAAATATATTTGTTCATTTTCTGCTGTTGTACATTTGGAATGATTTTTGTATTTTGATTTTGTGAACATGTCTCCTAATGTAAATAGCCAATAGATTCTCTTTTCGGACAGTATCTTCTGACAGCTGGAATGTCTGGGTTATAAAATTTGTGATCGTCAATTCTACTGGGCACTGCCACAGTGCTTCAAAGTAATTTTATTTATTTATATTTCCACTGACAAGGTAATCATGTTATACAAAATGGTAGAAGTATGGATGATTGTGGCAAGTTAAAGAAATACAAGGAACTCACCCTTACTAGAAACCAAGGCATTTGTGGGAAGAACAATTCATACATTGAGCATCAAATACATCAAGTACGTTTTGGAAGACATCGAGAGGAGTGTAACTACTTTCTTGTAGTTTATCAAAATCCCATAATAAGGTAAAGCAGGTAGGGATATAGGCACATTTCCATTTCAGAAAGCATTCTGGTCTAGATAGAATAGAAGGATATCAACCCAGGAAGAGAACAGAACTAATATTTTGTGTGTGTGTGTGTGTGTGAGACAGGGTCTCACTCTGTCACCCAGACTAGAGTCAGTGGCACAATCCCTGCTCAATGCAAACTCTGCCTCCTGGGCTGAGGCAATCGTCCAGCCTAAGACTTAGCTGAGATTACAGGTGTGCACCCTCATGCCTGTCTAATTTTTGTATTTTTTGTGGAGATGGAGTTTCACCATGTTGCCTAGCCTGGTGTCGAACTTCTCAGCTTGACCGGTCAAGCCACCTAGGCCTCCCAAAGTGCTGGGATTACAGGCATGAGCCACCATGCCAGGCCCCAAAATCTTTTCTCATGACAACTGCTGTCACTTAGACTTTACTATCAGAAAAGATAAGACTACCCGCATCCTTTGGGTTTCAGCTTAGGTGTCATTTCTCTTAGGAAGACTTTTAGGATGACTGTCCCTTCCTTTGTATCAACTGCTAGACCATGAGCTCCTTAAGGACTTAGTCTTGGTTTTTTTTACACTTTTTTTAAACATTTTACTTTAATTTTTGGGATACATGTGCAGAACGTGCAGGTTTGTTACAATTTTGGCTCCAATCTCTACCAGTAAGGAGAGTCCATAGCAGACACTTGTTTTGTGAGTGATCAGAGTAGCGCACATAAGAGACCCTCTGAGACATTCTGTGCTTTGAAAAGAAGAGCTGCGCTGCACACTAGGATTTCCACCAATGCCTTTGTTATGGGGTTTGGCTGAGCATGCTCACAGGCTTTTTGTGATGTCATTGATAGAGAGTTGGACAGTATGGTAGATGTAGGACAGTGTACATATTACTATTCAAAAAAGTGGACCAAAACCTGCACAATACTTGAAAGCTTTGTCAACGTTCAATCAATTCGGCCAGCATGCAAGAAGCATCCCCCCAAAATATTGTATGTAATTTGGTGGCTTAGGAACATACTTTGGCAACATATTTAACGTCACTGAAAGGAAGACAGTTTTCAGAGACAGACTGCCTGGTTTCAAACCCTAGTTCTCCTACTTAATTAGAGTATGCCTATGGGCAAATTATTAAAGCTTCCTGTTCTTACGTTTCTTAATCTTTAAATGAGTATAAAATATTATTTATCTTATGGGGTTGCTGTAACAATTAAGTAAGCTAGAACATGTGAAGCACTTAGAACAGTTTTTAGCATAGAATTGGTAATCAATAAATGTCTGATATTTTCACTTGAATGACAGAGTATTTTTTAGTTAGGTAAGGAAATACTACTTTTTCTCTCTTACCTATCCTGCATGATAACACAGTTGTAGTAAAATAGATAATAACTTTTTCAGCTTCCAGCACTAAAATTTGCAACTATTTTTTATTCTTTTATATGCATCTCATAAGTTGCTTATTGTTTGTTTCTGTCTAATACGGGGCAGTCTACAAAATGTAGAATTGAATTTTTACTGAGAAGTGAGAATACCAGAAAGTCTTTCTTCTCTACACTTAGTAGATAATATGCAACATTTTAAGAAGTGTTTGAATCTGTTTTCAAAGAATAACGTTTGTGGAAAAGTCTGCATATATATATATATCTATGATTACCTTTTCTTATCTTTATTGGATATATTTTTTGAAGCATAATGCTGATCAAATGACACTTCAGAAAACATACTAATTTGCAATGCCATGGACTGATTAAAAAGACAGCCACTTCATCTTTTTCTAGGATATGCTGGCTTTTATGAATTTTATAATTTTTTAAATGTCTATTAATCTGCAAATGGTGACTTTATATAGATTTTTACTTTTTCAACTTCTAGCAAGGTTTGTTAATTTTAAGTTTACAGAAATGACCTAACTCCCCAAACATTAGATAATTTATGAATACAACTATGTATAAACATTGGTGATTTATTAAATCATGGTAAACGACAACAAAATCGGTTAGTATGGCAACCATGTTAAAAATAACTTTCAGGCACCATTAAAGATAATTATGCACATAATTATTGTATAAATAGCAGCCAGGTGCCATGGCTCATGCCTGTAATCCCAGCACTTTGGGAGGCCAAGATGGGCGGATCACCTGAGGTCAGGAGTTCGAGACCAGCCTGGCCAACTTGGTGAAACATTATCTCTACTAAAAATACCAAAATCAGCCGGTCACGGTGGCAGACACCTGTAATCCCAGCTACTCGGGAGGCTGAGGCAGGAGAATCACTTGAACCTGGGAGGCAGAGGTTGCAGTGAGCCGAGATCGTGCCATTGCACTCCAGCCTGGGTGACAGAGGGAGACTGCATGTCAAAAAAAAAGTAACAATAATTATTATTATTGTGTAAATAATTATTATATAATTTTAAAAATATGAATACGTAACATTGTTATAGATAGTTATGTACATATATATGTAAAGTTTCAGTTTTAAAATTATTGAAAAGGGTGGATAAATAAAAAACAGATTTTATTTTCATATAAATCCATCATTAGGAAATAGTCATAAAATAGTAAAAATAAGTTAAACAGGCCGATACAGCTAATTATATCAACCATTATATATACAATTTTGTGAAACACAATTGAGTTCCTTGTTATACTTTTTTAAACAAGAGAGTGACACAGCACAGATATGTTGGTAATCCCAGTTAATGTTTTATCTTTGAACATATTCAGACAAATAACGGCTAGGCACTTAAGCAATTATAATTTTAAAACAGAGTGAGAAACAAAATTTTAAAGTTAGCATGTGGCCCGGTGCAGTGGCTCACGCTTGTAATCCCAGCACTTTGGGAGGCCGAGGTGGGCAGATTACCTGACATCAGGAGTTTGAGACCAGCCTGAGCAACATGGTGAAACCCCGTCTCTACTAAAAATACAAAAATTAGTTGGGGGTAGTGGCGGGCGACTGTAATCCCAGCTACTTGGGAGGCTGAGGCAGGAGAATCGCTTGAACTCCAGAGGCAGAGGTTGCAGTGAGCTGAGACCGAGCCATTGCACTCCAGCCTTGGCGACAGAGCGAGATACCGTCTCAAAAAAAAAAAAAAAAAAAAAAAAAAAAAAATAGCATGTGATAATATGTAGTGAAATAATTGTTATACTTAAAATATTTCTTTGAATAAACAGTGTTAAGTCAACTTTCTTGCATCTCATTCCAAACTTGTCTGTTGAGCTTTGAGCCCTCAAGTCTGGTTTTCAATACTTTATAAACCTAATCAGCCAATTTACCCCTTTCTACGCAATCTAATCAACCTCAGGAAGTGGGTGTGGTCTTTCGTGGGCCCATACACTTTAAAAGGATGCTTGTCCAGAGATTTCTCTCTCCTTCAGTGAGGACCCACTGGATTTGTGGCTGCTGGGCTTTGAAGAGCCAGGAGTGACTTCTAATCTGGATATCTACAGAGTTTCTAGACTGAGACCATTCATAGTAGCCTTGTGAGTATACAGTGTGCAGCAAAACCATCATGCTCACTTTTACTCTTAAACATGCTTTAAATTTACCTGGCAGCATGCTTGGGTCTTTTCTAAGCAAACAAATGACTGTCTTAGTGATTTTACAGAAAATCAATATAAAGTATCTTCAATTTGTAAGATATGGTTTGTGTTCCCTTGCTATTTGACTATGCGACTGTTTTCTGTATTGTTAGATTTTTCTTAAGTGTGAAAAGATATATTTCCATAGTTTCATGCAATGATAGAACCCATAAAATACCTAAAATGTTCACCAGAATGTGGGCATGTAGTAGTGGTTATAACGTAAGCCAAAGCGAACGTTAAAAATGTTGAATTACTTTGAAAATTCTTGTTGCAAAGGTCTTATTTGCTGTCTCTTCAAAATTTGCAATTTGCAGACTAGATCTGAAAGCTGTTGAAAATAGATTTAATCGGCTGGGCATGATGGCTCATGTTTGCAGCCTAGCACTTTGAGAGGCCAAGGCAGGCAGATCGCTTGAGGTCTAGAGTTAGACACCAGCCTGGCCAACATGGTGAAACCTGGTCCCTACTAAAAATCCAAAAAAATCATCCTGGCGTGGTGGTGGGCACCTGTAATACCAGCTACTCAGGAGGCTGCGGCAGGAGAATTGTTTGAACCTGGGAGGTGGAGCTTGCAGTAAGCTGAGATCGTGCCACTGCACTCCAGCCTGCGTAACAGAGTGAGACTGCATCTCAACAACAGCAACAAAAAAAAAAAAAAAAGAAAAAGAAAAAGAAAGAAAGAAAATAGATCAATAGATCTAACCAACTGGCAAGGGCTCCCAAGAAGCTGCAACTTCCAAGTCACTAAGCGAAAGGTGAATTGGCGGCCATGCTTCCATTAACTGCATTTCTGGATTTTCTAGTGTAGAGTGGAAAACCTAATACATATCTTCACTTTTTTTTTGTTATTTTAGAAGATAATTAGTTGTTGATTAATTCTTGTTAATTATAGTTGAAATATTGGCTATTTCAGAATGTGAAAGTGTTCTCTCTAATCATCAGAATTGACAATGGGAAAAAACTTTCCTAATTAAAAATAATAGATATTATTTACATTTAATGTATTGAAAGGAAGAGTTTTGATATTAAAGTTAAAAGGACAAATTTAATGGTTGATAATTTTAGGAGTTGACAGTCCACTGTGATTACTCAATCTTAGATAAAAGCTACTTTATTTATAATTGTCTGAGCAAACTTCATAGGTGAGTTTGGAGGCAGGGAGTATAGAATAATACCATAGATACTAAGTGTCTTTCATATATTATCATCATGGAATTATTGAGAGAGATAGAATGACAGAAACAGGATGACATTCAGAATGTGCTTCTTCGTTAATTAGCTTACATAAGTGACTCAGAAATCATCCCAGCTTTTACCCTCCACCCAGGCTTTAAGCTTGTCTAGGTAACTGGGAATGACTGAGAGCACGGCTTGTTTAACAAAAATGCCATGAGGACTGTTGTCTCATTTTCTCATTTGCATCACGGTTGTTCGTTGTTCATATTCGTAAGTTTCATACCCGTGGATTCAACTAATCTCAGATAAAAAATATTTACAGGGAGAAAAAAGCAGCTGTACTGAATATGTACTTTTTTTTTTTTTTTTTTTGAGACAGAGTCTCACTCCATTACCCATGCTGGAGTGCAGTGGTGCGATCTCGGCTCACTGCAACCTCCGCCTCCTGGGTTCAAGCGATTCTCCTGCCTCAGCCTCCCGAATAGCTGGGACTACAGGCACGTACCACCACGCCCTGCTAATTTTTTGTATTTTTAGTAGAAACGGGGTTTCACCGTGTTAGTCAGGATGGTCTCGATCTCCTGACCTCGTGATCCGCCCGCCTCGGCCTCCCGAAGTGCTGGGATTACAGGCATGAGTACCGCGCCCTGCCAAACATGTACATATTTTTAATCTTCTTGCTGTTCCTAAACAGTATGGCATTACAAGTATTTATACAGCATTTACATTGTATTAGGCATTCAAAGTAATCTAGACATAAAGTATTCAGGAGGATAGGTTTAGGTTACATACAAATTCACACCATTTACTAATAAGAGACTTGAACATCTTAGGATCTTGGTTCTCAGGGAGTCCTTGACCGAATCTTCGATGGCTATTGAGGGAAAACTTTATAAATCCAGCATGTATGAATTTACTATGTCTCAGTTTGTGCTGGAGCTAACTTATTAGACATGCTGGACAGAGCTCAAGTAGACAAGGAAAATTGTCCACCGGCCTTTCTTTCCTTTTCATCGGGGTAAATAAAAATAAGAGAAAGAAATTCTCACTTTTTTTTTTTTTTAATTTCCAGAAACATGGATTCAGACGACCTGCAAGTCTTCCAGAATGAGCTCATTTGCTGCATTTGCGTGAACTACTTCATAGATCCGGTCACCATTGACTGTGGGCACAGCTTTTGCAGGCCCTGCCTCTGCCTCTGCTCAGAAGAAGGCAGAGCACCAATGCGCTGCCCTTCGTGCAGAAAAACCTCAGAGAAGCCCAACTTCAACACCAATCTGGTACTCAAAAAGCTGTCTTCCCTAGCCAGACAGACCAGACCTCAGAACATCAACAGCTCAGACAATATCTGTGTGCTCCATGAGGAGACTAAGGAGCTCTTCTGTGAGGCTGACAAGAGATTGCTCTGTGGGCCCTGCTCTGAGTCACCAGAGCACATGGCTCACAGCCACAGCCCAATAGGATGGGCTGCTGAGGAATGCAGGGTACGTGATGCCTCTAAGGCAGTTTGAATTATACAGAATCCCAAATAAGAATGATGAGGGCCTGTGATAATGATGGTGATGAGAATGCAGATGGTGGAGGTGGTGATTATTCCATGTCAATCATAACACATGAATGTGTCCTTTCAATGTTGCTGGCTAATTTGGCACTCTAATCATAGCTGTGTTGAGACTTCACTAAAGGAGGTCTCCTTAGAAACATTGTTCAAACGTGTAGAATGGAGCTGTGGAGCTGGTGGCCAGCACCAAGAACACTTTTCAAAGTCAGGTTATCTGAAAGCCAGTTTCTCAGAATATTGATGATATTATCTGAAGGGTCCCTTAAAACTCTCTATTATGTTTCTATCACTTTTCACATCCAAATTATTAGAACCAAATGTGTTTAACTTGGAAAAATCTGACCACTTCACTCCAACTTAATTTATGTTTCTTTCAATTACAGCCTTTTTTTTTAAGATAAGGGTATGAAATCTACTATACTGTCTTCATTATTGCTAAGCTTCTTGCTTCTTTTGCAGGAGAAACTTATAAAGGAAATGGACTATTTATGGGAAATCAATCAAGAGACAAGAAACAATCTAAATCAGGAAACTAGCACATTTCATTCGTTAAAGGTAAGAATGAAAATGTTTTCTTTGTTTTTATGCAAATAAACACAATGTTAGCTTATACTTTTTAGCTAAATTCAAACTACCCGTTGCAAGATAGTGATTTCATCCCAAGAAAATGTAGTGATTTCAATTGATGTAATAGGAGTTGCAAACAGAGAAGCCCACACAAGCTAGCCAAATGAATTCTAGTATATTGGATAAACGGCATGATGTGTATTCTAGTTCAAATTTGAAGGTTGGTATAAACCTTTTCAGACACTGCAGATGAGACAACATTTCACTAAGTTTGGGTGTGAGGAAGACGAAAGAAATAGAATAGTATATAGAGTAAAAATATGGTAAAAGTAAAAAAAAACTGCATAATATGGTGTATGGCTAAATGTTTTTTAGCATGCAGGCAAAGCAGACATGGAAAAATCCTAAAAGAGAGATTAGTAGAGGAAACAATTGACTCAGTAACAACTGTGAAGAAGCATCACAGTGACAGAAACCAGGAGTCTTTATATAGGTTTGATTTAAAGAGGGAGAGAGAATAGGAACATTGAAAAAGATGGACAGAAGAAGATAGCAAATATTCAAGACTCCTTGCAAGAGTGAGGCAGAAAGTTTATAAGTTGCTTGATTACACCCAGCATATAATTATTTGAAGTTTTCTATTGAGAGTGAGAACATGTAATCCTTTTAACCAAACATCTCTGCAGGACTATGTGTCAGTAAGGAAGAGGATAATCACTATTCAATATCAAAAGATGCCTATATTTCTCGATGAGGAGGAGCAACGGCATCTGCAGGCACTGGAAAGAGAAGCAGAAGAGCTTTTCCAACAACTACAAGACAGTCAAGTGAGAATGACCCAACATTTAGAAAGGATGAAAGACATGTACAGAGAGCTGTGGGAGACATGCCACATGCCTGACGTGGTGCTGCTCCAGGTGAGGAGGGAGGGTCCATCCTCAGAGACAGGAAGCCTTTGCTGGACAGTGCTGCCAGGACATGCAAATATCACCTGCGTATGTCACTGCTCTAAGCTAAGTGACACATGCTGTCTGACTTCCACCATTACACTTCTCCATTCACGTATTACTGCATACTTTGGTAATCTTTGGGAAATTTTTGCCATTTTAGCAGATAACATATAACAAAGTTCTCTTCAATATAATTTGGAGTACTATCCACACAGAGAGATCATCTAAAATCGTTAGAACTCTAGGCCAGGGGAAGGTTAGTAATACTCCATTTATATGCCCCAGTTCCTCCTCTCTCTGATGTCCCACACAGCAGTGATTTGCTGAAGACATTGAGGGGTTTCCCCTTGCCTGGGCAAGGTTTGTCAAAGCTGCTCATCAATGTCCATGTACTCTGTTTCTCATATGGTTCTCTGTTTTGTTTTAATCGTTGTCATGTGTGGTCAGACCTTTCCTTGGAAGTAAGATTAGGAAATTAATGACACTGGAAACCTAGATATCTTTGCTTTACTCCACTGTCTCTTGCTGAGCTCCTTTCTTCTTAATGCCCACTGATGAAGCTTTTTATTGTTTAGTTGAGGTTCTATTATTAATGTAGTCTTGAATGATTCCTTAGCAGGAAATAAAAAGATATACATTATTAAAACAGAAAGAAACAAGAGTATGAGAAAAGATGCAGAAGGAAAAATCTCTCATAATTAACATTATCTTTCATTTTTTTGCAGGATGTGAGAAATGTATCAGCAAGGTGAGTTTACACTAAAAAAATGCTATTTCTGAAAAGTTTGTTCTCTTGCGAATGAAGGGGATGTATCATTTTGAGTACTAACATCGTTGTCGGTGGCTATTTCCAATTTTGTTTCAAAAGAGGGCCTGAGGTCTTCTTCTCTTTGGTCTGGAAAGTTTTCATCTTAAAATTTGTATGAATTAAAACATACATAAAAACAATTTGCCATTCGGAAGTTTGTTCTTCCCAGTCCATCCGTCCTGACCAACCATACCCCACAGATCTTAATGCAAAATTACTCTGAGGAATCATAGAGGCATCTTCTACTCTAGAGGGGTGGGAGGTTAAAAAAAAAAAAAAAAAAAAGACAGAGGGAGGAGAGAGATTCCCTAAGGATGGGCTGAGGAGGGATGTTTTGCTCCTAAAAGCATCAATGACCCGGGCCTGCTCCATCACCATACACCCAGTTCTAGGAAAGACCTCAGGGAAATGGTTGCCTCGGGCCCCTCAGCAGCAGGGTTCTCAGGCTGGAATTAGACTCCTTTGTTTTGCACAAAAGATTAAAGCCTTTTGCCTCAGTGAACATTCTCTGTTAGACACTGACTAGCATTAGTGACAACTGCAGGCTGAGGTCCCAAAGGTTTTTGTCTGAGTTTTCTGCTCTCTGAAATATTTCCAGGATTTCTGCATACCCTCAAGGGGTGTGATGGGCAGAGGGAGGCAATGACTTTTAATGACTTTAGAAGTTGTATAATGTCTGAGAATAACGTATCTGGGGAAATTGGGTTTTTATGGAAGCAAAGTTTAGAAAAAGTAACATCCTTATTGCCCCTAGAGTGTGGAATAAAATGTACACCCAGTTAACCAAAACTGGCAGAATTGTGAGGAAACATCTTATATGAAAATGTGATATCTTTGTATGACTGTGTGATTAGCTCTGGGCCTGGAAATATAACTGAGGCCATTTTTTTTGCAGGACTGATTTGGCACAGATGCAAAAGCCCCAGCCAGTGAACCCAGAGCTCACTTCATGGTGCATAACTGGAGTCCTAGACATGCTCAACAACTTCAGAGGTAAGAGCCAGCTGCTTGGCATTCCAGCCTCAAATTATTTCCTTATTGGGTCCCTTGGTTGAGGATTTTCCCATTTAAGTTTTATTAGTTTTGACATGTAGGTAATACATAGTTTTCCGAAACATGTGCATCTTCCCTACCTGCATAGTAATATTACAATGATCAAAACTCAATTTCCTGACTTACAGTTTGACGAAAATGTAAAGCAAGATACATACTTTATCTGCAGAATAAGAGGACAAAATATTCAGATCATGTAGTTATGAAGACTCTAGTTCTCATGGCGGCATCAGTATTTCATGTTTATTCAATTTAATTCAATTTTGAAGGCTTAGATTTGGCATAATGGTTTTTAATTGTTTCTATTCTATGTGCATTTACATGCATTCTACAAGTAACCTTTATTATTTACAAAATCAGAACATTTTGATCAACAAAGAAAATGACTAAAATATCCATAATCAGGACAATTCTAATGCCATCAGATACATCTAGTAACAAGTGAAAGGTGAGGGATCTGTGAACACGGCTTAACCATGTTAGGCCCATTCTAGAGAGCAGGTCTGGGTAGCAGAGGGCAGGAACCCAGAGTAGATTGAATCAGGAGCTAAACAGATAATGTAAAGCCAGAATATTCTTTTCAGAAACTTATAAATTTTACATGTGTTAATTTCTACCAAATTTTTGATGTTTGAGACTATAACAGGCATAACTTACATTCCAATAAATACTCACATCACAGCAAATTGATGTCTACCTGTTGATGATCTTAAAAACAAATAATACAAGGAGAGTTTTCTATTGAAGAAAAAAAAACATTTTGCATATGCCCTGAAACCAACTATGCAGATGTAGACATTAAATCATTATTTCCCCTGTGGTATGGTCACGTTTTTTCTCTATTACTTAAGGAATAATACATAATTGTATGTGCTGTAGAGGTGTAATAACATTTCATCTTCATGGATGCATGGGGCTGACCCCTCTTGGCTTCCTTTTTTCTGTATTTTCTTGGAAGAAGAGCAAATGAAGTGAATAATTGGGCCACAGAGCCTCTGTCCCTCATAACACTCACTAATATAATATTTTTTTCTTGTCAGTGGATAGTGCTCTGAGCACGGAAATGATTCCTTGCTATATAAGCCTTTCTGAGGATGTGAGATATGTGATATTTGGAGATGACCATCTCAGTGCTCCCACGGATCCCCAGGGAGTGGACAGCTTTGCTGTGTGGGGAGCGCAAGCATTCACCTCCGGCAAGCATTACTGGGAGGTGGATGTGACCCTCTCCTCCAACTGGATTCTGGGAGTCTGTCGAGATTCCAGGACTGCAGATGCCAATTTCGTTATTGATTCTGATGAAAGATTTTTTTTAATTTCCTCAAAGAGGAGCAATCACTATAGTCTCTCCACCAACTCTCCACCTTTAATTCAGTATGTGCAAAGGCCTCTGGGTCGAGTTGGGGTGTTTCTGGATTATGATAATGGATCTGTGAGTTTTTTTGATGTTTCTAAAGGTTCTCTTATCTATGGTTTTCCTCCTTCCTCCTTCTCTTCCCCTCTGAGGCCTTTCTTTTGCTTTGGTTGTACATGAAAAGTTGGTTTCACGATGATTTATTGTGACCTCCCACATATGAGGCAAATACTGTCCTAAGACACTATGTGCGAGAGCCTGTGAGCTCATTGTAACTTCATGGAATGTAATTACTATGTGGTTATGAATGGGATAACCACCTTGAATGTGTACTTTTGTTAATTAAATTATTTTAATTAATAAGTTATTGTGGAATCTTTACTAGAACATCAATAATGGTTTTTTTGTACTAGTTTTGTTGAGATTCATTCATTTACTGTAAAAGTCATGTTCTAATGTATTTAATTCAGATATTGTTAGTATATCACACTTGAGCAGCCATCAGAGCTCTCTACTACCTGTGAACTTTTATCACTTCCAGAAGAATCCCAATACACATTAACATTAATTCTCCTTTTACCCTCCCCCATTCCTTGACAGCACTTAATCTACTTTTTATGTTTTTGCATTCAGGTAAATAAAATCATACAATGTAAGTTCTTTTTTTAATCTGATTTCTTTTTCAGAGAGTATGTTTTCAGTTTGTACACACTGTAAACCATTTGTCTTAGTCGTATATTTCAACCAGGCTGGGGTAGAATAATGAAGTGGTGGATATCTCATCTTACAAAGAATAAAAAGAGTGCTTTTTTTCTTTTTAAGTCTGAGCAAGTTAGGTTGACCTCACAGACTTTATTATGTCTCAACAACCTAGTTATTAATCACATTTCAGCTCATACAACAGTTTTTCAGTGCTGGGTTGCTCTGCTATTACATCTTCTCTGAATATATTATATCAGGTTATAATATTAAGAAAACTCTTATACTTATTACTACCAGATTGAAAAGTCCAAGGGGGCAATGGCAGTATTTGTCTTCTTTGCTAATATATTACAATTATTCAATGCAATTTTTAGAATAGATTACACAGTAAATAAGATGAGTAAATGGATAAGTAGAGGAGTTAACATGTATAAATACTATTCTAACATTAAGAAACTTTTCCAAAATATAAGTAACAAAATAGGACAGAACATACTAATGAATATCTATCAAAAGATAAGAAATAAATTGATTTTCAGATTCATATCAAAGATAACACTATTATGTTGGGGTTTAAAATAATTGTAGCATAATTTTTACAGGGTTGATTTCAATTGTCTTAGGTTTTTTCATATAAACTATGGAAAGAGGAAGGTTCCTATATAAGATGATGGGGAACAGGAACAGGACTTAGAATAATGGAGGCTGTCCTTATTTAAACTGACATATAATTACTTGCTAAGCATAAAGTGGTATAAACCTTCTTATGCAGTAGAAAGAACAAACTTTGGTTACATTTCAAATAAGAATCCAGATGATAGAGAATGGAAAATTCTATAATAGAATGTAATAGCTACATCTCCTAGCGCACCGGCTTATGTGCTCTAACAAAGACCACGAATTTGAAATGATTCAGAAGGTGCATTTCTCTCACATGTTTGTACCAACATAGGAGTTGGTCAAGAAGAAGACTGACATCTTCAGCAAGTGAATTTTATCTCTGTGTGCAGGAAACTCCCATTTATTGCCATGTCCCATGCAGCAGGAAAGCCGGAAGAAAAGTAGGAGGGACAAGAGTATTTGGCTTTAAGGAAAGCACCTGGTGTTCCTCACAATGCTTTTGTTCCCGTCCTATAGCTACAAAATTAGGCAGATGGGACACCAAGTTGTAATGTATCTGGGAATGCTGTTTACACTCTAAACCATATTTATTCTTATCATTTGATTCAGAAAACAAATTAAATGACTGGCACAACTGAAAATAACCCAAGAGATTTGTTCAATGAAACAAAGCTGAACCTCAACCAAATAGATAAGCTGCTGCCTAAGGTTAGCACCAGTTCTTAGTTATTCAAGAGTGAGTAAACCCTGCTTTTTACCACTGTCGGGGTGTCCAGTGTTGTCCTTTTTAGAGCCTGGCTAGCTGAGGGTTATGTGGCAAGAAACATCTTATTTGTATTTTAGTCCCTTAAATGAATGATTTGGATAGGAATGATTCTCCAAATTTTGAAAATACTTATCAGAAATATTCTCTTATTCCTTCACTCTATACCATGTAGACTATAATAAACTGTCTCTCTTCTGCCTCCACATATTTCATGCAGAACATTAGGGGTTAGCAGAGAGAAAGCTTATCCCCAGCTTCTTTTGGACTCGCTGCTTTTTTCCAAGTGATCTGAGATGATAAAATTACTCACCTTAGGGCTCCAACCCAGCACTCCTTTTGGATTTTCACCTATGTTTTGTGAGCTTTTCTGTTGATGCTAAAACTCTATGCAACAGTCAAAGCCTCATAATTTAATTACATTATTTGTTGCTAGATTTCGAGGAAAAATTATTCCTGACATTCTTCTAATTTAGCTCAGATTCACTTTGGCAGAAAGACAGAATTAGCTACTTTACGATCACTTAGTATTTGACTCTGATTTTGGAAGATGAAACAGTTTTTGTGTCTATTTACCATATTTTCTTAGCCATTTAACCAAGATAATCTTATTGTATTGATTCTCCTAGAGATACTTACTTTATTTATTCTCTTCACCTGTCAGAATTTATGTTAGAATATCACCAAGAATTACTTACAATTGAAATAAATCAAAGAGAGACCACTAAGAACATCGTCAATCATTAATACATAAATCTTGAACTTCCTGAGATTTTTATCCCTAAAGGAAGTTATTTATCAATAGCCTGGTTACAGTTTCTTTAATACAAGAATTTTCACTCTTCTATAATACAAAAAGTAAAAATTGATAAAGAGGATAACTTGGAAAAAAATTAATCTAACAAAACGGAGACACATTCTTGACTAGCACTTTATTTCTGTACTAAATTTAGGAGACATGTAAATGGTAGGTTTCCTAAGTGAAATAAGACAGACACACAGAGAAAAATACTTCATGGTCCCACTCATATTTGAAATCTATTTTTATAAGTTTAATACATTAAAAAAGGTGGTTACATTGGTGGGAAGAAAATAGGTAAATGAAGGGCAAAAGTTGTAAAGGTGCAGTAATGTAGAATAAATGAATCTGATGTACAACCTGTAGGTATAATAGATAATCTTGTATTGTTTTTGGGAAATATTCTGAGGGACTAGATTTTTGATGTTCTTATCATAAAAAAGAAGCAGAGCTAAGTGATATGATCGATTTGTTAATTTTCTTCATTATAGTAATCATTTCCTTATGCACATGTATCTCAAAACAACATATTGTGCACCTTGAAAATATAAAATAAAACAAATTAAAAAATAAAGGTAATTTTGTTCCTGCATGTAAGCTGAAAATAAGTGAAGACTGGGTCAGTAATAACATTGCTTTGCTGGATTAAGAGAATTCTAATAACATATTTTTAATTGGGAAGGTATCTGTATTAAATAAAATTGATCTAAAGCTGGTTACAGTGGCCATACTTATAATCCCAGTGCTTTGGCAAGCCAAGGCAGAAAAATACTGGAGGCCAGGAGTTTGGGATCAGCCTGGGCAATATAGTAAGACCTTATCTCTACCAAAAAATAAACAGAAAATTAGCCTTGAGTGGTGGTGTGCACCTGTTGTCCCAGCTTCTCAGGGGCTGAGTTGGGAGGATTGCTTGAGTCCAGGACTATAAAACTGCAGTGAGTTCTGATTGTGCCATTGCACTCCAGCATGGGTGACAGAGTGAGAACTTGTCTCAAAAACAGCAACTAATTATTTTTTGTAGCCATTTTACCTGAAAGGTATAATTCTTTCTTCTACAATTAATGAATCTGCGTATGTCTAGGCCAGCTAGATCAGGTAGAGCTTGTCCTCTAGTGCTTATATCTATAAAACAAGTAAGACAATTATAAGGAGGCTCTAAGCAAAACAATTTTTTCTCATTCTGGACTTTGAGGTCTTAATTCTTTAGACTAATTTTCTGTCTCAATAGTGGATATCACCCTGAAACTTAATTTGTCCAAGCACCTCACATAACCTGAGATTTTACAAAACATACAGTTCATAGGATCAGTACGTTCTTAAGCCTTAAAAGTCTCCAGGCATTCAAGGATACCACTATGTGGAAACTCAGGCCTTCTACTGCATTATTGAAGGAGCACATTTGAGACTCACAGCTCTGGTTCCAGGAGTCTGTTAACAGGTCTGGACAATGAGTAATGTCAGTCCAGATAATTCTGAGGAAGGCTTTCTGCCTTGTTATGAGGAGGATAATCAGTGGAGACTCTAGACAAGTTCCCAGTCATCATTCCAGCATTTAGTTGCTGTTTTTGTAATCCCAGCATTTTGGGAGGCCGAGGCAGGTGGCTCACTTGAGGTCAAGAGTTCAAGACTGGCCTGTTCAACATGGTAAAACTTTGTCTTTACTTAAAATACACAATTAGCAGGGGGCGGGGGGTGGGGAATATGCATTAGAAGGGAAGGAGAACATACTTAACATGCCATTGGAAGGTGAAATTCCTAATACTTGAGAATATTTTTGAGAACTATGTTTAATTCTCACTATAGAAAGATGTACCCTTTGAATGACATTAAAAATTCGCTAGAAGAGTGAAGAATAATAGTTAAAATGTCACATAAGTAACAAGAGTCTCAAAACATAAAGTGTTCTAAAAGGTTAAAGTACGTATTTGAGATAGAGAGAATAAATAATAGTTAATTACTTAGACTTTATTATGTGAAAAGACTTTCCTAAAATTCTTCCCTAATAATTGAAGATATAAATTACAATAATTAAAATACACAAAAAATAAAAGTATTAAAATAGTGACAAATTTTTAAAAGGGTAAACTTGAAAATTATTTAATTTTTAATCTCAAAAATCTGAAAGTGATTTTATCAATGTCCTAAAAAATTGAAATAAAAACAAACTTAATAATGTAAAAGAAGGGAGGTTTCCACCGGGCTGGGGGCGGGAGCTAGGGCTTCCCTGGGGACGCAGAAGCAAGAAGCAGGGACCTTGGCGCGCACCAGGCTTTCCGGGACAGAGCCTCGGCCTCCCGCCCACGCCTCCGGCCGCCGGCGTGGTGCTGCTGGCTGGGACCCAGCCGCAGGGTGGCGGGGCGCGCTGCATGACCCCGCCACCGCCGTCCCCACTCCTAGGCACACAGGTCGAGGAGGACCGCGCTGACTACAAAGAGTTCCAGGACTTCTCCAGTCTGCCCGACACCCGCAGCATCGCCTGGGACGACTCTTTCTACCCTTTCCAGGAGGAGGAGGAGCACGGCGTCGAGGGCGTGGAGAGCGTCCTGGAGGAGGGCGTCCTGGAGGAGGGCGTCCTGGAGGCGTGGGGCTGCTGCAGACGTTGGTGCGGCGGGGGGTGAGCGTTGAGAAGGCTCAGGAGACTGACCACAATGGCCAGAGCGGCCTTAATGTCGCCTGCTACCACGGCTTTGTGGATATACCGTGGTGGCCTTAGCTGAGTGCCCCCACATTGAAGTCAACTGGCAGGACAGGGAGGGGAACGCAACCCTAATCATAGCTGCACAGGCAGGAGCTGCCCCTGGCCCCATGGGCACAGTTGCCTTAGACGCTGGCTCTCAGCCTTGCGCTTCCTGCGTCAGCATCACCTGGGCTGGTTCATTTGAGCTTTAACACAGATCTGGTGGAAACACAGGCTGCCAAGCCCTGCCCTGGAGTCTTTCTTTGAATAGGCCTGGGGTGGGGCCCAAGAATGAGCAGAAGAACAGGTTTCCTGGTGAGGCTGATGCCGCTGGCCCAGGGATCCCACGTTGAGGAAGGAGGGCTTTGAGGTTTTCATGCCTGATGATGGCCAGGAACCCTTCTCAGTAGGCATTGAAGACCAGCAGAGTCCCAGACCCCAGGAGAGATGTCGTCAGACGGACACAGAGGCATCACGGAATTAAAGTGAAAATGAAGAAAGGAGCTGAGCATCTGTTTCATGACTTTCCTGCGCTGTTTTACTAAAGAGGCTGTTCTGGCCCAGTCAGGGCACGCTATCATCACCAACTGCTTGCTGAACTATGTCCTGGGTCTTGACCTTGAAGGATGGACGCGTTCGGGTTGAAAGCCGCCATGCAGGGTCGAACCGATCGCATCCGAGCCCTGAGCTAGCAGGGGCGGGTGTCCACGCGAGGGCCCCCGCCGTGGGAGGTCGCCAGAGGAGTGGCCACTTACACGTCCGTCTCATGCAGAGGCTCCTGGAGCGCCCCTGCCAGGAGCGGCTGGGGAAAAAGTACCAGCTTGAGCTGCCTCCGCTCCACGAGAGGGTGCGGAAGCCCGAGGGCTCGAAGAACTGCCTGCAGAGGGTCAGGGACTGCGAGCTGTCCACGCTGACGCCGCGCTCCGTGCGTGGCCCGGAGGACCGGGGCGCCCTGGACCACATGGTCAGGATGACCACCAGCCTCTAACAGCCCCGCCGTGGCCCTCGCGTGCCAGACCGTGTGCCCCCAGAGCTCCCTGTGCGTGGGGAAGAGGCGGCTGGCGGTGCAGGAAATCCTGGCGGCTCAGGAAATTCTGGCGGCGCGGCTGGGGGTGGGGAGGCAGGCGCAGGAGGCGGGCGAAGCGGAGAGCGCAGAGCAGCACAAGCCGCCCTGCCCAGAGGCCGCGGGCTCCCGGGAGGGCTCCCTAAGAGCCGGCCTCCCACCTGCCCCGCTGCCAGGGTCCTGGGGCTCTGGCGACCCCGCCCCGCGGAAGGCCAGCCTCCTGCCCCTGCAGCGCCTGCAGCGGAGCAGCTTGCGGCCCGGCGTGGTGGTGCCCCGGGTCCGCCTCAGCAAGGCGCCCGTGCCCACCTTCCAGCCCCAGAGGCCGGCTGTTCAAATATTTTCCCAAGTTTATATTGGGTTCATTTTCTTTTGTTTATTACATTCATTAATCACATGTATTGTATTTTATTGCATATATGTTGGGATAAATATGTTTCTCCACTCTTGGTTTGCATTTTAATTCTTGGATGGTGTATTTTGAAACACAGAAGTCATCATTTTTGATACAAACTAACTAAATTTTTCTTCTTAATTGTTACTTTTTTGTCCTGGTTAGGAAATCTTTCTGTGTGAGAATATTTTATTGTGTTCCCTTCACCTTCAGAACATGAATCCATGTGGAAATGCACTGTGTATGGTTTGAGGTAGGGGTCAGTATTCAGTTATGTCCATTTGAATATTTAATTGATCCAGCATTGTCCTGATCCCCTTGTAAATTTCACTGTAGAACAGCACTCTAATAATGCATGAGCATTTTGTATGTAAGATGAGATTTACAAAGATAAGCACAGCATAGGAGGTCAAATAAGATTACCTCAAAGTATAGGTTCATAAATAAAACACATGGATAAGTATAATATTGTTAGATGAAGAGAAAGAAAATATTTCCAGGTTACCATTGAGTCTTTTTACTCCAAGTTTTTTCATGAAGCCCAAGATCTCTACTTTCTTCCATTGATTTTAACTTCATTTAGACAACTCTGTCATCTATTATTTCACTTTGTGACATTCAGAAATAATTAAAAACCAGAGAATATATTCTATGCCATACATCATGGGTAATGATTTTCCAAAAATGATTTAAAAAGGAACCAATACACATGGTTTTAGTGTTTTCACCATATTTAATAGAAACACTATAAATGAGTTTTGATGACATTAGAATGCAACTAAAGACATTAAATGTAACTTATTTGTCCCGTTTGATGAGGTGCGAAAAAGAGGGCTTTCTGGGATAAACAGGTTCCCAGAGCATATAGACACATTTCTGACTTTTCTCTGGTCAGAAGTGACTACAGCAAAAGATAGGCCTGAGAGGAGGTGAGAAGGAGCAATTAGGGATGGTGTATATCAGGGAACTTTGATCAACACCAACAAAGCTCATGGTTCTACCTTCACAATCCAGGAATAATCCTACTGTGCTGGTAGGTCTTGGAACATATTGCACCACAAGTGGGGAGGTGGTAAAGAGACTGCAGTGAGTGTCCTCCTTAACACATCCAAGAAGAAAGAGTCCCTCCTCTCCATCTATCTTGTCATTCTGTCTCTTCTCTTTCCGATAATTGTTACAGACACCAAAAGCCCAATTCCAAGAGTCCCCCACGTGAACCTCCCAATAATATTTGCCAGATGTGAAAGCCGGAGCCCCCCATACAAGAAAACATTCAGATTTTGCAGTGATATCGGGATCATCTTGAGGGTCACATCCAACATTCATGCTTCTCAAATCTCCATACAGGAAGATATGACTATTGGTTCTTTCAGGCTGCAGAGTAAAATCAACTGCAAAAATAATTTTTAAAAAATATAGATACATGTAATTAATAGAAATTAGAATTCTTGAGGGAAAAGTTGTTCTACCAAGAGTTTACTTTACCAAGAAATTTGAAGTTACAAGGACAGGAGAATTGTGACTACAACATTTAATAAAGTATAAGGATGATTAATATTCTCTATAGGAAGAACAAAACCCTAAAAACAGACATTGAAAATTTATTGAAAACTTAAAAATTGAGAGTCGAATATGAGACCAGCCTGTTTTAATCCAGTCTCCAATGTAAAAGTGAAATATTTTATGCCCTGAATGCCCTTTAGCTATCAAGGTCATTATTATTAAAATATTTCTTGTTCTTAAATACTAGTGATATAATTTTGGCAAGAATGGGAAGATTTTAGCTTCCTCAAGCACCGCTCTAGATAACTGGATAAAAGTCCATATATTCAAATTATAAGTGGTAATTTAAGGCAGATTTTTGCAAAATCTTTTACCAGTCACTTTGTGGACATCCCTGCCAGCTCTAGACTGAAACCGAATTTTAGATTTTACACGTAGCTCTTCATGTTGTAACTAAACTGAAATTATCATTTCCATTTTTACTTCCTATTTACGTAATAATTCTTCTTTCTTTTTACATGTTAAATCAAAATTTTACATTATATCAATAATATATATTTATTGTAAGAAAGTACAAATACTCCAACAAACTGCAGTGAACTCTATTCTCTAATGAAATGTGTTTAACAATTCAAATGAAATACAGTAAAGAAATGTAAAATTTTTTTTTTATTGATTTATTGATTTATTGATCATTCTTGGGTGTTTCTCGCAGAGGGGGATTTGGCAGGGTCATAGGACAATAGTGGAGGGAAGGTCAGCAGATAAACAAGTGAACAAAGGTCTCTGGTTTTCCTAGGCAGAGGACCCTGCGACCTTCCGCAGTGTTTGTGTCCCTGGGTACTTAAGATTAGGGAGTGGTGATGACTCTTAACGAGCATGCTGCCTTCAAGCATCTGTTTAACAAAGCACATCTTGCACCGCCCTTAATCCATTTAACCCTGAGTGGACACAGCACATGTTTCAGAGAGCACAGGGTGGGGGGTAAGGTCACAGATCAACAGGATCCCAAGGCAGAATAATTTTTCTTAGTACAGAACAAAACGAAAAGTCTCCCATGTCTACTTCTTTCTACACAGACACAGCAACCATCCGATTTCTCAATCTTTTCCCCACCTTCCCCCCTCTCTATTCCACAAAACCGCCATTGTCATCATGGCCCGTTCTCAATGAGCTGTTGGGTACACCTCCCAGACGGGGTGGTGGCCGGGCAGAGGGGCTCCTCACTTCCCAGTAGGGGCGGCCGGGCAGAGGCGCCCCTCACCTCCGGGACGGGGCGGCTGGCCGGGCGGGGGGCTGACCCCCCCACCTCCCTCCCGGGCGGGGCGGCTGGCCTGGCGGGGGCTGACCCCCACCTCCCTCCCGGATGGGGTGGCTGCCGGGCGGAGACGCTCCTCACTTCCCAGACAGGGTGGCTGCCGGACGGCGGGGCTCCTCACTTCTCAGACGGGGCGGCTGCCGGGCGGAGGGACTCCTGACTTCTCAGACGGGGCGGTTGCCAGGCAGAGGGTCTCCTCACTTCTCAGATGGGGCGGCCGGGCAGAGACGCTCCTCACCTCCCAGACTGGGTCGCGGCTGGGCAGAGACGCTCCTCACATCCCAGACGGGGCGGCGGGGCAGAGGCGCTCCCCACATCTCAGAGGATGGGCGGCCGGGCAGAGACGCTCCTCACTTCCTAGATGGGATGGCGGCGGGGAAGAGGCGCTCCTCACTTCCTAGATGGGATGGCGGCCGGGCAGAGACGCTCCTCACTTTCCAGACTGGGCAGCCAGGCAGAGGGGCTCCTCACATCCCAGATGATGGGCGGCCAGGCAGAGACACTCCTCACTTCCCAGATGGGGTGGCGGCCTGGCAGAGACTGCAATCTCGGCTCTTTGGGAGGCCAAGGCAGGCGGCTGGGAGGTGGTTGTAGCGAGCCGAGATCACGCCACTGCACTCCAGCCTGGGCACCATTGAGCACTGAGTGAACGAGGCTCCTTCTGCAATCCCGGCACCTCGGGAGGCCGAGGCTGGCGGATCACTCGCGGTTAGGAGCTGGAGACCAGCCCGGCCAACACAGCGAAACCCCGTCTCCACCAAAAAAATACGAAAACCAGTCAGGCGTGGCGGCGCGCGCCTGCAATCGCAGGCACTCGGCAGGCTGAGGCAGGAAAATCAGGCAGGGGGGTTGCAGTGAGCCGAGATGGCAGCAGTACAGTCCAGCTTCGGCTAGGGATCAGAGGGAGACCGTGGAAAGAGAGGGAGAGGGAGACCGTGGGGAGAGGGAGAGGGAGAGGGAGAGGGAGAGCTGTAAAATATTTAAAGAAATTTATTCTGAGCCAAATATGAGTGACCATGGTCTGTGACACAGCCCTCAGGAGATCCTGAGAACATGTGCCAAAATTTTTATGTAACCTTGGATTATTACGCTTCCTTCTGAGCATTGTTCCATTTATTCAATTTTTTATTTCTTATGTCATTCCATTTACCCAATATATAACTCTATACATGTGATCCCAGAACATATTTGTTTTTCACTATGTTTTACTCTTCATGTTATAAATTGGTCTATAAATAGAAACACAGATATAAAAGGGTTGCATAGTCATATGGTTCACTTCCTGCTGAAATGAAATAAAGATTTGATGAAGGGTAAAATATTACCCCCATGATTCTAACAAGAAGTAATACACTGTGGGAATTCTGCCAATGGGCTGACGCTCACCTCTGAATCCACTGAGCCTGTCCAGCAGTCCAGTGATGGGCCCTGCACTGAGCTCTGGATTCACAGGCTCAGACACTTGCAGCAGCGGGGACTCATACCTGCAAGGAGAAAGATACAGTTACCACATCTACATCCAAAAAAAATACATAAAAATCACCACTTTTATTTAAAAGACATTTCATGAGAATCCCTTTAACCCACACATTTGCTAATTCCAAAATTATCATTTTATTTTTCAAATCCATTCTTATTCACAGTTCCTGATTTTCAAGCACGATGGAAAAGTCTATCTGACTGAGAATTCATTCGGATCTTTCTTCGTATTGCTCCAAATTAGTAAGGATCATTAGTCTTAAGACTGGGAGAATATTGAAAAATGAAATTCTGGGTTCCAGACCTCACCAGAAATTCCTGAAATCACTGTCTGGAAAAGTGGGGTTATTTTTAAGACTGCTGCATCTGTTGCTTCCTTCTCAAGGCCAGGGTGTTGAAACTTGCTCCAGGCAGGGAGATCTGCCTTTTATAGTTGAGGTTCTCTGGAGGCCTACACGGTTCAAACATTCCAAATAGTTTGTTTCATCCATTTTTCAGAATTATATATTTAAATATAAACTAGAAATCATCAACACTTTTCACTGCTAAGATACTTTCCCCTCTTCTCTCTGGCTTCCCCTGGTTGACTTTGTAGCCATGTAGTAAATGTAATATTTTCTCTTTCAAATATGAAGGCTTTTGAGCAATAAAAAGGAAATTAGGAATAGAGATGCTCACTTCCTTGATTTTTCTTTCATTTATTTATTTTTTGTTTTATTTATTTATTTATTTATTTATTTATTTGGTTTTGCAGAACTTTCATTGAGCTGCTTAATAAAGTCACTGAGTATGGCAACAAAATAGATGACTACATGGGGGTGGGGGATGGAGAAAGTACAACCAGCACAAGGCAGTGTCACTATCTGAATCCATTATACCTTCAATATCAAAGTTCCTGCTTGATATTTGTGGAAACTGAAAGCATCTGCTAAAATCTTGGTATGCACTCCCCTGTGTAATATGTCTCCAAAAGCCTGTAAAAAAAAAAAAAATAGAAAGGCTTAGTGCTTTCCACAAGACGCATCTTCCACTAAGTTCAGTGTGAGATTTGGAGACAGTTTCTGAAGATATTTTCCTACAATGTTCCCTCCTGGAAAGCATTCTCTGTTTCTTTTCTCATGAAAATCCCAGTCTATCATATGTCATGAATTAATGTCCTGATAAAGTCTAAGTCTTGAAGACATTCTCTTTACAAGTGAAGGGAGAGGAGGGAGGCCCACAGAGTCTATGCTCTGTGGTAACCATAAAGAAGCTACTCAGTCATCTTCCCTAAGCCCTGTTACCAAAATGAGTGGACCCCAAAATAATATTAGTGTGATCCTAGATTCCCCAACTTCTCCATCATGCCATGTCTCCAAATTAGCCTAAATGCCAATGAATCACTTCTCATTTTATCCACTTTCAAAAATCCTAAATAAATCACTGACTTTTGATGGGAAATATTTCTTGGGGCTGTCTGTTACCTTAGCCATTCTACAAAGTTTTGTTGCTGGTGGATAAGGTAGGAGGGACCTTCGGTCTAGTAGAATCACTAGGAGAGGCTATACCTTCCCAACCAAGTAGCATTAGTTATCGAATCATGTTTTTGGAAACAAATAATGGAAGTGAAGGGGGAGACGGATTTCAGGAGAGAGGAAAAACACCCATGTATGTGAATGTTCAACATCATGATACCCCATGGTCAGTCCGTACCAGGAGTAGCTCCACATCTGCTTTATGGTACATTTGCTTCAGATCCTCATACATTCCTCTTAAAAGCTCCCTGGGATGTTCCATTCTGGCTTGGCTTTCATTGAGTTGCTGAAAAATGTCCTCGCCCTCCTTTCGCAGCCTCTCCAAGTGATGTTGCTCTTCTTCATGGAGAAATGCAGGCATCTTCTGATATTCAGCTCTGATTGCTTCTGTCCTTAAACTCACATAATCCTGCAGTGACAATTAGTCAAAATAGAAATGTTTTATCCATCTTCTCTTGAATTTCACTGATTCCTCTTAGCATTCTGAACACCCAATATTTTAATCCTCAATCTTGTCAAGTCTCAGATTCCACAAAATTTTATTCCTTTCCTTTTTTTTCTGTACTAATATCAACATAGTTGTTTCTGCCCAGTTACATTTACTTGATTAATGATAAAATGCTTTCTAAGATAGTTATATAAAAATGGATTTCTCTCTTCCACACCACATTTATAGAAAGAAAACACAGTTCTTGCTTAAGAATCAAACTATCGAGTTATATTGACTAGGTAAGAAACCATTATTTCTATTTTGGAGAATTGGGGCAAGTTATGTAAAACCATTATACGACAAATGATGACATGACCCAGACTAGCATTGTCAACTCAATGCATTTCACCCAGCATAACATATTCTAATAAGGTTTCATTTATTCTCTTCCAAACTCACACTAATCAGCAACATGGACTTTTTTGTGGTTCCTCAAACCCCCAAATAAATGCAAATTAAATATTACTGCACATGCTGTTTTCTATACCTAGAATTATTTTCATATATACATATATATATATATTTCTCATATATGTACTCATATATATATTTCTCAAATATAGGTATATATGGATATATGAGGAATATATACGTGTATCTGTGTGTGTGTATATATATATTCCTCAAATATATCCATATATATATATATATATACCAACACCCAGATACACATACATATTCATATATTTATGAAGAAGAGGAAGGCAAACAGGAGGATATGTATATTTCCTCCTGATCAAGATTTTGTTTCAGTGTGAATTTTTCCATGAGCCTTTTTTCTGACCACCCTATTTAAAACTCAAACCCTCAGCCCCAGTCCCTGGCCTCTGTGCTCCTTTTCTACTTTCCTGCTTGATTATTCTCCAAAGACACTACTACACTCTAACACATCATGTACTTCACATATCTGCATGGTGACCATTTGCTTTTCTCATTTCCATTGCAAGATTTGTGTGTTTTCTTTCTTCTTTAATCCTTAATTTTCTAAGTTGATATTTGACATAGACTAGGTACTCATAAAATATCTTTCAATGAATTAATATTAGAATAAATTAATGAATTAATATTAGATATCATACCCTCAATATAAACATCCACAAAGAGAAAATCATTTCTAGAATTCTTCTCAAGTCCTTAGAGTTCTCCTTATATTAAATACTAGTTCCCATATTTCTCACATATTTATGTCTTCATCAAGACACAAGTCTACATTTCTCACCACTTTTCCCATTATGTGTTATGACTTACTCAATATTAATTAGCGCTGATATTTAATTTCATGCTTTCCCTAAGGTTGTGCTCTTGCTCCTTCTGCCTGAAATTTAGCTCACATTTCAATATAGGTGCCCACCAGGATTCAAATTCATACTGACTCAGCCTTAGAAGGGTCACCTGAAATTTCCATGACTGACAAATAACACTTGTATCCAGAATTTATCCAGGCAGCCCATTGGGAACAGTGTGAAATGGCCCAGTTTCTTGTATTTGTTGGGGGTATTGCTATAGGTTTGTATGGAAACAGATGAGCATGCTTGGGTAACATCTGTGGTCTGATTAGACATCCTACCAAAGAGTCACACTAACTTATATAAAAAATTAGGGTGTTTTTTTCTCAAGTGTTTTTTCCTTGTTTATTGAATTCCAGAAACATTATGGGTTGAGATCAAGTTCCTGTTTTAAGAGTCACCCATTTGTTCACTATAAGTTCCTGCAGAAGGTAGAGTAATACGGTACTAACCTTCCAGCATCTGGTTCTGGTGGTTTCTGTGTTCAGGTTTCTGAGATTTTCACAAGCTTTTTGCCATAAAGACTGCATTTTTTTTAGGAGCTCCTCCTGCAAAAGAGCCATGAATTGAAGCACAAGTGAGGACAATAAAGTATCACTCACACTCTGATATACGAAGGACCCAAAATGAGAGACAAATTAGCCCACAGAAAATAGAGTTTGCTTTGTTTCTCCTCATGTTTGTCAAATCTGAGAGGTGTGAAGTCAAGGAAGCTCATAACAGACATGCTTAAGGGGACACAGAGATGGCATCATCCAATCTCCAAGGAAATAGACTTACAAGAATTTCATGTGTCCTGTATAGAAATAGATCTTCAGAGGCATCACTTACCCGGCGTTCCTCAGCAGCCCACTCAATGGGACAGTGTCTGTGATTCCGGTGCTCCTGAGAGTTGGAGCACAGCCAACAGAGCCGGCTCTTGTTCACTTCACAGAACATCTTCTTTGTCTCTCTGTGCATCCCACATATTTGCTCCTCAGAGCTAAGGAATTGCCAGAGGCTGGCTTTTCTGGCAGTGGAAGCCATGTTCTTCAAACAAATGTCAGTTTTGAGGTTTCTCTGCTGTATTGTCTTCTTGCATTTAGAGCACTGAGCAAGAACTGCCATGTCTCGCCAGTTGAGGTAGAAACAGGGCCGGCAAAAGTTGTGCCCACAGTCTATGGTGACTGGGTCTATGAAGTAGTTCATGCAGATGGGACAGGTGAGTGCCCTCTGGAAGACTTGCAAGATTCCAGAATTCATGTTTCTGATGAAGAAGAGAGAGCAGCATGTCATTTTGGGGTCTGGGTTGGTGAAAATCTGTGAACATGTGGTGATATGTGGTAGCTATATTTTCTTCTTGACAGTGCTCATTAAAGCGGAACAAACTATTTCCTCTGTAACAAAAATGAAAAATTCATACACAAAGAGAGTCCTTAGGCTTTTTAGCAGGCACTACTGACTAGATGACTCGCAACCTCTTCTACTCGTAGTTCCTGCCCGCAACATAATGCAAATCTGTTCAAAAACCTATTCCCTGGATGTCGATATGAAACTCGGGTTTTAATCTTAAGTGGTCTAGAATAAAACATGCTTGTCCCTATTTCTCTTTCAAATAACTACTGAATGACTATGGGAGAGCAGTAGAAAACCTACATTGGGTAACAAAACATGAGAAGATGGTCAGAGGGCGCTATGACATATTTTTAGAGAGAGGGACCCAGAAGCCGGCTCTTTAAAACAAAAACAACCCCAGAACAAACCAACCGACCAGATAAACAAAAACACAGCAATTAAACCAGTCTAGGATCACTAGGAGATAAAATAAATAATGAAAAATATTGGGTTTATTTTTCTTATGGCTTAAATTAACTTCTTCTTTGGGCTACTCCAACTATGAACTGACATATAGTCAGTTTTTTAAAAACTGAAATATATATAATTATGTTACTATGGTATTATGGTTAATTTTAGGTGTTGACTTGACTAGATCAAATAATACATGGAGAATTGGTAAAGCATTATTTCTGGGTGAGTCTGTGAAGGTGTTTCCAGAGAGACATGTAAGTTGGTGAGCTGAGTGGGGAACAGCAGCCCTCAATGTGGGTGGACACTATCCAATCAGCTGGTAGCTCAGACTGAAGATAAAGGGCAGAGAGAAGGCAGTTTCCTCTCTTTCTCCTGAAGCTTATTCTAACTCAGCCAGGATATTGGTATCTCCAGGATACTACCTTAATGACAGCCTATGTTCAACTTCTCAGACTCCATAATCAAGGGAACAAATTTCCCTAGTGGACTTCCTCTCCTGTACAGTGTCATGTGTAGAGTGAGGACAGATATATGATCTGAGGGACGCATTAGACAGTCTCCTTATTGTTTGAACATCATAGGGTACACTTACACAAACCTAGATGGTATAGCCTACTACACACCTATGGTATACAGTATAGCATATTGTTCCTAGGCTACAAACCTGTATGGTATACGATAGGCAATTGTACCACAATTGTAAGTATTTTTGGTATATATATATAGTTATGTACACATCCTATGGTTCTGTCTCTCTGGAGAACCCTGACCAATACAAACTGTAATCTTTGCCTTGGCCGTTTGAAGTCCTTTACCTTACTCTCTTTTACTAAACACTGTTGAATTTAAGTGCCAACAGTGAAAATTTAAGACTTGCAAATATTTTTCAGAGGTCTTCTGAGCCATTTCAAGGAATTTTTCATAGTTTCATCTGAGGTAAGCCTCAATTAAAATGACAACTAGTATCAAGTATCAAATCATTCCTTATACAGTTATCTGCTAAACAATTGTGTTTTGATTTCTAAGCTAGGGCATTTTGGAGAGCATTCTTATTTCCTTTAGTATCACCATTTTTAACTCACCATTGCCTCAGTAACTTAAAATCATGTCTAAAAGCTTAAGGTTATGAAAGCACAACATTTACAGTATTCAATAATTATCCTTTTTTACTTAATTAAGTGTACCAATATTAGTACATGCAGTACACATATATATGTTTTAATGTGAATTCCATATATTCATGATGCATACAAATCTATTGCAGCAAACACTAGATATCTAAAATTTTTCAAAAATATATTAAACACTTTTGGAACACACAAAATGACAACAATTAATAACCTCATGTCATAAAATGAATAGCAATACTATGAGTTACAAATAAGATCATTAAGTAAGTTTAGTCAGATATTTTTATCACTGTAATTTACTATTTTAAAGGAAGAGAGAAATAATTTTCTCCATATAAGTTGCACTCACCCCAAGGTTCTATGAATGTTTCCTGCAGTAATTCTTCCAAGAAAAAGTTCTTTTAAGTACTCCCCAAGATCAGGAGCTCATTCCTTGCAGAGTTGACTTTCAGAGGTCACCTGAATGCAACTAACTCGAAGTGCTGTCCTCCTCTGGAGAAATATGAGCTTGTCTCTTCTACTTCCTTTTATGTGAATCTTTGAAGACCACACCCACCTCTTTAGTGATATTTAGGGTATTAAGAAAGGTGGAGACAGCAGAGATGATTAGGTTTATGCAATATTTAGTACACGCCTTTTCATCACTGATTAAATTAGCATCACACTATCATTGTAAAAACCACTGCCTGAATGAGGCATATCTATCATCAATCTTATCAGAGTAAATATGCTAGAAATTAACTAAAATTGATTAATACTGTTTCCTGAGTTTCTTCCCAAGGCACAAGCATTCCTCTAAGTGCACATTTATTTATTTATACCAAAGAAAGTTTCACCCTCTGGAATGCAGTGGCACAATCTTAGCTCACCACAGCCTTGAATTCCAGGGCTCAAGTAATCCTCCCACTTCAGCTTTCAAAGTAAAAAAGACTAGAGGTTTATGCCATTGCACCTAGCTAATTTTTCATTTATTCATCAAAAATATTTTTAAAATTATTAGGTGATTACATGTGTTACAGTGACCAGCTGGATTAGAATTAGATTAGGTTTAAAGCGATGGAAAGAATCTGGGAGAGGGGGCAGAGTGTTGGTTGTTAATTAGCACATGGATCAAAGGAGATTACTGATGTGTTTAGAAGCCACAACATTGACAGGATAAAAGCCGGAACTAACAATCCAATTGTAAATCTCTTCACTGTGGTATTTTCTGCCATTTCTGCTCCATAAGACACACCTTAACCACTTTGTCATGGTATCTGCAGTATTCTATTTTAGTCTAAATAGCATTTTCTCTCAAATGCATTCTGTTTCTCTCTCCTTCATCTTCCCTCCCTTCTTCCTTCCAGCTGTATTTTTTCACTAGAGAACACTAGTAGAATGTTCTTCCAAATTTCAGATTTCAGATACGCATCTGTAAAATAATCTTATGGAGACACATTTTAGTTGCTACTGAATAATTGGTTGTTTTCATAGGTTCACAGCATTACTACTGTCCTCCAAAAAACGGTTTCCCATTTCCACAGCTAATCTCATCATTGACTCTGCCATCCAAGTTTATTCTATGCCACTCTGGAAGAATCTGGAAAAATACTTAAAATACATTTTAAGTATTCATCATGCACATGTATTGTATTTCATTTTATATAGTTCGGGTGAATCTCTTTCTCCACTAATTGTTTGCATCTCAATTCTTGTATCATGTTTTTTGAAACACAGAAGTCGTTATTAATATAAACCGACTAATTTTTTTAATTGTTAATTTTTGTCCTGGTTAAGAAATCCTTATGAGAATATTGTATCAGGACTTGAATCTTCAGGACTTGAATCTATTTGGAAATGACTGTGTGTGTTTTGAGGTAGGAGTCAATATTTAGTTGTTTTTTAAAATTCAATTAATCCAGCATTGTTCTGACCACCTTGTGTATTTCAATGTAGAAGAGCACACTAATGCAGGATTGTTTATCTATGTGGTGAGAATTCCGAAATGAAGCCCAGCATGGAAGATCAAATAATATTAACTCAAAGGATAGATTAGTAAAATGAAATGTGATGGATAAGTGCAATATAGTTAGGTAAAGAGAAAGAAAAACATTTCCCAGCTATCAAGACTTCACTCCAAGCTTTTGCATGAAGCAAAAGATCCCGACTCTCTTCCATTGATTTTAACTCCATTCAGACATGTCTGTCATCTATTATTTCACTCAGTGGCAGTCAGAAATAAAGAAAAAAAAAAAAACAGAATATACTGTATGCCATGATCACGAATAATGATTTCTCAAAAATTAATAAAGAACCAATACATATACTTTTAGTGTTTTTACCATTTTTAATAGTAACACAATAAATGAGTTTTAATAACATTAGGAGGCAATTCAAGACATAAAACAGAACCTATTTGTCCTGTTTGATAAGGCACAAGGAAGAGGGCTTCCTGGAATAAAGGGATTCTCACAGCAGATGAACACATTTCTGATTTATCTCTGGTCAGAGGTGAATACACCGAAAGATAGGCCTGAGAGGAGGTGAGAAGGAGCAATTAGGGATGGTGTATATAAGGCAGCTTTGGTTAACATCAACGAAGCTCAGTTCTAGCTTCACAATCCAGGAATAATCCTATGTGGCTGGTAGTTCTTGGGATATATTGCAGTGTAAGTGGGGAGGTGGTAAAGAGACTGCACTGAATGTCATTCTTGACACATCCAAGACTAAAGAGTCCCTCCCCTCCATATATATTGTCATTCTGATTCTTCCCTTTCCAATACTTATTACAGACACCAAAGGCCCAATTCCAAGAGTCCCCCACATGGACCTCCCAGTAATATTTGCCAGAGGTGAAAGTCTGAGCACCCCATGCAAGAAAACTTGTAGGTGTTGCAGTGATATGGGGCACATTTTGACGGTCACATCCAATACACATGCTTCTCAAATCTCCACATCGGAAGATATGACTGTTGGCTTCATTATGAGGCAGAGTAATATCCACTGCAAAATAAATAAATAAATAAATAAAAGAGAAAGAAACAAAACATGCATAGACATGTGTCAATAAGCAAAAATTGTTCTATCAAGAAGTTAATTTACCAGGAAATGTAGAGTCACAAGGACACTTTTGCTTCTAACTTCTAATAAAGCATAGAGATGATTAACTACAAGACAAACAAAACACTAACCACAGGTATTAAAAATGTTTTGAAAACTTACTTATTGAGAGCCAAATGTAAGACCAACTTCTTTCAATCCAATTTTCAAAGCAAAATTTGCACATTATATGCCCTAAATGCTATGCTATTATCAAGATCATTATTTAGAAATGTTTCTTATTCTTAAAAACTAGTGCTATCATTTTGGAAAGAATGTGAAGATTTTCAGTTACTCAAGAACTGCTCTTGATGACTGGATAAAAATCCGTAAGTACATGTCGTAAGTGACAATTTAAAGCAGATTTCTGTAAAATCTTTTACCAGTCTCTCTGTGGTCCTCCATGCTAGCTTGGGGCTGAAGCTGGATTTTAAACTTATCATGTAGCTCTTCATATTGCAATTAAACTGAAGTTCTTCTTGTTTGTAATTTTACTTGTATTCACAAAATGGTTTCTTCTTTTTATGTTTACCCATTAACTATTTTTTTTTGCAATACATGATACATATCCATTTAAAAAATTAAAAACCCTCAGCAATCCCCAGTAAACCATAATCCCAAAAAAAGTTCTTAGCTGTTCAAATGAATACACTAAGGAAATGTAAAATTTTGTATTTAACATTAAATAACTCACCTTCATTCTGAGCATTGTTCCATTTGCTCCTTTTTTAAATTTGCTACACTACTCTTTTTTCCCATTACATTACTCAGTACATATGAGGCCAAAATGTATTTGTTTTTCACTATCTTTCAAACTTAATGCTATAAATCTGACTATACAGACACAGATACAAAAGGGTTGCATGATTATGTTGTTCACTTATGTCTATAAAGAAGTAAAATATTTGATAAATGGTGAAGTATTACCCATGTGGTCCTAACAATAATAATATTTAGATAGTGGGAGTGCTGCCTGTGGGTGGAGACTTACCTCAGAATTGGATGAGCCTGTCCCTCAGTCCAGTGATGGGCCCTGCACTGAGCTCTAGATTCAGAGGCTGGGGCATGTGCAGCAGCACGGACTCACTCCTGGAAGGAAAAACCTGCAGTTACAACATCTACAGCCATAAAATAAACAAAAACCACTATTTCTATTTAAAAGACAGTTCATGAGAATCCTTTGAATCCACAAATTTGATTACTCAAAAATTATTCCTTCCTTTTTGGAATTAATTTCTATTTACAGTTTCCAAATTTTAAAGCATAGTGGGAGAGTCTGAGTCAGAATTCAGTCTGATCCTTCTTTTTTTTCTGCCCCACATGTGTAAGGTTCCTTAGCCTTATGGCCTTGAGAATATTTGGAAATGAAATTCTGAGTTCCACTTCTTGGCAGACTCCCCTGACATCTTTGTCTGAAATAGCGGGGTTCTGGGGAGACTGCTGCATCTGCTGCTTCCTTTTCAAGATAAAGAATGTGAAACTTGTTCTAGGCAGCTAGATCTGCCTTTTAGAAACAAGCCTCCCTAGAGACTTATACAGTTCTAATACTCCACAGTTTTTTCAACCTATTTTTCAGGACTGTTAACTGATATGTATGTAGGTATGAACAACAAATCATCAACTTTTTCACTGCTGAAATACTTCCCCCACTTCTCTCCTGCTTCCTCTGGTGACTTTCTCACCATCCACAAAACAAAACTTTATCTTTCACCTATGCAGGCTTTTAAGCAATAAAACAAAATCAGGAATAAACATTTTTTTTTATTTCACTATTTATTTATTTATTTATTTAGTGTTCTTGTCTTTTCTGGTGTGAGAGTGAAAGCAGATGCAAAAAAAAGGTAGAATCAATATCTTAATCATTTATGCCATGACTTTGGTAGAGCCTGCTTTGATATTCATGGAAACTGAAAGAATATATACTAAAATCTAGGTAAACACTCACCTGTGTAATATGTCTCCGAAACCCTGTAAAAAAAAATAGAAATATGTAGGACATTTCACAAGATGCACCTTTCACTAAGTTCAGTGTGAAATTTCGAGTCAGTATCTAAAGATATTATTTCCCTACCATCTGGAAAGCATTTTCTGTTTCTTCTGTAATGAAAATCCCAGTTAGTCGTTTTGTCATTAATTAATGTCCTGGTAAAGTCTGAGTCTTGAAGACATTCTCTCCAGAAGTGAAGGGAGAAGAGGCCCAGAGAGTCTATGCTCTGTGATAACTTCAAATAACCTACCCAGTCATCTTTCCCAGAACCTATTACCCAAATGAGTGGACCTCAAAATAATATTGATGTGAGCCTAGATTCCCAAAACTTCTGATCTTGCCATGTCCTCAAATTAACCTAAATGTAAATGAATCACTCACTATTTTATACATGTTAAACAACCCAAAATATATTATTGACTTAGATGGGGAATAGTTATTGGGGCTGTCAGCTTGACCATTCCACAAAGTTTTGTGGCTGGTGGATAAAGTAGGAGGGACCTTTGGCCTGGTAGAATCCCTTGGCGGGGCTATACTCTCCCAACAAAGTAGCATTAGTTATGCGAATGTGTTTTTGGAAACACATCATGGAAATAAAGGTAGGGAGATGGATTTCAGCCATGAGGAATATACTTACACATGTGAATATTCAAAAACCTGAAACCACATTGTGAGTTTGTACCTGAAGTAGCTCCACATCTGGTTTATGGCACATTTCCTTCAGCTCCTCATACATTCCTCTTAAAATCTCCCTCCTATGAGCCATTTTGGCTTTACTTAAATGAAGTTGATGAAAAATATCTTTCCCCTTCTTTTTCAGCATCTCCAAATTATGTTTTTCTTCTTCATGGTGAAATGCAGCCATCTTCTGATACTCAGCTCTCATAGCTTCTAGCCTTAAATTCACATAATCCTGCAGTGATAATGGGTTAGTCAAAAGAGAAATGTATATATCCATCTCCTACTAAATCTCACTGATTCTGTTTGTCACTCGAACATCCAATAATTTAAACCTCAGTCTTGCTGGTTCTTAGAATCCACAAAATTTTGTTCATTTCCTTTCTTTCTGTATAAAAATCAACATAGATGTATCTGACCAATTACATTAAATTTATTCAAGATAATGTGTTTTCTCAGATAGTTGGAAATAAAAAAACACAATTTGAATTTCGCTATTCCAGCCAATATTTATGGAAAAGTAAGAACAGTTCATGCTTAAGAGTTGGAGTATAGAGCTATAGTTACTAGAAAGGAAATAATTATTTCTATTTCTGAGATACGTAACAAGTTGCTTAAACTCATTATATGTGAAATGACCTTAGACTAGCATGTCCAGCTAAATGCATTTCACCCAGCAAAACCTATCTTAATAAGGCTGCATTTATGATTTGGCCATCTTTGTCTCTCTGAATTCATTTCCTTCCATTCTTTTTCTAAGTTATCCCATTCTGAAACATAGACTTCTTTGTGGTTCCTCAGGCCTCCAAATATACACAAACTCAAAATTACTGCATATGCTGTTCTCTCCAACTAGAATTTCACACACACACACACACACACACACACACACACACATATACATATATACACGTTCATGGTCCACATATATGTATATACATACACACATTCGTGTTCCCTCTCCTCTTCAAAATTTCGTTCAAATTGAATTTTTCAGTGAGTCTTTTTTCTGACCACCCTATTTAAAAATCAGACACTAATCTCCAGTTTCTGGCCTCTATTGTCCTTTTCTACTTCCCTGCTTGATTATTCTCCAACAAAGAACCTACCACACTCGAACACATCATGTATTGCACATATTTGCATGTTGACCATTTTTGCCTCTCTCATTTGGATTGTACGATTTGTGAGGACAAAGATGCTTTCTTTCTTCTATACTGTCAAATTTTCTAATTTAATATTCAACATAGACTAGGTTCTTATGAAATACTTTTCAAAACACTAATATTAGCTATCATACCCTCAAAGTATACATCCACAAAGAGAAAATCATTTTTAATATTTCTCTGAAGTCCTTAGAGTTTTCCTTATATTTAGATACTAGTTCCCATATTTTGAGCATGTTTGCGTGTCTCCCTCAAGACACAAATCCATATTTCTCACCACTTTTCTCATCATATGTTATGTAGTATTCAATATTAATTAGTTGAGATTCTTAATTTCATGGTTGCCCTAGATTTCCCCTGTCACTCTTTCTGCCTCAAATTTTCCATACAATTCCAAATACTACTTGTCCACCAGCATTCAGATTAATGCTGACCCAGGCTCAGAAGGTTCACTTGAGCTTTCCATGACTGCCAAATGAATCTTGTGCCCAGCATTTATCCAACCAGCACATATAGAATGCTGTGAGATGGCCCAGTTTCTGGTATCTGTTGGTGTATAGCTACAGGTTTGTATGAAAACAAACCAGCATGCTTTGGGTGACTTCAGTAGTTTTCTTAGAAATCCTTTCTAACAGTCATACTATTCTATATAAGAAATGAGGTCACTTTTTCTCAGTGTTTTCTTTTTTTTTTTTTATTGACTCCCAGAAACATTAGAGTTTGATAACAAGTTCCTATTTTAAGAGTCACCCATTTGCCCACCATAAGTTCCTGGAGAAGGTAGAAGGTAGAGTAGTACAGAACTAACCTTCCAGTGGCTGATTCTGGTGGTTTCCACATTCAGGTTTCTCTGATTTTCACAAGCTTTTTCCCATAAAGACTGCATTTTCTTTAAAAGCTTCTCCTGCAAAAGAGCCATAAATTGAATCACCAGTGAAAACAATAAAGTAACATGCAGACCGTTTCATAGGGAGCGGGCTGAGAATGAGAGACAAGTAAGTCCCTAGGAAATGGCATTTCTTCTATTTCCCTTCTTCTTCGTCAAATCTCAGAGGTTTGAAGCTAAGAAAGCCCAAAAGTGAGCTGCTTAAAGGGACTCAGGTTTGGCTTTACCCAATCTCCAGGAAAATAGACCCACAGGAATTTCATGTGTCATTTATAGAAATAGATCTTCAGAGGCATCACTTACCCGGTGTTCCTCAGCAGCCCACTCAATGGGACGGTGTCTGTGATACCGGTGCTCCTGAGAGCTGGAGCACAGCAAACAGAGCAGGCTCCTGTCCACTTCACAGAATATCTTCTTTGTCTCCCTGTGAGTGCCACACATTTGCTCCTCAGAGCTCAGGAATAGCCAGAGACTGGCTTTTCTGGCAAGGGAAGCCATCTGCTTCAAATGAATGTTAGTTTTCAGGTTTCTCTGCCATGTTGTCTTCATGCATTCAAAGCACTGAGTAAGAATTGGGATGTCTTGCCAGTTGAAGTAGAAACAGGGCCTGCAAAAGCTGTGCCCACAGTCTATGGTGACTGGGTCTATGAAGTAATTCATGCAGATGGGGCAGGTAATTTCCATCTGGAAGTCTTGCGAGATTCCAGAATTCATGTTTCTGAGGAAGAAAGAGCAACATGTCATTTTGGGGTCTGGGTCGATGAAAAGTTTCGGAACATGTGGAGATACCTGATAGCCCTATTTTCTTCTCTTGACAGTATTCATTAAAACACAGCACACTATTTATTCTGTAACAAAAATAAAAATCTCACACAGAGAGAGTCTCTCGGCTTTACAGTAGATATTACTGACTAGATGACTCACAACCCTTTATACTTTTATTTCCTGTCTGTAACACAATACCAATCTATTCAATTTCCCGTTTTCTGAATGTTGATCTGGAAATTGGGTTTGATTCTAAGTGGCCTAGAATAAATTGTAGTTGTTCCTATTCTTCTTTCATGTAACTGCTGAGTATGAAAGACTGGGAAAAACTGCCTTGGCCAAGGAAATATGAGAAGATGGCTAGAGGGTCCTATGGCATATTTTTAGAGACACAACAGTGGGGCAGCAAACCACCATGGCACATGTTTACCTGTGTAACAAGCCTGCATGTCCTGCACATTTATCTTAGGACTTAAAATAATATGAAATTAAAGTAAAATAAAAAACCAAACCAAAACAAAATAGAAAAACCAATCAACCAACCAAATAAACAAAAAAACAGCAATTAAACCAATTTTGGTTTAATAGAAGAGAAAAACATAATTAAAGATATGGGGCCTTTTTATTTTCTCGTGGATTATATTAACTTCTCCTAGGGATACCCAAACTCTGAACTAACATATAGTAGGATTTTTGTTAAACTCAGAGAGGTGTAATTACATCTCTATGGTGTGATGGCGAATTTTAGGTATCAGTGTGACTGGATTAACCAATACCTAGGGAACTGGTGCAGCATTGTTTCTGGGTGAGTCTGTGAAGGTGTTTCCAGAGGAGAGAGACATGTGAGTTGGTGAGCTGAGTGGGACCATCATCCCTCAATGTGAGTGGGCACCATTCAATCAGCTGGTAGCTCAGATAGAAGGAAAAAGCCAGAGAAAAGGCAATTTCCTCTTTCTTTCTCCTGAAGCTGGTTCTGAGGCTTTCAGCCTTGAGCTCAGTCAAGATACCGGTATCCTCAGGACATCAGCTTAAAGACAGCCTATATTAGAACTGCTCAGACTCTATAATCAAGCAAACGAATTTTCCTGATGAATTCCCTCTCAGGTAGAGTCATGTGTAGCTTGATGACAGATATATGTTCTGAGAAATGTGTAAGGAGGTTTTATTTATTTACTTTTTGAGATGGAGTCTCACTCTATCATCCAGGCTGGAGTGCAGTGGTGCAATCTCGGCTCACTGCAATCTCCGCCTCCAGGGTCAAAGCGAGTCTCCTGCCTTAGCCCCCTGAGTACCTGGGATTACCGGAACACCTCACTACACCTGGTAAATTTTTTCATTTTTTTTTCCTTTTTTTAGTAGAGATGAGGTTTCATCATATTGCCCAGGCTGGACCTGAACACCCGGCCTCAAGTGATGTGCCTGCCACAGCCTCCCAAAGTGCTGGGATTACAGGCATGAGCCACTGTGCCCAGCCAGGCGGTTTTATTGTTTTGACATTATAGACTATACTTACACAAACCTAGATGGTATAGCCTGCTACACACCTATGGTATACAGTACAGCCTGTTGCTCCTAGGCTACAAAACTGTACAGCATGTTCTGTACGGTATACTGTAGGCAATTGTAACACAGTGGTAATTATTTAGTATGTAAACATATTTAAATACAGAAAAGGTACAGTAAACACACTGGTATTATAATCTTATGTGACCACCATGTGTGGTTTATGGTTGACTGAATTGGCTCATGAATGTATCTCTACATGTATACATATACATCCTATCATTCTGTCTGTCTGGAGAGCCCTGACTAATATATAAACTATGGTCTTTGGCAATTTTAAGTCCTTTTCTTTACTCTCCTTTATTTGATAACACTGCTGAATTTTAGTGAAAGAAATGAAAAATCTTAGAATTGTAAATATTCTCCAGAGGTCATCTAAGTCATTTTAAGGAATTTTTCATAGTTTAATAAGATTAAGACTCAAGTGAGATGGCAACCACCATCACGTATCAAATTATATCTTATAAATTTATTTGGTCAAAAAACTGTTTTGATTTCCAAACCAGGATGTTTTGGGGAGCTTTCTCATTTTTTTCAGTTTCACTGTTTTGCATCTCTCATCATTACCTTGCTAATTTAAAGTTATGTCTAAAAGCTGAATGAATGAATTAACATTCATTAATGTCTTCTCAATTCAATTGTTTAATATTAATGCACTCATTACACATATATTTACACACACTTATGTGCACATATATGTATTAATATCAACTCCATATGTTCATTATGCATACATATCTGTTGCAGCAAACACTAGATATTTCCATTTTTTCAAAACTATATTGAAGATAGAAAATGCAAAATAACAACAATTAGTATCCTCATAATTCATAAAATCTATAGTAAGAATATGAATTACAATGGTATCATTGTGTAGATTTAAGATAATGAGATATTTTTAACACTCTAATTTATTATTTTATAAAGGAAAGAAGATATAATTTTATCAATATAAGTTTCACTCACCGCTGGGTTCTTTGAATGGTTCCCACAGTGATTCTTCCAGAAATAATTCTGTTAAGTACTCCTCAAGTTCTGGAGCTCATTCACCGCAGTACTGACTTTTAGAGGTCACCAAAATACAGCTCCCTCTAAGTGTGCTCCTTCTCCTTTGGAGAAAACTGAGCTTGTCTCTTCTATGTCCTTTTATAAGAATCTGTGAAGACCACACCCACCTCTTTAACAGGGTGGAGTATTGAGAAAGGTAGAGGATAAGACGATTAGGTTTATGCAGTATTTAGAACACACCTTTGCACCGCTGATTAAATTATCATCACTCCTTCATTCCAAAAAACCGTGACTGAAGTGAATCATATGTAACATAAATCCTATGAGATTACACATACACTAGAAATTAACTAAGATGCATTTTATACTGTTTATTGAGTTTCATCCAAGATGCAGGCATTCCTCTAAGGGCATATTTATTTATTCTAGAGAAACTGTCTCCTTGTGGAGTGCAGTGGTACAATCATAGCTCACTGCAGCCTTGAATTCCAAGGCTCAGGGGATCCTCTTGCTTCAGCCTCCCAAGTAGCTAGGACTACAGTCTCACACCATCCCACTTGGCTAATGTTTTTTAAAACTTTTCATAGAGTCAGGGTATGGCTCTGTAGCCCAGGCTGTTCTCCAATTCCTGTCTTCAAATGATCCTCTGGTCTTGGACTTCCAAAGTGCTTGGGAGTACAGGCATAAACCACCTCTTCCAACCCTAAATGCTGCTTTAGTACATTTATAGGCTATTCCCAGAGAAGTCCAACAGGAAGATAAAACTTTTTTTATTTTCCACCACTCTAAGAGAAATCACTGATTAACCAAATAACCCCACTAATTTGAGGTCTCTTATTGAATTTACAAAACTTTGCCAATCTCATGGGTGAAATATAAATTATTATTTTAATGCTTTTCTCCACATAGTGCATGATGTTGTATGATGACTAGAAATGCAATGTAATAATTTGGGGATTATAAACAACTTTTAGGACGTAGGCTAATTCACAAATACAGAATCCAAATGATAGGGATGGATTATATTTTTCTTTCTATAACAAATATTTTTGTTGTCATGTGACAATTAAAAAAAGAAGAGATTTCAGAAGCGGCTACTCAAACATTTTCTGACAGAGGAATTCTTTGCCAATAGCCCCCACAAGACTTATAGTCAAGAGTGCTTATGTATTTTCTCAGCTTATTTTATGTTTAACCACATACAAATCATGGAGAAAATGTATCTATGGTTATGTGCAATAGTCCCCCTTATCCACATTTTTTCTTTTTTCTTTTATATATATAATATATAAAATATTATATATAATATATAAAATATTATATATAATATATTATATATAATATATAAAATATTATATATAATATATTATATATAATATATAAAATATTATATATAATATATTATATATAATATATAAAATATTATATATAAAATATAAAATATTATATATAATATATTATATATAATATATAAAATATTATATATAAAATATTATATATAATATATAAAATATTATATATAAAATATAAAATATTATATATAAAATATAAAAAAAAATATATATATATAATTGTACTTAAAGTTCTAGGGTGCATGTGCAATGAGAACACAGTTTTTCTTTCTGAGGTTTGAGTTACCAGGGATCAAAACCTGGCCAAAAAATATTAAATTAAAAAAATCTACAAATAAACAGTTTCTAAGTTTTAAGTTCCCTGCTGTTCTGAATATCATGATGAAATCTTTTTCAGTCCTACTTTGTCCCACCTAGGACATGATTTATACCAGCACAATCATCAGTAACCTCTCAGATATCAATTTATTCAACTGCTATGGTATGGCAGTGCTTGTGTTGAAGTAATTCATTTCTTACTCAATAATGTCCCCAAATCACACAAGTAGTGATGCTGGTCATTCAAATATGCTAAAGAGAAGCCATAATAAAGTGCTTCTTTTAAATGAAAAGGTAAAAGTTTTCTACTCAAAAAGAAATGAAAAAAAATATGCTGAGGTTGTGGGTTGAATCTTTTACTCATAAAATTGTGAAGGAAGAAAAACAAATCCAAACAAGTTTTGCATTGCATTTCAAACAGCAGACGTTACAGCCGCAGTGTATAATAAGTGCTTATTTAAGATTATAAAAACGGTCGTTAAATGTATGTAGAAAGCATGAACAAGAAATGTGTTCCAATGGATGGCAACATGTTTCCCCAGAAAGCATTGAACCTATATGAAGATTTTAGCAAAAGATCCCCTAAAACAAGTGACACTAAGCCATTTACTGCAAGTAAGGACAGTAACACAGATTCATGAAAACAGAAGGTCAATAGTAGCCTAAAGCTCATGTCAGTGCCTACATCATTCACCTCATTTCAATTCATCATGTAGTTAACGTATCATCTCACATCATCATCAGCTGTATATTCCATAATCATTTACATTCAACATGTTGCGTTTTATCTCTTCATTTATTCCATATCTCAAAACCTGAGGAACAAGGTCATCTGTCTGGGATTTAAGTTACAGTATAGGAGATCACCTTAAATAATTATTTATTCTTGTCTATAAGAAAATATTTCCATAATCATGTTTTTCTTGATTTACAAATCTTTCATGATTTTTTTTGACTATTACTTTATTTTTATTTTCTATGCTCTCATCTGGATTTCTACAATAGGTATCTAAATGTCTTTCTGCCTTCAGAATAGCGTCTTTCCAACAAGCACTCTAACATTCTCAGTCCCATGGGGAGACCACGAGGTCACATTCCTTTGATCCAATTTTACCCAGTTTCTGGCAATTCCTCCAATGCACTTCATGTTCTATCCTTTCTCATCAATTGGACCTGTGAGTCTTTGCCTGAAAAGCTCCCCCCGTCTGGGCTCAATAGAGTGTCTTTTAAGTATAACCCATGGAATGTCTGCCTTGGGGCCCGTGATTGACCTAGCAGCACTTCCTCTGGGCTTCTCTAGTCCCTGTGTATTAACAATTTATTTTCTTGGCTAGTTATAGAAAAGTTTACTTGAACCATTCCTATGATACTTGAATTGGACCCTCATTGTAGTTTATGAGTGGCAAAGAAGGGTCTGAGTATTCCAGCAAAGAAGTATGTAAGGAACAAATTATGAGAAAACATTTAGGAATAGGGAAAAAGGGCTAGGTGCGCTGGCTCACGCCTGTAATCCCAGCACTTTGGGAGGTCCAGGGAGGCGGATCTTCTAAGGTCAGGAGTTCGAGACTAGCCTGGCCAACATGGTGAAACCCCTCTCTGCTAAAAATACAAAAAATTAGCTGGGCATGGTGGCGGGCGCCTGTAACTCCAGCTACTCAGGAGGCTGAGGCAGGAGAAGTGCTTGAACCTGGGAGGCGGAGGTTGCAGTGAGCCGAGATTGTACCATTCCACTCCAGCCTGGGTGACAGAGCAAGATTCCATCTCAGTAAATAAATAAATAAATAAATAAATAAATAGGAATATGGAAAAGAGGCAGATGAAGATTCATAAACCAGGAGCATACTGAAACTGTTCTGATGTATTTGCATATGCTGGAATGATGATTGTGAGCTTGTCTAGAGACTTCAATGATTACTCTCCTTATAACAAAGCAGAAAGCCTTCCTTAGAATTATCTGGGCTGACATCATTCCTTGTCCAGACCTGTTAACAGACGTCTGCAACCCAGTGCTGTGAGTCTCAGTCCCAACAATGCAGAAGGCCTGAGATCCTACAGAAATTATCCCTGAATTTCTGAAGACTTTTAAGGCACAATAATTCATGGATCCTATGAATTTCATGTTTTTTAAAATATCAGATTATGTGAGGTTTTTGAACAAATTAACTTCCAGGATGATATCCACCACCGAGACAGAAAATCAGTCTAAAGAATTATAATCTCAAAGTCCAGAATGATGAAAAAAAATGTTTTTCTTAGAGCTTCCTTCTAAGTGTCTTCCATTTTTCTTGAGATATAAGTAGTAGAGAACAATCTCTGTCTGATACATCTGGCCTAGTCATATGTAAATTTATTAATTGTAGAAGAAAGAATTATACTTCTAAAATAAAACGGCTACTTAAAGCTTTTTGTTGTTTTTGAGGCAAAGTCTCACTCCGTCACCCAAGCTGAAGAGCAGCATTGCAATTGTAGCCCATTGCAGTCTCAAACTCCTGGAATAAAGTGATTCTTCCACCTTAGCCTCCAAAGTAGCTAGGACAACAGGGGTACATCACCAGGCATGGCTAATTTTCTTTTTCTTTTTTGTAGAGATGGTGTTTTACTATGTCTCCCAGGCTGGTCTCGAACTCCTGGCATAAAGGGATTCTTTACACCTGTTGTTTACGTTAGCATACAACGTGAACTGCAATTCTGAATTTACTTTTATAGCAGGTACTAACATAGCTTATACCATACTATAGTTGAATAATCTTTCCCCATCAATTTTTGCTGTATTCTTTGTTACTAATACTTGCTTATATATCACTGAACCTATTTCTGGGTCATCTACTCTTATCTTTCTATGTATCCTTACATCAGCTCCCAGGATTTGATATTTATATAATGATATTCTATTTAATACACAGATGTTTACCCTCAAAATTCTACTTTAAAGAAATTACCTTAGTATTCTCACCAAGTATTTTTTTTCCTTCCATCTTAAAATGTTGTTCAAATTGTGTTCTACTTTTTTGATTTTACACAGAATTAAGCATAAATTAATCACAAATGTTTAACATTTTCAAAATTAATGGCCTCATAATATTGTTATTCTGGATAAACAGAGTTTTGCCAGATGAAAGTGGAAATAAGGAACTCTATGTAAAGGTAATGACAATACAAAGGTAGAAAGAAATCAGACTTTGAAAATTCAGTTGTTTGGCTGAATATGATACATAGATACTAAAAACAACATGAAATAAAACTAGAAAAAGCCAGGGTCACAGAGTGGAGGGCTTTCAGTGTTAAGCAGAGTATGTTGTAATTAATCAGTTGGTAGTAGGGATGCACTGACATTTCTGAGCAGCACAAATCCAACTTATTATGTCAAAAATAGGTCTTTTGAGATAGGGCAGCCCTGCATAGGATGCACTAGAATGGAGAGGCAGATGTCAGAGTTCAGAGACTGATCACAGCAAGAACTTCCCAAGTCTCTTTCAGCAACACTGATGTGAGTTAACATTTCTTTTTAATTATATCTATTATAGGTATATGAAGAAAACATTTTTCAGATAATTTGAATGTAAATTTTGTCCTTAATAATATAAATTATTTGTACTGTTTAAATAAATAATCCCAGATTACTGAGATATTTATTTTCCCTTCCTTGCTTGTGAGGATACAACCAATGCTGAAAAGATGCTTTTTTTACTGGAGTACCAAAAATATTTGTTAACTATATGATATTCAGAAAAAGCATAAAGACAAGATGATGAGGGCACAGAATTATCAGAATTACTTTTCACTATTCTCTCTATTACAAGTTGAGCATTCGTCATTTAAAAATCCAAAACGTGTATTAAAACATCTCATGCACCCCACAAATGTATACACCTACTATGTGCCCACAAAAATAAAAAATTAAGAAATTTTTTACAAAAGGGTCAAAATCTAAAAGTTTTTGAGCAGCAACGTGACATTAAAAGAAAATGTTAATTGGAGCATTAATTTAAGCAAATAATTCTAGCATATCCTAAAAGACGGGATATTTTGGGATATGTATTAGGATATGTACTAGGGATGTTAAACCAATAAGTATACTGCAAATATTCCAAAATTTGAAAAAATCAAAAATCCAAAACTTTTCCAGTCTCAAGCATTTTATATAAGTGATAATCAACCTTATAATCTGTTGAATTGTATCATATGTATAGATTACATATTCTAAAGAGACATCATGTTTTGATGTCTTGCAGATTTAATTTTGAGACACACAGTAGTATTTTATTTATGAACCCAAGTAATGCTTTTCCTTTATCAGCTTTTAGAGCATTTTGAAAGTTAATCTTTAACATAATGGTTGAAAGACGATGCTCTTTTATTTTCAAAACAATCCCACATTGAATTCAGTGGGGAATTGTATTTGATTCTTTACCTAGACATGCCAGTGAACTCCGGGGAAGGACTTTTTTTTAGTTAAGTTTTCATAAGGAGATTTACCTTCAAAGCTTTCACTGGGGCTTTGCAGCTACACAATTTAAAAGGAAAAAGAGAACACATAGAAATCAGATATATTAAATGTCCATTAAACAGAAGTAAATAACTAAACCATAATTTGGCAAAAACAAGGAATGATATCTGCACATTAGTAACTGTTAAGAATTATAATAATGAGTTTCTGACAATATGGAAAAATACTGATGTTGTTATGTATAGGTGCAACTATATTATTAAAATAAATGCATAAACCACGTAGAATAAAAAGTCTGCAACTAAATAGTACCAAGACATTGTCTTTAGATGAATGGTTCTATCATATTATTTTTTGGTCCATTTTGCTAAATTGAAAGGGACAGCTCTCAAAAATATTTACCTTTCTCTTACAAAAAAAGAAAATAAAAAGTAGCAAACTAGTTAAGGTAAAGAAGAAGAGAGAAGAAAGAGAAGGAGCCTGAGCTTCTAGGATGCCTCGCTTTGTACATAGGTAATCTGGATGATTCCACCAAAACGTATCTATTTGTTTGCTGGACTTCATTGAAATCTGGGAGTTTTCCAGAATTAATCCATTCAGAGATAAGACAGAAGGCAGAGACTAAAAACAAACAATCTCTGTAATATCCAAGTGATCATGTACCTGGATGCATAAGCATAGTGGAGGCAGAGGGATAAATAATCTTTTGGAGTCCTCAAGTCGCAGAAATCTCCTAATTCTTCAACACCAGTAGATAGAGCCATCCAAAAGCAGGTGAAGAAGCCAAGTAAAATCTGGAAGAAGGAATGTTAGAGAGTAGAAGTTGCAAGGACAAGCTTTTACTGCTCACTGGACAGAGCAAACTCTTAGCTTCAGAAAGAAGGAGTGAAGGTAGACAGAGTGGCCCTTGCTCTGGGACCAACACAATAGAGCACTTCCTAATGGCCCTTCCAAAATTGCCCAATCTAACCCTGCTGGAGGAGAAGGCTGTGAGGTTTTCTGGCTCCTAGAGTTCCTCTTGGAATTCTAAATCCCAAATTCCCTGTCTGAACGAGGAGCTTCTTACCTTTTTCTTCCCAGTTTTTCCAGAGCAGATGAGCCAATATTGCTCCATGCTGAGGTCTTGAAACCATCCTTTTAAACGCCATAAAATTAATCAGGGAAGAAGAGATTGGGGGAAATAAAAATAAACCAAGCTTGCAACATTTTTAGAATAAATTATTAGGTGAGCTAGATCTCTGAACTGCTTTCTCCTAGTCATTTATTGCCTATTTCCTAGAATCAGGTAGACCCCAGTTTATAGTTCTCTGCGACTGTTCTATCCTGCATCCCAATTAAACTACAGACTCTGTGGTGCTGACAGTCCCCAGAAGCAACTGACTCACCAAATAATGCAGTGTCCACATCCTGATAATTTCATACCCCCTTGCAGCGACCAATCAAGCAGAATTTTCCAGCCCCTCACCTTCCACAATCCCCTTAAAAATTCCAGCCCAGAACTCCTTGGAAAGATGGATTTGAGGGTCTCCTCCAATGTTCTCACTCAGAACACTGTGATCATTAAAGTTATTATCTGCTGCAAATCTCCTGTCTTAGTGTGGTTGGCATGTTACTGCACAGTAGGCTGTTACTGTACAACCTGTTGGTCCTACAACAATCTGGCAGTTCTAAACTCCAGCACAGCCTTCTGTGTTATGAGGAAGTCATATACTGTTTTTTAAAGAAAAAGGATGCAAAATATTTATTGACAGATTGTTAGCTACAGTTATACATTTTAAACATTTGGACATTTGTATGTGGGCCTCTATTTATTTCCTGGTAGTGGTTTACAAGTATGAGAAGATGTCTGCAAAAAAGTTATTACCAAAAGTTTAACAGTCAAAAGGATGAGCTGTGTGGAAAGAATACTGGTAATTAAGTGAAGCCATGTTTTGACATGCACATTTTTCTAGGCCGTTGACTCTTCCCAAGTCATCTACTTTGATTATTGCTTATTTCCTCATTTTAATATTTAGTTTACAAAATTTTGTAAATAGTATTCAAACAAAAAAGGCAAAAACGTGGGAAAATAATAAAGAGTAATTTTAAATGAAAAACTCACTTCCCAACTCTACCAAAACTGAATAATGAAATCTGGATGCCTTCCTATTCTGAAGTGTTTCTTACCTAGAAACAGCTCTAGCCATGAAGAGTTTTTGGAAGAAATGCCTTTCTAAGCTTTCCACAATATGAGTGTATATATTCCAGGTAGACCCTATTAAGGTGCTGTTAATTTTTTACCACTGTGCTTTTTAAAAACGAGCTTAGATTCTAAAACGCAACTAATCTCTCCTGTGGCAAATGATTTCAAAAACATTAACAAGATTTCTTTTATCAGTTTTTAGCAGCATAGTATCCTCAGTAAAGTGCATAAATGTGTGCTTATTAATAATACACATTACCCAAAATTATTTATAACTATTCTCTAGGATGATGGGTAGAGTAGGCAGAAAATACTTGGCACAGCAGTAGGAAATAAATGTGTCCAGATAGATCCTTTTTCAACCTTGTTCCAGACTAGGCTAACAAACTCTCAAAGAGAGATCCAAAAGGATCAAATTATTTCCAAAAAACTCAACAGTGCTCACAAATAGCACTCAAAAATATTTTTAAAAATACATTTGCAGTAAAAAAATTCACTATGTCTGTAATACAGTAAAAAATTACCAACAGAGTAAAGAAGTACAAAAAAATGCCCATAAAGAGAAAAAAATAATCAATACAAATTAAAACAGGATTGACAGAGATGCTAGAATTAGCAGATCAGGACATTACAACATTTGAAATAACTATATTTTTTATATTCAAATAAAGTATGTAGAGATATGGTAGATGTAAAAAGAGAAATTTGTGTAAGAGACATACAATCTACAACTTCTTAAATGAGAACAACATTGACAGGGATTACAGGCTGATTAGATTTGCATCGTATTAGATTACAAAGTGTGAAGAAAAGGAAGGGGAAAAAAGTTAAACTAGAGCTATAGCAATATTCATCATAATCTATTAGGTTGGTGCAAAAAGTAATTGCGGTTTTGCCATTACTTTTTTTTTTCTTTTTTTTCTTTTTTTTTTGAGACAGAGTCTCACTCTCTCGCCCAGGCTGGTGTGCAGTGGCGTGATCTCCACTCACCGCAACCTTCACCTCCTGGGTTCAAGCGATTTTTCCTGCCACAGCCTCCCAAGTAGCTGGGACTGCAGGCACCCACCACCATGCCCGGCTAATTTTTGTATTTTTAGTAGAGATGGGTTTTTGCGGTATCAGCCAATCTGGTCTCGAACTCCTGACCTTAGGTAGTCCACCTGCTTCAGCCTCCCGAAGTGCTTGAATTAGAGGCGTGAGCCACCGTGCATGGCCTGCCTTTACTTTCAACGGTAAAAACCACAATTACTTATGCCCCACTCTAATAATTGCTTAAAATCAGTGACAAAAAATGAAAGAATAAAATAAAGGAAGGAAAAAGGAAGAAAGGGACCGAGGGAGGGAGGGTGGGAGGTAAAGGAAAACAGACATAATGTTCAGAAAAAAAGAAAAAAATGTCAATTAATTTTTTGTCAGGTATAGTGCAAGTGACTAGGAATGGAAAACATCCTTGAAGTAACAATAAAGAAAAATATTGTCAATCTGAGTTCTATACCGAAGGAAAATCTTTCCAAAACAATACATTTATTCAAAGAAAAATAAAGTCCTTATTCAGACGCAAAAAAGCTGAAAAAAATCAGACTCACATTGCAATACATACACACGAACACACAAGCACACACACACACACACACACACACACTGAAGAGCACCAGAAATTGTAATTGCATAGATAAATATGTAAGATTTTTAATTCACGCAACACTTTTTAAAACTAAGCCTTAGTTTCTAAGTCTTTGATTACCATTCATAGCATCCAAACTGCCCATAAAGTTCTGTGAACCTTTATCCTCTTCCTACTAGTAAGTGTAAAGAATAAAGTTTGTTTCTATTTGTGTCTATGTGCAACACTTCTTCCATTGCACAATATCAAAGATAAATAATATTAATATCCTGTGTCACTGCAAGTAGATTATGCAGATATACAAATAAGTAAGTATAACAATATAAGTTTTCTGTCTTAATATAGAAATATCCAAGACATTTCTGAGGGAGGTTATCTGGAGGAAGTCACTGAAACCCGGATCTTTTATATTGTCACTGTTTTGCTGGAAAAGGTCACTTGAATTGGTTACTATGGGATGCAATTAAATAACTAACTTTTGACAATCTAATGCATATTTACGGTAATGTACTCTTTGATTTTCCATCTTCTGAAATACTAATCAATTTAAGCATTTTCTCCAACGTTTAATGGTTCTCTTTACTTCCTCTTTAATAGAATAAATAGAATAAATAATCTGTTCATTCCTTGGACCATTTAAAATAGAATAATTTACATTTATGTTACTGAGGGGCAGGATTATTGAATGCATAGTTTTTGTATTTTATATAATAACATTATACAAAACACACATTTTGGCAATGCCTTCAAAAATATTTTCTGAAATAGAGGGGGTCTTGTGCCATGAGATTTAAAAAATATTCTTTCCTTACACTAGAGATGAATGCATCAGGTCACGTACCATTTTATAAATACAGAACCGATTGATTTGATTCCTTCTAATTGATTTGTTATAGAGACATTCCTGGAGAGAAAATGCATCTGATAATTATTCCATGATTAATTATATCTTTCAATTATCAACTATGTAGTATTGCTAATTTTAAAATGACATTGTGGACACAAATTTCCAACTCTGAACCTGACTCATATATTTTTACATTTATTCTTATGTTATCTTGCAGGTCAAACCATTTTTTGTGTTTGATTACCCATTAAAAGAATATTAGAAAAATAAGCTATCACTGTACAGAGGATATCAAGGAATCAGTACTTAAAATTTTATTTTTAATAGACACATAATTTTACATATTTGTAGGGTAGATAGTGATGTTTTGATACATATGATGCATAGTAATCAGATCAGAGTATTTAGCACATTGTCTCAAACATTTACCATTTCTTTTTTTTTAGGGAACCTGCAATATCCTCATTCTAGCTATTTGAAAGTATATATTACTGTTAATTATAATCATCTTGCAATGCTATAGACCGTTACAACTTATACCTCCCATCTACCTATAATTTTGTATTTTTAAATTGTATTTATTTTCTCTTTTAGTATTCATTATATTTAATTATATTTAATTTTGTACCTCTCCCTATACCCTCTGCCTTCTACCGTTCCTAGCCACTAGTATCCTCTGTTTTACTTTTTAATTCCATGAGATCACTTTTTTTTAGTTAAGCAAGTGGCTGGTTATGAGTATATGCAGATGTTGTTCATATTTATAGAGAGTACAATAGATTACGCAGTGTTTTGTTGAACTATATTCTCTCCCTTGTTATATTGAAAATATTGCCACAATATACGTAATATATATATATCCTTGTGCATTTTTATGGAAATTTCCATACTAATGATATTATAGGTTTAAAATATATGTACACTTAAAAATTGATAAGTACCTCTAAATGTTCCTCTCAAATAGTTTCTTTCTAAGGATAACTAATAGTCACTAACTGGCCAACAAATATCTTTGAAATTCTGAGATGATTGCATTAATTAGAATGAGTATCTGAATTAGGATTAGGTGGGATCTTAATGATAAAAATGTGGGAGTGTCTGTTATTAATTAGCACACGGATTTATTGAGGGATGTTGTTATTCACACCTTCAGAAGTCACATCCTTGACATATTGAAAGCAAGACCCACCAATTTCTTCAAACTCCAAAGTTAATGTCGCTTTACGATAATTTTCCCCTGCATTTTCCCCCCTACATATCAAATACCTAAGCCAATTTGTCTTGGAATCTGTAGGGTTTTTGTTTGCTTCTTTGCTTGTGTTTTACTTTTTTTTTTTTTTAATTATACTTTAAGTTCTGGGATACATGTGCAGAAAGTGCAGGTTTGTTGCATAGGTATACATGTGCCTTGGTGGTTTGCTGCACCCATCAACCTGTCATCTACATTAGGTATTTCACCTAACGCTATTCCTCCCCTATCCCCCAACCCCCAGATAGGCCCTGGTGTGTGATGTTCCCCTCCCTGTGACCATGTGTTCTCGTTGTTCAACCCCCACTTATGAGTGAGAACATGCGATGTTTGTTTTCCTGTTCTTGTGTTAGTTTGCTGAGAATGATGGTTTCAAGCTTCATCCATGTCTCTGCAAAGGACATGAACTCATCCTTTTTTTTTTTTTTTTTTTTTTGAAGGAGTCTGACTCTGTCGCCCAGGCTAGAGTGCAGTGGTGCAATCTTGGCTCACTGAAAACCCCGCCCCCGGGTTCACGACATTCTCCTGCCTCAGCCTCCCAAGTAGCTGGGACTACAGGTGACAGCCACCATGCCCAGCTAATTTTTTATTTTTTTGTATTTTTAGTAGAGACAGGGTTTCACCGTGTTAGCCAGGATGGTTTCCATTTCCTGACCTCGTGATCCACCTGCCTCGGCCTCCCAAAGTGCTGGGATTACAGGCGTGAGCCTGGCACCCAGCCAAACTCATCCTTTTTCATGGCTGCATAGTATTCCATGGTGTATATGTGCCACATTTTCCTTATCCAGCCTATCATTGATGGACATTTTGGTTGGTTCCAAGTCTTTGCTATGGTGAACAGTGCTGCAATAAACCTAAGTGTGCATGTGTCTTTATAGTAGAATGATTTATTGTCCTTTGAGTATATACCCAGTAGTGGGATTGCTGGGTCAAATGGTATTTCTGGTTCTAGATCCTTGAGGAATTGCCACAATTGTTTCCTGACTTTTTCATGATTGCCATCCTAACTGGCATGAGATGGTATCTCATTGTGGCTTTGATTTGCATCTACTGATCAATGATTATGACCTTTTTTTCATATGTTTGATGGCTGCATAAATGTCTTCCTTTGAGAAATGTATGGAATCTGTAATTTTTGCTTTTGTTTTCATTATTTTTTAATCTGTCTGGCATGCCAGTTCACATTCTCTGCTCCCTTCATCCCTCCTTCCTTCCCTCACTATGGCCTCTATTTCTTTCCTAATACCACCAACAGGTCATTCTTCAAAGTTTCACTTTTCAGGGAGAGTCCTGTAAAATAGTCTATTTACAAACTTTTAACCTGGGATGTATGACCTTGGTTCAATATTGTCTTTTGGAAATTCACAACAAATACCACTATTCTCCAAGTACAAGTTTCTGTATCCACAGCTAATTTCAACACCTACCACTCTATCCCAGCTTGCTCTGTCCAAACCTGGTAAAGTTCTTAATTTTCTGACCCCTCTTTTCTATCCAAATGAAAACAGATTCCGAAACTTTTGTAATAGGGGACTGAGGGATCTGGAGACTGCAAGACTGAAGGACCACAGATGTGCTGGAATCACCGCTGGCGTCGGGCTTCAAGAGAAGCACAAGGCTCATGCCTAGTCTCCAGAGGTTTTTATGTTTTCTGCCTGGCTTTCTTCTGAGCCTCCTGTCTCCTATGCTGCTGTGACCCTTCAATTTGGCTGTAGCCTTTACCACCACCTCTGGCTTTGGTTCCATCTTTTTTTCTAAAATTACGTTGATGCAAGAAGTTTTAAAGGATGGTTTTCACAGACTTTTTAAGAAAAGGGAAATTCGTTGAAAGCATTAAAGATTTACCTGCCTGCAGACTCTTAACAACACTTAGGAGTACACTATTTCTAGAGCCATATGAGTTAGCTTCCCAATAAGAGGGAAATATCCCAGAGGCAAGGATGGCTTCAGACAATTTAAACACAGCGTCTCTACTTATTTGCTTACGGAATCTGAAGGTTTCATTAACTCCAGATCTGACTCACAAGCTGTTTATCCTTTGCAAAGAATGGCACATAGTCAGGATGGACCAAATTTATCATGAAAGACAATGCACAATTACTGATCTTTTATTACCAAGACTCCCAATTTGAAGTTAACATTGAAGAAAACATAGATGATAATAAAATGACTTTGATAAACCAGTGGTTTTTCTGAATCCAGCATTTATGAGAATATTGAAGATAAGAATCAGCCGCGTTTGGTGGCTCACATTTGTCATGCCAGCACTTTGGGAGGCCGAGGCGGGCATATCACTTGAGATCAGGAGTTTGGGACCAGCCTGGCCAACATGGTGAAATCCTGTGGTCTCGATTAAAAATACAAAAATTAGCCAGGGGTTGCTGTAATCCCAGCAACTCAGGAGGCTGAGAATCGCTTGAACCCGGGAGGCGGAGGTTGCAGTGAGCCCATGTCAGGCATCTGTATTTCCAGCCTGGGGGATAGAGGGAGTCACCGTCTCAAAAAAATAAAATAAAATAAATAAATAAATAATCTATGCTAGAAGCAAAAAAAAAAAAAGAAGAAGAATTTGTTCAGCTAAAAATTATTTGCATCAAAACAAACTTCTTCAAAGCTTTTCCAGTCTAAGTTTACATTTTATGATGCTACTTTGGAAAGCATGCAAGGGCCATTGAAACGAAGAACTATAATTAAGCATATATGTCAGTAAGACAGTACAGTTTACTCTTATAACTAATATATTTTGCACATTTACAAAAATCTGCAATTTTTAGTAACTGATGATCCAGACCATATTTTGTATTATTTGCTTTGCATAAAGTGTCTACAATACACAAATCCACAAAGATCTAAAGTACAAAAGGGATTGTGAGTCGAGTGGGTGGGGAAGGCGCAATGAATAGAGAGTAATGATAAAGAGTTTTGGGTTTCATTTTGGGGTATATAAAATGTCCAGGAATCAGACAGTTATGGTTTTTCACAACTCTTTATTAAAGTAAAATTTAGGAAACAGATGTATAATGTCAATGTGGTTATCCCATTTCATACCCAGATAATAATTTTGTTTCCTCAAGTTACAGTGAGCTCAAAGATGCTCACACATTGTCCTATTGTCTCACATGAGAAGGTCTCGAGATTAGAAGATTTTTCAGGCAAGAGAGCTCACTAGGAAATCATAATGAAACCTGACTTTCATGGGGAACCAAAACAAAAGAAAGGTGTCAAAAGGGAAGACAAAGAGGAAGGGAAAAAGCTGTATATGAGGGAACCTTTTGAAACATCATAAAAGCTCACAACTGTGTTGTCATAATCCAGAAACATCCCAACCCGACCCAAAGGTCTTTGCACATAGTGAGTTAAGGGAAGAAAGATGTTGGAGAGGCTATAAAGGCTGTTTCTCTTTGAAGAAAATTGAAAAAATGCTTCCTCAAAAGCAGGAACATGATTTGTGTTTGCTGTCCTGGAATCTTTACAGACTCCTAGAATCCAGCTGGAGGACTGGGTTACATCCACTTCCCAGTAATGCCTGCCAGAGGAGAAGGCCTGAGCTCCCCATGCTGCAAAGTTCTCTGCTCTCTGGGACTCCCCGGGTGCACCATCATGGTCATCTCCAAATACCACATTTCTCACATCCTCAGAAAGGCTCATATAGTGACTCGTCTTTTCCTTACTCAGAGGATCATCCACTGCAAGAAGAACAAAAATCAGATCAAGGAGTTACGTGGGGGTCAGATGTTATCTGCCCAGGTACTGGCTTTATTTGTACCTCCTGTAAGTGACAGACAGAATACATGGAGCAAAAAGACTTTGGAGACTGTCATCTACGAAGATCAAGGGTTATTATGACTTCTACAGCACAGGAGAATCCTTAAAATCACACAGAAAAACAAATAAACAAACATATCATTAATTGTGTGAATCAATGATTTAATGTCTGGCTTTGCACGATTCGTTTCAAGAGATATGTAACATTCTTTATTTATTTAGTAGAAAATGCCACTTGCATTGTTTGTATTCAATATAATTAACAAATAGACTTCACTCTGCTATGATGCTCTTGTCTAGTGGGATATAAAATGTGCCTGTTACTTTTGTTTTGTTTTGTTTTGAGACAGAGTCTCACTCTGCTGCCCAGGCTGGAGTGCAGTGGTGCGATCTCGGCTCACTGCAGCCTCCTGGGTTCAAGCGATTCTGCTTCCTCAGCCTCCCGAGTAGCTGGGATTACAGGCATGTGCCACCATGCCCAGATCATTTTTGTATTTTTAGTATAGATGGGGTTTTGCCATGTTGGCCAGGCTGGTTTCCAGCCGTTGACCTCAGGTGATATGCCCGCCTCAGCCTTGGAGGATTACAGGCATGAGCCACTGTGCCCGGCCTCACCTCCTCCATGTTTAAACATCAGAATTTGATGGACTTCCATACATGTGCAGTTTAGAAGTTTCTGAAAATAATGATCATGTTCTGCTTTTACGTGACCTGGTCAGCCACTGCTTCATTCAGTCTAATCCCGGTTTTAGCCCTCTGTTGTCTAATGGCTGCCTTACATGTTTGGGCCATTTTCACAGAACCCTCAGCTTCCAGTTGTTGTGAAATGTATCTTACAGCAGTAAAGTTGTTCTGTTTATGGAAGTTTTAGTTATTTGGTTGGTCAACGCTTTCTAATTTTTATGATAAATATTATTTCTACAATATATGATAAATTCACAGAAATTAAAACTAAAATGGGAAACGGCTCAACCAAGGAATCCACTAAACAGAAGTTGAGGCTGTACTGCCAAGCAGCTGGCTCTTACCTCTGAATTTGTTGAGCATATCTAGCACTCCGGTGATGTGCCAGGAAGTGAGTTCTGGGTTCACTGGCTGGGGCTTTTCCATTTGCACCAAATCTGTCCTGCAAAGAACAACCTCAGTTACACTTTTAGGCCCAGGGATAATCACACAGTCATACAAATGTTTCAGATTTTCATCCAAGATATTTCTGGAGAAATCTCCCTTTTTTGTTAAATTCAGTATACATTTTATTCAACTGTATTGAGGATATAGCAATGTTACTTTTATCTAAATTTAACATGTTAAAGTCCAATTTCTCTATTCTCTCATACATGATCCTAATTTAAAATTACTGAGTGTCATTTCCTCCCTCTCCCCCTCCGGCCTCTTCAAAGTATACAGATATCCTGGGATTCTTGCTGAGAGAAGAAAACTCAGCCAAAGCCTTTGGGACCTCAGTCGGTAGTTGTCACCAGTGATGCAGTCAGGGTCTTACAGGGAATGCCCACTGACACTAAAGGTTTTGAACTTTTGTTCAAACCAAAGGAGTCTATTTTCAGCCTGTCAGCTCTGGCGCTGAGGATCCTGAGGCAGCCATTCCCCTCTTAGATTCTACCTACAACAGGGCAGTGCAGAGATGGAGCAGGGCCTGGCTATTGATATCCCTGGGAACAAATCCTCCCTCCCTTTCCTGTCCTTAGGGCATTTCCCTCTCTTTTTCACCTCTCGCCTCTGCCTCTCCAGAATAGGAGACTCCTTTGTGATAACTCAGAGTAATCTTCTTAAGATTTGCTGGGTTGAACTAGTTTACAGTCCTACCAACAGTGTAAAAGTGTTCCTGTTTCTCCACATCCTCTCCAGCACCTGTTGTTTCCTGACTTTTTAATGATTGCCATTCCAACTGGTGTGAGATGGTATCTCATTGTGGTTTTGATTTGCATTTCTCTGATGGCCAGTGATGATGAGCATTTTTTCATGTGTTTTTTGGCTGCATAAATGTCTTCTTTTGAGAAGTGTCTGTTCATGTCCTTTGCCCACTTTTTGATGGGGTTGTTTGTTTTTTTCTTGTAAATTTGTTTGAGTTCATTGTAGATTCTGGATATTAGCCCTTTGTCAGATGAGTAGGTTGCAAAAATTTTCTCCCATTTTGTAGGTTGCCTGTTCACTCTGATGGTAGTTTCTTTTGCTGTGCAGAAGCTCTTTAGTTTAATTAGATCCCATTTGTCAATTTTGGCTTTTGTTGCCATTGCTTTTGGTGGTTTAGACATGAAGTCCTTGCCCATGCCTATGTCCTGAATGGTAATGCCTAGGTTTTCTTCTAGGGTTTTTATGGTTTTAGGTCTAACGTTTAAGTCTTTAGTCCATCTTGAATTGATTTTTGTATAAGATGTAAGGAAGGGATCCAGTTTCAGCTTTCTACATATGGCTAGCCAGTTTTCCCAGCACCATTTATTAAACAGGGAATCCTTTCCCCATTGCTTGTTTTTCTCAGGTTTGTCAAAGATCAGATAGTTGTAGACATGCGGCGATATTTCTGAGGGCTCTGTTCTGTTCCATTGATCTATATCTCTGTTTTGGTACCAGTACCATGCTGCTTTGGTTACTGTAGCCTTGTAGTATAGTTTGAAGTCAGGTAGTGTGATGCCTCCAAAAACCAAACACCGCATATTCTCACTCATAGGTGGGAATTGAACAATGAGATCACATGGACACAGGAAGGGGAATATCACACTCTGGGGACTGTGGTGGGGTGGGGGGAGGGGGGAGGGATAGCATTGGGAGATATACCTAATGCTAGATGACGAGTTAGTGGGTGCAGTGCACCAGCATGGCACATGTATACATATGTAACTAACCTGCACAATGTGCACATGTGCCCTAAAACTTAAAGTATAATAAAAAAAAATAGAAAAAAAAAAAAAAGATTTGCTGGGGCAGGGCTGGAGAAGATGGGGTGGGTGGGTAGAAGAAAATCCAGAATGGCACACTGTTTTTCGATACATATTCATTCAGCCAGATAAGAAGGAAACTTCTGAGACAAAGAAGCTTAAGTTCTCAGGTTCTCCTTTGAAACCAAAATGGAACATAGCCACAGATTAATGCTAAATACCTCAAAACATGTAGTTGACCCTTAAGCGACAAGGGTTTGAAATTTGGGGGTCCACTTATAAGTGGATTTTTTTCAATGAAAGTTTCACCTAGCTTGCCTGCCTCTCCTGCCTCCCACTCCATTTCTTTTATTTCTGCCTCTGCCACTGCTGAGACACTGTCTTCTCTTCCTCCTCCTCTTCAGCCTACTCAATGTGAAGACAATGAAGATGAAGACCCTTATGGTGATCAACTTCTTAATGAGTAATAAATTTATTTTCTCTTCCTTACAATTTTCTCAATTATATTTTTTCTCCAGCTTACTTTATTGTTAGGATACAGCATATAATACGTATAACATACAATATATGTTAATTGACTGTTTATGGTATCAACAGGCTTCCAGTCAATAAGAGGTCATTCGTAGTTTGGTTTTGGAAAAGTCAGAAGTTATACTTGGGTTTTCAACTATGTGGAATTGCATGAAGGTGGTTAGTGAACCTAATCCCCACCTTTTTCAATGGTACATTGACTTTCAAGGGTACATTGACTTTATCAATAAGGGAATGACTTTCTCAGCAATCAAAGTCCATTAGTGTAACTCACCATTCCAGTATGTTTTCCAAGTCCTGCAAAGAAAAACACAAGTACTTAATCATGAGAATTCTGTCCTACTTTCCCTAGTATTCTTTGTTGTTTTTCTGGGTTAACAAGGTAGGTTTATTGATACATCTCTAAGGCACCATCCAAGGCTGTGTTAATAACAGAACCTCAGCTGAACCATGGTGGTCTTCCTCAGTGGGCATTAGGAATGAAGGAGCTGAGAATAAGACTGTGGAGTGATGTACACAGCTATCTAGTTCTCAGTGTCACTCATCTCCCAGGCTTAATCCCAAGAAGTGAGGACGTACTAGGGAACTTAAATTGAGTTTTATTAACAAAGCTAATATTCTCCTGGCCTAGCATTTGGTTGATTTTGGATAACATTTCTTTGTGGCTAGTACTTCTGATTATACTGAAGAGGATTTTGTCCTATGTGATCTACCAAAATGGCAAAAATCTCCCAAAGATTACCAGAATATGCAAAAATAAGTCACTGGACAAACGTAATGACAGAGTCAAGGAGCATGTGTCACTTTCTAAGAGTAGTTACATTTGCAGGTAGCATATGAATGTCCTGGCAGCATTGCCCAACAAAGTCTTCCTGACTCTGGATGATGGACCCTCCCTCCTCATCTGGAGCAGCTTCACATCCGGCATGTGGCGCATCTCCCACAGCTCTCTGTACATGCCTTTCGTCTTTTTTATATGTTGGGTTATTCTTACTTCACCGTCTTGGAGTTGTCGAACAATCTCTTCTGCTTCTCTGTCCATTGTCTCCAGATGGCGTTGCTCCTCCTCCAGGAGAAATTGGCGCAACTTCTGATATTGTTATCTGATCATCCCTTTCCTGGGGGCCACATAGTCCTGCAGAGATACTCAGTTAAAAGAATTGCATCTCCTCACTCTCAACAAAACACTTAACACTTCAACTGTTATTCTCCTAGGATATGCAAGCAGTAAACTCCTAAGCTCTGTGTCTCATACTTGAAAAGGTTCTTGAAGATTTGCTAGTCTCCTCTACCCATCCTTTCTTCATGTTCCTCCTAGTCTCCCTTCCTGTATAAATCAGTACCTCAAAAGGACTCAAGATCCCTGCCTGTGATGCTTCTACAGGATTCTTACTTCATTAATTATTGTCTTTTTTACCTGGTTCTTCTTAATTTTCTCTTGTTCCTTTGCCTGATTCTTCTAAACATTTTTAAATATTTCAGTATACGCTCTACCACTGAGTTTTTAAAGAAATTACTTCAGGTTTTGTTTTCCCCACTAATTTCTCTATTTCTCTCCTCACCTTCACAGCAAAACTTTAAACTACTTGATGTGAATACAACGCTTTAAACAGTTCAATGCTATCCCATTCTCAGTGCCTTGGAAGTTTTATCTAAACCCTCAAGGTTACATCAGGAATAACTATCATGCCCTGTTTATTTCATATACATGTACATACTAGTATTTTTTGCACCAGCTCCTGTTGGCCTGTATAATGATAATTGCTGATATATCATTTGAAACCACTGTTTTGTTTTTTTCTGGGAAGAGGACACTACTATTTTTTAACTGGTAAGCAGAATTCAGCTAAGAAGTCTAAGTTAGCATTGTGCCAATCTACATTAAAAATATAAAACCTTTTTATCCCTACCGTTAATGAATGGATTTTGCTAATTTCCTGATTTAGATTGTTTTGCATTTCTTGAGTGCTCCTCCATAAATGATCCATTTTCTTCAGAAGTTTCTCCTGCAAAATAGACATGACCTTTAGTAGCAGATACGACGTTACTGGATATGTTATTCCCTTTTTATGAGAAAAGCCTGTTGTTGAGAGAATGGTAAATTTGAGTCCCCCTGAAGTGGTCAGAGTTTTTACAAGTTAACCTAATTTGATTTTAATATTTGGAATATAAGAGGTAACAGAAACATATAATAGAGAGTTTGAGGAGACCCAACAGCTAATCAATTTTTTAAGAAATTGGATTTCATATATCCTGGCTCTGGGGAAGTCAAGCTTGCAGCAAAAACAAACCGTGTTCCTAGGACACATTTATATCTAGAGATTTATATTGAAAATTCAGAACCTCACCATCTCCATTCTCTCCACCTTTATTATCATAAGCTCTCATTTTCTCTCTCATTTAGGATCATGTGGATTCCCGGTTGCATTGGAGGTGTCACTTACCCTGCACTCCTCAGCAGCCCATCCTATTGGGCTGTGGCCATAAGCCTCATGCTCTTGTGACTCAGAGCAGGGCCCACAGAGGAGTCTCTCCTCTGCCTCACAGAAGAGCCCCTTTTCCTCTTCATGTAGCACACAGATCTGCTTCTCTGAGCTGTTGATGTTGTGAGGTCTGCGCTGCCTTGCAAGAGAAGCCAACTTCTTGAGAACAATATTGGTGTTGAAGTCAGTCTTCTGGGGGATTTTCCCACACACAGGACAGCCCTTTGGAGCTTGGCCTTCCTCCCAGCGCAGACAAAGGCAGGGCCTGCAAAAGCTATGCCCACAGTCAATGGTGACTGTGTCCGTTAAGTAGTTCCTGCAGATAAAGCAACAGAGCTCCCTCTGGAAGGTTTGCAGTGTGTCTGAATCCATGTTTCTGGAAATTTAAAACAGAAAAATTTAAGTGAGAAAATTATTTTTTGACCACATGGAGGGGGAAGGGCCTGTAGCTAGTTCTTCTTGTCTGCTTCAGCTCTGTTCAATCTACCCGTTAACTTAAGCCCAGTACAGACCTAGATGTGGTAAATACAGGCAAGCTAGGTTTATACTATAACACAAGTGGAAAAATGAGACAAGCATCATTTTAGTTTAAAACAAACAATGTTCTCAATTATAAGTTATTTGGGCAAGCTTAATATTGGGGTAGAGGGGAACAATTAGGATAACTTCACAGTTACTTCTATTAGCTGATTGTTCCAGAAACCCATATAAACCCATCTCTCTCTCTCTCTCTTTCTTTTCCTCCATGACCCCTTGAGTGGAACTTATACAGGGATACTTAGTCTCACTCTCTGGCACCCAAGTAGCAGATGTACTTTTCTAAAGACAATTAAAATTTGGTTAAGTTTAATCTAAGTGTCTTTAGTTTAATCATTGTGGGCTTCAACACTCAACTCCTGTAACTATAAACAGCTGAACTTATGCTTCTAATTTTAATCCCAAAATTCAACCTTTACATAAATACAACGAAAAATTGTTATTTCTTATTCAAGACAATGTTTTTGCTCAGAATGAGTTCAGACCATCAGAGTATCTTCATATTTTGAAATGGTGACTACGCAAGCTATGAAAGTACTCAGCAACAATTAATCAATTTTTACTTAAACCAAAAAAGAAAGTAAACACTCGAATTTTTTCTTTAAAGAATCCAGAGATGTAGTTAATGGAAGCATGACCACCAATTTATCTTTATTCCCTGTGTTTCTCCACAGTGATCAAAGTCCCTACTTCCTGGGAGTCTTTACCAGTTGATGGGATCTATTTGAACACTTTTCAAATCCAGTCTGCTCATTGAAGATTTGAAAAGGACTACAAACATGACCTTTACAACAAGGGTTTTCCAATTAATCCTACACATTTAACACTTACACTGATGACATGTAGTATACTACAAAGCTACAGTAAGCAAAGCAGCATGGTACTGGTGTCAAAATAGACAAGTAAACCAGCGGAACAGATCAGAGAACCCAGAAACTGTTACACCTCTCTACAGCCAACTGAATTTTGACAAAGGTAGCAACAGTATTTACCGGGGAAAGGACAGTCTTTTCAATCAACACTGCTGGCAAAACGGGATATTTACATGCAGGGAATAAAATTATACCCTCACCTCTCATCCTATGCCAAAATCAACTCAAAATAGATTGAAAACTTTAATGTAAAACCTGAAAGAACAAATCTACTGGAAGAAAACATAGGAGAAATGCTCCAGAACATTAATCAGAGAAAAAATTGTATGAATAAAATCACAAAAGCCTAGTCCACAAAACCAAAAATCAACAACTGGAATTATATTAAACTGCAAAGCTTCTGCACAGCAAAGGAAACAATCAATGGAGTGAAAAGACAACTGACAGAATGAGAAAAAATATTTACCAACTATTCACTGGACAGGAGATTGATACCCTGACTATACAAGGAAATCAAATAACTCAATAACAAATTAAAAAGAAAAAAAAACCCAAACAACCCAATTAAAAAATGGGCAAATGATCTGAACAGACAATTAACATATGCCAATTTACAAAATAAAATTGAAGTGGAAAAAGACTATTCCGTATATGTAACATATTGAAAATTGTAAGCTCTTTTTGGATTCCATAATTACACAAATAAGGTGGAAATATAGCTGCTAAGACATAACATGCCAAATAATGCATAAGGTAATATAATACAAAATGGGGGCTAGGCATAGCCTAGCCTCTAGGCTCTAATCCTGGCATTGAGGAGGCCAAGGTATGAGGATGGATTCAGGTCAGCAGTTCTAGACCAGCCTGCGCATCTTATTGACATCTTATCTCTACCAAAAATTCTTTTAAAAATAATGCTGGCGTGACGGCACATGCTTGTAGTCTCAGCTACTCAGGAGACTGTGGCGGCAGGATTGCTTGAGCCCAGGAGGTCCAAGATGCAGTGAGCCATGATAGTGCCATTTCAGTCCAGCCTAGGTGACAGAGTGAGACCCTATCACAAAAAAAAAAAAAAACCCAGTCAAATAACTTGATATAACACAAACCAGTATATTATAAATGCTCTAATTACAGATATTTTAAATAATGATGTTACTTCAAATAACTGGGTAAGCTACTTGTTTGCTTAGACAAGATGTAAATGTCCTGGCCGGTGAGTTTAAAGTATTTTTATCAGAAAAATTAAGCATGAAGGGCTTCACTACAAATGTCATACACACCAGAATCTGCGATGTATTGTCTCAAGTCTAGAAGATTCGTGGATATCCAGGTCAGCAGCAACACTGAGCTCACCAAAGCCCAGCCTCCACGAATTCAGTCTGACTTCTCTGGAGAAGTCTTCCCTGGACAACTCTGCTTTTTAAGTGATTAGACTCACCTAAGAACACTCTCACTTCCTGGGATTGGCTACTGTCTGGAGAAAGAAGTGGAAATGGAAGATTAGGTTACACAGAAGGGTGTAACATTGGGGAAGGGTGTAACATGGGGTGATCAGATTTATAAAGTACAGACAATCATGCCTAGGGGATTATAGCCCAACAGAAGGTAGAGGATTTTGGAGTGAGATGCAAGAATCTTAACCTGACATAGGTTGTTCACAGACATTACAACTGAAACAATTATTTCATTAAGTAATGTTTTGTTTCACAAACAATGCCCTCACAATTAAAAACAATTGCTTTATTATTTTAAACTGAAATGTATCATCTATATTTCCATTAAAGATTTTTTATTTATTCTTCAACAAGCATATACTAATGACAATAAACTAGGTATTAGAAATAAATTATATTAAACTATAATAGACAATTTCAGTCCTGCTAGAACATCCAGACTAGTGAATGAGATGTATCATAATTAAAGAATCACACAAGTAAATATACAATTAGAACTATAAGCTCAATAAATGAGCAGTACATGTTTTCAGGGTCAGTAGTAGGAGGGAGGTGCTGAATGCCAGCTTATGCCAGGCTTTTATGAAGATATGAAAGCATTGAGATTTGAGGAATAGGAATACATTAACTTGGCAAAGAGAGATAGAGAGAAACTTTCTTTGCAGTGACAGCAGCAGACGCAAAAGCTTCCTGGATGGAGGAAGCCTGGTACAGTTGAGCTCCAGGCCACTGGAGCTAGAGTGACAAGAATGAGAGTGGTCTGATGGGAGATGAGGCTGCAGAGGCAGGTACGGGCATCAGAACATGGAAAAGATGAGTTTGCTATCTAGAAATTATGGGAAGCCAGTGAAGTGTCAGTCTAGTTTTAAAATATATCATTGTTAAATAAGTCTCCAGTCATTATTTATCTGAATATGTACAACTCTAAAATATTAAATGAAATAACTAACCCATCTATGGAGCTCTCATAAAAAAGTGCACCTAGGCACTTAGTTGTATTTTAAATACTATGACTCTATATACAACAGTTGGTGAATTTACTTGTCTAATTTTTTTGTTGTCTTCCCTATTTTATGACTATTTTCAAAGGTGAATTTATGCAAAAATAAAATGTGTTTTTTTGATTTTACGCCATGGTGAATAATTTTAAATTAGATACTTTACATCAGTATATATGTATGGACATGTAGAAGATGTACAGCATGTATATTTATATCAAAATATGATGCAATGTCATAAATAATTATTTAAACAATAATTATGTGTATAATTATCTTTAACAAAGTACATACAGAAAACTAATTTTGAATAGAGTTCAGTGACTCCTGTCTGTAATTCCAGCTAGTTGGACAGCTGGGCAAAAGGGTCACTTGACTCTAGGAATTCCAGGTTTCCCCAGGCAACATAGGGTGACACCTGTCTCTAAAAATAAATGTTTTTACCCAGGCCTGGAAGCAAGCACATGTAGTTCCAGCTAATCAGGAGGACCAGGCAGGAGGATCACTTGAGCCTAGGTGTTTGAGGCTGCAATGAGCTATGATCATGCACTGCACTTTGGTCTGAGTGACAGAGGGAGAACTTGTCTAAATAAAGGAAAGAAAAAAATGAAAGAAAAACAAAGTTATAAGTTAGAAAGTGTTGCTTTTTCTTTGTTCTCTAGAAGAATTTGTCTAAAAGTGTGTTATTTCTTTCTAAAATGCTTTGAAAATTTCGCTGAAAGAGATCACTGGAGTTTTCTTTGTGAGTTTTGTTTTTTAAATAATACACGGAATTTTAAGAATCCAAATCATATCTTTCATTTTTCTATGTTCTCCTCCGTCTGTTTTAGTCAGCTGTGTTTTTCAAGAAATTTTCTCATGTCATCAAAATTGTCAGATGTATAGGTATAAATTGTTCCTAAAATATTCATGCTGGCTTATTGATATCTGGATGACCATGAGTTTGCCTGTTTATTCTTGATTTGAACTCCCCCTCTCCATTGTTTAAATGAATCTCATTGGGAATTTATTAATTTAATTTATCTATTTAAGGAGCCTACTTTTGAATTTGTTGATTTATCTTTTGCATGCTTTTTAATCAATTTTCTGCAATTTCTCTAATTTTTTTTTAGTTTTTTAATGGGAATTTGCTTTAATTTTCTGGCTGTTTGCGACAGACCTTTCTTTGTTAATAACAGATGCATTTAATGATATACATTGTTTTGTAAGCATTGTCTTAAATACATTTCAAAAGTTTTTTTGTTTTGTATTTTGAATATTATTTAATAAAACATACTTTCTTCGTTTTTCTTTAGTGCATGTATTTTCAGGGAAACTATAACGGAGAGGGGAGGGAATGCATTTTTCTAATGATATCTGAAACAATTAGAAACCATTGAAATTAATTTTAATAAAACATTATAACCCAATATATCCAAAATGTTTTCAACATAATAAACATTACAAATATTAGTGAGATATTTTATATATATTTTTTTTGAGACAGGGTCTGGCTTTGTCACCCAGGCTGGAGTGCAGTTGCTGGATCCTGTCTAGCTGCAGTGTCAACCCCCCTGGCTATAGCAATCTTCCCACCTCAGCTTCCCCAGTACCAGGGACTACAGGTTCATCCCACCATGCTCCGCTAATTTTAATTTTTTTGGAGAGACGAGTTTTCGCAATGTTGCCTAGGCTTTTCTCAAACTCCTTTCCTGTGTCCACCTCTCAATGTGATGCGATGACACGCTTGAACAACAATGTTCATACATTTTAGGAAGAAAGTCCTAAGCCTACTTAAGTTCTTTTAGAAAGGATGGATTGGAATTTACTTTCTCTAAACTCAATAGTTTCTAGAACTATAAATTAGAGTCAAGTATTAAAGGCCCCAGGAAGACAATTTTAGAAGAAAAGTTTTCAAAGTGAGCCAGGCTAGATGCTTTATAATTGAGCATTCACTGGATATGTCTTGGCATCCTAATGGCCAACGCTGAGGTTTTTTATTTTTTTTAATAATGTGGAAGACTGAACTTTGTTACATGTACATTGTGTAGAATTTCCAAAGTTAGAAACTTTTCTTAAAACACTTCACTACATTCCTTTTATTTACGTATTTTTTAAAAAATTTACACTATGCATGGATACATCCTTAATAGAAGATTAGGATTCTGCAGTTTCAAAGGCAAAACCTAATCCTTTCGATTGGCTCTATTTAATTGTATAATTGCTTTATCGATTAAAATTTTAAAAAAACTTCTACAAATACATTCCAATGTTAGATAACTAAATCAGTTGTCTGATGTCATTATACAATGTCACTCCCAGACGGGAGTGAAGTGGCAGGATCTCGGCTCACTGCAACCTCCACCCCAGGGGTTCAAGCAAATCTTCTGCTGGGATTACAGGTGCCTGCCACCATGCCCAGCTAATTTTTGTATTTTTAGTAGAGAGGGCTGGTCTCGAACTCCTGACCTCAGATAATCCACCCGCCTTGGCCTCCCAAAGTGCTGGGATTACAGGCATGAGCTGCCACAGCGGCCTGATGTTACCTTTTTAAGTCCACATAAAGTGACTTTATAATTATCTTTTAATGACTCCTTATTAAAACCTAAAATATATGAAGAACTATTTTGTTTTCTGCTTTTATCTACAATACTAGATTTTCCATGATTTTTAAAGAGTAGAAGACTTTATTTATTTATTTATTTATTTATTTATTTATTTTGAAATGTAGTCTCACTCTGTTGCCCAGGCTGAATCGCAGTGGCACTGTCTAAGTTCACTGCATCCTCTGCCTCCCTGGTTCGGGTGATTCTCCTGCCACAGCCTCCTGAGTAGCTGGGACTACAGGTCCGTGCAACTATGCCAGCCTAATTTTTGTATTTTTATTAGATATAGGGTTTTGCCATGTTGATCAGACTTGTCTTGAACTCCTGACCTCAAGGGATCCACCCACCTCGGCTTCCCAGAGTGTTGGGACTGAGCCACCACGCCCAGGCTGGATTGGTTTTTAAGAACTTGATTTATACATGTTTAGTTTTAAAGAATGGCTTTTTGTGTTTTTAAACTTTTTAAAGTTAAAAACATTTCACAAGAAACTGGTGAACTTAAATGACATTGAAGATAATTTACTATCACTTAACAGAGGGGTCACCTTTGGAGAATGGGTTATGTACGGGTATAAAATTGAAAAATAGATTTGTATCCTGAGATTAATATTCTGAAGCTCTATCTCTGGTGACTTAGAGAAATTCTCAAATCACCAAACACAATAAATAAACGAATATAAAATATAGTGGCTCTTTCACTTCTCTAAAGCATTTTCTAAACTCCCAGAATTATGAAAAACATGGAAGATTCAAATATTTTGCTGAAATGGGTCAGAATGGGAGGTATCCACTTAGCCTATAGGTGCTTTCAACTCTGACTCAGCAAATTATAGGTATTAACTTTCTCTGTGGCCTACTCCTCACACCCTCCTAACCCATTCTTGCTCAATATTCTTCTTAAATCTGCATCTAGGTTTGCTATCATATTACCATCCAAATAATAATTGATTTGGATGTATTTACATAATGCAAAGTTCTTTAAGTAACTAATAACATTTACTTAGCATTAATTGGTCCCTTTCTATGTATGAAGCAGTGTTCTACTTGCTGATACCTACAATATTTTTCATAGACTTTAAAATACATCGGCATACACAGTGTGAAATCATTTTTGTGTGTGCTTGTTATTTAGGTCACAATATAAAATACATACTGCTAGAATTCTAATAAAAACATACTGCACAGGAATGGTGAGGTAGCATTTAAATCGGGAAAGTTCAGCTTGACAGGGTCCTATTACCAGTGCATCCTGTTAGACTAACAACATTCAACATCATAAGTAACACATCAGTAACAAGCTCTTAACTGAGACAAGGTTAGAAATGTGTATTTTTATTTTATAAATAATCTCTGAAAAAGACAGCCTTCTTAAGCACAAATATCATTTATTATGGTATGTTCAGTCCTTTTCAATTTTTTACTTTCAAACAATATTCTCAAATATATTTAGAAAAAGGTTTTAAGGTATAGTATTTCATTAATGCTCATCGTTTGGAAAAAAAACCCAACTGGAATACAAGCACATGAATTTGTGTTTATTTTTTTAACTGTGGATTATCATGGTATTTAATCTACTTATTACAAACAATTTTTGAAAATAGTAATTGATATAACTTGAGACTTTTCATCAAAATTTGAAGACATCTAACAATATGCATAATGAATTTGAGTTGGAAAAAATGTGTAATACAAGTAAAAACAAAAATGCATTTTCCATTCCTACCTGGAGAAAAAAAAGATGAAATAACATACAGGTTGAGCACCACTAATCAAAATATCTAAAAATCCAAAATACTCCAAAATCTCAAATGTTTTGAGCTGTGAAATGTCACCAAAAGTGAAATATCCCACACGTGACCTCATATGAGAAGTTACAGTCAAAACATATTCTCAGTGAACAAAAGACTCTCCCAGCCCCTTCAGTTGCAATATATCTTTCTGTGTCCACCTAGATGCCCCCGAGCAAGAGCACTCACAAAGGGTAATAAAATGGCATGTGTACACAAACTTTGCTTCATGAATAAAGTTATTTAAAATATTGTCTAAAATTATCTTTAGCCTATCTGTATAAGGTGTATATGAAACATAAATTTTGTGTTTACACTTGGGTTGATACACAAGATATCTTATTATGTCTATGCAAATATTCTGTAATCCACAAATATCCAAAACCTGAAATTCTTCTGGCCCTAACATTGTGAATAACAAACAGTCAACTTGTATTACATGGTTTTATAATGGATTTATTTGAAAATGTGACTGAAATCTGTGGATGAAATTTTACAAACATCAGTTTAAGCCAAATAGTATTATTTTGTATAGCAGAAGGGGATACACTGGGTTTATTTCTCCACAGCATCCAAGTAGAATGTGACAGGGGTAAGGAGGAAAGATTTCTGTATGTAGTACTCATGATCCTTTGGGCTTAGGGGAGGTAAAAACACAAGATATGCTAACCTTACATTCTGCTCTGTTCCTTGGAAATTTTATAAACAACACTTACTGTTGTTTATAAACAAGAATGGATTCCAGTGAAGGGAAATGGCTAAGTCCATGAGCACCATTAGAACTGGCAGGGTTCAGGAAAGAATGTGAAAACTCTACTCCACAGTACTCGTTTTTCTATACTGTGCTAGGAAAGATGAATGGAAAACAAATTTGGCAATGTAATGTCTGCGAACAGGATACACAGCCAGATATGGGAAGAATAAAATATAAGAATCTTGTGTCTACTGAATCTAGAGAAGAAAATGTTCTGTTAACTCTTTGCTATGAAAATGCTTCGAGGCTGGGAACCGTGGCTCACGCCTGTAATCCCAGTGCCTTGGAAGGTCGAAGCAGGAGGATTGAGTCCAGGAGTTTGAGACCAGCCAGAACAGCATAAGAAGACCATATCTCCACAAACAATTTAAAAACTAACCTGAAGTGCGGGTGTCTGCCTGTAGTCAGAGCTACTCAGGAGGCCGAGGTTGAGGATCACTTGAGCCTAGGAGGTTGAAGCTGCAGTAGCTATGATCCAGCAACTGCTCTATAGTCTGGATGACAGAGTGAGACCCTGTCTCTAAGAAAAGAAAAAAGAATAGAAAAGGAAAAACATGATTGAAATCTAAAACCTAGAGTGCTGTTTGTAACTGTTGCCTCCATTATTTTCTCAAGGAAGGAAACCTATTTGATTCTGATTTTTACAGCCTAATGATAATGTAGCTATATTCAAGAACTCAATGTTTCATTCATCAGAGGAAGAAACTTCAGAATGTAGGCTGAACCTCACCTGAACACACAAGCACAGAAGGAATCATATGTGTTTCTGTGGCTCTAAGTGAGAAAATACGTTGAGAGATTTGAGGATTTATGGAGTTGACGACATGTAATTGATCCCTGAATCCATCCCATACAGGAAACAGGACCATAAAAAGATTGCTTACGACCGGGCGCGGTGGCTCACGTCTGTAATCCCAGCACTTTGGGAGGCTGAGGCGGGCGGATCACGAGGTCAGGAGATTGAGACCATCCTGGCTAACACAGTGTAATCCCGTCTCTACTAAAAGTACAAAAAAATTAGCCGGGCATGGTGGCGGGCGCCTGTAGTCCCAGCTACTCGGGAGGCTGAGGCAGGAGAATGGAGTGAACCCGGCAGGTGGAACTTGCAGTGAGCCAAGATCACGCCGCCACTGCACTCCAGCCTGGGCGACAGAGTGAGACTCGGACTCAACAACAACAACGAAAAGCTTACCTTTTATGTGCTCATATGTAAAGTTGGGACAATGCTACACATATTGCATGTTTTCTGTGGAGATTAGGAACAATGTGTGCATGGAGACAGCACAGTAACTGGTACATCATAGCCCATGTATCACATTGTCCCCTTCCTTTTTCTAACATATTTCTCTCCACTCAAATAGATAAGAGGTTTCAAGAGAAAATGACTGGGGTTTGTAGAAAAATAGACAATAAACGGGTAAAACAATTGAGAAGAAATGCCAAAAAAAAAAAAAGCGTTAAAGAAAAGATAGCCCTGGACATTCAGGATCCACAAAGCAAAATATAAATTTGTGGAAAATTAATAAATTTTGTTAGCATGGGAAAAAATATGCAGAATTCTCTCCATGTGCGCAAATAAAACAAACAAAATGTCAAAGTAGTTATAATACCTAGGTTTTAAATGGTATTTATCATAGAATGGCATTTTTATAAAAATTTAAAAATTTCCAGAATTAAATAAAGTCAGATTTCTACATATGTTAAGGAACGAGAAATAGATCACCAACTTTCATACAAAGATTTTCCAATGAGTTTTAGAACCCAGATGAACAAAAGAGTCTATTACCAGATTCTCAAAAATAGATGTGTAATTCAACAGAAAACTTTGTGGTAGAGGTAGGTTTCAGATGCTAGAATGGAAACAGTCTCATGTACAAAAAAGTATCTTTTTTATTAAAAGGAGAAGCACTGGGAAATAAGGAAATATTCCAAATTGGCTGGAGTGTCCTTTATCCACATCACGGATTGTTCTTGCCTATACCCACCTCTACTCTCTCTTCTGGATTGGGTAGGACTTTTGGAACCTACAAAATGCCAACTCTAAAGAGAATTACTTTCTTATATTTGTTTCATGGTCTGAGACTCAAGTAGGAAAATAGGTTGTTTCCTTGATAATGCCACAGTAGACAGAGGTAGGTCTGTAATTGAAAGCTCCTAATTTCCAGTGCTCTAGGCTTCAACTGCCTAAAGCTGAGTGTTTGAATAAGTGAATGATGTGGTGCAAAAAGTGGTTGAAATAAAATCAGAAGCTACCTACCTTCCTTTCTCTCCTTGCCCTAATTCCTTCCTGATACACAGCATCATCAGACCTTGTAATGGAGTACCAGGGCCCCGCCACGGAGCTCCAGAATTTAAGCAGAGAATGTCCACAGGATCAAGTCCATGACCCAGGGTTTCACAAGTTTCCCACTCTGGAGTCCAGGACTGAGCCAAGAGGGCCCCCACACACAACCAGCGCAGATCTTACTTCTGTGTGGACACTTTGGTTAATTACTTAGATTTATTGAGGTACAGAATGTGCATACAGGGTGGTCAGTCAGTTGGTGGTCTTGGATAGTAAACTGACAATAGAACAAGAAAATCTATTGTTCAATTCCTTGTATTTAATTAAATATAAACTCTGGATGATTTTATGATGTGTCAACTTGAGTACATGTATGTACAAAGAGGGAAATGAGGGCAGTAGCCATTTTGTGGCATAGACATACCTTATTATTCTTCAATGAAACACTTACTTAGGACCTGCTGGAAAGGCATTTTGCAGATGCGAGCAAAGGTCCTAATCCTGTAACTAGGAAGTGTACCCAAGTAAGCCTGACTTCATCAGTGAAAGTCCTTTAAAGAAACACATAGGCATTCCTTGAACAACATTTTAAATGGCAAATGGGACTCTAATCTTCCAGTTGCCCCCTATTGACTTTAAACCAAAGCTTTGATTCATGACCACTGGGATCCAGCCAGCGGGGGATTTCTTTTCCTGATGGACTGTACCCAGGATCTCACATTTGCTTAAGCAGCTCCCACAATTGGGTAAGTCAAGTCTTTGCACTTAATTCATATGTGAATCTCCCTAACTATACATATATCTTATGGGTTCTGCTTTTGTCTTTGAACCTGGACAGACCTGGGTCTGATAGATTTGTCTTCACTGTTTTGACAGTCTTGACCATAAGTCTTCTGGACCATTGGCAAAGAATTCCTCTATCAGAAGATATTTGAGTAGTCCCTTCTGAAATCTCTTTTTTAAAAAAAATAATTTTCATATAACAACAAAAAGACTTGGCATAGAAAGAAAAATATAGTCCATCTCTATCATTTGGATTCTGTATTTGTGAATTTGCCTATATGCTAAAAGTTATGTGTAATCCCCAAAATAATTCCCGTGGTGCACTCCTAGTCATTGTAGGACATCATGCACTATATGGAGAAAAACGTTAAAATCATAACTCATCTTTCACCCATGAGACTGGTGAAGTTTTGTAAATTCAATGAGAGACCCCAGGTTAGTGGGTTTATTTGGTTAATCAGTGATTTCTCTTAGAGTGGTAGAAAACAGAAAACAAAAAGGAAAGTTTTATCTTCCATTGGACTTCTCTGGAAATATCCTATAAATGTACTAAAGCAGCATTTAAGCTGGATGAGGTGGTTTATACCTGTACTCTTAGCACTTTGGAAGGCCGAGACCAGAGGACCACTTGAAGCCAGGAGTTGGAGAACAGCATGGGCTACAGAGTCATACACTGACTTTACCAAAAATTTCAACAAAAAAAATTAGCCAGGTGATATAGTGTGAGCCTAAAGTCGTAGCTACTTGGAAGGCTGAAGCAGGAGGATTACTTGGAATTCAAGGCTGCAGGGAGCTATGATTATGCTACTGCACTCCAGAAGGAGACCCTTTCTCTAGAATAAATAAATGTGCACTTAGAGGAATGCCTGTATCATGGAAGAAACTCAATAAACAGTATAAAATGCATCTTAGTTAATTTCTAGCCTATGTATGCTCTGACAGGATTTATGTTACATATGATTCATTCAGGCACTGGTGTTCAGAATGAAAGTGTGATGATAATTTAATCAGAGCTGCAAAGGTGTGTTCTAAATACTGCATAAACCTAATCATCTTTGTCTCCACCTTTCTGAATGCTCTAAATACCCATAAAGAGGTGGGTGTGGTCTTCACAGGTTCTTATAAAAGGACACGGAAGAGACAAGCTCAGTTTTCTCTGAAGGAGAAGGACTGCACTTAGAACTGCATTTTGGCGACCTCTGAAATTCAGTACTGCAGTGAATGAGCTTCTGATCTTGAGGTGAACTTAACAAAATTATTTTTGGAAAAATCGTTGTGGGAACCATTAAAAGAACTCCAGGGTGAGTGAAACATATTGATAAAATTATATCATCTTTCCTTTACACAATAATAAATTAGAGTGTTAAAAATATCTCATTATCTGAAATCTACACAATGATACCATTTGTAACTCATGTTCTTACTATAGATTTTATGAATTATAAGGATACTAATTGTTGTTATTTTGTGCTTTCTATGATTGTTTAATATAGTTCTGAAAAACTTAAAATATCTAGTGTTTGCTGCAACAGATATGTATTCATAATGAATATATGGAGTTGATACATATATGTACACATAGGTGTGTGTGTATATGTATGTAATGAGTGTATTAATATTGTCAAATTGAATTGAGAAGACATTAATGAATGATGAAGTTATTTGCTTTCATAACATTCAGGTTTTAGACATGACTTTAAATTAGTAAGGTAATGATGAGCGATGCAAAATAGTGAAACTAAAACAATGAGAAAGCTCCCCAAAATATCCTACTTTAGAAATCAAAACACAATTTTTCGAACAAGTAAATTTATAAGACCTAATATGGTATGTGATTGTGATTGTCATCTCACTTGAGTCTCAATCTTATTAAACTGTGAAAAATTTCTTAAAATGTCTTAGATGAGTTCTGGAAAATATTTGCAATTCTAAGATTTTTCACTGCTTTCACTTAAATTCAGAAGTGATATAAAACTAGCAGCTTTATGCTGCTTTATGCTAAAGGATTTAAAATTGCCAAAACAAAGATTATAGTTTTTATATTAGTCAGGGTTCTCCAGACAGAACCATAGGATGTATACATATATGTGTGCAGATACATTCATGGGCCATTTGAGTCAGCCACAAACCACATATGGGGGTCCCATAAGATTATAATACCAATATGTTTACTGTACCTTTTCTGTATTCAATTATGTTTAGATACACAAATAGTTATCATTGTGTTACAGTTGCCTACAGTATGCAGTACAGAACATACTGTACAGGTTTGTAGCCTATTGTAGGAACAATAGGCTATAGTGTATACCATAGGTGTAGTAGGCTATACCATCTAGATTTGTGTGGTATATTCTATCATATTAAAACAATGAAACCGCCGGGCTGGGCACTGTGGCGCGTGCCTAGAATCCCAGCACTTTGCAAAGCCAAGGCAGGCAGATCACTTGAGGCCAGAAGTTCAAGTGCAGCCTGGCCAAGATGGCAAAACCCCATCTCTACTAAAAAAATACAAAAATTAGCCAGGCCTAGTGTCACGTTCCTGTAATCCCAGGTACTTGGGAACCTGATGCAGGAGAATCGCTCTGAACCTGGAGGCGGAGGTTACAGTGAGCCGAGATCACGCCACTGCATTTCAGCCTGCGTGACAGAAGGATACTCTGTCTCAAAAAAAAAAAACAAAAAAAAACTAAAAACACCTGACACATTTCTCAGAACATACATCTGTCCACAAGCTATACATGATTCTACATGGGACAGAATTCATCAGGAAAATTAATTTGCTTGATTATGGAGTCTAGAGAGTTCCAATATAGGCTGTCTCTAAGCTGGTGTCCTGAGAATACCGGTATCCTGGCTAAGCTCAAGTCTGAAAGGTTCAGAACAAGTTTCAGGAGAGAGACGGAGGAAGTTGCCTTTTTTCTGCCTTTTTCTTTATATCTGAGGTGTCAGCTGATTGGATGGTGCCCACACACATTGAGAGATGAGGCTCCCACTCAGCTCACCAGCTCACATGTCTCTCTCCTCTAGAAACACCTTCACAGACTCACCCACAAACAATGCTTCACTAGTTCCCTAGGTGTTGGTTAATCCAGTCAGACTGATACCTAAAATTCACCATCACACTATGGAAATATAATTACACCTCTCTGAGTTTAACAAAAACCTCCTATATGTTAGTTCAGAGCTTGCACAGCCCTAGGGGAAGTTAATTTAATCCGCAAGAAAATAAAAAGACCCAATATCTTTAATAATTTTTCTTTTCCCTACTAGTGAAACTTGATTAGTTTAATTGCAGTCTTTTTCTTTGTTTATTTGGTTGGTTGGCTTTTTTTTAAATTTTGTTTTGATTTGGGTCTTTGTTTTTAATTTAATTTAATTTTAAGTCCTGGGATAACTGCAGGACTTGCAGGCTTGTTATGTAGGTAAACTTGTGCCATGGTGGTTTGCTGCCCGGCTTTTGTGACTCTCTATAAAAATATGTCATAGAACCATCTTCTCATATTTCTTTGGCCATCTTCTCATATTTCTTTGGCCCGGGTAGTTTTTTCCCTCCCACTCTTTCACAGTCATTCATCAGTTATTGAAAGAAGAATAGGGACAACTATGATTTATTCTGACCACTTAGAATCAAAACCCAATTTCCAGATCTATGTTCAGAAAATGGGTAGTTGAATAGGTTTGTATTATGCTACAGACAGGAACTAGGAGTAGAAGGGACTGTGAGTCCTCTGGTTAGTAATATCTGTTAGAAAGCCAGGAGACTCCCTCTAAGTGTAAATTTTTAAGTTTGTAACAGAAGAAATAGTTTGTTGTACTTTAATGAACACTGTCAAGAGAAGAAAATATAACTATCACATATCTCCACATGTTTAGAAGGTTTTCATCAACCCAGGCCCCAAAATGACATGTTTCTCTTTGTTCCTCAGAAACATGAATTCTGGAATCTTACAGGTCTTTCAGGGGGAACTCATCTGCCCCCTGTGCATGAACTACTTCATAGACCCGGTCACCATAGACTGTGGGCACAGCTTTTGCAGGCCTTGTTTCTACCTCAACTGGCAAGACATCCCATTTCTTGTCCAGTGCTCTGAATGCACAAAGTCAACCGAGCAGATAAACCTCAAAACCAACATTCATTTGAAGAAGATGGCTTCTCTTGCCAGAAAAGTCAGTCTCTGGCTATTCCTGAGCTCTGAGGAGCAAATGTGTGGCACTCACAGGGAGACAAAGAAGATATTCTGTGAAGTGGACAGGAGCCTGCTCTGTTTGCTGTGCTCCAGCTCTCAGGAGCACCGGTATCACAGACACCGTCCCATTGAGTGGGCTGCTGAGGAACACCGGGTAAGTGATGGCTCTGAAGATCGATTTCTGTAAAGGAAGCATAAAATTCCTGTGGGTCTATTTTCTTGGAGATTGGATAAAGCCAACTCTGAGTCCCTTTAAGCAGCTCTGTTTGGGCTTTCTTAGCTTCCAACCTCTGGGCTTTGACAAACATGAAGGGAAACAAAGGAAATGCCATTTACTAGGGGCTTATTTGTCTCTCATTCTGGGCCCCCTCCCTATGTCATGGTCTGCACTGGTGCTTCAATTTATGGCTCTTTTGCAGGAGAAGCTTTTACAGAAAATGCAGTCTTTGTGGGAAAAAGCTTGTGAAAATCACAGAAACCTGAATGTGGAAACCACCAGAACCAGATGCTGGAAGGTTAGTCCTGTACTACTCTACCTTCTCCAGGAACTTATGGTGGGCAAATGGGTGACTCTTAAAATAGGAACTTGATATCAAACTGTAATGTTTCTGGGATACAGTAAAAAAAAAAAGGCGAGAGAAAACACTGAGAAAAAGTGGCCTCATTTTTATATAGAATAGTATGCCTGTTAGGTAGGATTTCTAAGAAAACTACTGATGTCACCCAAAGCATGCTGGTTTGTTTCATACAAACCTATAGTTATACACCAACAGATCCAAGAAACTGGGCCATCTCAAAGCATTCTATATTTGCTGGTTGGATAAATGCTAGGCAAAAGGGTTATTTGGCAGTCATGGAATGCTCAACTGAAACTTCTGAGTGTCGGTCAGCATTAATCTGAATGCTAGTGTGCAAGTAGTATTTGGAATTGCATGGAAAATTTGAGGCAGAAAAAGTGACAGGGCAAATCTAGGGAAACCATGAAATTAAGAATCTCAACTAATTAATATTGAATAATACATAACATACGATGAGAAAAGCGGTGAGAAATACGGATTTGTGTCTTGAGGGAGACATGTAAACATGCCAGAAATATGGGAACTAGTATCTAAACATAAGGAGAACTCTGAGGACTTCAGAAAAACATTAAAATAATTTTCTCTTCGTGGATGTATATTTTGAGGGTATGATAGCTAAGATTAGTTTGTTGAAAAGTATTTCATGAGAACCTAGTCTATGTTGAATATTAAATTAGAAAATATACTAGTAAAGAAGAAAGGAAGCACCTTTGTCCTCACAAATCATACAATCCAAATAAGAGAGTCAAATTGTCAATACACAAATATATGCAATACATGATGTATTTGAGTGTGGTAGGTTTTTGTTGGAGAATAATCAAGCAGGGAAGTAGAAAAGGACAATAGAGGCCAGAAACTGGAGATTAGTGTTTGAGTTTTAAATAGGGTGGTCAGAAAAAAGACTCACTGAAAAATTCAAATTGAAACAAAGTTTTGAAGAGGAGGGGGAACACAAATGTGTGTGTGGATATATATGTGGACCATGAGTGTGTATATGTATGTATGTGTGTGTGGTTGTGTGTATATATGTATGTATGTATGTATGTATGTATGTGTGTGTGTTTGTATACATATATATGTAATTCTAGTTGGAGAGAACAGCATATGCAGTAATTTTGAGTTTGTGTATATTTGGAGGCCGGAAGAACCACAAAGAAGTCTATGTTTCAGACTGGGATGACTTAGAAAAAGAATAGAAGGAAATGAATTCAGGGAGACAAAGATGGCCAAATCATAAATGCAGCCTTATTAGGATAGGTTTTGCTGAGCGAAATGCACTTAGCTGGACATGCTAGTCTAAGGTCATTTTCATATAATGAGTTTAAGCAACTTGGTGCATATCTCAGAAATAGAAAGAATTGTTTCCTTTCTAGTAACTATAGCCCTATACTCCAACTCTCAAGCATGAACTGTTCTTACTTTGCCATAAATATGGGTTGGAATAGAGAAATTCAAATTGTGTTTTTTTGTTTTCAACTATCTTAGAAAACACATTATCTTGAATAAATTTAACGTAATTGGTCAGATACAGCTATGTTGATCTTTATGCAGAAAAAAGGAAAGGAACAAAATTTGTAGATTCTAAGAACTGGCAAGACAGAAGTTTGAACTATTGGACGTTCGAGAGACAAAAGGAATCAGTGAGATTTAATAGGAGATGGATATATACATTTCTCTTTTGACTAACCCATTATCACTGCAGGATTATGTGAATTTAAGGCTAGAAGCAATTAGAGCTGAGTATCAGAAGATGCCTGCATTTCATCATGAAGAAGAAAAACATAATTTGGAGATGCTGAAAAAGAAGGGGAAAGAAATTTTTCATCGACTTCATTTAAGTAAAGCCAAAATGGCTCATAGGATGGAGATTTTAAGAGGAATGTATGAGGAGCTGAACGAAATGTGCCATAAACCAGATGTGGAGCTACTTCAGGTAAAAACTCGCCATGTGGTTTCAGGTTTTTGAATATTCACATGTATAAGTATTTTCCTCATGGCTGAAATCCATCTCCCTACTTTTATTTCCATGATGTGTTTCCAAAAACACATTCACATAACTAATGCTACTTTGTTGGGAGAGTATAGCCCCACTAAGGGATTCTACCAGGCCAAAGGTCCCTCCTACTTTATCCACCAGCCACAAAACTTTGTGGAATGGTCAAGGTAACAGCCCCAAGAAATATTCCCCATCTAATTCAATAATATACTTTGGGTTGTTAAACATGTATAGAATAGTGAGTGATTCATTTACATTTAGGTTAATTTGTAAACATGGCAAGATCAGAAGTTTTGGGAATCTAGGTTTGCATTAACATTATTTTGGGGTCCACTCATTTGGGTAACAGGTTCAGTTAAAGATGACTGAGTAGGTTTTTCATGGTTACCACAGACCATAGACCTTCTGGGCCTCTTCTCCCTTCACTTCTTTAGAGAATGTCTTCAAGACTCAGACTTTCCCAGGACGTTAATTAATAACAATACAACTGACTGGGTTTTTCTTTACAGAAGAAACAGAAAATACTTTCCAGAAGAGAAGATGGTAGGGAAATAATATCTTCAGAAACTGAGTACAAATCTCACACTGAACTTAGTGAAAGATGCATCTTGTGAAATGCACTAAATCTTTCTTCTTTTTTTTTTTTTCAGGCTTTTGGAGACATATTACACAGGTGAGTGTGTACCTAGATTTTAGCATATGTTCTTTAAGATTCCACGACTATCAAAGCAGGCTCTATTAAAGTCATGGCATAAATAATTAAGATATTGATACCACTTTTTTTTGCATCTACTTTCGTTCCCACACCTTAAAAGACAAGGCCACGAAGTAAATAAATGAATAAAAGAAGAGTGAACTAAAACAAACAATTTGATTCCTGCTTTTGTTTTTTTTTTGAGACGGTGTCTGGCTCTGTCGCCCAGGCTGGAGTGCAATGGCGCCATCTCGGCTCACTGAAAGCTCCGCCTCCCGGGTTCACACCATTCCCCTGCCTCAGCCTCCCGAGTACCCGGGACTACAGGCGCCCGCCACCACACCCGGCTAATTTTTTGTATTTTTAGTAGAGACTGGGTTTCACCATGTTAGCCAGGATGGTCTCTATCTCCTGACCCCGTGATCCGCCCGCCTCGGCCTCCCAAAGTGCTGGGATTACAGGCGTGAACCACCGCGCCCGGCCCCTGATTTTGTTTTATTGCTTGAAAGCCTGCACAGGAGAAAGATAAGTTTTTTTTTGTGAATGGTGAGAAAGTCACCAGAGGAAGCAGGAGAGAAGAGGAGGAAGTATTTTAGCAGTGAAAAAGTGTTGATGTTTTGTTTTTTATACATATATACATATCAGTTAACAGTTCTGAAAAATAGATTGAAAAAAACTGTGGAGTGTTAGAACTGTGTAAGTCTCTAGGGAAGTTCTTTGCTAAAAGGGGAGAGAACAAGTTTCCATTCTTTATCTTGAGAAGGAAGCAGTGGATGCATCAGTCTCCCCAGAACCCCGCTATTTCAGACAAAGATGTCAGGGGAGTCTGCCAAGAAGTGGAACTCAGAATTTCGTTTCTAAATATTCTCAAGGCCATAAAGCTAAGGAACCTTACACATTTGGAGCAAAAAAAAAAAAAAGAAGGATCAGATTGGATTCTGGCTTAGATTCTTCCATCATGCTTTAAAATTTAGAAACTGTAAAGAATTAATTTGCAAAAGGAAGGATTAATTTTTGAATTATCAAATGTGTAGATTCAAAGGATTCTCTTGAAATGTCTTTTATATACAAATAGTGATTTTTATTTATTTTATGGCTGTAGATGTTGTAACTGCAGGTTTTTCCTTGCAGGAGTGAGTCCGTGCTGCTGCACATGCCCCAGCCTCTGAATCCAGAGCTCAGTGCAGGGCCCATCACTGGACTGAGGGACAGGCTCAACCAATTCCGAGGTAAGTCTCCACCCACAGGCAGCACTCCCACTATCTAAATATTATTATTGTTAGGATCACATAGGTAATATTTCATATTTTATCAAATATTTTACTTCTTTTAAGACATAAGTGAACAATATAACCATGCAACCCTTTGGTATCCGTGTCTGTATTTACAGTCAGATTTATAGCATTAAGTTTGAAAGATAGTGAAAAAGAAATACTTTCTGGCATAATATGTACTGAGTTATATAACGGGAAAAAGGAGTAGTGTAGAAAATTTTAAAAAGGAGCAAATGAAATAATGCTCAGAATGGTGAATTATTTAATGTTAAATACAAAATTGTGCATTTCTTTAGTGTATTCATTTGAACTGCTAAGAACTGTTCTTTAGGGGAATATAGTTTTCTGGAGATTCTTGGGGGTTTTGTATTTTTTTAATGTGTATATATTATTCATATATTGCAAACATTTGAATTAATAGGTAAAGCTAAAAGGAAGAAATCATTTTGTGGATATAAGTAAAATTACAAATGAAAATAAGTTCAGTTTAATTGCAATATGAAGAGCTACATGTTAAGTCTAAAATCCAGCTTCAGCCCAGAGCTAGCATGGAGGACCTCAGAGAGACTGGTCAAAGATTTTGCAGAGATCTGCTTTAAATTATCACTTATAACATGTACATATGGATTTTTATCCAGATATCTAGAGCAGTTCTTAAGTGAAAATCTTCACATTCACATTCTTTCCAAAATGATAGCACTAGTTTTTAAGAATAAGAAACATTTCTAAATAATGATCTTGATAACAGCATTGCATTTAGGGCATATAATGTGTAAATTTTACTTTGAAAATTGGATTGAAAGAAGTTGGTCTCACATTTGGCTCTCAATATGTAAGTTTTCAAAAAAAAAACATAATATCTGTGGTTAGGGTTTTGTTTGTCTTGTATATAATATTAACCATCTCTATACTTTACTAGAAGTTACAAGCAAAACATTTTATGACTTTACATTTGCTGGTAAAGTAACTTCTTGATAGAACAATTATTTTTTTCTTATTTACACATGTCTATGCATGTTTTCTTTTTTTTTTTTTTTGCAGTGCATATTACTCTGCATCATGAAGAAGCCAACAATGATATCTTTCTGTATGAAATTTTGAGAAGCATGTGTATTGGATGTGACCATCAAGATGTACCCTATTTCACTGCAACACCTAGAAGTTTTCTTGCATGGGGTGTTCAGACTTTCACCTCGGGCAAATATTACTGGGAGGTCCATGTAGGGGACTCCTGGAATTGGGCTTTTGGTGTCTGTAATATGTATCGGAAAGAGAAGAATCAGAATGAGAAGATAGATGGAAAGGCGGGACTCTTTCTTCTTGGGTGTGTTAAGAATGACATTCAATGCAGTCTCTTTACCACCTCCCCACTTATGCTGCAATATATCCCAAAACCTACCAGCCGAGTAGGATTATTCCTGGATTGTGAGGCTAAGACTGTGAGCTTTGTTGATGTTAATCAAAGCTCCCTAATATACACCATCCCTAATTGCTCTTTCTCACCTCCTCTCAGGCCTATCTTTTGCTGTATTCACTTCTGACCAGAGACAAATCAGAAATGTGTTCACATGCTGTGGGAACCCCTTTATCCCAGGAAGTCCTCTTCCTTGTGCCTTAACATACAGGACAAATAGGCTCTATTTTATGTCTTGAATTGCCTTCTAATGTTATCAAAACTCATTTATTGTGTTACTATTAAATATGCTGAAAACGCTAAAAGTATACGTATTGGTTCTTTATTAAATAATTTTTGAAAAATCATTATTCATGATCATGGCATACAGTATATTCTCTTTTTTTTCTTTATTTATGACTGTCACTGAGTGAAATAATAGATGACAGACATGTCTGAATGAAGTAAAAATCAATGGAAGACAGTCGGGATCTTTTGCTTCATGCAAAAAACTTGGAGTGAAGTCTCAATGATAACTGGGAAATGTTTTTCTTCCTCTTTATCTAACTATATTACACTTATCCATCAGGTTTCATTGTATTAATCTATCCTTTGAGGTAATACTATTTGACCTTCTATGCTGGGCTTTATTTTGCAATTCTCACCACAGATATAAATAATCCTTCATTATTAGTGTGCTCGTCTACATTGAAATACACAATGTGATCAGACCAATGCTGGATTAATTGAAATTTTTTTTAAAAAGTAACTAAATATTGACTCCTACCTCAAAACACACACAGTCATTTCCAGATAGATTGAAGTCCTGAAAGGAAGGGGAACCTGATACAATATTCTCATAAGGATTTCTTAACCAGGGCACAAATTAATAATTAAAACAATTAGTTCATTTATATTGATAATGATGACTTCTGTGTTTCAAAAAACATTATGCAAACTAGTAGTGGAGAAAGATATTCACCCCAACATACATAAAGTAAAATATAATACATGTATATGATGAATACTTAAATTGTAATAAATAAAAGACAGTGAACTCAACAGAAGATTGGCTAAAATATCTGAACAGACACTTTACAGAATTGGATACATAAATAACTAGCCAAATATAAAAAAGTGCTCACTTTCATTAGTCTTACAAAAGTAAGAATTAATCCACCAGTTGTACCACAGGCCCTCATAAAAAAATACCAAAATTTAAAGACACACAATATTGTGTGTTGTCAAAGATACAGAATAAATGAAATTTATTCATGGCTGGAGAGATGTAAATGGAAATCCCTTTTGGGAAACTGACTATTAGCATTTCTTATGGGCTAGATATTCTAATTCTAAAATATAGTCAACTGATTGCCTACATATACTTCAACATACACAATATTGTTCACTGCATCAATTTTTATAGTAGCTCCAAATTAGACCCAAAATATTCTTCAACCGTAGAATAGCTAAATAAATTTGGTGTATTTATGCAAAATAATCCTATAAAACAATAAATAACTCACTGAATGCAACAAAGCTGATGAATCTCAGAAACAAGTTAATAAACATATGCCAATTTAAACGATAAAATTGAAGTTAAGAAAAGACTTTTCCATGTATATAATATATTGGTAATTGTAAGCTCTTTATGGGTTCCATAATTACATGAACGCTGTGGAATTATAACTTTTAAGACCCAAAATGTCAAATAATGCATAAGGTAGTAGAATAAAATAGGAGCCCAGGCATGGTGGCACACACCTCCAATCCCACCACTTGGGGAGACCAAGGTGTGAGAACGTCTTGTGGCCAGGAGTTCCAGACCAGTGGAGGCAACATAGTCAGACCTCATGTCTACTAAACATTCCTTTAGAAATCAGCCTGGCATGATGGCACATGCTATAGTCCCAGCTACTCAGGGGGCTGATGCAGCACGATGGCTCGTGCCCAGAAGGTCCAGGCTGCAGTGAGCCATGGTGGTGCCCTGCAGTCCAGCCTGTGACAGAATGACAGTCTGTCTCATAATAAAACAAACTATAATTACTTGATATAACACAAACCAATATATTATAAATGCGCTAATTATAGGTATTTTAAATATTGATTTATTTAAAATAACTGAGAAAGCTGGGATAGCTACATGTTTGCTTAGACCAGACAAAAGTGCCTTGGGAAGTAAGTTTAAAGTATTTTTATTAGAGTAAGTGAGGATGAAGTGCTTTATTACCAATGTGATACACACCAGAATCTGCTATGAATAGTCTCATGTCTAGAGGATTTGCGGATATCTAGGTAAGCAGTAATTATTGGGTGCCTGAAGCCTAGCAGATGCATATTCAGTGTGTCTTCTCTGGAGATGTCTTCTCTGGAAAGTTTGATTTTTTTTTTCATTATACTTTAAGTTCTAGGGTACATGTGCACAACGTGCAGATTTGTTACATATGTATACATGTGCCATGTTGGTGTGCTGCACCCATTAACTCCTCATTTACATTAGGTATATCTCCCAATGCTATCCCTCCCCCTCCCCCCACCCCATAACAGGCCCCTATGTGTGATGTTCCCCTTCCTGTGTCCAAGTGATCTCACTGTTCAATTCCCACCTATGAGTGAGAATATGCACTGTTCGTTTTTTCGTCCTTGTGATAGTTTGCTGAGAATGATGGTTTCCAGCTTCATCCATGTCCCTACAAAGGACACGAGCTCATCCTTTTTTATAGCTGCATAGTATTCCATGTTGTATATGTGCCACATTTTCTTAATCCAGTCTCTTATTTTTGGACATTTCGGTTGGTTCCAAGTCTTTGCTATTGTGAATAGTGCCACAATAAACATACGTGTGCATGTGTTTTTATAGCAGCATGATTCATAATCCTTTGGGTATATACCCAGTAATGAGATGGCTGGATCAAATGGTATTTCTAGTTCTAGATCTTTGAGGAATCGCCACACTGTCTTCTACAATGGTTGAACTAGTTTACAGTCCCACCAACGTGTAAAAGTGTTCCTACTTCTCCACATCCTCTCCAGCACCTGTTGTTTCCTGACTTTTTAATGATCGCCAATCTAACTGGTGTGAGATGGTATCTCATTGTGGTTTTGATTTGCATTTCTCTGATGGCCAGTGTTGAAGAACATTTTTTCATGTGTCTGTTGGCTGCATAAATGTCATCTTTTGAGAAGTGTCTTTTCATCTCCTTCACCCACTTTTTGATGGGGTTGTTTGTTTTTTCTTGTAAATTTGTTCGAGTTCTTTGTAGATTCTGGATATTAGCCCTTTGTCAGATGAGTAGATTGCAAAAATTTTCTCCCATTCTGTAGGTTGCCTGTTCACTCTGATGATAGTTGCTTTTGCTGTGCAGGAGCTCTTTAGTTTAATTAGATCCCATTGGTCAATTTTGGTTTTTATTGCCATTGCTTTTGGTGTTTTAGACATGAAGTTCTTGCCCATGCCTATGTCCTCAATGGTATTGCCTAGGTTTAATTCTAGGGTTTTTATGGTTTTAGGTCTAACATTTAAGTCTTTGATCCATCTTGAATTAATTTTTGTATAAGATGTAAGGAAGGGATCCAGTTTCAGCTTTCTACATATGGCTAGCCAGTTTTCCCAGCACCATTTATTAAATAGGGAATCCTTTCCCCATTGCTTGTTTTTGTCAGATTTGTCAAAGATCAGATGGTTGTAGATATGTGGCATTATTTCTGAGGGCTCTGTTCTATTCCATTGGTCTATGTCTCTGTTTCGGCACGAGTCCGATGCTGTTTTGGTTACTGTAGCCTTGCAGTATAGTTTGAAGTCAAGTAGTGTGATGCCTCCAGCTTTGTTCTTTTGGCTTAGGATTGACTTGGCTGTGAGGGCTCTTTTTTGGTTCCACATGAACTTTAAAGTAGTTTTTTCCAATTCTGTGAAGAAAGTCATTGGTAGCTTGATGGGGATGGCATTGAATCTATAAATTACCTTGGGCAGTATAGCCATTTTCATGATATTGATTCTTCCTATCCCTGAGCATGGTGTGTTCTTCCATTTGTTTGTATCCTCTTTTATTTCATTGAGCAGTGGTTTGTAGTTCTCCTTGAAGAGGTCCTTCACGTCTCTTTAAGTTGGATTCCTAGGTATTTTATTCTCTTTGAAGCAATTGTGAATGGAAGTTCACTCATGATTTGGCTCTCTGTTTCTCTGTTACTGGTGTATAAGAATGCTTGTGATTTTTGCACATTGATTTTGTACCCTGTGACTTTGCTGAAGTTGCTTATCAGCTTAAGGAGATTTTGGGCTGAGACGATGGGGTTTTCTAAACATACAATCGTGTCATCTGCAAACAGGGACAATTTGACTTCCTCTTTTCCTAATTGAATACCCTTTATTTCTTTCTCTTGCCTGATTGCCCTGGCCAGAACTTCCAAAACTGTGTTGGATAGTAGAGGTGAGAAAGAGTATCCCTGTCTTGCACCACTTTTCTAAGGGCATGCTTCCAGTTTTTGCCCACTCAGTATGATATTTATTGGCTGTGGGATTGTCATAAATAGCTCTTATTATTTTGAGATACGTCCCATCAATACCCAATTTATTGAGAGGTTTTAGCATGAGGGGCTGTTGAATTTTGTCAAAGGCCTTTTCTGCATCTATTGAGATAATCATGTGGTTTTTGTCTTTGGTTCTGTTTATGTGCTGGATTACATTTATTGATTTGCGTATGTTGAACCAGCCTTGGATCCCAGGGATGAAGCCCACTTGCTCTTGGCGGATAAGCTTTTTGATGTGCTGCTGGATTCTGTTTGTCAGTATTTTATTGAGAATTTTTGCATCGATGTTCATCAGAGATATTGGTCTAAAATTCTCTTTTTTTGTTGTGTCTCTGCCTAGCTTTGGTATCAGGATGATGCTGGCCTCATAAAATGAGTTAGGGAGGATTCCCTCTTTTTCTATTGATTGGAATAGTTTCAGAAGGAATGGTACCAGCTCCTCCTTGTACCTCTAGTAGAAGTCAGCTGTGAATCCATCCGGACCCGGACTTTATTTGGTTTGTAGGCTCATAATTATTGCCTTAATTTCAGAGCCTGTTATTGATCTATTCAGGGATTCAACTTCTTCCTGGTTTAGTCTTGGGAGAGTGTATGTGTCCATTTCTTCTAGATTTTCTAGTTTATTTGCATAGAGGTGTTTATAGTATTCACTGATGGTAGTTTGTATTTCTGTGGGATCGGTGGTGATATCCCCTTTATCATTTTTTATTGCATCTATTTGATTCTTCTCTCTTTTCTTCTTTATTAGTCTTGCTAGCAGTCTATCAATTTTGTTGATCTTTTCAAAAAACCAGCTCCTGGATTCACTGATCTTTTGAAGGTTTCATTGTGTCTCTATCTCCTTCAGTTCTGCTCTGATCGTAGTTATTTCTTGCCTTCTGCTAGCTTTTGAATGTGTTTGCTCTTGCTTCTCTAGTTCTTTTAGTTGTGATGTTAGGGTGTCAATTTTGGATCTTTCCTGCTTTCTCTTGTGGGCATTTAGTGCTATAAATTTCCCTCCACACACTGCTTTAAATGTGTCCCAGAGATTCCAGTATGTTGTGTCTTTGTTCTCGTTGGTTTCAAAGAACATCTTTATTTCTGCCTTCATTTCGTTATGTACCCGGTAGTCATTCAGGAGCAGGTTGTTCAGTTTCCATGTAGTTGAGCGGTTTTGAGTGAGTTTCTTAATCCTGAGTTCTAGTTTGATTGCGCTGTGGTCTGAGAGACAGTTTGTTATAATTTCTGTTCTTTTACATTTGCTGAGGAGTGCTTTACTTCCAACTATGTGGTCAATTTTGGAATAAGTGCGATGTGGTGCTGAGAAGAATGTATATTCTGTTGATTTGGGGTGGAGAGTTCTGTAGATGTCTATTAGGTCTGCTTGGTGCAGAGCTGAGTTCAATTCCTGGATATCCTTGTTAATTTTCTGTCTCATTGATCAGTCTAATGTTAACAGTGGGTTGTTAAAGTCTCCCATTATTACTGTGTGGGAGTCTAAGTCTCTTTGTAGGTCACTCAGGACTTGCTTTATGAATCTGAGTGCTCCTGTATTGGGTGCATATATATTTAAGATAGTTAGCTCCTCTTGTTGAATTGATCCCTTTAGCATTACGTAATGGCCTTCTTTGTCTCTTTTGATCTTTGTTGGTTTAAAGTCTGTTTTATCAGAGACTAGGATTGCAACCCCTGCCTTTTTTTGTTTTCCATTTGCTTGATAGATCTTCCTCCATCCTTTTATTTTGAGCCTATGTGTGTCTCTGCACGTGAGATGGGTTTCCTGAATACAGCACACTGATGGGTCTTGACTCTTTATCCAATTTGCCAGTCTGTGTCTTTTAATTGGAGCATTTAGCCCATTTACATTTAAGGTTAATATTGTTATGTGTGAATTTGATCCTGTCATTATGATGTTAGCTGGTTATTTTGCTCATTAGTTGATGCAGTTTCTTCCTAGCATCGATGGTCTTTACAATTTGGCATGTTTTTGCAGTGGCTGGTGCTGGTTCTTCCTTTCCATGTTTAGTGCTTCCTTTAGGAGCTCTTTTAGGGCAGGCCTGGTGGTGACAAAATCTCTCAGCATTTGCTTGTCTATACAGGAGTTTATTTCTCCTTCACTTATGAAGCTTAGTTTGGCTGGATATGATATTCTGGGTTGAAAATTCTTCTCTGTAAGAATGTTGAATATTGGCCCCCACTCACTTCTGGCTTGTAGAGTTTCTGCCGAGAGCTCTGCTGTTAGTCTGATGGGCTTCCCTTTGTGGGTAACCTGACCTTTCTGTCTGGTTGCCTGTAACATTTTTTCCTTCATTTCAACTTTGGTGAATCTGACAATTATGTGTTTGGGAGTTGCTCTTCTTGAGGAGTATCTTTGTGGTATTCTCTATATTTCCTGAATTTGAATGTTGGCCTGCCTTGCTAGGTTGGGGAAGTTCTCCTGGATAATATCCTGCAGAGTGTTTTCCAACTCGTATCCATACTCCCCATCACTTTCATCACCAATCAGACACAGATTTGGTCTTTTCACATTGTCCCATATTTCTTGGAGGCTTTGTTCACTTCTTTTTACTCTTTTCTCTCTAAACTTCTCTTCTCACTTCATTTCATTCATTTGTTCTTCAATCACTGATACCCTTTCTTCCAGTTGATCGAATCAGCTACTGAAGATTGTGCATTCATCACGTAGTTCTCCTGCCATGGTTTTCACCTCCATCAGGTCATTTAAGGACTTCTCTACATTGGTTCTAGTTAGCCATTCATCTAATCTTTTTTCAAGGTTTTTAGCTTCTTTGCAATGGATTCGAACTTCCTCCTTTAGCTTGGAGAAGTTTGATCGTCTGAAGACTTCTTCTCTCAACTTGTCAAAATCATTCTCCATCCAGCTTCGTTCCATTGCTGGTGAGGATCTGCATTCCTTTGGAGGGGGAGAGGTGCTCTGATTTTTAGAATTTTCAGTTTTTCTGCTCTGTTTTTTCCCCATCTTTGTGGTTTTATCTACCTTTGGGCTTTGATGCTGGTGACGTACAGATGGGGTTTTGGTGTGGATGTCCTTTCTGTTTGTTAGTTTTCCTTCTAACAGTCAGGACCCTCAGCTGCAGGTCTGTTGGAGTTTTCTGGAGGTCCACTCCAGACACTGTTTGCCTGGGTATCAGCAGCAGAGGCTGCAGAACAGTGAATATTGCTGAACAGCAAATGTTGCTGCCTGATCGTTCCTCTAGAAGCTTCGTCTCAGAGGAGTAAGTGGCCGTGTGAGGTGTCAGTCTGCCCCTACTGGGGGGTGCCTCCTGGTTAGGCTACTCAGGGACCAACTTGAGGAGGCAGTCTGTCCGTTCTCAGATCTCAAACTCTGTGCTGGGAGAACCACTACTCTCTTCAAAGCTGTCAGACAGGGACATTTAAGTCTGCAGCGGTTTCTGCTGCCTTTTGTTCAGCTATGCCCTGCCCCCACAGGTGGAGTCTACAGAGGCAGGCAGGCCTCCTTGAGCTGCAGTGGGCTCCACCCAGTTTAAGCTTCCAGGCCACTTTGTTTACATACTCAAGCCTCAGAAATGGCAGGCGCCCCTCCCCCAGCCTCACTGCTGCCTTGCAGTTTGATCTCAGACTGCTGTGCTAGCAATGAGTGAGGCTCTGTTGGCGTGGGACCCTCTGAACCAGACGCAGGATATAATCTCCTGGTGTGCCGTTTGCTAAGACCATTGGAAAAATGCAGTATTAGGGTGGGAGTGACCCAATTTTCCAGGTGCCATCTTTCACAGCTTCCCTTGGCTAGGAAAGGGAATTCCCTGACCCCTCGAACTTCCTGGGTGAGGCGATGCCTCATCCTCCTTCAGCTCATGCTAGGTGGGCTGCACCCACTGTCCTGCACCCACTGTCTGACAAGCCCCAGTGAGATGAATCCAGTACCTCTGTTGGAAACGTAGTAATCACCCATCTTCTGCATCGCTCACGCTGGGAGCTGTAGACTGGAGCTGTTCCTATTCGGCCACCTTGGAACCCAAGTTTGATTTTTAAATGATTTTTAACTTCCCATGGCGGAAACAGGAAGGAATGCCTGGCAACCCAACAAGGGTCAGATGCCACATCAACCCGAGCAGAAGCTGCCTAACCCTGGCTATTCCAACGGCAATTAGACGTTCTTGGGAAGGTGGAGCCCTTTGTGGGAGCTCCACAAAGTGGCCACTTAAAGGTGACCGAGGCCTCTCAAAATCCCTGTGTTAGAGCTGCAGCTCTCCATGTGGGCTGCAGTGCAGTCACCAATGGAGCTTTAGGACAGGCCCAGAGCTCATCTCCCTGGACCAGTGCCTTGAGAATTTTCGCAGCAGGGATAGCCAGCTTGGAGAAGTGTGCCTGGGAGACCATGTGGCACTGCCTGGCTGGGTCCTCAGCTGACAGAGGTGAGGGTAGGGCTCATGGTGACTTGGTAACGCTGTGAATTAGGTACGTGTAGCAGGAAGGTGCCACAATGCCAAGGCCCCATGTTTTGGAAATTCCATGAGGTCCACATGAGGTTGAACTAAACACCAAGTGCAGTCCTCAAAGGAAAAATAAAATAAATACCCACATAAGGGACTCTTTGGAACTGAGTCTGGAAGAGAGGGCTGCCTGGTCCACTCCAGGAGAATTTGCCTAAAACAAGTTTGCTTCCCACTGCATTCTCTTTGCTTGTTGTAAACATCACCTCCTCCCCATTCCTTTATTTTGCATCATTCTGGGCTCCTTACTCTTGTTGCATCCTTTATTACATTTTAAGGATGCCTGGATTCGATTTACTTGAGTGCATATATGGCTTAATTTTGTATTTCTGTTAATCATTTATTATATTTCCCCCATTTTATCGAATGACACGTTTGTCTCATATCTTTTTTTAATATGTTAAAGATTTTGTATCCAGTTTATCTAAAACTCCTTGCTTAAAGTGAGTTTAATTCTAGCAATACCTACATGCTTATCTTTGCATTGTTTTATAATTTGACGATAAAAGTTTTTCCCCAATATACGACTGTATGGATAACACTTTTTAAAAAGATACAATAAAATCTGATCTCTCTGTCTCACTTGATCATGTGGCTGAACGAGTCAATCCCTCCAACAAATAGAAATATCCAGCATCACTTAATCTAATTAATAAAAACATCCAGTGTGCACGTGCACCCATGATGAGAAGAAAAGACAAAGCAAACAGCCCAAAAGGAGAGAATCCCATGATTTCTGTGTAAACTCCTACAGATATCATAAATATTTATTGCTAGGAACAGTATTTTAAATAAAAGGTCTTCAGGCAATTGTATTAAAACTGCCTTGGATACAAGAGGTCCTATAACTTGTAAAAATTGGCAAATTGGATAACGATTAAAAATACAAAATTACACAGAAAATACCCTTTAATAAATTGATTTTTTTAAATTGAGACAGAGTTTGGCTCTCGTTGCCCAGGCCGGAGTGCAATGGTGCGATCTTGGCTGCCTGCCACCTCTGCCTCCAGGGTTCAAGCGATTCTCCGGCCTCAGCCTCCCGAGTAGTTGTGCCACCATGCTCGGCTGATTTTGTATTTTTAGTAGAGACGGGGTTTCTCCATGTTGGTCACGCTAGTCTCAGACTCCCAACCTCAGGAGATCCGCCTGCCTTGGCCTCCCAAAGTGCTGGGATTACAGGCATGAGCCACCGCGCCCGGCCTAATAAATTGATCTTTAAAAACATCTTAACGGAGGTTCTCTAAAGGGAGCCTTTTAGGCAACATGCCCGCTAGGTGTACTGATTGCTAGGGTGGCTGGTGTCAGGCGAATCGATGTGGCTCCCCCAGCCCCTTCCTGGGAGCATCCTAGAGAGACAGCGCGGAAATACACGCGGCCCGGTGGTCCCGGGAGCTGCCACGGTGCCCAGCCCCGCGGCCTTGCCCTGCCCTCAAACCCCGTGTCAAGCACCCGCGGACTCTCACGTCCTCTTCTTCCAGGGCAGCGGGCGCTTCTCCTGCACCTTGGCCTGGCGCTTCTTCTCGGCCTCCTCCGCCTCGGGTTTCTCCTCCTTGGCCACCTTGTTATGCCACTTGGGTATCCGCAGGTGGCCGCTGTCCTTGGTGCTGCCCTTCCGCGCTGCCCTCTTGGGCTGGAAGGTGGGCGCGGGTGCCTTGCTGAGGCGGACCCGGGGCACCACCATGCCTGGCCACAAGCTGCTCCGCCGCAGGCGCTGCAGGGGCAGGAGGCTGGCCTTCCGCGGGGAGGGGTCGGCAGAGCCCCAGGACCCCGGCAGCGGGGCAGGTGGGAGGCCGGCTCTTGGGGATTCCTCACGGGAGCCCGCCGCCTCTAGGCCAGGCCGCTTGTGCTGCTCTGCGCCCTCCGTTTCGCCCGCCACCTGCGCCTGCCGCCCCCACCGACCCCACGCCGCGCCGCCAGAATTTCCTGAGTCGCCAGGATTTCCTGCACCGCCAGCCGCCTCTTCCCCACGCACAGGGTCCTCTCGGGGCACACGGTCTGGCACGCGAAGGCCACGGCGGGGCTGTTAGAGGCTCGTGGTCATCCTGACTATGTGGTCCAGGGCGCCCCGGTCCTCTGGGCCACGCACGGCGCCCGGCGTCAGCGCGGACAGCTCGCAGTCCCTGACCCTCTGCAGGCAGTTTTTGGAGCCCTCGGGCTTCTGCGCCCTCTCGTGGAGCGGAGGCAGCTCAAGCTGGTACTTTTCCCCCAACCGCTCCCGGCAGGGGCGCTCCAGGAGCCTCTGCATGAGGCGGACGTGTAAGTGGCCACTCCTCTGGCGACATCCCACGGCAGGGACCCTCGTGTGGACACCCGCCCCTACTAGCTCAGGGCTCCGATGTGATCGGTTCGACCCTGCATGGCGGCTTTCAACCCAAACGCATCCCTCCTTCAAGGTCAAGACCCAGGACATAGTTCACAAGTAGTTGGTGATGATAGCGTGCCCTGACTGGGCCTGAACAGCCTCTTTAGTAAAACAGCGCAGGAAAGTCATGAAACAGATGCTCAGCTCCTTTCTTCATTTTCACTTTAATTCCGTGATGCCTCTGTGTCCGTCTGACGACATCTCTCCTGGGGTCTGGGACTCTGCTGGTCTTCAATGCCTACTGAGAAGGGTTCCTGGCCATTATCAGGCATGAAAACCTCAAAGCCCTCCGTCCTCAACGTGGGATCCCTGGGCCAGCGGCATCAGCCTCACCAGGAAACCTGTTCTTCTGCTCATTCTTGGGCCCCACCCCAGGCCTATTCAAAGAAAGACTCCAGGGGCAGGGCCTGGCAGCCTGTTTCCACCAGATCTGTGTTAAAGCTCAAATGAACCAGCCCAGGTGATGCTGACGCAGGAAGGGCAAGGCTGAGAGCCAGTGTCTAAGGCAACAGTGCCCATGGGGCCAGGGGCAGTTCCTGCCTGTGCAGCTATGATTAGGGCTGCGTTCCCCTCCCTGTCCTGCCAGTTGACATCAATGTGGGGGTACTCAGCTAAGGCCACCACGGTATATCCACAAAGTCGTGGTATCAGGCGACATTAAGGCCGGTCCAGCCATTGTGGTCAGTCTCCCGCGCCTTCTTAAAGCTCACCCCACACCGCACCAGCGTCCGCCTCTGCCCCGCGCCTCCAGGACGCCCTCCTCCGGTACGCTCTCCACGCCCTCGACGCCGTGCTCCTCCTCGTCCTGGAAAGGGGTACAAAGAGTCGTCAGAGGCGACGCTGCGAGTGTCGGGCAGACTGGAGAAGTCCTGGAACTCTTTGAATTCAGTGCGGTCCTCCTCGACCTGTGCGCCTAGGAGTGGGGATGGCGGTGGCGGGATCATGCAGCGCGCCCCGCCACCCTGCGGCCGAGTCCCAGCCAGCAGCACCATGCCGGAGGCGTGGGCGGGGGATCGCGGCACCGTCCGGGAAAGCCTAGTGCCCGCCAAGGTCCCTGCCTCTCACTACTGAGACCCCAGAGAAGCCCTAGCTCCCGCCCCAAGCCCGGCGGAAACCTCCCTTCTTTTACATTATTAAGTTTGTTTTTATTTTAATTTTCTTAGGACATTGATAAAATCACTTTCGGATTATTGGGATTAAAAATTAAATAATTTTCAACTTTACTCTTTTTTAAAATTCTCACAATTTATTTTAATGCTTTTATTCTTTTGTAAATTTTAATTATTGTAATTTATATCTTCAATTATTATGGAAGAATTTTAGAAAAGTCTTTTCACATAATAAAGTCTAATTAATGAACTATTATTTATTCTCTCCTCTATCTCAAATACGGACTTTAAACTTTTAGAACACTTTATGTTTTGAGACTCTTGTTACTTATGTGACATTTTAACTATTATTCTTCACTCTTCTAGTGAATTTTTAATGTCATTCAAAGGGTACATCTTTCTATAGTGAGAATTAAACATAGTTCTCAAAAATATTCTCAGATATTTAGAATTTCATCTTCCACTGGCATGTTAAGTATGTTCTCCTTCCCTTCTAATGCATATTTTTCCCCCAAGTCCTGGTGTTATACTCCTTTTTCGCCCTCCATTCAAGAGGTGATTTTATTTATTTATTTATTTATTTATTTATTTATTTATTTATTCACTGAGGCAGAGTCTCACTCAGTCTGTCACCGAGGCTAGAGTGCAGTGGCATGATCTCCATTCATTGCTATCTTTGCCTCCTCGGTTCAAGTGATTATCCTGCCTCAGCCTCCATAAAAAATCTGTAACCAGGCTATTGATAAATAACTTCTTTTAGGGATAAAAACCTCAGAAAGTTCAAGATTTCTGGATTAATGATTGACAATGTTCTTAGTGATCTCTCTGATTTATTTCAATTGTAAGTAATTCTTGGTGATATTCTAACATAAATTCTGACAGATGAAGATAATAAATGAATTAAGTATCTCTAGGAGAATCAATACAATAAGATTATCTTGGTTAAATGGTTGAGAAAACATGGTAAATAGACACAAAAACTTTTTCATCTTCCAAAATCAGAGTCAAATACTAAATGATCATAAAGTAGCTAATACTGTCTTTCTGCAAAGTGAATCTGAGCTAAATTAAAAGAATGTCAGGAATAAATTTTTCCTTGAAAACTAGGAACAAATAATGTAATTACATTATGAGGCATTGACTGCTGCATAGAGTTCTAGCATCAACAGAAAAGCTCACAAAACATAGGAGAAAATCAAAAAAAGGAGTGCTGGGTTGGAGCCCTAAGGTGAATAATTTTATCATCTCAGATCGCTTGGAAAAAAGCAGCAAGTCCAAAAGAAGCTGGTGATAAGCTTTCTCTCTGCTAACCCCTAATGTTCTGCATGAAATGTGTGAAGGCAGAAGAGAGACAGTTTATTATAGTCTACATGGTATAGAGTGAAGGAATAAGAGAACATTTCTGATAAGTGTTTTCAAAATTTGGAGAATCATTCCTATCTAAATCATTCATTTAAGGGACTAAAATACAAGTATGATGTTTCTTGCCATCTAACCCTCAGCTAGCCAGGCTCTAAAAAGGACAACACTGGACACCTCGACAGTGGTAAAAAGCAGGGTTTACTCACTCTTGAATACTAAGAAATGGTGCTAACCTTAGGCAGCAGCTTATCTATTTGGTTGAGGTTCAGCTTTGTTTCATTGAACAAATCTCTTGGGTTATTTTCAGTTGTGCCAGTCATTTAATTTGTTTTCTGAATCAAATGTTAAGAATAAATATGGTTTTGAGTGTAAACAGCATTCCCAGATATATCTTACAACTTGGTGTGCCATCTGCCTAATTTTGAACCTATAGGATGGGAATAAATGCATTGTGAAAAACACCAGGTGATTTCCTTAAAGCCAAATACTCTTGTCCCTCCTACTTTTCTCCCGGCTTTCCTGCTGCATGGGACATGGCAATAAATGGGAGTTTCCTGCACACAGAGGTAAAATTCACTGGTTGAAGATGTCAGTTTTCTTCTTGACCAACTCCTATATTGGTACAAACATGTGAGAGAAATGCATCTTCTGAATCATTTCAAATTTGTGGTCTTTGTTAGAGCAGGTAAGCCGGTGCCCTAGGAGATGTAGCTATTACATTCTATTATAGAATTTTCCATTCTCTATCATCTGGATTCTTATTTAAAGTGTAAACTAATTTTGTTCTTTCTACTGCATAGGAAGGTTTATACCACTTTATGCTTAGCAAGTAATTAAATTTATATGTCAGTTTAAGGCCAGTCTCCACTATTCTAAGTCCTGCTCCTCTACCCCATCATCTTATATAGGAACCTTCATCTTTCAAAGGTTTATATTAAAAAACCTAAGACAATTGAAATCAACCCTATAAAAATTATGCTACAATTATTTTAAACCCTAACATAATAGTATTATCTTTGATATCAATCTGAAAATCAATTTATGTCTTATCTTTTGATAGATATTCATTAGTATGTTCTATCCTATTTTGTTACGTACATTTTGGAAAAGTTTCTCAATGTTAGAATAATATTTATACATACTAACTCCTCTACTTAATCCATTTATTCATCTTATTTATTGTATAATCTATTCTAAAAATCGCATTCGATAATGGTAATATATTAGCAAAGAAGACAAATACTGCCATTGCCCCCTTGGACTTTTCAATCTGGTAGTAATAAGTATAAGAGTTTTCTGAATGTTATAATCTGATATAATATACTTGAGAAGATGTAATAGCAGAGCAACCCAGCACTGAAAAACTTTTGTATGAGCTGAAATGCGATTAATAACTAGGATGTTGAGAAATAATAAAGTCTGTGAGGTCAACTTAACTTGGTCAGACTTAGAAAGAAAATAAGCACACTTCTTTATTCTTTGTAAGATGAGATATCCACCACTTCATTTTTCTACCCCAGCCTGGTTCAAATATACAAGTAAGACAAATGGTTTACAGTGTGCACAAACTGAAAACATACTCTCTGAAAAATAAATCAGATTAAAAAAAGAACTTATGTTGTATGATTTTATTTACCCGAATGCAAAAACATAAAAAGTAGATTAAGTGTTCTGAAGGAATGGGGGAGGGTGAATGCAGAATAAATGTTAAGGGGTATTGGGATTCTTCTGGAAGTGATAAAAGTGCCCAGGCAGAAGAGAGCTCTGATGGCTGCTCAAGTGTGATATACTAACAATCTCTGAATTAAATACATTAGAACATGACTTTCACAGTAAGTGAATGAATCTCAAAAAACTTGTACAAAAAAAGCCATTATTGATGTTCTAGTAAAGATTCCACAATAATTTATTAATTAAAATAACTTAATTAATGAATGTATACATTCAAGGTGGTTATCCCATTTATAACCATAAAGTAATTACATTCCATGAAGTTACAGTGCGCTCACAGGCTCTCACACATAGTGTCTTAGGACAGTATTTGCCTTATATATGGGAGGTCACAATAAATCATCATGAAACCAACTTTTCATGTACAACCAAAGCAAAAGAAAGGCCTCAGAGGGGACGAGAAGGAGGAAGGAGGAAAACCATAGATAAGAGAACCTTTAGAAACATCAAAAAAACTCACAGATCCATTATCATAATCCAGAAACACCCCAACCCGACCCAGAGGCCTTTGCACATACTGAATTAAAGGTGGAGAGTTGGTGGAGAGACTATAGTGATTGCTCCTCTTTGAGGAAATTAAAAAAAATCTTTCATCAGAATCAATAACGATATTGGTATCTGCTGTTCTGGAATCTCGACAGACTCCCAGAATCCAGTTGGAGGAGAGGGTCACATCCACCTCCCAGTAATGCTTGCCGGAGGTGAATGCTTGTGCTCCCCACACAGCAAAGCTGTCCACTCCCTGGGGATCCGTGGGAGCACTGAGATGGTCATCTCCAAATATCACATATCTCACATCCTCAGAAAGGCTTATATAGCAAGGAGTCATTTCCGTACTCAGAGCATTATCCACTGACAAGGAAAAAAATATTATATTAGTGAGTGTTATGAGGGACAGAGGCTCTGTGGCCCAATTATTCACTTCATTTGCTCTTCTTCCAAGAAAATACAGAAAAAAGGAAGCCAAGAGAGTTCAGCCCCATGCATCCATGAAGATGAAATGTTATTACACCTCTACAGCATATACAATTATGTATTATTCTTTTAATAATAGAGAAAAAATGTGACCATATCACTGGGCAAAGTAATGATTTAATGTCTATCTCTGCACAGTTTGTTTCAGAACATATCTAAAATGTATTTTTTTCTTCAATAGAAAAATCTTCTTGTATTATTTGTCTTTAAGATCATCAACAGGTAGACATCACTTTGCTGTGATGTGAGTATTTATTGGAATGTAAGTTATGCCTGCTATAGTCTCAAACATCAAAAATTTGGTAGAAATTAACACATGTAAAGTTTATAAGTTTCTGAAAAGAATATTCTGGCTTTACATTATCTGTTTAGCCCCTGATTCAATCTACTCTGGGTTCCTGCTCTCTGCTACCTAGATCTGCTCTCTAGAATGGGCCTAGCATGGTTAGGTCATGTTCACAGATCCCTCACCTTCTGCTTGTTACGAGATGTTTCTGATGGCATTAGAATTGTCTGGATTATGGATATTTTAGTCATTTTCTTTGTTGATCAAAATGTTCTGATTTTGTAAATAATAAAAATTACTTATAGAATGCATGTAAATGCACATAGAATAGAAATAATTAAAAACCATTATGCCAAATCTAAGCCTTCAAAATTGAATTAAATTGAATAAACACGAAATACCGATGCCGCCATGAGAACTAGTGTCTTCATAACTACATGACCTGAATATTCTTTGTCCTCTTATTCTGCAGATAAAGTATGTATCTTGCTTTACATTTTCGTCAAACTGTAAGTCAGGAAATTGAGTTTTGATCATTGTAATATTACTATGCAGGTAGGGAAGATGCACATGTTTCGGAAAACTATGTATTACCTACATGTCAAAACTAACAAAACTTAAATGGGAAAAGCCTCAACCAAGGGAACCAATAAGGAAATAATTTGAGGCTGGAATGCCAAGCAGCTGGCTCTTACCTCTGAAGTTGTTGAGCATGTCTAGGACTCCAGTTATGCACCATGAAGTGAGCTCTGGGTTCACTGGCTGGGGCTTTTGCATCTGTGCCAAATCAGTCCTGCAAAAAAAATGGCCTCAGTTATATTTCCAGGCCCAGAGCTAATCACACAGTCATACAAAGATATCACATTTTCATATAAGATGTTTCCTCAGAATTCTGCCAGTTTTGGTTAACTGGGTATACACTTTATTCCACACTCTAGGGGCAATAAGGATGTTACTTTTTCTAAATTTTACTTGCATAAAAACCCAGTTTCCCCAGATATGTTATTCTCAGACATTATACAACTTCTAAAGTCATTAAAAGTCATTGCCTCCCTCTGCCCATCACACCCCTTGAGGGTATGCAGAAATCCTGGAAATATTTCAGAGAGCAGAAAACTCAGACAAAAACCTTTGGGACCTCAGCCTGCAGTTGTCACTAATGCTAGTCAGTGTCTAACAGAGAATGTTCACTGAGGCAAAAGTCTTTAATCTTTTGTGCAAAACAAAGGAGTCTAATTCCAGCCTGAGAACCTTGCTGCTGAGGGGCCCGAGGTAACCATTTTCCTGAGGTCTTTCCTAGAACTGGGTGTATGGTGATGGAGGAGGCCCGGGTCATTGATGCTTTTAGGAGCAAAATATCCCTCCTCAGCCCTTCCTTAGGGAATCTCTCTCCTCCCTCTGTCTTTTTTTTTTTTTTTAACCTCCCACCCCTCTAGAGTAGAAGACACCTCTATGATTCCTCAGAGTAATTTTGTATTAAGATCTGTGGGGTATGGTTGGTCAGGATGGATGGATTGGGAAACCAAACTTCCGAATGGCAAATTGTTTCTATGTATATTTTAATTCATACAAATTGTAAGATGGAAACTTTCCAGACCAAAGAGAAGAAGACCTCAGGCCCTCTTTTGAAACAAAATCGGAAATAGGCACTGAGAATGATGTCAGTACCTCAAAATGTATACATCCCCTTCATTCACAAGAGAACAAATTTTTCAGAAATAGCATTTTTTTTTAGTGTAAACTCACCTTGCCGATACATTTCCCACATGCTGCAAAAAAATATATATATAATGTTAATTATGAGAGATTTTTCCTTCTGCATCTTTTCTCATACTCTTGTTTCTTTCTGTTTTAGTGTTTTAATAATGTATATCTTTTTATTTCCCTCTAAGGAATCATTCAAGGCTATGTTAATAACAGAACCTCAACTGAACAATGAAAAGCTTCATCAGTGGGCATTAAGAAGAAAGGAGCTCAGCAAGAGAAGATGGAGTAAAGCAAAGATATCTAGGTTTCCAGTGTCATTAATTTCCTAACCTTATTTCCAAGGAAAGCTCTGACCACACATGACAACTATTAAAACAGAGAACCATATGAGAAACAGAGTACATGGACATTGATGAGCAGCTTTGACAAACCTTGCCCAGGCAAGGGGAAACCCCTCAATGTCTTCAGCAAATCACTGCTGTGTGGGACATTAGAGAGTGAGGAGGAACTAGGGCATATACATGGATATTACTAACCTTCCCCTGGCCTAGAGTTCTAATGATCTTAGATGATCTCTCTTGTGGATAGTACTCCAAATTATATTGAAGAGAACTGTGTTATATGTTATCTACTAAATTGGCAAAAATTTCCCAAAGATTACTAAAGTATGCAGTAATAAATGACTGGAAAAATGTAATGGTGGAAGTCAGACAGCATGTGTCACTTAGCTTAGAGCAGTGACATACGCAGGTGATATTTGCATGTCCTGGCAGCGTTGTTCAGCAAAGGCTTCCTGTCTCTGAGGATGGACCCTCCCTCCTCACCTGGAGCAGCTCCACGTCAGGCATGTGGCATGTCTCCCACAGCTCTCTGTACATGTCTTTCATCCTTTCTAAATGTTGGGTCATTCTCACTTGACTGTCTTGTAGTTGTTGGAAAAGCTCTTTTGCTTCTCTTTCCAGTGCCTGCAGATGCAGTTGCTCCTCCTCATTGAGAAATAGATGCATCTTTTGATACTGAATAGTGATTATCCTCTTCCTTAATGACACATAGTCCTGCAGAGATGTTTGGTTAAAAGGATTACATATTCTCACTCTCAATAGAAAACTTCAAATAATTATATGCAGCGTGTAATTAAGCAATTTATAAACTTTCTGCCTCACTCTTGCAAAGAGTCTTGAATATTTGCTATCTTTTTCTGTCCATCTTTTTCAATGTTCCTATTCTCTCTCCCTTTTTAAATCAAACCTATATAAAGACTCCTGGTTTCCGTCACTGTGACGCTTCTTCACAGTTCTTACTGGGTCAATTGTTTCCTCTATTAATCTCTCTTTTAGGATTTTTCCATGTCTGCTTCGCCTACATGTTAAAAAACATTTAGCCATACACCATATTATGCAGTTTTTTTTTACTTTTACTATATTTTTACTCTATATACTATTCTATTTCTTTCATCTTCCTCACACCCAATCTTAGTGAAATGTTGTCTCATCTGCAGTGTCTGAAAAGGTTTATGCCAACCTTCAAATTTGAACTAGAATACACATCATGCCGTTTATCCAATACACTAGAATTAATTTGGCTAGCTTGTGTGGGCTTCTCTGTTTGCAATTCCTGTTATATCAATTGAAATCACTACATTTTCTTGAGATGAAATCACTATCTTTTAACTGGTAGTTTGAATTTAGCTAAAAAGTATAAGCCAACTTTGTGTTTATTTGCGTAAAAACAAAGGAAACATTTTCATTCTTACCACTAATGAACAAAATTTGCTAGTTTCCTGATTTAGATTGTTTCGTGTCTCTTGATTGATTTTCCATAAATAGTCCATTTCCTTTATAAGTTTCTCCTGCAAAAGAAGCAAGAAGCTTAGCAATGATGAAGACAGTAGATTTCATCCCCTTATCAATAAAAAAAAAGGCTGTAATTGAAAGAAACATAAATTAAGTTAGAGTGAAGCGGTCAGATTTTTCCAAGTTAAACGAATATGATTCTAATAATTTGGATGTGAAAAGTGATAGAAACATAATAGAGAGTTTTAAGGGACCCTTCAGATAATATCATCAATTTTCTGAGAAACTGGCTTTTACATAACCTGACTTTGAAAAGTGTTCTTGGTGCTGGCCACCAGCTCCACAGCTCCATTCTATATGTTTGAACAATGTTTTTAAGGAAACCTCCTTTAGCGAAGTCTCAACACAGCTATGATTAGAGTGCCAAATTAGCCAGCAACATTGAAAGGACACATTCATGTGTTATGATTGACATGGAATAATCACCACCTCCATCATCTGCATTCTCATCACCATCATTATCACAGGCCCTCATCATTCTTATTTGGGATTCTGTATAATTCAAACTGCCTTAGAGGCATCACGTACCCTGCATTCCTCAGCAGCCCATCCTATTGGGTGTGGCTGTGAGCCATGTGCTCTGGTGACTCAGAGCAGGGCCCACAGAGCAATCTCTTGTCAGCCTCACAGAAGAGCTCCTTAGTCTCCGCATGGAGCACACAGATATTGTCTGAGCTGTTGATGTTCTGAGGTCTGGTCTGTCTGGCTAGGGAAGACAGCTTTTTGAGTACCACATTGGTGTTGAAGTTGGGCTTCTCTGAGGTTTTTCTGCACGAAGGGCAGCGCATTGGTGCTCTGCCTTCTTCTGAGCAGAGGCAGAGGCAGGGCCTGCAAAAGCTGTGCCCACAGTCAATGGTGACCGGTCTATGAAGTAGTTCACGCAAATGCAGCAAATGAGCTCATTCTGGAAGACTCGCAGGGCATCAGAATCCATGTTTCTGAAAATTAAAAAAAAAAAAGTGAGAATTTCTTTCTCTTATTTTTATTTGCCCCGATGAAAAGGAAAAAAAGGCCGGTGGACAATTTTCTTTGTCTACTTGAGCTCTGTCCAACATGTCGAATAAGTTAGCTCCAGTACAAACTGAGACATAGTAAATGCAAACATGCTGGATTTATAAAGTTTTCGCTCAATAGCCATTGAAGATTTGGTTCAGGACTCCCTGACATACCAAGATCCTAAGATGTTCAAGTCTCTTATTAGTAAACGGTGTGGGATTTGCATGTAACGTAAACCTATCCTCCTGAATACTTTATCTCTAGATTACTTTGAATGCCTAATACAATGTAAATGTTGTATAAATACTTGTAATGCCACACTGTTTAGGAACAGCAAGAAGATTAAAAATATGTACAAGTTTGGCAGAGTGCGTTCACTCATGCCTGTAATTCCAGCACTTCGGGAGGCCGAGGCAGGCGGATCATGAGGTCAGGAGATCAAGATCATCCTGGCTAATACGGTGAAATCTCGTTTCTACTAAAAATACAAAAAATTAGCAGGGCGTGGTGGCACGTGCCTGTAGTCCCAGCTATTTGGGAGGCTGAGGCAGGATAATCACTTGAGCCCAGGAGGTGGAGGTTGCACTGAGCTGAGATCGTGCCACTGCACTCCAGCATGGGTAATAGAGTGAGACTCTGTCTCAAAAAAAAGTACATGTTCAGTATACCTGCTTTTTTCTTCCTGTAAATATTTTTTTATCTGAGATTAGTTGAATCCACGGGTATGAAACATGGATATGAACAACCATGATTCAAATGATAAAATGAGACGAGAGTCCTCATGGCATTTTTGTTAAACAAGCCGTGCTCTCAGTCATTCCCAGTTACCTAGACAAGCTTAAAGCCTGGGCGGAGGGTAAAAGCTGGGATGATTTCTGAGTCACTTATATAAGCTAATTGATGAAGAAGCACATTCTGAATGTCATCCTGTCTCTGTCATTCTATCTCTCTCAATAATTCCATGATGATAATATATGAAAGACACTTAGTATCTATGGTATTATTCTATACTCCCTGCCTCCAAACTCACCTGTGAAGTTTGCTCAGACAATTATAAATAAAGTAGCTTTTATCTAAGATTGAGTAATCAGAGTGGACCGTCAACTCCTAAAATTATCAACCATTAAATTTGTCCTTTTAACTTTAATATCAAAACTCTTCCTTTCAATACATTAAATGTAATTAATATCTATTATTTTTAATTTAGGAAAGTTTTTTCCCATTGCCAATTCAGATGATTAGAGAGAACACTTTCACATTCTGAAATAGCCAATATTTCAACTATAATAATTAACAAGAATTAATCAACTGTTAATTATCTTCTAAAATAACAACAAAAAAAGTGAAGATATGTATTAGGTTTTCCACTCTACACTAGAAAATCCAGAAATACAGTTAATGGAAGCATGGCCACCAATTCACCTTTCCCCTTAGTGACTTGGAAGTTGTAGCCTCTGGGAAGCCCTTGCCAGTTGGTTAGGTCTATTGATCTATTTTCTTTCTTTCTATCTTTTTTTTTTTTTTGGTTGTTGTTGTTGTTGAGATGCAGTCTTGCTCTGACTTCAGGCTGGAGTGCAGTGGCACGATTTCAGCTTACTGCAACCTCAGCCTCCCAGGTTCGAGCAACTCTCCTGCCGAGGCCTCCCAAGTAGCTGGTATTACAGGCACCCACCACCACGCCAGGATGATTTTTTTGTATTTTTAGTAGAGACCGGGTTTCACCATGTTGGCCAGGCTGGTGTCTAACTCTAGACCTCAAGCGATCTGCCTGCCTTGGCCTCTCAAAGTGCTAGGCTGCAAACATAAGCCATCATGCCCAGCCGATTAAATCTATTTTCAACAGCTTTCACATCTAGTCTGCAAACTGCAAATTTTGAAGAGACAGCAAATAAGACCTTTGCAACAAGAATTTTCAAAGTAATTCAACATTTTTAACATTTCCTTTGGCGTACGTTACAACCATTACTACATGCCCACATTCTAGTGAACATTTTAGGTATTTTATGGGTTCTATCATTGCATGAAACTATGGAAATATATCTTTTCACACTTAAGAAAAATCTAACAATACAGAAAACAGTCACATCAAAGGAATCAAATAGCAAGGGAACACAAACCATACCTTACAAATTGAAGATACTTTATATTGATTTTCTGTAAAATCACTAAGACAGTTACTTGTTTGCTTAGAAAAGACCCAAGCATGCTGCCAGGTAAATTTAAAGTATTTTGAAGAGAAAAAGTGAGCATGATGGGTTTACTGCAAATTTTATACTCACAAGGCTACTATGAATGGTCTCAGTCTAGAAGCTCTGTAGATATCCAGATTAGAAGTCACTCCTGGCTCTTCAAAGCCCAGCAGTCACAAATCCAGTGGGTCCTCACTGAAGGAGGGAGAAATCTCTGGACAAGCATCCTTTTAAAGTGTATGGGCCCACGGAAGACCACACCCACTTCCTGAGATGGATTGGATTGCATAGAAAGGGATAAATTGGCTGATTAGGTTTATAAAGTATTGAAAACCAGACTTGAGGGCTCAAAGCTCAACAGACAAGTTTGGAATGAGACGCAAGAAAGTTGACTTAACACAGTTTATTCAAAGCAATATTTTAAGTAGCTGGGCAAGGAAGGTGGCTCATGCCTGTAATCCCAGCACTGTGGGAGGCCCACGAGGGTGGATCACGAGGTCAGGAGTTCAAGACCAGCCTGGCCAAGATAGTGAAACTCCATCTGTACTAAAAATACAAAAAATTAGCCGAGTTCGGTGGCAGGCACTTGTAATCCTAGCTACTTGGGAGGCTGAGGCATGAGAATCACTTGAACCTGGGAGGCAGAGGTTACACTGAGCCGAGATAGCACCACTGCACTCCAGCCTGGGTGACAGAGCGAGACTCTGTCTCAAAAGAAAAAAAAAAAAGAAATATTTTAAATACAACAATTATTTCATTAAATATTATCACTTGCTAACTTTTTTTTTCTTTTGAGACGGTATCTTGCTCTGTCGCCCAGGCTGGAGTGCCAGGGCTTGGTCTTAGCTCACTGCAACCTCTGCATCTCCAGTTCAAGTGATTCTCCTGCCCCAGCTCCCAAGTAGCTGGGATTACAGGCACCTGCCACTAAGCCCAGCTAAGTTTGTATTTTTACTAGAGACAGGGTTTCACCATGTTGCTTAAGCTGGTCTCGAACTCCTCACTTCAGGTGATCTGCCCACCTCGGCCTCCCAAAGTGCTGGGATTACAAGCGTGAGCCACTGCACCGGGCCACATGCTAACTTTAAATTTTTGTTTCTCACTCTGTTTTAAAATTATAGTTGCTTATGTGCCTAGCCGTTATTTGTCTGAATATGTTCAAAGATAAAACATTAACTGGGATTACCAACACATCCGTGCTGTGTAACTCTGTTGTTTAAAAAAGTATAGCAAGGAACTCAATTGTGTTTCACATAATTGTATATATAATGGTTGATAGAATTAGTTGTATCAGCCTGATTTTCTTATAGTCTATTTTATGGCTATTTTATGTCTTATAGTCTATTTTATGACTATTTCCTAATGATTGTTTTGTATGAAACTAAAATCTATTTTTTATTCATCCACCTTTTTGAATAATTTTAAAAGTGATACTTTACATATATATGTACATAACTATAACAATGTTATGTATTCATATTTTAAAAATTATATAATAATTATTTACACAATAATAATAATTATTATTACTTTTTTTTTGAGACGCAGTCTCCCTCTGTCACCCAGGCTGGAGTGCAATGGCATGATCTCAGCTCACTGCAACCTCTGCCTCCGAGGTTCAAGTGATTCTCCTGCCTCAGCCTCCCGAGTAGCTGGGATTACAGGTGTCTGCCACCATGACTGGCTAATTTTGGTATTTTTAGTAGAGATAAGGTTTCACTGAGTTGGCCAGGCTGGACTCGAACTCCTGACCTCAGGTGATCTGCTATTATCATTTTAGACTTCAAGTCTTTTTCAAACCAGTTTTTCTGTTCCAAATTGGAGACTTTTTCTTAAGAAATAATTCAAGAAATGAAAATACTATGACAAAATATAGAACTTTGTGACAGTTCTTGGACACTTTAGCAATATATAGCTATTACTTTCAAAAAGATTAATAGAATTCACAATATTATCAGAAATCCATGGAGAGCGTATGCTTCAGTGTACCAGATAGAGCAATGGGCACAACCAAGGTGTCAATTGTTATGCTACTGTGAGCAGCAGAACAATAGCACAAGGGTTCCATCTAATCATTTCAACATGGAAGCAAACTTCTTATTAGGATTTCTTGCTAATATCAAAATATTCAGCTAAAAAAATTTTATTTCCTGGGAAATGATATAAAATATCAATAAGCATGGTAAAATACACTATCACTATGGAATGCCATAATTAGTGCATAAGATAAACACAGGGTTTCACAGAAAGATAAAGTCTTTGAATGTTCACAAAGAGATTCTCAGATTATTTGAATAATATTTAATAAACCTAGAGTTGACCCTTGAACACCATGGTGGTTGGGGTGTCAAGATCCCATGTAGTCAGAAATCAGCATATAATGTTTGTCTTCCTCAAAACTTAGCTATCAATAGCCTACTGTTGACTAGAAGCCTTAATGATAATATTCACAGTTGATTAACGCATATTTTATATGTTATGTGTATACAGTATTTTTACAATAAAGTTAGCTAAAGGAAAGAAAATATTAAGAAAATAAAAAGAAAATATATTTAATATTCATTAATGGAAAACTAAATATAATTAGTGGAAGTGGATCATTATAAGGGTTTTCATCCTCATCATTTTCATGTTGAGTAATCAGAGAAGGAGGAGAAAGAGGAGGGGTTGGTCTTGCTGTCCCAGGGGTGTCAGAAGCAGAAGAAACTCCAATTATAAGTGACTCACAGAGTTCCAACCAGTGTTATTCAAGGGTCAACAGTAAATATAGGTCAAAAGCTTTAAAACTATATTCTCCGATTTTCTAAATAAAATTAAACTACATTACATAAAAAAATTTAATAGGAAATTTCTTGGAATTTCAGGCAGGTAAATTGGGGCGGGGGTGCTGGAAACTATATACTAGATAAACCATTGTACTATTGGATTTCCACATAATTCACATATGTGATTAACACTTCCATAATGAGAGAGGCAGTGCTTAGAGATGTAGCAGAAAAGGTAGCATAGGGTAGTTCAAGATGGGACCTACATGCATGGCTGAAGAATCTGTATGGATCATTTACTGATTCAAACATAAAATGAATACTATGAAGAGAAGAGATGAAATGAAATTACATATACATTCTGAAAGAAGTAAAGATTTCCTGATGGAAAAGTAAAACAAATAATATTAAAGACACTCCTAAGCACTAAGAAAGAAATTGGCTCTGTGTGAAAGAAAGAGATATCATGAGCTTAATTATTGATAAGTCATTTTGATTCTTTAAAGGTGATATCCTTAAGGATAGTACTTACAATACTTTTTTCTTCAAAATATCAAGTGCCTACTGTGTCTTAAGAAACATTCTAAGCCAATGCAGAAATGAACAAATGAGACGGATTTTCTTGCACCTAAAGAGCTAATGAGGTTGCAGGGTGAGAAACACAAGACAACAAGTCAAAATACAACATTGAAAAAGTGAAGCTGGCACAGTGGCTGTGGCCTGTAATACCAGCACTTCAGGATTCTGAAGTAGGAGGATCACTTGTGCTTAGCAGTTCAAGACCAGCCTCACCAACAAAGTGAGAGCTCTTTTCTCTAAGAAAAGAAACAAAATTAGCTTGGGTTGTGGCATGTCCCTGTATTCTCAGACACTGGCTTAGGTGAGAGGATTGCTTGAACCTGGGAAGTCAAGGTTGCATTGAGCTGGTATTGCACCACGCTTAAGCCTGGATGACAGAACAAGACCCTGTTTCGAAAAGAAAAAAAAAATTGATAGAGTGACGCATTGTGATAAGTGCTTTAGAGAAAAATACAGCAGGAAAGGAAAATAAAGAATCATAGACAAAAATTGATTTTTGTTTTGTTTTGTTTTTGTTTTTGAGACAGAGTCTCGCTCTGTCACCCAGGCTGGAGTGCAGTGGCGCAATCTTGGCTCACTGCAAGCTCCGCCTCCCGGGTTCACGCCATTCTCCTGCCTCAGCCTCCCAAGTAGCTGGGACTACAGGCGCTCGCCACCACGCCCAGCTAATTTTTTTTTTTTTGTATTATTAGTAGAGACAGGGTTTCACCGTGTTAGCCAGGATGGTCTCAATCTCCTGACGTCGTGATCCGCCCACCTCGACCTCCCAAAGTGCTGGGATTACAGGCGTGAGCCACCGTGCCTGGCCCAAAATTGAATTTTTAATACTATGGTCAGAAAAGACATAGTATAGAATATATTTGGGCAGATACCTAAAGGAGGCTAGAAACGAAGGTGCGTGGCTATTTCATCTATTTCAGCTTTTTCCTAGCTTTTTAGGAAGTGATAACTACATTAAAAATATCTAAATATAAACTGATTATTTCTCCACACCATATTTGCCCCCATTGTCTATTATGAAGCTTCTGATATAAAGGAGAAAGAATGAGAATACAGAAAATTGAAGCCAGATCTCAAGGTTGAGAGTAACTTATTTATGATCAATAAAGTCTCACAATATGTACGGTAATTTAAGCATGGTAGGTGAGTGTTATTCCGTGTGAAATGAATCAAAATCTTACTCAGAATACTGAAGGTAAATATGTCAAGTGTATATGGAGACCAGAGACAAGTGCTCTGCTGCCTTTGGCACAGAGCACAAGCAACACTTTTAAGCTTCATTACTTGTTTCTCAGTATCAGAGGAGGGGAGAATGTCTGCCTATTGACCTCGACGGCATCCTCCTGCAACTAATCATCCCTCATTCTCCTTGTCCCTGAACTCCCTTGACCCACCCCTCCTTCATTTGATTGGCTCTGTGTACTTGTTAGAATCAGAAGATCTGGGGGAACTGTGGCTTCTAAACATGTACACTGGACTCTACCCATATCCAGCCCTGTGACCCTACAAACGTGCTCAACTGAATTTTCCTCCCATAGAGACACTCTTCCTGCTGAGTTTCTCTCCTGTGCTCCTAGAGCCAAATGGCATCTCGTGTCCTGTCCCTGGATGGCTTAACCCAGGAAAACTCCTGGATCCAAGAGGAGTCAGACAAAGGAATGGTGGCCTTGTGCGTGCTGATATTCTCACAGATGTAAAGGGGATATCCTGAAATCTAGGGTTTCTTCCTTCCCTTTTCCCTCCCTTACAGCTTCTGCTGCTCCTGGGACCTTTGCTCTATCTCTCATCCAGCTCAGACTGTTGCTGGGCCTGAGAGTCTTTGCATAGCCAAGGTGGTTCTCGAAGAACTCTTGTCTGCACGAGGTCTGAATTGCTTCTCCAGAATCTGTAGCATGGGTTTCCATAACTGCAGGAAGATCTAGAGCTACTGGTAACTAGGCAGAGAATGTTCTCATGTGTCTAACATGGCATGACACTCCTCTCCATGAACGGTAGAATAAATGCATTCAGATGAAGCCCTGCCATCATTACTTTGTCAGAAATAGATTCTGTCAATAGGTCTTACTGGTATAAGTGTAAGAGATGAGAATACATTTTAAAAGTGTTGCAGTGATAGTATGTGGTAATTCTAAAGTTTTCAAAACCTAAAGAGCAGATGCGCAGAATAACAACTTGTTGGTTTCTTTGATTCTTTGTTTGTTTGTTTTGAGACAGAGTCTTCTGTCAACCAGGCTGAAGTCCAGTGGCCCAATCTCAGCTCACTGCAACTTCTGCCTCCTTAGTTCAAGCTATTCTCCTGCCTCATCCTCCCTAGTAGCTGGGACTAAAAGCATGCACCACCACACCTGGCTAATTTTTTTGCATTTTTTAGTAGGGATGGGGATTTGCCATGTTGTCCAGGCTAGTCTGGAAATCCTGACCTCAGGTGATCCACCCACCTTGGCCTCCCAAAGTGGTGGGATTACAGGTGTGAGCCACCTCACCCAACAAGAATAACAACTTTCTAAAGGAGTCGTTTTCTCTCTCTCTCTCTCTCTCTCTCTCTCCAGGATTTGGGAGACATGGTGGCAAGGTATGTTAATGGCCATCAATGCAAGCTGGAGCACAAGGCGTGCTGTGAAAAACATCAAGTTGTTTCCAACAAAGGGAAAACATAATTTACTAACACCATAATGTGTCAATGTGATTGTGTGTGTAAGTGTGTGTACTTATGTGTTTGTGTGGTATGTTGAATGTTACCTATGCCTCTTATCAGACATTAAACTTTTCTTACTTTTCCAAGTGACTCAGGGGTTTCTGTTTTGAAGAGTTCAATGCAGAAGTTGCTAGAATACAATTGCCTCTTTTTAGGATTCAGAATCATAATTAGAGATCAACTATTTGGTGGCAAATAGGGAGAGAGGCATTTATCTTTCAGTGGCAGTAGGTTAGAAACGGAGTGAAGAGTTAGAAAGATTCCCTAAGGGCCACAAACCCATCCTAGGATTGTGGAGGTACATTACAATATCAGAAGTGGTTTGAATGAAGCATTTTCTGTTGGAATCTATTTCTTAAACACAAACATCAGAAACTTAACCAACTCAACCTACTTCCTTGCAGGAGTGAGTCCGTGCTGCTGCACATGCCCCAGCCTGTGAATCCAGAGTTCCCTACAGGGCCCATCACAGGACCGGTGGACAGGCTCAACCACTTCCGAGGTGAGTGTGGCCCTCTTGGTGGGATCAACATGCAATGCCTTCAGTTATGGTTTTCTATGGGCAGCCTTCCCAGTGTAACGATTTTTCATCTAGAACAAGAGAATAGTCTGTGAATAGGTATTTATATTTATAGTTTCACTATCCTCAAACAGACAAAACTAAATAAAAGATGGTGGAATCAGCCATATAACAAATTTCTTGGAAAAGTAAAACACGCAGAAGGGCTTTTTAGGACGTAGAACCATTCATGTATGGTTCAATCGTGATACAATTTCATGTATACAATTATTACATGAAGTATACAGAACTGAATTAATTCAGGACGTTTCAATTTCAAATTCAGTGCAGTTAATGACTGATTTGAGTGACAGTGTTTTTTTAAATACATTTCAGGTGAAGTTTCATAGCATTTATAATTTTAATCACGTGCATTTTAATCAACTAAAGCATACATGAGTAACTTATATAACAATGCAAACACTGAGAATCTGTGAACAATAAGAAAGTGATTTGGTGGTTGATGAGGCCTTAGATAGAACTCCAGGATAGATCATGATAAATCCAGCAGATAAAAGAAGTCTGTGCCTGAATCTGGCATGAAAGTCAGATAATTCTGGCAAGGAATCTGCACTTTTCAGAAGGCAGATTCAGATTTTCTCTTTAAGTATGAATTTTCTAGTTTAAGTGGCAGATTATAATATTTCTGGAAAGCGATAACTTTTTTATTTGGGTCTAAGAATGGCTCCCCACCTCATCTCCTGTCCCCAGCCTCCTGCTCTGCCCTGACAGAGAAGAGGCAATGGAGGTTAATTTTATTGCTATGGACTTGGCTGCAGTGCAAGAGGTTCCAGTTTTTCAGTTGTTATGAAAGGTCGCTAACTAGACATAGACATGACCTTCCTCCCCTTTATGCTTTTTGAGTTTATAGAAATTGCGATCATTGAAGTTGAGCCATTTACTTGTGCAGATATCCTAACACCCTTTGATTCCAACATTTTTCCAGGCAGAAGTTACTTTGTAATCTTGACCTGTGTTTTCTAGTGAGAATCTCTTTCTTATCTGAACATAAGAATTTATAAACTGCTTTTCACTGGAACGTTCTCTTTTTTCTACAGTGGAAATTTCCTTCACTTGGGAAGGAACCAATTACAATATCGGGCTGTTTGAGGATGTGAGAAGTTTGATGTTTAGACGTGGATCTTTGAATTCTGACAGATCTGACTATTTTGCTGCATGGGGAGCCTGGGTCTTCTCCTCTGGCAAACACTACTGGGAGCTGGATGTGGACAACTCTTGGGACTGGGCTCTGGGAGTCTGTAAGGACTCCTGGATAAGGAAGAATAGCACAATGTTTAAATCTAAGGACATATTTCTTCTTTTATGTGTGAAGGTGGATAATCATTTCAGTCTCTTGACCACCTCCCCAATGTTTCCTCACTATGTAGAGAAACCTCTGGGCCGAGTTGGTGTGTTTCTTGATTTTGAAAGTGGAAGTGTGAGTTTTTTGAATGTCACCAAGAATTCCCTCATATGGAATTACCCAGCTGGCTCCTTAAATTTTCCTGTCAGGTCTTTCTTTTACACTGGCCACAGATGACAAGGATTAAGAAACCTGACTGTTCGGGAACTCCATATACAGGGGAGCCAGCCCTTCACTGTTGATACAAAGAAATCATACTTTTCAGGCTTTTTTCTACTTTAGTGTCACTTCATTTTATTGCTATTAAGTAGAAGATATGTAAAATGCAAAACATTTTTGTACATTTTCTTACAATTAAAATAATCTCTTATGGCCCATTACCTAAAATATGTATTGTGATTTTCAAGTGTTTGTGAATTTATTGGATGGAATTCTGGAAATATGTGGGTGTGTGATTCCCACTTAATTATCCCATGCAGGAACAAAATTTGCACATCATGGACAGACAGGATTTTGTACAATGCACTTGTAAGTGTGAGTGCTCTCTCCTATTAATACGGTAAATTCTACACCTCATTGCTTTAGGTGGAAAAATTTATTTTACACAGAAGTTTTCACTGAATCTTTGGGCCAGAATAGGAATTTAACAGTCGTGCATCCTATGGCAACAAAAACACATTCTGAGAAATGCATTACTAGGCGATTTTATCATTGTGTGAACATTAGAACACACATAAAAACCTAGATAGAATATCCATCTACAGATATAAGCTAAATGGTACAGCCTATTGCTTCTCTGAGAAGTTGCTAGCAATGTCTCAGCAGGAACCAAAAGGGTTTAACCCACATTGAATTCTGTAGCTGTTTAATAAAGCAAACAGCATCATCCAGGGAAAAATAAACAGATGAGCAGACTGTCTACTTTAAAATGTGTTTATGCTTCCCATTCACACGGATTGTGAATTCTCATTGTTAACCTAGAGTCCCAGCTAGTCAGGAGGCTGAGGCAGGAGAAAAGTGTGAACCTGGGAGGCAGAGGCTGCAGTGAGCTGAGATCGTGCCACTGCACTCCAGTCTGGTGACACGATGAGACTCCATCTCAAAAAAAAAAAAAAAAAAAAAAAAAAAATTAACTTCAAATTCCAAAACACTTAATGTTGCACCCTCCTTGAACAATAACTAAAAAAACTCGTTTCCACTCTGTGAAAATACAATCTTTGAGCTTATAACTGGTATCAGCAGATCAATATAAAAAATACAGTACCAAGCTACACTGGTATATTTCCATTTTAAGAACTCCACAATATCCTCATTGCTGAGAGCATAGTCCTTGCATTAGTTTTCAGTATGCTATGAACAATTATCTGCTGCATGTAAACATGTCTAAATAACTATAGATAAAATACATCAATCATAAATTTCTGTAAAAGATAATAAAATATCTTCTTTAAAAAACAAAACAATAAGCTATTACTGCATTATTTCCAATTTTATGAAAATGGAACAAATATATGGTTGTTGCTAGTCTTGAGTTCATTGCAATAAAAATGGCCCTAGTTCCTGGTTAAAGTCAGCAATCAATCTATTTTCTTCAATAGATGTCTTCTAGTTGTGTAGGCAAGAATTTGTTTTACATGCTATTCTGTCAGTTTATAAAATTATACACCAGAAACTGACCAGTACCACAGTACTCTGTTGCAAACAGTTTTCCATCAGGAGTGGGATCTGAGAAAGCAATTTCTTCTTTACTCAAATATGAGATATATATAAAGTTACTCCTTAGGCATTCAATCATGCGAGAAGCAATTTTCTTCCAACACATCATGCTGAATACCCATATTCGACTGATCCCACAGATTGCAGGCTCTGGTAACGTTGAGCAGCAAGATTCCAATTTTAAATAAATGGGAGGCTATGTTTTTCTCACCTACTTATACAAATTGAGGAGGTAATCAAAACGAAGATTGACACTTTCATCAACTGGATTTCCTCTGTACGTGCAAGAAAGTGCAATCTGTTGCCATCTCCTGTTCAGTGAGAAAGCTGAAAAAACATCCTGAGCAAGAGGACCTGAATGTAAGGAAATGACCTGGTGTTTTCCTCAGTACTTCTGTTCCCATCCTATTGCTTCAAGTTTAGGTATACAGCACACTGAACTGCAAGATGTATCCGGAAGTGCTGAATACACACTAAAATGTTTATTTTTATTTCCTTTATTTTATTTTATTTTTATTTCTTTTGCTAGAGACAAGGTCTCGCTATATTGCCCATGGTGGTCTCGAACTCCTGACCTCAAGCAACTCTCCCGCCTGAACTGCCCAAAGCACTAGGATTAGAGGCATGTGCCACTGTGTCTGGTCTTTTCTTTTTTTGGTCTCAAACTCCTGACCTCAAGCAACCCACCCTCCTCAACTGCCCAAAGCACTGGGATTAGAGGCATGTGCCACCGGTGTCTGGCCTTTTCTTTCTTTTTCTTTTTTTCTTTGATTTAGAAGAGAAAGAAAATTAAATGACAGCACAGCAGAAGAAATGCCCAAGAGCTTGTGTTCAATGAAAATCAGGTGATCCTTTACTGAAGAGTTGCTTTTAGTTAGAACTGGGAATGGGTATTCAGGAATAAGTAAACTCTGCTTTTCACCACTGTCGAAGTGTCCAGTGTTTCCCCATTCAGCAACTGGCTAATTAAGGGTCATATGGCAAGAAGGATCTTATGTGTCTTTTAATCTCTTAAACTGATCACTAACTCAAGGTGATTATACAAATTATGAAAATGCTTATTAGCAATGCTTCCTTATTCTTTCTGTCTGTACTACCTACACTCCTTAGTTAACTTTCTCTCTTCTCCTCCCACACACTTATTTGCAGCACTTTCCTAGGTAACAGGAAAAGTCTATCACCTTCTGATGATTTGTGTCTCTCCAACTGATCTCAGATTATAGAATTTTGCCTTCTGGGCTTTCAACCCAATTCTCCTTTTTATTTCCACCTAAAGTTTCTGAGCTTTCTCTACTGACACTAAAAATTTCCATAAGCAACAGCTATTACACTCTCAATATTACCTTGTTACCAATTTTGTTTGTCACTTATTCAAAGAAAATTTTATAGCTAATCATATTTAGCTTAGATTTACTTGTACATACAGTTGGTATTAGCTACTGTAGACATTTAAGATATTACTTTAATTTTGGAAGAGGGGAAAGTGCGTATTAGTTTGGTAAATTTTCTTAGCCATTAAACCAAAAACTTGTTACATTCCTCTGTTTTGATAACTTCTATTAGAATTATTATCATCTGGGACATTCCTAAAATTGAGAAATAAAATTAAGGTGCAACTACTGGGAACCTTGCCACTTATATCAGAAATCTAGGACTCCTCACCTCCTGAAGAGGTTATTGATCCATTTGCCTTGTCGCATTTTGGGGGACACAAGTTAAATTCTTCACAGAAATAAAATTCAAAGTTAAAAACTGATGTGGAGACATAGTATGTGTGTAGTTCAAACCAGAGAGATGAGATGAAATTGTAAAAGGAAGAGTATACAAAATGAGAAGAGATCATGTTCTGTGATGAAATTGTGGGAAAGCAATAGCATAAAGGTATCACTGAGGAACTTGAGACCAGGAAGAAACTAAGATGTGTTTACCCATGTAGTTAAAAAAAGAAAATTACATGTTGGGAGGCTGAGGCGGGCAGATAACTTGAGGTCAGGAGTTTAAGACAAGCCTGGCCAACATGGTGAAAGCCTGTCTCTACCAAAATTACAAAAATTATCCAGACATGGTGATGGGCACCTGTAATCCCAGCTAGTTGAGACACTGAGGCAGGAGACTTGCTTGAACCCAGAAGGTGCAGGCTGCAGTGAGCTGAGATTGTGCTACTGCACTTCACCCTGGGTGACAGAGTGAGACTCCATCTCAAAAAAAAAAAGAGAGTGCCAGACATGGTCACTTATGCCTGTAATCCCAGCACTTTGGGAGGCCGAGGTGGGCGATTCATGAGGTCAGGAGTTTGAGACCAGCCTGACCAAGATGATGAAAGCCCGTCTCTACTAAAAATACAAAAATTAGCTGGGCATGGTGCATGCCTGTAATCCCAGCCACTCGGGAGGCTGAGGCAGGAGAATTGCTTGAACCCGGGAGGCAGAGGTTGCAGTGAGCTGAGATCGCGCCACTGCACTCCAGCCTGGGTGACAGAGCAAGAGTATGTCTCAAAAAAAAAAAAAAAAAAAAAAAAAAAAAAAAAAAAGAAAAGAAAAAGAAAGAAAGAAAAGAAAAAAATTGTGTGTGGCAAAATAAAGCTAGTAAGAGTTATTTGTTCTAAAGAAAAGCAGCAGGAGTATCTCAGATTAGTATTGAAAAGCAAGGATACCATAAGGAAGAGTTTAGACTATGATAGGAGCTTCACTCGAATGCTGAGTTATAAAAACTGGTCAGGTAGTGGTGTGCAAGATGTTCTATAGGCAGAAAGAGGCAACAGCTAAGAGATTAAAATAATTTCCATCGAAAGGAGCCTTGACTGTCAGTATAGGATACAAGTAACAGAGAGATAGAAGTAAAAACAGTATAAAGAACATCTCTAGCCAAATATTTCAGGTATTACCATCTAATCCCTCAAAAATACTTATCTAGGCCGGGCGTGGCAGCTCACGCCTGTAATCCCAGCACTTTGAGAGGTTGAGAGCAGTGGATCACCTGAGGTCAGCAGTAAGACCAGCCTGGCCAACATAGCGAAACCCCATCTCTACTAAAAACACAAACGTTAGCCTGTAATCCCAGCTACTCGGGAGGCTGAGGCAGGAGAATCACTTGAATCCGGGAGGCAGAGGTTGCAGTGAGCTGAGGTTGAGCCAGTGCACTCCAGCCTGGCAACAGAGTGAGACTCCACCTCAAAAAAAAAAAAAAAAATCTAATGTGTCTAATGTGTTCCCATTTTCTCTAAGCCACAGTTTTCTGAGGTGTGGAAAAAGAAACATGACTAAAATTCCACATGGAATTGTCTTCATTGAGTAAAATTCCTTGGCATATTTAGTTTTGAAGCTGTACATTTGAGTAGGTGACTATGAAGTAATGACAACAGTAACAACAAGTTGATAGTATTCCTACATACAGGAAGCAGCATTTTGCCTTTGTGGAAATAGAAGAAGAGGCATTTGCACAGAGAAGGGCCAAGCACCATCTGATGAGAGATGGGCACCAAGATTGGAAATGGTTAGGGGGAAAGATATGAATAGCAATAGATAATAATCACATTTAATTTAATTTATTTACCAACCCCACCCAATTCAGTGAGGTGTACTTGTATGCAAGATATTGTTTTGTGATTCTTATTGTTGAAATCAAAGAAAGTGAATGATTTTGTATGTGAATTTATGAGAACTGGAGCAGTTGCAGCTAACTTGAGTTTGTAAAAATATCCAGAAGCTGAACTGATTCTGCTAAAGCATGAGGTCATATTGGAGAGGTCCCTAGACTCTGTATACAATCTGGATGGATGCTTTTGAACCACATTTTGTATTTCTTGAAAAGCAGAGTTGCCTTAATTAACATCAGAGGATCTGAAGATATCTGTTCTGCTTTTTGTCCTGTGTGAGATACTGTGGAGTGAAGTGAAGCAAGGAACAGAGAAAGACCACAGCCATCAGCTACCATGATAAGTAGCAGACCTGAAAACAAAATTCTCATGTATACAGGGCACAGGGCTGGTACTCAACAATGAAATACTAGCTAATACTGAGTGCCTAATTTGCAAGAAGAAGATCAACACACAAAGAAAGAGCCTTTTTACTAAGCATTAGAAGTTATGACAGAAATAAAATATTTTTCTAGAAATGATGAGACAGAAGCTTATCACCAAAATTACTCATGCAGGGTATATTGCCATAATAACTAACTAATGCATCTTTTACCTGTTGGGAAGAGTTTTCTTAGGACTTCTTAATTTTCTTAGGACTAGCGCCAGAATAAAGCAAAAACATCTGGATGAGATTGAATAAAAATTCCTTTCAAGGCCAAGCATAGAGCCTTATGCCTTTAATCTCAGCACTTTGGGAGGCTGGGCGGGAGGAATGCTTGAATCCAGGAGTTCAAGATGAGCCTGGACAACATTGAGATAAGCTATTTCTTTTCTTTTCTTTTTCTTTTTTTTTTTTTTTTTTTTTGAGACGGAGTCTTGCTCTGTCGCACAGGCTGGAGTGCAGTGGCAAGATCTGGGCTCACTTCAACCTCTGCCTCCAGGGTTCAAGCAATTCTCATGCCTCAGCCTTTTGAGCAGCTGGAATTAAAGGCACGTGCTAAGATGCCCAGCTACTTTTTTTTTTTTCCATATTTTTAGTAGAGATGGTGTTTCACCATGTTGCCCAGGTTGGTCTCAAACTCCAGGCCTCAAGTGATCCACCTGCCTCAGCCTCCCAAAGTGCTGGGATTACAGGCATGAGCCACTGGGTCTGGCCCCAGATACTCTATTTCTATAAAACTAATTTTTCAAAAAATTAGCAGCATCATGGCACACGTCTATGGTTGCAGCTACTTGGGAGGCTGAGGTGGGATGATCACTTGAACCTTGGATTTTGAAGCTGCAGTGAGCCATGACTGTTCCACTGCATCCCATTCTGGGCAACAGAACTAGAGCTTTTCTCAAAACAAACAAACAAAAAGGTATTTTATTTCACCACAATGTTTTATTTGCATATATTTGCTTGTGCACATATATGTGTGTGTTGTGGTGTAGAGTAGAAGACGAGTTTAAAGTCACGACATGGGTGACAGTTTGAGCTTATATCCTCAAACTCTAGCATGTGTCAGAATTATCCACAGGGCTTATTATTATAGATATTCCTAAACCCCACCATATAAAACTAATTGTAACTACAATGTCTAAATAATTATTTATGTGAGTAATATAAGAGATACATGTCTGAGAGTATATTCTTACAGGAGTAAAGGTTTCTTTTTCAGTAGAAGTTTACTCTCATTAACAACCATAAAATATAAAGAAAAAGATGATAATTTTTAAAAATAATATCAGCAAGTTTTTACCATTAAAATCACCAAGGAGTTTAGTCCTTCTAATATTTTTCTATACTTGTTTTTGTCTATATCCATCTTTGTCTATAATTTTTAAAAATTTTTTCAAAATAAGTTATATTTATTGTATTTTAAAGCTAAAAATGTATTTAAACATTTTATTAATTTAGGCTTTTTCAAATAATATCTTGTTATTTGATACGTTCAGTTAATTACTAGTTGGTAACTTTAGATATAAAATGTTTGAAAGGCAGAAACCTGTTTTATAAATTATGAAGCCTCATATTGTCAAACCCTAATTTGATCAATGCACAATTTATACATGTATCAAAATACTATATTGTACCTTATAAAAATATGTGCAATTTTTATATATTGATTAAAAATAAAAATTTTAAAATTTGTTCAAATAAGTTGTCATTTAAATAAAGGTATCTTTTTGATTAGTTTGAATTTGATCAAAAACAAAATTATCTGAATTTTTTTGAGAGGCAGTACCTATTTCATTTCCCTAAATTTAAAATTAAATCAGCCAGAGATGCCAGACACCGAGCTTCTACTTCTCTTTTTCCAAAACCACCCACCATCATCATTAGCATTTTGATCTCCAAGTCTAAAGGCTGGTAGGAATTGATCAGTACTGAAGGGAATTACATGTCCAGGAGGAAGGTGAGATGGTAGCAGATCCCAGATTTCAGTGAAGAAAGGGCAGAAATTATCAAAGAATGGAATGGTGTATATTCAAATATCATATAAAAATACTGTCAGATGTGGGAACAGAAATGAAAGTAGACTCGTTGCCCCAGAAAAATCAGACATGAATTTTCCACCTGGGTGTTATTTAAAAATCAATGACAATATAAACCAGCACTAGAGGGTGTTTGTAGAGGGTTATTTACAGAGATTAGAAATGGAATTAATTTAATCAACGGTTGAAAGGTAAATCCTTTTATTGATACTTTGTACTGCAGACATCTAATCAGGGAGGGGCTTTAAGGATCCTATAACACACTGGCATCCAAAAAGCAAGTCTAATTATTTTAGAGGCATTTGGAATTTGCTAGACTGTGGAAACCTCAGAAAATAACATCTGTTGTCCAGAAAGCCCAGAGGACACAGAACTCCTGAGCCAAATGCATGAACTTTCCTGCAAGCACTGTTCAGACCAGTTATAGAATATTCAGGTGAGTATTTCCTTTAATTTTTTGTTCCTTGTTTATACAAATTGTGAACTTCTGGAGGGAAAGTCCTAGATATTATACAGTTTTATCTATAGCATGATATCTAGAATTTAATTGGAAACCTTTATTGTAGAATATGAAAAGTTCCATGTTGTCTTTAACTTCAGGTTGAATGCAGCCTTGGTCGTCTGCAAAGTTTTTAAGTGCTCAAAGGCACTTTTTTATTTTCCTAATATTCCACTGAAGTTTTTATTTCTGTAATGGTATTTTTATTTTACAAATCTATGTTGTTGTTTGAATCCTCTTTTTAAAGCCTCTTGTTATTTTTTGATATTTTTATTATATTTAATATAGTTTGATAATAAATATCATACATATGACTTTGTGAAGCTACTATATAAATGTTTATTTTATTTTATTTTATTTTTATTTTCCTTTTTTGAGATGCAGTCTCACTCTGTCACCAGGCTGGAATGCAGTGGCGTGATCTCGGCTCACTGCAACCTCTGCCTCCCAGGTTCAAGCGATTCTCCTGCCTCAGCCTCCCGAGTAGCTGGGACTACAGGGGTGCACCACCATGCCCAGCTAATTTTTGTATTTTTAGTAGAGATGGGGTTTCACCATGTCAGCCAGGATGGTCTTGATCTTTTGACCTCGTGATCTGCCTGCCTCAGCCTCCAAAGTGCTGGGATTACAGGCGTGAGGCTCTGCGCCTGGCCAAATATTTATCTTTTATGTTACAAAAATTTAAAAAATTAACAATTCATACAGCTTCATAAAGTCACAGGAGTTCATACATTTTGTTTAAGATCAAAACTTACTCTCAAATGGTTCAGGAATAAAATGTCTTAAACTTCTAAGTATTTCGTAAGTGATTGTGATAAAAAATGAAAAATAAAAATTAGATGGATTATGACACAGAAAAGGGAAAATCACACAACATTGACAAGGTCAATTTTTTTGAGACAGAGAGTCTCACTCTGTTGCCTAGTCTGAAGTGCAGTGATACAATCAAGGCTCACTGAAGTCTTGACCTCCTGTGCTCAAGCCATCCTCTCACCTCAGCCTCCAGAGTAGTTGGGACTACAGGCACTACAAGTGTGGGCCTGGCTAAATTTTTGTTTTTGTAGACATGGGGTCTCTCCATGTTGCCCAGGCTGGTCTGGAACTCCTGAACTCAAGCAATCTTCCTGCTTCAGCCTCCAAAAATGTTCAAATTACAGGCATGAGCCACTGTGCCTGGCCCTATATAAATTCTTAGTTTTCCCAGTTTCTTTTCTTTCTTTCTTTCTTTCTTTCTTTCTTTCTTTCTTTCTTTCTTTCTTTCTTTCTTTCTTTCTTCCTTCCTTCCTTCCTTCCTTCCTTCCTTCCTTCCTTCCTTCCTTTCTTTTTCTTTCTTTCTTTCTTTCTTTCTTTCTTTCTTTCTTTCTTTCTTTCTCTTTCATTCTTTTTCTTTCTTTCTTTATTTTTCTTTCTTTCTGTCTTTCTTTCTTGTTTTTGTTTTTTGTTTTTTTTTTGACAGGGGTCTCTCACTTTGTTGCCCAGGCTTGTCTCAAACTCCTGAGTTCAAACGACCCTCCTTTTGGATCTTAGGCTCCAAAAGTGCTGGGATTACAGGCATGAGTCACCATGCCTGGTCACAGTTTCATCATATATGTAACGGAACAGCAAGCATAAAATGAGCTCACAGAGTTTTAAGGAGAAAAATAAGATATTAATAATAAATGTAAAACATTTGCATATTAGGTTCCTGGGGCTGCTGTAATAAACTATCACAGATAAAACAATAATTTGCTCTCTCACATTTCTGAATGCCTAACATTTAAAATCAACATGTTGATAGAGTGGTTCCCTTTGGAAATTCTGAGGGGAAATCCACCTCCTGCCTCTCTGCTAGCTTCTGGTGGGTGATGGGAATCCTTGGCTTTCATTGGCTTGTGGCAGCATAGCTCTAGTGAGCTCTGTCTCTGCCTCTGTCTCCACGTGGCTGTCTATGTGTCTCAGATCTTCCTTTTATTTTTTCTCTAAGGATACCAGTCATTGGACTTAGGTCCCACCCTAAACCCAGACTAATCTTGTTGGGAGATTACCAAGGTAGTTACATCTGCAAAGATCCTATTTTCAAAAGTCCATATTCACAGGTTTCAGTGGTTAGGACTTAGACATATATTTCGGGGGGCCACTCTTTAACTGGCAATTTGAAAAAAATGCCTGGCTCAGAAAACAGCCCCATAACAACAAAAACACAACTGTATTTTTATTTCCACTGCTTTACGCACATCACCCTAACTTTTACAATTGGGAAGATGGTACTTCTTTTTTCCTAAATTCAGATTCTGAATATTTCACACCTCTTTTCTAATGTCAATTCTATGTTTTTTCCCTTTTTTCTGAGTTAGAATACATCTTGTATTTATTTATTTTTATTATTTATAATCACCACAATATATTTGGGAGTCTGACATTTTTTATTTCTGAACCATTTGAGACTATGTTCTGATCTTAAACACAAAGTATGGAATCCATTATTTTTTCTTTTTTTTAACTTTCATTTGTGAAAGTTACTTTTTTCTTAATTACTCTTTTTATTTGTTACATTACTAAGTTTGTTTTATTTTAATTTTCAAAGGACATTGATGAAATGACTTTTTTATGATTTTTGAGATGAAAAATTTAATAACTTTAAATTTTACATTCTTTTAAGTTTTTCACAGTTTATTTTAATGCTTTTTTTTGTAAATTTTAATTATAGTTATTTATATCTTCATTTATTATGGAACAACTTCCCAAAAGTCTTTTTCACATAATAAATTTAATATAATATATAAGCTATTATTTATTTTCTCTTCTGTCTCAAATATGGACTTTAATTATATTCCAATATTTCAGAACATTTTAATCTATGTTTTGAGACATTTGTGACTTACGTGATATTATGACTATTATTCTTTACACTTCTAGTGAATTTTTAATGTCATTCAAAGGCTACATCCTTCTATACTCTACTGAGAATTAAAAATAGTTCTCAAAAATATTATTCTCAGATATTCAGAACTCATTCTCAGAATTTCAACTTCCACCAGTATCTTAACTCTGTTCTCTTTCCCTTCTAATGCACATTTTCCCCCTCAAGGCCCATTGTTACACTCCTTATTCACCCTCCATTTAAGATTCGGTTTTATTTAATGTTGTATGTATTTGTACACAATTTTATTTATGTGAGGCTTAGTCTTAGAATAGAAGATTATCCTAAAAAGACTAGTGAAAGAGTTATGAGAATTTCAAGAGTGAATCCAGAAATCACGTACCAGAAGAATTACTTCAGGCAAGACAAAATTGCTAAAAAAAAAAAAAAAAAAGGAGTAGTCATCAGATCTGCCACATTTTCAAGTTCTGTAATGGAAAATGGTAGGTATTCTGGAGGGAGTTTCTGGAGGAAGCCAAACTTTCACTGAGGCTTAAATATGATGAACAATTAACCAAATAAAGTTGAAATGTTTTATAATTGTCATTAAATCCTTGATATTTAAAAGGAGAAGCAGTATGGTTCTTAGAAAGCATTCATTCCCGGCCCAGGAGTGGTGGCTCACGCCTGTAATCCTAGCGCTCTGGGAAGCCGAGGCAGGCGGATCACCTGAGGTTGGGAATTCGAGACCAGCCTGGCCAACATGGTGAAACCCCATCTCTACTAAAAAATACAGAAAAATTAGCCAGTCGTGGTGGCACATGCCTGTAATCTCAGCTGCTTGGGAGGCTGAGGCAGGAGAATCACTTGAAGCCGAAAAACAGAGGTTGCAGTGAGCCCAGATTGCCCCACTGCACTCTAACCCGGGCGACAAGAGTGAAACTCTGTCTCAATTAAAAAAAAAAAAAAAAAGAAATAAAAGAAAGAAAGCAAGAAAGCATTAATTCCCATGCACTGGTCCTGGAGAATCTATAATTCAGTCTTTTATCACAGGTTCACATTCCCTTATAAAAAGGTAACAGTTGGATGCATGTCTGGAGGAGCTCTTGGGCTTGTCCTATTGTATCTTTAACTTCTCATCTGCACCTTTAGCTATGGCTATTTGGGCTGTGCTTAGATAATGGCCATACTCAGGGCACTGTAGAATGAACAGTCCTTCCTGTTTAGGCATTTCTCCTTCCACTTTAACTTCTGACTCTGTCTTCAGGGCATATCTGTTATATTAAGCTTCTTAAGTGATGAGCGGTCTGGTGTTTGTGTTATGCAACTCAATTTAAGATAGGTTCATGTGAGATCTGGCAGAAAGCAGGCTGGGGTGGGGTGTGGAGATACTGAATATTGTGCATGTAGCATATGAAAGGCAAACATACATTTAATTCAGAAACAGGCAATGTTTATTTATAGTTAAGGGTCAAATGAATTATACAAGGGACATATGACAAATAGGATGTAATTTGCTTCATTAATCCAAATGAAGGAGAGTAACTTTCTTTCTCCTCAGAAATACAGAATCACATATACTGCAATACTTCCAGAAATAAATCATCCACTGAGTCTTAAAAGTAAAGAACTCTGTGTTCTTGCTCTGGTGTCTACATAACCGGGATCTTATAAGTAAGCCAAAGACATCTAAATGGCTTTGCCTAGAAGCCAAGGCCATTGGTCCAACAAAGACATCTTGAGGTTACTGGAATGCATGGAGAATAATCGCCCATCTGATGACAACAGCACGTTTAGCTCAACTCAGTCATACATGGACTGGGGAAAAGTAGCTTTTAAAAACTTTTCTGGTGAAATGTGCAGACTCAAATGGTTAGAGATTTCTTGCAACTTGAGAAAATTCGGCACTTTGAAAGAATTAGTCCTGGAAGCTAAGAAATGTGTTAAAAAGATGAACAAAAGCCAAAAATACAGGAACTGTCCAGACTTTCCAAAAAGGCCCCTTACTGCTTATAATCGCTTCTTCAAGGAGAGTTGGCCCCAGTACTCCCAAATGTACCCTGGGATGAGAAGCCAGGAACTGACCAAAATCCTGTCAAAGAAATACAGGGAACTCCCAGAGCAGATGAAACAGAAATATATTCAGGATTTCCAGAAGGAAAAGCAAGAATTTGAGGAAAAACTTGCTCGATTCAGGGAAGAACACCCTGATTTAGTCCAGAAGGCCAAGAAATCTAGTGTCTCCAAGAGGACTCAAAACAAAGTGCAAAAGAAGTTTCAGAAAAATATTGAAGAAGTGAGGTCTCTTCCAAAAACGGATCGATTTTTCAAGAAGGTAAAATTTCATGGAGAGCCTCAGAAACCCCCCATGAATGGATACCACAAGTTTCACCAAGATTCCTGGTCAAGTAAAGAGCTGCAACATTTGTCAGTGAGGGAGCGCATGGTAGAGATTGGCAGACGCTGGCAGCGCATCCCGCAGAGCCAGAAGGATCATTTTAAGAGCCAGGCTGAGGAACTGCAGAAGCAATACAAGGTGAAATTGGATCTCTGGCTCAAGACTTTGTCACCTGAAAATTATGCTGCATACAAAGAATCGACCTATGCTAAGGGTAAGAATATGGCCATGACAGGAGGCCCGGACCCCAGGTTGAAACAAGCAGATCCACAGTCCTCATCAGCAAAGGGTCTGCAAGAAGGGTTTGGGGAGGGGCAAGGGCTCCAGGCTGCAGGAACAGATTCATCACAGACTATTTGGGTAAACTGTCATGTCTCCATGGAACCAGAAGAGAACAGGAAGAAAGATAGAGAAAAGGAAGAAAGCAGTAACTCTTCAGACTGCAGCAGTGGAGAAGAAATAGAAGTTGATGTCTGAGGGCAGTGGCTCTAGTGCAGCTTCCTTGTTTTTTTTTTTTTGTTTGTTTGTTTTCTTTTCTTCCTTCCTCCCGCAAAGTAGGACAGGTTGGGAAGAAAGAAGCAACTTGGTGCAGCACTCTCCTACATCAAGATTATGAACCTGGGAGGAACTCTTTGGGAAGAATAAATATAAGTTTGAGCCACTACTGGCCTTATCCTTAAAAAAACAAACAAACAAATATCATCCCTTTCCCGAGGAACTTTATGCAATTAAGACTTCTGAAATGAAGAGATGATTACGTTGTGGGGTACACACTGTATTAGACTGAATATTTCTGAAGCAAGAAGCTTTGCTTTACTCATTTTTGTCCTGCCAAAGGTGGTAGGGGGATACCCATAAGCCTGGGACCCAAACTTCCCTTTGGAAATGTTTTTCAGGACTCCTGCACCAAATCTAAGGTCGGGGATATTTGATGAAAGGTGGGGTAGGTGTCTTAAGAGAATTGTCCCACTCTTGATATCTCTCTCCTCCCCTCCCTGAAGTAAGGAGTTGGCCATTCCCATGCCTGGGAGTAGGGAGTAATATTTCTACATGTATATCTGACTCAGTTCTCAATTAGACTTTTCTTGCTTATTTCAAAAAAAAATGAAAATACAAAATAAAAAGTTACTGATTTAATCTGAAAGAGCTCCTCCACAGAATCATTTGTGACACTGGGTGCAGCTTCTCTAAGTTATATCTTCATTTATTCTTGAAGCTCCAAATTTTTCCTGCTGCTTCAGATGCAAGTGAATCTCACCTTTAGCATTCAGGATTGATACAAAGATGTAGAGAAAGACAGATATAGATGAGTACACTATCCTGTTTCACTATCTGCTCTGTCTAAGAATTCATGCACCAGTGTCACATTGTTTTAATTTTTTGGTTTACTAATATGTTTGAAAATCTACCTAAAGTTAGTGCCTTCTCAGTATACCTTTATTCTATTAAACATTTCTGGCTATTTTCATACTTTGTTCTCATGAATATTAGCATCACAGAACTAGTTGTATTCTTTTTGTATAAAAACCATTGAATAATGAGTGTTTATTTTGTCCCTAGATATCTTAGGAAAATTTTACTTATAAGTTTTTTCTAAATAAATAATAAGTTTCAGAGAATAATGGCAATGTTTACCATTTTTATACCTCTAATTTCTAAATGTGTTGGATTAAAATATCCAGAAGAATGTTAAGTAACAACAATAATCTGTTCTTGGCTTGCTTCTGACTTTTAACCTAATGCTTACAGAATTTAAAATCATGAAAATTATGCTGATGTGTACATTTGAAATAAATTATTAAAAATAAGAAAATTGCTATTTACTTTTATTATTATTTGCTTTTAATTTTTAATGCATATCGATTTTTAACAAATTTATTTTATCATATATTTATGTAATTTTTTCTTACTGTATTAGTCATCATCCTGCAGAGAAACAGAACCACCAACATAGATAGAGAAACAAAGTGACAGAGAGAGTAATAGAATAGTAGAGAGGAGAGAGACAAAGAGACTAATTTTATTATGAAGAATTGGCTCACAAAATTGTGGAGGCAAAAAATATCATGATCTGCAATCTGCAAGCTGGACACTTAGGAAAGCCAGAGGTGTAATTCAATCTGAGTCTGAAGGCCTGGGAAGCAGGGCAGCCAATGGTGTAAACCCTAATTCAAGTGTAGGTGAAGATAAGATGAGATATACTAGTTAAGCAGTGAGACAGGACAGAAAGGGTCACACTCCTCTATCATCTGCCCTTTGTTCTATGCAGGCCTTAAATGGGTTGGAAAATGCACATCCCATATTGGGGAGGGAAGCCTACTTTACAGAGACCAGTTCAAGCTGACACATACAATTTACCATCATACTTTCATTTTCTTACAGATTCTGGAGATTTAGGTATTTTTATATGAATTCTAGATGGCTGATGGGTTGAATTTTTTTTTTTTTTTTGAGACAGAGTCTGGCTCTGTTGCCCAGGCTAGAGTGCAGTGGAGAGATCTCGGCTCACTGCAAGCTCCACCTCCCGGGTTCACGCCATTCTCCTGCCTCAGCCTCCCGAGTAGCTGGGACTACAGGCTCCCGCCACCATGCCTGACTAATTTTTTTTGTATTTTTATTAGAGACGGGGTTTCACCATTAGCCAGGATGGTCTCGATCTCCTGACCTTGTGATCCACCCGTCTTGGCGCTGGGATTACAGGCGTGAGCCACCGAGTCCAGCCAATGGGTTGAACTTATTTAGAAAATGTGTTTGCATATTATGTCCTTTGTTTCTCTTAACATCAAGTTTGCAAAATTAACTTTAAAGATCTGATTCTTTTTATTTCCAATTCAGGAGATAATGTAAGTCACATTTGCCACTAACTAGTAGTAAGGCCCATAGCCCAGGCTAGATGGTGAGATGTACAAATTCAATTGGGGCTTTAGTAGTGATTTTAAATGAAATGTTTTTAAGTTTATTCAGCACCTACTCTTTTTAAGACTTGCCCTCCTTGTGTGGGATACAGAGATTAAAGGTACAATTCTTTTTTGTTTGTTTGTTTTTTGTTTTTATTTAATTATACTTTAAGTTTTAGGGTACATGTGCACAATGTGCAGGTTAGTTACATATGTATACATGTGCCATGCTGGTGCACTGCACCCAGTAACTCGTCATCTAGCATTAGGTATATCTCCCAATGCTATCCCTCCCCCTCCCCCCACCCCACAACAGTCCCCAGAGTGTGATATTCCCCTTCCTGTGTCCATGTGATCTCATTGTTCAATTCCCACCTATGAGTGAGAATATGTGGTGTTTGGTTTTTTGTTCTTGCGATAGTTTACTGAGAATGATGTTTTCCAATTTCATCCATGTCCCTACAAAGGACATGAACTCATCATTTTTTATGGCTGCATAGTATTCCATGGTGTATATGTGCCACATTTTCTTAATCCAGTCTATCATTGTTGGACATTTGGCTTGGTTCCAAGTCTTTGCTATTGTGAATAATGCCGCAATAAACATACGTGTGCATGTATCTTTATAGCAGCATGATTTATAGTCCTTTGGGTATATACCCAGTAATGGGATGGCTGGGTCAAATGGTATTTCTAGTTCTAGATCCCTGAGGAATCGCCACACTGACTTCCACAATGGTTGAACTAGTTTACAGTCCCACCAACAGTGTAAAAGTGTTCCTATTTCTCCACATCCTCTCCAGCACCTGTTGTTTCCTGACTTTTTAATGATGGCCATTCTAACTGGTGTGAGATGGTATCTCATTGTGGTTTTGATTTGCATTTCTCTGATGGCCAGTGATGATGAGCATTTTTTCATGTGTTTTTTGGCTGCATAAATGTCTTCTTTTGAGAAGTGTCTGTTCATGTCCTTGGCCCACTTTTTGATAGGGTTGTTTGTTTTTTTCTTGTAAATTTGTTTGAGTTCATTGTAGATTCTGGATATTAGCCCTTTGTCAGATGAGTAGGTTGTGAAAATTTTCTCCCATTTTGTAGGTTGCCTGTTCACTCTGATGGTAGTTTCTTTTGCTGTGCAGAAGCTCTTTAGTTTAATTAGATCCCATTTGTCAATTTTGTCTTTTGTTGCCATTGCTTTTGGTGTTTTAGACATGAAGTCCTTGCCCATGCCTATGTCCTGAATGGTAATGCCTAGGTTTTCTTCCAGGGTTTTTATGGTTTTAGGTCTAACGTTTAAGTCTTTAGTCCATCTTGAATTGATTTTTGTATAAGGTGTAAGGAAGGGATCCAGTTTCAGCTTCCTACATATGGCTAGCCAGTTTTCCCAGCACCATTTATTAAATAGGGAATCCTTTCCCCATTGCTTGTTTTTCTCAGGTTTGTCAAAGATCAGATAGTTGTAGACATGCGGCGCTATTTCTGAGGGCTCTGTTCTGTTCCATTGATCTATATCTCTGTTTTGGTACCAGTACCATGCTGCTTTGGTTACTGTAGCCTTGTAGTATAGTTTGAAGTCAGGTAGTGTGAAGCCTCCAGCTTTGTTCTTTTGGCTTAGGATTGACTGGACGATGCGGGCTCTTTTTTGGTTCCATATGAACTTTAAAGTAGTTTTTTCCAATTCTGTGAAGAAAGGCATTGGTAGCTTGATGGGGATGGCAGTGAATCTGTAAATTACCTTGGGCAGTATGGCCATTTTCATGATATTGATTCTTCCTACCCATGAGCATGGAATGTTCTTCCATTTGTTTGTATCCTCTTTTATTTCCTTGAGCAGTGGTTTGTAGTTCTCCTTGAAGAGGTCCTTCACATCCCTTGTAAGTTGGATTCCTAGGTATTTTATTCTCTTTGAAGCAATTGTGAATGGGAGTTCACTCATGATTTGGCTCTCTGTTTGTCTGTCATTGGTGTATAAGAATGCTTGTGACTTTTGTACATTGATTTTGTATCCTGAGACTTTGCTGAAGTTGCTTATCAGCTTAAGGAGATTTTGGGCTGAGATGATGGGGTTTTCTAGATATACAATCATGTCGTCTGCAAACAGGGACAATTTGACTCCCTCTTTTCCTAATTGAATACCCTTTATTTCCTTCTCCTGCCTAATTGCCCTGGCCAGAACTTCCAACACTATGTTGAATAGGAGTGGTGAGAGAGGACATCCCTGTCTTGTGCCAGTTTTCAAAGGGAATGCTTCCAGTTTTTGCCCATTCAGTATGATATTGGCTGTGGGTTTGTCATAGATAGCTCTTATTATTTTGAAATATGTCCCATCAATACCTAATTTATTGAGAGTTTTTAGCATGAAGGGTTGTTGAATTTTGTCAAAGGCTTTTTCTGCATCTATTGAGATAATCATGTGGTTTTTGTCTTTGGCTCTGTTTATATGCTGGATTACATTTATTGATTTGCGTATATTGAACCAGCCTTGTATCCCAGGGATGAAGCCCACTTGATCATGGTGGATAAGCTTTTTGATGTGCTGCTGGATTCGTTTTGCCAGTATTTTATTGAGGATTTTTGCATCAATATTCATCAAGGATATTGGTCTAAAATTCTCTTTTTTGATTGTGTCTCTGCCTGGCTTTGGTATCAGAATGATGCTGGCCTCATAAAATGAGTTAGGGAGGAGTCCCTCTTTTTCTATTGATTGGAATACTTTCAGAAGGAATGGTACCAGTTCCTCCTTGTACCTCTGGTAGAATTCAGCTGTGAATCCATCTGGTCCTGGACTCTTTTTGGTTGGTAAGCTATTGATTATTGCCACAATTTCAGATCCTGTTATTGGTCTATTCAGAGATTCAACTTCTTCCTGGTTTAGTCTTGGGAGAGTGTATGTGTCGAGGAATTTATCCATTTCTTCTAGATTTTCTAGTTTATTTGCGTAGAGGTGTTTGTAGTATTCTCTGATGGTAGTTTGTATTTCTGTGGGATCGGTGGTGATATCCCCTTTATCATTTTTTATTTCATCTATTAGATTCTTGTCTCTTTTTTTCTTTATTAGTCTTGCTAGTGGTCTATCAATTTTGTTGACCCTTTCAAAAAACCAGCTCCTGGATTCATTAATTTTTTGAAGGGTTTTTTGTGTCTCTATTTCCTTCAATTCTGCTCTGATTTTAGTTATTTCTTGCCTTCTGCTAGCTTTTGAATGTGTTTGCTCTTGCTTTTCTAGTTCTTTTAATTGTGATGTTAGGGTGCCAATTTTGGATCTTTCCTGCTTTCTCTTGTGGGCATTTAGTGCTATAAATTTCCCTCCACACACTGCTTTGAATGCGTCCCAGAGATTCTGGTATGTTGTGTCTTTGTTCTCATTGGTTTCAAAGAACATCTTTATTTCTGCCTTCATTTCGTTATGTACCCAGTAGTCATTCAGGAGCAGGTTGTTCAGTTTCCATGAAGTTGAGCGGTTTTGAGTGAGATTCTTAATCCTGAGTTCTAGTTTGATTGCACTGTGGTCTGAGAGATGGTTTGTTATAATTTCTGTTCTTTTACATTTGCTGAGGAGAGCTTTATTTCCAAGTATGTGGTCAATTTTGGAATAGGTGTGGTGTGGTGCTGAAAAAAATGTATATTCTGTTGATTTGGGGTGGAGAGTTCTGTAGATGTCTATTAGGTCTGCTTGGTGAAGAGCTGAGTTCAATTCCTGGGTATCCTTGTTGACTTCCTGTCTCGTTGATCTGTCTAATGTTGACAGTGGGGTGTTAAAGTCTCCCATTATTAATGTGTGGGAGTCTAAGTCTCTTTGTAGGTTACTCAGGACTTGCTTTATGAATCTGAGTGCTCCTGTATTGGGTGCATATATATTTAGGATAGTTAGCTCTTCTTGTTGAATTGATCCCTTTACCATTATGTAATGGCCTTCTTTGTCTCTTTTGATCTTTGTTGGTTTAAAGTCTGTTTTATCAGAGACTAGGATTGCAACCCCAGCCATTTTTTGTTTTCCATTTGCTTGGTAGATCTTCCTCTATCCTTTTATTTTGAGCCTATGTGTGTCTCTGCATGTGAGATGGGTTTCCTGAATATAGCACACTGATGGGTCTTGACTCTTTATCCAATTTGCCAGTCTGTGTCTTTTAATTGGAGCATTTAGTCCATTTACATTTAAAGTTAATATTGTTATGTGTGAATTTGATCCTGTCATTATGATGTTAGCTGGTTATTTTGCTCGTTAGTTGATGCAGTTTCTTCCTAGTCTTGATGATCTTTACATTTTGGCATTTATTTTGCAGTGGCTGGTACCGGTTGTTCCTTTCCATGTTTAGCGCTTCCTTCAGGAGCTCTTTTAGGGCAGGCCTGGTGGTGACAAAATCTCTCAGCATTTGCTTGTCTGTAAAGGATTTTATTTCTCCTTCGCTTATGAAGCTTAGTTTGGCTGGATATGAAATTCTGGGTTGAAAATTCTTTTCTTTAAGAATGTTGAATATTGGCCCCCACTCTCTTCTGGCTTGTAGAGTTTCTGCCAAGAGATCCGCTGTTAGTCTGATGGGCTTCCCTTTGAGGGTAACCCGACCTTTCTCTCTGGCTGCCCTTAACATTTTTTCCTTCATTTCAACTTTGGTGAATCTGACAATTATGTGTCTTGGAGTTGCTCTTCTCGAGGATTATCTTTGTGGCGTTCTCTGTATTTCCTGAATCTGAATGTTGGCCTGCCTTGTTAGATTGGGGAAGTTCTCCTGGATAATATCCTGCAGAGTGTTTTCCAACTTGGTTCCATTCTCCCCATCACTTTCAGGTACACCAATCAGACGTAGATTTGGTCTTTTCACATAGTCCCATATTTCTTGGAGGCTTTGCTCATTTCTTTTTATTCTTTTTTCTCTAAACTTCCCTTCTCGCTTCATTTCATTCATTTCATCTTCCATCGCTGATACCCTTTCTTCTAGTTGATCGCATCGGCTCCTGAGGCTTCTGCATTCTTCACGTAGTTCTCGAGCCTTGGTTTTCAGCTCCATCAGCTCCTTTAAGCACTTCTCTGTATTGGTTATTCTAGTTATACATTCTTCTAAATTTTTTTCAAAGTTTTCAACTTCTTTGCCTTTGGTTTGAATGACCTCCCGTAGCTCAGAGTAATTTGATCGTCTGAAGCCTTCTTCTCTCAGCTCGTCAAAGTCATTCTCCATCCAGCTTTGTTCCGTTGCTGGTGAGGAACTGCGTTCCTTTGGAGGAGGAGAGGCGCTCTGCTTTTTAGAGTTTCCAGTTTTTCTGTTCTGTTTTTTCCCCATCTTTGTGGTTTTATCTACTTTTGGTCTTTGATGATGGTGATGTACAGATGGGTTTTTGGTGTGGATGTCCTTTCTGTTTGTTAGTTTTCCTTCTAACAGACAGGACCCTCAGCTGCAGGTCTGTTGGAATACCCTGCAGTTTGAGGTGTCAGTGTGCCCCTGCTGGGGGGTGCCTCCCAGTTAGGCTGCTCAGGGGTCAGGGGTCAGGGACCCACTTGAGGAGGCAGTCTGCCCGTTCTCAGATCTCCAGCTGCGTGCTGGGAGAACCACTGCTCTCTTCAAAGCTGTCAGACAGGGACATTTAAGTCTGCAGAGGTTACTGCTGTCTTTTTGTTTGTCTGTGCCCTGCCCCCAGAGGTGGAGCCTACAGAGGCAGGCAGGCCTCCTTGAGCTGCGGTGGGCTCCGCCCAGTTCGAGCTTCCCAGCTGCTTTGTTTACCTAATCAAGCCTGGGCAATGGCGGGCGCCCCTCCCCCAGCCTAACTGCTGCCTTGCAGTTTGATCTCAGACTGCTGTGCTAGCAATCAGGAGACTCCGTGGGCGTAGGACCCTCCAAGCCAGGTGCCGGATATAATCTCGCGGTGCGCCATTTTTTAAGCCCGTCGGAAAAGCGCAGTATTTGGGTGGGAGTGACCCGATTTTCCAGGTGCCATCCGTCACCCCTTTCTTTGACTCGGAAAGGGAACTCCGTGACCCCTTGCGCTTCCCAAGTGAGGCAATGCCTCGCCCTGCTTCGGCTCGCGCTCGGTGCGCGCACCCACTGACCTGCGCCCACTGTCTGGCACTACCTAGTGAGATGAACCCGGTACCTCAGATGGAAATGCAGAAATCACCGTCTTCTGCGTCGCTCATGCTGGGAGCTGTAGACCGGAGCTGTTTGTATTCGGCCATCTTGGCTCCTCCCCACAAAGGTACAATTCTTGACAGCATGACACTCAGAGTTAAAGATGGTATTATTTGGCTTAAAAACCACAAATACTGACAAATATAAACTAAACTTATGAGTTTGCTATTTTAGTAAAATATCATTGGTTAAAATACTGATCTCTTTGCTTCTCTGTTACCTCATCTATACATTCATGAACTGGAAATAAAATTATGGTTAGATTAGGCCAGGTGTGGTGCCTCATGCCTATAATCCCAGCATTTTGGGAGGCTGAGTAGGCCAGATCACTTGAGGTCAGGAGTTCAAGACCAGCCTGGCCAACATGGTGAAACCCCATCTCTACTAAAAATACAAAAATTATCCAGATGTAGTGGTACATGCCTGTAATCCCAGCTACTCAAGAGGCTGAGGCAGGATAATTGCTTGAACCTGGGAGGCAGAGGTTGCAGTGAGCCCTGATTATACCAGTGCACTCCAGCCTAAGTGACAGAGCAAGACTCCATCTCACAAAACAAAACAAAACAAAAAAATTACAATGAGATTAGATATAGGTAAATGTTAGACTTAATGCTTATAAAGTACCTAGCTCACAGTAGATTTATAGAAAATGTTAGGCTGCCACCTTTTTTTCTTCTTTGTTTCTTTCATCATCCATATTTCTCCTTTACTTAATTCCGATGAAAACCTTTAATGCATATTATGTAACAATATATATTACATTAAATAAATTAAAATGCAATTAATGATATTTATCTGCAATGCACATAAAGACCTACTACCTTGCTAGAATTTGGTCCCAAATTTGACCCAAGTATACCAGAAATGTTTTAAAATAGTGTTGTGGATTGTGTCTGTGTATGTGTGTATGTATGTGTGTGTGTGTTTGCGTGTATACATATATATATACACACTATATATTTGTACATAATAATGAGAGAGCGTTGAATGCAATGGCAATTGATAGAAAGTGCAGTACAATTTTTAAAATGTAAAAATGTTTCTGAAAGGAAATTAAATCAAAATTTGTCCTTGATATAACAAGTATTAATTCAAAAAGGAAGTATTGGAAGTGGAAGTGATGTCCAGACAGAGGAAACAGCATACCCAAACATTCAAAGTGAAGAAGGCCATGATGCTTGTGGAGAATCTACTTCTACATTTCTTTGTTCCAGTCTTCTGTTACACACAGCTCATGGAAACTGCTAAACACACTGAGATCCAGTTTAGAGGCATTTCTTGTTTACACATTTTTAAAAATTTCACCTTAAAATTCTGAAAATATAGAGAGGTACAGTGTGCTTTCAGACTATTTCCAAACTTCTAAAGAAAAACAGAGAAAAACTAGGTTAACAAAATTAAAATTCATGAACAATATTTACAACAACACAGGGTAACAATGTGCCCTACAAAAAATCCCCAGTGTAAATAGTGACAGACAAATCAGGAAGACCTGCAATATCCATGAGGAATCAGAATCCTTTCAAGATGAAGCAGAGGGTGAACACAATATATTATGGATTTGAGAACCCCCAAGTCAGCAACAAGGATTTATTAGAAAGTGGGCAAGGCAATTAAAAAACAGCTACGGAAACTAAGTAGGGTGGGAGTTTGCACACATCAATAAGCAAGAGTCCAGGATGAGATAAAAAAGAGGCTGGGACCATATGGCTTCTACAACTCTTAAAATAACCAGACCAAATTCTCTTCCAGGATCAAGTTCCGTATTGAGAAGAATTTACTGTAAGTAAACTACATATTAAACAAGGCTGACACAATAGGGCCAAAAAAAGAGAAGGCCTCTAAAAAGTAAGTGGGGACAGAAGCAGAACCAGGACAGAGCAAAAAGTGAAAGGTCTTATTATTGAATATCTTATAAAATCAACAGGAGAGCTCTAGATTCAGGATGCTAGGAAAGCTATCTTGACCGATCTTTACCTTATAAAAGTTCAAGTTTAATTCCATACAAATGGCATCAATACGGCATGCTTTTGTTGTTGTTTGTTTCTTATTTAAGGAGAGTGCAGAGGGAAGAAAGTGCCTTTCCCAAAATAGTATACCTTGATATGACTGTTCATGAAGTAACGTCTAGTGTTTTTAAAAGAACCTTAGTGCCAGGGCTACAGTGAGCTTATATTCTGCAGCTGCAACCTTGAGAGAAGTGCTTCTGGGCAGTCCTCTTTGTTTCCTTCCCAGCAGAACCTCAGCCCCACCTCACTGGATCCAGCTCCATCACTGTGCCTGGCCACCTCAAGTTATTCCTGAAGGTCAATTTCTGGAGTATGTCCTAATCCTCTCCTCCTCCAAGCACCCCTCTTGGTCCCTGCAATATCCCTCCCGAACCCCCACCTAAAAGCCTTTCTGCCTGCCCTTGTCCCATAATACCTCACCCAAGAATGTATTATAAGCCAGCGTGGTGGCTCACACCTACAATCCCAGCACTTTGGGTGGCCTAGGCAGACGGATTGCCTGAGGCAAGAAGTTCGAGACCAGCCTGGCCAACAAGATGAAACCCCCTCTCTACTAAAAATACAAAAATCAGCAGGGTGTGTTGACACATGCCTGTACTCTCAGCTAGTCAGGAGGCGGAGGCATGAGAATAGCTTGAACGTGGGAGGCAGAATTTGCAGTGATAGAGATAGCGGCACTGAACTTCAGCCTGAGCAACAGAGTGATGACACAGTGAGAAAAAAAATGAGAAATAGGAAGAGGCAGAGGTAGGTATCTATCTACATATCGATATATCTATGTATTTAGTTATGTATAATATATATGCATATTATACATGTACATGAATATATGCATTATATGTTGCTTAATATGTAGTTTACTTCCATTATTATATATATAGTACATTATACATGCATATATGAGAGAGAGATCTCAAATTGATAGAATCCCTAATAACAAGCAGCTACCACCCCCATTTTTCACAATGGCTAATTACTTTACTGCGTGATTTACTCTCAGATATGGTACTGAGGACCACGAGGTATATCCAGCAAATTATCTGCAAATTCAAGTGCAAGTTTTTGGCTTTAGAAAATGTTTCAAATCAGTCAGTTACACTTGGGAAATGAGGTTAGGAATATGCACCCAAAGGGTTGATCTTAACTATTCATTATCACTAGTGGGAAAATTCTGGAGATTAAGGGATGTTTGGGGTGGCTGTCTTGCTCTGAGAGGGGTATGGGTGGGGAATGGATTTATCCTCTTTTCCTTTTGTGTTAATAATGGTGGGAGATTTTGGTTACTGTGAATAGTACCTACATGAGCTGGATAAATCATGAGCACTAAAGGTTTTGGGAGGGTAAAGAGAGGGGCTGCAGGGACTGCAGGGAGGAGGGACCGGGGCTTTTTCAGAAAGTTTGCAGAGAGAAAGCAGTCAGCTTCTCTGTCCATCATCCACAGCTCCAGGATTAAAGAAAACTCTGCTTTCTCCCTGCACATTCTCTTTGTATCTGCAAGAGAAAGTAGATGGGTTAAAATTAGTGAACTGAAATTAGTATTTTCCAGAAAGACAATTGAATCACTACCAAGATATGTAAAGGCAACTGGGGCCTTGTGAGGCCACCCAAACCAGCCTCCATCCAGGGTAATGAAAGGGGATCCAGTTGTCCCCAAAGCTGGAGATTTCAGGTAATTAGGAAAGAGCCAAGGAGGCAGTGGAGGGGTCAGGTTAAAATAAAACGCCTTGTGTAATATCTGCATTAATGGGCCAGGCTAGGAAAGAAAAACTGGTAAATATAAGTTGATAGAAGAAAAATAGGAGAGAAAGTTTTATTTTATTTTTTAAAATAACTTTCTGAAACCAACTTTATTTATGTGAGTTTTATGGAAGAAAGGACTAGAATTAATAGGAATAAAAATATGTGTGTTTAGCAAAGGAAGTTGGTGGTCAGATAAAGAATGTAGTTGAAAAGATGGTGGTGGTGAGATGAAGAACATGGTTTCTGTAAACTGTTGGGAATGAAATATTTCACTGACTTCAAAAGAGATGGAAAGTTTCACAAATGAGTACAGAGAACATACTCATGTGGTGAATAAATATGCTTTGTAGCCTGTCAGGTTCTTTCCCTTACACTCTTACACCTTTCTTTTGCTTTGGACTCACGGAATCAGGGATAGGTCAGTAACCTGACTAAAGGTATCAGAAACACCAGCTTCTGAGAATGCTAACATACTGACTACTTGATTTTCTTTATCTATTTCTATGAAACATTTTCTGTACCATTTTTAAAAGTGTAGAGGTAACATTAGTTTTGATTTTCTTTAAATAAAAATATTCTCTCTTAGAATACTGTGCATGTCTTTCCTTTTATGCTATATCTTTTCTTTTCCCTTGATCTCTAAGCCAGTCCAGGTAAATAAATACCTGAGTGTGTTTATCCAAACTGATGGGCTAATGCAAGAGCACAGGTTTCTTCCCCCTGACCTGGAATTTTCCTTTCTCTGTTAGACACCTGCTAAGTCCCAATTCATCAAGTGTAAGTTTCAACATTTCTTCAGGGAATTATTTCTTTAGCTCCTGGACTAGATTAGGTTATTTGTTGTATAGACTCAGAAAATCTTATACCTTTCTTTGTAAAACTCACAATGTAATATTGGGCTTCTTTTCTGGTTTTCAAATTGCAGGAGAAGGATGGTGTTTGTACTACACACAGGTATATTCCAAGAAATTACACAACGCTTAATATATAACATATTCAATAATTGTTTGAATAAAAGAATAAATGCACAAAATAATTGATAAAAACATGTGATACAACTGTTTAAAAGGCAACCAAATTTACCCCTGTATTTCTGTTGATTTTGGCTACTGAATGTAACCAAAATCAATAGGGATACTGAGAAATACTATTTAATAAAGTTGTAAATTGGACTGCTTATCAAATTGATAGGCTCAGCAAATTTTCTTTAGCTCAGTCACAAACTATTGATGAACACAGATCTTAACAGAATGACAATGATACAAATAAAAAGACTGAAAATCTGTAAGATTTTAGTAATTTCACTGATGGCATCCTACACACACAGTTACCTGGGAACATGTCATTAGCAGAATAGAAAATAAGACTCAATTTTGCTTCAGAAAATACAGAATACTCAGAAGCCTCATTGCATTTTAATAAAATTCCAAATTTATTTAGTTCTTAGAAATTTTTAAAATACATGTGCATTAAAATATCCTTATTATCAGAAATACCTATATTTTGATCATGTTAATTTTGTATGAAGCCTTTCCTTAAGTATCGATTGGAAATTGGTTCCAGGACTCCCCAGGGATATCAAAATCCTTGGATGCTAATAATCCTCAGATGTCCTTACATAAGATGGCGAGGTATTTGCATGTAGCCTAAGCACATCCTCCAATGTACTTTAATTATCTCTAGATTACTTAAAATACTTAATGCAATGTAAATGCTATGTAAGTAGTTGTTACACTGAATTATTTAGGGAATAATGACAAGCAAAAAAAATCTGCACATGTTGAGTGCAAATGAAACCATCCGATATTTTTTTCCTGAATATTTTTAATCCATGGTGAGTTGAATACATGGGTGCAGAACCCTATCATATGGAGGTCCAACTGTATACCAAATATCATATATAATGGTGTATTTTCTGATATTTAATTTAATTACTGGCAATATGGCACACAACAAACATATCCAAAGTTTTTGATATGTAGTTTTTTAATTTATTTAAAGCAATCCAACAATGCCTCCTTTAATGAAGATTGCTGACAGCAAAGTCTAAAAAAGACTGACTCCATCTATAAGCAGCAGGCCTAATCCAAAAGTTTAATGACAGATGGGTTGCATAATGGGTTATTTCAATGATAGGAGTAATGCAAACATACAATTCTGTAGTCATTTATATTTTAATTGTATTATACTCTTTTAACCATCCTCATCTTGTGTATTATCTCATTGTGTATTAGAATACAACTATTAGAGCAATAAGGAAGAGTGGATGAATACGGCCAGTTTTTTGTTATTGTTTTGTTTTGTTTTTTTGAGATAGGCTCTCACTCTGTCTCCCAGGTTGGAGTGCAATGGTGAGATCACGGCTCACTGCAGCCTCAACCAACCCAGATCAAGCAATCCTCCAACCTCAGTCTCCCATATAGCTGGCTACAGGCTGCAACATCATGCCTGAGTAATTTTTTTTTTTTTTTTTTTTTTTTTTGAGAAACAGGGTCTCACTCTGTTGCCCAGGCTTGTCTCAAACTCCTGGGCTCAAGAGATCCTCCTACCTTAACCTCTAAAATTGCTGGGACTATAGGCACAAGCCACTATGCCAGGCCTAAATTCAGCCAATTAAACTGAAGTTTAAATTATTTGTGTTTCACTCTCTTTCATTATAAAAAAATCTGTGTCTTAAAATGTGTTCTTGAATATGAATTACTTTATGATTGCACCTTCATAAGACTAGTTCTTAAAGTTTAAGAATAATTCATGAAAATATGAAAATTCATTTATAAAAAATGACTAGCATTAATAGAAGGAATACTAGGTACAGGCAGTGGATAATAAAACTTTAAGTGCATTATATCATTCTGTCCTCACAATTATAAGAGAAAGTGGTCCTCCCACCTCAGCCTCTCAAAGTTCTGGAATTATAGGCATAAGCCACCATGCCTGGCCTAAATATGGCCAATAATTTAAGCTTCAGTTTAATTGGCAGTTCTTATAAGTTTATGAGAGAAATATGTTTTTCTTATAATTGTGAGGACTGGATTAGAAAATGCACATACAACCTCCACTGATAGGGTAGACTCTCCACTCCGGAACAGGAGGTCTAGTGTTGCTATGCCCAAGTTTCCCACTGGCTGTATCTTCCATCCCTCAAGGGATAAGACAAAACACCTGGGGACACCATCCCCCTACCTACCCCAGCGCAGACTTGTAGGGCGTGTGTGAGTGCTAGTGAAGCCACTGTCAACTCCTTTGCAGTGATGTAGAGATTCATCTAGGAGGACTGACAGGCCAGAAAAACTGAGAGCTTTGCTCAATGCCTCACATTAATGACTGATTTTGAATCAGTCATGAAAAGGTACATTCCCAAGGGCATTGTAAAAAACAATGGAGATCTTGGTTAGGAACATTAAAGAGGAGCTTGGAATCTTTAGCATGCTTTGTAGCTACAAATAAACTTCTGGCAGACAGCCTGAATTTTACCAAAGAAAACCAGGCAAGGAGAAAGCCAAGAAAAGGTGTCTTAGGATCACTAATTTCTGGAGATCTGGAAGGCTGTGTATCTGTGCTAGACTGCACCCTCTCAAGAGCAATCAAGGTGGAATGTGGACAAATTTGTAAGCACTCCCCAAACTAACCACTGATTCATCAGCAAAGAGCCTTTAGCCCTCCTGGCTAAAGAGCTAAAGCACAAATTCTGAGTGAACACTGGGTAAACAATAAATTATTCTATTCCAGGGAGTGGCTCCTAGAAGCCAGACTTAAAAACAAAACCACATTCATCTCTGGTGATCTGGAAGCCTGACAATACACTGTCTTAGCAGTAGCCGGAGAGAGGACTTCTGAGCTGTTAGTCCACTGAATGTGGGATGTAATTGTAAACTTCCTGACCAGTGAAAGCTGTCTCCAAGCCACACACATTGAATGATAAAGGATAAAAATCTAACTAGAAGGGTTAGACACAACTTTTGAAATACAGATTTAGGTAGAAATAGAGATAAATAGATATGGATATTGCTGAGTTTAATGTTTAACTGAATTTATGGTAAATATTTATCATCATGAATATGTTCACCTCAGAAGCCAAAAGCATAGCTACTCTCACATGAAGGTTATATATATATATGTGTGTGTGTGTGTGTGTATATGTGTGTGTGTGTATATATGTATATATATGTGTGTGTGTATATATGTGTATATATATGTGTGTGTGTATATATATATTTCAAAGTAGTCATTTATATATTTTTTAATTAGTAAGCTAATTTTGCAAGCACTATTACTTTATCCATGAAGTAAATATATATATATATATGTATTCTAGTGAAGTATAAACTAAGGTGCTTTCTGCATAAGTAACTTGCAGATAATTTTATACATTATATGTATTTTTTAATTTCAACTTTTATTTTAGATGCAGGGGGTACATGTGCATATTTGTTACATGGGAGTATTGCATGATGCTGACATTTGAATACAGATCCTGTCACCTTGGTAGTCAGCATAGTACCCAATAGGTAGTTTTTAAAAAACATATTATTGTTATTTATTAATGTGGAGAAGAGCCTTCCGAAGGCGGCTGCAAATGTCCTTGTCACGCAGAGGCAGCAGTGGTCAGGAGCTCTGCCGACCATTGCTTTAGGTGCCTATTTACAAGGATGACATTCTGAAAAAAATGGCAGGAAACTTCAGAAGAAAAAAAAAAAAACCCTTTTCTTCCAAAGTAGATATGTTCTGACACTCACACCTTCAGGCTGTTGCCCCTGTGGGAAGTGAAAGATGACTGGTTTCTGGCAGTGTGACACCAGGAGCATGCTCCTGGGCTCATGGAACAGACTGAAGAGCTCCCTCCAAGACAAGCTTCCCACAGCCCTTCCCTTTCTTTCCTCTGAAAATCTGTATATTTCTTTTCAAGCCACCACTTAAAATCTTATTTTGTTCCTACTCTTAGAAACAGTAAAAAAGAGCCCCATACTGGCCATTTTATAAATTAATGTAATTTTAAAGCAGTGGGACATTAAGGCATTATTTGTCTCTCTGGCCTTGGTTCCTTTTCTGCATACTGCAATCATTCAGCTACATCTTACACTCTACCATGTCCACGACACTGCTTATGACTAGTGACTAGAAGACTGAACATCACTTGTGCCCACGGGCAGATAGAGAGAAAGTCATCTGGTCACATTACCACTTTGGTGGAAGGCACTCTTATAAAATTCATCAGCCAGGTCTGCTATTATAAACACTGGGTCAAAACTGTAGTTGACTTCGAAGTGTTCTCAGAAAGTCTGATAATACACTATTAAAAGACAATTTTCCATCTGAAAACCTGACTGGTGGCAACCTTCAATTGGCCCCTGCATTTCCTCTGAGCTGAAGCAGCCAAGAGATGGAATCGTTTGCATGAGGAGTTCTTACTGCCACTAAGGTTGTTAGAAAACATGGAATGTTCCTTCTGCCCTCCGGGTGATTGAAAGCTATGCAAAACAAGGTTGTTTCTTTCTGAGAGGAAGGAAGGAATGGGTAAGAAAACTTTTAAGGCATAAATAATATAAAAGGGCACACATTTCAGGATGCATTCATATGACATTATACTACAAAGAAATAAATAATGATTTTCTTTGATTTGAATTAAAGTCCTTCACATAGTCCATTCACAGGCCTGTTTTGTGCAGTTGGTTACAGACTTCAAGTCAGAACATGACTGGTTGTTTGCACATCTTCCAGTTTCCTGGGGCTGCTGTAGGACCTCTGAGGGGCTGTCTAAAGGAACACCAGGCAGAGGCCATGTTGTCTTTTCAGCACAGTCCTCTGAGATAGGTGGCAAAAATAAAAGGATTCCAATGTAAAATGTTGCTGTCCATTTCTGAAGAGACACAGCTGTCTCCTCTGCTGAACTCTTCTGGATCTTCTGTGTGATTAGAGCTGACAATGTTTCTATTATCCTGACAGCAAGTATGCTGAGTAGAGATTGGTTCCACATTGTTCTTGATGCTCTCGTGAGGCAACTGGCCACAATCAGGGATGCAGAAGCCAGGCATACGGGCATCTTCATTTGACTGAGGGGCCTGATTCCCACACCATACTGAGGACAAAGTGCCACCCTAGAGACCACAGGAAAAGGGCTACTGCTGAAAGTGCTGTTGGTTTTGGTGAAACAGCTATTGTTGTTTCAACAATTTTGACAATTAACACATTCCAGAGGGTCAATCTGAGGCACTGCTATGTACATTCCACCACCGTTCACTAGATGATGAGGCTGTTCAAAATTCACATGTCCTGGTTAGAGAGTTAGTGTGCCCAGAGTAAAGTCCTCCATTTAAGCTCCCATTCACAGTTGCATTGACTCCATTGGAGACCTTATGGTGAAGGTGGGAACAGCCACTGCTGAGACCGCCTTGGCTCAGGAAGCCTTCATGAACATTTCCATTTATCTCATTTGCTCCTGAGAGAGTGGTGTGTTCCACCATCTGCCCATTAATATCTGATCCCTGGTAGAGATAACCCAGTGGGTCATATTTCTCTATGATATTCTGCTGGTGATTCTTCCACAGGCACATTGCAATAAAAAGCCACAAAAATAAGGACCATGACACCCAGCATACAGCCAAGGATCAGATATAACATGTCTGCTTCTGGCAGGGCTGGTTGCTGGCCTCACATTTCCTTCACTTTCTGAAGAATTCAGAGGGATACTCAAGCCTTTAGGATACTCAGAATCTCCAGGAACATGTTTTACTTTACTCTCGCAGATCACCACACTGATAAACCCACTTTCTTCTCCTTCACTGAAGCACTGCATTTTAATGCCATAGGAAGTTTCTGACAGGACATGGCCAATCATGTGCCACTCCTTTGAACCTTCTACTACATCCCTCTTGTAATCACTGTCATTGTCACTATCTGATGGTCAGTAATAGTTATAAAAGAATGGAAGTGTTATTGTTACTTCATGGAATGTATGTCCACTTTAGCACTATCTGGGCAACACTGACAGCCTCTGTGTAGGCAATGTGAGTTCCATTATTGGATGGCTGAAAAAATGACTGGGGAACCCAGCCACCTGATAAGGACAAGATTCTGGACTCTTAAAACTCCCTTCCTAATGATTGATAGCAATGACTCTCAATTATTTGTATGTTGAACCCAGTTCTAAACTATGAACTTCCATGGAAATTTTGGAAGCAAGGATATCTTCAGCTGCCACCAGCCAATCACTGGTCCTCATCCTTTCATATTCAACTTTGAAAGCAGTGATTACAGAAACCCAATTTTCCAGAAGAATCTGAGTGACGTAGACCAATGTCTCTGATGCTTTGGAGATAGTAGGGCCATTTGATGCCTCTGGAACTTTGCTGTGCCTTCAAGAATCTGTAAGTACCACTCCAAAATTGTTTGCAGCTTCTGAAACAACAGGATACTTATGGATGCCCATGGGTGGACAGGATGCCTGGGTGTTTTTTGTCAATGCTCTTTTTTCTTTGCTGGTTCAGAAGGTAAGCATGGCAGTTTGTCCTTCACCTGCTCCACTTCTTGCTACTATCAAGACTTTGTAAAGACTAGATGGCCCTAGTTCAGCTAAATGGAGCTCATTTTCACTACCTGGGACTCGAACCATATGCCAAATTCCTACCAAACCAACCCCATTGTTCATCTTCTGATATTTCATAAAATACACATTAATGGATAGCCCACCATTCCTGCCTGCCCTCCACACCAGGTTGTACGTATCTGGTGTGTGGGTCTGTTAGGAGATCAGTAGGATGGGGGCGTCAGGAACAGCGATGCCATTAACATTTTCCTCTGATGCTGATTGTGCACTGCACTGGAATGTACCTTAACTGGACATGAGCTCAATCCAGTTTCTGAACCATCTCTTTTATTTCTTTCATCATTCTGAGTAGCAGAAGAAAGTGTGACTGTTTCCACTTTTGTATTTGTTTCAAAAGGAACAACCATGAGAGATGCTTCTCCCTGCATGGTACTCTGTCCATCTGGAGCTTCCTATATGTGTTTCCCCACATGTTTCTGAGTCACATCCTGAATATGGAGAGAGCTAGAGCCAACTTGGGACATGATGAAGTAGACAGGCTTCAGGTCCAAGATTCCAGGTCTTGATAAGTGTGACTTTGGGGACTTAGATCTAAGGACTTAAGACAGATGGCTGGCTATTAATCCATAGCTGTCATAACCAAGGAATGACTGGAACTGACAGCCCAGTGGCATTGCAGGACACAGTGACAAAGTCTCCACATACCACCTTTGCACTTATTGGTGCCATGATTATAACTGGCTTGAATCCATTGTCTTTTTTCAATTTCAAGTCTTCCAGTAGACTGCATAAATCCAGTCCCATTATCTGTCAAACACTGATACAGCCCAGTATCTTCCATGATAACCCTACTGACTTTCAGTCAATTTCCTGCAGTTAGATGTCATGGGGAAGGATGAATAGGCTGTGCAATATAAAACCAAGTATGGTTGGCGGCTGGGTTTCCATGAATATGACAGGTAAAATGTACTGTGGCACCCAGAGACTGATCCTGTAGTCCTTTATAAATGGGAGCATATTCAAGCACATTAACCATGTATGTCACATATTTTACATCTCCAGTCTTATTTCCCACCATGCAGGAATAGTTTCCAGAGTCTGCTGGGTCAATGCTATCTGTCGCAACATGAGAATATAACCTTCTCCAGTTGCTTCCTGGAGCAATATTCCCTGTCCTTTAGCCAATACACTTGAGGATCCAGGACCCCACTAACCACACACTGCAAGGTTAGAGGAATATGTGAAAAAACAACTAATACCTGTGAACAAGCAGGATGAAGAATGTCAAAATCATCTGAAGAAAGGTGACTCATAAGGAGCTTTTGGCCAATGGGTTCAACTTTTAATTCATGTATGACAGGATTATAAGCCACATATTTGTATGATCCCTTGTCCTCTAAGGATACATGCAAAATGTAAAGATGTCCTGATGGAAGGATTAAGTAATTCTTTATGGAGTGTTTCAGCCACTTCCCATGGATTTTAGCGCACACCTCAGCTTTGGGGTTACTCTCTGGTACCCTGCAGCCAATGAAACCAGCACTTTTTTCTTCTGCTGTAATAACATGCTTTGTGGATGAACCAAAATCACCAAGAAGTGCTGTGGATACTGTTACAGGGCCACTTACAACAACATCAACCTACTGTTGGAAATGCATTGGTAGTAACCCAAAAGGGAGGCTTTAAGAGAAAAAAATTGTCAAAGTCCCCTGATGATTCTTAATATATCCATGTTTCTATCCTATTTTTTTCCATTATGTGACCATGAAATATGAGTGGTCACAGGTTTAGCAGAACAATATAGTTTTACAGGTCCACTGAGTTTCTGGACGGCAGAGTTGCTCAAAAATGAAATAAGGTGCCACGTCTGAACTCACAGAAAGGCAGAGAATCATCAGAGTAACATACAGTAGTGTCCATAAAGGGCCAAGATCTGGATGCAGAGCACCAGATTACAGAAGCAGGCAGGACAGACTTCCATATCCAAACCCAGGCCTTGGTTCATTTTCCATAGTAATGCAGACCAGGGTAATCAAACACATTCTTTAATCTTGACTCCTTAGTGCTCACTAAAGACTCTGATAAGGGACAGTCTTCATGCCGTCCACAGGGGTCTCCCAATATTAAGAGTAACAGCTGCCTTACATCTTCAGTGATTCAAGTCTGCAAGGTGTATAGACTTCTGCTGGGGAGGGAAAGCAGAGAAGCCACTTTCTGTACTTAGCCTGGAACTCACTTCAATGCTGTAAACATCATTGCAGTCCTGCTTGTAATAAAGTCCGGACTAGCAATCTGCCTTTGAGTTGAGCTTTTCTCTTACAAGGTAAATTGTTAAGTCATGCCTTGATTTTAGATCTCTCCACGGAGAGGGCTAAGCATCCAGAGCTCCTGCGTGGCAGCCAGCTGGGAAAGCCACCCCTATGTCATGCTCTCCCGCTGGCGGCAGCAGCTGTGGTGACGGCTGCGATCTGAAGGGGCCCCTCCAGGCCCCGCACAGGGCAGAGGAGGGTGTGGTGCCTCGCACGCCAGGGCAGAAGCACTGGGTAGGACCGGAGGGTGCGGGGTCCCAGGTCTCCTCGCACGGAGCGGCCTAAGCCGGGCACCCGGGCTCAGGGGAGGGTAGCTGGCGGGGCGGAGTGACAGGACGCGCCCCTGCAGCTGCGCTTCTCTGGGCGGAGGCTTGAGGGCAGGTAACCCGGTGGGCACAAGGCCTGCCAGGAGCAGGAGAGCAGCAGGAGGAGCGATTCGGAGAGAGACAGACGGGGCAGGCTGTAGAGATGGCCCTCAATAGGTAGTTTTTTAACCCATCCCTCTCCCTCCACCCTCAAGTAGTCCAGAGTCTATTTTTCCCATATTGATGCCTATATGTGTTCAGTGCTTAGCTCCTGCATATAAGTAAGAATATACAGCATTTGGTTTTCTGATGCTGCATTAATTGGCTTAGGATTACAGCCTCCAGCTCCATCCACATTTCTGTAAAGAACATGATTTCATTCTTTTTTATGGCTGTGTAGTATTCCATGGTGTATAAGTACCACATTTTACTTATACAGTGTGTAATTGATGGACACCTAGGTTGATTATGTCTTTGTTATTGTGAATAGTGCAGCCATGAACATAGGAGTGCATGTGTCGTTTTGGTAGAATAATTTATTTTCTTTTGAGTATATACTCAGTAATGGGATAATTGGATCAAATGGTGCCAGTTACATTTCTGCCTGCTCCAGTCTTTTTTTTATTTGTTTGTTTTCCCAAAACGACTGCCTTATTGATCTCCAACTTGCGTAGTCAGTCTCCATAGTAATATGTCATTATTTTCTTTATTCTCCCTCCTGCCCTCCTACTGGTTCTGCTTCTCCAGTTGAACCCTGACTGATACAAGACTAATAGATTTATTTTCACTATTAAGATAGCATTATATAATTTCTTCATTACTCTGCATATCATTCTTTGGCAGACTAAGCTAATCTTACTAATATAATCAATACCCACACATGGTTAGCTCATGCTTTATATTTGGGAGATTTAACTCTCATAAAGTTAATACATACTAAACATTCTGTTAGCTAAGAGAAAACCCTGGAGATTATAAGAAAGACATATTAGAAACTTTTCAATTAATTCAGGCCAACACTATTGTGAGTTTTCCACCTCAGCTGACTTTACATTTTATGAACTTATTTCAAAAGTCATTTTCTTTAGTCAACTCCAGAGAGTACAGAATAATATAACATAGAAAGTTATAGTCAACAAATTAAAATAAAAACAGGTTATTTTCACTTTACTAAATATTGTTTGAATTCCTTTTTTTTTTCTTATATATGTCCAGATTTTGAGGCAATTTATTCTTTGGACTTCCAAATCCTTATTTCTTGCTCTATTTTCTTTTCCGAGTTGAACATTCATAAAGCCACCTAGATATTACGCAGGCTCTTAATATAAATTACAGCCACTTCAAGTTCCTCACATCCAAAAAAACCCATCAGGTTTTGTTCTTGAAAAGTTATTCTCATCTTGTCTTCCTGGTTTCAGGAATCAGTATGACTACTTACCTCCTTATCCATACTGGAAAACTAAGATTTAGTTTAGATGATGTTTTCTTCCTCAACCTCTACATCCTATCAGGCCCTACACAGTGTTATTAAGTGATTAAACTTTAAATGTCTGTCAGATATATTTTGTCCTTCACATTTCTAATTTCTTCTTTCTTAATTCAAAGTTTCATTATCTCCTGCAAATTTCTTCTAATTTTTGGACTTACTTCCGCCATTAGATTTAGCCTCACTAATTGTTTCTGAAAAACCACTTTCCATGGGCACTAGGTGGCCACCCACTGGATTCTCCTTAGGTGCTTGTGCTTGTGCCTGACACTGAGGGACTTGTAGGTGAACCTGCCCAGTATGGCCCTGCCCATGTTGCCCCAGCTGACCCCAGAGCTGAGGAGGGAGCTGGGAACATTGTGTACTCCACGAATCAGCCCATTGCCTGGGGCTTCTTCTAGTAAACAAGGATCAAGTATAAACCCAGCCATGTTGGTCAAAACCAGCTCTAACACATAAGCACATTTACTGGCTTGTAGGTCGAACCAACCATGTTGGTCAAAACCAGCTCTAACACATAAGCACATTTACTGGCTTGCAGGTCGAACCGCACAGCCCAATAAAAAAAACCTGTAGACAGAAATGCCTAGGGCTGTATGAGAGAAGCTGAAAGACCAACCAAACCCAGCATTCTCTACATCAACTGACCTTTGACAAAGCAAACAAAAATATAAAGTGGGTAAAGGACACCCTATTCAACAAGGGGTCCTCAAACCCTTGGCCTGTTAGGAACCCGGTCGCACAGCAGTAGGTAAGCAGCAGGTGAGCGAGCATTACCGTCTGAGCTCCACCTCCTGTCAGATCAGCAGTGACATTAGATTCTCATAGGAGCTGGAACTCTATTGAGAACTGCGCATGCATTGGATCTAGGTGACGTTCTCCTTATGAGAATCTAACCCGTGATGATCTGAGGTGAAACACTTTCATCCCGAAACCATCCCCCTTCCCGCTTCCCAGGAAACCAGTCCCTGGTGCGAAAAAGGTTAAGGACCGCTGATCTACAGTCATACTAGGAAGGAGGAAAAAGAGAAACAGTGGGGTGGGGGACAGGTGGGGACACAAAAACAAACCAAAAGGAAACTCAATAACATTACAGGAAAATTTAAAAATATCCTATCGGCACAAAAGTAATTACAAAAATTAGAGATGTCTAATCTTGGAAATAGGAGTCCATAATGAACTCCAATCCAGCCAATTTAGATTCAAAACCCATCTCTTAAGGACCAGCTGTCCTACCTCTCCAAAAAGATGGGTTGTAAAGGAGGAATAAGCAATTATTTTTTTCTTCAATAAGCAATTATTTTTTTCTTCAATAAGCAATTATTTTTTTCTTCTTGGTGGCTCATTTAACATGCACTTCATCAAGAATTTATTAAGTAGGGTGGATAATAGCTTTTCTTGGTGCAGAGGAAAAAGGAAATAAGGTTTTATGGATTCTGACAATTGGCAAATAAGCCTGAAGTATAATGGATTTATCTGTGATAAAGCAAGGAAGTATCAGTAAGATTCAATAATAGATGGATAAATTGGTTTATATTCTGGCTAACCCAATACCACTGCAGAATTATATGAATGTAAGGAGAAAATCAGTGTTTAGTTTTAGAAGATGCCTCTATTTCTCCATGAGGACAGACAACATAATTTAGAAAGACTGAAAATAGAGGGCAAGAAGAATTTTTAGTAACTTCATATATATATACATATGAATATATATATGCACACACACATATATATGTGTGTGTATACATATGTGTATATGTGTATGTTTATGTATACACACACACACACACACACACACACACATAAGACCAGAATGTCTCATAACGGGGGATCTTAAAAAGGAAATGCGCCACAAGCCAGATATGGACTTGCTCAGGTGAGAAAGATTTAGGGTGTCAAAGTGCTGAACATTCACATGCATGGAAATTATTTCTCTCAGATGAAATCCACATTCCCTCCCACTTTCATTATTTGTTTCCAAAAACATACTTCTATAACTGTGGCTGGTTTATTGTATGCCCTCAAAAAATTCTCTAGAATTCGTGCAGCTTACTTATACTTTATCCATGAACAAATGAACTTTGCGAATTGGTGAATGTAGAAGACCGAAGGAAAACTGGCCATTTAAATGAATAAAAATTTATTTAGGTTTTTGTAAATCCATAAAATAATATTTAGGTTAATATTTTGGTCATAGAAATATGAGAAAAGCTTGAGATTCTAGCTAACTAACTGCCTTCCTCCTCTATTTTCTCTTTAACTGTTATCACTGGATTTGTATCATGGTCATCTTTGAGTCAGATATACCTAAGAATGAGGCCTTGGGAATTTTTGGACAACTCATTCATGTTTATAACAGAGCACATTGGCTTCCCAGATCTCCTTCCCCCCGACTCACTCTGAGAAGATCCTTAGAAATAAGACTTCTTCAGAGGTTTCCCCTCTGTCAATCTGCTCAATTGGGAGTCTCTATTTTAAAGAAAATAGGCAATGACTTCTCAAGTATGAGGAAACTGAGGAAAGACTATTTTTCAAAATTGTCTCAAGTTCTTAGACAGGACTTAGTGAAAGAGATGTCCTGTGAAGACCACTAAGCCTCCTGTTTTTGCCTTCACTGGCTTTTGAAGACATAATGCACAGTTGAGTCTGTCCCTGATTCCAGCAGATGCACTTTCAGAGTTTTCACAAGAGCTACTGAAATGAGCTCACACATTATTAAAATGTTAACTCAATTTTTTATGAATCTATTTTTCCCTTCCTCTGATACAGAGATGTTTCTGGTGTTCAGTAATTTTATTTGGCATGGTTTAAAAGTTGCAAAAGAAAAAAAAACAGGATCCTAATAATCTGTTCCAGGTTAATTTTTTAGTTCTAAAAATCCTATGCATATGTGAAAGTGCTAAGTTTTTTTAAGTGTAACAGAGGCAATTACTTTAGTGAATGCAGGAATGGTGGATGCCAGAATAGAAAAGGAGAGAAGGAGTCTCCCAGGAGTGAAAAAGCTAGTGAGTTACTCCTGTATGTTACAATTGACAGCTAGAATAGATGAAAGAGACCCTACACGTGTGAGAACAATGTGGTCCCAAGGGCAGCTCTATAAACCAATCTCACAGCCTCCACTTTGGCAAACAAACACACAAACTACTAGCCTTGAAAAAATTCCATTGTTCCACACAGGGAGCATTGCAATGGAGTCTGGTAAAAACTGTATACTAGCATTTTATTACTGAATATTCTCAAGACATAAGAGAGTCAGGGTCTTTAAAAATTACTAGTTATTAGAAGTAAAGAATAGACTTAATTCTGACTGAGAATTTTCATTTGATTTGAAAATTTAGGAGCCACAAATAAGAATTAATCTGGGAAAAACAAAGTGATGATATTGTAGTTTTAAAATTATGGAATAAAATAAGATTTTGTTGAAGCATCTTAAATACATAATACTAGTGATTTTTTTTTGTAGCTATATGAATGTTAACTGCAAATTTTTCCTTATAAAAGTGAGGCAGTATAGCTGCAAGTGCCCTAGGCTGTGAACTCAGAGCTCAGAGCAGGGTTGATTTATAGACTGATTAAAAAGCTTAACTGCTTTCTATGTAAGGGGCAGCCCATTAGCAATACGCTCATAATCTAGTATTTTTTGTGTGTGAAATCATATGGATAATCTTTTTACTTTAATTATTGAATTTATTTTCAGAAATTATTACATCATTTTGACCGTACAGACTTTTTATAATTGCATACATCCTTGTAATCATATTGGCAAGATGCAGAATGAATCAGTATGAAACTTAAATAGATCCAGGCTCACAATTGGTGACTTACATAATAGGCAAACAGAATGACAAAGGGAAAAAAGGAATAAATGGTGCAATGTTCAGAGTTCAGGTAAATTATTCAATGTTATATATAAAATTGTACATTTATTCAGTATATTTAATTTTTATTTGCTAAGAGTAGATTTTTGGGGTTGTCTGTTGTACTGGTGTGCTGTTCTTTATATTATTTTTACAATGGCATATATTATTCATATGATATAAAATTTGAATAAATATTAAAATTGTTTTTAAAAAACTAAAATAAAAACTAAGTAAGGAAGCAAAAAAAATTTAACTTACAGTATGAAGAGCTAATGTTAAATCAGAAAATTCAGGGCAGCCCAGTGTGAATGCAGAGAATCAGACAGACTAGAATTTTAAGAAAATTATTTATAAATAACACTTCTAAAATGTTTATATATATATATTCACTTCGAAAAATAACATGTGTAGACTTCCTTTTGTTTTCTAGGGAAGAACTTGAATAAATGGCAAATTCTCACATCCTTGGCAAATGATGTTGTTATTTAGAACTAAGAAATGTTTTCCTGGAAATTATTATTTAGAACTAACAAATGTTTCCAGCCATCTCTGATAGCTGAAAGGAGTTAATGACAGATAATTTATAGGGCATTTTGTTATGAAAGTTGAACTCAAATATATTAGTCTTATATTTGATTTTTATATATATTTGAATTTTCAGAAAATGGTTAATGTCTGTGGTTAGAGATTTGTTTGTTCTGCAGATGTATTAGTAATCCTCTACTTTATTAAACAGTTTAAACAGAATTGTCATTGGCCTCTTGACCTCATATTGCTCAGTTATATAATATCTTGGGGAGAAATACACTTTATACACTTTTCTGGGGAGATAAGATCCCATTATTCACGTATGTATACGTATGCATGTATCTTTTTTCTTTTTGCAATGAATATTACTCTGTATCCTGACAAAGCTAATAGCCATATCCTCCTACTTGGAGATTTGAGAAGCATGAGTGTTGGACGTGATCCTCAAGATCTACTATGTACAACTCCAAGATCTAAGTGTTTTCTTGAATGAGAACTCAGACTCTCACTTTTGGCAGACTTTACTTGGAGATGAGAGATTCTTGAAATTGGGCTTTTGGTGTCTGTAATATTACTGGAAAGGAAAGAATAGGGATAATGAGATAAATGACATGGAGAGATTCTCTCCTTAGATTGTTAAAGAGAACTTTCACTACAATCTATTTACCACTTCCTCGCTTTTATTTCAATATGTGCCATGGTCTTTCAGTCAAAAGAATTTCTAGTTAATGGAAAGGGAACTGTGAACTTTGTTAATATTGTTCAGTTCCCTTTTATATAGCACTCCTTCTCTTTATCAGGCTTGTCTTTTACTGTAGTCATTTCTGACCAGAAACAAATCAGGAAATTATCTATATATGGAGTAACAGAAGTACCTGAAGGAGCCCTTCTAGTGTGTGTGTCTTCTTAAATAAGATGCATGGGTTATATCTGATTAAGTTCCTTCTAATTTAATGAAAGCGCATTTACTATACTATTGGACATATTTGGACATCTTACATTTTTATTTTATTTTATTGAAACAGAGTCCTGCTCTGTTGGAGGCTGGAGTGCAGTTGCTCAATCTCAGCTCACTGGAACCTCTGCCTTCTGGATTCAAGTGATTATCAGGCCTCAGCCTCCCCAGTAGCTGGGATTACAGGTGAGCACCACCATGCCTGGCTAATTTCTTTTTGTATTTTTAGTAGAGACAGGGTTTCATCATGTTGGCCAGGCTGGTCTCGAACTACTGGCCTCAAGTGATCTGCCTGCCTCGGCCTCCCAAAGTGCTGGGATTACAGGTGTGAGCCACTGCACCTGGCCTATTTATACTTTTCAAAATGTGCTTTTATATATTATTTATTCATTTTATGAAAATCATCACGCATGATGCATAGCATAATGCTATTCTATGTGAAAAAGTGCTTATTAATCATTAGATTAAGGCAAATTAAAATCACAAGATGAACCACTAATTGCCCAGAAGAGCGACCAGAATTTACCGAGAGATTTATTACTATGTGTTGACAAAGATGCAGAACGAATGAAATTCCAGTCATACACGGGGGAACGTAAATTTATACAACCACTTTGAAAACATTTTGGGAAATCTACATAAAGTATTCCTTATGACCCACTAATCCACTCCTAAATATACATCCTACATAAATACATTCTCTTTTTTATTTGTAGAAATGGGGTTCCACTATGTTGCCCAAGCTGGTCTCAAATCCCTGGGCTCAAGCAATCTGCCCGCCTCGGCCTTCCAAAGTAGTGGAATTACAGGCTGCATTCATATATTAATTAAAATATGTATACAACAGTACAACATTCTTCATACCATTACTGTTCATAGTATACCAAAATTTAAGTTAAGAAGTTTATCTCCAGTAGAATGCCTAAATAAGTTGTGATATATTCATGCAAATAAATTTTATGAAGCAAAGAAAAATAATGAACTCTCACTACATGCAACAAAATGAAAGAATATCAAACATCACTTTAAGAAATGAATCTGGACAAAACTTATTCTTAAAGAATATTTAATATGGAATAATATTAAATATTAACAACAGACAAGTTCTATTCTATCTAAAGATTTTTCTTCTTTTACCCCACTTTTTTCTTTACCTCTTTCAATGTATCTAAAGATTATGTCACACACAAAGACCTGGACCTTCCCTGTCTCGTCTTCCCTATCTCCGCAATGTAACAGAAGTCTAAACCACTGCAGGAAGATTGAGAAACATAGCTTCCCTTAAGGTACTGGTAAAAATTTATTCCAGCTCATAGACAGGAACAAGAAATTAAAAGGTGGGAAATAGCATAAATACATGTTAGATTAAGACCTAGAACCGAAGGCAGAGCAAGATCACTGAGAAAGTCCCATTTACAAGTCCCAGAGATACAGTGTCTGCCTATAACAGAGGCTTAATCAGAACTGTTTCTTCTATCTGTGTATATGTTTGTGTAATTATTTAGCCTGATCATAGAAAATACAATTTTTTTAATAATATAGAATATTCTGTAAACCAAATAATCATAAATTAAATCAAAAGGAAAATAGTAGTAAATTCCACAGTGTTAAAATACACACAAGATCTATATTATGATCTTAAAGTCTTTTATATAATATATATGTGTGTTTATGTGTGTGTGTGTATATATATATGTATGTATATAAAGATTCCATATATATATATATGGCTTCCTCATCTATTTGATACTAAAAGTCCTATATAAATATTTTCTATATTGAGTATGTTTCTACCTAGGTTTTCTAGCATCTATTTTAACTTTTAACTTTACAATTTTGGTTCCTGTACATTTGGTACATAGCTATTTATAAGTTTTAATTTTTCATTGCAAATTTTGATAGCATTAAGTTGTCACATTGAAAGTTGTTGATTTAAATTATACTGACTTTCTTATCAGATTCTCAGATCCTTCTTTCTTAATGTCTCCATCTTTCTAGCATAATTTTGTCCTTCTCTTTACTTGCAGTCTTTCTGAATTATTTTGCTTTAGGTGTCTTTTTTTATATACAGGACATAGCTGGGAATTATATTTGAGCTTATAAAAATATTTTTTATCTTTTAATAGGTAAGTTAAGACCTTTCACATTTATTTTATAAATGGTGCATGAATTGAACTTCTCTAATATAACTAATAAGTACAAAAAAGATACTCAACATCATAGTCATTGAGATTATTTTAATTAAAACCACAATTACATGCCACTATAAGCTCAATACAGCAGCTACAATAAAAAACATAGACAATAGTATTTGTTGTTAAGGTTATGGAAAAATGGGAATTTTAATGCATTCTAGGTAAGCATGTAAAATAATACAGCCACTTTGAAAAATAGTTTGTTTTCTTAAAAATAAATAAATAAACATAAATGTACCAGAAAATCCAGGAATCCCTTTCCTAAGTATCTACCTAAAAGAAATAAAAATATTTTTATACAAAGACTTAAACTCATATATACATGATAGCATTATTTATAATAGCTAAAAAGGTAAAACAATCCAAATCTTGATCAACTCTTTAATGAATATCAAAATGTGAACTATTCATACATTGAAATGCTAATCAGAAAAATAATAAATAATGAAATACTGATTTATATTACAATATGGATAAATATTGGAAATATTATGCCAAGTTAAAAGACACACTAAAAACTACATATTGTATAATTCCATATATATGGAACATTCAGAGGCAGAACATTAGAGAGAGGTAATTGATTTCTTGGTACTAGGGTAGATGGTGAAATTAATTGTAAACCAGCACAAGGCATCCTTTTGGAGTAATGATAGTGTTCAAAAACTAAATTATGGTGACAGTTGAGGAACACAATAAATATACTAAAATTCATTGAAAGTTACAAATGGGAGAATGTTACATGGGAGAATTTTATGGTATACAGATTATGTCTCAATAAAGTTGTTGAAAGTACTGAGGAATATAAAAGTTATAAAATTGCCAAAGTACTTTTCAAAAAAGAATAAAATGAGATTTACATTATCTGTATCCAAATGTGCTATAAGTATGTAGGGATCAAGAAAGTATATTAGTGTATGGTGAGATAAATAAATATCTACAACAATGCAACAGAATGAGAGTCCAGAAGTAGATAACACATATATGGTCAATTGATTTTTGACAAAGGTGGTAAGATCATTCAAAAGATTCAAGGATAATCTTTTCCACAAATAGTGTTTAAATTTTTGGAATTTAGGGGCAAAAAATATGAACTTCAAACCCACATTACACTGTACATAAAAATTAACTCAAAATGGATTACTGACCTACCTAAATGTAAGCTGAAATTATAAAACTTCTAGAAGTAGTCATATAAAAAAATTTAATGACCTTGTGTTAGACAAGTATTTCTTAACACGTGGCATCAAAAAAAGAAACATTAAAAAATGACAAACTGGATTTATTAAAATTAAAAATGTTGTTCTTCCAAGGAGACAACAAAATTAAAATATAAGCCATAGACTGGCAGAAATTATATTTGCAAAACGTATATGTGATAAAGGATTTGTATCAAAAAGAACTCTTACAACTCATCAAGTAGACAGACTATCCAATGAAATCATTGTACAATGAGCAGATGATTCACTAAAGAAGATACTTGGCTGGAAACTAATGATAGTAAAAGATGCTCAAGGCCAGGTGCAGTGGCTCATGTCTATAAATACAGCACTTTGGGAGGCCAATACAGGAGGATAACTTGGGGTCAGTAGTTCAAGATCAGCCTGGGCAACATAGAGAGACCACATCTCCGCAGACAATTTTAAAAATTAGCTGGGCAGTGATGTGTGCCTGTAGTCCCAGCTACTTGGAAGGCTGAGGTGGGAGGATACCTTGAGCCCAGGAGTTTGAGGTTACAGTGAGCTATGGTCTTGCCACTGCACTCCAGCCTGGTTGACAGAGAGAGATCCTCCCTCAAAAAAAAAAAAAGTTCAACATCATTAATCACTAGTAATATATAAGCAAATTAACCCACAATAAGCTATTACTATACACTAAAAAATAGAAAAGCTTATGTAATAAAGGTTGAAAATACTAAATGTCAGTGAGGATGTAGAGGAATTAGAACTCTTACCAAGATGCTGGTGGCAATGTAAAATGGTACAGTCACTTTTTAAAGAAGTATTTTGACAGGTTCTTAAATGATTAAAATCCACTAAATAATTCAGTACTTTCACCCCAAGTAACTACCCACAATAAATGAAAGATATGTGGGTTAATTTGAACAGAAATATAAATCACAGTTGCTAAAATTGGGAACAATTAAGATACACATCATCTGGTGTTTGGATAAATAAAACGTGGTGTATACAAGGTATGAAAAACCACTCAGCTAAAAAAGAATGGAAGATGGCCAAACAGATGCAACCGGAAAGCTCCATTCCTGCTGAAAGAGACCAAAATATTGAGTAAACCATATAGCTAACAGACACTATAAAGCAACTATACAATCAACTCTACAAAACAACCAGCTGACAGCATGATGACAGGATCAAAATCTCACATATCAATACAAATCCTAAATGTAAATGATCTAAATTCCACAATTAAAAGGCACAGAGTGGCAAACCGAATAAGAAGACAAGACCCAAGTGTATTTGGTCTTGAGAGATCCATCTCACATATAATGACATCCACAGGCTCAAAGTAAAGGATGGAGAAAGATCTACCATGCAAATAAAAACAAAAAAATGCAGGAGCATCTATTCTTACATAAGATAAAAAAGACTTTAAACCAAAAACAATTAAGAAGAGCATTACAAAATGATAAAGTTTCAATTGAACAAGAAGGCTTAAGTACCATGGTACCATATCTATGTATCCTTTATGTAATGATATTTCTCAGCCTGTTCTGTCTTGCTAATTATGGCTATACTGTAGCATATTTTTGTTGGGTCTATAGCTTTTGATTTTAATAATTTTTACATGTTTATTCATTTAATTATTTACATATTTCTTGAATATCTCTCATATCATCAGACTGTTTCTTATTCCTATAATGAATGAGAAGAACTATCACTGGCATTCCCTTTTTGTAATTTACAAACTTGAAAAAAAGACCCAAGTTCTGTTAGGAGTTTTATAGAGGAAATGTATGAGCCATTCTTGACATCTGAGACCTCGTCTAGTTCAGAAAGGTGGGAACTGGTGAAGGGAAAGGTTTATCCAGATGAAGGCAGGGAATAGAGAATTTTAGGCTGACACTGAGTTTTAAATAAGGGCTATCTGGAAGGCAACTTGTCTGTGCTTTAATTTGACTCAGTTAGCTGGGTTTTCATGCTCATGTATTCTTTCACCTCTAGTACGCTTTGATAACAAGTTAAAAGAACATGCATCCTATACAATATAATAAGAGACGTTACATCTATTCAAATAAAATAGAAATGACAAATGTTCATTATCAACACTTTAAAAAATGATACGATAAATATATATCCAGGAGGTAAAATGAAGTAAAAGGTAATGAGATATGACTGATTTTCCCCATTAAGAAAGTAACCAGAATAGGAGCCTCCTCTGCTATTAGAATTCCCAAGGCCTTGGTCAGGTTTGTGACCTGTCCCTGATTATTTAGATCCGTGGCAAATGAAAGGTCTGAGAGGAAAATAGAAGATGCGTGAGAGGAAACTACAAATGAGGGAACTTTGGGCAACATTAACAAAGCTCACTATCCCACATTCATAATCCAGGAACACCCCTAGCCAGCCTTGGGGCCTTGGAATATAGTGAGGTAACAGTGGGGAGGTAGAGAAGAGACTGAAATGGTCATCCACTTTGAGACACAGGAGTAGAAAGATACCCTCAGAGTCAAGTCGCATGTCATTCCTCTTTGTCCAGGCTTCTCTGCAAAGTCCTATAACCCAATTACAAGAGTCTTTCACATCCACCTCCCAGTAATGTTTGCCAGAGCTGAGGATCTGAGCTCCCCATGAAGAAGTATACTGTGTACTTGTTGGATTACAGGACATGTCTGTATCATCAAGGCTGCACTGCAAATGCCTTAGGTCTTCGAACAGAAGCTTGTGATTACTGCATATCTTACGATCCAAGGTGATATACACTATGGCAAAAGAAAACAGTGAATGCAAAAAAACAGTTTAAAAGTTTGGAGGTACAGGTGCAGAGGCAGTCTGGCAAATGCTTAACAACCAATCCCTGAAAACAAACAAACAAAAGCAACTGGTTTTGTTTATTAGGAATATTTCCACCTCACTAAGGCCAGTTTCAAGCTACCAACAATTTAATAATCAGTCAAAAAATTTCAAAACATTTAACAATTTGCTCTCATGAGTCAGTACTAACTGGGTCCGGCATACCACTCTATCACGAGTGGCATACAGAGTATATCAGAGTAATTATGGAGACAGTTTAGCAACAGCTTCTTGTCCATTTGCAGGGCAAATGAATCTTTAATCAAGCAACTAAGATGAAAGAAAATTTAGAGAAAACAGAGATGTAGGATGTCAAGCTCTGATTTAATTTTTACTAGACTACTAAAAATTTGCCAGCTTATTCATAAGATGCCAAGAAAACATCAAAATGGGCCTTTATTTAAGCCTCCTTATTAACCAATTTTCGCAAAATAAAAAAACATACTAAAAATAATAAAAATATTATTAATTATACTTAAGCTATGACACTGTTATCATTATTAGTCCTAAACAATACCACTTTGCCTAAGATGGGAGGGCTTCACACTTGATCTTAGCCAAAAGGCCAAGAAGTAATGAGGGCTTCACAACTTAAGCAAGCAAAAGTGAAATAAACTGAAAATCTATATGTGCCTTTTTAAAAAGGTGGTTTCTCTCCCAGAATTTCTGGTTTGGACACCATTAAATCAGAATTCTCTTCATCTCATCCCATGGCTGCCTCTCTTCTATATGCCAGACTCACCCTCCATTTCCATTCGTCTGCATAGCCCTCTACACAGTGAAGGGATTTTCTTTCAGACTGCTTTGTGGTTGTACCTATTGTTTACAAACTTGTTTTTCTGCTTTTGAGAATCCTGTGGTTTTTCAAATGTATTCCTTAAAACTTCAATCTTTAGGTAAACATTCGAATAACAACATTAAGATATTTCTAAGAATTGGATCGTGTAAATATAACCAGAGTTGAAATGCTTTGAATGAATATGCAGTTTTATATGCTACACTGAAAAATGAATGCTTTATTTATAGCATTCCTCCAGGTCTTTTTTGAGTGTTTTTTTTTAATCACTTAAAATAATCATGTTACGCACTGTATTTCTTATTTATTTATTCCAGACTTCAGTTAGCTTTTCCTGAAAGTTTATTAACAGTTTTAAAATTGGTTATAAAGGTTTCCATATTTACCTGCTTGTTCACTGAAAATAATAATAGAGACAGAGAAGTGAATATAGACTAAACTGAATATAGGTCACCCATATAAAAATACTTACGTTGGAAACATTAGTGCAGTTCACACTCTTACCTCTGAAGAAGTTAAGCCTTTCTGACACCCCAGTGATGGTCCATGCACTGAGCTGTGGGTTCACAGGCTGAGGCATGGCCAGCCTCAGAAACTCATTCCTGCAAAGAAAAATACCTACTTTTAATTACCAGTCCCAAAGGAATCATTAGCAATCCACTAATAAGATGCTTGATCAGAATCCTCACAATTAGGTTGAAGAGTGTGACTTGAACTCAAGAACTAAGAAATATTGCAATTGTAACTGTATTTTACAATGTGCTCTGCTGCTTTTAATACCTCTATGACAGTAAAGTATGTTATCCCAGTCATAATTATATCAGTTCTCACCTTCACAGCTTCCCTAGGTGAGCCATGCAGAAATACTCATTTAATTTCTGAAATCTGATAGCTGTCAAATTTTTGGAACATGCCACCTGCTACATATGGAGCCTCAGCTCTATACTACATTCCTTCTTGGTGATGTTCCCTTTCTCTTATTTTCACCATCTTTCCATCAGCTGCCTCTCTGAGATTATTTGCCTTTCCCATTGACAACCTGGAATAACCTTCAAATAATTAGGATGTAGAAAATTAGAGGCAGGAAAAATAGTTGCCTTATTGAAACTTCTACATTAGGCCTTGCAATTAAAACTGCTTCCCATCCTTCACTTTCATCTGAAGTAGTCAATATATAAAGCCTGGATGACCTTTGATAAGAAAGGAATAAATACAGACAGAAATTCCTCACTAAAAGTGTGGGTCGATCCCAGCAGAAACAGCCTGATTATTGTCACAATTACCAGGACTTGGATAGAGGGGCAAACTTACCTTTTCATTACGTCTCCCAAATCCTATAAAGAGAGAGAGGATTGCTTAGTTTGCAGCACAACATGGTTCTCTCAATATATCCTAGACATGCAGTCTGAGGATATGGACTGAATTGGAAAACTTAACGTCTTCCACTTTCCTTCTTTGGATAAAGGCATTTTTCATTTTCTTTTTCTTTATAAATATGAAACCCAGTCTGACGTCTACATGTAGTCAATAAAATTATACTCTTGATGAAACATAGTCAGATGGACTGAGGTTGAACAAATGGGAAGAGGAAGGGAAGACATTCTACTGTACAAACATCTGCAACAAGATTGACAGAGGTCCCCACAAAGTTCTTATAAGGATGTGTGGGGCCCAAATTTAGGACTTCAAAACTAAAAGAGTAAATAAATTTCATAAATCTCACACTTTCACATATTGACACATCCTTATACAAAACTGAATCATGTATTCATGAGCTGCTCTGTTGCAACTACTAAGAATCAGTGGGTGTAGTAAGATAATTTTAGAAGAGAATTTTCCTGAATTTGTTACTAGAACTTTTCCAAATAGTTTTCCTTCTCCTCTATGGGACAAGAAAGAGTGAGACCGGGTCTACAGAGGAGTGAAACCTGCCACCATAAGGCCAGGAAAGGCAGAATCTGAATATTTGGAACCGGAAAAGTAATATAGATCAAAAAGGATATAGACTCTAGCAGATACGATTCCCAAGCAGGGTGGTGTTCAGCACCCTGATCTCCTTCAGTTTTTACCTGAGGCAGGTTCACATCTGCTTTACAGCTCATTTCCTTCAGTTTCTCATACATTTCTCTCAGGAGTATACCCATCTTAGCCATTCTAGTTTGACTTCTCTTGAGTTGCTGAAAAATTATCCTGCCTTCTCTTGCCAGGCTCTCTACGTGCTTTTGCTCTTCTTCACGGAGGTATTGACACACCTTAGGATATTCAGCACTGATCATCATGCTCCGCAAATTTATAAAAACCTGTAGTGATAGTTGATTAATTAAATCATGTGTCTAAGTGGTTTTATTCTTTCCTTATCAGCTATTCTGCTTTGTTTCATGTTTTGTGCTATTCTACTAAATATAGTTTAATGCTTTTCCACTTCAAATACAGTATAAATCTTCCTTTCTTCCTCCTTCCCTTCCTCTTCCGTTTCCCTGCATCACTCCATCTACTTTCCCTCAAACCTCCATATTTACATTTTAAAAATAAAGATAATAAAGATAAATTAAGATCAAATTTATGTTGTCTTATATAATGTTCTAACCTCTTCATCATTATACCTAAATTTTATTCCATTTTTCTCAATACTCCTACTCACAACAATTTACTTCCTCAGGAAAATAGAGAACATAAGACATTGCTGCATCTTTCTAAATTACTTCCATTTCCAAAACACTCGGTGCTTTTACCAGTGTTTGGCTATGCTTGCCTATTACCTAAGACTACACATCTCTATCCACCCCTTCTCTAGATTACTTTCTTACAATGTTCATTCTTTCCTTCTGCCTGCGTCTGTCTTCCTGTCTCTGTCCCTATTGTTTGCCTACTCTCTCTTTCTGGCTCCATTTCTCTGTCTCATTCTTTCCCTGGCTTGTCTTTGATTTTCTGTCTCTGTCTTTCTGTCACTGTGTCTTTATTTCCCCCATCTCTCTTTCACTCAATTATATTATTATTATTATTATTATTATTATTATTATTATTATTATTATTATTGAGACAAGGTCTCAGTTTGTCACCCAGGCTGGAGTATGGTGGTGCAATCATGGCTCACTGCAGCCTTGAATTCCTGGGCTCAGGAGATCCTTCCTCCTCAGCCTCTTGAGTAGCTGCGACTTCAGACACATGCCGCCATGCCAGGCTACTCAATTACTTTTTTTTTTTTTTTTTTTTTTTGAGACGGAGTCTCCCTCTGTCACCCAGGCTGGAGTGCAGTGGCATGATCTCAGCTCACTGCAACCTCTGCCTCCCGGGTTCAAGTGATTCTCCTGCCTCAGCCTGCGTCCTAAGTAGCTGGGACTACAGGCGCACACCACCATGCCCAGCTAATTTTTGTATTTTTAGTAGAGACAGGGTTTCACCACATTGGCCAAGATGGTCTCAATCTCTTGACCTCGTGATCCGCCCACCTCGGCCTCCCAAAGTCCTGGGATTACAGGCATGAGCCATCGCGCCGGACCTCAATTACTTTTTCACAGTTTTTCCCTTCTTTCCATACCACCTTTAAATACGTGCAAATTTTGCAAATTACTTTGGAAAAAAAATTAAAATATTCTTGTCCCAATTACTTCATCTAGCTTCTCTTGCTAAAACATTTCTATCCTTATTAAAGCTAAATTAATCAAATGTGATCAAACTTGCTGTGCTCATGTGTGTGATTAAAGACCCCTTTACCTCTATTCCCTACTCTTTCCTGAACCAAACATTACAACTTACCAAGAACTTTTTTCTAAATCCAAATATTATGCTTTAGTCCTAGAAGTCTTCACCTTCCTTCTGCATTTGACACCATTTTCTACTTATTCCTTTTAACCATACCTTGTTTTTCCTGCCACAGAAAAATACATTCTTACAAAGCCACTGATTCATTTCTTCTGCACTTTCTTATCCCTGAAAATGGGTTCTTCTTGGCCAGCATAGATTCTACAAACCTGGATTCTTTGTATCCATTCTCTGCTTTATTTTTCCCTGAAGCACTTCACGAACATTATTTATTATAAAGTTTACATTTTAATTTGTAGATTGAATTCCCCCACTAGATTATAGACTCCTAGGGTAAGCGATCTATTTCTTCTTTTGTTCACTTCTGTATCATTTTGTTGGGCTACAGCAGTAAGCAACACATGATAGGCCCTCACGAGAATGCAGGACTCCTCAGAAAATCCATCTGAAATGATCAACATGATTTTTTTGTTCCCCTTTGGCATTCTCACAGTATCACATATCAATTATTATTATTCTCTACTGGTCCCTGTTTATATGTCCCCTTCAGAAGTGCTTGAGATCTTTGAGAATAAAAATGTTGTTTAATTTACTTATTCAGTTTTAGGTACTTAATTCATATTTGTGAATGGATTATATAATCCTAAATTCTTACCTAAGCATTCACATTCTAGACCTGGCCATAAGTACATTTATAGCCATATCTCTCACCACTGCCTGACTCTTTTTCATGAATTAATCAAGAGGAGTTACTCACATGCCCAAATAATTTTACCGCTTTTCTAACTTTCAGCTTTCTTATTCCTAAAATCTTCCAACATTATCATCGGTAAATTTCTAAATTTTACTAACACATTAGCATCAGATTGATTTTCACCTAGAAGCTATTTTTTTTTAGCATTTCATGTCTGCTAACCTGCTGTAGAACCACATTTTTACCTTCATTCTAGTGATCTTACATGCCACTTTTAGCACATTTCTTGTCACTGCTGATGTATTATTGGTAGATACTGCTTTATTCAGAAAAATCAGGATATTTTTAGTTATATATTGGATTCAACATGAAATCTCACACTAAAGATTAAGTTATATTGTAGAGAAACACATGTAGGTCCTTTTTCTGATCATCCTATTCAGGGGACACATGGTTAACTCAAGTTCTTCTCCCACAAGTCACATTTTCTATTCCAAACTGGTTCTGAGAGAAATGAGCTTACTGCTTACTTCCCATGTTCCGATTATGTTGGTCTCTCTGTTTAGATTTCTTTGATTTTTCTGTTTTTTTTTCCAGATGGACTTCATTTGAATCAGGAGTTTCTTCTGAAAAACAAAACTATAAATCTGAGCACTAGAAAAGAAAATATAGTATATTTCAGATACTACCAAAAGAGGTACAGACATGGGACAAGTAAAGAGTGCAGAATGCAGACATGCAGGGGCTTTTCTTAAGGGCACTGATTGTCAAGTCCGAGAGGTCAATGAAACCAAAGGTAGAATTCCCAAATTTAGAAAACAAGACCCATTATCTTAGAAGTCTGGCACTGAAACTGATACAACCTTGTCAATTTTCAGAAGTAACTCTTATTTTATATTTAATTTTAAAATGCTAGCCCTCAACTTATCTACAGTACTATTGGAGCATACTGACCAGTATTTATTAGAATTTTCTATAATAGATTCATTGCAATCATGACTGTGTTAGCCAATGACTATCATGGAAACTAGTGATTAATATAGAGCTTCTTACACTGAAATACCAGAACCCTAATGCTCATCAACTTTATCATCATTCTTCTCCCTCAGCCCAAGAGAATTTAAATTTCAGGTGAGCAGGGATGTTTGGTTTCTTCAGTGCTTTATCTTAGTGTCTAGAACAGTGTCTAATTTATGGTCATAAGCAATTCTGTTTGTTTATTGCATAAAATTATTAATAACAATAATGATAAGTATATCTTTCCGTATTACCTGTAGGATTCAGGGTTCTTCACATTTCAAAGTGCAATCAGTAGCATTTACTTACCCTATAGTATTCATCAGCCTCCCTTGTCATATAGTGTTTGTGAGTAGCATGCCTTGGGGATTGAGAGCATAGAAAACACAGCAGGCTCCTATCAGTTTCACAGATGAGGTTCTTGATTTCCTGGTGTCTCCTACAGATCAGCATGGCAGAGCTTGATAACTGGCAGGGGACTGATTCTCTTGTAGGAATAACTTGTTTCTCAGCAAAAATAATGCGTTTGAAGTACATTTGCTGTGATATTTCCCTGCACACAGGGCAGCAATTAGGAGTTAGTGTATCTTCCCACAAGAGGCAGAGACAGGGACTACAAAATCTGTGCCCACAACAAATGGTGACAGGGTCTGTCAAATAGTCTGTGCAGATCGAGCAGGTGAGCTCACTGGTAGAACACTGCGTGATAGCAGAAGCCATGTTTCTGAGGAAATAAAAGGAAAGTGTCATTCTTTCCCCCATGGCATATGAAATGAGCTTAAGACCTTTTTTTACTAATTTGTGTATGCATTGTAGCATGACAGGCCATGTTTTCTGAAAGACTAAAATAGGATGGAGAGACACAAACAGTGCAACAGATTGATCACATGTCCTCTTTCTTGACAACCTTGGCCTATAGCACTATTTTCCAGTTCCCTAATAGAAATCCAATATTTTTCATATCTGTTATCTCTCCTACAAAAACATAAAAATTACAAGTCCTGGGCTCATCTGTAGCCACAGGCAGTGGATCATTATTTTGTCCAAAGCTATCAAGATTTCCCCCTTTTTTTCTCTCTCTCTTATTGGTCATCATAAGACACGTACTCCAATTCTGGCCAAGAGAACAAGAAAGTAGACTCGTAGAAGAATTCTGTAAAAGGTGTTCTTGCTACAGAAGAGACACATAGAAGAAACAATTGCTTTTTCTGCCTCTGGACATTATTTGGATGCAATATTTGTTTGTGTAACCACTTTGTGGACTCATAGTGAACTAATCTAAGACCAAAGCCAATACTCTAAGGAAAACAGAAAAGTGGAAAGAAACTGCATCCTTAATAATACAATAGAACACTACGTAATTCTGGAGAGGCCAACTAATGCAATAGAAGGAATGGTGGACAATCATCATTTTACTGATGCCATAAAAATAACTGAATCAGGCAAGAATCATTAATGGATAATAAAATAACTAAGTCATAGATTTTGTGAAAGAGCCTATTTACATATCATCAAAGTTCTACCCCACATGTCAGCTCTATCCACAGTGTTATTGAGGCATAATAGATAAGTGAAAGTGTATAATTTAATGTATACAAACAGAGGTAGATGACTAAGGACACAAAACACCTCTGTAGTATTTTTGCCAAAAACATTTTACCTGCATGTAACCATGGGAGGAAATTAGATAAATGCATTTGAAAAACACTATGCAAAAAATAAAACTGGCCTATTAAAATAATTTTAATTTCTAAGGAGAAAATGTCTGGAAACAGCTATATAGCAAAGATAACTAAAAGAAATAAAAAATCTAACTATGATGTAATTATAGTATCATTGATTTGTACCTGGTTTGAAAAAAGTAACAGCCGATTAGGACATTTTTAGAACGTTCAGGGATATCATAAAACCTAGTAGAGTCTTATGGTTGCAGCTCAGAAATGGAGAAGGTTGAAAATACTATTGCCACCTCCCTGCAAGAAAAAAAGTCCGAGAGAAACTAAAGATTAATGAGGTTTAGTTTGTTTGTTTGCTTTGTAAACCATTAGAGAACAGAGGTAACAAGACAACTCAATCAGTTCTGGATAGAGACAGGTACAGCACTGAGAAAAACAGGACCCATGCATATGTTTATCTGGGGCAGATTCTACCAAAGGCCATAAAAACAGAAAATAAACCAAATGATTTTAATTTACTGCTAAAAATCAAAGCTGGGCTAGAGTGAGTGTGCAAAGACCCTTAGGGTCACAGACATAGAAGAATCCTCACCCAAAGGGAGACTTTTCCAACAGAAATGCCAAGAGGCTCTCACAGGGAAAACCAGGAAGAATCAAGAGAAATTTTCCCTTCTTGTGGTACTGGCCGGAAGAGAAAAATGGCAGCAAACACATGAAATCAACTGAAATATCCATCAATGATAGACCAGGTCAAGAAAATGTGGTACATATACACCATGGAATACTATGCAGCCATGAAAAGGAACGAGACAATGTCCTTCACAGGGACATGGGTGGAGTTGAAAGCCATTATCCTCAGCAAACTGCAGGATACAGAAGACCAAACACCACATGTTCTCACTTATAAGTGGAAGCTGAGTGATGAAAACACATGAATACATGGTGGGGGACAACACACACTGGGGTCTGTCAAGGGTAGGGGTTGGAAGGAGGGAAAGCATCAGGAAGAATAGCTAATAAATGCTGGGCTTAATGCCTCGGTGATGGGATGATCTGTGCAGCAAACCACCATGGCACACGTTTACCTATGTAACAAACCTGCACATCCTGCACATGTACTCCTGAACTTAAACGCTGAAGAAGAAAAAATACATTTTAAAACATCTTTTAATTCCTAGAAGCTTTGCTCACCATGCATTTTCCCCAAGCACTATATTAAACTGAAAGTGATTTCACACCAGATCTCTTTCTTCCAGTCTCTGCCTTTCTCAATACACATAAAAGCACCCTCTGCAGTGAATCTGATGATATTTTGTTTAATTTTCTTAATGTTTCTCCCACTGAAACACAACATTTAAAATAATTTATACCAACTATGTTAACGAATATTAACATAATAGTGACAAAGACTAGTTATGTATCATGTATTAAAATAATTTAATGTAATTTATTTTTATGTTATTTTTCATTTTGAAAGTTTTTTACAAGTAGCAAAAATACATGTGCACAGTTGAATTGGGAGAATAAAAGTAGACAGGTATCTGTATAGTAACCATAGGCTTTTGAATTAACAGTAACAAAACTTTTTAACATAAAAAGTCCAGAACCTGTTAAGGCACTCAGGAGGGGGGTCTCCAGGTGCAGAGAGTGGTTCTCATTCCAGTTCTATTCCTTCAAAAGATTTCTGGATAACCACTGCCACCATCAAGGTGGCCACAAATGGGGCTTTTCCACATTAATATGCTTGCTGAACTCAGCTTCAATTTATTCTGAAACATAGGAAAGAGATGCGACTGGACCTTTGGTTAAAGGCTTTATTAAAGGCTCCGTAAAAACTACGGAGAAAGAAAAGCAAACAGTAACCAGAAGTCAGGTAGCCTAGTTCATGAAGCTCACTTTTCTCACCTTACAGTTGGTGCTTCTCCTCAAGGAACCTACTTTGTCTTATCCTGCCTGCCCCACCACACAGAACTGATGCTTTGTAGCTGCCCGCACTGTCCAGATCCAGGAAGAGGAGGAGACGGGAGAGGGCTAAAGTCTTCATTACCAGCTGTGCTTTGTTTGCTCTCTGAGAAGGGATCGTTCTCAGATTAACAGCGAGGCTAATGAGTTAGCCTAGCTGGTGCATCAGTATCACCTGAAAAGCTTCTGAGGCCACAGATTGCTGGGGATTACCCATGGCTACTCTTCATTCAGTAGGTCTGGGGTGGGGCCAGAGACTTTGAGTGTTAGGCAACTTATAAGAGATTGCTGCTGGTCCCTGAACCATACTTTGTGAACCTCTGATTTAGCCCAATGTTCATAAAAGATGATATGTTTATGTTGTACAAGGATGGACAATTTAAAAAAATCTATTTGGAAAGCACGAAAATAGAAGTCCAGGATGTAAACCTGCCACTGTAGCTTCTTAAGAATGGTAGGAAATGCATCCCCTTTTGCCCATACAACCACAGCACCGTGGGAAGGCTACTGTGCAGGACTCTTGCTTTTCAGGGTCTAGGAGCTCAAGGAACAAGATATAGACCCAATGTGCAGGGTCCCAGGCAGCCCTAGTTTTAGACAGTTCCTTTCCTTACCCCAACCTTACAACCAGTAGGTGATCAGGAAATGGGCCCTTACTACAGAGGTTCACAATGTGTGGCTGTGATTATTTTTAGGGTTCATAAAGTCAAAACTATTTTTATAATAATAATACTATTTAGACATTAATTGCCCTTTGAAATTTTATTATCCCATGAGTATACAGGAGATTTTCCCAGGGGCTACATGACATGAAATATCACAAAAGATTGAATAGAGAAGCAGATGTGAGAATCCAGATGACTTCTACTAAGCCAGACATTAAAGTGATTTGTAAATATGTAATCAAAGCCACTCTTTTATTTATTTTTATGGTTTTGGAAAGTATACTTATTTTTATAGAAATATTACATTACCAGTTATTGTTTTATAATTGTTAAATTATTAATAAATAGATATTTGTTTTTCAGCTTTAATTTCTAATACAGCATATCTTGACATTAAAAAACCCACATCAACAAAAGCTTGTGGAGACTCTTAATTTCATCAGCTTAACTGAGGTATAATTTACATACCATAAAATTTACTTAATGTATAGAGTTTAAAGACGTTAATAAATTGCTGTTAAATTCATTTTATGCATGATCACCATATCCACTTTTAGAACACTTTAATTCTTTCAAAAACATCTCTTCTCCCCCTGCTTTTTTTTTTATACTTAAGTTCTAGGGTACATGTGCACAACATGCAGGTTTGTTACATATGTATACATGTGCCATGTTGGTGTGCTGCACCCGTTAACTCGTCATTTACATTAGGTATATCTCCTAATGCTATCCCTCCCCACTCCCCCTACCCCAGGACAGGCCCTGGTGTGTGATGCTCCCCACCCTGTGACCAAGTGTTCTCATTGTTCACTTCCCACCTATGAGTGAGAACATGTAGTGTTTGGTTTTCTGTCCTTGCGATAGTTTGCTCAGAATGATGGTTTCCAGCTTCATCCATGTCCCTACAAAGGACATGAACTCATCCTTTTTTATGGCTGCATAGTATTCAATGGTGCACACATATGTTTATTGTGGCACTCTTCTCCCCTTTTATAGTCAATCTCTACTCACATCCCTGTCTTCAAGGAACTGCTGCTCTGTTTCTTGTCTGTAAGATTTTTGTTTTTGTTGTTGCTATTTTTGTTGTTGCTTTCTAAAGAAGAGTCTTGCTTTGTTGCCCATGCTGGCATGCAGTGGCACTATCACAGCTCACTGTAGCCTCAACCTCCTGGGCGCAAGCAGTTTTCCCTCATCTTTCTGCATAGTTTGTACTTCAAGCAAACACCACCACACCCAGCTAGTTTTTAATTTCTTGTAGAGACAGGCACTCTGTTTCCCAAGCTGGTCTCACACTCTTGGGCTTAAGTGATCCTCTTGCCTTGGCCTCCCAAACTGCTGGGATTACAGGTGTGAGGCACCCCACCTGACCTGTCTATAGCGTTTTGACTTTTAATAAATATTACACATGTAATCATTCAATATATAATCCTTTGTGTCATTTAATATGTTTTTGAGATTCATCATGATTTTATGTATCTATGATTTGTTCTTTTTTTAACTTTTATATTTTATAATTTCAACTTTTATTTCAGATTCAGGGAGTAAATGTGCACGTTCTTTACATGGGTATATTGTGTGATGCTGAGGTTTGGGGTACGAATGATTCCATCACACAGATAGTGATCAATTTATGTATGTCTGAATCAGTGCCTGGAACTTTAAATAGACTCTTATAAATGTCTGTGGATTATATTATTTAAAACGAGCAGCCGTTAAAAATTCACTTTTACTGAAAACATTTCATGAAATAGCCCCTTTGATAAAATATTTCTAAATTGACCCTTACATTTTCTTACCTTTCCTTCTACAACCAACTCTACAGCCTTCCATCATGTCTACTCCATTTAATTGTTTAAGTCACCATCCACTTCAACGTTGTTACGTACAATACCCTATCTCTAACCTCCTTTTAATCACTCTCTTTTCAATAATACTATTGGTTACTTATTTCTTCTTGATTTCATTTTATTCTTATAACTTCATATTCTGAAAACACTCATTTTTATTAGATTCTCAGACAAAATTTATATTCATCTGACTTCCAGCCTACCTCAGAGAACACCCTTTAGCAGACTTTTTGGAAGTCTCCTTCTTCTCTGTTTCATATCCAACTATTAGACTGTCCAAGTGCTCAGTTTTGCTACCTTTCCCTCCTTGATTATGCTCAAAATTAGTGTCATATGGTGTGATGCTTTAATTAATATCTGATAATGTTACCCAAAGTTATGCTTCACTGATGTATTCATCTATTCAATATTTACTCACTAAATGTGAGTGCAAGGCATTGTTCTAGATTCTAAACTGTTCAGTAAAAATTATAGGGGCCCTTGTTTTGGACCAAGCTCCTGTGCTAGGCCCCAACAGAGCAGGCTAAAAACCAAAATGAAGTTTCCCATACTGAAGTTCTACATCACCAAACCAAAACTAAGTGTTGGTTGTTGGGTTGATTTCTGACTGTCCTATTAATAGAAATCAGAAGATAGAGATTATGTAAATTCCCAAATAGGGTAGTTTCAGTCGGCATGATATTGGGGTTCTCTCTGTTTTAATGTTTACCCCAAAAAGTAACCTGAAGTATTCTGATATTAACCAATCAGTTATTTTTCTGTACTCTTTCTCCCTGTCCCTGCCTTACAAGGAACATAACTTTAACTTTGAGATGATCAGCCAGTTTTCCGTTCATTGTTTTTGCTTTCTTCAGCTCTGTATATAAAACCAAGCTTTTCTCAGCTTATAAGAATACTTACTCTATTTTATGAAATACAGTGTTGCCAACTTCTGGAATCACAGATAAAGCCAATTAGGATCTTTAAATTAATGGTTGTCACTTTGGTTTTTTAACAGAACCAAACAAATGTAATATATATTATGGAGTAGTAAACTATTTTTTTGTTTTGTTTTGTTTTGAGACAGAGTCTCGCTCTGTCGCCCAGGCTAGAGTGCAGTGGCACAAGCTCCGCTCACTGCAAGCTCCGCCTCCCGGGTTCACGCCATTCTCCTGCCTCAGCCTCCTGAGTAGCTGGGACTACAGGCGCCCGCCACCAAGCCTGGCTAATTTTTTGTATTTTTAGTAGAGACGGGATTTCACCACGTTAGCCAAGATGGTCTCGATCTCCTGACCTGGTGATCTGCCCACCTCGGCCTCCCAAAGTGCCAGGATTACAGGCGTGAGCCCCTGCGCTCGGCCATGGAGTAGTAAACTAATATTTGGGCTCCAGATTCTTATATGCACTGGGATAGGTAATGGGCATTTCAAAAATTAGAACTCCCAACTTCCCTGACAAAACCTGCTTACCTTTTTCTAAATGTCAAAATAACTAGGAATGATCTGGATTTCTCTTGTACTTTTACTTTCCATTTCAGGAAATTATCTTGCTTTTACCTCCAAAATATGTGCAAATTGTCCAGTTTCCTTACTTTTTGTGTATTAAGTACCATTACTGAGCACATGAAATAATTTGCTGCCAAGAGAACTTTCTTCTATCTGTCTTCATTTGTCTCCCGTTCTCCCATGAAAGAATCCAATAGAGCAAAAGGCAGAGGAAAGAGGAATTCAACCTTTTTATTTTTCCCTGCCTTACTGGTAAGCTAAGACGTGTCATACCATCTCTTGCCATTGCACTAGGATTTACATTATTAGCTGCCCTGGATTTCAGGCCTTCAGATTCAGACTAAATTACACCATTAGCTTTTTCCAGAGCTTCTTGTTTAGAGATGATAGGATTGTAGAGCCAATTTCTCATTATAAAATCACATTCTCTCTCACACATACACATGCTCACACACACACATGCTCATTCACACACACACACACACACACACAGTCCCCTATTGCTGCTGTTTCTCTGGAGAATTTTGACAAATACCTTAAGGAAAATTTACATTGATACATAATAAAAGAGATTTGACAAAAATGAATACACATTACGGAATAAAACTGATTAATCCAAATCGGCATTTTATTAATATGTTATGATTTCAAATATTAGCATAATTGTTACAGTTGTAAGTGGTGTAACAATTAGCTTAAAAATTAGAAGCAATACAAAAACATATAACTGCTATTATTTAATATTGCTCTGTATTTTCTAAAAGAACACATAAATAAAAAGGGATTTGAAGTATTAAAAATATAAATATTGCCATTATTTTCTGGTACAGTTTACCTAGAACATCACTTATAATTTGCTAAGAAATCTAGGAACAAAAACACTAAAATCAATGGATATAAAATGGATGCCACTTCTTCTATGATGCAAACGTTAATGAGAACATGAAAACAGAGGAAAGTATGAGAGGGCAGTAGCCTTCAACTGACTTTAAAAGATAGCAGTAAACCAAAATAATTAAAGCTATGTGGTACTGGTGAATTCACAGGTGGACCAGGAGAACAGTATAGTGTGCATATCTACTCCTGTATCTTTCTAGGTATCCATGTATATTTCTGTATCTCCTGAATGATAAAAGTGAGATGGACTTGCACCTGAGGCAGCAGGAAGAATCTGGAGCTTCCACCCAGCAGAATAAATACAACAGACACCACTTGGAGAAGCAGTGCCCTGCCCAGTCACAAAACATTGATTCTATGGAGAAGTTTATTCAAGTGAAATAGATAAATTTCCATGTTTAATTTCATGTTTTTGAAATCAGTAAGAAGTCTCTTTGGGAGCTGAATCAGATATACATGTAAAAATATTGCCCCCTACATCATTCTGCCCACACTCAAGCATGGGAATGGCCAAGTCCTTACTTCAGGGAGTGGGGAGAGTGATGGCAGGAGTCTGGCAACGTTCTTAAGGCACCTGCCCTAACTCCCACCAGCTACTCTTCACTCTACATTCAGCACAGGAGTCCTGAGGGACACTTCACAAAGAAGGTGGAGATTACAGACTCAGTGTCCCCCTACCACCTCTTGCTGGCAGAAAATAAGGAAAGAAAAACTTGTTACTTCTGGAATACTCAGTCTAATACCCCATAGCCCAATCATCTCATTGTTTATTCCAAAAACCTCAATTCCATGAACTCTCTCTCTCTGGCTAGTTGTGTATATGGGTGGGGAGGCAATACTGGCTAATACTAATATTTGTTCTCTATGGTTGGTCCCCACTTCCTGGGTTTATGAACCTAATATAGAGAGTAGTGCACTGCATCAAGTTCCTTGTTTATAACCTGTCCCACTTTGTACAGAGGAGGAGGGGGAGAAAGGAGGGAAGGGAAAAGTCAAGGAAGTAAAAAGGAGCAGGAGGAGGGTCCCCTCCCTTTGACATAGATAACACAGATGGACTTTTGGCTTGGAAGGACTGTCCAACCTTTTAGGGTATTAACCAGGCTCAGGTTGAGCCTGAGTCAGAAGTACCCTGAGGAAGCTGAGCTAGAGCTGCTGCCCTCAGACTAGCCATCTTCATCTTCACTCCCACTGCTAGAGTCGGAGTAGTTACTACTTTCATCCTCTTTCCATCTTCCTTCTTGTTTTCCTAATCCCTATGAGTAATTATACTTGACCCAAATGGTTTCTAATGAATTTGTTCCTGGAGCCAGCAGCCTCTGCTCCTCTTCAAATTCTTCTTTCAGACTCCATTCTGATGGGATGGCAGATCTTTCTATCAAACCTGGTGTTTGGGCCTCCTGTGATGCTCGTGTTCTTGTGCTAATTAGAAGTTGACTGTCTATGCAGCATAATTTTTTTGAGACAGACAATTGAGCCAGAGATTCAGGTCTATCTTGCAGTATTTCAGCAACTCCTCAGCCTGGCTCTTATGTTCCTTAAGGCTCTGCAGAATATACTGATGGTATCTGCCAATCTCTGTCATGGTCTTACTCAATGGCACCTGTTGCAGCTTCCTACTCAATCATGAATCTTGATGATACTTTTGGAATCCATTCATGAGGGGCTTCTTGGGCTCTCCATGGAATTGTATCTTTATGGAAGAGTCATAGTTTTCTGGTTGAGATCTCAATTGCACAAATTTCTGAGGCCTTATTGATGCCCTTCTAATCCATCTAGGCCAGAATGCTTTCTGAAATGCAAATATGCTCGTATCCCTATCCTGCTTAACCTTATTACGGGTTTTTGATAAACTACAGGAAAGTACTTACACTCCTCTGGATGTCTTCTACGCCCTATGTGATGTATTTCGTGCTCAATGTATGGATTGTTCTTCCCACAAATCCCTTGGATTCTAGAAACACTGAGTTCTTTGTATTTCTTTAACATGCCACAATCTTCTGTACTTGTTTTTTATCTTGAATAACATGATTACTTTGCCAGTGGGAATACAAATAAATAAAATCACTTTGAAACAGCTTGGCATTGTAAAATTGAAGATGCACAAACTTTACAACACAGACATTCAACCTATAGGTAGATACTGTCTGGAAGGAGAATCTCTTGAATATTTGCATTAGGATACATGTTCACAGAAGCAAAATATAGAAAACATTCCAAATATACACCAGCAGAAAATGAATAAATACATTTTATTATTCACCAGTTATCCAAATTTGGGTTATCCACTCCAAACTCCCACTTGATTGTCTACATAAATAGATCTGGGCCCATTAAATAGATCTTCTTTGTCACGTGTTAATGATGTTAAACTTTGTGAGTAGAAGGCATTGGAGAGATGTTTCAAGAAGGTGCTTTTCAATCTGCTTTCTGTGTGCACCCTTGGCAAACTCTGGCAATGCAAATGACATCTCCAGCATCTGACACGGAGGGCATACAGAGCTACACCAGTGCCCAGATTCTGTAGTTCAGGCTGCTGCTATGGCACCCACTTCCTGAAGTTCATGGTGGCCAGGAGAACCCAGCGGCCAAGAGCTTCTCCTGAAACTGTCCTTTGCCAAATTTGTAGTAGAGCCCCTCTGGCTTGACATTTCTTCATAAACAGCTTTACACAGTGGCCCAGAAGACAAGTTTCTGGGGAGTTCTGAAGTGTCAATTTGAAGCAGATTCTCCAAGGGTAACACTACAGCGACTTCTTAACATTGAGCGAGGCCACAATGTGAGGGGACTCTTCATTGGCTGCTCCAAATTCACCATGGAGACGAGCAATTCCTTATATCTGCTCATCACATATTCTTGAGACTTCTCTTTACATATTACTAGACAATATTTCATTGTTCCAATGCTGTAACAATTAATAATTCTTTATATTAACTTTCCCTATTCACATTACTGTATGTTTTCTCTGTCTTGATGGACCCTGAATCCTACCCTCATGTGAATGAATGCTCTATATCAGCAAAATATGGCAAACTACATCCACAGTGATAATATATTTGAACCCTTAAAAGTCAATGAAAAAAATCAAGTCCCTGAAAATTACACATGGTATGATTGTCTTTATAAAAATTCAAAAATACATAATGCCAAAACATGTAAAGGATACAGCCATGTGTGATAAAATTATAAATAATGACAGAGGAAAGATAAATAAACATAAAATTCAAGAAAATGCAAAAGCGTAACTGTCATTAGTACATGGGGCATCCAAAGATATTAGAAATGTTATTTTCTTCATATGGCTATTAGGTTCACAAATGTTCATTTAATTACTATACATATAAGTTATACGATAGCCTTTTATATAAATAAAAAGAAATTAATTATTTCTTATGCTATAGAGTGATAACATTTACTAAAAGTGTCATTTGATCCATTTCCCAAATAGTGTGCTGAGATAGTGATCCTCTCAGCCCAGGGTGGCCAGGCAGGCCATGAGGCCTCTGGCTTGGGATAATCTTGTGCATATTCCCCAGTGTGCTCTCTGACATACTGATGTTTTCTTCTGTGTGAAGTGACATGAATAGATTAGACTTGATTCGCTGATAATGCCAGATGAGAGTTTTACTATATTAGGCCATTCTCCTTAGATTTAATACTGAGTTAAATGTTTCCACTTCAGAATAACCTCTTATAATTATGAAATTTATTTTTAATCCATAGGGAGAAGATAAACAATATAAACACACACATATATAAACACTCACATAACTATATATAATATTCAACTTTATTTCAAATATACCAATTTTAAAATTTATCAATATACCCATTATTATTCTTTGAGTGACATACCACACAAATTCAATACAGAGTCTCTAAAGAATCCTCTTAGGCTACTTCACTCAAAGTCTCTGCAGCTGCCTGCACTGTGAAGGCTGCAACAGAAATCTGTCTCTTCACATCTCCCCAGGCCTTGGAAGGGTCCACTTTGCTTTCAATATCAAACAGAGCATCATAAATTCCTGGGAATGACTCCCCTGCATACTTGTTGTGGCTGCTTGGAGCATAGATGACATGCCTGTTGATAAAATCGTTTGCTGTTTATTAGGTGCCCAAATGATATACAAGAGAAACCAGAGCACTCTGCAATTCCTGGATTGCATATTCCTATAACAATTTGAACAAGCCACTTGTCAACTGAACTTCCAAGTTCAATCATCTCTGAAGACTATTATATGAAATCTATAGTAATTAATTATATTTTATTTCAAACAAATAAATTAAAGTGGTTCAGTACTACAAAACTAACAATGATGATAGTAACCACAGCAATCATTCTTGGTATTTAGTGTTTACTTACAATTTTTCTGATGTTTAGAAATAAACTCTACACAGTTGATATTAGTATTTCACAGAGGAAGAAACTGAGGTCTGAAAGATAAAGTAACTAAATGATTTGTCTCAAGGCACATGACAAGTAACTGCTGATTTTTTAGTATATCATGCTACCCCCTACATTACAGCACAATTATGATCGTTACAGTCTTGTTTGTGATCAGTAAACCCTCTATTGTATTTTTTTGTCTTTTTTTAAAAAGTCACACTACCATGTTAGAATACTTAATATAGAGTTTGAAGAATCATCAAAAACAATTTCGTAATGTTCCACGTGACCAAGGCAGAAAATGTTTTATAGAATGGGCTAAGACAGTTCATGTAATAGCCCACAGAAGAGAAAGACAAACTCCAAAGTAAAGATGTAAATAAGGCCAGAAGCAGTAGCTCATGCCTGTAATCCCATATATTAGGGAGGCCAAAGTGGGAGGATTGCTTGAGGCCAGGAGTTCTAGACGAGCCTGGGCAACATAGGGACACCCTGTTGCTACAAACGAAAATACAAATATTAGCTGGGCATGGTGGCATGTGACTGTAGTCCTAGCTTCTTGGGAGGCTGCCGCAGGAAGATTGGTTGAGCCCAAAAGTCTGAGGCTGCAGTGAGCTACAATTGCACAACTGAACTCCAGCCTGGGAGACAGAATAGGACCCTATCTCTTAGAAAAAAAAAGGGGGTGGGGGATGGATAAAAATATGCCGCCATTGGTGATCTGATCGAGTCAACCTATTTGGAAGATGTTCTTACTCCCAAGCCCAACCCTTTGATAATCCCTAGAAAGAAAGTTAGGGCCATTTCTGGCTGTCCAGTGATCTGTCACATTCTGCAATATTTAGAAGATCAACCTCGGGACAGTCAATGTTTGACAGAAAAAATCCAACTGTCAGGATTTAGGAGGAAATAAAATATCTAAATATCAACATTAGGGAAAAGAATAAATAAATATATATTTATTATATACATTATATATAGAGAGATGTTTGGGTTGTGTGTATACATAAGTAAAAATATATTTAAGATAGAAAAGGAGCTAAAATTATACACACAAGAATATAACAATGATTTTATATTTTTCTGATAAAATTGGGGAGATTTTTATTTTCTGTCGTGGCTTTCTGGATCTTCTATATTTTCTAAAATAAATTTATATTCTTTTATAATCAGAACAAAGATATTCAAAATAAAGATATGCAAAAATCATATTACATTATATGAAGAAACAATACAACTATCACTTACTACATATATTTTGAAATTTTCTATTTGCTTGCAAGAAGTCAACTTCAATATTTTTTCCACAGTGAAAAAAATAAAAATAATTAGCAGAAAAAGTGATATTACAGAAGGGAGTCATATTTCCTTTTCTTACCTATAAAAAGGTCTGTCTGGTAACCCTAATGGATCAATAAATGCTCTTTCCAGAAACATGAGTTGATCATTCATCATTCTTAACAATATTGGGCTGAGAAAGAAAATGAATACAATTATAACTTCATGAAAATGTTTCTACCCAGAAAATAAAAATGTCAGAACAAAACTGAATTTAGTTATCTCCGGGGATTGGTTCCAGGACCACCCTCTACACCAAAATTTGTGCATACTCAAGTCCTGCAAGGAGGACGCATGTATATGAAAAGTCGGCCCTCCTCCTCTGTGGAATTTTTTTTTATTGTTATACTTTAAGTTCGAGGGTACATGTGCACAACGTGCAGGTTTGTTACATATATATACATGTGCCATGTTGGTGTGCTGCACCCGTTATCTCACTCATAGGTGGGAACTGAACAATGAGAACACTTGGACACAGGGTGGGGAACATCGCACACCGGGGCCTGTCGTGGGGTGGGGTGAGGGGGGAGGGATAGCATTAGGAGATATACCTAATGTAAATGACGAGTCCTCTGTGGAATTAACAGGGTGAAAATGAACAAACTACCAAACAAATTAAATAGATCTCTCGGTATAATGATCTAGATTTAAGTCTAAAAGTTACCTAAAATTATATCATTTCAAGTGATTTTCAGAATGGTTAAAATACAGCATTCTTGGAGCCTGATATGACTTTCTGGATTAACTTGGTCTGCCTCAATGAGGAAATGTAGCTGTGTATGTGGCATCTGAAGCCACATCTGATCTCCCTTGGGTTAGCTGCCCCCAGTATAACTCTTACCACATGCTTAATCCCCCTTTCACATCTTAGTCTTCATATTGTTAAGACAATGAGATAGGCAATTATATAAAATAGAAAATGTTTATGGAACACATGGCTAGTAGTCCAAATGGAATGTAACAGGTTTTTTTTTTAAGTTTCTATAATTCTCTTATTTTATATTTTTCATTAGTTTCTCATTAGCTACATCTGAGGTTCTCAGATTCAAGCTTGTAGAGTGAGCATCATTCTGTGATAAATGTTCTAATATATCAAAGCTAAAAGAAAGATGTTTGTTGAGATGTTTTCCACATAAATGAATTTACTCACTTAAAATACTTTTGTTCTAGATTTATGTCCATCCTACTTTTAGATGTTTTTAATGAAATCATTTTCTGCATGCAATGCTAATATTTTCAAATGTAAGCTTGAAAATAAAAGATTTAATTTGGCAAAATAAAAAGTTTTCCATATTTAAAAATAACAAGAATAGTCGGCCCTCCATACATATGGGTTTTAGTCCTTCAATACTGTATTTTATTTTGTTTTCTTAAGAGATTTTCTTGCTCTGTTGCCCAGCCTGGAGTGCAGTGGCTTAATCATAGCTCAGTATAGCCTCAAACACCTGAGCTCAAGCAATCCCTCTGCCTCAGCTTCCTGAGTACCTGGGATTACAGTGAATAATACTGAATTTTCCATCTGCGTTTGCTTGCTAATATGAAATCTATGGATAGAGAGGGCTCACTGTATTAATTGAAAAAAATTCATATGTAAGTGGACCTGTGCAGTTCAAATCACTGTTGTTCAAATGTCAATTGTAAATTTTAACATTCTGTAATATGCAAATTAAGAACAATAACATACATAGCTATGACATCTTTAAAATCTTATAAAATACTATACTGCTCAGGCTTATAAAAGCACAGAAACAGTTGTATGTGCAAATGGAAAAAATAACAGTGATTTTTATTTACATTGGCATAATTAACTGATCAACCCAGATATACAAATATAGGCAAGATTTTCTTCACCTTAGGTATCCTAGCAATCTACTCACTGAAGTAATATCAATATTAAAATAAGATGACTTGCTAATGTTTAGTAAGATGCCTGGCAAATTATAAATATTTACCAAGCGATAACTAACAATATTCCTTTTATTTTTAAAGCTAAACCTATTATGAACACAAGAGATGGTGATTACTTAAGTCTTTCAACAATATTTGGATACCTCCTATTTATCAAACACTCCCTGCTTTTACAGAACTTACATTCTAAAAGGAGTGTTGGGGTTGTTATTATAATAAGAATGTTTCAATATAATTGAAAGTTTATCAGCAAGCTCTGAATACTTCAACAATGAGTTACTGAATTTAATATACCAATTATTTCACAATTTAATTAACTGAGAAAAATCATTACAATAAGAAAGCATGAATCATCTTATTCATTAATTTACTTCTTGCTTTTCATAATTTGGTTTTACTAAAAGTTAGCATTTAGTGATCATTTCCTATATGCCAATTACTGTTCTGAATGTTTATACAAAATGTGATTTTTAATTTTCAGAGCAATTCTGCAAGTTGGGTAGGGTAACAGCCTCATTTTGTAGATGAGATAACAAAGGATCATGAGTTAAATAACTTGCCTAAATTCACACTAGGAAGTTTTAGAGTGAAATAGGAGATTGATATTGTTCTTTCGACTGCACCTTGCCAACAAAAGGAAAATAGGAACAACTTAAACTCCCATAATTTGGATTTGAGCTATTTTTAACATTTATGTATTTGGCATCATGAATTCAGATTCTGTGATATTATAAAGGTAAATGAAACACAGACTACCTGTTAGCAACTCCGATAAACAGTTGAGACAATTGAATGAAGGATAATTTCAATAAGATGCTATGGGTTTTGGAATCAAATTCACAAAGCATTGCTACAAGTACAAAAACTCATGTGGCTACACACATGTAAATGTGTGCGCGCGCGCACACACACACACACACGCACTTCTCTTTCTCTGTATCCTGTGTTAACGTCTTATATTCTTTGATGAGGCAAGAAGTGATACAAGAAAAGCAGGATAAAGACATATCTCTTCCTTAGATTTCAAAGTTTTGGTTGAGAAATTCAACATTCAGTTTAATTTACTTAGTCAGAATTTACTATTATTATGGGCAAAGCACTACTCAGGTGTTTCAGAATTTGTAAATATCATATAGGGAACAGAGTGGATCTTTACTATCACTTAGAGAAAATAAAAGAAATATAGAAATACTAAAGGAAGGGGAAGCTGAGTGTGCTAAACAATAAGTGTCCTAAACAAACCACAATTCAAACCATGAGGTATTTTGTCAGAGGGAGAAAACATTTTTTCTTTTAAATACAAAAAGAAAACCAGTTTTATAGAATACATGGTGTTTGGGATCTCCTTAAAATGTATTTCTTATTGTTGACTTTTTTACCCATATATAAAAATTATAAAGAATTGAAAAGAATAGGAAAACAATTCTTCCAATATTCCCTGAGGATAGCACAATTATTATAATAATTCATTAATTCCCTTTAAGTTTTTCCTGTATTTGTTAAATAAAAATTAATCAAATTATATTTACAATTTTACAACCTTCTTGCTTACTACATATTTTATTCTAAGTATCTTCTATTATGTTGTATTTCTAATAATCCATTGTAAGGATTATAAAATGTTCAAATTGGTGAATATCAAATTTTTTAGTAATTTCTCTTCTCTTAGGCATTAGGTTATTTTGAATTACTTGCTATTATAATTTTATACTTCAAGTCTTTCTCCAGGCAGCCTTTCTTTTCCAAAATTGAGACTTTTTCCTAAGAAATAATCCAAGAAATGGAAATACTATGTCAAAGCACAGGACTCTGTGACAGCTCTTGAACACATTAGCAATATGTATCTATCTTTTTCAAAAAGGCTAAAATAATTCATAATGCTATCAGAAAAGCATGGAGAGCATATGCTTCAGTGTACCAGCTACAGCATGGGCACAACCAAGGTTTAAATTGTTATTAATGTGTTATAAAAATAACATCACATTACTTTCATTTGTATTTCTGAATTATGCATTAGTGAACTGCAATATTTTGCTATGTTTCCTTACAGGTGTATATTGTCTTGTTTCTTACCAATATTTTCAGCTGGTTCTTTTGGACTGTTTAAATTAATTTTCAAAAAATATTTTTAGAATGTATATATTACTCTCCATTTTTGCTAGAAAATAAGTTTTCAACTTTCTTAATTTTTCTTGTGAATATTAATTTTCGTATTCTGAACCATTTCAAATGGTCTCAAGTCTGATTGCATCATTTCCCCATTGCTTCTAAACTTGGCATCTTTCAAGAAATTTCCATTTTTACTAAATAATTCTTTACACCTGTTGTTTATGTTAGCATACAATGTGAAGTGCGATTCTGAATTTACTTTTATAGCAGGTACTAACATAGTTTATATATTATTATGGTTGAGTAATCTTTCCCCATTAATTTTTGCTGTATCGTTTATTACTAATACTTCCTTATAGATCACTGAGCCTATTTCTACATCATCTACTGTAATGTTTTTATGTGTCCTTACATCAGCTCCTGGGGATTTGATATTTATATCATGATACTATATTTAATACACAGATCTGTGCCCTCAAAATTATACTTTAAAAAAATTACCTTAGTATTCTCACCAAGTATTTTTCCTTCCATCTTAAAATTTTGTTCAAATTGTGTTGTACTTGTGTAATCTTACACAGAATTAATCCTAAATGTTTAACATTTCCAAAATTAATGGCTTCACAATATTTGCTATTCTGGATAAACAGAATTTTGCCAGATGGAAGTGGAAATAAGGAGCTCTATGTGGAGGTAATGACAAAAACAAAAGAGGTAGAAAGAAATCATGCTTTGAAAAATAAATAGTCTGGCTGAGTTATGATGTACAGATACTGAAAAAGCAAGAAATAAAACTGGAAACAGCTGGGGTCACACAGTAGAGGACCTTCAATGTTAAGCAGAGTATTTTGTAACTGATCAAATGGCAGGAGGGAGGGACTGACATTTCTGAGCAGCACAATTGCCACTCAGAATGTTGAAAGTAGGTCTTTTGAGATACGGCAGCCCTACATAGGATGTGCTAGAGTGGAAAGACAGAAAACAGCAGGAAACGACACTTGTATACCTATGTAACAAACCTGCACGTTCTGCCCATGCATCCCGGAACTTAAAGTAAAACAAATTTAAAAAAAAGAAAACAGCAAGAAATTCCCAAAGCTAGTTCAGCAACAGTGATGTTAGTTTACTTTTAAATATATATATATATATATATATATATATATATATATATATATACACACACACACATATACACATATGTACATATATGTAGAACATACTTGCTTTTGTCAAAGTCCTGGAGTCTCTCGCTGAACTTGGAAGCAATTTCTGTAAAATTTTTTACTGCAGAAAAAAGTGAATCTGAAATAGAAATTGGGATCATCAAATGCTTAAAGAACATAATTTCTAATGGCATTGCTCTATAGTTCAAGAAAAGGAACAATACAGAAGCTATCATCTTTTGTGTTTTATAAGGTATTTATATTTTTATATTATAAGATGTGAGCATTCATAAAATGGAAAATACATTTATAGACATAAACAGAATATTGGATCACTTGAAATAGCAATAAATAATAAATGACCTAAGATAGTCCATTATATTTAGGAGATTAATAGAACCATACAGATGAGGAATTTGAAAAAGGAAGGGTAACATACCAAATGATAAACTGTATGTCTTCATTTCCTGTGGATGTTTCATAGAAATATTGTAGATTTTGTCAGCATACTTTCTTAAAACTACAGCATAATCTCGACAATCAAAAGGGAGCACTATGGAATTGGCTAGCTCAAACACCATCCCTCCTCGAACCTGGGCCACAGTGAGGTGATATTTAAACATTGGATCATAAAACTTTTCCACCAACTCATATGTTTCATAGACACTGTGATACAGTGGATAGCCGCTGAATTTGTTTGTTTCCTACAGAAAAAATAACAAAACATATCTCTTATAGGATAGCTTACAAAAAAATGATTAGCACCATATTTACTATTAGTATTAGTAAGATTGGCCAGTGATGGATCAAGGAAAGTACTTAAGCATCTCAATAAGCTACATCCTAAACGGGTAATATTATGATACGTAAACACACTCCAGGCTTGTATCAATTAAAATATGTGTATATGATATAACAAATATTATTTAAAAATTATTTGAAAGGGACCAAACTGGCTTGCCTCTAAGAATGCAGAAGATTGCATTCTTAGATTCATGTTTTAAGAATCTGAAAAAAAAGACAAGACATCTTGCATTTGGATAAAAATAAGAAGATGAATTGTTAAAGGCAAGTACATAAGTATTACACAATATTATATAGGAGAAGACACTAAATTGTTTAATCACTAAAATTCCATGGGTAAATGATTGTCTGACAAGTAGTGTGCTGAAGGCTGGAGAGTCTGAGTGGTGAGGGGTGCAGTAGTGGATCCAAAATCTCGCTAAGGAGAGAGAAGGGAGGCCCAGACAGGTGTCAGGAAAACCAAAAGTATAGGTAGAAGGAAGGACTTTTCAAACTGTGAATTGCTGGTTTATCACTTTTGATCATCTTAAGATGCTTATTTTTTATTATTAATATAAAAGGACATTTTATGTACTGATGTGTTGAAGAGACTGGGATTCTGTAATTACCCTGCCAGGGTTTGAATCTAGGCTTCAGGACTTACTACCAAAAACTTTAGGTGGTCATTTGACTTTTCTTTGTTGTAATTTTTTCGTAGTAAAATGTAGACAATATTAATATTTATCCTCACTATCACCTCCTACATAACTCTGCCTAACTTCCTACCTCACAAACAGGAGATTGAAGATTTTCCGTCTGGGAAGAACAGCCCATGAGGAAAGGCTTACAGAAACTTAATGTCAACTCTAAATCACCAAATGTCTTTTCTGTATTTGGAGTTGAGCTCGATCTCTTATTATTGCAATATTCTTATTGGAATAGTTTTGAATGAACTCTTCCTTGCCATTTTTATAACTGTGAGAATGATTTTTCTTTGTAACATAAAATTTAAAATTGAAGAAGTATCAGGATTAAAATATTACTTATAAATATGGATGTATCATAAAAGTTGACAAAGGTTTCATCTGATGAACAGAAATCAGGGGTGGTATGAATATGAAATGGAAATAAGAAACAACTGTTTTTAATTATAAACCAGTGTTCTTATAAAACTACTTGACATTTTATAAACTATGTACCCAATTTACTTTGAAGAAAATGAAAACCATATATATATATATGTAATCAACAACAAAAGAAAGGGAATCATGACTTTTACACGTACACAGTGTATTATACTGATATGATTTGACTCTGTGTCCCCACCCAAATCTCACCTTGAATTATGATAATCCCCACGTGTCATGGGAGAGACCTTGTAGGAGGTAATTGAATCATGGGGGACGAGTTTTCCTGCACTGCTCTCGTGATAGTGAATAAGTCTCATGTGAGCTGATGGTTTTATAAAGGGAAGTTCCCCTGCATATGCTCTCTTGCCTGCTGCCATGCAAGATGTAACTTTGCTCCTCATTCACCTTCAGCCGTGATTGTGAGGCCTCCCCAGCCATAGGAAACTGTGAGTCAATTAAACATATTTCCTTTGTAAATGACCCAGTCTCGGGTATGTCTTTATTAGGAGCAGGAAAACAGACTAATATATATAACATTTTTCATTTGTTTAATGACTTGTTATTTGTTTAATAATTGGAGATACAGTAAGAGATGGAAATCCAAATACACTCATTAATTTTGAATGACAATGGGGAGATACTGACTAATTTTGAATAAGGAGGAGGGTGAAATCAAAGACAATTCCTACATTTCCAACTTAAATGACTGAGTGAATGCAATGCCACCAAATGAAACAGAAAATATGTTTAAAGGAGTACACGGAAGTTCACATTTGCAGACATGAGTATTGATACCAACTGACACTTGAATTTAGGGTTGGAATACCAGATACAGGAGTTATCCTACGTAGTAGTGATACTGTCAACCATTGAGACTTCTCCCTCTGCTTTCAAATTTCTCTATTCCTCTAATGCTTGAGTCACTTTTTGGAGTCAGAATTATTTGTTTAGTTAAAACATATTCATAAATAATCTTGGATAATTTGAGATTCACTTACCCAATTTTTAGTATACCGTGCTCTGCCTGAAGCAATTCCAAGTCGTTGGAAGAACACCTCAAAATCATTTCCAGATCCCAATTTGCTTATCCTTTTAGAGATAAAACAACAGAATTATTTCAAAGTAATTTGTTCATTAAGCACAGATTACATGTCCATTAAAATAAACCCCATTCTTACTATTATAAATGTAATTTTAAACATACAGCTTTAGACATGCAGCAAAAACATAAAAAGAATATTAATTTTGATCACAAAATATCTCCTTCTATGAGACTATTTCGTGTAGGAATGACTATTTTATGCCACATTTTGTTAAAGGTTTCTGAAGTTGGAAAACATTTTCCTTAAGATTATTTCATTCCATTTATCATCTGTATTTGTTGTACATAATAGAGTGAAAAGCAAATATTTTTCAGATAATTTGGACATAAATTTTGCCCTTAATAATATAAATAGTGCTGTTGACATCGATAAACTCAGAGCACTGAGATATTTATTCTTCTTCCCTTGCTTGTGAAGATACAACCAATGTTGAAATGATGCTTGCATTTTTATTGCAATAAGCAAAATATTTGTTAACTATATGATATTCAGAAAAAGGATAATTACAAGGTGATGAGGTGGCAGAAAAATGAGGAAAATTACTTTTCATCATTATCTCTATCATGGGTTGAGTATCCCTAATCCAAAAATCCAAAATCTGTATCAAAACATTTCATGCACCCCAAAAATAAATACACCTACTACGTACTCATAAAAATTAAAGATTAGAACATTTTTAAAAATGCTGCAAAATCCAAAAGTTTTTAAGCACCTACATGACACTGAAAGGAAATGCTAACTGAAGCATTTCAGATTATGAATTTTCAGATTAGGGATGTTCAACCAGTAAGTATAATGCAAATATTCCAAAATCTTAAAATAATCCAAAGTCCAAAACACTTCTCATCCCACGCATTTCATATAAGAAATGACCAATCTTTATAATCTGTTGAAATGTTCCATATGTATATATTATATATTCTAAAGAGAAATCACGTTTTGATATCCTGCAGATTTAACTACAAAACACACAGTAATATTTTATTTGTGAACCAAAGTAATGCTTTTCCTTTATCAGATTTTAGACCATTTTGAAACTTAATTTTTCACTTAATGATTGAAAGAAAATATGCTTTTATTTTCAAAACGATCCCACACTGAATTTAGTGGAAACTTCATTCATTTATTTACCTGGGCATGCCACTGAACTCTGGGGAAGGACTTTTTTTAGTCCAACTTTCATAAAGAGATTTGCCTTCAAAGCCTTCATCAGGGCTTTTCAGCTACACAAATTAAAAGAAAAAAAGAGAATACTTACAAATCAGATATATTAAAAACTAGATGTCCATTAACGAGAAGTGAGTAACTAAGCCACAATTCAGCAAAAACAAGGGATGCTATCCATACATTAGCAGTCATCAAGAATTATAAGTTTCTGACAAGTGGGAAAATACTCATGTGGTTATATATAGGTGAACTATATTATAAAAATAAATGTATGAAGTGCATAGCATAAACAGGCTACACCAAATTCATACCAAGCCATTGTCTTTAGATGAATGGCATAGTGTATGATCTTTTTGTCTATTTTTCTGAATTAAAAGATACTACAATCAAAACTATTTCTCTTCTCACAACAAAGAAAATAAAAAGAAGCAAACTGGTTAAGGGGAAGGATTCAATTTAATATTGTTTCTTGCCAGTAGGGTTACCAAAGTCATTCAATAACATACAATAAACTGCAATGTCTGTTCTTGTACCAGTATCATGCTGTTTTGGTTACTGTAGCCTCATAGTATAGTTTGATGTCTCCAGCTTTGTTCTTTTTGCTTAGGATTGCCTTGGTTATATGGGCTCTTTTATGGATCCATATGAATTTTAAAACAGATTTTTCAAATTCTGTGAAGAATGCCAATAATAGTTTAATAGGAATAGCACTGAATCTATAAATTACTTTGGGCAATATGGCCATTTTAATGATATTGATTCTTCCTATGAGCATGGAATGTTTTTCCATTTGAATATGTCATCTCTGATTTCTTAGGGCAGTGGTTTGTAGTTCTCCTTGTAGAGATCTTTCACCTCCTGAGTTAGCTGTATTCATAGGTATTTTATTCATTTTGTGGTAATTGTGAATGAGTGTTAATTTGTGACTTGGCTCTTGGCTTGTCTGTTGTTGGTGTATAGGAATGCTAGCAATTTTTGCACATTGATTTTGTATCCTGAGACTGATAAAGTTGCTTATCAGCTTAAGGAGCTTTTGGGCTTTGACAATGGAATTTCCTAGATATAGAATCATGTCATCTGCAAACAGGGATAGTTTGACCTCCTCTCTTTTTATTTGAATGAGCTTTATTTTTTTTGTCTTGCCTGATTACTCTGGCCAGCACTTCCAATACTATGTTGAATAGGAGTGATTAGAGAAGAATCCTTATTTTGTGTCGGTTTTGAAAAGGACTGGTTATAGCTTTGGCCCATTCAGTACAATGTTGGCTGTGGGTTTGTCATATATGGCTCTTATTATTTTGAGGTTTGCTCCTTCAATACCTAGTTTATTGATAGCTTTTAACATGAAGAGATATTCAATGTTATTGAAAGCTTTTTTCTGCATTTATTGAGATAATCATGTGGTTTTTGTTTCTAGTTCTGCCTATGTGATTAACTGCATTTATTGATTTGCATATGTTGAATCAAACTTGCATCCCTGGGATGAAGCCTACTTGATTGTGGTGGATAAACTTTCTAATGTGCTGCTGGATTCTGTTTGCCAGTATTTTATTGAGGATTTTTGCATCATTGTTCATCATAGATACTGGCCTGAATTTTTGTTGCTGTTGTATCTCTGCCAAGTTTTGGTATTGGGATGATGCTGGACTCATAGAATTAGTTAGGGAGGAGTCTCTCCTCCTAATTATTTGGAAATAGTTTCAATAGAAATAGTACCAGCCCTTCTTTGTACCTCTGGTAGAATTAAGCTGTGAATCCATTTGGTCCTCGGCTTTTTTTTGGTTGGTAAGCTATTTATTACTGCCTCAGTTTCAGAACTTATGATTGGCCTGTTCAGGGATTCAATTTCTTTCTGGTTCAGCCTTCGGAAGGTGTATGTTTCCAGGAATTTATCCTTTTTTCTCTTTTTCCTTTTCTTTTTTTTTTTTTCTGTTTTTGTTTTGTTTTTTGATGAAGTCTTGCACTGTCGCCTGGGCTAGAGGGCAATTGTGCCATCTCTGCTCACTGCAACCTCGTTCACGCAATTATCCTGCTTCAGCCTCCCGAGTAGCTGGGATTACAGGCACCTGCCACCACACCCAGCTAATTTCCATTTCTTCTAGATTCTTTAGTTTATGTGCATAGAGGTGTTTACAATGTTCTCTGATGTTTGTATTTCTGTGGGGTCAGTGGGAATATTCCCCCTTATCATTTCTGACAGTGTTTATTTGAATCTTATCACTTTTCTTCTTTATTAGTCTAGCTAGCACTCTATTTTTTTTTTTTTCCAAAAAATCAGCTCCTGGATTCATTAATATTTTGAAGGGTTTTTCATGTCTCCAACACCTTCAGTTCAGCTGTGGTCTTGGTTATTTTGTGTCTTCTGCTAGCTTTGGGGTTTGTTTACTTTTGTTCTCTAGTATATTTAGTTTTGACACTAGGTTGTTAACTTGAGATCTTTCTAACTTTTTTTTTTTTTTTTTGAGACGGAGTCTCTCTCTGTTGTCCAGGCTGGAGTGCCGTGACGTGATCTCAGCTCACTGCAACCTCCACCTCCTGGGTTCAAGCGATTCTCCTGCCTCAGCCTCCCGAGTAGCTGGGACTACAGGCACCCGCCACCACATCTGGCTAATTTTTTGTAATTTTAGTAGAGATGGGGTTTCACTGTGTTTGCCAGGATGGTCTCAATCTCCTGACCTTGTGATCTGCCCTCCTCGGCCTCCCAAAGTGCTGGGATTACAGGAGTGAGCCACCACACCTGGCCAGATATTTCTAACTTTTAATGTGGGCATTTAGTGCTATAAATTTCCCTTTTAATTCTGCCTTAGCTGTGTCCCAGAGATTCTGGTGTGTCATATCTTTGTTCTCATTAGTTTCAAAGAACTTCTTGATTCCTGCTTTTATCTCATTATATACCCACAAGTCATTCAGGAGCAGGTTATTCAATTTCCATGGAATTGAATAGTTTTGAGTGAATTTCTTTCTCTTGATTTTGAATTTGCATGGCAGTACAAGAGACGTTTTTAATTTCATTTCTCTTGCTTTTGCTGAGGAGTGTTTTACTTCCAATTATGTGATCAATTTTAGAGTAAGTGCCATGAGCTGATGACAAGAATGTCTATTCTGTTGTTTCTGGGTGGAGAATTTTGTAGATATCTATCAGGTCCATTTGATCCAGTACTCAGTTTAGGCCATGAATATCTTTGTTATTTTATGTCTTGAAAATTAATTAATATTTTCAATAGGCTGTTAAAGTCTACCATTATTATTGTGTGGGAGTCTAAGTCTCTTTGAAGGTCTCTGAGAACTTGCCTTATGAATCTGGGTGCTCCTGTGTTATGTGCATATATATTTAGGACAGTAAGCTCTTCTTGTTGAATTGAATCCTTTACTGTTATGTGATGCCCTTCTTTGTCTTTTTTTTAATCTTTGTTGGTTTAAAGTCTGTTTTGTCAGAAACTAGAATTGCAACTCCTGCATTTTTCTGTTTTCTATTTGCTTGATAGACTTTCCTTCATCTATTTATTTTGACTTATGTGTGTCATTGCATATGAGAAGGGTCTCTTGAAGACAGGATACCAATAGGTCCTGGTTCTTTATCCAGCTTGCCACTCTATGTATTTTAATTGGTGTATTTAGCCCATTTGCATATAAGATTAGAATTGAAATGTGTGGATTTGATCCTGTCATCATGATGTTAGCTGGTTATTCTGCAGACTTATGTGATTGCTTTATAGTATCACTGGTCTGTGTACTTCAGTGTGTTTTTGTTGTGGCTGGTGACAGTCTTTCCTGCCCATATTTAGTACTTCTGTCAATAACTCTTGTTAAGACAGGTCTGGTGGTAACAAATTCCCTCAGCATTTGCTTGTCTTGAAAGAATCTTATTTCTCCTTCACGTATAAAGCTCAATGTGGTCGGATATGAAATTCTGAATTGGAATTTCTTTTTTCTAAGAATGTTGAACATTGGCCCCTAATCTCTTCTGGCTTGCAGGGTTTCAGCTGAGAGGTCCACTGTTAGGCTGATGGGCTTCCCTTTGTAGGTAACCTGGCCTTTCCCTCTAGCTGCCTTTAACATTTTGTCTCTCATTTTGTCCTTGGAGAATCTGATGAGTATGTGTCTTGGGGATGATCTTCTCAAGTAGTATCTTACTGAGGTTCTCTGCATTTCCTGAATTTGAATGTTGGCCTATCTAGCTATGTTGGGAAAGTTCTCATGGATTATATCCTGGAATATGTTTTCCAAGCTGGTTCCATTCTTCCCATCTCTTTCAAGTACACCAATCAGTCATAGATTCAGTCTCTTTACATAATCACATATTTCTTGGAGGTTTTGTTCATTCCTTTTTCTCTATTCTTGTCTGCCTGTATTATTTCAGAAAGACAGTCTTCAAGCTCTAATATTCTTTCCTTCACTTGGTCTATACTGCTATTAATACTTGTGATTGCATTGTGAAGTTGCTGTAGTATTTTTCAACTCTATTCTTCTCTAAACTGGCTTATTTTACTGTCAGTTCCTGCAATGTTTTAACATGATTTTTAGCTTCCTAGAATTGGGTTACAACAAGCTCCTTTAGTTCAGTAAACTTTGTCCCTATCCATATTATGAATTCTACTTCTGTCATTTCAGGCATCTCAGCCTCAACCCGGTTCTGAACCCTTGCTGGAGAAGTGATGCAGTCATTTGGAGGAAAGAGGGCACTGTGGCATTTTGAGTTTTCAGTGTTCTTGTACTGATCCTTTCTCATCTTTGTGGGCTTATCTGCCTTCAGTCTTTGAGGTTGGTGACCTTTGAGTGGAGCTTGTTCTTTTCTTTTCTTTTCTTTTCTTTTTTTTAAACAGTCTAGCCACTTTTCTGCAGGGCTGCTGTGTTGTGCTGGGGGCTCGACTCCAATCACTAGTTGCCTCAGATTTTACAGTACCTGGAGGAATCATCGGTGATGGCTGTGAAACAGTAAAGAATGCAGCCTGCTTCTTACTGTGGGACCTCCATCCAAGGGAGTTATAGACATGTTGCCAGCCTGAACAGACCTGTAGGAGGTGGCTGGAGACCCCACTGGGAGGTCTTACCCAGACAGGAGGAAAAGGATCAGGGACCCAGTTTAAAAAGTAGTCTGGCCACGTTTTTGTAGAGCAACTGTGCTGTGGTGAGGGTCCACTTCAGCCCTTGGTTGTCTTGGACACTCCGAAGTCTGAAACCTGGGATGGCTAAGTCACCCAAACAGCAAAGATGGTGGTCTGCCCCTCCTCCTGGCAGCTCCATCCCAGGGTGTCCTAAAACCTCTGTTAGCCAGAGAACACCAGTGGGGGTAGCCAGAAACCCTAGTTGGGAGGCTCCACCCATTGATGAGGAACGCAGTTGGGGATCTGCTTTATAAGGAAGTCTGGCCACGTTTTTGTGGGGCCACTGTGCTGTGCTGGGGTGCTGCTTCCACCCCCCCCCCAAGTCATCTTGGGCTCTCCAAAGCCTAAAGGTGGGAATGGCTAAGCCACTCAAACAGCAAAGATGGCAGCCCACCCTTCCACCCCCACCTCCCTGCCCCCCACCACCCCCCAAGAGCTCTTTCCCAGATAGGCACAACACTGCTACCAGTGGCTGGCTGGAAATCCAAGCCAGTGGGTCTTATCCTGTGAGGTGCTGTGGAAGTGGGGCCTGCAGGCCATCACTGCTCAGGCCCTTGAATTCGGCCTCTTTTTTATGGGTATGTATGGGGGTCTAACCTCCTGCTGTGCTGGAGTTGCAGTTACTTTTGCCATGAAGCCTGGAAAGCTGGTGTATCTAAAGCTCCTGTGTCTCCATGCATGCCTGAGTGGCTGTTCTGCTAAGACTCCATGCAGCTGTGTATCAGACTGAAGGCCCTGGTGGAGTGGGTTCACGAGGGTATCTGCTGACCTAAGGGTTGCAAAGATCCATGGAAAAAGCATCGTTTCCTGGGGTTGCACATTCGCTCATCATTTTCCTGGGTGGGGGAAGTTCTCTTGACTCTGTGTCATTCCCAGGTGGGCCGTCGTCCTGCCTTGCTTTTCTCCATTCTCCTTGGGTTGGGTTGTTTCCTTGATTAGTCCCAATGTGAGTATCTGTTCATTTCAGTTGAAGGTGCTGTATTTACTTGCCCCTTCAATTTCTCTTTGTGAGAGCCACACACCATAGTTGCTTCTAGTCAGTCATCTTGGTCACTCCTCCATTCCATTCTTTTGCAACCAAAGCTTAATGGCATTTAAATTTTATTTATAATCCCTATCTGAAAAAATGTAATTGTGATCTCATCTAGCCTCTGTCCCTGGAAGCCAGCACCTGGTATTCTTATGAATATTCTTTCTCAGTCAATTGGATCATTTAATGATTCCTGTGTTCTGAATTAATTGGTATCACTATACTGAAGAGTATAAACAAGTTTTTTAATTAAGGAGTTGAGCCATAGGACCAAGTCTTGGTTCGGCTACCGTACAAGTTGTGTGTGACTTTGGTGGCCAATGTTCTTTGAGCTCAGTTTCACTGTTTTAAGAATGGAGATGGTAGACATGATGCTACTAACGGGCTACCTCACAGTGGTGTGGTGAGAAATGAGGCAATCTGTGTAAACAGTTTACTAGATGTGATGGTCTGTGAAGATGTGATGTCATATATGTTATATGAAAAGAAGACAAGAAGTTATAAAACAACACCAATGTTTAACATAATAATACCTCAAGAAAACGTCATTTGTAGAACTTGGGTTTTCCTAAATTATATGTAATTGTATACCTCTTTTGTTAGGTTGTATACCAAGCTGTACATCAGTGGTGTACAATCAACTCTCAGAGTGTAGTTTCCTGAAAAATAAGAAAAGAATAGATTTTAAAATTTAATTTCTTTCTGTTATTATTTTCTTCAAAGACCACTGCTAAATTCCTACCAGAATGATTGTTTTAAAACCTGATTTCAACTGTAACTCTCCAATGGCTTCCCAACTAACTCTGTAAAGTCCATCATCCTCACCATGGCCCACACTGCCATGTATGAAACCCCAGCTCACCTCTCAAAAATCTGCATTTTACATTCTGCCCAAGAATACTCCCTCAGCATCTTTGCACACACTGTCCTTCCAGCCTGGAACAGTATTCTGCATTATATCTGCATGACTTACTCCTCCTCCTCTGGTCTAATATCATGTTTTTCTGAGAGATTTCCCCTGATCACCCTACCTAAAATAGCACTCTCTTACCCCCTAATTTTAGCCACTCTCTCTTTTAACCTTGGCTCATGTTTCTCCATATTACTCATCTATTTAACATAAAACATATTAAGTACTTGTCTTTTTATTATTGGCCCTCCCACTAGAAGATAAGTCCCCTGGGGTAAGGTGCACTCTCTTGTTTGCTGCCATACCCCAGTGCTTAGAACAATCCTAGAATTTGGTATTTAACCAATCAATATTTGTTGTGACAATGAATTTGTGAACCAGATGCTCTTCTTAGAGTTTCAGTCCCCATTCCTCAGGAGGGGGCTGGTGGTTGCGACAATCAAGTGAAGCACCCAGGAGAGGTGTTCTTGGGAAGCCAAGACAGCACAGGGAGGGGCTGCTGACTCAGGAGGAGTTTTGGGGGAGGGAAGTCAAGACAACTTCACAAACTTGGAGAGGGGACTCTTGAACTGGGTTTTCTAGAATCAGGACGCAGTTGGGGGGAAAAATGGTATTTGCAGCTAAAGGCATAGACTGTGCAAATGCCCAGAAATGTAAAAGCACATGAAACACTCAGAGGATGGCAACTAGCTTTTATCCCAAAGCCCCAGATCCATGTTTGAGAACAGCAAAAGTTGAGGCTTTTAAAACAGTGACACCACAACAGAATTGTTTATGGAACTTAAAGATTTGATTTTAGATTCTAAAATTTATCTGGAAGAATAAATATGTACAAACAGCCAATGTAATTTTTAAAACAGAAGTGTTTATAGGAGTGGAAATTGGGGAGGGGAGTAGTTTGGCAGCATTTATTACAATTTAATTGCCCACATCCTAAGACCAAATAAATATACTTGTAGCTCTCTACCCTCTCCTCACATTATACCAAAAAAGCATGCAAATAAAATAATATTAACCACAACAAACTGAAGCAATCTGTCCAGCAGCTAGAAAATTGATACAGAATTTGTCCTATTGATTATAGTGTAGATTTTTGTTGTCTGGTGGTAGTGTTTGTTTTTTAAGTGAAACAGAGATATGTGCTGATATGGAAAGTTTTTCATAATGTGTTGCTGAATGAAAAAGGCAAGCTGTAGAACCATTTAGCTGTAATATGATACCAAATACCTGTTTAAGGTGGTGAGAGACAATAGAGTGTAGTGGTTAGAAGGGTAAAGTTGGAACAGACTAGTCTGATTTGAGTCTAAGCTCAACCCTTCACTAGCTGTGTGGCCTTGGGAAAGTTACTTAACCTCTCTGAGTGTCAGTTTCTTCTTTTATACAAAAGAGATAATAAAAATATTTACCTACTTATCTCAGAGGGTTATTGTGAGTACTGAATAATTTTTTTACGTGTAAAGCACCTGAGATAGCACCCACTATGCTTTTGGTGCTTTGTGAAGCTAAATTCTATATATTAATGCCAACATGATGGGAACACCCAAAACTGAGGACAGTAATACCTTTGGAGAGAGGACTAAGTTTGAGAGTAGTTTGCATTGAGGAGTTTTGCTTTATTTGTAAATTTTACATTTTAACATTAGAAATTTCAGAATCTATGATTATTTGTATTATTTGAGAAAGAAAAATTAATACAATGTAAAAATATAAAACAAGTGAGATGAATGGTGTCCCAATCATATAGTACCTCCTGTCCTTTGTTCTCGATTTTGAAAATTATAGAGACACAATGAAGCAATTTCAAGCCAGGGATGACATAAGTAGCAAAGCTTAATGAGTTTTTAAAATACATTAAAATATCAAATCTTAAAAAACTATGGCCAAGTATTGTGCCACACACCTGTTTTCCCAGCTACTTGGGAGGCTGACGGGGGAGGTTCAGTTGAGCTCAGGAGTTTGAAACTATCCTGGACAATACTACAAGATCTCATTTCAAAACAACAATAACAACAACAACAACAACAACAAAAAAAAACAGAAAAAAACTATCAATAAAGAGAACGTTATTCTACATTTCAAGAAAATATATTTGGAGTATTTATTCTGGGTGGGCATATAATATACATATATATATATACACATATATATATTTCACCTTATTATGTGTTTTAAGTAGGTGTAATGATCCTAATCAAAGTTAACTTTTTTTGACATTTACTCTGTGCAAGGCACAGGTCTGGGAGATTTGCAAATGTAACTTTTTTTGCCCTTACAGGAGCCTTTGAGATAGGGGCTCTTAGAAGTTATATTTAGATGTGAGAAAACTGAGGCACAGAAAGTAAATAGCTTGGGTCACACAAATGGGAAGTTGCAGGGCCAGGAATGAATCCAGGCATCTGACGCCAAAGGTCAAGCTCTTAGCCACTACCCTAAGAGAAGGAGAAAAGAATAACCAAATGCACTGTGTAAACTAACTTTCAGAACAGTGTAGCTCAGAGGCATTGACAAAGAAGAAAAGGAAGGTTGGGAGCTGTGGCTCAGACCCGTTATCCTAGCATTTTGGGAGAACAATGTGGATAGACAGCTTGAGCCCAGGAGTTTGAGACCAACCTGGGTAATATGGTCAAACGTCATCTCCACTAAAAATACAAAAATTAGCTGGACGTCTAGCGTTTGCCTGTAGTCCCAGCTACCAAGGAGTCTGAGGTTGGTGGATCACTTGAGCCTGGGAAATCAAGACTAGTGAGCCATGATCACTCCATGCACTCCAACCTGGGCTGCGGAGTGAGACCCTGACTCAAAACAAACAAGCAGACAAACAAAAGAAGAAGAACGGAAACAGAAAAAACAAACAAACAAACAAAAAACAGAAAAAGAACAGAAACAAAAAAAGACACAAAAAAAAAACAGAAAAAGAAAAAGAAAATGCCAACGTGACTCCATCAAGGTCTCATGTTCCGAGTGTTGACATGGCAAATTTACTAATACACTAAAGAAAATATTCTAAAAAATTCCCCCTTCATTCATTTAGTCCTTTTTTTTTTTTTTGCAACCGTACCACAGATATTTATTTAATAAGACATTAGGAATCTAGGAGTGAATAAGCAAGATACTGTCTGTTCCTTGTTAAAGAATACAGTCTATTACTTGTAAAACAAATAATTACTTAATAATGACAGTGATGAATGCCATGAAGACATGTCTTCCCTGAAAAAGTAACATTTCAACGGAGGGTCTAAGGATAAGGATTAAACACATAAAGAGGTGTTGAAGAGCAATCTGAGTGTAGAGAACAGGAGTGCAATGACTGGGATGTTGCATATGGTCAAGATATAGATATATTAGTGGAGCTGGATTGTAGTGACAATGGACTCTTTCATTTTCATGAAAATCAATCTGAGATTTCCTTTAGTTTGGTCCTTTGCTTATTAAACGTATTTCCATTCTTCAAAGTCAGCCTCAAATGCCTATCCCCTTTCTCAAGCCTTTCCTGAAGTTTCTATTATTCTTTCCTCTGAACTCCCAGAGTGGTTTTATCCTACCCTTTCTAAAGTACCTGCATACATTATAATTCAAGATTGATTTAGCATATTATCTATACTGAGTGCGCCACCACGCCCGGCTAATTTTTGCATTTGTAATAGCTATGGGGTTTCACCATGTTGGCCAGGCTGGTTTCGAAATCCTGACCTGAAGTGATCCACCCGCTTCAGCCTCCCAAAGTGCTGCGACTACAGGCGTGAGCCACCGCACCCCACAAATGATACTTTTTTTCTACACCATTCTAAATTATAGAACTCTTTAGGTCCCTGAGTTAATCATTCAACAGATACTTACTAAATTCCTGCTGTATATAAAAAGAAATCTGCCAGATGAAGCTAATCAAAGAATGCTGCTTTTCTGAATTAGTACTCTATGCTGCAAAGCAAAGAAAAAAAAAAAGTAAGAAAAGAAAGAAAAGAAAAGAGAAAAGAAAACAAAAGGAAAGGAAAGAAGAAAAGAAAAACCTGCTCACCTAGGGCTCACCCAACTCTCAACTAGGGTTCACACACTGCTTCCTGTCAGAGGTTGCAGTAGATTCCCTAACCACACGTTAATACATAGCCTTCCTTGTTAGTGCATAATTTATTAGCTAGACTGCTGCTCCTAGTTTAATCACATCTTTTCTTATGAGACCAACGATATTCACCTTCTATAGATGAGTCAGCATTAATATAAGCCACGCCACGCTCTTGAAGGAGTCTTGAATTATCCTACAATAAAAAGGAAAACTATAAATATAAAGTTATAACCCCCTCCCCCTCCCCCACAAAATGCACATCTACATTTAATGTATGTAGATTTCTAATTGAGCTGACCCATATTAATGACAAATTTGACATAAGAAATTCTCATAAAAGAGCTGCTTTGAAAGAATTTCAATAAAGATTACTGGTAGGAAACAACAAGCAAAACTTGTTAAAAGCTAATATTTAAGATGAAATTGTCCATATACTTATGGTAAGTGGAAAAAGAGTTAATTTCTTAACCATACTGTAGTTTATCCTTCAAAAAATTGTCTTAGCAAACATGAATGACCTAAGAGACTTTTCAGTGAAAATCTTCCTATAAACATCTCATTATTTAAGCAGAGAATCTTGTCTGATTCATATGGAATGAAGGTATTTTAAGTGTATGAAATTTCAAGTTAAATTTCATATTATGAAAAATAAGTGAACTTAAATCATCTCCTGACCATGAAGTCAGGCTCTCCTGTAGGATGGTACCATCTCCTGGTCAATATTGATAATTGCACACTTTTAGAACAAAGCGTAGCAAAGTTTTTTTGAGATATCAGTGTGAATTCTGAGTCTCTAAAATACGTAATTTCCTAAGCATTCTGACTATAAGATAAAAAATGAAAAAAATGCAACTGTAAGTGAAAAAAATAATTTGAAAGACACAAATTACATCATCAAAATATTAGGTTCTTCCAGATAGTGGCAAAATTCTTTCTTATAAAACTTTGACTAAGTCTACAGGAGCACCATTTTTTTTTCAAAGAAAATTAAAGTCCACAGGGTTTCACATAATATCTGGAGTATGAAAGGAGCCAATAAATATTTACAGCGTGACTGGAAATTAATGGAATAAACATTGACTTTGCATATATTTACTTTATAGCTAACATTTCTGTTATATAAAGCCAACAATACATGCAGGTAAAATTACTTTTCAAATGGCTTAGTAAATATTCTGTGGTGGAAATTTTTGCCTTACTTTTAGCATAATTTAACATAGAGCAGGTCATTATGAATTAAGAAAGATAAATGAAAAGTATACCTTACGGCCAGGCGTGGTGACGCACGCCTGTATTCCTAGCACTCCGGGAGGCCGAGGCAGGCATATCACTTAAGCTCAGGAGTTTGAGGCCAGCCTGGCCAACACAGCAAAACCCTGTCTCTATTAAATATAAAAAAATTAGCCAGGTGTGGTGGCACATGCCTGTAATCCCAGCTACTCAGGAGCCTAGGGCAGGAGAATTGCTTGAACCCGGGATGCTGACACTGCAATGCGCAGAAATCACGTCACTGTACTCCAGCCTGGGCAACAGAGCGAGACTCTGTATAGTTAGCTTTAGGAGATATTTTGGAAAGCGTAATAGAATCGTGATAGAAATCAAACATGATACAGGAAAATTTGGCTTCATGGTCAGGAAATAGAGACAATTTAACTTCATATTTTTCATAAATTTGAAATAGCTTAATTCCCTTTGAATCAGACAAGATTCTCCATTTAAATGACATGTTTATGGGAAGATATTCACTGAAAAGTCTGTTAGGTCGTTCATGTTTGCTAAGACAATATTTTGAAGAATAAACTACAATATGATTAAGAAACTAACTCCTTGTTTTGATGTTTGGTTTCTAGCATATCTACTTATTTACTCTCATACTCCCAGGAAATAAAGATCAATTAATTTTGACAATTGACATTAAGTGGCTCTAAAAGGTTCAAACAAAACTTAGTTCTTTAGCAACAGAGATTTTTATTGCTGATTTTTGAACAAGAATATGTTACTCAGATTTTGGGGAAAAAACTTTGAATACTTTCTCATTATATTCACTTCTTATTTTTACATGCTTGGCAAATAATTCCTGGCTACTTCATTTTATAAAAATTTATATTATAGCAAATTACCAACTAACCTCTGCCCACTCAGTAGAACCAAGAAGACCAAATTCTTCTGCATCCCAGCTTGCAAACAAAATTGTTCTTCTAGGTCTCCACCCTAAAATGTATGTGTATATATAAATGATAGAAAAAAAATTCATAATATACCCAGGACACTACCAAGCCCAGATTGGGGAAAAAAAAAAAAGTCATTGATGGTTTGGGAAGGGCAAATTGTAGTAAAAAATCTTTACTTACATAACTTTCTTTGGTAAGATTTTAAAGTTGTCAATACAAAATAGCACAATTACATAGAAAAGGGGGGAAATGTGACAGTAAAAATCTTGCAAGATCATAAAACATTCTAATAGGTTTATAATGATTCGCTATGCATAGGAAGTCATTGGTGGTCTGCAACTGCCTAGAACAAAGAAAGAAATTTCTAGATGCATTTGGTATTCTGAAAGCAGATATAACTGAAAGAAAATCCTTTAGAACTCTTTCCTGTTGTTCTGACATCAAATGAACAATTGTTCAATATCAGCTGGTCCGTATGATTTCACTCCATTCTCTGCCAGAATTAATCAACAAGGGCTCAGTTAGCAACAGCAATGTTTGCTGTTGCTGAAAACCACATAATTCAATAGAGGGGTGATGTGTCTCGGAGGTTATAAACACTGACCTTGGAATTAAGGCAAGATCTTGTTTCAAACCCTGGTTCTCTCACTAGCAGCATGACTGAGGGAAAGTTATTCAAACCTACTAAACTTCCATTTCTTCATCTGTATACAAGGAACAAGAGAGTAAAGATGAAGACACCACTTGATTGTGGGAGGATTAGATGGAATAATGTTTAGAAAGCACTGAGTAGATGCCCCCAAAATTGCGAGTAGTCACCATCTTAGTAAATACTCATGTGTGCTTAAGAATGTGTATAGTATAGCTGTTAACTCGAGTCTTTTGTTTTTGTCAATAGTATTATTCAAATTTCCTATTATTATTTATCAACATTCCACTTATTTGGCATATTCTATAATTGTCACAGTGATGTTTTGTATAGTTACCACAGGAATTTCCTAGAAAAATCATGAAACATTTTTGTAATAAAATTAAACACTACCTACTTCATGAATTATGTAAATTTAGGTCTCCATTGTTTGTTTTCTTCAAATATAAGATAGCTGTGTAGAAAAAAGAACTAAGTGCCTTTACATTTTATTTTAAATAGAGACATCATGGTTTTGAGGACTGGTAGTCAGAAATTTCAGTTTGAGCCCTGATTCTCTTATTCTGCCACATGCTAGCTACATAATCCTGGGGAAATTACTTGATTCTCTAAACCTTGGTTAACTTATCTGTAACATGAGAAGATAAGTAAATATGTCTTCTCCCTAGTTGCTATGACTTCAAAGAAGATAGGACATATAAAAACAGTTTCTCAAAAAAAAAGTAAATACTATGCAAACAACATACATTATTGTTTTTATTGTTGATAAAAATATATAGATTACATTTTACAGCCCCAGACACCTTGTTTGCAGGGTCAATAAAGAGAATGAACTTCCTGCTCTCAATGTGTAATTATTATTTTAAAAAGCAAACATTTGAACTAAATTTTACTTTGGCTTTCATATGAAGATTCTAAAATGGCTAAAGTGGTGATGTTACGAGTGTAAACCTAATTTTTGCGAGAGCACACCAGGGCTCAGGATGTGAGAACACAGATTCCAAACTTTTGACAGAATCCCATTAGACCTAAGACCAGTATTTCTCCGAATAGAGCATCTATCTCCTTAATTACTCTGCACACGTAATCTGAGGTCTGGGGTTAGAAGAGACGGAGGAACGTCTGCTTACAGTCTCTGACTAGGAAGCTTTGGCTTATAATCTAATTTCAGTGTGTTTTCTCTAGTGATGTAATAACCCATCTTCATCTTCTTAGTTGCCAAGAACAACCATTAACAGTATAATTCCTTTATTTCAGATTATCACTTAATACATAAATATCAATAATATATGTGTTATATAAATAAATGCAAAAATAAATAAACAATATAATTAACCAACCAACATTAAAAATTGTATTGGTATTTTTACCAAACACATGTAATGGTTGAGGTAGTATTTTTATACTCCCTTTACAGAAGACTAAACTGAGACTCAGATAGGTTGGTTTTTTTGCTGTTTGTTTGTATTACCTTCCTTTTTCAGTGTTCCAAAGCTCCTCACAGTTTCATGAACAACAGCTGCTCCACTCTGAGGGTCAATACCACCAAACACCCATGAGTCCCGGTGACCTCCCAGAATGACATATCTGTCTAGAAAGCATAGATACAAGATTATTTGTCATTTCAGGTCAATAAAAGAGAACATTGCAAACAACTCAGTAGCATCTAAATACAAAGCACTCATGACTCAAAAAAAAAAAAAAGGCTAGGTTCCCCAAGATTTGTGAAAATATGTTATTTCTGATTTTAATATGTATTTCTTCTATCTGAGAAAGCATACATGTGATAAAGCAAATATATATTGAAATGTATTACCATAATTATAAGTACTACATTAAGTAATTAAGAAAGTTTAACGTTATCCTTATTCACATTTTTTGTGTGAATAAGAGAATACTCCTCTCTTACCTAACTTACCACTTTCGAATATATTCAAAATAAGAGAACATAGTGGCCACATAGGAAGTTCTCCAATTCCTATTCTTTCTTTTCAGTTTTTAAGGTACAGCTCAAATATTTTCTCCCTCTATTCAGTTTTTAGGGTACAGCTCAAATATTTTCTCCCTCTATGCAGTTTTTAAGGTACAGCTCAAGTATTTTCTATAGAAGAGGGAATTTCTTTGCCTACCCAGCTATCAGGAGTGATAAAGCATTGATCACCCTTAAGCATATGGCTCCCTTCACAAACTGTCAGCTCTTTGCCTCGGGTCTGTGTCTTCTTTTATCTCCCCATTTCCAATGCTTATCACAGAGCTGGCACAAAATAGGTACTCAGTATTATTCAATAGTAGCCACTTATATATTGTTTAGTACTCTTTAGAATATGCAAACAACAAGGATATCAATATTCTTGATCTAAAATAAATCATTAGCTGCTTGTAAGAAACATGCAATTAATATGTTTAATATGCATTTAATAGTATCTGTTTTGGTAAGAAATACAGAACCAAATAGTTCATAAGAAACTGAGCCTTCACGAACTAAGACTATGCATAAAATGTATTAATCAGTAGATCATCTGAACTTCTATGGAAATCATATGTCCATATATTTTATCAGTGGCTTTAGTGGTAGAAAATAAAACTATGCAAAGGATTATCTTAATTTTCTAAGAGCGTGATATTTTATATAGACGTTCATAGTTATCATGAAGATATTTCTCTGTGCAAAAATATGGTAAAAAAAAATTCAGAAAACTCAGAAGAAAACAAATCTTTCCCTACTCTGCTTCCCTTCATCCTTTAATTGAGGCCTGCACAATTGATCATTCACCTTGGTCATTTGCCCAGCCTAGCACCAAATGTTCACTTCACCACCTGTACCACAATACAAAATTATTTCATATTTATTTCTTTTGTTTTTAGGTGAGTTCCACTGATTTTCTTCGTTTGTTTGTTTGTTTGTTTGTTTGTTTTGATTCACTTTGCACTCCCAGAGCTTGGTAGTATCCAGCACATAACAGTTACTTGATCAATATTTGCTAAGCAAACGATTCCTTTACCTGGTTCCACTGCTCCTCTGAGAGTACCTATCACATTGTAAATTCTCGTCACTTCATTGGTAGAGTGGATGTGCATCTTGACTTTTCTAATGCAAAAATAAAAGACATTCTTTGAAAAAAAACAAAACAAAACTGGTTAACAGATTAACACTATAAGGGTTAAGGGAATTTTCCCCTCTGCCTTTGAAGGTTCAAGTCTGGTAAAACAAACTGAAAATTGATTAACAGGGGAAAAGGCGTACAAACTTACTAACACACCAGTGTATACAGGAGCCAAACAAAATGTGAGACTCAAAGGCCAAATGGCTGAAGTTTAACTAGCACCCTCTTCATAGAGGAGGGAGAAGTGGGGGAGTGCAGGTGGTTTTGAGGGGTGGTAAATGGTTTTCAAGAGAGTTAAATGGGCCCAAAGAGCAGGCAATAGTTTATAAATAATTCTCTTTGGAACTTGAATGGAACTAGAGAACAGTCAACAGCTTGTGACAAAGCCTGTGCAGATAAAGTGATATGCCTCAGTCTTCCTTCCCACTATATGAGTTCAATCTTCCCTGGTTAATAAAATTTCAGGGAGGGGAAGGAAAGTCATTGTCTTCCTTCTGCAGGAGCTTCAGATAAGGGAACTTCAGAGACAAACTTACACTCTGCTCTTGTGGGGTGAAGTAAGAGGTCAGAATTATTGATTCTGAAGCTGCATCTAAGGACTTTTATCCTTTAGTTCAAAGTGCTCAGCATGCCAAAACACCATACTTTGGGTTATTCATTTTCTGAGTTCCAACAACACTCATAATATTTAAATCTTCAATCTTGTTTAAAGATTTCTAATTGTTCACAGGCAAAAATTACACTGGTTCTAACTTGCAGTTTTGTTTCCTGCTGGTATTACATAAATTTTACTTTTTCTGTCATCCTCTATAGTATTTTTTTCTTTAAGTCTCCCCCTTAAAAGAGTTAAAATTAAAATAGTCTCTTAACTGTGTAGAAAAGTTTCCAGTAAAGCCAGGTCCAACATTGTAGGACACTTTGAGACTTCCTCTCCAGCTGCTATCTGGTGGTGCTGAGCCACCCATTTTTCTGTTGGACACAAAACAACATTATTAGCCACAAAAAAACCTTGAAGTAACACATTAAAATGTTAATGGATTCACTTTATTGAGCATCTGCTCATAATATCTTTAATGAGTGCAAAGTGCTTTGAATATAATGCGTCATTTAAACCTTACCACAATTCTGAGGAATTGCTACCTCCACTTCACAGATGGGGCACAGGAGGCTTAGATAACATGCCCAAAGTCATGCAACTAGTAAATGGTATAATTAAGATTCAAATTATTGATAAGAATTTGACCTGCCTTACCAGTATCTAGTAGTAAATCTAAAAGTGCTTTCCAGACCATGTGCTGAAGAAAGAGCTTGATGTCTAACTCTCTGAAATTTTCCATTCTTATTTGTCTCACTGGTATATAGTTATTTTTTACAAAGTACTTTCATACACACCTACTAAGAAGACAGGAGGATCAAAAGAAAGGATTTCATTTCAGAAGCCCCTAAAAGCTTCATGCTATTTTTTAAAATTCAGAAATAAAGATTCAGGCAGACCACCCAGTATATGCCATGGTCCCTGGTTATCTTTCAGCAGGTGATTGAGAAAGAAAACATGGTAATGTTTATGAAATGGTGGGGTTCTTGTAGTTTCACTTCAACATATCTGCCTTTACTGCATTAAGATGATGGATTAACTTATTCTTGATATGGGCATGTAAAACAATATACTTTTACTAAACAGCTACAGAGAGACAAATGTGTTTCCAGACAAACTTAAGAGACTGAGTGTTCAAACTGAATAATCTCGACCTTAATTGTAACTATATTTTTATGAAAATCCAGCTGTAAGGCAAAAACAGACTTCTTTGGGTCTACCACAGGCATTTTGTTCCTGTTAAATGAATATTCCAAATCTTAAACCCAGCTCCACTTAAATAATGGCCTGGAAAAATAAATGTCATTATCTGATATTATACTGAGATGTTTAGTTATGAAATCAAAAGTGGAGAATTTCAATCTGTCCTGTAAGGCTTTCTCTGTGGTCGCGCACCCTCATGCACTCCAGGCTGTGCGGTGGAGCATGCTCTGTCGTGTCCTGTTTTCTTCTGTGCCTGTACACGGGTGCTTGTTCCCTGTCTACCTGTTTGAGGAAATATGAATAGCTCAACATAACCTAGAATCTACTGCACATGCAATAAGGAAACAGTCAGTAAGATCACTTTCTCATGGAAAATTCATTAGAATTAACATCTCGTTTTAAAATGCTCTATCAAAGTGTAAATAATTCCTCTCTTTTTTCCCTTTTTCACTAAGGAGTTTGCATATTAAACAGAATTTCAAGTAATGTATTATAAAATTTATTTAAACTATTTACAATAAAATGCCACGTATAAAGCATCAAGCAACATGAAGAGGCATTTTACATTGGTAGAAAGCATAATACATAGTCAAAACAGCAGAGTATTAAATAAACAGAAAATTTGCAAAAGGCAAGTAAAGAATATACATATACTTAATTATACATAAAATATTGATACAGGAGGTAGAAAGAAATTTAGTAAGCAGATAATGGGGGCAACAGAGTCCTCAGCAGAGCTTCCCTTCTAACAAAAAGCAGCCCAAGAAATTTTTTTTTTTTTCTAACAAAAAACAGCCTGAAAAATCGAGCTGCAAACATAGATTAGCAAGCTGAAAGTGCGGGGGAATGCTGGCAGCTGTGCCAATAGAAAAGGGCTACCTGGAGCCGGGCGCGGTGGCTCACGCCTGTAATCCCAGCACTTTGGGAGGGCGAGGCAAGCGGATCACCTGAGGTCGGGAGTTCGAGATCAGCCCGACCAACATGGAGAAACCCCGTCTCTACTAAAAAAAAAAAAAAACGCAAAAAATGAGCCGGGCATGGTGGCACATGCCTGTAATCCCAGCTATTTGGGAGGCTGAGGCAGGAGAATCACTTGAACCTGGGAGGTAGAGATTGCGGTGAGGCGAGATCACGTCATTGCACTCCAGCCTGGGCAAAAAGAGCAAAACTCAGTCTGAAAAAAAAAGCAAAAGAAAAAAAAAGGCTACCCGGGGGCCAGGCATGTACACATGGAGGGTCCATCTTCCCTGTTTTTGTTATCACATGCACAGTAACAGAGAAATGAGCAATATGGCGCAGCTCAGGCAGAGAACTCACCTGAATAATAAAAGATTAGGGTGGGGCCACTAGAAATTCACACCCTATGCAAAAGGCACACCTGGCCTAACCAGTTTGTCCATGACTTATATAAATCAGACACTACCTCTTCACCAGCTCATCTATAAAACCCTCTGCATTTTGCAGTGGACCAGCAACACACTTTTTCCAGGACCTCTCTCTGCAGCAGAGAACTATGCTAATACACTATAAACTAATAACGTCAGTTGCTTTGGGGTGTAAATGGATGAGAGGAAAACTTTACTATAAATCCCTTTAAACTTTGAACTTTGTAAATGTATTTCCTTTTCAGAATAAAAATTAATAGTCCATATTTCCATAAAACAATACAATATAAAGCCACGATTGTAGTGTCCCCACAAGGACAGGTGAACAAATGACTAGAAGAGAACATAATAATAGTTATATATAAGAATCTAATATACCAATGAAAAAAATAATGCACATACATGGAGAAGTTTCAGTTGAAAAATGTTACTGAGGTATAAATCTCTTTAGGTCATTTTCTCACTTTATAAATAAAAAATAAATTCCACAAATATTTAAAAGTTGAATATTAAAATTTAAAACCACAAAAATATTAGGAAGTACAAATAAATGTTGGAAAATGTCTCTGAACGTATTTGGTAGATGGTAGATGTACAGTAATTAATGTATAGACAGTATTGAGTTTATAATTCTGTATCTTGTAGCATATTAATTTTGATTTGACCATTTGGAGAAGATTTGTTGTCTACTATGTTTAAGGCACTGTGTTTTATTCACTAAAAAATATAAATATTTACAAGACTCAGTCTTTCCACCAAAGAGTTTATAAATCACTCAGAAGAAAATACATATAAAACCAATCATAATATAAAACAGAATATGACAGAGCAAAGGTAAAGTTCTAAAAAATTTGGACAAAAGAAAGCTTGAATCAGCTTGTGAGATCAGGAATTACTTTCTAAAGAAGGTTTCACTTGATCTGGATTTTAAAGATGAATAAGGGCCGGGCATGGAAAAATGAGGGCAAAGAGCCTTCCAGGCACAGAGGCAGGCAAGCATAGAGCAAGTGTAAGGCATGATGATTATTCTGGCTGGGATATAAAATGAATAAGATTCCTTGAGAAAGAAATTGAAAAATAGTGTAACTCAAGTGCACATGGAGCATTTTTCATAATAAATCATGTCTGTAAAACAAGTCTGGATAAATTTAAAAGGTTGAAATTATACAATCATTTTATTACTCATATACTTCTTTTACTAATCCAACCACAATAAAAGGAATTTAGCAATCAATAACAAAAGTAAATTTAGGAAATTCACAAATATATGGAAATTAAACAACTAACTCCTAAATAACCAACGGGTCAAAGAAGAACTTGCAAATACAATTTAAAAATGCTTTGAGATGAATGAAAATGAAGATGCAACATACCAATATTTATGAGATGCAGCAAAAGCAGTGCTTAAAGGAAAATACATAGCTGCAAACACCTATATAGAAAGAATCTCAAATCATTAAGCTAAGCTTTCACCTTAAGAAACTGGACAAAGAAAACTAAACTAAACTCATAAAGCATAAGAAAAGAAATTAAAAAGATTGAAAGAGAAATAATAAAATAAATAGAGAAAATCAGTGAAACCAAGGGTGATTCTTTAGAAAGATCAACAAAATCAGCAAACCATTAGTTAAACTGACCAAGTTTAAAAAGTAATTACTAAAATCAAGAATACAAGATAGGACGTTACTACTGACTTTACCTAATTCCTACTTCTACCACAGTGCCTGAAATATAAAAGTCATTCTATAAATGTTTCTTGAGTGAGTGGGCTGTGAGAAGCCATTAAAGGTCTCCCAAGCAGAGGCATAAGAATGAGACAACACCATAATCAATAGAGGTGGCTACTAAATGCTTGCGTCGTTGAGTAGAGAGTAAGTAGTGTTTACCAAAGTGTCTTTTGCATCAGACATGAATTTGGGCCCTGGCTCTCTCACTTACTCTCTGAACATTGGTTAAAATGAGTATCACAATACTAACTCATATTGTTGTTTTATAGGTTAATTGAGGAGATGTACGTAAAGCATTTAGCACAACAGTAATTGCTAAAGCGTAATTAGCACTCCATGCAGGATACATGCTATTACTGTTACTGTTGGCACTATAGTTATTGTCCTAGAAGTTACTGTAGAAGGCAAATTAAAACCACATAATCACACTGTGTTCAGTATACATGTAAAGAAAAATAGGAAACAATATATATGGTGTCCCCTTTCTCTCACACTCAAGTCAACATTGAAGTTTTTACCATCACTCACATTTCATCAACTTTTTATTTAAGTTCTCAGCATTCTTGGGCCATTATATGACTTTATATCTCTCCTCATTTACTCACACATTTATTAATAAACTTTTATTTCATGATATATTCCATTTGTAAAACACTGTCTTTTCTAATTAGTGCACAATGCTAAACTGCTAACCACTTGAGAGAACCTGAGAATTGAGTATCTTGGCACACTCCCAAGGTACCTGTGCCAAGAGAGTAAATTTTCACAGTGAAATTCATAAACAAACCATATGTTCTTTTAAACAATTTTTTGAAACTAAATGCCACTTATATGGACTGTTTCATTATGGCTTAGAAAGTATGGGTGGATAAATAGAAAGTGTCTATTTTTAATTATGAAATTTTGAATGTAGAATGCACTTTTCCATGAAAGTTATGTTATTAACGGTGATTGTATTTGTAAAATGGCTTACAGAGGCTGACACAGTAATGTCAGATGAATTGTGTTTGTTATTTTTCAGTCAATCAGATAATTCCATTACACAATCAGAGCACAGCTGATATTGACCTAGTAAACCAGACCAAATCTTAGACGTCTAAATAAATCTCACATCTAATTCCATGACATTACGCATCCCTCTTTTCTAATTACAAAGATAATACAGGTTCATGTTTTACATTTTTTTTTTTTTTTTTTTTGAGACGGAGTCTCACTCTGTCGCCCAGGCTGGAGTGCAGTGGCGCGATCTCGGCTCACTGCAACCTCTGCCTCCCTGGTTGAAGTAATTATCCTGCCTCAGCCTCCCACATAGCTGGGACTACAGGCATGTACCACCATGCCCCGCTAATTTTTGTATTTTTAGTACAGACGGGGTTTCACTCACCATGTTGGCCAGGATGGTCTCCATCTCTTGACCTCATGATCTGCTCACCTCGGCCTCCCAAAGTGCTGAGATTAGAAGCGTGAGCCACTGCGCCCAGCCCCATGTTTTAATTTTTTATATAACTGAGATAATACTATATATATATAGTTTTGAAATTTGCTTTTCTTCACTTAATAGTATATCATAAGCATTTTTCTACATTATTAATTATTCTGGTACAACATATAATATCTTTTAATCACTTCATTTACTATCATAGTCATTAATGTATTATTTGAGTACATATAAATTGTTCAACAATTTATTGTCTACAGTTTTCCACTATTACAAGTAATGCCAAAATCACTTTTATCTTTTAAATATCATGAATACTTAGTCTTTATTTATACATATTTTTAGGCAAATGCATAGTCTATGGTGCTATTAAAAGTTGTGCCCGGTCCTGAATCTTAGCCAATGCAGTAAATCTTATAGCCCCAAGGAAGAAAGACCAGGGTACTTTCTTAATCTGCCCTTAAACAGATGTGTCCTACTCCCCAGATGTCAGCCTCCTCACCTCTAAAAATGAGTGCCTTGCCCTTGGTCAAAAAGTGCTTCCTCATAGATACTGGAATAAAATGATTAAGAAAGGCTTGAACTTAAAGAAGAAAAGGGACTACCTGGCCAGACGCTTTGGTCTCTATCAATTTCACTTTTAGAAAAGCCAGTGTTCTCTCACCTCTAAAGAATAATGGTGGCTGGGCGCGGTGACACATGCCTGTAATCCCAGCACTTTGGGAGGCCAAGGCGGGCGGATCACCTGAGGTCAGGAGTTCGAGACCAGCCTGATCAGCATGGTGAAACCCCATCTCTACTAAAAATACAAAAATCAGCTGGGCATAGTGGTGGGCACCTGTAATCCCAGCTACTCAGGAGGCTGAGGCAGGAGAATCACTTGAACCCGGGAGGCGGGGTTTGCAGTGAGCCGAGATTACACCATTGCACTCCAGCCTGGGCAACAGAGTGAGACTCTGTCTCAAAAAAAAAAAAAAAAAAAAAGGACATGGCGATGGGAGAAAGCAGCACAGGGAAGAGGAAACAGTTCCAATGCCAGGTTAAGCAGAACAAATCTGGGAAAGTTTCAATAATGAAAGCAGAAAGTTTCAATAATGAAAGCAGAAGGGGAAGAAGAATAGAGATAAAAACAAAATGGAAGTTGCTCTCACAGTGTGTTATTCTGGGTCCTCCCAGACGTAGACAGTAAGAGGAATACATGAGTAAGAGATTTACTAGGGAAAAGCACGTGTGGAAAATGAGCAGAGAGCTAGGAAACCCTGAGAAAGTCCTTAGACTGCAAGGTGGGTCTAATATTGAATAAAGGAAAAAGGGAGAAGGAAAAGAAAGAGGAGTGTTGGGTGTAGCATCTATTTAAGCCAGGCTATCAGGGAGTCCCTGGGCCAAAGTTTTGCATCAGAGGAGTCCAGTGCCTTCCAGAAACAGGCTTGTAGTAGTATCCTTGCCACACTGAGTCATTGCCCGAGAACACCTACAGAAAGCATAGTCTTGACACAAATATAGTGGGGTTTCAAAGCACAGTGTCTGGAGCAATTGATCAATTAGGCTCCCTGCAGTTAAATATCTGAAAGGCTCATTTTCATGGCTGTCATACACTAGACACTCATGTATATACTAAATTCCAGAACAGAACCACTCTTCTATTTTATAGTGATAAAATTACAAGCAGCACCCATGTTGGAAAATTTAAGTACTAAAAAATGGAGATAAAAGCCTAACATTTGAAAACTGTCATTAATGAAAATTACCCAAATAGCCATCCATTGTTTCTTACAAACTTACTCTAGGAGCTTCTGTGCATCATAGTATCCAACTGGATGAACAGGAATACTTGGAAGACCAACAGCCTCTGCAATTCCATGCCTATAAGCGTATTCTGAAAAAAAAAAATTGCCATATTTCCAGTAAAAGCTCAGTTTCATTCAAACGGTTCTCTATAAATCACATTAAATAAATTCTAATTTCACATTTGCTAGAATTGTTAAAGTAAAACAGATTAACAATTCAAATGTTAGCGAGAATGTGGAGCAACTGAAATCCTCATACATTGCTTGTGAGAATCTAGTCTAAAATTATACAATCACTTAAGGTAACTCTTTGAAAAGCAATGTCAGGCAGAAATGTGCACTATGGCACAGCAATTCCACTCCTGGGTACTCTAGAAAGATGAGCACATGCCCACAAGAAGACGTGTACAAAATTGTTCATAACAGCCACATTTATATTAGCCAAATATTAGACAAAGTCCAGGTTTCTAACAACAGAAGAATGAATAAACAATCCATAGTATAATCCCACAATGGAATGCTACTCAATCATTGAAAGAAAAAAACTAATACATACAATATGATGGAAAATCTCAAATTAGTACATTGAAATAAGCAAGGCTTTAAAAAAAATCTACTGTTTGATTCCACTTACTTGAAGTTCAGACTCAGGCAAGTGAATACACGATGCTAGATATTAGAAAGTGATTGCTTCTAGGGGACACAGAGAAAATTGACCAGAAAGGGGTATAAAAGAACTTTCCAGAGTGATGGAAATGCCCTTACATTCTATTTTAAGTGACATAAACACATGCGATTTGCAAAATTTATTGAACTGAAATCTTGAGATCTATGTATTTTATTGCATGTAAGCTCTACCTCAAAATAAGCACACACATCCTATCATTTCTTCAGATTTAAGAAAAATCAGAGCTGTTTTTCCATTTTTTTTCTCTTTTTAAAACTATCTAATAAGAAACTTAGGTAACTTCAAATCCTTGTTTTTATGGGTAAAATGACATAATGACATGTTGTGTGGGATTTGTTTTCAAATTCTCTAGAATAATAGCAAAAAAAATTGGAGTGATAAACAAATAAAAAAAGATTGACAACATGTTGACAACTGTCTCTACTTTCGTATATGTTAGAATTATGCCATAATAAAAAGTAAAATTAGAAGGAAAATAAAAATGTATAGGGCACAAAAAATGATTCAATAAACATTAGCCCCATAGAAATAACATAATTTTCCCCCTAAAATACCATCATTCAAATTTGAAGAAAATCAACAGAAGCATTTCAGTTAATCTCATTTTATTTTCATTATTTTGACTTTGCATAACTAATAAAGCTTAGGCTAAGCCGCATTTTTTAAAACTTGGAAATAAAAAGGTGGAGCAAATAAAGTTCAGGTAGATTTATATAATTTTACTATAGGGTAATATGTATCATTTTTTAAAAAAGAAAAAAATTTCTGACAATGTATTATGTTCTAAGAAGATTTACAAAGCCAAAAAAAATTACATAATCTTTACAGGAGTCTACAATTTAAGAGTAAAACCAGATGAAGACATAAATGTCATAGATAACTTGGCAAATTATTTTATACAAGTTTTAAAAATTTAGTTAGCTTTAAACCACACAAACTTAATGATCACAGATTTTTGTAAACATCATCAAATAGTTGAGCACATTCAAAATAAATTAGCTCCCTTTGTTAATGTTTTACAGGGGAGCCTTTCAGCATAAGACTAGTATGTGGACTCTGTGAGCCAGACTGCCTGAATTTGAATCCAACTGCTCATTCAGAGGAGGGGTGATCTTGGGCTGACCTCTAGTCTCACTTTCCTCCCTGTCAAATAAGAGATAATAACACCCCCTAGCTTTAGGGTTGTTAATGCAAGTAAATTGCTGGCATTTAGGAAACACTCTTTGAAAGTTATCTCCATTATCTTACAGAAATGAAGCAATATGCATTTCCTGGGCTCTATATCCTAAATGGGCCATTTAAAAAGTTTATGGAACTTCTGCTCTCCTGTCCCTTACCCACACTGTGAAATCTGTAAATCTGGGGGGAATTTATTCAACAGCAAAACCTGATCTGACCTGAACTAATTTGAAAGCAAAATTTGACTTGAGTAGACATAAGTCTGTTTATATTCCTTATTCCCCGCCCCCCACTTACTATTTAGCGTAAGTATTCATACACTCTGCAGCAAAAATATTTATATGCTTTTTCCCCATATTCTGTCCCAGCCCCCTATGTCACTGTTATGCAAGTTATGGTATATGTGTAACACCATAATGTTTTTTAAATAGCTGAAAAGTCTAAATTTGAAAGCCCACCAGGCCCAAGTTTCAAAATAAGGGGGTAAGAGGCCTGAACCAATCACTTTAGAGTTCAAAATTCTTTCATTCTTAAATGCAAAGAGAATAAAAAAAGACATGCTTAGTCCATTGTGCCAAAGGAAATTCTTTAATAAAGTCTCTTTTAAATGTTAAGTTTCCTGTGATATTCAAGGATTGATCACTCACCATTTGCTGGGTAACCTGGTGTGAGAGGGTCTCCTGCACCATTCAGATTTAGGATATTTCCACGCTGGACACCACCTCCAGGAAGATTCCAACCGTCTGGATAGGACTTCACCCCAGGAGCAAAGTAGTCAGCAGGGTCTGAGTAGAGAATGACTCCTTTGGCCCCTGCCAGCTGGGCATTTTTAACCTAGAAAACACAGTGTCTTTCTTTCCTTATTTTAAATTGGTTGTTCCAGATTTGGTAATATCAATTTTCAATATTACACTTAAATGAGTACTAGAACTTTATCTTCAACCTTTTGTCATTAGGCCTACAAAAAAGGACATCTCAGAGAGAATTTCCCTTTTCTTTTTGCTACTATAAGCTCTAAAAATCCTCAGAACATCAGATTTGGAAATGTTCTTATTTGTGGTAGTGAGTATTTGCTATTTCCTTCCACTAGCTTAGAAATATAATAAGCAAGTAGACCCCACAGGCCAAATTCCTATTTGTTCTACAGTCTAAAGGGCATTTTTCAAAATTTAATTTCCCACTAAAGAGAAAAATATATTTATTAACAAATCAAATGACAGTAATTTTTAAATTGGCTATGTGTAAATTGTTTTCACTCATTATTTATAACAATTCATACTACAATTTAATTTAGTAAACATTTTTGTAGAAAATATTTAAAACAAAGATACTGAAAGTTAATAATAAACCCAGTGCATGCTTCTTTGTAGGCCACAGCCATAACCTGTAAGCACAGAAAAATTTGTTCTGTTCACTCTAAACATCTACACTGTCCAAATTCCAATGCTCAAATTTAACCCTGGGATATAACCTAGTAAATGTGTCCTCTCTGTAAGGTGGGCATGTCACAGAATACAAGAAAATAATGGTATTCATAAAGTTTTAAGAAAATGATTCTACACATGTAAAACCCACTATAACTTTTTATATTGGGGGAGAGAAAAAAAAGAGATAATTTTTACCTTACCTTATTTCCTCTGAAAACTTTCCTATATCTGGCAATTACAATTTTCCCAGAGCAATTGATTTTCATGTCCCGTTCCAATTTAAAGAAGTCTTCAGTTCGTGCATAGTTAACATGCACTAGATCACCCTGTTGAGATCAGGAATGACTTAATATGAATCAGATATAAAACAAGGAGGTTTTTCTGCATGGGGACTGTTGGGCATTTTTGAAAGAGGGAAGAGGTCAGAGCACACAGGAGGGTCAGAAATGCATGAGCTCCAAAGAAGAGATTCAAGGGAAAAATGAATTGAAATTGAGAATGGAATTAGTTGGGCTAGAAGCACATGAATAAAGTAATATTTGTTTGTATTTGTCCCATATTTAGTGGCTATGAAGCTGAAGCTACAGAAGCATCCCCCCACAGAAAAGCATATACATATACACATTGCTGCACGCAACTTGAAGGGGTCCAGATACCCTAGGCTAAGAAGCCCTTAATGAGACCTTTTCTCTCTTCAGTGTGTGTTCACAGGGAGTAGCTTAATGGTTCTTAACAACTACCAAGTAAAGAAAAAAGCACAGGTAACATCACTGCTTTACAGGTCTGATTTCAATCATTAATGTGATTATGTGCAAATCTTATAACATATTTGAGTCTCAATATTCTCATTGGCTCAATGATCTGCTAGATTAAATCAGTGATCTTCCAACCTTTTTTGCTCACCTATTCCCTAAATTAATTTTGACAATGTACCCCTTCATCTAAAATTTAAAATTTTTTATCATACCTTTAAGTAGCTGCAAAGCATGCAATATCTAGCTTACTATAAATATTAACATTTTTAGAAGAAATTGTATACAACTTTTATATTGATCCAAAGCAATTTAAATACTGTATTTATTTACTATTCAACATCATCAATTTTAAAAATTACATGAACATGCTCTTCTTTACAGTCAAAATTTTGTCATCTCTTTTTTTTTCTTGAACTTGTATATTGTCCATCTTCCCCCACAGAATTTTACTCTAAAGTAAAATGTATTTGTGCTGGGCACCAGATGAGCTGTCCAGATTCATGGTCAACGAAGGACTTTTTGCTCCAGCTGCAGGGGAGGCTCTCTGCAGACAATCTTCATCTGTCAGCCCCTTCAAGGATTGCCTCAGCTGTAGACAGCCCCCTTTCTCAAGGTCATGTCCCTTCCTAGAATGCTACACATTCAGTGACTGATTGATGTGAGGGTACAGAGACCTGGACATCTCAGTCTAACGTAGGAAAATTCTGAGAAACTATTCCAGACCTCCTTATAGGCTTAACCAAGGTTATCCTTCAGCTGGCATTGCAGGGTGACTTCTCCCTCTGCCCAATCCAGCTCTGCTTTTCACAGATGTTGATCCCAAGAGAGCACTCCATAATTATCAACTAGCATTCTAAATTTCAATTCAGAATCTATTACCTTAAATATGGGTATGCTTGAAAGTCTTTTATTAATCACTGTCAAATTTCCTTGAATCAGTATATCTATAGAAGTCAATTTTTTAAAAAAAATTATTTTTGTGACAGATTGTGTTAAGAAACAGCTTCAAGAGTAAGTTATAATTATAGGCCAGGCATGGTGGCTCATGCCTGTAATCCCAGCACTTTGGGAGGCTGGAGTGCGCGGATCACTTGAGGTTGGGAGTTCAAGACCAGCCTGGCCAACATAGTGAAAACCCATCTCTACTAAAAACACAAAAATCAGCTGGGCGTGGTGGCACCTGCCTGTAATCCCAGCTACTCGGGGGCTGAGGCACGAGAATTGCTTGAACACGGGAGGTGGAGGTTGCAGTGAGCCAAGATCATACCACTGCACTCCAGCCTGGGCGACAGAGTAAGACTTGGTCTCAAAAAAAAAAAAAAAGATAGATTAAGTTATAATTATAATTACTAGCAGTATCAAATTAAGTCTAACAACATCATTGCAATTCTTATAAATAATGTATAACCATAAAATTTGATTAGAAATATATCTTTTAATGCAATGAGTGGGACAGTGAAGTGTTATCTTAACACATTTGTTCAGTGGGTGAACAAATTATTGCTAGAATGAGACAGGGATCAGCAACAACAGTTCAATTTACATTTCTTGTTTTTACAGTAAGTTCTGAGAAAACTTGGATAGGAACGAAAGATTTGTTATGGAATTGTCACTAACTTATTTAAACTTCTTTCAAGTTATAATCTGAAAATCACAAATTAGTCTATCATACAAGTGTCTTTTAATGATATTAGCTGGAAACTCAATTGGGTTTACCCTTAATTTTGCTCAATTGTAAACTATTTGAATTGCTAAGAATTTGTTACCCAGCTATGAGAACCATTCACTATCTTAACGTTGAAAACAATATTTCTAATTGTCTCTTTTTTTGAAGCCCCAGAGATTTTTACAACACAGATATATGCTTCATATTGACTTAGAATGGGTAGGAGATGTTTTTCATTTATAAAATGAGATGAAAATGCTTGTAAATAGGGAGCAGGACCTCACGACAGGCTAGCTTTCAATACCATGAAAAAGTGCACAGGGTGATTGATGATCTGGAAACTGATCTCTTTAAAACCACGTCATGCTTGCCTTTGGAAAGTCTTTACACACCCTAGTTTGAAACCCCTGTCCCAGATGATTTCCAATATCCTATTATTTTATTTTGGTTATTGTTTTCCTTTTTGACTACATTTTTCATAGCATGTACATGACAAATATATATAAGATATTAAAATAGAATTGTTTCCAAGTTGATTCTAGGATTCATTTGACAAATTGGTGAAGATCCATTATGTGTTAAGCAGTGCCCTATGTTAATACAACAAATCTCTGCCCTTGAAGCAACTTACACTGCAGGTCCTCCTTCAGTCACAATGGGATTAAGTCTTATTAAACTCACCTAAGTTGAAAATAATTATACATCTAAAGTGTGTTTTTGACTTAGGATATTTTCAATTTATAATGGGTTTATCCAGACATAACCTCATGGTAAGTTGAGAAGTGTATTGAATGAGTATGGCTATTGCACCATCATAAAGTCAAAAAAATTTAAGTAGCCATCTTAGATTGGGGGTTTCCTGTAATGTCGATGGGGTAATACAATAATGAGCATTAAATTTAATAACTAAGCAAAGCATACATTATATTAAAAGGTGATAAGTAGTACAGAAAAAATTAAAAAGCATTTAAATAGAGTATACAAATGGTGAACTAGAGCTTAAGTGGGTGTAATATTAAAGAAAATGAGGAAAGTCTAATTGGGAAACTGACATTTGAATCTTTGCCTCTGTAAAAGGATTACATTTAGCTCTTGTATTTCTTCCTAAGACCAATGTAATATTAATGCACTATTAATCATAACACTATATGTCTGATTTATCATTGTTAGCCCTCTCTGGAGCACACTTATTCTATTTTAACTGTGGCTACAAAGTCATTAACCAATGTGATTTCAGCAAAATAATTTTTTTAGTTAAGTATCCTACTTTCTTTACCCTTAATATAAGTAACTTTGAGGAGATTGTACCTTTAAATGTCTCTAAATGTGGCTGTCTTTTGATATATCAGCAATCCTCACAAAACAAACTGTGAGGGAGAGAAAACTGAAAAACATATTAGCTTAAAAATGAGAGTAAACTTTGAAAATGAAAACAAGTGTGACAGATATTCCCTCTCAGCACTTCTAAAATACAAGTTGTCACTGTTAGTTAGAAAAGAGCTTTATTTTTAGACAAAGATCTTCTTATACAACTTACACTGTACCATCCATTGTTCTATGACTGTGAATAAATAGAATCTTGCACTCTTAGCCCGGAATTTTCTTTGTTTCCTTAAGCTTCCATCTCCCTAACTCTTATTTATAGAGATAGAATTGGGAGGCAAAACCAGTAATTCTCAAAGATGGTCCTTGAACCCTCAGAAACAATATCACGCTTGTTACAAATACAAACTCTCAGGCTCCACCCCATTAAACTTAGGAAGTGGAAACTAGAATCTGTGTTTTACAAGCCATCCAGATTATTGTGACAGACACAAAAGCTTGAGAACCACTAGATAGACTATATTTTATGAACATCGCAAATTGCTAATTTTAAATAGCATAAAGCAGAGTCCCATATTTCATATTCCACAGGATTCAGACGTAAATTCAAAGATTACTGATCGTGAATTTTTGTTTTGTTTTGTTTTTTGAGACGGAGTCTAGCTCTGTCGCCCAGGCTGAAGTGCATAAATTTAATTTAAAATAGCTAAAAAATATAAAATATACTTTAAAAATCTTAAATGAATGTGATCTATTGAAGAAGTTGAAGTGTGAAGTGTGAAATTGAAGAACACTGAAATGTATTGAGCAGTGAAAAGATTATGTATACAAAAACAGGTTGGCCGGGTGCGGAGGCAGGCAGATCACCTGAGGTCAGGAGGCACGATCTCGGCTCACTGCAAGCTCCAACTCCCCAGTTCATGCCATTCTCCTGCCTCAGCCTCCCGAGTAGCTGGGACTACAGGCGCCCGCCACCACTCCCGGCTAATTTTTTTGTATTTTTAGCGGAGACGGGGTTTCACCCTGTTAACCAGGATGGTCTCGATCTCCTGACCTCTTGATCCGCCCTCCTCGGCCTCCCAGAGTGCTGGGAATACAGGCGTGAGCCACCGCGCCTGGCCCGTGAAATGTTTTAAACACACATACGGACATACATAGTTTTGAAAGAATTAACACTCCCCTGGCTGGGTTACAGATGATCCAGTGAGGAACACCGATCAGCAAACTCACCTGATATTTAAACATAAACAGCAAACCCATACAACATGTGTGCTCTTTGTATTTAGCCATTGATCTGGAAGAGTTTAAGTCTATTTGAAGGAAATAAGAGACAACGCTCTTTAAAACTCTTTCTTACGATTAATAGTAATGTCAAAGTCCAAAAATTATTTGGAAGATTATAATTGGGCATGTAGTAAACCTACAAACTAATCTAGGTGTAATTTTCTCCTTATAATATGATGTCTTCTCATCCAGAAACATAAACGGTTTAACTGTTTTTTGTTTTGTTTTGTTTTAGTTTTCTGAGATGGAGTCTCGCTCTGTCACCTAGGCTGGAGGGCAGTGGCTCAATCTCAGCTCACTGCAAGCTCCACCTCCCGGGTTCACGCCATTCTCCTGCCTCAGCCTCCTGAATAGCTGGGACTACAGGTGTGTGTCACCGCATCTGGCTAATTATTTTGTATTTTTAATAGGGATGGGGTTTCCCCATGTTGGCCAGTCTGATCTCGAACTCCTGACCTCAGGTGATCTGCCTGCCTCCACAACCGGCCAACCTGTTTTTTTATACATAGTCTTTTCACTGCTCAACACATTTTAGTGTTCTTCAATTTCACACTTCACACTTCAACTTCTTCAGTAGATCACATTCATTTAAGATTTTTAAAGTATATTTTATACTGTTTAGCTATTTTAAATTAAATTTATTCATTATACTTTCTGCTATCATATACTATTTGGTCATTTATGTTTAGCTTCAATCTGATAATATTAATACTATTTTTAAAGAAAACTGTATTGTTAATTTTTGGTATACATAAGTCATGCAGTTATATCACTGTAAATAATAAAGAAGGAGAATATTAATAAAGAAGGCCCAAAGTGCAAAAACATAAGGAAAATAATTTGACAATATCAAAATTAAGAATCTCTTTTCAACAAAGGAAAACACAGAGTGAACAAAAAAGATGAAAAATTAGAATAGGCAAAACTAATTTATGGTGGCAAAAATGTCAAAGAAACATATCCTCTGGGGTATGTAGAGTTGATTAAGAAGAAGCATAAGGGAACTTTCAGAAGTGAAGGTAATATTCTGTACATTGATGGCATTTCGATCACCCGGATGTAGGCATTTGTCAAAAATCAATAAATGTGCATTCGGGATTTGTGCATCTCATTGCAGTAAATTGTATCTTTAAAAATACCATTAATAAAATATAATCAATATTCCTTCTTCTTACTAAGACATTCTCATTACTTAAATGTGGAAAAAATGAATTGGATTACATCAAAAGTCCCTTTATGACCCTTTAATTATTGGCTGAACATATGAAGAGAAGGAAGGCTTCTTTTTGTCATTTTTATTTGTTGCACTGTGTTTTTACCTCTGGCATTCCTTGAGGAGAGAAAGCACTGAAAGATGGTACAATATCCGAAACATTTTCATATCCTGGAGGAGGTGGTTCAAATAATGATGTGTTGAAAATCTAGAGAAACAAAATATTATAATCAAAATAAATCAGTTAAAGTTTGATTATTATAATCAAACACAAAAAAATGAATATTATATTTTATGTCAGTAGAGGGTGAATGAATCCTTCAGGATTTTGATGATAGTATCAGATACCCAGCACTATGCTAGAAGTTGTGAAGAATTCATGAGATGAATAAATCACAGATTCTGTCCTCAAAATGGTAAGATCTATTCAAGGAAACAAAGCTAAAAAACCCCACCAATAACTAAAAATCAACCAAACAAAAAACAACAACCATAAAATAAGTACTATAGAAAGAAAAGCTCAGAGGAGGTAAAAAGATACTCTTCCAAAAGGAATACTGTGTACTGTAAACTGTGTACTGATAGAAGGAAGAATTAGAAATTGATTTTTTTGTAAGTGGCATACATACTAAGCTAGTGTAAATAAAAGCCTAAATATGTAGTTGCTTCACAGAAGGTTAGAAGTAAATTAACCTCATGAATTTCTTGAGAGAACTTGTAAGGACTAGCTTTTGATTTTGGAGAAAGATTTTAATTACCAAATAAAAAGTACCTTTGTTTGGTAATCTCAATCATTATAATAGTGCTTAGATAATTACCTAGGAACAAATTAAATATTAAATTTACTTAAAAAAAAAGTATATGATTGGGGAATCCACAACTGACCATATCTAGATTCTCTGAACAACATATGCACTGAAAAGAATGAAAAACACTGAACCAAATATATGTCTTTTTAAGTTTATAATTAAATTGGAAAAAAATAGTAAGGAATGTTCAGAAGCAAAAAAATAAAATGAAAGCAAGAATCCTCAGAGGTAGCACGAAAGTTGGCTTTGCCTTAGATGGATCTATCAAAGCCTATGGCCCCATGAAAAGGATTCAGGAGTTGGTTTAAAGCTGGTTCACATAATGGAATCTAGCAGAAGACTGTGCATAAAGCTGGTCTAAGAACAACAATATCCTGGCCAGGCGCCGTGGCTCAAGCCTGTAATCCCAGCACTTTGGGAGCCCAAGGTGGGTGGATCACGCGGTCAGGAGTTTGAGACCAGCCTGACCAACATGGTGAAACCCCGTCTCTACTAAAAATACAAAAATTAGCTGGGCCCACGTGCTTATAATCCGTTACTCAGGAGGCTGAGACAGGAGAATCACTTGAACCCGGCAGGCAAGCTTGCAGTGAGTGGAGATCGTGCCACTGCATTCCAGCCTGGGTGACAAAAAAAAAAAGAACAACAATATCTTTCAGGGTTAAGGATAAATTCAAAATAAACTTGCTCCATGGAAAGTAATGGTTTAGCGTAAAGCAGGAAAAAAGGGTTCCAGATAATTCATAACCCTACAAATTTCCATTCACTGTTTATATAGTATGCCTCAAGCTAAAATATTTATTTTAAAGCAGTGCCAGGTTTGTAGTGCTCCCTGGCGCCTAAGAGAAATGATCAGGAGGAATCAGCCTTCAAATTAGCCTTAAAGAATTCCCAAATTCTTATTACTATCATATTAATAAACATATTTATCAAGTTTATGAAACAAGACTGAATTAAAATTATGCATATAAATTGGTAATATATAACAAAAGTGAAAGTGTTCTAAGGTTTCTGTATTGTAGAAATATTGATTGAATTATGACACCAAAGCTATAGGGGAAAAAAGGAAGAGTAAAATTCACACTAGAGGAAGGTAAAAGTGACCTAAATATTGTATATTAGAATTATAAAAAATGAAAATGGAAAAAAGAATAATTAAAAAGCGTAGCATGTCTAAATAAAATCAGCTGTGTACCAATTGACAAGCAGTGACATAAACCTACTGAAAAAGAAATACCAAACAAATATTAATTTAAAAAAAATTTTAGGACAAAGTCAAATAACATTATGACGAGATAAAAAAGGCTACTACATAAGTATAAGTCTGTCATTTCATCAACTATTCTAATTTTGTTTGTATATGTTAATAGGTCTCCAAATTATACATAACACAAATTTATGGAATTATAAATTTTATACATATAGTATGAAGCAGACATTACTATAGTGAGGTGAGATAATTTAACATTTATCTCTAATTAATAAAGGAAGCAGACAAAATGAGAGAGCACATTAAGGATAATGGAGATTTCAGCCAAATAATAAGCAAACTCAAACTAATGTACAAATATAAAATATTAAACCAAACAACCATCAAATACATGTTTTTCCCAAAGAAACACAGAACATTTATAAAAATTGAGCACATATTAGGTTCCAAAGGAAGCCTCAACAATTGTCAAAGGATTAGTGTCCTACAAACCACATTATCTGATCTCAATATGTTCAATTTAGAGATCAGATCAAACAAATAATAATAACAATCTTTACATTCAGGATTTTAAAAAATCTTGTAAACAGTTCCAGGATCAAAGAAGAAAATACAGAAATTAAAAAATATTTACATACTAATGATAATTAAACTACTCCTAATCCAAATTTGTGAGATGTAGTTGAAGTGGAAAGGGAAGTTAAAGGGGAAATTTATGGCTCTAAATGCTCATAGTAGAAATGAAGAAAGACTGAATGTCAATAAGTTAAGCATTCTACTGAGGATTTTACAAAGAACAGCAAAGTAAACACAAAGAAGATAAAAGAGGCAATTATAAAACAAGAACAGAATTAATAAAATATAAAGCAAAGATAGATGAGAAAAGATTGCCAAAGCCAAAGTTTATTCTTTGGATACACTAGTAAATTCGACATATACCTCTCAAGAGCAATAAGAAAAAAAATATAGCAAAAGCACAAATAAATAATATTAATTATCAAAAAGAGGCACATCTGCAGATGCTGAACAGATTTAAAAAGATAAGAAAATACTAGGAACAACTATACTATAAATTTGAAAGCTTACATGAAATGGAAAATGCATTTTAAATAAAACTTATGAAAACTGACATAAGAATACATTTTTTAAAAAATCGGCCACACACAATGGCTCACGCCTGTAATCCCAGCACTTTGGCAGGCCGAGGCGGGTGGATTACGAGTTCAGGAGTTCGAGACCAGCCTGGCCAACATAGTGGAACCAGGTCTCTACTAAAAATACAAAAATTAGCCGGGTGCGGTGGCACGTGCCTGTAGTCCCAGCTACTTGGGAGGCTGAGGCGGGAGAATTGCTTGAACCTGGGAGGCGGAGGTTGCAGTGAGCTGAGACCATGCCATTACACTCCAGCCTGGGTGACAGAGTAAGACTTGGTCAAAAACAACAAAAAAATCTAGTTGTATAGCCATATAACAATAAAGTCATATATCAAACAATAAAAATTGTTCTATGACATAAAATTATCATATGACAAACAATAAAGTCATTTAACAAACAATAAAAATTGTTATATGACATAAAATAGTCATATAACAACCAATAAAGAAATTAAACCAGTAGTTTAAAATTTTCCACAAACAGAGTCAAGGCCAACTGGTTTTCCTTGAGTTTGAAAGGTTAAAGGAAAAAATAATTTAATTACAACAAAACCAATTTCAGAAAATATTAAAAACCCAACTCATTTTAGAAGGCAAGTAGGATATTGAAATTATAACCCAACAAATAGATTTCAAAAATACAGACTAAACATGCTATGAGGATAAACATAATATATATCAATATATGAATTTAAAACCCTAATGCTAATATTACAAGTTCAAAAAATGTAAGATTATTCTAACATTAGAATATCACTGAATGTCATCTTCAGATCAAGAAAGAAAAATCTCCTGCTCATCTCAAAAGAAAAATGTGTTTAATATAAATCCATATAGCAAAAAATTTTAGTATATGTGGAAAGGATGTACTTTAAGATAACCAGAAAAAGAAAACAGTAAATATCATAATTAATGGTGAGAAAGAATTAAAGGTATTTCCTTCAAGACCAGAAGAAAGTTAAGGATATCTGCTATCAAAACTTCTTTTCAACATTATATTGTATAGGTCTTGGCCAGAGCAGTAATACAAATGGGAGGGATTTGGAGATGAGGAGGGTATCTGGGCAGATCTTACATTGTACTGACTAGAGCAGTAGTTATTTCCCTTTTCTGACACTGATAGAAGCTAAAATGAAACCAAATCAACTACGACTTGCCACATCCCCACATATTCCAAATTTCCCATATTTTTTTCTGTGATTCACATAAGAAATGAACTCATCTGAATCACTAGGTAAGATTAAAAGAAAAATTATGCTGAGGTGCAATAAAAATCAATAAAGGAAGAAAGTCATTATATAAGCATGTCTTTCAGGCAAGGGAATATTCAAACTTGTCTCACTTGATTTGCCTTTATGGTAATCAATTTCGCAGCACCACTATGCCACACTGAATTTTACAGCAAGTTTATGAGCTATTCTAACAAGTAAGAAAAGTTTTTAATGTCAAGGAAATGCCTTTTTCGTTGACTTTATCAAAGTTAGATTAAATTTCAGTCTTAGAGTATTTTTTACTTTCCAAAATATTAGTTTACAATTTCTGTTTACATTTTGTGACATAAAAAAGTCAATATATAGTTAAACCTTTATGGGATGTTATTTCTGCATAATCAAAGGTGAAACAATGTCTCTATATACATTAAAAATATTTCTCATAGGATCCACAAAATACTAATCATATTTGTTGCCTAAGGGATGGAGAACTTGTCTGTTTTGTGCAGGGGTATAAACGGAATCATAGTTTACCACATAGCTCAGCTGTGAACTGTTATTCATAACAATTAAATTGTACTGGGAGATGGGAGGTAGTAAGAAAAGATGGTGGTTGGGGCCAAGGGATGAACAGGGAGCTGACTTGTCACAATGTCAATAGATAATGCCTGCATCTGAAATAAAAGCCATATAAGCATGTAATTTATAGAAATAGATGTAAATACCAAAAGAATGAACTTATAGTTGAATCATGGTTGCCTCTGGAAAGAGGAAAATAGAGAAAAAGCAAGGCACTCAGGAGAATTATGTGATTATGTACATATATAACATGGATAAAAAGAAAAAAGAACTAATGATATAAATTTAAAAAATTAAGAAACTACGTATGTAACACTATTCAGGAAAATCTCCCAAGTGAAACTTTTACGTGATTCATTTTGTATTATGTAACAGGCTTTGGTAACATTATGAATGCTTGTAATACAAAAGTAAATAATGAAATAAAATAAGCAATGGTATAGTCAAAACTGGGAAGTGAGGAGGAAGGAAAAAAGAAGAAAAAACGACAACACAGCAAGACCCCATCTTAAAAAAAAACTAACCAGCACTTTGGGAGGCCGAGGCGGGTGGATCACGAGGTCAGGAGATCGAGACCATCCTGGCTAAAACGGTGAAACCCCGTCTCCACTAAAAATACAAAAAAATTAGCCTGGCGTCGTGGTGGGAGCCCGTAGTCCCAGCTACTCGGGAGGCTGAGACAGGAGAATGGTGTGAACCCGGGAGGCGGAGCTTGCAGTGAGCGGAGATCCCGCCACTGCACTCCAGCCTGGGCGACAAAGCGAGACTCCGTCTCAAAAAAAAAAAAAAAAAAAAAACAAGAAACTAAAATATATTATATGTCTGCTCTTTTCCACATTGTACCTAGACAATTCTCAAATTTGATAGATCAAAAGAGACGTTTAAGCATATGTATACATTTTAACATTGTCAATATTTTATTTCTTTAAATTTTCTGAACATGTTTTAAAGACCCCTTGGTATTTAACTGTATAGATATGCCACCACTTATTTAACAAACATTCTGAGACTATACGACGTGTAGTGGTATTGCCTTTTCAATATAATATATTTTAGGCTTTTTTAGTTTGTTTTTCTTTTTTTTTTTTCTTTTAAGGTGGAGTCTTGCTATGTTGTTCAAGCTGGTCTGCAACTCCTGGCTCCAGCAATCATCCTATCTCAGCCTCCCAAGTAGCTGAGATTAGGGGAACATGCCACCACGCCTGGCTTAATAATATTTTTTAAAGTTATATTGTTAACTACTATGATTGAGAACAGTAGTTAATATGAAAAGCTCCAATCACATTAGGAAATTTAGTATGGAATTATATCACTGACTGTAAAACATAACAACATATTAATCATTAAGAAGAGACTGATTCATTAGTCAATAAAAGGAGGTTATTGACCTACTATGAAAAAAATTATATATGTACTTAAATCACATGACATTTTCAGTTCACTGATCAAACTGGACATATTTCAAGCTACATGTAATTAAGAGTGCCCAGTAATAAAAGGACTAAAGGAACTTACCTAAATAGAAATGGACTCTTCTACATACGGTAGCTGTAAAACTGAGGTATGTTAAGTAAGGATGAATGTATGTTATATTTTGTGATCTTTCATATTGAACATACATCATAATAAATATATCAATTTATCTGGATTGTCTTCTCTTTCTCAAGTATATGCCCCAACTTGCAAACAAGATTGCAAATTCTTTAAATACCATGCTAAAGACCTTGCCTCCAAACTTGTCCTCTCCAAATGTCCACACACAAATTCTTCGCACAGAGCTCAACCTGATCAGTTGAGACATAATCATTAAGTACCAATAAAAACTTGCTGGGTCAAACTGCATACTGGATCCGTGCATTTCCCAGCAACTCCAAATCTGTGCAGTGTCTTTAAAAATTAAACCTATCAAAAATGTATCTCTTGGTCAGGCGCAGTGCCTCATGCATGTAATTCTACAACTTTGGGAGGCTGAGGTGGGTGGATCACCTGAGGTCAGGAGTTCGAGACTAGCCTGGCCAACATGGCGAAACCCGGTCTCTACTAAAAATACAAAAATTAGCTGGGTGTGATGGTGCACACCTGTAATCCCAGCTACTCAGGAGGCTGAGGAAGGAGAATCCCTTGAACATGGGAGGTGGAGGTTGCAGTGAGCCGAGATGGCACCACTGCACTCCAGCCTGCCTGACAGGAGTGAAACTCCATCTGGAAAAAAAAAAAAAAGAAAAAAAGAATCTCTTTTATAAAGTATCTCTTTTTATGCTTGGAGGTTTACAAGTATATCATATTTGATATTGGTGTGTAGTACTAAAAACTAAAAAATAGCAGCTGTTATCAAGCATTAATTTCTCAGAATCTTTCTAAAACACAGTAAACTCAAACATCATAGGAAAGTAGTTGACAGGAATAATGAGATATTAAAGGTATTCACAAGATCCAATAATACTGATTTCTATTAATATTTAGAGATGGGATAGAACATTATTTCATAGAAGGTATTTGAAAAAGAATAAATGGGGGGAATGTTTCTTTTATTTATTTATTTATTTTTTACCTCATTTCCATCTTCATTAATTATTGAGATGTAGTTGGGATGTGTCTTATTTGGGTAGGACAACAGGACATCATAATGAGCTAGCTCAGCAGAATCCAGGCCAAATTCTTTCCACTGGGATTGAATTTGCTTTGCAAGCTGAAAGTTTTGTTCTGTTCCTGCTAAATGTGGTATCTGTGTAAAATTACTGGTGAGCAAAAATTGAAAGTGGTTAGATATGAATGTTTAATCAACTTTTATTCCAAATCAACAAAGAAAAGCAGAGTTACACAAAAGTACTTTGAAGTGTGATACGTTAAAAAATTAAAGTGGTACTATTATTGCATGAAATAGATTTTCAAAGTCTGCTTTGAAATTTTTATGCTCTAATTTGTACTAAATCAAGAGAAAAATTGGAGAAACTGATTTTTGTACCATTATGTGTAATCCTATTACTATAACCTCGTATGGTAGATTATCATATTCTTTCTTAAGACCTGTACTTCTTGCAACTTACATGGAATTATCTGTTTATATCACTGTGTAAAATATTGAAACAGACGAAAATGTTTTATCCAAAAGACCAAGGTGTGACATGGCAAGAATTACTAATAATTACATTTATTTAAATACTGAGAGTTATAGACAAGTGATAAGCTTTTTGATTAGCAACCATTTATAAAGTATCTTCATCAAAGAATAATCTGAACATACCGATACAAGTTCAGAATGAATCTCTTGCACTCCATCTATCATACAGAGTAACACCCTTAAAATCAATGACAATAATTAGTCTGAAGAGGAATATCTTTAACAAAGAAATTATGTGGCCAAAATTTGGCTACCAGAAATATTTTCAGGAGAAGACTAATTTCTCATTTAATTTATTTAGATTCTGGGGCTTTTGATTGTTTTAAATTTCTCCCTTCTGGGAAATTTCTTGTTTCCCTGAAGAGCTCATTGGTAAGTATTTTTAACTTAAGCCCTTAAATATATGACAAGATATTATGTAGCATGAAAAGATAAATATATATATATATTTCATAAACTTTTGGAACTTCATACTTTCCTAGTTTTAAATATGTAGTTTTATAAAATCAACATAATTCCATCCTTATGGTGATTTAAAAAAAACTAATAACCAACGTGACTATGATAATTACAGTTTCAGGCTTCATTCTACCATGTATTTTAATTTTTTTTCATTTGGTGAATCAATAATGAATTAAAGTAACTCGATTTTTTAAAATTGGAATTTCCTGTAACTTGTTTACTTTAATAATTATATTAAAGTTATTTAAATTGTATTTATAAAAATAGTATTAAAATCCTCATTTGGTAAATGTTTAGGGGCAAAATATCTTACACAGAATTTCTAATATGGAAAATATTGTAACAAAAAGGGCACAAACATAAGAGGCAGCTAAGGAGTCTCTATCCTTTATCAGTGAGCACCTGCAGGGAAAACAGAAAAACAGCCAACATATCGCTATTTTCTTGAATATTACGAAGATCACAAACTGCTATGTAACTAATGTAGGATGCAGATATCCTGAAGTGCCAGCTATGCCTCTGTCCCTATAAGCAAAAGGAATTACTATGGGGAATCTTGAACCTACTCACAAAAAAGCGGGAGAAAATCATTATAAGGCTTTGCTACTATTAAGTGAATTTTCTTGTAATAGTCTTGTCACTACCAACTAGGAAACAACATTTTGCTATTATCAGGGTTGGGACTCACTCATTTGAACAAAACACATCCTGGAAAAGATTAGTAGGAGAAAAAAAGATCCATTGCAAATACTAAATAAATTAATTAGCATAAATCATGTATGTGGTATAATACAGGTGTTGTCATTAACTCAGTATGTAACCCTAGCTGTGTCTTGAGTTTCTCATCTGTATATGGGGAGAACATCACTGTCTCACTACTTCACAAAGACTTGAGGCTCAGTTAGATTGCGTATTAAATAGCACTTCTCAATGATTTTAATCATTTGAGATGTGTGTTACAAGTTGTTGAACCTACCAGAATATCAAATTTTGTAAAAAATAAATAAGAATAAAAATATGAATTTACAAATTTTCCCAAATAGCCAAATTCTGTTTATATATCACTGTAGGGATGCTTTAAATGTGTTTCTAGTATTGTCACATTATTTCTTTTTTTTTTTTTTTTATAAGAGACAGAGTCTCATTGTGTTGCCAGGCTGGAATACAGTGGTGCAATCATAGCTCACTAAAACCTGGAACTCCAGCCTCCTGAGTAGATAGGACTACAGGCACATGCCACCATGCCCAGATAATTTAAAAAAATATTTTGTAGAGACAGAGTCTCACTCAAGGCATCTGCCTGCCTTGTCCTCCCAAAGGGCTGGGATTACATGGGTGAGCCACTATGCCCGAATACATTATCTCAGTCCTTTAAGAGAGCTACTGTTATTTCTGTTTTAGTACATTTCATCTTGTTTGCAAATAATTTGGCAGTGTTTCCAAGACTTCAAGATGACGAAGGTATTCAGTAAAAGGTGGAATTAGTTGGGCACGGTGGCATGTGCCTGTAGTACTACCTACTGGAGAGGCTGGAGCTCCAAGCTGCAGTGAGCTATGATTGTGCCACTGCACTCCAGCCTGGCAGCAGAGTGAAACCCTGTCTAAAAATAATAATAATAATAATAATAATAATAATAATAATAATAATAATAATAATTATTGAGATAAAGTGACAAGACAATACTTGGAATATATTTAAACCAGTCTGACAGAGATCTATGAATGGATTTTTGCTATTCTGGAAAGTGTGTCAATTCTTATTCTTACCTTTTTTTTTAATAAAATTTGATATACTAGTATCAACAAATTACTTGTGACACACATCTCAAGTGATTAATAGATTAAGAAGTGTAGTTTAATATGTGATTTCATTGGGCCTATATATTCAAATACAGACCTATGTATTCAAATACAGACCAGTAAAATTCTGAGACCAAAAGTCTAAAACACCTTTTAAAACGATCTTATCCGGCAAAACAATGTGGAAAAGGAAGAATCCCTCTAGAGAGATGCAAAATGGTAAACAGATCTGTGAATTCAACTGGGTGTTTTCAAAGAAGAGAAAACACAGACAACCCTGTACCCCAAGGCAGAGTGAAAAAAAGCTGCTCCTAATTAATCTTCCCATTCACTACTGAGGCAGACATTTCAGAGGCAGTGGGGGCTTTTAAAAGCAGAACTAAAGATTTTAAAGGGGGACCAGATGGAAGGTCAGAGGTTTTAATAGTCCCTGACCCATGGGTATATTTCAATTGAAAGCTCTCTGATGGACAAATGGCAAATTGAAAATCTGGAGAGTTTAGGAGGCTTCTGGAGATTCTGTGGTCCTTGGAGGAGTGAGAGGGAATTCTTTCAATTTCTTTCTTTTGTGTGTTTATGCTGAATATCCCCCTGAGTTCTGGTTAGAGGAGCTTGGTTAGGGACATGGAGAATAAACAAGAAGCTGACTGCTTAATCTTGCTGAGGGTCCAAAAAGAGAAATAAAGAAAGGCATTTATTTTTCTTCTTTGTTGGTCAATCTATGTCACAAGTTAATGTTACAGGTAGTTAGACAGGAGCAAGGCAGGAGGGGGCTCTCCCGCCACCCTCTAGAATGTCAGGTGATGGTTCGGTTCAGCAATGATCGCATTGCCTCTCTAAAAATAATTTAGCAGTGCCAGGGAGAGGCCAGCTCTTGATGGTCCACACCTGTTAACACCAAAATGTTAACTGAATGCAGACTCCAGGGAGAAGCAACTTCCTGGGCCTGTGTGTTAGAGACAAAAATGGTATAGTATAATCTTCCAGGTACACTCCACCAGAAAAAGGAAGAGAGACTCAGATGGGCCTGTGTATACTTCCCTAAACACATTGCGGGTGCTCATTTCCGAAGGGTCAGGAGGGCTGGGCAGCCCACCCTAAGAGAAGAATCATGGGAAAGAGGCAAGCCTAAAAAAGTCCTACGATCACAGTTAAGTGGGGCACTTGGCCTTCTCTCACCTTCATGTGCCTGCTTGGCTCTCTTCCAAGCACACCTTCCTTTCTTTCCTTTTGAAATAAACTTCCATTCCTGCTCTGGAACTTGCCTTGGTCTCTTTTTCTGCTTTTGCCCCCAATTGAATTCTTTCTTCTGAAGAGGCAAGGACTGAAGTTGCTGCTGACCTTATGGATAGGCTGCTGATAACCTGGAGTAACTTGGATCTCTTCCACCACTAATATTGGGAAAGGAAGAAAGCTGGAACAGCAGCTCTGTCCAGGAGTAAAGACCATACCTTGCCAGACCTCCACTTCTATTATACCTACTATACATTATTATAGTGGAATAAGCACAACCGGCAGAGGAGGGGTTTCCACAAAGATAAAGAAGTTCGAGCTTCAGAGTCTCACATTTAAAACGGCCCTTCCAAAGACCTGAGAGGTATCCTATCAATTTTTACTTATACTTTTAATTCCGTTGTAATTAATACAAACATATATGTGTTTGTATGATTATATGTGTACACATCTATGCATACCTATGTGTGTGTGTGTGTGTGTAATGGTCTTTTAATTTAGAATTACAACCTTTATTCACCAGGGAATCCTGCAATCATTAGAGGGACTTCAAGTATTTTTGGACACATGAGCTAACTCAATTTGTAAAAATTCACAAAAGGATCTCACGCTTAAAAAAAAAAAGCAAGTATTCTGGGCTGGGTGTGGGGGCTTACACCGGTAATCCCAGTACTTTGGGAAGCCGAGGCGGCCAGATCACCTGAGGTCAGGAATTTGAGACCAGCTTGACCAACATGGAGAAACCCTGTCTCTATTAAAAATACAAAATTAGCTGGGTGTGGTGGTGCACGCCTGTAATCCCAGCTACTCAGGAGGCTGAGGCATGAGAATCGCTTGTACCCGGGAGGCAGAGGTTACAGTGAGCTGAGATCACGCCATTGCACTCCAACCTGGGCAACAAGAATGAAACTCCATCTCAAAAAAAAAAAAGAAAGAAAAGAAAAGAAAAAAAAAACAAGTATTCTAATCAATTATATATAGTAATTCTATATAAGTATTTTCTTTTTGGTTGCTTTTTAAATTTACTTATTTATCTCTTTTGTCCTACACTGGAAATAGCTATTTCAGGAAGTAGAGAGCTAGTTTTTAAAATATGCCAAGTATATGCTAAATATACGCTCTTGGACTTCATCCATATCATAATAAGATCATTATTCCCATTTTACAGATGTGGAAAAGAGAGCTCAGAAAGATTAAGTATTCATCCAAAGTATTAATAGGCAAAGATGGAATTCAAACTCAATTCTAACTCAAAGTCCATTTTTGTTTAACTAAAATGCAATATCTTTCTCTAAAGCATTAATCAGCAAACTAGGTTCCACTGGCCAAATCTGGACCACTAACTGTTTCTGTACAGTCCACAAGCTAAGAATGGTTTTTATATTTTAAATTGGTTTTAAAAATAATATTTTTGAACATCGATTATATGAAATCCAAATTTCAGTGCCCATAAGGAAAGTTTTATCAGAACTGACTGTTTATGTATTTTCTATGACTTCTTTTGTGCTGCAATAGCAGAGCTGACTAGATGTGACACAGATCAGCTGGCCTAAAAAGGCTGGTCCTTTTACAGAAAAAGTTTGCTGACTCCTGCTCTAAACCTCTGTAATGACAAAATTTAGCTGAAAGTATAGTCCTCCTCAGATGAAATGTGATCCAAGATCTTCAATAAATAAAATTTTAAGAAAAAAGGCCAGTTCCTATATATAAAATATTGGACCAAAACAGAATGATAAATTTTTCTAACAACTTGTCCATATAAACTTTCAAGAATGTGCTTACTATAAGAACTTCTTGATGTTCTCAGCTTTCAATTCATCCAAAAATGCTTTCATATTATGCTTTGGAGTAATGTTAGTAGCTTCATTGGAGGATTTTATAAACCACCCTGAAAAATACATCCAAAAATAGGCATGAGATATGAGCCTATAGATAGGACTTATTTTTCATTATTGTTGTATGTATCATTTGTAAAACACAAATTATCAATATTACCTCTGACATTAGGTGAGATATTTCTGAATTTTAATTTCTCTTGCCTACTTTCACTGAAAAAGAGTCATGCAAACAGATTTTTAAGTTGCAAACCAATTGCAAAATATTTTTTATCCAACTTCAATGATAGGTATTGCTGTTACTCTAAGAAATGTTTTATGAGATAATCAGGACGAAAATAAAATGACATTGATGTTTCAACTAATGGGTATACATGAGATGTTCTGAAAATGAAGGCAAAAAGGAGATCCACCTTCTACTTTCATAAAGTTTCTATCTTCCTCTGCTGACTCAGAATAAGCATTTAATACATTTTTATAATGAATTAATTATGAATATATTTCAAATACATAAATTATTTCCAAGTGTTGAAGGAAATTCAGACTTCTAATTTGCTCTGATTCTGAAACTAAAACAAAATGCTGTGAGAGTTTGTGTTTCCAGTGAAGTAGGCTTGAGAAATCCAAGTTCAGACAGCTACAATGAAACTACAATTTACCCAGCCTCTCTGCCAGACACCCAGTGCACGCATAGGCGGCCAGAAACAATGGATAGCTAGATCCTGCAGTCACTAGACCTTGCAGTTGGCTTTTAACCTGAAGGAGATAAGGCAAGATTCCAGGGTTTATTTAGAGAAATTACAGGATCTGGGAATAAAATAGTTACAAAATTAGTGCCCAACCAGCTTTCATGGAGCTTTCCAATTATTAATTATTCTAGTTCTTAATCGCATGCATACAAATGCATATACATATATCCATGCATATTAAAATACATGATTGGACGCAAATGGAAATAAGATTCCACCTGTGCGTAAAACAGAAAGACTTGGATTAGAGTGAGGGATCAGGAAACACCACACTGAGGATGAGATGCTTTAACTGAGATCTGAAAAATGAACAGGATGAAGAGGATGGAGGCCTGTAGGGGGAGGGGAGAGCAGAGAATCCTAAGGGGTAGGGGGCGGACATCAAGAAAGAACTCTTCTGTGTCAGCCACTGAGCACGGAATACAGGGATGAGAGTGAGGGCAATACGAGGAAGAATAAAATCCTTTTAAGAGATGAAGATTGTTATGAGCACAGTGTGTGGTTCAAAAATCTTTTAACAACCCCAAGGTGAAGCTAGTTGAAGATACTGAATTTGTTTAAACCCATCTGGTCCATGCCCTGTTCTTCTAAATCCCGAAAGAGGGTCAAGAATTCCAAGCAGGAGTGGACTACCTGGTGATACCTTAGACTAGTCCTGTGTATTAAAGTCCAATGAGGAGCATCTTGGTAAAAGAAGAAATGAAGTGGCGAAAATCCCAGTACTGTGCTAGATTTACATGATATATTATTTACTATTACCAATAATTTGCAGATAATATTATCCTCATCATAAAATAGGGTAACTAACGCTGAGAGGGACTCGGTAACTTGTTCAAGGCCACTAAGAAGTGGCAAAGTCAAAACTGGAATTTAATAAAAGAGTCTGAGCTTGCCTGTGTGGTTCTGCTTTTCTTAGAAAGTTGGATCAAGTCTGCAAATCAGTACCCAGGAAAAACAGCAAAAGACCTGCTGGTAAAGACCTGTCCAGATTGCTGACCTGGTTCACACAGTTCCCAAGCTTGCCTCTGTTACTTCCAAGGAAGAAAGAATGCACAGAGAGGAAAAAAACAAACAAACAAACGAAAAAAGAAAACAACACTGGAGCCTGGTAACAGAGTGAGACTCTGTCAAGAAAGGAAGGGAAAGGAAGGGAAGGCGAGGGAAGGGGAGGGGAAAGGAGGGGAAGGAAGGGGAGGGGAGGGGAGGAAAGAAAAGAATACTGGAACTTGTTGAAGGCAGAGACTTTATTTTCATATCCCGGCTATGTCTGGCTACTGTCTTACCTAATAGATATAAAATCAGTCTTGGTTGGATTAACCAGAAGAATCATCATACAAAATTATATCCCTGCTATAAATTCTTAATAATAATAGTGATATTTCGAGGGAGAGAATAGCTACATGCTTTATAAAATAAACTGTGTTCTTATAATCCATGAGAGAGGCCGTGCATTTACTAGGAGTACTTTATGGAAGCACTGCTTTTAACAGAACCATAAGGTACAGGTAGGATTTGACCCAGTGGAGATGAGAAGAAACATTAGGGGCCATGGGCCAGCTGAGTAGGCAAAGGCAGAAAACTCAGAGTGTATTCAAGGAATAGCAAACAGTTTGCTTTGAGAAAAGGAGAGCACAGTATGAGTTAAGTGGAGAAAGATGGGCTAGATTGTACAGTCTTGGGTGCTTCGATGAAGACTTTCTGCGCAAAGTGAAAAATTTGGGAAAATTAATTTGTCAGCAATGAACCATGACAACTCCTAGATGACCTAGGGCAGGAAGGAAGGGAATTTCTTCATCTCTTTCTAACAAAATCCTGAATGTACTATATCTTTCCTAATGTTCCTGTTGTCAAATCTAATCAGAGATGGCTAATAATAGTGACTAATATTTAAAGAGCACTTATTATGAGTGATGCATTTTATGTACGTCACCTCATTTAATCACCATTGGGACCCTTCAAGGTTTGTTCTTATTACTCTTCCCGATTTACACATGGTAAAACTGAAATTTAGCTAGATTGGGTAAGTCATTCAAAGTCACAAAGCTAAGACTTAATATAATGTCTGTCTGTCTTTGTACCACTCTACAGTCTCTATTCAGCACAGGATACCTTTATGGAGTTTGCTTGTGGCACTGGAGGGAGCACTGAGTTTGGAGTCAGAAGACTCTTAATAATCTTTGGACCTGGTCCTGTCCAAGCTGTGTACCCTTGGGTGCTAAGTATTCAGCTTACCAGAATATATCTTCTCATTTGTAAAACGTGGGATCACCCAGTAACATTACGCAGTACAGTTGGTTAATGTGTTTTCTTTGAAGGTTAGATGTGATTATAAGTGAGCAAATTTCAGTTAAATATAAAAGTGATTTTTGAACAATAGAATTTATTCAATTAATAATTGAATTAATAAGTCGCTATGGTGAAGAGGATGTATTTGAAGAATTCAGACAACGAATGAACATCTGTCACATATTGTAAGCCTTGTGGAACTTACAGTTTAGTGGAGAAGATAAACGTTCAACAAGTAGTTAATAACCAATATACTGAGCATTTTCTATATGGAGGACACTACACTATGTGCTTTATATGCATTATTTCATTTAATTCTCGTGACTTATCCTGAAATAATTTAAAATCTCTAAGAGGTGATGATGTAAACCACACTAGATTTTTCTGTTGCACCCTGTATTATTATTTACCTTTTACAGATAAGAAAACTGAGGTTTAGAGAAATTGATTAAGTTTTGCGGAGCGCTAAGGAGTTAAAAGAAAAATGAAAAATGGGCTTAGCTGGCAGGAACAGAAACAGGGGCAGAGGGGAATGAATGTTCCAAGAATAGGGTCAACTGCAAATGGCTCACTTAACACCCAAGCATCCTCTTACAAGCACCCAGCTCATAGCCCATCTGTAACCAAGCATCCTGTCTGCAAGCATTCAGCCTAAGGAGCACCCTTATAAAACTCCACTCGAGTCCCTGCCTCTTTGCAGACAGCCTTCCCTCTGCTGTCTGGCCAGTTGCTCCCTTTCAATGTGTCTCCCCTTTTCTCTAAATAAATACGCCTTTCTAAACTCATTACTGTCTTGGTATTAAGGTAAATTCTTTTACTACCTGCACGCCAGCCTCACACAGTTGTTGACCATGACAACTTTCTCAAGAAAACAATTGGCAGATGTTTGTTTTCTGAATCCCACCAATAAGCATTAGGCCATACTATACTTCCTTCTTTAACTATTGGAAAAAGATTGAAGATGACTCTTCATGTCAGAATTTATAGAAACAAACATGAACTAAATCAGAGTATTATACTCATCTATGAGGTGTGTTCTAGAAAAAAATTAAAATATTTTTAATTCCTCTTATTTCCAGACTTTTACCCATATTTGCCTTTGAAAAATACTTAGTCAAGAAAAATCACCGGTTGCTTTATTTATTTATTTATTTATTGTCAAAGTCTGGCTTTGTCACCTCAAACTGCTGGGCTCAAGCCATCCTCCCACCTCAGCCTGCCAAGTAGCAGAAGCTACAAACACCAGCCACCATGCCTTACTCATTTTAAAAAAATTTTTGGAGAGACAGGGTCTTGCCATGTTGCCCAGGCTGATCGTGAACTGGCCACAAGCAATCCTCTTGTCTCAGCCTCCCAAAGCCCTGGGAATAAATACATGAGCCACTATGCCCAGCCTCCTTGGCTACTTCTTAATCTGTAAACATAGCATTCTTGGACTCTAAACTGCATGCTAAATAACATAGCTCTAGAAGATAAAAATTCTAACTTATTTCTCCAAGTAATTTGATTTTTTTAAATTTCAGTATTTTTAAATTGGGGGTGGTTACATAGGCATTTATATTTGTTGAATTCCTTTTGTCATATGTTAAAAATATGTGCACTTTATTGTATTTAAAGTATAAAGTTTAAAACTGATATAAACAAAAAGATATGGCCATAGATAAATAAGAATTTTCCCTAATGGTTCATCTGAATTCCATTGTTTCAAAGTAATTAATTCTCATTCTCCTTATGCTAACTTTACCTAAAGTAGGGGAACATTTGCAGAGGGAACTTTGTAGACAGATTTCTTTGCTTCGGAATTTTGAAAAATAGAAAATGTGGTAATACTGTTTCCAATGTAATGATGAAATGGAGTAGTAAATGAACATATTTTAGGAAAAAAATGCTTGTAATATTTAAATAAAATATATATTTTTTCCTCTGTTAATTTTTATTACTAAAATAAAATGCTTTTTTTTTTTTTTGAGATGGAGTCTTGCTCTGTTGCCCAGGCTGGAGTGCAGTGGCACGATCTCGGCTCACTGCAACCTCCACCTCCCCGGTTCAAGATATTGTGCTGCCTAGCCTCCTGAGTAGCAGGGACTACAGGTGTGTGCCACCATGCCCAGCTAATTTTTGTATTTTTAGTAGAGGCAGGGTTTCACGTTACCCAGGATGGTCTCGATCTCTTGACCTCCTTATCTGCCTGTCTTGGCCTCCCAAAGTGCTGGAATAACAGGCGTGAGCCACCGCGCCTGGCCAAAATGCTTATTTTTTGATGTATACAGAAGTATAAAAAGTAAGAAGCTTAAGTACCATTTTATAACCCTCTGTCCTTTCCCTTAACATATCACCATCCAGAGATGAATACCATCAACATTTTGGTAGTAATTATTTGAGACATTTTTCTTCAAATACACACAATAGTTCAAATGAAAAATGAAATCATGCTATGCCTTTACTTTTAAGAAAACTTTTAATTAACATATACATACATAAAATGTACAAGTCTTAAGTGTACAGCTTGATGAGTTTTTACAAAATGAACACACTGGTCATTCAGCATCAAGATCAAGAGACAGGGTATCAACACAACTCCACAAGCCCTCATCACATCCCCTTTACATCAGTATCTTTCATGCTGACAGATATCCACTATTCTCCTATTCTAAATTCTAAATACTGTTTAGTTTTGCTCTTTTGAAATTTCTGTAATTGGAACCATGTAGTACTTGTATGTTTGTGTTTGGCTTGTTTCCCTAGGAACTATGCTTGTGAAATACATTAGTAGTGTGCTAGTAAATCAGCTCTAAAGAAGGGAAAAAGCCTTGGTTTGCAGCATTTACTGATTTCTGTGATGCAAATATTCCCACCATGGCAGATTTCAAGGAAACAGCAAGAAGTTACTGAATGTGCAGTCTCAAAGGGAAGGCCACAATTGCCTTTTGTAAGCTGGCAGAAGCAGGCTGCAGCACACCACTGGACACTCGCTGTCTTTCCATGTAGCAATAGTTCATTCATTTTCAGTGTTGTGGATTTATCAATTGTATAAATGTTTTGCAATTTATTTATCTATTCTCTCCTTGATAGATTTTTAGATTTTCTCCAGTTCTTGGCTATTAGAAATTGTACTTCAGTGAACTTTCTTGTGCATATCTTTTGGAGGTCTTATGTATTTATTTTTGTGGGTATTTATCTAGAAGTCATAGCTATGTATATGTTCAGCTTTCGTAGAAAATTTTAGGGTTTTCTAAGGCTTTTATGTACTACTCATACCAGAAGAATATGTGGAATTCCAGTTTCTCTCTGTTCTTGCCAACCAACTGGTATTTTACTGATGACAACTAAAATGGAGCAGCTTTTCATGTGGTTGTTTCTAATTTGTACTCTTCTTTTTTTGCACTGACCAAGTGTTTTGTCCCATTTTCTCTTGGGTATTCTGCCTTTTTCTTTTTTATTTGTAGGAGTTTTTGTATATATTATGACTACAATTTTATAATTTATTTTATTCAATAATGCAGAGTTTTACATGAGCATATAAAAGATCTATCTTATCATTTTGTCACTTTATAGTATTTATAAAATATTATATTTATAATATTTTAAAGAATAGACATAAAATGGGGTATTTCATTTTTATTCATATCAAAATTCTTATCAAATAAGTGATTTGCAAACATTTCATTTGACATTCTAGTTGTCTTTTCACTTTCTTGGTAATATCACATGAGTACTTAAAACAAATTTTTTTACGTGTACCTGATTCACATGAGAATTTAATAGATGCTCCCTGACTTACAATGATTTGGCTTAGGATTTTTCAACTTTATGATGCTGCATAAGTGATATACATTCAGCAAAAACCATACTTCAAGTACTCATACAATCATTTTGCTTTTCACTTTTTGAACAGTATTCAATATATTACATGAGATACTCAACACTTTATAACAAAATAGGCTTTGTATTAGATGATTTTTTTCAGCTGTTGGCTAATGTAAGTGTTCTGGGATGTTTAACTTAGGCGAGGCTAAGTTATAATGTTCAATAGGTTAGTATATGAATCATACATACCTGATTTTAAATTTATCTCAGTCAGTAACTCACATATGCAAATATGGGCAAATTGTTCAATTTTGCCTCATTCGTAATGTTTACCATTCCCAGAAAAGGTTCTTCTCAAAGTTACCAATGGTCTACGTCTTTTCAAAGGCAGTGATCAGTTCTTTGATTCTGGTGTGTGTGTGTGTGTGTGTGTGTGTGTGTGTCAGTGGAATAACTGAACCATGTGACGTGGTATAGCCATAAGAATTCTTTAGACCCATAAGAACATCTGTTCTTACCAAACAGGAAAAACATGACAAAGGTGTAGGTTTCCATCAAGATCAGAAGTATTTTGACCTATGTAAGAAGATATTTTAAATAATATAAAAGCCAAAGAAAATTAAATCCAGTGATATGACCCTGGGTGGGTTTGCAGAGTTCTGTGGGAAAAAAATATTACAGGTGAAATCCAAACTGAAGCATGTAATGTACCTGAGCTATAAGATCTGCAAGACCATTTAGTGAGTTGATATTGTGACTACAGATAAGAATGAGTATGTTCTATCACAGTAACAGATATCAGAGTCCCTGGTCAATATCTTAGGCGAATATGCATATTCCAACCATCTAGGGGAGTATCCTCAAAGACTCTGTGATAACACTGTTGTTTCCTTTGTGGGAAAGCCTACTTTTACCCTTAAAATATTTAAAGTAAACATAGAAATATTTAGGTAATTAAACCCATTAGTTACAATAAGTTTAAGCATATTTAGTATTTCAAAAATGTGATGTGTACTGTACAGAAGAATATTGACTATTCAATGAAACTTGTTTCCAATGTAAGCTGTATAAATTGAGTAGTTGAGCTCACCTTTTGACTTTTAAATTCAAAGTACTTACTGTATTTATATGCACTGTGACTGGAATATGGAAAAGAAGTTAAAATCGGGCCAGGCACAATGGCTCACTCCTACAATCCTAGCACTTTGGGAGGCTGAGGTGGGCAGATTGCTTGAGCTCAGGAGTTCCAGACCAGCCTGGGCAGCATGGTGAAACCCTATCTCTACAAAAAAATGGAAACATTATCTGGGTGTGGTGGCTTGCACCTATAGTCCCAGCTACTGGGGAGGCTGAGGTGAGAGGATAGCTCACACCTGGGAGGTTGGAGCTGCAGTAAGCCTGAGTGCAAGCCACCGCACTCCAGCCTGGGTGACAGAGTGAGACCCTGTCTCAAAAAAAAAAAAAGAAAAGAAAAAAGAAGTTAAGATTACTCATAATTGTGAATTAAATATATTAGACTTACAAGAATTAATTTTAAGTACTTAGAAATGTTTGTTGGACAGACCATTGAAGTACCTAAAATATTAATAGAATACATTTATAAACGTTATTTAAAATGCTTAACAGTATTTAATTAACTATGTAAAATAAGATGAAGACTATGAGATATCCTGTAAGTTACTGTTAAAATTTATTAGATTTCTAAATAGAGTAAGATATGCCGAGACCAGCTCGGTCTGGGAGACCCTAACCCAGCGGCACTAGAGGAATTAAAGATACACACACAGAAACATAGAGGTGTGAAGTGGGAAATCAGGGGTCTCACAGCCTTCAGAGCTCAAAGCCCTGAACAGAGATTTACCCACGTATCTATTAACAGCAAGCCAGTCATTAGCATTGTTTCTATATATATTCAATTAACTAAAAGTATCCCTTACGGGAAATGAAGGGATGGGCCAAATTAAAGGAATAGGTTGGGCTAGTTAACTGCAGCAGGAGCATATTCTTAAGGCACAGATTGCTCATGCTGTTGTTTGTGGCTTAAGAATGACTTTAAGTGGTTTTCCACCCTGGGCAGGCCAGGTGCTCCTTGCCATCATTCCTGTAAACCTACAACCTTCCAGCTTGGGAGTTAGGGCCATTATGAATATGTTACAGTGCTGCAGAGATTTTGTTTATGGCCAGTTTTGGGGCCAGTTTATGGCCAGATTTTGGGGGACCTGCTCCCAACAAAGATATATATATATATATATATATATATATATATATATATATATATATATATATATATATAATATCAAGAAGCTAAAGAACAGGGTTTTTTTTTTTTTTAAATGTAGCTTCAATCAGTTAAATATTGATTATAAAAATTAAAGTAAAACTATGAAGAGTTTTCTGTATATAAACCTGTCCTCAAGGATATAAAAAAACAGTCAGTGCAGACACTCAGAGAGTTTAACAAAGTTAATTGCTAATTCCTTCATTAACACTTTCCTTCTAGACTGTATGACACCATCGTCCTCTGAAACTGACTGGCGTCCCTTCTCAGTTTCCTTTGCCAGCCCTGCCTTTTTTTACCAGACCTTTAAATGCTGGAGTGTTCCAGGGCTCTCCCTTTGGCCCTGCTCTTTTCATTCTATAGTGTCTCTTGAGGTGATTTCAAACTCCAAGTACCATCTATATCTGGCCACAACTGGCTAGAGGTTCACCAAACACATTTCCCTATTGTTCTGGGAATACAGCTAGGCCACATGTCTCAGTCTCCCTTAAAGGTAGGGGTGTCCTCATTATTGTGTGAGAGCTAATAACATCTGAGAGGAAGTGATGTATGCCCCTTCCAAGCTTATCCCCTCTCCAAAAACCTCCTATACAATTTTCCCCTCTCTTTATTTACCCTAATGGTTTCTGAAACACACAGAGGCTCTAGCAGAGGATTCAGAGGCCCTGGAGAATGATACAGCCACAGACAGAAAGAGCCTAGATTACCGAACCATTGCTAGGAGCAATCAATAATACCCAAATAAACTTTATAGCAATAAAAGAATAAATTATTTTTTTAACTGAATGGATTGATTTGGTACAGAAGCTGGTGCACTAAACACTTCTGATCTTGATTGAGATCAGCATTTTTTTTCGTATTTGTTGTCCACTTAGACTTCTCCCTTGAGATTCAGCATTAAATATGTAATTACTTAATTGAGGTCTCCAACTGGAAGTCTATTAGCTCAAACTTCACATAGTGAAAGATAAGTTGCTCTACAACCCACTGCCCAACAAATTTACTTTGTGCCTCCCCAATACCAACCCAACCTATTGCCAGACTTCCCTCCCTGTCGTACCTGAATAAATGATGACACCACTCTTCACAGCAGTTGAGGCTAAAATCCGGTCACTCTTGTCTATTTTACTCATAACCAGCAACTACCTCTACTTAGTCCTAAAAGGGAAAAAAAGTCATCTTTTCCTTGTAAACCTTTGCCTTTACTCTATTTTTCTCTGCAAAACAAAGTTTAAACTTTTTATCAAGATGTACAAATCTTTGCAAAATCTCATACAAATCTAGTCTTGTGAGGAACTTCTACCTTGAAAACCTCATGCCCCTGGTCACAGTGAAATAGATGAAGAGTAGATATATGACTCAGCTTTGGAGAATATTTTTGCTAAGGTGTTGAATTCAAGTTTAAAGTGACTGGAAGCATTACATGAGTGGCTAGCTAGCTTCTACCTCACATATGAATTGAATAACGAAGAAAGCAGGATTAACTAGAAAGCAGAATAAAGCAAGTGCCCAGAGAGGAGCAGAAACAATATTAGAAATGGAGCACTCCTTCAATTTATAATCTCCAAGATCTTGATTCCTGCATTTCCTGAGACCCATTGTCATTTTTAGATTTGGCTTCTGTGAGACATTCTTGTGTCTTTATAATAAGCCCCTACCACCATTACTCCCTCTCTTTTTTGCTTAAGCTAACTGGAATTGGTTTATTTTATCTACCGTATAGAATCCTGAATAATTAAGCTTTCCAGCCTCATCTCTAATTCACTAGTACTCCCCGCTTCCCTCCTGCCATCACATATGAAAACTGGATACATTGAACTTCAAATGGTTTCTAGAATATTGTTGGCTATTTTGTGATATTAGGATTTTTAAAAAATCTGTCTCATTTGCCTGTGATATTCACTGCCACTTAGCTTTCTGGAAATGTTTTAGTCATGCATTAGGGCTCGTCTCAAATATCACCCTTGCATTGGACTTATTTGGACCTTCTGCAGGAAGATATTTTTTTTCTATCTTTTGTGCCGTCATAGTACTCTATCTACCCATCTGTAATGACATGAAGGACATGAAATCATTATTGAAAGATTTTCTTCCTCATTAGACTGACGCAAAGGCAGGAATGATGCCCAATTAATTCTGAATGCCTCAAGTATACCACACGATTTGACACACAGTTGTATGTCTATTTGTCAAATGAAGGAAGAAATACATGAAAGAAGAAACTGTGCTAGCCCTGCCAATTATTATTTTAGCAGATGATATCTTATTTTAATTGTTTAAGTTTCAAATGATCTTTGTGGTATACTGGCTTATTTGTTTAGGTTATTTCTCAGCACATTCTTTGCATATTTTATTACCCATCAGCAATAAAAGTCAAGAAGGGAAAGAAGGAATTGTAATAATCAGCTCTTCACACCCTTATTTCTCTTCCCTAGTATTTCCCCAAGTTTTTATTTTGTTCTCACAATTAAGTCTATACTACTTAGAAAATAAGATCAAATCTTCTATGCTCCTTTGGTTAGAAATTTTTCTGGGATGGATTTAAAGTTGAACATCTATTGCAACTTAAAATTTTTGTTAAAGTTGCTCTTTCTAATGGCAATTATTTTGGGCTAGAGGATAAATAGTTGGAGATAATGGAATTTTCTCTTAGTGTTATTGCTGCCTCCCTTCTTCTATATCTTTTAATGGACTCTTTGGAAATTATAATAATAATGAATACTAACTTAATATTTATCAACCACAGAGCCAGGGGCTGAGCCAAGTGTTTTTATATACATTGTCTTATTTACTCCTTTTCTCAGCACTGTGACTGTAGTACTTTCATAATATGTATAACTTTAGAGGTATTTTGAGTTACTAAGAAATAACATGAAAACAAGCTTTTTGCACCTGTAAGATTACTAGCTAGGACGGCTTTGTAAGAGAAAGACCTCTTTACCCTTCAGGAGTAGCAGGAAAAGTATGCTATTCAACAGGATTGGCTTATCCACCTGACTCTGACATAATCATATATGAAATGATACTGACATCAGCTTTCTTTCTCCAATTGTTGATAATTTGGTTCCTTATTTCTTGTCCTTCCTCTTGAGTAATTTGATCTGTCCTCTTCCTGTTCTTCCCTTCCAGAGCAGGAAAGTCAAAGGAAAGGAGGAAGTTGTGTAGAAGAAAACAGTTTCAAGGGGCATTCTCCAGAAAGACTGAAACATTATGCTAGCCGGTCAAAACATAGTTTGAGAAGTTAAATTTGGATTAGAAGTCTCTTTCTATAAATGTTTTTTTTTCAATTTTTAAAAATTTTCATCTTTAAAAAATGTGTTTGCCAAATTTTATCAAAAAGCTCCATCTTTGTCCTAGCTGAACTCACAGGAAAAGGAATGTTTTCAGATCTCAGATCTGAATAAGTAGGGGAACAGCTTATCTCTGAGGGGGCAAGCTGGTAAAGAGGGCTCCATTTGAAAAACTTGGAAACAAGAAAGGATTTTAAGTGGGAACCAGGAGTTTCTCTTCAAAATAATCCTTTACTCTCTGTTCATTAAAAATATATTTTAATTATTATATATTTAAATATAAATTTATTTATTTAAATATATATTAATTTAAATATTATATATTTAAATATATATTAATTTAAATATTATATATTTAAATATATATTATATATAAAGATATGTATTTTAAATATTATATATATAAATTTAAAAAGTAGTCCTTTCAGAAGGTCTAAGGATTTCTCAACTGCTGATAATCACAAGGGAACAAACTGAGTCTCTAGATAGGGAGAAAGTGAGAGTTGCAACATAGTTCCAGACTCCAGAAGAAAAGGGTTCACGTGCCACAGATTGCCAAGATATCCTGTGATAACTTAGCTTCTGCTTAGAGTGCTTAGGCCTAGATCGCCTATCTACTATTTTCTCTATTTCTTGGGAAAGCTGTCTGATTCCATCTGTGTTTCTATCTGGATATTTAGCACTTATCGCCATTTTATTATATTATCATATATTATTCAACTGGATTATGTGGTTTAATAGAATGTTGGGCTAGGTATCAGACCAGTGGTTTAATGCACTGAAAACACATAATAATGTTATAATAACTAACAGTTATTGCTCATTTGCTCTGTGTTGGAACTGTGCTTAATGCTTTACATGGTATGTTGAGAATTACTGAAGAGTTCAGTGAGCAACAGACTATATGATAAAAATTTAGTTTGGTAACAGAATAAAACATGTAAAATGAAGTTATCTGTGGTGTATGTGGGATTTGTCCTTAGACATAAGTGTAGGAGGGGGCATTTCAGATGAATGTTGCTATTTCTACAAGTCAAGCCAAGTAACTTAATAGAATAAAAATTTGCCATTATTAATTATTATTACTATTAATTTAGTCAGGCCTGGGCAGCTATATGTCATACCTTCAGTAAAAAGGAATACCCATAGCCTAGACATTGAAACTAGTATATTTATTGTTCCAGATACTTAACACAGCTGAGTGATGTCCTTCATTCAGGAGCTCCTGGGGAACACGGTGCTATGTAATAGAGTGAAATGGGAATCAGTGAGAGGAGGAAAAATAACTTCATCAGGAATGTGAATGCAAGATTCTTAAAAGGGCAGAGTACTTTTCTCATTCGTTGTTTCCCTTTTACCTCCATTCAATTAAAGAGACTTGGGGTCATCGATGTTTCTTTTCTCTTCCATTTCATTTTTGACTTAATACACAAATGGAGTACGTTATTGACAGAGGGGCCCCCTTGTGGTCCAGCGTAAACTCCCTCATTCAGTCAAAACTGCACACCGAAAACCTATATGATTTCATAAGCAAGTGGCATAGGTGTTTGCGCTAGGTCATATTTCAACAGGTAGCATACCTCCAACTTATTTGTTTATTTTTCAGTTGCTTACTTTGTATTTGCATTTTCTGGGCACTAGATTCTTGGCAAGAATCAGGTAAGGCTATCATAGCCCAATATATGGAGCTCTGTAACTGAGCACTTTAAAGAAAATAGTCCTCAGGACTTTAAAAAAGTTTTTAAAAACGTTTTTAAAAAGCTTTTAAAAGGCGAATTAAATAATTATTTGTTTTTTAAAAAATATTTGTACCTTTAAAATGCTATTAATTTAAACATGATTATGGACAATAGATTGCTAGTGATAAATGATGGGGTTCTGGACGAGCCAGACATTGTACAGCTTCCCTTGGGGCAAGCATGGTGATCAATGTGGGTTTCGCAAGCTGGAGTCATTCAACTTGGTGTTCTAGTCTTGTATATATATTTAATTTCATATTTAAATTGTACAATTATGTTATTTTGACTATAGTCAACCTGTTGTGCTATTAAATACTAGATATTATTTATTCTTTCTAACTATTTTTTGTACCCAATAACCATCCCCACCTCACCCTCAAAGCCTACACTACCCTTTGCAGCCTTTGGTAACTATCCTTCTGCTGTCTACCTCCATACGTTCTATTGTTTTGATTTTTACATCCCACAAATAAATGAGAACATGCAATGTTTGTCTTTCTGTGCCTGGATTATTTCACCTAAAATAAAATGTTTGTCTTTCACCTAAAATAATAAAATGCTTGTTTTTCTGTGCCTGGATTATTTCTCCTCAAATAATGATCTCCAGTTCCATTCATGTTGTTGCAAATTTTTTTCATGTGTCTTTACCTTCTGTTCTGGTACCATACCCATCTGTGTTCAATTTTTTTTGTACTGAAAAGAATATATATATCTCCAATTCCCTGTGATACCGAGGAAAGACAGCATACACACACACACACACACACACACACATACACATACACACATATATGTATATGTATATATATACATATGCATATACAGCTACTGAGTGACAAGTGGTATGGTATAATATCACCTGTCACTCAGTAGCTATCATATATATATATATATATATATGTGTGTATATATATATATATATATACACACACATATATATATATAAAACAAGGAATTGTTTCCAGGAACTCCAAAGATACTGAAATCTGAGGATGCTCAGCTCAAGTCCCTTATGTAAAATGGCATAGTTATATTGTTTCTCTGACTTTTGGCTAAGATGAAGTTTAGTATCTGTTCTTATCAGTTTAAAGTGGCATAGTATTTGCATATAGCCTATGCATCCTCTGGTATACATTAAGTAATCTCTAGATTTATACTACTTAATACAACATACATGCTATGTAAACAGTTGTTACACTATATTTTTTATTTGTATTATTTTTATTGTTGTATTGTTATATTTTAATGTTTGTTATTTCCAAATGTTTTTAATTCATGGTTGGTTGAATCTGTGAATGCAAAATCCATGGATATGGAGGGCTGAATGTACACACACACACACACACACATTCATAATTTTCAAAGTCCACAGTAAGTATCAAGCAGTGTGTGTTTACCTGCATGTGTATGTGAATTAACTCTGTTCCTGAGGCAGTTTTATTTCCCTCCAATGGATTCTACTTTATTTCTTAATGTCAAGAAATGGCTTATCTCTATCTGAGTACCTGTACTTCCTTTCTCTGTCTCTCTCTGCTGTCTCTGTCTCTGTCTCTGTCTCTCTCTATCTTAGTGTTTGTGTGGGTGAGAGATCGCCATTCTGCCTGCACCACTCAAAATGCAGCTCTCCTAACTAAAAGACTGTATTATTCACGGAGGTCTCAAACGAAAATGTTTCTCCCATTGGACAGAAATGAGAATGCCCTGGCACTTCTCATATAACACCACTTAATATATTCTTTCAATTGCAACAGTTTAGAATTATTATTGATAAATAATTCTAATACCATTTAGTGTCCAATAACATATTAGGGAAACATGATAATTTACCACATCCTCTCTGTATTCTTGTTCATTTATTTTTCATTCTGTCGTACTCTGTACCTTTTTATAGGCCACTTCAATTTGTTTTTTACTAGAGCTGGAAACATGTTACTTCTCCTATGAACCAGCCAAGTTTTTATGTGCTTATTATGGATTCAACATACCCCTCTTCTCAATTCACAACAAATGGCTCCTCTCTATCTGAGATAGAGCAAGTTGAAGTCCTATCCCTCCAGTACTGTACTTTACAGTGTGAAGGCTTGGGACAGATTCTCTTCCACAGCCCCCAGAAGGAACCAATCCCACTGACACCTTAATTTTATACTTCTAACATCTATAACTGTGAGACAATAAATTTTTGTTGTTTTCAGCCACTAAGTTTGAGGTGATTTGTTCTGGCAGTCCTAGGAAACTAATACAGTGCCTCTATTAAAACAATTCATCTTGTTTACTCCAGTTTTGTTTTTTTTTGGCATATCTGTTTCAGACTGGACTATGTACTTATCAAGAGAAATGACCTTATCTGTCATATACTTCACTCTGTGGTATTTATGTGAGGGACATAAAATGTAAGATATGATATGCTATGTAAGATATGATACCTGCCTTAAAATCCAGTGTTTATTCATCAAATTTTTATTGAGTGCCTGATGTAATTATGTAACAGCCACTCCTCAGGATACTGGTCATACAACGGTGAGCACAGAGATGATGGTCTCCTCTCTCGTGGAGCAAACAGTCTGGAAAATTGTGGGGTGGGGGGGACATTAAAAACACAATCAAAAGGAAAATAATTGCACAAAAATAATTGTCAAGCAGGAGAAAAACATCTGTATGTAAAGAAGAGGAAGCAGCGATCGTTCTTGGCCATGGGATGATCTGGAAAGGCTTCTAAAAGGGGCAGTAGATTTTAATAAACAGCACACAGAGAGAGAATATTTCCTTGTGAAGAAGAGAATGGGGAAGGACCCCTGGGTCATTAGTAGTTCATTTGCCTGGAGCATAGAGAAATAGAGTAAGTAGAGTAATCATGGCAATAGTTTTTTGGGTGTTTTTAAATTGCTTACTAAGTATCAGCCTTACATTATCTCATTTACCTTCACATTTTTTTGACGTAGGCTGTTGTCATCCCAATTTACAGATAAGGTTGTTGAGTTTTCCTTAACCATAGCTTTATACTTATTATTATACTATACTACCTGTCACTCAGATTTATTCCTAGGGATAACTATAATTTGAAATGAGATCTCTGACTCCACAGGCTCTGTTTTTTTTTTCATTCCACAACAGAGAATTATTCCCTAAAATGCAGAGTCAGAAAGATAGGTTGCAGGCAGATTTTAGAATACTTCTATTACAAAGGCTATAAAAATATACTTTACAGTAAACAAAGGGGAAAATCAAATGTCTGCAAAGTAGTAACATGATACATGCTAAAACATTGAAATAGGAAAAAATATTGGGGGAAGTAGGATTCCTTAGCACTTACTAAAGGAAAGATCCAGATAAGAAATGTAAATGTACCAGGCTTGGTGTCTCACACCTGTAATCCCTGCACTTTGGGAGGCCGCAGCTGGTAGATCACTTGAGGCCACGAATTTGACACCAGCAGGGCCAACATGGTGAAATCCCATCTGTATTAAAAATATAAAAATTAGCCAGGCCTAGTTGCATGCACCTGTAATCCCAGCTACTCAGGAGGCTGAGGCAGGAGAATCGTTTGAACCCGGGAGGTGGAGGTTGCAGTGAGCCGAGATTGTGCCACTGCACTTCAGCCTAGTCGACAAAGTAAGACTCTGTCTCAAAAACACACACACAAAAAAAACAACAAGTTATGTAAATCCATCGTCAGAATGACTTAGTGTGAACAAGAAGCATCTCAGTTGTCTGCTAAAAATTCCTGCTTCTTCGCAATGAGAATATTGAAAAATCTCTCTTCAAGGTGGTGGATAAATTACCTCAATTTGATCATTACACAATGCACCCATTTAAACACATATCGAAACATCAGATTGTACCCTATAAGTATGCACAATTATTATGTGTCAATTATATTTTTGTTTAAATTCTACTTCCAGTCACCACCCCAGAGGACTGCTGACGTGAGGAGGTTTTAGACAATATTCTGTTCTGGCCTAGCCAAGGGATTAGGGAGGCAATGTAAGCCAAACTTCCTTTTTCACAGCAAGCTCTTGGACTGCAGGGATCACATTTCATTCATCTTTTTATTCCCTTTTCCCCTAAGTCCCAGACCCTTGCTCATAATAAGCATGTGGATGACTTGAACTGAATTGTAAGAGTGAAAGACTCTTGTGAAAGAAGAATCATTAAGACTGTGTGAATTTAAAAAGAGAACGAATTCAAGAGAACATGCTTTGTAAGTCTGGGAAAGAGAACGTGCAGGGTACAAGGGCGGTAACATGTGACCAAGAAGAGAAGAGTAAAATGAACTCACTAGCCAATTACATTCCAGTGATCTGCTACTTAGAATGCATGACTGAACTCCTGGGTGGTCTTATAGCCACTGGGTACTTTTTTTCTGCCAGACTTTGAAAGCACTTTGAAGACAGGGTGTCATCTAAAGGTTGGTGATTTGTATTGAGTTCCCCCACCCTAGAACTGGCAGGCACCATTCTCTTTGATAAATATCATAGGAAGAAATCAGAGAATTGTATTTTCCATTGAAATAGTTGGAAGATATATAGAGAAGCCTAATGTGGTTTTCTGAGTTGGAAATTTGCTAGGACATAGGGATGTGAATGCCCATCTTCTCAAAAGACATCCTGTAGATGCCAATAGATCTGAGCAGCAGGATGGAATGTATCAAAATAAATGGCAGGATTATCCAGTGCTGGAGCCCTTATTTAAGAAGCCCATATTAATTGAACTGAACATAGTTGGCATTCCAACAAATATATGCTGAAAGAAAAATAGCAAAAACAACTTAGGGGATATGTTCTCTCAAGTGGTTTATAATTTGTTTCCTAACCTTCTGTCACTGAACCTGGCTGGATATGGAAAGGTCCATTCTACTTTCATTCTACTTCAGCTACTCAGATCTTAGTTGTACCCTAGAACTTTTCATGATGGATAATTGTACCCTTCTATACTTTTCATTTAAACCATGTCACTCACCAATAATCACCTACATTTTCAGCTAATTGCCTCTAGTGCCTTGGCTCCAAACATTCTTTGACCCCACTGTATTTACACTTTTCCTCATTCCTTTATACCACTAAAATTTGCAGTCCCCTTCTTACTTAGCTAATATTTTACAATCTCTCCCACAAACACCCTCAAATAGCCTTGCATCTCTCTTCTTCATTGTGTTACTTTTGTAAAATCCAGGCCCTATTTAAATACAATGTTCCATGTATTCTGTGCCTGAACCTATGCAGCTGATGTAGCTGAAGCAAAGCAGGGGTATTGGCTGGCCTCACTTTAAATTCTTCATCCTTAATTGGAAATGTATCTTCATACTCCCTGGTAATTCTACTTTACATATTTTTACACCTATTACTTTTCCTGAACTTCCAATACTGCCTCGCTCCTCTTCATTTTGGTTTATGAACCTGGCTTCCTATTTCACTGGGGAAATAGAAGTAATCAGTAATAACTCGCATGTCTTTTCACCACCACATCGACCAGCCCATCCTATCTGTACATGTTTATTGTCTCTTTCTTCCTGTTCTTACTTGAGCTGTACATGCTCCTATCTGATCACACTTATGCACAGGGTCTCATTCATTCTCTTTCACTTCAGCAATTAGACTCTTCCTTAAAAAATAATTTTCTGTCTCAACTTGATTATTCCCACAATAGTGCAAACATGTTGTAATACCTTTTTTCTTTAAAATAACCCATTTTCTTTAAAATAATTTCCAACTATCAACTGATTCCTCTGTTTCTCTCTATATAAAATTCCTTAAAAGAGATTTCTTATGTTGCTTCTCTCCCTTTTCTCTCTTCCCATTCTCATTTGAATCTACTTCAAAAGGTTTACCATACTAAGAAAAAAAGCTCTTCTCAAGATTACCTATGGTTTCCATAGTGCTAAATTCAGTGATAAATTTAGTCTTTGTCTTAATCAGCCTCTCAGTATCTTTGATTCAGCGGGTAATTATCTCCTTCTTAAAATACTTTCTTCACTTGACTTCTGGGAGCTACTCTCAGTTTTCCTATTCACTTTAGATGTTCCCCTAAGCTCTGTTTACTCATTTATCTCATCCCTCCACTGGAGTTCACTGGAGTTCAGTCCTTAGATCCTTTCTCTATCAGCATTCACTCACAAGGTGATATCACATAGCCTTTGAATAGTATCTGAATATTGATGATGGTCAAATGTTATTTCCCCTGAACTCGAGATTCTATTCAACTCCTACTAGACATCCTTACCTGCACAATTAATAGACACATCAAATTTAATATATCCTAAGTTGGACTCTTGATGTCCTGCTCCTCCAAACCTGGTCCTCTTGCACATTTTCTATCTCATTAAATGTCTATTTCTTCCCATTGCCTAAGCAATTCAGAGTCACTCTCGAAGTGACTTTTCTCATTTCCCCATGCATATTCGATCCATCAGTTGTGTTAATTATGCCTTTTAAATGTGTCAAGAATCTAATTACTCCTCTTCCACTGCTAACTTTTGTTGAAATGACCATCAGCTGTCTCTTGGATAAATACAATCCTTTACTTTTGGTATTTCTGATTCAGCATTTGCTTCCTTATTATCCGTTCTGAACATAGCATCTGGGTCAGAGGTCTTGTCACCCTCTGTGTCCCAAAGTCTACAGTGATTCCCACCACCCTCCTTATCAAGGCTAACAAGGCCCTACATGATCTGGTCCCCACTTCTTTTCAGACCTAATTTCTTCTACTTTTTTCAGGCTTCACTCATTAGCCACACTGTCCTCCTTGGTGTGCTTCCACTCTTAGCACATTCCCAGCAAAGGCCTTTTGTTCTGATTGTCCCTCTTCTTGGAGCTCTCTTCCTTAAATATCTGCAAAATATCTGCTTATCTTCTTCCATCACATCCTTCAGGCCTTTCCTCAAATGCCAATTTCTCAGGAAGGTTTTCCCTGGCAACCGTATCTAAGATTACGCTTTCCTACCCCAGCACTATCTAACCCCATCCCTGCACAGTTCTCTTCCTATTTACAGCCATCTAACCTACTACATATGTGACATATCTATGTATTGACTGTTTTCCCCTCTAGAATATATGTACAATGAGGGCATGGATTTTGTTCACTGTTTCATTTCCAGCACCATAAAGAGAACCTGATATATAGAAGACCCTATATAAGTAACAATTGAATACTTAAAGGCAGGCAACTCTGGGGTTTCTTCCCCAGACCTCTGTACCAGAAATTGAAATAGGAAATAGAAGATATTGAGGATACTAGGTATTCTCTACCTGTGTTATTGACCAGAAACAGCAACATATAATTTTTCTTTACAGGGACTAAGCTAATCAATAATGAAGCAATGTCACTGACAATCACACTCATAGAATGAATTTTAATAAAAATATATTTTTATTTTGGATGCTTTTTGTTGCATTTGAGAGAATGAATTGAGAATTTTTGTTTTTTTAAGTCAGGTGGACTCCTAATAACTTTTAAAGGCTAAGTTAAAAAGGTCTCATTTTCTCTAAGGCATTTATGACTTACCAGTCAGTCAGTCACTCTTTCCTCAGCATATTTTATGTATATCTTAACTCTAGCTCTTATCACATTATTTCATAGTTTGCTGTATTGGGTTAATTCCACAACTAGGCTTTGTGTCCCCAGGAGCTACAACTGCTTCTGTCACATAGTAGGTTCTCATAAATCTTTGTTGAATAGCTTATGTAGACTCAGATGCCACAAGATTGGCAATAATTCACTGTTATTACAAAAAGAGAATTAATATAAAACATCACCTTGTTTGTAGACATATTAAAGAAGAAGGGAACCATGAAACACAATCTTTAGGAATTACAATGTGTCCTCTAAGTTTTGGATTTAATTGTCCTACCTAAATCTTAACAAACAAAAGCACATTGATACTTTATTTGTCTTCTTCTTATGTTTTGTATTACCCTGACTTAGTCACCAGATGTCACTATGAGACTGTTGTCCAGGTCACTCTTTCTTTAAACAAGAAGGAAACAAAGACCTCACATGAGGCATGGAGCAAAACCTATGTCCTTGTGGAAACACCTTATAAATGTTAAGGCTAGTAGATTTAGGGTTTTATTTTAGAGTGGATTTTGGCATGGCTTAGTGTGTAAGAAAGAGCACTGGACTGGGAATCGAGAATCCTGGATTTTAGCCCCAGTTCTGTCATTTTAGAATAATTGACCACCTGGTAGATTTCTTTACTTTTCTGGCCTGTGAAAGATATCCTCATCTGAAAATAAGGGTGGCAAAAGAACCTCAAAATCTTCAAGCTCTAACATCCAGTGATTCTATTCCCTTCTTTTGCTAATTTCTTGGAAAGTAGCCAGAGGTCTTTACTACCAGGGATGATTTGGAAAGTCAGCATAAGTGAGAATAATGAGTACCTATTGCATACTCTATTTTATTCTAAACACAGTCTCTGCTAGGTTTTGACCTACCATGAAGTGGGGAAACCTTTATGGTCACTCTCACTTCTACACAGTCTCTGTATATTGGTGGTACACATTGTGTGAAATACCTTTTCCATCTAGAGATTGCTTCATTTTTTTATTATAAAAACATTACACAAAATTTGTTTAAGGTGTCATGTAAATATACTTTTAGTGACTGTCATTTTTGGGTTTCACTCTCAGAGGAAAATGAATTATTTATATTAGGTATTTCTGAATACCTAATCTGAATATTCTTGCTTTTTTTTAAAACCAGTTCTCTGCAATGTTCACCCATCCACCTACCTAAAATATGCACCACTTAATCTTTTATTCATGCTGCTCCACAGCGTCCTGTAATCATAACCCACTTGTGGTAGACTCAGACACTGTTGTTGTATGAATGCCTCATTTATCTCTTTCTGTGCATATTTATGTTTCAGTTAGCTATTTTCATTGCATGTAGTTCCTTCCATAGTGTGGGTTCTCGTATTCTCAGCCATTTTCTTTGTCATTATTTTACTCAGAGTCGAACCACAGAGTAAATATTTTTGAGAACAGTCTGAATTACATGGAGCCTTTAACACTTACAGGCACTATCCTAATACCCAAATTATTATATAGAACAAGTTGACACAGGCTTTTATAGAATTATCTAATCCTGAAACATATCTTGAGTATTTACTAAATGCTCCACACTGTTGATGTTCTGGGATTGAAACAGCAGATAACACAGTATGGCACAGAGAGAGCAGGAACAAGCATTTACACAGCAAAGTGGTGACCGTTACAGTGGAGTTGTGTGCAACACACTGTGAGAGGCTAGAGGATGGTATAGACTTACCCTTGAGCTGACCTTCAAAAATAGTCAGGAGGGTTTGCATGGGAGGTTGGGAGTCTATTCCAGGCAGAGGGGACAGCAGAGGCAAAGAAAAAGAGGTTTGAGACTACATATTAGACTGGAGAAGTGCATATGGTCTGTACTTACTGCTTAGCAACAGAGTAGAATGATTTGCTGGGAGGTGAGACTGAATTAACATTAATCTATTGATTTCTCTTTGAAATTTACAAAATTTTCTCCTCTCCCCTTCCTTCTTTATGTATTTTGGTTCTACTGGAGTCAGTTCAGGTGTTTCTTAGGAAATTGTTCTTTATGATCTCTGTGAGTTGACATTAAAATATACATTATGTATGTTCTGTGACACATTGTTACTCTTACATGTTAGTTGTTTAACACCTACATGGGCTCTTGCCTCAGCTAAACAGTGAGTTCTCAAAGATCACATTCATGATTAGCAGCCACACTGAATTATTATTACATGGAAGAATGGAAGGCAGGAATGAAGAAAGGAATGGTGGGAGGGAGGAAAGAAGGTAGGAAGGAAAAAGAAAGAAGGGGCGGAATAAGCACTTGTAGTGGAAGATGGAATTAATGTTTTTCAAGAGTATCTTAGTTTCTAAGATGCTCAAATACAATGAGAAATATATTTGAGCATCCTGAATTGTGTGAAAGTTTTAAAATAATATTTGTCAATGTTCAGGAGAAAAATCCTTCTGAGCATGTGAAACAAGAGGAAGACCGAAGGTAGATATGCATAGAACCCTATCCACAGTTACTGAGTATGTTTAGTAGTGTAGAAATTGAGAAAAACTGCCTTATAGAGAGCTCAGCTCCAAAATGACTGGCATGAGATTTAAACTCAGCATGTATAGGTCACATAAAATAATATCACACTCCAATCTTAGATATCATAGACCCTAAAAGGGCAATAGTGCAAGGTCTTTCATTGCACTGTCTTGATATTTCTAAGTCAAACTGCTTTTTGTTTCAAGGAAACACAACCTCTTGAGGAAGAAACTTCTGAGATGGCAGCTGCCAGAGATATACAAGCTGCCCAAGTGAGGGGATAGGAAAAGCTGAAGACAGGCAGACATGACTGTGGGTCCAGGCTCTACCTCTTGGTAGCTATGTGACCATCGTCAAGGTGCTGTGTTTCTTCTACCCAAGCTTCAGTTTCCTTGCTTATTAAATACAATGAGTTTTTTTTTTCTTTCTGACAGAGGGGGCAGCAAAGACAAAAAATTGATTACAAGAAAGGGAGTATCTGAAAAACTCGGCATCGTGCCTGACACGTAGTTAAGTGCTCGGAAAATAATAGCCATAATTATTGTTGACAAGTCTGGAGCAGGAAAACAAACAAGCATACAGAACACAAGATTAGACTGTAGGTTAAAAAATACAAGGTCTAGTTCTGGCTCTGTCATTTATTTGCTACATAACCTCAGTCACATGTGTTGTTTTCCCTCATCTATACAATTGGAGAATTCTACCTATTGTACCTACTTGGCAGCATCATATGAGATTATATAGATATAGATATATATAGCACTATATGGTCTAAGGGATCATTTTTATTACAGACTTGATTTGAAAAATGCAGAGTTCCACTCCCTCAAGATGAAGCACCCGTGCCTTGTTCTGCCTGACAGCCTAGGACTGATGCTACTTGCAGAATTTTAGTGCTCTGGTTACTGAAAACAGTATCACATGGCACCGTGCAAAGTACAGTGCCCATTTTATGGTCTTATGAAGCACACATGCCAAAGTTGAGAGTTTAATTGAAAACCTAGCAGTTTTTCATGATGGCTCACAGTACTTTACATTTTTAAAGAAACTCTTAATAGGTTAGCAACATGGTGTTTTGTTGTCATGGTTATCATAAACATCCAAGTCACTATCGAGTGTTATTCATTTGTAGGTTATTTAGTCAATCATTCTACTCACTATTCTTAGAGATTGATATGATTTAAAGATACTATTGTTCTTTTCAATTCTTGTTTCTGCAATTAAGATATACTACAACATTTTCTTACATTAATGCCAAATCTTTTTAAAAATGTCAGCTTTCTTCCAAATAGTCTCCTCAAATAATACGTTAAGGACTTCCAGAAAACATGGGGACTACCAAACCAATACTCACTCTTTATAGCTAAGGAAAACTGAGCTGCAGAGAGTTTTAGAGATTTATACAAACTTCTATGGTGTTAGTTGAAGAATATTAGTTGTTCTTGCCTATATGTTTTCAAAGGCAGATCATGTCATCCTTGAAGGTAAAGTCATATTTTGTTTTGTTTTGTTTTAATTCAGTTTACTTCATAGCATTTGTATTTAATATAATTAATTCAGCAAATGTCACTTGTTTCTTTATATTGTTACATTTTGTTTTATGTTATCCCTGGTAAGTCATTATAAACTTAGTTTTCAAAATAATTTCCACACGAACAATTTTGTTATATCTTAGCCATATCCCTTTGAAGAACATAGTATAGTTATCACTCTATTATAAATTTTACTTGCCAAATGATGATATTGAAGTTCAAAGAATTTATGGCCTTGCTCAATGTCTCATGGCTAGTAAAAGAAGATGTCAGAACTTAAATACAAGTCTCTGACACCAAGCTTTCTCTAATCCACAGAAAGTGTTATTTAAATGAAAATATTAATTGCTTAGAGAAAGTAAACTTGAAGAAATAAGGAAGTCAGTTTTGCTTGGAATTAGAGGTGATAATTTTCATTCTCTTCAGAGCTCTGGTTGCATGTGAAACTAAACTGGATTGGAATCCCATTATGTAATTTGAAGTATCGTTAGTCCTTAAGACACTAGACATTGACATGTTTAAGCATAATTTTGTAAACTCCATTCAGAGTAAGATATAATGTAATTGTTTTTGAATTCCCCATACTAATGCCTTTCTTCACCAGAGAAGTTAATGGTGCCTTCTATATGTGACTTATATGTGCACTTCCTCAAATTATCAACAAACAACTGAACTTGGCTTCCTCAGTGTGAAAATATCTTATTGCTTTCAAAACATTGCAATATTACAACTCCAAAAAAATGTAATTTTGATCATATGCATTTTACTAAGAAATAATGGTTATTATTATATTTGGTTTTATTTATTCTGTATTACAGTTAAATACCATATAGTAAATATTTATTCATATGCTGCTTCCTCTTAAACAGGCTTTGAGATAGGTTCACATGTGCAATAGATTAATAAAATATAAGTACACATGAAAAATTGACAATGGTTGAAGAATGATGGATAATGCTTGAATAAAAGAGGAAAGAATGAATTTTCTCTAAATTCAGCCATTATTTATGTATTTTATAATCATAGAATTTTAGAACAAGAAGAAATCTTAAAGTTTTTATTATTGAATATCTTTTTTTATAGCTGAAAAAATTATAGACCTAAGCGTTTTGCCAAATATCACACAGTCAATTGGTACCAGCACCAGGACCAGGACATAAGTTATTTTTTAACTTTGTGCCAGAACATCCCCAACCTGACACATCTGACTTCCTTAATAACGCATTACTTAATAATTTGACTCTACTTTCACTTTTCCTTTGTAATCCCCAAAGTGAATTACATGACCAGAAAGCAGAAGTTCAGAAAGAATATATTTATGATCAAACTTTGTCTTCCCTTTTCAAATATATTTTTCTTATTATTTGCTTAAGCGAGCACATTGAGTGAAGAATAGCATCTAGCAGTTTGCTCATTCAATGTGCATTGCCGATAGCTACCATAAATATTGTAAACCACTGATACAACTTTTTCTTTTCTCATTCCAAAAAAGGACATAGGCAGGGGGAGCCGTGTGAATATCCCATCACACCATGGCTGGATTATTGGCTAGTACAACTCTGAGTCCTTCTATCTGCTCCCAATCAATTCCAGCCACAAATTTTATGCTCATTGAATCCATGAACAAGAACATCATCTTAAAATATTGACTTATCAGAACAAAATAATCAATGACTCATTTAAAATTATTAAATCTAAACTTCTTTAACAAAGCTCTACAAAATCAAACCCTATGAACTAGTATTGTAATGAGGGAGGGAAGGTATGCATAGGGCAAGTTTTAGATTTTAAATTGGAGAAGTAAGTGCTATTTGAGGGAGATTCAGGGAAGGATCCAATCCTAATATCAAAGTCAGAGGCATACTCCGTCATGACAAAGGGGGACAAGAAGCAATGGAGGCAGGATGCAGTATTGTCCTCAGAAAAGAAGCTTGAACCCATAGAATGACTCCCATAGAAGAAAAAGGCACAGGTGGAACTTCCCAAGGACTCTCTTCTCTACATTGGCAGGCCACCTGGCAGTTTCTGGGGACTGAGACCCAGGTGCTTTAGCCAGATGGGGTTGCCTCTGGGAAAATGCACACAGAACTGATCTTACTCTGCCTTCCTTTCTAATCTCCAGGGTTTCCTGAACAAGTTTCACTGAATTTTTGATCAGAAGCAGCTTTGGGCTGTTTGAAAAAAAAAATCTGTTGATCTGCATAGTTCTTTATGCACCATTAAATAGAAGGCACCTCAGTTCAGTCTTTTACCATGAAACCAAACATACCCTTTTTAGGTCCATGTTGGAATAGTTCTTTGACCAAATAAAAAAGAAAGGATTATATATCAGGTTATGAACAAAGAGCATGTGTGATATGATAGAGACAGATTGGTCAGAAAGTACACGCTGGCATTCTGAACTGGATTTAGGAAGACTGCTGTTCCAAAATCACTTTAGAGACTATATAAGCAAAACAATAAATTACAATGTAAAATAAAAATATTAACACTTCTATTTTTATATAAGATAATTATCATTTAATGTAGTATAATATTTAATATAATAGATTAACACATATTCATTATTCATGTATCAGAAATACATTTTCCAAAATTTTCTCTGATGGGTGAAGCATCAAAGAAGTTTGGAGACTGCCACTCTGGACCTTCTCTTCATAGGCTCATGAATCTTGCAGAACTATTCACTTCAACATTTTAGAAAGACATGAGCAGATTACAGATGAATCTGCTTAGCCTTCTGGAATAACTACGGATATGGTTGTGAAGCCAATGTGAGTTTACAGTAACTAGTCAAACTGAGGGGCCAGAAAGAGGATGTGAAAATGCCTTGCTTTTCTTCTAGAATATAGACATTCAATGGATAAGAAAAAAATAATAAAAACAGGAAAACTGAGACCCAGAGAGATATATTTAAATGTCTAAGATAACAAACCTCATAACAAGTGCGTGAGCATTTGAATTCAGTTCAATTTTTTATCAAGGCCTGTGTCTTGCTGCTACAACTTGAAGCATTTGTTCTTTTGTTTATATTATTTACATGACATAATAGCCTCTTTTCTGTCCTTTCCTTTACTGAGTCCTTTCCTTCCTTCAAAACTCAGTCCCTCTTTTCCATGAAGCCCTACTGATGATTCCAGCACTTATTATTCAGTGTCTTTTTCCAAACTCCAGACATGAACTTTGTTTATTGAGAGTTTACTCCATGCCAGCCACATAGGCATTTCACATCTCCTCACATAACTCTGTAAGTTGTTGTGGTAGGCAGAATAATGGCTCCCAAAGATGTTCACACCCTAATCCCTGAAACCTATAGATACGTAACATGACAAAAAATTTACAAATTAAGGCGATGTACATTAAAACACACAGCTTATCCTGGGTTATCTGAGTGGGTCCAATCTATTCACATGAGCCCTTAAAAGTGGAAGAGTAAACTAGAACAGTTCATCTGAGATGTGACAGAAGAAGATGCAGGAGAGATCCAAAGCACGAGAAGGTCAGGACCCACTGTAACTGACTTTGATGACGAATAAAGGGGCAATAAGCAAAGGAATGTAGGTGGCCTCTAGAAGCTGGGATTGGCCCTCAAATGACAGCCAGCAAAGAAATGGGGAGCTCAATCCTACAACTGTAAGAAACTGAATTCTGTCAATATCCCAAATGAGCAAGGAATTGGATTCTCCTCTAGAGCCTCCAGATAGGAATACAGCCATGATGACACTTTGATTTCAGCCTTAGGGGCCCCAAAGCAAACAAGCCAAGACTTTTGATCTATGGATCTAAACTGTGAGATAATAAATTTGTGGGTCTTTTGGGCTTTTTTTTTTTTTGAGACAGAGTTTCGCTCTTGTTGCCCAAGCTGGAGTGCAATGGCACAATCTCAGCTCACTGAAACCTCTGCCTCCTGGGTTCAAGTGATTCTCTTGCCTCAGCCTCCCGAGTAGCTGGGATTACAGGCATGCATTACCTTGCCCAGCTAATTTTTTTGTATCTTTAGTAGAAACGGGGTTTCATTATGTTAGCCAGGCTGGTCTCCATCTCCTGACCTCAGGTGATCTGCCTGCCTCAGCCTCCCAAAGAGCTGGGATTTCAGGCGTGAGCCACTGCACCCGGCCAAATTTGTGTTTTTTAAGCTGCTCAATTTGTAGTAACTTGTTACAGCAGAAGTAGAAAACCAATAAAGTTTCTATTTCTGGGATAAATCCCACTTGGTCATGATGAATTATCTCTTTTATGTGTTGTTGAATTCAATTTGCTAGTATTTTACTGAAGAATTTTGCATCAATATTTATCAGACATACTGGTCTGTAGTTTTCTTTTTTATATTTTGATGTATCTTTAACAAAAAACTGGCTATAGAAGGGACATACCTCAATATAATAAAAGCCATATACAGCAGAACCTTAGCTAGTTGCATACTGAATGGGGAAAGCCTGAAAGCCTTTTCTCTGAGATCTGGAACATGACAAGGATGTTCACTTTCACCACTGTTATCAAACATAGTTCTGAAAGTCCTAGCTAAGGAATCAGTAAAAAGAAAGAAAGAAAGAGCATCAAAATTGGAAAGCGGGAAGTCAAATTATCCTTGTTGGCAGATAATACAATCTTATAGTTGGACTCCACCAAAAAACTATTAGAAACTATTAGAATTGATAAATAAATTTAGTAAAGGTGTTATCTATAACTTTCAAACAAAAATTGGAGCCATACAAGAGTTAAGCTCACACAACTTGCAATTGTCAGAATTGATGCTATTAAATATGCTCTACTTTGAATGTGTGTGACACATGGTTTCTCTTTCTCTTTCACTTGAGAGAGATAACTGTATCTTAGATACATTACTTATCTATCTTCTCCATATTATCTGGTGTAGTCCTGGACACACAGACATCCCAGGGGGTGGACACTTGATGTGCTTCCCAGATCCTCCAACAATGAAGGACTTGGTGCTCTAAGAGGTGAGAATGTTGTCAGCCCCTTCAGAGACTGCCCCAGCTACAGAGCGGCCATAACCAACCACACACCCTCCAGAGGGTTGCCTGGATAAAATGACCGCTCCATATAGAAGGCCTGGCCAAGTTGGCCCGAGTCTGGACAACAATGAAGGGCTCTGATAGCTTCAGAGCTCCCCATAGGGTTGGTGGAGGCTGCTATTGAGATTACTTTGCCCATCAACTTCTCCCTGCTGCTTCCTGCTTCCTTCCCCTTCCTTCAACAGATGTGGACTCCATGGACACTCCTTAATAAACATCTTGCAAGCTAAACTGCTTCTCAGAATCTGCTTCCCAGAGAACTAATCCTGTATAATCCCACTGATACGTTTGGTTACATATGTACATATTGAATAAAGTTTATTTTACCTAGTAATTTGGGTAAAATATTAGCTCCTTGTCACAAATTTCCAAAGTGCAGAGACGGACTATTTTAATTGTGCTTGCAACTTTTATCTCATATTGTATGACTTTGAAAGTTGTTGAGAGCATATTTTATAAATAATCTCGCTTTGGGTGTTTTAGTAGTGTATGTGTAGCGCATAAATTAGGCAGCATTCTCATACAACACATATAACAGGTACTACAGGGACAGAGGAAGATCAGCATGTATCAACAAAAACCACACATTTTATGATTAACACAGAGGATGATATGGAAAGTTGAGTATACCCTCCCCTAATTTTTTCCCCGACTCTACAACCGTGCTGTGATGTTCCTGGCTTTGCGTGAGTTAACTTACTTGGGAGTACCAGAAAAGAAAAGAGGCTTTTCAGCGTAGGATTGTTTGTTTATTTGTTTGTTTGTTTAAGAGATAAGATCTCACTCTGTTGCCCAGGCTTGAGTGCAGTGACGCAATCATAGTTCACTGCAGCCTTGAACTCCTGGGCACAAGCAATCCAATTCTCCCATCTCGGCCTCCTGAGTAGCTGGAACTAAAGGCATGTGCCACCATGCCCGTCATGTTGTTTTTCCTTGTTAAAACCACTGAAGCCATCTTCCTGGTACCCATGATGAGATCACTCCTCTACTTGTCTTCTTGTTGCTTATTCTATCATCTCTGCACCTCCTGCTTTCCAAGAATTCACTGGCTACTAGATAGCCTTCTGCTATTTTCTAGTATCCTTATGTGCTCTCAAAATATGTGATACATAAGCAAAACACTGTTAACCATCACGAGAGGTTAGATTAACAGCTTCTTTCTTTTTTGTAGTTGCAATCTTTCCTCTCTCCTTCTACCATTTTTTTATTTGTTTTTAATGAAAAGAGGCTTCTAAGCATTTATTTTCACTACCTCTTCAAGAGCCACAAAAATCAAAAGTACTAAGAGTAATATTTTTAACTTTAGGAGCCCCAGGCAACCTTTCAAATAGATGACAAGCTTACAGTCAATAAAGAGGAATTTTAACCACATATCTCATGGATACAATGATGAACACTTGTCCCTTTTTACAGTCAGGAAGTAGAATCATCAGACCTCAAGTCAAAGTCCACATTTAAATCCCAAACACTCAGCTTCCTATGACGCATGCAGACATCCTTGCCCTTTGAACATACTACATCCCATAATAGTTGTTTTGCAGTGAATGCGCATTTCCTGGAGAATTGAGGTTGCCTCCTGGCCTTCCAATGTCCTGTGCTTCACTTCTATAATAGGTACATATGCATGGGCAAAGCTGTTGCCTTTGAGTTTTCACTGCCCAAGCTCAGGCAGGAACATAAGTTATCAGGATAGCATCCTAAAAGCACCTCTATTTCTTCCTGTTGGCAGTACATGCCAGAAAACTAAATTTTATGTTGTTTCATCTTATTTTTGGCAAGTTCATTCTGCAAAAGATATATCTTAACAGTAGCCAAGCACAAGCAATCAAACTCAGACTTATTATTTTCTTAATCCCGCATCACCCCTCAATATGGCCATTTTGGCCAGATTAACCCTGTGATTACATGTCTACTTGCGTTCTGTTTATTGGTTATTGTCTCAGTACATCTGCAATTTTAAGATTCATTACATTATCTTTTGCTTGTCTCTCCTATTCACCTGTCCGCAGTCTGTGTTTCACCTTTGCCCTCACCTGTCATCAGCCTGTCTCCCAAAAAAGGCCCCACCATTGTTCTGTTGCAAAATTCTATTTGGTCAGCTGCCTCATTACCTCTATTCAGGTCTTTTTCCTCTCCCCATATGCTCCAGTTCTCTGTTCCTGGATATGCTGGGTATAACTGGCACTCACTACTGAGTACAGGTACCCCTTATATGTGAGAGTCCTGGAGGCACCCAACCAATCTCACTATGGTCCTCAGTCAATGACTGAAATTGAGCTGCATTTCTTCATGGAGAAGTGGGAAGAATACCTCTTTCCCAATTTTAGCATGGCTGTATTCCACACAAGCATAAGACATTTATGTTTGTGTCTCAATCATTTACAAAGTTTATAGTGAAGTAGCTCTTTTAGGTTATAACTTACACTGCTTACTTTCCCCACCACCTATTAGCAAAAGAATGAGCCCATGGGACATTTGAATAGGAGACCAATCTGAGTGAAACTATTTACATGCAGATAGGTAACACCCAAAATTCTTCTTGGTAAAGCCAAATGCTGATGAACAGTGGCCAAACTCATTAGTTTAGCTCTCTTCCCCCCTACCCAGCTTTAATGAGGTATAACTGACAGTAAAAATTATATATATTTAAGATGTACAACATGATAATTTGATATATATACATGGTAAAATGGTGACCACAATCAAGTTAATTAACATATCCGTCACCTCACATAGTTACCATTTTTTTCTTTGTGGTACAAACACTGAAGATCTACTCTCTTAGCAAATATAAAGTATACAATACAGTATTAACAACTACAGTCTCTATGTTGTCCATTACATCCCCAGAACTTATTCATCTAATAACTGAAAGTTTATACCGTATGATCTTAGCTCTTTCTTTTATGGTAAGTCTCAGACTAGGCCTACTCCTGCGGGAGACTAGAGGAAATTCCTGAGCAGAAAGTGGAGTAGAGCAGGTAGATCTGAATAGAAAGTTAGCATGAAAGAAGTCATAGGGGCCTAAGAAGAAGGAGCATTGGGGAAGGGGACATGGTATGAGGACAGAAGCAGAATTATCATCAAGAGACTGCAAAGCACATATCAGTCATAACTGCCACAGAATAAGGCTCGTAGTCCTATTGTGGCTATTTACATAGGCATTTCTGCACATAACCTCTGTCAAGGGTACATGTTGGCTGTTCTCAGCACCATCGGACAGAACAAACCATTACCACTTGCCTCTCCATGTGTGAGGACCTCCCAGCAGAAATACTGCTTACCTGTGCCATGAGATTTGTTTAGTACCCCGGTGCTGTCTGGGTACCTTTCTCTAAGCTTCCCAGGAAATTCCTAAGGTCTGGAAACACAGGATAGTGTTCTTGACCAGTAGTGGTTTCGAAGAGAATTTTCATTCCACTTCCAGCCTCTGCATTTGGGTAGAACAAGACCACAATAAAATGAATTCCATTACACAAATATTACTTACAAATTCTGATCCTTCCTGAAGTGACTGGGAATATTGTATTTCTCTTTTGATTTGGAAAGAGTTGATATTTCTTCTCACCAACCTGCACTAAGTTCTGTTTGAACTGAGAATCTTTTACATTGGCTTTTTTTTTTCCCCAAAATCTGAAGTAGTGGTTCTTTTGACCTTACCGTTAACTGAAAGGAGAACAATTGGCTATAAAAGTAAGTGCAGCGTCTCTAAGAAATCCAAGTGTTTAGCAAATCAAATACAACATAAGGCACTTTAAGGTTTTATTAAAATCTCATTTATTGGCAAGAGTTGCTTCTTTCTGAAGAGTTCTAGTCTGCCTCTCAAGACTTAATCTGATGTTTTCCATTTGTTTTATAGTATGTTTTTTACCCTTTTCCTCACACAGTTCTCATACCTTTATGAAACTTTTCCCTTATGACTCTACTTCAGTGTCGTCTTCCCAGAGAACCCAACCAGTGACATCCTGAAAGCATACGCTGTGAGCTTTGTGAGAGCTGGGACTTAACGGCAGTTTTGTTCAGGGCTCTGTTTCCAGTGTCGTGCTCTGCAGATGACATAAAGCAGGCACTGGATAGGAATGTTGAATGTTGAATGAATGAACAGCATCCATGCTTATGGTCAACAAACCTAGTGGCCTCTGAGTATCATGATAAAGAGCACTTGCTCTGGAATCTGACCATGTGAGTTCAGTTTGGCTCATTTGCTTCCCAGGTTGTAACATTGGATGAGTTCATTAACTTTTCTACTCTTTTATTTTTTCATGTGTAAAATTGGAACCATAGTTGTATCCACAAGATAGTTTTTCTTAAATTTGTATTGTTTTATCTTGTTTTTGAAGATTAAATGAATTGTGAAGCACTTAGGAGAACACTGAGCAGATAGATGTTCTGAATTAAAGTCAATGATACTACACAGTATGAATGTTTATGGTGGCAGAGTGCTCATTATCTGATTAGGTGATTCTTACTAGTTTTAGAAGTTTTCATTTCTAGAATGACCTTTCTGCCCTCTCCATCAATATACTTTATTATAGAAGTCTGCTCATTCTCTTTAAAACACTTAATGGTCTCTGAAATAAACTTGCTTTACAAAATCAATATGGAGGGAACTTTTCCATCTTGTTTAGTGTTATATGCCCACTTTAAGAAGAATAGTTAACATCTAATAGTTGTTTAATAAATATTTATTTAAAGAATGCATTGAGTAAATTGTTTAAGTTTTATTTTTATGTTATGGCAAATTTGACCTCATAATTGTATCTATCAGTTCTATCTCAGCTCTGTGGAGCAAAAGATAATGGCTTTAATGCCTTTTATTTTCTTTTTAGCTATTCACATTTTTATTTGTTATTTTTAAAAATTATTCTCAATTTTTTGGTGTACATAGTAGATGTATATATCCTTATGGGGAACATGTGATATTTTGATACAGGCTTTAATGCCTTTTCTATATGACAATTTATTGGACATTTGAAGAAATGATCTTTCCTTTATTTCTCTATTCTTTATGTTTTCCTTATGATTGTGTGTGTGGTGGGTGGGGGTAGGTAATGGAAGATAATATGAATATAGAAAAAGACATAGAGAATTCCTAAGATGGGGCAGGCGTGGCGGCCCATGCCTGTAATCCCAGCAATTTGGGAGGCTGAGGCAGGCAGATCACATGAGGCTAGGAATTCAAGACTAGCCTGGCCAACATGGCGGAAACCTGTCTTGACTAAAAACACAAAAATTAGCTGGGCATGGTGGCACACACCTGTAATCCCAGTTACTTGGGAGGCTGAGGCAGGAGGATCACCTGAGCCAGGGAAGCAGAAGTTGCAGTGAGCTGAGACCACACCACTGCACTCCAGCCTGGGTGACAGAGTGAGACTCTTTAAAAGAGAGAGAGAGAGAGAGAGAGAGAGAGAGAGAGAGAGAGAGAAAATTCCCAAGAGTGAATTTCCAACTCCAAGAGCTTTAAAGTGTCATGTGAAGTCACTGAAGGAAGAAGACTTTGGAGAGTGGTGTTCCAGTAATAATATCCGGCCCTTAGAATAGTCTCCTAAACCACAGAAAAATATATGCCAGAAGAGTATCTAATTCAAGAAAGAGGAAGATATGTAACCCAAAAAATGCAGTCAGGTCTGCCATACGGAAGCAAATAGATGGCATCCATATGGCAGACCTGGAGAGGACAGAGGGTCTCAGGGGGGAAGATGTACTAGTCATTTACCTATGGGTCCTTGGCTCCAGATCCATATTCCTGTACTCAACTTTGTGATGCTTAGGTTAGGACTGTACAAATTGTATTTCAGAGACCTATTTTTCAGCACTAGAGAAATATTAGGAGGTAAAAGAAGGGGAGCTGGGCCTTCCTATTTATTGCTATTTCTGTCAATATCAATCTACAGTGGCAATTCGTTTCCACATTTGGCAGCTGAATAAACACTATTGGGTAAAAATATACACCTGCTTTTTAAAAGTCATTATTAGTTAAGTTCTCCCTATCCATCCGAATAGCACACTGTTCAAAGCTCATACACCATTGCAAAGATAATTCTAAAATTTGTTTGGAACCACAGAAGCACCTGAATAGCCAAAGCAATTTTGACAAAGAAGAAAAAACATGAAATCATACTTCTTGATTTAGAATTATACTACAAAGCTATAGTGATCAAAACAGTATGGTATGGGCATAAAAACAGACACATAGACCAATGAAACATACTAGAAAGCCTGAATATCAACCCAAGCACAAACAGTTAACTAATTTTTCACAAAGTCACAAGAAAAACAAAATAAGACAAGGATAGTCACTTCAATAAATGGTGTCGGGAAAATTAGATACCCACTTGTAAAAGGATAAAATTGAATCCTTATCTAACACTAAACCTAAAAACTACTCAAAGTGGATTAAAGGCTTAAACATAAGACTTGAAACTATAAAATTCCTAGAAGAAAATATAGGAAAAAAAACTCCGTGACATTGGCCTTGCCAGTGATTTATTTGATATGGCAGCAAGATCTCAGGCAATAAAAGCAAAAATAAGCAAGAGGGACATCAAACTAAAAAGTTTCTGTATAGTAAAGGAAACAGTCAACAAAAAAAGACAACTTATTGACTAGGAAAAAACATTTGCAAACTATGTATTTTATAATGGATTAATATCAGAAAATATAAGAAACTCATACAATGGCAAAAAACAAACATGCAAACAAACAAAACCAAACAAAAAAACACACCTGATTTAAAAGTGGGCAAATGACCTGAATAGACATTTTCCAAAAAAGGCATATAAATAACAGGTATATGAAAAAGCACTCAACATCACAAATCATTAGGGAAGTGCAAAACAAAACACAGTGAGGTCACCTTACAGTTGTTAAGATAGTTATTATCAAAAAGATTAGTATTGGCAAGGATGTGGAGAAAAGGCAACCCTTGTATACTGCTGGTGGGAATGTAAATTGGTATAGTCACCATGAACAACAGTATGTATGTTCCTTAAAACATCGTAAGTAGACCTACCATAGGATCCATCTGGGCATATGCCCAAAGCTTATGAACTCAGTATGTCAAAGAAATATGTGCACTCCCACATTCATTCCAGTATTACTCACAATGGCCAAGACATGGAAGCAACTAAAGTGTCCACTGATGATTAATGGATAAAGAAATTGTGGTATATATACATATAAATACACACATACACACAAATGTTATTAAGCCTTCAAAGAAGGGTGATCTTGTTATTTATGACAACATGGATAAACCTGGAGGACATTATGCCAATTGAAATAAGCCAGACACAGAAAGAAAAATACTGCACCATCTCATGTACCTGTGGAATCTAAAAAATGAGTAAATAGAAGCAGGGTAAAGTGGTTACACCAGGGCCGAGGAGGTGGGGGAAATGGGAATATTCTGGTCAAAGACTGAATAAGTCTAGAAATCTAATGTACAGCATGATGGCTGAAGTTAATAATACTGTATTATATACTGGAAATTTGCTGAGAGTAGATTTCAGGTGCCCTAACAACACAACACACAAAAAGGCAACTATGTGAAGACATTAATATGTACATTACTTGACTGTAAAAATCATATATATATATACACACGCACATATATGTATATATATATATACACACACCATGACTGTATACAATTTTTATTAAAAAATAAAGTAGCAATATGTGGGGGAGAAAGGCTCATCTGCTACTAGACAAGCCTTCCTTACAAACATATAGGAAAATAAAACAAGAGCTTAGCATATTTAGAAACTTTATGTTCTGCATGCATGTAAGTATATATGTATTTATTTATTTCCTTGTATTTTGATTCTAAATAATCTGAGTTGGCACCAAATTTGAGAGTTTAACTTCATAAAACATTTTATTTAAAAAACAGAGTCCATATTGACACAAATTATTTAAAAAACAAATTAATGATGGAGAGTAGACAACTCTCCCCTGCAGAAGAATTCTAAATAATTTATGTAGGTATTCCACCCTTAAAAAGGTAGAGAATAACTGTCATCTTAAGTGTGGACTGTTCATAGTGACATTTTCTCAGGGAGCACAGTATGGAAAGAGGTGGAAAAGATTAACTTTATAATAGTATGACAAACAGTATTTCAGTGAAGAGATTAAGGTAAAGATAAACGGTTATTAGTCATCTTGATCATGTGTATCCTTGATATACTGTGATGAAAATGGCACTTCATGCCTTTGGTCATTCTTCCAAAATACCATAATTTTATTCTAATTATGACTTTTTTAAAAATCAGTAAAACCTCAGTTGAGGGACATTATACAAATACCTGACGAGTATATCACCAAACAGTCAAGGTTATCAAAAATAAGAAAAAAACAAGAAAAAAAAGTTTTACTTATTTATTTTAACTTTTATGTTTAAGTTCAGGGGTACAAGTGCAGCTTTGTTACACAAGAAAAATAACTTAAAAAACAAGGTCATCAAAAATAAGAAAAATCTGAAAAAATTGTCATAACCTAAAGGAGCCTAAGGAGACATAATGACTAAATATATGATATCCTAGATAAGATCCTGGTCATGGGGAACAGACAATGGGTAAAATCTAAGGATATCTCAATAAACTATGGAATAGAAAGTTTAATCAAAAATAAGTTGAAGTCCCCAAAAATGTTTTTAACAAGAATATTCTTGCATTTGTATTTTTGTCCTTGTTACTGTTTATAATTCCCCTTTCCATGATCTTTTGTTAATTGATACATAATAATTGTACATGTTTATAGGGTGTATGTGCTATTTTGATACATGCATAGCATGTGTAATGCTTAAATCAGGGTAATTAGAATATTCATACCTCAAACATTGATTACTTCTTAGTGTTGGAAACATATAAAATCTTCTTTTCTAGCTATTTTTAAATATACAATAAGTGATTGTTAACTGTAGTTATTTACCCTAGTGTGCTATCGAACACTAGAATTCATTTCTTCTGTTTTGCTTTAACCAACCTCTCTTGTTTTCCCTTCTCTCTCTCTCTATATATATATATGTGTGTGTGTGTATATATATATATGTGTGTATATGTATATATATATATATATATATATATATATATATATATATCTCACATTTAAAGATAATTTGTTTATGCATTGGTAGACACTTAGGCTGATTCCACATCTTTGTTATTATGAATAGTGCTCAACCAACATCGGCATGCAGATTTCTCCTCAATATACTAATTTCCTTTTGTTTGTATTTATATACCCAGCAGTGAGATTACTGGGTCACATGGTAGATTTATATTAGTTTTCTGAGGAACCTCCATACCGTTTTCTATAGTGGCTGTACTAATTTACATTTCCACTGGTAGGATACTGGAGTTCCCCTTTCTCCACATCCTCATCAGCATTTGTTATTTTTTTCTCTTTTTGTTAATAGCCATTTTAACTGCAGTAAATGATATCTTATTGTGTGTTTCATTTGCATTTTCCTAATGATTAGTGAGGTTGAGTATTTTTTCATATGCCAGTTGGCTATATGTGTGTCTTCTTTTGAGAAATGTCTACTCGGATTATTTACTAATTTTGTAATTGGATTTTTTTTTTTTTTTTTGCTATTGAGTGTTGGAGTTCCTTATATATTTTTGTTATTAATCCCTTGTTGGATGGATCGTTTGCAAGTATTTTCTTCCATTCTATAGGTTGTTTCTTCACTCTGTTGATTGTTTTCTTTTTTCTTGCACAGAAGCTTTTCAGCTTAATGTAATAGCATTTGTCTATTTGTCTATTTTTGTTTTTGTTGCCTGTGCTTTTGAAGACTTTTCTAAAAAACTTTTGCCCAGGTCAATGACATGAAGTGTTTCCCCAATATTTCCTTCTAGTAGTTTCAGAGTATCAGGTCTTCATTGAAATCAAGTCTGTAATTCATCTTGATTTTATTTTTATATACAGTGAGACATAAGAGGTCTAGCTGATCATCTCAATAGACGCAAAAAAGCATTTGAAAAAATTCAACATCACTTCATGATAAAAACCCTCAACAAACTAGGTATAGAAGGAGTGTGCCTCAATATAGTAAAAGCCACATATAGCAAACCAGTGGCTAGTATTATACCAAATGGGGAAAAGCTGAAAGATTTTTACCAAAGAACTGGAATAAGACAAGAATGCTCACTCTAACCACTCTTATTCAACATAGTACTGGAAGTCCTCGCCAGGACAATTAGTCAAGAGAAATAAATAATGAGCATCCAAACTGGAAAGGAGGAAGTCAGATTATCCCTTTTTGCAGAAAACACAATACTTTTATATTGAAAATCCTAAAAGCCCCACCAAAAAAACTTTTAGAACTAATAAACAAACTCAGTAAAGTTGCAGGATACAAAATTAACATACAAAATTGGTAATATACCAACCACAAAGAAGCAGAAAAAGAAATTAAGAAAGGAATTCTATTTATAGAAGCTACAAAATAATAGCTTCTATTTATTTATTATTCTAGGTATAAATATTTCTAGGTATATTTATACCTAGATATATCTAGGTATATTTATTTCTAGGTATATTTACACCTAGAAATAAATTTAACTAAGTCGGTGAAAGACCTTTATATGAAAAACCATAAAATGCTGATGAAAGAAATTGAAGAGATCATAAAAAATGGAAGATATCTTGTGGATTGAAAGAAATAATATTGTGAAAATGACCATACTACCAAAATCGATCTACAGATTAAACGAAATTTCTATTAAAATACCAATGATATTCTTCAAAGAAATAGGAAAAAAAATCATAAAATGTAAATGGAACTAAGAAAGATAGCAAATAACCAAAACAATTTTGAGGGAAAAAAAAAAGAAGTTCATGAATGCCTTTTGTATGGTAGATGAGTGTGTTTCCTTTCCTATTGACTTGCCACATGACTTGTCTTGACTAATGGAATTGAGAAGAGTTTGTGTGCATGATGTAGCTTAGCCCCATTAGAACCACCATTAAAACAGAGAATATATTTTAGGTCTCTATGCCTCTATGTCTCTATGCCTTTCCTCCCTTATGGGGAGAAAACTAATCTAAAATGAAAGAACAGATACAAGGGATCAAAATAATCCTGGCAGTATTTGAATCCCTAAGGCCAGGTCTTTCTAAAGACAGCTACATTCCTATCCACAAATCAATCAATCAGTAAGACGTAAGCAAATAAATAGCAAAAAACAACAAAAAAGCTATCTATGGAGTGTGATGGATATGTCAATTTGCTTGACTGTAATAATAATTTCACTTTGTCTGTATATATCCCAGATATTGGTTATTCCTCTTGCCTGCATTCCAGAGTGAGAAAACAAGTGGAGCTGAACTGAGCCAAGTCTAGCCAAGCATCATTGAACTCATTGGAGCTACAGCCATATCGTAGCCTTCATGTAATATGAGTAAGAAATAAATGTTTGCTCTTATAAAACACTGAGATAATAGGAACATTTATTATTGCGACAAAAGAAGATTAACACACTTGTTGATAACTTTTCAAAAACATTTAGTTCTTGTACCGTCTCCTTCATAAAACTTCCTCTAAGTGTTTCTGTGACTCATCTATAGTTTCCATATTTAGCAAATAAAAATGGAGGACTCAAAGCTGGCATTTAAAAATATGTATAGCTCAACTTCCTAACTTGATTATAAGCTCTTTAAAGTAGGATCCAATCTTATTCATAACATCCAGCAATATATATTGGACTTCTACTGTTCCAAGCATTTTTATTAGACATTGGAGATGTAATGGCATGTGAAAATAAACAGAAGTTTTATACTCTTTAAGCTTTTAAACTACTGGAGGAAACAGAAATTAAGCAAATAATCAACAAAATAAATGTCAAAGTGTAGTTCTAACCAATGTTATTTAAAGATACCAGGTGCATGGTCCTCTGAGAAACTGTGTATGGGAGACCTGATCAAGTCAGGAAGGTAAGGAAAGGCTTCCCTAAAGGAGTGAGGTGATTTCTCAAGTTAAGAGGCAGAAAGGTCAGACAGAATAGTCCAGCCTCTGCAAATTCCATAGATGGAAGTTAGCAATGTGTCTGAAGAAGAAAGACTAAAGTTGCTATGAGATGAGATTGAAGAAGTAAATAAGGACAGCCATGGTATCTCCCTAATGATAAACGCAGTCCCACATGCTTAGTGTGTGTCCAACAAATAATCATGACCATATATGGCTTGACTTAGGTATATTGAATGCCTGTGGCTGATAGGATTACAGACAGAAAAAACACATAGTCGCTATCTTCAAGGACTCTCTCTCTCTCATACTCTATCTGCTAGAAGCTATAATAGTTCAGCAACCATCAGTCATAGTTGAGTTCTAAGTGACAAAAAGCCAGCTGTCACTGATTTATTCAAAAGAAGAAAATCACTTTATTGACTAATGGAATACAAATAAATATTAAACAACCAAGCTACAGGAAGGATAGGAGTGTGGCTGTCTTTAGAAAGACCTGGCCTTAGGGATTCAAATACAGCCAGGATTATTTTGATACCTTGTATCTATTCTTTCATTTTAGATTAGTTTTCTCCGCATAAGGGAGGAAAGGTATAGAGACATAAAAGTTAAAATTGAGAGATAAGTATGAACACTCCAGTGGAAAAGAGGTAGAAAATCTGAAGACGAGTGAAATTATGGGGTCTGAAAAGCCAAAATACATTTATTGTTTGAGGAGTGTATTTAAGAGAGTATAGTAGGTGAACTTAGAGATAATCTAGAGTTACATCATGATAAACATTATTACCTGACTAAAGGAAGTTAAACTTGATGCCAAAGGTATCTAGTCTTCATCATTAGTTTTCTTAATTTTTCTGGGCTAAGGTATTCTCATTTGCACAATGAAAGATGTATTGGACATACTTTGCTCAGTGCTGCTTTACTTGAAGAATTAATCTTTCCCTACATCATGTGGTGATGGTGCAACTGTGAAATATCACCACTCCATCACCCAACTACAGGTATAACCACATGGCTCAGGGGGGACAATCAAAGTGCTTCATCCCTTTAGCCATAGAGACTTTTCAGAGATAAGAAACTAATCTGAGCAAGGCCATTCAGAGACATATTATGAGATTTGATATGAGCATGTCAGAGAAAAGGGATTTTCTAACTTTTTGAGGGAAGCTGTAAGATAGGCTAATGGCTGCTTCAGTGGCCAAGGAAGAATAAACATGAAGCCAAAACACAAAAGAAAGCACTGTAAAGGGAAGGAAAGAGAGTTATATCTAAGTCCTTGGATCTGTCCATGCCTGAAGCAATAGCCACTGGTGGACTTCCTAGCTGTATGAGCTAATTATTTTCCCTTTTTTCTTAAATAGTATGAGTTAAGTTTCTTAAAATTAAAATATTTTTGATTAAAATGGAGGTAATTCTTTCTGCTCACAGGGTTATTGTAAAGATCAGATTTATAAGAATCTGGCAAGGCTGGTGGCCCATACCTGTAGTCCCAGCTACTCTGGAGGCTGGGGCAAGAGGATCGTTTGAGCCCAGGAGTTTGAGCCTGCAGTGAGCTATGATCATCCCACTGTACTTCAGCCTGGGTGACACAGTGAGACCCTGTCTCAAAAAAAAAAAAAAAAAAAAAAAAAAGAAGGAAAGAAAAGAAAAAGAAGAATAAATATATAATTCATTGTAAGCTGTAAAGAGCACCTGAGTCATTATTTGACTTTTAACAAATTCCTTTGGCCACAGAGAAAATAATAAAAACAATTATTCTCATGAAATAGTGGTAAGTTATACTTTTCATGAAATAAACTACAGTAATAGATTTTTGCATATGCTGTGATTTGGAATCATAAATGATCCTAATTGCCTCTGTGTTGGGCTTTGTCTAAATACTATACTTTGTTTTTACTGGTATTTGAAGCCAGCAAGTAATATGTTTATTCAAACACTTGTGGCCAAATATCCTTAATTACTTTCTGAAACAGTTTCTGAATAGGGAGACTGGTCAATTATTTTTCTTTAATATGATTATTATAATAAAGCTATGGACATGTTTTTGCAGTCAAGCTTCCTCAGAGATGTTTATAATGATTCAATCACAAACTAAATCTCTATGTTTCCTGCTTTGTTGTTGTTGTTGTTAGGGAATTAGGGGATTCCCTGGTATAGCAGTGTCTTTGTTACATCCACTTCCTATCTTACCTCTTTTCTGAAATATTTCAAGTTCTCCCTGCCAGTGCACCAGGAGTAAAAAGTCCTATTTATATTGTTCCTCACTGTGTATGTCATTGCTTCTATCATATTCTGGAACGCTTATGGTACCATACTTAGATTCAGGATGGCCAGCATTTCCAGCCATTGATGACATTATTAAGAAACAGAATGATAAACTATGGCTGAATCATTTACAATGCTAGGTGTTCCTGGCAATAAATCTCTTATGACAATGTATCTGAGGCTGGGCACGATGTCTCACACCTGTAATCCCAGCATTTTGGGAGGCCCAGGCAGGTGGATCACTTGAGGTCAGGAGTTCGAGACCAGCCACACCAACATGGTGAAACCTCATCTCTACTAAAAATACAAATTAGCTGGGTGTGGTGGCACATGCCTGTAATACCGGTTACTTGGGCGGCTACGTCAGGAGAATCGCTTGAACCCGGGAGGCGGAGGTTGCAGTTAGCCGAGATCACACCATTGCACTCCAGCCTGGGCAACAAGAGTGAAACTCTGTCTCAAAAAAAAGAAAAAAAAGAAAATATATCTGATATATTCCAGAAATGAAAACTACCCTCAATCTGTCTGTATCCGATGTGTTTTTCCCTGGTATTTCCTTAGTAAGCTGCCTGGATGGAATGCGTAAAACAATAACAGCATTGCTTTTTCACGTAAAAGTTTGAAATCTTCCCTTCAAATACAAAAATATTTTTCACAGTCTTTTTTATTAGAAAGTCACCACTGCAGTGAGGCGAAAACATACATTCTGAGAAGTTACAGTAGAAATGACAATTTACAAAACAAACTGTGCTATGATTTGCATAATGTGTAAACTATACTAAACCATGGCATGCAACACAAACTATTTAAGCTCAAAATGTTTTAATGTCATCTTATTCAGACCCACACTTTCCAAGATAAAACCATAGATAAGTGGCTATACCCTCAGTCTGAACTCATGTGTTTCAGAGAAAAGACTATTACCTGTTCTACTAATTTCCCTGTTTATCGATTCTGAACAACACCTGCCCAGACCATGCTCACTAACTTTATTCTAAAACCACTTTGTCTGCCTTCTCCCGACCAAAAAACCTAGCAGTACCTTTCCCTAAATTTTCCCCATGAGAACTATGGGTACTCTGGTAAATGTTCTGTTTTCCCTTGTTCAGTCAACTTAATAAACTAAGTTTTGTGTGGTTAGCAGATCCCTGATGATCTTTTCATGGAAGCTTGTGTCATTCACACATGATGACATTGCTTTCTTCATCATCCATCATGGTACCCACACTGTGTTCTTTGCTCCTAGAACTTAAATACTTGGCCCTAGGGATATATTTGTCTCCTGTTAGATGTTGAACAGGTATCTGAGAAGAGATAAAGACTAGGTACTTATTCTTGTTCAAACTCAGTATTTATTGGCTGACTTTATATCTATCTAAGGACAGTCAAAACCGGGTGGTAGCCAACCACTTTGCTTTTGAGTGATGACTCTGGTTCTGCAGAATCTATGAAATTGAGTCACAAAAGACAATGATGTGCTTATATTCTCAATCACTAGACTCTGGTTTTTCTTTTTCTTATATGATGCTACCAATGCCAGAGGCTGAAACAAGGACAAATGTGCAGAGGTTGCATATCGCCACACAGCTGGAAAATGGCTTTGACAAGCACACAAAGTATTCTTGCTGTGGATAATTTCCTTTCAACATAAGTAATATGTGTCCTCCATCATGACCTGTGTGAGGTTGGACTACATGATTGTTAGGTCTCTTCAAACCCAAGACTACTTTATGTTATAAAAATTTCAAAGTAGGTAAACTTTGGCCTTAGTCATTATTCAGCCCATCTTTTTTCCCTGCTCTTCTGACATTGCTTCTGTTTGCTACCTTTCACTAGTGTTCATTGATGGTTTTAGTGTATTCATGTTGTCCTCATTTACCCAAGATCTTTATTTTAGGCCTGTTGCCAAGAGCCAAACTTCATTCTCACACATGTGATTTTATTTCCTGTGTTAGAACCAAAACAATCAGAATTCAGTTTTTAATAGATGAAAGTTACAACTCCAAAAGAAATTTGACTTCATCAGGACCTTCCTGAAAGAAATAATCACTGAACCAAAAAATGGATGTCCATGTATCATTTATATAGCAGTTGCCTACCTTACATATACAGTATATCAGGTTAGAGCTGTGCAATAGTATTTTATAATTTACATTATGAGCATGGATCAATGGTAGAGTCAACAATCCTACCTTTCAATCTGTTGCCTCACAGGCATTTGTTGGACACATTTAAAAACTAGCTGACTTATATTAAACATAATTGTGTGCTAAACTATATATTTGGCCTTCTTATCTCATTGAATTGAATGAGATAAATCTAGAAAGAAAGATTTTATAACTCCCATTTTGTAGGTTTTAAGAAGTTAAGTAACTTACTCTATATCACATATTTGGTAAATGTTAGACTTTGCTCTCAAGCTTTCAATTTGGCTGAGTAAATAACAATATTCACGGAACAGTTATAAAATAACATGAAAACACAAAGCAAGTCACAAGGCACTATTAATTGCACCCACGTAATTTGGGAACTCTATTATCAATTTTCTGAATTAAAATAAAGGAGGTATTATTGTGAGATGGACTGTATTTAGAAAGCTTCCTAAAAGAGATGGATAATTACACTGGGTTGTGAAATATGTACAATGGCAGAATGTTTGTCGAAGGGAGGAATTTCAGAGAACACAGGAACAATACATTATTGGAAAGAGAAACTAGTAGGAGCACTGACAGATTATCAAATTACCGAGAAAATTTTCAATGGCTAGTGAGGCCTTGAATGAGGGATAGGGGAGGGAGAAATCAAAACTAAATAGCTATTAGTGTTGAGGGAGCTGTGAGGTGGAATTTGTGGCCACACTCCCCTTTCCCTCCATGAGCCACTTGGTCTATAAAAAGACTGGCAACTAAGGTTTATTCAAGCGGAATTCATTGGTATCCACACTAAGAGTTTTAAAAGCCACATTGTGACATACAGAGAATTTGGATGGATGGCCTGACAACAGGCAAACATCAAGGAAATTTATTTGTTTATTAGTTGGTCAGTTAGTTTGTTTGTTTGAAAGTTGCCTTTCTCTGTCTTTTGACAGATAAAAAGATGGGAACATATATAACTGAGAGTAAGAGAAAGAAAAAATTAAAATTCGCCTACAATGTGGATGTGGTAAATGAGAAGGAAACTGATATGTTTTAAGTACCTAATGTGAGCCAGAAACTGTACTATTTTTTTTTTTTACACATTGATTCACTTAATCCCCATAACAACCATAAGAAGTAGATGTTACTTAAAGAGGGGGCACTAAAATTTAAGGGATTTTTTTTTTTTTTTTTTTTTTAGTTATACTTCAAGTTGAAGAAAGAATTTACAGAAGTTTAATACCTGGCCTAAAGTCATATAGTTAATAAAAAATAAAGTATTTAAACCAGTTCTCACTGATATCAAAGTCCATTGTCTCTCATTAAATGAATCTCATATTTAAAAAAAAAAAACCTTAATAATTTACTGAGATGAAGCATTCTTAGGAAATTTAATAAGCAAAATATTCAGATAAAAATTAGTATTTAAGTCAAGCATTTCTGTGCAACACATCAACCCAATAAAGTGGTTTAAAACAACAAATTTTCTTTTTTTTTCTTTTTTTTTTCTTGAAATGAGGTCTTATTTTGTCTCCCAGGCTGGAGTGCAGTGGCTCTATTACCAGAAAGGGGTCCTGAGCCAGACCCCAAGAGAGGGTTCTTGGATCTCACACACTCTATGACTCCATAGAGTAAAGTGAAAGCAAGTTTATTAGGAAAGTAAAGGAAGAGAGAGGGGCTACTCCATAGGCTAGGCAGCAGCATAGGCTGCTCAGCTGCTTATACTTACTGTTACTTTTTGACATATGCTAAACTAGCAGTGGATTATTTATGAGTTTTCCAGGAAAGGGGTGGGCAATTCCCAGAACTGAGGGTTCCACCCCTTTTTAGACCATACAGGGTGACTTCCTCATGTTGCCATGGCATTTATAAACTGTTATGGTGCTAGTGGGAGTGTCTTTTAGCACGCTAATGCATTATAATTAGCACATAATGAGGAGTGAGGACAACCAGAGGTCACATTTGTTGCCCTCGTGATTTTGGCTGGCTTGGGCTGGCTTCTTTACAATATGCTGTTTCATCAGCAAGGTCTTTGTGCTCTGTACCGTGTGCGGACCTCCTAACTCATCTGCAACTAAGAATACCTTAACCTCCTGGGAACGCAGCTGGCTTCAGCCCTATTTTACCCATCCCCTATTCAAGATAGAGTAGCTTTGGTTTGATCGCCTCTGACAGCATGATTTTGGCTCATTGCAGCTTTGACTTCTCCCCGGCTCAAGTGATCCTCCTGCCTCAGCCCCCCAAGCAGTTGGGACAATAGGCACATGCCACCACACCCAGCTAATTTTTGTATTCTTCTTGTGTGTAGAGATGGGGTTTGCCACATTGCCCAGGCTGGTCTTGAACTCCTGGGCACAAGCTATCTGCCTGCCTCGGCCTCCCAAAGTGCTGGATTACTCGTGTCAGTCACAGTGCCCTGCCCAACAACTTTTAATTATCTCTCATGCTTCTCTATCAATTAGGTCCTCAGCTGAGTCGTTCTGCTATATTGCATCAGATGTCAGCTGGTTCTGCAGTCATCTGGAGGCTCTGCTGGTAGAACTCCCAGCACACTTCACTCAAATGGCTGGCTGCAGCTGGTGCTAGTTATGGTCTGGGATCTCAGATGAGGCTGCTAAGCCGAATGTGTTGTTACTCCTTTACATCGTCTCTCCACATGGCTTGAACTTCTCACAGCATGCCTGCTGGATTCGAAGAGATGGCATTCAAGTGCTTAAAAATGTAAGCAAATCTCTTAATATTCAGTCTTAGTATTACATAGGGCTTCTACTGCCATATTCTCTGGTTGAAAACAATCATTGGATCAGCCCAAACTAAAGGGGTAGAGAAAGAAATTCCACTTCTCAAGGAAGGAATGACAAGTTTTGGGCCCTTTTTAATCAACATCCAAGTAAGCTGCTTGTGATGAAAGTGAAGGTGGGGAACGGAAAAAGTGGGAAGGTAAAGATCAAAGCAAAATGCTCCAGAGTCCTTAAAAAGCTAACCGTGTAAGCTTGGATTCCAAGAGAGAGACTCCAGATGGAGCTAGGAATAGAAAGATTTCCTAGTAATTGGGAGCAAGGTAGATGAACATTTACAGTTTCTCCTAATTTCTGTAGTCAGGCTTCAGGTACAAACTTAGGCTAATATGTTGTCTGTTAATTATATGTATTTCTTAATCATATATTGGCTGAGGAGATACCTTGGGAGGGTTGAGAGGGAAGATAACTGAGAGATGGTGATATTGCTAATACTACCGATATACGGGACCCCTCTGCAATTACATCTTTTAGTTAATTTCATGTGTATATATTCAGCCATTGACAGTATAATCTGTATCCTCTGTGGGTAGGAGCCACAGCACTGTATTTATTTCGCATTCTCAATCACGCCTACAGATTCAGTTCATTCAGACTGTTGTAAAAATAAATGCGGCTCAAAAATGCAGCTCCCCCATGTAACCTCCTAGGCAAAAAGAGACAGAATAAAATCAGCCAACCATTTTTTCACAAAGATTGCTGCCTAGTAATTTCAGGGAATAAACTTTTAGTTAATACCGTAAGTGCAGAGGCCTGCAGCATACACCCAGGTGAAAAGTTTCACCCCACATTGACCTGTCTTAGGGAGAGGCAAGCACTTGCTGAAGAAGCAAGTTCTCATTACTAATTAGTAATTCATTATTGCATGGTTTCAAGGGAAACTTATGACCTGTTAAGACTAAAAATGAACACAATCATTAATGTTTCCATCACTTTGGAATAGGAAACAATTTCAGTCTAAAGTGCATGATTTCTGGAATGTATTTCTCGATGCTTCTGTTTTTTGTTATAATATTTCTTGAAAGCCTGGTTAAAAAAATAAAAATAGCTATGTTTAGCCTAAAATGATTACTTTTCTCTGCCATTGACAATGAGGTAGCATTTACTACAAAATTGGCATTACATGTTCTTTGCTATGAACATAACTTTATTTGAATCAAAAAAGTCAAGCAACAAAAGTTTAAACTCATTTCTTTGAATTTTGACAAGGGTGTAAAACTGGGATAATTTTCATTAAATGTGTTATACATTTAGCAGAGTAAAAGCAAATAAGTATTTATTCACTACTGAGAAAATTACAAATTATAATCATGTGGGATCCTAACACCGGAATAGAAAACAAGAGAATAGATTATAAGAAATAATAAGAAAAACAATTGGGATTTTTTCCCCCAGAAATCTGGGGGCAAGTGTTGCAATGAGAAAACATAAAGTTACTGATTATTGTATTTTATTGTCAAATATCATCTTAAGTCATATTGAAAATGTGGCCATCTGTTCTCCAGTGTCTTCAAAATCTAAGAATAGCCCAATCCCAATCCTTTCAAAAACATTCTAAAAACAAAGGATGAAAATTATTTATATTGGTAGAGATAGATATTTTAATTGAAATCAGTTTATAAATATATAACATTTGATAAATCTGAACACATAAACCATTTTTAACTATTATAAAATTATTGATTTCTGCCTCCAAAATTCCAGTGAAATTGTCCCTAAGCCACTAATCCCATGGTTCTATTGGTTTATGGCCTGTTTGAGACATTTTGCTTCTCTTTTCCACTCCCTCTTACAATTTTTTATTCCCTTGGCTTTGTGGGCACCTCTATGCCCTGGTAGTTTTCCTCCCCTCTGATTGCGTTCATCTGGAACGCAATCCTTTCCCTCTCCCACCTTTGTTCCACATGTCTGTTTCAAATCACCCATTCCTATTAATAAACTCATTATAACTTTTGAATCTCAGAATCTCCATCCCTGGACTATCTGAAACTCGCCATTTTAAAATTCAGTACATTATCTTCTTACAAAAAATGTTTTCCATCTCCTTAATTAATGTACCTATATAGCGGCATCACCATTTTAATAGTCTCCTTGGAAAGAAATCTAAGCCATCGAGGTGCCTCTATCCTCTCCCTTCTATGTTACTGCATCCAATATATTAAACTCTCACAATTCAGTTTCTGGCATTTGTCTTGAATTCATTCTTTCTTCTCTGACCCCATAGGGTGCCAGCCCTCCATTCAGTCTTTTTCCTCAACAATTCTGATTATTTTTTCTGTGTCTTTGCTCCCAAAAGTTGCCTTTTTTATCATCTTGGGAGCTTCCTCTTTATAATATGTACACTAGGACATAAAACTAAATAAAATCTCTCCATTTTCTAAGAAAAAACATACAGATTCCATAGAATCCGTGCAATAGCTATCAGTCACCTAATTGCTAGTTTCCTCTCCTAACACTCCCAGTCCTTTCACCTTTGTTATCTAACATTAGAGGACCATGCCAACTGAAGCCTATCTCCATGTCAATGTACATGATTTTTCTTCCTCCTGAAATATTCTAAAATTTTCCCACCTGGTAAATTTCAGATTACTCTTTAAGACCCAGGTGAAGTGTTGTTTTATCTGCAAAGAGTCTCTTAAGGAAGTTCATTCTCTCCTATTTGCTATAATATTAATTTGAACATTTCTTTATTATTACCTGATGTTGCATTGTATTTATGAAGGATGATTGTATGCATGAAGGATTATACCACTAAACTTCAGCTTCTTGAAGAAGTAGTCCATTTCTTCTTGATCTTTATATTACCAGTGCCACAAATAAGCACTAAGAATACTTAAATGAGTTACTTGCATTATTTTGCATAATGCACTTTAGTGTTTGGCAGGCCTATACTCAAAGCTCACTCTGACACTTAGTTGGGTGATTCAATTACCTAATTTCTCAAAATCACATTTGCCTCATCTGAAGACATTGGTACCTACCTCACAGAGTTGTTGTGAGAACTAACATTATATAATGCATGTGAAATACTTAGCATAGTGTCTGACACTTAATAAGTACTCAATAAATTCTGACTGCTACTATTATAAGGCTTCAGTTGAATAGAAAAGGAAGTAGAGACAGATGAAATAGAATGGTTTGGGATAAAATTGAGAAGTCAAAGGAATGAAAGCTTAATTAATTTGAGTGATCATTTTGGTAGAGATAAAGGAATGAGAATAACTGGAATAAAAGGAGGTTGTAGTGAGAGAGTGTTATAAATTATTATATTCTGTCAGCAGTTTAATGTTCTGCTCTAGAGCACTGCATTTTGATGACATGATCCAAAATACTGTCATAAGTAAGGGTAGACAAGATGGATTGTAAGATAATCAGAGTTGAGGTGAACAAGAAATTAAATGTTGTGAAATATTATTGTTGAATTTGGAAATGTTTATATTCAGTGATTGTCATAGAAATTTCAGATAGTAGATAGGCCTTGGGTTAAGAGGAATAGTGTGAATCAGTCAGCAGATTCTTTAAAATATGTTCAGGAGTGACCAAGAAATTGGTAAAGAACAGTGATGTGAATGGGTTAAAGGATGACTTATACAAGGATGGGAGTACAATGAACTGGAAAGTTAGATTTGTGACTCAATCGTTTGCTTTTGTGAAACAAGGCATACGGGAGGATGGACACTCTCTACTGTAAAGCAGGGGCTGATCACCAAGGCCCTTAAATCTGGCCTGCTGCTTGTTTTGTAAATGAAGTTTCATTGAAACACAGCAACACTCATTAATTTATACATTGTCTGTGGCTGTTTTTGTGCTGCAGTGTCAGAGTTGATTAATTGCAGCAAAAACCATATGGCCCATGAAGCCTAAAATATTTACTATGTGGCCTTTTATAGGGAAAGCTTGCTTAACCATGTTCTAGAAGTTTGCAGCCAAATCAGTGTCTTCTAATATATGCTAGGGTATAATTAATGCAAGGAATTAGAAAAGAATTTTGTGTCTAGTTGAGAACATGAAGAGGAGTTTACCACAAACAGTGGATTTCAGAAGGTCTGGTGAATTTTAAGAGAGGTAAGAAAGGAAGCAGGAGAAATTGAATGTGTCCAGGAGGAGCAGCATTGAGCAATATGAGAGTGGCTCCTAGAAGGTGGTCAAACTGAAAAGCTTATCTTTGGGGCAGTGACTAAGAATTTCTAAGCATAACTAAAGAGGCCTAATGACACCTAAAGAATCATGGTGTCAGGTTCTATAAGCGCCGGTGTAAGCTAATGCCTCAGGTGATGCCAGATACCTGACAATACAAAATTCGCCCACCCAATAATGGTGAGGCCCTGGTTGGGATCCTAAGCCTGGGGACATTACTGCATAAATAGAAGTAATTATACCAAAAACAACTTAACACCCCTAGGCTACAAGTCCTTGTATATCCCAAGGATTGCTAGACCACAAACCAAAAATGAAGACAATCATTGTATATGAGCAATCTATCATTTCATTTCACAGTATAGCATCTAGATAGATAGATGAGTGATAGAATGATCTCTCTCTACATGCAGAAATATATATCAATATATGTATATACATTATCTTATCTATCTTTAGTCATTCTTTTTCAGGTAGAGAATTCTAGATGGGGGAATTTCAATGCTCAATTCTTGAACTACACATTTTTACTTAGGACAAAGGAAAATAGGCTGTACTTTTTAGAATATAAAATATTCATCATTTCCCAATAAGCATTATAGTTACCACAGCCTGCTTAAAGTTGTTCATTGTTAACTGACATTCAAACTGTTTGGATTTCAAGTGAATTAAACTGTCAAAGCTCAGCAGTATATTTATCATCTGTGCTACACACACAAATTTATTTACCACACACTTCAAACATCTGTTACTACATTTTAATAGTAGTTGTTGACATGACAGAGTAAAAAAGTAAAATGAGTCCATTTAAAAGGTTGATTATGGTGCAAAACTGGTAAAAATGTCATGCATGTGTATATCCTTCAAAGATATCTATGAGCACAGGGAATGTGATCGGGGCAGCAAATTTAAATCCAGAGGTACAGAAACACAGTGAGCAACCTTCGGTGATATATAAAGACTCATATTTAGTTTTCATTTAAGGCCTAGATAATTCCTGAGGAGAAAATGACAATACAATGTAATTCTCTTATTGCAAAGTAATAAGAGAAATGAATATAAAGTTCTGCCTGAGGGAATGAGAAATACTTCACAAAGAATCAAATTTTTATCCTAAGAAGAATGAGTAGGAATTCACTACCCAAGAGGAGAGACTGTGTTTGGCTTGCCTTACTGTTACGATAGTAACAGAAGGAAAGTAAGAATGTGAAAGTCAGGTAATTTTTCAAAGGCATCATTGATTTTAACCATTACTCAATTTCAGATATACATTCAGTTGTGTGTTGATACAAATAATTATTTACCTATCTTTTATTGGTTGCATTCATTTATCCATTCCTTTTAAAAAATATTTATTGAACCACTGCCATGTGCGAAGTGCAGTAGTAGTCCTGGGTAAACAAAGATGTGAACCTTGGAACGTTTACTCAGGTAAAAAGACAGACCTTAGAGGGATCAGTGCAATTCCTGGAGTAATGTTACCACAGAGATGTGGTAATGTTGTAATGTGTAATGTTATCACAGGGATAGTAATGACAGAAGTTTTTCCCATTGCTAGGTGGGAAAGTCTTAATTAAGGGGATAACTTATTATAGCAAATCCACAAAAGTATAATTTTTGTAAGAAAATTTTTTATGCTCTTTTTAGGATAAATCTTTGATAGTAACCAGGCTGACAGACAAGGCAAGGAAAACTTTCTGTTTGTTGCCACTGGAATGGAAGCAATAAAGATTTTTCAAATATGTTGCATAGCATTTCAATGTGGAAAGGGAATTAGTTTAGCTAATCCATTTTACTTTTAAAGAGTTATAAGATTACTGCACTTATCCCATTCAAGAAAGAAATTATTGCTGACCTCTAAAGTCTCTTCCAACACTGACAGTCTGTTAGTTAATAACCATTGGAAATGTTAAAAATAAACAATATTAAGTTTCACCTGAGTTTATGCAGTGCTGAGGACAACGCTTTTTTTTTTCTCAGACATCAGAATGGGTTGTGGCAGAAATTCCTCTCTTATTTCTCCAAGACATCTTATCATATTTGTAAAAGTAATTAACTTCAAGTACATATTTTCTGATCATTTTGGCCATTGTTTGTAATGTAAAAAGATAAATTATACTGCTATGCTATATAAAAGAATAAAAGAAGTGGTGTTATTTTGATTGTGTATTTTTAATTTTAAAATGTAGATTATTTTAATGTTATATTCAGTAATATTTTTGAAGTTGCTTGTATGTGATTCAGTTATTTATAGCAGGCTAGGACCAGACCTAGAACAAAATCTTCCTGTATAGGAGGAACAGGCGCTGCTTATAGAAACTGAATAGCAGATGCTGAGGGGAAGGACAGTCTGAAGGACAGAATGCAGTATTCAGAGCAGTGTCCTGATAAGGAGGTTTGAGGAGGGCATAGAGACAAATTCCAACAGCAGCATTCAGGATTCCAGGAGAAACGCCTGAAGGACACCTGTCAGCAGGTAGCTCACTGGATTGCAGGCACTGGCCTGAGTTTCAACGTTAAACTTTAAGCAGGGAACCTGGAGAAGCAAAATAAGCCACAGTCTTAGAGAAGCTGGGGTCACAGACATGTCACAAAGACTTTTTAGGCACAAGAAACAATCTAAATATCCAGTTACCAGGTCTAGTATATTGGGAGGACAGTGAGTTCAAAGAAAAGCAGTAGTTCAAAGACAAGTTTTGTGGGGAATAGGGAATCCTTGTACACTCTTGGTGGGAATGTAAATTAGTGCAGCTATGATGGAAAACAGTATGGAGATTCCTCAGAAAGTTAAAAATAGAATTATTTGATCCAACAATCCCACTTCTGGGTATATATTCAATGAAATTGAAGTCAGGATCTTGGAGAGATATCTGTACTTTCATGTTCATTGTAGCATTATTCACAATAGCCACAATATGGAAAAAACCTAAATATCCCTCAACAGATGAATGGATAAAGAAAATATGGAATATATAGTGTGTGTTTACATGTATATATATATAAAATGGAATATTACTCAGCCTTAAAAAGAAAGGAAATTTGCTATTTGTGACAACATGTTTGAATCTAGAGGACATTCTAAGTGAAATAAGCCAGGATGAACACTGAATGACCCCAACTTTTATGAGGAATCTAAAATAGTCAACCTAATAGAACAAGAGACTAGAATAGCAGCTGACAGGAGCTGGAGGGAGGGAGAAATGGGGAAGTATTGGTCAAAGGGTACAAAATTGTTTTAGTCATGCAAGATGAATAAGTTTTGGATATCTACTGTACAGTGTATGGCCTGTGGTTAACAATGCTGTATTGTATACTTAAAAGTTTGCTTTCATGGATAGATCTTATGTCAAGTACTCCTGCAAAAGAAATAAAAAATAAATAAAGGAAACTTATGGAGATGATAGATAAGTTTATGGCATAGATTGTGGTCATGATTTTATGGGTGTATAGTTACCTCCAAACTTATCAAGTTATATGCATTAAATATGTACAGCATTTTGTATGTAGATTATACCTCAATAATGTGGGTATTTTTTAAAAAAAGCAGTAATATATTTATTAGGGGCTTAGTCTCTTTGAACCATGACATTTTAATTCCTTCCCTTGTCCCTTCCCTATCAACACCAGATGTCTGACGTGGAGTCCAATCAGAGGTAGTAAGTCAGTGGTTATTAGAATTGACTCAGATTCGAGTATTTTCAAACCAATATTTCTAAGTTCTCAAAATTATATTAAAAGTGTTTAAGAAAAAGGAAATTCAATTATTCATTAATAAGCATTTATAGTTCTTACACTGTGTACCAGTTATATATTAAGTGCTGAAAATAACAAGATGAATAAAACATGACATCTGTCCTTGAGAATCTCACAGTCTAGAGGACAAAAGGACCTGATAAAGTGTAATGCAGTAAGGTAAGTTCTGTTATCACAAACCTGAAGAATAACCTTGAGTTTTTTAAGGGATAGCTCTTGCTCAGAAACTCTTAATCGTTTTAATATCTCCCCATCTATTGCTAACTGAAAAAGGACTATGCTTTATCTTGCTGTCAATCCAGCACATGCCTTACCCACATCTACCATTTCCATAAGAATTCTCCCCTCCACTTCATACTCAGATTCTTGTGATCTAACCAAATTACTGGCTTACCTGTCAACCCTCAGACACAATTTATTATTTTCTGCACTTTTATTTGTGCTTAAGGAATTTCTTTCAACCTAAAATTTTCATCTTTTCCTCTCCATTTTTCAAATCCACTGAAGGTCATCAAAAATATTGTTTTCTCCTTGGAGTGTTTACTGAATTCTCCAGACAAGGCAATTTCTCCTTCCTTTAGACTGGCATAATAAATTCCATGTTTCACAGGAACTGTTCATAGACATTGAGCAGTGACTAGAGTTACACTTCAATTATTTCCATTCAAACCCTATCATAGAATCATAATTTAGGGACTCTGTGCAGGAACCATATCTTGGTGATTATTTTGTATCTGCCTTACAATACCTAACCCAGAGCCTAATATATGATAAGCACTTAAAAAATACCATGAATGCTTCAATATAATATAATTCCCCAAATAGAGTGAGCCTCCATATTCCCAATGAGAATTTTACTAATTAAATGATTTTGCCCAAGAATAATATACATTCACTTATCAGTTTAATGTTTATGAGGTTATCTAATAACTAGTTTTAATTCTTAGTTTATTAAATTAGTTACATTTACATATTTAAACCGCATATTTTAGGCTGAGCTCAGTAGCTCACTCATGCAATACTTGCACTTCAGGAAGTCTAGGGAGGAGGATCACTTGCATGCACAAGTTCGAGACTAGCCTGGGCAACATAGTGAGACCTCATCTCTACAAAAAATAAAATTAGCAAGGTGTGGTGGTGCGCACCTGTAGTCCCAGCTCTTTAGGACGATGAGGTAGGAGGATCACTTGAGCCCAGGAGGTCAAGGCTTCAGTGAGCTATAATCATGCCACTGCACTCAGTCTGGGTGACAGAGTGAGACCCTATCTCAAAACTGCAAAAATAAATAAATAGTATATCTTTTCAAATAACAAAATTATTAAGAAATGGCATGTTTTTTCATCTCACTCTTAATACATGATACAACTTACTCAAGCTCTTACACAAAACCCGCTCATCAAGATCTTTATCTTCTCTAGAGCTACATTTAAAGTCCTCGTGATCATTTCCCAGGATGCAATCTAAGCGTTTTTTGAATATGTGATTCTTATAGTCTTTGGAAATTTTATTTCACAGACATAATCAATTTACATATCTTCTAAATGGTCTTTTTTTTTTTCATTTGACCTTGGAGCATTTACTGAATTCTCCAGACAAAGGCAATTTCTATAGGTGTATACTCATAATATCAACATCATATACATCTACTTCATTTTTGAATTAATTGGTTTTATTTCTTAAAGCAGCTTTTGTTTTACAGAAAAAGCGAGTAGGAAGTACAAAGTTCCCTATAACCCCTCACTCCCTACAGTTTCCCCTATTATTAATCTCTTACATTAGTATGATAAATTTGTTACAGTTGATAAACCAATTTTATATATTATTATTAACTAAGGTCCTTAGTTTACAGGTAGGTTCACTCTATATGTTGTATATTCTATGGCTATTTTACAGGTAGATTCACTCTTTATGTTGTATATTCTATGGCTATTTTACAGGTAGATTCACTCTTTATGTTGTATATTCTATGGCTATTTTGTTCTTTAAATAGACTTTTTTTTTTAAAGCAGTTTTAGGTTCATAGCAAAATTGAGCAGAAGGTACAGAGATTTCCCACACACTCTCTGTCCCCACACATGCATAACCTCCCCAATTATCAACATCCCCCACCAGAGTGGTACATTCACTACAATTGATGAACATACACAGACACACCATTATCACCCAAAGCCCATAGTTTACATCAGGATTTACTCTTGGTGTTGTGCATTCTATGAGTTTTTGATAAATGAATAATGGCATGTATTCATCACAGTATCCTACAAAATAATTTTACCATCCTAAAACTTCCCTGTGCTCCACCTACTCCTCCATCCCTTTCTTCCATGAACTCTAGAAAACCAATTATCTTTTTAGTATCTCCATTGTTTGGTCTTTCCCAGAATGTCATACAGTTGTAATCATATGGTATGCAGCTTTTTCAGATTGGCTTCTTTCACTTAAAAATATGAAAGTAAGGTTCTGTGTCTTTTCATGGCTGGATAGTTCATTTGTTTTATTGCTAAATAATATTTCATTGCAGGTAAGTGCTGCAATTTGTTTATCCATTCACCCATTGAAGTGAACACTCTTGACTGTTTCTAAGTCTTGGCAATCAGGAATAAAGCTCCTAAAGATACTCATGTGAAATTCCTTGTATGGGCATAGTTTTTCAAAGAAATACATTTCATATTACAATGTAATATATACAATTGCTAGATTGTACCCACAGGAATAGTTATGAAATCTGATTTAATGTGTTTGCATCTTTTTTACACATTTTTCCTGTTGACCTCAATATATCTTTGAATTCAACATTAATTGAGGTTGTTTGTGGCTATGGAATCTTCACCTTGGAGTCAGAAAGTTTGTCTTATTAACTGATTGTACCATTTACAAGCTATATTATCTCATGTAGAATAATCTTTCCATATATTAGTTTATCTATATGTAAAGTGACTATATTTTAGGGTTGTTGAGAGTATTAATGGTAAATTGTAGCTATATCTATTAGAAATGATTTAAATAGGCCAGGTGCAGTGGTTCATGCCTGTAATCCGAGGGAGGCCTCCTTAGAGAGGCTGAGGCAGGAGGATCACGAGGTCAAGAGATAGGGACCATCCTGGCCAACATGGTGAAATCATTTCTCTACTAAAACTACAAAAATTAGCTGGGCGTGGTGGCATGCACCTGTAGTCCCGGCTACTCAGGAAGCTGAGGCAGGTGAATTGCTTGAACCCGGGAGGCAGAGGTTGCAGTAAGCCGTGATCACGCCACGGCACTCCAGCCTGGCAACAGAGCGAGACTCTGTTTCAAAAAAAAAAAAAAAGATTTAAATAATAACTTGGAAAATGATGCACATGTAAAAATTCCAAGCATATACTTCCAAAAGAGCAAGCTTGGATTGTCTAACTCAAAAAAATTGACATGAGCCACAAAAACTCACCTCCTAGGGCCCTAAGAAAACATACGGTATTGGATACCTAAAAAATCCAAACCTCACCATGCAGAGTTCCACAAAATTGACAGATGTGCATTAATATATAATTTTAAACTTTGCCTTAGAAATATGCAATGTACTAATTACAAAATCATACACACTCCTCAATTCTCAGAGTATTGTAAAATCTTTGGAAAAGTAAAATTTACTGGATTTGTTTTTATATACTTTATTAATATATAAATTAATTTATGTACATATGAATTCTTTCATTAATTATTTCACTCATGTACTCCAAAAGAAATTATAAACTAATTGCAGAGGATAAGACATAGCTGGTGACGTCTAGAGAAGCAGTTCTGTGTTGCAGAATAGAAAAAAGTTTTTCTCTGTAGCCATAATGAGCTGGAGAGGAGCTGAATCCCAGGTCAGTGATTAACTAGCTATATAAATTTGGCACATGATTTAATCTTTCTAATCTCAATTTCCTTCTGTGTGAAGTTGAGATAATATTTCTTATCTTTCTGGGTTATTTGTCAAATGGCAAGCAATATTTGTAAAGTTCCTGATTCATAATAAAAGATCTTCAAATAGTAACTCTTGTTTGGATTTCCTTACCTAAATCCTTTATCTGAGCCCTTTCCAGCATTCTATTTTTCAGCAAGATATGTAAATGGCTTAAGAAAATTGGCTCATACATTAGATATTTTTAAATCAAGTTTTCCTGTGTATCCTGTGACTTAATCTTCTAGATCTATCTTATATATCATCATTGAGAATGAAATATATAAGAATAGATTATCAAAACTACAGAATTGTTTTTATATTATTGAAATTTAAAATATTTGGGTAATTCTCTATGCTAGTAAAAAATTAATAATATAAATCTTCCATCATATCCCACTGCTGCTTGAGCTCTTTTACAAAAAGTTTTTGAAGGAGATAAGGTGATATTATTAATACCACCTTGCAGAAGAAAAGAAATTGGGACCCTTAACAGGTAAAAGGATTTAATCTAAGTTACATAATCAGTACTGGATGTGCTGACAAGACATCTCAGCCTCTGGCATTCTTCACATGTTATATAAATGGCATAGTATTGGGTCTCTAACTTTTAAATTTACCAATAGCATAATTTTGTGTATATATGAAGTTAAAGAATTTGTTTTGAAACAAATTACTGGTGTTACTGTGATTGCAGAGTTGCTACTTTTTAATCATATATAGCTCCATTACATAACCAAATGTTCAGGAAATATTTGTAAAACTAAAAAAAAATTCTTACTCTGTATATTAATAGAAATGAATATGAGATTATATGAATGTGACATTAAAGATTGAAGGAATGTCCTATAAGCCAAAAGCTTTTTGAGAAATACTCACCATTTGCCTGGAAATTGAATAATGTCACACTAAAGACAAAGCTGGATTGTGTCCCCTTGGCATTAACTATATGGCGTTAATGGCAGATAGCATGTGAAAATGTGAGCAGACAGTTATCATAAGGGATATAAAAATATAAGAAGAAGCTAGATTTAAATAACATTTCTCAAGAAAAATATAGCCACGATTAAAATATAGCTTTTTTATCGTATGATTTTTAAGATTTCTCAAGTTTAAAGACACAGAAATACAATTTAAATGATCTCAGGGAAAAAAGTAATTTATTGGAAGGATTCTAGGTCATGTTATGGAAACCAAACCAGAAAAAAGAGAGGGCTATATTTGTACCCCAGGGACACTGGATCTAGTGACAGGTAGTGAACACTAGAACTCACATGACATCAGGGACTTGGGCTTTCATCTCTGCTGCTTCTTGAATGCTCACATTGTTTTTCCCTTCCTTTTCAAACTTTCTCAACTTAGCAGTAAAGTTGACTACAAGCAGTTTTAAAGTTGTACACCTTTCAATTTAACCTCCAAAGAGAAAACATTACTAACTGCTGCTATCTCTGGTTCCAAGTCCAAAAACTGCAGAGAAGGTAATCATTTGTTCAGCTTGGATCATGTGCCCAAAACTGGACAAACAGTTGTGGCCAGAGAAATACAGTCTTGTTAGCAACATGGAGCATTCATAGACTTATGGACTGTTATAACTAGGAGACACATTAAACATCACTTTTCTAATAATTTTGTTTTAGATATTAATGAACTGTGACAACAAATGTTCAGAGACTTGACCAAGTGACAAAACTTGAATTTGAATAAGTATCTAGTGTTTTTGTAATGCTTAAAGTTATTAAAAGGAAAATAAAAATAAATGAAGTAGGAAGAGAAGGAAATGAAGTAGAAGAAAGAAGAAGGAGGAAGAGAGGGAGAAGGAAAAAGAAGGAAAGAAGGAAGGAAGGTTGAAATGGAGAAAGAAAGTAAAAGGGAAAGAAAGGAAGTAAAAAACAGAAACAAAAAGGGGCAGCTCCTACTGTAATTTTATTGATGGAGTGAGTGGGAGAAGAGGTTATATTATAAAGTGGCTGGAAAACAATGCCATACTTGCCCATTATAGTCTATGAACCATGACTTACGTAGTATATATAGCAAGTAGAATAAATCAATGATTATATTTGGCTTAAATTGTCAGATTATTTTACTCAATTTCTCTCATTTTGCAATAGATGTGCTTTCCCATTTTGATTTTTCACTCATCTTCCCTTTTATCTACAGATCTGTAGGCTGTTTCTTATAAAACAGATTCCTGGGTGAAAAAATTTCTTGGCATCATCACACAAAAAAATAATTATTTGGTTCTGCCTAGTTTAAAATATCAGTGTAAAATTAAACACTTACTACAATGTACCTCCATTTCTTAATAGGCACTAAGCTTCATTAGAAATGTAAATTGAGCTTTTACAAGCAATATCTTTTTTTTTTTTTTAGATGGAGTTCTGCTCTTGCTGCTCAGTCGGGAGTGCAAAGGCACAATCTTGGCTCACTGCAACCTCTGACTCCTGGGTTTAAGCAATTCTCCTGCCTCAGCCTCCAGAGTAGTGGGGATTACAGGCACGTGCCACCACGGTTGGCTAATCTTTGTATTTTTAGTAGAGACGGGGTTTTACCATGTTGGTCAGGCTGGTCCCAAACTCCTGACCTTAAGTGATCATCCACCTCTGCCTCCCAAAGTGCTGGGATTATGGGCGTGAGCCACCGCGCCTGGCCTCACTAGCAATATCTTTAATGACGCCTTGGTATACTAGGTAACTACATAAATTATTAAAACACAGCCATAGGAAAATGTGTCTGTCTTCATCCAGATTCATCTCTAAATGTATGAATGTTTGAGATAGCACTATTGATGTATTGTAGTATTTTCTTTGGGGCTATCTGAGTAAAGTGAATAATTTGTTTAACAATGTTGACTATTTGCCTACTAAGTGCCACGCAGGTACTTAGAAGTGGAACAGAAAATAAGATAATTCTTAGAGATCTAGTCCAGTTGAGAGAAAAAGCCTTGTAAAAGGTCATTATAGACTTCTGGTAATGGCAAACTGAATATTTTGAACCAGACTTCCTGAAGAGCATAACAAAGAGCTAAACAAAATATATGAATCATTTTCCTTATGTCATCTTATAACTAATAAAGTAGGAAATAATTATGGCTTCAATACCTGGAAGAAACCAGAAATCTAGAGAGAAGAGCCTGCTTTTTGGAATCCTTCTGCTCTGTAGGCATTGGCAGCCCAGAATAGGTATCCGACAGATTGGGCAGTACTTTGGGAAGATTCCTGGGTCCATGGAAAATTGCCTTGGAAATAAATGTCACCAAATAGTGTGGCTCTGGTAAATCCCTTGAGAATGGGTTGGAATCAGACAAGCGTACTCTAGGTCTGTTACAGGTAGTTAGACAGGCATGAGCATGGCAGGAGAGGGCTGTTCACCCCTACCCACTAGCAATGTCAAGTGATGGTTTGACAATTATCACACTGCCTCTCTAAAAATGATAATTTGGCAGCCTGTGCCAGGGCATCAGGGAGAGACAACCTCCTTACCATCCAAAGCTATTAACATTAAAGTGTTAAAATTATGCAGCAGCCAGGAAGAAGCAACTTCCCAGGCATATGCATTAAGAGGCAAAATATCAGAGTATGACCTTCTGGGGCGACTCCACCGGAAAAGGGAAGGAATCCTCAGATGGGCATGTGTACCACTTCCTAAAGACAGTGCACGTGCTCACTTCCCAAGCGTAAAGAGGGCACTGCGCATGAGGGCAGCTCCCCCTAAGGGAAGAATCACAAAAAGGGGCATAAGATGCCAGCCTACAAAGTCCTAGGATGACAGCTGAATGCGACACTTGTTCTTCAAGTCGCCCACTTGGATCTCTTCCAAGTGATCTTTCCTTTTTTTCCTGTTCTAAAGCCTTTTTAATAAACTTCCACTCCTGCTCTGAAACTTCCTCTTTTTCTGCCTTATGCCCCTAAATTGAATTCTTTCTTCTGAGGAGGTAAGAATTCAGGTTGCTGCAGACCCGTACAGATTCGCAGCTGGTAACTCAGATATCTGCCACCAGTAACAGGTCTAAGAGTGCATCAGAAGCAAAACAGCTATTAAAAGTTTGAGTCATGTGGGCGATCTCGGCTCACTGCAAGCTCCGCCTCCCGGGTTTGCACCACTCTCCTGCCTCAGCCTCCTGAGTAGCAGAGACTACAGGCGTCCGCCACCACGCCTGGCTAATTTTTTGTACTTTTTTTAGTAGAGACAGGGTTTCACTGTGTTAGCTAGGATGGTCTCGATCTCCTGAGCTTGTGATCTGCTGCCTCAGCCTCCCAAAGTGCTGGGATTACAGGCATGAGCCACCATGCCCAGCCAAAAGCATCAGTTCTTAAAGTTGGGTTAAAGCAAAATAAATGATAAAATATGCAGGTAAATTTAAATGAATACCGACTGCAAAAAATAATAATATATTGTCTCAGGGGTCTTATAATATGTACATAATTAAAATAAATTTTAAAATGCATATACTTTGAAGGAAAAGGTGTTCTGCAGTGCTTGCATTGTCTGGGAAGAGAGTATCAATTAATTCTAGTACATGTTTCTCAGGAAAACCAGTGAACTATAGTAAAAGAGGAATAAATGCTGAGTTAATTTGGGGGAAAAGAGAAAAGAATTTTAATATGAAAGAAGGCAAGAAAAGAGATTATAAAGTATAAGACTACATAAGACAAATAGAAAATGTAGAGCAAGATTGTAGATTTAAAGCCAAATACTAAAAATATTTAATGTAAATAAAGACAGTTGTTATCTGCCTAGACAAAAAACGAAACTCGATTTTACACTATTTAAGAGATATATGTAAAAAGAAAATACAGAAAGGTTGGAAAGAAAAAAGATAAGAAAGAAGATGGGGAAAAAGACGGGAAAAAAGATGCTCCTGTAGTCCCAGCTACTTGGGAGGTTGAGGCAGGAGAATGGCGTGAACCCGGGAGGTGGAGCTTGCAGTGAGCCTAGATTGTGCCACTGCACTCCAGCCTGGGCGACAGAGTGAGACTCCGTCTCAAAAAAACAGAAAAACAAAACAAACAAACAAACAAACAAAAAAACATATAATTCTGCAGAATGCACATCATTTTTATTGTCTCAAGAAGAACTTAATAGCAATTAGCCAAACACTAGTCATAATGTATATTCATAAAATTCAAAGGACTGAAATCATACAGAATGTTTCTTGACCACAATTTAGTTGAGCTAGAGGTCGATAGCAAAAACGAGCCAAAATAAGAAAAAATAAAATTAAAACTGAAAAATGCTCATGTATATACAGAAATCATTTCCAGGTGGATTGCAGATCTGAATATGAGGTTGTAAACCAAAAGGTATTTGAGACAGGTCTCAATCAATTTAGAAAGTTTATTTTGCCAAGGTTAAGGACATGGCCCCTGACAGAGCCTCAGGAGGTCCTGAAGACATGTGCCCAAGGTGGTCAGGGTTCAAGTGTGCTTTTATACATTTTAGGGAGACATGAGACATCAATTAATATGTGTAACATTGCCTTAGGTACAGTAAATCAGGACTACTTGAGGGGGGCGGAGGCAAAAGACTGTATTCTTTTGAGTCCTTGATCAGCCTTCCACTGAATACACCAATACACAATTTGGTCTGGCTCAGTGAATCTACATTTTTACATAAACAATGCAGTGGAGAAAGCAATCAGACATGCATTTGTCTCAGGTGAGCCTCAGAGGGATGACTTTGAGTTCCGTCTGTCCTTTGTCCACAAGGAAATTCCCTGTGGGGGAGGTATGTAGCTTTTTATCTTTGTAGCTACCTTATTTAGGAATACAATGGAAGGCAGGTTTGGGTGACATAGTTCCCAGCTTGAATTTTCCCTTGGCTTAGTAATTTGGGGGTCCTGAGGTTTATTTTTTTTTTTTTCACAAAAGTAAACAATGCATGTTTTACAAAGAAAACATAACAAAACATCTTATTGCTCTTAGAGTAGGCAGTAATTTTGCTTATTTAAAAAGGTATAGCCTGGGTGCGGTAGCTCACGCCTGTAATCCCAGCACTTTGGGAGGCCCAGGCGGGCAGATCACGAGGTCAGGAGTTTGAGGCCAGCCTGGCCAATGTGGTGAAATGCCGTCTCTACTACAAATACAAAAACCAGCCAGGCATGGTGGTGTGCGCCTGTAGTCCCAGTTACTCAGGAAGCTGAGGCAGAAGAATCACTTGAACCCAGGAGGCGGAGGTTGGAGTGAGTCGACATCATGCCACTGCACTCCAGCCAAGTAAGACTCCGTCTCGAAAAAAAAAAAAAGTATAAATCAGAGAAGAAAAAATAATAAATCAGACTATTTTAAAATGTAGAACTACTGTTTATCAAAAATATGCCATCAAGAGAGTAAAAATGCTGCCAATAAAGTGGGAAAATATCCAATTACTTAGATCAAGAGCACGTAAGAAATGATGCTTAACATCCTTAGTCACTGTGGAAATGTAAATTAAAGCCACTATGCCAGAATGGCTAAACTGAATACTCTTCAGAAATGAGAATAAACAATGTACAGTTACAAGTAAAAATATGGATTAATTTCATGAACGTAACTGAGCAAAAGAAGTTACATTAAAAAGTATACATATTCTATGATTAAATTGCATAAAGTATAAAATTAAGTGAACCTAATCTATGGTTTTGGAGGTCAAGATAGAGATTAATTCTCCTTCCCATAGGGTGTGGCATGTTGACAAGATAAAGTATTGAGCCATACACAATAAACCATACTATTTGTTTGTTTAATTTTGAGATAGGGTCTTGCTGTCTTTCCCAGGCTGCAGTGCAATGGCATAATCATGGCTCACTGCAGGACCAACCTCCTAGGCTCCAGTGATCCTCCACTTCAGCCTCCTCTCTGCAACTACAGGTATGCACCACCACACCTGATGAATTTCTTGTCTTTCATAGAGACAAGGTCTCCCTATGTTGCCCAGGGTGGCCTTGAACTCTGGGGTCAAGTGATCCTTTCACCTTAGCCTCTCAAAGTGTTGGGATTAGTCATAAGCCACAGTATTTGGCCTTTTAAAAATACATACATATATATTGAAAATCACTTTTTTTTCTTTCCAACTTTTTTTAGGTTCGAGGGGTACATATACAGGTTTGTTACATGGGTAAATTGCATGTTGCAGGGGTTTCTTACACAGATTATTTCATCACCCAGGTAATAAACACAGTACCTGAGAGGTGGTTTTTCACACCTCACTCTCCTTCAACCCTCCACCCTCAAGTAGGCCCTAGTGTCCATTATTTATAACCATGTATACTCAATATTTAGCTCCCACTTATAAGTGAGAACATGTGGTGTTTGGTTTTCTTTTCTTGCATTAACTAATTTAGGATAATGGCCTCCAATTCCACATGTGTTGCTGCAAAGGACATGACTTCGTTCTTTTTTATGACTGCGTAATATTCCATGGTACATGTCTACCACATTTCCTTTATCCAGTTCAGCACTGATGAGTGTCTACCTTGATTCCACATCTTTGCTATTGTGCTTTAATAAACATATGCATTAATGTGTCTTTCTGGCAGAACAGTTATATTCTTTTTTCTTTTTTTTTTTTTTTTGAGACAGAGTCTCGCTCTGTCGCCCATGCTGGAGTGCAGTGGCATGATCTTGGCTCGCTGCAAGCTCCGCCTCCCAGGTTCGTGCCATTCTCCTGCCTCAGCCTCCCGAGTAGCTGGAATTACAGGCGCCCGCCACCACGCCTGGCTGATTTTTTGTATTTTTAATAGAGGCGGGTTTCACCATGTTAGCCAAGATGGTCTCGATCTCCTGACCTTGTGATCCGCCCGCCTCAGCCTCCCAAAGTACTGGGATTACAGGTGTGAGCCACTGCACCCGGCCAGAACATTTGTATCTTTTAGATATATACCCAGAAATGGAATTCCTGGGATGACCGATAATTCCATTTTAAGTTCTTTGAGAAATCTCCAAACTGCTTTCCTCAGGGGCTGAACTAATTTACATTCCTGCTAGCAGTGTATAAGCATTCCATTTTCTCCTTAATCTCATCAGCATCAACTTTTTAATAAGCTATTCTAACTGGTATGAGATAGTATCTCATTGTGGTTCTGATTTGCCTTTCTCTAATGATTAGTGATGTTGAGCATTTTTTCATATGCTTGTTGGCTGAGTGTATATCTTTTCTTGAGAAACGCCTATTCATATCCTTTGCCCATTTTTTTAATAGGGTTATTTTGGTTTTGTTTGTTTGTTTAAGTTCCTTATAGATTCTGGATATTAGACCTCTGTCAGATGCATAGTTTGCAAATATTTTTTCTTTCAATTTAGGTTTCTTTCAATTTACTCTGTGGATAGCTTCTTCTGCTGTGTATAAATTCTTTAATTAGATCCTACTTGTCCATTTTTGTTTTTTTTTTTTCAATTTTGGAATCTTTGTCATGAAATCTTTGACAGGACCTATGTCCAGAATGTTTATTCCTAGGTGTTATTCTAGGGTTTTATAGTTAAAAGTTTTACATTTAAGTCTTTAGCCCTCAAGATGAGTTACATTTTACATTTTTCATTTAACTCATTAAGTCTTTAACCCATCCTGACTTTTGTTTATAGTAAAGAGAAGGGGTCCAGCTTCAATCCTCTGCATATGGCTAGCCAGTTACCCAGCACCATTCATTAAATAGGGAGTCCATTTACCATTGCTTGTTTTTGTTAACTTTGTCAAAAGTTGTTTGTTGTAGGTGTGTGACCTTATTCCTGGGTTCTCTATCCTGTTGCATTGGTCTATGTGTCTGTTTTTATACTTGTACCATGCTGCTTTGGTTACTGTTGCCTTGTAGTAGAGTGTGATGCCTCTGGCTTAGTTCTTTTTGCTTAGGATTGTTTTGGCTATTCAGACTATATTTTGGTTCCCTATAAATTTTGGAATATATTTTTCTAATTCTGTGGAAAATGTTTTTGATAGTTTGATAGGAACAGCATTGTATCTATAAATTGCTTTGGGCAGTATGACCATTTGAACAATATTGATTCTTCCTACAGATGACCATGGATTATTTTTCCATGTTTGCTTAATCTCTGATTACTTTCAATAGTGTTTCATAATTCTTATTGTAGAGATCTTTCCCTTCTCTGGTTAGCTGTCTTCCTAGGTATTTTTGTATGTGTGTGGCTATTGTGGATGGGATTGTGTTTTAATTTGCCTCTCAGCTTGGATGTTGTTGGTAAATTGTGTTTATTTCGATCTTCAGTTTTCTTTATTACTCCAACTTGTGGTCTATCAATCTTATTCTTTCAAAGAACCCACTTTTTGTTTCGTTAATCTATTGTATTTATTTTAATCTCAATTTCATTCAGTTCAGCTCGGATTTTAGTATTTCTTTTCTTCTGCTAGTTTTCCGGTTGATTTGCTGTAAGTTGGGTTCAGCTGAGTGGCTTTGTTTCTGGATGATTTCACGGGGGGCCAGGCTCAGCTGAGCACTCTTGAGCTGCATGCTCTATCCATAAGGTGTGGTGTCCAGGCCCATAACTTCGTTCTCTGTCCCCGTGAGGTTAAGCAGCTGCTGTGCTGGAGGTGCTAGAGATGTTCCCAGTCCACAAGCACCAGTACTCTGATAAGGGGTGCTGGAAAAAGCACTTCATCAGGATAGTGGCATCAGGGTCCACACATGCACACACACTGACAACAGTGTGATGGCAGTGTGATGGAGTCTGTGTACACATGCTCATGCTAGTGATGGTGGAGTGGCTGGGTCTCCATGCACATAGGCACCAGCAGGGGCTGGGTTATGGTGGTGAGTTCCACATGCATGCATCTGTGGTACTGGGTGATATGTTTTGGCTGTGTCCCCACCCAAATCTCATATTGAATTATAATCCCCACTGGTTGGGGGAGGGACCTCATGGGAGGTGATTAGATCATGGGAGTGGTTCCCCCATGCTGTTCTTGTGATAGTGAGTGAGTTCTCATGAGATCTGATGGTTTTATAAGAGGCTTCCCCCTTCCCTCTGCACTCATTCTCTCTTCTGCCACCATGTGAAGAAAGATATGTTTGCTTCTTCTTCCATCATGATTGTAAGTTTCCTGAGGCCTCCCCAGCCATTCAAAACTGTGAGTCAACTAAACCTCTTTTCTTTATAATTTACCCAGTCTCAGGTATGTCCTTATAGTAGCGTGAGAATGAACGAATAGACTGGGGTTGTGAGAGGTTCACAGAGTGCACACCATAGCATAGTAGTAGGAAGAGGCCATAGGCAGGTGCTTGGGGGCAAAGCAGTGGTAGGAGGCTGCTGGCAGGTGCATGTCATCCGGGCCTGTCTGCTAAAGCTCTCCGATGGTTAGGTAGAGTCCACACCAAGTAGCTATGGTGGCAGCTGCTGCAAAATGCCTCTGTTGGGGATCTCAGGCTGCAGTGCAAATGGGTGTGGCCGGGGAGGTGCCCCAGAGAAGGACCAGCAAACAGGGGTGTGTTCAGATCAGACTGGCCCCGTCCCATGGACCAGATAGCTCTGCTCTGTTCAGGTCTGATAGTCAACAAAGGCCAAAGCCACCTAGGGGAGTGTGGTAAGCCTTGGAGGATGTGCATCCCTGGCTATGCTCTACTGTAGTCATGCTGTGCCAACACCCCCCAGTTCCCAGCCCCAAAGGCTGACACTTCTCCAAGCAGCTCTCCATGCCAGCTCGGATGTATATGGAGGTCACGGGGATTCCTACGGTTAATACTCTAGAGGTCCATGGTAAGTCCATGGGCCACTTCTCACCTATTTAACTCACTCCTTCCAAGGAGTCACTGGGGGCTGGGAACAAGTCCTGGTGCTTGGCAGTCTCATGCAGGGTTCCCAGCTTCCTCCCCCTTCAGCCCAGTGTCTGCATGCTCCCTTTTTCCACTCTTAATGATTTCCTTCTAAAGATCTCCTTAGAGTATACTGGACTTCATGATGGTCTGTTTTCACCATGGGAGATGCTTTTCCTTGCTGTTTCTAGCTAGCCATCTTGGCTCCTCTCGCTTTTTTGCATGTGTATTTTTATGTATATGTCTTCTACAGAGAAAGCACCAAATTTAGATGACTTCACTGATAAGTCCTACCAAATATTCAAGAAAGAAATCCTAAACTAATAAATCCTACCAAATATTCAAGAGAACTATTATATAAAACCTCCTAGAGAATAGAAAAACTTAGAAATATTTTCAATTTATTTTATAAGAGCAGCATAAACATAATGCTAAAAGCAAACAAGTATATTATGTGGAAAGAAAGTATTAATAGGCTGGGCATGGTGGCTCACACCTGTAATCCCAGCACTTTGGGAGGCAAAGGGCGGGGAGCACAAGGTCAGGAGATCAAGACCATCCTGGCCAACATGGTGAAACCCAGTCTCTACTAAAAAATACAGAAAATTAGCTGGGCGTTGTGGCTGGCGCCTGTAGTCCCAGCTACTCAGGAGGCTGAGGCAGGAGAATGGCGTGAACCCGGTAGGCAGAGCTTGCAGTGAGCCGAGATTGCACCACTACACTCCAGCCTAGGCGACAGAGCGCAACTCTGTCTCAAAAAAAAAAAAAAAAAGAAAAAAAGAATTAGTAATAAGTTAATTTCATTTATATACAGAGATGCAGCTGTCTTAAATCATTAGTGCACAAATCCAGCAATACATAAAAAGTACAGTATTATCACAACCATGCAAGATCTATTCCAGAAGTGGAAGGTTGGCTTAATAATGAAAAATCAATTAATGTAATTTACTTTTATATTAAAGCAGAAAAAATCATGTACAGAAAAGGCTATTGATAATAAAAATCAAAAGCTAGTGATAAAATGCAATAATCATTTATGGTACAGTATTTAGCAAAGTAGGAATAGATGAAATTTTTCTTTTTTTTTTTATTATACTTTAAGTTTTAGGGTACATGCGCACATTGTGCAGGTTAGTTACATATGTATACATGTGCCATGCTGGTGCAAAAATTTTTCTTATCTAATAGAAGGATTTTGCAAAAACTTGTAGCAAATGTTATTATGAATTGTTAAAATATTATCCAATGAGATTAGAAATTAGAAAAAAAGTTCCTAATATTATTTCCCTTTCAAATTATACTGTACATTCTTGTCAAAACAGGAAGGCAAGAGGAAAAAAGTTATAAGGTTGAAAGAAAGCAATAAAATGCTCATTAGCTGCAAAATACATGATTATGTATCTATAATATCCAATGAATGTACAGATGAGTTATCTGGATTATTAAGAAGTTTAGCAAGGATGTTGGTGCAAGGTAATACATCAAAACTTTATGTATAAACCAGTGGTAAACAATTGAAAGTAAAATTTAAAACATAATATTATAATATTATTGATATATCATATATCAAAAAATAGTCCTGCAAGAATCTTAACAGAGGAAACTGTAAATCATTATTGAGAAATCTTTTATACATGTTCATAGTTAAGGAAGAGTTAAATAAAGAGAAGAGAATATATGTTCATGAATAGGAAGACTCAATATTTTAAGATGTAAATTCTCCTCAAATTGAGCTATATGTTCACTGGCTAAATCCCAGTCAAAATCCCAGCAGGTATTTTTAGATATCAGTAAGCAGACTTTTAAGTTATCCTGCTTTTATTTCAGAATATGGCCAAGAAAACTGAGGGAAAAATTTTCACTTCACACAACTGAGCCAAGTTACAGGATATTTCCATGACTGGATCTTCCAAGTTCCAGAACAGAAATATTAAGCTGCAATTGTAAGATCTGGTTCTAGATGAGTGGCTATTAATGCTGGTTGAAGAATCTGCAAAACTGCTACAAAGGGAAGAATGAGCCCACTATGCACATTGGGATGGGAAACTATTAAAAAAAAAACAAAAAACAAACAACAACAACAACAACAAAAAACTCCTCCAAAATTAGAAAACCAAAATTCCCATTTCCCTGAAGAAATGTAATGTTGATCTTTTGGCAAGTGTGTCAAGTTCTGTGTTGCAAACAAACAAGCTCCACCTTATTTTTATGAAAAGGCTACCCAGTTACCCACTTTGTCACTACTCTTAGATTCAAGGTTCATGATGTGGTTTGGATTTGTGTCCCTGCCCAAATCTCATGTTTAATTATAATCTCCCATGTTGAAGGAGGGGCCTGCTAGGAGCTGATTGAACCCTGGGGCCGAATTTTCCCCCTTGCTGTTCTTGTGATAGTGCATGAGATGGGAAGACAGTATCTGAGTGTTTAAAAATGTATAGCACCTTCCCCTTTGCTCTCTTCCTCCTGCTCCTGTCATGTAAGACATGCCTGCTTTCACTTCACCCCTCCATCGTGATTGTAATTTTCCTGAGGCCTCCCCAGCCACGCTCCTTGTATAGCCTGCAGAACTGCAAGCCAATCAAACCCCTTTTCTTTATAAATTACCCAGTTTCAGGTAGTTCTTTATAGCATTGTGAGAATGGACTAATACAGTTCAGGATTTGCAATTTAAGGAAACATGCGGTGCATTCTATCATATTCTCTATTATTAGTAGATCTTTTATAATACGGTACATTTCAAATGTGTTCCTCCCCAACCACAAAGCCATTTATTTATCTAAACGGCCTTGCCATGTCAAAGGCAAGGCTACTGTTCAGTAAACCCCTCTAAATCAGAATGTCATTAGAAGAAATTTAAATTATATGTAAAGGAATAAAAGCTGAAAATTGAAGGCTTTTGTTTTGAAAAGTTGAACTTACAAATTTGCAAGTGTCATTTTCTGTATTTCCGAAATACTGTAAAATTTATTTATCATAAAGTTTAATATTAGAAATAAAAGCTTATTACTAAAAAAAGTAATGTTAAGAAAGACAAATAATATAGCAAACACTCAAAATTGTAATTTCACTCATATAAATTCATTTTCTACAATAATCAGAGGAAAATTAAAATTACATGTTCAAAATTTGGAGGTGAAAGCAGGGATCAACTGTCTATTAAAGTTACTAAATTTGTCATAAAAAATTTAAAGACTCTGGAAGATTTGGTTTCATTTAATGAGTTCAGGGAATTAAAAAAACATGTTTTTCTGTATTTTTTTGCAAGTTCTTGTCAGAAAGCATTTGGAAAGGCAAAAATATATAGCAGAGAGATCAAATACGGTTGGAGTTGAGATTCAGAGGCAGAGATAAGTGATATGGTTGGAGTATATCAATCTCCCAAGGAGCCACTTCCCAGGTTCGGAATGTAGAAACCAAGCCAGAAGTAAGAGTGGCATAAAATCATCTCCCTACCACCTGCAAACTACCTCTCCCATCTATCTAAACAGTGGAAATTTCTGGTAATTTAACAAAAAGTATTTATGAGTTGTTAACAAAGATATGAAAAGCTAAACCATTGTTTCAGGTACCATGCAAATTGACAATGAAGTGTTGAAAATGAAACATAGGGCCTCTTTTCTGAATATTATTATGTATTAGTCCATTCTCACACTGCTACAAAGATACTACCTGAGACTTGGTAATTTATAAACAAAAGAGGTTAAATTGACTTACAGTTCTGCATGGCTGGAGAGGCCTCAGGAAACTTACAATCATGGCAGAAGGTGAAGGGGAAGCAGGCACCTTTTTCACAAGGCAGCAGGAGAGACAGAAAGAGCGTGAGCGGAGGGGAAGTGCCCACTTTCAAACCATCAGATCTCATGAGAACTCACTCACTATCAGGAGAACAGCATGGGGGAAAATCCCCTCAATAATCCAATTACCTCCCACCAGGTCCCTCCCTCAACATGTGGGGATTACAATTCAAGATAAGATTTGGTTGGAGACACAGAGCCAAATGGTATCATATGATCTAATTGTTAGACAGAATCATAAATACACAAAGCATAGGTGAAAAGTCTCATAATAGCATTAACACCATAAAATTATGAAAGAAGGAGGAGCCCATTCTTCAAGGAATGTCAGGAACAGTTTCAGAAAAGAATCTTTGAGCTAGGTCTTGACAGATGACAAATACATAGTCTCATATGGTTAACTCTTGAGCCTTATGAGGATGAAAAACCAGTATCAGAAATAAAGACCAAGTTTTGATTTATCTTATGTGCCATGTTAAGTACTTTAGGCTGAAGGCAGTAGGAATAAATCAGCTGATTTTTAAACAGGAGAGAGAGATACGGGCAGGTTACTTATATCGGAATCAGTGGGTGGGATAGATTGGATAAAAGGGGCGGGGAGGAGAAGAAGGGGCAGAGAAGGGAAGGGAGAGGAGAGGATAAACCATAGTTTTATTATCTAACAAAAAGCTTCCAGGGAATTTAGGCAGACGATAGTTTTTCTTAAGGCTCCTTTTTTTCATTGACTCCTTTCTAATTCCCCCAAGTCTCAATTCTGTTTTCTCATTTTTAATTTCTATATCTCATGTGAACTTACATCTGCATTGATATGATTTTCATTAGATATTATAAAGAAGAATATTTATAATTAATCTAATGTTAGGAATATTTAGCATGCAACAAGTGAATATAGGTGCTTACTAATTAATGCCTTGGATTACAGTGTCCTAATGCCTGGAGGTTTTTGGAAGTAACTCTGATCTCAGTAACACTTACCCTATTGCTGTTTATCTAACAAAACAGGCATTGCCTCAGCTCACAGCATTTGTACTTGCTGTTCCCTTTCCCTGGGATGTACTTTCCTCAAACATCTACAGGGCATATTCATGTATGATCTCTGAAATCACCTTGCTTCTGACTGCAGTATATAACATAGCAAAGGCCGCTGCTCAATTTCCCACCACCTCCAATTCTGTTTTTCCAATTCTGCTCCCCTTTTTTCCACAGTATTTATTGCCATCTGACATTCTATGGATTTGCTTGTTTGCGGCCAGCCTCCCCCACGAGAAAGGAAGCTCCTCAAGAGCAAGAATTTTGTTTTGTTCACTGTTGTATGTCCCCGGCACCAACAACAGTGTCTGGCACAGTGTAGATGCCTAGGTGATATTTGTTGAATGAATTAGTAAATAATATTCCTATAAAATGTGGTGAAAAGAATTCCACATGAGGAAATTAAAGTCTAGAGAAATACAACAACTTGCTGAATATAACTTAACATTAGCAATTATTATCACTGTCATTTTAGTACTATTTTTACAAACCTATGCTTTGACATATAAATTAGCTCCAGTCATCACAGCAGCGCTGTAAGATAGATGTTGCAGACAGTTGTATAGATTGTTCAAGGTCAGCTAGCTAATGGATAGAAGAATAATTTTCTGACCAAATGGTGATTTGTTATATTTGGATGGAATCTATGTTTCCTAGCAATTTACCTGCTGGGTTGCACTTCATCTGCCTTATATCCCTTAGCTTTCTTCCACCTTCTGCTTACATATTGAAGAATTACAGGCTTATCATTATATATTTGCCTACTGATTAAATGTATTGTAATCCTTTATGGAATTACCATAAGAGATACTATGGATAGGCTAGAACAAACTTTGAAAGAGAGGTGGTGTATTCGTTTCCTAGAGCTGCTGTGTTAGGGTTCTTCAGGGAGATAGAACTGATAGGATATATATATATATATATATATATATATATATATATGTATGATATATGTGTATGTGTGTGTGTATGTATATATATATATATATATATATAGAGAGAGAGAGAGAGAGAGAGAGAGAGAGAGAGACGAGATGAGATGGGAATTTTTTAGGGGAATTAGCTCCCATGACAGGCTTTCTGCAACCTGAAAACACTGAAATGCTGATAGCATCGCTTAGTCCAACTCTGAAAACCTCAGAACAAGGTAAACAAATGGTGTAACTCAATCTGAGGCTAAAGGCCTGAGAACTCAGGGAGTTGCTGGTGTAAGTTCTGGAGTCCAAAGGCCAGAGAGCTTAGAGTTCTGATGTCCAAAGGCAGGAGAAGAAGGGTGTCCCAGCTCCAGAAGAGAGAGAGAAAGAAGGAGAGCAAATTTGCCTTTCTTCTCGCTTTTTGTTCTACCTGGGTCCACAGCCATTTGGATGTTAACCACACACATTGAGGGCAGATCTTTCCCCATTCAGTCAACCAACTCACAATTCATGAACCAATCTCCTCAGAAACACCCTCACAGACATACCTCATGGAAATAATGCTTTATCAGTTCTCTAAGTACTCCTTAATCCAGTCAAGTTGACATCTAAAATTAACCATCACAATTGCTGTCACAAAATACCACAAAACTACAGACATAAAACTCACGTAAAACTACAGAATTTTTGTTTGTTTCACAGTTCTGGGGGCTAAAAAATCAAAGGTGCCAGAATCAAAGGCCCAAAATCAAGATATTGGGAGGGCCATGCTCCCTGTGAAACCTGTAGGAGAAAATCTTCCTTGTCTCTTCCTAGCTTCTGACGGAGGTCATTGATCCTTGGCATTCCTTGGGTTACAAATGCATCGCTCCAATCTCTGTCTCTGTCATCACATGGCATTCTCCCTGTGTGTTTTTATCTTCATGTGTTCATCTTTTATGTACGTGTGTGTGTGTGTCTGTGTCCAAATTTCTCTTTTCTTATGAAGACAACAGTCATACTGGATTTGAGCAATCCCTAACTGACCTCATCTTAACTCGATTATACCTGCAAAGACCCAACTTCCAAATGAGGTCGCATTCATAGATGCCAGGGTATAGGACTTCAACATATATTTCTGCAGGACACAATGCAACCCATAGCAGATGGAGAGCATCAGCATGATGGGATTGCTAATAATGGGTTTAACGTATCAAGCTTTTTCTCAATTCAGAGACTTCTCATGTATTGTCTCCTCTGTCTGCATTACTTTTCTGCCCACTCTTTGCTCAAGTTCTGGTGTTGTACTGGAGCCATCTCACACCAGCTCCTGAGGGTCAATTGTTAAATTATCAGAAGCCAGTTGCCAAACACAGCAATTATTAAAAATTAAATATATAAACATAATTAATTACATTTAAAGCAATGGTAATACATTCTAAAAACTCATCCATTTCTAGCTATTTTGCTACATTTGATTATTATCTATCTATACTCTTTAGATTATTTGCATCTATTATATTTACATAGCAGAAATATAAAATACTTGTATTCATATGTCTCCCTAAATACATATTCAGTGACCTCACCTTGGTAGTTTGAAATTGGCCACAGAGTGGATATATTTATAATACAGAAATCAGCTACCAGTACAAATCAGGTCTTTTTTTATCCTTGGAAAAGCAGCTGTTAAATATTTACCAGATATACTGGTTAATTCTCGTACTTCCTTTAGGCCTCATCTTCATCTCCTCAGACCAGCTTTCCATAGCATCCATTTAAAATAGACTCCTTCCTCTCATTATTCTCTTTCTGAATTCCTTTTTCTATTCTTCTTGAAACTCTTTTTTGTAATTGTGCAGTTATACATGCATTTATTGAATATCTGTTTTTCTCACTAAATTAAGTTTCTTGAGAGCAGGACCCATGATTTTTTTATTTCTGCTTATTTCTAGCACAGAAATACAGCATTTAGCATATGACAGGCACTTAATAAATATTTGTTAAATATTTATGATGCATTTGAGGATCAAATGGAAAATCAAAATTATGAGATAGTATGTTAAGTTTGGTGATCAGGCAAAGTTAAAGCATGGCCAAAAGGCACTGAGTTTCCAGTTACCTGCTAAGATGTGTAATTAAATTTAGGTGAAAATTGAGAGTGTTAATTCCTTGGTATCTATTTTTCCTGCCTCTTTGCACTTATGATTTGTGATGGTAAACATTAATAATCAGATGCATGGGACAACTGAAGTAAAGAGAGATGTGTATGGCGTATACCCAGTGAGAGGTTCCTAGAATGTAGTAAATTTATTCTGATAAAAGAATCTGACAATTGAAGAAAGGAATGCAAACTGGCCTATGGCATAGTTACCGACTTACCATTTGTGCCAACGAATCCTTGGGTGACCTCACTGTAAGGAGCTACATGAGATAAAGATGGGCTCAATGTAGAAATGAAAATAATAAATGCCTTCAATGGGAGGATAGGTCAACATATTTGAAGTATTCTGGGGTACTACTAAGCCTGGGAAATAATCTAGGGACAGAAGAGGTGGGCACTAGTCTTGGCTTCCAGGCTTTAATTAAACACCTATATATGGGCAGCATCAGCTGTAGTTAGGAAGCAGTTCATTCCATCCAGAGACTTGGTTACCGAAGGCCCAGACTTATCAAGCATGGCCAAATGGTAAGAGTAAGAGTCTTGAAAGTAGACATACTGAGATATTAAAATTAACTCTTAGTTTATTAAATGACTTTCAGTAATGTAATTAATCTTTCTGCAGTTGGTTTCTTTATGTCTTAAATTGGGGTAACAGTACAAACATGTTGGAGAAAGGAGACCACCACTAAAGTTTAAGGAAGTTTTGCATGAATTAGTAAAGGGCATCGACTCTGAGCTAATGCAGTCCCTCTAGCTAATGGCTTGGCAAGAAAATGACTCTTTTGCATAAGTAAAAAGATAGTTTCTTGTTTCTGGTGCTCATACTCAGGGTACAAGACTACTGGCCTCCAAATGCAGGAAGCAAGAGATCTGTACAATCATTCTGGGTCCTGGGGCTGAGGTAAAGATTAAACAAGATCTTATATTAAAACACTGAGCTGTATTTGAAAACTTAACCCTGTCACAAATGTCAGTTTCCTTCCCAAAAATCTCTCCTCCTTTTCTTCTCTTTCCTGTCTCCCTGACACCACTATCAAGTTGGATTTCCTTGCCCTTGGAGACAAGTTAGTTCAACTTTAATTTTCTACAAGTATCTTTGTTTCAGACCCTGAATAGATAACAGAGAGTCATTTACCCTGTTCTCATTGCTCTACCCCATGTAACCCCCATCCCATGTAATTAATCGTAAAGTATATTTTGTTTTATGAGGTATCCTGAGTAAGTGCTAATGGAGACTAAGTTTAGGGAGCATGAAATACTGCTACCTTTCTCCATGTGCCAATAAACCTGCTCAGTCTCAGCTGTAAAAAAACAAACAAGTAAAACCTGTTTTTCTCTTGTTCCTTAAATTATGTCAGTACCTGGCAGTTGTTTATGTTTAAAAAGTCAACAGAAGGCAGTCAAGGGACCAGGAACATGATAAGTGTTTAAAGGGTGTGATTTACTACTCAGCAGTGTGCCAGTGATGTGGCATGAATTAAAAACAAGAAGTCTTCCAGGAGAAAAGATTTCTTTAGAGATGTAATTAATTGACCTGGCTTGGGTCCCTCCTTTCCCGGAGGAAAAACTTCTCCTTTTCCGGAGTAGTTGTCAGTGAAGTGTTTCAAATACTGCCCTGGTTGTAATTATTGTTCAAGTTCATGCTGCAAAATCATCTTCACTTAATAATTCTAGCATTCACCACCCAAAAACTCATAAGCAAGGCTTTTGTATTGCCACACAGTTTGGGATTTTTTTTCTCAGAATTAGGAAGCAAATGTAGCCAGCAATTATTTTAGATATTGCTTTCAGAAATGAATTTTTCCCATATCTGTCAGATTTGGCTCAGAGTTCTTTTTCAATTTAATCATTGTTAGCAGCATGAAAAACTGTTAAGTTAAATGTTCAGGCATAAGCAAGTCATTACTCCATATTTGAACTCTAGAGAGCTACTGGTTGTCATGGTAATATGACTGCACGTGTGAAGTTAGCATTGGCAACATCACATTTTCATTAAAACATCATGCATATTTGCATGAACTTCTGCCCAGACCATTGTTGCAGGATTGGCTCCTCCACCCCATCTCATAATGGTGCCAAGAGATTTCATATTTCAGATCCAAACTTGTTAGAGTTTACAGCATTCATTATTCATCCCTCAGAGATAGAAGTTGACCTGTATTCAAGGCTTAACATATATGAATAGAGAGCTCACTATATATCTCTATGGTTAATCCTACTAATTACCGTTCCCCTGAATTGAGGTAACCCTCCCATTTCTTTTAGTGAATAGTTTTAATTACTTTCTTTGACTTGCCTCTTCCCAAATTAGGGTATGTTTCTTCAAATAACTCCCCATGGATTTGTAGTGTTGCTATTACTCCTGAAGATGTAGGTTTCCCCCTCCCCTCCCCTCCCTTCCCCTCCCTTCCCCTTGATGGAGTTTCACCCTTTCACCCAGGCTGGAATGAAGTGGTGTGATCTCAGTTCACTGCAATCTCTGCCTCCCAGGTTCAAGCCATTCTCCTGCCTAAGCCTCCTGAGTAGCTGAGATTACAGGCACATGCCACCATGCCCAGCTAATTTTTGTATTTTTAGTAGAGATGAGGTTTCGCCATGTTGGCCAGGCTGGTCTCGAACTCCTGAGTTCAGGTAATCCACTCGCCTTGTGCTAGAATTTTTTTTCTCCTTATGCCTTCTTCCCAGAACCTCTATTATGTTTCCTTTGGTTTAGGGCTGTGATTATACTTATTTGCCCATATGATCATTTATTTATTCAATTAATAAATATTTATTATGGTTTACTATGTTGTAGGGTAGATGTTAGATCCCAAGTAAGCCAGGGCAACAATTAGTTGATTAGAGATGTAAGCTCTTGCTGTCTACCCTGTTCTTGGCCAAATTGTCTGTATTTCAATGCAGCAGATATCTTCACAAAGGTTTTTTTAGCACACAAACTGTTTGTTAAGTCCTATAAATTAGCAAACAATGCTAGTTTACTTTTTGTTTCCATGTCATTGTTTAAACATTCTTTTGTTGAGCTAAAGGTTTGAATGAATAAACCAACAATGAGGAAGTGCCAGAACAGTTCCTGTATATACCCTGCATATATTTATTTGCAGATTTTACTAGCTATTAAATATCATATAATACATATCGGCTCTCTCCTTTCTCTGCTTACACATACATGGTTCCTGATTGATCAATAATTTAAGTGTTGCATTTGGAGATTACTATAGGAGTTTCAAATGGTGTCCATGGTACTTCTGTTTGTGCCTCTGTTCATATTGCTCCTTACACTTAGCCTGCCTTTCCCGTCCCAAATTCCCACTGAAGACCTGGAGAAGGCCTCATCTTTCAAAATTCAATTCAAGTATCATTTCGTTTATGAAGTGTTATATAACAATAAGAGGATAAATTAATAACAGGATAAATAAAGAATAAGAAAGCACACTAAAAACTCTTTTTTTTTTGAAACAAATTCTTACTCTGTTGTCCAGGTAGAGTGTAGTGGTGCAATCATGGTTCATTGCAGCCTCAACATCCCGGGTTCAAGTGATCTTCCTGCTTTGGCCTGCCAATAACTGAGACTATAGGTGTTCACTACCACACCTGTCTAATTTTTGTGTGTGTGTGTGGAGATGAGGTCTTGCCATGTTGCCTAGGCTGGTCCTCAAATTCCTAGGCTCAAGCAATCCTCCTGCCTTGGCCTTCCAAAGTGTTAGGATTTACAATCCAGAGTCACTGCTCCCAGACTAAAAGCATTTTTTTTTTAACAACTCTGGAAGTGAATTCCAGCAGAACCAGCAAAAAGAATGGAATTAATTACCTCTGGGGAAAGTGCCTAAGGGTAAGGAGAACTGGGGCAGGAAACTATTATAAGTCTTGTACCACTATTAAGCTTCTAAAATCATGTACATGCCATTTTAATTTTTAAAAAGATAAATTTTTAAAACTCTATATGCTTACATTAAAAGTATACTAGTTATTCTGTAGTATTTCTCATCAAATTATTTTAATTTGGATTTTTTTTTCACTAAATTTAAATGGACAGCAGACCCAGATGAATAATAAAGCATAAAGTTTGATTTCAGTAAATTGATAACTTGATAACTTTGATCATTTGTGTATTTATGCCTTCTAATTACAGCCCTCTAAAAATACATCAGATTGGTTTTTAAAAATGTAATCTGTAAAAGCCTTTCTACCGATTGCTAACTAAATGTCAACATCTACCATGTACTCTTAGGAATCATTAAGAATACAACTGAGGGTCATAGATTTAGAAAGATATTTAATCCACCCTAAAGATGAGATACCGAATTAGGTAATATCTAGAAGTCTCTTGCATGCCTCCTTCCAAGATATTTATAACTATACCTGAATATCTATTTAGATACAGATATCTAAAATTCTGGGGATTGTTGGATCTAGGCAAGTTGCTTTTAAATGAATTATGTGAAAATAAAAGATCTCAGAATATCTGGGAATCTTCAGTAAGAGAAGAATAATGAGAAAGAATAGCATTCTAAAATATTAAAGCATATTATGCAGCTGAAATTTAAAAAATATTATTGGTTTATCAATGAATTTGATAGAGCTAGGATGGAATATAAAACTCAAAAATACATATGTGAAGGTAGTTTATGATAAATGTGGAATTTCAGATCATGGTGAAAAGAATTTTTCAATAGTGGTAGGACCACAGTTTTACAGCCATTTAGAAAAATAAATAAAATGCAATTTTAAAACGCTAGATCCATGTTTTATGAAAATAAGAGATTCCCCTCCCCCCCTTTTATTTTGAGCATTTACTTTAGAAAACTTGTAATTATACATACTTGATACTATTTCTGAAAAAAAAAATACATCCTTTTGAAACCTAGGAAAGACTTTTTTCAGCTTAATCATCCAGGAATATCTTTCTCAAGGACCTGGAAGCTGTCTCTTTGAAATGTAAACATCAAAGGAGTTAGTACCCTGCCTGCCAGTTTCCGTGAGCGGATAGGAGTCTAACTTGGGTAGGCACTTCCCTCCAAGTGGCAAAACTACCTCTTGTCATTAAAAAAAAAAAAAAAAAGATGTTTGTTTCTCTTCTAAGTAAAGCCAATTCCAGTTAGCTAAAATAAATGGTCACCCCAGTTATCTGGTAAAGATAAAATGGTGCTGTCAAGCCCTCTTACTCGAAGACTAGTTATTATTTATCTTGATAATATGTGTGTAATGGGCTGTATCTGCTTGGCTATATAAAATTTCTTTCTGTCTTTGCAATCTCTTTGTGGATTGCCTGTGATATGCTCACATTCTAGATTAATTCTTATTCAATAATGAATTTTTTTTTGTCTCTCTACTACTTTTATAGGAAAGATTTCTAGATTGAGAGATTATTTTATCACCAATATTGCTAATGCAGATTTCCTCTGCTGTAAATAGCCTTTGTATTAGTTTGTTTTCACACTGCTATAAAGAATACCTGAAACTGGGTAATTTATAAAGAAAAGAGGTTTAATTGACTCACAGTTCCACATGGCTGGGAAGGCCTCAGGAAACTTACGATAATAGCAGAAGGGGAAGCAAGACAGCAGGAGAGAGAGTGAGGCAGGGGAAACTGCCAGAAACTTATCAAACAACCAGATCCTGTGAGAAATCACTCACCATCATGAGAATGGCATGGGGAAACTGTCCCCACGATCCAATCACCTCCCACCAGGACAACCCCTACCCTGCCCTTGACATGTAGGGATTACAATTTGGATTACAGCTGGAGATGAGATTTGGGTGGGGACACAGCCAAACCATATCAGCCCTGTTTTTATATTGGTTCTCTTGTCTGTGTTGGAATTCTGACTAGGACCCTGTGTGGGGTAAAACACTGTGGGATAGAGATGGGGCAGGTTAACTAGCCTGGTTTTCTCTGGGGTGAGTGGCAGGAGGTATCTTTCAGCTGGGATTAAAACCAAGCACATTGCTTCAAGAATTTCTTACTGCTTGACTTGAATGAAAATGTTATTACTGATGATAATTTTGGGGCATAATCTCATGCCTAACTGGTATTGGAATAATAGTAAGATGTGTAATAAACACATGTGAGTCTTGAGAATTCCGCTCTGATTTTGACTCACAGTAAGTTACTTGATAAAGTTTGTCCTACAGTCTCACTACTTCTCAGCAAAATTCTTACTGTGTGATCAGATACTAAATTTCTTTCAGTTTATTCCCAGTAAATCTGATGGAATGTCTAGATTCTGCAGACTTTGATCCAAAGACTGAACTAAATCCAATGAACTCAAGAGAACAACTTTTAAGTAGTTATTAAGCTGATATTCTGTGTTCAGACCTGTGCCTGGGACTGAAAGAACATAAATAAATGTAACTGAGGAAGTGTTCTTTCTCTTTGATCTAGATGGTAACTTACCTAGGGGACAAATGGGAGTGGGCAGATCTGAAGAAAGGAAGAATCTGTTGTAATAGTCTAAATGTGAGGCAATGAATTATAAGGTTTCCATAATAGAGATGAAAAGAGACAGAAAGATAAACTACCAAAAGAATTAAAGGAGCTTGATAAGTTCCTCTGCAAAGGCTAAATTAAAATGAGACGTAAATGATCAATGATTGACACAAGATAGTACAGCAGATAAAAATATGGATTTCGGTGTCTATGAGAACTGAATTCAAGTCCCAGATCTGACATTGGAATTCAACAGTTACATGATTCTTCTCAGTTTCAGTTTCCTTTTGTGTAAAATATAACAAACAGTACTTCCTTCAGAAATGTATTATAAAGTTAGTGTTTTTAAAACTACAGGTTATGCCTTTTTCTTGAGAAATTAACTTTACAGTTTAATGAGGAACAGATAACATTTTAATAAGAAAGATCTGGAAAAGAAAAGTAGAATGCGTTACTCATGGTAAAAATAAGTATTTTTGTAACACTTTTTTATAGTGATTGTATATATGTGTGTGAGTGTGTGTGTGTAAGAGAATCATTGGATTAAAAATTAAAATAAAAATAATAGCTATTTATGACAAATCCACAGCCAATATCATACTGAATGGGCAAAAGCTGGAAGCATTCCTTTTGAAAATCATCACAAGACAAGGATGCCCTCTCTTACCACTTCTATTCAACATAGTATTGAAAGTTCTGGCCAGGGCAATCAGGCAAGAGAAAAAAAAATGGTATTCAAACAGGAAGAGAGGAAATCAAATTGTCTCTGTTTGCAGATGACATGATTGTATATTTAGAAAACCCCATCATCTCAGCCCCAAAACTCCTTAAGCTGATAAGCAACTTCAGCAAAGTCTCAGGACACAAATCAATGTGCAAAAATCACAAGCATTCTTATACACCAATGATAGAGAGCCAAATCATGTGTGAACTCCCATTCACAATTGCTACAAAGAGAACAAAATACCTAGGAATCCAACCTACAAGGGATGTGAAGGACCTCTTCAAGGAGAACTACAAACCACTGCTCAAGGAAATAAGAGAGGACACAAACAAATGGAAAAACATTTCATGCTCATGGATAGGAAGAATCAGTACTGTGAAAATGGCCATACTGCCCAAAGTAATTTATAGATTCAATGCTATCCCCATCAAGCTACCATTGACTTTCTTCACAGAATGAGAAAAAAACTACTTTAAATTTCATATGGAATCAAAAAAGAGCCCATATAGCCAAGACAATCCTAAGCAAAAAGAATGAAGTTGGAGGCATCACGCTACCTGTCTTCAAACTATACTACAAGGCTATAACTAAACTATACTACAAGTCACCAAAACAGAATGGTATGGGTACCAAAACAAATATATAGACCAATGGAACAGAAAGGAGGCCTCAGAAATAACACCACACATCTACAACCATCTGATCTTTGACAAACCTGACACCAACAAGCAATGGGGAAAGGATTCCCTATTTAATAAATGACTTTGGGAAAACTGGCTAGCCATATGCAGAAAACTGAAACTGGAGCCCTTCTTTATACCTTATACAAAAATTAACTCAAGATGGATTAAATACATAAACATAAGACCTAAAACCATAAAACCTGTAGAAGAGAACCTAGGCAATACCATGGGCATGGGCAAAGTCTTCATGACTAAAACACCAAAAGCAATGGCAACAAAAGCCAAAACTGACAAATGGGATCTAATTAAACTAAAGAGCTTCTGCACAGCAAAAGAAACTATCATCAGAGTGAACAGGCAACCCACAGATTGGGAGAAAAATTTTGCAATCTCTCCATCTGACAAAGGGTTAATATACACAGTCTACAAAGAACTTAAACAAATTTACAAGAAAAAAACAACCCCATCAAAAAGTGAGTGAAGGATATGAACACACACTTCTCAAAAGAAGACATTTATGTGGCCAAGAAACATATGAAAAAAAGCTCATCATCACTGGTAATTAGGGAAGTGCACATCAAAACCACAATGAGATAGGATCTCATGCCAGTTAGAATAGGTACCATTATGGCTTACACCTGTAATCCCAGCATTATGGGAAGCCAGGGTTGGCAGATCACCTGAGGTCAGGAGTTCAAGACCAACCTGGCCAACATGGTGAAAACCCATCTCTAATAAAAATACATAAATTAGCTGGACGTGGTGGCTGGTGCCTGTAATCCCAGCTACTCGAGAGGCTGAGGCAGGAGAATTGCTTGAACCCAGGAGGCAGAGGTTGCAGTGAGCCAAGATCATGCCACTGCACTACAGCCTGGGCAACAGAGCAAGACTCTGTCTCAAAAAAAAAAAAGACTAGCTATCATTAAAAAATCAGGAAACAACCGATACTGGCGAGGCTGTGGAGAAATAGGGACACTTTTACACTGTTGGTGGGAGTGTAAATTAGTTCCAGCATTGTGAAAGATGGTGTGGCGATTCCTCAAGGATCTAGAAAAAGAAATATCATTTGACCCAGCAATCCCATTACCGGGCATATACCCAAAGGATTATAAATCATTCTACTAAAAAGACACATACACACATATGTTTATTGCAGCACTATTCACAACAGCAAAGACTTGGAATGAATCCAAATGCCCATCAATGATAGACTGGATAAAGAAAATGTGGCACATATACACCATGGAATACTATGCAGCCGTAAAAAAGAATGAGTTCATGAGTTCATGTCTTTTGCAGGGGCATGGATGAAGCTGGAAACCATCAGTCTCTGCAAACTAACCCAGGAACAGAAAACCAAACACTGCATGTTCTGACTCATAAGTAGGAGTTGAATAGTGAGAACACATAGACACAGGGAGGGGAACATCACACACTGGGGCCTGTTTGGGGATGTGGGAAAAGGGGAGGGATAGTATTAAGAGAAATACCTACTGTAGATGACGGGTTGATGGGTGCAGCAAACCACCATGGCACATGTATACCTATGTAACAAACCTGCATGCCCTGCACATGTATCCCAGAACATAAAGTATAATAAAAAAATTAAAATGTACTTATTGTTATGGATTGTCTTTAAACAAGTTTGAAAAAGCAGCACTCTATAATACATAAAAAGTGTTTTATGTGATACTAACACATTTGAAGGAAACAAGACGTGTCACAAAAATCAAGGGAGGAGAGCTTCAAGGATGGGCTGATTAATGCTGTTAAATATAGTAGAGAACAAGGGGGATAAAATCTGAGAAAAGGTTGGTTTTAAGAATAATTAGCTTATAGAAAATTAAACGTGAATTTAGTCTGCAACTATTAGTAATAACACACAGTGACATTTTTTATAATGCTAAATGATAGTAAATAATCTAAAAAATCTAGTGAAAGAAAGAAATATGCAAGATGATTTCCACACAAGAATTACAATAAATAATGAAAAGCAGTTCTGGGCCTTTTGGTTTGCTCCCTGGAAGGAGATAAAATAGTTAATTAAAGTTTTATTGCTTTTGAAACATTCTCCAATTTAAGAAAAGGTTTGAGATTTGTTATATATGGTGCTTACATGGAACACATGAAACCTTTATGAGACTTTTTTCCCTGTTTGATAGGGAATGAAACTTTGGTTGAATTTCCAGTGGGATGGGGTGAGTCTGGAGATAAGCTTTATGGTTTCTCCTGCTGGTGTCTCCAGATAGCAAACACAGCAGCGGCTTCCAGTCTGTGGTGCAAAGAAAGAAATACTATTCTCTAGTGCAGATACCATTTCACCTATCTTTTTATAAAATACCAGATTTTGGTGAAGGTTCTTAAGATATTCAAATAATTATCTCCAAGTATCTGCTGGGTGGCATGGCAGGTGAAAGCAAGGAGAATTGAGACAAATAGATAGACAGGAAGTCAAATATCTCACTTCTTTTTACCCCATTAGAGGAAAGGCCTCACTGTCTAGGCCTCATTTTGAGGGTCCCAGTACACCTTCCTCATTCTCCAAGTTTCTGATCCCTTCTCCATACCCTGCAGTCTTTAGATCTTTTTTTGCTATCAAATGTCCACATGTCTCAGTCAGTCTAGATTACTACAACAAAGTATCATTGACTTAGTGTGTTGTAAATGATAGAAATTTATTTCTCACAGTTCTGGAAGTGGCAGTCCCATCAGGCTGCCAGCATTGCTGGCTTCTGGTGAGGGTTCTCATTCAGTTTGCAGATGACCAACTTCTCATGTATCCTCATGTGGTCGAAGCAGAGCTAGTTAGCATTCTGGTCTTTTCCTATAAAGACACTAATTCCATTAATGAGGGCTCAACTCTTATTACCTAATTACTTTCCAAAGACACCTCCTCCTAAATGCCATCGCACTGGGAGTAGGGCTTCCACATATGAATTTTAAGAAGACACAAACGTTCAGTCCATTGCACTGTATGTTTTCATTTTCTCTAGATCAGTCACTTTTTTCCTACAAAATTTATACATATTTAGTCTTCCTCCATCTCATCTAGTATCTCCTAAAATTATCAATTTTAATTAAATTTCCAAGGTTTTTCTTTTTTCTTTTTAGTTACTGTTGCTCTGCAGAAGAGTGGCCATGTCTCTTTGTTCATAACTCCTGTCATGTGGGGATAGAATGTGGTGAGAGGGTCCATAAATTATTGGGTCTATGCATAAAGTGCTCTAGGGAAATACTGGGGTTCTATTGCTGCATGATATAGCTATACGTTCCCAGCGCTGATTCTCAACCACAGCTATACTTTAGAATTACCTGAAAAGCTTTAAACAATACCTATCCTTAAACTCTTCTCAATTAAAGTAGAGCCTCTGAGTTTGGATCCTGAAAATCGTGTGTGTTGTGTTTATGAGCTGCTCAATTGATTCTACTGTGTGGCCAAGTTTGGCAACCACTGTCCCAGACAGTATTTCTTCTCAATCTTTAATGTTGTATTAATCACTTGAATATCATGTTAAAATGCAGATTAAATTCAGTAGATTTAGGGTGAGACATGAAATTGTGATTTCTAATAAGCCTCTATGAGAAGTAGATATTGTAGTTTCAGGGACTACACTTTGAAGAGCAAGGTCCTAGAATATTTAAAATTAATTATATCTCACCAGTTTATTGTCTTCTGAAATATGCTCTTTCCTACTCAAGCTTCAAGAAGGAGAAATTATTATTCCATGAGTATATTCTAGTTTTAGATGCTGACAAAGAGCATCTTGCCATGTCCGAAAATTTACTGTACCTCATTAATCTTTGCTTACTGTTGTTTATCAAGTAACTGATTCAATTAACTAAATTAATGGTATCAATTGTCCCCCCCCATGTGATTCTATGGCAATATATAGGGCATGAGGGACTCTGTATGTTAATTCTACAAGTAATTTGGTATAGTCAGTAGTAGGGGTCATTTGGGGAAAGGATGAGAGGAAAGGCTGCAGAGAGAAGGACAAGTTCATTAAATGACAATAATGTTGAACATTCATTGCACACTTACTGTTTTTCAGACACTTTGTTATGTGCTTTATATACATTATTTAATTTAATCCCCACACCAAGTCTACAAGAAGAAAATACTTATTAAAATGACAAATGAGCTTAGAAACTGCTATGGTTTGAACGTTTCCTCCAAAGTTTGTGTGTTGGAAACAATTCATTATGCAACTATGTTGAGAGGTGAGACCTTGAATAGGTGATTAGTTCATGAGGTCTCTGCCCTTGTAATTGGGTGAATGCTGTTATCATGGGAGTGGGTTAGTTGGCACAGGAGTGGGTTCCTTACAAAAAAATTACTTCCGCCTCTTTCCTCTCTCATGTGCATGCTTTGTTGCCTTTCTGCCTTCTGCCATGAGATGTTGCAGCAAGAAGACCCTCACCAGGTGCCAGCGTCTAGACATTGGATTTTCCAGCCTCCAGAACTGTGAGAAATTATTTTTTTCTTTATAAACTACCCAGTGCGTGGTATTATGTTATAGCAATGCAAAACAGACTAAGACAGAAACCATAAGAAACTGAAAAGTTTATATAAATGGATTCAGATCACATAGCTAATAAGTGGTAAGAGCCAAGCCTCTATCTCTCTCCTGAGTCCCAGCTCTTATCCTGCAACAAGCTTAAATGGGAAGTCAAAGACAGCTTTTAAACACAAAAGAAAGATGATCCAGCAGCATGAAGGATATAGGCAGGGTAAGAATGGAGGCTTAGATCCCACTTAGGATTCCTCCTCTAAGAGGCTGAAATTTCATAAGCTTATCAATATAATTTAAGAACTGGAAACATGTCTTTTTTTAATTACTATCACCAAACACAGTGCCTGGAATATAGTAGTTATAAATAGTTATTAAGTGAATAAATGATTGCTATTATAATTATGCAGAAGAGTAATTTTGAGAGCCTGAACTAAGGCAGTGACAGTGGGAACAGTGGTTGAAATGAAATAAAGAACTAGTTGAAAAGAAATTTTCAGTAGGTTAATAACTAATGTTACTTTTAACAGCCACAATGCTTAAAATGCAGAGAAATTTTTAAATATTTTTCAACTCAATGGACTAACTCTAATATTTACCACAGGAAGACCAAAAATGAAGTAATAGGCGTACAGGGGCTGATGGGTGTGCCATAAGTCATACAATGCAGGCAGACTCATTTTCCATATCAGACAGGTGCTGTACAGACTAAGGAATGTGGGGTCAAACTCCGAAGTCAGAGGACTGTCGTCAAGTCTCTTTTTCAGTAGTAGGTATATGACATTGGTTAAATCTGACACTCTGCTTTTTCATCATGACAATGGAATAATGCTGCAGGAAAGAGAGAAAATAATGATGGTGAGAGCTTTTTTTTTTTTTTTTTAAGCAGTACTTCTGCTATCCAAATTTGAGTATTTATCCAACTATTTTCAGTTCAGGGGCTACAATGCCTCAACCATATTTACATTTGAGGTATCTAAATGTAATTCTGGTGATGTATTGTCATCTGTAAATTTCTCTATTGTGACATTATTAATACTTACATTGAAGGTTATTAAAAACTTACTAAAGGTGTATTTGTAAAACCACTGAAAATTTACTTATATTTTTTGTGTATTGTAAGTTTTTTACAATGATCATATATTATTTTTATAATCTGCAGAGGTTAGAAATGTTATTTCGAAGGATTTTTATTTAGGAGTCATGGCCGAGAAAAAGGTTTCTAAATTAAAAACCAGAAAAGTCATTTTTACTGTTTTAACAGGTAGATTGTCAAGTTTAGACTCATAACACAGTCTTTCAAAGGTTTCTACTGGACAGAAACAGCCTCATTTTCACAATCGTAGTCAAAGCAGAAAAACATACACAGAACTAAATGCCTAGCATCTGATAAGATGACCTTTTGCTGAAAAATCATTTGGAACAGCACTTGTTCTGCAGTAACTGTCATGGTAAGTACAGACAGAAATGGGACAAAAAATGAAAGCTATTTTGGTTTCCTTCTATTCAACTTACAGACCACAACAGCAAGAGCACAAATTACTAGCTAATCTAAATATAAAAGTTCATGAGACTTTGCTAAATAAGTATCCTGTTACTCAAAGGAGACTGAGCATCTGGACTTGGTTATGGCTGCTACCGAGTTTTTTGTTTGTTTGTTTGTTGTTTGGTACATTCAGTAATTGGGTCGGGTCATAGGATATATATTTTCTTTAAGGGCAAATTTTAGGGTGTTATAAAATAATATGAGTTTTAAAAGTTTAAGGGCAATGTGGCTTTGAAATAAGGTACATGTGAATTGAAAATAAGACTGTAAATTTTTTTTGCTGTATGACATACAGCAAATTACTGAGCCACTCTCAGCCCAGCATGACCTTACTACAAAATTGGAAAAGTTACACGTAACTAACCGTGTTGTAAAGATGAAGAAAGACTCTAAGATTCATCTTTTCTAAAACTTCTTAGGTATTCAGTATACATTGCTTCAGTGCAGGAATCCTTAAAAGATGTCCATCTAGACTATGTTATTATTGTCAGTATGTTAAGATACAATGCTGCCTATACCACTTTTAAATGCCTCTTTTACTTCATGACTTTCACCTTCTTTTGCTAAAGCACTCTGAATCTCTGAGTCACTCGCCAGTGTTCAGTTCTGCCTTTATTTGATGCTGCACTTCAGAAGATGATTTAATTCTATTGTGGAGCAGGATAAAACTAAATAAAAGTGGTGGTACCTACCTTTACAGAGCTTAAAGTCTAGGAGGGAATGCAGGCAATAAATAAACACGTAAAATGGGAACAGAGATTAGGAAAATATAACCTAAACTAAAAAGCTAGAAATAGCCTCTTGGAGGAAAAAAACATTTAAGCAGAGATTTCAAGAAGAATGGAATAGGCTTAGCAGAGTAGAAACTTAACAAATATTGGTTGAAATGTATTGAGATAAATCAGACCAAATCATTGCCCATGCCTGAGCCTGAAATTTTACCAACACAGGGTTTAATATTATGAGTCTACAGTATTAGAAAAATGGCTTCTATTACTTCTATTTTTTCAGAATAATATATTTATATAGTTACAAAAAAGAGCACAGGATTACATAAATGAAAAGGAACAGGTTCCCCTTTTCTTTTCTTCCCCACTTTTACTCCCCAGCAATATACTTATAAGCATATCTAATTTTATTTCTTTCAGTGGTCACCTCGACTATTAATAAAATGTGTATAATTCTATTTCTTGATCTATCAAATTCAGACAATATCTATTTACTTTCCACAATGATCTATCAAATTCAGACAATATCTATTTACTTTCCACAATGACAATTGAGGAGTTAATGTTAGTTGACTTACACTATCTGTCATCCTCATACTTTTGCTGGTTTTGATGATTCTATTAGAACTATACTTCTTATATAAATTTATAATATACTAAATTTTTTGTTGCATCAATTTTAGACAGCGTCCTCGACTCCCTATTATGTAAAATGAAGATATTTGCATATTTATCATTCTATCACTTTTCCTCCTCACACCCTCCTTTAAAATTGTCAGGAATATATATTGCTTTTTTGTTTTGAGGGTAGAGAATACTTACATTTTTCTGTAGCTAAAATCCAGTCTTCTCTAATTCGTAGCCATGTTAAATCTGTAAATGAAAAACTGATAAATATAATCAACATGTTGTTTATTGAGGAACCAATTAATATGTAGAACAATAGGGGAAATTGTAACATATATGTGATTCTATATCACCAAATCCTTTCCATTTGAACAACAACTTCTAACTGTCAAGATTGATCACATAAAATGTCTTTCTTCCATCTTGTCAATTCTTGACAAGCAGATTCACTAATTTGCTTATTTATTTTTTCTTTAAAAATTTTTTTATATAGATTTAGGCAGTACAAGTGAAGTTTTGTTACATGGGTATATTGTGTAGCGGTGATGTCTAGGTTTTTAGTGTAGCCGTCACCCAAATAATGTACATTGCTTTCATCCTATCACATAGCTTTCCTATCTTATTTATAGTGTTGAAATTATGGAATCTATTTTCTACATGATGGCATTTCTAAAGAGCTTTAATTTTCTACATAAGGGCATTTCTGTAGAGCTCCTACTTCAGTGAAGGTCTGCTCCTCCAACAGAATTTCAATATACTTCCCTACCACAAAGTTAGCTGTTAGCATTCTTAAATCCCCTATCTTCCTTGAATTATTTTTCCTATTTTGTTGGAGTGCGTCTCTTGCTATTTTTCTCAGGAGTATGAGAGAAGAAAAAATTTTCAGTCTTAAATTGAAAATGCTTTTATTTTGCCTCAACACTTTAATTAGAAACCTGAGTTCCTGCCCCCAGGATGCGATGCTCATTGCATGGAGCAAGGTGATGATGTCCTTGTTCCAGGCAGTGAAGAAAGGGATAAAAAGGGAGAGAACAAAGAACACCACTAAAAGCTGCCCTATGAAACATGGACTAGTTCTTATTCTCATGGCCACATCCAGCTTTAGGGCATGCTGGGGAACAGGATTTGTATTCCGGACAGAATCTGCCTGGCTTAATATTTTATTACTTTGCAACTAAGAAGAATGCATATTGGCTCACAATCAACAAGGTTTGCCATAGCCTTAATTAATAAAGCCTAAAAAAAATCACATAACTTCTAACTTTAAACAGGGTAAATTCTAAGTAGGTTATAGTAAATTAGTTGAGCAGAGTGCCCTGAGGTATCTGAATGATTGACCAGTTATATAGAACTGTTGGCTAAAAGCCAGACAAATATTAGAAGACATATAATAGATATAATATTTTCGTTTTATAATTATTTTGAATCATTCTTAGACAATAATTAGGAAGCAGAATCAATCTTCAGTTGTGCACAAACTCAATGTATTACAAAAACATTGTGTTTTCAGTAAAAAGAGAAATATTTACCCTTCTTTTAGTAGATGAAGAGCAACCATGAGGTGTTAAACAGTAGTTTGGCCCAAGTGTGGTGGCTCATGCCTGTAATCCCAGCCCTCTGGGAGGCTGAGGCAGGAGGATTGCATGCATCCAGGAGTTAGAGACCAGCCTGGAAAACATGGTGAGACTCTGTATCTACAAAAAAAAAACTACAAAAATTAGCTGGGTATGGTGGTGTGCACCTCTACTCCCTGCTACTTGGGAGGCTGAGGTGGGAGGATTGCTTGAGGCTGCAGTGAGTCTTGATTGCACTACTGCATTCTAGCCTGGGTGACATAGTGAGAACTTATCTTAATAATAAAGAAATAAATGAATAGTATAATTTGAAGACTCTTGCTACAGAGATTTTTGTCTTTTATCAAATGACGTTTACTTATTCTTTTTCTGGTTTAGAAACATGCTTTTATTTTATAGTGAAAACTTCTCAAGAAATTTTTTAAAGTGCATTTTCTGTACATTTAATAAAAATTTGATATTAAATGTTCATTTCTGAATAAAGCTAATGATGAGTATATCACTTATAACTAATAAAATATTTGTCTGCATTCAGCATCAACTATGCTGAAAACCAGAAGATACATATCTTCTGAAAAAAAAATCAGTATATGGTTTAAAAGTTATTTGTTAACTTAAAAAGAATCTAATACCTGGTAGTGTATTGCTGCTATAATTAAAATCTAAAACATATGTTGGCATTGAGACCTGGTTGTTGGAAGAGACTGAAAGGACTTTGAGGAAGTAGTTGGTAAAACTTGAAGGAAAGTGAGAAAAATATTATTGGAGGCTGGGGAAAAAAACTCTTCTTAGGGAGTGGTGGAAATTTCGACAGCACTGTTGTCTGAGATAAGGTAGAAAATAGGAAATGTACCCACTAAGTCAAGGATCTAGCTATAGACAATTCCAGGCAGAATTTTAAAAGTTTTAACTGCTTCTTCTAACTTTCTATAATAAAATATAATATGGAGAAATGAACTACAGAAGAATAAACTATTAGTTTTCAAAGAGAATTTAAGAGGATTTTGAGGGCCTAAGGCAGAGTTTCCAGTCAACAAAAGTTTCTCTAAGTAAAACACTGCCTCGGGGTAAAGATGGAGTAAACAACTATAAAACACCTTGGTAAGTCCTCAGAAAAATGTAAAGTACTTTGTTGACTCTTCAAGTAAAAGGCTGTTATTAGTGTCTTAAGAGTTTACCTTTTGGATTCTGTTTGTTAAACAATAGAACTCCTCAGAAAGGACCTCAGGTAGAGAGGGATCTATCTTAGAAAGAAACATGGTCTTGGTGGGCCAAGCTTTCAATTTTTTTTTTTTTTTTTTTTTTTTTTTTTTTTTTTTTTTTTTTTTTAGACGGAGTCTTGCTCTGTCGCCCAGGCTGGAGTGCAGTGTCGCGATCTCGGCTCACTGCAAGCTGCGCCTCCCGCGTTCACACCATTCTCCTGCCTCAGCCTCCCGAGTAGCTGGGACTACAGGTGCCCGCCACCATGCCCGGCTAATTTTTTTGTATTTTTAGTAGAGACGGGATTTCACCGTGTTAGCCAGGATGGTCTGGATCTCCTGACCTCGTGGTCCACCCATCTCGGTCTCCCAAAGTACTGGGATTACAGGCGTGAGCCACTGTGCCCGGCCGAAGCTTTCAAAATTTTTAAAGAAATTAGGATCATGGCACAAAAAGGGGCAGCAAGAGTTCAAAATGAAAAAAAAATGGCTTTTGAACACCTAATATATGAGCAATAAACATGCTGAAAAACTACTTAGCTGTAAGTACAGGCAATTTCTTATAGAAATGGAAGAATGACTCGGAGGATGAAAGAAGTACCCAGCTGGCAAAGCTAAGAGACATGAAGAATCATTCCCAGGGAACAAAACCATAGCCTAATAAAAGAACTGATAACATGTACTAGCTAGGTTTCAGAATTGTTCTGGACTAAGTATTTCTATATGGCTTCTTTTTCTCTTTTTTGAATAGGAGCATTTACTGTGGATTTCCCATGATTGTCTTGGCATTTTATGTTGCATGTATGAGGACACGGGTATTACGTTCCTTTAGTTCACAAATTTTCACAGTGAGAAGAATGACAATTGAGGTGCCTAATCTGTTCTTAGGCTAGATTTAAACGATGAGATCTTGAAACTCAAGCCTGAGTCTGCTTCCATAATTAGTTGAGAATCTGGGGAGACTTGGGAGGGAGAGGGTATATTCTGCAGGAGAAGATGTAAGTAATTTATGACCAGAGGGTAGATTAAGGTGAATTAAAATGGCTGAAAATTCTTTGACGCTCTTCCAATGGGGAGATTGGGTACATGACTGCTCCCCTTGTCCTGGGTGGGATCTATGGCTGTTTTGACCAAAAGAATACTCCAGAATACTACTATGCCAGTTCTGGTATCAGGACTTAGGAGTCTATCAGCCTCTATTTCCTGTCTCTTAAAAGACTCTTGGAGCCCTGAGTCACCTTGTAAAACATGAAACTTAAGGCACTCATTCTCTAAGAAAGTTAGAGAAAGAAAGAGAAAGAGGGTGGGTGAGGAAGAAGGGAAAGAGAGAGAGGGGAAGGCAAAAAAGGAGAGAGAAAGGGACACAGAGCCAATGGGAAAAGAGAAATGTCTGTCAGTCAGTTTGGTCTGCCATAACAAAAATCCCATAAACTTGGTGGCTTAAACAACAACAGTTTATTTATTTATTATATTAATTTTTTTTTTGAGACAGAGTCTTGCTCTGTTGCCCAAGCTGGAGTGCAGTGGTGTAATCTCAGCTCACTGCAACCTCCTACTCCTGGGTTCAGGCGATTTTCCTGCCTCAGCCTCCCAAGTAGCTGGGACTACAGGTGCATGCCACCACGCCTGGATAATTTTGTATTTTTTAGTAGGGATGGGTTTTCATCGTGTTAGCCAGGATCGTCTCGATCTCCTGACCTCATGATCTGCCCGTCTTGGCCTCCCAAAGTGCTGGGATTACAGGCGTGAGCCACCGCATCCTGCCCAAAAATTTATTATTTTTTTTATTTGTGACTGCTGGGAAGTCCAAGATCAATGTGTCAGGCGCTTTAGTTTCTGGTGAGAGCTCTCTTCTTGGCCTGCAGAAGGCAGTCTTCTTGCTGTATTTTCAAGTGTTGGGGTTGGGAGTTGGGGAAAAGAGAGAGTGCAAGCTCTCTGGCCTCTTATAGAGCACTTGTGTCATCAGGTTGACCTCATCCCCAGCATGACATCATCTAACTCTAATTTCTCCCAGAGGTCCAACCTCATAACACCATCACATTGGGAGTTAGGGTGTCAGTATATGAAATTGAGGGGGACACAAACATTGAGTCCATAACATCTGGCCCCCATATATCATGGAGCAGAGATAAGCTCTCCCTGCTACACTTTATTCTTAACTTATGATCTAGGAAATTGTGAAATAAAAAAAAAAAATAGTGGGGTGTTTTAAGCCACTAAGCACTGAGTTTTGGAGAAATTTATTACTTAGTAATACATAATGAAACCCCAAACAGAAGATGTAGAAAGGTCATTTCCATATCATTCTGTGAAGCATCCTTTTCTATTTAGATCAAATAAGTGTTCCAAATTCATTTAATTCTATTTCAATTCCAAGTTTTGCTGGGCATGTATGAAAAGTGAAGGTCTAGCTGTTAACATGTTGCCTCCATTATCAGAAGCAGAATTTCAAAAACAATTTTATATCAGTGTTACCAGATGCTTCAAATAAATAATTATTAAGGTAATTCAATTTTAAATTTTAAAGAAGATTGTCAGAAATTTGATTTTTAAAAAGTGAAAATTAAAACCATATTGTGGAGATTTCTATTCAGGACACGAACAATAGCTCTTATCAGATTAACCTGCTTATAGATGAAAGTTTTAAATTCTATACAAAATATTGAAATAAACAACTACATGTAGGCTGTGAAGAGCAAACAAATGCAGCCAGGTTTTGGAAGTTGTTTGGCACATAGATGAATGGAACTGCAGTTGGGTGCATTTCCCCATGTTGATGGTTTTCAGCATGAAGACAGATTCCAGTCCATGCTAAGAGACATGTTAACTTGTTAAAACAAAACAAGACACCAGAAAAATAGAACAAAATGAAAAACAGCAGAGAGCCAGGGACTGGAGAAATAGGGCAAAAAAGCACTAGTTGTTCCAACCATATTCTGGTTTAAGATTGGATGAGGAAAGTAAAAGAGAGGTTATCAAAGTAGGTGGTTGGTGTAGGAAAACTCAAAAGGAAGACGGAGTAGAGATTTGAGTTAGAGCTGGAGATGAAAAACAGACATGCTACAGCCATCTTTTATGTCGTATGTGCTTGCTTGCCTGGAATTAGTGTTAAAAATCTGGACAAAGTGTGAGTCTAGCAGAGAACATCATAGTGTTGTACAAAGTCAACTCCAGGATTGAGAACTGGCCTTCAAATGGAAGAGTTAATATGTGATCGATTTTTTTTCAATTCGATAGTACAGGTAAACATTAGATAAGTGACATTACTAGATCTAAAAATAAGCAGTTTAGCCTCGGGGGGGCCCTGAGTGTCTATGCTTTGCTTTTTCTTAATACTTGCATTTTGAAATTTAACTATCTTATGATAAACTTGAGCAGAACAAATGAAATATGTCTGTTTTTAGTACAATTTTTATATACCATATATAAAAGGGTGTTTACAAGCACTGTATAATAACTATATGAGAGATACTTATGTATAACTATACATATTATATAATATGTATATATAACTATACATAAAACTGTAGATATGTATAACTATTGAGAGAGATTATAAAAAGATATAAATATGCTTTTTAAATTAAAACACCTTATTATATATTTTAATGACCAATATGAAAAAATCAAATAATATACTCAGTAGGTCATAATGTTTGCTTAACATCATTTTAGAACATTATAAAAATAAAGCAATTCCTAGTTTTGACTAAGGACGTTGGCTGACATTTTACTTCCAACATGTTACATTCTGTCTTTATATTTTTAAACAATGGCAAAAACTCAAAATATGAAGAGCCAAGCTGCTCTCCTTGGCTCTGGATATGCCTTGCTTTTTGGATTTCAGTCAAAAATTTCACACCAGTGCAGCTTACTTTTAGATTGTTACTTTCAGAAGTGGGCATAATCCCATTTGTGTAGTTCAGATGTACAACCTGAAGTTCTCCAATAACTATGTAGTTGTTTTTGAAATGAATATTCACACAACACACACTTCTCATTGGAAATGATTCTGGTATGGAAGAAAGAGTGGAAGTTTTGAATCAGTGTGGACTTGAATTTTGGCTTCATACATTGGGCAATTGACTTAACCTCTCCAAATCTTATTTTCTTGAGTAAAAAGTGGGAATGGTAATGTTCACCTTACGCCAGACATAGTATCTAGCTGTTCATAATCATAACCATAACCATAGCCATAATCATAATAATGAGGAGGAGGAGAAAAAGGAGTAGCCACAGCAAAAGAAGAAGTAGTAATAATAGTGCTACTGGCAATGGAAGTAGTGTTAATAATATTTACAGTAATATTTATTGAGTCACTCCTGATGAACCAGCACTATTTGAAGTATAAGAACATATAAATCAATTTAATTCTTGCAGCGGCTCTACAACACTTTAGATAACTAAAGTAGAACTTGGAAAAGGAAGCAGAAGGATCATATGGAACTGCAGAGGTAGAAAAGGACCAGATCGCTGGGCAAGGTGGCTCACGCCTGTAATCCCAGCACTTTGGGAGACTGAGGCGGGCGGATCACGAAGTCAGGAGATCGAGACCATCCTGGCTAACATGGTGAAACCCCATCTCTGCTAAAAATACAAGAAATTACCCGGGCATGGTGGCGGGCGCCTATAGTCCCAGCTACTCGGAAGACTGAGGCAGGAGAATGGCGTGAACCCGGGAGGCGGAGCTTGCAGTGAGCCGAGATCGCGCCACTGCACACCAGCCTGAGCAACAGAGCGAGACTCCGTCTCAAAAAAAAAAAAAAAAAAAAAAAAAAGAAAAGGACCAGATCAAGAAAGATTGCTGAGAACCCTGAGCTTTACTGAATAGGTGACAGGGATCTACCAAAGGTAATTAAATAAAAAAACTAACATGATCAGAAAGAAAACCCCGGGAGCATATTGAAGGCAGCGGTTAGTAAAGTTTTCCGGGTAAGAAAAAGTGCAGGACTGAACTAAAGCAGAGACCGTGGGATTTCCTTTTTACTCAGTGCTTCTATCTTTGGAAATTTACCTTTCTCCATGGCTGAAATAAATAGACTGCTTTATTTTCAATTGCTTTTTAAATTAGGTTTTAGGAGAATAATTAATCTGTAATATATTATGACAGTGTGGCTATAATTAATTTTTATATTTGTTATCTAATTTCAAAAAGTTTATAATTATTAATTTGGAATCTGTATATATGCTACACTCTTTAGTTAAAAGTTTGTATACAGTCCTTTTTTTTTAAACTCTGTATCCCAGAGCACAGTGCCTATGTCTGGAAGATGAGAGACACAGAGGAAGACAGAGAAAAAGAGTAGAGAAAGGAAAGGAGAGAGAGACAGAAGAGGGAAAGCAAAAAGCAGAAAGGAGGAGAGGCTGATCAAAATAAATTACATGATGCAGAGTTTTGCTACAACATCTGGCGTTCTTTGGATTATTTTTTGAGGGAGGTAGAAAATTCCTTTAGTGTGTAAATTAATGCTGTTTCTTGGACAGTTATTTGGCCTTGGATGCCACTGAAAAATCAGTGAGAGTCCCATAGGGAACACGTTTACGTGTCTCTTGACTGAAACGTTAGAGTGAAAGTCAGTTAAAGAGCATAGTCAAATAACTAAACACCAAATGGGGTTGGATGATTAGTTAAAATTATATTTAAGAAGAATATTAAGTGTAATCACAAATATGTCTGTAACACATATTCATAAAAAGTGACTGGAGGACAGTAGAAAAATGCTAACTTTTTTTTATCTTAGGGGACTGAGATTTAATGGTTCTTTTATATTCTTCCTTTTTTTCCTTGTAATGTGTTTGTATTACTCTGATAAGAAAAAAATGTAACAAGAACAAAAAATTTAAAAATTCTCAGATTGCGGAGACAGATTAACCTCTTGTAATGAATAAAGCTCTATTTTAAGTTGCTTTTCAGTTTTATGAAATTAAGCTTCAAATTCAAGGCTTTAAAATTGCGGGAAAAAAGTTCAGGCTTTTAGAGAATTCTTCCTCAGAATCGATAGTTATCCACTACTAGACACAAGCAGTCACAATGTAAACAGCCCTATGTGCAAACTATTGTGGATATGAACAGTAAAACCAAAAGACTGAAATGAGAATCCAGTACGACAGCCAAGCTTGCCAAAGCATCACATCCCAGTAGTTCATCAAGGTCAGGTATGGTTTCAGGCAAGACTCCAGGGCAGTCCAGTCTACTGGGTAAGGACATCTGATAGAGGAGAATCTGGCAGAACTCTGAGACCATTCTAAGCTGATTTTCTTTGCTGACAGCACTCTCACTCACTTAGAGAAGTGGACTCAGTCCCCGGGATAAGGCCCTGGCAAGAGCTGTACAGAAGAACCTGAACCTTGCCCAGTGGGATGTGATATGGGACAAAACACGATTCTGTGGGAAATTCAACTATTATGAGAATGAATCATGTTAGTTATGATATGTGGTGAGCAGGTAATGTATATTGAAGAGGAGGAGAGGTGGAGAGAGAAGATGTGGAGTAAAGACAAGGGTCAAGCCTATAGATCATGCCAACCAGGTAGAGAGAAAAAATATTGTGACTCAGAAATGTCTACAAGGATATTCAGGGTTTATCCTTGGCATACAACATCTGGATAAATCTCTTGTTTCTGACATTACCTGAGGCCAGCTCATAAACTTCAGGTGTGACCTGTCAAGGCCAATCTCAAAGTATCAGGAAGCACAAAGGCAGGAACACAAAGTCTGTGCTTATCCGCACAACAAAAGCCATTCTTCAGAATGTCTAGGCATCTTCCTGCCTTGTCTAATCACAGAACGGTGCCACTGAGAGTGAGCATGACTGATGCCCCAATGGAGAATAAGGAGAAGGATTAAAACAGAAATTTGAGACTTGGAGTAAGTGGGAAAGGAATTAAAGCTATCCTTTTGTAATAGGAACTTTGTTCTATTTGACCTTTCAACATATTTATGTATTAGACAAGACAGAGGCTTGAGACAAGCCTGAGACAAGCTTAAGACAATGCTCTACTTCAAAGCATCATCACCATAGTCGTCTGTTTCAGGGGAAGGATGTGGGTAGTGGTGAGCAGAGACAACCTGGGATAGATGCAGAAGAAAAAATTCAGGACAAGCTGTGTAGAATCAACAGTCTTTACAGAAAACAATAGGCAGAGGTCTGTGCAGGAAAATGTTCCTGAGTCTACTGCAGATAGCCGTAGCCTGGGGTCTTTTGTTCAGAGATGGGGCTCTAGTTCTTGGGATCTAAGTTATTTGACATAATTACTTTAGCTGTTATCTATAACAAAGAACTCACAAATCTTAAAGGCTTAACAGAAAAGAATTTTAGTTCTCACTCAAAATGCATGTGAAGCAAATTTAGCAGCCCTCTAGAGCAGCTTTTTTTCAAGCAGCAACACAGGGAACTATGGCACAAGTAATTTCTTCTGAACCTGCAGTCCAAGTTAGATGACCTTATGTCATGTAACCCTAAACTGTCCTCTATTATTACATCTGGCTTGTGCTGTTGTATTGCTGTGAGATTTCTCCCACTAGACTGTGAACTTCTAAAGGCAGCAACTATATCTTTAGTTTGTGTTAGAGGTAGTCAAAAATGTTTGAGGCAGGAACAAAAATGGAAGGAAGACTGATATAAAGGAAGAATATATAAAACACCAATTTAGGAAATTCAAGTGCATGAGCATGTCACTTGTTAACAATAGGAAAACAAGGCCAAAATTGTAGCAAATAAAATATACCTCATATAAGTGCCTACTATATGTCACACACTGTGCTAGACACTTTATATAGTTTGATTCCAATACATACATTCATAATTTGAGACACATAGTATTATCTCTGTTTTTTAAAATTGTCTGTATTAGTTCATTTTCACATTGCTATGAAGAAGTACCTGAGACTCGGTAATTCATAAAGGAAAGAGGTTTAATTGACTCACTGATCCGCATGTCTGGGGAGGCCTCAGGAAACTTGAAATCATGGCAGAAGTTGAAGGGGAAGCAAGATGCATCTTACATGATGACAGGAGAGAGGAAGAGTGAGCAGGGAAATGCCACACACTTTTAAACCATCAGATCGCATGAGAACTCAGTATCATGAGAACGTCATGGAAGAGACCACTTCCATGATCCTATTGTAGCCCACCAGGTCCATCCGTCAACATGTGGGGATTACTATTCAAGATGAGATTTGGGTAGGGACACAGAACAAAATCATATCATTCTGCCCCTGGCCCCTCCCAAATCTCATGTCCTTCTGAAATTTTAAAACACAATTGTGTCTTCCCTACAGTGCCCTGAAGTCTTAACTCATTCCAGCGTTAACCCAAAAGTCCAAGTCCAAAGTCTCATCTGAGACAAGGGAAGTCCCTTCTGCCTATGAACCTGTAAAATCAAAAGCAAGTTAGTTACTTCCTAGATAAAATGGAGGTACAGGCCTTGAATAAGTGCTCCCATTCCAAATGGGAGAATTGGCCAAAACAAAGGGACTACAGAAATTCCAAAACCCAACAGGGCAGTCGTTAAATCTTAAAGCTCCAAAATAGTCTCCTTTGACTCCATGTCTCACATCCAGGGCATGCTGCTGCAAGGGGTGGGCTCCCAAGGCCTTGGGTAGCTCTGCCTCTGTGGCTCTGTAGGGTAGAGCTTCCATAGCTACTTTCACAGGCTGGTGTTGAGTGCCTGCAGTTTTTCCAGGTGCACAGTGTAAACTGTCAGTAAATCTATCATTCTGGTGTATGGAGGACAGTGGCCCTCTTTTCACAGCTCCACTAGGCAGTGCCCCAGTGGGGACTTTTGTGTGGGAGCTCAAACCCCACATTTCCACTCTGCATTGTCCTAGCAGAGGTTCTCCATATGGCCTGGACATCCAGGCATTTCCATGTATCCTCTGAAATCTAGGTGGAAACTCCCGAAGCCCAACTCTTTTATCTTTGCACACCCACAGGCCCCACACCACACGGAAGCTGCCAAGGCTTGGGGCTTGCACTCTCTGAAGCAATGGCCTGAGCTGTACCTTGGCCCCTTTTAGCCATGGTTGGAGCTGGAGTGCCTGGGCCACAGGGCATCCTGTCCCCAGGCTGCACAAAACAGCAGGGCCCTGGGTCTGGCCCAGAAAACTGTTTTTCCCTCCTCGGCCTCTGGGCCTGTGATGGGAGGGGCTGCTGTGAATATCTCTGAAATGCTTTGGAGATGTTTTTGCAGAAGGTGAAGAGGAAGCAAGGCATGTCTTGCTTGATGACAGTAGAGAGAGTGAGCGGGGAACTGCCATAAACTTTTAAACCATCAGATCTCTTGAGAACTCACTCACTGTCATGAGAACAGCATGGGGAAAACTGCCCCCATGACCCAGTCACTCTCACCAGGACCCTCCCTTGACATTTGGGAATTACAATTTGAGATGAGATTTGGCTGGGTACACAAAGCCAAACCATATCAATGTCACTTAGTGAAACTAAGTGACTACCAAGTTCACTCAGGCAGCTAGCATTTGGTATTCAAATTCAGGACTGTTGACCTAAAGCTTCTGTGTGTCTTAATGTTGACTAATTTGAGCTGGTAATCTAGGTGTCTTAAAATCACTGTTGCTTAGAAAGAGGTTCAGTCTTCAGGTTGTGGGTGAAGTTGAATGTGTTGGTGAGAGTTCAATGGCCTCAGGGGGCCTCATAGAAAGAAATGCAGGGTTAGAGACCTACCCAGAGCTATGTTGATCTTTATAAGAAAAAACATAAGCCTCTGGGGTCAACTTGATCTTTGAGATTGGAGAAATTTTGTGCATTTATCCTCTTGATGAAAATAAATCCTGGCATATTTGGTGTTAGAACTCTTAGATTGCAAGTAAAGAAAGCCAGCTGGAGCTAACTTAAGCAAAACAGGACAGCAAATTATAATGTAACAAGGGAGCGTCACAGAGTCCAATGAGAAGATTGCAGCTGGGTCACTGGAAGGATTGGAATTATATTCTGGGAATAGAAATAATCAATAACTCAGGAGGAAATCTCTCTTCACCTTCACTCTTCTCTGTACCTACGTTTCTTATTTTCTCTACGGTTTAGCTTCCTCTGCTCCCCTGTCTACAGAGCCACATGTATTTCCCTTACTTTTATTTATTTCTCATTAATTTTAAATACCAAGAGAAAAGACTCCAATTAGCTCAGCTTGTATCAGGAACCTACCCCTAGATCAATTAACTCTGGCCAGGAAGGAGAGAAATGGTGTACTTCAGGTAATGAAGTGAATCATATCCTAAAAAATAGACAACTAATCCAGGTGAGGTGGCTCACACCTGTAATCTCAACACTTTGGGAGGCCGAGGTGGGTGGAGGTTTAGGCAGGCAACCTGAGGTCAGGAGTTCAAGACCAGCCTGACCAACATAGTGCAACCCCATGTCTACTAAAAATACAAAAAAAAAAAAAAAAGTAGACAGATGTGGTGGCACATGCCTGTAATTCCAGCTACTCGGGAGGCTGAGGCAGGAGAATCACTTGAATCCAGGAGGTGGAGGTTGCAGTGAGCCAAGATCATGCCATTGCACTCCAGCCTAGGTGATAGATTGAGACTCCATCTCAAAAAAAAAAAAAAAAGAATAGACATCTAGAACAAGTGAAGATCAACTAAGAATGTGGTATTATGGAGAGAGTGAGGGAAAGGAAATTATGGGAGCCCTGTGAGTTAGATAGATACTCTGAAGACATCTAGTATGTTGACAGTACTTACAGCCTACAGCTGGAAAGAACATGGGATTTGGAGCCAAGAAAATCTGGATTTGGATATTGTTTAACCTTGCACAGATCATTTAAGCTCAATTTAACATAAACGCAGATCTGTTTTTTATTTGTAATATTGTAGTATAATTTTTACTTTTAATAACTACTGTGATGTTTAACAATAAAATATGTAAGGTAGCTAGGACACAGTGAGTGCTAAAAACTGATATTTGCCATTACAGTTCTTTTCTTGTGTTTTTGTTTCTTCTAATTGTTTTATCTATGTGTAAAGCAATAACTTCAAAATTGAGTGAAATGGGAGCCATTATCCTATGACTATTACCCACATAATTTCTTCATTATGTCCAATCTTTGTACATTGTGTCCAGTTTGATAAACAGCTCTGATTTATTTTCCTGTCTTGAATATATTTACCAGTGAAAGCTTTCCAGTGTGTCACTGAAGAATGAAAGCATTAAACTGTCTGGAGACAGAACTTAAGAATTTGTGTATCTCCTTTGGCCACAGTTTATCTTGTTTTAAAAGTGATTGTTGGTTGATATTTCGTCTTCTGTTCTTTTGCTAGCTTCTTCAAGAATCTTTAGTTTATAAACATCTCAGGATATACCTGGAGTAAAAATCAAGTAAACTATCCAAACATCATATGTATGTCTTTTTAACAAGTAACCTTGGCTTTAGGGCTGTCTAGGATCTGTTCCCAGGTATTTAACTACTTAAATATCTTCCAGTATTATTGCTTATATGGTACAGTGAAGGTCTGTGTAATCAGGCTACTTCACTGAGTTTCTCAATGCATTCCTTTCTTTGCTTACTCCAACATCCAGTTTGGTTTTAGTTAACTAGATTACGATTATAAATTGAACACATTTATATTTCCTTTTTTCTTCCTTAAAGCTAGTCTTATTACAAAGTCATATTAAAAATAAACACAAATATACCTGCAAAAACCCCTGAAAAGGAATGTAAATGTTTACTGAGGTTGTCTTGAGGACACTGAGAGAGGGATTAGATGCAACATCAGACACAGAATTTTCTATCAATCCCAGTTATCTATTCATTACTACCCCTCAAAAGTCAAATTTATGACAGCCACACACATTTCTTCCTCGTCTTTTTTTTTAATTCTTTCTCTTTCTACACTTTCTGGGGATTTGATTTCTTCTGTTTGTATTCTTATCTTCTACCTGTTCACAAAACAGAAGTTGTCTTTATTGGATACCACTCTTCATAGAAAAGGAGGGAGAAGGGACTTGTGAGAATTGTTGCTTAATATTTTGTCCTATCACATAATAATAGTATCCAGCATAATTCAAGTTATAGTGATAAAGATAGATAGATAAATTGATTGATTTGTCAGTCAGTCAATAGGTAGATATATTGGCTGGCAGATAGATAGATTATATTAGTCCAATTTCATCCTGCTATAAAGAACTGCTCAAGACTGAGTAATTTATAAAGGAAAAAATTTAATTGACTCACAGTTCGGCATGGCTGGTGAGGCCTCAGGAAATTTACAATCATGGCAGAAGGCAAGGAGGAAGCGAGGTACCTTCTTCACAAGGCAGCAAGAAGAAGTGCTGAGTAAAGAGGGGAAGTGTCCCTTATAAAACCATCAGATCTCATAAGAACTCACTTACTATTATGAGAACAGCATGGGAGAAATCATCCCCATGATTCAATTACCTCCACCTAGTCTCTCCTTTGAAACATGGGGATTGTGAGAATTACAATTCAAGATGAGATTTGGGTGGGGACACAAATCTGAACCATATTATTCTGCTCCTGGCCCCTCCTAAATCTCATGTTCATTTCACATTTCAGAACCAATCATGCCTTCCCAGTAGTCCCTCAAAGTCTTAATTCATTCCAGAAGTAACCTAAAAGTCCAAGTCCAAAGTCCTGCCTGAGACATGGCAAGCTGCTTTCACCTAGGAGCCTGTAAAATAAAAAGCAAGGTAGTTACTTCCTAGATACAAGGGGTGTACAGGCATTGGGTAAATACCCCCGTTCCAAATGGAAGAAATTGGCCAAAACGAAGTGGCTACAGGCCCCATGGAAGTCCGAAATCCAGTGGGGCATTAAAATCTTAAAGCTCTGAAATGATGTCCTTTGACTCCATGTCTCACATCCAGTTCACACTGATGCAAGAGGTGAGTTCCCATGGTCTTGGGCAGCTTCATCCCTGTGGCTTTGCAGGGTACAGCCCCTCTCCCAGATGCTTTCACAGGCTGCCATTGAGTGCCTGCAGCTTTTCCAGGTGGACAGTGCAAGCTGTTGGTGGATCTACCATTCTGGGTTATGGAGGATGATGGTCCTCTTCTCAGAGCTCCACTAGGCAGTGTCCCAGTGTGGACTCTGTGTGGGTGCTCTTACCCTCCCTTTCCCTTCCACACTGCCCTAGCAGAGGTTCTTCATGAGGGCTCCATCCCTGCAGCAAATTTCTGCCTAGACATCTAGGCACTTCCATACATCCTCTGAAATCTAGGCACAGGTTCCCAAACATCAATTCTTGACTTCTGTGCACCCTCAGGCCCAAAACCAAATGTAAGCTGCCAAGGCTTGGGGCTTTCAGTCTCTGAAGCAACAGCCTGAGCTATATGTTGGCCCCTTTTAGCCATATCTGGGACACAGGGCATCAATTCCCAAGACTGAACAAAGAAGCAAGGCCCTGTGCCCAGCCCACAAAACCAGTTTTCCCTCCTAGGCCTCTGGGTCTGTGATGTGGGGGCTGCTATAAAGACCCTTGACATGCCCTGGAGACATTATTTCTGTTGTCTTGCTGATTAGCATTTGACTCTTCATTACTTATGCACATTTCTGCAGCAGGCTTGAATTTCTCCTCAGAAAATGGGATTTTCTTTTCTATTGCATTGCTAGGTGGCAAATTTTCTGAACTTTTATGCTCTGCCTCCCTTTTAAAAATAAGTTTCAGTTCCAAACTATCTTTATGTGAATGCATAAAACTGAATGCTTGTAAGAGCACCCAAATCATCTCTTGAATGTTTTGCTGCTTAGAAGTTTCTTCCACCAGATACCCTAAATCATCTCTCTCAAGTTCTAAGTTCCACATATTTCTAGCGTAGGGGCAAAATTTCACCAGTCTCTTTGTTAAAGCATAGTAAGAGTCACCTTTATTCCAATTCCCAAAAAGTTCCTCATCTCCATCTGAGATCACCTCAGTCTGGACATCATTGTCATATTACTATCAGCATTTTGGTCAAAGCCATTCAACAAGTCTCTAGGAAGTTGCAAACTTTCCCACATCTTTCTGTCTTCTGTTCCAACCTCTGCCTGTTACACACTTCCAAAGTCACTTCCACATTTTTGGGCATCTTTATAGCAACACCCCACTCTCTCCAGTCCCAATTTACTTCTATAAAGAACTGCCTGGGACTGGGTAATTTATAGAGGAAAAAGGTTTAATTGACTCACAGTTCAGCATGGCTCGGGAGGCCTCAGGAAACTTACAATCATGGTGGAAGGCAAATGGGAAGCAAGGCACTTCTTTACAAGGCAGCAGGAAAGAGAAGTGCCAGGGAAGAGCCCCTTAAAAAACCGTCAGCTCTCATGAGAACTCACCCACTATCATGAGAACAGCATAAGGGACACTGATTCTATGATTCAATTACCTCCAGCTGCTCTCTCCCTCAACACGTGGGGATTATGAGGATTATGATGATTACAATTCAAGATGATATTTGGGTGGGAACAGAAAGCCTAACCATATCGTAGATATTCCTTATATAAGACTTGAAAATTGATATTTTCATCTCTGTTTTATAAAGAAGGAGATCAAAGTTCAGGGAAACATGTTCAGTATTAGGAAGTAGCAATGCTTGTGGTGATGTTTATCCCAGTTATCCAGGTTTGATCATTACTCATTAAATGCTTGCATCAAAATATATCAGATGTACCCCATAAATGTGTACAACTATTATGTACATATAAAATTTTAAAAGTTTAAATGCAGTATGTTTTTAATTAATTGACAGATTCTAAAATGTATATGAATGTTCAAATGACCCACATTAGTCAAAAAAATTTTAAAAAGAAAAGCAAAGCTGCAGAACTTATACAAGCTGCTTTCAAGACCTACTATAAGGCTGTATTAGTTATGACAATGTGTTATTGACATAAAGATTCATGGGAAGAATAGGTGGCATCTGAAATAGACTCACGTATATATGGTTAATTTTGGAAAAAGGTATAAATGTAACTGAATGGAGAAAGAGAATCTTTTCAACAAATATTTATATAAAACTGAATATTGATATGGGAAAAAGATGAACATCAATCTTGACCTCATACAATACAGAAAATATTAAATTGGAATAGATTATAGACATGAATATAAAATCTAAACATAGAATTTATAGAAGAAAATGTAAGACAAATTCTTGAAACCTTCAGGTGGTAAATATTGCTCATCTAGCACACAAAGATTATAATCCTCCATAACGGATAAATTTAACTTTTAAAACAATTAAAACTTTGGCTCTACAATGGACATCATTAAGAAAATAAAAAGACAAGTTACAAAATGGGAGAAAAGATTTATAAAACATATATATCTGTCAAATAACCTTTATCCACAATACATAAAGAACAGTTATAACACAATAAGAAGAGAAACAACCCAAAACAAAAATGAGCAAAACATTTTAAGAAACATTATAAAAGAAAATAAACCAATGGCCAATGAGCACAGAAAAAGTGCTCAACTTCAGTGAAATGCAAATGAGATACATTGCATTACACATTACAAATGAGGTACATTACATATCCATTAGAATGGCCAAATTAAAAAAATAATAATACCAAATATTGACTAGAAGATAGAACAACTGGAACTCTTATTCACTACTCCTGAAATTTAAAATGGTACAACCACTTTAGAAAACTCTTTGGCAGTTTCTTATAACGTTAAACATACATCTACAATATGATCAAGCTATTCCACATCTAGGCAGCTATTCCACACCTAGGAATTTAAAGAAAAGAATAAAAAGAGATGTTCACTTAGAGATTTGTATACAAATGTTCATAACAGCTTTATTTGTAATAATTCCAAACTGGAAAGTGGGATGAATCTAAATATCACTCCCTAGGTGATTGAAATTTTAATCATGCATTATATTCATATAATGGATAACTACTCAACAATTAAAAAGCAGAAATTTTAATCTGCATAACAGTTTGTATTAATCTTGAAATCATTAAGCTGAATGAAAGAAGCTATACACATAAAATATGATTCTACTCATAAAAATGCAGAAAATGGAAACTATTTTATAATCAAAGAAAACAAACTAGTTACTGACTAGGACCAGGGTGGGAACAATTAATTGGAAATAGCACAGGGAAATGTTGTGTGGTGTTCTCACCACAAAAATGTTAATGTGAGGTAATGCATTTGGTAATTAGTCAGATTAAACCATTTCACGATGTATTTATATATCAAAACATGTACATGCAATGAATACACATAATTATATCTGTCAATTAAAAAATAATACTTTTTTTTTAAAAAAGAAAATGTTCTGTATCTTCCTTGTAATGGTGGTTGCATTAGTGAATAAATTTATTAACTCTTCTTGGAATGTGCCCTTAAAGTGGGTGAATTTTACTTTATGTGAACCTCAATATGATAATTCAAATCTTACATAGGAGTATGAATCAATGGTCTGATATGGTTTGAAAGCCAGAGAAAATTAGGTAAACTTTCTGAGCCTTGATGTTTCTCACTTACAATGTGGATTAATTTACAACTGTCATATTGAAATTAATGATATAACCAAAGTATTATACCTAGAAGGTACTCAGTACTTGTTAGTTCCTTTTTCCTTACATTATTTTAACTAATTACATAGTTTTCCTTTGATAGGCCTTAAATTAAAAGAATCATTTCCAAAACTATTCCAGAAAGGATGCTAACTTAAACCTACTTGACATTTGTAGTAAGCAGGCATTAAACAGTGCTCTATATTGTATTTAAGGTTAATACATTTTCAGAAACAACTTGTTTTATAATGGACTTTCTTGAGGGTAGAACTTATGGAGAATAAACAGCATCTACTTAAAGTGTGCATTAGAAAGATTTTGACAGATTTGTATATCCATAAACCACCACAGCTAACAAATACAGAACATTTGCATCCCACCATCTTTCCCATTTCCAAAAGTTTCCATGACCTCAGTGCAGTTCATTCTCCTCTGGCCCCAGGGAGCTGCTGATCTGTTTTGTTTTGTTTTATTTTTAAATCGCTATGGATTAGCTTGTATTTTTAAATTTTTATGTAAATAAAATCATGCTATACATATGTTTGTGTGTCTACTTTCTTTTATCCATATAATGATTTTGAGATTATTCATCCATGCTGCTGAATGTACTAGTAGTTAGTTCCTTTTAAATGATGAATAGGTTTCCTTGCATGAGTATAGCATGTTTTGTTTATCTCTTCACTCATTGATGGAGTATTGAATTGCTTCTAATTTGAGGCTACTGAGAAGAAAGCCACCATGAACAGTCATGTGTAATTTTTTAGTGTGGACATGTTTTCATTTTCTCTCCATTAAATACCTAGGATTGGAATGTGTGATAAGAATCTCTTTTAATTCAATTTCTACAGAGAAGAAAAACAGAGTAGGTCCAAATAATGAACAGTTAAATAACAAAGCCTGGTTATGTATCTTCTACACAGTAAAATATGGTCATTTAGATGGCAGCTTTTAATCCATCTGTTTCTGTACCAGCCTTTCACCCTCAGACTACTTTACGTTTATATATTCTCATTTATTTTTATTCTCTCATTGCTGAGCTTACTTTTGCCCTTCCTTGAAGTTATCAGTATACCTGCTATTAAGAGTTCTGTGCTTTCCAGCCAGGCACCATAGCTCACGCCTGTAATCCCAGCATTTTGGGAGGCTGAGGCGGGAGGATTACGAGGTCAAGAGATCAAGATCATCCTGGCCAACATGGTGAAATCCTGTGTCTACTAAAAATACAAAAATTAGCCAGGTTTGGTGACACGTGCCTGTAGTCCCAGCTAATCGGGAGGCTGAGGCAGGAGAATCACTTGAACCCGGAGGTGGGGGTTACAGTGATCCAAAATCGCGCCACTGCATTTCAGCCTGGCGACAGAGCAAGACTGTCTCAAAAAAGAAAAAAAAGAAAAGAAAAAAAAAGCGTTCTGTACTTTCCCACTTATTGGGTCTAATCAGTTATCCTGGGAGTTTGTATAGCTAAGTGAGTTAAGTTTGTTGTAAGTGATGGTGAAACACCGAATGAGACCTCTCTACCGTGAGTCCTAGGAATACTTAGTTTGATTTATTAAAGGGCTTTGTTTCCCTTTTGCCTTCTGAATAACTGTGGTTGCCTGGGAAGTACTCTGCAATAAAATGTAGATAAACTCCTAAGGACTAATTCTACTTTCCTTGGTAGATACAATTTTTATATTGAAAACAATTAAGTTTACTTTTATTTTATGAATAACCTTATAAAATCATCTGAATCAACCTCAAATATTTCTCAAATTATTTTATTTTATTTTAAACTTTTATTTTGGATTCAGGGGATATATGTGCAGGTATGTTATCAGGGTGTATTGTATGATGTTGAGTTTTGGGGTACAAATGATCCCATAAACCCAGTTACTATGTGTAGTATTCAATAGTTGGTTTTTCAAACCTTGGCACTCCCAGTAAACCCCAGTTTCTACTGCTACCATTTATGTTCATGAGTACCTAATGTTTAGCTCCCATCTATAAGTAAGAACATGTGGTATTTGGTTTTCTGTTCCTGTTAATTTGCTTAAGATAATGGCCTCCAGCTGCATTCTTGTTGCTACAAGGGACATAATTTCTTTTTATGGCTGCATAGTATTTGATGGTGTATCTGTGTCACATTTTCTCTACCAAATCTACCTACATTGATTCCATGTCTTTGCTATTATAAACAGTGCTGCAGTGAACCTGCAAGTGCATGTTTCTTTTTGGTAGAACAATTTGTTTTCTTTTGGATATATACCTAGCAAAGAGATTGCTGGGTCAAATGGTAGTTCTGTCCTAAGTTCTTTGTGAAATCTCCAAACTGCTTTCCAGAGTGGCTGAACAAATTGACATTCCCTCCAGCAGTGTATAAGCTTTCCCTTTTCTTGACAGCCTTGCCAGCATCTGCTGTTTTTTCTTTCTAACAGTAACCATTTTGACTGGTGTGAGGTGGTATCTCATTGTGGTTTTGATTTGCATTTCTCCAATGATCAGTGATGTTGAGCATTTTTCGTTTGTTGGCTACTTATATGTCTTCTTTTGAGAAGTGCCTGTTCATATTTTTTGCCTGTTTTTTAATGGGGTTATTTGTTTTTTGCTTGTTCAGTTGTTTAAGTACCTTATAGATCCTGGATATTAGACTTTTGTTGGATGCATAGTTTGTGATTATCTTCTCCCATTCTGTAGGTTGTCTGTTTACTCTATCAGTTGTTTCTTTCGCTTTGCAGAAACTCTTTTGTTTAATTAGGTGGCACTGGACAATTTTTGTTTTTGTAGCAATTGCTTTTGAGGACTTAATCATATTTTTTTTTTCCAAGGCTGATGTCCTGAATGGTGTTTCCTAGGTTTTCTTCTAGGATTCTTATAGTTTGAAGTCATTATTTAAATCTTTAGTCCATCTTGAATTAATTTTGTATGTGGTAAAATGTGGGGACCCGGTTTCATTCTTCTGCATATGACTAACCAGTTATTCCAGCACCATTTATTGAATATGGAGCCCTTTCCCTGTTGCTTATTTTTGTTGACTTTGTCTAAGATCAAATGGCTATAGGTGGGTGGCTTTATTTTAGTGTTCTCTATTCCGGTCCAGTGGTTTATGTGTCTGTTTTTCTACTGGTACTATGCCATTTTGGTTATTGCAGCCTTACACCGTAGTTTGAAGTTGGATATTGTGATGCCTTTGGCTTTGTTCTTTTTGCTTAGTATTGCTTTGGCTATTCAGGGTCATTTTTTGTTTCATATGAATTTAAGAGTAGATTTTTCTAATTCTGTGAAAAACAATATTAAGAGTTTGATGTGAATAGCATTGAAACTGTTGGACAATATGGCCATTCTAACAATACTGATTTTTGCAATCTATGGGCATGAAATGTTTTTCCATTTGTTTGTGTCATCTATTATTTCTTTTAGTAATGTTTCATAGTTCTTTTTGTAGTGATCTTTCACTTCCTTACTTAGACGTATTCCTAGGTATTTTATGTGTGTGGCTATTGCAAATGGAATTGTGTTCTTGATTTGGCTGTCAGCTTGAATGTTATTGGTGAATAGAAATGCCACTGATTTTTGTACATTGATTTTGTATCCTGAAACTTTACTAAAGCCATTTATCAGTTCCAGGAGCCTTTTGGCATAGCCTTTAGAGTTTTCTAGGGATAGAATCATATCATCAGTGAAGAGAGATAGTTTGTTCCTTTTCCTATTTGGATGATTTTATTTCGTTCTCTTGCCTGATTGCTCTAGCTAGCACTTCCGTCCTATGTTGAACAGCAGTAGTAAGAGTGGGAATCCTTGTATTGTTTCAGTTCTCCAGGGGAATGCTTCCAGTTTTTGCCCATTCAGTGTGGGGTGTTGGTTGTTGGTTTGTCATAAATGGCTCTTATTATTTTGAATTTCAAGCATTTTTAAAGATCCACATTCAAAAGTTCTAATAACTTTTTATTTCTTAGCTTTTTTAAACATCTTCATACTACATTTTATTTAGAGAATTCAAACTATTCTTTTGCTCCTTGAATGTGTGTTTGTGTTTGCTGATAGAGTGAGGGATATATGCTTTGAAGTATAATTCCTAATATTTTGTTTTGGCAAGGTTGTGCAAAGAAACATTATGGAATCTGGAAATTAGTGGGAATCATTAGTATATTTCTTATAAATTCCGTAAAAATGACATGACATTATACATCTTTACATATAGCAGAGGAGGAAATAAGACATTTTACCTTTTTTTTAGCCTCTTCAGGGCAATAACTGTAGCGCATGTCTCATTGTGTACCCAATATCCCTCTTCCATATTGGGGAGCTACGCCTTCCCCAACCCTTTTCAGTTCTAATGGGACTATCAAGCACTGTTTGCTCCCTGATCATAATGGTACAAACTCATTCCTAGTCAAGCAGCCTACCTCATTTTACACTTCATAGTAATTGGTCCAAGTAATGAACATAGAAATGGTAGGGTACTTTATTATATCCAATATATAAATATTATGAGAGAAAGAGAGAGAGAGAATGATGCTTTCTTATCTGTGTTGTTAAGGTTTAAAGATGTTGCCTTGGTTCTGCCTGTAGCAGAAAAGAGTTAGGTCAACATTCACAGAGGGCAGAGATAATGAAAGTCAAGAAATGTAAAGAGAATCAGACAGACCTGATATTGGTGAGACTCTGAATATAAATGTTATATATTTGAAATACACACTCTTGTACTGCTTATATATGTTAGCTAAGATAGTTCCGTTCTTCACTGCAGGATTTTAACGACTTTATTGGCTGCTCCCTAGCTCTTGAAACTTTGGCTTCATTGATCTCTTCTTTCTGAACTGCTTCTTCTTACCCGATGAATACCAACTTATATACTGATAGTCTCCTTACAGATACCCTTAATTTATTTTGTTGGAAAAAATGTTCACCTCTTTTAAGATGATAAAAATTCTCATAGATCTTACAAAATAATTTTAGATACATCAATACATTACTTCTTATATGTTTTTAAACTTTTTATTCAGTACCTCATTTACCTGCATTTTATCTTCTGTTCAAAACTATAATCACCTTAAAACCTAGGGTTGTTTGGTTACATCTGAAAATTTCTCTACAGTATACAGCACAATTTCATATTCATAGGAAGCACTCAGTAAATGGAGTCAAAAATAAATAAATTAAAATTTAAAAATACAAGATATTTTCTACATGAACAACTTTCCCTAACTCCCTGAAAACCATGTGAAGTGACTTTCTTTTATGCTCTCAGATTACTTTTCATTTGCTTCAAACATAGCACTTCTCACATGGTTTAGAATTTTTCTGTTGACTCATCTTCCTTATTTCTTTATAATGTAATTGAAGACTTTACAGGTGGTGTTTATTATTTGATACCAACAACCTAACACAGTATCTAAGAACATAATGAACACTGAGTAAGTACTTTTTGACTTATGAATAAATGCAATGTAATGCAGTCCTATGTAAGGACTACAAAATATTCTTTACCATCTAATTTTTTACATTAACTCTATTGCTCATCTTTTCAGTGATTTTTTTATCATAATCACAGATAGATCTTTAAATGGAAAATTATTAAATTAGAAATTAAGAAATTTTTAAAAATAGAGTATATTTTAGGTGTCGTCCTTAGAGCACTGTGGATCAGAGGTCTGGTGAATTACTCCACGTCACATGGTTCATTAAGGACCAACCTTATTTCCTTTCCATTATTCTTTTATTATACCATACAACTTTTCTATCAGTATTGGATTATCCAATTTGGCAAAAGTGTAGAGCAGTGATTTTTCACATATTTTTCCTTAAGGGAGGAGGACGTGCTGTGGATTCAGGTTTTAGTTACCAGAATGTCAAAGGAATAGAGTTCACCCAGACCAAATGCTCCTGACATGCTCTTGCAAAGAACATGCAGATGACTATTGCAGATCATTTTTAAAAATAGGAATTACTACGATAGAATCCCTAAATAATCATATTATTTTAGTCTGAATAGATACTAATTCTGATCATGTTTTTCTTGATTTTATTGTTTTTTTTTATAAGCAAGTAGCATCTTTGTCCCCCCCCCAAGACTTTCTGCAGTCATTGTAAGAACTTTGATAATTGAATTCCTGTGGTCATTTTTTATAGCTGTCCATAAACCTTTTCCAAATTTTGGTTGGTATGAATTAAGGTCTGTTCCTGTTAAAGTACAAGCAGTTTGTTTGGATTGAATGCTTGTCTCTTCCAAAAATAGGTTTAATTTTTCTTTTTATTTCTATTCTTTACTTGTTACTAACTACAAATTCTTAAGTGTGTTTCAACTTTTATGTCAATGTTTTTCAAAGTTGAAAAACCCTAGCTCTGTTTAGCCAATTTATTTAATCTTCATTATTTTGGGATTTAGTTTGTGTGTTTGTTTTCCGAAGAGATTTAATGTAAAAGTGTCTATACTAACAATGCTTTTTTGAAATTGCTTTATTAAGGCTAGATATAGAGTTTTTAAGTTAATTAAGTCTAGTTAATATAGAATTTTACAAATATTCCTCCATAGATTTCACTTTATTTATTCAGTAAACATTTATTAAGTACTTGTTGTTTTCCAGGCTACACACTGGGTGCTGGCCTTACAGTGGTACACAAGATCAACATAATCCTTATTTAATGGTGTTTATTTCCTCATGAGAAAAGTATATATTAAAGAAATCACCCAGCATTTTGGCAGGCTGAGGTGGGAGGATTGCTTGAGGCCATGAGTTTGAGACCAGCATGGGTAACATAGTGAAACTTTGTTTCTACAAAAATGTTTTTAAAATTGAAAAAAAAAAAATTAGCCAGTTGTGGTGTCATATACCTAGCTACTCAGAAAACAGATGGGAGAATCACTTGAGCCCAATAATTCAAGACTGAAGTGAGCTATGATCATGCCTCTGTGCCTCTGTACTCCAGCCTGGATGACACAGCAAGACCCTGTCTCTAAAAATGAATAAATAAATAAATAATAAAGGAAATAAGCATTAACAAAGGGTACAGGGTGCTTTTGAAGCACATAGAAAAAGTAAAGGAAGGATTGCTTGGTCAAGTAATGTTTAACCAGATATCAATATATTGATGAGCGGTCAACCAAATAACTTAAAAACTTGATGAACTTAAAAACTCGATAATCCAGACCTTAAGAAATATAGCAGGACATTTTACATTACTTTTAATAATCCTGGCCAATGAAATAAAAAGTTTTTAGAAAAAGGTCCTTGTTAGAAACACATTTTTAAATATGTCTGACATATACTCTTAGATATAATACAGTTATGACTTGAATAACATCAAAGTGACATAAGTGAGAGTATTTCTGGTAATGGTGGAGAGTGGTCATTTAAGCCCTTTGCATATTTCAATTACGCATTGAACCGAATATTAAAAATAATTATTCAACATCTTAGAAAACAAGAAGAATGAGGAGAAGAGCAGGAGGAGGAGGAGGAGGAGGAAGAGAGGAGGAAACTGCAGCCATCACTGCCATTGAGTTTGTTTTCGAAAAACTGTAGCTGAAAGGGCAAGCATTGCATGTTTAAGGCTTTCTGGCAGAAAGAACTCCCCAAATACCCACGATGCTATCAGGCAAGAACAGCAGACACCCCTAGACTTACTGGCTCAAAGTACCAAAGAATTGTGTTTATGACTGAAATAACAGCTGGAAGTTCAAAGGGGAAAAATCCGGCATTGAAAGAATTTCAGGAGTAAGACCCAAAATATGACTATAAACCCTGCACAAATACCACTTTGACAGCCAGACTTTACATGCAGATAAGACCCTCAAGGATCCTAGTAAGAAATGCAGTCAGAGATCAGATAGGAGCCTACACTTGAAAAATAGTGCTGAACCAGGTAAGATATGAGTTTGCTACTTTTTAACTGAGTGAATTCCTCAGCAGTATGGAGTTCAGAAAGCTGAAGGCATCTTATCTTGAGATTTAAAAAAAAGCCTGAGATTGTCAGAGCAGCTGAAATTTAGAGAGGAATCTAGAATCAGGAAACCATAGTTAGTCTGATGATAGTATACCTTGACAGTGTTTTTCTTTGTGTTCATTTGATTAGGGCTTGTGAAGCATATCGAGTCTCTAATTTCTATTGATCTATATTCAATTTTACTAAATTTCTTACCTCTTTGAATTTCTCTTAAAAGATATAGGACTGTTTAAAACCAAAACTGTAACATTGTATTTTGAGGTTTATAATGTATGTAGATGCAATACATGTGATAGCACAGTACTAACAGGGAAGTGAGTGGAAATGTATTGCTGAAAGATTCTGATTTTTTTTTAAGGATGAAGAGAAATGACATCATATGGCAACTCAGATCTAAAGAAATTAATAAAGAACATTAGAGATGCCAAATAAAAAGTGAATATATAATACATAAGAAATATCACTGTAGAAATTAAAGGAGAACAAACAAAAAGCCAATGCAAATTGTTAGGTGTAACAACAAATTTATTGGATGAACTTAACAGTGGAATGGAGGTGGAAGAAGATGTAGTTAATGCAATAAATGTTTTTCAAGAAATTTGGGACATTTTCAGGTAATTTTTTTGCAACAGAATAAAAAGCCTAGGAATAGCCGCACATGTATATGGTCAACTGATTTTCAACAAATTACTTTTAAGCAAATATTGCTAGAACAACAGGATTCTATCTGGAAGAAAATGAATATCTATTAATCGTCCCATGCCATACATAAAAATAGATTTGACATGAATCATAGACCTAAGTATATATGCTAAAATTATAGAATTTCTAGAATAAAAAAGATTTTTACAATCCTGGTATAGGCAAATATTTCTTAAATAGAACAGAGAAACATAACTATTAAATATATTAATTAATTGGGATTTACAAACATTACACTCTTTTAAAAAGACATCATTAGGAAAATGAAAAAACAAGACACAGAATGTGAAAAAAATTTGTTATGCATGTATTTGAAAAAAAAAACTTGAATCCAAAATATATAAATGTAAAACAGACACACTGCAATAAGAAGATTTTTTAACCAAAGCAATAAAGAGGAGAAAAATTTGAACAGATATTTTACAAAAGAAGCTATATAAGTGACATAGCCATAAACATATGAAAAAGATGTTCAGCATTATAAATACTTATTAGAACTGCTAAAAAAAACTCACGCTAAAAAAATTGGCAAGGTTGTAGAGCAAATGGAACTCTCATACACTTCTGGTGAAGATTTTAAAGGGTACAACTACTTTGAAATAGAATTTATCAGTGTCTTATTGAAGTAAATTTTTATGAACCAAATGGCTTAGCAATTGCACTCCTGGATATTTACCCAAGATAAATGAAGATAACTGTTCACACAAAGGCTTGCACATGCATATTCATAAAAATTGTATTTATTCTAGCCAAAACTTAGAAGCAAATTAAATGTCTATTAACAAGTGAATGGATGAACAGATGTCATGTCATTTTCATTCCATGGAATAATACTCAGCAATAAAAACAAATGAGCTATTGATATATGCAGGAGCATGCATGAGTTTGAAAAATATTATGCTGACCTAAAGAACAGAAACAAAAGAGAACATATAAAATGATTAAATGTATACAACACTCAAGAATAGGCAAAATTAACATATACATTTCATCCAAGGAATGCAAGGTTAGTTTAACACACAAAAATCAATGTAATGCATCATCATAATAGAACAAAAAACATGATCATCATAGGAGACACAGAAAAAGCATTTTATAAAATTCAATACCCCTTCATGATAAAACAAACAAACAAACAAACAAACCCTCAACTTAAGGGCACCTATGAAAAACCCAGAGCTAACATCATAAGAAGTACTCAATGCTCTTCCCCTATGATCAGGACAAGGTTATCTGTTCTTGCTAATTTTAATAAACATTTTACTAGAGTTTGTAGTCAGAAAAACTAGTTATGAAGATAAAATAAAAATTATAAAGAAATACAAATTATAAAGATAGAAGAAAACTATCTTTTTTGTATATTAGTTGATTACATATATTGAAAATCCTAAGGCATCTGTGAAAAACTGTTAGAGTTAAATAAATTCAGAATTTTTAGAATAAAATATCACTTTACAAAAATTAACTGTAATTCTATACACTAGTAATGTCAATATGAAAATGAAATTAAGAACACAATTCCATTTACAACAGCATTCAAAAGAAAAAACTACTTTAGAAATAAATTTTATTTAAAAAGTGTGATATTCATGAGCTAAAACTACATAAGAATCTTGAAAAGTTAAATAAAATTTAAATAATTGAAAACCCACCCCATGATCATGAAGCAAAAGAATTAATATTGTTAAAATGACAATATTCTCTGTCTTATTTCGTTCTGTGCTGCTTTAATAGAATATCATATACTGGGTAATTTATAATGAATAGAAATTTATTTACCTTGTGGTTCTAGAGGCTGGGAAGTTCAACATCAAGTGGCCGCATCTGGTGAAGGCTTTCTTGTTGGGTCATAACGTGGTAAAATGGGTAAAGCTTATTAAACATAAATTGTAACCCCATAAATATTATTTTTAAAAATGATATTAGTAACAGGAAAAAATTGAGTAGTAGAAAGAGACATGGATTTATGTTATGGTTTCCTTGCACATTCATTCAGTGATCTTCAGCAGATTACTCATCCATCTCAAACTTGTATTCTCCTCTATAAAAATAAAGATAAAAATATATACATCACAGGTTTGTTCTGAGGATTAAATAAAATATAATTTTTTCAAATGCCATATTTATGTCAAATAGGAGTGTATTAGTCAGGGTTCTCTAGAGGCACAGAACTAATACGATGGATTAAAAACAGGAGTTTTTAATCTGCATTTCTTCTGGAGGCTATTTTTTTGTTTGACTCAATTGTATTGCAAAGATTATTTTGCTTATGTTTGAAAAATTATATTATAAATAAATACCTTAATTTCTATTGCATATCATTGCACATTCTCTATAGCTAGAGATTTTTTCATTGCTTTGGATTTTTGTTATTTGGTTTTCAGTGAGATTTAAAGTCAAGTATTCCATAGGATCTAGTGAGTTAAGACAAAGCTCTGTTGGAATTCCTTCTATGAATGTGATTTTTTTTTTTTTAGACGGAGTTTCATTCTTGTTGCCCAGGCTGGAGTACAATGGCAGGATCTTGGCTCACTGCAACCTCCACCTCCCAGGTTCAAGCAGTTCTCCTGCCTCAGCTTCCTGAGTAGCTGGGATTACAGGCATGCACCACCACACACAGCTAATTTTGTATTTTTAGTAGGGATGAGGTTTCACCATGTTGGTCAGGTTGGTCTGGAACTCCTGACTTCTGGTCATCTGCCCGCCTCAGCCTCCCAAATTGCTGGGATTACAGGAGTGAGCCACTGCACCCAGCCGAATGTGAAAATATTATAGTTTCAGAGAGTTTCACAAATATTCCTCCAAAGATTTCAGTTAAATAGCTTACTTCCTCAACATATTTTCAGAACTGAGTATGTTCTCAGAACTCTGCTAGATGCTACTCATACAGTGGTGCACAAGTCAAGATAGAATCCTACTCTGAAGTTCTTTCCCTATCTGTGTTGCTACATACAGACCAGTAACTGCAAGTATAATCAGTGGGCAAGAACCACAGGATGTTTTAGAAGTGTATGGCAAAGGTGGGGGAAGAATTTAATGGTCAAGTGATGTTTAACCTAAGATTAAGATTAATCGCAGCATTATTTACAACAGCCAAGATATGGAAACAACCTAAATGACCATAGACAGAAGAATGGAGTTAAAATATGGTAAATACATACAATGTAATATTACTCAGCCTAAAAGAAGGAAATTCTGCCATTTGTGACAACCTGGATAAGCCTAGAGTATGTTATGCTTAGTGAAATAAATCAGTCACAGAAGGATGAATACAGCATGATTCTACTTACATGAGTTACCTAAGAAGGTGAAACTCATAGAATCAGAGAATAGAATGGTAATTATCAGGGTCTAGAGTGAGGGAGGGGAAATGGGGAGTTGGTTAAATGGTATAAAGTTTCAGTTGTGCAATATAAGCATATTCCAGAGATCTGCTGTAAAACATAGCACTTACAGTTAATAATATTGTATTGTACACTTGACAATTATTAAGAGAGTAGACCTATATCAAGTGTTTTATTATAAAAAAGGAAAAGGAAAAGGACACAGCAAATTTTGGCAATGATGGATATGTCTATTACCTTGATTGTGGTTCGTAGTTCCATGGGCGTTTGCATATGTCCAAACTCTTTAAAATGTACACATTAAATATCAGTAACACTTTAATAAATGTGTTAAAAAAGATTAATGTATTGGCTTCATTAAGAGGAAACGATGCAATATATAAGGCAAGCTGATAACATATCAGGTAAAAAATTCAAATAAAAATTTTCTATTGAGCTCAGAGCCAAATTCAGCAATATAAACACCTACTAATTACATCTGTAATCTGCAAACAGAGAAGATTGATGGTCAAAGTGAGAAGTGTGTTTCTTCAATATGTTTATTATTTCAGTAAATTGTCCTCGTCTTAAAAGACGTAGGCCTTTTTGTAAACAAGTATTGTGTGAGGTATGTGTGGACTCCAAGAGAAATCTGGAGAGTGGCTCTTCTCTTTGGAAAACTTTACTTTGTTCAGGTAAAGGAAAGCTCCTGAAAACAAGAAACCTGAAAAATAATTTAAGTGATTCTAAACCCTTAAATACACTCCAAAGAAGCAATTTTAGGAAGCTTCCACTTTGGCTTCAAGAGTTGGCCAAATCTGATATTATTTAAAAGAGGAAATAGACTATTTCTGACGCACAGATATTTGTAATCAGGATTCTATTTTTGTCATCGGAATTTCTGTTAGCAATTAGACGGTCCATTGCCTTCAACAATAACCCCTAGTTATGTAATACCCCACCAGTAAAACCATCCCCAGTACTATGCATTAATATGTGGAATCTAAAGATGTTAATCTCATAGAAACAGGGAGTGGAAAGGTGGTTACCAGAGGATAGGGGGAAGAGTAAGGGATGAAAAAAAGAGAAACGTTGACAAAAGGGTATAAAATTTTAATTAGACTGGAATAATCAGTTTTAGTCATCTATTGCTGTAATGCCCACAGTTAATAATAATGTATTGTATGTCCCAAAATTGCGAAAAGAATAGATTTTTAATGTTCTCACCAAAAAAAATGATGAGTTCATGAGGTGATGAAAATGTGAATTAGTTGATTGAATCTTTTAATGATGTATGCATAGATCAAAACATCACATTGTACTCCATAAATGTAATATTAATAATGATTATTTGTCAATTAAATAAATTTTTAAAATTCGTAAGAACTCCAAAGAAACAATGGTAGCATACCTACATATAGCACGACACAAAGAATTATGTTTAGAAAAAATAATGCAATTACAAATATTTCAGAAAATGTTTATCTGGGACTTTTGAAGCAGGAGGAAAAGAGATTGTGTTAAAATTAGGAGAAAATACATTATCTGTCCTTAGATACTGAGGAGGATGTACTACAAGACCAGAGGTAGGCAGTCTTATGTAGATTTGTTTTAGGAATGGACACAGCTGAAATGCTAGAATGTAATTTTATAAATTAAGCAATTCCTGGATCCAAACCGATATTTCTCAAGTAATATGCATAGGTACCATGTAAGCCAGAAGCATGTTGCTGCTAAAATGGAAACATAATCCTATTTCAAAAAAATTTATCAAACATTTTAAGTTTATAAAAAGTTCTTGCTTTTTTGTTTTCTCTGAATTTTTCTTAAACTATGGGTGTCTGCTATTATTTATCTATTCTACACTCAAGTATAGAGTGTCTTCTGATTCTGTAAAAATTACATAATTTGTTAGTAATTAAAAATACAGTATTCCACATTCTTTTGCAAGAGTTTCTGTGACTTTATGTTACTGTCCCATCTGAGCAATATTGAGAACCATTGATTTGGAACTGTAGTAATCTCACTCTATCATATTCGTAGTTAAGCCAGAGAAGATCTCAGAAATATGGAAGAGTATTTTGTAAGTTTCATATTTTTGCCTAGGGTGTGTTCACCTATCTCAGCTAAGGCAAATAGAAGCTATGTCTTGGGGCATCTTTTAATCTCTAAATAGAAAATATAAGCTTCTTTGCTCTGCATGATTTATGAGGAATTTTCTTCATCTTCTTAATAAGTAACTCAGGCTGTCACTCTGTAAGATCTGAATGAGCAGGGTACCTTCTAGGTTACGCTTGAAAGTGCTATCACTTTGGAAAGCCTGACCATCTCCTTCCTGCCTAGATGTCTAACAGGTGCATTGCACAGTAGCCTTTTTATGCCTTATAATACAACCAATATCTAACTTTTTCGAAAGAATCCACAGATTCCAAAGAAGAAAGCAGGAAGTCATCTATTTACCACTCCGTAGGTTCAAATTACCTCCATTAATGGAGGCTGTGTATATTCCTACTACCCATCATTACCCGGTCATTTCTTTGTCTTGCAATACCTAGCAGTGCCTGGCATAGAGGAGGTAGAGAAGTTTGAGTGGACATTTTTCATCTTTATGTAGAGTGCTATCAGAGCCCTTGAGTTGATTACAATCAGTGGACACGGACACATCGTGTTTTAGTTTTCCTTCCAACCCCTGATTGTTGTGTGTTATAAGGCAGGTCATTGCACCTTGCTAAATCTAAATGGTTTACTTTCTGCCCTTGTGGTTCTTTTTTCTGTGCTTTCAAGGCTGATTAATTTCTTCTCTGATATACTCTTTCATCAGATGTTTGGCAAAATTTAGTTTAAATTCATTAACAAATACCATTCTAAAGGTCATGATGGCTTTCCTAAATCTTTATGTATTTATCTTACAATCACTACTCATTTTCCTAGTGTGTAACTTGTTGATGGCTCCCAACTTTTATCTCTATCTAAAGTAAGTTGAGTCTTAGAGATAGGCAGGGGCAGCACTGGACTGAAGAATTTGTCTTCTTTGTAATTTCAGACAATTGCTGCCCCTACAAGTACCATTATAAATGGCAATTAGAGCTGGGCAGGACAGGGAGACAGAGAGACCCCTGACAGTATATGACATTGCCCTTTTGTTCCAATGAAGTCAATTCATATTCCAGATTGAGACTATTTTCAATTAATCGTGCTGGTTAATGTCTAAGAGACACTATTATATTAGTAATCAAGATATATTGTTTCTTTTGAACTTCCAATATATTTTGGCCATGCAATTCTGTTGGAAGAAAAATGGTAATTAGGTTTGCTCAGAATGATTTATTATTTACAAGTATATTGGTATATTGTGCTTATTGTTTCTGATTCAATTTTTTTGAGGAACAGAATTATGATATTCATTATTTAAAAAATAAAAACATTTTAAGAGTCATATGTTCATAAAGTTCTCAGTGACATCATGATTTGAATTGAGAACTAAATTATGTTTCCTGAATAATAGGAAAACACCATTTTTAAAAAAAATCTCTGTGCTGAGTCTTTCTGACTGGACAACTGTGTGCAATGGAAACTTTGCAGCTTTACAAACCTGGATTTAAATAACAACTCCGTCACTTTGTTGCTTTGTGAACTTGACAAGTGGCTTCACCTTTCAGATCCTCAGTTTTTCAGTCTGCAAAATGGGGTTAATTATAGCTACCTGAGAAAGTGTTTTGAGCACTACGTAACACAGCATTGAGAACAGGCCTGGCCTGGTGCCGGGGAGATTGTAGGCGCAGAGTTAATGTTAGTTTCTTTTTTACTCCCATCCTCTCTCCATGACTTCTTCCTCATATCCGTCCTCTCCAAAAAATGTCCCTGTTTGGGCAGTCTCTCAACATATCAAAAAATATGAAAAGTTATGACATGTCATTTGTCACATGATTATGTTCTATCTCATTGCTTAGAAGCTGGCACGTTCAAAACACCATAAATAGTTTTTAAAGATATAACTGTCTTTATTTTCTCAACACGAGTAATCTTAGAAAGGCTCAAGAAAAGAAATATTTCAGAGTTACTGGTGATTAAAATTACCATCAAGTGTACTGGCAAGCTCTGAACAAAAGTACACTTGTGACCTGGGCTGTCTGGCCACAGGTCAGTCAAAGAGTGACACTTGTCAGAGAGCTGGCGCTCATTTACAAGACATCACACCTGTAGTACAGACATCCTGAGTGCGGTGCTTTGGGAACTTCACTTTTGAGGATGTTTGTTTTTCTACCTAATGCAAGTATGAATTAGGTAGCCTATAAACCAGTATGATATTAAGATTCTCATAGCTAACAGTATCTTGGAGGGTTACAAGAAAGTCAGTTTACATACCAATAGTTTTTGCATTATATTATTTTTAAAAGCATGTTTATTTATTTGATCTTCCTGGTTGTATATATTACCAATGAATGGGCGCTTCGTATAAAAATAAATCTCCTTCTATATAAACTATGAGGGCAAATATAACTTTTGAATGTGTTTAGCTGAGAGAGTATTTGGCTATTTGGATTTTAATTCCTATTTGTTTAGATGCTTTGACCTTTAAATGAAACTTTGACTTTTCTAAGAAATTCTTACGTTTTTAAAGGCCCATCACTGCTATTCTTGGTGGTAAATAGTAATTCCCTTTAGAAGCTTACCTATCCTGAACTCAACTTTGAATTATCTAATATTTACCATGTGCAAACTACTAGGCTGGGTACTGCAGAAACATAAGAGTAAAAGAGTCAATGAAAATAACCATAATGAAGCAGAATGTTATACAAGAGATATTCTAAAGTGGAATAACCACATTCGTTTTGGATACTGAATTGCCCCATGGGATAGATTTGAGAATAGCTTTTAGCAAAAAGTCATTTATATACCTATATACACACACATAGTTTTAATCTTCATTCAATATATATGTATATATTGCAATATATATTATGTAAGTCTGTGTGTATATGTGTATTACATTGTTATATATTATATGACATATGCATTGTATATTATGTGTATTGTGTATTATTATATATGGTATGTATTACCTATTATGTGTATTATTATATATTATATATAGCATATCTATACATGGACATATACACACACGTAACTTTACTGAGTCATAGTTAACATTAAAACATCTCACAAACTGCATTTATGTAAAAGGTACAATTGGGTAAGTTTTGACATATGGATACACCCATGAAACCATCACCACAATCAAGATAATGCACGTATCCATCCCTACTAAACGATTCCTCAATCTTTTTTGTAATCCCTCTATAACATCCGTTGCTATCCCAGCCCACCCCAGCCACAGAAAATCTTCATCTACTTTCTATAAATATAGAATATAGTTTTTATTCCCTAGGCATTTGTGAAAAATGGAATCATGCAGTACATATTTTTATGTCTGATTTCTTTCACCCAGAATAATTACTTTGAGATTCATACATGTTGTAGTATGTATCGAGAGTTCATTCCTTTTATTGGTGAATAGTATTGCATTGTATGAGTATACCAGTTTCCCTGACACCATTTAAAGCCTTTTTAATCTTAGCCATTCTGATAGGTATGTAGTGCTATCACATTGTAGTTTTAATTTACTTGTTCTTAATAACTAATGGTGTTTAGTTATGTTTGCCTATGCTTATTTGCAATCCATATATCTTCTTTGGTGAGGTATCTGTATTTTTCATTGGACTATTTGTTTTCTTATCATTAAGTCGTAAAGGTCTTTTATGTACTTTAGATACAAGTTCTTATCAGACATATGAGTTACAGATATTTTATTCATGTCTGTGGCTTCTGTTTTTATTCTCTTAACAGTAACTTTTGAAGAACAGAAGTTATATACTTTAATGACCTCTAACATCAATTTTTCCTTTTATAGATCATGATTTTGGTGTCATATTTTAGAATTTTTTGACTAATTCAAGGTTACAAAAATTTTCTCCTATATTTATTTCTAGGTATTTTATAGTTGTAGGCTTTACATTTAGGTCTATGATCCATTTTGAGTTAATATTTGTGCATGGTGTAAGATATGGATGAAAATATTTTTCTTCCTTTATTTTTTCCTTTGTTCCTTTCTTCCTTCGTTCTTTTTCTTCCTTTCCTTTCCTTTTTTCTCTTTCTTTCTTTCTCTCTCTTTCTTTCTTTCTTTCTTCCTTTCTTTTTCTTTCTTTCTCTTTCTTTTTTTCTTTCTCTCTCTCTCTTTCTTTCTTTCTCTCTTTCTTTCTTTCTACAAATGGACATCCAAATGTTTCAAAACTGTTATTAGGAAGACTACAGTTTCTCCACTGAATTGACATTAAACATTGTCACAAATCAGTTTCCATATGTGTGTGGATCTATTTATGCAGTCTTTAATCAGTTTCATTGGTTTGTTTATCTATACTTATTTTTATATCTATGTTTATCAATACCATAAATATACATACTGCCTCAACATAGAAACTCTCTCAAGACAGTAGCAGGGACAATCATAAACCTCACCCTACTTGTTTTCCATTTTTCAGGGATCACTATTCTTCATCACTTCATGTCCAATGTCTTGAAAGCCATTGTTTTACATATTTTGTCTGTTTTTATAGTTAATTTAGGAGGAAGACTAAATATATTTCTGGCTTTACTATTTTATCTGGAAGCAAAAGTCCAATTAATGGTACCATAATATTTTATAGTAATTACAAATAATGTACTTATTTCATCGAACTGATATCAGTCAAGTTTCTTTTACACTAGCAAATTATCCAGCTCTAAGATTCCTGTTTTCTCCTCACATTACACTCCCATCAAATACCACAAGATGTTTTTAGTCTCTTTGCCGCACATTTCCTCCAGTTGTCCCCTCAGTAACTGCACTCTAGCCATATCAGCATACTAAATTTCAGAGACCTCTCCCATACTAACTACTCCTCTGAGTAGTATCTGAGACTCCTCTGAGTCTCAGCTTACATATCAGGTCCTTAGAAAGGCCTTTCCTGGTCCTCACACTCTCATTAAAGTTACGCTTACTTTTAATGGCAAAAACTGCAATAACTTTTGCACCGATTAATGTTATTATTTATACTGTTTCTAATTATATGTTAATTTATTTACTCATTTAACAACTTATCGGGCTCATTAGAACATGATCTCCTCATAGACAGTGACTTAGCTTGTCTTTCCCCACTGCAGACCAAATTCTCTTAATGTATTTTGTGTCTAGCAGGGAAGACAGACATTAATGATTTCTAACTTAAAAAGTGCTATAAAGGAAAAAGTTAATGATATTTAAGAGTTTATAATGAGGGGACCTAATATTCCTGTGTTAGGGTTCTCTGGGAAAATAGTCCTTCCTCTGAGACTTAAAAGGTAAGTAATAGCTAACAAAGAGTGATTAAGGCAAGAAAGCAGAAATTCCTACACTTAGCTTATAGAAAAGACGCTTGGTAAGAGAGAAAGATGGGGCTAGAAGGCAAGGTGGCAACCAAAACCCAGCTTGACATGTTTGAAATGTTGCCATACCAAAGAAGAACTAATCATATTCTGTATTGCTTTGGGGATCGGAGGTGAGACAAGGGAATTAGAACAACAATTAAAGTCAAGGAATTTTGGCACAGTATCAAGAAGATCTTTCTAACATTCAGAATTGTCCAAAAACCAATTGTCTTCTTTAAAATGCAATAAATCCTCCGAAACTGGAGGTGCTCAAAGTTTGTATGATCATTGCTTAAAGATGCAGTGAAACAGATGTCTGTATTAATTCACAAAATAATATTCTACTTACAAATATCCTGATGTATAATTCACAATGGAACTTAGACTAGCAGTTGAATACGGAATCATCTTTGATTCATCACAATTTTGGTAGACCCTAGTTTCCAAATATGTAAAAAATCTATCCATTTCTTTCCATTGTAACTATAACAACTCTGATAAAGTCATTGTCTCTTATCACCTATCTACTTCAGTAGCCTTTGTTCTATTTTTCCCACACCCTCTATTGCCACATCCTGTCTATTCATCCATGACAGAGTGATGTTTTTAAAAGAAAACTGATAACATTGCATCCCTACTTAAAACATGTCTATTTTGTCCCATATATTATATTTTTGTATGGAGTGCAAAATGTATATTGGATTATAAAGCTCCAAGTGAAGTGACGCTGTCTGTCTCCCCAGTGTCATTTTATGCCACTTTTTCTGTCACCCTGTGTGTTCCAGCAACACTAGCTTGCTTTCAGCAACTTAATTGGGCCAAGAGTTCTCTTCCACCACAATGAATTTGCTCATGCTATTTCCTCTGTCTGGACATCCCTTCTGCTACCACTCCTCCTTGTCTGGCTATTGTCCTTCAGATCTCATCTTAAAAATTTGTTAATCAGATATGATTCCATAGCACTCAAGACTACGAAGATTTTGTTATTTTGTACCCCACAGCATTGCATACCCTTTGTGTAGAACTTTCCTCAAATACAATTAAGTGTTTTGTGTTGTAATTATTACCATAGGCTATGTCTTTCCACTTGATAGTAAGTTCCAGAAGGATAGAAGGATAGGGATCATGTCTATGGTGGCCATTCATCTCAGCTTTGATCTAGTATGATGTCTAACCCAAAGTGTATTGCTCAATTAATATATGTTGCATGAGATTTCAATGTTATAGGATGGATTGGGAAATTTGTAGAATCACAAAACTCTAGAACCAGAAAATACCTTAGATATTGTCTAGCCTGTCCCATTAATCTTATACATTCAGAATTTGAAGCTTAAAAGTATTAAATTACTTGTCTAAAGTTAATAAAAAGATTAATGGCAGAGCCAGGGTTCAGTGGAAGTCAGGAATTCCAACTCCGAATTCACTGCCCTGTCCAATATATCAGAATACCTCTCTAACATGGCATTTTCAATCTCACAACCTGATTTTTTTACTTATTGAGTAAAACAACAGCATGTCCAGTATTAATGAGCTGAAAAGAGGAAATGTAATTTGATCATCAATAGTAGAACGAATGGCAGTTTTTTTAACATTGTGTTGAATATTATACTACAGTTATATTATTCCAATGTTCCCCATGCATATTTCCTGTTTATATTCTGCTAGAGACCTTATTAATGAGTATCATCACTCAGATAATTACCATAAATAGAATTGGACTCTTTTGTTGTTTAAATTAGTCTGTATGGGAGAGTCTAGTTGAGGACTTATCTCTCTGTGACCTCATGATATTTGGGAGTAATATCAGTAGTATAGCATTTGCAACTGAAAATTTGGCTATGGGATTCCAAATATATAAAAAGGAATTTTAACATATTTTGCTAACAAGTGCCTGTCCACATTTATCGAACACTTACTCTACTGTTGTTCTTCCAAATTTGCTGTTAAAATAAATGATTTAAATAGTCTAGGACAAAGAAATAAAGATAAAGGGTATTTTTCATTTATATAGGCCAGATATGATGAGTAATAATTCAACTCTTGAGGAGAAGGTACAAAGCTAGACCCTAAGGTGACAACTACAATTAATAGTACAGGGAAAAGAATTGTGTTCATTTTTGAAGTGTTTGAATCATACAACCATTCTTATTTTGCTATTTTCATTTTGTGAATTATTTGACTAATTAATGAAAGAAATATGGATTCATTACAAAGTCAGTTAAGTCTAGGAATATGAATATTACGATATATTCCCTGAATTATCAATAACTTGTGATGCAAACATTTAGCATGTTAATATGGCTGTGTTTCTCAACATCAAAAATATTCTTCTGTCATCAATTCATATTGTTGTAATTCAATTATAGCATTTAGAGTATTGACTAAGTTACTGTAACACGAAAATTCCAAAAATGATGGTGGATTCATCAAAATGATAGTTTTATTCTCCCTCATGTAAGAGTCAATCCATTCTTGGCTAACAGGGACCTTTGCTCCAGGAGGTCATTTAGCAATCCAGTTTCTTATTGAGTTGCTCAACTATCTCCTAGAGCATAGTCTTATTTGATCAAAGAGAGTTCATCAGCACATTTGTGTTCCAATCTCATGAATGGGGAAACAGAGAAAATGAAATATAAGCAATTTTCTCTTTAACCGATAAGACTAGAAAGTTTAACCCATTACTCCTACTAATGTAGTCTCATGCCCACACCTACCTGAGTAGGTTGCAAAATGTTGCATCTAGCTGAGCAGTTCTGTGTTCCGATAAGACTCGTGGGGTTCTATTAGTAAGTGGACTAGGGGATAATTAATAACAATGGATAGGTATCAGTCTGTCAGTTTGCCCTTCTAACAACCCAGGTGTCCATGCACCCTCATCTTTCTTCATAAATACACTCAAATCCTCTTCAAGGGGGCCCACATAAAATCTTATTCAGTTACTGCTGCAGCTGAAAATCCAGGACTGGAGTGAAATATAGTCTTCTCTTTCAGGTCTGGAAGTGGCTCCTTGTGCTCTGGCATCAACTTACAAACTTACAAGTTACATATCTTCCTTTGTCCTGATATATAATGGTGGAGTAGGGACAGGATAACTGCAACAAAAACTCCCATTCAGAAACATAAAAACTGAAAAGCACCCAGCTGTTTCTGGCTCACAGTAAATCTCAAATTCTCCTGGGTAGAAATGGTGAATACTCTCCATCCTGCTGATGTATTAGTTGTTTGGGTTAACCAGCCTCTTGTTCTGCTCTCAGTGAGTATTTTCTTCGTCCATTGCCCCCTGCAGCTTTGACTTTACATATTTGGGAGGTTCTTCTTCATCCACTGTCCACATCAGAAGGTGGCAAGAGTGAGTGTTCTCTCCTTGGTTCGGCTTGGAAGGACAGAGGATTGTGTTAGAGAGCTAACAACAAAGGTCGTTGTATACCAGCCTTGTGGTTCTTATGATAATAAAATTCTTTCAGACCCTTAGTAGTATTCTTGCTTATTTGCTTCCAATCACTTCCATGTGGAGTAACCACAGCAAAAACAATCTTTTGAGCAATGTCTATAGAGTCTATAGATGCTCCCCTTTTTATTATCTTCTCTTCTCTGCTCATCTTTCCTTCCCTTAACTTAATATAAGCGACCTTAATACCACCCAAAACTACCGCTCTTTACCTCTGAGCTGACTCTGAGGGACAATCTAATATCATGCTCGTTCATGCTCATTGGGATATGGAAACAGTTAGCTTTTCTACACTCTGAAGTCTCAAATTAGGGGAATTTTAATCTATTAAATTGCAGATCACAGGCAGAGAGATTTTCCATTAGCAGAGCTTTCTTTTCTTTTCCATTTGCAAATGGGCCACTTCTTGCCTAACTTTATTTCATGTCTCTTGTAACATTTTGCTGAAAGTTCCAAGTAGCAGCCAAAACATACCAAAAATACGACATTAAAAAAAATCCTGTTCTCCTAGGGCTACAGCTTGGTAATAATGCAGTATATTTCCAAGTTGGCATATGTTTTGTAATGGCATATCAAAGGACATCACTTTCTAGCCTGCAGGTCCTTTCTACCTGCCCCCTAATGTGCTAAACTAATGTCATGTATTTTGTTTTTTATTATGACAATGCCCCACTTGCAGGAACCAATTTCTATAATAACAGGCTATAATAAGTTAAGCAGCTGTAACCTAAAATACGGTGCCTTGAATAAAGCAGTTTATTTCTCATAACATTAAAGAAGTGAACCATATAAGTGGGTAGCTACAACTCATTTACAAGGTCATCTAAATTTTTAATATCTTATTTCTTCATTATTCTTCAGATAATATCTTTCATTATCCTTCATTGTCCTTAAATTCATGCTTAAAGCATATTTCCAGCCTGTGAAATAGGAGAAAAAGGAAAATGTGGAAGAAATTTCCTTTGTAAAAGGACATACACATCTCTTCTGCTCACATCTCATTTGTAGAAACATGGTCAATGTCTAATCTTGACAGAAAGAGAGGCTAAAACAAGTAATGACTAGTTCACAGCTATAATCCAGCTGAAACTTAGGGGGTTTTGTTGCTAAATGAAAGAAGAGCAGAATGATGGAGAACTTGCAGGCTATGTGCTCCTCCAGTGAAATTCCACTGATATGAAGACATTTGGTTGACAAATAATTGCATCACCATATAATAATTGAACACATACAAATTTTAAGAAAGGACTATGAAAGACCACAGGAAGCATAATGCTGCCTTCTGTAGGAGACTGAATCAAAAGGGTCTCCAGGCAAAAAATTGACAGAACTGACAGAAATGGTAAAAAGGAATAAGGTACAAAACTTTCTTCTTAACCAAAAATTTCAATAGTAGAAAAGAATGCAGAACCCTAAGATGCAAGATTATTCTCCTTTTAAACATTTGATCTTACACAATAATCTTTCAAAGATGTTGAATAGTCCTGATATGCTAGGCAACACATAATAGAATACATTACTTAGGGGAGTGAATTCTTAGGAGGAATAGTAATGAAATATGACAGGCATAACATCTGAAGTACAGATGTTACATTCTATGCCATGTAGGTAATTTACCTTTCTAATAGAATCTTATTCCTGTAATAGTTTTTCTCTCAATGTAACACAGTATTGAAGTCCAAGGTTAGAATGATAAATAATAATGAGAGGTGCTCAAGCATTATTTTTAAAAAATTAAATATCCACTGATTAAATAATGAACCAGGCATTGTGCTAGGCCCTGGGATTACAAAGATTAATTCCACAGTTTCTTTGACTGGCAGTTGTCTGATTCCCATGGGGAAGACAGATAAACCAACGTATTATACAGTGTGGTATGCACTAACATTAGAGACATTTAAGCTATTAAATCGATATAAGTAAGAGTGATCCAATTGTGAGAATGGAAACAAAAACAAAAAATACTGTGAAATTCCCAGCCTTAAATTTTTGGAGAGTAGGAAAGTTTGGCTGAAGGCTAAATATCATGCCAGATTGTTGAGGAAGAAGACAAGACAATTGTCAAGTTTATTTGTTTATTTATTTATTTCTCTTATTCCTGAACTTCTTCTGTAACAAGTTCTAACCTAAAACCTTTGCCACACTGTTGGCAATTAGAATATTTGGTGAATGCTGAGTTTTCATTTTGAAAATAACCTAAACTGGTTTCACATGTTAGACATTAATTTATTTATTCATTTGTTCATTAAATATATTTTGAGCACTTACTATGTGCCAGGATTTATGTAATGAAGAAAAATTTCTTGCTCTAACACCAGTGCAGCCTCTAGTTCACTGAGCTGCAGCCAAAGGACAAGGGGTGTAAGTAAGGAAATCTCTATTCCATGGCTCCTACAAAGTGGACTGCTTGCAAATGACCCATAGTAAACTGCCCAGGAAGCAACTAGCTAAAAATAACTAGCTACAAATGCCTCTTGCGAGTGCACCCTCTACCGGAGGGGTAAAGAAACCTCACCGAATGCTACAAATGCCGCTTGCAAGTGCACCCTCTACTGGAGGGGTGAAGAAACCTCACCGCAAGCCTTATACTGTAGTGCTTCATGAAATTAGATATTATGAAAAGCCCATTGAACTTCTGATTCAAAAACTTCTTTCTAGCATCTGGTGTGAAAAATTTCTCAAGACTTCAAAATAGGTCTGGGCTTCCAGAGTGCAGCTATTGGTGCTTTGCAAGAGGCAAGTGAAGACCTATCTAGTTAACCTTTTTGAAGGCACAATCCTGTGTGTTATCCATGCCAAAAGTGTGACAATTATGCCAAAGTGCATTCAACTAGCATGCCACAAACATAGCAAATATGCTTAAGAATCCCCTGTGATGGGAAACATTTCATATCCCTCGGCCCTCCTGCCGAATTCTTTTCTTCCTATTATTAGTCATTCTGAACGTTATTTTTTTCCCATGGGATCCAAAGGTACCCAAATATATGCTTGCAAGTGGAAAAATAGGGTACAGAAATCAGTTATTTGCAGTTTTTCTATTTTCATTCGTATGTGAATTTTTAATATAAACGGGATGTGAAGCATTAACGCAAGTCAACATACTTCGGTGAACAAGTTTCAGCAATTCAACTTTATAGCAATTATAAATAAACCTGTTAAGTTATTCTGGACATTTGGATTGACGTTGGGTTGGCAAGTAAATTTTTTACTGACAGCAACTAAATGATGTTTATATAATTTTTATCATATAATAGATTCTATCTTTTTACTATACTTTTCTAAGTTGTCCCACATGCAAATACATGTTTTTAATGTTATCTATCTTCTGTGCTGTGCCTATAAGTTTGTTATTAAAATACATTAAACAACAACATAAACTTCTTTTCCTCAAAGTACTTCTAGTCTAGTTGGAGAAACAACCTAGAAAATGCACCAACAAATGGGGCACAATAACTACTCTGAGAGAGAGTGGCACACAGTGGACGCAAAGAAGAGGTTCCTGATGCAGCTGGGAAGAGTCTACATGGGCCTCTAGCAGGAGAAGATACTGGTCTTGAGTTTGGAGACTAAGTAAGCATCTCCAGGTAAGGTGTGCCATGAAACAAGTAAAGCATACACATAAATGGAAATGTGAGAAAACAGGATATGTTTGGGAAATAGAAAGAATTAAAGAAGTACAGAATATCATATTAGTGTAAAAAAGAAACTGTCAGTGTGAAATAATTATTGGAAGAGAAGTCAGGAAATTTAGATTCTCCTACTGTCTTTCATTTCTTTCATTAAAACCATTACTGAGACCCTACTGATGTTCCAAGCCCAGTGTGTGGCTCTGGGAAAACAAGAATGAACAAAACAGACATGGGATTTGCCTTTGGGAATTTCACAATTTAGTCAGATATAGACAGATATAGTCATTAATCAAACAAGCTCATCAATAAATGTATAAATAAATACCCTCTAAGTGTGCAAAGACGCAGTAGCATGAAGGTGCTCGGTGAGCTCAATGAGCTGAGAAAAAGGCTTTAATTTCCTTTCTGTAACTAAAAGTTATGATGCTTTCCAAAGCCTCTTCCAATTCCAATGTTTTTATGACTGTAAAACTCATATTATTTAATGTGGATTCTAATAGTTTGAGTTTAAGATTTTCTTAATATATTCAGAAAGTGAGTGAGACTATAGAAGTCCAATCATATTTCCTCAATACTTTAAAGCTGTTTGAAGATGCAACCAGAAAACATGGATTCGGGTATTAAGAATATTTTTTCAGACACTTCTGTTTAAAACTTTAAGAACAGTAACATTTCACACACATACAGGAATTACTGTGTTAATAGATGTGTTCAGGAAATGCCATGCAAGATAAAGCACAAATGATATCATAAACAATAGACACAACAGTCTTTGGAGAGTGTGCACTGTCTTGGCAACACAAAGGCCTGCTGGTAAATCTCTACACACCTGGGATGACTGGGGAAAGCTGCCAACCACAACTGCATTTGTGGCCTTAAGCATTAGAACTAAGAACAGGTAGAAGTCCTGGTTCAACAATGACTACATGAAGTAGAGGAAGGAGCAGGTGTATTCGCTCTTGGAAATCTACTACTTAATATCATGGTTACTTTGGGCAAGGTAGTTCAAGTTAGTTACTGTGCATATGCCTCAGTTCTGTCATGTATAAAATTAGAATGAAGAAAATAATGGCCTTACCTACCTTCCTACCTTATAGATTTAAGGAACAAATAAAGAAAAACAATAAGAGGGTTGCTGTGAAATGACAGAGAGAAACATAAAGAGAGGAGAGAGAGAGCTTCTTTGGAAGCTGAAGGCAGTCAGTATTTCTTACATTTATTTTGTAAAAAATGAATTTTCTTTAATAAACACAGAAGTGAATGTATTTCTGTGACTGTTGTTTTCAGTTTGCATTTTAAAAATTGCCCTAATTGCAGCAAAATTTGACTAGTCTGTGTTGGTTTGTATTTATTTTTTCTCTTTTTTTTTTTACAGCTCTATTGATCTATCATTGGCATATAAAATTTTATATATTTAAGGTGTACAATTTGATGTTCTCATATACATATACACTGTGAAATGATTACCATGTTTTTTCTTCTTGAAATTTTATTGGTCTATGAAATCTAGAAGTTTGGAAAAGTGTTTAATGTAGGGCAATTCTAAATAAAAATTCATTATTATTCAGTTTTATTCAACAAGCTTTCATTGAACATCTTCATTTTGAAGTTCTTAAATTGCCTTCACATTTGTAAGCCTTATTTTCCAACAAAGTATCTGGTCCTTAAGGGCATAAGGACCTCTCCAATGTCTTCAGAATTTCTCAAGGAGCTAACCCAGCCATGTGGGTGCACGGTAGACATTCCTAAATGACTGAATCAGATGATGGTCTACACTTGTTTTTGTGTAGAAATGAGAATGAGTCACTGTCTGGAACTTGTCCCCCGACTTGGGAATGTTAAGCCTTTGGACCACTTTTCCCTGGCTCCCTGGTGGGCCTTTCATCCTTGCAAGGGCCTCAGGGACATGATGGAGTTTCCTTTTCTCTTTAATGTCCCTTTCGGTTACTCAAACCTCTAGGATTCTTTTACCCACTCTACCAGTTTATGCTGCATACTGGGATGGAGCTTTCCTAGGTTCCTCTTTTCTCTTCCTGAAAAAACACACAGGCTCTTTTTACATTGAATTTTAATACTAATCCCTCCTGGTAATTAGACATGAAATAACAAAAATGGTAAACTATATCAAATTACAATGGTTAAGAAATCTTACTGAATTCTATCAGGCATGTTTCCTGGTCTATAATTTTTGACTTCTTGAGGGAAATGCTAACTAGGAGTCCCAAACATTTATTCTTTAAGGTAAATTTCTCCAGAAGTCTTATTCTAAGGCTAGCATATCCAATCAGAGAAAGAAAATTAATATGATCTAGGTTAATTAGGTGCTATCCTAGGCTAAATAATAGCCACCTAAAGATAACATATCCTAATCTCAGGAACTTGTAAAGTTACTTTATAAGGAAAAAGGGACTTTGCAGAAGTGATTAAATTTAAGTATCCTGCATAGGGATATTATCCTGGATTATCTGGGTGAGCCCTGAATACAATCAAAAGTGTCCTGGTAAGAGAGAGGCAGAGGGTGATTTGACACACACACAGATTGAAGAGGAGGAGGCAATGTGACCACCGAGGCAGAGATTAGAGTGATACAGCCACAAATCAAAGAATGTCAGCAGCCACTGGAATCTGGAAGAGACAAGGAACAGATTCTCTTTAGCACATCAGAAAAGATGGTGCATTAGTTGCAGTGGCTCATGCATGTAATCCCAGGACTTTGGGAGGCTGAGTCTGGTGGATCACTTGAACCCAGGAGTTTGATACCAGCCTGGGCAAAATGGCAAAATCTCGTCTCTACAAAAACAAAAAACAAAACCAAACAAACAAAAAGCAAACTAACTAAAAATGAACCAGGCGTGGTGGTGTGCACCTGTAGTCCCAGCTACACTGGAGGCTAAGGAGAGAAGATCACCTGAGCTTGGGTGGTCAAGGCTGCAGTGAGCCATGATTGCACCACTCCACTCCAGCTTGGGTGACACAGCGAGATCCTGTCTCAAAAGAAGAAAAGAAAATATTGTGATCTGGTGAACACCTTGATTTTGAACCAATAATACTGATTTCAGACTTCTGACATTCAGAACTGTGAGACGATAAATTTCTGTTGTTTTAGCCCATGACATCTGTAGTGATTTGTTAGCACAGCCATAGGAAACTAACAGAAGGGCCCACTTGTCTTAAATTCCTATCGTTTAACCTGTGGGGTTGGTAACATCCATTTTAAGGGGTTCTTGCCCCGTTTCTTTACCTTTTCTGGTCATTAATTGTCAAGCTGAGCAGAAACTATTTTTATATTACTGGAGAGTTATGCTTGAGAAATTGGGATTTGAGAAAGGCACGGAAAGAAAGATGATATACTTAACCACTATTCCTTCATCTAATAAACGTTGTGTAAATTCCTACTATGTGTCAAGCTATGTGCTAAGTCCTAGAATAAAAATGGAGTAAGACAGGATTTTTGTCCTTAAGAAGTTCAGTTGAGTAGGAGAATTAGACACACACATACGTATAATTAAATTAATTTGTGGAAAATGCAGTAATGATTATGTAGAAAGAGTATTGTATTTCCCCAGTGCATTTCATATTTTGAAAAACACTGTCTACAAAAAAGTTTCTGTGTTTAAGTAATATATAATAGGTTAAGAACAGTTCTAACTGCCAATAGGTTTTATAATTAACATAGGAAGATCAGTGTTATACTACTAGCTTACCATTATTTCAGCCAAAAATCAAAGGTATCTGTCATTTGAGTTTTTATTGTAAAGTCTGTTCCTGGAGAAAGTGTGAATTTTCTTATAATATTTAAAATACTGATGTAGCTACAGAACTCTCTCCCCATTACTTTCAAGAATGGCCTTTCCTAGTTTGGGAAATACAGCAACTATGTCATTAAACAATCTGGTTGGCCAGGCACGGTGGCTCACGCCTGTAATCCCAGCAGTTAGGGAGGCCGAGGCTGGTGGATCACCTGAGGTCAGGAGTTCAAAAGCAGCCTGGCCAATGTGGTGAAACCCCGTCTCTACTAAAAATACACAAATTAGCTGGGCGGGTTGGCACATGCCTGTGATCCCAGCTACTCTACTTGGGAGGCTGAGGTGAGAGAATTGCTTGAACCCAGGAGGTGGAGGTTACAGTCAGCCGAGATTACGACATTGCACTCCAGCCTGGGCAACAAGAGCAAAACTCCATCTAAAATAATAATAATAATAATAATAATAATAATAATAATAATAATAAAACAATCTGGCTTAGAGAAAATTGTATTGCAAACAATCTCATTAATGAGAGTTCCTGCGTAACAGGACACTAGCTCTGTCCCTTGGGGATGGCTTGGAGTACTGTTTCCTGGTAAAGCAACATAAACAGATCTCAGTCCCCTCTTACAGAGTTATGAAATAATAGCCATAAGTAATAACCAACATTTATATAAGCATTCCATCATTTTACAAAATAATTTTACAAAAGTAACTGATTATAGGTTGTTTTAATTGGAAGCAAACCCAGTTTCATTACCTCAAGCAAATTTCTTCATCTCTTTTAGCTTCCGTTTCTCATCTCTTTTTTTTTTTTGAGATAGAGTCTTGCTCTGTCGCACAGGCTGGGTTGGGTGCAGTGGTGCGATCTTGGCTCACCGCAACCTCTGCCTCCCAGGTTCAAGCAATTCTTCTGCCTCAGCCTCCTGAATAGCTGGGACTACAGGCGCCTGCCACCACGCCCGGCTAATTTTTGTATTTTTAGTAGAGACGGGGTTTCACCATGTTGGCCAGGATGGCCTCCATCTCCTGACTCCGTGATCCACCCGCCTCGGCCTCCCAAAGTGTTGGGATTACAGGCGTGAGCCACCGCGCCCGGCAGTCCGTTTCTCATCTTTAAAGTGAGAGTGCTAACACGCACATGGAGGGCTACTATGAGAATGGAGTGAGATTTTGTATATGAAGTAGCAAAGACAGAGCCTGGGACTTAGTAGGTACATTATTAAGAGTTGGAGCCATTTTTTAAACCTTTTGTCTTTTTGTTATTTTTGCTGTTCTGAAAGTCTCTAAGCTTTTAAAAATGGTCTCTTATTTTACTATTCTTGAATTGTTTCACGCTTCTCAACTCATGACAAGAACCTATTCTGCCAATGAACCTCCTGCCCCCATCTATTGAAATTAAAGCTTAGGAGCACCAGTGCATCCCAGAATTTGACTTCCTTCCAGTGGAGAGACCCCTTGGGTTTTTCGTGTGCTCTTTCCCTGATCCTTTAGGTGTCACATGGTCAGAAAGAACATAGTATTATTTATAAACAATATGCTCTCTAACTTCAGAAAGATTTAGGACAGCTTTCTGGATTTGGTCATGCATGAAACAGGAAAAACAGGCTATTAGAAAATTGTGTGAAGTCTAACAGGGACTTGATATGAATTCATTTTGATTTTTAAAACTGAGGACTGCAATCATTAATCAGTTCATTAAATTAATTGGAATAAGTATATTGCATGTAGTGAGAGTAGTAGTATTTTTTGAAATTTTAGTTTTAATTATATCCTATGGCCTGTGTTGTAAGATTTTTTATTTTAAGAGTTTAAAAGCCATTCGATTAAGCAACTAGTAGTAAACTTTTCTGTCTCTCATTAGTTGTTAAATCTAGAAAAGTTATTGGTTTAACAAACCTTTATTGGATATCTATTTTGCATCAGATTTTTTTCTACATGAATGACATTTTTTTCTCTCTCTTTTCTAATACTGATTTGTTGCAGTGTCGAATAGGTACCTGGGTCAACTCCACACACTTCTCACTCTTCACTGGACCTCTGGTACAAGATTGAGAGGATTCCTATTACTTACAAACAGACTAGGTATTAAAACAAAAAGATTCCCGAATAGAGTGAACCTAACCTAGAGCCCCTAAGAATTACATCAGCTTTAACCATTAATTCCCTGGGTTCTTCTTATTCAGTAATGTCTTAAAACCTTTTTATCAGTATGGGATGGGCGGGCAAGGGGATAAAGAAACTGGCGGCTGGTGGGAAGCCTTAGGTAAGGCTGTCAGGGGGGCTTTAGTTTGGGAGTGGGATAATTTGCTGAGGAAGGGTGGGAGAAACGTGAACTAGCACACAAAAGGCTGTTTCCGGCTCAAATTTCGTTACCAAGGCTCTTTGAGATGAACTTTTTTGGGGGAAAACAATCAGTCTAAAAGAGCTGTGTCTTCTTGTGTGTGTGTGTGTGTGTGTGTGTGTGTGTGTGTGTGTACAAGGGGGCGGCGAGGGTCCCCACTTTTAGTATGAGTAGCATTGTTCACATGTTTGCCAGTATTTTGGAGCCTGGCAGGCCTGGGTAGAGGCTGCGGGGGACGCCTCCAAGTTCCCACCCGGGACATCCTGAACAGCAGCAGCCACAACAACAGGCTCGCCCCTAGACAAAGGGGCCGGCGCGGCGGAGCAGACTGGTGCAGCCTGGGCCGCGCGCTCAGAGCGCTGGGCGTCTGGGCAGCTGAGTGGGCAGAGCTGACCCGGTGCGGGTGGGAGTCAGGGCGCCCGGAAAACCCGGCTCTGGGTAGCAGACCCCGCCCGGGCTGGCTCGGCGCCGGGCCTTCGGGCTTCCACTCAGTCTTTGACCCTCGGTCCTCGCTCAGCGGCCCGGCAGGCCGCACAACTGTAACCGCTGCCCCGGCCGCCGCCCGCTCCTTCTCGGTCCGGCGGGCACAGAGCGCAGCGCGGCGGGGCCGGCGGCATGGCTGTGTCCTGGAGGAGCTGGCTCGCCAACGAAGGGGTTAAACACCTCTGCCTGGTAGGATGGCGGGCTAGGCTCTCCTTGCGTTCTCTCTGTCCTGCAGTGATTTTGATTCATTCTCTGAGCGTGCACGGGTGGGAAGCTGGAAGTGGAAGTTTTGTCTTAATTCGAACATTCTCAACTTACAAAACTTTATGCTGGAGATAACAATGAACACTCCCCCTCCCACCCCCTCGCCTGTCCCCCAAATGCATGAGAATTTTTCTGCACATTGATGGGAGAGATGTGGAGGAAGAGGGAAGAGGTCATTTTCCGTGAATACAGCTTTTCTTTTTACCCTTTAAACATTTTTGCTCCCTTTGTTCTTTTCCCAGATTACTTCTGTTTGCTTGGGGTATGGTGATGTCATTAATTTCTTAATCTCATTTTGTACGGCAGGGGATAGCTGTAAATCATTTAGGAAACCTATTTGCAACCCAAATGCTTAGTCTCAGGTGAAAGGGCTGGGTAAAGTCAGATTTGTTTTCCTCTGAGTGGTTTTCAGCTTGCTGGTTAATTGAAAATGCTTTCTGCAGTTACTGATTTAGGTTCCATTGAAAGCACTGTGTCGAAGAATTTACCTGTGGTTTCTATTCATCAGGTAATAATTATTTTCAATTTTTGTTTTCTGTCTCTCATGTCTGATTGGTTTAGTTCATCTGGCTCTCCATGAATGTCCTGCTTTTCTGGAAAACCTTCTTGCTGTATAACCAAGGGCCAGAGTATCACTACCTCCACCAGATGTTGGGGGTAAGTAAGGTGAACTTGGATAATCTGGTGGAATGGGTTTAACACTGGCAGACATTGCTACAGGTTTGGTCAGTTCCATTCATTAAAGAAATGTGCACTCTTCACTTTGAAAACCTTTGTTGTTCTCTAAAGTGGTCACATTTTCCTGATTTATCATTTACACTTGTACAAGTTAAAAAGATTGACTCTCTCAAGAACCAAAGGTAATATCTGCTGAAGTGAAACGAATGAACCTGCCAGACCAGGTTATTGGTGCCTTAAAAAAATTGCTACTTATTGCCAGCTGCTAAGTACCCTGAAGGATCTGATTCACTAGGAGGATCAACCAATAACAAGCTTTTAGTATATACTTATCAGTGCTTTTAGCCTGCTCATGAGCTTATCCAGAGGATTTCTGCACTGTTTGTTTTTACTGACAACTCTCACAAAATATGGGTCTAATGGGGTTATTCATTTCTGGGCAGTTCTCAGTGCTTGCTTTGGGTTAGTGGCTGATGATATTCCAGTATTCTACTATAATATGAGAAAGATACTGGGCAAAACTTTTTTCTGATTTATTTTATGTTAATATTTTTCTTTCTTTTCTATGATGTTTCTGATTTCATTCTTCTGTTCCATCTCCTTCTTATTTGACTGCTTAACAGAAGATAGTGTCACTGAAGGCATATTACTTTGCACAAGGAGATTGCGTTTTCTTTTTCTTTCTTTCTTTCTTTCTTTTTTTTTTTTTGAGACAGAGTCTTGCTGCGATGCCCAGGCTGGAGTGCAGTGGAGTGATCTCAGCTCACTGCAACCTCTGATTGCCTGGTTCAAGCAATTCTCCTGCCTCAGCCTTCTGAGTAGCTGGGACTACAGGCACGCACCAGCACACCTGGCTAATTTTTGTATTTTTAGTAGACACAAGGTTTCACCATGTTGGTCAGGCTGGTCTAGAACTCCTGACCTCAAGTGATCCGCCTGCCTCAGCCTCCCACAGTGCTGAAATTACAGGCGTGAGCCACCATGCCCGGCTGAGATTGCATTTTCTAAGCAACAAGCAAAAAGTGTAAAACCCTGCAAAAACTTAGGGAACCTGAAAAAATAGATTTTGCATTTTGGTGAGTGGGGGGGTGCAGAAAAAAACACATTTTGCTTTTTTATTTTTTTTCATGGTTTAATGACTACTTAAAATTAAGACGAGCTCAGACAAATTCAGTGGAACCAGCTCTCCCTTCTATGTTTTACATGGAGAGATCTTATTTATCTGTAATTCTCAGTACCCAGACTAGTGATTGGCACATATTAAGCCTGCAACAAGTTGCAGTTGAATTAATTAATTAATTTTTTATACAACAAAGTAATATCATAATCTGTTGATCACACACTTTATAAAGTTTAACTTCTAGGTTTTAAGCCAATGGGTTGAAAAAAATAGTCTGTAAAGCTAAACCCATTTCATTTATTTCTTTCATCCATCCAATCCAGGAACTGTCTTGAAACCTATACATTTCAGATGGGCACCCAGAGAGTAAGACCTCACCTCGCCCCTCAAGTTGCTTACAATATAATGGAAAAACCAACAAATAAATAATTATAATTCAATAAACAAGAAAAGGTTTCTTCTAATAAACACATGAGGTCTGATAACTTTTTGGTTTTGTTTTCTAGTATTTCCCCATTAGGTGTAACTTAATGAATAGGACGTTTTTCAGTGGAAGCTTTATCTCATCTATTACATAACTTGATGAACAACTTGGAGAAAACTCTTTAGATATAGAATGGTAAAATTTGCTCTGGATCACGAGGTATTTGTATTAATATAAAAATCTAAGAACTGGAAATTTATTGCAATAACCTAGAAAGCCATAACTGAACTTTGGATTTTAGCTTTGTGAGATAGTATAAGCTAAAATAACATCTTATTTCTTAAAAAAATAATTATTTGGAAACCAACTCATTAATTTTCATGAACTTGGATACTGTATAACTGAATTTCAAATTTAATTTGGTGGTAAGTCAGATATGATTAAGATCACATATGCACAGAAACATAAACCAACAAATTTGGAAAACATTTAAACTATGTTTCACCTCTCTACTTCCATCCCACTTCACTGCTTCTGCTTGAATAACAGACAGGGTAATGAGCTTCAAGGACTGCTGACACATAGGGCTCAATAAATATTGATCAAGGGAATGAAGAAAAAAAATGATAAAAGGACCAAATGGAAGACTAGGAGCATAAAGGATAAGAAACAGATTCAAGAAAGGAGAGGTTGTTATAAATTAGTTTTTAAGAACACACAAGTATAATTATAGTGAGTTGATATTTGAGCTATCTGGTAAGTATTCTCCATTTTACCAAGAGTCACTGTGGACAGGAATGGTCTTTCTACATGCTGAGAGATAAAATATGACTTATAAACTTCTCAGTAATTATCTGTTATGAATTTTCCAGTCATTAATTTATCTAAGCTATTTTGGAATAGGTATTTTCAGTCTGTATATTACCTTTTATTGGAAAAGAAACTCCTTCTACAGTTTTACTATCTATGAAGTAGTGTTTAATTTTATGTCCTAGGCTTATCTTTTCTAATCTTATAATAAGTGTTGCATTATTTCATAGAGTAACAATTTGCAGGCACTTTTCAAATTGCAAAGAAATGCAGTATAACAAAGAGATAGAATTAATTTTTAAATAAATATTGCTGGTTCTGATGTTTTACATTTTTAAGAACTATATGTTATTAACTTAGCATCTTAGAGTGATGCATCTTAGAACTTAGCAAACACTTGGTCCCACTGGTATACGCATGTGGGATTCCTGAAGAGAGTCAAGGTATATTATAAGTCTCTTTTAGGTGGATTTTAGGTTTGTAAAAATCATGATGTTATTTCTGGAAATGTATTTCATTGTACCATTTAAAATGCAAATAGAAACAATACTTTCATGGCTGAACATTTTGATAATAGCTTTGAGTATAAAGTTGCTGTCATTCGTCTGTGAAATGTAAGGTAATAACAAAGTTGTACTAGTACAGGAAGGACCCACAGAATATGGTCCATTTATTGGAAGACACAGACAATGAGAAACAGTTAATTCTTAGTAATTGCTTGAAAATCTCTATTTTCTATTGAAGAATGACTTTTTATTCAAATGTTTACTTATACCTGTGATATGCCAGGAATTTTACAAATGTTTTGTTTAAGCTGGGAAACTGTTCTCTCTGTTTTACATACAAGGAAATATGGGCTGAGGAAGCTGTATGACTCGCTGAAATACCTTTTAATGGTCAGTGTCAGAGCTAGGATTTGAATACAGCCCTGTCTGACCTCTGCTTTTTCATCATACTACGTAGCTTTTCTAAACGACTTCACTGGTCCATGTCAGATACTTATACTACTGGTTAGTATTAATTTTTACCAGTGCTGCCCAACAGAAACATAAAGCAAGTCATATATATAATTTAAAGTTTTCTAGTAGCACATTAAAAAAAGGAAAAAGAAACCAGTGACATTTATTTAATAATATGTGGCCAACTAACCAGGCTGTAAAAGAGACATCAGGACATGGGTAGTCCTCTTGCTCCTCCTCTACTAAGCAGGAATTGTCAAAGGATGGGAAGTTGTGGAACTACAAAAATTATTGGTTTGGGAGGCCAAGGTGGGAGCATTGCTTGAAGCCAGGAGTTTGAGACTAGCCAGAGCAACAAAGTGAGACCCCATCTTTACAAAAATAAAAAAAATATACATATATATACACATATATACACACATATATGTATATATACACATATATACACACATATATATGTATATATACACATATATACACACATATATATGTATATATACACATATATACACACATATATATGTATATATACACATATATACACACATATATATGTATATATACACATATATACACACATATATGTATATATACACATATATATGTATGTGTATATATGTGTATATATGCACACAAACACACACACACACACACACACATATATTAGCTGGGCGTGGTGGCACATGCATGTAATTGCAGCTACTTGGAAGGCTGAGGCAGGAGGATTGCTTGAGCCCAGGAGTTTGGAGGCAGCAGTGAGCTATGATTGGGCCACTGCATTCCAGCCTGGGTGACACAGCTAAATAAATAAATAAATATTTAAATAAATAAATTTATTTATTTATTTATTTAAATAAATAAATAAAATTGGTATAGAACTATAAAAATCTCCCTGACTTCTGTCTCATCTTCTGAGTTTTCTGAAGGTGGGAATCTTTGAGAATGAAGGTGAAAGTATTTACTTCTCAGAACTAGAGTATCCACTTTTATTTCTGGGTTATTATTCTCGTAATAAAATTAAAGAGTAAAAAAAATACATACGAATTGATAGAAAAAATAAGATCTTAATTGCTAGAAGATAAAATATAACATTGGGATTAATATGTTTTATTGGGGGTTCTCATCATGATTATCCTTCCCCAGACTGGTCTGATCCAGAGTGGAGGCAACGTGGTCATGGCTGGTTTATGCCTGAGTTAATGTGCTAATCAGACTGTGCACTTCCTAGGAGATGTTTAATTGTGACATGTCATGAGTTTTGGAATCTTAAAATTAGCTAAGAGGAAAAAAAAATCTATTGAGAGAAGCCAAAATGAACACCGAAACAAGCAAACCAACAAACCAAACAATAGCCTGCTCCACTCCCCCATGGCAACCTTTTAAATAAGTCACTTCATTGATTGCTTAAGATTAAATCCATTTTCATTTATTTATTTTCAAGAATGGAAAATGTAGTTGCCTGAACTTTATAGAAATTAGTAACAGGTTGTGTTCAACTCTCAGAAATGTAGTTTTCTTTTCTTTTTTTGGAAATATTGGAGCAGTTTAACTCAAAACACCATTTATAGGAGCTCTTGAATTCATGTTTACCTGTTTTGAGTTGCGTTTTTTACATTTTAATAATTAAAGAATATCATGTAATTCCCATAAACATTTTAACTTGAAAAGAGAATGATTTTATGATATCAGATTCAATGTGTCTTAGTTATATATATATATTCAATGTGTCTTAGTTATATATATTATATTTTTCCCTCCAAACTATTCAATTTCAAACTAGTTATTCACATGGTGTCAGGATAAGATTTTAATTTTTATTTTGCTTTTATTCACAAATATTGTTTTAGATCTGCTGCATGATCTTGAAGCTTTTTTTAAACTTTTATTGAAATATCTATGCTCTTGAGCATTCAGATTCTTTCTAGTGAAACACTGGGATTATCTTTCTTTAGTCAATCATTATCCATTAGAAACATTAACTAATTTACCCTCTCAAGAGTCCTAGAAGTTATATCATAACATTTTACAGAGACAGAAATCTGATGTCATGTGAATTTCTTAAGGTCAGAGACTGGAGTCTCTGGACAAATGGATCTAGGATTTTAAGTCAATGTTAGTTTCACAGCTGGCCTGGGCAGCTTTAATTCTGCTGAGAATGAATATATGATCCCTGTTACTTTCAGAAGAGATTTGGTCATTAAATCCTAATTATACAGACTGTAAAATCACTAGCTAGAGTTGCTCAGGCACATGTTATGATAACAATTCAGGGGACATTTTTAGATGAGTGTTATTTTGCTTATTTGTTTTTATTCTTAACATTCTGTTATTTAGACACAATTTTCTTGTTTATTGATGGGTGAAATGGGTTATATTTCTTTGATGAAATTATATTCTTTATCTATTTACAATAGACACTGATTCATAGAGTTTTAGACTTGGAAGGAAACTTTGATATCTTTACTTAACTTTTCATTTTCCGAAATGGAAAAATGAGATTGAGGTGATTTGTTCACTATCACCTACTGAATTAGTGACTTGGTCACTATTTAGTCTATTGTTCTCCTTAGTCCAATATTAGCCACTATAATGAACAGCTGTATGAACACACGCAAGAACATTTTAAACCCCACACTGTATGGACTACTAGCTTTACATTTTAGGTGAAATGATACTTTAAAATGTCTAGCAATTTAAGAAGCTAGCGAAAATGATTGATTTACTCTCAAAATAAAATATATTTTTAGTATTATAGTTGTTTGAGACTTGCCAATAAATTGTGAAGGAATTATGAGCATTTTTATTTAAATTTATTCTGATTTCACAATACTTTTCAGAATTCTAAGGCTCAATATTTAACCTCGTTGTGATATATAGCTAAATGCTAACTGCATAATTCTCCTTTATCAATATCATCCCAAACAGCATAGAATTGGAAGTTAGAATGAATCTCAAAGATAGTCAAATCTTTATTTTTTAATAAATGATATGAATAATATCAATAACAGATTGTGCTCAGTGATAACTGGCTAATACTAGACTTTAGTCTAAGAGCTTTGCACTGATTAATTTATTTAATTCTCTCATCCATAGTATGGAAGGCATGATTTCAAGTTTTTGTTTTGTAGCTGAGAAACTGAGTTAGAGGGGTTCTATAACTTGCTAGTGAGGGACAGAAGCAGGACTCAAGCCCAAAGATCCTGGTTCCAGAACTTGTATTCTTGTTTTATAAAATTTTAATTGACAAATGCCAATTGTATTTATTGTGTACCACATTATATTTTGAAATATGTGTATATTGTGAAATGGCTAAGTCAAGATAATTACCATGTATATTACCTTACATGCTTATCTTTTTTTGTGATAAAAGCAGAAAATCTACTGTCTTAGCAATTTTCAAGAATAAATTGTTATAAACTATAGTCACCATGTTGTACAATAGATCTCTTGAACTTATTCTTCCTGTCTATCTGAAATTTTGTATCCTTTGAATAACAGCTACCCAACCCCCTCCCACCCCCACCAGCACCTGGTAACTACCATTCTACTCTCTACTTCTGTAAATTCGGTTACATTCTTTCTTAGATGACACATATAAGTAACATTATGTGGTATTTGTCTTCCTGTGCCTGGCTTATTTTACTTAACTTGATGTCCTTCAGGTCTCCTTTCATGTTGTCACAAATGGCAGGATTTCCTTCTTTTTTGTAAAGCTGAGTAGTATCCTATTATGTATACATACCATGTTTTCTTTATGCATTTATCTGTTGACCAAATTTGTATTCTGAGCCATTGTGCTCTGTTGTTTCTTTGCAACATTAATATTAGGTTGAATCATATAGATTGGTAGATCAGAAACAGTCAAAAATCAGCCATTTTATATGGCTCAACCTAATAGCAACTGTTACCATTTATTGATTATATATGACGTGTCAGACACAGTTCTTGGCCCCTTTTATAATCTCATTTAATCCTTATATTTAATTGAATCCTTGTAACAACAGTAGAATATAGGAATTATTGATTTTTACAGAATTAAGAAGCTTAGATTAGGAACTATTTGCTTTTTACAGAATTGAGAAACTGAGATTCTGAGTGGTTCGGTAACTTTCTGAGTAGTTAGGTTACATAGCTGACTAGTAGAGAAGCCCAGGTTGAGCCCACACCTGTCTGAAACTGAACACCATGCTCTCAATCACTCTGCTTTCCAGGTGAGGTTCTGAAACAGATAGTGTTAGAACCTGCAATTCTCTACTGTTGTCTAAGGTCCTTATACATTTTGCCATGGTGGTGCTGAATATACTGTTTGTGTTTCCCTCTGTTTGCTGTTTGCATGTTAGTGTGCTTTTTGTATCTGTTAAGAAGTATTTGATCAGAAGTAAATTCAAGCATATATGCATTATTCTTATATATGAGGTGGACTTGTATAACTAATACCTACTCTGTTAGTTTGCTAGGGCTGCCATAACAAAGTACCACAGACTGGGTGGTTTAAAGGAAAGAAATTTCTTCATAGTTCTAGAAACTAGAAGTCCAAGATGAAGGTGTCAGCAGGGTTGGTTTCTTCTGAGGGCCTCTCTCCTTGACTTATAGAGGGCTTTCTTCTTCCAATGTCTTTGTATGGCCTTCCTTCTGTGTGTATGTCTTAATTTCTTCTTATAAGGGCACCAGTCATATTGGATTAGGGCCCATCCCAATGACCTCATTTAACCTTAATTACCCCTTTAAAGATTGTGTCCAAATATAGTTACATTGTGAGTTAAATTCAACTTGGTACAAATACCAACTTTGTCAGTCTTCCTCTGGAAGCTAAGCATGCATTTTGAGAAATTAATTTGAAGTTAATGTATTTTTTTTTCTCCTTAATTGTAGAAGCCCAGCTGAGCACTAGCATTCCAGAATGACATGGCAAAAGGGTCCTTCCCAGGCCTTTTTAGGAAGGTATTGTAATGTTCCTCCTTAGAGGTTTGTCGAGCTTTATTCTTAGCCCTACCCTACAACTATTTTAAACATGCTCTTACACAACCCTTTATTCCCTCCATTACCTCAAAGAAGAAAATCAGATAAATTAGCACCTCTGAGGAGTAGCATCAATATTTTATTTTGATTTTTTAGATCTTGGCATCAAGAGTATGAATTCAGGGAACTGACTCCCAGAAAAGGAAGTAGGGAATATTGAGGAACTACTTTACCTTGCACACCACTGAGGCCAATAATAGTAGCAGTCGTCGTAGCCCTAGTCCTAGTCATAGTTGTATATACTTTCTTCTGGGCAATGCTCAGCCTGGAGGGAGAGGAGCCTGTAGAACTGTGGACTGTTCTAGTCCATTTACCCTGTTTGATGGATGAATTTCATATAGTTAAATGCTTTCTTTATGGACTCAGTGCAAAGCTGAATGTGGAATGTAGGTCCTCTAACTCCTGGTCAGTGTTTCTTCATGTCTATCATGCTAAGCATTGTGTTTATCATAAAACTGATTTTAAAATTGCCTAAGTAATTCTGGAGAGAAAAATAATTATAATTTCTTACTGAAAAGGTCATGGGCTTTGGAGCCATATGGATATGAATTTCAATTGTGGTTAAGCATTTCTCTCCCTTTGTGATTTTGATATACTATTCTCTCAGCCTAGGTGTAAACCCTACTCATAAAATAGGGCTTAAGCCCTACTCTTAGTTTAGATGGAAGGACAACATGAGAAAATGCAGGTGAAGTGCTTAGCACTTGGTACATAGGCATTCAGCAAATTGATAACTATTACTATAAATATTAAATAATGGTAATTAGTATTAATGGCATCAATATTATGAATAGAACCAAATGGTAATATTGTATTGTGTATATATATATACACACACACATATATATATAACATATATATGTTAAAAAGAATTCAGAGACATAAAGATGGAAGGGATTTGCTGAGCATACAGATGCTGAGCATATGAGATGACACCTAGGACAGAGATTTACCCTTTGATCTATTATTTCAGTGCTCACAAGGGTGCTTAATAAATGGCTGTTTGATGATGAGGTTGTATGTTTGCTCGTCAGTAGGAACATGTTACCTTCAGTCCTTTGGTTGACCTTTGGCTGCCTCCCTGATCCTCTGGAGAGAGGAAGGCTATTTACTGCTATTTGCTATTGGCAAAAAGTTTGTGGCAATTTGGCTATGATTCTTGGGTGGAATTTTAGTTTGAGGTGGAACATATTTCATTCAACAAAACATTACTTAATACTTTTTATTAATCTTCACTGAATCTTGGAATTTCAACAGATAAATAAGATAAATTACCTATCTCAGATTACTATAAATTTTAAAGAAAATTAAAATAAATAATAATAATAGCTAGAGCTAGCTTTCATTGCAATCTTTTCATGGGCCTGACATTGTGCCAAGTTCCTGTTATGTTCTTTGCTGCAGTCTCCACTATTCTACAAGGTAGGTTCTATTCATGAGAGGAAGCTAAAGAACAGAATTTGTAAGCAATTTGCGCATTGATTATAAGCACCTAACATGAAGTCTATTCCATAATAGGAGCTGTAAAAATGTCAGTCGTCTTCTTTCCTCCCTCTGCTCTTATCCTTCACAGCCTCATAAAATAATTCACCTTACTGTTTTATACCCCAGGAAAACATGATGGAAATATTCTACTTATCTCAGAATATTGTGCTGAGCATTATGACTTAATACATAAGAAAGTAGTTTGAAGAATTAAGTTTCACAGATGTGGAAGACTGTTGTTATGTCGTGTTTTTGTCTCCTATCATTTCACAAAGCTTTTAAGGCTCCAGTCATGGTGCCATGACATTGTTCCCCTGGACATCATTAAGGAAAGTTTGAAGAAAGGAATGAGACGTTTGTCTTCATGCCAAAAAAAATGGCAGTCAACCCTTAGCATGCAATATGCTTTACCTTTGCAGTGTGACTGTTGAAGTGGGATCGTGAAAGTCTGTTACATGTTGTACTTAATAGCAAAACAAGTATATACAGTTGACTCTTTAACAGCAAAGATTTGAACTGCGCAGGTCCAGTTACATGCAGATTGTTTTCAACCAAATGTGGATTTGCAGGATATGAAACCCGCATATACTAAGGACCGACTTTTCCTGGAGGCCAATTCCATGGGGCCCACTGGGGCACTTGAATATTCACAGATTTTGTTATATGTGGGGATCCTGGAACCAATCCCCCACATATGCCAAGGGATGACTGAAAGAGCAAATTACACAGGTAGTGAGTGAGTCTATGTGATTCCTAGAATTACATCCTAAAGCAAGTTTGTGATATAATAAAACCCGAGCAATGCGATAAAAAGTTAGTGTCTAGTGAAAAGTAGTTTACTTTCAGTTCTGACAATGAGACTAAAGGAAAAGTAAATAAAGGAAAAGAAGGACTTTGCTCAATCAGTAGAAATTGTGTTCATCTTTAGAAATTAGAAAGTTGAATTTGACAATGGCTCTCATCTCTAAATGGAAACTATCAAAGGTTTTCATGGATATGGGAACCCATGAAAGGATTGTTCAAGGTCTCCAGACACATATCAAGACTTTCAGAGGTCTGATATATTTTAAGGGAAGAAGAGATGAGTGATATAACCAAAGTATAATAATTTTATATAGCTGAGTGTTTTTTTTCTAATGGAGGCATTTTAACAATAGGGTATAATAAAGAAAAGATTATATGGAATGCCTTTCTGACTATATCTCTTTTCTTTATGATCAAATTTTCAAATACCTGATTTCAAATTGCAAATAATCTCATTAATGTGATCATAGAAAGCTAAGGTCCGGTGGGAGGATCTGGAGTGGCAGTGATCCAAACAAGTTTCTTTTATCCCCATGCTATACTTTTGATTCTCTTTGTAAGCTTCCTTTTCTTCCAATATGTCTTCCTTTACGTGCTTTTCCTTTAGCATCTTATACTGAATAAAATCCCTGCTACTCTACCTTATATGGAAGCATAGACTTCAAGGAGGGTGAAGATCTCATAAGATGAGAAAGTTGTAGAACAAGAAAATAACCACCTATTGAGAATACTTAGGAGATAAGGTGATGAGATTACTTTTATTTCTCACTGATTTTCCTTGGCCACATTTCATTTTTTTTTTTTTTAAGATGAAACAAAACAGGATCTCATTATGTTGCCCAGGCTGGAGTGTAGTGGCTATTCACAGGCATGATCATAGTGCACTACAGCCTTAAACTCCTTGGCTCAAGTGATTATTCTCTGGGGTTGCAGATGGGCTTGGACTGTGTAGAACCCATCACTGAACTAACATTTACTATTTTGATTTTGTACATTTTTAAAAAACATAAGAGTGAAAGAATGAGTCAAACGTAAATCTTGGAAGAGTTTAGTTTATGGGCTGAGAATGGATCTACAGGGTTTCTTTAACTTTGATCTACTTGAAGAAAATTGGTCTTAGACTTGTACTGGGTTTAAATGAGTGTGTCATGCTTGAAGAAAATACATTTTGTTCAGTGCACAAATTTTAGGTATATGAAAGTTAATTCGTTAAAGTCCTTTATGACCGTCATTCTGATTCTTGATAAAATCAAGTGTCTGCTATCACCTTTTCCTGAGCACATAGTGTCTATCAGCTCAAATATCAACTATGGTAATATTTGTGAAAAGTCGACAATATCAGTGAGAGTGGCATGATGTCATGAAAAGAACATGGATTTTGTGGAAAATTGATTTAAGTTGAAATCTCAACTTCACCTCTTAACAAATATACCTGTAAATGATTTATTAAAATTTTGAAAGCCTTAGTTTTCTCAGTTTTCAGTTGAGATTTATATTATTAATTGAGCTACATGAAAATTTCAATATAGAAACATTTTGACTTACAAAAATGACAATTTAGGTTAACCTGTGTTTAGTTTAACCTAATATATCGCTTATAAGATTTTTTTTTGTCAGGGGACAGGGGCAGGGAAAGAGAGGAAAAGATTAACCAAGGTGAGGAAGAAATGAGTGTAAGACTCTCAAAAAGTGTTAATTCCCTTCATCCTAACGGCAAGTTATAGTAGACAAATTTATGACAATGCTAAGACTTATCTATTTCAGAAAACATCTTTGGAATTAAGAATGTTTTGAAGTTGAAATTTATTTATAAACATTTGTTAATGATTATAAAAATTTCCAACAGTTAAGAGAAAATACCTTCTAGTTTAGAGCAAAGCATGCATTTTGAAGTGATATGAAAAAATATTTTGCCAATGACAGTATATATTATTTTCTTAGTTAGAATTTCAAAAATATTTAAGCTCACAGTTAATTGTTTTCCAATTGGCTGTGGTTTCCACATTTTAGCTCCCAAATTCTTGGCCTTTATAAAACCTTCGTCAAGCAGCTCATAAATTGATATACACATGAAAAAGACCCATTTTATAGGAGAGTAACAGTGAATTATTTCCATAAAAACAAAAAAGTTTTAAAAACTTTTTTGATATCAAGTACAGGATATTTAATTAAACATATACCTCAGTTCATAACACACTATCCTCATGGGTCTGTGCCAGACTTCCTTTTACTTTCTTCTTCATTCATTCATTAATTTATCAATTTAATCATTCTCCATTATCCAATCCCACTCTTTCAGCGGTCCCCAGTCCCCAAGCCACAGACAGAGACCAGTTCGTGGCCTGTTAGGAACCGGGCCACACAGCAGGAGGTGAGCAGCTGGCAGGCAAGCAAAACTTCATCTGTATTTACGGCGGCTCCCCATTGCTTGTATTACCACCTGAGCTCCACCTGCTGTCAGATCAGCTGCAGCATTAGATTCTCTTAAGAGCATGAACCTTATTGTGAACTGCGCAGGAGGGATCTAGGTTGCAAGCTCCTTATGAACATCTAATGCCTGATGATCTGTCACTGTCTCCTGTCACCCCCCAGATAGGACCATTTAGTTTCAGGCAAACAGGCTCAGGGCAATCACTGATTCTCCATTGTGGTGAGTTGTATAATTATTTCATTATATATTACAATGTAATAATACTAGAAATGAAGTGCACAATAAATGTAATGCAGTTGAATCATCCCAAAACCACCACTGCCCCCTCCACCAATCTGGAAAAATTGTCTTCCCCAAAACCAGTCCCTGGTGCCAAAAAGGTTGAGGACCACTGCATTCTCCCCCTTACAATAGCAGTCTTTCTAATGTGCTTGATGTTTATCCTTTTTTCGGTGTTTTATGTATATGTATCTTCTAATTCACAAAAATGGCATTGGATCATAGGACTTATTTAGTTTCCTAATTTTTCTCATCTGTTATTATATTTTTGAAGTCTATTTATGTGGCCGTGTGCTTCTTTTGTTTCTTGCTACCAACTGCTACATGGTATTCCATTGTTTGCATCTACCACTTTTTATATATCCATTCTTCCAGGCATGTAAACTCAGATTACCTCTAATATCCTGCTGCTTCAAATAGCATCATCATGAATATAAAGGATACTGTTGTAATATAATTATTATATGGTATTTTGTTGGATCTGCCTACTAGGTTTTCTTTTAAAAAGGAGCACAAATAAGTTGTTCATTTTGTTTAAAAAATAGCATTTTTTTAGTTACTTGTTATAGGAGTTGGATTTAGTCAGATTAGGATAAATGTGAAAATAATATCACCATGTGGAATGAGTTTACAAATATTAATATATTTGATTTTAATAACTAGTTTTCAGCAAGAAAACTAAAGTATATTGTGTGATGTAGGGAATGAATGTAGTGAGTATTTTAAGTATGATTTAACTTCTATATATCTTTCTTATGAACTGCGCATAATAGTAACCATTTAACCAAAAAAAGCTACATATATATAGTTACAGTAAAAACAACAAGCCTGACAAATGTAACATCAAGCTTGGGAGTACTAGGCAATGGAATAAAAAATATAAAAGAGAACATTAAAAGGATAGGTGCAAATAGTGGAATGGATTTTCTTAAAAGACAGGTAAATAAAAAAGTAGAAAACAACTCACCCTAACTTCCTGAACTGCAAAGTACAGTATAGTAGATAGCTTGTACCAACCCTAATGAGCAATCGTAGGTTAGGAAGGTTGTGAGATGGAATATGAGTGGAGATGTTTTGTTTTGTACATGGCAGGATATTAGGATTTTCTTTATTAAAATTGTAGTATGTGTTAAAATACTTTTTCCAAAATTGTTTGCTAAATGTCTTAACAGCACACAAGAAAAGCAAACCATAAGAAATATAGTATGGAAATATGATATCACCAGCGAACCAGAGGTTGGATAATACTTAATGTTTGGGGCCAGTTAGTAGTGTTAAAGGGTCAGGAATTTTTGTCCATTGTGCCCTCCCAGTGCCTCAATATTTCTTCCCTATATTACTTGGAACCCCTCTTATTTCTTAGATTGCTATAGTATAATATCAATTATTATAATTTTATCTCTTCCCTGTTCCTATTCTATTGTATTCTGTCCTGTCCTGTCCTATCCCGTTCCATCTCATCCTAACCTATTCTGTTGAAGCCTGCGCTTTACGTTAATATATCCTCAGTTATCAAAAGTCTAGAAGAAAAGGGATCAGCAGCTTAATACCCTTCTGAAAGATTCCATCCTAAGCCATTAAATATTTTCAAGGTAATTTTTAGAAGTTTATCATGCATTTTCCAGTATGAACATAATGCATACCATTAGGGAATAATGAAAAATGCACAAAAGTAGAAATGGAAAGTTTTTAAATATTATCAATATTTGAAGACAATATTATTCTTCAAATTGTATTTTTAAGACTTGCCCTACCTTATTTTCTTAAGAAAAATAATTTTTCTTATAACTGTTTTATATTTACTAATTGTTTTCCTATTTATTATAGAAAATAGGGGAAAATTAAAAAATGTTATATATATCATCACTCACACATAACCACCATTAACATTTTGGTGCATGTCCTCAGTACAAGTTTTTTATTTTTTTAAGTAGCAGTGTGATCATTCAGAATCAACAGTTTTGTTTCCTACTGTAAAATGTAGCATAAATATCACATTAGATTTATCTCTGTTATCACAAACTCCTTAAGCATATGTTGTTTATTTTTAATATTTCACTGAATAAATAAAACACAAAACTTAAACACTCCCATATTTCTGCAAATGCAGTTGGCTTCTGTTATTTACTGACTTATAAACTGCAATGAAAAACATCATTGTGTAGAATACCCCCTCTGTTTTCATATGTCCTTTGGACATGTTATTAGATTTTCAAAGTATATTAACCCATTTAATTTCTTTTATTGTGACTTTGTACGGCTTATTTATCCATTGAATTCTTGGTACTTAATTATTAAAATATATTAAATGTCAAAAGAAATACCTGATTCTGTATATTAAACACTGATGATACAATAGAAAAAAATAGAAACTTCCCTCTACATCTTAGAAGTAACCACCTGAATCGCTTTCATTTATGTTTATGTCTATATATCAATGACTGTACATGTAGATACACATATATACATGTGCATATTATTCAGTAATCTGGATGGATATTACTATTTCATTTCTATTATGTGAGGCTAATTAATTTTATCTTTAATGACTACATAGTGCACCATAATGCCATAATGTACACCATAATTTATTTTGCATTTCTCAATTGTTGGACAACTTTAATTCCTTTTTTTTTTTTTTTTTTTTGGTATTATAGATCATACGGCAGTGAATATCCTTGTAGAAATTTACTTGTACAATTAGAAAAGTGTTTCTGTATGTCATTTTACTTTTTAAAGAAATTCCAAGATGTGATGTATTGGTCTTACTCAATATTAGTTTTTAGAGAAAAAAAAGATTAAATTTGAATTGCATTTCCTTTGTCTTTGTAAAAATGTGGCACTGATGCTGTAAACCTTTTTTTGTAACATTTGGAAACTATGCAGTGATTGTCAATTGGAGAAAAGAGGACTACAAATACATCATCTTATGTTTGATTTAATTTAATAGGTTGGCGCAAAAGTAATTGTGGTTTTTGCCATGGAAAGTAAAAACCGCAATTAATTTTGCACCAAACTAAACGTTATTTTCCCAACAACTGCACTAGTGTGGTCCACTGCATGTTGGCCAATTGAACTCTGTGAAGAGTTTGTCAGAAGAATCTAATGCTTTAACATGTATATATCAGGAAATTTAGGAAAATAGTCTGTACCAAATTATCCATTCATTTAGTCCCTCTTAACTGAGTACCTACTGTGTTAGGCATTTTGGCTCTTTCTTTGCATACAGAGTTCTTTCTCTTTGAATTGATAGCTTATTTTGGAGGCAGTGTTTTGTTTTTTTTCCCCAAGGAAAGACTGGAAGAGAGTCGACTTCATTCAAAAGTTGAAAGTCATAGTTAAAAGACATGCCGAGTTAGCTAAGATTGCTAGTATTTTGAGGACAGAGATAGAATTTAAAAACAATTTTATAGATTCAATTAGTAAAAGTTAATAAGAAATAGGATTGAGTTCAGGAGGAGTAAAATAGACAATATGTTTAAGTAGGCTATGCTTAGGAGACATGAGAAAAAGATCTTTATATTGAATATCCTATATTCACTATATGAGTTTTAATATATATCATTATGGATAGTCTGATTAAAATTCCAATAAATGAAGAGGTATCATTGTCATGTGCGTTTTCTCTCATTTTTTTTTTTGTTTATTCAGGCCACCAGTATATCTTTTTGGCTTCTAATTTTCAGAGGAATGTTGAAAAATTAAAAATGGTTTAAAGATAAAGAGGAATGAGGCAACATTTTGGAATGATTGTTTTTGATGAGGAGTAGATGAGAGGTAACTAAACGCTCAGTAATTGTGATCGGATGTGCTGAACCCATGATGTAGGAGACACAAGGCCTGTTTCAGTTATCTAGTCAACCATGCTCTCTGCAAAACACTTTCAACTTCTCCATGCCTTCTCCTGTGCACAGATAATTTCTGTAGAGGGAGGAAAATGTAAGAGTGACATAAAATCAAATGCTCTGTAAGTTTTGAAACCTTGTTGAGACTTAGAAAGATGTCTAGAATAAGGGATGGGTATAAATATTGATAGGAATTTAATAGATGAACCAAAAAATATTTCCACTTCAATAATGTTTTTCAGCCAAAGAGGTCAAACCTTTTTCACTTGATACATTTCTATAAGGAAAAGTGAAGGCAGTGTTTACTGTTGTTCAAATTCTTCAATTCTAGGTTCTGGAGACAAGTGGCCTTGGTAGAGGTCACAGGTATTAATTGTGATTAAAATTTCATAATCATTTACACCTGGTGAACTGTTCACTAGACAATATTGTCTTTAGAAACCCCTGGCTGTGTTCATATGCAACTCTGAATGCCATTTATGTTGAAGTTTAACTTTGCCAGACAGGCACAGAGTCTAGAAGTGAATGTTTTCTGCCCTCTGTGCTTTTGGCACTGGAAAGACAAGGTAGACAAAATTGGGACAAAAATATGTTATAATACTGCTTTCTTCTCTCTCTGTAATAGCTATGTGTCCTTCTGACTTTTAATAGCTTTTCTAGGGAAAAACCACATTCCCACTGAAAATGGAAGAATGTCATTTTTAGAAAGCGTAGATAAAAAAATGATGACATAAAACAAATAGAAAAGATTTGAGTTAAGCATAAGGAAATCTGAATATAAAGTCATTATGAACTGTATATTTTTGGTAGCCCCTTTAGTTTTATGAAAAAAAAATTACACCTTTTTTTTCTTTAGAATTGATAGCTTCTTTTGGAGACAGTATTAAGGAAAAAAAAGCAGATTATAGATGAGAAGATAGGTCAACTTGAGTCAAAAATTACATCATAGTTAAAAGTCTCCAGGGAAGCTAGTTAACAGAAATGAGCTGGGATCATTTGGAATGAATTATGGTTTATTATGGCATTAAGGTACATACATGAGCTTTTGGTTATACCCCAAGAACACTGAATTGGTAGTTTATTTTCAGAATTTTTTTTAAAAGAAATGATTGCTTCAATTATTGTTCATCATTTTCTGGTTACTCATGACATGTTCTTCATCATTGTTTTCATATGAAACCTTATCAAAATAACCTTATCAAAACAGTTAGGTAATAAAGGCCAGGTGCAGTAGCTCATGCCTGTAAACCCAGAACTTAGGGAGGCCAAGGTGGGAAGATCACTTGAGGCCAGAAGTTCAAGGCCAGCCTCACCAACTGGTGAAACCCTGTTTCTGCTAAAAACACAAGAAATTAGCAGGGTGTGGTGCTATGCACCTGTAATCCAAGTTACTCAGTAGGCTGAGGCAGAAGAATAGCTTGAACCCAGGAGGCGGAGGTTGCAGTGAGCTGAGATTGCACCATTGCACTCCAGTCTGGGTGACAGAGAGAGACTGTCTCAAAAACCCAAACAAACAAACAAACAAACAAACAAAAACAATCAAAAAAGTTAGGTAATCAGCTTTTTAATCAGTCCTTCACTGAAATGTCATTTTTTATTCTTAAGTGCAGTCTTGTTCCCATGGAATGCCTACTATATTCAAAATTTTTATTCCCATTATAATTTATTAATGATATGAACCTAGTGATATTAATTAGGACTACAGTTTTGACTTATAGGCATAGGAAAAATAAATTTTTTCCAATTTTCTGCCATAGACCTTTTTGATTACTATATAGACCATAAAAATATGCTTACCATAGCTTTGAAAAATTGTACAGCTTACTTTATGTGGTTTCTCTTTTTGTTCATGTATCTGTCTCGTGACTATTTTTTGTTGACTTTCGTTGCTCAGAACATATTTTCCCCAAAGAGTACTTATTAGAAACAATTTTATTTATTAATAACCATGCATTTTTGAGGTCCTCAAAGGTAAGAGGCAGTTTGGGCTTTTCCACTTGCCTGTGCAGCCCCTTGCTAGCTTTATATGGGAGACAAGGAGATAAATACGTAAACCATTATAATAGAAAGAATTAAGTGCTCTAGGAGAGATATGGTGAAAGGCAAAAAGGAAACACGGAGAAAGATGCTCCAGATTTGTCTAAATATATGTAAAAGGGAAATTTGGAGAGTTATAAGTGAGGGTGGAGATAGGGATATGGGCCCTAGCAAGCCCTTACAGAGAAAGTGACACTCGGACACTTTCTTCACTTTCTTTGTGACTGAAAGATTAATAAAGAGTCCATCTGGTAGTTATCCTGGGGGTTGGAACAGGTACAATGCCAATACAAATAGAAGGGATAGCAGCAGTCTGAGCTGTGGATCTGTAGTGTCAACTGAGATAGGTAGTAACAACTTGGGTTAGCTAATCTTCATAATGCATCTGGGAGCTAAACTGAGGCATATAATATAAAAGTATATGTAGCCAAGTAGCCTAATGGTATCATCAGTTAGGCCTGTTTACTGACTTGGAATATAAGTTGGGACCAAAAAAAAGGAGGTTGGACTAGATCATCTACGCAGTCTCATAGAAAAGCTATAGTGGCTTTGAAACTTTTCTTTAATTGGGTGCTGTTCCAGAGGCAATCCCAGCCTCTGAAGTGGTGGAATAGAGAGAGAGTGGAGGGTGGAGGCAGAGCTGCTGAGCCTGAGCAAGAGGATGGAAAGTGTATGTCCTGAGTTCTGATTCCAGATCTTAACTGGATTTCCTGGGTAATCACTTTTGGTATTCTCTTTTTCTAAAATAAGGGCATTGAAGGATCATCTCTTAGCCTCATTCATTCATTCATTCATTCATCCACCATATATTTATAGAACACATAGTTGCCTAGAACTTTCTTTGAATTCTTTAGATCATATGAGTGAAATAAAGCTCAGTTTATACAACTACAATGAGAATGTCACTTTCCAAAGCTGTGGCTGGAAAGGCAGCCTGGAGATTTGTAGGAAGCCATGCCATAAGTTCATTTAAATTCTGAAACTAGTTTAAATGTGTGGATGACAAGGGACACTAGGATGATGATAATAACTTCTGTTGACTTCTTACTATATGTCAAGCACTGCATTAAATACTATATATGCTCACTTAATATATACAATAACCCTTTGGGGTAGGTATCTTATTATTATTATTATTATTATTATTTTCATTTTGCAGATGAGGAAAATGAGACTGAGATAAAGTCACATAGTTACCTAAGACCACACAGCTAGTTAAGGGGCTTCATATTCAGGTTTATGTGACTTCAAATTGTCCTCTAAATCAATGAGTGCTGATCCTGGCTCAGAACTCCACCCGAGACCTAAGGAATAACAACTTCAGAAGTTTGGTAGTAGAAAGTGGTTTATTTTAAAATAGCCCATCAGGTAATAACTATGTACAGTCCAATATGAGAAGCCTTTGTCAAGATTTACATAAAATGAGAGGAAAATTTGTTGATTGGGTAACAGTATAAGCAACTGAAAGAGTAAGAAAGTGTAAAAATACGGAAAGAGCATTAGGCAAGGTGTCCGAATTTGCAACTCTGTTCTGGGGAGTGATGCATTGCAAGGGAAGTGACACAGACCATGAAGAGGAGACTTGGGTTCCCATTCTTGCAGCTTTATGAACTAGCAGTGTAAACAGGGCAAAAAGAAGGTTGAACTGGATGGTTTGTAAGGCGCCATGAAAGAACTACAGATTTTTTATTCTAAAGCACTAAAGAATTAGGCTTTGTATGGGCATCATTTGGTTTGATTAAAATTTTCCTTGGGATAGAAGAGTCAATAAAATTGATCACAATGAGCACAAATTTACATATTTTTAGACAAACACCAATGCCAAATCAGAATTTTAAAATATTTTATCACTTTAAGTTTTCGTTATTTTTAATTTTGTTTTCCTAATTGTTGACTCACCAAGAAGCACCCAGAAAAATGACCAATTATTCAAACTAACCTCTCTGGCTTTTTCAACTCCCTTTGAACAATAGTTTAGTGTACATATTTACATGTAGAATATCATCTTATGTTCCCTTAATTTGTTGAGAAAATTTCCAGTTGAGAACAAAATGTTCATTTGAAAGTTAATTTGCCAAAACAGGTAGTTTGTAAGTCCTCTCTAGAGTCAGCTATTTCATAGGATTTGGTACATTTTAATAGCTTTGCCAAAAATTTGGATGAAGATGTGAAAAACATAAATGTAAAGCTTTCAGGCCTTGTGTGGTGGCTCACTCCTGTAATACTAGCACTTTGGGAGGCTGAGGCTGGAGGATCACTTGAGGCCAGGAGTTTAAGATCAGCCTAGGCAAAATAGACAAAAATAAAAGTAATTAGACAGGTGTGGTAGCATGCACCTGTAGTCCCAGCTACTCTAGAGGCTGAGGTGGGAGAATCAGCTAAGCCCAGGAGCTCCAGGCTGCAGTGAGCTGTGATTACACCATTGGACTCCAGCCTGAGTGACAGAATGAGACTGTCTCTAAAAATAAACAAATAAATGAAAATCAAAATTTCTAGCTGAGGCAAAGATGAGAGGGAAAAATATAAGAATACAGAATTCACAACCAATATAATAGAATAGGTTAATTCTTGCATTTATGTACCTTCTCTCACCCGCTCCCATTTTTTTCTTTTGAGTATAGGATAAAGGGATCATTGTTTAATAGGAAATTCATGTGAAGAAAACCTATATGTTGGAAACTCAAGATGAGCCTTTATGTGACATAATTTCCATAAAAGATAACACAATCTTAAAATTAGCAGATAGCATCCGTAGTAACAGAGACGATAGTCTTCAGCACTGCTCTGGGCAATGACCTTTTGTCAAGAATGTACTGAATATTGGTGCACAAAGATGATGGAGTCTTAAAATTATATCAACAATTGTAGAAGCAACTAATTGTATTTAGCATGGAGAAAGCAAGATTGATTTAGGAAATTATACCACTTTTATCTTCAGTTTTTGAATGTCTGTCTTAGGAAAATTATTATGCAGAGTAGCTCTGTGGGTGGAAGTTACAGAGACACAGATTTCATCCTAGTGTAAGAAAACAAAATAGAACAGTGGAACAGCCTGTTATGTGGAAGAATTCAAACAGAGTGTAGGTTACCTTTGGTTGGGGACTGTCAGAGAAGGGGTTTAGACAGTGGGTGGGAGGTACAGTATGAGCTAGGCCCTTTCAGATTTCCAGTTTTAGAATTATATGTTTTAGTATTTAGCAAAATAAATTTACTGATAAGTAAAATATTTAGTCACAACAGAATCCCTCCTATATGTAACACACATAATTAACTTGAAATGTAGTCCTTGTCACTAACAAAATTTTACTGATGCGATGATTAACTATACAAAGTAATGTAATTGCCAAAATTACTTCCTTAACATCTGTTGTCCACACTTCATTGAGAATAATCATCGCCAAATACTAATCTCTTCATGCCACTTCCTGGCTTAAAACACAATCATTCTGTGCTATGGACTGAATATTTGTGTCCCCCCAAAATTCATATGTTGAAATCCTCACCCTTAAGGCAATAGTGTTGGGAAGTGGAGCCTTTGGGTGACTTGGTGATTAGGTGATGAAGGTAAAGCCCTCATGACTGGCATTAGTGCCTTTATGAAAGAGGCTTCAGAGCACTAGTTAGTGACCATGTGAGGATGCTAGCAGAAGGCACTGTCTATGAGGAAGTGGGCCCTAACCAGACACTGAATCTGCCTTGACCTTGAACTTGTAGACTCCGGAATGGAGAGAAATAAATGTTTGTTGTTTATAAGCCACACAGTTTATGGTATTTTCTTAAAGCATCCAGAGCAGACTGAGAGAGATGCTCTGCACTAATAAAATAAAATAAAAAGATAAAGACAAATTTTTTTTTTTTTTTTTTTTTTTTTTTTGTGACGAGTTTGGCTCTGTCGCCCAGGCTGGAGTGCAATGGTGCGATCTGGCCTCACTGCAAGCTCCACCTCCCGGGTTCACACCATTCTCCTGCCTCAGCCTCCCTAGTAGCTGGGACTACAGGCGCCCGCCACTAGGCCCAGCTAATTTTTTTGTATTTTTTTAGTAGAGATGGGGTTTCACTGTGTTAGCCAGCATGGTCTCGATCTCCTGATCTCGTGATCCGCCTGCCTTGGCCTCCCAAAGTGCTGGGATTACAGGTGTGAGCCACCGTGCCCGGCCGATAAAGACATTCTTAATGTAACCTACAAAGTCCAGCGAGCTCCCCCCAATTAGCTTCTCCAGCTTTATGTTCCATTACCCTTCATTTCCAAATGAAACATATTGGCCTACTATTTATTTATTACATATACACCATGTTTTCATTTGCTACACATCATTTCTCATGCTGCTTTTTTCCCTGCATGGATGTCCCTCTTATTTCTAGCTGACTTCTAGTTTTATTCTTCAGATCTCAGTTTCCTTTATACTTTTCATTAATCAAGGAAGGCTTGCTGATCTTCCCATTTAGATCTGATTTCCTGTTACATGTATTCATACTCTGTTTCTCATTTATCACTGTTACAAATTGTATTTGCTTATCAAGTTATTTGATTAATGTATTTCCTCTACTAAAACATAAGCAGCCTAAGGGAAAGGGAATTTTATGTTTTTAGTTCACTATTGAACTCCTAGTGTCCCAAAATATGTGCCGATTACAATAAATATGTGTTCGATTAATAATATAAGTGGAACAGATAGCACTTACTTTAAAAGTACAGACCAATGTTTAGTGAAAGGATGTGATCCAGTGACCCTATGGCAATAAGTTAACTCTATATACTGCCTGCATTTTTTAGACTGTGTTTACTTTTCACAAAAGCCCTAACAGCTAGGATTATTATGTTATATTTGTTTTATAGGTAAGGAAATTGTATCCCTCTCAATTAACTATTTCAAAATTAATATTTATTAAGTAGGATATTTAAGATAAGAAACTGTTTGAGATTTTAAGAAAATAACCATGTGCTTGGTATACCTAGATATTATGTTCTTCAATAACTTACTTTAAATGGCATTTAAAATATTTTTCTATAGGATTGTCTTGGTTCAGGCTGGTATAACTAAATATCATAGACTAGGCAGCTTAAACAACAAACATTTTTCTGTTGCTTGGGAAGTGCAAGACTACAGTGTCAATAGATTTAGGGTTTGATGAGGGCCCTCTTCCTTGTTGACAGATGGCTGCCTTTTTGCTGTATCCTAACCTGGTGAGAGAAGGAGAGGAGGTATTCTGGTGTCCTCCTCTTCTTATAAAGGCATTAATCCTTTTGCTGTGCAGAAGTTCTTTAGTTTAATCAGATCCCATCAGAGTGAACAGGCAACCTACAGAATGGGAGAAAATTTTTGCAGTCTATCCATCTGACAAAGGGCTAATATCCAGAATCTACAAAGAACTTAAACAAATTTACAAGAAAAAAAAAACCCCATCATAAAGTGAGCAAAGGATATGAACAGACACTTCTTAAAAGAAGACATTTATGCAGCCAACAGACACATGAAAAAATGCTCATCATTGCTGGTCATCACAGAAATGCAAATCAAAACCACAATGAGATACCATCTCACACCAGTTAGAATGTCAATCATTAAAAAGTCAGGAAACAACAGATGCTGGAGAAGATGTGGAGAAATAGAATGCTTTTAGACTGTTGGTGAGAGTGTAAATTAGTTCAACCATTGTGGAAGACAGTGTGGCAATTCCTCAAGGATCTAGAATAGAAATACCATTTGACCCAGCAATCACATTACTAGGCATATACCCAAAGGGTTATAAATCATTCTATAAAGACACATGCACATGTATGTTTATTGCAGCAGTGTTAACAATAGCAAAGACTTGGAATCAACCCAAATGCCCATCAATGATAGACTGGGTAAAGAAAATATGGCACAAATACAGCATGGAATACTATGCAGCCATAAAAAAGGGTGAGTTCATGTCCTTTGCAGGGACATGGATGACGCTGGAAACCATCATTCACAGCAAACTAACACAACAGCAGAAAACCAAACACTGCATGTTATCACTCATAGATGGGAGTTGAACAATGAGAACACATGGACATAGGAGGGCACACAAACTGGGGCTTGTTGGGTGGTGGGGGGCTAGGGGAGGGATAGCATTAGGAGAAATACCTAATGTAGTTGATGGGTTCATGGGTGCAGCAAACCACCATGGTACGTGTATACCTATGTAAAAAACCTACACGTTCTGCACATGTAGCCCAGAACTTAAAGTATAACAAAAATGTTTTTTAAAAATAAAGGCACTAATCCTATCATGGGGACTCCATTCTCATGACTTCATCTACATCTAATTTTGTATCAAAGGCCTTAACTCCAAATACCATCACATTGGTGACTAGGGCTTCAACAAATGAATTTTGGAGAGAAACGGCATTTAGTTCATAACAAAAACTAATCTTTGTTTTGTTTATACTTCCTCATTTTAAATCTATTTGTAGTTTTAAAAATTACATATGGAATCCTCAGTTGATTATGTATCTTAGATACCTTGACAGGTGGGACTTGTAACTTGAAAATAACACTTCCATCTAGTGACAACTAACCTGATTAAATTAAAAAACTCTGGAGTAGCTGGGAAGGGTAAAACAAATCATTCACATAGAATGGACTGGACACATAACTTAGAGCAGTCATTTTTTAAAAATAAACACCTGAAGTAACTGATGCTTGTGAAGCTTATGGATTAATAATGATCAAACAAAACAATCTGTTTAGCTAATAGAATATTGCTCATGTAGTAACTAGATAAAATGTTTTCTTATAATCTTGCCACTTAAAAATGGGTCCGTCTCCATTTTCCTCACTCCACTGCTTCTGAATGAGAACCTTTTGTACTCTGAAAACCTAGTAAAAAGTTTTCTTCTTAGTTTAAAAAACTAACTATATTCAGGAACAAACATGTATGAGAAAGTGGGTTCTTGGTAAAATTTCCAGTTGGGTTTTGCAGAATCGTAAAGAAGTTGATGTTAAAATAAGCTCTATTTATCCCAAGGGGACACTTAAATCCACTTTGAATTAAATTACTGTGGGATTTAATATAAACACAATAATAAAACACTTCCAGACATGCAATACATAGTTAGACAATGAAGATATATAAAAATTTTCTTTAAAGCATTGAATCTCAAAGGAAATATGGATGATTTATTTGTATCTCTTAATTCCTGAATTTATGTTATAGATTTTAGGTGATATATTTTAAATTAACTATTCAGCTACATTAAAACTACAAATACAATTGTCATATACAATCCTTTGAGCTAAAATGTTCTTATCATATGCAAATGCCAGATCAAAAGAGATAATTATTCTATTTCTCTGGAAGCCTATATAAACAAGAAAAACCTATCACTCTCAAATGATAATTATTTCACTGATTGAGATAGAAAATCATGTTTAATCTTTTTTAGATAGTCCAGAAGGTATTATATCTATTTGTCCACTTACTGGTATATCCATTAAACTGTATCCCTAAGGTGTTCCAACTTAAGATGTAGAAATAACCTAACTGGACATATTAATTGCTTTTTATATCAGTCAATGAAAATTACTGCTTTCCTGAAAACACTATTTATTATCCTGTCTCCCTTTCAGGAACTATATTTCATATGCTGACAATAAACACAAAGTTGACATTTTGCCAACAGTTAAGTTGGAAATATCAAGCACGTGAACAAATTCAAGATAAGAAAAGCATCTGTCTTACACATATTCTTAGTCAGTGTCATTAAAATAGAGTTGTTTTGTGGCCTACTTCAGGAAAAATATACAGATATGACCCCATCTCTTGTTATATTTGTATACACTATTCATATAAAAAGTGTGGATTGTACCAGACAACAACAGATGACAAGTTATGATTCAAACTTGTTGCCAAAAAATATTGCATCAATACCAAAGGGAACTGATTCTTTGAAAATTATGTTGTGTCATGTGATTGTAATTAGCTTGTATGAAGCACAGCTGATCTAGGATGTAGAATTCAGTGGTAATCCAGAGAATAGTGTTCCTATTATTATTAATAGGAATTATTGCTATATGACAGGCATTCAATTAAACGATTTACATACATAATTATTTTTGTTTTTATTAAATGGACAGAATCTGATTACTAATATTCCTCAGTTCCTATCCCAATTTGTTAATTTAAACATGATCCTCCTTTATTTATTTTATACAAATTACTTATGATATAATGAATATCCATACATACACCTAGAATTAGAACATTGTGAGTAATTTACATCTATGTATTTGGTTATCTTATCATATATCTATCTTTTTCTTCTCTCTTCCTGCAAAAGATTACCACTATTGTGAATTTTGAGTTTCTCCTTTCTTTAACATTGAAAAAAATAGTTTTATTTTGCCTGTATATTTAATATATTACTTGTTTTGATTCATTTCTAACTTTTTATGTCTTGAGAAATCCATACCTACGCTAATGTCCAAAAGATTAATATATTATGTTCTATTAAAAGTTTTGAATTTTGATTTTGATATTTAAGTTCTTAACTATTCAGGAACTAATGTTTTGGGGTGGTTTGAAACAAGGATGTTACGTGATTTTGTTTGCATATGATAACCAATGTTTTTCTTCATCGAATAGACTCTTCTTTTCCCATTAATCTGACATGCCATCTATATATGTATAATTGATACTTATATAGTTGTTTATGGGTCTTTGTTTTGCTCCGTTGGTCAGTTTATCTATCTATACACAAGAAACACATTCTGAATTACTGTAACTTTATAGTAAGTTCTATTATGTGAAGGCCAAATTATTTCTCCTTTTCTTTTAGTGTTTTACTTTGTTTCTGCTGTTTTGCATTTCTGCATACATTTGAAAGTCGGCTTGTCAAGTTTTATGAAGAAAACCTATTGGAGTTTGACTGGAGTTACATCGAGTTTGTAAATCAATTTTGAGAGATTGACATCTTTACAATATTAAATCTCCCTACATGAAACATGGTGTATTAATTATCTACTTAGCCCTTCTCTTACGTTCCTTTAGTTCCTTGTTTTTACATGTGTCTTGTGGTTTGTTTTTTTGTTAAGTTTTTTACTAGACAATTTACATTTTTTATTACTTTTATAAAATAAAATCTTTAAAATATGTTTTTAAAAATATCTGTCGCCATTTTATAGTAATGCAGTTAGCTAGCTTTCTTTCATGCTTCTTACCCTCCCTTGCTTCCTTTCTTCCTTTTTTTTTTCTTCTTTCTTCCCAAAAGTAGCAGAATAAAACAAAAGTTTACTAAGGATTGCATTTATTGAATAGAAAACATTTTAGAGTCCTGTTACAAGTAGCTTGTGGCTGAATTTCCTCACATAGTGGTATTATGTTCTCTCTTGGCAGATGGGTAACGCAAACATTAGAAAATTCAAATAATTTTTCCATAACTTGAAAGAGGTAATAGTGGGATTTTACTGGTCAATTTTACTTTAAGACCTGTGACTTATAAGATGTTCTGTAATGAGATTTTGTTCCCCTCATTCCACTTTCTTCTGCTGCATAATGTTAATATTGGATTTAAATATTTTCTTCTCTTATTTATTTATTTATTTATTTTTTGAGATGGAGTCTTGCTCTTTTGCCCAGGTCGGAGTGCAGTGGCGCGATCTCGGCTCACTGCAAGCTCTGCCTTCCGGGTTCATGCCATTGTCTTGCCTCAGCCTCCCGAGTAGCTGGGACTACGTGTGCCCATCACCACACCCGGTCAATTTTTTTGTATTTTTAGTAGAGACGGAGTTTCACTGTCTTAGCCAGGATGGTCTCGATCTCCTGACCTCATGATCCGCCAGCCTTAGCCTCCCAAAGTGCTGGGATTACAGGCGTAACCCACCGCACCTGGCCTTATTTATTTATTTTTTAATTAATTTATTTTTTTGTTTCATATTCTTTTTTTTAATTATACTTTAAGTTTTAGGGTACATGTACACAACGTGCAGGTTTGTTACATATGTGTACATGTGCCATGTTGGTGTGCTGCACCCATTAACTCGTCATTTAACATTAGGTATATCTCCTAATGCTATCCCTCCCGGCTCCCCCCACCCCACAACAGGCCCCGGATTGTGATGTTCCCCTTCCTGTGTCCATGTGTTCTCATTGTTCAATTCCCACCTATGAGTGAGAACATGCGGTGTTTGGTTTTTTGTCCTTGCAACAGTTTGCTGAGAATGATGATTTCCAATTTCACCCATGTCCCTACAAAGGACATGAACTCATCATCTTTTATGGCTGCATAGTATTCCGTGGTGTATATGTGCCACATTTTCTTAATCCAGTCTATCATTGTTGGACATTTGGGTTGGTTCCAAGTCTTTGCTATTGTGGATAGTGGCACAATAAACATACGTGTGCATGTGTCTTTACAGCAGCATGATTCATAATCCTCTGGGTATATACCCAGTAATGGGATTGCTGGGTCAAATGGTATTTCTAGTTCTAGATCCCTGAGGAATCACCACACTGACTTCCACAATGGTTGAACTAGTTTACAGTCCCACCAACAGTGTAAAAGTGTTCCTGTTTCTCCACATCCTCTCCAGCACCTGTTGTTTCCTGACTTTTTAATGATCACCATTCTAACTGGTGTGAGATGGTATCTCATTGTGGTTTTGATTTGCATTTCTCTGATGGCCAGTGATGATGAACATTTTTTCATGTGTCTTTTGGCTGCATAAATGTCTTCTTTTGAGAAGTGTCTGTTCATATCCTTCGCCCACTTTTTGATGGGGTTGTTTTTTTCTTGTAAATTTGTTTGAGTTCATCGTAGATTCTGGATATTAGCCCTTTGTCAGATAGGTAGAATGCAAAAATTTTCTCCCATTCCGTAGGTTGCCTGTTCACTCTGATGGTAGTTTCTTTTGCTGTGCAGAAGCTCTTTAGTTTAATTAGATCCCATTTGTCAATTGTGGCTTTTGTTGCCATTGCTTTTGGTGTTTTAGACATGAAGTCCTTGCTCATGTGTATGTCCTGAATGGTATTGCCTAGGTTTTCTTCTAGGGTTTTTTTGATTTTAGGTCTGACATTTAAGTCTTTAATCCATCTTGAATTAATTTTTGTATAAGGTGTAAGGAAGGGATCCAGTTTCAGCTTTCTACATATGGCTAGCTAGTTTTCCCAACACCATTTATTAAATAGGCAATCCTTTCCCCATTTCTTGTTTTTGTCAGGTTTGTCAAAGATCAGATGGTTGTAGATGTGTGGTATTATTTCTGAGGGCTCTGTTCTGTTCCATTGGTCTATATCTCTGTTTTGGTAGCAGTACCGTGCTGTTTTGGTTACTGTAGCCTTGTAGTATAGTTTGAAGTCAAGTAGTGTGATGCCTCCAGCTTTGTTCTTTTGGCTTAGGATTGACTTGGAATTGTGGGCTCTTTTTTGGTTCCATATGAACTTTAAAGTAGTTTTTTTCCAATTCTGTGAAGAAAGTCATTGGTAACTTGATGGGGATGGCAGTGAATCTGTAAATTACCTTGGGCAGTATGGCCATTTTCACGATATTGATTCTTCCTACCCATGAGCATGGAATGTTCTTCCATTTGTTTGTATCCTCTTTTATTTCATTGAGCAGTGGTTTGTAGTTCTCCTTGAAGAGGTCCTTCACATCCCTTGTAAGTTGGATTCCTAGGTATTTTATTCTCTTTGAAGCAATTGTGAATGGGAGTTCACTCATGATTTGGCTCTCTGTTTGTCGTTATTGGTGTATAAGAATGCTTGTCATTTTTACACATTGATTTTGTATCCTGAGTTTTTTTTAAAGTTTTATTTTAGGATCAGTGGTACATGTGCAGGTTTACTATAGGGATAAATTGTGTTTCATGGGGATTTAGTGTACAGATTATTTTTTTCACCCAAGTAATAAGCATAGTACCACATAGTTTGTTGAATGTCACGCTCCTCCCACCCTCTACCCTCAAGTAGACCCCTGTGTCTGTTGTTCCATTCTTTACGTTCCTGTTTACTCAGTGTTTAGCTCTCAATTTTTAAGTGAGAACATGTTCTCGGTATTTGGTTTTCTGTTTTAGGATAATCATCTCCAGGCCATTCATATTTCTTGCAAAGGACATGATCTTGTTTCTTTTTATGGCTGTGCAGTATTCCATGGTATATGTATACACCATATTTTCTTTTTCCAGTCTGTCATTAATGAGCATTTAGGTTGATTCCATGTCTTTGCTCTTGTGAATAGTGCTGTGATGAATGTATGTGTGCATGTGTCTTTATGGTAGAATGATTTATATCCCTTTGGGTATATATTCAATCATGGGATTGCTGGATCAAATGAAAGTTTGGTTTTAATTTCGTTGAGAAATTGCAAAACTATTTTCCACAGGGGCTGATCTAATTCACATTCCCATGAACAGCATGTAAGTGTTCCCTTTTCTCTGCAACCTTCCCGGAATCTGTTATTTTTTAACTTTTTAATTATAGCCATTCTGACTGGTGTGAGATGGTATTTCATTGTGGTTTTGATTTGCATTTCTCTAATAATTAGTGATGTTGAATATTGTTTTCATATGCTTGTTGGCCAGCTGTATGTCTTCTTTGGAAAAGTGTCTTTTGATGTTCTTACCCCACTTTTTAATGAGATTGTTTGTTTTTTGCTTGTTAATTTGTTTAAGTTTCTCACAGAATCTGTGTACTAGGTCTTTGTCATATGCATGGTTTTCAAATATTTTCATCCATTCTGTAGGTTGTCTGTTGTAGTTTCTTTTGTTGTACAGAAGCTACTTAGTTTAATTAGATCTTATTTGTCCATTTTTGGTTTTGTTTTAATTGCTTTTGTTGTCTTCATCATGAAATCTTTGCCAAGGTCTATGTCCTGAATGGTATTTTTACCAGGTTATCTTCCAGGCTTTTTGTAGTTTTAGGTTTTACATTAAGTCTTTCATTCATCTTGAATTAATTTTTATATTGCTTTATATTTAAGTCTTTCATTCATCTTGAGTTGATTTTTATATTGCTTTAAGGAAGGGGTCCAGATTAAATCTTTTGCAAATGGCTAGCCAGTTTTCCTAGCACCATTTATATTGTTATTGTAGTCTTGTAGTATAATTCGAAGTCAGGTAATGTGAGGCCTCCAGCTTTGTTCTTTTTGCTTGGTATAGCTTTGGCTATTTGGGTTCTTTTTTGGTTCCATATGAATTTAAAATAGTTTTTTTTCTAATTCTGTGATGACTGGCATTGGTAGTTTGATAGGAATGGTATTGAATCTGTAAATTGCTTTGGCCAGTATGGCCATTTTAACTATAATGATTCTTCCCATTTATGAACATGGAATTTTTTTTTCATTTGTTTGTGTTATTTCTGATTTCTTTCAGCAGTGTTTTGTAATTCTCTTACAGAGGTGTTTTATTTACCTGGTTATTTGTATTTCTAGGTATTTTATTATTGTTGTGGATATTGTGAATGGGATTATGATCTGGATTTGGCTCTCAGCTTGAACACTGTTGGTGGGCTGATGTTCCTTTAGTCTTTGAAGTTACTGTTCTTTGGATGGAGTTTTTTACAATTTTATTTTCTTTGATGCCTTTGGAAGTTTGGTTGTGGTTTGAGGTAGGTTCAGTAGACTGACTTTATTTCTGGAAGGTTTTAGGGGGCCAAGGATCAGCTTAGCACTCCTGGACTGCCTGTTAACTCTGGATGGCTGTACTAGGCCCTCAGCTGCAGTCTCTGGCCCTTTGAGGTTAGGAATCTGATTCACTCGGGGGGCTGAGGTGTCCCAGTCTACTGGCCACAACTCTACAAAGCTGGTGCTGGCAGGGTTTACTCCTGTTGGCTTGGGTGGCACACTGGTGGGAGTGAGCCTGAAGTGGTCCTGTGTATGCTCATGCCTATGGCAGTGGCAGTGTGGCTGGTGCAGGGCGGTGGCAGAGGCAGAGTTGCCAGCGTCCATGTACACATTTGTGCTGTTGGTGGAAGGGTAACAGGGCACTCCTGCATCAGCAAGGGTTTGGACAGTTAGCTCTGTTTGCATCATCTGTGGTGACACAGTGGGATGCATTCACACACACGTACTGGCTGGGTAAGGGAGGTGAGGTCTGCCCACATGGGGAGAGGGAGACTGTAGTGGGTCAAGGCTGCAGGTTGGCTAGTGTGCATCGTCAGGGGCTGGTCTACTGGAGCTCTTCAACAAACAGACACAGTCTTCCAGTGAAGGAGCTATGATGATAACCCCTGGGAAGCAACTTGGTTGGCCATCAGAGGCTGTGCTTCAAGCAGGTACATATAGCCAGGCTGTACCCAGGAGAGGCCAGCAGACAGAGGATGTGCAATTTGGACTGGTCCCATCCCATTTGCAACACCACCATGTTCTGTCCAGGTCCAACAGTCTCTCAAAGGCTGACGTCACTTAGAAGGCCATGGAGAGTCTTTGGGGATGGGCACCCTAGCCATACTCCACTGCAGCTGTTCCTGTCCCAAACCCTGTGGGCTCTGCACAGGCTGGAATCCTGTTTCTTCCATCTCTCTGCCAACTCTCTGCCAGCTCAAGTGTCCGTGGGAGTCATGGGCTGTCTTGTTGCCAGGATTTTTGGGGATTCCTGGTGAGGACAGAGCACTCCTCACCTGTTTAGCTCATTCCGCAGGAGTTGCTGGGGTCCAGGAGCGAGCCCCAGTGCTCAGCAGCCCCCTACAGGGCTCCCAGCTTCCTCCTCAAGTTCAGCCCACTGTCTGTGTCCTAACTGCATCCACTCTCAATGCTTTCCTGCTGAAGATCTGCTCAGAGTTTGCTAGTCTTCCCCATGTCCCTGTCTCTCAGTGTGAGATGTTCCTCCTGGCTGTATCTAGTCGGCCATCTTGGGTCTTGTCCTACTTTCTTTTCAGACTAAATCTTTAGTCTTTTCAAAATCTGTTAATAGAAATATTTGTGCATTTATATTTGTCAAAATATATGTATTCTAAATGTACTTATTATTTATTTCTATTCATCCATTCATTTATTCACACAAGACTTCTTTTTGAAGCTTGCTTAGATTTACCTTCTTAAACAATTTTAATTTTTAATTATTATAGTAATTGTATATATGTATAAAATACACATGATATTTTGATACAAACATGCAATATGTCATAAGAGTAGCTGGGATATCTATCACCTCAACCATTTATCATTTCTTTATGTTGGAAAAATTGTAATTCCACTCTTTTAGTTATTTTGGAATATACAGTAAATTATTGTTAACTATAGTTGCCTTATTGTGCTATCAAACAATAGATATTATTCCTTTTAATGGGTACTGTGTTCATGTACCTGTTAACCATTGCCTCTTCATCTCCCCACTTCCCACTACTCTTCTCAGCCTATTCTCTGTCTCCATGAGTTCAATTTCTTTTTTTTAGCTCCCATATGTGTATTCACTCAAGATTTATTGATTACCAAATTTGATGGATAGAGTTGCCTACAGATTGTGGGAGTAAGAATAATGTAACTAGGAATTTTCTTGAAGTGCCTGCTTTTTGTTTCATATATATATATATATATATATATATGACTTCATCTTCTTGATAACAGTGGGGAGTTTTCAGTGACCACTTCATAATATTTTCCATGATACTGCAAGCTGTGCAATTTAAAGTTATTGGTGGACATACAAGCTTTGTGAATAAAATAACCACAAAGATTGTAAATATTTGAACAAACTTGAGAGTTGTAACCAAATAAAATGCTTATCAGAGCATGGTACCTGTGTTTAAAAATTCAGCTCAATTCAACAAAGATTTACTGAAAACTACCACTGTGTTAGGGCTGAGGATACATAGCTGTAAAAAATGGATCCTGCTTTTGAAAAACTTACTACCTGGGTGCAGGAAAAGAGTAGAAAGGAGGAGTAAGCCAGATCCTAGAGTTGAGAGGAAGTTATAAGGAGAAATGAGGTACCTTTGGGGCTTCTGCTTCTCCATGGAATGTCCTTGTGATAATATATAAGAATCAAGGTAATGCATAGAAAGTCAGAAAAGTTTGAGGTATTATGACACAAACACATTAATTCATATACCAACTAAAGAGGAAATGGTGCTGGCTAGGACTATAGGGGTAACTCATGAGTAAGTAATAAACTAAAGTAGTCATGCTTGATGGAAGATGAAACGCAAGACCTGTGTTTAACTAACATACTTTACTGGCAACTAAGCATAATGTATATGGCCTATAGGAGCTATTGGAGTAGGCTTTTCTCATGTCTCTCAATTTAATATTTATCCTTCCGTATCCTTCAGTACATTTTTTGCCTTAGTTTTAACCCTGAGATGAAAAGAGTCATAGATTCCAGGGTACAGAATTCCTTTTCAACTAGTTTGACTTTTGACAAGGTAAACAGCTTCTAAGATCTTTATACAAGTCATCTGTAAATTGAGTATAATAGTTCTTACTTTACAAGGTTTTTGAAAATATTTTCAGTGATTCATTAAAAACGCTTAGCCTGGCGACTGTTCTGTATTGGATGATAAAGAGATGGTAAACCTGTTAGTTGTACCTTACTATGTCAGCTTTCTGTAGATGAGATCTTTGTTGTTCCTGCTTTGCTTTTTATTTATGCCCAGACTATTTACTTTTGTATTTTTAATATAAAAATGCTATTTTTAAAGCTACATTTGGCCAGTAAGTTTGGAAATATGCAATTACACTTTCTTATTATAATTTAATGGTTGTCATTGTTTCATAACTTGTAAACAGTACAGTTGGCTAAATAGTCTTAGGTAGTGGTGTTCAACCCAGGTGGCATATTAGAATCATCTGGAAAGCTTTCAAAAATGCCAATGTTCAGACACTACCCAAAGTCATTGAATTCAGGATTTCTTGTGGACCTAATTATTATTATTTTGTAACAGCTCTTCATCTCCAACATGGCAATAATAACATCTACTCAGCTTGTCAGAGTAGATCTGATGATTACATTAAAAATATATTCAAAAGTGATTGATAAACAGATAATTAAAATAAAAATGTAGGGTAATATTAAAACATTTTAGAAATATTTACCCTGGTCTTGAGGGGTTTAACATTTACTTAGAGAAAAAGGTTAAAACATAAAAAATTCAAGGTAACATGTCACACACTAAATGGAAGTAACAGAATAATTATGCTAGGAATCCCATCCTAATCACACTGTGTAGGCAATCCTTAATGTATATGAGGCTGTGACCTTGTCTAGTACTTCTCAAATATTTATACCTGGGCTTTCTTTAATGATAAAAGAACAAGAACAATAACCTTTTTGGGGCTGGAGAGGGTTACTAGGAGGGAAGTCTTATCTAGGGTGGTTGTCTAAAACCACTTACCTCAAATGTTTGTTCATTCATCAAGTCATTCAACAAAATGTTTATTACCTAATATGTGCCTTCTGGACATTTTCTTTTTAAAGGCAATTTAGCAGCATGATAAAGTGGGGGTTAATAGTATAAATGCTGGAGCCAGAATATCTGGGTTTGAATTCTGGCTCCACAACTTTCTGATTATCTTATGTTGGGTAAATTCTTAACTTCACTGTGACTCAATATTCTTTATTTTTTAAGAAGGAAGACAATATCGTTAATTACTTCCTAGGGTTGCAGAAAGAGGTTTAATGTATTAATAAGTGTAAATTGATCCAAACTATGTGTGGCTAATAGTAAGAGATAGGTGTGCTTTTGCTAACATCTCTGCATTTTTATTCCGTTATGTTCTTCATTTGTTTTAGTATGAACATAATGTTTTCAGTGTGAACATATGAAGATAATGCTTTAAGTTAGCTATCACCAAATGAAAATGGTTCTCAAAAGAATGGATATATCCTCCTCCTAAGACAGAGTCAAATATATGAATCTCAGTTTTTCAAGGCACTATCTTATTTAAGATTGGTCATTTTCAACAACATGGATTATCTAGAGGATGTTATGCTAAGTGAAATAAGCCAGGCACAGAAAGACAAATACTGTATGATCTCACTTACATTTTGAATCTAAAAGAGTTGAAATCATAGAAGTAGAGAGTAGAATGCTGCTGGTTACCAGAGCATGGGGATGGGAGTGGACAGAGTGTACAAAGTTTCGGTTAGAAGAAATAGGCCTAGTAATAGGCCTGGAAATAGGCCTGTTTTTGCACAACAGGGTGACTATAGTTAATAATAGTGTGTATTGTATTTTTCAAAATAGCTAAGAGTGTATTTTAATTTTAATTTTTTATTTTTTGAGACAGAGTCTCGCCCTTTCACCCAGGCTGTACTCCAGTGGCATGAACATGACTCACTGCAGCCTCAAGCTCCTGGGTTCAAGCAATTCTCCTGTGCCAGTCTTCAGAGTAACTGGAACTGCGGGTGCATTACACCATGCCTGACTAAACGTGGATTTTAAATATTCTCACCACATGGCATGCATCTGTAGTCCTAGCTACTCAGAAGGCTGAGGCAGGAGGATAGCTTGAACCTAGGAGGAAGGGGCTGCAGTGAGCCCTGATGGTACCACTGCACTCAGCCTGGGAGAAAAAGTGAGACCCTGCCTCAAAAAAATTAAAAAATAAATATAAATAAATATATTTACCACAAAGAAATGATAAGTGTTTTGGGGGATGGATATGTAAAATAGCTTGATTTGGTCATTTCATGATGCATACATGTATTAAAACATCATATTGTACCCATACATATATACAATTATTATTTGTCAATTAAAAATAAAATAAAAATTTTAAAAAAACATTAGAAAGGAGGTTAGAGACATAATCAGGGAAGTACAGAAAGCAATGAATGCTTGTATACCAGTGGGTTCTCTCCTAGTTTCCGATCAGGGAAGAAGTCTAGAAGAGTCGTGCTTACTATGTGACCAGAAAGATGAGTAGAGTTAGTGATAAGCAGAGCTTGCAGAAAAGCTGTGGTGTGTAAATGGGTGGGTTGTGTGGAGACTGAGAGTGTTCCAGAGAGAGAGAACACATGAGAAAAATGTCATTTAAAACTGTGACCTTATCAGTGAATAAAGGGTCCAACACCACATAAATGTGGAGGTGCAGTATATACAGAAACTCTTAAGGCTCTTAACAGCCAGAACAATGGGGTAGGGGCAGAACAAGAAATGGAGTTTCTTTGGAAACAGTGTTTTCAGGTGATTGTAACATTAGCATTAATGAGAGGAGTACTAAGTTTTGTGGCAGTGCAGAACAGAAAGAAGTCGTTCAAAGGGGGTTTTAGTGAGAGGAAAAGGGAAGACTATTCAAGGCTTTTGAAGGAGCTGGTATTTGGCATGATTCTTAAAAGAGCAATAGGGTGAGACCTCTAGCTTCTAGAGCCAGGACAGGGCTTTACTACTGTCCTTAACTGTGTGCTGACCTTGCCTTATTTGTTCAGCTAGGATTGTGTCTAAGCAGAGCCTCAGCATCTGTTCTTAACCTCAACTGCAGCCTTATCCTTTTACCCATGTGCCGAACACTCTTGGCTTACCTCCGAGGATCACAGAAGGTAAGAAAAAACAGTCCTACTTTCAAATTCCAGCATAAAAATCAAGTGTAACAGTCGCATGTTAGTTTGTTTACTTTTCATAGTCTGACTTTTGACTGGAGTGATTTCTTGTAAGATGATGGTAAAAGACATGTCACCTGCCAAGATGATCTGTGAGTTATTCTGCAATACCAGATAAGGGCAGAGGATAATAGTAATATTATTAACAGGGATTTCCAGCACTATGCTTAGTGTTTCACATACATGCTGGACAATTCTTACAGGGATTCTACAATCAGGTATTGTTAGTTTCATTTCACACACAAGAAACCTCAGGCATAGAGGCTTTGAGTAACTTCGAGACTAGGGAATGACAGAGCTAAGGTCAATCCTAATTTGAGTTCTTTCCATTATGTCTTGTCTCATTGAGATTCTGTATTTTCACTTAGCTAAATCCAGGTGAGCAAACTAGAGTCCTTTAGATTCTGAGCAATACATGAAATGATTGCTGGTGTTGGCAACAACTTATCTCTGCTTAACACATATACTCATTTTGAAGTGTGTAATAGGCTTGAGAAACATGTCTTTTTTTATTATACTTTAAGTTCTAGGGTACATGTGCACAACATGCAGGCTTGTTACATATGTATACATGTGCCATGTTGGTGTGCTGTACCCATTAACTCGTCATTTAACATTAGGTATATCTCCTAATGCTATCCCTCCCCCCTCCCCCCACCCCACAACAGGCCCTGGTGTGTGATGTTCCCCATCCTGTGTCCAAGTGTTCTCATTGTTCATTTCCCACCTATGAGTGAGGACATGTGGTGTTTGGTTTTCTGTCCTTGTGATAGTTTGCTAAGAATGATGGTTTCCAGCTTCATCCATGTCCCTACAAAGGACATGAACTCATCCTTTTTATGGCTGCATAGTATTCCACATATATGTGCCACATTTTCTTAATCCAGTCTATCATTGTTGGACATTTGGGTTGGTTCCAAGTCTTTACTATTGTGAATAGTGCCACAATAAACATACGTGTGCAGAGAAATATGTCTTGATTAAATAGTGATGTCAGGGGGAGGGGGGAGGGATGGCATTAGGAGATATACCTAATGCTAAATGACGAGTTAACGGGTGCAGCACACCAGCATGGCACATGTATACATATGTAACTAACCTGCACATTGTGCACATGTACCCTAAAACTTAAAGTATAATAATAATAATAATAAATAGTGATGTCATGTATTATATGCAGTGTTGTAAAATGAAGTATGTAAGAAAACAAAAACAGTCATTCTGCTAATCAACAAAAATTCTTTTTTGTCTTTGACTAATTTTGTGTATATGTGTGACTGTGTGTGTGCGTGTTGATTCTTCTTCCCTAAGATTCACTAAGCAAAGCACCGCTGGATAGATATTGATATTTTAAAAGGAGTTGTTAACTTGAGATCACTTTGATGTTCTATGAATTTAATGTGTGCAGATTTACTCTAGGAAAACTTCTCAACCCTTTCTACATAATTATATTTAGAAACTCTTTCCTTTTAATGCAGTAATCTGTGAAAATAACTCTCTCTAGGTTGCCTACCATTTAAACTGCTAGGTTTTGATCCCTGTGGTTGGCTATTGGTTTGGCTTGGAGAAAGAGAAGATAAGTGGCAGGGAATAAAAAGTTCCCACCTAAGTCTCTCAGTATTTAATCATTCTTAAAGATTTGCCCCGAGTGTGAAACAGTGATTCAGAGGTGCTTGACATTTTATTTTGTTATAAGATCAAACAGGCATTTCAAACTATAGATGAGATTGCTTCATTTTAAAATAATCTTATTTTTTGACTGTAAAAGGAAATCATATATATTTTAAAACTTAAACATTCCAGAAATATGCAAAATGATCAGAGAAAGTTTACCCTAATCTTATTCTGCCAGAACAACCACTGATGACAATTTGTGGTAAGTGCCTGCAGATACGTTAACATCTAATGCCATTAGTGTTGATCAATATAAGATCACAGTGCAGTTTTTTTGTAACTTTTTTTTTAACCTAACAATGTGTCTTGAACATCTTTCTATATCAATAATATGGACTTCTCACATATATTTTTTAATGGTTTAGGTGTCCCATTAACTAGATAGATCATAATTCATCTCACCAATTTTTGATTAATAGGCTTCCGCCATATTTTAAAAATTTTGACATAATGAACAATGCTATACTGAAAAACTTTTATCACATTTGTTGCATTATTTTTACCATATTAAATGATTTTTGTTTAGGTTCCAAGCAGGAGAACCAGGAGATTGTTGGATAAAAGCAGAACATTCCATATTACCTGTGGTGTTACTATCTGTATTTTCTCAGGTGAGAAAGCCACAAGATATTAAATAATTTGTTAGAATTACACATTTAAATGTAAACATTCCAGACATACACAGAATGATCAGAGAAAGTTTTCCCTAATCTTATTCTTCCAGAACAACCACTGATGACAATTTGGGGTAATTGCCTGCAGATATATTAACATATAATGTCATTAATGGTGAACAATGTAAGATTGTCGTGTGGTTTGTGTTTTAAACCACACGTAAAATTACACATGGAAAATGTGTGATTTTATTGTTCTGTACATTATCTGCTGTCAGCAACTTAGGATTTTCTTATTAAATAGCTTAGTAGTTCTTTTCCATGTTTTTGAAAAGGGTTGTCTACAGGGAATTACAGAAAATGGATGTGTCTTGTGATTTTTACATTATGATATCCAAAAGTTGGCCCCCAAGCTGATAATGACTATTTCCTGAAAGTAAGTAATTTCATTCCAGTAAGAAATACTGGAAGAAACAGACTAAAAGTTTTCAAGCTCTGAAAGTGATGATGTGATATGAGTTTAAATGCATGAACATTTTATTTTTTATTTTTTTGAAACAGGGCCTGGCACTGTTGCCCAGGCTGGAGTACAGCGGTACAATCTTGGCTAACTGCAACCTCTACTTCCCAGGCTTAAGCCATCCTCCCACCTCAGCCTCCCAAGTAGCTGGGACTACAGGCATGTGCCACCATGCCTGGCTAGTTTTTGTATTTTTTTGTAGAGACGGGCTTTCACCATGTTGCCCAGGCTGATCTCGAACTTCTGAGCTCAAGCAATTTGCTTGCCTCAGCCTCCCAAAGCTCTGTGATTATAGGCGGGTGCCACTGTACCTGGCCAAATGAATGAAAATTACAATGTGAAATACTCATTAGTAGATTAGGATTCCATCCCGAATTATATGTGATCAATATTTCTTTGATATTAATATTTGGTAGAAAAACCAATGTCAAAATTTCTGAAGCTTTATCTTGCTCTTTTCCAAATTAAGAAATAAAGCAATGATCTTTGTGCTATTATAAGCCTTTTTAAAATACATTTTGATCCTGAGCTTTTAGATGATACTTTTCAAATTTTTGGAACAGAAAGTAAGAAACATAGTGATGAAGGACATGGATTCCGAGGAGTCCATGCGTAGGTTCTATCCTCAGTTGCCCTTCTGTTTTAATGTGTGATGTTACCTCTCTGATCCTCAATTTGCTGTTGTTGTTGTTGTTGTTTTTAACTGTAAAATGGATTGACAGCAGGACTTACCTCATAGATTTAAGACTAAAATGAGAAAATGAATAGAAATTTTTAGGATAGAATTAGTAATTGTAATTTACAGTTGCAAGGGTTAATTATTCCAGTGGCATAGCACCTGGTATTTTCACCTGGCCATTATTTGATGACATAGCTGTTTTGATAGCAGGGCCATTTTGACTAATGAATGTTTTGATACAGCTATTGCCAAGAAATTATTTTACTTTTAACTTGGTAAAAAATTGCCAAGCATTGTTGAAATGGGTAACTTCATTGTTTTATCTCTGAATGTCTTCCAATTGGTAGTCCCACCTCTGCAGGTGTTAGATGGGGAGAGGCTCAGGGATAGGATTAGCAGTTCAGTGAGGATGAGATAAGGACCAAGGGTGTAGTAAGGGTTAGAGATAGATTAGGGAGAGGGAGAGTGAAAGGTCAGAAATGGAGGAGGATCAGGAAACCAGCATATTCGTGACTCAATTTGTTCTAAACTATAATCATGTCCAAGTATTCTGGTTCAACTGGAGAGCAACCAAGCAACTGAGCTAGCATGAGCTTGTGTTCCAGAGGGTTTGCATTCTGCCAGTCACTAGTCGTCTGACTTTGGCTACATTACCCTTCTTTAACTTCAGTTTTCTTGTCTGTAAAATAGGGATGACTCTATCTACCACATTGCTTTGTTTTGAGAATCAAATGAGAAAATCTATGTAAAGTGCTTGGTTGAGCTGCTTCCTTGCTGCCTAAAATTAGAAGCCCTGAATTCTTTTGACCTAAGAGGTCCTTTAAAAAGGTGAATATATCCCTTAATTATGTATTTTCTATAGCTGTTACCTACAAATTTTTTTTCAGAGAAATTCAGAAAGAATAGTAATTCTTCTATAGATGACTTTGCATTTTTTAGCCATAGAGTATGTAGTTAATATATAAGCTTTTAATTTAATATGAAAGGATTATTTTACTATACATTTGGGTATTGATGAAGCTATATGACACAGAGAGTTTTGTGTAAATAGTATTTTATACCTGTGCCATAGTTGTGTCACACTTAGACCCCCTTTGTTTTACTACTTTGGAAACTTGTCCTTGCTTGTTATTTAACTCATGTTAGCTTCCTGTCCATTTTTTTTCCTCTTAAAAATTTTTAAAGACTATTTTTCTGTAGGGCAGATTTATGTTCACAGCAAAATTGAGAGGAAGATATAGAGAGTTTTTGTATATCATTTGTCCTCATGCATGTATAGCCTCCCCCATTATCAACATCCCCTGCCAGAGTGGTACAATTTTTTACAATTGATAAATTTACATTAATTGACATATCATTATAACCTAAAGTCCATGCTTTACATCAGGGTTCACACTTGATGCTATACATTCTATGGGTTTGCACAAATGTGTAATGACCTGTACCCACCATTACTGTACCATGCAGAATAGTTCATTGCCCTAAAAATCCTCTGTGCTCTGCCTATTTATCTTTCCTTTCCCACTAACGCCAGACCACCACTGGTTAGTGTTTACAGTCTCCATAATTCTGCCTTTTCTAGAATGCAATATAGTTGGAATCATGCTATATGTAGTCTTTTCAGATTGGCTTCTTTCACTTAGTAATATGAATTTAAGTTTCCTTTGTGTCTTTTCATGGCTTGAGAGTTCATCTTTTTATAGTGGTAAATAATATTCCCTTATCTGGATGTACCACAGTTTTTTTTTTATCTATTCACCTATTGAAAGACATGTTGGTTGCTTCCAGATTTCGACAATAATGAATAAAGCTGCTGTAAACATTAATGTGCCTGTTTTTGTGTGGGCATACATTTTTAGTTCCTTTGGGTAAATATCCAAGAGTATGAGTGCGAGATCATGTGGTAAGAGTATGTGTAGTTTTTAAGAAACCACCAAACTCACTTCCAATATGGCTGTACCATTTTTTGCATCCCCCACCTGCAATGAATGACAGTTTCTGTTGCTGTGCAATCTCACCAATATTTGGTGTTGTCAGTATTCTGGATTTTGGTCATTCTAATAGGTACGTAGTGGTAACTTGTCATTTTAATTTGCATTTCTCTGATGTTATATAATGTGGATCATCTTTTCGTGCTTGTTTGCCATCTGTATATCTTCTTTGGTGAGGTATCTATTGAGATGTTTGGCACATTTTTTTAATTGGGTTGTTTGTTTTCTTGTTATTGAATTTTAAGTGTTCTTTGTATATTTTGATAATAATCCTTTATCGATATGTCTTTTGCAAATGCTTTTTCCCAGTCTGTGGCTTATCTTCTCATGGTGTTCAAAACGTCTTTTGCAGAGCTGAAATTTTAATTTTAATGAAGGCCAGCTTATTAATTCTTTCTTTCATGGATCATGTCTCTGACATTGTATCTAAAAAGCCAACACCAAACCCAAGCTCATATAGACTTTTTCCCGTGTATCCTTTGAGGAGTTTTATGGTTTTGCATTTTACATTTGGGTCTCTGATTCATTTTCAGTTAATTTTTGTGAAGGGTGTAAAGTCTATGACTAGATTTATTTATTTAAATGTGAATGCTTCCTTGTTTCAGGTCCATTTGTGACAAACGCATTTTCTTCTTTGTATTGCTTTTGCTCTTTTGCCAAAGATCAATTGACTGTATTAATGTGGGCGTATTTCTGGGCTCTCTATTCTGTTCCATTAATCTATTTGTCTTTTCTTTTGCTAATACCATACATTCTTGATTACTGTAACTTCATAGTAAGTCCTGACTCTTCCCCTACTTCTAATTTGATTACTTGAAGGACCTTATAAATCTTTTAAATAACTTTCAGGCATTTTAGCATTCTAATCCTCTCTCACTTTCATTATTTTTGTGTGTGTGTGTGTGTGAGTACCTTAGAACTCTAAGCCCTCTACATTTTACATTATGGGTTGTGGGAAATTATAGAGTTTTCTAGATTCCAGGCTATGTCTTCTTTTGAACCATTGCACTACACATATTGTGAACTATAATGGTTTACTAAGCAATTTCAGATCACTTATCTCATTAAGCCTTTTGTTTCTGTCACCATCATTTTACAGAGAAGTAAATTAAGGCCCCTGAAAGGCAAATAATATGGCCAAGATCACAAATTTTCCAGCGAGTTACCTGTTGTATTTTCAATACATTAAAATGTGGTGTTAATTCACACCTTATTTTGCCTACAAGCAAAGCTTGAGCAAGGGGGAAGGTGTGATGGGCCCGTGCACATCTCAATTTCTCCTTCCTTACCCAACCTCCTCAAAATAATTTTTATTACCCTAGCTTTGCCAAAATGAGTTCATCTTCACATCTCTAGTAATTTCCTAACACTGCTATTATTTATGTGAGCTCTAAGTCAGTCGAGCCCTTTGTTTATTGTGATTATTGTTTTCCTGAATTTTGTCCCATGAAGTGATTCCCAACACTTTTTCTGTTGGGTTAAGAATATTATGATTTAAATCTGTGGATTGTGAAAAATTTCTACTAGTTGAAAGTCTTTCAGTGGCCTATAATTTACCTTATGGGGTAGGGAAGTATGCAAGATATGTATTAATAGCAGATTTGGAACTATGGAAGAGGTGAAAGATGTGGAATACCTAAAATATCAGGGAGGTGCTCAAGTAAATAAATACTCATATCATTAGATGCATATTTATGTGTGTGTGTGTGTGTGTGTGTGTGTATGTGTGTTAGGGGGAGGATGTGTGTGTGTATGTGTGTGTGTGTGTGTGTGTGTGTGTTTCTCTTATCCCTGACTTACTAGGGTTGTTTCATTACAGCCTTTGAAAATTTGGTAAACTGTCTATAGTTCAGTTTTTTGTGTCTTTAAAACTTCACCTTTCAATGTAATATTTCATTGTCCACATAGCTGTCAAAGTTTGGCCCTGTATTTACTTAGGGAGAGGAAGAACTGAGTCCTTGACATAGAGCATATATGCAAATCCCACTAACTTACCCCTGGTGTAATTCTGTAGGCGTGCATGTGGCTGCCCATCTGGTGAATGCCCTCAACTTCTCAGTGAATTACAGTGAAGACTTTGTTGAACTGAATGCAGCAAGATACCGAGATGAGGTGGGTGGTCTCTGTCTTCCCATTTTTCTTTCACTTGTCATGAGATGACTAATGAGGGTCTGTGATTTTTCCCTGAAAATTTGTACCTTACTGCTCCTTTTGAGTGCTTTTAAAATGCAGTTGTCAAGTTGAGCTTTATTCCTTTTCAGTAGAAAATATAAGTAATTACTATTTCATAGTGTCTCCTGCTGAAAGTGAGAGTTGGTAGAATGTCTACTTTTTATATTGCAATGTTCAGATGGTTGCCACTCAGGTCTGCCTCTGACTCCCAGCAGCTTTTGTCTAATTCCTATCATTCAGCTGAGAGTGTTGACAGTGCCGTTACAGGGTAAAAATACTTTATAATTCACATACTGGGTTTTGGGGAAAAGGGAAGAAAAGTAGGTTGATTTTTTGTGAATCCTGGACAAATCAATTTATTTGACTTAAAAAATGTTAGTGAGTTTTCATGATTCATTCATTTAAAAACATTCCTCGAATTAAGTGATGTTGAATTCAATTCTGTAGCAGGCAATATCTGACGTAGAGTGCTTTTCTCCATGTGAAGCCATCCATGAAATGAAATTATATTTGCAAGGTGCAGCCCAGAGCCTGATGAACAGCACATGCTCAGCCAGTTAGGTCTCTGTTGGTTGATGCTTTCATACAGTCCTCAGGCTGCCTTTGCTTCACAATGCCAAGACTACATCAAAAACAAACTGTTCTGTCCCATTTAAATCAGCATCCCCCCCCCTTATTTTCCTGTTCTGCAGACTAAGTTTGGTAGTGACTTATTAACTTTTTTCCCCACCTTCCCCACTCCTTTTTCCCCTCCACATATCACCAGAGTTTTCTAGGTTTAATACTGTTGTGTTCATGTGTTTGACCTCCATCTCAAAACAAAACAGAGGAAAAAGTAACAACAAATTCAGAAACAAATCACAAAACCAAAATAGCCAGCAACTTTTGATATAGCCCTTGTCTCTATTGGTATTTTAAAAAATACCAACATGATCTAATTAGTCTTGGATGGGAGGCAGGCATTGATAATTTGTAAAAATTTACCAGGCTTGTAGAGTGCATCCAGCACTGAGAACCACTGAAAAATTCCCGCTCCTTAGCAGGCCAGTGACAGCGCTTCACATGTAATTTCAGACCCAGCCTCCACTTCTGCCCATCTCACTTCCACCTGCTTCCCTTTCTCCTGCTGCCCTCTGCTCAAATCACTAGCTACTTGTTTCCTGCCCCTGTTCCAACATTTCCTTTGTTTCTCTTTTCCTTCTTTTCTTCTCTTTTCAGAATTCATGTCTTTAATAACTTTAATGGTTTTCTCATTTTAATGGAATAAACTTTTGCTTAAGTTCCAATATTTTTAGTGATTTCAAAATTTTCAGTTATTAAATTTATTTTCTTTGAAAAGTTATACATGCTCAATATAAAATATTTTAAAACTCTCAAGTAAATGAAGTTAAAAGTGAAAGCTTCTCCTCCAAAACAAGCCACAGTTTATTATGTTTTTTTCTGATATTTTGAGTCGCATTTTATGGTATATATTCCTTGGCGATTTACTTGTTTGCATAAATATACTTTTATAGCTTATTGTATCAACATATCTTAATCTATCTCATTCTCTCCATATGACTATGCCATAATTTATTTTTAGTCTTTTTCTTATTCAGACATTTAGATTGATTCTAGGGTTTTGTTCTGAACCACACTCCAGTGAATGTATTTCTTTGTCCTCTTCTACACAGATCTGTAGTTGTAGAATTTTGGTTTAAAAGGTTGTACATTTTTAGTTTTGATGGACAGTGCCAAATTCCTTTTTAAAAAGTCTTCTCCTGTTTTCACACTTCTAACTAATATTAGAATGCCTATTTCTACAACTCATCTCTGTTTTTTTTTCCCAATCTAAGGGATGAAAATGGCAACTCAACGTTTTAAGTTAGTATTTCCCCTGCCTTTATTTCTTCTTGTATTCCTTCTTTCATGTCTCTCTTTATGCTTTTTTCTCTCTTTTTAATAAATATGTATTTAGCATCTAATAGGTACAAGGCCATGCATTAGATGTAGATGAAAATAAGTGTATATATACTTATGTATTTAAATATTATGTAAATAAATATATGGCATATCTATTATATATAGATTATATTTTATATATTGATATATTTATATATTGATTATATATATATATATATATATATAGTCAACACATATGTTATTTTGTGAAGCACTTTTGAAAAAGATGGTTTTGTGCCAATATACCCTATTGTTCTTCTTTTATGCTTTTACTCTGCATGCAAGGACTCACCCTCCACCTTGTGACTGCTGCACTTCCTTGATAGCCCGGCTAAATCTGCCTCATCTTGCCACTGTGAAAACATCTCTCACTCTCATGTTTCATTTTCTTTCTCTAGCAATATTAATTGTTCCATCTTCTGGGTTTTCTTAGGTATTTATTCACATTTCTATTCTTACCACTTTGTTCAGCCCATATGATATTTTTATGGGTTGTTTATATATTCAGTTTTCTTAGATCACCCTATAGCCATGTTTCTAATAGTTGGAATAGAAGTCAATTGAATTAAGCCAGGTGAGGAGCTATTCCTAAGCAAGTGGTCCTTATTCAAAGACCCCCAGATGACACTATATCAATCGTTTCCTTCTTAGTACATAGTCTGGCCTGACCCCAGATTCAATGGAGGCACACAGAAAGAAATTCAAAAGCTTGTGAAATATTAAGCACCACGGGGATAAAAAATAAATCCACAAATCTAGTGGCGATTGGTTTTCCAGAAGGTAGAAGGGTGCTGACTATAACCATTAGAGCATAAGAGATGTAGTTTAAAGGAAATCATACAATATTTTAGCAATATTAATGTTTCATATTTCTAAGTAGCAGAAACTGGTTTTTATTTGAGTATCCTCACCACTTTTCACTATATTTGAAACACAGAAAGCTCTCAATTAGTCTTCTTCGTACTGAGCTTACAATGCGCAAATCCCCTACATATTTTATTGGTTTTTAATTCTGTCTTCACATCTTGTGATGCAGTTTCACGGTTTTGGTAGACAGAGTATATAATAATAGTTTAACATCATGGCTAAGATATTGAGTTTCAAAATGGTCAAAGATGGGCTTAAAACCAGTGCCACCAGCTTGTAGGTAACCATTAAGAATAATTTCTGGGCCTTTTGAGTCATCCAGTATTTTGCCTCAGATGGATAGATTTCTCTGAATTGGGTTTTTACTTGTTGTAATCTCCTCTAGCATTGTGAAAATGTTATGAAACTTAATCGAGTCTTTCTCACTTCCGTTGGATGAACAGTATTTTACATGACAAGTATGTGGTTTGTAGATCCTGCATACTCTTTATAGAATTATATATCATCAGTGCTTTAGTTTTTAATCATTTATTTTTTTTTCTTTTTCTCAGGATCCTAGAAAACTTCTCTTCACAACTGGTAAGTTGTTATTCTTAGCCTTTTCTTTAGGTTTAGGAACATCTTTAAAAGTAGGCATTATCGGACTGGGCGCAGTGGCTCATGCCTGTATTCCCAGCACTTTGGGAGGCTGAGGCGGGCGGATCACCTGAGGTCAGGAACTCGAAACCAGCCTGATCAACATGATGAAACCCCATCTCTACTAAAAACACAAAAAATTAGCCGGGCATGGTGGGTGGCAAGTGCCTGTAATCCCAGCTACTTAGGAGGCTGAGGCAGGAGAATCACTTGAACCCAGGAGGCAGAAATTGCACTGAGCTGAGATCGCGCCACTGCACTCCAGCCTGGGCGTGACAGAGTAAGACTCCGTCTAAAAAATAAAAATAAAAATAAATAAAATAAAACTAAGCATTATCAAATTACACAACAATTAGATATATGTTACAAATATAACATATGGACAATTTGCATGTAAGAATAAATATTTGGAGTTAAAGGATAAGGTTGCAATGAGAACAGAGACAATGCAAACATTGGGGTGTGAATAAATGGAGAGTAAAAATAAGCAAATACATTTCACTGTCGTATATTCTTCCAATCAAAACAATGCAACCGCATTCTTATTGAGGGCCTGCTTTGTGCCTGCTGCTGTGGCAAGTGCTGTAGGAGATAATGCATGTTTAACAGGCTCCTGCCCTCAATGTATTGGAAAGGAACACCAAGCACTGTGGGTATCCATGGAGTTCTTATAATTCAGTAATTTAGTGCAACTTTTTTTAATCTTAAAATTTACAACAAAGAGGAGAAACAGTCATTAAAATAAGTTATTTCTTTGAAATGTGTCTCCTATTTCATTTGTAATTTATTTTTCCTTTTCAAGCTTATTGTCCATGAAATCTCAGTCTAGACTATTAATTTGTTAAAGCACGTTTGAACATCTCAAAATTTCCCCTGATGTTAAACAATTTTTGCTAAAAGTCTTCTTTTTCCCAACCTTAGATTTATAAAGATGAAAGAATAAAGATGCATTTGGGGAATTTTTAGCACATATTTCAGGGACAAGGATGATTGCATAGTTGAGATGCTCTATCATAAATTGTTGGGTGTAATACCCAATTAAGTATTGGAATTGCACATGGGACTGAGGCACATTACCCTGGCAAATGCATTATTTTTCTTTTGAATCAATTTTATGATGAAACGTCACAATAATTCTAGTGCTTTCCCCATCCATGTCACAGCTATATATTTAGATTTATAAGATACATTTTACTTTTGTCTATAGATTTATAATACTTGCCACTTGCAAAGTATTTCACAGTTTTCTCTTTAGGAACACAATTTAGTTTTGCTTTCAACTTTGCTCATTGAAAACATGTTTTCATTTAGGCCTGAAGAATTGGGTGAGAACAAAAAGTACAGAAAAAGAAAACTTTACGTATCAACCAATGTATTTTTTGGTTTACAGTGAATTCATTTAAGAGAGAGAAACAAAAGCTTTGTTTAATATTATTTTCTAAAACATAAAGTTTAATTGAAGCCTTGGAACCTTTAAAATGCTTTGAAAAGTTTAGTTTACAAAGACACAAAGAGATTTGTTATGTGACTAAGCTATCACATTAAGGCACTAATATTATTATACTATTAGTAGTATTATTATTAGTATTGTTACTATTAGCACTATTATGATTATACTAATATTACTAATATTATATTAATAATATAATATATAATTATATATTATATATTATTATATATAAAATAATATATATTATATTATTATATATATTTTATATTATATATTATATATATAATATATAATATATTATATATTATATATATAATATATAATATATTATATAATATATATAATATATAAGATATTATATAATATATATAATATATAATATATTATACACTATATATTATTATATTATTATATTATATTATATTATATATAGTATTATATATAGTATATATGATATAATAATATAATAATATATAGTATATTATATATTATTTATAGTATATATAGTATATAATATATAGTATATATTATATAGAGTATTATATATAGTATATAATATATACTATATATTATATATAGTATTATATATAGTATATAATATATAGTATATATTATATTATATATAGTATATTATTATATATAGTGTGTAATATATAGTATATATAGTATATAATATATATGCTGTATATTATATAGTATATATAGTATATAATATATATGCTGTATATTATATAATATACATAGTATATATTATATTATAATTATATATTATATATTATTTATATTATAATTATATATTATATATTATATATATTATATAATATATAGTATATATAGTATATAATGATATATACTATATATAAGCAAGTTTAACATCTCAAAATATTTTATATGTAGTATATATATTATTATATATTATATATAATAATAATATATTACTATGTTATACTAATATACTAATAATACTAATATTATTATACTAATAACTAATACTTCTTATAAGCAGGTAATCTCACTACCTAGCATGCAACCCTATCATCCTATGTCCTTTCCCAGAGGTCCCCATGAGTGGTGTTGGACTTAGTAGAGAAGACACTTAATACAAATTTCCTGGGTCTACCTTAGTGTGTGTCTGGGAAAGACTTGGCAAAGTGTTTTACTAACCTTCCCAGGTACTTTGGGAGCTGCTGTCCTGTCACTACTGAACATCTCATCATACTCTTGAGCATACCGTCTCGCTACTGCCTGCCTTTTGTATTAGGTATTTATTGTAAGTAACCGAGAGATAATTTAAAGTATGTGAGAGGATGTGCACATGTTATGTATAAATACTTGAGCATTCTCAAACTTGGTATCTGTGAGGGGTCCTGGAACCAATCGCATGGATATTGAAGGATGACTGTAAAAATACTGTGTTGTAGAATAGTTTATTTCCTTACATGTACTGTCTTTTCCACTTGTAGGTGAGCTTCTCTTGGGTTGGGAAGGGCTGCTTCTAGAGTATGCAGGGTCCTAGGTAAACATTTTTTTATGGCCTCTGGCAATAAAAACAATTTGACTCACCCAATTCAGCAAATTAGCACCATTTTGGTGGCCCATTCTCACATAATTTCAAGAAAAGAAGTACTATGCTGGCCAGCAGGAGGCATCCACTTCCCAGGTCATCAGTCTGGAACTGGGCTCAGACACAGGGCTCCCTAAGCGTGAGTCTGGAGCTCCTAAGGCATCTGTTTGTCCCCACTGAAGACTAGCAGGTGACAGTGCAAAGTAGAGTCTAAGGATGGTAATGGCATGAAAGACACCTTTTTCTATCAATGAACTGAATCCAACTTTATATCACTAATGTTGACTAAAACTATTCCACAGCCATCTCTGAATGTTCTCAGGCACAGCATCTAGGAAACATTGCCTCAGCCTCCCAAGTAACTGGGATTACAGGTGCCCGTCACCATGCCCGGCTAAGTTTTTTGTATTTTTTTTTTAGTAGAGATGGAGTTTCACTATGTTGGCCAGGCTGGTCTTGAACTCTTGACCTCATGATCTGCTTGCCTCAGCCTCCCAAAGTGCTCAGATTACAGGCGTGAGCCACTGCGCCCAGCTGATAAAGAGTATTTTTATTAGTTAATAGATTTCATGGATTTTTGTTTGTTTAATATTACATAGAGTCTTCTATCTCTGTGTGTTGGAATTTTTTTCAATGGAATCTAGTATTGACAAATTAAGATTGTCTTGTAAAAAATAAAGTCTTTGGTTATACAAGTGACATAAAATATAGTGGCTAAACTTACTACATAAGAAATGTTATAAACATTCCAATTAAGGATTTCTAAGGTAAGATTAATAGATTGAATTATTTAAATGTTCATTTAAAAATGCTTACTATATATCTCCAAATTTGGTAGTAGCTTTTATGGTGAGAATAAAATGGATAATATCTAACTTTAATTTTAAAAACCCTCAGAAACAAATATAATTATGTTTCCAATTATGTTAGTAAAATAGGATAATGAATAGATAATGGTATATTTCTGACCACATCTGGGTATGGATGAAAACAATCTCTCAGGTTCATCTAGAAATTACAATGTCATGCAATTATTCATTTTAAAAGCTACTAATTAATAAATTTAATATGCATAAATATAAAGCCATAAGAATAAACATGTAAACATGTATTTTGCTAAGGAAACAAGTATAGGTTTGGCTTCCTAACTTGAAGGACTAAAAAAATTCACAGGAGAATCAAGGTACTTCACTTGGACAAGCAACTTTGCCCGGTGAGATTAGACTAGCCCAGTGATTTCCAGCCGGTGTTTTCAGACTCTTGGAATGTGTTGTAATAAGGCTAATATATTGGGATTTAGCTGAGCTGTCAACCAAGGCTAGCTTAGGGTGCCCTTTGATGTGCCCTGAAAGCACTCAGTGCTTAGCTCTCTTTACAGCACTTAATGCCGTGTGTTGCAATTTCCTGCTTAACTTGTCTGTCTCCACCAGTGGACTGGGAATTTTTGTAGAGCAGAATTTATTTTATCTCTAGCATTTAACATCTAACAGTACACTGTATATGCCTACAAACTGTTCACTGAATGAATAAAAGTCATTTGTTTAACTCTTTTATTTGATGCATAGATCTTCTTGTAATATCCCAGATAACAGTTACCCCTGACTTTTTGATCACTCTGATTATAGTATGCTTTTCTGCCCTTGCTAATTGTAAGTTCTTCTTCATTGATCTGAAATCTATTACTTTATTAATTGTACACTTTGGTCTTTTTTACTTTTGAGAAATAAGAAGGAAAAACAAATTCTTTAGATAAAAGAGATAACTTTATAAATCTGAAGGAACATGGAAAATCTTCAGATTTATTCTCCTTAGTTTGCAGATGAGATTCAGTGAGATTGGAGTTTTGTGTAAGGGACAGTAACAAGAGTATAATCCCAGACCATATACATCATTGGCTGGGTCGTCTGGCCCTTCTATTTTATCCTCAAATGACTGAAGTAAACTATTTTACTTCCTCTAAGTCTTTCCAATATGTTTTCATGTTCTGACCTAAAAGCAATACTCTGATCTAATAAGTTTAAGAAAATATTTAAGTTTAATCAGGTTTCTTGAATTTAATACTTCTCAGAGACTTTTATACATTAATGTACCCTGTGACTTTTTAAGGAATGGTTATAGTATTTTTAGTAATAGAAACTAATATTTCAAGGAATTAATTTTCAAATAATACACTTTGGAAATTGTGGCTCTATTCTAAACATACTCCATTTTTCCAGGTGTTCTTTCGATGAAGTAATTTGCAGACATCCCATGACTAATTTTGGCATGTTCAAAACTATATAGGAAAGTGTATGCAGACATAGAAGAACACTAATAAAGGCCCAATAAAATATTGGAAAGGCCCCTCTAACTATAATTTCACACTATGTAGCCATCTGGGATTCTATCATTTAGTTATTCATGTGGACAAATAAAGGTTTTCTTTTTTAACACTTGAAAACAGTGAGACTGACCTCTTCTTTTTTCTCTCAAATTTATGAAATTATAATTGAAGTACACTAATTATACACATGTATACAATTTGATTGGTTTTGATACATACATATATACACATACATACACAATAGTGGAACCATCATCAAAAGTTAGATGATAAATATTTTTATTATCACAGAATATTTTTGTGCTCTTTTATAACGCATCTTGCCCTCTACCCCTCCTAGCAACTGATCTGCTTTCTATCACTGAAGAATAGTGTGAATTTTCTGGAATGTTATATACAAGGAATCATAGAATTTGTACTTTTTCAGGACTGGAGTGGTTTAGCTTCTTTTATTCAGTCTAACAATTTTGTGATTCATGTATATTGTTGCTTATCTATCAACACTTTATTTTTTTTTTATTGCTGATTAATTTTCCAGGTACAGATAAGTACCACAATTGTTTATCCATTAATCTGTTGATGAATATCAGAGTCGTTTATAGACTTTGACTGTTAAAAATAAGTAGCTATGAACATTCTTAAACAAGTCTTTGCATGGATATATGTTTGTTTCTTTTGGGTAAACACTTGGAAGTGCAATGGCTGGGTTACTTTGCAGGCATGCTATTTTTCCAAAATAGTGTATTTTTCATGCTGCTAGTTCTTTAGAGTGAACTAGACTAGTTATCTTACCCATCTCTTACAACTGGGAAGTAAGCACTCACTGTAGGAAATGGAAAAATCATGAAAAAGGAAGTACTTTTCCTCTAGGAAGGAAGCGTAAAGAAGAAATGATTTGGATTAGGTACATTAGGGAAGGGCACCTTTTGTTAGGCTTCTAAAACTGTCTACTGGGAAAGTGAGGAGGTGCGAGTACTCAAGTGCTGAGAACCCATAGACTAATTCTCTTATTTTTCATGTGGTGCTTTATAAGTGAAATTTGTTTCTACTGTACTGAGATTTCGAATGCTGTTATTTTCCAGTGATTCTAACTCTGGAATCCTAATGATACACACCTGTGTTGCTCTTACATTGTACACAAGGTGTCTGCTTCTGCTGGTGGCTCATAGTCTATGACAGACCTTCTATTTCATAGTAGTTTTCTTGACAAGGAAAGAAGCAGAGGAATGTCACTTTTCCAGATGGAATTGTCCCAATAGCTTTTCTTTGTAGTCTGATTTAAGATTATCTCAGATGGGATATTCAGGACTTACTGTTGCTTGTGAGAGTAAACAAATGTAACTTATTGACAGGATATTTAATTTTGTAATAATACAATACTAAAGGAGACCATTGACACTTTAGCTGTTTAGGATATTGTTTTTCAGTTAGCTATTCATTTTGGACATGCTATATGTGCTAATGTTGGATTTGTAGCAATCTATCCTGCCATTATAATTTTGACAATATATTTGCACATTTTATTATTTTAAAAAAACAAATGTTATGCCATATCTGAAGCACTTGATTTCAACATATTTTTCATACTAAGGAGAAATATGTCTGCAAGTATTTTTAAAACATCAACATTGTAGTTTATTCTAGAAACCTCCAATTTTTGTTCTGTGTTTTGTGATTTTTGAAAACACTTTAGGCTTTATTTTTTGTTTAAAATTATTCTAGTTAGTGAAGCCTAAAAGCAGTTAATTGAAATTGAAACTGAAGGCACTGCTTAGTTTCATAAGAGGAAGGAGAGCATGAGGGAGATTTAGTACTATGGTGTTTAAAACCAAAACAGAAAGAGTGCTGAAAGTTAACCCTGTCCTGTTGCATTAATTACTGATGTTTAGTGTATACTTTTAGAAGTAAGTACCTATTTGCCATTCTGAGTAGAATATTTGGGAATTAAAAAAAATGGAATATTCTGTAAAATAGATAAAAGATCCTGATTGGTCTAAACGACTTTGAAACTGTACTGATTTTAATAAGTTCTGGTGTTCTGTACCACTGTAGAATGACTATAGTAAGCAATAATGTATTATATGCTTTCAAATAGCTAGAAGAAGGATATTGAATGTTCCCAACACAAAGTAATAATAAATGTTTGAGATGATGGATGGATATGCTAATTACTCTGATCTGATCACTTTTACTTTATATGTATGGAAACATCACTATGTACTCCATAGCTATGTATAATTATTATCTGTCAATCAAAAATTAATTTAAAAAATTAAAAAGTAAAGGGCTTGTTTGAGGGAGAACATACATGTAGATGTGGGATTTGAATTAGGCTTCCCACAGAACAGCACAGTATTTCGGATTCTAATATAATCATTTTTTGTATTTTTTTCTCACTATGATTTAAGTAAAAACCTACTTGTATACATTTTTATAGTTCCTGGCCTGACAGGGGTCTGCATGGTGGTGGTGCTATTCCTCATGATCACAGCCTCTACATATGCAATAAGGTAAGTGTCAGAATCAATTATTTTGATGTGTATCTGTCAGGTTATTTAGAAAAAGTCTTGAGTAATCAAAATGTTTAACCATTGTAGTGTCCTGGTTAATGGACTATTCTGGGTAAGTAAGAGTGAAGTATAGCTGTTTCTATACATGACTTCTTGTTTCTGAAAGTTCTCTTGTATTAGCAAATTTTCTGGATTGGTAAGAAATTGTGTATGGAGACTGCATTTGATGATCAAAAGAATTAGAGTTCTTCAGAATTTGAGTATCTTTTGAAGGATAGTGTATCTCTATGGGACACGGGATTGAAATCAATGTGTACATATGGGGACCTTAGAAATTCCTAGGAATATGTGACTTAAAATTATTTTATTTTATTATTTCATTATTTTTAAGATTTAACATTGTGATTTTATTTTATTTTATTTATTTTTTTATTATTATACTTTAAGTTCTAGGGTACATGTGCATAATGTGCAGGTTTGTTACATATGTATACATGTGCCATGTTGGTGTGCCGCACCCATTAACTCATCATTTACATTAGGTATATCTCCTAATGCTGTCCCTCCCCCTCTCCCAACCCCACAACAGGCCCCGGTGTGTGATGTTCCCCTTCCTGTGTCCAAGTGTTCTCATTGTTCAGTTCTCACCTATGAGTGAGAACATGTGGTGTATAGTTTTTTGTCCTTGCGATAGTTTGCTGAGAATGTTGGTTTCCAGCTTCATCCATGTCCCTAAAAAGGACATGAACTCATCCTTTTTTATGGCTGCATAGTAATCCATGGTGTATATGTGCCACATATTCTTAATCCAGTCTATCATTGATGGACATTTGGGTTGGTTCCAAGTCTTTGCTATTGTGAATAGTGCCGCAATAAACATACGTGTGCCTGTGTCTTTATAGCAGCATGATTTATAATCCTTTGGGTATATACCCAGTAATGGGATGGCTGGGTCAAATGGTATTTCTAGTTCTAGATCCCTGAGGAATCGCCACACTGTCTTCCACAATGATTGAATTAGTTTACAGTCCCACCAACAGTGTAAAAGTGTTCCTGTTTCTCCACATCCTCTCCAGCACCTGTTGTTTCCTGACTTTTTAATGATCACCATTCTAACTGGTGTGAAATGGTATCTCATTGTGGTTTTGATTTGCATTTCTCTGATGGCCAGTGATGATGAGCATTTTTTCATGTGTCTTTTGGCTGCATAAATGTCTTCTTTTGAGAGGTGTCTGTTCATATCCTTTGCCTACTTTTTGATGGGGTTGTTTGTTTTTTTCTTGTAAGTTTGAGTTTTTTGTAGATTCTGGATATTAGCCCTTTGTCAGATAGGTAGACTGCAAAAATTTTCTCCCATTCTGTAGGTTGCCTGTTCACTCTGATGGTAGTTTCTTTTGCTGTGCAGAAGCTCTTTAGTTTAATTAGATCCCATTTTCAATTTTGGCTTTTGTTGCCATTGCTTTTGGTGTTTTAGACATGAAGTCCTTGCTCATGTGTATGTCCTGAATGGTATTGCCTAGGTTTTCTTCTAGGGTTTTGATGGTTTTAGGTCTAACATTTAAGTCTTTAATCCATCTTGAATTAATTTTTGTATAAGGTGTAAGGAAGGGATCCAGTTTCAGCTTTCTACATACAACTAGCCAGTTTTCCCAGCACCATTTATTAAATAGGGAATTCTTTCCCCATTTCTTGTTTTTGTCAGGTTTGTCAAAGATCAGATGATTGTAGATGTGTGGTATTATTTCTGAGGGCTCTGTTCTGTTCCATTGGTCTATATCTCTGTTTTGGTAGCAGTACCATGCTGCTTTGGTTACTGCAGCCTTGTAGTATTGTTTGAAGTCAGGTAGCGTGATGCCTCCAGCTTTGTTCTTTTGGCTTAGGATTGTCTTGGCAATGCAGGCTCTTTTTTGGTTCCATATGAACTTTAAAGTAGTTTTTTCCAATTCTGTGAAGAAAGTCATTGGTAGCTTGATGAGGATGCAACTGAATCTATAAATTACCTTGGGCAGTATGGCCATTTTCACGATATTGATTCTTCCTATCCCTGAGCATGGAATGTTCTTCCATTTGTTTGTGTCCTCTTTTATTTCGTTGAGCAGTGGTATGTAGTTCTCCTTGAAGAAGTCCTTCACATCCCTTGTAAGTTGGATTCCTAGGTATTTTATTCTCTTTGAAGCAATTGTGAATGGGAGTTCACTCATGATTTGGCTCTCTGTTTGTCTGTTATTGGTGTATAAGAATGCTTGTGATTTTTGCACATTGATTTTGTATCCTGAGACTTTGCTGAAGTTGCTTATCACCTTAAGGAGATTTTGGGCTGAGATGATAGGGTTTTCTAAATGTACAATCCTTTCATCTGCAAACAGGGACGATTTGACTTCCTTTTTTCCTAATTGAATATCCTTTATTTCTTTCTCCTGCCTGATTGCCCTGGCCAGAACTTCCAACACTATGTTGAATAGGAGGGGTGAGAGAGGACATCCCTGTCTTGTGCCAGTTTTCAAAGGGAATGCTTCCAGTTTTTGCCCATTCAGCATGATATTGGCTGTGGGTTTGTCATAAATAGCTCTTATTATTTTGACATATGTCCCATCAATCCCTAATTTATTGAGAGTTTTTAGCATGAAGGGTTGTTGAATTTTGTCAAAGGCCTTTTCTGCATCTATGGAGATAATCATGTGGTTTTTGTCTTTGGTTCTGTTTATATGCTGGATTACATGCATTGATTGCATGTGTTGAACCAGCTTTGCATCCCAGGGATGAAGCCCACTTCATCATGTTGGATAAGCTTTTTGATGTGCTGCTGGATTCGGTTTGCCAGTATTTTATTGAGGATTTTTCCATCGATGTTCATCAAGGATATTGGTCTAAAATTCTCTTTTTTTGTTGTGTCTCTGCCAGGCTTTGGTATTAGGATGATGCTGGCCTTATAAAATGAGTTAGGGAGGATTCCCTCTTTTTCTATTGATTGGAATAGTTTCAGAAGGAATGGTATGAGCTCCTCCTTGTACCTCTGGTAGAATTCGGCTGTGAATCCATCTGGTCCTTTTTTGGTTGGTAGGCTATTAATTATTGCCTCAATTTCAGAGCCTGTTATTGGTCTATTCAGGGATTCATCTTCTTCCTGGTTTAGTCTTGGGAGGGTGTATGTTTCCAGAAGTTTATCCATTTCTTCTAGATTTTCTAGTTTATTTGCGTAGAGGTGTTTATAGTATTCTCTGATGGTAGTTTATATTTCTGTGCGATCGGTGTTGATATCCCCTGTATCATTTTTTATTGCATCTATTTGATTCTTCTCTCTTTTCTTCTTTATTAGTCTTGCTAGCGGTCTATCAATTTTGTTGATCTTTTCAAAAAACCAGCTTCTGCATTCATTGATTTTTTGAAGGGTTTTTTGTGTCTCTGTCTCCTTCAGTTCTTCTCTGATCTTAGTTATTTCTTGCCTTCTGCTAGCTTTTGAATGTGTTTGCTCTTGCTTCTCTAGTTCTTTTAATTGTGATATTAGGGTGTCAATTTTAGATCTTTCCTGCTTTCTCTTGTGGACATTTAGTGCTATAAATTTTCCTCTACACACTGCTTTAAATGTGTCCCAGAGATTCTGGTATGTTGTGTCTTTTTTCTCATTGTTTTCAAAGAATATCTTTATTTCTGCCTTCATTTTGTTATGTACCCAGTAGTCATTCAGGAGCAGGTTGTTCAGTTTCCATGCAGTTGAGCGGTTTTGAGTGAGTTCTTAATCCTGAGTTCTAGTTTGATTGCACTGTAGTGTGAGAGATAGGTATAATTTCTGTTCTTTTACATTTGCTGAGGAGTGCTTTGCTTCCAACTATGTGGTCAATTTTGGAATAAGTGCGATGTGGTTCTGAGAAGAATGTGTATTCTGCTGATTGGAGTGGAGAGTTCTGTAGGTGTCTATTAGGTCCGCTTGGTGCAGAGCTGAGTTCAATTCCTGGATATCCTTGTTAACTTTCTGTCTCGTTGATCTGTCTAATGTTGACAGTGGGGTGTTATAGTCTCCCATTATTATTGTGTGGTTGTCTAAGTCTCTTTGTAGGTCTCTAAGGACTTGCTTTATGAATCTGGGTGCTCCTGTATTGGGTGCATATATATTTAGGATAGTTAGCTCTTCTTGTTGAATTGATCCCTTTACCATTATGTAATGGCCTTCTTTGTCTGTTTTGATCTTTGTTGGTTTAAAGTCTGTTTTATCAGAGACTAGGATTGCAACCCCTGCCTTTTTTTGTTTTCCATTTGCTTGGTAGATCTTCCTCCATCCCTTTATTTTGAGCCTATGTGTGTCTGCATGTGAGATGGGTTTCCTGAATACAGCACACTGATGGGTCTTGACTCTATCCAGTTTGCCAGTCTGTGCATTTTAATTGGAACATTTAGTCTATTTACATTTAAGGTTAATATTGTTATGTGTGAATTTGATCCTGTCATTATGATGTTAGCTGGTTATTTTGCTCATTAGTTGATGCAGTTTCTTCTAGCATCGATGGTCTTTACAATTTGGTGTGTTTCTGCTGTGGCTGGTACCGGTTGTTCCTTTCCATGTTTAGTGCTTCCTTCAGGAGCTCTTTTAGGGGAGGCCTGGTGGTGCCAAAATCTCTCAGCATTTGCTTGTCTGTAAAGGATTTTGTTTCTCCTTCACTTATGAAGCTTAGTTTGGTTGGATATGAAATTCTGGGTTGAAAATTCTTTTCTTTAAGAATGTTGAATGTTGGCCCTCACTCTCTTCTGGCTTGTAGAGTTTCTGCTGAGAGATCAGCTGTTAGTCTGATGGGCTTCCGTTTGTGGGCAACCCCACCTTTCTCTCTGGCTGCCCTTAACATTTTTTCCTTTATTTCAACTTTGGTGAATCTGACAATTATGTGTCTTTGAGTTGGTCTTCTCGAGGAGTATCTTTGTGGCGTTCTCTGTATTTCCTGAATTTGAATATTGGCCTGCCTTACTAGGTTGGGGAAGTTCTCCTGGATAATATCTTGCATGGTGTTTTCCAACTTGGTTCCATTCTCGCCGTCACTTTCAGGTACGCCAATCAGACGTAGTTTTGGTCTTCTCACATAGTCCCATAATTCTTGGAGGCTTTGTTCATTTCTTTTTACTCTTTTCTCTCTAAACTCTTCTCACTTCATTTCATTCATTTGATCTTCAATCACTGATACCCTTTCTTCCAGTTGATTGAATCGGCTACTGAAGCTTGTCATTCGTCACGTAGTTCTCGTGCCATGGTTTTCAGCTCCATCAGGTCATTTAAGGACTTCTCTACACTGGTTATTCTAGTTAGCCATTCGTCTAATTTTTTTTCAAGGTTTTTAGCTTCTTTGCAATGGGTTCGAACTTCCTCCTTTAGCTCAGAGAAGTTTGATCATCTGAAGCCTTCTTCTCTCAACTCGTCAAAATCATTCTTTGTGCAGCTTTGTTCCATTGCTAGTGAGGAGCTGCGTTCCTTTGGAGGGGGAGAGGCGCTCTGATTTTTAGAATTTTCAGCTTTTCTGCTCTGTTTTTTTCCCCATCTTTGTGGTTTTATCTGTCTTTGGTCTTTGATGATGGTGACATGCGAATGAGGTTTTGGTGTGGATGTCTTTTCTGTTTGTTAGTTTTCCTTCTAACAGTCAGGACCCTCAGCTGCAGGTCTGTTGGAGTTTGCTGGAGGTCCACTCCAGATGCTGTTTGCCTGGGTATCAGCAGTGCAGGCTGCAGAACAGTGAATATTGCTGAATAGCAAATGTTGCTGCCTGATCATTCCTCTGGAAGCTTTGTCTCAGAGGGGTACTCGGCCCTGTGGGGTGTCAGTCTGCCCCTACTGGGGAGTGCCTCCTAGTTAGGCTACTCGGGGGTCAGGGACCTACTTGAGGAGGCAGTCTGTCCGTTCTCAGATCTCAAATTCCATGCTGGGAGAACCACTACTCTCTTCAAAGCTGTCAGACAGGGATATTTAAGTCTGCAGAGGTTTCTGCTGCCTTTTGTTCGGCTATGCCCTGCCCCCCGAGGTGGAGTCTACAGAGGCAGGCAGTCCTCATTGAGCTGTGGTGGGCTCCACCCAGTTTGAGCATCCAGGCCACTTTGTTTACCTACTCAAGCTTCAGCAATGGTGGGCGCCCCTCCCCAAGCCTTGCTGCTGCCTTGCATTTCGATCTCAGACTGCTGTGCTAGCAACGAGTGAGGTTCTGAGGGTGTGGGACCCTCTGAGACATGCGTGGGATATAATCTCCTGGTGTGCCGTTTGCTAAGACCATTGGAAAAGCACAGTATTAGGGTAGGAGTGACCCAATTTTCCAGGTGCCATCTGTCACAGCTTCCCTTGGCTAGCCAAGGGAATTCCTTGACCCCTTGCGCTTCCCAGGTGAGGCGATGCCTCACCCTGCTTCAGCTCATGCTCGGTGGGCTGTACCCACTGTCCTGTACCCACTGTCTGACAAGCCCTAGTGAGATGAACCCAGTACCTCAGTTGGAAATGCAGAAATCACCCTTCTCTGCGTTGCTCACACTGAGAGCTGTAGACTGGAGCTGTTCCTATTTGGCCATTTTGGAACCTTTGTTAAAATTATTTTAAAGCTATTTTCCTGATATGAGTTTGTCTTGCTGTAAATTAACATGATGTTCTATACAAAACTTTGGAGAAATTGTTTGTTTGCATCTGCTAAAATAACAAATTATCTGCATTCATATTGATTCTTATAGTTAAGAGATTTTGAGCAAAATCAGATACACATTATCAGGAGCACTTTCACATGTCCTTTCTAATGGACACATTCAGTTTTTCAGAATATTTATAGTGTTGATGCTTCTGAACAAACTTTTTAGTTAAAGAAAGCAAAAAAAGGAATATAAGATATATTTCCTCTAATCTTCAAGAATCTCCAATTGTTCTACTTGTTCAGATGTGAAATTTAACAGAAACACAGATATATATATATGTATATATGCTTTGAAAGTAATTGCCAAATAATATACTTAAATGAAACTGTCTTTATAGTTTTTAACCTTTGTGCACACACATACATACACCCTAAAATTTCACAAGTCTACTCACTACCCAAAGATTAATACTGTACATATGTAGTGTATTTTTATAGATTAAATCCTTCTTGCTCTTCTTCACTAATTCCCCTCCTCCTACCCCCAAATCATTTTTTCTCTCTTATATACATATGTATTTTACCAAAATAGGACCATATTAGAGTATTACTTTTAATTTACTTTTTGCCTAAATTTATATTATGAACATTTTTACGTTAATAAATATTCTGTTATTATTCTCTTTACTGATGGCACAGCACATCGCAATATAGGTTTTTATACATTATTTTCCCAGACCCATATTACTAAATGTTTTGGGTAGATTTTGTTTTGTTTTTTTTTTTTTTTGGTATTTCAATTTTGAAACAAACACCCCCATCCATATGTCTTTGCATGCTTTTTCAATGATGTCCTAAGGAAAAATTCTTAGATGTAGAATAGCTGAGTCAAATTGTAAGAACACTTTTAAAGCTTTTCATAAGAATGAAAAATTGGTGTACAGAAAGGCAACTCACTAACATCAGTACATGAGGGTGCCAATTTTGTGGGGAGCAATTTTATTTTATTTAGATAGAGGAATCATTAAAAAACCTCACTTTTTCAATTTTAGGAATTCTTGAAGGAAAATTAGAGCATCTGACATACTTATTTTAAAATCCTTGAGGTATAGTTTTGTCAAATGGAATAAAAAGATCAGCTTCAATCCTGAGCTTTTATATTTGCTCTCATAAACAATTTAAGCCCTTCCTAATCTTCAGTGTTTTTTATGCTTTGTTTAAAATTTGTTTAAACAAGATTATAACACCTAGTTTGCTTTTCTGTTTTATTGTTAGAATCATGAAATTCTTAAATGAATCATGGAGACAGATATCTCTTTTATTTTACCTTTTCTTTTTACCAGTAAGAAACTAAAGCACTAGACAAATCAAGTGAATGAATAAGTCCCCAGTGTTTGATTTCTGATAGTGAAATGTAGCCTCCTAATTCAAGGAGAGTTCAATATGGGTCAATCTGTTAAAATAATTAATGTATCCCGTTATTAGATGACAGGAATAAATTTTCTCATCTCAATTGATTTTAAAATGGCACTTACTAATATGAACTCAAATTTTGACTTAAAATAATCAGAGTAAATAAGCTAAAAATTAAAATTATTTACATTGTAGAATTAAAAAATATAAAAGCCAGTATTGGGGTTATACTCAAGAGTGAAACACTAGATGTATTCCTAAGAAAATCAGGAAAAAAGCAAAAGTATTTTTAATTCTATCAATATTTACATATAGTAAAAAATGAAACATTTGGAATTATTAGAAAAAGTGCAACAATAAAATACCATTATTTCCAGAAAAAGTAGATATATCTACTTTTTCTGGAAATAATGGTAATTATTAGGTTTCTAAGAGAATCCAAGAGAATTACGGAAAAATTTGGTGTTAACACCAAGTAAAAGAGTTGAAAAGGTAATTGGATATAAATCAAATATAAAAATAATCCTTTTATTAACTATAATTAGTTTGAAAAATTGAATAAAATAAAAATATACCACTTACGATTGCAGCAAAACATATAATATCTGGAGACAAAAGATATATGTTCACTAAGAGAAATATGTAGAGATTTGAATAAAGACTGTGTACTATAAAGATATAGTTCTTCCTTAATTATTATATATATATTTTTTTGAGACAGGGTCTTTCTCTCTCATCCAGGCTGGAATACAGTGATAAGATTACAGCTCAATGCAGCCGCAACCTTGACCTCCCAGGCTCAAGTGATCCTCCCACTTCAGCCTCCCTAGTAGCTAGGATCACGAACACACACCACCATGCCTAATTTTATTTTTTTTAATTGTATTTATTTTTTCGTAAGGTCAAGGTTTCAATATGTTTTCCAGGCTGGTCTCAGACTCCTGGGCTCAAGTACTCCTTCCACCTCTGCCTTTCAAAGTGTTGGATTACAGGCATTAGCCACCATGCCTGACCCCTCAATATATATATATATTTTTAAGGAGTGTTGCAATTTCAACAACGTTCTCAGACAGGTTATTTTGTTTGTTTTTTTTAATTTAGCAAAGTGATTCCAAAGTTTGTCTGGGGTACATCCAAGTACATATTTCAAAAGAGGAGTAAAAGGAGGGATGTGCCTTACTAAACATTAAAATAATTAAACTTCAGTAACTTAAAAGAGAATGGGACTTACTTGCAAAAATGACTAACACATTGAACCAAGGGACAAAGTCAGTAAAAAGCCCTGTAAATGACCTTGCAATATATAAGAACCTGCAGATAATAAAGGTGGCATTACAAGCTTATGAGGAAAGTAAAGTTTAAGCAAATGTAGGTCTATCTAAATTACACATATGAATTAAAAATACTCTATAGAAATGGGTAATGATTATAAACAGAAAGGTCACAGAAGAATTAAAAGTAACAGACATATGAAATAATACCCCATCCTACTTATAAAAAATAATGAAAATTTACAAAATTTAGTCTGAGTTTTTGGGAAACAGGCACTCCTAGCCTACAGTTGGGTTTGTAATTAATAAATACATTTTTAGAGGGCAATTGGCAGCGTGTATTAAAAGCATTAAAAAGGTGTATCCCTTAATTTTGCAGTTCAAATTCTAATGGTTTTGATTTAAAGAAGGATCAGAGGGCCAAGCATGGTGGCTCACACCTGTAATCCCAGCACTTTGGGAGACTGACGCAGGTGGATCACGAGGTCAGGAGTTCGAGACCAGCCTGGCCAACATGGTGAAACCCCATCTCTACCAAGAATGCAAATATTAGCTGGTCATGGTGGCGAGTGCCTGTAATCCCAGCTGCTCAGGAGGCTGAGGCAGGAGAATCACTTGAAACTGGAAGGTGGAGGTTGCAGTGAGCTGAGATTGCACCACTGCACTCCAGCCTAGGCGACAGAGCAAGACTGCATCTCAAAAAAAAAAAAAAAAAAAAAATCAGAACTTTGTATATGTTACAAGGGATGGTAATGATACTGTTTATGATACCAAATACTATGAGTGGAGTAAATGTAAAGCAATTGCTTGCTGCTTAAGTAAGGGTTTCTCTAAGAGTCTATGGGAAGCATCAGATTCATCTAGGAAGCTTTTGTAAATATCTGCCCTCTAATTCCAATATTCTAATATATAAAATCCACCCAGGATATATGAAATAAAATAACTGTTTCTCTTTTACTTCTCTCAAACATTCTGTAGATTATGCTTATCATTCTCTGTCTTTTCAGTGTCTTTGTCCTCCCCCAGAGCAATAACATTGAGGTATCATTCTTGTTACACTGTCCAGGAAAAAATATAACACTTTGGTCGTCATCTATTTCATTTATCTCTTTTTGAGTTTCCCTTGAACTACTCTCAAAATATGTATTGAAAGAGGAGCTTTGGTTGTTTTGGAAATTATTTGAAAACTGAGAATATTGATAAAATAATAGCCAAAGTACATATTAGCAGACTACTATCTGCTTCTTAGCCTTATATCATAATAACTTGAAAATAAACAACTTATTTTTATTATTTCCATGTGTCTTTATTTGAAATACAAAGAACTTACAAAATGATAAAATCTTACTCATAATTTTTGTCATTTCTCTCTATATACTGTGTTAATACTTTGGTATTAGTAGATTAATATGATGTACTCATGTTTTAGCTTTTTTAAATTGTGAGATGTTTGAAATGATACATGGTATTTTTGATATTTTTAGTAAGATGGAATGTAAAGTAGCATTAAAATGAGTGTATTTGTTTTTGCAGAGTTTCTAACTATGATATCTTCTGGTATACTCATAACCTCTTCTTTGTCTTCTACATGCTGCTGACGTTGCATGTTTCAGGGTAAGTTTACAAATGTATGTATTTAAAACCATTTGTGCCCCAAAATGGGGTAATGAAAGAAAACTCTATAGGAAATTTCATAGGAGGTGGTAAAAGTGTCAAGAGTGAAAGAAATAGTTTCTCTACTATTGAGGATAACGTCAAGAATGGAAGAAATAGTTTTATTTTTAGCATAGCATATTGTAATGAAACCAGTATAAAGTATACTAAATTTAAAAGCTAGAATTACCTCTCCAACAACCTTTCAGTTTCTAAATCTTCCTATGGATATATCCTAATATCTTCTAAATGAAAAAATTTAAGAATGAAGAACATCAGGAATATATTTTAGTATTTGTATTTCCTGAAACTGTCCTGCTAAAGCAAGATTTATAATAATGGAATTTCCAGTTTTTCATTTTAAAAGTTCTACAGGAAGTAATACTTGCAGAGAGAGCCAAAGATTTAAAATAACCAAAGAAAAGGATCTGTCAAAATCACCAAGGAAAAAAAACATAAAGTGAAAAAATAATGTATCCTAAGCTTATTACAAAGAGTATACCTAAAGTATTCCAAAAATATGTGTACCCAAGCAGTATACTCAAAAACATGGTGCTTAAAACAATACATGAAGATAGATGAAGAAAATAATGTATTTTTGTACATGCATATGTCTGTATGGCCACCGGCAGTGAACTTGATGGCTTTGGCGTGACATTCACACCTGCATGACATAATAAGTCTGGCAGCAGTTTTACTTGGTTTGGCAAGATACAGGGCAGGACACACAGAATGTCAACAGGATAATGTCAGGTGCTTATTAAGTAGAAATCCCTATATTTGCTCAGAAGCATTTACCCCCACTCCTTCATGTAGCAACTCTAAGATAAGAAACCCATGTGGGTAAGCATGGTCTACCTTGCATTGGGTAAGGCTCATTCGTACTCCACAGGAACCTGTATCTTGGGAACAGCATAGGTCCCCTCAAGGGATGCCCTTGGGATCAAGAACACACTGTACACAAGGAGGCTGAGGTCTGTGAGGTCCAAAATGATTTCATAGTTCAATCACAGTCCTTTCTGTCCAGATGCATTTCACCGATAATAAACAATGTTGCTGGTAACACAGCTGACAATCCCTATTTTTCTTAACCTGAAATATTTCCAGGGAAACAGTTTGAAGAAAGGTTCAGACCTTTGTTTAGTTCTTTCTTCAGAATGTTTTATAATGTAATTTATCAGTACAGTGGGTCATTTACATTGATCATATATTTATTTCAGGGTACATATTCAAACTGTTGCTTTGGCTTTTTTCCACCTGATTTTAGAGACTGCTGATTAAGACAGCAGTATCAAATATCCCATATGTCCTGGTTAGCTTTGTTCAGTACCAAGGTTCCAGAACACATAGTTGTAGAGCACTGGAAACATGGCCACACATTATAACTAATTCTCTGGAGCCTCAGGGCACCGAGAAAGCCCTTGGTAGATAAAAGACTGCTTTACATTCTGCTCTTTAAATGGGATTGGTTACCTGTCCAGGGCTATGCTCCTGAAGAGGACTATGAATAACCAGATACAACTAATGATAATAACAGTAATCTAAAATAGTTACATAATGCTTACTCTATGCTAAGTATAAATTCAAAATGCTTCACATACTTTATGTTATTAAATGCTCAGAATGTTATGAGAATAAATAATATTGTTAAACCTCTTTCAGAAGTGGGAACACTGATGTTTAGAAAGATTAAGCAGCTTGTTGAAGTTTACTTAACTGATGGATCCTAGATTCAAACCTAGGCATTCTGATTCAGAAACTCCTAAGTTTTTACTACAAGGCTTTATTTTTTTGGAGAGGTCTGTACTTCTGAGAATTTGATGTTAGTATTTGTTTAAATGCCTTTATCTTTACTGCTTTGAGATTGTGATCTGTCTATTCATCTATGTCCCTATATCAGATAGATATAGAAAATAAAAATGCAATCATTTATTAGTATAATTATATATTATTTTGCCTTTATGTTTTACTAAATTAAAACTCTGAAAAAAAACTATTTCTTTGTAAATCAAAATAGTGTCAATTTTTTGTTAAAGGATCAGCATTTCAAACAGACTTCTTTTTAAAGAGGAGGATTACATTGAGAGTTCTTTACTTTTTTGGAAGTAAAAGGAATGCATATTTAAATTTTGATTTTTACTTTTATAGAACAAGTGTCATAGAAAGTGACTTTAATTTATACAGAGAAATAGTAGGCATCTATAGGATGAATTATATATAATCAATCAATTATTAAACTAAATTAATATGTATTTATTCATTATAGGTAGAAATGAAGAAAGCAATTATTCTAATTTTGAAATATGTCATGCAACCCATACATAATACAATAAGCATTCTACAGTGCACATTTTTTCCAGGAAATTTAATAGATATGCTTCTGGTATGAGAAATGTTACTACTGATAACATTTTACCATTTTCTCAAAATTAAAAAAAAACTATACTGATGAAGGATTGGCTTATAATTAAGTCTATTTATTTGTGCAAATGTTGGAAACAGACATATTTTAACTTCTGAAATACCTAGATAACTTTGTTCTTCAACTTTTGGTTATACAAATAAAGTACAATTGTTCAAAGTAAATTTCTTGGATTTATATTGAAATTTCTGTTCAACAGTATGCTTTAGGTCTGAACAGAAAATCACTATTTGCTTAGCATTAGCTTCTCTGTCCATCAATGTGGTAAGTACCATAAGGTAAAGAAGAGCAATATATTGCATGATGTCTAGTCATCCAGCATTGATCATTGATTTGGAATTTTGAAAAATCAATTGGAAAAGCTAGACATATTATAAAACTGCATATTTTTAAAATGTAAACATTCATGTGTTATTTACATGAATGCTAGCAATTCAGAGAATTATCAGTGTGGGCTAGAAATTCTAGAAAATATTAGGCTTCAAAGATGAGGTGATGAGACATTGTTGACTGGTTTTTCTACCTAAGCAGACTTTTACAGTAAGAGCATTTGCTTCATATGATTTTCTAAGGTCATTTTTTTCATAGAATCTTAAATTTTAAAGGAAGCTGAAAAGATATCTTGATCAAGCCTCTTTTAAGCTCCTCTGCAATTTATCTACTAAGTCAATGCCTAATTTTGAAGATGTCCATTCTGTCTTAGGGGAAGTTCTAATTCTCACAATGTTCTTTCGTTTTTGGTTGGAATTATTTTACTGTAATTTCTGTCTAGCTATTTAAAAGTCTGTGATTCTGGAGGCCATGGAAGTTAAGTCGCCCACTTTTCTAAATTCTATTCATCTGTTTCTCACGTTGTGATATTTCAGATCTCAATTTTCTGAACTGTCTCTTCGAATATATTAACAATTAATATTAATTGAATGCTTCTCTTTTACTAACATTTGCTCTCATTAAATCCTCCTAACAACCCTGTAAATTTATTATTATTATTATTATTATTATTATTATTATTATTATTCTCAATGTTCAGCTGAGAGAATAGGAGCAGTGAGAGATAAGTTGCTGAGGGCCATGGCTAGTAAGTAGATTTCCAGTTTGAACCCAGGTATCAGGTACCAAAATTAACATTCTTAACCACTAAGTTATGCTGGCCCCCATTTGGCAACACTTCTCTGTATCCCTTTTAAAACTTACACCAAACTAAATGTTCTTGGAGTATGTGATCTGATTTTGGCAGAGTGAAAGTCTCACTTTCTTCACTACAAACATTGCAATCGGTATTATTTAGGACCCAAATTTTTTGTTCTATGATTATCTGTGCCCTTGGCTTAACCTGGTTTTCATTCTTGTTGTATATTTTAGCGATTTTCTTCATTTTTTATAAATAAATCTGTTGCATGCCACCCTAAAAAGATGACATTTCATGTACACTAAACTAGATGTTTCTTTTTAGTGTTAAAATACATCTTTAAAATACATTAATTTTCTTCTCCAAGATGTTAGTATATTATAGAAGTTAAAAGATACATCACTTAATACCCGTATGAACTTGGCAGATAATTTGTCCTTGCTTTTTGTTAGCAATTAAATGGGATTAATAAAATCACTTATATCATAGTGTTGTCTTGGGTTTAAAGTAATGCAGCAAAGTAGGCAGAATATAGACATACTTAATAAATGTTAGTAAGAACAAATTATACTAGTACCAATACTTATAGCTTTGTAAGAATGACACTCCACATTTAACTTTGAAAAATCAGGTTTTTTGATAAAGACACAACACTTTTGAAAAACCCAGATTTTCTTATCAACAAAGTAATTTGATGAACATAGTGAAAACTACTTAGCAGCTCAAAGGAATATTCCTTGATATGGCAACAATTATAATATTCTAAGATCTCTAACATTCTATTGATTTTTAGCAATAAAGGTTTATCTTTGCAAAACAAGCCTTCCTCCTGAGGAATTTTTTGTTTTGATTTTTAATATACCTTTTTGGGAGGTTGCTATTGGTGTGCTTAGGAATTTAAAGGTATTCAATTCCTAAGATACCTGGTGAAAACAAAACAAAACAAAACCATTTCCTCTTTCCAAACATGTATAGAACTGGATATCTCTTTCCTCATTTTCTTTTGAAAAACTCAGAAGGAGATGCATACTGCTATTCTCACTTACTGATAAAAAGAGTATTGGAGGGAAAATAAATTACGAATGTCACAGTCTCTGCTTAAGAGCCCAACCCAGCTCCTTTCGAAGAAATGTGGAGGGAATGCATTGTAAATGAGATTTGGCACCTTAGCTTCTGCAGTCTTACCATAGTCAACACTCCCACTGGCTTTAGCTTGGAGAGTGCTGTGTGGGTGGTGATTGTATTTTATGTCTTTATTTAACTGAGTGAGAGAGACTATAATGTGATAATTCTGGAAATGATAGAGGGGAAGGTCCTCCTCAAATGTTTGGATGACAATGACAGCACATTAAAAGTGTAAATATTTTTTTGTGCTAGCTCTGCTGCACTTCTCAGATCTTTTTATTATATGAATGATACCTGAATTATTCTTTTAAGCAGAACTCTTTGCCATTTGGCACTACTTGTTAGCAAGAGTTAATCATAGAGCATGATTTATATTCTACTTGAATCATTTTTTTTCTAGGAAATCTAAAAGGAGTATTTTTATGTGCATGTTTTTAAAAACATTTATTCTTTATGCCAGGGGAGCACAGTGGGCAGGCTTTGTCAACAGTGACATTAATGAACCCCCGGCAGTGTCATAGGCGGATAGTTTAACAGGGAGCATCACAGGAGTTTAGACTCAAGATGTTAACCAGGGTTAGACAGATATTGTGGGGGTCGGCTTATTGTGCTGACTGGAAAATAACCTCCCTCTATTATGGCCTCGGGCCTCAGGAGGAGGACATTAAGGATATACTGTTAGAGGATAGAGATATTTGTGCAATATAGTGAAGTGTTAAGGACTGCTGATACCCAAGTATCTTCCCTTTTAGAAGCCACTTTCGTGGAAGTCTTCCTTCACCCACACTGATGTGGCAGAGGGAAAAGCTTGGTCATCTTGCTACTGGTGGGAGGCACTTGCTCCTCTTAGAAAGTCAAATTGCATTTTGAATGGAAGGCCCACAAGTTGTATTTTAAACAATCCTATTCTAGTACTGAGGGAGAAAATTTTTACTTTCCTCTATGTTCTTTTCAGTTTCCCATTTCTTGCCTGTACATTTGCAGTGACTTTGTAATTTATTGTCCAAACCAGATACTTTTGAGAATGAATGGGGATGCTATTGATAATTCAGCAGTGGCTATAGAAAAACCAGGTCATACAGGTATTCTACCTACTCCTAGGCAGTGGGGAAAGTTTTAAGAGAGGCTAATGCACTGTTTTAATGTAGACTTTGAGCTAGAGCCACAAAAGGAGTCCTTACCTTGAATAGGGGCTCTGTGTGTGTATTTGAGAAACAGAACCTTCAAATAATACACACTGTAGGTTTGCCTAGCTTTGTCTCACTTTAGAGATTGTAATTAGATGTCCACTACCATGGTCATTAGAAGGCTGAGGATTTGGTTGTTCATGACAGTGGGTAAAATCTTTTATAAACTCTCTGTCACTGATATAGATGACCTGTTCTAATACTTCCTAGATGCCTAGTTTCTAATGAGTCTGGCATACTCGTTATCAGTTTGGTGCCCATTACTTCTATCACAAAATTCTACTTCTCTTTCCATAGGATAGGGGTTTTTAACATGGCTCCATAATCCCTAGGACTAATTGAATGGATTCAGGGATTCATTAATTCCTGAAATACATACACACACGTATCTGCATATTTATGTATAAGTTTAATTTTGAGACACATATGTATATTTTTGTATAAAACAAGTTTCTCAACTTTCATTAGATACCGTAAAGTTTGTGTGGTCAAAAACGTTTCAAAAAATATGGAACTGAAGTTTTTAAAGCTAGATTTTAACCAAAGAGCTGTAATATCTAATATCACATTGACACATTTTATATAGCCTACTTCAGTTTTATTTAGAGTTAGAATCACTGCATTGTGGGAAAAATAAAAGCCACTGGGGCATTTTTTTTCTTCCATGAAGGCTACTGGAAAAAGAACTTGACAAATATAATGAACAACTTAACAACTGCATTATCATTTTAGAGGATAATAATTATACTGTTCATAATAATTCTCTAGTTTTAGATAATGTTGACTATGTGACAGGGACTATTCTTAGCACTTTACACACACACACACATTAATTTTTTGTTTGTTTTTAATATGCACAGTACTATAAGTTCTTCTATCATTTCTATTTTACAGATGGGGAATTGAAGCATGAAAGATTAAATTAAGTAACTGTCTAAAGTCACACAGCTAATAACTGAAAAAACTAAGATTGAGCCCATGAAGTTTGACCCCTGAATTTAACTTCTACCCTTTTCTTGAATTATTGAATTATTTATTTGTCATTTAGAAAGTACTCTTGCTTATGAATGAAAAATATTTATGTATTGTAAAAATCTAGGATATATTTTTCTATTCGTCCATGTAAGTTGGTGAGTATATATACATATATGTTTGCCTGTTTTGAATCAGAAGTTCAATTTTGATTCAGGGTACATAGAGTTCAAGGTTTTGAAGGTGAAATCTAACTAGCTCCCAGAAAATGGAGTAAGAAGAAAATGGCTTCTTTATGGTGCTGCCTGATAAATGTTTCCTAAAATGTTTGACCTTGTTAAGATACATAATAATATGATAACTCTATAATATAATGTAATCATTTTATAATAAATCTAATAATAAAATAAAAAAAATGTGATACTTTACTTGCCAGAATTCTTCCATGTAACCTGAAAATAACAATGAAGAAGACTAGGATTTAGACTGGAGCAGATAAAAATGCTGTGGAAGAGATATTCTTATCAGTATTTTATTGCCAGTGTGTCTTTATAAAAGGATTAAGTCAAAACATAGCAAAGAAAGCAATGGGGAAAATATATTATTCATCATATAGAAAAATCAATTAAGTCCACAGATTTCCAAAACCCATACCTTTTAGAATTTTGCTATGAATTTTCTCTAAATATTAGATTACCCATCCAGTTATTATTCAAATGTGTGGGATGAATTTGATAATGGAATTCCAAAGTAAATACATAAACGAACCCAAGTAAGCATGCAATTTGTGAATTACCATAGTTTTGCTATCCCACACATTTTGGTATTTTGACTTTAAAAATAGTGAAACAAATGCCCTGGGTTATAATAGTGAAGAAAGAGGATTGATTCCTAGAAGATCACTAATCTTAGACAAATCAGTTTTTTATAGAGCTTCCTGATTTGTGCAATAAAGAAAAATAATTGTATCTCCCAGACCTATTAGAAGAGAAATATTAGCTATCATACATAAAATTGACACTATACACACACATATACATATATACACATATATTTTTATTGTTGTCTATGTAATGTTCTCCATTTAAAAAACTTTTCTATTTTTAATTTTTATGAATACATAGTAGGCATATATGTTTATGGGATACATGAGATATTTTGATACAGGCATACAATGTGTAATGATCACATTTGCATAAATGAGATATTCATAATCTCAAATATTTATCTTTTCTTTGTGTTACATACAAATTGTACTGTTTTCATTATTTTTTAATGTACATTATTGTTGACTCTAGTCATCTAATTATATTTTTATAACCAATACTCATCCCCACTTCTCCCCCTCTCATTCGCAGCCTCTGGTAATCGTCATTCTACTCTCTATCTTCACGAGTTCAGTTTTCATTTTTAGCTCCCACAAATAAGTGAGAACGTGTGAAATTTGTCTTTCTGTGCCTTGCTTATTTCACTTAACACAATGACCTCAGTTCCACCCACGTCGTTGAAAATGAGAGGATCTCCTTTTTGTGGCTGAATAGTACACCGTTGTTATATGTAGCACATTTTCTTTATCCATTCATCTGTTGATGGACACTTAGGTTGCTTCAAAATCTTGGCTATTGTGAATAGTGCTACAATAAACATGCAAGTGCAGGTATCTCTTCAATATACTGATTTCTTTTCTTTTGGGTATATACCTACCAATAGGATTGCTGGGTCATATGGTAGTTCTGTTTTTAGTCTTTTGAGGAACCTCCAAACTTTTCTCCCATAAGGGTTATGCTAACTTACATTCCCACCAACAGTGTATATGAGGGTTCCCTTTTCTCCACATTCTCACCAGTATTGGTTGTTGCCTGTGTTTTCAATATAAGCCATTTTAACTGTGGTGAGATAATATCGCATTGTAGTTTTACTTTGCATTTATCTGATGATGTGATGTTGAGCACCTTTTCATATACCTGTTTGCTATTTGTATGTCTTTTGAGATATGTCAATTTAGATATTGTGCCCATTTTTAAATCTGATTATTAGATTTTTTTCTTACATAACTATTTGAGTTATTTATATATTTTGGTTACTAATCTCTTGTCAGATGGATAGTTTGCAAATATTTTCCCCCATTCTTTGGGTTAGATCTTTACTTTGTTGATGTATGCTTTGCTGTGCAGAAGCTCTTTAATTTGATGTAATTCCATTTGTCTATTTTTGCTTTGATTGTCTTTGCTTGTGGGATATTACTCAAGAAATCTTTGCCCAGTCCAATGTCCTGGAGAGTTTCCCCAGTGTTTTCTTTTAGAGGTTTCATAGTTTCAGGTCTTAGATTAAGTCTTCAATCAATTTTGATTTTTTTAATTTAGGAAGAGATAGAGATCTAGTTTTATTCTTCTGGCATGTTGTATTTCCATTATCATGCATTTCAAAAAGTTTTAAAATTTCCTCAATAATTTCATCATTGACTCACTGGTTATCAGGAGTATATTGTAAAATTTCTGTGTATTTGTATAGTTTCCAAAATTCCTCTTATTGATTTCTAGTTCTGTTCCATTGTGGTCAGGAAAGGTGCTTGATATTATTTCAAGTTTTTGAATGTTTTGAGACTTTTTTGTTACCTAACATATGATCCTTGAGAATGACCCATGTGCTGAGGAGAAGAATCTGTGTTCTGCAGCCATTGGATAAAATGTTCTGTAAATATTTATTAGGTCCATTTGGTCTATAGTGCAGATTAAGTCTGATGTTTATTTCTTGATTTTCTGTCTGAAAGATCGGTCCAATGCTAAAAGTGGAATGTTGAAATCTCCAACTATTGTTGTATTTAAGTCTTTCTCTCTCTTTAGCCCTAATAATATTTGCTTTACGTTTTTGTGTGCTGCAGTTTTGGGTGTATATATATTTACAATTGTTATCTCATCTTGCTGAATTGACCCCTTTATCACATTATGATTTTTTTGGTCTCTTCTTATGGTTTTTGTCTTGAAATCTATTTTGTCTGATATTAAGTATAGCTTCTCCTCTTCCTTTTTGGTTTCCATTGGCATGGAATATGTTTTTCCATCTGTTTATTTTCAGTCTGTGTGTATCTTCATAGGTGAAGTGTGTTTCTTGTAACCAGCAGATCATTGGGTCTTTTTGTTTCTCCATTCAACCACTGTAAGTCTTTTGATTGGACAGTTTATTTCATTGACATTCTATGTTATTGCTGATAAGTATGGCCTTTCTTGTACCATTTTCTTATTTGCTTTCTGATTGTTTTGTGGTCTTCTCTTTCTTCTTTCCTTCCATCCTGTCTTCCTTTTGGTGAAGGTGATTTTCTCTGGGGTTATGTTTTAATTTCTTCTTTTTCTATTTTTTATGTATCTGTTGTATGTTTTCTGATTTGTGGTTACAATGAGGCTTGCAACCAATATAACCCACCTCAGGCCCACAGTGAGGTACTGCGTAGCTACTGCCTATGTTCATTCAAGGCCCAAGGACTCCTCAGTCAGCTTGTAGTGAATGCTTCCAGGCTTGGGACTTTTACTTCAGGATAATGCATTCCCCTCTGGCCCAGGGAGTGTCAAGAAATGTCATCTGAGAGCCAGTGCCTGGAATCAGGGAACCTTGCTTGGTGCTCTACCCCACTGTGGCTGAATTGGTATGTAACCTGCAAGACAAAGTCCCATTCACTCTTCCCTTTCCTTTTCTTACGCAGAAGGAGTCCCTCTCCATAACAACCACAGTTGGGAATTTGCTGGGTCACACCTAAAGCCAGTACATCTCTCAGTCTCACCCAAGGCCCATGGCGAGTACTGCGTGGGTACCACTGCTGGTTATTCAAGGGCCAATGGCTCTTTAGTCAGAAGATGATTAATCTTGCCAGGACTGGGTCCTTCTCTTCAAGGCAGCAAGTTTCTTGCTTGCCCAGGGTGTGTCTAGAAATGTCATTTGACAGTTAGTGCCTGGAATCAGGGCCTCAGGCCTCTGCCCAGGGCCCTATCCTACTGTGGCTGAGCTGGCATCCCAGAGGCAGGACAAAGTCCTCTTTATTCATCCCTCTCCTCTCTTCAAGCAGAAGGAAGAGGTCTCTCCCAGAACTGTGAGCTGTGTTGCCTGAGCTTGGTAGAGAGGTGGTGCAAGCACTCTCTTGGCTGCTCTGGCTAGTGTCTCACTGGGGCGTGTGCCACCCACATCACTGGCTGTGAGCCCTGCACAGCACCAGGACTTGCAGGGAATTTCAGTCCTTTAAACCTAGACTGCCTTTCAAGTTTATTTACAATCCCAGAGCACTTTAGCCCAAAATGGCAAGGCTTGCTGAGACTTAGGTTTTGACTGCTAGAATGGGCAATTCCTTTTTGGCTAGTACTGGGTCTAAATGCTCCCTCTGTGGGCTCTGGCTGAGTTCCTCCTGGTGTTGCTTTTCATTGTGACAGGGCAACACTGAGTTCTCTTCTCCCTAACCTCCTTATGTATCTGCGAGTTCCAACCCAAAAAAGAAAAATAAAATAGAACATTGTGCCATATTCTAGGTAAACTATAGTGGTTCTGGGGATAGGAGTGTTTATTTCCCATCTTTATGCAGGGAATCCCTTTCACATATCACTCACTCAGTATTTACTGGATGAAGCTGAATTGCATTAATTAGTTTAAGCTAGGAATGTGTTGTCCTTCTAGGCTCTTCCAATTTTCCTCAAGTATCAAGGCATTACAGATGACAATAAAGGATAATCTCTAAATTTGTTTAACTATAACTTGGACTGTCATTTTGTAACTATCATTTATATTTAGTCTTATCTAGGTAATTAGTTATTATGGCAACTAGTATATTGATTCCCACGCCAAAGGAATTAGCTTTTAAATCTTAACTATTTTGATTATATTGTAGACTGGCACATTTTTGTTCGGGGTCTTTATGCATTTCTGTGGCTAAAAAATCTGAAAGAAAAGAAAACCCATGCCTCTTATTTTATTTTATTTTATTTTATTTTTTGAGACATGGTCTTTCTGTGTTGCTCAGGCTGGTCTCAAAAGTCTGGCCTCAAGTAATCCTCCCAGCTCAGCCCCTAAGTGCTGGGTTTACAGGCATGATCCAGCATGCTCAGACCCAGCTCTCCTGATTTGTTTTATTTCACTTTTTAGTTCTTCAATTTTTCACTTAAATATATGGGGTGAAAAATATTATTGAATAATTAGATCTCTCTTAGATGGAATCCAAATTCTTCTCCTCCATAATATTTACATATTTTCAATATGTTAATAAATACAATGTCCTATATAACTATGATCTTTAAGATATAAAGTTTTTTTAACTTTATATCTTTTGTTTGCCAACTTCCAATTTTGTTTGCCAACTTCCAACTTTTTATTCATTGGATTTTTAAATTTTATGTAAAAAGTAGTATTTCTCTATAGTAATTATGGACTAAGATCTTATGGTTTATTCACATTTGTTGATATTTTATGCTGTAAGCCAGTTGGCAGTAGGGATTGAGGTCATGTGATATTTACCCCATTAACGATGCCTTACATTTCTATAGCTTGTATGTATATATGTCTGCTTATATACATATAGTATATACAGAACATTTTTATGTACATGAAGTCATTTATGCTGTAAGTTGTATATATTAATGGATTTTCTTAAACTTCCAAACTGCGAGTTTATTTTTTCCCCAGTTTTGGAGATAGACCAAATACTTTTTCACATAATTTTTATCTCAGTTTTTCTGCAGGGAACTTTTTTATATTAGCCAGTGTTCACAGCTGGTATTACAAGATGAGAAAGTTGGGGGAAAGGAGGAGGAAAAAGCACTGTATTTATTTAAGAAACATTTTCAGTATAGTACTTTCTGAAACATGAAATAAATATTTTATCCTCCACTGTCATTTTAGTGAAGCATGAAAGCTGAGGAAATACTAAGAAGTAATGGATGCTTACCTTTTTTTTTCTTTGCAAGGGGTCAAAGCTCTTCCCTTTTTATACCCGTGAAGTACAGAGGAACAGGTACTATTTCTCTTTTTCAGTTAAGGAAACTTAGGGAAATGACCTATTTTACTTCAGGTACTCAAGGAAGTTGTAAATGTTGATCCTAAGCCCTTAAGACCCTAGGCTATACATTAGTCAGCTGCACAGAGATTGTGGCAGAATCAGCTACCTAATTTGCAGGGCCCACTGCAAAATGAAATGTGGGATTCTTTGATCAAAAAATTATTAAGCGTTTGGAGATAATGACAACAGAGCAGTAAACCAATAGCAGGGTCTTTCTAAAGAGCAAGGTCCGGTGCACCTGCACAGATTACAAACACATGATGTTATTCCTATCTTGTAAGCTTGGACCACCCCACCAGTAAGAGCTAGACACAATTCCTGCTGTGGTTAAGCTGCAGATGACAGTACTCTTAGCTATCAAAGGCAAGAGCCAGGAAAGAATGCAGAGGCAAGAACTCTGTTAGGCCAGAAAAACAAAGTAGGGGTGGGAGTAAAAGCTTTGGTAGGGTGGGTACCCAGATACTTAGGATTTCCTGAGGCACACTGGATCTGTAGTTTAGGAAAGCACTCTACTTCTAAATGCACCTAGCAAGTAGACTTTACTCTCTTGATAACTGTCTGTTACTTAATGTTACTGTCTGTTACTTAATAACTGTCATGTTACTACATGCCATTTGCTAAAATATAGACCTCCTTTTTGAAGGTTGAAAATGAGGTCGAATATCTGTTAAAACCAGATGACTCCCCAGTCAAGTGTTTCAACAACAATCACAACAAAAGTTGTTTATATACTTCTGGTCACTAAGTTAATCAATGAATATTTATTGAGCACTTATTATAAGTCATAAGCACTATTTTAGGCAGTAGAAAAATAGCAGTGGAGCAGGATAAACCCTTGACTTTAAGAAGTGCACATTCTGGTGGATTCTACAGAAGTTAGAGAACTGCAATAAATTTTAAAATACACAATTTGGTTTTATTGTTTGAATTAAACTCTTTTTCTTTGTACTTGAAGCAAAATAAAAATAACTGTCAGAATCAAGATATATTTTTACCATAAAGAAAAAAAATCATATTATAAAATATTAGGAAAAAAAGTAGGTTCCTAAGGGATAAGAATTTTTTTCTCCTCCTTCAAGATAGATTAAAATACCACAAATATAAAGGTCACATAAGTGACACTCATTTGTGGGATATTTTTAACATGAAATTAAAGTAGGGATGATTCTGGCATTGTCCTTTTGTCAGGTGTGGTATTTTGTAATATTTATCTTTTGCCATAAAATCATGTTTTGATTACCATAAAATCCTGTTATTACTTAGTAGGATTCATTTAATGTATTATATTATTTTATAAGACTTTGTCACAGCCGGGTATTAAAAAGAAAGAAACAAACAGAAAGCAAAACAAACAACAAAAACACCAAGATAGTATAATTATAATGCCTCTTGAGGGAAACAAGGGAAAAAAAAGAAACCTACAACTTTGAAACATGGTTGAAAGTTTGATAGCACATGTTAAGATCCTTTTGAATGCAGAAACAATTTTGAAACTCCATAAAATCCTTTATTTCTCATGATAGGAGAACACTAGACATTCCACAGATACTTCAAAATTTCTCCTTGGAACATCATATAATGAAACTTAAAACATTAATAATAAACACTTATATTTCCACATAGTCTGTGCACCTCCTTTCCTCATCCCTCACCATGTCATTATAACTTGGCAAGACTCTCTGTTTACCATTCACTAATGTCTTTTTCCCTTCTTGTTTTTTGCTTTAAAATTATTTAGCATTTGTTTATGAAAGCTACAACAATACATACAAGAATGCTGTCTTTTTGATTCCTACATGATTTGCTATATTAAAACAAATTATGTGTTTATTGTTTGCTTTTAAAATCAATTCACTAGAAATGCATTAGAGATCTATTATGTGCAAGAAAAGTATTAGAGGGATGCAGAGGTTTGGCAGTGAGTATGAATGTATAAGGGATAAATGCATAAGACATGATCCCTTCTACTTATTCAGGAATAAACCAAGTACCTTTGTGCATATGGCTTCCTCATATTGGAATGCCATTCTCCTATTCTCTAACCCCTGGAATCTCTACATCCTTCAGCTGCCTTCTTCTCTGTGAAGCCTTTCTGGAATTTTATAATCAAAGTTCATTACCCATCTCTACTCTCAAGAGGTTATCATATGTTTATATGGCATTAATAATTTTGCCCTTTTTAATTATCATTTTTGGTTCTATGTTTGATTTGACCCATTATATCTGTGCTGTGGCTATTCAATTTAAATTAAAGTGAAATAGTATTAAGAATTCAGTTCTTCACCTGTACTAGCCAAATTTAATTGCTCAATAGCCACTTTTCTCTAATAGTTACTATGTTGGTCATCAGAGACTTAGACCATTTCCACTATCACAGAAAGCTCTATTGGACAGTGCTGCTCTAGACTGTGCATGCCTTTGAAGGCAGTGACCATAATATTGAAACTAATAAGATTCCAAAATTAATAAAATAATATGTCTAAATGAGGTATATCACAGTGGCGGTGTGGGGCAAGAAGCAGGGGCAGTATTGTTTGGCAAATAGACACAGAGCTTTGTGTTATCTTAAGTGGGTTCTGTTACATTTGAGAAGATTTCATTCTACTTTAAAGAAAGGCATGCATCTAAAATAAATAAAGGTACCAGGAATTTAAAACACCATAAAAATCATATAGAACATGTGCCTCAAATTTTAATAAATGTGGCCACAGTGAAGTAAATGGATTAGGGAGATAATATCAGATTTTGTCTATCAATCCAAATATCCTTAATATCTAGTCTACATTCCTTTTCAATATTCTTTAGAAAAAGATTGTTATAATGGCCTTCAAATATAAGAATTCTAAGAAATTCTGCACTAATACCAAAGAAATGAGCACTTTTACTCTTTACTCATACAATGAAAAAGTAAGTTATTGCATTCAATTGAGCTTGAAAAATAACACATAAAAGTATTGGTTTGATAAAACATGCTCCCTCCGTTTCTAAGTCTATAGCCATATAAAGCCATCAAATTTTGCTCAATGTATACATTGGTCTTCAATTTAAAGATTGTCCATAAAGTAGTGTGGATATTTTGCAAGGGGAATAGGCCTGGTACAGAGGAAGGAGCACAGACTTTGGAATCAGACTAACTGGGCTTTCAGTCCCAGCTCTGCAGACTGACATTATTGTGTTGGGAGATACTTAAGTACTCCCAATCTAAGGCCACTAATCTTTACCATGCAAGTTTTTTTTTTTTTTTCTTTTTTAACCAGTAGGTGGCCTTTCAATACTGAGTTAAAAACCTGCCTTCCAGTGAACTTTCAGTACCTTCACCACCTAATTACAGCCAAATGACCTGGGATGTCATACTTGAGTTTTTTTTTTTTTGATGAATGATTTTATCATTGTCTGTCTTTAGATCTTATCCATATTTCTTTGGTGGCAAGAGTTACAACTAAGACAAAGTAATCTGAGCTCTCTATTCTGTTTGTTTTTTGTGTTTTTAGGCATATACCATATTGTTTTTATTACTATAGTCTTGAAATAAAGCTTGAAATCTGAAAGTAAAAAAAGAAGACAAAGTAAGGACAGTTTTAATGGGGTTTTAGGACAGAGATGGCCTATGCTATTTAGCTTGAGTGTAGCTGAACATAATACAAAGCTCTCAAAATTAAAAGGAATTTTAGAATAATACGTGCCACTTTATGTGCCAAGAACAGCACAAATGTTTGATTGGGCTGGCCTGAAGAACTTTACTGTATAGTAACAACATTCACTACTCTAAGGACCTAGAGCATGGTAGAGTTATGTCCACTTGAATGTTATGACAGGAGAAGGGATTAACGACATTTATTTGCCTGGTATTAAGACCCTAAATTATAAGCAGCCCCATTCCAACACACACACACACACACACACACACACACACACAATCTGACTTTTGTTTATTTTGAACCCCTTTTACAATGCCTACCTATTTAACCATCTGATTTGCTTTGCGTGACATAGGGGCATAGAGTGAGCTAGGTAGGTTTCTGAACCCTATGCTTTGACTATACTTAGTTAATCTCTTACCTGAATGAAAGCCTTAGGTTTCTCATCTGTGTAATATAAATAAAAACACTTACCTTGTATGATTATTTTGTTTTGAAGTTTAAATGAGAAATAGATGTTCTAAAAATTACTGATATGATACTTTCTTAGCAAGCATTAATCTTCCCCCTTCCTTACATTTCTCAGAGTTATGTTGTGAGGATTCAGTGAACTAATGTGATATATCATGAGAGGTGAAGAGCATAGAATTTGAATCAGATCTGAATTCAAATCTTGGCCCTGCTACTTATCAACTGTGTGACACTGGGGTATTATTTCATCTTTTAAAATATTTTTGTTTTTAAATTTTAAAATGGGAATAATGATCCTAGTTCATGCAGTTTTTGTGAGGATAATGTAAAATGCATATACATTTCCCTGGGCTAGACCTGGTGTTTTCCATACATTACTAAGCTATTATTAAAACACTACCCCAGTTACTATCTGTAGTCTGATTTATGTTCAGCTTCTTTGAAGATATCTTCCAAACTAGATCATGAGTTTCTGGAGTGTTAGGAGGCGGATTTGACTCTGTTGAAGTCTGAAGAACCATTGGAGTAGTGCTAAGTGCATTATGCTCATGTCTGTTCAACTTTTGGCCAGTAGAATAAATGCTTGGGGTTTTCTACCTACTTAGCTATCAGTCACTATCCTTCCGATGGCCAATAGGAGCAAAAGGTTTGGGTAAATTATTAATGTAAAGAAAGCTGAATCAAATTCCTAGGTTGTCTAAGTATAATATCCCAGCAATTGTATTGGGTGACTAGAAACTTATAAATGATTAGTGACAAAAATTTGGCTCAATTTTGTATAATATTTATCAATTTATCTCATACATAGGCTATATCTACTGTATTACTTTAAAAAAAATGTATGTTTGTGTGTGGTCTACTATGATGTCATGTAATGCATGCCCCTGACATGTACTGAATGCTCCCTAATGACTTCATGATGACTAGTTTTAAGGAAGAAAATAAAATTTAAAAAAGGAAGTGAGCATAAGCAAAGAGGGAAGAAAGGAAAGTGATCAGGATGAGGAGATGGTGAATACAACCAGAGACTGGCCTGGTCATTGCTTTCCTAACCTTCATATATGGATCTCTTAGTATCATTATACAGTTTTGTTTAAAAATATTATTTTTGTAAAAGCATCATAGCTGTTATTTATTTATTTTTGAGACGGAGTTTCGCTCTTATTGTCCAGGCTGGAGTGCAATGGTGTGATCTCAGGGTCACCGCAACCTCCGCCTCCCGGGTTCAAGCAATTCTCCTGCCTCAGCCTCCCAAGTAGCTGGGATTACAGGCATGCACCACCACACCTGGCTAATTTTGTATGTTTTTTAGTAGAGACGGGGCTTCTCCCTGTTGGTCAGGCTGGTCTCGAACTCCTGACCTCAGGCAATTAAACTACTAAAATTAAGTATTTGAGAGCATGAAAGATAATTTAAAAAGCATGTACTGTAAACCAACCAAAAACAGATAATCTTGGAAATAAATTTTTCCTTAGTATTCTTTAAAATAATAAAATATACTGCAAAATTTTCAAGCATTTCCAAATCTTACTTTGTCATGCAATACTTGCTTATGCAGCAGTGACCTTGTTGATGCTATGTACAATCTGTCATTTTATGGATTATCCCTACTAGGTAGATGTTAACCACTTCTTGACAAGAAAGGCAGGACACAGAAAGTTGAATGGTTTGTCTTGGTTTCTCACAAAATAAGAAATAATCAGAATGAGATTTTTATGGTGTGGGCTCTCCTGCCTGATTTATTATTTTGAACTTTTTATGTGGTTCTGTCTATGGAGAAATTGAAAAGTAAACAGATTTAGGGACTGATTGCTGTATATACATTGTTTTCAGACCATAGGAGAGACAAACTTCCAGTTCCAGTTATTTCTGTTTAACATTTCTCTGCAAATCAGCAAGGCTTGTTTTATCCAGGCTTGGCCAAGTTAAATATATTCCCTGTATTTTTCCCTTATGTTTGGATATCTAGCAAAATATTCCTCATTATACTGTTTATTGAAGTGAAAACTTGTATGTGATTGTATGAATGCCTAATAGTCTTGAAGTAAAGGCCATCAAATTCAATAATGCCTGGAGAGATTGCATGTATTCTTCTCTACCACATATTTATAGCATTTGTTTGGAGTGCCAAAATTTTTGTTTTAGTTCTATAGATAAGAATTTCTCAAAATTTTTTAAGATTTTTCAATTTCTCCTAAACATAATACATAAGGAACACTTTTTGGATAAATGCTGTGTAAAGTTAGCAAACAAAAACAAAAACAAAAACATTATTTTCTTTTACCGTGTCCCCTGATCTCAAATCTTTTCATTTCTCTGTTTGTTTGTTTTAAATGTAATTTTAGAGGGCTGCTGAAGTATCAAACTAATTTAGATACCCACCCTCCCGGCTGCATCAGTCTTAACCGAACCAGCTCTCAGAATATTTCCTTACCAGAGTATTTCTCAGAACATTTTCATGAACCTTTCCCTGAAGGATTTTCAAAACCGGCAGAGTTTACCCAGCACAAATTTGTGAAGATTTGTATGGAAGAGCCCAGATTCCAAGCTAATTTTCCACAGGTCAGATTAATTTTGTGTTTGATCTCCACAAAGTTTGTTTCCATTTGACTGATCAACATCACATATAAATGTGTTTTTCAAGCTATATATTCATGCATAATAGGATATTTCAGGATGTTTCAACAGTAAGTTAGTACCTATTATTCCATTACAGGTACCTGAGAGTTCAATGCAAAAGGTCTATGATATTAGAGGATATATAACATTTCTACTTAACTGACCATATGACCTTTGCATACAACAGCATTGGTGCTTGCAGCCAAGAGATGACAAATATTTTTTCCCATCATTTGAGAAAAGCTGATTGAATAATAAAAATAGTAGTTAAAAAAACCTACCACCAATACCACAAATTATTATTTTATTGTATTATATTATTATGTATAATATTGTAAATAGTAAATAGCAAAATCAATTTATTGAATGCTTAATATTATCTGCCAGGCATTGTGCTAAAATGTCCTGTATGCCTAATACAGAACACTTATTAGACATACAGAATGTTTCTTGCAATATTCGCAATGACTATTTGAAGTAATTAATATCACCCTCGATTTTCTGATAAAGAAATTGTACTTACCTTGATCAAAATCTCCAAACCAGTAAGTGGCAGAGGAAGCATGTAAACCCAGGTCTTTGACTAATATGCTTGCTCCTGGTAAACGTCCATAAGTATTCAGCGATTAGTTCAATAAGGGCCCTTATCTTCCTCTGTGCCTGTGAGAACTGCCCCCGTGCAAATTACACCTTTTATTCCTCACCTATAAAAAGTGGAAGTAGGAAATAGTGATGTCAAATGTCTCTATTGGAAGAGAAGAAAGAGAAGTCAAAAGCTAGAATGAATTTGTAGATGACTTTGGAATAGTGTATTAGTCGTGTTTATTATTATTAATAATAATCCTCTAGATCCCTATTAGCCTCTATAATTTTCAGAACTTTTCTGAGTTTCACATAATATTCACAAATATTAGGGCAGGTATGGCGACTCCCATTTTGCTCATGTGGGACCTGACACTCAAAGAGTAAGTGATTGTCTCAAAGGTGCAAGGCTGCTACATTGCAGACCTTGTCTTGTAGTGCTACTCATAACACAGTGTGGGGCTAAATGTTATTATATGCAGAAGAGGCATGGTCTGTCTGCATGAAAGAAGGAAGATTTGAAACAACTAAAGTGAGGCTTTAAAAAGTGACCATTAAGACAAGTTTTAGTTGGAGGCCTCAAAGGGATGTGAAAGATAAAGTGTGTAATTTTAGGAGAACAGTAAGCCACATAGGCTTCTGCACTTCCCAAAGTTTGCATGTGTCCTGGGATCAGGGCTAACCATGCAACACATATTCAAAACTGTCATGGTTTCCAAATTATAAATATTATTTTATGTTCTTATTATATTATATAAAAGTAAGTGGTAAACAACATGCCTAGCATATTGCATCTTTAAACATATGTGCTATACATATTTAACATATATATATATACATATTATATGTATGTATATTATGCATATACATTATGTACATTAAAAATCTAGGGTTTTCTTATTTAATAAACATTAGACTGTTACCTTATTTCTAAAATTATCCCCAGATTTATCGGAGATTGTTAACTCCCCTTTATTCTTTTATTAAATATATTGTGTATATACATTACATATCTGTAGGCATAGAAAGGTGTATGAAAGAATATATACTTGTTTGCTCATGGATAGTTACACCCAGGGCATGAGATTGAGGGTAGGGTCTTGATATTACTTTCTGTTTTATTTTATACTTTTGTTTGTTTGAATGATAGTGAGCATCTATTATTTTTTACTCATTTGTTATGTTTTCTTATTTAAAATACAAATTAAAATACTATTACTGTAATGTATGCAATAAGCAATTGGGCAGGGTGTAGATTTCTACAATATGAGTATTTCTTGAAGTATATTTTCAAAAATTTGTCTTAGACTTGGCTTTGGATTTCTGGACCTTTGTGCCTGTACTGTGCCGAAAGACTTTACAGGTATATCCGGAGCAATAAGCCAGTCACCATCATTTCGGTCATGAGTCATCCCTCAGATGTCATGGAAATCCGAATGGTCAAAGAAAATTTTAAAGCAAGACCTGGTCAGGTGAGTCAGTGGTCAGCAACTTTTTAAATAGCCTTTATCCTTATGTAATTTTTGGAATTTAGCAAACATAGCATCATTGAAATAGTTGAAATTCTTAATTGGTCATTTAAAACTTATCTGTTTGTTGCTTTTTAGTATATTACTCTACATTGTCCCAGTGTATCTGCATTAGAAAATCATCCATTTACCCTCACAATGGTAAGAAACATATCTCTTGCTTTTTCACATTTGTAGGGTGCTATGCATATTTTTCTTTTTTTGTGTCCTGTCTCATTCTAAAAGGTATTCAAGGCTATCATAGTACTCTTGATGTTTAAGTAAGCTATCTTTTTACAAGGAAAATAGTTATCTGCTCAAGAACTGTGTAACTACACTTTATTATTTTTTGACACCTTGCAATTCAGGAAGTAATGAATTAAAACGTATTAAAGCTTGTTGATTCAAAATATAGGCCAAGCACAGTGACTCAGGCCTGTAATCCCAGCACTTTTGGAGGTCAAGGTAGGAAGACCACTTGAGCCCCGGATTTCAAGATCAGCCTGAGAAACATAAGGAGACACTGTTTCTACAGTAAATAAAAAAAAAAAGCCAGATGTGGTGGTACACATCTGTAGTCCCAGCTACTAGGAAGGCTGAGGCAGGAGGATTGCTTGAGCCCCAGTGTTTGAAGTTTCATTGAGCCTTGATCCCACCACTGCTCTCCAGCCTGAGCAAGAGAGTGAGACCTTGTCTCAAAAAACAAATATATATATATATATATATATATATATATATATATATATTTAATTTCTTGAATATTTACTTTTCTCCTTTTATGGAGTATTTTAATGTATATGGAAATCTTATATATGCACAATTTTCTTTGGAGATGGAATTTAGGGGAAATACGGATACTCTGGGTTGAGGTGGAAACATTAAACAAAACAGGCAGTGTTTAGAAAAGGTAAAATCCAGTGTAATGGGAGAGAGAATGGAAATAAAATTAGAAAAATCAAATGGAGTAAATAATGGCATGGGAGGGCATCTAGCTAAATAATGGACACCATCAAATATGATTAGCTAGTCAGCATATCATTTAATATTATTATAATTATAAAAATAGCATGAGTTCATTATAAACATTTAGACAATTCACAGATATAAAATAAAATACAAACTTAAAAAAATTTTTCCCCACTTTCCAATCCTTTTCTCTACTGTTTGACATATGTCTTTCCAGATATTTTCCCATATGCTTCTGCATACATGAGTTTCTAACATTTATTTGCTGGATCATATTGTTTTGTAACTGGCTCCTTTCACTCAACTACATGTGATGGACATCTTTCCATATTACTGTATGTGCCTCATTCATGTTAATGACCATATAATATTTCACAGTAGGAAAGTACTGTAATTTATTTAATATTCTCATTGAAGTTGGATATTTGGACTTTATTCATTTTCTAAGAAAGATAATTGAGAACAGAGACCACATGTTTAAATGTATACTTAAGAAAGATAGCAAAACTATTTTATATATATGGTATGTATACATGCAGACAGATGGGAACATGTTGTAAAGCATGTTGTAAAACATGTTCCCATCTGTCTGCATCTATACATCCCATATACATGAAATTGGTAACATGAAAATAGAAGGGAATAATTGAAAAGGGAGAAAATACACAAGTAAGTTTGTCTTTACTTAAATAACTTAAGAAGTTTTGCCTAATCCTGAGTTCATAAGAAATTTACTTCAGATTGCCCTGGCCAGAACTTCCAACACTATGGTGAATAGGAGCGGTGAGAGAGGGCATCACTGTCTTGTGCCAGTTTTCAAAGGGAATGCTTCCAGTTTTTGCCCATTCAGTATGATATTGGCTGTGGGTTTGTTATAAATAGCTCTTATTATTTTGAGATACGTTCCATCAATATCTAGTTTATTGAGAATTTTTAGCATGAAGGGCTGCTGAATTTTGTTGAAGGCCTTTTCTGCATCTATTGAGATAATCAAGTGGTTTTTGTCTTTGGTTCTGTTTATGTGATGGATTACATTTGTTGATTTGCATATGTTGAACCAGCCTTGCATCCCAGGGATTAAGCCAACTTGATCTCGGTGGATAAGTTTTTTGATGTGCTGTTGGATTCGGTTTGCCAGTATTTTATTGAGGATATTTGCATCAATGTTCATCAGGGATATTGGTCTACAATTCTCTTTATTTGTTGTGTCTCTACCGGGCTTTGGTATCAGGATGGTGCTGGCCTCATAAAATGAGTTAGGGAGGATTCCCTCTTTTTCTATTGATTGGAATAGTTTCAGAAGGAATGGTACCAGCTCCTCTTTGTACCTCTGGTAGAATTTGGCTGTGAATCTGTCTGATCCTAGACTTTTTTTTGGTTGGGAAGCTGTTAATTACTGCCTCAATTTCAGAGCCTGTTATTGGTCTTTTCAGGGATTCAACTTCTTCCTGGTTTAGTCTCGGGAGGGTGTATGTGTCGAGGAATTTATCTATTTCTTCTAGATTTTCTAGTTTATTTGTGTAGAGGTGTTTATAGCATTCTTTGATGGTAGTTTGTATTTCTGTGGGATCAGTGGTCATATCCCTTTTATTATTTTTATTACATCTATTTGATTCTTCTCTCTTTTCTTCATTATTCTTGCTAGCAGTCTATCAATTTTGTTGATCTTTTCAAAAAACCAGCTTCTGCATTCATTGATTTTTTGAAGTGTTTTTTGTGTCTCTCTCTGCTTCAGTTCAGCTCTGATCTTAGTTATTTCTTGCCTTCTGCTAGCTTTTGTATTCGTTTGCTCTTGCTTCTCTAGTTCATTTAATTGTGATATTAGGGTGCCAATTTTAGACCTTTCCTCCTTTCTCTTGTGGGCATTTAGTGCTATAAAGTTCTCTCTACACACTGCTTTAAATGTGTCCCAGAGATTCTGGTATATTGTGTCTTTGTTCTCATTGGTTTCAAAGAACATCTTTATTTCTGCCTTCATTTCATTATTTACCCAGTAGTCATTCAGGAGCAGTTTGTTCAGTTTCCATGTAGTTGAGCAGTTTTGAGTGAGTTTCTTAATCCTGAGTTCTAACTTGATTGCACTGTGGTCTGAGAGACAGTTTGTTGTGATTTCTCTTCTTATACATTTCCTGAGGAGTGCTTTACTTCCAGCTATGTGGTCAATTTTGGAATAAGTGTAATGTGGTGCTGAGAAGAATGTATATGCTGTTGAATTGGGGTGGAGAGTTCGTAGATATCTATTAGGTCCGCTTGGGGCAGAGCTGAGTTCAAGTCAAGGATATCCTTGTTAACCTTCTGTCTCATTGATCTGTCTAATATTGAAAGTGGGGTGTTAAAGTCTCCCACTATTATTGAGTGGGAGTCTAAGTCTCTTTGTAGGTTTCTAAGGACTTGCTTTATGAATCTGGGTGCTCCTGTATTGGATGCATGTATATTTAGGATAGTTAGCTCTTCTTGCTGAATTGATCCCTTTACCATTATGTAATGGCCTTCTTTGTCTCTTTTGATCTTTGTTGGTTTAAAGTCTGTTTTATCAGAGACTAGGATTGCAATCCCTGCTTTTTTTTGTTTTCCATTTGCTTGGTAGATCTTCCTCCCTCCCTTTATTTTGAGCCTATGTGCATCTCTGCACGTGAGATGGGTTTCCTGAATACAGCACACAGATAGGTCTTGACTCTTTATCCAATTTGCCAGTCTGTGTCTCTTAATTGGGGCACTTAAAGGGTATTCAGTTAGGAAAAGAGGAAGTCAAATTTTCCCTGTTTGCAGATAACATGATTGTATATTTAGAAAACCCCATCGTCTCAGCCCAAAATCTCCTTAAGCTGATAAGCAACTTCAGCGAAGTCTCAGGATACAAAATCAATGTGCAAAAATCATAAACATTCCTATACACCAATAACAGACAAACAGAGAGCCAAATCATGAGTGAACTCCCATTCACAATTGCTTCAAAGAGAATAAAATACCTAGGAATCCAACTTACAAGGGATCTGAAGGACCTCTTCAAGGAGAACTACAAACCACTGCTCAACAAAATAAAAGAGGACACAAACAAATGGAAGAACATTTCATGCTCATGGACAGGAAGAATCAATATCATGAAAATAGCCACACTTCCCATGGTAATTTATAGATTCAATGCCATCCCCATCAAGCTACCTATGACTTTCTTCACAGAATTGGAAAAAACTACTTTAAAGTTCCTATGGAACCATAAAAGAGCCTGTATTGCCAAGACAATCCTAAGCCAAAAGAACAAAGCTGGAGGCCTCATGCTACCTGACTTCAAACTATGCTACAAGGCTACAGTAACCAAAACAGCATGGTACTGCTACCAAAACAGAGATATAGACCAATGGAACAGAACAGAGCCCTCAGAAATAACACCGCACATCTACAACCATGTGATCTTTGGCAAACTTGACAAAAACAAGCAATGGGGAAAGGATTCCCTATTTAATAAATGGAGCTGGGAAAATTGGCTAGTTGTATGTAGAAAGCTGAAACTGGATCCCTTCCTTACACCTTATACAAAAATTAATTCAAGATGTATTGAAGACTTAAATGTTAGACCTAAAACCATAAAATCCCTAGAAGAAAACCTAGGCAATACCATTCAGGACATAGGCATGGGCAAGGACTTCATGACTAAAACAGCAAAAGCCAAAGCAAAAAAAGCCAAAATAGGCAAATGGGATCTAATTAAACTAAAGAGCTTCTGCACAGCAAAAGAAACTACCATCAGAGTGAACAGGCAACCTACAGAATGGGAGAAAATTTTTGCAATCTACCAATCTGGCAAAGAGCTAATATCCAGAATCTACAAAGAACTTAGACACATTTACAAGAAAAAAGCAAACAACCCCATCATAAAGTGGGCAAAGAATATGAACAGACACTTCTCAAAAGAAGACATTTATGCAGCCAACAGACACATGAAAAAATGCTCATTATTACTGGCCATCACAGAAATGCAAATCAAAACCACAATGAGATACCATCTCACACCAGTTAGAATGATGATCATTAAAAAGTCAGGAAACAACAGATGCTGGAGAGGATGTGGAGAAATAGGAATGCTTTTACAGTGCTGCTGGAAGTGTAAACTAGTTCAACCATTGTGGGAGACAGTGTGGCGATTCCTCAGAGATCTAGAACTAGAAACACCATTTGACCCTGTGATCCCATTACTGGGTATATACCCAAAGGATTACAAATCATGCTACTATAAAGACACATGCACACGTATGTTTATTGCGGCACTATTCACAATAGCAAAGACTTGGAACCAACCCAAATGTCCATCAATGATAGAGTGGATTAAGAATATGTGGCACATATACACCATGGAATGCTATGCAGCCATAAAAACAGATGAGTTCATGTCCTTTGTAGGGCCATGGATGAAGCTGGAAACCATCATTCTGAGCAAACTATCACAAGGACAGAGAAGCAAACACCACATGTTCTCACTCATAGGTGGGAATTGAAGAATGAGAACACTTGTACACAGGGCGGGGAACATCACAAACCAGGGCCTGTCATGGGGTGGGGGGCTAGGGGAGGGATAGCGTTAGGAGAAATACCTAATGTAAATGACGAGTTTATGGGTGCAGCAAACCAACGTGGCACATGTATACATATGTAACAAACCTGCACGTTGTGCACGTGTACCCTAGAACTTAAAATATAATAATAATAAAAAAATTACTTCAGAAATTAACCTTCCCTTGTGTTGGCAACTTTATTTTGAAAATCATTTCTTCACCATAACATTAAATAGGAAATATGGAATAAGAAAAGAAATCAGTTGCTGAGTGTCAAGTACAGAGCAGCAAGAGTTTTTTTTTTGTTGTTTTTTAAACTATTTTTCAACATAAACAAAAGTAGAGAGAATAGTATAATGAATCCTTGTATTCATAAAAAATATAGAGGTTAGTTTACTTTTTAGTATATACTCAATCACTGAAAACTTTTTTACTTTCTTAAAACAGTGTATCAAAGAATTTTTCACCTATGTTCACACTGAAGAGAGGCTTCTAGATCAATTTCTTTCAGCAGGCCTAGGCCCTTTTCACAAGGCAAAGGGAAAACACAAAAGAAGTAGTGTGTAGAGCTGGAAGGGCTTTAAGTAAGTCCCTTCTATGGCCTGGCCTGCTTCTTAAGATGTGATTATGGTAACAGATGTGATAGCCCTGTGGCCAGCTTGAGGCAAAGATGGGAAGAAAAGGAAGAGGAGAGAAGTGAATGTAGGTACAGACAGAAGAAAAGGAACTGGAGGTAGAAGACGACTGAGAAAGGAAAATTGAATTATATGTGAAATAAAATAGTAGTAACTATTCAGACAAAGGGCAAGGATTTTAGAACTCAATTCCAGATCCCTCACTTGTTACTTCTGTGTCTGTGAATGTATCTCTCAACCTTGCTAAGGCTCAGTTTCATCATCTGCAAAACAGTGCTAGTGATACTTACCTGGAAGGGCATCTTTGATATTGTCAATATTAGTTTATAAAATAATGTGTATAAAACCCTTGGCACATCATTAGTGGTCAATACTTGGTAATACAGATATTATTATTACTTTCATAATCTTAAAATACCTGGTTTTAACTTGGATTATTGCTTTCATTTCTGAAATTATGCTTTTTTTGAGAAGCAAGTACAAGACATGAGCATGTGGCTTTTCAACTTGAAAATGAGAAACGGGAATATGAAAGTAGTCTCAGGTACTGAAAATCTGTCGTGTGGGTGAAAGATTTGATTTTTTTTTTCCTTTGGGATCCCAATAGGCAGAAAGTTTTAGGAAAATACATTTTTATTTAACATAATAAAGACATTTCTAACAATGAGACCAGTCTAGAAATTACAAAGAGCTATCTCACAGAAGTGTTTGCAAGGATTATTGCACTAGATCAGGATTTTTCAATCATGGCAGTATTGACATATTGGATCAGACAATTCTTCGATAGGATGTGTTGTTCTGTGTATTATAGGATGTTTTGCAGCATCTTTAGCCCTGACCCACTAGAAGCCAATAGTATCCCCCACTGTGACTTCCAAAAGTGTCTCCAAATGTAGCCAGATGCCTTTTGAGGGGCAAAATCACCTACAGTTGACAACCACCGCATTAGATCGATAGTTGTCCAACATAGCTTCCAGTGCTAAAGGTCTTCAGCACTTTAGAGGCCACTGTGAGAAAGGAGAATTTAAGCACAATAGAGAATTTGAGGGATGGGAGTGCTTATCTTTTGTTCTGGGGACACCGATCATGTCAGTGAGAACAGCTCACTTCCAAATGGTCTCTGTTATGAGGATTCTGCTAAAGTACTCATATAAACATCATCATCTAAAAACATATTTTGCTTACTCAACTTGAATCCTTTTTGGAATTCCATGAAAATTATTTTGGTTACCATGAGCTCCTGAATACTTTCATGTCATGTAGACCTTTGAAAGAGAATTTGATTACTTTTAAAATTCAGAATTCTTTTTTTTCATATTCACTGTCATCAATGCCCAAATAACAGTTTGGATATGAATCAAAAGGAAAAGTGGGATAGCAGTATAAAACTCTAACACGTTCATCAATAATTAAAATGACATGAGGATAGCCTCATGTACTTGATATTTTTGTCATATAAATGAAAGGTTTGTTCTTTCCCCCTGTGGAATCTCGAAGTGTGGAAATAAGAACAGTACATTGTTCTTGGAGAACAAATACTGGTTTAGTGACCACTTTGGGAAATAATGTGTTTGGGTTGGTGAAAAAAGACAAGAGAGCTTTTCCTCACCTCACGGAAGCTCCATTAGTTATATGAGGCTCTGGAGCCTCCCTATGGGTTGCCTCCTACAGCAAAGGACATCTCACCCCGGGCCTTCACTCTTGAGGTGGCCCAGGGAGCCCTCAGTATGAAGGCTCTGAGTCCATTGCAGGCTTGTTTCAGAAGATTCAGGTTCAGAAGTGCAAGAGATGAAGATAAAGAGGTTGGGTGTGTACAGTCTATATCCATCATAGTTTTTCTTTTCTTACTTTTTCATTTAAGAAAAAAAATTGTCTTATTTCTTCTGGTTCTGTAAGAATATTTTACCAAAATGACAGAGAGGAGAAAAAAGGATAATTGTAGTAAAGCAGGTTATTGGAGACCACTTCTTCCATTCTTTTAAAGAAAGATTGTTCTCTGGAAATTATCCCAGGTCGGGAGAGGGGGCACAGGAGGAAGGAAGGAAGGAAAGAAGGAAGGAAGGAAGGAAGGAAGGAGAAGGGGAAGGGGAAGGGGAAGGGGAAGGGAAAAGGAAAAAGGAAGGAGAGAATGAAATAAAATACATTTTTCAATGGCCTAGTTTGGAAAATGCTGATTAATATGTATTTTAAAGTGCATAGTGCCTACTAATGTATTAATGGTTTTGAGGAGTTCTTTAATATATAATCTCATTAATTTTTTTTCTTTCTTTCTTTTTTTTTTTTTTTTTGAGACAAGGTCTGCCTCTGTCACCCAGGCTGGGCAGCAGTGGTGTGATCATGGCTCACTCCAACTTGGACACCTGGGTTTAGCCTCCTGAGTAGTTGGGACTACAGGCACATGGCACCATGCCTGGCTAAACTTTTTAAAAAATTGTGTAGAGATAGGGCCTCGCTATGTTGCCCAGGCTAATCTCAACCTCCTAGCCTCAAACAATACTCCTGCCTCAGCCTCCCAAAGTGCTGGGATTACAGGCATGAGCCACCCCATGCCGCCAATCCCATTAAATTTTGTTCACTCATTTAGTTAATGCTTTCTCATTTTCCCACTTTTGGGTCTCACCCTGGGAAACAACCTCATTTTCTTCCATGTATTCACACCTTAAACTCCACCCATTCTCTTTGTCTGGGAACTCTTACTCATCCTTCACATCTCATCTTCATATCACTTCTGCTGAGGAGCCTTCACTGACCCTTCCCTATTAGATTAAGTTTCCTGACCTTTCCTTTTATGAGCATCCCATGTACACTCTTCAACACCAGTCATTAAATTATTTGTTTAATTAATATCTGTTCTCCTCATAGACCATAAGCTCCATGAGCCCTTTGAAAGATGAATTCATAGCACAGTATGTGGTGCATAATCAATGCATATCTGTTGAAAGAGTAAAAACCACCTAATATATAGAGTTCAGGACCTAGCTTGAGAAATGCTTTGTAGACAGAGCCTCCTTCCCCCATCTCTTTATAGCACAGTCTTCCTTAGAGGGTGCAACTACAGAAAAGGAAATGTTGGAGGGATAAAGAAGAAAGGAGAAATATTTATTTCCAAAGTGGCTCTCATTTGGAGTAGACTGAGTCAGAATAGAGTATTTAATTAAAGTCTAATATTTGAGATCATGGTGCTTATTTCTCTCTAACAAAAGAGGAGGGGAAAATGTACCTATGGCAAAGGTCTTTAGAAAGAACCACCAAAGACAAATAGACGCAATTTGTGGATTATATCTGGTCTATGATGAAGTCATTTTTCACCTCACCTCCCTTATTCTCAGCACAAATAATAACAGAAAATTACTTGCTCCTAATTCTGTGCTTATCTGACAAATGCCGTCAATATTTCTTGGATTCATCTAGCACCTTGTAGGCTGAAGTAGAACTTGACTCTACAAGGTTAGGTTTTGCATTCACATTCATTCATATTTTAAACATCAGTTTCTGTATGTTTTACTTATGCTTTATTAAATCTCAATTATAAATACTAACTGTTTTCTTAAAACCACTCTATCTCATAGATATTTTAAATTGTTACAATAGTTGGCTTTAAATAAAATTTTAAGGCAAAGAAATTATTTTTATCAGACCATCTGTTTATCATGTAGGCTTAGGAAGTGGTTTATAGCTTCCCCAGATTTGGGGGGTTACAAGCTCGCTCATTTGTACTATCCCCCAAGGGAGTTTTTGTTTTCATAAGTGGAAAATAGGCAAACTTGCTGCTACCTAGAAATGAATTTGAGTAGGGCAAATATTTCTAAGCTAAATTTTACATTATGCTATTATGCTAATTTACAGTCTCTTCCTGCCATTTCCTTCTCTGTCCAATTACTTCTATTTGGCACTTAGAAATGTAAAATGCATGCTTTCAAACATTTTCACTGCATAGTTGTCTTAAGAGTTCCCTTGAAGTAAAACAAAGCAATTTCCCATATGGTGATTCCCACTAAACAGTGAGTATCACATCTTTGTCAAAGATAATAGTACCTACTAATTAAGTGCCTAAGAGGTTCTTTCATAGCTTTTGCAAATATTATATTATTTAATTCTTATTATATTCCTATGAGACACGTATTGTTAACTCGGTGACACAGAAAAGAATGTGGCTCAGAGAGACTAAATAGCATGCCCAAAGTCACACATTTAGTTGAGGTAGAGGTGAGATACAAACACAGACCTGTCTGGCTGAAGGCATGTTATTAACTGTTCTGCACTGTCTCTCTCCTGCCACACTATCCTTCCATGCTGAGGGCTTTCATATTGCTAACACTGCTCTTACTTTTGGACATCTATGTTGCTGGAGTCAGAAAACAAAAATAAGTAAAATTACCATTTCGAACTGAGGTTTATTGAAAGCACAAATATGTGTTTTCTATAGTAATGTGAAAGCTTTCGATTGTCCATACTACTAAGCTCTTCTAATATTGTGAAGTGGTGAAATTTGAATAAATCCCCCTGTTTTTAAAAAGTCTAATACTTATTTTCATATACTGTGCCAGTTAGAAACAATCAAATCAATAATATATACAGCTATTACAAATTCAGTAGTTTGAGTTTTAGCTCACTTTTTAAGATGGAGATTAAGCTTTTCATACTGAAAGTATAACTTCAAAGTACAAAAGACAGGGCACAGAAATACTATTTTGGTCAAGGTAAAGCTAAGCTTTAAGCACGAATTTATTAGGAGGGCAAAGGTTGGAGTTTTGATTATTTAAAATGCTTCACTATTTTTCATACATGTCATTGACTTCCCTACACAAGAAGGATATCCTGATTTGATGGGTTTTCCAAGGAAATTGTGATTGTTTCTTGCTGTGGTACACCTATATTTTCTCATGGTAAAATCTCACACACATGTTTGCTGACAAGATTGATGGAAATTATAGGACCTTATGTAGTATCAGATCATGGATTTTGGAATACCACAGCTTGGGATGGAGACCTGTATGCTCTACTTCCTAGTATTATGACTGTGGACATGAAAATTAACATAATCTTTTGTTTACTTCTTTATAAAAGTGCAGTTAATGATAGCAACTTCTCCATGGAGTTACTCTGAATATTAATCCAAAACATATAATTAAGTGGTATGTGTGGTGCTTGGAATATAGTAAACTCTCCATAAGTGGATTTAGTTATGGTTGTTTCAGATAGTGACTAAGGGACCAAAGACATGGATTAAATTAAGATTTTTTGCCTCGTTCTTCAGTATGTAGTAACTGACTAAGCTTTGGCCACAGATTGGTGTAGAAACAGTCATTTGAGGGGAACTGATGACTTATTTGCCTTTTATGGTCTTCTAGCCTTAAGGATGAATGACGTTTTAGGTTAGGTTTCCTTGAAAACAGGCTGGCAGGCATATTGCATGCAGCAGATTTGTTGGGAAGGATGCTTAGGACAACAGTCAATAACGATTGACTAAAAAGGCAAGGCAGAACTTGAACTATGTGATACAGGTCCATAGAGGTCTCAGAAGATCTGACAGGAGCTCTGCAGATGAAATGATAGCTTATAGTGTCCTGTCTTGAAGTCAGGGGGCCAAATCTTTGTAACCCCCAACTGACCAGTCATTGGATTTGAGATACCTCCATGGTGAGGCACTTAGACATAGGCAAGGAAGCTTTGTTCTGTGGATTCCTGGGGCAGGTCTCAGTGGTGAGCCCTCCCAGGCAACCTTTTCAGAAGCTGGAAGAATGGTGAATGAGTGTGTTGATCCTGGAAGTTGGGCAGAGGTTGGGAAGGGAAAGGGTCTGAGCAGTGCAGCACAGTGTCCATTAAGTAGCTTTTAAAAACATAGATCGTTTATGAGATAATTCTCCATTTTTAAAACTAGAAATTAAATTTGAGGTACATATAAACTCTAGTTTATCTATACTAATTGAACTTTAAAAATCTGTTGTCCAAACTACAAATTTATTTACATTTGAGAAGTCTAAAGCATAGACTGTTGAAGTGACCAAAGTAATCAAAATAATACAATCAATAGCTGGAACCCATTTGTTGACTCTTCTCCTGCTTTACACCTTTATTGATTTAAAACCTGTGTAGAATGTAACGTTTTGTTCTTCAAGTATGTAATGGATGTCTGCAAGTATTTTCCAGCTGTGCTCTGTGATTACCAAATTTAAGACTTTCTACCAAATCAAATCCTTTATTAAGGTGTGCTCTCACCTAATTTACCTGTATAAATTAGAGATGATTGGAAAAAGCCCTAACGTAAGAGAGCAAGAAACCTAGTGCTTCCTACAAAATGTAGCATCTTTTCATATTTAGCTGAGGTAGACATTATTTTCATACTAATTTCATGGATTCTCAATTATGGAAATAATGCAGAATCTGCCTTTTAAATAGAAGTAATGAATCGATGTTTACATGAATACCTCTTTATTCTTCTGTTATTATTTTTATTCAGGAACAAACTGTCACATGCGTCCCTGTGAAGAGACCACCAAACAGGCTTTGTGTGAGCAATAAAGCTTTTTAATCACCTGGGTACAGGCAGGCTGAGTCTGAAAAGAGAGTCAGTGAAGGGAGACAGGGATGGGGCCATTTTATAGGATTTGTGTAGGTAATGGAAAATTACAGTCAAAGGTGGTTGTTCTCTGGCGGGCAGGGATGGGGGTCACAAGGTGCTCAGTGGGGGAGCTTCTGAGCCAGGAGAAGGAATTTCACAAGGTAATATCATCAGTTAAAGCAGGAACCGGCCATTTTCACTTAGTCTGTGACTCTTCAGTTACTTCAGGCCATCTGGATGTATACATGCAGTCTTGGGCTGAGAGGCCTGACATTCCTGTCTTCTTATATTAATAAGAAAAATAAAACAAAATAGTGGTAAAGTGTTGGGGTGGCGAAAATTTTTGGGGGTGGTATGGAGAGATAATCGGCGATGTTTCTCAGGGCTGCTTCAAGCAGGATTAGGGGTGGCATGGGAATCTAGAGTGGGAGAGATTAAGCTGAAAGAAGATTTTGTGGTAAGGGGTGATATTGTGGGATTGTTAGAAGAAACATTTGTCGTATAAAATGATTGGTGAGGGCCTGGATATGGTTTTGTATTAATTGAGAAACTAAACAGAAGACACAAGGTCCAAATAAGAGAAGGAGAAAAACAAGTATTAAAGGACTAAGAATTGGGAGGACCCAGGACATCCAATTAGAGAGTGTCCAAGGGGGTTCAGCATAATTACTTGCTTGGTTGGAGAGTTTTTGGGGCTCTATCCTTGAGTTTTTTTATGTTGTCATACAGCAGGCCAGATTGATTTAGGTAAAAACAACACTCTTCATTTAAAAATAGAGTCCTCTTTTTTTAGCAGTGAGTAAGTCGAGGCCTCCACGATTTTGGAGGAAAGAGAAATGCAAAGCCAGCAATTGTTTAAGAAGGATTAGAAATGGCTAGGAGAGAGTGAGGGAGATTGATGGTGTGGTGGGGATAGTTGGGGAGAGGTAGAGTGTGGCATAAGAATGGGAACAAGAATAACAGTGCGTATAAAAGTAAAGAATAGGACTTCATCAGGGTGAAAGTTTTGGAGGGTACCCTGTCAGCAAAGATCATCTATCCTCTTTAAGAGAGAATTAAGGGTGGCAGTTTGAGGTAAAACCAGGAGATATCAGTTATGATGGTTTGAAGGAAAAGTGTAAACTGGCAGTGTAAACAAGGGCAGGATATTTATGAGTAGTTGAGAATGATGAATAGGAGTTTGACTAGACAGAAGATAGTAGGGATGACAAATTTTTGGGGTGTGGTTCAAGTTGGGCTGGTGTCTAGAATGAGACTGGGGCCTAATAAAAAGGAGCATCCATACAGGAGCTCAAATAGGCTATACCCTGTAGCATCCTGAGGACAGGCCAGAATTCTGAGAAGGGCAAGTGGTAAAAGTATTGTCCATTCCTTTTTAAGTTGGAGGCTGAGCTTGATGATTTGTGTTTTTAAAAGACCATTAGTCCATTTTACCTTTCCTGAAGATTGAGGACAGTAAGGGGTATGAAGGTTCCACTGAATACCAAGAGCCTGAGAAACTGCTTGGGTGATTTGACTAATAAAGGCCGGTCCATTATTGGACTATGTAGAGGTGGGAAGGCCAAACCAAGGAATTATGTCTGACGGAAGGGAAGAAATGACCATGGTTACCTTCTCAGACCCTGTGGGAAAGGCCTCTATCCATCCAATGAAAGTGTCTACCCAGACCAAGAGGTATTTTAGTTTCCTGACTCGGGTCATGTGAGTAAAGTCAATTTGCCAGTCCTGGTCAGGGGCAAATTCTCGAGCTTGACTTGTAGGGAAGGGAGGGGGCCTGAAAAATCCCTGAGGAGTAGTGGAATAGCAGATGGAACACTAAGAATTGATTTCCTTGAGGATAGATTTCCATGGTGGAAAGAAAATGAGAGGTTTTAAGAGGCAGGCTACCAGCTTGTAACCTACATGAAAGACGTTATGAAATGACAACAGAATAGAATGAGCCTATGAGGCTGGAAGGAGATCCTTGGTCCAAGAACAATTTGCCTTGTTTGGGAAGAGATTGATAGTTGGAAGTTTCAGTGGGGGAGTAGGTGGGAGTGACTGATGAGAAGGAGAAAAACTTCCATGAGGAACAGAAGTTGGAATGCTAGCTGCTTTTTTAGCTACCTTAACAGCATAAGCATTACCCTGAGGGATGGGATCTGATGCCTTTTGATGACCCTTGCAGTGAATGACTCCAGCTTCCTTTGGAAGTAAAGTGGCCTTGAGAAGTGTTTTTATTAAAGAGGCATTAATGATGGAGGAACCTTGCATAGTGAGGAAACTTATTTCTGCCCATATAACAGCATGGTGGTGCAGGATATGGAAGGCATATTTAGAGTCAGTATAAATATTGATGCATAGTCACTTTGCAAGAGTGAGGGCTCCAGTTAAGGTAATGAGTTTGGCTTGCTGAGAGGTAGTGGAGGGGACAGAGCGGTAGCCTCAAGGATAGATGTGGAAGATACTATAGCATAGCCTGCCTTTGCTAATGAGTGGCAATTAGGCCTGGTGGAACTGCCATCGATAAACCAAGTGTGATCAGCGTGAGGAAGAGGAAAGAAGAAAATATGGGGAAATGGAGTGAATGTCAGGTGGATCAGAGAGATACAGTCATGGGGGTCAGGTGTGGTATCTGAAATAATGCGGGGGCCAGCCTAAAACAGTAAGGTCAAGTTGTTTGGACAGAAAGGCTACAGGGTGCGGTCCCAGCTCTTGTGTAAGAATTCTGACTGCACAGCCCTGTACTTTGGCTGTGTGTAATGAAAAATGGTTGGGATGAGTTAGGGAGAGCTAGTGTGGGAGCAGCTTTAGGGATGTTTTTTAAGGAATGGAAAGGGGAGTGGAGAAAGGATTTAGGATCTATGGGGTCACCTAGATTTGCTTTGGTGAGTTTATATAATGGTTTAGTCAGGATGGTAAAAGTAGGTATCCAAAGGCAGAAGTAGCCAACCATGCCTAGGAAGGAAAGGAGTTGTTGTTTTGTAGAAGTGGTTGGGGTTTGGGAGATTAGCCAGACATGATCAGCTGGGAGAGCATGTGTGTTTTCATGAAGAATTATGCTGAGATAGGTAATGGATGAGGAAGAAATTTAGGCTTGACGGAAGTAATGGGGGCTGTCCGTGAAGCCTTGTGGCAGTACAGCCCAGGTAATTTGCTGAGCCTGATGGGTGTCAGGGTCAGTCCAAGTGAAAACGAAGAGAGGCTGGGATGAAGGGTGCAAAGGAATAGTAAAGAAAGCATGTTTGAGATCCAAAACAGAATAATGGGTTGTAGAGGGGTTGTGGAGGGAGGTATTGCAGATAGGAGAGTATATGGGTTTGGCACCATGGGGTGGATAGGCAAAACAATTTGGTTGATAACGCACAGATCCTGAACTAACTTGTAAGACTTGTCTGGTTTTTGGACAGGTAAAATGGGGAATTGTAAGGAGAGTTTATAGGCTTTAAAAGGCCATGCTGTAACAGGCGAGTGATTACAGGCCTTAATCCTTTTAAAGCCTGCTGTGGGATGGGATATTGGTGTTGAGTGGGTTAAAGGTGATTAGGTTTTAATGGGATGGTAAGGGGTGCATGATCAGTCCCCAAGGAGGGAGTAGAGTTATCCTATACTTGTGGATTAAGGTGGAGAGATACAAGGGGAGGATGTAAAGGAGGCTTTGAACTGGAGAAAAGGGTGGCAGTGAGGTGTGGCTATAGCCTAGGAATAGTCAGGGAAGCAGATAATTTAGTAAAAATGTCTCATCCTAATAAGGGAGCTGGGCAGGTGGGGATAACTTAAAAGGAGTGCATAAAAGAATGTTGTCCAAGTTGGCATCAGAGTTGGGGAGTTTTAAGAGGTTTCGAAGCCTGGCTGTCAATACCCACAACAGTTATGGAGGCAAGGGAAACATGCCCTTGAAAAGAAGGTAATGTGGAGTGGGTAGCCTCCGTATTGATTAAGAAGGGGATGGACTTACTTTCCACTGTAAGAGTTACCCAAAGTGTCTGTGATGGTCCAGGAGGCTTCAGAGGCGATCGGGCAGCATTAGTCTTCAGTCACTAAGCCGAGAAGACCTGGGAAGGAGTCAGTCAGAGGGCCTTGGGCCAGAGTTCCAGGGGCTCTGGGAGTAGCTGCTGGGCAAGTTGGACAGTTTGATTTCCAACGGGGTCCCGCATAGATGGGACATGGCTTAGGAGGAATCCTGGGCTGCAGGCATTCCTTGGCCCAGTGGCCAGATTTCTGGCACTTGAAGCAAGATCCTGAGGGAGGAGGTCCTTAAGGAATCCCAGACCGCTGTGGCTTAGGCGTTTTGAAGTTCTTGTGTGCTGCAAATGTGGCTGGGGTTTCTCTTACAGCACAGGCAAGTAATTGCAACTCCTCTGTTATTGAACATCTTGAAGGCGAGGTTGATTAATTCCTGTTGTGGGGTTTCAGGGCCCGATTCTAATTTTTGAAGCTTTTTTTTAATGTTAGGAGCTGACTGGGTGATAAAATGCATATTGAGAATAAGATGACCTTCTGGCCCCTCTGGGTCTAGGGCGGTAAAGGGTCTAAGAATTGTGGCCAAATGGGCCATGAACTGGGCTGGGTTTTTATATTTGATGAAAAAGAGCCTAAATGCTAACTGATTTGGGAGAGGTTGGATAAAGAAAAAGGAGCATTAACCTTGACTATGCCTTTAGCTCCAGCCACCTTTTTAAGAGGAAATTATTGGGCAGGTGGGGGAGGGCTAGTCACAGAACAAAACTGTAAGCCAGACTGGGTGTGAACAGGGGAGGTGACAGAAGAATTATAGGGTGGGGGAGTGGAGTCTGAGGAAGATTTGGAGCCTGATTCAGCCTGGCAGGGAGTGACCTGAGGAGGAGCAGTCTTGGGAGGAGGGGAGAAGTCAGATGGGTCGGTAGAAAAGGAAGATTGAAAAGACTCAGCAACACTTGGGGTTGGGACTGAGGGGACAGGTGGGAGGGAAGGAAGGATTTGGGATGAGTCGCATTGGGAACAGAGACTAGGGAGGGACCAATGTGTAAAAGAATGCCTGGATGTCAGGCACCTCAGACCATTTGCCCATTTTACGACAAAAATTATCTAGATCTTGTACAATGGAGAAATTGAGAGTGTTTTCTGGCTATTTGGAACTATTGTCGAGTTTGTATTGGGGTCAAGTGGCATTGCAGAAGAAAATAAGGCATTTAGGTTTTAGGTCAGGTGTGAGTTGAAGAGGCTTTAAGTTCTTGGAACACAGGCCAAGGGAGAAGAAGGAGGAATGAAGGGTGGAAGGTTGCCCATAGTGAAGAAGGCAAGCCCAGAGAAAAGAAAGGGTAGGGACACGGAGAGAAGGGGTGGGGGGTACCTGCCCTCCCCCCTCAGGAAAGTGGTACTTGCCACTAAGGTGAAGGATCAAGGCAGGAGTCCCTGCGGTGATCAGACACCTCTGAAACGTGGGTGAATAATCAGACAGGTGTCCCCACAGTGATTAAACACCAAGGGAAAACTGTCTTGCCGAGTCCGTGACTGGTGCCGGAGTTTTGGGTTCACGGATAAAATGCATCTCTTCTGTCTCTACCAGAAAAGGAAAGGAACAGAAATTAAGAGAAGAGAGAGACCCAAGGGTGGCACCAAGATTGAAAGGAGAAAGAGGTTGAAGGATAGTGAGAGAGGCTGGAGAAGAGTAAAAAGAGCCTGCTTACCCGATTTAAAATTGGTGATGTTCCTTGGGCTGGTTGGTCTGAGGACCAGAGGTTGTAGGTGGATCTTTCTCATGGAGCAAAGAGCAGGAGGACAGGGGATTGATCTCCCAAGGGAGGTCCCCCCGATCCAAATCACAGCACCAAATTTCACTCATGTCAGCGTGAAAAGACCACCAAACAGGCTTTGCTTAAGCTAAGCAATAAAGCTTTTTAATCACCTGGGTGCAGATGGGCTGAGTCTGAAAAGAGAGCCAAGGTAGGGAGATAGGTTTGGGTCCATTTTATAGGATTTGTGTAGGTAATGGAAAATTACAGTTAAAGGGGGTTGTTCTCTGGCAGGCAGGGATGGGGGTCACAAAGTGCTCAGTGGGGGAGCTTTTGGGCCAGGAGAAGGAATTTCACAAGGTAATGTCATCAAAGGCAGGAACCGGCCATTTTCTCTTCTTTTGTGACTCTTCAGTTACTTCAGGCCATCTGGATGTATACGTGCAGGCTTGGGCTCGGAGGCCTGACACAAACATGCTTTCCTGACATCTGTATTCTAACTTGTGTGATTCATTGTTTTTAAGCTTGAATAACCTGATTTCACATATTTTTCCATGAGTCAGAGGCATGTCTAGCTGTTAGTTTGTTATTGTCTGTACTTTTACATAGCATGCCTGCACTAGCCATCATTTTTCTACTTTGTGTTTTTAATCTTTTAACCAGTCACTTTGGGAAGAGTTTTTCCAGGAATAGTTTTTCCCGTTTTCAAAGAAAACCAGGCAAGAATGGCTATGGATCTCACAAAGACTGGCAACATTTTGTTGCTATTGTTTATTTAATTTAGTGGGTTTAAATGAAACCAGGACATCTGCAGCAGTTTTGATCTCTGGTCTTGCTCTCAACTATTTAAATCTTAAAAATTGTTTTGCTCTATGTTTTCATAATTTTATTGCTTGTCAAAAATCAGCTGGGATACATGATAGGTTAGCATGGTGACAATGTTATCTTAACCATAGATGAAGCAAAGTGGTGAAAATTTCCTGAGAAGATGATTAATGTTCATGAAAAATTAATAGGACATCTGAGTTTCTTGAGATGTAAACATCATCTAACTGCTCTAGTTTGGCTTTTTTCCAAGGGAAATAAAAATATTCCCTTAGTGTCTAATAAGAGTCTACATGATAAGTATGAACTTTAGAAGGTTAGTGTATTTAGGGTAAATCTATTGAATATTGAGCTTAATTTATTCAATCCTTATTTTTGGGTGCCTGTTTTTACCTAAGTACCAAAAGGAAATGATCAATGAAAGTTTCTTTCCTGACTCACATCCCTTCTAGCTACTGCTCCCTCTCTCAGCAATCCAGTTCCTTTCCTCTCATTCTCTTAAATCAACCATCTTTTGATTGTTGATTTAAGCACACTACTAAAAATGTCCAGGTTCAGCAGTGACCATGTTATTGTTCAGTTCTCACTCTTCAATGGGTTTGACCAATAAGCAGCTCTTAATACAGCTGATCATTCACTTTACTGAAACACTTTTTTCCACTTACCTGTTTTTCTCCACATTTTCTGGCTATTTTTACTCAGTCTATTTTTGTTGTTCCTTATCATCCCCACAAGCTCTAAGTATTACAACATACCAGTGTTCATTTCTTCAACCTCTCTTTCTCTCTAGCTGTACACATTTCTCTGGTAGTCTCTCTCATCTTGTTGATACATCCATATGCTTCATGTCCCAAGTTTATATTCCTAGCCCAGATTTTAACTCTGTAATTCAGGCTCATATATCCAGAACATTTAGGCCTTTGGCTTTTACTTTGATTGATAAAGGAGTTGTGGGAGAGTGTGAATGGAGAAATGACATGATATGGCTTACTTTTCAACAGGATCACTCTGGCTGCTGTGTTAAGAGTAGATGAGGGGAAGCAAGTGCAGAAACAGGGGGTCCAGTTAGGAGCTGTTGCAGTCATCTAGTCGAAGTATGATGATGATTTTGACCAGGGTGGTGATAGTGGAAATGGTGAGAAGTGGTCATATTCTGAATATATTTTAAAGTTAGAGTTAACAAAATGTATTCCATGGATTGTATATAATGTGAAAGGAAGTGAAGTCAAGGCTGACCCCAGAGTTTTTGGTCCGAGCAACTGGAATTTCATTAACTGAGATAGGGAAGGTTGGGGTTGGAGAGGAGGTTCTGATGGAAATTTGTGCAACTCCACTTAGGAAGTGTTATTTTGAGATGACACTTAGAGTGCTTTCATTAAATATTTATTGAGCAAATGACTGGCATCTCAGCCCTGCCTTCCACGACCAGTTATTTCTATACATAGAGGCTTTGTGTTTCACGTCTCCTTGTCTTTGGGTTTGTGGAGTAGTAGTTACATGGCTGGTGATCAGAGCAAAGTGAATCTGGGGATAAAATTACCCCATATACAGACACAAACAGATTTTTTTTTTTTTAATGATGAGCCCCAACTCTAACTTCCTCCTATTACACTGAGACCTGGGTTTTTCCAGTGTTGTGATCAAAAGATGGGCTTACTTCTCAAGGTAATCTCTGTTTGAAGGCAATGAGACTTTGGTTTCATATGTTTTGTTTAGTCAGTTCCTAAATGGCTACCTCATCCACTTGTCACTTTTCAAAAATGTGTTGACATCTCTTTATTATTCTTATCACTCCCCATGTTATTTTTGCCATTGTGGCATCTATTTTTATATCTCTAAATTGTTATTTTAGTATTCTGTTTGCCTAAGGGACCTGAGATAAATGCACACGTTCAATCCAAGTTAATAAAAATTCCACTTGCATATTCTTCCAGAATCTTTCTTTTTAATATTGAATATATTTTTCATTCAAATATACAATTAAACACTTTTTTCTTTCATACAAATGCAAAAGCATTAAAGTTTTAATTTGTCAAAATGTTTACTGTCATGATGTTGCATTAATTGTGGGAGATTCGGTGCTCCGCGTGATCTCCTCTCAGACATTTAGAGCAATCTTCACTTGTGAAATTGCATGAGCTCCTAGCATAATAGTCTCTGGAGTATTTTGGACACTAAATAAATATTTCTTGAGTGAATAAATAAATTCTCGAAGAGCTGCCCACCTTTGACGTTTTTATTCTCCTATATTTTTATAGGAGGTTAATTCTCCCATATTTTTCTTCCTATATTTTTCTCCTATATTTTTCTTCCAGTATTTACTATTCCATTGATATTATAATATTTATTCAACTGATACCTTCTATGTGTAAGGTGCTGTGGAATATATAATACTGATTTAGAAATAGTTCTTGATCTCAAGACATTTACAGTTTATTAATATAGAAAAATCATGTAAAAATAAAGGGCTAGACTGTAATAAGGAGCATAAGAGTCGTACTAATAATTTAAGGGTTCAGGGGAGTGAGAATTTTCTTGGCAAGAAAAATTAGGATATCTTTATGAAATGATGGCTTTAAGATAAGCCTTGAACAGTTACTGGGATTCAACCTAAGAAATGGAAAGGAAGTCACTCTAAATGAGTAGGCTAGCATGTGTGAAGATGAAGGGACGAGAAAATGTATTGGTTGATAAGTATTCGTTTAGCTCAATTAGAGTAAAAAAAGGAGAAACATGGAATATAAAGCCAGAAAGAATTTGAAACAGATGTGCTTGGCCATAGGCAATAGGACAGAAAGAATATGGGTGGTTTTTCACAGGGTGACACAAAAGGTTAATCCATAGGAGATTGCTGTGATCAGACATTTTCTTTGGGAAGCCTGTTGGAAAGAAATGAAAGGTGATTGAATGCTGGCAAGAGAAATAAGTGGTATCAGAGAGATTTGAGTCTCTGAGAAGGATGTAGGTTCTATTTCCAGATATATGGGAATTAGGAGAAGATAGTTTTGGAAGTATTAATAGGATAATAGTAATTTTAGATATAGTAAATTTAGAGTGAATTTCAGGTATAAATGTCTAACATGCAGTAGAAAATATGAAACTAAGAACTTGGGAAGAAAGGGTTAAAATAAAGACAACAAAAATGATTAAAGAACATCATATTATGTGATCACTTTCTCAGGTTTAACACATTTAGTTTTTGAAAAGTTGCTATTTTGGAATCATTTTTGATTTTTATTAAAAGGCGCTTCTTTACAAACAAAAAATGCAGCTTGTAATTTTTTATATTGAATAAATTCATATTTATTTAAAAATAATGTGCAGTTACATCATTTTTACATTTAATTCCCAAACATATGACAAGTTACAAATATCTTTTTATATTTTGTGGGACTGTTATAAAATTATTAGTCATTTGTGCACATTAAAAACCCAATGCCATATTGAAGAAATAATTGGAAGGTAAAGGTTATATTTTCTCCAGGATATTAAAATACGTATTTCTCCAGATCTGTTGTTACAGTCAGATTGTCACTTTTTATTTTTCTTATCCTTAGACTTAGGTGAATGTGTATTCTAGAATTTATATTAAGGTCGACATGATCCAAACTTTATGTCAAAGGAACTAGATAGATTCAGCAACATTTTCATGTTTACAGTTAAATTAAAATTTCAAAATACTTAAAATTATTATCATAGCAAAGGCTTGTGATAAATTTTAAAGCATAGATGTGTATGAAATGATTGTAAGAGTTCTTGTTTTCTCTGTCTTCAATTATACTTCCCAAGTTAGTATTCCTAAAATTTGATTATATAAATCTCTTCAATGAGAAAAAAAGCACAAATATCTGTCTTTTTATTTTTTATGCGTGTATTTATTTATTTATTTTGAGACAGAATCTCACTGTGTCGCCCAGGCTGGACTGCAGTGGTGCGATCTCAGCTCACTGCAACCTCTGCCGCCTGAATTCAAGTGATTCTCCTGCCTCAGCTTCCCAAGTAGCTGGGATTACAGGCACCTGCCATCATGCCCAGCTAATTTTTGAATTTTTTATTTTTATTTTTTGAGATGGAGTCTCGCTCTGTCACCCAGGCTGGAGTGCAGTGGCGTGATCTCAGCTCACTGCAACCTCCACCTCCTGGGTTCACACCATTCTCCTGCCTCAGCCTCCCGAGTATCTGGGACCACAGGCACCTACCACCATGCCTGGCTAATTTTTTGTATTTTTAGTAGAGACAGGGTTTCACCATCTTGGTCAGGCTGGTCTTGAACTCATGACCTTGTGATCCACCTGCCCCGGCCTCCCAAAGTGCTAGGATTACAGGCGTGAGCCACTGCGGCCAGCCATGTTTTTATTTTAATATTAATATGTGCTTAACTACACATATTATACTGTAACTTTTTAACTGAAAAATTGCCATAAGCATATCTTTTAATTCATGTTTTAGGAGAACGATAGAGCTGTAGATATCAATACTTGTATTATTTCTTCCCTTTGAGATGTTTTCTAAAACAAAAAGACAGTGAGAAAACAATGAATCACCACAATGTGATCTAGGCAATATTAGTGAATCTGGATATTTTTTATGCAAAGATACTAAAATGTGATTCTAAGATCTTCATTCACGTTTTCAAACCACATATACTGAATTCATTCTTTATGTTATTCTGTGAAGCCTCCTTGCAAATATGAGGTTACATGCTTAAAGACTGTTAAAGTCTGTCTTAGTTTGGAGAAGTATCAGTGACTTATAAAGACTTCATTTCCAAGAGGTTGAGAGAAACAATATTTTGTTTTATCCGTTCAAAACCAGATTAGCATTCGAAGATATATTGATACCTTGGACTGGTACTTAGAAGGGAGAAGTTTACAGTTTCCTATGAGACCCAGTGAGATATTAAACATTGTGTGTAATTACCTTTTACAGTATCTGCTTTGAAATAATTGAATAGAGATATGAATATTTGGCAAAATATGTATTTTATTTTAGAATGCATTATGAGATTAACTCAAGCCACATTTGCCCTCAGGCACACAAGGACAAACATTCTTTGCCTTCCATTCTGATATCTTCTTGGCTATAGGTCATCTTTTCATAACCTGAGATCTAGTTCACAGTGAAGGACATCCAGTGACATGTGGACAATCGGATTGGTAGCTCAGATCTCTGTTGGGTATCTTGCGTTCTGAGAGCTACAACTTTTATTATACAGAGACTCTGGTCAGCCTTCAGTAGTATATAGTTAAATCGTGGGTGGTTTTTGCAGATAATATTTTATTTGGAGATTTACTGATGACAAAACTGTTTGCTTTCAGAGTTATTAAAAATCACAGTGTGGGCTGGGTGTGGTAGCTCATGCCTGTAATCTCAGCAGTTTGGGAGGTTGAGGTGGATGGATAATATGAGGCCAAGAGTTTCAGATCAGCCTGGGCAACACTGTGAAACCCAAACTCTACTAAAAACACAAGAAAAATAGCTGGGCATGGTGGCACATGCCTGTAATCCCAGCTGCTTGGGAAGCTGAAGCAGGAGAATCGCTTGAACCTGGGAGGCAGAGGTTGCATTGAGCCGAGATCGTGCCACTGCACTCCAGCCTGGGTGACAGAGTAAGACTCAACTATCAACAACAACAACAACAAAAGTTACAATGTAAATAAAACAATTAAGTACAGAATCACACTTATAAATAAAATAATTTTAATAATACAAATATTTAAACAATGTTATTTAAAAATATTTCAATTTTAATATTTTATACTACTGTTAGCAGTAAAAATCCTATAAGAAACACTGATTGTAAAGTAGTAGCTTGGACATTCCATGGTACATTAATTCCAAACCTTGGACATAGATTATGTGCTTTCAGTTTGTTCATAATTTATTATGAATCAATGACAAATACCTACCTTTATATTTAGTGTTTTCACTGATTTTTCAGGCTACCGTTCCTTTTTGCCTAATGAGTTGTTAACATAAGATATGGTACTTTTATCTTCATTTATTTCTCTCCTTATAGCATCCCTACAAGACCTACATTAACTAGTCAGCACAGTGAGCTCTGAAGTCTTGGACTTGCTTTATGTAACCCAATCGCTAATCACAGGGCCCTTCCACTGCCATTTTCTTTCACCTGTGCCATAACTTCAGCCCTTATTTCCTTTTAATTCATATTGTGGCATACCAATTCTACTAATGATCAACACATGCCTTTTTTCCTCCTATTTCGTTTGATTTCTTATGCAACTCTCACCCATTTTATGTATCTTTACTTTAATAGAGACAGTGACCTGCAATAATTAAGAATTAAGAGACCTGGATCCAAATTTTGTCTTGTCTTTTTATTGGGCAAGTCAATATTTTAAGCCTTAATTACTCAATTTTCTTATCTATAAAAGACAACTCTGTAAAGTTATTGTAGATTTTGAAAATAAATCACTTAACACTTCCCGTGACACATGGTACTTGATAAAAGCTGGGTAGTCGCAGGCAGATGGTCCCTTACCCATAGCCCTTAGTTTAGATGCATTTTTAGAATTCAGAATTTATGGACTTTAAAAGGTATGCATATTTCATATCGTACTTAATATATCCAACAGGATGTTAGTCAGCATCTCAAACAAGTGGATAATTCTGTAGGACAATGCTTATGTGTGAATTTTTACACAGAAATATTAGCCTCCCATTAATTAAAGTCAGGTATTGTTACCAAATGAGTTATGAAAAAACCATTATTCAAATTTTGGAATCGAGGGTAAGTGAGTAGGAATCCAGAAAACAAGAAGAAATTTTTCATTTTTCTTATTGTAAACTAAATTTTGTTCTTTCATTTTGACTACCTGGATGTTTTCTAGGTTTCCTAAATATGGGACCATAAAGCACTTTTTTTACCTACACTTCCACAACTCATCCCTCTCCCCAGCTACCCTCACCACTCCAGATGTCTTCTGAGAATTAAGGGAGGGAATGAAATAGAGTTATTTCTGTAGGAGCATAATTGTTGGGCATGGAAAATTAATGTCACATTAAGAATTTTTTTCTCCCTGGAATTTGTTAGGGTAAGTATATATTATCTAGGGAGAAAATGACACAAAAAAGCATTAGTTTTTGTTTCTTCCTTTGTGATTTAAAACTGGCTTTTCTTATATATATTTTAACTTAGAAGATGTTTTAGCAAGATTTGTAGTTAAATGAAATACACTAGCAATTTTAACGTGTGTAATTTATTGTTTTACATAAGTATTTTTGGGTTTTAGAGAAATGTAGATTGTCTTACTGACCTGTTGACATTGATTTTTTTTTCTTCCACTAATAAGGATCTGTATAGATTTTAGTCTGTTCCTTCCTGTTATCTATTGATATGGGGGACTTGCTATCAGGATAAAAGTTGTAATTGAATTATAATTTCATATTATGTAATTATTAATCACAATTGATTCTAGTATTTTTTTTTAGTGTCCAACTGAAACCAAAGCAACATTTGGGGTTCATCTTAAAATAGTAGGAGACTGGACAGGTATGTAGAACATACAGTTTTAAGATACATTCTTTGAAAATAGTGGAATGTAATAATTTGAATGTGTTTTAATATAACTACCAGCATGTATAGAGATGTGTATGTGTTTCAAGCTGTTCTGGGTTTTTTTTTGTTTTTTTTTTTTTTTTTTTTTGCTTGTACAGTTTTGACATCTGTGTTTTCTCTTTTAAGATGCATTTTTGCAATCAGAATACCTTTGATATCAGTAATTATTAATAATATATTGTTCAGTGTGCTTGCAAATCATAAGTTTCTACCTACTTGTCAGGTGTGCTGGCAATAGTGGGAATGCTGAAATGTGTTTCTTAGAAAACATGAGTCAAAATAATCAACACCTGATATTGAGATCACACAAATCTTCCAGTTCTTGCATGACATTTTTTGTGGTGTTCCAGTATATAGGGCAACTTCACAGTAACTTTGGAATAGATATTTTTCACAGCAGGCCTGTTGGTGATACTTTACTTGTCTTCAGTAAATACTTTTTATTACCTGAGAGATGCATTGTAGTAAGAGCTTTGAGTAAATAAAAGAAACATTATTCTCTCTTATATTAATATTTCCTTGACCCGCCAGAGTAACTGACAAGTGAGTACTCAGTAAATGTTGGCTTGTTAGTTGGTTGGTTATGTTATTGTTACAGGAAAGAATGCAGATATAAACATGAATGCAAAAGTAAATTTAAATATTCTTATACTTAGGTGCTAAACGAGGAGTTGGTAAGTAAAATCTGTAGGGAACCAGAAAAGTGTAGATTAAATGTGGTCTAGGGCTGTAAGAGAAGCTTCACAGAAAAGACAGAATTTGAACTGAAGCTTAGGAGTCAGGCAAATGAAGAAAGATGTAGGTAATTTAAGTGAAAGTCACAGTGTTGTCAAAAATCAGGAAAGGCAATGATTAACTCTCTTTGGAAAGGATGAATCCAATCAGTCTTTAATCAATTAAACAAAAGCAAAGTCAATCAAACAAAATGAAACAAAGACAAAGTCAATCAAACAAAAGCAAAGATTTTGTTCTGGGTAGTAGCACAGAAAAGCCATTTAGGGCCAGCTTGGTGAAGATTATGAATGCCTCAGCAAAATATTAGAGTAACCAAGGGACTTTAGGGAATTTTTGAAGCATTTGAAGCACTATGATGAAAATGGTATTAATTAAGTTGCTAGTTGGACAGATTAAAATCAAGGGAAGACTTGAAGGTACTTAAAGGCAGAGGGGAAGGAGGCAGTGGAGGGGTGGGGATGGAAATTGGAAGTAATGGATTTGTGAATACAAGTTAAGAAGGTAGCATTAGAAGGAAGAACCTAATATCTCTAAAAACCAGGGAAGGATAAGATGTTGGATAATAAGAAAGATGTGTTTTGAAATGAGGAGAACAATAGTTTATATAAGGAGGTTATTTCATAGAGTTAAAAAAAATAATATTGGTATGTATAAAATGTAATGTCTTTAGAAAGGGTAGCCAGCTTGGAATTGGAGACTTAAAAAAAAGGAAGGAAATCTGCAACATAGGATTTAATGGGCAAACATCTAAGTGAATTAAAAAGATCTTTGAGCAGTAATAACTCATTCAGAGTCATGAAAAACCAGGCTTACATGGATAATTTTCAGATGGTAGCATTCAAAAGAGATCATGGTCGTCCTCTGATAGGTATACACTGGTGGAGTATGAACATATGAATAATCACAATATGCCCAATATAAGTTGATATTATCACAGTGTTTTTTTTTTCTACTGTTTTGGAAATAAAAAATAAGGAAAGTTCTTTTCTGGTGAGAATCCCAATATAGTAGGAATTAAATTCAGTCATGAATGGTAAATTGATAGAATTCTATATCTGAAAGAAAACATGCAATGAAAACATAATTTAATTCATAAGATTAAGCAGAAACTCCTGATGGTTTATTATTAGCTATTGTTACTGAGTTTTTTCACAAAGTTATTTTTTATTACCAGTAGCTCATTAAAATAAATGATGTCTTACTATTTTAATCATCTCTATTAGGAACACTTAATAGTGTTAATTTTATTCTCCCTTTTTAATGTATTATGTCACTGAGAGAAACAAGATCATTCTATTCAGAGTTCAGTTCTAGTCAGATGCTTTTCAATTAATAGACCTTCTTTGTTGTTGACTTGAAATATTTGTTGACTTGGAAAAAAATATAAGCAGTCATGCAGAGAACACCTAAATAGTCATGTCATTATCTGACACTTTAGTTCAAAGAGATTTAGCTGCCTTACAACAATGAGATTACAACTATTGAAGGAAAAGTAGGAGCATTACCTTCAAAATCAAGAATCATTGGTTTTTATTCTAAAAGAATTGATTAAAACTCGGTATTAAGAGCAGTAGGTATAGGAAATACCAAAGAGATACCTAAGAGGTTGAATATCAAAGGTTTATTTTTTTAAAACTGACTTAGAGATATTTAATATGACTTTTTATTTGCTGAAATATGTTCTGCATTGGCAGCATACAGGGACTAAAGAGCAGGTTTAAAATAGCTCCAGAAATGATCTCTCCAAGACTAATCAACTATACCTAGCTATAGAGTGCTGGAGGAGCAAGGGAAGCAGCTATGCGGCACAAGACAAAGAAGCACCAAGTCTCATATTTGTTGTCTAGATTTTCATTTTCACCAGACCTCTAATTGCATCTCCTAGATACGTGGAAGACCTGTTAAAGTTTAGAAGACCCTTAAAACATTTTAGACATGATTCAGTGTTTTTTCTTGAAATGATGCTAGTACAGTAGATGGAGTGGATTACCCAAGTAGATTTCTCTTTTAATTGAATGAATACCTTATTGCTCTTCTAGAAGCAGCCATTCTTTCCAGTTTCAAACATATGGTCAGAGATTATTGACTTGATTATCATTTTAAGTGTACAAAAATGTTTTGTTAATTTCTTCGTTACATATGATTAGTATTGATTAATGTCTGAGATAATGCTATACCCTTGCTTATTTTGGTGGTCTAAATAGCCACTTATTCCACAGGTGTTTGTGTTGTGCTACAACAGAATTAAATACATAACATCCACATGTAATTAATGTAAACTTTCTGCCATTGATCCCTTCAGCAGTTAATGAATTAGCAATAATTGTGAGTAAATATTCAATAAAGGACTTGTAGCATGTATCACATGATGTTTCTATGAATCTTGGGTATAAATTCCCATGTTGTCTACTGGAAAAGTTTTCTACAGTGAGAAGATATGGTTATCTTTTAGGATTAAAAATGAGAAGACAGGGCCATATATTATTGTGGATTTGCCTCAGTCACATAATATATTGACTTCTCACAGTGCAAGTAATCTTAAATATAGGTTTAGTTAAGGACTGGGCCACAAAAGAGTTGATAACTCTCTTATTTGTTTCTATATCACTGTAGGAGCCAGTCGTGTTATAGGCTTTATTCAGATTTTTCATGAAAAGATTTAAACAGAACATGTGTTACGTGTTTAAAGTATTTTTTTTTTCATTTTTGGAAACTCCTTGTAAGTCAGATTATAACCACACTAATTTATATTAATGTTATTACTTTATTATGACAACATATTTTAGGCCAATTACATCAACCACCTTGCACTAGATATCACTGTGAATGGCTTTTGGTTGCTGCAAGAAGCCAATAAATAAATAAACAAACAAACAAACAAACAAATAAATAAATAAATCATATTTGGATATATGGAATCTCACAGATTTTACATAATTCATATTCATACAATGTAAACTTTAAGCTTATAACAAATATTCATTATCAACTGCTATATACCCAAAGGAGTGCCTGGAAGTACTCTTTTTGTTGTTGCTGTTGCCATGACTAGTGAATTACAACGATTAGTCATTTGTGGAAGATAATATTTAAACTATTAACTTTGGCTAATAATCAAATGTATGTTAAACAGCTACTGTGTTCCAGACTGTTTATTAGTCACTGGAGATACAGCATTGAGCAAAAGTGACAAAGTCTCCGCTCTTATAGAGATTGTGTTTTGGTCCATGGGGAGTTTATCATTTTTTTTGGAGATGTTTTGGTGTGACTCTATCTCCTGCCACTTAGCCATGGTTTATAGATTGTAGTAGCCTCACCTATACCCTATGTCCTCCCAGCCCCTGTGGATGGTAGTAATTTTCTTCCACTCTTTGTATTTTTTCACCATCCTCAATTTGGCTTCTCACTTCTTCCCTCACCTGAGTCATTAGTTCCCTCTAATGAACTTCTTCCACTTAACTTATGCAGTCATGTTTCTGCCTGGATCTGCACTGTTACACAAGGTTAGAAAAGCTCTCTGAACAGAGCCCTGAATAAAGAGGAGAAATATATAGGGGAATTGCATTTGCAGCATACAAGGACTAAAGAACAGGTTTAAAATAGCTCCATAAATGAGTTATTTTAAAAATATATATCTTAAAAAAGTTTAAGAGATAATAAAAGTAAGAGAGTATTTTATATCTATAAAAATATATCTTTAAAAAGTTTAAGAGGCAATAAAGTAAGAGAGGATGTGGAGTTGTTAAGTATAGACCAGTCTGGCAGTATGCTTGGGTTACCTCCTAGGGCTTGAGAGAAGTGCTTCTCTTCCCACCTCCATAGTCAGTGAAGTCATGTCTGATAGCTTCCCATCACTCACAGTGATAGTAGTTATTCCACAGAAATTGACCAACATCATTCCCATGGTGTGAATGTGTCCCCTGTAATTCGTATATTGAAATTTAATCACCAATATGATAATATTAAGAGGTAGGACTTTTAGGTGATGATTAAATCATGAGAATAAAGCCCTCATGGATTAGATTAGTGCCTTATGAAAGGGATTGAGGGAGTTGATTGACTCTCTTCTGCTCTTCTACCATGTGTGTTCCTCCCCCTTTGCTCTTTTGCTCTTCTGTTATGTAAGGACACAGCAGTAAGGCACCAGCTTAGAAGCGGAGAGCAGACTTTACCAGGCATCAAAGCTGCTGGTGCCTTGATCTTGTACTTCCCAGCCTTTAGAACTGTGATAAATAAATTTCTGTGGTTTATAAATTAACTAATTTGTGGTATTTTGTTATAGCAGCTCTCTAACAAAGACAACCATAAAGTAGGTCTTATGTATTTATCTATCATTAGACCTGGCTATTAAACATTTGCCAGAATACCACTGGACAAATTCTAAGAAGTTTGTATGTAAAGTGAAATAAAGAAATAAGTCAGCAGCTGAAAGGAGGAAATAAGGACGAAGAAGATATAAGTTAAAGATATATGATTATTTTATAATAATTATAACAATATACTAATTATGTTATAATATATTTATACACTTATTTGAATGATGAGAATGAAGTGGAGACAGGAAGTTTTATATTGCTGGAGAGATTTAGGATATAGTTCCAGGAGCAAATGGAAGATGTACAAGTTTCTGGGAAGAAAACTTGGGAGGCTTTCTGGGTCAAACTGAGTGTTAGAGATATATAGAACTTGCCTAGAGTGGGGGATTATTCCACGGAGAAAAAATAGCTTGAATGGCTCAGAAGGGTGAACTAGCTTGGAATGTCAGGAAAATGTCATGCTATTGGGAGGCCTGGCTGGGGTGGCATCCAAATATTAGGCCAAGGAAGAGCTTGTAGATCTTGCTATGAAACTTGGTCGTTTCCCAAAAGATGCTGGTGAAATATTGAGGAGTTTTAAACAGGAACTGAAATCAAATTTGCCCTTTATATGGGTCACCCTGCCAATGTTATATCAAATAGAAAGGAAGAAGACTAGGCTGGAGGCAAACACATCACATTAAAGATTTTTTAGTGTCAAGCAAATGGAAGACTTTATCTTTTGAGTTTTGAGAAAGGAGTGATCTATGATTGCTGCAAAAAGCCAATAAATAAATAAATAAATAAGACTGAGCAATATCACTGTTAGCCTCATAAAAATCATGTCATTAGGAAGATGCAAAGGAAAGGTCTGGCGATGGTACATATTGCTGCGAATTACTGAGGGCATTGGAGACCAGTAAGTGGAGAGAGTTAGTGTACAAAAAGAGGCACATAGCAAATGGGCCTATTGCTAAATTCTTCCTGTTTCTACATTTCCCCAGAACTATGAGAATGATTGATTTTTATACTGATCTGGCTTGTGATTAGCAGCAGAAGATGAATGGCAAATACAGATGTAACTACCTGTGTATATATCTAGATGGATCTGTGTCAGGATGAGGATTAACCTATTGTATCTTAAAGTATATATGCTTTGTATAATGAAACACTGTAGTTCTGGCCTCTTGTGAGTCTATGTGGAAATCATTTAGGATAATGATGAAACTTAACATGGCTTATTTACTATCACAATATAATAAATCATTCAATGAATGTGAACTGGGCATAAATTCTACAGCCTCAGAAATCAAGGAAATTTTTTTATCAGGAAAATGAGAGGCACATTATATGTGTACTACAATTTAAGTGCCCATCCATTCTCAGGAAAGAAGATAAATTGTTTTTCCCTTGGTTTCTCATTTTATGAACGTTAAATATATGCTGTCATGTTTTTTAGTAGGTTACAGCTCACTTAAAATACTACAGAAATATAAAAATTGCTTAGTAAATAAAGAATTCACCAGTCATTAAGTTTTATTCGTTCCAGCCATTTCACAAACCCAAACATAGGAGTAAATACCAAATTTTTGTTTTCTATCCAATTTTCACAATGTTCTTTTTTTTTTTTTTTTTCTTTTCAGTTTTTAGAGACAGGTCTTGCTGTGTCTCCCAGGCTAGAGTGCAGTGATATGGTCATGGCTCACTGCAGCCTTGACCTTCCAGGATCTATGGAAGGATCTATGGATCCTCACATGTCAGCCTCCTGAGTAACTGGGACCACAGGCTCAGACCACCATGCCTGGCTAATTTTTATATTTTTTGTAGAGGCAGGGTTTTGCCATGTTGCTCAGGCTAATCAAACTCCTGGGCTCGAGCGATCAGCCCACCTCGGCCTCCCAAAGTGCTGTGACTACAGGAGTGATCTACTGTGCCTGGCCAAAATGTTACTTTTTAGTTTTGAAAATAAACAAATCATACAATTACTGGACCTGGAAGTAGAGTTATTGTGGTGAAGTGGTTTCTTTTTATGGATTGTTATATTTTTATTAGAATTGTTCTGTTCCTAAAAGTTGCTTAGAGTCTCTGTTATCCAGTATTTTCTACTTGATTTTACTATGTAACATGGAAGAAAATAAGAATTATGAGGGATTTTCTTGGTAACATAATTTATTAATCAATGTCAAAAACACCACATAATGTACTGAATGGCTAAGAAGGCATATGTCAGTTTGCCAAATGAGCCTAGCGTTAATGGACTAAGTAATTTCAAAGGAAGCAAAAGGACAAGGGTTTTGTGCCATTATCATTATTATCAGGAACATTTTTAAGTACTCATTTTCTTGATACACTTGCTAATCATTTTATGTATTTGCTTGTTGTTTTTCCCTGATCCATAGTCTTGGTCTTCGGCCAAGACATCTTCTATTTAAGAACAGAGAAGACTCACTACATGGCTGTTTTCTATTGGCTTTAAAGGCCCATATATTGCATGGCATTGATTTTATTTGCTCGGTTCTTTAGATTTGAACTTCATAAAACATAAAAGAAAATCTCCTGTTTTTTTTTTTTTTTTTTTTTTTGTGGGCGTGGTCTTGGTCTTGGATAAAATGGCCTGTTTTTTCTTGAATACACATCTAAGATATATTCAGTTTCTGCAGAAGCCAGGAACTGAATTAGTATGGAGCTGAGTCTTGATCAGTCTGAGGTGTTTCTTTTGATGAAAGCCAACATTGTTAAAAAAAAATGCATTTGATGTGACAAATGAAAATATAACATTTTTCTTAAAAGGTGGATTGTAGAAAGCTTAGTAGCAATAATGTGTTTACCCAACAATGTCTGTTATTTGCCTTCACTTTCTTTGAAACTGTTTTTTTTTTTCCCACCCTCTTTCATTTTTTGTTATAGTTTAGCCTCTGTGGCAATAAACGCCAATTTATATTTTATAAGAAATCCAGTTCTAGGCATTGATTCATTGATGTATTTAGGGGCCAAGAAGTCTGTCTGTAGTTCTTTCAAAAACTGCTTTTGATTTTTTTAAAATAAAGTGTTAAACAAATAAGAAGCAAAATAATGAGTATCACAGAAATAGACTTTTATCACTCTGCTCCCCCTGGAAATAAAAGGATCCATTAAATATTCTTCCTTTGTGTAATACTGCATTGTCTACCTTCAGACCTTACAGTATTTAAAAGTACCAGATGTTGAGGCATGCAGATGGCATATGACCCTGCTAAGCTTTCTCTTATCCTGTAATCCTTAGGCAAGAAGAAAGTAAAAGGAGGGAGGGGAGAAAAGGGAGTACTGTATATTCTCGGGAGAGAATAAGGCAGTATGACGGCAGTGGAAAGAACCCTGGACTGTGAGTGTTTTTGTTTTGTTTTTGTCTTTTCTTTAAGTATCTTTGCCTCTTTCTAGCCATGTGACCTTGAGACAATCAGCCAGCTGGTTGGTTTTTAGTTTCCTTGTCTACAGCATACCAAATTGAGGGAGTTGTTTCCTAATTTCTCAGTTCATTATTGCTGTAAAGTGGTATAATTATTTTGAAAGAAATAAATTCTAAGATACAGATAATTCAATTCCACATAATGTGTGAATGATAGTAGATAAATTTTGGTATAGTTCAGAAAATATTACAGGAATACTATGGAGAATACATGTCAAGTAGAGGATTTTTATGTTGCTTATTTTGTTTTCCTATTAGTGTTCTTATTCATTCATTAGCTCTGGTTGTACATACATCTCATCTTCTGAAAATTACATGTATGGGTTTAGGGATTTTTTTCCCCTTATGTAAGACAGTATAAAGTTCTGTTTTTTATATTGCTTTGACATGGCCTTAATATTTGCAAAAAAGATAGTTTTATATAACCAGAGCATGCGAGTGATAGGGTTTTTTCTTCTGGAATTGTAAATCATTTTATTTTCTTCTAGAATTATAAATCATTTTCATTTGAATCCTAGAATCTTATGACACAAGATTTGTCTACATATGTAATATATATAGGCAAATATATATGTGTGTGTATATATGTATGTGTGTATGTAAACATATATATACACACAAACAGAGAGAGAGAAAGAGAGAGAGAGACAGGGTCTCACTCTGTCACCTAGGCTGGTGTGCAGTAGCATAATCATAGCTCACTGCAGCCTCAAAATCCTGGGCTTGAGCAATCCTCTTGTCTCAGCTTCCCAAGTAGTGAGGACTACAGGTGTATACCACCACATCTGGCTAATTTTTTAAACTTTGTTGAAGAGCAAGGGTCTTGCTGTGTTGCCCAGGCTGGTCTCAAATCCCTGGCCTCAAGCTTTCAAATATTGGGAATGTAGCCATGAGCCACCACACCTGGCCTGCCTATATCTTTAATAAGTTGCAACTTGATTTCCTGGTTTATGTAAAGTAGTACTAATTTGAGAGCCTCTCATGTTTATCTGAAACCAATAGTTTAAATAGCAACATTGTTACTATTATATTGTTACTATTCAGTTACCATGTATTACTATGCATTACCATGTATTATTATTGAGTTACCATGGTAATAAAGGACATTCGCTTGATTTAAACAAACTTTTCAGTAGGGAGATGTATGCTCCATATCTTTCTAGTTGGTATGGATATACTCTAAGTTTGCCCTTTAATTCTTCTTTTTAGAAGGAATTTGTTTTTCTAAGATTAATATGCATACTTCTAAGGAAAATAAATACCAAATTTTGACAAACCATTAATTTCTTTAAATCCCTAGAAATAATGTGCTTCTTTCCCTTTTTAAATAATTTTGTAATTACATTCTAAATTCTTTTCAAGTAGCTATAATGGCATTGAAGTTCTTTTGTTGTCCTGGCATTTTTTGTGTGTGCTTAATAAACAGAGCTGCCTTGGTGATAATAATTTGTTTTGTTCACAGTATGTGACAAATGATAGGTACTCAATAAAAGTTTGTTAGATGAGTGAAAAAGTGAATAAAACATGCTTTAACTGATGAAATTCTGATTATCCAAAATATTGATTTTATTTTCAATTCTAAATTTTCTATCATTATAGATTATTGATATATATGTAACAGAGCAAAAATATTCACCTTATCTAGTACCACGGCTCAAAAGGACTTCCTTTGTTGGTTTGTTTTATTTTTTATAAAACCTCTCCGCTTCTTTTGCTTTTTGTTACCAGCATATCCAGGCTAAGTTGACTGTTCTATTCCAAACTCTCAGAGCATACCTTTAGCACTTATTTACTTGTAGCGTTTGTATCTTTTGATAAATAATTTAGAATGCAATTACAAAATTATTTAAAAAAGGAAAGAAGCACATTATTTAGACCTCTTCTCTGCTAGACCTTTAGCCCATGAAGAACCTCAGTTGGTGCCTGACTTACAGTGCATGCTCAGAAATGTTACTGAGAAATTACTTATTTTAGGTGTTCACATTTTGTGTCTACATATTTAAATAGTAATTCCTACATGTTGTGAGAAAACTCATTTGTACCTTCTATTTCAAGCATCATGTGTGTGTGTTTGTGTGTATTGTGTGTCTGCATTGGTGTGGTGTTTTCCTTGGTAGGTGGAGGAGGGGATAATACTCCAAGATCTATAATATGGGGAGTATGAATGAATGACAACTACTCTTGAAGATATGTTCATGTGTGGTAGTGTGCACATCCATGCCCTACATCTACTCTTTAAATATATATCTATATATACACACACACACGTATAGATAGATGATTGATAGATTACTTTTAGATAAATACTGAAAACTAAAATTCAAACAAATCTAAAGATTAAAAATTCAAACAAGATATAGATAAAATAAAAAGCTATTATATATGATCAGGAGCCAACAGGCAATACTTAACTGATAGAGTCAAGGTGGGCATGATCAAGATACTGGACAGCATGGCTGGAAGAGTAATCAAAATGGATTGACAGTGACCGCCTGCACATGCCACAGAGGTGTTATTTATGTAACATCTGGAAGGTTCTGGAAAAAGAGAAATGATTTATTGCTGATCTTTATTCTACTTAAACACATGCACATGCATCACACCCCACAGTAGCCGAGAACTTGGTAGAAGTTCTCAGTACAAAGTGGAGATCTATGAAGCACCTGTGTTTCAGGTTGGATTAGCTAGAAGGTGTGTGTGTGTGTGTGTGTGTGTGTCTGTGTCTGTGTGTAATGTAAAATGCTTATTAGGGATCAATACCCATGACAGGAAAGAGAACAAAGAGGGTTTGGGGGAAGGAAGAATTTGAAACAAGGCAGGTTCAACAAAGCCCAGCCAAATTGGTGGGAAGAACTAGAGCAAATATTGCCCATCAGAGTTGCCTGTGTAGTGCTGAAATATCCTTGCCTTGTTCAGTCAATGGATGTGAGCTGCTCTGTGAGAGGTATTTGCTTTGCATCTGAGGCCGACCCTGATGGAAGTGACAGATGGAGATTGCCTGCCAACTGCGCTCTCCACAGCTGGGCAACAAGTTCTTCACTGAAGAGGCACTTGGGGGATACTTCTCTGTATCAACTACATGACCCCTAGCTTATTTTCTTATTAATATTTAATTAAAAATAAAATCTCATGTGAATATGAAATGGAGCAGGATGCTAGGACAGCAGGAATAAACCAGAATAGTCTCAGTCAAACAAAGACATGTGGCCCCACTCCCTTTCAGTGACTTTAATTAAGATTTCTTTTCATTCCTTAAGCAAATATTCTTTTTTGTTTTGTTTTGTTTCAATAGTTTTTGGGGTACAGGTAGATTTTGGTTCCATGTATAAATTCTTTAGTGGTGATTTTTGAGATTTTAGTGCACCCATCACCCAAGCAATGTACACTGTACCCAATATGTAGTTTTTTATCCCTCACCCGACTTCTAACATTCCCGCTCCAGAGTTCTTAAAATTCATTATATCTTTCTTATGTCTTTGAGTCCTCAAAGGTTAGCTTAGCTCTCACTTATAAGTGAGAACACAGGATATTTAGTTTTCCATTCCTGAGTTACTTCACTTACAATAATGGCCTCCAGCTCCATCCAAGTTGCTGCAAAAGACATTATTTTGTTCCTTTTTATGGCTGAGTAGTATTCCATGTTGTATGTATACCACATTTTCTTTATCTACTTGTTAGTTGATGGGTGCTTAGGTTGGTTCCATATCTTTATTGTTGTGAATTGTGCTGCTGTAAACATGCATGTGCCTGTGTCTTTTTCATGTAATGACTTCTTTTCCTTTGGGTAGATACCTAGTAGTGAGATTGCTGGACTGAATGGTTGTTTTACTTTAAGTTCTTTAAGGAATCTCCATGTATTGTACATAGTCATTTGCACTAATTTACATTCCCATCAGCAGTGTAAAAGTGTTCCCTTTTTACCACATCCATACCAACATCTATTGTTTTTAGACTTTTTAATTGTGGCCATTCTTGCAGTAGTAAGGTAGCATCTCATCGTGATTTTAATTTGCATTTCCCTGATGATTAGTGATGTTGGCCATTTTTTCATGTTTGTTAGCTGTTGTATGTCTTCTTTTGAGAAATGTCTGCTCAAGTCCTTTGTCCACTTTTTGATGGGATTATTTGTTTTTTTCTTGTTGATTTGTTTTAATTCCTTGTAGATTCTGGAAACTAGTCCTTTGTCAGATGCAAAGTTTGAGAATATAAGCAAATATTTTTTAAGCAACTCAAAGTTAAAAGGTGGCTTAAAGATCACTGAACTCATCTGACTCAGTTGTGAGTTCAGAAAAGGAATTAAGAATAGAGGCAGACTAAGGTCAAGAACTCAGGCTCTCTGACAACCAGTTGAGTGTTGTTTCTTTTATTTTTTCTTTTTCCAAGAGAATTTCTTTTCTGCTTTATTTAGGTATAATTGACAAGTAAAATTATGTATTTTCAGGGAGTACATATCTCTGGTATACATATGCATTGTGAAGTGATTACCACACTCAAGCTAATTAACGTATTTATCACCTCAAATAGTTACCTTTGTTGTGTGTGGTAAGAATACTTAAGATCTACTTGGCAACGGTGTCTTTTCTCTTATGACCTGTTGCTGCTAAATACTGCAGACTGTATGAGTGAAGAAAGATTTGTCCTTTGGTATCTCCTTTCTCATGTATACTCTCTGATAATATTTCCTGCATTAAGAAGTAATCCTCAGCCTATATTGCCAAAACAATGTGAAATAATATCGATATTATGGTGCATTCATCTTATTGACCCTTTTTGGGGTATGAAGTACTGTCTGATTCCTTGCAATATAACTTCTAATACTATTAATAGGTTACAATATACTAGGTGTTCTTAAAACTAAGGTAAAGACTTTAATAGAGTCTTAATCTTTAATGTCCCTTAAGGATTTCGTTTTGATGCCATTTAAAAAAAATTAAAACTGGCAAATTAGTATAATGTGAGCATTAACAGAAAGATAAAAAAATTAACCTATTAATAAAAATGCAAAGAACTTCTGTTCAAGTACCTTTTGTTTAGGGAAATACTGTCTCTCTTAGAAATATTTTATATGACTTCTTTTATTACCCTGAAAAATCTAATACTCAAAACAGTTAAAATATTCATTTTTATAGAGGAGGTTATAGAGAGGCAGTTAGGGAAGGGGGATTACCTGAAGGAAAACAATGATTTGGAATTGGCAAAACCTGTCTGGGTCTCTCTAGCAAACAATAGGTCTTTCTTAGGTTGCTGTTAAAAAAACTAATTATGTGACAGTGATCACATCTCTAGATGCAAAGGATCTTTAGGTTATACAAGAATAGCATTAATCATTGTTACTTTTGTTTTTTATATATTTTTTTCTTTCTTTTTTTTGTAGTGGTAAGAGGTTTTATTTTCTTCTCATCCCAGGAATAGGTTTGCATACTGCTAAGTTGCAGTGAGCTGAGATCATGCCACTGCACTCCATCCAGGGTGACAGAGCAAGACTCCATCTCAAAAAAAAAAAAAAAAAAATGCCTACTGCTTTTTATTGTTATGTAAATCCTTATTGCATTTGGTATATTCTGCATATTGGGGTGGATTAGAGATTGGTCATTTTCTGCAAAGGAGAAAATGAAACATCTTGGTCACAAAAAGATGTAGAAAAAGTTTCAATTAGAAATTGAAAGAGGATTTTAATTTTCTCATCTTTGTTTTCAAATAATTAAGTATATTGTGTCACAGTTGATTAACCAGAGAATGCAAATTAATATAATTGTGTGCAGTATGTCATCCAGGTCTAAGGGCCTCATAATCTTTTTGTTGATTGAATGGGAGAAAGAAAGAGTGGATGAAGGTCTACAAAAGCTTGTGTTAATTAAGATATATCTCCTACTGGTAGAAAATCACGTTCAGACATTATCACATCGTTAGTCAGCTCATCACGGTATCACTTCGCAGAAAATCCTGTTTTTTTTTTTCCAGTGGCTTTAATGAATTTCTTCTAAGAAGTCCTGTGAAAGGACTGAGCTGTAGTATTTGGATAACTGTGCCATTTTCTTAAGAAACAGTTTGAGCCTGCTGAGAAAGTAGGTCATCTGGTTTGACATTTTCCTGCAAAAGAAGTAGCATTAATATATCTTTTTTTTTTTTTACTTAACAAATAAAACATCAAATTATTTTGGCCTTTTCCTCATAATCAAATAGACAACAGGATGCTAATTAAATAACTGATAGGCAAAAATCTGTGAGACTAAAGAACTAAATAATTATAAATAATTTTTCCATTTACTTGAACTTTTCTAAGGATAATTGTTATCATTTATCTATTTTTATAAAGAAATAAATGAATAATCAGTATGCCTTTATAAGATAAAATTAATTGTTCACATTTAAGAATTTATTAATATAATGATAAAAATAAAATTTTTTTAAAAGACATGCTTTTAAAGTTCTGTGTTTACTTTCTGTTTATGTATATATGAACCCTTTCTTTTCTTTTCTTTTCTTTTTTTTTTTTTTTTTTTTGAGATTAAGTTATACTCTTCTTGCCCAGGCTGGAGTGTAATGGCATGATCTCAGCTCACTGCAACCTCTGCCTCCTGGGTTCAAGTGATTCTCCTGCCTCAGCCTCCTGAGTAGCTGGGATTACAGGCACCCACCACTATGCCCGACTAATTTTTTGTATTTTTAGTAGAGACAGGGTTTCACCATGTTGGTCAGGCTGGTCTCAAACTCCTGAACTCAGGTGATCCACATGCCTCAGCCTCCCAAAGTGCTGGGATTATGGGTGTGAGCCACCATGCCCTGCCTATGAACCTTTTTGACAACCACGATAGCTATTCAAGATGTTTGCTTGGTATTCTTTGTATTTCTGATAATCTGATTAAAGGATGTTCCAAATATAGGAACATTAGTTATAGGTTTCCTTATAGCTTTATAAGTGATGTCTTTTTTGCTGCTTTTGCTGTATGTGTGTGTGTGTGTATGCACACACACGTGTGCATCTGTGTATGTGTTTTTAGTCCTGTCAATATGTCATCTGCAGAGATTCTTTTCTCTGGAATTATTGTCATATGTCCTTTATGGTTATGTAAAAAGAGAAACACTTATTGCTGCGAAAAGGATGTATTATATTATAGTTGTGTGCATTAAGAATTCCGAATTTTGTTTGCTTTTAACAAGTTTGGGAGAAATTCACTAAACTTTAATTTATACTATTACCTTTCAAGGAATATCATAACACATATAGCTGTTTGATTTAACGGTTCTTTACCTGATATGTAAAGTTCTTGTTTGCTGTTGGGTTTTGGCTTGATTTTTCAAGACTCATTTTAGGAAAAGGCTAAGTGGGAAAAAAATTGAAAAGATAGAGCATTACACATTACTCATTTAATGAGTACTGCATAAATTGGCAAGTAGACTGAAAACCAAGGGTTATTTATCATCAGAAAGTTTACTAGTCATTTGATTGAAAGAAATGTTAATTTTGTAAATTAAACAGAGTAATATCAGCCCAAATATCAGCCAATAATATAATATTTAAAAATGTGAACTAAAAGAGTATAATTCGAGAAAAACACAGAGTATTTTTTTGGATTTCTAGACTTCAGAGTGTAAGCACATCTGTGTTTGGATCTCATTAGTTCCTCCTCATCTATGTTGTAAGAAATGTCAGAATTTTGAGAGAAAAAAAAACAGTAGAAGCCAGTTATGTATCTCTGATTCAGTATGTTTTAATAAATATGAAGATAAAATATACATTCTGCTTCTCAGGAAGCACTGGCCACTTTGTGACTGCCGTATTCCAAATAATTTAACATCTAGTTATTCATAAACTAGGAAATGGCAATTGTCATCAAGTGTATATTTTCATCATTTTGTGGAAATGCTCACCTTCAGTTAGTGAAGGATTTACTGCAGCTGGGGAGTGTTAGCTTTGCATACTATCTAAGCCTGACTGTGCGACCGTATCAAGACAGGAGTATGGGTCCACTTGCTGTTCATGGTTGATATATGACCGTTTGGTCTCTGCTGGGAGTTATTATGATTAACCTTAACAAACAGTTTTCTCCAGTAAAAATAGATGTTGGAAATATTTCTTCAACAAATATTTATCCAGCACCTTAATTATGTATCAGATAATGTTCTGTATCTTGGTGGCACAATACTCATCTACTAGAAGAAGAAAGAGGGATAGAGAGATAAATACATATAACAATAAAACATAGTGTGATAAACTCTGTGAAGGTGGAAGCACAAGTTGTACTGGGAGTGTACAGTAGGTCCAGCCTATTCCAAATTGGGCAGGAGGAGAGAACAAAAAAGTAATGGAGGGATCAAGGAAGCCTTTCCATAGGTATGACTCTAGAGGTAATGCATACCTATTCCTGAAAATGTGCATACTCTATGCCATGCAGATAGCTATGCAACGTAAGTATTTCCAAGGTAACATCTAGGATTTTTTCCTTTGTCCTTTTTTTTTCCCCCTTCCTCTTCCCCTCCCCCTCCTATTTTCTCTCTTTTCTTCATTATGAATTCATATGCACTGAAGTTTACTAAATCAATTCTTAGCTCATGATATGCAGTCATTATTGGTCTTTTCCTGGCCGTCATTCACTTATTTATTTATTCATTTATGATATTACAATTAATACATATGAAACACCAACAATTACTTACATTTACCCTTTTGCTTCTCTCCTATTTCATCCCCCTACCTTTCCTAAAAGATAGTCATTATTCTGAATTGTGCATGTCCTTCCTTTTTAATTGGTTTGCTTTATTTCATATATATCATACTTAAATAATACATTGCTTAGTTTTTTAACTCAATAAAAATTATGTTCTGTTACATGCAATCTGCGGAGATTTTATTTCACTCAACATTATATTAATATGATTCATTAGGTTTTTATTTATAAATAAAATCATTCAGTTTCACTTCAGTTAGTACTTCATTTTGTTTGCGAATAAGCACAAATGTCCATTCTCTCATGTCAATGAGCAACTGAGCTGCTTCCATTTATGTTGTTCTATGAGTGGTGCTACTGTGAACATGCTCATACTTGCTGTCTAAGACACATGTGAAAGTTTCTGCAGGGTGTGTCCCTGAGAATGGAAATATTGGGCCACAGACTTTGCAAAAGTAAAACTTAAATGATAATGCCAAATTGTCTTCAATAGCTATTGTACCAATTTGGACTCCCACCAGCAGTACATAAGAGCTTAGGTTGATCAACATCCTCTCCAACACTTGGTCTTGGGAGACTAATTTCTGTCAATTGAATGCTACATGATGTAAATGCTAGTTAATGGTGTCTGGTTTTGATTCACATTGCATGGGTTACTAAAGAGACTGTGCATCTCTTAGTATGTTTATTGGTCATGTATATTTTCTCTAACCTTTCAATGATAAGATTTGATCATAAAGATATATGTTACCATTAAGGAAAAAAAATATATTTTTATATTTATATATGAGAAATATCTATATGTAGAAATGTATATATTATGTATATTTATAGGATAAATATAACTATTTCAAATATTAATCCAGGCTTAATTTTATATATTTAAAATATATATATGAATATATATTATTTATATATTTATACCTATTTATCCTTAATGGCTACATATATATTTATGATTAAAATATTATAATCCATCTATATATATATACACACACACACATACATACACTATGTATATATTAGTAATACATAAAATGGTGGGTAAATTTCTAATAAAGGATGGATATACAGTCAAAATGTCTAACAAAATAAACCAATAGGAAATACTTCCATTTTGAAATTATTTTCATGACTTTTATCTTTTCACAGCTTGATGTTTATTTTTCTTTTGACAGAACGATTTCGAGATTTACTACTGCCTCCATCTAGTCAAGACTCCGAAATTCTGCCCTTCATTCAATCTAGAAATTATCCCAAGTAAGCAAAAGGAGTTCACTGGGTTTTGATGAGGCAATGGGCATAGTGCTGGGAGAGATTTGGGCAGGCAAAAACAAAATGTAATCTTTCTTAAGATTTCTGAAAATCTTGAATAACTTACCCTAACTAACTAAGACATCTTCTGCAATATAATGTCTCAGGCTCCTTGCAGCTGGGTCATAGAAGAAATACTTACTTGTAATTGCAACCCAGCTTTGACTGAGGAGCTGCCGCACAGTGCAGACAACATGCTGTGTGCATCTGTGTCTGGTTCTTTTTGCTTGATGTCATATCAACAGGGACAGTATTTTGTCAGTGATGCCTCATCTGGTTTTCTATTTACTGTCCTTTAAATGCAAGGATTCATTTATATTGTAGCAAGTCATTTTCAAAATAGCCGTGGGCTAGATATGATTTTTGACAATCTCTACATATTCTTATGATTTTTGACAATCTCTACATATTCTTATTTATCGTATTGAAAACAGGGGAAATGAAATCTTCTGACGCTTTGTTATGTGAAGCAGACCTTTCCTTCTCATAGATGCCCCAAGCGTATGTCCTTGTTGAAGGAATATGCCTTCATCTTCCCGAAGGTTAAGGAAATACCACGACTCTTATAACACATCTCCTTCCCTAAAGACTGACGCATGCTGAATCTTGATCATTCCTGTGGCATCTTGGGGCCTCCTCTATGAGTGTTTAACTCTCTTTAATTGTTAGTGTGCAACAGGCTAAAGAATAAATAAACTAATATCTAAAATAGAAAAGAAAGGCCATCAACTTAAAGGAATAGAATTTGGTTTATACATATTTCATCTAATCACTATGCCAAATTCTTTCATCGCTTTGAGAGTTTTTTCAAGTATTCATAAACTTTGCTTTCCGGGGAAATTATTTTCCCTCTAATACTTAGCTTTGATAATACTCACTTAATTATGATCACAAAAATAAATGCAGAATCCTAATTATACTGCTTGTGCATTGTTTCAAATTTTAATCCAGGCTTAATTTTTAGCAATAAACTTGCAATCCCCTGATAACACACACAAAGACATACATGTGCCTATACAGCCTTGAATGCATACTTTGCTCTATACGTACATGTTGACCAGGAGCATGAATGTGCCTAAAAGGATTGGTGCACGCCTATTTGTATTTTTACTTACAGTGGCTGTTGGCAGAGGCTGATGATGCCTGCTTTTCTGCCTCTTAGGCTTACAGTTTGCCTAATGCCTTTGCTTGAAGAGGGTAGTCATAGTAGTTTCTCAGGTGGTTATCTATTTGCAGCTACAGGAATACCTCAGAGATATTGTGGGTTTGATTCTAGGCCACTGCAATAAAGTCAATACTGCAATAAAGCTGTCACACTTTTTTTTAAGTTTCTCACTGCATATAAAAGTAATTTTAACAGTATTCTGTAGTCTTTTAAGTGTGCAGTAGCCTAGATATGTCTAGAAATACTATGTACATCCCTTAATTAAAATATACTTTATTGTTAAAAATGCTAACAATCATCTAAGCCTTCAGCAAGTCATAAACTTTTTGCTGGTAGAGGATCTTTCCTCGATGTTGATGGTTGCTGACTGATTAGGAAGGTGGTTGTTAAAGGTAGGGGCACCTGCGGCAATTTCTTAGCATAAAACCATGAAGTTTGCTGCATCAGTTGGCTCTTCCTTTTACAAAAGATTTCTCTGTAGCATGTGATGCTGTTTGATAGCATTTTACCCACAGCTTAACTTCTCTAAAAATTGTACTCAATCCTCTCAAACCCTGCTGTTGCTTTATCAAGTAAATTGTCATTTCAGCATTTTCATAGCTTCTTTACCAGGAGTAGATTTTATCTCAAAAAAACTACTTTCTTCCTGTAATCCCAGCACTTTGGGAAGCCGAGGCAGGTGGATCGCCTGAGGGCAGGAGTTTGAGACCAGCTTGGCCAACATGGTGAAACCCATCTCTACTAAAAATACAAAAATTAGCCAGCTGTGGTGGCACACGCCTGTATTTCCAGCTACTTGGGAGGCTGAGGCAGGAGAATTGCTTGAACCGAGGAGGTGGAGGTTGCAGTGAGCTGAGATTGTGCCACTGCGCTCCAGCCTGGGCAACAGAGTGAAACTCGATCTCCAAAAACAAAACAAAACAAAAAATGACAAACAGACAACAAAACCAAAACTACTTTACTTGCTCATCCATAGTAAGCAACTTTTCATTTATTAACATTATATCATGAGATTGCAGCAGTTCAATCATATATTCAGGCTCCACTTGTAATTCTAGTTCTCTATTTATACTATGTTTGTAGTTACTTCCTCCTCTGAAGTCATGGACGCCTGAAAGTTATCCATGAGGGCTCAAATCACTTCTTCCAAACTCCTATTAATGTTGATATTATGACTTCCTCCCATGAATCATGAATGTTCTTAATAGCATCTAGAAGGTGAATAATTTTCAGGATGTTTTTAAATTTACATTGCCCAGATCTACCAGAAGCATCACTGTCTATGGTAGCTATAGCCTTATGAAAAGTATTTCTTAAATAATAACAATTGAAAGTCAGAATTTCTCTTTGATCCATGGATTGCAAAATGGATGTAATGTTAGCAGGCCTGCAAACAACATTCATCTCCTTGTACATCTACATCATAGCTGTTGGTTGACTAGGTGCATTGTCAATGAGCAGTAATTTTAAAAATTTATTTGTATAAATTTTTGTGGTACGTATGTAATTTTGATACATGGATAGATTGTGTAGTAGCCAAGTCAGGGCTTTTAGGGTATCCATCACCAGAATAACATACATTGTATGCAATAAGTAATTTCTCATTATTCACCCACTTCCTAGCCCCCCTGCAACCTTTCAAGTCTCCACTGTCTATCATTCCATACTCTACATCCATGTGTACACATCATCTAGCTCCCACTTTTAAGTGAGAACATGAAGTATTTAACTTTCTGTGTCTGAGTTATTTCATTCAGGGTAATGGTCTCCAGTTTTATCCATATTGCTGCAAAAGTCATTATTTTGTTCTTTTTTGTTCCTGAACAGTATTTGATTATGTGTATATGCAGTATTTTCTTTATCCAGTCATCCATTGATGGACACTTAGGTTGAATCCATTTCATTGTTATTGTTCTGGTGTGAGCTTTGCTTACTGCCTATGTGAGTAGTAACACTTTGGATAGAATCTTCTTTTTTTTTCTCTGGTGGGCTTAAAATATTCAGTAAACCATGCTATCTATAAACAGATGTGTTTTCGTCTGGACTTTGTTCTTTTATTTATAGAGTGAAAACAGAGTAGATTTAGCATAATTCTTACGGGCCTTAAGTTTTTCAGAATGGTAAATGAGCATTGGCTTCAACTTAAAGTGACCAGCTACATTAGTCCATAGACAAGAGTTAGTCTATCCTTTGAAGCTTTGAAGACAGGCATTGACTGCTCTTTTCCAGCTGTGAATACCGTAGATGGCGTCTACCACTTGATGGCTGTCTTGTCTACATTGAAAATCTGTTGTTTAGTGTAGTCACCTTCATCTATTATGTCAGCTAGATCTTCTGGATAATATACTGCAGCTTCTCCATCAGCACTTGCTGCTTTGCTTTGAACTTTTATATTATAGAGATGGCTTCTTTTCTTAAACCTCATGAACCACTTCTTCTAGCTTCAGACTTTTCTTCTGCAGCTTCCACATCTCTGTCAGCCTTCATGGAATAGAAGAGAGTTAAGGCCTTGTTCTGGATTAGTCTTTGGCTGAAGAGAATGTTGTGTTGTGGCTGGTTTAATCATCCAGACCACTAAAACTTTCTCCATATCAGCAATAAGGCTGTTTTGCTTTCTTATTATTCATATGTTCACTGAAGTAGCACTTTAAATTTTCTTCAGAAACTTTTTCCCTTGCATTAGCAATTTGGCTCACTGTTTGGCGCAAGAAGCCTAACTTTATGCCTATCTCAGCTTTCAACATGCCTTCCTCACTAAGTTTAATCGTGTCCAATTTTTGATTGAAGTAAGAGACATGCAACTCTCCTTTCACTTGAAACTTAGAGGCCATTTTAGAGTTGTTAATTGGCCTAAATTCAATATTGTTTTGTCTCAGGGAAGAGGATGGTCCCAGGTAAGGGAATAAGAAGGAGAAATGGTTGGTAGTTGCAGTCAGAACACACACATTTATTCATCATTGCAGATAACTGAAAGTCAAAGAATTTGTAGCTTTGTAACATAAAAAAAATTCTGTAAAGTTGAAAGGTGAGTCAAACAATTAGAATGTATTTCATTCACAACCACTGCTGTATGTATCTACATTGATATTTTTTCCTCATTTTTCTGATTGAAATATGTTTTAAGACCTAAAATATGGGTTACAAAGCAACTTCCTTGCCCTATAAAGTTATACCATATCACAGAGTATTTACAGATCATTGCATAACCAACATAGATCATAACATCACTAACATGGACTCATTGTGCACTGGTTAGTGTGAGCTGTGGTAGTTTGGATTTGGACTTGGGTTTCTATTTAGTCAACATAGTGTCCCTATAATCTTTAACTTCCTGTTACCAAGAGACATCTAACAAATAATGAAATATGGAAATGTATGTCCTTTATATAGGTGAAAAATATTCATGAAGAGAACTGACTAGTTCTGAAATGTATATGTGTATGTATGTATATGTTTAAAGGAAAGGCATTTAAAAAATAACTCCTGCAATGGTGCTTGGGAACACTCTTCTAAAATACAAGAATGTTCATTAATCAATTTTTACATTTGTGAGCTCTTATTTGACCCACTGCCAAAGCCAGGGCATCCATTCTCATCAGGATGTAATTGTAGACATTGCTCCATGAAAATTCTCAGAACATGAATAGGTGTGACAGTTGTCAGAAAGAGACAGATGAGTGGAAAGGAATAAAAAAAGAATGTGCATCTAATACAAAATGCATATTGTTGATTTATAGGTTGGAGGAAACAAATGGAGATAAAAAACAAGTTTTATTGCTAATAAACTCTGAAGGATTTAGGTTCATAACATGTAGACTAGAGAGTAGTTATAATATATTTTTATCCTTGTAAATACAGCTTGGACATGTAAAATGGTTAAGTACATCTGGTATAATTTTATCCACAAATTACTTGCAACCATTTTGGCAATTAAACCAGCAAAACATGACCCATTGGCTCTGGAAGTTTTAACCACAATGTAGGTAAAAATATTGTGAAAATACAAGAATAAACTGTTTCTACTTGGTTCTCATAAAGATCAAGTTCTCTGAGCTTCCTAATATCGGAACTGTTTAGAGAGAGGAATATCATTTATGACAAATTTTAGAGCTGTTCTTTTTTGACTTGGTTTGCTGCCAAAGAACAACCTTGATTGTTTGGACAATAAAAGCAATGTCCTACCTCAATCTCATTTCTAATGGGCTACGTAAAAATGACTTCAAATGGTGATTTTGGGTAATACCCTTAAACTGCAAAGCCTCAGATGACCTTTCCATAGTCTGTTCTCCAGCTTATCCTCCTTTCTCTTTCCTAGCCAAGTTTTGAGTTCTTCTTCAAGATATCATCTATCTTTAATAATTTCTGTTCAATCTGCATGTCTGTAATGTACTTGTCATCTGATCCTGAGCCAAGTTATTTTATTTTATTTTATTTTATTTTATTTTATTTTATTTTTTAGACAGAGTCTCGCTCTGTTGCCTAGGCTGGCGTGCAGTGGTGCAATTTCGGCTCACTGCAAGCTCTGCCTCCCGGGTTCAAGCAATTCTTCTGCCTCAGCCTCCTGAGTAGAAGGGTTTACAGGTGCTCGCCACCATGCCGGGCTAATTTTTGTATTTTTAATAGAGACAAAGTTTCACCATAGTGACCAGGCTGGTCTCAAACTCCTGACCTGGTGATCTACCCGTCTTGGTCTCCCAAAATGCTGGGATTACAGGTGTGAGCCACTGTACCTGGCCCAAGTTATTTTTGTTTATAATAGTAACACATAATGAGCACTACACATCCAGGAATTGTGCTTTATATGCATTATTAATTTAATTCTTACTATTCCTCTATAAGTTAGGTAGTACTGTTTCCCTAATTTTACAGATAAGAGGACTGAGATTCAAAGAGGTAAATGCCCTACCCAAAGTCACATGGCAGAGCTGGGTCTCCAATCCAGATTTGTTTGGCCCCTCAAATTATACTTAACTTAGAAGTGGTGGGTCATTGAGGGATTACTCCCAGGTGGCTGAAAACTGTGTATGTGTGGAGCACGTGTGTGCATGCATGTGCAAGCACACATACACTTGGAGTCGAGGTATAAGGAGAAATGTGGACAGGGCCTAGAATACCCTTTGTCTTCTGAGGCAAGGTCTCACTCTGTCACCCACGCTGTAGTGCAGTGGTGCCAGCACAGCCCACTGCAGCCTCAACATCTTGGGCTTAAGTGAACCTCCTGCCTTGGCCTCCAGTGTAGCTGGGACCACAGGTGTGTGCCACCAGGCCTGGCATATATATATATATATAGTTTTTTTTTTAGAGACATAGGTTTTTTTTTGTTTTTTTGAGATGGAGTCTTACTCTGTTACCCAGGTTGGAGTGCAATGGTACAATCTCTGCTCACTGCAGCTTCTGCCTCCCAGATTCAAGAAGTTTTCGTGCCTCAGCCTCCCAAGTAGCTGGGCTTACAGGCATGTGCTACCATGCCCAGCTAATTTTTGCGTTTTTAGTAGAGACAAGGTTTCACCATATTGGCCAGGCTAGTCTTGAACTCCTGATTCTGGTGATCCGCCTGCCTTGACCTCCCAAAGTGGGGATTACAGGCATGAGCCACCACACCTGACCAGAGACATAGGTCTTATCACTTTGTTATCACAGGCCTGGTCTTTGTTGCACAGGCTGCTCTTGAACTCCTAGCCTCGAGCAATCATCCCACCTCAGCCTCCCAAAATATTGGGATTACAGATATGAGCCACTGCATCTGGCCTGGACTGCCACTTAAATGACCTTGGACTTTGTTGTAAAGACAATGAAGACCCATGAAAGGATTTTAAGCCAAGGAGAAAGATAATTAGACTTACATTTTTATAGATTTCTCATGAAACTAGAGAGGTACATGAGCTACCGCATGGGGCCAGCACACTAGCTACTTGGCAATTTCATATTCAGGCAAGAAATGATAATGGTTTGTACTGTGGTAATAGTAATATGGAAGATCAGATAGATGTCTAAGGGTGTTCGGAGGCATAATTAACAGAATGTGATGACTATTATGCAAGAAGGAGAGGAGGAGAGAGAGGGAGAAGGAAAGAGCTTTGGGTGGCTTCAAGCTTTTTCCCTTGAGTCACATTCTGGTTTAAGTCCTCATGATTGAGGGAGAGTGGCAATCTGAGCATCTTTATGTTGACTTTTTGTTCTGTATTACAAATGATGATAATGGAGATACCTTCCTTCTAATGTTGCTTTGAGGAATGCCCAATGCATGACACAATTCTTTCTTGTAAGTCTTTGTGATATTTAAATAAAATTATAAAAAGCACCTGGCCTCTTGCAAAAGTGAATTCTCATCACCATTCTCGTTGTCAGCTCTGTTCTGCCATTTCTCAAAGCAATTGCTTGCCTCAGGGCAGGGGGAAAGGCTCTGCCATGTGGGCTGCTTTTATATCTTCAATCCATTCTAAATCCTGTCAGAAGAGATACATTGTCCTGTCTGGTAGAGGTGGCTCTGGGTGATATGCTCTGCTTAGATTAGTCAGGAAGGAGCCCTTTCCCTTGTGTGTCTGCATATTTGTGGTAGTGGTTATTCCGGTACAGTTTCTACAAGCACAGTAATTCATAAGATTTTCCACAGTATACATAATGTCTTTCATTAAAGAATTACTGTCTTTCATCTTCTAATCCTTAAATTTAGGCTTTCTTTTATATAGTATGTGAAATTCGAATACCTGGATGGCAAGAGATCTAAAAGGTAGTATTCTGACTAGAGTGTGGAATGTAGTTATAAGAATGCCTAATGCTACTGATGTTTGCAAAACTACGCAAGTAGGATGTCTGAAGGACGCTGGTCTATCAGCAGGTAGTGGATCCCAACCCCTGGGCTGGGATTCACAAGGCTAAACCCTGTCATCAGGACTGTAAAACTGAGGCACTGCTTAAATTGTAAAGATTTTGGCTCAGAGATCTAAGTCAAGAAGCTGTGTTAGCGCAAGACTAATGAGCAAGCAATAAACAAGCCTTAGTGCTGACTGAGAGCACAACTCATTCCCGACTCAGATAAGAATTGGTTGAAGGATAGGGCCAAGCCGAGTCTATAGCTGGAGGTTAGGTGGCTAAAATTTCAGAACAAGTTGGGGATGTAGCCACTTTCTGGAGATAGATTAAGCACAGGTAATTCTCCATCTTTCTTTCTTTGTTACCCCATCCTGCATTCAGCTGCCATACATCTTTTCAGACTCTTTAGTTTTTATGTTTGAGGGATTTTTGTTGTTTATTTGGGGTTTTTTTTTTTATTTTTAGGCAGAAATTGTCAGTCGACAAAGTAGCCTAAAGTCCTTCCTTTCTTAAAAATCTTATATTAAATGTATCCATTCATAATGGTTATTGGAGCATAATTTTGTTAGCATGATTATTTTATGGGGACTCCTTGCCAAAGAACTTTTATCCTTACAGACTTTAAATTAATTAATTTGTAAGGCCTTGACTGAATCATTCAGAATTCCAAGAGATAAACATCAAATTGGTTTTTTTTCAAACCATGTTCCTTTTAACATGAGATTGCATTAGATAATAATTACAAATTATTGTAAGTGGGCTTGAGTTCTTGATTTCGCTCTCAGCTTGAACATTACTGGTACATGGAAATGCTGCTGATTTTTGTGCATTGACTTTGTATACTGAAACTACTGAAGTCATTTATCAGTTCTCTTGGCAGAGTGGGTTTTTCTAGGTATAGAAGCAAATCATCAGCAAAGAGAGATAGTATGACTTTGTTTCTTATTTGGATGCCTTTCCTTTCTTTCTCCTACTTGATTGCTCTGGCTAGGACTTCCAGTGCTATGTTGAATAAGAGTGGTGAGAGTGGGCATCCTTGTCTTGTTCTGGTTCTCAAAGGAAACACATCCACCTTTTGCCAATTCAGGATCATGTTGGTTGTGGGTTTGTCATAGATGGCTCTTATTATTTTGAGGTATGTTCCTTATATGTGTAGTTTATTGAGGGTTTTTACCATAAAGGGATGTTGGATTTTATCAAAAACTTTTTCTGCATCTATTGAGATGAAAATAGGTTATTTGTTTTTATTTATGTTTACATGCAAAAACAGAAAACTAAACATTGGGTACACGTAGACATGAAGATGGAAACAATAGACACTGGGGAATACAAGATGTGGGAGGGAAAGGTGCAGGGATTGAAAAAATTACCTACCTGTATTGAATGCTGCTGTACACTGTAGAGTACAGTATTGGTTGTTTAAGCTCATGGTCATGTGTCTGGCTGGAAGCTGTGGCAGCTGCCCAGCATCATGAGAGAATATTGTACCAAATACTACTGGTACAGGAAAAGGTCAAAAATCAAAATTTTAAGTACAGTCTCTATTGAATACATATTGCTTTCACTCCATCATAAAGTCAAAAACATTTAAATTGAACCATCCTAAGTTGGGGACCCTCTGTAAAATCACCACCTGTACCAGCTCACTCCTGATCCTCCTTACCTGCTCTATCAGCAACATCAGTAGCTCCTGGGGGAATGGTGAAAACTACAAATGCTCAGACTTCTGAGTCAGCAAGTCTTGGGGTAGGGCCTAGCATTCTGTGTTTTAAGAAGCCCTACAGGAAATTCTGATACACAGTAAAATTTGAAAGCTATCAAGGGAGAACCATCATGGGCTTTTTAAACTCATTCCTTTTGTTTATTGTTTCTATTGATATGATTATCTCCTGAGACTAGAATGGTCTAAAACTGCCATACCATCCTCTCCTGAGGAATAGTTTATCACACTCACTTTTTTCCTACATGAAGAGAGAATTGTTAGATGATAATTGTCCTGGAAGCTTTTTTTGTTTTTACCTTTATATAATACCCCTCACCAAAATAACTGGTAATTGTAAAGATTATTATCTGATTATTAACAAACTAAGCTTTGGAGTTAGACTCAGAATGAATTTAGTAAAAGTCATCCCCCCTTAATATAAGTGTGACCTTAAGAAAATTATTTAACCTTTCTGAGTTTTAGTTCCCAATGCAACAAAATGGGCATTATACTTTCCTATGAAAGTTGTTGTGTGGATTAACAGTGAAGGTATACATAGAACATTCAGTACCAACCTTGGATTAAATGTTCGGTGAAGAGTATCCATTGTTAATATAGCTTATTTTAGGTTTCTGAGGTAAGAGTCTCAGGCATGTCTTGAAAAAGAAAAAATTTTTGGACACTGAGTTTTACTCTGTCACCCAGGCAGGAGTGCAGTGGTGTGATCATAGCTCACTGCAGTCTCAACCTCCTGGACTCAAGCCATCCTCCTGCCTCAGCCTCCCTAGTACCTGGGATTACAAGCATGTGCCACCGTGCCCAGCTAATACTTAAGACAAGGGTCTCATTTTGTTGCTCAGGCTGGGCCCAAAATTCTGGCCCTAAGCCATCCTCCTGCCTCAGCCTCCCTAAGTGCTGGGATTACAGGTGTGAGCCACTGCACCAGACCCTTGAAATTTTTTATTAATTAAAAGAACTGTTTAAAGTGACAGATGATCAGAGAAGATTTTAAAAGGCAAATATTTTTCAAAAATTTACACTTATATGAACATTAAATGTTGTAAATTACAAACCTTTACTTTTAATAATAATATAATATTTATTATATTATTCTTAAATATCTAATATTTATCAGGTTCTTACTATGTTCAGGCACCATGTTAAAAGCTTTAACAAGTATATTCACATTCAGCCACATAAAACAGAAATGTAGCTTGAAACTCATTAACCTTAATAAAAGATTTAAATCAGTTTTTTTAAATGTAAATAAATTCTACTTTCAAAGGAAAAACTTAAATGTCAAAAAATGTTTATATACTTTTGAGTGGGTCAGGGAGGAAGATATCTCTTATTCTTAGAATTATCTTAGATACACAATCCTTCATAAAGGATCTTTTCATTAGTTATCAACAGAAATTTAAAAATATATGAAGTTGATTTCATCTCTACTATGTTATAGCAAGACTTTAAAGAGTTGCCTTTAATTTCTACAATCTGGTTACATATATTATGATAATAGCAACATAACATTCTTTTAAAGAACATGTACTATGATAGGGAGAAAGTCACTGCTCATAAGTGAAACGCAGTGTATTTCACACATATTAATCAGATTAAATATGTAAAAAAAGTGGTTTAAGTAGTTTCCGTTTCCATCTCCCTCAAAAAAGTAGATGTCATGAAGTAATCAAATACTAGTAATTTTATCTTCTTATTTTTTCCAAGAAAAGCAAAATTTTCTCTCTCCTGGTACAAAAAAAAAAAAATCAAATGAAAAACAACTGATTCTCTAAGGGCCTTGAAATCAAATTCCCACCTACATTTCCCAGCTCATACTGGACTTAGCCCATTTCTTGCATCAATACTGGGCCTCCCAGAAGGCCTGTCAGTATACTGTAGGCACTCATTGATACCGTTAATAAAATGTATTTCTGATATTTGTGTGGCCCTCTACAATTCTTAGCACACTTTTTTTCTGTAGCATCCCAACTTATTGACCCTTTTATAGATGAAAGAAATCCAGTTTAGAGAGGAAAAGTTATTTGTCTGGAATCCCAGCCTTAGTAAATGACTAGAACGCTGAGTTCTAGTCGTCCTGTCCAAAGTTATTTCAAAACACCAAAGAGTAGCTTTGTGGGGAGTGGGGAGGGTGTGTGTGTGGGTGTGTAGCTCAGAAAGCAGACAAGTAGGAAGGAGGGGGCAGTGGCCAAAATATAGTCACACAGCCAAAACAGATGCAGGGAGTCTGAGAAATGTAGTATTTTGGCTGGACTTTTTGCTTCCCTGAATAAAATTAATTGTCTGTTACTAAGAAAGAATGGGAGGATGAATATTATATGAACAATTAGCATTTCTATTGCAGTTAAGAAGGATTTCTCTATGCTCTCTCTCTCTCTCTGTCTCACACACACACACTTGAATATATAAACATGAGCAGAGTAATTAGAGCTGCAGAGCTTCCTTTGTGATTGTCCTTTACAGCTAAAGAACTATCAGTTTGTAAGTAAAGTTTTATACTTATGAACAACCAGGGCAAGAGGAGGGACAGTGTTAGATTCTTTTCCTTACTCCTGCTATTTTTCTGTTCACATAGTAAATGTTTAAATAAGTATTTCCAGTACTGATCTAGCCATTGAAAAAATGTTTATTGAATTTAGACACAGTAAAGCAATTGTTACTTTAATTTAGTCATATATAGTCTAATATATGACTATATTAGACATATAGTCTAATATGATCAGAGCTTTAACTTGTCCTTAGCTACCTGGCATGATCATATTTACATTACCCTATACTTTTAATTAATGGTTTCCTCAAAAAAGACACACTTAGAAACAGACGTATTTATTTTAATCTTGACACTTCATAAGCAACATTTGCTACTCCTTTAGGCTAATCACTATGAGAAACCATGAAATAAGGCCTGACCCATCACAAAATCTAGAGATTGCATTCAGCATGTTTGCTATATGGTACAGAAAATTAATTTCACTTATTTTCATTTTTTTCCCACCTTTTTCTGACTGCTCTACAGGCTGTATATTGATGGTCCTTTTGGAAGTCCATTTGAGGAATCACTGAACTATGAGGTCAGCCTCTGCGTGGCTGGAGGCATTGGAGTAACTCCATTTGCATCAATACTCAACACCCTGTTGTATGTCATTTTGATCTATTTTGTTAATCCAAATAGAGAACTGCCAATATTTCTGATATCTCTCTTTTTAGTATAAAATAATTCCTTATTGAATTATTCTACTTGTTGATCAAGGACCTCCATTTCCTGATTGGTGAGGGGAATAATTCAGTGATTCTCAACATGTGGTCTGTGGCTGCTAGCATATTCTCTTGTAGAAAGATGTCATATCACAGTTATGCACTCCTCTGTCCTTTTCCTCTGTTAAAAGTCATTCGCCTCCATCCTTCATTTTCTATGTCCTCATCAGCGGTAAGTGGTTCTACTCATTCATTCAGTCAACAAATATTTTTGAACACCCATGTGCCAATAGGTCTTACAGGTATTGGGAAGACAGCAATGAATGAAAACAGAGTCCCTGCCCTTAAAAAACTTACATTCAAATGGGGCAAGTAAAAAAGAAAGCAATGAGAAATGTAAATAAAATTATTTCAGAAAATATTAGAATTATGACAAAAGGTAGACATTAATGGATATGGAAATAAAGGGCTGGGTTTATTGTTGAAGTATGGTCAGGCTTTTCTGAGATGACAACTGAACACATCATTCCTTCATTTATTACTTAGCAAATTTACAACAGACTAAAGAAAGTAACTTCAAAGGTGAAATTGTGGCCGGGCACATTGGCTCACACCTGTAATCCCAGCACTGTGGGAGGCCGAGGTGGGTGGATCGCTTGAGGCCAGGAGTTCAAGACCAGCCTGGCCAACATGGTGAAACCCTGTCTCTACTAACAATATAAAAATCAACCAGGCGTGGTTTTGCATGCCTGTAATCCCAGCTACTCCAGAGGCTGAGGCATGAGAATCTCTTGAACCTGGGAGGTGGGGGTTGCAGTGAGGGGAGATGGCGCCACTGCACTCCAGTCTCGGTGACAGAGCGAGACTCTGCCAAAAAAAAAAAAAAAAAAGGTGAAATTGTCTGACCAGGAAATACTAAACTAAAACTTATTTTAGTTTCAGGATTATAAGCAAAAGTTAATTGATTGATATTCTTATGAAAACACAAAGCAAAATGAAAGTAGAAAGTTATTCTCAAATCTATTCCATTTACTATTTTTTTTGCAGAACCAAAAAAGCAATAATAAATTTAAGTGATGTGTTTGAATGATATTTTATTTCAGTTTTAAATACTAGATGTAAATTTGGTACTTTCTGGCGGTTCTTACAAAAATGATCATGCTCTAAGCCAGAAATAGTTTGTTTCTGACAACACATTACAAGTTATTTGGACACCTAATGTTATGAAAAAGGAAGAAAATTTTCTTAACCTCAAGCCTACTTTATAAATGGGGATCCAGACTTGGAATTATGAGTTGCTGGAATGCATTACATCATACATGATTGTGAAATCTCTTTCTTTAATGATTTTTAAGAGGGGATAAACAACCAAGTTTCTGGAATGGTTTTGGCTCATTTTGCCAAAAAGCCAGGGCAAGACTGAATGACCTTTGGAGCCCTACTCAGTCTGTGATAGAATTCACTGAAAGTTGAAAACTTGTTTTTTTTCTGAGATGCAGAGCCCAATATTATTCTGGTCCAGTTCAGTTATGGCCTTCAACTGGAAATGGATGATATGCATACTTGTGAATATTATTCACACTTAAATTCATTTAACATTTAACACTTAAACACCTAAATTCATGAAGTATGTCGTATCCTTGAGTCAGTATATTGCATATTAAATTCATTTAGGTCTCGTGCTATCAGACGCTAGAATGTAAATGACTGATTTTTCTGTTGGTTTCTATTGGATATTTCTATTGGTTGCTTACTAATGAAAAGGAAACTTTAAAAAATATACGAATTCTTTAATATTTGTGTTTGCCATCCTAATCACTATCATGTTATTTTCATTTTAAAGGGATGACTGGAAACCATACAAGCTTAGAAGACTATACTTTATTTGGGTATGCAGAGATATCCAGTCCTTCCGTTGGTTTGCAGATTTACTCTGTATGTTGCATAACAAGGTAACATTAGGGTTGGTTCTAGTTTTGCAATTTTTCAAATTAAAAATGTTATAGCTTTTATATTACAAAAGCAATAAATGCTTGCCATAGAATAAACCATAGAAATTATGCAGATAAGTAGCAAGGAAAGAAATAAGTCTCTTAAACATAAAAAATCAGAGATAATATCTGTTAGCAATTAGACACACATCTTTTCAGATATGGATATTTGTGAGTATGCATATATATCTAATATATTTTAACATGGAAACATTCATTTCTATGTTTTAACATAGGGTGTTTCACATAGAAATGTATGCATATGGCTAAAGGTGATGAGGGAAGACAATGGAGGGAAATACCAGAAGGCTCCTGCTGTAACACCTTCCATCCTCTGTTCTGATAGCACTTACCCTTGATTGCCATCTTTAATACTGCAAATCACCAGACTTTTTGGTATACTATACAAATCTCAACAATCCCAAATTTTGTGTTTTATTTTTTGCAGAGATAAAGCAGGAATCTTTTCCTATCCTACGTGTAACATTTGACCTATTTATCTTTATTCACACTATACAAGTGATACACATATGTATCCTTGCTACAAATATTTCAAACAATTCTGATAAAGTAAAATCCTCTCTTACTACCTTCCCTACCTAATCTATGTAAACAGAGGTAACTCTTAAGTGTTCTATAAATTATATCATACTATTTATATTGTTTATGCAAATTCCTTTATTAATTGATTACTGTGTCTTGACTATTTTTTGGTATTAGTGCATCTAGAACTACTTCACTGTTTTTCCCTGTGCCAACAGTTAGAGATGATAGACCCACCAGATTCTTTTAGAGTATTTCATTGTATAGATTTATCTAGTTTACTGAACAATTCTCTAATGTTAGATACTTTTTTATTACAAAGAATGCTGAAATGGATATCATTATATATACCTCTTTGTGCATGCATTCACTCATTCAGTCAGTCATTCTATCATTCAGTGTATATTTATTAACTGCTTACTATCAATCTGAAACTATTCTAGGATCTGAAAACTCATCAGGTGGCAAAATAAAACCAAGTTTCTGATCTCATGTGGTTTACATTCTAAGGGGGCAAGATAGACAACAACCAATAAATACATCCAGCATCAGGTTCTGAGATTCAGGTTAGGACAAAGAAGGAAGGGAAAGTAGGAGTAAAGCAGCGTAAACAGTAGAGAGTGTGTTAATTTATATTGCATGTTCAAGAACAACCATCAAACAAAATGCTATAATGCCATTTGAGCAGACTTGACTGAAGTGAATGAGCAGACTAGACACATATTTTGGAGAAAAAAAATCAAGGTAGAGAAACCTAACTTCATAGGCAAGGGCTCTGAGGCAGCAGTATGCTTGGTGTCCTGAAAGAAGAGAAAGGAGATCTGTGTGGATGAAGCAGAGTAAGCAAGAGAAAGAATAGTAGGACAGGCAATTAGAGAGGTAGTGTCTGTGCTTTTCTGGGAAGAGGTGGATTACGTAAGTCCTCCAGACTTTATGCAAAATAAGTAAATAAAAATAAATGAAAACATTGGTTCTAGGTATGTACCTAGAAGAATTAAAAGCAGGCAATTGGACAGATATTTGTATGCCAATGCCCATAGAAGCATTATTCACAATAGCCAAAGGATGGAAACAACCCAAATATTCATCAATAGTTGAATGAACAAATTATGATATACACATACAATGCATAACTATTCAGCCTTAAAAAGGAAGGAAATTATGACACATAGTACATGGATGAACTTTGAAGATATAATGCTAAATAAATATGCCAGACACGAAAGCAAAAATATATTATGCTGTCACTTATAGGAGGTCCCTAGAGTAGTTTCATTTGCAGAGGCAGGAAGTAGAATAGTCTCTACATATGCATCCTTGCTAAAAATATTTCAAACAATTCAGATACAGTAAAATCCTCTCAGGTTGCCAAAGCCTTCGGGGAGGGGGAAGTGAGGGGTTGTTGTTCCATATTTTTTTCTAGACTATTTATTTTTGCAGGTATATTTTTGCCTCGTGCATTTTTGTACAAGAGAAACCAGAGCCCATTATTGAATAAGCGGAAGGAAGGAACAGGAAAAAGTGTCTATTTGTTTTGTTTTATATTTGCTAGCATGCATAAATTAAATCACTATTGTCTTTTTTTCTCAAGAAAATCATGTTCTTGATGAGTAAACTGGTACAATTTTGAGACTCTTAAGGAATAAAATAAGGAGTATTTCAGAAGGACTAATATTTGTACAGCATTCAGCATGCTAAATTTTGTATCTATAAAGATAACAGAAAATTATTCCCTACCACTACCACCATCAGAACTAATTAATACCAAGAGGCCAGATTATTAACGTTAGAATCTGTTATATATATTTCTGTGTATGTATGTGTGTGTGTATTCATTTTCTTATAGATATTGACTATGATAAGCTAGGTTGTGTTAAATTCTAGAATCAAGTATGTTAGAATAGGAGAAAATCTGAGTATACCCACAGAATTGTAATAAGTCTATTCCTTTTTCTGTCCTCTCAGTTTTGGCAAGAGAACAGACCTGACTATGTCAACATCCAGCTGTACCTCAGTCAAACAGATGGGATACAGGTATGTGGTTGATGTTATCGTAAATTAAACAAGCCTCTTGATAATAGATTTACTGTAGGAGCTGTGGTGGAAGAAAATTCCTGCAGGTGGTTCGAACAGAAGTTTCCTAGAGGAAAGCCTCCTTTGGAATATGTCCAGGAAAGTCATAGCTTGTCCTTGAAGTCAACCACATTATGCCTTCCATTTGTCCTTCTCACAGGGAGCTTTTGAGTCTGCCCCTCCCCTCTTCACTATCGCCTCAAGTTCTTCTAAAATTCAGACTACACATGAACAGCCTTATGATTTCTTTTTATTGAGGGAATGTTTTATGTGGAGAGAGAAGATGAGTTCGTATACAGTTAAGCTTATTTCTAGACAAAGAAAACTAAAAAATAATGATAGCCATCATGCATTATTTATTTACTGTTCTAGGAACTATGCTAATAATTTCACATATATTAGTTTATGTAATTAAAACAGAGTCAAGCAGTAAATGTTATTCCCATTTTGCAAGTGATGAAACTAATATTTGAAGACAACATTGAAGAGCTGGACTGGTGTATAAATCTAGGCATGAATGCATTCACAAATTTTATTTTAGTACTTTTTGTCATACATTTTCACAATACTTGGAATACAACATTTGAATGTTTTCAGTTACCTCAAAACTAATCTAACTCTAAGTTTTCCAGTCGTATTTCTACCCTACTTGGTATGTAAATAGTATTTCATTTTACCAGTCTCACGAAGTAAGTCAATATCACTTTTCCTCCTGGTATTGCGATAATTAAGGTATGAAGCATAATTTGCATCTGGTTCTCAGTTTGCCTGCCTGGGACTCAGATACTTCCTCCTTTCTCCGCAGTTCACTCTGACTCTTCACATTGATTTAGATCTAATGCTCTGTTAATTGCAAACAGGAGCCTGTTCACAGCCATTTGTTGATAGACCCAATTTTGGAGTTTTGCTGTCTTGAGCTGTCTTGTCTAGGATTATTTCCCCAAATTTACGATGACAATTTGTAGTATTTTACTTATATAATGAGCCAAATATGACAACTGTATTTGTGGTGCCAAAATACTTCAATGTTGAAGTCTATGTGCTGAGCCTTTTTGAGATTGACCAATTAGAATTCATTCTTTGTCTTACACTGCAGTTCTTTAAAGATGAAACAACTAACTGAAGTCTAAGAAAATTAGCCATTTGTCAGAATGGCATTCAAGGAGATTAGTTCTAACAATTGATTCATTTAAAAATCAAATTTTTCTACCTTTTTACCAGAATAGATTTTGTTTGTTTGTTTAAAAACAAACAAATGGAATTCAAGGAGATAATGAATTTTAAAAGAAAGAAGAAAGGAAATGATATTTTGAAATAATTGTACGTGATAGGTTGCCATTTGATACTTACATTCTTTATATCACAGCAATTTGGTGGGAAGCCGCAGCACCAGCAGAAATGATGTTAGAGAACTGGTTTACTTAACTAAATATCGAATAATGTAGTGCTTTCTTTTTGGCAGAAGATAATTGGAGAAAAATATCATGCACTGAATTCAAGACTGTTTATAGGACGTCCTCGGTGGAAACTTTTGTTTGATGAAATAGCAAAATATAACAGAGGGTAAGTACTATACCTCAAAAATTTGATATGTGGCTAATAAAATAATTAAAATATTTTCAAATAATTACATGAAGTTTGAAAATGAATTGGCAATGAGTTTACCAATGACAAATTCACTGAAACACTCTTTCACTATCAAAGGAAGAAGTAAGGCAGGTATCGTCCTACATTTTTGTAATTCCAAATAATTAAAGTTTGGCTTAGAAATAGTCTACAGTGTATTTATGAGCTAAACTCTCCTATCTGATTATAAATTTGTATAGGCCTATATTAAAAATGGGTATTCGCTCCCACAGCATATATCAGGTGATCCTAGGAAAAGTTTTCAAAATCATGTTTCCAAACAAAGAATTTTACAATTAGTTCTAACAATGAATTCATTTAAAAATCACATTTTTTGTACCTTTTTTTACCAGAATGAATGTTTTTTGTTTGTTTTTCAAAAAACTCTCTGCATTGTAATATGCAGTCTTTAAACCTAGAATATTTCCAAAAATATTATTTAGAAACTATAATTTTATAAAGAATCTTGTTCTTATGGACTACGTGTCTATGATCTGAAGAAATTACTAAGAAGGAAAGCTTCCATTTCAGGGCACAGACCAGCCAGCCCATTTGTCTTTTGTAAATTTATCATAGTGCAGAGCACTGATCTATAAGAATTCTAAGAAGATTTTGAAAACTATATAACCACTCACGTATTTTTAGGTTTACATCTAAATAGTTTCATCATAAGTTTACACAGTTGTAAAAGATGTGATTTCTAACATATTGCAGATATTGACATTTTGTAATTAACATAATTTCTTTAAACATATCCACTGGAATATAAATACAGCTAGATGATACTGTCATTTATTACAAAAATACATAAACTCTTCTTTTAGCAGTTGGATGTTTTACATCATTCTTTTTCTTTCATTTAAGTTGTATTTCTGTCCCATTAACCCATATAATTTTATTAAAATTCAATTTATTTTTACATTTGAACTAATCATATTTTTATTGCTAACCTAATCCTAATCATACTTCTGCAAAAAGAATGAACATAAATTAAATATTTCATTTTAAAATTGCCTGTAATCATAAGACTCTAGTGTTAATTTTTACTTCTGGCTTGAGTTATCATTTCAATTACTTTATATAGTTGAACACTTCATAATTTTTAAAATATATTTTTATAAACATCAAAAGGATATTTGATTATAAATGTACAGGCCAGCTTATTAAATGGATATTTTTTAAAAAATCCAATTTAGGAAATCATGGATGAATATTATTTATTGAAGAAATCACTGATTCAAGATGATCCCTATCTCTACCTTCAAAGATTTTGTTTTAGAAGTTACAGAATGGAGGCTGGGAAGCAAAATTTATGAAGGAATAACGTTACCCATGTGATTCAGATTACAGTCATGTTTAAAACACTTTTGTAGTATTACCCTTCCCTTGATGAAGTAGTTTTGGGATGAAGATGTAAGCATGATTTACAAAGCAGAACTTTTTTGTAATATTCAGAGTTGAAATTTAGAAAAAAATGATTTCAACCCACTTTTGGCTATCTTCCTTTCCCATCTTTCTCCAGTATCACCCATCTTAGATGTGATAATCTTGTCATACTCATCTGTCTCTTGCTATGCATTGCAGACATGTTCCTCTTTAGTGCCATTTACTGACTTCTGACAAGAATTTTTTTGTTGATTTTCACTGTATATTGCTGAAAACTGATAGTTCTTTGGCTGAATTCAGAAACCAAATCCCTAAAGAGCAGATTATTTACAGGGAAATAGATTGAGGCTGTTGGTTCCTACAGTTAGTTCTCAAGAAGTCTCATTTGTTAGGCTGTTTGTGTTTTAGAGCGATTTGTGTGTGTGTGTATATATTTGGTAGTTTGTTCTTTTTCTGGAAACAATGGAAAACTGGTTTAAGAAGAGCAAATGTGCACCATCTGCTGTTGACATTTTGTACAACACTTTGACTTTGTGTATTGGTTCTCAGGCAGGTGCCTGAAATGTGTTTACATTTTCTGAAGGATTTTTATGTAGCATACTTAGGAAAAGAATGGATCAACATTCTTCAGGTCTCATTAACTGGACAAAGGCACTGTGTAAATGGATGGTTTCATTTACAATGTAGCATTTTGATTAACCTCATGCACACAAATTGCTGAAAACATATAGAGATAACAGTAGGGAAGACAGGCATATAAGTTAAGATTTTAAAATATCATGGGTTGGGCAACAGTTTTTATCTTTCAGAAAGTGATTACTTATTAAACCAGTAGGCATTAGGTTAGTATACTATGTAGAATACAAATTTAAATTGCATTAAACCCTTCTGGCCCAGAGGTAATGACTGGTAACTCTTCGTTATGTATTCTTACAGAAGCTTTTGTAAGTTTGTGTGAGAGTGTGTATGTGTACTTATGAAAGTATATGTAAACATATGTTTGTATGTGTGTGTGTGTGATATATATTTAAAATCAAAACCTTAGTTTTTTAACAAAAATTGAATCTATGACAAGTAATTCTTCAGCTTACTTTGTTGTTTTTGTTGTTTTATTTTTTTCTTGGCTTTGCTAGGAAGAACGAGCTAACTTTTTAATGATGTGCTTCTTTTGATCATGGACAATTTCTGTATAATTGTACCTCAAAGTATTCTAGAGTATGAATAACATGACTCCTACTACCCTAATTCTTTATATTTAGATAACTTATATTTCTTTACAGTTAAAAATAGTGCTGTGGTAATTATCTTTGTACATACTTTCTCATGTGAGAGTATTGCAGTAGATTAAGATCTTTGAGTTGGAATTGCTGGCTCAACAGGTATACACATTTAGGTACTGCTCTACAAAAACTAAAAGTCAGAATTAATTTACTTTCCACATGTGTGTGACAGTCATTCCTTTCTTTTGTTGCTTTTTTTAAATTCAGAAATTGAATTATATGATGGTATTATATGATCATGGAAAGTGAAGGAGCTTTGGGAGTCAACCTGCCTTCATTTTTATTTTACAAATGAAGAAGCTAGGACCTCAAAATATAATGATTTATCAAAAGCCATGGTTAATGAGCCAGAATGCAGATATGAACACAAGTCTCCTGACTGCAAGTTCATTGTGCTTTACAGCAGGGCATAGTCAGCTTGTCACAGATAAAGAGTGGCAATCTTATTTTACCATGTTCCCCTTAGATGGGAGGTAGGGAGGTGCTGCAAGAAATTCCCATGTTTACTATGAATGCTGTAGCAGAATGTTAACTGTAACACTAAAAGAATTAATAACTAATTATTTTGAAATAGAGATATTCTAAATATTACATTGTAAACCATTTAGTATTTAATAAACTATTAGAAAATTATTTATTATATCTAACCCAAACTTGGTTTCCTATTGTTTGTAATTAAAATGTATATCCTGTTTTGAGCTGTGAAGTTTATTCATGATGCAAAGAGAGAAAGAAAATTTGAACTTTGTTTGGCTTTTTGAGTAGAGAATTACTACTCTGGGATTGGGTGAAATCTTTGAGATTATATCTTTATTTTACTGCCTTGTAGTGTTTTCAAACAATACAATTTAAGAATAACTAGGTTTAGTCTCTCACATTTACTCCTGTGACCCTGAGTCAAGTGACTTCTCCTGGATCTGTAATACAACGAGTGAATAAGCTCTCCGGGGTGATTAAGTTCTCATTATGTAAGATCCTGCGTTTACAAATCTACATGAAAAAGCAAGTATGAACATTTATAGAACTAGTTTCTAATGTCTACCCCCAAACCACATTTTCTTAGTACCCGAATCTACCTCCACTCATTCCATCAAAGGTCTAGTAGACAGGTCTCCAGATAATTGTTGGATTGCAGCATTCTAATGCAAATTTAGTACAAATGAATTGCAAAGATTCCTTGTAGAATTCGAAAAAGAAAAAAAAAAAAGTAAGATTTCATTAAGTTAGTGAGAGTGACATTAGGGAATCCTCAAATCGCACACACACGGAGAGGATATCAGAGAGTTAAGCTAGTTAATAATTGCAAAAGAAAATGTTAAAGAAACACAAAAATCATAACATCCTGTGTGATTTAAAAATAATGATTTTTATTATTATTTATTTTATAATTAATACTTGATTTTATTATCAAGTATTTAACAAGGGCCTTTAGGAAATCTGAAAGACTTGCCAAACTAACTCTATAATTGCCCTGTCAAAGCCAAGCAAGAAAATAATGGTATCTTATTGCCATCATATGGCGTTGACAGAAAGTTTATACAAAGAAATAAAATGACTCAATTCTCTTTTCATTTTAATGGAAGCTACATTATGTTTCAATAGTAATTTAAATTTTATTAAGTATAACATCATTTATTTTCATATATTTTTATTTCTTTTGCTCACTTTGGGTTTAATTAGCTTTTTTTAATTTTTACTAGTTTCTTAAAATGGAAACATAGGTCATTGATTTCAGACTGTTTTTCTTAATAAAAGTGTTTAATGCTATACATTTTCCTCTAAACACCACTTTTGCTAAAACTTATACATTTTGATTTGTTTTCATTTTCATCTCGTTCAAATATTTTTTATTTTTTATGTTTTTTCTTTGACCCATGGGTTATTTTAAAATGTTGTCTAATTTCCAAAAATGAGGAAATTTTCCAGATATCTTTTTGTTCTTAATTTCTAGTTCAATTGGGATTTGATCTAAAAATGAACTCCTTGTGATTCTAATCCCTTAAAATGTATTGACACCTGTTTTATTGCCCAGGATATGTTCAATCTTGGTGAATGTTCCATATGCACTTAAAAAGAATTTGTATTCCATTATTGTTAGATAGAACATTCTACAAATGCCAATTAGTTCCAATAGGTTGATAGTGATGTTCAAGTTTTCAATATGCTTACTGAATTTCTGTCTGCTTGTATTAATTACTCAGAGTATTGAAATAATTAACTATAATTATGAATTTATCTGTCTTTACAGTTCCATCAGTGTTTGCTTTATGTTGAAGCTTTTTATTTTCAGTGTTTAAATCATTTACATTTAATTTAATGAAAATACAGTTGGCTTTAAATCTAGCAGTTCACCATTGCTTTGTACTTATCTATTTGTTCTTTCTTTGTTTTATTTTCTTTTTTTACCTTGATTTGGGTTGAATTTTTTTTTATAATTCCACTTTTTTCTCTAATGTTAGCCATGCCTCTGTATTTTTTTTTTTTTTTCTTTTTAGTAATTGCTTTAGGTTGTTGGTTCCTGAACTGGATTCCTTGGACCAGCATCAATTGGAATCTTGTTAGAAAAGCAAATTCTTGAGCCCTATCCAAGATCTGCCAAATCAGAAACTAGGGATGGGGAGACCTAGCTATTTGTGTTCTATGAAGTCTCTAAAATGATTCTGATGAAGCCAAAATTAAAGAAACATTGTTCTAAGTTTACAGTATACATCATTAGCTTATCACAGCCTATTTTATTTTTTATGTTTATGTTTATGTTTATTTTTTAGAGACAGAGTATTGCTCTGTTGCTCAGGCCAGAGTGCAGTGACATGATCTAGACTCACTGCAACCTTGAATTCCTGGGCTCAAGAGCTCTTCCCACCTCAGTTTCCTGAGTAGCTGGAACTACAGTTGCATACCACCATGCTTAGCTAATTTTTAAAATTTTTTGTAGGAATGGGATCTCACTCTGTTGGCCAGGCTGGTACTTTGAATAATATTGTAACACTTCATGTACTTCCATTTCTTCCATCCGTTTTGCTATTTTTGCATTCATCTTACATATACATATGTTATAGTTCTCATTATTAGTATTTTTTGTTTTAGACATCTAGCATATATTAAAAATATTAGAAATTAGACAAAATAAATATTTTATATTTACTGACAGATTTTACTATTTTGGTGTCCTTCTTTCCTTTGGTTGATTCAAATTTCTATCTAATTTTATTTTCCTACTTCTTGAGTAGTTTTCTTTAGTGTCCTTTATAGTGCTGGTTTGCTGACAATTCTTTCAGGTTTTGTTTGTATACAGTTTTTATTCCATCTTCATTTCTGAAAAAATATTTTTGTTTGGCATCAAATTTGCTTGTTATATAATAGTTGATGTCTTGATTTATATTTTAGTACTTTGAAGATATCACTTCATTGCCTTCTGACTTGCATAGTTTATGACAAAAAGTTCACTTTCATTCTTATATTTCATTCTTATATTTTCTGTTGATGATTTGTAATGTGTCTTTTCTCCCAGTCTGTTTGGTTTTATGTTTTTCTTTTTGTCACTCGTTTTTAGTATTTTATTATCAATTGCCTAGGTATAGTTTCCTTTGTGTTTATTCTCCTTGAGATTTAATGAGATCTTTTATTTTTTTTTTTTCTTCTCCCTTGGTCTTCTCTCATGTTGGACTGCAGTTACATGTATTTTTGACTAGTTGTTTTGACTAGTTGGTATTGTCCCACAGGCCACTTATGCTCTGTTCTTTTTTTTTTTTTTTTTTTCAGTTTTTTTCTCTGTGGGCTTCAATTTGGATAATTTCTAATGCTTTTTCTTCAAGTTTACTTTTTCTTCAGCAATGCCTGTTCTTTTATTAACTCATCTAGTATATTTATCATTTCAAATATTGCATTCCATCTCTAGAATTTATGTTTGGGCCTTAAAAAATATTCCATTTATCATCTCATCATGATTATGCTTTTCTTTAAATATATGAAGCCTGTGTATCATCACTGCTTCAATGACCACGTCTGTCATCTCTATCATTCTGAGCCTGTTTCTGTTGAATGCCCTTTCTCCTTGTATTAGTTTGCTAGGGCTACCATAGCAATATACCACAGACTGGTGGATTAAACAACAGCAATTTATTTTTTCATAGTTCTGGGGGCTGGAAGTTTAAGGTCAAAATGCAGGCAGGACTGGTTTCCTGAGATCTCTCTCCTTGACTTGCAGATGGCTATGTTCTTGATGCCTCTTCAGGTGGCTTTTTCTCTGTGCATGCACTTCCCTGGTGTCTCTTTTTGTGTTCAAATTACTTCTTATAAGTACACCATTCAGATTGGATTAGGGCCTACCCTAGTACCTTCATTTTAACTTAAATTGCCTCCTTTAAAGCCTTATCTCCAAATGCAGTCACATCCTGAAGCACTGAGGATTAGAACTTCAACCTACGGGCTTTGGATGGGCAGACTTCAGCCCATAACACTCTTAGTTATAGTTCATACTTTCTTGCTTTTTGAATTCCTGGTACTTTTTTGTTGATTTCTGTACATTTTAAAGTTTAAATGTTAGTTGCCAAATTTTGATTTATTTATTTTAATAGTGTTGGACTTGTTCTGACATGCAGTTAAGTTACTCGGGTTCAGTTTGATCTTTACAAGTCTCACTTTTAAGATTTGTTAGTGGAGGTCCAGAGCAGCCTTCAGTCCAAGGCTAATTTTACCAATATCCCCTCTACTCCTTGCAAATAAGGTGATACGTTTCTGAGAATACAACCCATTGCCCTGTATTTATAGGACTTTCTATTCTGGTGTGTGTGAATACAAATTATTTGCAGTCCTGTGTAAACTCTGGCAATTATTTGTCCTGTTGATCTCTGATATCTCTTTACTCACATTCATGAAGTTTCTTATCATATATGAACTGATTATTAATCAAAGACTTGAGGATTCTCCTCTACCAATCTCCGAGGCGTCTTTCTGTGGATCTCCCTTCCCTTCCATATTCTGCTCCACAAATTCCAGCTGTTTGGGCCTTAATGTAACTCCGTTCTTTGTCTCCTCAGTGTAGTCACCAATCTTTGCTGGAGTTTCCCCTGTCTGCTGCAGCCAGCAGATTGCCTCCAGGCAATAAGCAAAGAGAGTGACGGTGCTTAGCTTGTTTTCTTCCCTTTTCTCAGGGATCATAGTTCCATGCTACCTATTATTCAGTGTCCGAAAATACTTATTTCATCTATTTTGTTTGCTTTTTTTCTAGATTTTTAATGTAAAAGGGTAGATCTACTCCCTATTACCCCATCATGGCTGCAAGTAAAATTCTATTTTCACAGCTTTTAGTTTCATTTTTCAAGGTAAAAAGTTTTAATAACTTTTTTTCAGTATTTACTATTAATTTTTGGTACCAATTTTAATGGATTCAATGTCTTTTGTTCAGTGCGAGTTATTCTGACATAATTAAGACATACTGGATTTTCCCAAGATATGAGATGAAATATTAATAATTTTGACATCCTAGGAAGAATCAAATACAAATCAAACTTGGGAAGAAGGTCAATTTGAAATATTATTTATTTCCTGGGATTTATTTAGTCTATTTGTTAGAGATACGTATTATTTAACTACTAAAATTTTATATTAGAGAATAATAAAAACTGCTTGAAATTTGTTACCATTATTGCAGTGCATAAATAAAAAAGAACTAGATGAATATGTTTTTTGTTTTACTGTGAATATAAATTAGCCACTTAAAATTATTATTTCAAATTGGTAATATCTTTTTTCTTTCCTTCCTTATTCATCGCTGCTTTTGCAAATCCGTGTAGGAATTTTAGATAACTATGTGTAAAGTGTCTAATAAAAGAAGAATGTACATAGTTCAGTGTGGACTGAACATCTATTCAGAAGTCACCTGTTTAGCAATTGACATCTATCAATTGCTGCTCTTAATGAGGTTGCTGGTTTCACCAATGACAAGTCATGAAAAGACTAAGGCAAACTGATAAATCTCTACCTGATAATAAGCATATTTGTGCTCATAGGTACATTCTTTGAATTATCCTAAATTCTAGAATGAAAAGTATGAGGTAAATAAAATATTTTCCTGGTTGACATTTACATTTGGAAATAATTAGAAAATTGTTTTCAATATGTAAAATAGCAAGAAATCAACTTTGTTAATACTTTAAACCATGCTCATAAAGCATACTTCTTGTCATGTTCTGCCTAATTTTACACCTGATTTTCCATTTTCTCTGCTCTTGTTCTAGAAAAACAGTTGGTGTTTTCTGTTGTGGACCCAATTCACTATCCAAGACTCTTCATAAACTGAGTAACCAGAACAACTCATATGGGACAAGATTTGAATACAATAAAGAGTCTTTCAGCTGAAAACTTTTGCCATGAAGCAGGACTCTAAAGAAGGAATGAGTGCAATTTCTAAGACTTTGAAACTCAGCGGAATCAATCAGCTGTGTTATGCCAAAGAATAGTAAGGTTTTCTTATTTATGATTATTTAAAATGGAAATGTGAGAATGTGGCAAGATGACCGTCACATTACATGTTTAATCTGGAAACCAAAGAGACCCTGAAGAATATTTGATGTGATGATTCACTTTTCAGTTCTCAAATTAAAAGAAAACTGTTAGATGCACACTGTTGATTTTCATGGTGGATTCAAGAACTCCCTAGTGAGGAGCTGAACTTGCTCAATCTAAGGCTGATTGTCGTGTTCCTCTTTAAATTGTTTTTGGTTGAACAAATGCAAGATTGAACAAAATTAAAAATTCATTGAAGCTGAAATTCCATTTTCTGTGTTGTGTATAAACAGAGTAGCTTTAATTTGCAAGCACTCCAGGCAAATATATTAGATGTTTGAAAACACAGCACAAGACTCTGTATTGATACGGGTACTTTGTGTCAATATCTAATCGTCTCCACTACTTATGCTAATACCTCTATTTGATATCTGAAGACTATATGCTAACTGAACCTTCCTCAAATGTTGTTATAGTATCTATTTTTATATATTTTTTTCTTTTTATTCCTCTCTCTAGGGAAATATGCCTTCCCTTAGCATGCATTAGACATAATGATTTAATAGGTCCCTTTCATCTTCATTTAAATCTATCACTATTGCATGGTAATGAAAATATTCCTACTATAAATTATAAAGGGATATATATATATGGATATATATATGTATATACACATATATATATACACACACACACACATATATATATATATATATATATATACACATATACTAATAACTTTTCCCTTTTTTCAGCATTTTTGTCTCTATTATTATTATTGTTTTTTTCCCAGGTAGGGTTTGTCTTAGGCTGTAGCCTCTAAGGATAGTTAGTTAATTTGCACTTTGAGACCAAAGGACATCATGTGTGTCAGTAGGGACTGAATATAAGATTTATCTCCTTTGCCACACATTGGTTTATGATGGAGACATTGAAAGTCTAGTCATATTCCTGAACAGTAAAACCTGTATTTTACCTTTTAAGTAAGAGGAAATATGATATTCTTATTCAAACTTAAGTTTAGAATCCAGAATATTACTGTCGCACTTTTTGGTATCCTGAGTTTCCATAGGGAACTATTGGGTTTAAAGTCACCGTTGGAACTACACTGTGTGATCTTATAAACTTATGTTCCCTGGCTATCATATTCTTGGCTCAGAACAATATTTCCCATTACTATCTTAAGAATTAAGGCATTCATGGCTCACGCCTGTAATCCCGGCACTTTGGGAGGCCAAGGCAGGTGGATCACGAGGTCAGAGTTCAAGACCAGCCTGACCAAGTTGGTGAAACCCCATCGCTACTAAAAATACAAATATTAGGCGGGTGTGGTGGCGGGTGCCTATAATCCCAACTACTCGGGAGACTGAGGCAAAGAATCGCTTGAACCCGGTGGGCGGAGGTTGCAGTGAGCCAAGATTGCACCACTGCACTCCAGCCTGGGTGACAGAGCAAGATTCCATCTCAAAAAAAAAAAAAAAAAAAAAAAAAAAGAATTAAAGCATTCATACAGTTTAGTGATTTTGTTTAGTAGTCGGCTATCAATTGCTATCAAATATAACACTGCTGAAATCAGCAGTGTGACTTACCTTGCCATTGTTAAAATGTTACATAAAACATAACATGATAGATGCTAAGGCCTTTTTTTGCTATAATTCACCAATAGCAATCAAGCATGCTAACCCATACTGAATGATATTTACTTGTAGATATTTCTTCCTTTCCTTGAAATTCTCCTTTCTATGGAAAGAAGATGAACCCAAAAAAGTGATAGGAAATGTGGAATGCTCATGCAGATTTAGCTCTGAAGGCATATTTAATAACTAGTATGTCTTGACAACAGTCTTTAGATTAAAAAGAATTTTCATGGAAACATTTAACAGAAAGAACTAGTAAAAAGACACTTTGAGTTAGTCCAGGCTTAATGTGCAATACTGACTCTATACTGATCATAATTTATTTATGCGATCATATTAATAGACCTAATTTCATTAAAACAGGTAGAAGATTTTTCAAAAGAAAGATGATGTTTCAAAGCTGGTCTGCCATTCTAGATGAGCCTCCTTGCTTATTTAAGTTCCAGTAGGTGTTCAAATGTTAAATGTTAAACATAGGTCATCTTTGCTTCTGCAGGGCTTCATCTTGCATGTTTAAGAGAACTTTGTTTTATTTTGAGGGATTATTTCTCTGGGGATCATTCTTATAATACAAGCCTTAAATCACTAATTTTAGTAGCAATAAATGTTAAAATTGAAATGGTGTCCTTGAAGTTTCTATAAGCTCACTATAACTTTGGAACAAATAAAGCAGCAACATTTGTTCACAAGATGATGCAAGTCTAGGAAACACACTCTGCTTGTCAGGAATTAGCATTTGCACCGGCCGTGGTGGCTCACACCTGTAATCCCAGCACTTTGGGAGGCCGAGGCGGGTAGATCACTTGAGGTCAGGAGTTGAAGACCAACCTGGCCAACATGGTGAAACCCCATCTCTACTAAAAATACAAAAATTAGCCAGACATGGTGGTGGGTGCCTATAGTCCCAGCTACTCGGGAGGCTGAGGCATGAGAATCACTTGAACCGGGGAGGCAAGGCCGAGGTTGCAGTGAGCCGAGATTGCGCCACTGCACTCCAACCCTGCCCTGGAAACAGAGTGAGACTCTGTCTCAAAAAAAAAAAAAAAAAAAAAAAAAGGAATTGGCACTAGCATGAGAAGCCTTAGGAATCTGAGTTCTGGAACTATCAATGTTGTCACAGGCTAATGGTGTAACTAAGTCAAATTACTTCTCATACATAGACTAAAATGTATCATTTTATTAATTTTTGGATAGTGTATCCTTTTGAGAATCTGATTAAAATGCTTAGCATGACATACAGCACATCCCTACAATTTTGGGGAACCTACAAACACACTCCAGAAAGAAGCACATCTGTTTAAGAACCTCTAAACAAAATGGCTATTGCTATAGGTCTTTCTACTCATACACTTCTTTTCTTTTTCTTTTTTTTTTTTTTTTTTTTTTTTTTTCTGAGACGGGGTCTTCCAGCCACACTGGCATGCAGTGACATGATCTCAGTTCACTGCAACCTCCACCTCCTGAACTGAGGTGATCCTTCCATCTCAGCCTACCAAGTAACTGGGACTACAGGCACACGCCACCATACCTAGCCAATTTTTGTATTTTTAGTAGAGACAGGGGTTTCACAATGTTGACCAGGCTGGTCTCAAACTCCTGGGCTTAAGTGATTCTCCCACCTTGGCCTCTCAAAGTGCTGGGATTACAGGTGTGAGCCACCACGCCTGCCCCAAACTACCAATTTCTATAGGATTATACCAAGACATTTATTTTGTGGACAAGGGCATTCTCTTTATATGTTCCCAAACAGAGAATTCAATAGGACTTTCCATCGGTTTTTAATCTTGCTGTATCACCTGATTTATGCAAGGGAAGGCTATAATTTTTAAATATAAATAATTCTAAAAAACTATGATTCATACACACACACTCATACATATATACTACATAAATCCATACATATACATACATACAATTGGGACTTCATTTGCTTTTTTAAAAATTTCAAGTTAAAAGTGAAATGCTTGATAGTTCTTCATTCAGTGATGTTAAAATGCCAGTTGGGTGACTGTGGTAGTATAGGCATTTAAAACAACAGCATAAAAGCAATGTAGACAAGGAACAGGGTGAATCAATTTAATCTACACAGCCAAGTGATTGATAAACCCACAAATCAGTGTTTACTTGGAGCATTCACAGCGGGTGATGGATTTAAATTATGAGCCATTGTTAAAGAGATTCACTGGAGGCAAATGGACTGTTGTCATTAACAGATAATGCTAGTGATGAAGAATACTCATTATATAAAAGAGAAGAAATTTTAAGAAAAAATGTTTTGATTCTTAAGGATGGTTATACTAGCCAAAAAGTGAGTTTTCTAAACAAACCAAGGGGAACATTTTTAAGTTGCTATTCACTTTAAGAAGTTTCCTTTTCTTATGCTAGCTAGGACTTTTTCCATATACAGTTATATTGTTGAATATAAAATACTGAAGGTAAGAGTAGTCTTATTTTACGATTGGGAAAACTGAAGCCCAAAATTGCTACAAGTCATCTATTGAGTTTGTAGCAGAGCTGAGACTGGAATTCAGTTATTTTTATTTATTTATTTATTTATTTATTTATTTATTTATTTATTTTTATTTATCTTTTTTTTTTTTGAGGAAGAGTCTCGCAGTGTCGCCCAGGCTGGAGTGCAGTGGCGCGATGATCTCGGCTCACTGCAAGCTCCGCCTCCCAGGTCCACGCCATTCTCCTGCCTCAGCCTCCGGAGTAGCTGGGACTACAGGCTCCCACCAGCACGCCCGGCTAATTTTTTGTACTTATTTTTTAGTAGAGATGGGGTTTCACCGTGTTAGCCAGGATAGTCTCCATCTCCTGACCTTGTGATCCGCCCTTCTTGGCCTTCCAAAGTTCTGGAATTACTGGCGTGAGCCACTGCGCCCAGCCTGGAGTTCAGTTTTTTTAATCTCTTCTACCGAAAGGCTCTTCACCTCCCCATGAAATCTTCATCTAATAAAAATATCTTGCGCTGTGAGTTTGAATCTCCCTGTTAAACCCTATTTAGTGCCATGTGGAAAACATGATACTGAGTGTTAATTCCAGATTCAGATTCAGAAAATTATACTCTTCTTACGAATCTATCTTCTTATTCTAAATTTGTTAGTCTTGTATGTTTTGCCTATTAAAAACCATTTTCATATACCTGTTTTTAAGTATGATAATTGTGGTAAAGGGATTGTGATCTCCAGAGTTTTGCATTGGAGAAATCTGTAATAGTGTAGTTTCTAGGAAATGCTAATAATATAATTTTAAATTCAAGTTCATAGATGAAAATTATAACTTCGCCAGCTTTCTAACCACCCAGGAAAAACTGGTGTCAAAACAAATGTCTATTGTTCACTACTCACATGACCATAACTCACTTTTTGTCCAGGAGAAAAGAGTCAGCATTTTGTAAACTAGTGAGACAGGAAATAAATGAAATCAAATGTAATGAGATTGGCATTTACTTCAGCCACCTCAGGACAATGAGAACTCACTGTTATTTCTCTTCTAAATTTCCTCTCTATTGCGCTAACTTTATTATTCTATTCTGTAAGACTCTTTATTCTATTCTATACTATTATATTCTTTATTCTCAAAGGACAGAATTGCAAAGACTAGCTAAACTAAGTTTTCTAAAGAGAAAAAGCAGAAAACATCTAATTAGGAAAGAGGGGTTTATTATAAGAGAAAAAAAGGCCATGTGGATCTTTTATAAAAATTAGCAGAAAGTTTAATGTTGCTTTAGAACGGAGACCAACAACCTGATGCAAAGTGTTAAAATTCACATTTTGGAACTAGGAAGGGCAAGAAATGTCTCATAGGAGGAATAAAAATTGTCAGAGAAAGCAAAATCATTTAACACTTCAGGACGTAATAATGTTTTTCCTTTTATAACTCAAAAGATGCTTAAATACATGGTAAACTGGCTATTTCTCTGGTTTGGAAGAATGTGAAAGAATGTGATGTTTGGCTAGATTTTAGGGAACTTTTCACATTTTCACTGACATTAGAATTTTAGCAAGAAACTTTATCTTAGATTAAAATTACATCTAGGTTCTTTAAGAAATAAAGCATTGACGAGCTGCTATTTGACCTAGAGAAGACCTCGACACTTAGATGAGAGCCAGCACTGCAAAATACTCGAATATACATAGCAATAAAGAAGGCCAGGATGCCATGCATTGCTTTAGTCACATACACAATGCATTAAAATTCTGTCATTGCTAGGTCATATTTCACAACCGTTATCCTTTCACCCAGGGAATGAAAACCTTCTTAACAATTGTAGACATTGAGATACACACATTGTCTCTGTTGTAACATAAAAGTATATATATTTACTTATAACAGCATATTCACTTGAACCTAGTATCAATTTAGTATGACTATGTAATTCATTTTAGTGGTGAGAAATATCCACAGTGCATAAAATGGGAGCTTTGCTTACTGGCTTAAAAATTTACTGCAGCCAACACATTGGCTAAAGACAAAGCTGTTAAATTTTCTAGGTTTTTATCTGCAGCTGAACCTCAAAGGAATGTAAAATACCTTACTGCATGTATGTTGGAACATGACCTGGGACTTACCCTACACTCTGTGATTAGATGTGCTGCACAGTTTATTCTTTAGATTCCCAGGGACTAACAGGTTTAGGAAAATACAATCTCTTCAGTCAGTGTGGCATGTTTAATGGCAGAACTGGGTGCCCACCAGGTGCAATTACACCTTTATTTAAATATGACAATTATCTGCTTACCAAAAGGCATTAGCAGGAGATTATCTTTTTTTTTCTCTCTCTTTTCATTAAAATTTATTTTAAGGCCAGGCACTGTGGCTCACGCCTGCAGTCCTAGCACTTTGGGAGGCTGAGGCGGGCAGATCATCTGAGGTCAGGAGTTCGAGATCAGCCTGGCCAACATGGTGAAACCCTGTCTCTACCAAAAATACAAAAATTAGCTTGGCATGGTGGCAGACAGCCGTAATCCCAGCTACTTGGGAGGCTGAGGCAAGAGAATTACTTGAACCTGGGAGGCCGAGGTTGTGGTGAGCCAAGCTTGGCCATTGCACTCCAGCCTGGGGGACAGGAGCGAGACTGGGTCTCATAAATAAATAAATAAATAAATAATAACAAAAAAAATTAAATTAGAGGTGGGAAAAGTAGAAATCACTTTAAAAATTAAGCATACAATTGGATGACATGCTGTTCTACCCTGAGAGCGTGCCAGTGTTACCATTCTATTCAGCCACATTCAATGGTTATGGAGTAAATAGGCTTCTGAGAGAGAAATCAGAAAATTTGGAGCCTTCATCCCTGAAATATATTAGACCACTTACATAAAAATGGGAATAATATCTACCAGGGATGTAGTATGGCAAAAATGTGGAAGAGGGAGGAGAAGTGTGGTGAAGAGAGAGATTTCCTAGGCAAATCTCCCTTAGTAGACTTTTGATGACAGAGTAAAAATCAAACACTGTTGTAAGAAAGTAAAACTCAAGCTTTTATGAGTTGCAGTCCATTGTACCTGAAAGATTGATTATTTAATTTTATTTTCTGGGCGAGTAGAGAAACACACACAGCAAACCAGCACCACTGTCTGTCTTCGTTCTGCTCCCCACAAAGAAAGTCTTTTGTTAAATCTAGTATATGCTTTCTGAATTCCTCTTAGCTAGTTTTGGTCGGGCCCAATATGGATAGAGATAGTTGTACTGACTTATGAAAATTAACTTAGGAGAGGAGCCAAGATGGCCGAATAGGAACAGCTCCGGTCTACAGCTCCCAGCGTGAGCGATGCAGAAGACGGGTGATTTCTGCATTTCCATCTGAGGTACCGGGTTCATCTCACTAGGGAGTGCCAGACAGTGGGCGCAGGCCAGTGGCCCTGCGCCAGCCGAAGCAGGGCGAGGCATTGCCTCACCTGGGAAGCGCAAGGGGTCAGGGAGTTCCCTTTCCGAGTCAAAGAAAGGGGTGATGGACGCACCTGGAAAATCGCGTCACTCCCACCCGAATATTGCGCTTTTCAGACCGGCTTAAAAAACGGTGCACCACGAGACTATATCCCACACCTGGCTCGGAGGGTCCTACGCCCACGGAATCTCGCTGATTGCTAGCACAGCAGTCTGAGATCAAACTGCAAGGCGGCAGCAAGGCTGGGGGAGGGGCGCCCGCCATTGCCCAGGCTTGCTTAGGTAAACAAAGCAGCCGGGAAGCTTGAAATGGGTGGAGCCCACCACAGCTCAAGGAGGCCTGCCTGCCTCTGTAGGCTCCACCTCTGGGGGCAGGGCACAGACAAACAAAAAGACAGCAGTAACCTCTGCAGACTTAAATGTACCTGTCTGACAGCTTTGAAGAGAGCAGTGGTTCTCCCAGCACACAGCTGGAGATCTGAGAATGGGCAGACTGCCTCCTCAAGTGGGTCCCTGACCCCTGACCCCCGAGCAGCCTAACTGGGAGGCACCCCCCAGCAGGGGCACACTGACACCACACACGGCAGGGTATTCCAACAGACCTGCAGCTGAGGGTCCTGTCTGTTAGAAGGAAAACTAACAGACAGAAAACCCATCTGTACATCACCATCATCAAAGACCAAAAGTAGATAAAACCACAAAGATGGGGAAAAAACAGAACAGAAAAACTGCAAACTCTAAAACGCAGAGCGCCTCTCCTCCTCCAAAGGAACGCAGTTCCTCACCAGCAACGGAACAAAGCTGGATGGAGAATGATTTTGATGAGCTGAGAGAGGAAGGCTTCAGACGATCAAATTACTCTGAGCTACGGGAGGACCTTCAAACCAAAGGCAAAGAAGTTGAAAACTTTGAAAAAAATTTAGAAGAATGTATAACTAGAATAACCAATACAGAGAAGTGCTTAAAGGAGCTGATGGAGCTGAAAACCAAGGCTCGAGAACTACGTGAAGAATGCAGAAGCCTCAGGAGCCGATGCTATCAACTGGAAGAAAGGGTATCAGCAATGGAAGATGAAATGAATGAAATGAAGCGAGAAGGGAAGTTTAGAGAAAAAAGAATAAAAAGAAATGAGCAAAGCCTCCAAGAAATATGGGACTATGTGAAAAGACCAAATCTACGTCTGATTGGTGTACCTGAAAGTGATGCGGAGAATGGAACCAAGTTGGAAAACCCTCTGCAGGATATTATCCAGGAGAACTTCCCCAATCTAGCAAGGCAGGCCAATGTTCAGATTTAGGAAATACAGAGAACGCCACAAAGATACTCCTCGAGAAGAGCAACTCCAAGACACATAATTGTCAGATTCACCAAAGTTGAAATGAAGGAAAAAATGTTAAGGGCAGCCAGAGAGAAAGGTCGGGTTACCCTCAAAGGGAAGCCCATCAGACTAACAGCGGATCTCTCGGCAGAAACCCTACAAGCCAGAAGAGAGTGGGGGCCAATATTCAACATTCTTAAAGAAAAGAATTTTCAACCCAGAATTTCATATCCAGCCAAACTAAGCTTCATAAGTGAAGGAGAAATAAAATCCTTTACAGACAAGCAAATGCTGAGAGATTTTGTCACCACCAGGCCTGCCCTAAAAGAGCTCCTGAAGGAAGTGCTAAACATGGAAAGGAACAACCGGTACCAGCTGCTGCAAAATCATGCCAAAATGTAAAGACCATCGAGACTAGGAAGAAACTGCATCAACTAACGAGCAAAATCACCAGCTAACATCATAATGACAGGATCAAATTCACACATAACAATATTAACTTTAACTGTAAATGGACTAAATTTTCCAATTAAAAGACACAGACTGGCAAGTTGGATAAAGAGTCAAGACCCATCAGTGTGCTGTATTCAGGAAACCCATCTCACGTGCAGAGACACACATAGGCTCAAAATAAAAGGATGGAGGAAGATCTACCAAGCAAATGGAAAACAAAAAAAGGCAGGGGTTGCAATCCTAGTCTCTGATAAAACAGACTTTAAACCAACAAAGATCAAAAGAGACAAAGAAGGCCATTACATAATGGTAAAGGGATCAATTCAACAAGAGGAGCTAACTATCCTAAATATATATGCACCCAATACAGGAGCACCCAGATTCATAAAGCAGGTCCTGAGTGACCTACAAAGAGACTTAGACTCCCACACATTAATAATGGGAGACTTTAACACCCCACTGTCAACATTAGACAGATCAACGAGACAGAAAGTCAACAAGGATACCCAGGAATTGAACTCAGCTCTGCACCAAGCAGACCTAATAGACATCTACAGAACTCTCCACCCCAAATCAACAGAATATACATTTATTTCAGCACCACACCACACCTATTCCAAAATTGACCACATAGTTGGAAGTAAAGCTCTCCTCAGCAAATGTAAAAGAACAGAAATTATAACAAACTATCTCTCAGACCACAGTGCAATCAAACTAGAACTCAGGATTAAGAATCTCACTCAAAGCCGCTCAACTACATGGAAACTGAACAACCTGCTCCTGAATGACTGCTGGGTACATAACGAAATGAAGGCAGAAATAAAGATGTTCTTTGAAACCAACGAGAACAAAGACACAACATACCAGAATCTCTGGGATGCATTCAAAGCAGTGTGTAGAGGGAAATTTATAGCACTAAATGCCCACAAGGGAAAGCAGGAAAGATCCAAAATTGACACCCTAACATCACAATTAAAAGAACTAGAAAAGCAAGAGCAAACACATTCAAAAGCTAGCAGAAGGCAAGAAATAACTAAAATCAGAGCAGAAGTGAAGGAAATAGAGACACAAAAAACCCTTCAAAAAATCAATGAATCCAGGAGCTGGTTTTTTGAAAGGATCAACAAAATTGATAGACCACTAGCAAGACTAATAAAGAAAAAAAGAGAGAAGAATCAAACAGACACAATAAAAAATGATAAAGGGGATATCACCACCGATCCCACAGAAACACAAACTACCATCAGAGAATACTACAAACACCTCTACGCAAATAAACTAGAAAATGTAGAAGAAATGGATAAATTCCTGGACACATACACTCTCCCAAGACTAAACCAGGAAGAAGTTGAATCTCTGAATAGACCAATAACAGGAGTTGAAATTGTGGCAATAATCAATAGTTTACCAACCAAAAAGAGTCCAGGACCAGATGGATTCACAGCCGAATTCTACCAGAGGTACAAGGAGGAACTGGTACCATTCCTTCTGAAACTATTCCAATCAATAGAAAAAGAGGGAATCCTCCCTAACTCATTTTATGAGGCCAGCATCATTCTGATACCAAAGCCGGGCAGAGACACAACCAAAAAAGAGAATTTTAGACCAATATCCTTGATGAACATTGATGCAAAAATCCTCAATAAAATACTGGCAAACCGAATCCAGCAGCACATCAAAAAGCTTATCCACCATGATCAAGTGGGCTTCATCCCTGGGATGCAAGGCTGGTTCAATATACGCAAATCAATAAATGTAATCCAGCATATAAACAGAGCCAAAGACAAAAACCACATGATTATCTCAATAGATGCAGAAAAAGCCTTTGACAAAATTCAACAACCCTTCATGCTAAAAACTCTCAATAAATTAGGTATTGATGGGACGTATTTCAAAATAATAAGAGCTATCTATGACAAACCCACAGCCAATATCATACTGAATGGGCAAAAACTGGAAGCATTCCCTTTGAAAACTGGCACAAGACAGTGATGCCCTCTCTCACCACTCCTATTCAACATAGTGTTGGAAGTTCTGGCCAGGGCAATCAGGCAGGAGAAGGAAATAAAGGGTATTCAATTAGGAAAAGAGGAAGTCAAATTGTCCCTGTTTGCAGACGACATGATTGTTTATCTAGAAAACCCCATTGTCTCAGCCCAAAATCTCCTTAAGCTGATAAGCAACTTCAGCAAAGTCTCAGGATACAAAATCAATGTACAAAAACCACAAGCATTCCTATACACCAACAACAGACAAACAGAGAGCCAAATCATGAGTGAACTCCCATTCACAATTGCTTCCAAGAGAATAAAATACCTAGGAATCCAACTTACAAGGGATGTGAAGGACCTCTTCAAGGAGAACTACAAACCACTGCTCAAGGAAATAAAAGAGGATACAAACAAATGGAAGAACATTCCATGCTCATGGGTAGGAAGAATCAATATAGTGAAAATGGCCATACTGCCCAAGGTAATTTACAGATTCAATGCCATCCCCATCAAGCTACCAATGACTTTCTTCACAGAATTGGAAAAAACTACTTTAAAGTTCATATGGAACCAAAAAAGAGCCCGCATCGCCAAGTCAATCCTAAGCCAAAAGAACAAAGCTGGAGGCATCACACTACCTGACTTCAAACTATACTACAAGGCTACAGTAACCAAAACAGCATGGTACTGGTACCAAAACAGAGATATAGATCAATGGAACAGAACAGAGCCCTCAGAAATAATGCCGCATACCTACAACTATCTGATCTTTGACAAACCTGAGAAAAACAAGCAATGGGGAAAGGATTCCCTATTTAATAAATGGTGCTGGGAAAACTGGCTAGCCATATGTAGAAAGCTGAAACTGGATCCCTTCCTTACACCTTATACAAAAATCAATTCAAGATGGATTAATGATTTAAACGTTAGACCTAAAACCATAAAAACCCTAGAAGAAAACCTAGGCATTACCATTCAGGACATAGGCATGGGCAAGGGCTTCATGTCCAAAACACCAAAAGCAATGGCAACCAAAGACAAAATTGACAAATGGGATCTCATTAAACTAAAGAGCTTCTGCACAGCAAAAGAAACTACCATCAGAGTGAACAGGCAACCTACAACATGGGAGAAAATTTTCACAACCTACTCATCTGACAAAGGGCTAATATCCAGAATCTACAATGAACTCAAACAAATTTACAAGAAAAAAACAAACAACCCCATCAAAAAGTGGGCAAGGGACATGAACAGACACTTCTCAAAAGAAGACATTTATGCAGCCAAAAAACACATGAAAAAATGCTCATCATCGCTGGCCATCAGAGAAATGCAAATCAAAACCACTATGAGATATCATCTCACACCACTTAGAATGGCAATCATTAAAAAGTCAGGAAACAACAGGTGCTGGAGAGGATGTGGAGAAATAGGAACACTTTTACACTGTTGGTGGGACTGTAAAGTAGTTCAACCATTGTGGAAGTCAGTGTGGCGATTTCTCAGGGATCTAGAACTAGAAATACCATTTGACCCAGCCATCCCATTACTGGGTATATACCCAAATGACTATAAATCATGCTGCTATAAAGACACATGCACACGTATGTTTATTGCGGCATTATTCACAATAGCAAAGACTTGGAACCAACCCAAATGTCCAACAATGATAGACTGGATTAAGAAAATTTGGCACATATACACCATGGAATACTATGCAGCCATAAAAAAGGATGAGTTCATGTCCTTTGTAGGGACATGGATGAAATTGAAAATCATCATTCTCAGTAAACTATCGCAAGGACAAAAAACTAAATACCGCATATTCTCACTCATAGGTGGGAATTGAACAATGAGATCACATGGACACAGGAAGGGGAATATCACACTCTGGGGACTGTGGTGGGGAGGGGGGAGGGGGGAGGGATAGCATTGGGAGATATACCTAATGCTAGATGACGAGTTAGTGGGTGCAGCGCACCAGCATGGCACATGTATACATATGTAACTAACCTGCACAATGTGCACATGTACCCTAAAACTTAAAGTATAATTAAAATAATGATAATAATAATAATAATAGTAATAATAATAAAAGAAAAAGAAAATTAAGTTAGGAATTGCAGAGGGTAGCATAAGTTATCCCACTTATTTAAGATTTAATGGAGGAAAATTTAGATGTTTATGAGATGTTCTGCTGAATTAAATTCAAGACCTATGTCTTATCACTAGAAATCCTTCTATTTACAAAAATGCAAGACGTTTTATCTGCTTTTTTTTTTTTTTTAGATGGGAATAAAGTAAATGTATAGCTTTCTTACTCTTACTGGAGATATTTTTCATTATGGGTTTTCATCAAATCTCATGTTATGTTGTAGATTTTTATATTTAAATAATGTGTGTGTGCATGTGTGTATTTTTATGGTGGATTATAAAAAAAACTCGAGTGAAAATGAAATTCTAGAATAATGCTTAGTAACACCCTCCAGCTTTCATAGCATTCAACAATTTCGGGTTTGCAGTTAGAGAAAGTGTAGTCCTCTCATCCAAGTGTGAGATGCTCAGCAGTCCAGGTTTGGCATTTGATCCTTGTTATCTAGTTAAATGGAAGTGTGGCATTATACAATGCTGAAGAGAAAGCACTAAATCAAATTCAATATTCATAAATAATTGAAAATATGCATATATTTATATATAATCTTATTCCTATAAAGTCATAGTATGTATAAAGTCATAGTATGTAGGAAAACCTTTATTGCTTTAGAACATGACACGGTGCTTACAACTGAAACAAATAAAATTTGTTCAAACATACTTAAAATCTCTTTTCATTGGGAATTACGCACTTTTGGCAATAATAATCAAGAATTTTCTCTAGGATTTTGAGAACAGCATAGTGTTGTTTTCATCCTAAAGAAGGATCAGTCTTCCATGTGAAGATAATAAAAAAGTAGTATTTAAGAACTGCTCCTTTGAAACACTTTGAAAGTGTTCTAATTTCTAAGTCACTCAACGCTTCTGTAATTTTCCTTACAGCAGGATATGTAATTGGGAATGATAGGATTCTGATATTTAAATTTAACATGCTGGGTTTGGGATTTTGGTTTTATTTTGGTTTGTTTTTTGTTATTATTTTTAAATCTCATAATTGTGCTCAGTAAGATAGGAACATTAAATATTTATATAATTTTAAAATATTAAATATATATATATTTGCACAGAAAATTAATAAAACATACTATGTTCATTATGAAGTTTAAATGTTGAGTGTTTATGTTTGACCATTGAGGAGTCAATTTTGCCTAAACATTGAGTGTACCGTACATATTTACACACATGTAAAAACTCCTGCTTACAGATTTTTGTTTATTTTATCCAGCACATCATAATCTCCCTTTTTTGAAATATTCAAATTACGTAAAATAAAGAATAATAGTAGAGTTACTGTCAAGTAACATTTACCTGACATTTACCAAGGTGGGATATGAACCATTTGCCATAAGCCCTGTCCTAGAGACCAGTGTTCTGATATCATCTGAAAACTACTTTTCCTGTCAGTAAAATGCATATCAGATTTTTTTCTAAAAATGCTCTCTGAGAATCATTATAGCTTGTGTTTCTATGTTGACTTTGACTCTCAGTAGAATTGATAATTTTATAGTGGATAGGATGAGTAAAAATGCTTCAGTATATAGGACTGTGGGCACCTTTAGGTCCTAAGATATGCCTAGGCTATACCAAGTTGAAATGCATTCCTGCATCAGCAGCATGAACATATATTTGCTGGTTGGGCATGGTGGCTCACACCTGTAATCTCAGCACTTTGGGAGGCCGAAGTGGGTGGATCACCTAAGGTCAGGCATTCAAGACCAGCCTGGCCAACATGGTGAAACCCCATCTCTACTAAAAATACAAAATTAGCTGGGCGTGGTGGTTCACGCTTGTAATGCTAGCTACTCATGAGGCTGAGACAGGAGAATCACTTGAACCAGGCAGGTAGAGGTTGCAGTGAGCTGAGATTGTGCCATTGCACTCCAGCCTGGGCGACAAGAGTGAAACTCCATATGAAAAAAAAAAAAAAAAAAAAGAAAAAGAAAAAAGAAAATATATTTGCTTCAGAATACAAGACATTATATTATTGATGTTTCTAAATATATGCTCTTTACATTAAATTATTAGCCATTATTTTCTTTTAGAGTCATTTATGGATTAAATTAGATGCCACTGAGCTCTAACTTACAGAGCTTTTAGAAGTAGTGACTTGTTTTGTAGGGTTTAAGCAGGTTACTTCACTATGTGGTACTGCATTTTTCTCAATCAATTCCTACCATATTGCAGTCTTTCAAGTGATTTATTTTCAAAGAGTCTGCTTTCCTGAGATGGTGTCTTGCCCCATGTATTTCACCAAGCTGTCATACATTCTGTAATGGGTATTTCAATAGGTCAAGTTCAAATGCATTTAAAAGGCAAGATTAGTAGTTATGTGCTTGCATTCGCTATGTGCACTATTTGCTTTGTGTCACAATGGGGTCATGAGTGTATGCTTTAATAGCACAAGTGTTGTAAAATTACTCGTCAGCAGCAGCCAGCGAGAGAATAACACAAAAGATAATTGGGGAAAAAATATTTGAAGGATGCACAAATCAGAGAGGCATTGATGCAAATCTCAATTCTGAAGACTAACAGTTTCTCTGTAATGTCTTCCCTTATTCATATTGATTCACCTGTCAGGAATGTGTCTGCTAGGGCTAAAAAATATGAAAATGTGTGACAGTAAAAGTTTCTCATCAGACTTTTTATTAGGCAAGAAAATCTCTGAGAAATCTTTACAAGTGGCTTGTGTTGCAGAGGCCAAGTTTGCAGCTTGCTGATAAATGTGTAATCAACTGGGAGATGTAAGCATACATGCCATAATTGGCTTTGCATTTTAGATATAGACCCAAATATAGTGTGAAAAAATACACTTAGAGTAACTGCTAATTATGACAGATTCCAAATGCACATGCATTTTCACAAGGTGATTTCTGAAATTAAATTTGTGTTTTATTTTGATAAAATACTTTAATGGAGGTTTTGACTGGTAAATAAACTCAGATTTCAAGATTTTTAAATAGCAGCCTCTGTGCCTTGGTTTTCTCTTACAGTGATCGTAGGAAGTGGTTTGTTTAGTTATTTATTTTAAATATCTAATGGGACACTTGGGAAATATTGAGGTCATAGTTACCTTATACCTGTTTTCCAAAGCAGATTGAAACAAAATATCTAGTAATATATATTATGACCTTGTGGGCATTGTTAAGCCTTGTCTTTTGGGGCAGTTGCCCCTTCCCTTTAACCCTTATCTACCAGTAACAAGAAGAGTGCTTCAAATTAGAGCTAACAGACAGACAGAGCCCTGAGAGCCACAGCTATACCTTGAAGTTGTACTATGACTACATCTTTTGTTTTGTTTTCTAATATAAACTCTTTTCCTCACCTATTTCCTGGAACCTAACTTTAACCTTGAACCTTGTTTTTCCCTGTTGGTTAATAACCCAGCTACAGACTTTAAGACCCAAAGTTCACTGCCACAATTGGCAAAAACCTATTTGTTTGGGTTTTTTAATTAATCCAAGCTCTGAGTTTGTCTGTTCCCAATTCAGCGCTTGAATTAGCCTATTATCCTTGATTCTGAGTTTTTCTCTGCCCCAGGGCTCAGAGGAGTCATTGAGGCACTGGCCCTGCCCAGTCACAGCCCCTTCTGTGCCCATGGTTGCTATAGCTCACTGACATGCACAATGTGCTGCAGAACCCGGTGACTTTATGGTAGATAGTGGTTCTTTGTGTATGAAGTGATGTTTGAAGTGGAGTCAATTCTCATTATTTATGGTAGTTTTGTTCTATAAAGTTGCCACACAGACTGAATTAGTGAATAACAAACCATTACTCTCAGATAGGCTCCCGTGAACCTATGATCAAATTTCCATCAACCTTTTAATATATAACCTTGTATATGTGTGATTCTTTTTAAAGACACCTTATTTAATATATATTGTTGATTAACTAACATTGAACTCATCCCTGGACAAAGTTTATCTACCATATATATATATATATATATATATATAAAATCCACAAGACAAGGAGATAGACTTTTTGTTTTATTCTGACAAAAGACTTTAATGGGAGGTCCTTAGGAACACTAAACAAAACTTCACTACACTTGGGGCTCAGCTGGGAATGTCAGCCTGGAGAGACAAATGTTTGGCTGCTCTGCTCATGGCTGCAAATAACCATGAAAGTGCAGCAGGTATTAATTTGGGGGGTCACAAAAATTTTTAGCAAGCAGGTGATTTGCAAATATGGAATCTGCATATAATGAGGCTTGACAGTATCTATTTTTTCTAGATGTGGTAAATGGGAAGGAAGATTCTGCGACTTTTTATATCTTTAGTTTTTATTCTTCACTTACTGGTTTTGAACCAACTTCGGCATTTCTGTAGGAGACAGAGATGCTTTTCTATTTTGATTGGTCGGCCTTTCCTCTCGTCCCTTTCTTTCTTCTGCCTTCAAGAATAGAGAATAATAATTTGGACAGGGTGTGAAATTTTTATTGGTCCACATTTATTAATAGCTATGATTCTTGTGTGTAAAGGATTACACATATATCTGTGTGCAGAAAAAAATTAATACACCAGGCCTGAGACTGATATCCTTCTTAGAAAAGTGTGCTTGCAAGCTTGTCTCTTGGCTGGCATTTGGGAACTTGAAATTTCAGGACAATTCTGATTACCCTAAATGATAACAATGACTGAATGTTACAAAACTTTTGTGCAAACAATAAGGTTTATACTGAACACCTTTTTTTCTGGGACTCTGGAACTTTGATAAGTGCTGGGCAAGATGCCTATGTGATGAACCTCCAATAAAAACCTTGGGCACTGAGTGTCTAAAAGAACTTCCTTTATAGACAACACTTCATGCATGTCACAACTTGTTGCTGGAGGAATTAAGTGTCTCCTGTGCGACTCTACTGAAGAGGACTCTTGGAAGCTTGTGCCTGATTTCCCCTGGACTTCACCCCACACACTTTATCCCTTTGCTGATTTCGCTTTGTATTCTTTCATTGTAGTAAATCATAGCTGTGAGTAAAACTATACTGAGATCTTGAGTATCCTTAGAGAATTAGTAAACCTAGGTGATACTGGGCACCCCGACACAGTTTGCGTGCCTCTTAGTACCTTCATCTCTCATTGTCTTTTGTCCCTGGGAGAAAAGTGGATGCAGGACCTTATCCCATATTCTCATTCTCTCTTCCATTTCTTCTATGCCATACATATGCTAGACTGTCAATGAGGTTGCTTTCATCTTTGTTGTACTTCTTTTCTCTCTTTGCCTTCCTTTCACAATTTGATAGACTAAGGGTGGTAAGTGCCCCAGATTTGGAGTCATTTTTTTCTAACCATTGAAAGTTTCACTTGAGACTATTGCTTAAGTCTTGTGCACCAACCTAGCTTTAGCAGAGAACCCCAAACTAAAGTTAGTCACTGACATCGCTGTTAATAGAACCTTCTCTCCCCTTTGCATATTGTTTACTGTATATTCCTCTGTCAGTTCCCTAACACAAAACAGAGGTGATTGGCAGGGCAGAGTTAAAACATTATAATATCACCAAAGCCCTAATATTCCTTGCTTTTTTCTCTGCTCATTTTTCTACTCAACCCATCTCCTCCCATCTTTTTCCAAAGTGGATTGTGGTAGATGTCATCTGTGTTGGTAGAATTAGCTTTTCCAAAGTCTTCTTTCTTGTCTTAGTAATCTTTCCTGCATTCTCCAATCTATCTCATTTCATTGAATCTCATGATTCCAACCTTAACCTAGACAACAGGTTATATTCCTAGGAAAAATAGAATATACCTCATCACCTGTTCTTTATGATGTTTTTATATACTACCAGTGATGAGTTTTTCTTCCAGTCTTTATTTTTTTAAATTCAGAATAAACGGTTTACCGGAGACAGCAATTTTAAGGTCAATACATGACACAGTGATGCTGCTTCAATTGCTTGTCCAGGAGCTTTTAGGTTTCTGTCAAGATGATGGCTGATGATTTCTTTTAATTGACTTTATAGATTGATATCTTTCTGGACCTATTGAATTCCAGAACTGACCATATAATGTGGTGGTTACAGTTTCTTCTGAGACAAACTCTCTAAAATGTAAAGTCATACTGCTAGAGTTAAAATCCTGCCTGCATCAGTGTGAGCTCTGTTACCTTGGACGATGTTTTAAAAATGATTATCAGCTTTAGTTTTTTTATCTGTAGAATGAGGGTTACATGAGTCAATAAGATGTAAGGCGTCTAGGGTCACAAAGTAAATTCTAAATGCTATTAATAATGATAATTTTACTAATTAGACAAAGATGAATTTGAAAGTCAAGGAAATAGTATGGATAGCACGAAGGATGAGGATGTAAAATCAGGAATGTATGATTAAAAGTCCTGGTCTCTCCATTTTACTAGTTGTGTGACTTTGAGAAGTTCTCTGTTCTTCAAGTGTCCTCCTTATTAAAATTGAAATAATATACTCATGTCCAGTGTGTATATGACAACTATATGTCAATTATATAGTAATAGTGATTGAATTATGTCTAACATAGAAAAGATAGAAAGGCATCTATTATAATAATTATGAAAGAAATTGGGCCAACCTGAGGAAATAATGTAGTGAACTATGGATAATTTATTTTTTCTATATTATGAACTTATTTACGAAAGTGTGTTTTTAAAATATTTTTCAGAAGTGATTACATTTTCATTATAATTTCATAGGTATTTATCAGCTTGCCTGTCACCTCCAGTAAGTGTGCGTTTCTTCAAAGTAGTACATGGTTTTAGAGTCTTAATCATCTTTTCACCCCTGAGTTCTAGCAAAATTTCTGATTTTCAATAAGTTCTCAGTAACTGGTAAATTAAATGTAATTCTCATTGTGTTGTTATACCTAAAAGCCATGCCTAATAGGAAATATTGAGTATTGTTAGGGGTACTTAGAACCATAAAAAGAATCTTAATAGTTTTCCTTAAAAATATTATAAAGAAAAACTAAATAGAAACAGTTAATTATGTATATGATCAACACGTTACTTTTTAGTACTTAAAAATTAGGTAATAGTCTATTTAGAGAAAAGACTAGTTATTGGTCTAGTTAAAAAAAAAAGAAAACTTAGGGAAAAAACAGACTTTCAAGTTGAATGTGAATTTTGATTTTTCCTCTCTATTATTTATGTCACTAAGTCCTCTTAATTTTCTCATTTTGAGGTTTCTCACATCTGTCCTTTTCTCCTTCCATGGCCACCATCCTAGTTTTAGAGATAATTTAACACCAGCTAGTTAATTCATTTCCTAATATAGAGCAGCATTAAATTCAAGACTACTAACATTAGACTACTAGCAATAAAAAAGGTTTTTTCCATGGGTACTTGTAAATGCTTTTCATAAAAATTTTAATATCTATAGCTCCTGGTCTTCTTTTTTACTTAATGTCTGTGCCTACACTCAAAATATTTTTAGGCATCAGCTAAGTATGTACCTTAATGAAGTTTTACAAGATGCACACCCCGGTGACCTGTAGTTGTTTGACGGGCAGGAGAGCAGGGTTTCTTTTCTAGAAAAGCTACATTATTATCAAAGGACACAAACTTAAAATTCTCAACACACTCTTTTGGTGTTGGCCTTCAAACCTTGATTTAAGATATACCAGTCATTTGAATAACTAGAAAGATCAGTTTAAATGTAATTATTTCCTTGATTTTTCCTTGATGCTACTACCAGATACATATACACACATTAAACAATCACACACACCTGGCGGTAATCTATACCAACACGGTATATTGGAAAATCTATGAACTTAAAGCCGTAGGTTTGGATCTCAATTTCATAGTGGCAGTATGACTTTGGGCATGCTACTAAGCCTCTTAGCATATCAGTTTCTTTATCTTGCAAGTGACGATAATAATAAATTCACAAAATTTTAGTGACAATGCAATGAGATCAAATATGTAAAATACCCAGATCTTGATACATATTATAAAATCCTCCCTAAGTATTAAGTCCATAAAATCTTTCATCTTTCATAACTCTTCTTCTATAGCCCTAAGCCAAATCTATCATATTTTTATAGGTTGGGAGTATAAATATTTCTTATATTTCTTCCTAGGCTGAAACCATCTTAAGGGCCAGAACTTCTTTCTAGTTACTTCTGTAGCCCCACATATCTTAGCCTGGTATTCTAATTTCAACTCATGTTTCGTCCATTGATATCTGAAAATAATTTTTTTGAACCAAACTATTTTTATGAATTATTCCAGTATTGCCTATTATTAATAACTTTTCTTTATGATCTATCATGCTATGGAAGCTCTGATGGAAATGTTCACCATCTCCATCTAAGAACATTGTCTTTTAGAGTCACTGAAAGATTTATCACATCAGCATGCCTTCAACTCGTACTGAGGATTTTTCTATAAGTAGTTCCCACTTCTCAGTGTCACCATGTTTACCAGTTTGAGTTCTGTATTTCCTTTTAGTTGAAGTATTACCTAGTTTAATGCAACCTGGACTTCTTTCAGAGCTATCAGCAATCTTCACTTTTTGGAAGTCCTTGACTTACTGAAGTGAGGGCTAGATCTTATTGTTTGTTAAGCATAAAATATGTTTATTCTGTTTTTACTTTTCTCTATTTGCTTAGATTTAATTTTTGATGAGTTTCACTGTCATTCTTCCGTTTAATATTTATCCTATTCTTACTATGGACCAGACATTGGGAATATAATTTCTCAAAATTAATGCAGAATTTATCTTCATGAAATTTATTATCTAGTGGAAACGGATTCATTGAATTTACTTGCCAAAGTACTGGAAGTAAGTTGCAGAATAGCATGAAATAAAACTGGAAAGGCAGGCAGGGGCTAAAACAGGAGGTCTTTGTTGAGGATTTGGAATTTAACTGGAGAGAAATATTAAGCTTCTGAAGTGTTATAAGCATCTTTTTAAATGGTCACTTTAATTGCTCTGTGGATTAGAAGAAGGCAAGTGGGGGAGTTAGAATTAAGTTAAGTGGCTATTGCAGTAGTTTCAACAACAGAAGATTATGACTTAGTCTAGAACTGAAATAGAGAGATTGCTGTGATGTGACAGTGAGGGCACGTTAGAATGAAGTAGAGACATGCCAAAGTGATTGCATATTGCAGGCAGAAATAGGACTACTGCAAATAGATTAGATGTGTGGGAAACTATATCTGAGAAGACTTCCAAGATTATTGCATGAGAAATAACCTGGGTACAGGTGCCATTTATTAAGTTGTGGAAGTTTGGATGAGAAAGTAATTTTTTTCAATAATTTTTAGGGGTACAAGTAGTTTTTGATTACATGGATAAATTGTATAATGGTGAAGTCTGGGTTTTAAGTGTACCCCTCACCCAAATAGTATACGTTATACCCAACAGGTAACTTTTTTATCCCTCACCCTGTTCCCATCCTTCCACCTTCTGAGTTTCAAATGTCCATTACACCACTCTGTATGCCTTTGCATAGCATATGGCTTAGCTGTCATTTATTAGTGAGAGCATATGGTATTTGGTTTGTTCCTGAGTTATTTCACTTAGAATAATAACCTCCATCCATGTTGCTACAAAAGACATTACTTCACTGAGAATTGATATTTAGGATGATAGTAAGAGTTCACTTTTAGATGTGTTCAGTTTTAATTCCTGTAAAATATTTAAGTAAATTTTTAAATAAGCAATTGGATATATCAATCAGAAGCTCTAAGATGAAGCTTGGACTAGAGATATAAACTTGGGAGTCATCAACAATTCTGGAATTTTAGAAAAGAATACTTTAGCAGGAAGTAGAATAGAAAGATGAGAGTGATAAGATCATCCACGTGTAGTGGATGCTCTGCTGTACTGAACAGATTGTTCCTTAAGGACCAAAGCATTCATTTCCCCCAGCTACTGTTACTGTTGGCTGCTGATTGCTCATAGCTGAGTCCCTCTTCAAGAACTGTGCTCACAGAAGGGAGTCTCTGGCCTGAGTCTCTTGCCTGGGGCAGCTCAAATGCAATGACTAGACAATGTGGGAAAACAAATACTGAAGCTCCTGGCTTTGATGTGGGACAGTTCTAAAAGACCATCCCAACTGCAGATAGCTGTTGGATCACCTGAGACTTCTGGGGAACCTGAAGACTACTGGTGCCCAAAGTAGTCTTAGGAAGCATTCTCTGAAATAGGATTTTGCTGCTGGATTATCCACCAGTTAATTGGCAATGAAAACTCCATCACTAGTAGTAGTTGAAATACGGATAGCTCCTAGCATGACATAGTGGGCAATTGTTAAAAACTTTATCAGTATTAACTAGAATGGGCTTATAGAAGAATTGAATGCACCTGTAACTAAAGCATAATTTAGGGATTTGGGAAGTTCAAAGGAAGTGGCTTTTGTTGAGTGCTATTGATACATTGATGCTGAAAAATGACAATGAAAGTTTAGGGGTGACTAAAATGAATTGTGAACCCAAGGGATCTACAATTTAAGCTGAAATGTGGAGCTTAATCCATTGGAAAGTCTTTTAAAAAGGGTTTTGACCTTTCTTTGTCAAAGAAACTCTCACCTGTGCATTAGCTCATGTCCTTGAGGTTCTAGTTTCAGTCAGCTTATCTTCCCTTCCTGTTTGTTCTACAAAATTCAGACTGGTTTAGTCAACCCCTATAATTATGTGAGACAAATTTCTTATAAAAAGTTTATACATATGCTTATATGTATGTTTATATGTTTGTATATATATTCATATTTCTCCTAGCTGCAGAGCTCCCCATAGGGTAGGCTGAAGCCTCTACTACATTGCTTTTTCTCTTCCTTTCACTCCATACTTCTCTTACGCCATTAGAGATATTAGTTCTGCAAGCATTTTTCCTTTTCTTCTTTTATTATTTCCTTTATTTGAATTTTTATTTATTTATAATCATGGAATAGAAGTGCAATTTTTGCTACATTGACATAGTTCATTGTGGTGAAGTCAGAGCCTTCAGTGCATTCATTACTGGAGCAATGTGCATTGTACCCACCAAGAAACCTGCCATTGTCCATCCTCCTCCCACTCCTCCACCCCGTGGATTCCTCATTGTCCATCATTCCAAACTCTGCGTCCATATGTACACATTATTTAGCTCCTACTTATGAGTGAGAACAAATTTTACAAACACTTTCTAAAAACTACCTGCATGCAAACATCTGCCTTAGAGAACCCAAACTGAAAAACCTTCAACATCTAGAGATAGAAGAGTTGAACCTTTTGGAAATGCCAAGAAAGAAAAAGCAGACAGGAAGAAAATGCCTACAGGTGAGTTACTGCTTAGAAACCATAAGGAAAGAGTGTTTATGTAGAAGAGAGAATCAAGTTAAATGAGTACCAAAAATGTCATCTAATTTGTCAGTATAGACACCTTTGGTGACCATGGTAAGGAAAGTTTCCATAGAGAGGCAGAACAGAAAACAAATTGAAGTGTGTTAAGTAGTCAGTAAAAGACATAGCAGTAAAGACCACAAATATAATCAGCCTTATTAAGAAGCTTGGCTATAGAAAGAAATAGGGCAAAAGCTGAGTGGAAACTCAGCTTTTTTTTATTTTGGCCTTTCTTGGTCAAAGAAACTCTCACCTGTGCATAACTTATTTTAGCTCATGTGCTATTAATGGAGAGTGATTTTTCTTTTTTAAGTTAAGCATATCTGAATGCTGAAGCATTAAGGACCCTACAGTATGGGAAGGGTTGAAGACACAGGGAAGAATGAGGAAAATTAGTGAAATAAAAACTCAGGAATTTCAGAAGGGTTGGGTTCCTGAGCTTACAAAGAGATGGGTGTTCCATAGGAAGGACACTTAATGGCAACAGTGAGTGATATGGTTTGGCTGTGTCCCCACCCAAATCTCATCTTGAATTCCCGCGTGTTGTGGGAGGGACCAGTGGGAGGTAATTGAATCACGGGAGAAGGTCTTTCCCATCCTATTCTCGTGATACTGAATAAGTCTCATGAGATCTGATGGCTTCATAAGGTGGAGTTTCCCTCCACGAATTCTCTCTCTTCCTGCCACCATCCATGTAAGATGTGATTTGTTCTCCTTGCCTTCCTCCAAGATTGTGAGGCCTCCCCAGCCACGTGCAGCTGTGAGTCCAGTTAAACCTCTTTCTTTTGTAAGTTGCCACCTCTCAGGTATGTCTATATCAGCAGCGTGAAAATTGACTGATACAGTAGGGAATAAAAAGATCAATAAAACAAAAATCTAGGAAATTTGTAGATTTTCTGGCAGAAAAAATATTTAAAATCCCACATACCTTATTCATATAATTCAGTGTGTGTCTGTGTGTGTATGTATGTCTGTTACTATATCTATATCTACATATCTGCACCAAAGCACTTTATATCTTTAAAATAAACTGGCAAAACAGTAGAATAACAAAAACCCTAATCAACTATTGTTTTCTCAGTTGTTAAGGTGAAGCTCTTTTTCATGATTTTTTATCTACATTGATCTATCTTCACCTAATCTGAATTTTTCTGATTTGGTTTATGCCAGGGGTCAGCAGACTTTTTCAATCAAAGGCAAGATAGTAAATACTGTAGGCTTTGGGCCATATGGTTGCCGTTGCAACTACTTAGCTCTACCATTGTAGCATTAAAACATCAATAGACGATATGTAATGTAAATGAATGAGTTTGGCTGTGTTTCAATAAAGCTTCATTTACAAAAACAACTGCCAGGCAGGATTTAGCCCATTAGCCATAGCTTGTCGGCACTTACCTTTGCTCATGTTATCATTTTGCTCAGATTATCGATCACCTCATCTACCTTGTGAACTTCCAGGAATACCATTCAATTATTAGCTTTTCTTTGAAATCTTCTATAGCTCCCCTGATGATACTGTACCCCTGCAGTATTAATTATATTACTTCTATAAGACATGGAATATTCCTTTATGATGGTATTTATAATTTTGCAATGATTTGCTCATAGGCTTTTTTCTCAGAGTACTGTGATTTCACTGTGAATAGAAACTAAATCTTATTAACATTTGTATCTCTAGCAAAGTGCCAAGACAGAGTAGGTGTTCTATAAAGACTTGTTCCTTGAATGAATGAGTGAATGATTAAAAATGAACCAACACTCTCTAGCTCAGAGGAGTTTATCCTGATAGGGACTCTTGGCCAAGGATATGCACTGGGTTCAAGCCCAGTACCACATCATAGGTGCTTTAATAGCCAACTTTTGTTTATGAGATAGAAGTCTATGTACTTGCATGATTAATACTTCTAGTCCCCAAATGTTTCTCTGTCTTAAAAGTACATTTATCATAATATCATTTTATTAAATAGGTACATTACTATTCATGGTTTGCAAAATTATTATTGAAAAACAAAATGTGTGGTTATATTTTTATCTTTCTTTCTTAAAACAGGTAACATGTTGAGTTAACATACTCTATGAGAACTTGTGAAATAATAATATTTATGCACTACTGTAAAGGCTTTAGATTTACTCTTCAGGACATGCTGAGGAAAGTACTATTATTACATGCATTTTAACAATGATAAAACTGGGGCACACAGAGGTAGGATAACTCACAGAAGGTTATACAGCTAGTGAGAGATTGAACCAGGAATCAAATTCATAGAGTCTGACTTGAGATCCCACATATGTTAAAAATTTTCTCAAATCCTTCATGCACTTAATATCACAGCCTATGCCATGTTAAATTCACATGAAGTTAAGGCTCTAACTTAAATAAGGCTCTTCAGTTCCCCTCAAAGATAATTGCAGCATGTCTTCTTTCTTCTAAGTTATTTATCTTTTAATTTTCTCATTTATTCTTTCTGATGTCCTGTTTTTTAGACTCTTTTCTTTGCATTTTTAAGTCCACACAACCCTTTTCAAAAGCTCTGTGGCAGTCCATTAGAAAAGTTATAAAAGTATTCATGTGCTTTTACCCAGAGAACCTACTCCTGGAAAATAACTTCAGATAAATAAAATGGTATATGAACCAAGGTATGCATTACAATATTAAACAAAATGATGACAACAGCTAAATCAAAACTATTGAGTAGCAAGGAGTTGGTTATTACACTTCAACATAATTGAGTAAAATATAACAAATTTATAATAAGAAGCACCTAGGAATAACTAAACTCAAATCCAAGATAAATTGCCTAAACTACTGAGCAGACATGTAAACTTGGGAAGGTGTTTACCCTATTTCAGCCAGTTTCCTCCCTTGACAATATGAATAGTACTTATTCACATGTTGGTAACATGTCGATTGTTAAATGAGTTAAAATACATGAAAGTGCCTAGCACAGTTCTTTGAATATCACAACTACTGACTAAATTGTAACATCTTTGTTACTTATTTCTAATTGAAAAACTAGAAATCATAAGAATATGCCTTATAATCATGATTATGAAACATAAAAATTGGAAGATGAACATGAAGTCATAAGAGTAATTTCTTACATTGCTATTAAGAAAACTCATAAAACAATAAGATAAACATGAACAATATAGAATTTTGGCAAGCCTTTCTTTAAAAAAATACTTAAATTCTTCCCATATTGTTTTAAGTAGGTGAACAATTTGAAAGCTCTTGAGGTCTAAGTGGCTTCCATAGCCAATTTTAATTTTCATTACATTGTACAAAATGGCAAATGATTTTGAAAATAAGCAATAAAAAGTTTATTAGAAAATCAAAACTCTTTTCACATTTGCATTTCAGCAGCTTTCAGAAGGCATCTAATCAGAGGGGGAGTGGAACTTTGTTTTACTGACATGTCCTCCAAAACAAGCTCACAATAGGTGGCCCCAGTTAGGCCGTTTTTATGATGACAAAGAAATCCCACAAAATCAAAGCCTACACAAACAAGGAAAAAGCTAAAAACATCTGCCACTAATGCCAGTTGTTAGCCTGCTGGAGACACTGGCTGAAATGACTTGTGCCAATTGCAAATGTGATTTCTACAGATGGAGAATTACATATTTGACTTGTTGGAAAGGTTGGATACTAAAAATACTTTTTTTTTTTTTTTACAAAACACAGAAAGATTAAAAAAAGAGTAGCAGCTGCTTATTTCTCTTTTTTTTCCAACAGAATGTGGCTTATAATGTAGCAATGGAAAATAATCAGAGCAGAAGCATAAAATGAAGCAATTTGTAAAGGTCTCAGTAAAAAACAAAACCATAGAATATAATGTTGATTATAATTTAATGGAACTGTCAGTTTGAAATATCAGTCATGTAATTTCTGTGCCATATTGAGAAAACCATGGAGTTAAAGTGATGATGGTTTCATCATAGATGTTGCTTTTATACAAATAGACACCTCAAGCCTCTAGAGAAACAAAATGATGTTCTATATTGAGGTGCGGTGATGGAGGGAATTGCCTGTGACAAAGGAAAAAAATGACTTTATATGGCTCCCTCTCAGTAACAATGACAATTTCTTAGGTGGACTTTTATTCAAAATGTGTTGCAAAAATGATTGAAACATACCACCCTGGACTAAAATCTTGCCTTCAAATCATTCCTAGATAAGTGACCCACACATAGTTGTTTTGCAGTGTCCACAACACCTTGGCCCCTGTTAGGTAAGCCAGACCCACCCACATGTGTGATCTGTGACTAAAGGTGCCCCCAATCACCGTTATTCCTTCTTCAGAGTCTTCTACAGACTATTGTGCAAATTTCTTTTCCCATTCCTTCTTGCTCTTCATTTAACTAGCTTCAATTCCCATCTATAATTGACTCTAATCCTCAGACACCATTGTTAATGATCTTCTTGAAATCTTTTTTGCTGGTTATGTACTGAGTTGAGGATATACTCCCTGGTATTTATCGTTTCCTCCCACAGACTTCCACTGTGTCCATGGGTGCTACTCCCCACTTCTTGCTAGATTTTCCTGCAGTCAGTATCAGAAATTAGACATGCTAGCTTAAGTCTGACAACTAATGAGAGTCAGAAGATGACTGCTGCTCTATTACCAAGTTTAGTAACTGTTCGGAATTTCTGATAATTAATAAGATAACTTCAGAAATAATCATAAATTTTTCCTTATTGTAGATTTTAAAATTAACCAAAATGTGTGGTTAGGACATGTGTGTGGTTAGGACATGTGTAAAGTAGGATGATATTTGCCTCTCTTTGAAATCTAAAATGGGACTAAATAAAAAGTAATCATTTGAAAATTATGTGGTCTTGATTTTTAGGTCAGTCTTATACAGATAAAGGTGTTTCCAAGAGCTCAAATTTTTCAGACAATTTATTTTTAAATGCATTTATAAACTATCAGAATGCTATGCTGCAGAACTTTTAGTAGTTATAGAATCTTGTGACTGAAAGGTACCTCAGAAAAACCTGTGTGTCTCGTCTTAACTACCTTCCCAGAGATGTAGGGCTCAGATGCCAGACCCAGAGAGGTTTCTAGGAGCCTGGATTGAGTAGGTCTGCCTTTAATATACCACCAAGGAACAGAGAAAGTATGGTATTCAAAGATGACACTGGAAACAAAAGTAGTCAAACTGAGATACTATTTGAAAATCCTAAGCAGACAAGCACAACTAGGTATAAGGAAACTGAAGAGACTGGGAACACCTGGACAAAGTAAATTAATTTGGTTGGAGGCTGAAAGAAAGAATGGTGAAAACCCCTAAAATAATGTGGAAGAGTAATAGGGACTTTTTATAGAGCATGGTTAACTTTGCTTTACAGTGGGGAGAGTTGGTAAGAACCCTGAGCCAATTTAAATAAAGATAATATAGACTCACTGCTTAAATTTTCTCTATAGATTCCAAATCAAATTAGCCACCCAATCCAGTATGTGAAGACTTCCAGTGGTAACCACTTATTATTGTCCAAAGGTGTCCATTTTGATTTTGTAACTCTGAGTATTGAACAATGTTTCCCCTTATTGAACTAAAATGGGCCCACTATAACTTCTTCCCACTGATCCTAGTCTTTTATGCTATGCATAGCCATAATACAAATGCAATATCAATTTTACTTTTTTTGGAAATCAATAGGGCCCCAAAATTTAAGTAGTAGGATTATCTGAACATTCTAATTTGAAATCTTAATAGGCGAGGAAAATGGAAATGAGTTATTTTACTAGAACTACAGAAAGGCTAATATTCAGATAATTGTTCAAACTTCAAATGTTTGATTGCATTTTAAACTTTCTCTAATAAGATACTTTTTAGGAGGTGAAAAGATGTTAATATAGTTATCATCATTAAAATATTTAATGGACACATCTTGAGACAGGCACTTAGCTGGATGTGTTATAGACGCTGGGCCCTTGTTCTCAGTGACCTTAAAAAATATCGTCAGAGCTATGACAGGAAAGAGCTAAAGGTTCTTTTCTATTTGAAGTCCATAATGTATTTTGGAGCAGAAATGTAAAATAAAGGGGAATATCATCCTTTCTGAAGAGAATAAAAATGTGTTTCTGAAGCCTAAAGGAGTCAGTTAATGTAGATTTCTCACTGTTTTATTAAAATAAAGAAGGGGCCAATAAAACATATATAGATCTTTAAATAATCAGAAGGCAAAAATCAAAATTATTTCAATTTTTTAAAATAAGAGCACTTTAATTCACATACAAATAACAGTTCCTCATTACCAAATAGCATCCTTTCCTTAGACATATGGGCTTAGGGGAAAATGTTAAAAGGGCTGAGTGAAAACAGCAAGACAAAGACAGGTGTGTTCTACCTGAGTTGGAAGAAGGCTACACTTTGTATTAGGTTACAATTTTGCAAATGGTCTTTACAGAAAAATACCAGCAGATATTCTCTGGGAACCTGGACATTACTTTGAGTTAGAGTGAGGTCAGGCTTTTTGGCCCTACTCTATTGCCTAAGCCTTTTATAAATGGCTCTGATACAAGCTGTGGTAATCCTCTTTCTCCATGAGGAGTGGCTGCTTTTCTTCAGGAAGCTGCTTTCTCTTGTGACGACACAGCAAGCTCACAAGCCCTGCCAGCAGGGCAGTGAGGACGGCCCCTACCATCGCCGCCCCAAGGAGCCATGACCAGATCCGACTCGCTTGTTCCAAATAGGACTTAATGTAGTCTTGAAAAGAGTCTGGGTCTGAAATAAAAAGACATCCCATTGTTTTTATTGTTACCACCATTGTTACGATCACCATCATCTTCATCCTTTCACAGTCCTTTGGAGTAGACACCTGGGTTTGAAGGCCAGCTCTACTACTTATTAACTGTAAGAGCTTGGGAAAGTTACACCTAATACTCCAAAGCCTCAGTTTCTTCATCAGAAAAATGGGAAAATAATACCCCTCTTGTTGGAACGTTTGAATTTTATAGATAACATCCGTAAGTGATTCAGGGCCTGGTATATAGTGTGTACTCAATTAAATGTTAGCTGTGATTTTTCCATCTTTTTCTGTGAAAGGATGTTGTAACTATTCCGATTATCAATAGAACACCGTTATATCATTAACCATTCACTAATCCAGTCTTTTAATTATTTGACAGACATTAATAGTAATGTTGGCAAATGCTCAGCAATCTTAGTAGCCTCCCAAGAACCCTAGGGCATTTGAACAATCTCTGTATTCACAGAGGTCACAGTCTTAAATCTTGAAACAGATTTTGGCGCATGGGCACCGTCCCTCTGTCCTAAGGCTTCGGGGGTTGGGGGCGCTCTTGGTTACCGGGCCGCAGTGGCATAGGAGTGGGCCCTGTGCCGCGGTACCCTGGAGCGTCCGCACTCTGGGCCTTTGTTTCTCCTCAGAGACGCACTCCCTGCTGGAGGGCAGGGGCCTGGCCTTTATAGGCCTCAGGACTCTGAAAGTAAAGCCTGGAGGGGCGGGGCTTAGGGGAGCCGATATATGTAAGAATAATAGCCCTTCGGGTCTGCCAAAATCAAACAACAACAACCAAAACAAACAAACAAAAAAACCCCAAAAGCCTGAAATGAAACTACAGTGCAAAAAATAATAAATAATTTTAAAAAGGGAGGAAAAAAGAAAACAGAATGAAAAGGGTAAAAAAGTCGAAGAGGCAGAGCCTGAAGCATTTGTGGAAAAACTACTGGATCGAATTACAGCAAAAGGGAAGGTGGAGCATTTCCTGAAGTTTAAGGGACGTCAGATGTTGACAGTACTTGGGAACCCGCAGAAAATTTAGATTGTCCAGAGTTAATTGAAACATTCCTTAATTCTAAAAAACCTGGTAAAAAAAAATTACAAAAAGAAAGAAAGTCTTTATCTGACAATGAATCTAATGACAGCAAATCAAAGAAAAGAGATGCTGCCGACAAACCAAGAGGCTTCACCAGAGATCTTGATCCTGAAAGAATAATTGGTGCCACAGGCAGCAGTGGAGAATGGATGTTTCTCCTGAAATGGGAATATTCACATCAGGCCGACTTGCTGCTGGCAAAAGCGGCAAATATGAAGTGTCTTGAAATTGTAATTGTTTTTTACAAAGAGAGACTAAGTTGGCATTCTTGTCCAGATGATGAAGCTTAATTGTTTGCATTGTGATATATATATCTGGGTCTTGGCTTTTAATTAACTAGTGTGGAAAAATAACTACATTCTAATGAAAATCAGTTTTGATATGTTCATTTTAAAAGTAGTATTGGGAGAGTTGGGTTTTTTTGGTGTGTGTGTTTTTTTTTCATCAATACCACTTGTTACTTTGAACAAATAAAAGCTTTCTGTAGTTGCTTCCTTTATCATAAAAGAACATTTGATATCTTATTCTTCTATGAACGTATTCATAAAATGATGTATTATTTCCTCTGCATTAGAGAACAGCATTTCTAAATGTCGGGGAAAATTTCCATAGTCATTACTCAATCAGAACTTGCGTTTATCCTAAGGACCATTCTGGGTTGTGTGTGTGTGTGTGTGTGTGTGTGTGTGTGTGTATGCATAAAATGTGTACATAAATGGCTTTTTGTGTTGTTTTTAAACATTCACCAAACAAAAATCATGGGTAAGCCCATGTTTTTGAGATGCCATCATACTGAGCAACCTAAGAAATAAATCACATCAAATTAAATTCAAAATTTTCCTGAAGCCATACATTTCAAATAAAACAGATGATTCTATAATTAGTTGGACAATTTAAATGTATCATTTAATAGTAGCCATATAAGAATCCCTATCTACACCTTTAGTCATATAAATGAACAGTTTGTAAAATTCCTAAAAGGAATAATTTTATTACTACCAACAACCTCCCCAACCAGATGAGGGAACTAGACAGATCCTGCTGTGTTTTAATTATCTAAACAAGACTTAATTTAATGGACATTTAACGATTCCTCTAGCAGGCCATTCCTTTACAAAAAGTTGAAATCCCTGTGCTATACTGACTAAAAGGTAATGATTCATGGGATGTCTAAGACTTGGCTTTAGGAACCCAATCAGATGGTTGGAGATTTGGCAGTTTAGAATCTGCTGCCATAAATGGATGAACAACTTTTGTAATGTATTGACTTGCATATTTTTTCTTTACCTTAACTCATTCCTTACAGGTAGACTCAGTCTTTTCAATATTCGATTTTCTGGTTCAGCAGAAACCAGGGAAAACAATAACTTGGTAGTAATCAGAATGTTATCCAATTGTATATTGATTCCTTTATTGTAAATAAAGGTGAATAGTGGTCAATCGTTTTACATTACTTTAAAAAGCAACAACAGATTTTGACCACATATATTTAAACAATAATTCTGAACAAGGAAAAGTCTTTAGCCTCCTGATTATTTATATTCCTTCAAACCACATAAGAACATGGCACTGAGGAGAGACAGCATCCAATATGTTACTGGCTTAGCATTTCCTCTATTATCATACCCGTCACATTATATTCCAGTTATCTATTATATGAATATTTTTTCTATTAAAATGACTCATTGAAGGCCAATAGTATATTGTCATCATTGATATAATTCTAGAATCTGGTATAGTGTCTGAAACACATATGAGAGAATAAACATGTTTACTGAATGACTGAATGTGTTATTGGACCCAGAAGATATGGTGAAGGAATGTCCCTGAATGGCAGCTGTGGAATGAGAAGGGCAGACATATACAAAAGGATGTCACCCAGGGAAAAAATTTATAAATTACTCATATTTCACTATGTTATGAGGTAGTATTTACAGTTCCTTTTAAAATTTGGTATAAACAGTGATGGGTGCTTTAAAATGAAAAAAAAAGTCTTAATTCCAATAGAAAAGTAATGCAGGAAAACAAACGTAATCATAGCATACTATTTGGTTGAACTGTAAATAATATTGTAGTAGTAAAAACAGTAAAATTCCTAGATGTGGATTTGCCCCCAAATATGATAATACTATACTGAGAAGATGAATGAAAGAACAGGGAAGCTGTAAGAGAGTTAAAATCATTATTTAAATATGAGGAACTCCAAAGATAAACTTGATGAATTAACAGATAGTAATATTTCCCTATTATTTAGAAATACAGGGCAATATAGCAGAATAAATAGGTAAAAGGGTTACAGTAGCTGATATAGGGGCATAAACATTTTGTTATAAGACTTGCAGCACTCTTTGGCTTGTAAAATAACATGCTTATAATATTTGATAAAACAAAATTAATTAAAAGATATGCTTAACAACTTATGTGTATGTGGAAAAAAGTATAAGAAAAAGTACACAGGAGACTAAAACAGCACAAGTGATCAATCTAACAATAAGATTACAGTTGATTTTTATTTTTGGTTTATTCTATTAATTTTCCAAAATAAAAAAAAAGTCTTTTTACTGATACAATTAGAAAGCATGCTACTAAAAGTACCTGATGCAATTAATAGATGATATAACTATATATTTAGGAAATCCATAATCAGATAATGCATAGTAAAAAAATAAAATACGGCTAGATAAGTATTACATAAATTAAACTTCCCTATACATCAACAATTAACCTATTGTTTCTATTAAAATGGCTCCTTGAAGGCCAATAGTGTGCTTTCATCATTGATATAATTCTAGAATCTGGTACAGTGTCTGAAACACATATGAGAGAATGAACATGTTTACTGAATGACTGAATGTGTTATTGGACCCAGAAGATATGTTGAAGGAATGTCCCTGAATGGCAGCTGTGGAAATGGGAAGGAAAGATTTGTTTTAATGAAAAACAAATCTCATTCTCACAATCAACTACATATTTAAGGCACGTAGCAGTTAAGGAGAGATGTTTAAATTTTATGTAAATATAACTATAGAATCTATTTAGGAGACTATTAAGATTTGAGTAAATGAGGAAGTCCGTACTGAATATCTGTTCAGTAAGAGCAAATGGATTCTTTCTAACAAAACAATTCCTTTATAGAAGATGCTCTCTATAATGCATATAGAAGATATATATGTAGAACATACACAGAAGATACTATAAATTTACTTTTTGACATAGCAGAAAGAAGAGAGTGCATCCTGGGCTTACCTTGCAGCAAGTCATGGCTATGTGACTCAAGTCTAGAGCAAAAATATATGTATAACTTTGGGGGAAGTTCCCTTAAAAAGAAAAGAATATATCTTTAACCATTTACCTTTTCCTTTCTGACTAGCTAGAATACAGACAGGTTGTTGGTGAGCCATCATGGACTATATAACCCAGGGTAAACCCTAGACCTTGAAAGTTACTGTTTTTAATATATATTAAAATTATTTTGAAAATGGGACTACAATACTTAGCTTAAATTGCTGTTAGTGGCTTCAATACATAGTACATTTAAAATGTCCAAAAAAAGGCAGGATACATAGAGGCTACATAATAAATATTTTCTTTTTTGTTAAAGGCTTGGCTGAAGTGCTTTCACAGCTTTTAAATACTATTTCTATGTCAGTCCTGTTCTCCAGCTTCTCTTACTATTGCTCCACTTTAATTCATTCCAAGTGGTCTCAATTTTTACTGTCACCAAGGGACTGTCTTTGAGATACTTTTATTTCTCAACATCCTTCAAATTCAGACTTTCTTTGTAAGCCATCTGCGTTTGAGCCCCAATAGTGCACCTTTTTGTTCTGTCCCAATATCGTAATTTTTTGATCATCCTTCCCTCTGTGAAGTCCTATTTTTCTTGTCATCCATTCTTTTCAGAATAATTATGTAGATTTTTGTTTTATGCTCTATCATTTCCAAAGTGCATTAACATGCCCATTTATTCACAAAACAAACACATGAAGTAGTTAGGGGCCATTACTCAAATGAATTAGGAGTCTGCCTGGAGCGATTAAACTAGACAATGTATGTATAGCCCTTGGTACAATGTCTACCATATAGAAAACAATTTACAACTGCTGTTGATTCTTATCATGATAGAATGATAATTTCATCAATATTTCACCTAAATCAGCTTACAATTTGAGTTTTTCTTTCCAAACTTGCTTCAGCTGCTGACTCAGCTCCATTCTCTTCTGGATTCTCAAACTAGTTTCTTTGCTGCCTTGTGACATTTGGCACAAACGTCCATTTATTATAATTATATCTATTTATATATGTCTTATTTTTCAAGCTTGTCACAAACTCTCAAGAGCAAGTATTATGTCTTACTTGTTTTATCTTTCTTCAACTCATTTATTAAAATATCACTTATTCATTGAGATACACTACCTGTAGGCGGGGAGTTGGGGGGCACTCTGTCTCATTTACCTTTTCACCCTCAGCACCTGGCAGGTAAACAAATCATTTCGAGAGTAATGTTGTTCTGATGAAGATAGAAAGGCATCATGGAGAAAAGACTTCCTACATCTCTGTGAAGTCAGGGAATGCACCCCAGAAGACTGTCCCACTGAGTAAAAGAATGAATTAGACTCTGAGCATATAATGTTGATGGCAATCCATCCTAGGCAGAAAAGAACAGCATGCACACAGGTATACACAGCCAAACAGAGCTATTGAACAAATTCATGAATGATAGAAGTGTCATCAAATTCCATTGGCAGAATGGGGCACTGCAGTTACTGTGAACAGTGTTTCCCCTTCTCATTTTTGAAACCAAATTTCCAGGTCTTTTGTAATGTATGGGGAGAAGGAAGCTCTCAACAGAGTTTTTCTGCTACGTAGAAAGTAAGATTACATTTATCAACAACATTGAAGACATAACCCTTCTTTGCCAAAGATTTTTGGCCTCCCCTTGTAAATTAGTTATACATATGAGAAAATCACCTGCTACTCAATTTTCTAAAGAATCACTAAATTCAATTATAAGAGAAAAAGTTTGATAAATGGCAGACATCAGCTGCCTTTTTACAGAAACCACTTAAGTAATTATAAACATGAGTACCTGGTTGATGAATAATAATCCCCTTGAACAAAATTATATCAAGAAATCTTAAATAATTTTTTAGTAAGCTTAAAATTTAGCTATGAATAGAGATAAATTTTAAACTCCTTGAAAGTACAACAGAGGCAACAATATGGAAAAATTCATAAAATAGAAAATAGGCAATTGGTGTTACTTAGTTTAGCTGTTTTGTTTTGCTTTGTTCTTAGAGATGAGTCTTGCTGTGTTGCCCAAACTGGCCTCACACTCCTGGGCTTAAGAGAACCTCCTGCCTCAGCCTCCCAAGTATCTGCTGTTGCTTATTTTAAAGTCAAACTTCTCTAAAATTAACTTTGTAAATTCAAAGCCGTGTGAAAATTACTCTAAAGCATTTCAAGTAAATTGTTTCTTTAAATTTAATTGGAAATAAATACCTTCAAGCTTCTAATATGACTCATTGAGCCTCTTCTCCCCTGGCTCATCCAGGAAATTTTGTTGCCTTTGTAGTAAAAAGTATCCATTGGGACACTAGGGAAGGAACAAAGAGGTGGAGCATATGCGTAGAAGACAATGTAGGGGTTAAAGGGAACCCTCTTCTCTGTGCAGTGATGGAGTGATGAAGTTTTGGATTCAGTATTTGACACTTACTAGCTTTGTAGTTTAAAATTAATCACTTTATCTTTCTGAGTCTCAATTTACTTACCTGTAAAACAGAATAAAAATCACCCTTCCATGGGGTTTTAAAAATTAGCTGAGTCAATAATTTATATGCTGATGTCTCTCGCATTAGGATCTGAGGGCCAGACACCGCTTTTGAGTTTCAGGCTGTGTATCCAACTTCTCAAGAGACATTCACCTTGCCGTCCCATATAACTTCATTTCACTGTATAACAAAACCATAAGCTTTCCTCCATGTCTTTCTTTGCTCCTCTTGTTATTATATGAGTGAATTATACTACCATTCATCATTTTCACAGGCCAGAAAGCGTAAAGCCATTCCTAATCTCCTTCATCTGATATATAAATAATTTTCCAAGTTCTGTAAATTTTGCCTTCAAAATAATATCAAATTAATCATGCTTTCTGTCTCCCTTCCTGCCACCACCACTGCAACTTAAACTACCTTTACCTCTTCCTCAGACTCTTATAATAGCATTTTCACTGGCTTTCTGCATGTGCTTTCCAACTACTAAAATTTTTCTGCATACTGAAGCTGCAATAATCTTTTGAAAATTCAAATTTGATTATAACCTGCTTAAAATTTATCAGTGGCTTGCATTATTCTAACAATATGGCCCAAATTCATAACCATGTCCTCCTTTTCAACTAGTTAATTCTACCTGTCATATTGATGTCATCTGAAGTATCACTTCATTGACCCCTGGAGTTAGGCATATCTCTATATAAATGAGTTTTTCAGCAAGCAGTTAAGATCTTTCTCTTCCATGGTAAACTTTGTGAAGATAGAGACTATGTTGTTTACCATTGTATCCATAGTATCTAAGGCAATGTGTTATTCAAAGTACGTATTCAATAAATGTGTATGTAAAGAATAAACAACTCAGTACAGACACATAAAAAAAAACCTGGTGTGATAGAATACTTATAGTGTTTTAAAATATATATCCAAAAGTGACCAGAGTATTAAGAGGTGTGGCATTTTTCTAGAAAACTTCACTTATATTAGTTAAGAGAAATGACACTTCATGATAAATATCACTTGTACTCAAACTGATTTATTGATTTCAGTCCATACCAGATACAATGTGATGCTTAGAATGGAGAAGCTTGCAAGATAAATTCTGATCTTGGGGGTTTGGGGAAGAATAAAACCCAGGACAGATTCATACACAGAAAGAAATGCTATGTAACTATGAGAAAGGCGTGAGTAAACATCACTATAAGTATAAAATGATTTTTATATCTGAGAGTTTGACAAATGGAGAAAGAGAGTCAGAATTCAGGCAGAAACAATAGCATATTTAAAAGCATGAACCCATGAAAGTCTAGCGTGTTTTGGAAATGGAAACAGACACTAAATCATAAAATCCTAAATGGAAAATCTTTGAAAAATAGTTACCAATAAGCTCCCTTTTTTATGTACTGTGGTTTTCATAGAAGAAAGAGAAGACATGTCACTTGAGACTTACAGGAAACCCCTCCTCTTACCACACCTCCACCCTTTGCAAATTTCTCTGTTCTTAGTGATCTTAAGATTTTCCAAAAACTGATCTCCTTTGTCAGCTGTGTTAGCATTTTGTGCATTGGCTACAGTCTTCAGATAAAGCAGAAAAGTTCAATTAAACCCATATCTTTTCAATTAATCATCCCTCAAAGGGCAGAACAAGGTTGATGACCTATAGCCTCTCCTGTTAGCCCCAAATTGTGTATATATTGTACCATATACTAGGTAAGTGGCCTGGGAAAATCAATTTATACTCTTTATGACTCTGTTTCCTCATCTATGAAAAAGCAAAAGAAATAATGATACCTACTTCATAGAGTAATTATGAAGATTTAAGGAAGTAATGCATAGGGCACATTGAGAAGAGTTCCTGGCTAATAAAAAATACTTAGTATGTGTGAACTATTATAAACTGGGTCAACTTATTTTCTTCGTGTCCTTTTCCACTGTTCATACTACTCAAATAGAATAATTCAGCATTTCATAAATATGCTGTACATTTTCCACCTCTACTGTTCTTGCTATTCTCTTTGCCTAGCATATCCCCTGCCCTTTTCTATCTGCCACCTGCTTATTCATTCTCAAGGCCTTGTTTTCTCTTTTTAGGTTGAACCCTTCAAAAGTCATGGCTTTCTCTTCAGCACTGCTGTGGGATTTTCTTTATGACTCTTTTACTGCACATAACACAGCCTGATGTTTTTTACTTCCTTGCACAATTGTCTTACTTCCACACTGGAGCTTCTTCAGGTATGAAACTATGCTAGTCATGTATCACTGGATTTGAGCACAAGAGTGAGAGGGTTGAGTTTCATTCGTTTATTTTATATATTTATTTATTTATGTATTTATGTGTCATTATCAATGAATGCAATGAAACATCAATGCTTGTTAAATACCTCCTACCCATAAGCCACACTGTTTTTGATAATTAACCCTCATGCGTTAGGTGAATTACAGTGCGGTGAGATGAGGAGGACCTCCTAGAATTGAAATCTTGCTTCTCCACATTATTGGTGTTTGATTTTGAGAAAGTCACTTAAATTCTCTGGGTATCAGTGTCCTCACCTTTATCTTAGGAGAATAAAACTTACCTCCTATATGGTTTATTAATAATACATGTAAAGAATATGCATGTAGTGGACTTTCAGGTAGAAGGAAACACTACTATCTGTTCCTCATTTTGTCAAGAAGATACTGACATGGTTCTATGCAGGAAGATTATTTAGAGCTCAAATCTAATTCTAATCCTGGGGTTTTATATTACTATCGTCATCATAGAGCAATAAACATTATAATAGCTATTATTATTAACTACACTTAAGTTCAAGATTTCTACAAATTTTCTTGGTAACCCTAGCAAGAAACTTCCAAAAATGATTCCAAAACTGCTGGATGTTTACCCTGTGTTACACTGTACTAGGCTCATTAATGTATCATTCTAAATAATTCTTTAATGTGTTCTGGTCCCAGTATTTCAGGTGAATAAACTGAGATTCAGGGATGTAGAGTGAATTTCCCAGGTCACCTTACAGTCAGTTGATAGAGTCATGTCTCAAAACCTTTTTTTTTCTTCTTCTGATTCTACTGCTCTTCACATGGTTGCCATGTACAAAATGGCCTATGTTAAGCAAAATGACCATGACTTTAAAGATCCTCAGAATTTGATTCCTGTGATAATAAACTGGTAATAAATTAAGGATTATAATGCACTTTCAGGATTTAAAGTGTTCAGGAATAACATTGTCGAAGCATAAAGTTTTGTGTTATCTCAAAATAAATTGGTAACACTAGATTCAGCAATTCCTCTGAAAGAAAGTAAACTTTACCTGAATCTTGTAGATAGCTATAGTCATAGCCCAGATCTTTGGATGAAATAAAGAAATCACCATTTCTGTACAGTGGTATAAAAGGAACCATGTAGGATTCCCGGTTATGTCCAATGGGTGCATTGGCTTCTGGATAAACTTCTTGAAGAGGACGGTGCCTTCGGAGCCACTGCTCAAAAATACTGCAGAGGAAAAGGTTATTCAGACTAAGAAACATATTGTGTATAAAAGAAACATTTGAAAATTTTTAAAGTAAAATAAGGCATATATTAAAATCTGGAGACATGGAAAGATGTTGAATATATTCTTTATACTTCAAAAATATTTCGTAAAGTATTAGTTTATTCTTTCAGGCCTTGAAGTTCACTCATTTAAAATAAATATTGAGGCTAGCTTTGAAAAAATAATTTCTTAGCAGGTGAATAAAACTTACACATTGAGTTTTGAACCTCCAGAATGCTGCAAAATAAAGGTAACTATTGGTTGAGTGACAATTGAGTCATAGTTGTAAATTAAATATATTCCCAAAGAAAGACCAGAGAAAGAACGTATAAAACTAAATTGGAAACAGTGCTAGAATTTGGTCATTTTTTTGGTTCTGGTGGGAGGCTTTCAATGATTTAAACATTCATGTTGTGATAGGTGAAGTGTGGGCTTAATGAGTCTTGATGGGAGACAGAGCTTACCTCCAATGACAATGGTTTAGATACCTAAACTTTGTTTCTCGGCTTTTTCTAAAGTTAGAGTATGACCATATGATAAATATTCTGCCAATCTGACATACTCATTCATGACTTCGAAACAGGAGATAGTGACACAAATAAGCAGGGACAATCAGAAACCATCCTAGAAATGGGCAGTGGCAGTTGATATAACAATATTTAGTTTTCAGGGGCAGCAAAGCCAGATGTACCAGCAAAGAAATCCATTGCCCAGCAAGTGCCCTGTGTTCTATAGCATGGTTTTGGCAGCCGTCTTAGCTGATGCCCTTCTTGCTTATTCTCACCTATTTCTGAACCTGCTGCTCCATGATTTTGTGAGCTACTCAGTAGCCTCTCAGCAAATTCTTTTCCTACTTAAATCAGGCAGAGTTAGTTTCTATTTCATGCAACTAAAAACTTTGACTGGAAAAAAACTAAAAAATTAAAGGATTGAAAAAAGTCCAGTAAGAATGGAGTAGAAACTCAAGTTGTAGAGTAATTTATAGAGAGCCATTAACAATATGACAAAGAGAATGGCTTTGCATTATCGAGTCATATGACATAGAAGAAAGAACACAAGAGCTGGAGTTGGGGAACTCTTCTTGAGGCCTAGCTCTGTGTTTTCATCTGGCTGTATAACTCTAAGAAAATCACTGAACTTGGAGAATTAGCCTCCTCATCCTTAAATAAGAGTAATAATATCTGTCCTACCTGTTTCCAATATGATAGTTTTTGTGAAAGTACTAAATAATAAGCTATCGTTACTTAGCTGTACATTTTAAGCTAGCAGGTCAAAGGTTGGTACATGGTAGAAAAGGTGGTATTGAAAAAGAAGTGATAATGCTTCAAACAAAATGAATACAATTTTAGAAAACCATTTTCAACATTTTGAAGCACAATAATGAAGAGAACAAGGAAGCCAAATGGAAGAAATGGTGATCATTTTTTCCATGACAGAAAACAATTCTGTTTATTAGAGGATCTGAACTTGAACACACTACTTGTGGTCAAAGTTGGTTTTCAGTTGTGAATTTAGTGAGGAATTGGCAGTCCACTGATAAACACTAAAAATCTGGTCCATGCATACCAAATGCTTTCTAAATTAGTTCAATTATTAAACGAATATTTACTGAGTATCTACTGTAGGTCAAGTTACACAAAGAACTGTGTAAAAATCTGAGTTCTATAGGTTGAGACAGGGAAGATTTGTAAAATTGTATCTGTTTGATCTTCTTTATTCTACAAAATGGGAATTATATTTATGTCATGAAGGTAATGTAAGGATTAATTAAAATAACACAAAATACACAGTTAAGTGGTACATAAAAGCTATTATCTTTCTCACAGCTCCTCTCTTCTCTTCTTCCCCCTCCTAAGTATTATGACTATACTGGAAAAACTTTAAAATTGATGAGACATAACATATGCTGTTTTAGAAATGCCAAAGCCTTGCATATGTGAGCAGTGCCTTTAGTGATGGTTAGTATTCTGATAGGCAAAAATGAGAAATTAGAAGATTTAAGAAGATGAGTTTTTCTGTGCTTCAGTTTCCTCAACAGAAGAAATTAGAAACTGGCTTGACAATAAACCCCAAATTTTATTAAAGTCCTATGATTTTATAAACTAGTCCTTTTGTTTTAACTTTTATGGTTTTCTTCTCTACAAAAGCAGTACTTGTTTGTTATGTAAAATAGAGAAAATACAAAGAAAAAGGAGAAAAGAAAAAATCACCTGTAATTGCTCTATGCTTTTGTTATATCTAGTTTTTAAAATATGCATCCACAACACTCTACCTGTATTTTACCAAAAAAGGAAATCACATTATAGATAATTTTTAGTAGACATTTTATTCGTACTAACCATGTGTTTTCAATTGGTAAATTAAATTTTTAAAATGAGAAGGAGGCTGTCTGATAATCCCTCCACCACCCCTGTCAAATTTTGACTGATTTGGGAACAGCCTGATATACAGTGAGCCACTAAATAAGGGCTGGAGGCAAAAATTGTACCTTTTGTCAATCGAGAAAAATTACTTCTATAGTTCAATTTATAAATAATCTTGTTTCTGCCATGAAATAAAAATTCTTTACCTAAGTAGGACAAGGACATCAATTCTCAGCACCAAAAGATTTAATGGATGAAACCATTAATGTGCTCACCCACCTCATCAACCTTTTCAAATGAAGGTATTAATCTTGATTAAGTTCTTCACCAGTGATTCTCAACTTCAGTTAATTTCACCAAACCATGACTAGAATAGCTCACATGGGAATATTAATGTTTAACTCAGATAATTACATTGACATTTGGGGAGGAGGGGGTAGTCATCTTTTTAGCAAAACTTAATTTGAACTGAATCTAGATAGTTTTTCTGAAAATCTGAGTGACAGTGAAATTCACAACAGAAAAATTAGAAAAATGTAAAGATGAACACAGATGGAAATATGGAAAGATGTGTTTTATAAATAAAAGCTGGCATGGGACCTCTGATTTCAGGTCAGACATGTAAAGACTCTGGTCACCCTTATCCTTAAAATAAGAACAAAATAGACAAATTAATAATCAACAAATTTTCTTGGACCCATGAGAGAATTGAAGTTGCGGGGCAAACTGCCATCCTCAAAAGTGGAGAGATGGGTTCATCCAGAGGTACATAGCTGAGATCTGCTTACCAGGGGCAGGAGCAGCTGGATTCCTAAAGTGGTAGGAACACTGAAACACTTCGATGAATGGCTGGAGACTGAGTCTAGACTAGTGAAGATAGTGGGAAATTCCTGGGTGCTGCTGTCTTAGGGGAACTTCCACATGTTTGGGGCTTTACCTCCAGGAACTCCACCAGGTTTTTATGGTGAAGACCTCAGAAAGATACTCTCCTTACTCTGTTACAGGGAGGAGGAGAGTGACCGTTGTGAAATATGCCCAGGACATTCTCCATATCAAAGCCCTATGATCCAGGGGAAATTGTTAGAGCCTTATCCCAGTTTCAGGAAGAGAATTCCTTTCAGTCCAGCCTCTTTCAGTCTTCCTGTCTCACCTAAGGGGAAGTAAATATAAGCCACAGGGGTCAGAGTTTCAAGGAAATAAATAGAAATACTGCAACCAGGGAAGCAAATAGAGGGGCAGAGGCAAAAGAAGAAAAAGCTGTATTGTGAAGCCCCAATGCACTGGCCTACTAAAGGACTAAGATTTAATTAGAATATTTTGAACACTCCCCTCTCTCATACTTTACCAGCATCCAACAAATCTCCAGTATAACAACAGTGGATTACAGCTAAAAGAGCTGAAATACATGAACTATCTCTGAGGAAGAGTATGTAGGGAAACCCAAAACCAAGAATAGAGACAAAAACAAATACACTAGAGAAACTTGAGGCCTCTCATCTCAAAACTGTAACAACTAGGACAAACATTTAAACATTGTGCAACTCCTTGCCAAAGTAACATAAATTTGTACACTAAAAGCCCATTTACCTCAGTTTATCTTACCTAATAAAACATATGGCTTTTAATAAAAAATTACAAGTCATGGCAACAGAGAAGAAAAAAAATCTGAAGAGATAAAGCAATCATTAGAATCATTTATATCATATTAGATATGATATAAATTTTGGAACTATGAGACATAGAATCTGAAATAATTGTGAATAATATCAATTTTAAAAAACTATACATAATATAAAATTAATAGAATAACATTTCTAATAGAAAAAGTAAATAATATGCAGAAAATCATGAATAATGTAAGCAGAAAGACGGAAACCCTAAGAAAAAATTGAAAGAAAGCCTAGAAATCAAAAACACTCCAACAGTGTTGTATATATCACTAACATTGATATGGCCAAGAAAAGAATCAGTGAGCTTGAGGCTAGGTTAGGAGAAACTTCCCAAACTGAAATGTAAAGAGAAAGAATAAAAAATAATTAAGAATTATGGGATAATTTCCAAAAAATGTAACATATGCATAATTGGAATGCCAGAAGAAGAAAAAGTAGGCAGAACAGAAGAAATATTCTCCAGTAAAGGGAACTGGGGTTCCTCGAAGAAACGGCAGGTTCTAGGGCTGGGGTAAGAAATATACAAGATGAATGTTGAGCATCTTTTAGTGCCATAAACTAAGGATATGTTCAAAGAAACGACAACCACCCACAATGTTAGAGATATTTCAAAGGAACAGAGTAGTCAACTGAAATCACTCCTAAAGGCTAAAGCTGGAAGAGTTTGAGCCACAAAATAAAGTTGTATAAAATAAATATAGAGGAGTCTGTACAGATATAATCTATAAATATACAAATTAATAAATGGAGAGAAATATATGAATCTATCATGTAAAAGAATTCAAATAATTATGTAGATACTCTGTCTTGAAGGTACTATATATAACTCCCCACTCACTAAGTATGAGATGCACACAGTGACTTCTTTTCAAAGAGTGCAGTATAAAAACATGGTGAAATCATTTAACAGTTTGAGAAACTTGACCAACACTACCTCTGCCAGGTGATCAAGGTTAACATTCACAATGGTAAGTTATGTTAATAGCATAGCCCTTTTTGGGTGATAGAGGTGTGATAATTGCTCTCTACCCATCATAAGGGTCATGGCCAACACTCCTATAACAAAAGACAGATTAACAAAGAAAAGCATAATAATTTAATCAAAGTTTTATATGACATGGGAGACTTCAGAAAAGAAGAGCCAAAGACCCAGGGAAAATTGTTTATTTTATGCTTAGATTTTATGCTTATGGCCAGTGTTGCAGAAATTTGGACAAAAGAGTATGATCTAATGTAATAGACTGAGAGAAACAACCCAGTAAGCCCTGTCTGTTTGTATTCTTCTTGACCTCTCTGTGCAGCAGTCCCTCCTCCTACGTATAGGGCAGGGCCTTAGCAATGAAGGTTTTATGACCTACTATCAAATAATGTAGGTCAGAGTATTTCTTTATGGCCAGCTGCTACAAAGAAAGGTGGGAGAAGATGATAGTAATATTTTTAGGGTTTATGGCTTGTTTTGGAAAAGAAAGGTTCTAGTTTTTATGATCTTGGGGAAGAGGGAGTCTAGTTTCTATGGTTTATTTCACAGGAGAAAGAGGGGCCAGAGACTTTGCTTCTGAGGCCTTCCAATCTCCTTTACTTCAAAATACTCAGCATCACAAGGCACCATACTTTGGGGTACATTTTTGAGTCCCTCTACACCTTTGATATGATGTGAAGAGAATGGTGCTTTACCTCTAGGGTTGTCCATCCCAAAACACATATCCCAGTTTAATCATGAGAAAAAAATCAGACAAATATCAACTGTGGGACATTTTACAAAATACCTGAGCAGTACTCCTCGAAGTTGTGAAGGTCATCAAAAAAACAAAGAAAGTCTGAAAAACTATCACAGGCAAGAGGAACCTAAGGAGACAGAATGATTAAATGTAATATAGTATCCTGGGTGGGATCCTGGAGCAGAAGAAGATATTAGGTACTAAGTAATCTAAAGTATTGACTGTGGTTGATAATAATTATATCAACATGGTTCTTTAATGTCCACTAATGTCCCATACCAAGGGAAGATGTTAATAATAGAGGAATTGGGTATGGAAAATGTAGGAACTCTCCGTTCTATCTTCACAACATTTTTACAAATAAAATAATTATAAAATATTTACTTAAAAAAAGAACAAACAAGGAAGCCTTAAGATAGTTGGATATTTGGGAACTGATTCGTTGTAACACATCTACCACCACCATGAGCACACACAAAAAAAACTTACATACACATATGTAATAGAAGACCTTTTTATTTATTTATTCATTCATATATTTAAAAAATGAATGAATATATTCTAAATATCTATAATAAACTGGCTCTGGGCCCAGCATTGGTGAAGTTTTCTGCCCTATAGTATTTGGAGTCTAGTGGTGGAGATAGACAGTAACTAGCAATTTCAGAAATCAACCTATAGTTATGGACTGGCAAATATGGAAGAATGTAACATGGTAACAGGATTTAATGGGGAAGCCTCATCTGGTCTGTGGCCTGAGGAAAAGTCTTTGATGGTGCATTCTTCAAGAGTTGAAGAATGACTGTTTAGAGAAATGGTAGAAGAATATTTCTGAAGGACAGAATGGAATTTGGAAAGAATCTTTGATTGGAAGTATGCGACAAATTCAAGGAATTAAAAATTGACCAATATGTCTATAGGGATCAAGGAGCAAATAGCTCCAGATGAGGCTAGGAAGGTGAACTGAGGCCAAATCATGAAGGGTAGCAGAGGCCATGTTAGGGAGATTTGTGTTTTTTTCCTAACAGAAAGTCACTGTTTGTATCTGGGAAGGTGAATGATAACACGAACAGATTATCATTTGTAAAAGACCACACAGATTTCGTTGCAGAGAAGGGACTGAGGAAGAGTAGGAGTTGGTGGATATGCACGCATCAGGGGGATAAAGAAATCAGTGAGAAAATGATGTCCAGGAAAATAGATGATGTCTGGAAATCCAAGCAGTACAACTGAGGGGCCAGGTACCACAGAAAATGCCTACTTTTCTGGCTTATGCTACTGAGCAAAGTGTTTGTATTACCAGATGCAGAAACCCCTGAAGAAGTGGAATATTAGGGGAGGATGCTGATGTCATGATTCTAGATGAGATGTGCTGTAAGATGTTTTTGAGACATTTCAGTGGGGATGTCAGGTCATTCGCTAGATATCTGGGTCTGGATTTCAGAGTAAGATTAACTTTGGAAACACAAATTGAGAAGTCAGCTCACCAACCTCTAGCTGATAACTGAAGCCATGGGAATAATGAGATAATGAAAATACAAGAGAATCTGGAGTTATTTTTCTTGGATATCATCTTTCTGAAAGGCCAGGACAGATGACGTGACAATCACACTCTCTTTGAGAACTGCAGCTTGCGATGCCTCCAGCCACACGAATTTCTAGTCACTCAAAATTTATTGAATTGCAGTTGTATAATAGCAAGGCCAGTGCATTCCTAAATTTTTTTTCTTTTATTATTATTTATTTTTTTCATGTAGTACTTGTTTTGAAGCAGTTACTTGTTAAAACAAACTTGTAATTTTTAAATGATAATAAACATTTCCATTTAAACTTAATCCAATAAAACTCTCTAAGCCTCAGTGTGCTCATTTATAGAAAAGGGATGGTACTATCTATTTTAATGTATTTATGAGAACAAAAATAAAATAAGGAAGTGAAATGTCAAGTAACAATAGTTAAGGATAAAATGAGACAATATAAATGATTGGCTTAGTTCTGAAAAAGCAGTAATTTGTTTTCTTCCCTTCCAAACCCCTCATTTTACAGAGGCAAAATAAAATTTGAATCCAAAGGTCACAGTTAACGGTACAACCAACATTGGAATCAAGGGGTCTTGGCTACCACTCTGTTACTAATAATAGTAAGTACCCTGTTCTCTGTGTGTTTACACAGGATGACAGGGGTGTTTCTGCAGTTGCAAGTATGCATATGCTTCTACCAAAGTCTGATGTGTAGATTTTCTCTCTTGGAAGACGCTCTGCTTGACCTTCATCTTGAAATGTAAGCTGTTTATCCAACAGACACCTGCATTAATTAGCATTAAACACCTTAAGTGTTCCTTTTCTCAGAGGACTCAGGACTCACACACTTTATACTCAAGAAGCAGCAATGAATACATTACAAGATCAGGAAAGGATATGTATTAGCATAAGAAATACAACGAAGGAGATAATGTGAAATCATACTTTAAAAAAAAAGGCAGAGAGAGAGAAAGTAGTGAACAAAGTTGGTAAGGGACTGAGTTAAGATGAGAACCCAGTTCTTCTGCTTCTTTCTCTGACACTTTAGTGTTCCCTATCTAGGTTTCTGTTCTTTCCTTCCTTTCTCTCCATGAGGAGGTTTCTGTTACTTTCTGACTAAGTTTTAAGCGATGCAGATGGAGGAGAATTTGTCAACTGGGTGGGAAAGGTACAGAAAACAGATGCTAGATTGTCAGTTAAACATGCTCCTTATTTCAGAAATTCAGGATCACAATCACTCTTTTTTCTTTCACTGTGAGGGAACAAATCCAAATAGAGGCAGAGGCATTGTTGTTTTCAAAGCAGGCACAAGTACATTGGAGGAATATCAATGCTGCCAACCAGCTGAAGAACAACAGCTTTTTATCTTTTGTTTCTCAGTGCCTTGCACACAGATTAGGTGCCAACTATCTACCCAATAATCTTGAGTTTATAATCTAACCCAGATGACAAAGTTAGCAATAAAGCAATGTCTATAAAATAAACTCTTAATATATTGTTAAATCAACTTTAGCTGAAAGTTGTCTCCTACATATTTTAAGTTCAGCCTGAAGGTTTCTCTGTACATTGTGAACTATAACCTAAATGGAGTTGTAAACAGACTATAGTCTATTCTTGTGCCAATCACCGAGTTTTGTCTAATCAAAGGTGGCCAGCTGTTCAAACCATGTTCAAATAAGTCAAACACCAAGCTATAACCAATCTGACTGTTTCTGTACCTCACTTCCATTTTTTTAACGTTATTTTTCTTTTTCTGTACATTAATCTTCTTCCACCATGTGGCTGTGCTAGAGAATCTGAGCCTACTCTAGCTGAGGAAGCTACCTGGTTCATAAATTGTTCTTTGCTCAATTAAACTCTTTTAAATTTAATTTGGCTAAAGTTTTCCTTTGAACAATATCTTGCTTAATATTTTATTGATTCCATTTTACAGAAGAAAAAATTGAGTCAAAGAATTTAAGAATTTGCCAATAGTAACTCAACTAGAAAGCAGTAGAAGATCTGGGGTTCCATTTTAGATTCCTGTGACTTTTATTATAACACCCAGGTGGCAGAGCTAGGACCAGAATCAAGGTGCTCTGTTCCAAGTTTAATGCTTTTCCACTAACATGCAAGAAATTAGTAATTAGGAATTAAAACAGAAAGGTGGACAAGGCTTTCATGTTTTGTTCCAAGCATTAGCAGGCCTTTCAAAGCTATACACAGAAGTGAGAACTAGGCATCTTCTGATTTCACCTTACGTGACAGAATTTGATTACAAAATCTCTCAGAGTATGTAAGAAAGGGTGACGGCACAGTTGTGAAACACTAATAACAGTAGTCTAAAGACATATGATTTATCCCTGTAGAATTTAAACCCTTTTTTATTCACAGGCTATGAGGAGCCAAAGACCATCACTGGCTTAGTAGGGTATGAGGCGGCAACAGCTAAGTAGGTCAAAGAGGATGCCATGAACATGAGATTCTGGATCTGGACTTAGATGTATCTATGATGACTAACTTAGAATACCCTCCTGAGGAGGGCCACAGAGTACTTGGGAGGTGACTTTAAGAGTGCTGAAAGGGACCTAAACAGCTCACATTGACAACAGGCAGTGAAAGTGAGGGGAATTGGGGAAAGCCGTACAATATATCTTGTTATGAACGTAGGAAGAACCTGCCAGATGAACACAAAAGAGGGGAAAGTCCAATTTCCACAAGCACAAAGGCTTATACAAGGCATCCTAACTTTGGCCTTGGGATGTGGCAGCAAGAAGAGAAGTCAGAAATACAAAACCTCCTCATAAGAAAACTTGTTTCAAATTCCTGTTATTGATTTTTGTGAGGAGAGAGAAGATAATCTCTGGAAGTCTCAGTTTATTCATCTGTAAAATGTGGATAATAACAAACTTTAAAGAGCTGTAAGACATAAATGAGATCAGGTACTCTAAGGGCAGTACTTAACATGCAGTGAGGTTAGTTGTGGCCATTATACTTGCACAGAGCAGAAGCCATTAGTTCTACAGCTTAATATAGGAGCCAATTTAATTTCCTTAGAAAAGACATTTTAAGTATTTGCTATTTGGTCTCTCATCCAAGTACTAACCAGACTAGACCCTGCTTTTCTTTCAAGAAATTGGTATGCCTATGGTATAGACATAGGCAAATTTTTGCTATTTGTGAATTATGGTGTACCACAAATAAAAGAGTTGTCCTAAAATTAATTCAATAGGTCTATGAATTTTATTTCTTATTTTAAAATATAAAAAGAGAATCATACAATCTAAAGGTTAGCCTCACAGATTCTGGAGCTAGATGATTGTGATACTTAACAATTCTGCAAACTGGGGCAAGCTACTTAACTTCATGTGCTCCACTCTTCTTTTCAGTGAAGTGGGGATTATAACATATTATGAGCTAAACTGTGTCTCTGTAAAATTCAAATTTTTAAGTCCTAACTCTTAATACTTCAGAATGTTACTTTATTTGGAGATAAGATCTTTAAAGAGATAATTAAGTTGAAATGAAGACATTAGTAGGCCAGAATCCAATATGAAGGAAGTCCTTAGAAGAAGAGGAAATTTGAGCATGGGCAGGGATGGAGAGGAGACTATGTGAAGACATAGGAAAAAGATGGCCATTTACAAGTCAAGGGAAGAAGCCTTAAAAGAAACCAACCCTGGTGACACTTTGATCTCAGACTTTAATTTTCCAGAATTGTGAGAAAAAAAAATTATGTTGTTTAAGCTACCCAGTCTGTGGAACAGGTATACCACATTTTATTGCAATTCAATTTATTGCTTTATGTGGATATTACATTGTTTACGAATTGAAGGTTTGTGGCAGCCCCAATTGCAGAAGTCTGTCAGTGACATTTTTCCAACAGCATGTGTTCGTGTCATGTCTCTCTCACAGTCTGATAATTCTCACAATATTTCAAACTTTTTCAATATTACTAAATCTCTTATTATGATCTGTGATCAGTGATTTTTGATGTCACTCTTGTAATTGTTTTGGGTTGCCACAAACCACATCCATATAAGATGGTGAAGTTTTGTGTATGTTCTGACTGCTCCACCTGCCAGCCATCCTCCTTCCCTCACGCCCCCATCACCAACAGTCCTCCTCCCTCTCTTCAGGCCTCCCTATTCTCTGACACATAGCAATATTGAAATTAGGTCAATTAATAACCCTACAATGGCCTATAAATGTTCAATTGAAAGGAAGAGTCACTTTAAATCAAGAGGTAGGAATAATTACCTAGAGGTAGGAATAATATTAGATAAATATTAGAGGTAAGAATAATAATGAGGAAAGCATGTCCAAAGCCAACATAGCTAGGCCTTTTATGTGAAATACAGTCAAGGTGTAAATGCAACAGAAAAATTCTTGAAGGAAATTAAAAGTGCTACTCCAGTGAACACATAAATGATAAGAAAGTGAAACAGCCTTATTGCCGATATGAAGAAAGTTTTAGTGGTTTGGATAGAAGATCAAACCAGCTACAAACTTCCCTTAAGCTAAAGCCTAATCCAGAGCAAGGCCCCAGCTCTCTTCAATTTTATGAGTCCTGAGAGCAGTGAGGAAGTTGAAGAAGGAAAGTTTGAATCTGGCAGTTGTTCAAGAGTTTTAAGAAAAGAGCCCATCTTCATAAAATAAAAGTGCCAGGTGAAGCAATAAGTTCTGATGGAAAAGCTGCAGAAAATTAACCAGAAGATCTTGTTAAGATAAGAGATGAAAGCCATTACACTAAACAAACAAATTTCAAGGTAGACAAATTGCCTTCTATTGGAAGATGCCATCTAGGACTTTCTTAGCTAGAAAGAACTCAATGCCTGGCTTTAAAGCTTCAAAGGATGGGCTAACTCTCTTGTTAGGAGCTAATGCAGCTGGTTAGTTTAAGTTGAAGCCAGTGCTTATTCAGTTGAAGCCATTCCAAAAGTCCAAAGGCCATCAAAAACACTAAATCTACCCTGCCTGTGCTCTGTAAATAGAACAATGTTTAGGTGACAGCACATCTGTTTATACCATGATTTACTGAATATTTCAAGTCCACTGTTGAGACCCACTCCTTCAAAAAAAAAAAAAGATTTCATTCAAAATATTACTGCACATTGACAAGGTCACCCAAGAGCTCTGATGGAGATACACAAGGAGATGAATATTGCTTTCATTCCTGCCTACACAACATCCATTCAGCAGCCCATGGATTAAGGAGTAATTTTGACTTTCAATTGTTATTATTTAAGAAATACATGCTATAAGGGTATAGCCGACATACAGTGATTCCTCTGATGAATTTGAGCAAAATGAATAGAAAACCTTTTGGAAGGGATTAACTATTTAGATACAATTAAGAACATTAATTTTCATGGGAGGTGGCCAAAATATCAACATTCATAGAGTGTGGAAGAAGGTGAATCCAAACCACATGGATGACTTTGAGGGGGTTCAAGACTTCAGTGGAGAAAGTTACTGCAGATGTGGGGGAAATTGCACCAGAACTGGAGTACAAGTAGACCCTGAAGATGGAAACAAATTATTCAATCCCATAATAAAATTTGAACGAATGAGGGGTTGCATCTTATGGATGAGCAAAGAAAATAGTTTCTTGAGATGAAACTTATTTCTGGTGAAGATGCTGTCAACACTGTTGAACTGACAACAAAGTACTTAGAATATTCTATAAACTTATCTAATAAAGTACCAGTAGGGTTTGAGAGGATTGACTCCATATTTGCAAGAAGTTCTACTGTAGGCAAAATGCTATCAAACAGCATCACATGCTACATGAATATATTTTTTGAAAGGAAGAGTCAATCAATGTAGCAAACTCTATTTTTTTCTTGTTTTAAGAAATTGTTGCATCCACTCCAAACTTCAGCAGCCATCACCCTGATCAGTCAGCAACCATCAACCTGCTAGACCTACCAGAGGTCTGACCTACCAGAAAAAAGATCACAACTTGCTGAAGGTTCAGAATATTCTTAGCATTTTTCAGCATAAAGTATTTTTAACATAAGGTATGTACATTTTATTCTTAGGCATAATGTTACTGCACCATAAATATACTACAATATAGTGTAAATATAACTTTTTATATGCACTGTGAAATCAAAATATTAATGTGACTAACTTTATTAGAATGTTTGTTTTATTGTGGTGGTCCGAAGCCAAACCTTCCATATCTTAGAGTTATGCTTGCACTGTATTATGGAAGCCCTAAGAAACCAATAGGTAATAGTACTTACTACAAGGGATTGTTTTTAGCATTAACTGAATTAATGTATGTAAAATCAATTAGAGTAACGTGTAGCATAGAGTAAGTATAGATGTTATTATTATTGTTATTAAAATTATAAATACTTTGTTTTGGGATTTTTCTTCCATAGGGGTTCTTTAAACTTTTATATTCTCCTACATCTTTTGCCCCTTTAAGATTAGCTCAATGGCTACATCTGTGAAAACTTTTAAGAGTTGACATATTCCTCCTTTGATTATCACATTTGTCATATTGCATTGCAGTTATTTGATCATGTGTAATTTTTTGCCTATATGGGAAATTCGCCGAAAGCAATGATATTGCCTTATTGGTCATTATATGTCCTGTGTCCATTACAGTGCCTGCCAGTTAAAAACAATATGAATTCAACCAGGAGACTGAATTCATATTAGTATATTTATAAAGTCTCATAAATCATATATAAAATACATAGGAATTGTATATTTTTCCCTAGAGAGTCCAAAATTTTTTCAAATTGTTCAAGATTAAATTATTTAAGATTAAATTTTTTAAATTATTCAAATTATTTAAACATTTTATGAATCACTAATTTAGTGTTTAGATATCAGAACTTGGAGAAGAAAGGATCTAAGAAATGTTGATGACTTTGGGTTGAATCTTGGTAGATTGTACCATTCATTAACCCCCATCAGTTAGGACAGTGCCTGGCATGTAATAAGCATTGCACCGAGTGCTGGAAGTAGAAAGCCAAATGAGGAAAGGTGCTTGTCTTACAAAGAGCTAAAATCTGGTCAATAATTCAGCACAGTACAGTGTGAATGCCAGCAGAGAAGGGCCCTTCATGCCTTGGGAAAAAAGAGAAAGAGGAGTTAGTATCCACTTGGATGAGGGTTGAGTGGTGTCGGTCAAGGTGCCCCTTTGGTGACACTTGAACTTAAGTTTTAAAAAATGAATAGCAGAGATCTAGGCAAAGTAATAAGAGGGAAAAAAAGCATTCTAGTAGGAGTAAAGCACAAGCATGAAGGAAAAGAATTACGCTTCTGGGACCCTGCAAGTAGATCAGATGGATTGAAAGGAAGGATATTATGTGGATATCTGTAGGTATATGTGGTTTAACACAGACACTGTAGGGTTTGCATGAAAGGTAATTAGTCAATATTAGTTTAAAAGCTGTGAGGAGCCATTGGAGGATTTTAAGCCATGCAGTGACATAATCGTGCCTAGTTACGGTATAATTCAATGGACCAACAGCTGAGTTTGGGAGCTCAAAGGGAGCAACACGGTAGTAGATAGACAGCCTACTTTTACTGAGACCACTGGGAAAAACTTGGAGCATCTACCTGGGTTTGAAATAATAGCATCCCAGGAGCTCTATTTCCTCCTGATTCCTGGCTAATGTTGAAACACATTTGAGGAGTATCTGGAAATTTTCACTGAAAAACAGCCCCTTTAAGAGAACTCCACACTTTAAGAGTAGAGATTGTCAGGAATAAATAGCTTCAAATGAAAATCCTGTTACATAGCTAAGAAATTCAACTGTGGCCGATCTCAATTAACTACAATTTTAAGTATATAGTCTAGAAGTTCTTAACTTAGTTGAAAAAAGGGGAAACAAACCCTTGGGGAATCAGTAAGGCAGTTAAAATCAGATTAAAATACTTAAACTAATGATGAAACTTGGAGAAACTTAGTATAAGAACCAAAAAGGCCTAAATAATTAAAAGTTTAAGAAAGAAAGGCAGTTTCGGTGTTTTTTTCTCTCCTTTTCCAAAAAACATTTAATATCATTAAGTATCAGGCACCCTGCTATGAATAATTCAATGTGCATCCAGGATTGAGATACACTGCATTAGGCAGAAATTGCACTCAAATAAAATGAGCCAGGCCACACTGGCCACAGTAGTCAAGATGAATCTAGAAAATGTCTCCTAACAGACCTCCAGACAATGCTGGGTGTAAATGGGAGGTCTGCTATTAACTTGGCTTTCAGTAGGAATTACTGATGGGCCTTCAAAGCCTCACCCCTCTTACCTGTGAAGTGGTGATAACAAAACTTACCTTACTCCCTTCACTGAGTTGTCCATTTATTTATTCAATAAATATTCTATCATGTTAAGAATCATGACATGTCAAGCTCCAGTGATGTAGAAGCATAGTCCCTATCCTCATTGATCTCTCTCCATGTTGTGATAAACACATACAAAAAGTGTTAAGGTAATATAAATGATGCTCTTAAAGATGTGTATAAAGCCTATGGGATTACAGCAGAAGCAGCTAACCAGATGGGAAACGAGAAAGTGGTATTTAAATTGGATGAGTAAATTATGGGAAAGGTATCACATAGAATGCGTAGACTGACAGGGACCCTGGGCACTGATGTAATTGAAAAAATAAAAGTGATCTGGTGTGGGATGCAATGTAGAGCAGTGCGGGATCAACAACAAGTGAGCCCAGAGAGGTGGAGGTGGGTCACACTGTGAAAGGCCTTATGCATATCAGGGTGGGGAGTCTGGGCTTGATCCCAAGGGTTAAATTGAATCTAAGTGGTTTAGATAAGAAGTAACTGTTCCTGGATTTTAATTTTAGAACTATGATTATAATGGATGTGTGTATTATATTAAATTATAATAAATCAAAATGTAATACTTCTGTTTAGTGGAGATCATAGTATGCCAGGGGAGCAATAGTGACTAAGACAACTTCTACATATGACAAATAGCTATTACTTTTCTTAAGATGGCTATGCTGCCTCTCTTTCTTCCAAAATTTCTCTTCATTTAACATACATTATTGTTCTACTATTCTTCACTAGAGTGATGCTTCTGAGGCTCTTAGAATAATAAAAAATGACTGATTGCTTCAGTAATAATTTCAATTTATTGGATGACAGTCATGCATCCAGTGCTATGCTGAGAATTTTGATATATATATATATCATATTTATTTCTCCAACAAAACTGCAAGAAATGTAGTATGGTAGCAGTAGTGAGAGTTAGCTCATATACCACTGTATGCCAGGTATTATTCAAAGTACTTCACATACAGGAACTCGTTTGAACCTCAGAACAACCCTATGAGCTATGTTATACTTGTATTTTACAGATGAGAAAACTGGAGGACAAAAGGGATATAAAACTTGCCTAAGGTTACACAGCCAGTAAGTGTGAAGTGGCAGAATCAACATTTGAAACCTGCAGTCTAAATATGATAAGTGTTCTTAGCCTTAATGAGGTATTTGTACAAAAGTACTCCCATTAAAATACATATAAAAATAGGCAAACAAACAAAAAGTGAGGGTTTAGGCAACTTTCCTCTATTTAGTTAGTAAATGGAGCAGTAGGAATCAAACCTGAGTCTTTTGTACTTGGCACTTTCCAGGACACCAAGTGCTTCCAATTGTGTATTCTGCACACACACACACACACATACACTCAGTAAGCCTATATGACTTGCCCATTTTCTAAGTTAATCAGGAAAAAGAAAAACATTGAAAAAGATCTTTGAGTGGAAAACTACGTGACATTTTACATTACAAATAAAAACTTCATCTGTTCACTGCTATGTCCATAGAAAAGAGAATCGTGCCTGTACACAGTTGATAATAAATATTTGATAAGTAACTATCCCAGAGGGTTTTCAGAAGTATCCCCTGGGAATGAGGAGAATATATTATGTTTCTTCAAAACATATATTCAGAAAATAGATACTAACAAGCTATTACCTACAGGCAAGTACAGGAAATGTATGTAGTAAAATGGGAGATGAAAAGCTTCAGAAAGCAGAGTCCTTCCCTTAAGGAATTTTCAGGGAAGAAAGCCACTTAAACCATTTATATCTATTTATCTCTTTTTATATCTTTAATCATTTATATGATTTTTATATCTTCAGTCAAAGACCAAGAACGTGTATCTGATGGAGAAAGGTGTATTCAAGTGCTATAAAGTAAGAGTCATTATTCAAGGTAATAACAGTTAAATAAGTTCAAACTGAGCATATGTAGTACAGGCACACTTTCACATACCCAACACTCTTGTCATAGCAGACAATACTTTCTGGTTTCCAACATCCTCACTGAAATATTCCCAGTACTATATCCCTAAGCCCTAAGCATCAACTTTCATGTGACATTAATAGCCTTACTGCTCTCCCCAACTGTGGTAGATTTCACTTGATTCTGAGAATTACAGTGGAAAAGTTTATCATATATCTACTATCTGTACAGATATAGAACTCCTTTATTTTGAATGACAAGTCTTTCCCCCAGACAAAAGGATATCATTCCTATTGTGCATAAGGCCCTTCAGACACAAACTCTAACACTTGTAGCCTCCCCAGTAATTGACATGGTTTGGTAGGAATCCAGAGGAATTATTCTTTATGTAATAATCTACATGATAATCTTCATGTAATTACCTACATGATAATCTGCATATGAACAGGCAAGGTTTGTTTCCACCTCTGCTTCAGAAAATGAGAAAAATTAGTGCTTAGTTTGGTGCTTATAGACTAAAACAATAGTAGAAAAGTGGGCAGCAAGAACAAAATAGCAAAAATCTATGGGTATCAGCCCAAAGTATTTGAATTTATTCTGTATGTAACATATATGCAGTGGAAGACTATTGCCCTTTGAAGAGTGGAATTGTGTGAAAAAATGGTGCATAGAAAGAATTATATGGAGGTGTTACGCAGATTGGATTTTGTTGTTGTTGTTGTTGTTGGAGGGATTAGAGGCAGGGGACCAATACATATGATGGGGCTAAGTACCTATGGCCCATACTAAATGTAAGAAAAATCAGAGGTAATATCTGTAGATAAGACAAGAAAGCAAAGAAAGTAAAAAATATGTGAACACAGAGATGCCATCTAAAAGAAGCAAAATTCTCTATGAATTATCTATGAACTCAAATGCTTCTTTCCAAAGAACAGCAAATATTCTATGCATGACTAAGAGTATTTATGGTTTACAATTATAGAAATATACAGAACACCAATACACAAATAATTTATGCAAGAATAACACTAATATCATTGGCAATTTAGATAAGAAAAAGCATGATGTGTTAAAGTCTAGCCTAATGAACAAAGAAGATAATGTAAAACATTCTTCAGAGAGCAAATTCAACTGAAGCTGACAACCTGACATCTTAATCACAACAAATGATCTGGACTGCTGGAAAAAGGAGCCCAAGAAAAGATCGATCAAATGCTAAAAAACAGACTATTTTCTTTGCGTTTTGCCCCAAAATAGTAGTTAGATATCCTCCCATGTACTTACCATTTATTTCCTTCTCCAGCCAAAATTTTTATTTACATAATATTTCTTAGTTTTTTTCCTTTTCTACTCTTCTAATCCTCTATTCCAATTGGAAAAATTGACAAACTAAAGTATGTCTTAAAAAAGCTAGTGATCTGAGCATCATTCGATCTGGAGTTAAAAATATTAATTGCCACTTTCAAGAAAGGAAAATGGATTATTTTATTTTTATTAAATCTCCACTATGGAAAGGGAGATAACATGGAGAAAAGGATTCCTATTTCTTCTGCTAACAAACAATTTGTGGAAGAGTGAGAGACTAGTGAAACCCCCTCTGAGAACAAACAAATAACAGAGGGTAGAACATCAAAGGAGAAAACTCAGAAACATCTCAAGAAGACTCCAGAATATAAACCAAATGGACTTGTGATAGTGAACATTTTGAAATTTCTATTAAAATCCCAAGTTGATTACTTATTATCTATTTTCTCCAAGTGATTAGTAGTAAAATTCATGAAATGAGAAAGGCCCAGTTAAGAAAAATCAAGGGTAATAGGAGCTATGAAGACATATTTCACTCCACAGCCAAGTGGCGAAGGCAGAGGAATTCTGAGAGGTGGAGTGGTTGTGACAACTCTTATCAGCAAGCTCCTCTTTGGGCCCGTCTGACAAAGCTTATCCTTTTATCAAAGGTCAAAGGAGTAAACTCCTTGTTTGAAGGCTTTCCCCTACCCACTTATATATCCTTGGACAGTGAGAATCATTGTTTTTATCTCCCATATCCCTGATTTCTTATGATTTGCTTATTTACTTTTAAAAGCATCAGTGAGGGTCCAATTTATCATTTTTTGTTGTTGTGCCCAAAACATTTGAGAATCTGTAGTTGTTTAGAAGTTGTTATTAGGTATACTCATTGAAAAAATATGAGCTTCTCAGAGGCCTGATTACCTAATGGGCTTAGACTCAAAACTGACGTAACTGTCAATAAAGCTTAAAAGAATTAAGTATGCACTAAATACTTAGATATCATTTACTGAGAAGATAAGGAAAAGTGAACAGATTTCCTTGAAGGAGTGAAAGAGAAATGGCACTTAAGAAAAGCAGTTTTCCTTACAAAGGAGAGAGGAGAGTTCTTAGATATATAAATAACATATTAGACACTTCACAAATATTAGGGCTTGAAAGAACACTGCTCATCCATGTCCCTGCAAAGGACATGATCTCGTTTGTTTGTTTGTTTTTTTTTTTTGGCTGCATAGTATTCCACGGTGTATGTGTACCACATTTTCTTTATTCAGTCTATCACTGATGAACATTTAGGTTGATTCCATGTCTTTGCTATTGTGAATAGTGCTACAATGAACATATGCATGCATGTTTCTTTATAATAGAATGATTTATATTTCTTTGGGTATATACTCAGTAATAGAATTGCTGGGTCGAATGGTATTTCCATCTTTAGGTCTTCAAGAGATTGCCACACTCTCTTCCACAAGGGTTGAACTAATTTATACTTCAACCAACAGTGTACAACAAACTCCCATGACATTAGTTTACCTATGTAATCAACCTGCACATGTACCCCTGAACTTAAAAGGTAAAAAAAAAAGAATACTGTCATCTAATCCAAGGTTTGATAAATAAGTCATCTGGAGTCCGTGAAATATTTGAGAACTTGCCACCCAAATGGACTTTGGAGACTTTACCCCAATCACAATTAGAGCAGTTCTATTTGTATCTGTTTTACATATTGAAATTACATTCAGTGTAGGAATTTTTTTTTAAAAAGGGTTTCTGCATTTCCACCTCTGGATTGGCAGTGGGAGAAGCTTCACGGATCTTCTCCTTTGCAAAACAAGTGTAACTAGTAACAATTATGAAAAAATAATACTCCCCCACTTAAAGTCTCTAGAAGTTATTCTAAGGGTACACAGCAAATGCTGAAACATTTATTCAAGAAAATCTACTACAACATTAAGAGCAGTGAGGCTCTGTGGCATTTGAATCATGATCTTTTAACTTCCTCTCACTTGACAGAGATTGTGTTGAATTTATAGACTAACTTAGAAAGTATTGTCATGTTAATGATAGTTAAGTCTTCCAATCTGTGAACAAGGGGGGGTCTTCCTGTTATTTTATTCAGATCTTTATTAATTTCTTTCAATAGTGTTTTATAGTTTTCAGTATATAAGTCTTGCCCTGATTTGGTTAAAATTATTCCTAAGTATTCTATTCTTTCTGATATTACTGAAATTGTTTTCTTAATTTCCTTTTCAGTTTGTTTATTGCTAATGTTTAGAAATACAACTGATTTTTATATATTGATTTTGTATCTTGCAATTTTTCTAAACTCATTCAAACTGTTTATTTGTAGCTTCTTTATGATTTAAGACACTATTATCTGCAGAAATAGTTTTAATTTTTCCTTTCCAGTGTGGACAATTTTTATTCTTTTTCATGCCTAATGGCCCTGGCTTAAACCTTCGATACAATGTGAAACAGAAGTAGTCTAAGCAAACATCTTTGCCTTGTTCTTTACATTAGGAAAATTATTTGAGTTTTTTTTTTCAGTTTTTAATAAGTGAGTATGATGTGTTAGCTGTGGCTTTTTCATAGGTGTTATTTATCAAAATGAGAAAGCTCTTTTTTTATTCCTAGCTTGATGCATGTTTGTTTTTTAAATCATGAAAGGTACTATCTTTTTCTGCACCTATTGAGATGACCATGGGATTTTATTTTCTCTTTATTATATTAATGTGGTATAATAAATTTATTGATTTTAATATGTTGAGCCACCTTTGTATTCCTCAAATAAATCCAATTTGGCTTTGACATAAACATTTTTATATGCTGCTGGGCAGTTTTTCAGTATTTTGCTTAGAATTTTTTTTCCATTTGTATTTGCAAGTGTTATTGTTCTGTAGTTTTCTCTTGTGATAGTTTTGTCTGACTTTGCTCACAGGATAATACTGGCCCCATAGAGTAAGTCAGGAAATGTTCCCTCCTACTCTACTTTTTTTGAAAGACTTTAATTGATGTTCTTTAAACATGTGAGAAAATCAATTAATTAAGCTATCTTGTCCTGAGATTTTCTTTGTTGTTGTTGTTGTTGTTTTTTTTTTTTTTTTTTTTTTTTTGGATGAGTAGCTTGTATCTTTACTTACTACAGGTCTGTTTAGATTTCTATTTCTTCTTGAGTCTGTTTTGGTAATTTGTGTGCTTCTAGGAATTTATTTTATCTACTTTATCTAGTATCAGTTGCTGCCATACAATTGTTTATAGTATTCCTTTGTAATTTTTTCTCCTGTAAAGACAATAGTAATGTCCCCTCTTTCATTCCTGATTTTAGTAATTTGAATCTTCTTTTTTTTTTTTTCTTGGCCAGTCTAGCTAAATGTTTGTCATTTTTGTTGATCTTTTCAAAGAATCAACTTTTTGTTTCATTGATTTTCTCTACTGTGTTCGTATTCTCTATTTTGCTTATTTCTACTCGAGTCTTTACTATTTCTTTCTTCTTATTTGAGTTTAGTTTGATTTTTTATTTTCTTGTTTCTAAGGCTGGTGGTTATGTTATTAATTTGTGATATTTCCTTTTTTAATGTAGTCATTAATAACCATAAATTTCAGGCCAGGCACAGTGGCTCATGCCTGTAATCCCAGCACTTTGGGAGGCCAAGGCTGGCAGATCACCTGAGGTCAGGAGTTCAAGACCAGCCTGACCAACATGGTGAAACCCTGTCTCTACTAAAAATACAAAAATTAGCTGGGCCTAGTGGCAGGTGCCTGTAATCCTAGCTACTCAGGAGGCCGAGGCAGGAGAATCACTTGAACCCAGGAGGCAGAGGTTGCAATAAGCTGAGATGGTGCCGTTGCACTCCAGCCTGGACAACAAGAGTGAGACTCCATCTCAAAAAAAAATAAAAAATCTCTGTCATTGCCACTTTTGCTATTCTCCATGGCTTTGGTATATTTTGTTTTTAATTTATCTCAAAGCATTTTCTAAATCTCTTGTGATTCTTTCTTTAATTCAACTATTATTTAGCAGTATGTTGCTTAATTTCCCCATATATTCATAAATGTTTCAAATTCCTTTTTATTATTAGTTTCTATTTTTTTTCCATTGTGGTTGGAGAATATACCTTGTATGATTTCAATCTTTTCAAAGTTTTGAGACTTGTTTTATGGTCTCACATGTAATTAATCCTGGAAAATACTCCATGTGCACTTGAAAAAAATGTGCATTCTGTTGTTGGGTAGAGTGTTCTATAAATATCTGTTAGGTCTCATTGGCATATAGTATTGCGCAAGTTTTTTCTTGCTGATTTTTGGTCTAGTCCTATCCCTTACTGAAAGTGGGGTATTAAAAAGTCTCTATTATAGTTGACTTGCAAATGTTTCCCTTCAGTTTGTCAGTTTTTGCTTCATGTATTGTGTGGCTTTGTTGATAAGTGCATACATATTTATAATTCTTGTATCTTCTTCAGCAATTGACCTTTTTATTGTTATATTATGTCTTCTTTTGTCACTTGTTAAAATTTTTGTCTTAAAGTCTGTTTTGTCTGGTATTAGTATACCTATTCAAGCTCTCTTTTGAATATTTTTTACATAAAATATCTTTTTCTTTTCAACCTATCTGTGCATCTAATGTGAGTCTCTTGTAGACAACATATATTGAGGTCATTTTAAAAAATCCAGTTAGCCAATTTGTGTCCTTTTATTGCAGAACTTAATCTACTTATATGTCATGTAATGGCTGATAAAATGTCATTATTCTTGACATTTTTCTATTTGTTTTCTATACATGTTATGTCTTTCTTTATTGTTCCTCAGTTCTTCCATTACTGCCTTCTTTTGTGTTGAATACATAATTCCTAGCTGTTCCCAACCTTTTTGGTGCCAGGGGCTGGTTTCATAGAAGATAATATTTTCATGGATGGAGGTTGAAGGGATGGTTTTGGGATGAAACTGTTCCATCTCAGATCATCAGGCGTTAGATTCTCATAAGGAATGTGCAACCTAGATCCCTCACATGCCCAGTTCACCTGCCGCTTAGCTGACAGGAGGCAGAGCTCAGGTTATACTCACTTCACCACTCACCTCCTGCTGTGTGGCCTGGTTCTTAACAGGCCACAGACAAGTAGCAGCCCATGGCCCAGGGGTTGGGGACCCCTGTTATATGGAGCATGCTCTCATTTTTATGCTGTTATTGTCCCACATTTTATCTGTATACATTATATGCCCACCAACCTGGATTTATAGCCTTATATATTTTCTTTTAAATAGGATAGAAAAAATAAGTTACAAACTCAAAGAGCATTTTTGTAGTCTTTTAAATTTATCTATGCAGTTATCTTTCACAGTGCTCTTTACTTTTTCTGGTGGATGAGTCACTGTTTAGTGTCCTTTCTTTTCAGCTTGAACTGCTTCCTTTAGCATGGTTGGAGGAAGTCTACCAGCAATGCAATCTCTCAGTTTTTCATTTATTGGGAAATTTCTTTATTTCTCTTTCATATTTGAAGAATAACATTGCCAGATATAGAAATCTGGGGTCACAATATTTTCTTTCAGCACTTTGAATATGCCAATCCTTTGTTTTCTGGCCTTCATAGTTTCTGGTAAGAAGTCAGTTCTCTCTTCTCTCCTTCTAGCACTTCTGTTACACATATGTTGATATACTTAATGATGTTGCTCAGATCTCTTAGGTTTTGTTCATTTTTAATTTTTTTTTTTTTTTGCATTTTATTCTTCAAAGTGGCTACTCTCAATGGAAGTAGAAGTTCAGGGACTTGTCTAAGGTAATAAAACTGTCTGATAGTAGATGAGAAACTACTGCACACGTCCTTGCCTTAACCCAGTTATTTGCTCATTCCATTGAATTAAAAGAAGATAAACTAAAAATATACAATCTCTTTTTAACCACCAAAGAATATCTACAAGTGAATAACTTTTGTTATCAGAGAAAACATAGCCCCTGGGAAATAACATGTCCAAAGTTACATGAATAGTAAATGGCAGGGCCAGGAATTAAAACAATGTTCTTAAGAACCAATCTGGTTCTTAAGCCCATCAACTCCTAACTAAAAAGAATAATATAATTAAATAAGAGGGAATCATTATTAATCAAAATTAAGATAGATTCAGTATAACAACAGTGGTATGTATTTTTAAGAAGTTACATATGGTTCTGTCATTATGCATTGATGATTGTCCAGCAGATATGCTGGGAAGTTGGTAGAATGCCAGCTTGGAAGGAAAGATGTGGGGTCACAAGTAAGCTGTGCCTAGAATATTATTCTGGTTTTAGGTAGGGTAAGCCTCTGAAAGGGGATCCAGGGGTCTAAACATGAACATTCGAGGAATTTTATGAACTCTGGTTTGACTTTGGCTTACTATTTTATTTCTTGGTCCTATTTTTTCCAACTTCTGATATATTTTTTTAACCTAACTACATTCGCTACTTCAGAGTAGTAATATTTGATGTTATTTCCAAAGGGACCTAATTTAGCGTAAGATCTATTGTTCAGAAACAGGTGGTTGAGGTTATAGCTTTGGGTAGTCTGCCTGCTTGGCATTACTTTCTCAGTGATAGAAGTTTAAATAGTGTCAACCTTCTTGAGAAAAAGACTAAAAAGAATAAGGCCAAATACTAATGTTCTAGCCAAGTATTCTACACAACAGGGTAGAATTTGATTCTCAGTATGAGAAGGAAAGTGCTAAGCTTGCAAGGAAGATGTCTAGGCTGTGTAAAAAAAGAGATTAGGAGAGTGCTATAGTCATCGTGTTCTTAGAATTCATTTTTAGCGCATCTGTGGTTACGTAAATGTTACGAATTCTAGACTCATTCATTTTGGGCATGAATGCAATGGTTCTCAACCCATTATAATACTGATGCCCAGACTTCCATATCTGTTAATTCAGAATTTCTGTGTTTGGGGCTTGCACATGGGTATTAAAAAAAGACACCCACTGATTCGTGCAGCAAGGATTGAGAAATACTTTTGCAATAGATTACCTATTCCGGTAGGTATGACTTAGAAAATAGATGAAACAGACATAATAACAATGTATTGAGTAACTCCAGCTGAGTGAGGGTGGCAAAGGCACTGGCTGCTCCCCACTCTGCTCTGAAGGAATGGTGTTTTATCAGAGCCTCATAGTTGGTCTCTGGTATTAGATTTGACCCTGTATAGTGGGAATAGATAGGTCAGCCTTTGGAAGGAAGAAAGCCGTATTGTTGAACCTATGCAAAGGCTTAGAAAACAGGCCAGTGCCTATTTACATTGTTTACAATTAAATGTACAATAAAAATACTTTGTTTTTCTTAAATTCACCCAATATCTGTCCACTTATCATATCTGTTTCTTCATAATTTCATGGGAATTTTTTCTCATATATTCTATGATGCACATTATAAAAAGTGTCAAAGAAGATGATCATAAATCCTCATTTTTTCCAATCTAACACCTAACTTTAAAATCTTTTCATACTTCACACTGAGCCAGAAACAGCCCCAACTTATTTCACTTTTTTTTTTTTTGCACATTTTCATTTGGCCAGATGTTGCCATATAGGTAATAAGAGATTTCCTTTATTTTTCCTTTGAGGAAAAGTTGTTACATCCATCAGGCTTCTAGCAAAAAAAAAATCAATTTTCTTTTTTGTTCTTGCCTGATTTGATATAGATAGCTAATATGGAAACACAATTTTTCTCCTTCACTACTTTCAAGGTATCAGGTGTCATAATTCCTCAAATTATAAATAGTTAAAAGAAACATAAAAAAAGTTTCTCATCTGTGTTCAGATAGAATCCATTTGAGAAGAAAATTTTCCGCCTTTCACCATAGCAATCAATCACTCCATTGTCATAATGCCACACCTTCAACATGAATTTAAAGGCATAAAAATAAGTGTTGTGGAATCAATTAGCACAATCTTTTGGGACTTTGCACCAAAACACAATTTCACATTGTTAAGTTTTATGAAGAACATGATTTTTTTAAAAAAATCCATATTCTCAAGATACTTTTGGGGTGTTGCTACATAGTAGTGCAGGAAAGACTATATGCATGAAATTCAAGGCCTTCTTTGAGGAATTTTTAGCATTTCTGTGTTCAATAATTTAATGGAAGACTACAGTAACCAAAGAAAGGTGAAAATCACTCAGAATTCAAATTCTCTGGGAAAGAAAGTTTGAGTCATTTGATAGGTAGAGAGCGTTGGCCAGCTGAAATGCTGGCTGAGTGCAAATATAACATTTAATGGGTAGTAAAAAAAATACATAAATAAAATGAGGTCTGCAGCAGCTACGCATCTTTTCTTTCCTGGTCCTTCTGTGTTTTCACATATAACCTAATTTGTGTCTGTCTGTGTGTATACATATACAGTATTTTTATATATTAACATTTCATGTCTCATTATTTCATATGTGTGATCAACGATATTTAATCTTATAATTCCCTCTTTAGAGTACAGAATGTTTATATAAACCATGACAAAATTTGAAGTTTATATAACATCTCCCAGAGACGGATAATATGGCTATTAATCAGAAAGGAATAATTAATCAGAAATGGCTTTTGGGACATTAGTTACCTCTTCATGAAGATAGAATGAAATAATCTTCGTTTGAAAAAAATACCTTAAGTTTGTTATTGTTATTGTGTGAAATTTACCTATGTATGGGAGGGTAAATGTGTATCAATGCCTGATAGACAAGAGGTGGACTGTGCCAGTTTTTAAGCTATTGTTTCCAGCCCCAACGATGTCCTACTACATTCCACTTTGGGATACTGGGGCTGAGAATGTGTAAGCTGCATTTCTCTTTTGCTAGTTGAACCCCTGATAGACACTACATATAGGCTAGAACAGCAAAGGACTTGTTCCTTCTTGTTTATTTCAGTGACTGTTCTTGACCCTAGGAAGAGCAGTAGAGTCTAGCTTCTAGCTTTCTTATCAGCACACCAAGAATCAGCATTATCATTCCTCTTAAGAAGTTTCAACATGCTTTAGGCCGTATTCCCCATTCCCTCACACCCCTACATCCCTCTCTGCTCAAAAATCTGAGATCTAGTTCTGTAGAGCACTAGTATACTCATGAGCTATCAGTACCAGTTGACTAAAGCCTCCTACTCAGGAGTTTGAATTACTGCCCTGTGAGGCTCCTCCTTCAATGTCAGGTGATATGAGATATCACTACTAAATAAACAGTGTCCCCTCTTCAGAAATCTGAGTTCAGGTTTTTGAAGCCCTTCCCAAAACTATTAGATTCTAATATCTCTTACTACTTTGTTATTTTTACCCAGTCCTAGGAGTGGTACTGCTTCCTCCAATGCCTATCTCTAGGCATTTTCAGTTTTTTTTCCACTTTTGAATTTTCAAATATCTATTTAAGCTATTATTTATTATTATATAAACAACTGACATTATTAAAACAACTAGCATTGTTTCTGTTTTTTCTCATTGAATCTTGACTAATATGAAACATGAACACACACATATACACACACACACACACACATATACACAAGTACACACACATACCTCTATCATTTTGTATAAAACTATAGAAAACAAAGTTCTTTATAGCTAGTCGAATGTGGGTTAATGTGATTTTTTTTAATACAAAGTTAAGAAAAACCTAGTAATTATAGAGTATATATTGAAGGCATATGACATAGGACAGTATCAGAAATACTTCGTGTGTATTTAGAATTCATACATTTTACAGGCAATAACTTACGTTCACACATCCAAGTTGCTCTAAAAATATTTGTAAGTTTTTCAATAACAAACAAATACCCGATTTTAAATTAAAGTTTAAAATTATATTCTTCAGTTTTATTAACAATATTTTACGTGCTCATTAGCCACATGTGCAGATATAGGTCATTGTCTTTATTACTCATATTTCACCCTGATTCTATAACAAACCATATGTAAAATTTTTGAACAATATATGGCAGTTTAATGATGTCAAAGATGAGAACAGAAGTAAAATGCCACTGTTTAATTAAAATATGTGACTTATTTTGTCAGAAGATACTAGACCAGCAAGTAATAATAATAATAAATATCAAAAATTTCTGAAATGTATAATGGAAAAACAATAGAGACAATCAAGTAAACTAAAGCTGCCTCTTAAAAAAAGACAAATAAAATGAACAAAGGTCTAATTAGGCTGGTTATAAAAAATTAGAAGAGATAGAAATTACCACCAACAAGAATAAATTAGCAGCATCACTACAGAACCTACAGATATCAAAAGGATAAGAAGTAGACATTATGAATTATTGTATACCACTAATTTGACAATTTAAACAAAATGAACTACTTCTTTGAAAACCACAAACTACTAATGTTCATTCAAGAAGAAATAGATTGGTTGGGTAACATTAAATTTATTAAACCAATTGAGTTTTAATTTTAAATCTTTTCTACAAGGAAAATTTCTAATCTAGCTGACTTTATTGGTGAATTCTGCCAAACATTTAAGAAAGGAATATTGCCAATTAAATACAAACCCTTCCTAAAACTAAAAGAGGAAGGAACATTCATTTTATTTTATTTTATTTATTTAATTTATTTTTCATTAGACAGGTCATCAAGACAGAAAGTCAATGAAAAAACAATGGATTTAAACTATACCCTAGAACAAATGGGCTTAAGAGATACTTACAGAACTTTCAACCCAACAACCACAGAATATACATTCTATTCATCAGCACATGGACCTTTCTCCAAGATAGATCATATGATGGGCCACAAAACAAATCTTAATAAATTTAAGAAAATTGAAATTATATCAAGTACTCTCTCAGACCACAGTGGAATAAAATTGGAAATCAACTCCAAAAGGAACCTTCAAAACCAGGCAAATACATACAAATTAAATAACTTGATCCTGAATGATCATTGTATCAACAATGAAATGAAGACGGAAATTTAAAATATTTTTTGAACTGAACAATAATAGTGACACGACCTATCAAAACCTCTGGAATTCAGCAAAGGTGATGCTAAGAGGAAGGTTTACAACCTTTAACATCAAAAAGTCTGAAAAAGCACAAATAGACAATCTAAGGTCACACCTCAAGAAACTAGAGAAACAAGAACAAAACAAACCCAAACCCAGCAAAAGAAATAACCAATATCACAGCAGGACTAAATGAAATTGAAACAAAAGAAATACAAAAGATAAATGAAACAAAAAGCTTGTTCTTTGAAAAGATAAATAAAATTGATAGAGCATTAGCAAGGTTAACCAAGAAAAGAAGATAGAAAATCCAAATAAGCTCAATTGGAAATGAAATGGGAGATATTACAACTGATGCTACAGAAATACAAAAGATCATTCAAGGCTACTATGAGCATCTTTATGCACATAAATTAGAAAACCTAGAGTAGATGGATAAATTCCTGGAAATACACAACCCTCCTAGACTAAATCAGGAAGAATTAGAAAGCCTGAACAGACCAATAAAAAGCAGCGACATTGAAATGGTAAGGAAATTACCAACAACAACAAAAAAGGTCCTGGACCAGACACAGTCACAGCTGAATTCTATCCGATGTTCAAAGAATTGTTATGAATCCTACTGACACTATTCCACAAGATAAAGAGTGAATTCTCCCTAAATCATTCTATGAAGACAGTATCACCCGAACACCAAAACCGGAAAAGAACATAACAATAACAACAAAAAACTACAGACCAATATCCCTGGTGAACATAGATACAAAAATGCTTAACAAAATACTAGCTAACTGAATCAAACAGCATATCAAAAAGATAATCCACCGTGATCAAGTGGGTTTCATACCAGGGATGCAGGGATAGTTTAATGTAAACAAGTCAGTAAATGTGATATACCACATAAACACAAGTAAAAGCAAAAATCACATGATCATCTCAATAGATGCAGAAAATGTACTTGACAAAATCCAGCATCCCTTTATGATTAAAACCTTCATCAAAATTGGCATACAAGAGACATACCTCAATGTAATAAAAGCCTATCTATGACAAGCCCACAGTCAATATAATACTGAAAGAGAAAAGAAAAAAGCATTCCCTCTGAGAACTGGAACAAGACAAAGATGCCCACTCTCGCCCTTCCATTCAACATAATACTGGAAGTCCTAGCCAGAGCAATCAGACAAGAGAAATAAATAAAGGGCATACAAATTGGTAAAGAGGAAGTCAAACTGTTGCTGTTTGCTGATAATATGATCATATACCTAGAAAAACCTGAAGACTCTTCCAAAAAGCTCCTAGAATTGATAAATGAATTCAGCAAAGTTTCGTTATACAAAATTAATGTACACAAATCAGTAGCTCTGCTATACACCAACAGCAACCAAGCTGAGAATCAAATCAAGAATTCAGCCCCTTTTAAAATAGCTGCAAAAATAAAATAAAATAAATTACTTAGAAATATACCTAACCAACGAGGTGAAAGACCTCTAGAAGGAAAACTGCAAAACACTGATGAAAGAAATCATAGACAACACAAACAAATGGAAACACATTCCATGCTCGTGGATGGGTAGACTCAATATTGAAACGTTCATTTAAAATGGTCAGCATTACCTAGATACCAATACTTGGCAGGGCTGTGTGTTACCTGGAAACGAAGTATTATGTAAGAGCAGAACTCAACAATACTAAATAAATACCTCAATAAAAACAGATATTTGAAAAACAACTCTTCAAGCAGTTAACATTTGTAGTTGGCAAATTCTTGTCACCTGTATGCAATGCTTATAGGCTAAGAAGTCTACTTTTGCAATAGGTACTGACTTAACTATAAAGGAAGAAAGTGAAAGGATCTTTCATTGACAAGTACAGAAAGAGAGCATAAGAATTAAGAGAAATTCTAATCCAGCTGAAATAAGTTAGAATTCTGAAGTTTAAATTTGGAGGTATGACTAATTTGCTTGCTATGTGAAAGAAGAAATAAAGTCATGTAATATAGAGAAATTAACCTGGATTTGGGATCAGATTGTGATTCAATTTACCACTTAACCACTTTGTACTTCAGAAGCACTTTTTCAAAATACTCTATTTATTTATTTTAAAAACAAATGACTGTATGAGACTGTTTCTATAATTAAATGACATAACAAAGGAGTATTTCCTGAATGTTGCTTTCCTTTTCATGTTGAAGCATGAAACTCCTTAAAATGATCCTCAAGGAGCCTCATTACGTCCCCGATCTTATTCTCCTGTACAGTCTCCCTAGTTTACAATGGTCCAGTTATTCTAATCAATCTGTTCCTTGAAATTCTTAGTTTGTTTTAATTTCAGAGGTTTTGCACTTGCTTTTTCTGAATCAGTACTTTGTTTAATTTCAAAACACAAAACTTATGTGGAGTGCAAGCACCAGGTTTCTAATTTTTCAGGGAATTATTTTACTATCCAGGTCTTGAAGGCTAAAATCTTCCTTTGACTTGTAGTGGATTTTGTTTTTCTACTATACTCATTCATGAATGATACAGATTTCTAGGGTCTTTGATTTATGTGGACATTTTGATCCTAGCCTTGGGTGGGCTCAAGTCTTTCATTTCTGCCCCATTATGGACTTTAAAATCTTATGCCCTAGGTTATTGAGACCAAAACCCCAACAGCCAAGGTAAGGTACAGGCCAGCTTCCTAGATCAGTACTCCTGTTTTAATTTATTTTTTCTTTCTGAATCTTATTAGCCTTACTGTTCTGAGAGATAGATATGCATGTAAAATAAATTTTCCTATTATATTTTTCTGGCTTGGTACTGATCGTCTCAAGGGAATTTTCAGATTCTCATAGTCTAATATCTCACTAGAACAGAAAGCCATATATCAACTTTAAGAATTGCACATAAAATATCTTAAAAATAAATCAAATATCTTCCTTACTCATAGAACATGAAAAAATAGAAGGACATTGGAAATCAGAAAAGCCAATGTCCTCATTTTGTAGTGAGGATAAAAGGAAATATATGGGGATGGCATAACTGAAGGCGACGCAACTTAAGAGTGACACTACTACAGTAAGGGCTTTTCTCAAGGCCTGCTTCCCTCACCTCCATACCTCAACACTGAGTACTAGAGGTAATTACATTTCAATGATTTAACTGATATGAGCAACTGTCTGATTAGCATCAAGGCACCTCACAGAACAGGGATCATTGGTGTTAAGGGATTTCAAAAATGTTATTTCCGTTCTCCAAAGCAATTGATTCCTGGTTTGGTAAAAGAATACCCCATCATGTGAATCTTGAAGCTTTTTCTCCTGACTTTTTTTACCTGACGTACAGGAGCTGTGCTGCTTCTTTTTCTCTTGGGAAAGCACTTTTTCTAAAAAAACAGAAACAAAACTTTTTTCCTTTCAATAAATATGCTTTGTATAAGGACACAGCTACAGAAAACTTTCAGCTGCCATTTCCTCTTTGACTTTTTGAATTTAGTAATATTTCTTTCCTGAGTATTCAACAGATTCTTATCCTTATTGTTATTCTAGATTGTTGTGACATTTTGTACTTAACAAGATGTATCTTGGGCATGCTTTACTTTAGGATAAAAATAACATTTGTATTGTCCATGCATGTTATTATTTGTTTTCTGCTGTGGCAATCCGACAAGCAGAAATTTGTTTTGATACTTCAGGAAACCCTTATGTCATCAAAATTACATTAATAAACAGTCATATGATAAACAGATATGTTATGAATAATCTGGTAAAGGAGCTTTTCAAAATAGCATTTCTTATAGATATTTTATACATTAGTTATTGTTCTTTAATTCATTTTTCCTTTGAGGAAAATCTGAGATAATTTCCCTACAGAATATCTTTTGGAATTAAACCCATATGTTTTATAGTACCTGTTTAAACATTTCAACATGCTTTAATGTTTTTTCTCTCATTTCTTCAGCAAATTTCACTTAAACTATAGATTCAGTCACCTGTATCTTAAAATAAAAAAAATTCTAAAATACTATTTTCTTAATTCTTGCTCCCTTCAAATGATTTGTTTTCTTATTTCTCTATTTTATCATCACAATTTTAAAAGCTAGGTCTGATTTAACATTTTCAACGTCAAGTCTGTCATTATTCCACTACTGTTTGACTTTCATTCTCACTACTTGTAACAGGCTGAATTGCTTCCCTGCAACATTTGTATGTTGAAGTCCTAATCCCAAGTACCTCAGAATGTGAGTGTATTTTAAGATAAAGTTTTTAAAGACCTTATTAGGGTGAACCCTAATGCAATATGACTGGTATCTTTATATGAAGAGAAGTTTAGGACACAGACACACAGACAGGGAAGACCCTATGAAGACATAGCAAGAAGATGGCCATCTACAAGTCAAAGAGAGAGGCCTTAGAAGAAATTAACCCTGCAGACACCTTGATCTTGGATTTCTAGTCCCCAGAATTGTGAGAAAATAAATTTATGTTTTTTAAGCCACCTAGTCTGTGGTATTTTGTTATGGTAGCCCTAGAAAACTAATATACCACCCTATAAATAATGTTTTTGATATGATTATCAGTTACTTCCTAATTGATATAATGACAGAATCAAAACACAGGGAATTTAAAGTAAGACAGAAGTGAGTCAAAGTCCTAATTTTAGTCAATTAATAGTGCTAAAACTTTGGGCGAATTATTTAATCTTTCTTTGCCTCCGCCTTCAGACTTTAAAAAAGGAAATAATTAATATTCATTTTTAAGGATTAAAGAGGATGGTTACATGGAAATGCCTTGTGTAATATCAAGCAGATAATAATGAAACTCATGACACTATAGTTCTTTCCTGTTGTCCAGACCAACATGCTTCCTAAATTCAGACCACTGATATATTTAATGACATAAATAATGGATGATTTGTCTAATATTGTTTTCTCTAACTTACACAAACTCTTCCTTTCTAATTCTTATTCTCCTAGTCAGCCCCCAGCCCCTTAAGAACTGATGACCTCCCTTCACACTTGAATCAGAAAATAGAAATAACTAGATCAGTACACCCTAATTTGTCCAAGAACAATACATGCATCTATACTCTATCTTGTGTCTCCATTCAGGCATGAAGGAAGCTTCCTTCCAACTCATGGCAAAGGCTCCTCTCTCCATTGGGCTTTAGATTTCACATCTCCAGTACCTTGCTGTGGCAATTTTTTCCTTTTTCTCCTATGTCTCTTTCTCTGAATGTTTTCATTTTCAACAACATATAATCATTCTCTAATACATATCCTCTCTCTTAAAAAGGAAATCTCAAATCCTCCTTTCTTGTTCATATCCTCTTTCCTGCTTCCCACTTAAAAATGCTCCTTATTTTGTGAAAACTTTTCAAAAGTTTTGTTTAGAATCTGCTCCAGTCTGGCTCCCGAAGCTTCCATTCTACTGAAACTTTTCTGTTGCCAAGGGCATGATCATCCTTGTGTTTTCAGACCCAACAAGTACTTTTCTCTCCTCATTTTATGGATCTCTTAAGAGTACCTGATTTATTTTTCCACTGTTTTTTTTTTTTTTTTTTTGGCTACATGGCTTTTGTGGCTTAATGTCCTTTTTTTCCTGCTTCCTCACTGGTCAATGACCCTCTGTCTTCTTTGCTTTTGCTGACTCATCTGTATCGGCTCATCCTTTTAATGATGGGGTATGCCAGACTGCTTCCTTTTCTTCTGTGTTTATACTCAATTTCTGTGACCTCATTCACTCCATTGATTTTAAATAATGCTAAATAATTAAGTTTTAAAACTTAAATGATTAAATAACACGAAGTGATTAATGCTAAATAGATAAGGCTAAAACTACCAAATACATGTATCTAACCTGGTTCTCTCTTTTGAGCTTGATACTCCAAGATTCAACTGACTACTTGGCAGCCTCTTTCGGGTATCTATTTGCCCTATCCTAAAAAGACCCAAAGATGTTCAAAGAGAACTTTAGTTCATTTTCTTTGCTAAATTTATTACTTACCCATCCTTTCTACTTCAGTAAACATCTCCACTCTTCTCTCTAATGCTTCTAATTATTGGAGTAATCTTTGATTACTCTTTTTTCTTTATTTTTAAAATTACTAACTACATCTATATTATCACATAGTCCATTAACAAGCCCTGTTGGTTTTACCTCTGAAATACATAAGGTTCGGTTTTCTGTTTCCCAATAGCTCCATTGTCACCTCTGTGGTTGAAATCACCATCATTTCTCATTTAGACCAATGCAATAGAGTAATCCATGTCACTTTTGAAGTTTTCACTCTAACAGTCTATTTGTCACAATAGCCAAGACAACTTTTAAAAATGTCAATCTAAAAATTATTTCAGCACCTGGATTAAAATAATTTAAACTCTTTCCTCTATACTGTACTTAGGGCTCTATTGATCTCTGCTGATCTCTTCAATCTCATATTGCACCAAGTTCCTCTTGTTTACCGTATTTAGCTTTTCTAGTCTCCTTTCCAAACCTGAAGCAAGACAAGCTCTTTTATGCCATGGGACCTTTAAATGTGTGCCTTCTGCTTCCTAAAAATCTTGTCCCAGAGGGATTTCTATGGCTACCTCTTCTCCGTGGTCTCAGTGTCAAATTACAGGTCATTTCCTCAGAGAAGCCAGCTATAGGTAGCCTATCTCAACTGGAACCTTCTCCCAAGTAATTCTTTATAAAATATATAGATATTATATCACATCATAGTGCTTAACTGAATTTTGTGCTTATTTATTTCTTTTCTGGTTTGCTTATGTTTCTCCTCACTAGAATGCAAATATTTTAATAGCAAGTTCCTTGTCTATCTAGTAATTGTGTGCTAAGAACATTGTTACATATATATTTTCACAATATCATACTAAAAATCAAAGCTGTAACTTTAGATGGCTACAAATATTAGCACCATTTTATGGCTGAGAAAAAGAAGGCTTAGGGAAGAATAAGCAGCTTGCCAGAGATTATGTAGCTAGATGTAGCAGGTTTGGGATTCAAAATGAGGCATGTCTGATGCTAAAATCTATGATCTTAATCACATGATTTACTGCCTCTTAGTCTCCTGATTTCTGGGCTTTTGATTTACTTTAGAGCTCTGTTCATCCCTTGGCTCTGATATTTGGTGCTATTTCAGTGGGTCTGACATTTGGCTCTCGAAATAATTATGGTAAAGATCTATCCTACAGTCATGCTGCTTCTGTCTGCCTAAATATCCTCCTGCTATGTTGAGTATATTCCACATTGCCCCCAGGATCTCCTAATCTGCAGGGCAAGAGGTTGACACTCTTCCCTCCGCTTTGCAGAAAACTGTGTGCCTTTGGGCACATCATCTTCTCTGGGCCCCAATTTCCTTTTTTGTAAAATAAACAATTTGAATTATGATCTTGAAATTCTCTTTAAGATTTCAGCAATAATGACAAGTCATGTTTCTTTTTCCCCCTGCCTTTAAGCTTTTTAAGTTATCAATATTTTAATTTAAGCAATTTAACTTTCCTAGTACTAGAATATATTAATCCTACAAAGAGCAGCTACATTGTTGTAGGAACATTCTTTAGGTTGTTAGTTATAGTACATGATGTCTTCATCACTTGATAGAAAGCAATTCAACTCTCTTAGATTAATATTTCACTCCACAACAAAATGCTACTGATAACCCAGTCGATGCCTGCCTGCCTCAGAGTTATCAATTATACAACAACTTAGTCTAATAAGTATGTAATGAATGTCTCCTATGTGCTAGGTTCTGTGCTAGGTGCTAAAAATGATCGATACATAGATGCTGTCTGCCACGAACCCATGATTTAGTGGGAGAGATGGACAAACCATGAATCAGTCTAACAAGCACAGAGTGGTATAAGAGCTAAATCTAACAATAACATCAAAAAGAAAAACAGCTGTCAGAATATAGACAAATATGACTATAATGGTATAACCGCTCTTTGTTCTAGGGCATTAATTCTGCTTTAGAGAACAAATCAGGGAGCAGTTTTTAAAGCTGGTCACAATCCAACAGTGTGAAAAGAAACCCAGAAACAGATAGGTCCTCCTCTGCCATCCCATCTGATTGCTAGAATAGACTTTAAGACATTTTTCTGGTTTCCAAGCTTACCTACCCCCATAACCCTGAGATTTCTGCCTTTCTGAGCAAGCTTCAGCCTTGCAGTCACCAGCAGGGAAGCAATCTGCTGTTCATTCCTGAAGCCCCAGGGACCTTTCTTACTGCCGCCCTTCTGGTTGGACTGTTTCTGGGCTGCCAAGTTGGCAAGGCGTCTGGTTTGAAGGCATGTGGGTTAGGACAGTCTTCTTAGCAGGATGGCCAAGGGGAGGCTTGGGGAGTAGAGTAGAAGAGAAGCCTCACTGGAAAATACAGCCAAAATGTCACTCCAGAAGATGTAATTAATCTGTAGCTAAGGAGGGAGGCAGGCTGGCCATTCCTGGAATGTATTGTTTCAGGTTTGCACCTAAACTAGATTCCTACACATTTAAGAGACACGCTAAGGGAGAATCAGTGAGGTGATGCCAATACTGGAGAGCATTTAGAGTACAGTGAGTAAAGAACAAAAGCATTGAATATTTTTTTAAGCCCCTTATACTTTAGCTCTTTACAGGAGCTAGTCTTTGTTAATGTGTTATAGTTTATAAAGTATGAACTCAGGTTCTTATGAGGAAAGTAGTATTATTACTGCCTTTTTGTAAGTGAGGAAAATTAGGCTTGGAGATCTGCAACTTTCCTAAGATCACACAAAAGAAGCATGAAGCAGACCCAGGACATAATCACGGAACTTCTGACTCCAGGTTTCATGATCCTTCCACTACAGGATTCCTCTTCACAGTTAGAATTTAGTATCTAGACTGTGAGTTTTAGTGGTGGATGTCATGTCCTGCCTTTTATACCTCGGTCTCAGTTCCTAAGCTAGTGCCTGTCCAGTCAGGTTGACTCCTATGAGCCCCAGCCACATCGGAGTATTTAAGAATCAGTTAAAACTGCTGGCCCAAGCTTCTGAGCATGCTAAATGGCACATCTCCCCACCCTTAAATTTTGGCCCACTGTTTGTTCCTCTTCAGATTCTGTTTTGTTTTTTTTGTTTGTTTGTTTTTTTTTTTTGAGATGGAGTCTTGCTCTGTCGCCCGGGCTGGAGTGCAGTAGCGTGATCTTGGCTCATTGCAAGCTCCGCCTCCAGGTTCACTCCATTCTCCTGCCTCAGCCTCCCAAGTAGCTGGGACTACAGGTGCCCACCACCAAGCCCAGCTAATTTTTTGTATTTTTAGTAGAGACCGAGTTTCACCATGTTAGCCAGGATGGTCTTGATCTCCTGACCTCATAATCCGCCCGCCTTGGCCTCCCAAAGTGCTGGGATTACAGGCGTGAGCCACCACGCCCAGCCTGTTCCTCCAGATTCTTCTTAATCCTCATTTCCCTGTCTGCCTGCCCCAACTGAGCATGCTAAATTTTTTATCAACTTGCTTTGCTTGGAATGCCTCCTGCAGCAGTAACTGCACTGCTTGACTAGTGTTCAAAATAATCCCTTATCCTGATAGTTCCTGCTCCCTTGTTGGAGGAAGAGTATACTTTCTTTGTCTATATCCAATATACACTTTCCTTCTATTAAGCCTCCATCTAAACCCTTTATGAAACAGTATTTAGTACTGGTTACTTAACCTCTCGGAATTTCAGTCTATTCTTCTGTAACTATTGATTGAATGAGTCAATTCATGTGATGCGCTTAGAATTTGGTGTGTAGTAAGCACACAATAAACCTTAGTTTTGTTTTTAGTATTTTTGTAATGTTGTAACTATTGACTTTTCTGAAGTTTCTTTCAACCACATATTTCTACACCTTTTTGTTTTGTTCTCTATATATTGACTGTTTTTACACACAAATGTCACAAGTAAAAAATCTACTCATTCTTCACAGAACCACCAGTCATAAAATTGTATTCCAAACAATAGTATCAAACGGCTATTCATTGACTATCTTATGCTAGGCATAGTGATAGGTGCTGCAGATTCAGGGGTTAAAGAGGACTACTCCTGTGGTCCCCGTTCTTTGGTGCTCTTTTTCTCACTTCCAAATATCCTGTCCTATTGAGCCACTATTACTGCAGAGTTACGTTTTGCTTTACATTACTTAGTTGTTGACATATCTGCCCTCGAGGAAACTAGTTGGAGAATAATAGTATTTAGTAATCACTTCATCCCCATGGTCTAATATAACACATGACACATAAAGGGTACTTAATGTTAGTTGAATTAACAGATGAAGGAATGCATATGTGCAGAGGTGTGCTTGTTTTTTTTCTGTATAAGCCATTCTTGAATGGGAATGTGCAAAGAAGGAAATATTTCTAAAGCCCTTTTTTTGCTGTTCTGACATTTATCGAAGGTGCACCATCTAGCACCAACCTTTTACTTTCCTCTTGGGAAGGCTATGCACATAAAAGCTTCCAATCTACTGCTAAAACATGGACAATGTGTAGCATAAGACAAAATAGGTCACACAAAAGTGAGACATGGATTTGCAAGAGTTAATTCCATGCAGAGAATTACCAAAAGGAGAATTTGAAGACTTGCAGAAATAAGGAGGAGCCATTGAATACATGGTTCTCGCCATAAGCAGGCCGTGCTAAGCTGAGAGGGCATTTCAGAAGCTGGAGCTGGACAGAGAGAAATACAGAGTATGTCAGGAAAAATGCAGGACCTGGAGCTCAACTGCCTAGTAGATCTCTTTATTGAATCAATCTATGAGAGAGATAATTCTGTAAAATATGAGTCACCAGTAATTACTTTAATAAAAATAGATAAAAGGAAACAAACACAAGTTTAAGCAACTTTAAGAGTATAGGCAAATGATAAAATATCCCTCTCTACCCTTTTGTATGTTTGTTTGCTTATTTATCTGTGCAGTTTTGGAAATAGCCTCTATTTTTGATATTATTGCAAAAATGTACATATCTGTTGCAAAAAAGTTTTAAAATTTGTAAAACACAAAGGAAATAAAATTTATGCATAATTCTACCAACCAGGGGTCCATTACCAACATTTTTATACCCTTCTCACCTCTATTAATAGATATATTTGCGTTTGAATATACATGCATATGCTTTTGAAATGGAATATTTTTAAATATCCTATTCTATAACCTTCCTTATTTAATAATAAATAATAAATATTTTAAAACCCAACAATTATAAATACACATAATTTTAATGGTTACTGAATTTTCCATTGTATGCAAGAGTTCACTAAATGTATTTATAGAATGCTTTGAGAAATGACAGCAGAGAGTATATTTCAACTACATTTCTTAGCCAGTTTGCTAGTTAACACACTGCAGTTGGACATTGTTACACTTTATTAATTCGATTAAACATTGTGTGCTGGGAATTACCCTGAGCACAGAAAACTACAGATACAAAGATGTGATAGATAAAATGAGAATTGAAATTATAATTCAAGATCTTGCTAGGTAAACTGGACAATTATAATATAATTCATAATAATACAATTCTAATACAATGTCTTAAGCTTGACATAAAAGGTTAGCCCCCAAATTCTTGGAGACTCAAAAGACTGGAGTAAGGACCTTGGGGAAGTGGAGAAAGCTGCACTGACAAGGTGATGCTTGAACTACCTCTTGACTTATAAGTATAGGTGGAATCCCCATTTGCATGTACATTAACATGCCTGTTTAGGAAGAATGCAGAAGCTGAAGTGTCCAGTGAGTGGCCCACACATGCTAAATAAGTATTTATTGAATGAATGTAGAATGAATAGATAAAACAATAAAACGGAATCTTCTAAAACATTAATACTACCCTGTAACATTTATATCAACTGATTGGGACCTCTAAACCCCAATAAAGCACTGTATTCCTTTGCCATGCCCGCTCTGGAATAATGCAAAACCTACAAACTTTTGAGAATAACAAATTTTTGAAGAATAGTTATTCAAATTGTTGGAGAATGATAATTATTGTAGCATCTTATTATTCAGTATCACCTGAGTGTTATTTAAAATACTTCCAACACGCTGACAAAGGTGGAATTATGTGATATCCATTATATAGAGCAGAGGCTCCATGATTGAGTGGTTAACTGACTCATATCTCAGTCGAGGTCTCTCTGACTCTTTAATTCATTACCACACTATGCTCCCTACTCTTTATAGAGAGCATTTTAGATGCATACCTTCTTTGATTTCTATAACTTCTGAGTTGGTCAGGACCTCTTTAGGGATTCCCATTTTAGTGATGAAGAAAATAAGTCTCAAAAAAGCTACATTATTTATCTGAACTCCCAGGGATACTAATTAACAGATTCTAAATGTAAAAAAAGTTTTCTTCCATTGGCCCACACTGCCATTAACCACTCCTGACACAATGTTCTACATGGAAAAATTTCTGAAATGCTAGTTGTCAGAATAGAGCTCTCTAGTTTATCTCCAAGATCCAAATGACCACCTTCACCAAAGTCCTTCCACACTAGCAGGTCTATGTGCTATAAAGTCAATAAAGAGGCCGGGCACAGTGGCTCATGCCTGTAATCCCAGCACTTTGGAAGGCCGAGATGGGTGATCACCTGAGGTCAGGAGTTTGAGACCAGCCTAGCCAAATGGTGAAACCCTGCCTCTACTAAAAAAAAATGCCCAAATTAGCTGGGCGTGGTGGTGGGTGCCTGTAATCCCAGCTGCTCAGGAGGCTGGGGAAGAAGAATCACTTGAACCCGGGAGGTGGAGTTTGCAGTGAGCTGAGATTGCACCACTGCACTCCAGCCTGGACAACAGAGAAAGACCCCATCTCAAAAAACATAACAAACAAACAAAGATAACCCAAAAAACAAAGTTAATAAAGAGCCAAAGAAGCCCCTTCTGAAATTTTATCCTGGACACTCATCTTTCTCTGAAATAATAACATATCTTTATCTTCTTCAGAAGTGTATCCAACCTGACTCTTTCCATGCTCTTCACTATGCCAAAATATTTATGATATAATCTATGGTTGGAAACAGTATAATGTGATTTAAATTGCTCAAAAAATCTGGGTTCAAAACGTGGTATCATCTTTTAGTATCCATTTAAAGAAAAGTGAATTATTTTTTCTTTATCTTCAGTCTTCTCATCTATAAAAATGGACTGCAATACGTTACATAATTGTAGTGAGACAATTTCACTATTATATTAATATGAAATATATATATGTATAGTATATACTATATTATATAGTATATAAAATGTACTATATAATATCTATTATAGTAATATATAATATAAAATATATTAATATATTAAATTATATTAACATCTATACAAATGGACTGCAATACTTTATATAATTGTAGTGATACAATTTTAGTTAATTGTAAGAATTAACTGAAATAATATTGATAATAACTTAAGCTTTTGAGGTTTTTGTTAACTGCTATAACCTATTGCCTAGTATAGTGTCAGGAGCTCAATAAGTATTTTCTAAATGAATTAATGAGTGAATAGATTCATTGAATTAATAAATATGAATGAATGATTGAATATAATATTTAAAGGGCTTAAATATTTATCAGACACATATCGTATTTCTTGACATTTTGTTAGGTCCTAGCAATAAAACTATGAACAAACTAGATATGATCAATGCAGAACTAATGGTGAACACTGTTAAGAAAACAGGCAAGTAAGCAGAGTACAGCATGAGGAGGATCCACAGGGTAGACAAGAGTACATACGAGGGTAAATTTAAGTGTATGAGGCAGACATTTCTTCCTGAGGCAGGTCACATCTGTAGAAGTAACATATGAAAAATTTCTGTCACAAGACCTGGAACTTAGTATGTTCTTAAATAGTTCTTCATGCTTTCTACACCCTCTCCCACCATCCAAGTTGAAGAGCATTTACAGACACCATCAGCTTTGCTTGATGGCTGTTGTAGTGTTAGGCTGATTTAATGACCCAGATACCCTTGTCTTTAGTTTTTCCCAAATCTGATGTTTGTGTAGAAACAGAATAAACAACTCTTCAACCAATTCTTTCTTTTGGAGTCTTCAACCTTCTCAAACTTTTCAACCCCATATCCACGCCAGAAAGTTTTTTGTTTGTTTGTTTTTACAAACCTGAGAACAGCTTAGAGTCCCTTGTCAAACCTTAAACTGAATAGAGGAGAAAAATAATTTTAACTATAAATTGAACTTCTCTATTTGTAACTTACCTATTAATCATAACTAAAAGCATGATTAAGCTGTAACTAAAAATCCCAATAAAGACCTGCAACTGTACTAATGTATTACTGTCATTTCTTCAAAAAGAGATTATCCAGTTGCAAAGTCCAGAAAGAAAATTAGAGATTTAGAGCAATTCACTCTTTTTACAGATAGTACTACTGTATAAGAAACAAATGTTCATGACCTTAAAGCCATGAACAAATGACTGAATTAAAAAGAAACCATATGAAAAGGAATAACTTCTGAATAGCAAAAAAGTACCATTAAAACATTAAAAGATAATAACCAAAAAATATTTATAATGTTTATGACAAAAAGAACTAATTTTTAAAAATTGTGAACAACCTATACAATGCAATAATAAAACCAAAATGTAATATAAAATAGCAAAGGAAGTAAATAGAAATTTCACAAAAAGGAAATATCATTAATTTTGTTATTTTGTTTCTTTCTCCACTTTTTGTATTTTCTGAATATTTTTTAGGTGATAGGATAGGTTTTAGATAGTTTTTACCAATTGGATCCTTTATGTTTTATTTTTATTTTTATTTTTTGATTTCCAGCTTTCATTTTAAGTTCAGGGTACATGTGCAGGATGTACATGTTTGTTATGTAGGTAAACGTTTGCCAGGGTGGTTTGCTTCACAGATCAACCCATCAACCAGGTATTAAGCCCAGCACCCATTAGCTATTCATCCTGATGCTCTCCCTCCACCCCACCCTACTCAATAGAGAAACATAGGGCTTACACCACATTTTAGATCAAATGGACCCGACAGATGTATACAGAACATTCTAACAGCAACAGAAAATGTGCATTATTGTCACACACATGGTTTATCATAAGGATAGATCATATGGTTAGACACAAAACAAGTCTTAACAAATTTAAGAAGACTGAAATAATCAAGTATCTTTTCTGACCAAAATGGTATGCAACTAGAAATCAACAATAGAAAGAATTTCAAAAAATTCACAAATACATAGAAACTTAAAAATATGTTTCTGAACAACAAATGGGTCAATTAAAACATTAAAAAGGAAATTTAAAACCTTTAGAGAAGAGAAAATGGAAACACAAACTACTAAAACTTATGGGATGCAGCAAAAGCATTTTTAAGAAGGATATTTATAACAATAAATGCCTACATTAACAAAAAATATTTCAAATACATAATCCAATGCTGTACTTCAAAAAACTGAAAATAAAGGTCAAACTATGCCTAAAGTTAACAGAAGGAAGGAAATAATAAACATCAGAGAAGAAGTAAATGAAAATAGCACAAAAGATAAATGAAGCTAAGAGTTGGTTTTTAACAAGGTAAACAAAATTGACATACCTTTATCCAGAATAAGAAAAAAAAGAAGATGCAAATAAATAAAATTAGAAATGAAAGAGGAGACATTACAACAGATACCACAGAAATATAAAAATCATAAGAGACTACTAAGAACAACGAATTGGGTAAACTAGAAGAAAATAGATAAATTCCAAGAAACACACAATGTCCAAAACTGAATCATGAAAAAATAGAAAATCTTAATAGACCAATAATGAGTACAGAGAGTGAATTAGTAATAAAAATTATTCCATCAGAGAAAAGCTTAGGACTTGATGGCTTCAGAGATAAGTTCTGCCAACATTTAAAGAACTAATACAAATCCATCAAAAACTCTTCCAAAATATTTAAGTGGCGAGAATACTTTCAAACTCATTTCAGAAGGCCAGCTTTACCTTGATACCAAAGCCAGACTAGGAGAGTATGACAAAACAAAATTACAGGCCAATATTCCTAATGAACATAGATGCAAAACTCTTCAAAGAATACTAAAACACTGAATTTGACAGTGAATTCAACAGAAGGCTGGTTCACTATCATCAAGAGGGATTATCCCAAAGATGCAAGGATAGTTAATATACAAATTTCACAGTTATATTTGTGAAAAATCACATGATCATATGATCATTTTAATAGCTGTATTAATAGAAAAAAGTATTCAACAAGTTTAACATCCTTTTGTGATAATACTCTCAAAAAATTAGGTATAGATGGAACGTACCTCAATACAATAAAGTTTGCATATATGACAAACCCAATGCTAACATCATACTTCATGGCAAAAAGTAGAACTTCTTTTGTCTCATATCAGGAAGAAGACAAGGATACCCACTCTCACCATGACTAATCAACAAATACTGTAAGTCCTAGCTAGAGCAATTAGCTAAGAAAAAGAAATGAAATGTATCCAAATTAGAAAGGAAGAAATTAAATGGTCCCGGTTTGCAGACATGATTGTGTATACTGAAAACCCTAAGAAATCTGCTAAAATTCTATTAAAAATTAAAAAATGACTTCAGTAAGGTTACAGGATACAAAAACAAGATACAGAAATCAGTAGCATTTCCATACACTAACAATGAACTATCCAAAAAAAGTGAAGGAAACAATCAATTTACAATAGCATCACAAAAATGTATAGATCAAAACATCACATTGTACTTACTAAATATATACCATTAGTTGTTAATTAAAAATAAAAATTTTAAAAATTCTTAGGAATAAATTTAAACAAGGAAGTAAAATAGCTATACACTGAAAACTATAAAATATTGATGAAAGGAATTTAAGGAGATACAAATAAACTGAAATATATCTCTTCTTCAAAAATTGGAAGAATTGGCTGGGAGCAGTGGCTCAAGACTGTAATCCCAGCAATCTGAAGTCTGAGACGAGTGGATCACTTGAGGTCAGGAGTTCGAGACCAGCCTGGCCAACATGGTGAAACCCCATTTCTACTAAAAATACAAAAATTAGCCAGATATGGTGGTGTGTGCCTGTAATCCCAGCAACTCAGGAGGCTGAGGCACAAGACTCGCTTGAACCTGGGAGGTGGAGGTGGGAGTGAGCCAAGATCACGTCACTGCACTCCAGTCTGGGTGACAGAGTGAGACTCTGTCTCAAAAATAAATAAATAAATAAATAAAAATAATAAAATACAAAATTTGGAAGAAAGAATATTATTAAAATGTTGATACTACCTAAAGCAATCTGCAGTTTCAATGCAATCCCTACCAAAATTCTAATGATGTTTTTCACAGAAATGAAACAATTCTAAAATATTTATGCAACCACAAATGATCCTGAATAGCCAAAGCAATCTTGAGTAATAAAAACAAAGCAGGAGAATCACAGTATCTGACTGCAAAATATACTACAAAGCTGTAGTAATTATCACAGAATAGTACTGGCATAGAAACAGACATATTGACCAATGGAAAAGAATAGACATCCCAGAAATAAAGTCAAGCATTTATGATTGATTTTCAACAAAGATGCCACAAATACACAATGGATAGGCTCATCAATATATTGTGATGAGACCACTGGATAGTCACATTCAGAATAATGAAATTAGACACTTATCTCACACCATATATAAAAATCAAATCAAAATGGGTTAAAGACTTAAGTGTAAGACCTGAAACTGTGAAACTGCTAGAAGAAAATGGGGGGAACGCTCCATGACATGGGTCTGGGCAATATTTTTGGAAATGATCCTCAAAGCACAGGCAACGAAAATAAAAAATATACAAACAGGATTACATTAAACAAAAAAGCTTCCTGCAGCCAAGAAAACAGTTAACAGATGAGGAGATAAAAATAAAAAGATAATTGATGTGTCCAAAATAAGGGACATAGAAAGAATGTGCTGTGAGTTAATAGATTAGAGCAGTGGTGTGTTGGCCATTATTTTAACAACTAGGTCTTTTGGAATAAAAGCCCTGACGTGTACCATTTGCCAATTTCATGGTGTAAATACTCTCACCATGGCTGATTTCAGGATACCGACCTGAGGTCACTGAATGCCAAGTTGGGAAATGGTATTCATAATTAGATTTTGGAGTGATAGTTATAGACAGACATGACCTGGGCATAGTTTATGGAGGAGGTCAAAACTGAAACTAGTCTTGAAGTTTGTGTACAAACTAGATAGGTCAAGAAAAGTAGGCTACAGATTTGAGGAATGGTCTAATCAGAGCCCAGAAATAGGAATAAATGTGGAATGTTTAAGAAAATACACTCAGTACATAGTTTGCCAATAAATATATTTGTGCATAATTGAATGGCAGTCAATAGACCTGTCTGATCGGAAAAATGAGTCTTCATAGGTAGCAACTTGAGAGGATGGCTCAGATGCCACACAATATTCTGTGGTAACCCACAGTTCTCTAGCTTTCTGTATAATGATAATTGAATCATCAGAATCTTCATCAGCTTTGTTACAAAGGCTCAGAAATTACCTTGATCTTTGCTTAATATTTTTGAGTTATTTTAATAATTATGCAAATGTCTAATAGTAAAATAGAATTAATAGAGAATTCTAAGGGAGCAGAAAATTCTAATTTTCAAAGGTTGCAGAGTGGCTTTTCACAGCTATATATCTACAGAATGACATTCTCTCTACTAAACAAACATGCCTACAGACATTGAATTTAATGATAGTACTTTCTTTAAATATAGGTGGGCTACAGAAAAAACCTCTTTCTCTTGTCTGGTGTGTGTGTGTGTGTGTGTGTATGTGTGTGTGAGTGTGTATGGAATTTTGTGGTTTGGCAGGGATCCCCAAACTTTTTCTGCAAACGGCTAGCTATTAAATATTTTCCGCATTGCAAACAACGTGGTCTTGGTCACAGCTACTCGACTCTGACATTGTAGCCCGAAAGCATCCATTGACAATATGTAAATGAATATCATGGCTGTGTTCCAATAAAACCTTATTTATAAAAACAAGTGGGAAACATCAAGGCATCTAGACAAATTGACACTTTTAAAAATTTTATTTTTAATTGACAAATAATAATTACAGGTATGTATGGGGCATAATGTGATGCTGATATATGTATATATTGTGGAGTGATTAAATCAAGCTAAAATGGCAATCACCTCACATATTTATCATTTTATTGTGGTAAGAGCATTTAAAATCTACTCTCAGCAATCTTAAAAGATACAATATATCATTATTTACTATAATCATCATGCTGTGCAGAAGACCAGTAGAACTTACTTCTCATGTCTAACTAAAACTTTGTACCCTTCAACTAACATTTTCATTGACCCTATTCATCCCCTTCCACTCCTGCACATCACCTTGTGATACTACGATTCTATTTCCTACTCCTACGAGTTCAAAGTTTTTTAGATTCTGCATCTAAAGAGATTATGTGGTTACTTGTCTTTCTGTGCATGGCTTATTTCACTTAATGTAATGTCCTCCAGGTTTGTCTATATTATGATAGATGACAGAATTTCTTTTTAAATGGTAAATAGTATTTCATTGTGTACATATACTGTATTTTCTTTACCCATTTGCCCAATTATGGACACTTAGTTTGATTGTATATCTTGCCTATTGTGAATTATGTTACAACAAACATGGAAGTACAAATAACTCTTTGACATACTGATTTCACTTCCTTTTGATATATAGTCAGAAGTGGAATGAGTGGATCATATGATGATTCTATCTTTAGTTTACTGAGGAAGCTCCATGCTATTTTCCATGGACTAATTTACATTCCCACCCAAAAATGTGCATGTGTTCCGTGTTCTCCACACCCTCTCCAACATTTGTCTTTTATCTTTTTGATAAGAGGTATTTGAACAAGTCAGAGGTGATATCCCATTGTGGTTTCAGTTAATATTTCACAGGTTATTAGTGATATTGAGCATTTTTTCATCTGCTTATAAGCTATTTATGTTTGGAAATATAAGTGTTATCATTTTATTGTGGTTTGCTTTATTGTGCTTCACAGATACTGCATTTTTTTTTTTTTTACAAATTGAAGGTTTCTGGCAACCTTGAGATGGAATCTACTCCTGGTGTTTGGCAAGTGTGTTACTCCCATTTTTCCAACATGTGTTCACTTTATGTCTGTCACATTTTGGTAATTCTTGCAATATTACAAAGTTTTAAATTATTATTGTATATGTTATGCTGATCTGTGACCAGAAATCTTTGACGTGACCATGGTAATTGTTTTGGGACACCACAAACAGTGCCAATGTTAAAAAGGTGACTTTAATTAATAAATGCATGTGTTCTAACTGCCCCACTGACCAGCCACTCCCCTGAATCTCTCCCTCTCCTTGGGCCTCCCTATTCCCCAAGACACAAAAATATTGAGATTGGGCCAATTAATAACCCTAAAATGGCCTCTAAGTGTTCAAATGAAAGAAAGAGTTGCATGTCTCTCACTTTAAATAAAAAACTAGGGATGATTGAGCTTAGTGAGGAAGGCATGTTGAAAGCTCACGTAGGCTGAAAGCTAGGCCTCTTGTGCAAAAGTTAGTCAAGTTGCAATTGCAAAAGAAAAGTTCTTGAAGGAAATGCAAAGTGCTACTCCAGTAAACACACACAATAAGAAAGAAAAACAGTCTTACTGCTGATATGAAGAAAATTTTAGTGGTCTGGATAGAAAATCAAACCAGCAACAACATTTCCTTAAACTAAAGCCTAATTGAGAGCAAGGCTCTGACTCTCTTAATCCTATGGAGGGTCAAAGAGGTGAGGAAGCTGCAGAAACAATGTTTGAGGTGGCAAAGCTTGGTTTACAAGATTTAAGGAAAGAGAAGTCTTCATAACATAAAACTGCAAAGTGAAGCAACAAGTGCAATGGAAAGCTGCAGCAAGTTATCCAGAAGATTTAGATATTAGATGAAGTTGGCTATACTAAACAATAGATTTTCAGTGTAGATAAAACAGCCTTCTATTAGAAGAATATGCCATCTAGAACTTTCACAGCTACTAAGGAGAAATTAATGCTCAAAGGATAATAAAGGATTAAGCTTCAAAGGATAGTCTGATACTCTTGCTAGGGGCTAATGCAGCTGGTAACTTTAAGTAGAAGCCAGTGCTCATTTACTGGTCTGAAACTCCCATTATGAAATACTCTAAATCTACTCTGCCTTTGTTGTTTAAATGAAACAACAAAGCCTGCATGATAGCATATCCGTTTACAGCATGGTTTACTGAATACTTTAAGCCCATTGCTGAGACCAACTCCCTGGAAAAACAATTCCATTCAAAATATTACTGCTCATTTATAATATACCTGGTCACCCAAAATCTCTGAGGAAGATATACTAGGAGATGAATACTGTTTTCATGCCTGCTAACACGTATCTATGTTGCAGCCCATGGATCAGAGAGTAATCTGGACTTTCAAATCTTATTTAAGAAGTATATTTTGTAAGGCTATATATTCCATAGATAGTGATTCCTCTGATGGATCTGGGCATAATAAATTGAAAACCTTTTGGAAAGGAGTCGCCATTCTAGATGCCATTAAGAACATTTCTGATTCATGGAAGGAGAACAAAATATTAACGTTAATAGGAGTATGGAAGAAGTTGATTCCAATCCTAATAGATGACTTTGAGGGGATCAGGGTATCAGTGGTGGAGATAACTGCAGATATCATGGAAATAGCAAGAGAACTAGAATTACAAGTGCAGCCTAAAGGTATGAGTGAATTGTGGCAATCTCATGATAAAACTTGAACACATGAGGATTTGATTTTTATGGTTAAAAAAAGAAAGTAGTTTCTTGAGATGGAATCTACTCCTGGTGAAGATACTGTGAATGTTTTGATATTGTAACAAAGTATTTAGTATATCAGATAAACCTAGTTGATAAAGCAGCAGCAGGCTTTCAGAAGATTGAGTCCAATTTTGTAAGAAGTTTTACTATAGGTAAAATGCTATCATACAGCATAGTATGCTACAGAGAAATCTTTTGTGAAAGAAAGTATCAACTGATGCAACAAATTTCCTTTTTGTCTTATTTTAAAAAATTGCTCCAGCCACCCCAGCTTTCAGCAGCCATCACCCTCATCATTCAGCAGCCATCAAAATCAAGGCAAGACCCTCCCCCAGCAAAACTTTGACTTGATGAAGGCTCAGACGATTGTTAGCATTTTCTAGCAGTAAAGTATTTTTAAATTAAGGTATATAAATTGCTTTTTAGGCATAATGAGATTGTACACTTAATAATCTACATTAAAGTATAAACATAATTTTAATTTTAATTTTTTTTTTCAACTTTTATTTTAGAATCGGGGGACATGTGTAGGTTAGCTACAAAGGTATATTGCATGATGCTGAAGTTTGGGTATGATTGAACCCATCATCGAGGTTATGAACATAGTATACCTTATACATTAGGTAGTTTTTCAGCTGTTATGCCCCTCCTTCTCTCTTCACTCTAGTAGTTCCCAATATCTATGGCTCCCATCTTTATGTTCATATGTAGCCAATGTTTACCTCCCACTTATAAGAGAAAACATGCAGTGCTTGGTTTTCTGTTCCTGTGTTAATTTACTTCAGATTATGGCCTACAGCTACATCCACGATGCTGCGAAGGACATCATTTTGTTCTTTCTTATAGTATTCCATGGTGTAAATGTACCACATTTTCTTTGTCCAATACACCATTGATGAGCACCTGGGTTGATTCCATAAACGTAACTTTTAGATGCACTGGGAAACCCAAAACTTTGTGTCTCTATTGAGATATTCACTTTATTGTAGTGGCCTGGAACTAAGCCCACAGTATTTTGATGTGTGCCTGTATACATACATTGTGAATGACTAATTCAAACTAATTAACATTGCATTACTTCACATACTTACTTTTTACTTTTCGTGTGCTAAGAACAGTTAAAATCTACTTTCTTAGCAATTTTCAAGAATACAATATATTGTCATTAACTTTAGTCATCACGCTGTACAACAGATCTCTTAATTTACTTTTTTTTTTTTTTTTTGAGATGGAATCTCACTCTGTTGCCCAGGCTGGAGTGCAGGGGCACAATCTCAGCTCACTGCAACCTTGGTCTCCCAGGTTCAAGAGATTCTGTTACCTCAGCCTCCTGAGCAGCTGTGATCACAAGCGCACACCACCATGCCTGGCGAAATTTTTGTATTTTTAGTAGAAATGGGGTTTTACTGTGTTGCCTAGCATGGCCTCGAACTCCTGAGCTCAGGCAATCCACCCATCCCAGCCTCCCAAAGTGCTATGAGTACAGGCATGATCCACTGCGCTCAGCCTACTTCTTATACTTAACTGAAATTTTGTATCATTTGTCCAACTTCCCTCCAACCCACCCCAGCTCCAGCCCCCAGTAACCATCCTCTACTCTCTAATTCTAGGAGTTTAAATTTTCTTTTGACTCCACAAATAAGTGAGACCATGCAGTTTCTGTCTTTGTGTGTCTGACTCATTTTATTTCACATACTAAACTCCAGGTTCATCCGTGTTGTTGCAAATGAGAGGGTTTTCCTTTTTTATGGCAGAATAGTGTTCCATTGTGTATATATACCACATTTTCTTAATCTATCCATCGTTATCAATATTTGGGTTGGTTTTGTATCTTGCCTTATATGAATAATGTTGCAATGAACTTGGAAGTTCAGATATATTTCCCTTTCGATACATGCCCAGGAGTGGAACTGCTGAATCATATGATAGTTTTATTTTTAATTTTTTAAGAAACTGCTATGTTTTCCCAAATGACTATATTAATTTACATTCCCATGAACAGTACAACAATTCCTTCCTTTTTTTTTTTTTTTTTTTTTGAGACGAAGTCTCACCCTGTCACTCAGGCTGGAGTGCAATGGCATGATCTTGGCTCACTGCAAACTCTACCTCCCAAGTTAAAACAATTCTCGTGCCTCAGCCTCCCGAGTAGCTGGGATTACATGCGTCTGCCACCACCCATGGCTAATTTTTCTATTTTTAGTAGAGAAGGGGTATCCCCATGTTGGCCAGGCTGGTGTCAAACTCCTGACCTCATGATCTGCCCGCCTTGGCTTCCTAAAGTCCCTCTTTTTTTTTTTTTTAACATAGTCTCTAATACTTCTTGTCCTTGTCTTTTTATTAATAGCTGTTCTAAAAGGTGTGAAGTAACATTAATATTATCTCATTGTGGTTTTGATTTGTGTTTCCTGATGATTAGTGATGTTGAGCATCTTTTCATGTACCTGTTGGACGTTTGCATATCTTCTTTTGAGAAATGTCTATTTACATCCTTTGCCCAATTTTTAAAATTAGTTTTTCTATTTTCTAACTATTGAATCGACTTTTTAATATAGTTTGAATATTAACCCCTTATCAGAGGTATAGTTTGCAAATATATTCTCCTATTGTGTAAGTTGTCTGTCTATCATGTTAATTGTTTTCTTGGTCGCTTGGAGATTTTTAGTTTGAAGTAATCCTATTTGTCTATTTTTGTGTTTGTTACCTTTGCTTTGGGGCTCCTCTCCAAAAAAATCATTGCCCAGACCAAAGTCTTGGAACTTTTACCATATGCTTTCTTCTAGCAGTTTCACAATTTCTAATCCCTATATTTAAGTCTTCAATTCATTTTGAATTGGTTTTGGATATGGTGTTAGATATGGGTCCAATTTCATTCTGCTGAATGTGGATATCCAATTGTCCCCAAACGACTAATTGCAGACACTGTCCTTTCCCCATTGTTTTTGGCATCTTTGTCAAAAGTTAATTGAATGTAAATTATTGGATTGACTTATGGGCTCTCAATTCTGTTTCAATGAACAATAAATCTTCTTTTATGCCATTACCATGCCATTATAATTACTATAGTTTTGTAGTATATTTTGAAATCAGGAAATATGATGCTTTGTTCTTTTTGCTCAAAATTGTTTTGGCTATTCAGGTTCTTTTGTAGTTCCGTATGAATTTGAAGACTGTTTTTCTATTTTTGTGAAGAATGTCTTGGTATTTTGATAGGATTACATTGAATATGTAGATTTCTTTGGGTAGTATAGTAATTTTAACGACATTAATTTTTCTAATCTATGAATACAGGATATCTTTTTATTTATTTTTGTGTTCTACAGTTACTTTTATCAATATTGTATAGTTTCAGTGTACACATCTTTCATTTTCTTGGATAAACTTACTCCTAAGTATTTTATTTTTTGATGCTGTCGTACATGGGGTTGTTTTCTTAGTTTCTTTTTGAGATAGTTCATTGTTAGTGTACAGAAACACTACTAATTTTTTGTATGTTGCATTTGTATCTTGCAAGTTTACTTAATTTATCAGTTTTAACAGTTTTCCAGTGAATTCTCAGGCTTTTCTGTGTATAAGGGCAGATCATCAGTAAACAGAAACAATATCCTCTTCCTTTCATATTTTGATAGTTTTTCTTTTTCTTTTTTTTTGCCTAATTGCTAATTGTGTAGACCTTTTAATACTATATTGAATGGAGGTGGCAAGAGTGGTCATACTTAAATCTTTAGAGTTCACTGGGTAGTTCTAGATATTAAAAATGGCAAAAAATTTACACCAAAAAGTGATATAAAAATGATTCTTTAAAAAGCGTTCAATTTATCTTTTCTGATAACATTTTATTCCAGCACTATGCTTTTCTCTCTTATGTATGGGTATAGGTGGTTGTGATGTTGGTATTGACACCAACACTTTGGTGTTCATACATGTTCTTATACACTGATTTCTGAATAAAACTTAACACAGACTGTTACTTAATTCTCATTATATGAGAGTTGCCATGAAGCCAATAAAAATCTGCCTAATGATTTTCCTGGATAATGGTCACTTTCTTATTTGATTTTATGTCCATGTTCCTGTGGACATGAATGAAGAGAAGATTTTGGTAAATTAAGTAAAATCTTTAATTCTCAGTTTCAGTTTCCTTATCTTTAAAACACGAAAAATAACTCCTCTTATTTTTACCCAAGAGGATGATAGTATTATCTTAATGGCAGGTATAAATCTGTGCCCTTTATTCATTAACTGTGGTGAGAAAATTACTGTAGAGGGGACAAAGAACACTCCATAGCATTTGTCAGTCATGATTTGATGCTTTATTTTCTCCTTTCTTCTTGAAAATTTCAAGAGTAGACAGCTGACCTTCCTCTGAATACTTTCTTTTCTGCTATCATCACCTACAATTAAGTCTAAAACCTAATATATCTAAGACATTACAAATGTAATGGAAGAAGGCTAATAAGGGAAATAAAAGCTCCAAGAGAATTAAATCACATTAAATAGGACAGTTGGGCCATAGTGCACTCTGTCTGGAGAATTAATCATATACTATTCAGGCCAGTGGAAGAGATCAGTTTGTACTTCCTTATATGAAAGTGTGTTAGGTTCAAAAAGAGAAGAAATAACAATACAATTTCCAGAAGGAAAGATGTATTGATGACAGATGTAGTAGGTTAGTGCCAGGCCCACATGGCCTTAAATTCCTATAGCAGTTCTGTGTGTCCATCCTCCTGCTTTTTCATTCTTTGCTCTTAACAACTTTCTCCTGAAGCCTTTAGAAGGCTGCCCTTGGGTACTGGGGCCACAAAGCCTATCTGGACTCAAGCTCCTGGGAGTTTTACATCCCCTACCTCAGGGCATCCTGTAGCCAATGGCTATTTAGCATGGAAGTACAAAGACTCATCTGTCTTTTTCTTAAGGTAGGACAAACTAGGGTATACTTTACCTTCTACCAGGATCTAGTGGAGTCTTGGATTTCAACTGACATTGTACACTTATTTTACTTTTCTTTCTTTTGTATCCTGCCTAATCCACCTTCTTTTAATTTATCTTTATAAACACTTTCTTTATTATACATTTGCATGCAAATTCTTAGCCTAAGGTCTGTTTTGGTGACAACCTGATCACAGACAATAGACTACCATAACTTCTTAGCTTTTATTTAATAACTTAAATCACATTTGATAGGCACCCTCTATTTAAATCCAATGAGCACGTTATTTATAAAGAAATATTAACCAACCTGTCAACAAATGCATGGTGAAGAAGGAAGATAGGATCGTTGGCAGATCCCTGTACCTGGGACATTGTTCCATTCATATAGATGTGCAAGGCATTGTGCATGCTGCTTTGAGAGGCATCCGCTATCCCAGTAAGTGGACTAGCAAATCCTGTTCATTAAAAAAAAATGAAAAAAATATGTTTACTTTAATGACTGAAAACCTATGTGATTATCCCATTTGATTTATAACTATAACTTGAAGACTGTTTCAAAATATAAAATCAAAAATAAAATTCATTCCGTATTGAGACTCTTTACATTCTGGATACCCAGTGTGTATTCAATAAATATTTGTGGAATTAAATGGCCCAAATTTGGGTACAATGGAGAGCTTAACCAGGTAAAAGAGGTTGAGCCAATTTGTGTTCCCTCCTGTTCATTCTGCCTATAATTTCTGTTTCAATATGGACAAGTCATAGGAACATTTTATAATAACCAGCAGTCACTTTCACTTCAGTCTGTAACAACACTCATAGCAGATCTTTTCAGCCTGTTATGTGTCCCCTTGCTTTCCAGTTCTGGAGAACACTTTAAGTTTGGTTTCTGGTTCCAGAGAAAGCGTAAAATTTGTGACTCTTCACATTTCAATTCCTCTTTCACAGGAACATCTTTCATATCAGTTCATAATGTGTCTGATTTTACAAAACATTCATTTCAAAAATATTCAGAACTCCAATAAATATTTCCATTTATTGCATCAGCAACAGTAATAATGGGAAAAATTTTAATAAGAGCAATTATTTTCTAAATGTTGAGTATGCTAAATGTTTATTGTGACATATGTTCTTCTATCTTTACAGTAACTCTGTTGGTTAGAAATTATTATCCCTATTCAAAGAAAACTGAGGTTCAGAGAAGTTCTGAGTTTACCAAGCTACCCAGGTAGAGTTGGGATTTTAATCCGTATCAATTAGACGCTAAGATATGAGCTCTTAGAATTTTGTGTTCTCTCCCATGTGCCCATTAAGAAGAGGAAGAGGAAGATAACTTTTTAGTGCCCACTCAGGCAAAACTGAGAGTTAGGACCAGAAAAAGAAGTTTGGATAACAAAATTGAATTGTAAGCAGGAACCAAGTTGGGGGAACACGACGAAGGGCATATTATTAAATTTCAGAATTAAGAAATATCAAGCAAGCAGAAATTGTGAATAAGATCATAATGTAAACCAGAGTTACAACAGAAACAGTGAAAAAAGACAGGATTTAGGCAGGGAAGTTCTAGCTTTATTTCATACAAGTAGAACTATTTTATTGGCAATATCTTCCTTATTAAAGGTGCAGTTCTTAATTTTTGCATCACATGCCTTGTGCTCTCCCACTATTGTGACTGACAGTGTTTCTGCCCCTTCGGGTAGTGATGTTTTTTCCTCCTTTTACCTCCTTTTGAACTTATTTTATTCATTCTGGGAGACCATACCAATCCCTGATCCCTCTGGGAGATTAGCCTAAGAACATGCACATCCCTCTCCTTTACACAGTTTTGTCTATGACAACTTCTGTGAATATACATACATGACACTTAATCTGTGTAGAAATTTTTCTAGATCTTGACATAATTTTATGTGACATTTAGAAGGATCTGACCAATTAAGTACCTACATTATTATAGAAATGGAAAGAAAGGGCTTAGAGGGGACAAAGAACTTGTCTAAGGTAAAATAACAAATTAGACATTAAGGTTAGAGCAGATGCCTGTTTTAGTGTAGAACTTATGCTCCTAAATACAATGGTTTACTTCCTTTGCTATGTAGCAATAAATCATGTCACTGAGGACAATGTTCTTCATAGAAGTTGTTTTCAAGATTTTATCTCTGAGTAGCACCAAATGAAAAATTTAAAACTCTCACACTTTTTAAAGTGTATACTCTCACACTTTTTAAAGTAGGTCCCAAACTGATTTTTTTAATTTAAAAGAATTTTTAAAGTTTTATATTTTTCATTGGTATGTAACAATTGTACATATCTTTGGGGTACATGTGATATTTTGATGCCTATAATGTACAAGGTGTAATGATCAAATCAGAGTAATTGGAATATCAATCACCTCGATCATTTATCTTTTCTTTGTGTTGGGAATCTTACAAATCTTCTATTCTAGCTATTTAAAAATATACAATAGAATAAATTGTTGTTAACTATAATTTTCCTACTGTACTATCAAATTGTTTTAATCATAATCATAAATAGTTTCAGAGGATATAATAAAAGGATATTGCAAATAGTGTCAATTTAAAAATGAACATATAATATTACTTTCAAAAAATGTATCCACCATAATTATTTGATTCCATCATCCATATCAAAAACAACTTAAACTCTTCTTTGATAGTCTGTAACTTTCTGGAGTTACCTTTTTATACTTGAACTTGTATTTGTATACTATTTTTCTACACAATTATATCTAAATGTTATATATGTTATGCTTAAAATATTTGAAAAATATTAGTGAGGATTAAGGAGATGTTAGTCTAAGGATACAAATTTTTTGTTAGATAGGAGGAATAAGTTCAGGAGATCTATGTCTAAGGATACAAATTTTTTGTTAGATAGGAGGAATAAGTTCAGGAGATCTATGATACAACATGGTGATTATAGTTAATAATAATGTATGGTATACTTGAAAATTGCTAAGAGAGTAGATTTTAAATGTTCTTACTACTCAAATAAGTATGTGAGGTAACAGATATTTTAAGTAGCTTGATTTAGCCATTTCCCAATGTATACATACATCAAAGCATCATGTGATGCACCATAAATATATACAATTTTTATTTATAAATTTTAAAAAGGGAAAAGAATAAGTAGCCTACCAAAATTCTCTGTAACAAAAATAGGTATATCAATTATATTCTAAATTTTAAAAAAATAAATAACTGCCAAGAAGCTTTGTTCCCATAAATAACTAGATAAGGGTAAAGAAATTTTTATTTAAATTTTACTTATCTTTTTGAACTCATTTGAGCTAAATATGCTAATAATGATACAATCCAGCAAAAAAAAAAATAGTTTTTACAATTTGATCCATCAACTGACAACTCAAGCAAGAATTATTTGATAAAAGCAATTTCACAAATGATGAATTTATTTATAAACTACCCAACTTGTAAGAAGTTTGTTGCCTAGTAATTAAAGTTATACATGTTGGCAACACTAGCACCAATGTTTCGGATTCCCCACTTGTTAAACACTCTGGAAGTTTTTCCCATTCTGGGAGCAGACTGTATTGAGAATGAATTCAGGATAGGTGGAAGATAGGCTCTTCTGAAACATCAGAGAAGGGAGATTTTGAAAGGAGAGTTGGTGAAGGAGAATCTTCAGGAGTCTTCTCAATCAGATTCATTTGGAAAAGTATGCTTGGAAGGATGAGCTAAAAATAAATTTTCTTAAAACTCTCTGCACCATGTACCCCTTAGAAAGTTTTTGTGAACCTGCAGTAGTGTATCTATGCCACTTTGAAGATACTGCTGTAAAAAAGATTTTTGAACTGAGTAGAACTTGGCTTAAATTCTGTGTTACATACTGGAAGTATAATCCTTGTCAAGTTATTTATATTTTTTGGGCTTCAATGATAAGAGAGGAAGTAAATAATGTCCACTTATCAGTTGGTGGCAAGGATTAATTTTGATAGCAGGTATAAAAGCACCTAGTACAGATCTGGTGCAAAGTGAATACTTCCTGAGTAGTAACTAGTATTTCTATAATCATGTTGCATGTGGTAAATAGTTGCTGCTAACCAAGAATATGGTGCACTCTCAATGCAAAAGTATCTCTTTTGCTGCAACCATTAGGTACCACCCTAGCATCACGCATCTCCCTCCTTCCTAAACTTCATTGTTCTGTAGAAACCTGCCTGCTGCCTGCTCTCATCCTATATCAGGTGTTCTTAGGTGTCTTAGGAAGTAGAATGGACCGACATTTTAAGAGCGTTTTCAGCCAGGCTGGTATTTCATTACTCACTACTATACTGACCTGACAGATGTTGCATCTAGAAAAGCCCCTAATATTATTAAGAAAAAAAAAAAAACAGCTAAAGAAAAAGCACAAGGAATTTGTCGGAATACATTGTGATATGTGCTTAGAAATAATGTAAAGGCCCAGGTTGAACCAAGATTCTTTGTAATACATACCAGATTAATATAAACAGTTGTAAACAGTTTTATTATAGTAACAATTTTAAATAATGTATATATTGTCTCTTCAAATAGACTAGAGACACCTCAGAATTAGAGATCAAATTGTTTGTTTTGATTTCCGATAATCAAAATCAGAGACTTGAACACCTTCATATTTAAAAGATAAACAAATATAAAATACTCTCAATCTTTCACTTATATATCCTACAGAGATTGGGAATAAGAGAGACAATTTCCAAAAAACCTACGAGGGAATTTTAGAGAGCTCTACTCTGGCACCTGTCAAGTGACAAAACAGAGAAAATGTTATGAATGACAAATAATATAAAAATGTGAACAAACTATTTTCTATTTTATCTTTTCATAGAGTTTATTTTCTTGGTTGGTGAAGTCAACTTGAAAAAAAATAGAAATAATTACTCCAACATCGGTAGCTTCTCTGGCTGAGATTTGACTCTGTTTTGGAAGAATAAGTCAAAGAGGAAATTCTAAGTACCCCAAAATAGTGCCCATATATATCCAGCTTTTCAAATATCTTTCATGTAAATAATCTCATTTGAATCTCAGGGCTACTTGTGATATGAATATTATCATTACCTCAGTTTTACAAATGTGAAAACTACAGCTTATAGAAGTTAAATAACACATACATTAAAGCTAGTAGTTGGGGAATCAATGAACTGAATAATTGATTCCAATTCCTGTGCTCCTTTTTGCATATACAGTTGGGTAGTGTCTGTACTGACTTACCCTTGGAAATTTCTTTGCACTATACCCCTGCAATGAATTTGTGGACTTGTCATTTTTAGCTACCAAATTACAGCAAGGTGCAGAATGTGTTATTATCTCAACCTTGTCCACGAATTCCTCATGGAAAGAAATTTTACTGAGCCAGTAGAGACATGTTAGTCACAGATGCCAAAATAGCTCAATGTTCTTTGTGAAAGGCAGTAAGAGTTCCCCCAAATTATGTTATGCCTTAACATTTGCAAGCTACATTCCTATAGGAAATTAATAAACCCAGTTTCAGGTCAATGGCAACAATAGAATTTTTTTTTTTTAAGATGGAGTCTCACTCTGTTGCCCAGGCTGGAGTGCAGTGGTGTGATCTCAGCTTTCTGCAACCTCCACCTCCTGGGTTCAAGTGATTCTCCTGCCTCAGACTCCAGAGTAGCTGGGATTACAGGCACAAGCCAGCATGCCTGGCTAATTTTTGTATTTTTCGTAGAGGTGGGGATTCCCCATGTTGGCCACACTAATCTCAAACTACTGACCTCAGGTGATCCACCTGCCCTGGCCTCCCAAAGTGCTGGGATTACAGGCGTGAGACACCGTGCCCGGCACCCAACAATAGAAAATTGCAACTAGTTGATCTCTTTTGCTCTTTTCTTCCCTAATACTACTCTGAAAAGTTTATGTTTGTTTCTTTTTAATATTGATGCTTAGCTCTCATACCTAGAGATTCAGATATAACTGGTTTAGAATGGGACTCAGGCACTTGGAGTTTGAAAACCACTCCGGGTCGTTCTAACATGTGACCAGGGTTGCACTGCACTGAATTAAGCTGGACTGATCTCCATTCTCTAAACCTGAGCTCATGCTTCAAAAACTACCTGTGAATATATGATTTCCTTGATATGAAATTTTCACCTTCTATATTCTGACAGTCCAAAAATCCTTCTGCCTTTAAAATCTTACACTATAAACTTATGCCTTGACATATTTTCTTCCTGGTAACTGTTCCATGTTCCTTTGAAAATTATGATTTAAGAAATTGAGCAACTACTATGTAACAGTCACTGGCTAGGCATTGGCACATAAATCATCTCATATAATTCCGTATCTTTCCTTTGAGGAAGATGAGTTACAGATGTTGCACTTTAATCATACCTGCTAAGAGTCTGAAATATGAAAAGGTGTGTAGTTAAATCTTCAGAAGAATAGAGCACATTTAATTTATTGCATTTCATTTAAGTGCATTTTTAACCTATTTTAACATTTCATAGTGTTTCAGAGATGGAATTGGAGAAGAGGAAATAAAAAGAAGATAGAAAATGTACATTAGTGCATCTGAAGATTTTTTAAAAAGTGACTTAAGACCCACTGACTTATATTCCTCCAATTTACTCTCCTAATGTGCAACTTGATTGAGGAATTAAGTACACAGCTTCAAAAGGTTATGCACAATGGTTTTAGGAGGCTGTATTTGATGGCTGAATACTTTGAAAAGGCTTGTAATTTAAACTACTTACAGAAGAAATACAGAATTGCAGATCAAAAAACATTTTTGGATCTAAGCAAGTCCCTAGATACACGAGAAGCATTAACTTTCAACCAACTTCCAGTTTGCTCAAAGTGCTAGCTCTACAGCCATAAATGTAATTAATTAGCATTTATGTTTATTAGAAAATACTTTTAATTTGACTCAGGAGATTTCTTTGATTATGAGGAATAGAGTAACGAAGCAAATGAAGTGGTGCATGAGTGTTTCATACTATGTAATTATTACAGCAGAGCCCAGGGCACAAACACTCCACATATTTTGTGTTTTTCAAAAATGTGGTCCCAGAGTTAGCAGCATCACCTGTAAACTTGTTACAAACACAAATCCTCTAACCCTAACAGTGAGTCACTGAACAGAAAGTCAGGTGGGGACCCATCGTGTGTGTTAACCAGTTCTACAGGTGATTCTAATGCAAATAAGGTTTGAAAACAGCTGCTCTCATTCTTTTCATTGTTTGCACAAAGACAATGACAAATCACAATGAATTATAAGTCATTTCCATAAATTCAAGAAAGGTTTTTGTGTTATTAAAGTGTTTATTATTTTAAGTGGGCTTCTCTACTTGTTAACCTCGGTGTTTGTGTTTTCTCTTCTCTACTACTTAATTGCCTCTCTACAACAAAGATTACTGCTATTACTACACCTTCTATTCCTATGTGGTAGGTGCTAGGCTGCATTTCCTTAAGTTTTTATAGAACTTCATCTTCATAGCAACTCTGTTTTTGTTTTGTTTTGTTTTGTTTTGAGTTTTGTTTTTTTGAGACGGAGTTTCGCTCTTGTTGCCCAGGCGCTGGAGTGCAGTGGTGTGATCTCCGCTCACTGCAACCTCCGCCTCCCAGGTTCAAGCGATTTTTCTGCCTCAGCGTTCTGAGTAGCTGGGATTACAGGCACCCGCCACGCCCGGCTATCTTCGTAGTAACTCTGTAAAGAAGATATTATTTAACCAACTTTCAGGTGTTGAAACTAAGTCTCAAAGAGGATAGGTGGTTTATCTAAGGTCATTCAGTAATGATATAGTTTGGATATGTGTCCTAGCCCAAATGTCATGTTGAAATGTAATCCCCACTTTTGGAGGTGGGACCTGGTGGAAGGTGATTTGATCATGGGGCAAATTTCTCATGAATAGTTTAGTACCATCCGTTTGGTGCTGTTCTCACAATAGTGAGTGAGTTCTCGCAAGATCTGATGATTTAAAAGTGTGTGGCACCTGCTACCCTTCACGCTGGCTCCTGCTCTGGCGATATAATGTGCGTGCTCTCTGCCTTCTACCATAATTGTAAGTTTCAGCCTCCCCAGAAGCCAGGCAGATGTCAGCACTGTGCTTCCTGTACGGCCTACAGAACTGTGAGTAAATAAAACCATTTTTTTTTTAATTACCTAGTCTGAGATTTCTTTAAAGCAATGTGAGAACGGCCTACCACAAGCAGATAAGTGGCAGGGTCAGAATTTTGGCCAATTATCTGCCAAACTTCCAAGCTTTGCTCTTAATTATTCTGTTACATTCTTTCAGTTGATATAAAGCCATTAGTTGCAATAAAATTTAAAATAGACAATAGATGTTCTGTTGCAGTTATGATAGTTCCTTTATTTCCTTTAATTCTTGTCATATCCATTGGAATAAAAAGCTGCAACCCAGCTTTTTCACAGAGTACTCTCTTGGGGTAGAAAAGGCCCTATCATGCTGGTTCTTACTCTCTGGATGAAAACTTCATCAGCTTCCTATCACAGGACTCCAGGGCACATAGTCAACTGGATCAGAGAAGGCAAGAATTTTTGGTAGTGTCACCAAGATATTGTATAAGACCCAATACCCACATACTTATGGCCAATTTTTGTTCTTATCAAATTTAATTTTTTTACTAGATTGTAAGAATTTGTGGAAGGACATAATTTCATCCTAAAGGTTGCTTTTAAAAGCATTCTATCAGGCCGGGCACAGTGGGTCACGCCTGTACTCCTAGCACTTTGGGAGGCCGAGACAGGTGGATCACTTGACATTAGGGGTTCAAAACCAGCCTGGCCAACATGGTGTCTCTACTAAAAATACAAAAATTAGCCAGGGGTGATGGTGCATGTCTGTAGTCCCAGCTACTCGAGAGGCTGAGGCAGGAGAATCGTTTGAACCTGGGAGACACAGGTTGCAGAGAGCCAAGATCGCTCCACTGCACTCCAGCCTGGGCAATAGAGTGGGACTCTGTCTCCAAAAAAAAAAAAAAAAAGTCACTCTGTCATTCTGCTGCTCTTTACACTTTGGATATAAGTTTAATTTAGGACTAATATTTTCCTGAAACAATTTTTGTCCAGTTTGAGTCTCAAGTCCTAGTCTATTGTTTGGAATTTGGCTTCTATATAGGGCTAGAAAATTACAGTGTGTGCATCAGCATGCAAGACAGTAACTTTAAGGAACTTTCATTATTGCAATAAAAGGATGGTTCTAAGTAATTTACAAATACTGACTTATGTAATCTTCACAATAGCATATGAGGTAGGTATTGTGATTATTATCACTTTGTAAGTGAGGGACCTCAGGCAAGGGCAGGTTAAATTTACAAAAGTCATTTAACTAGTAAGTGATAGTACTAGAATTTAAACCCAGGTAGTCCAACTCTTAACTGCTTTTCTCTAGCTGCATCTAAAACTTGGCTTTTCTATTTGGAACACTTGAGGACATGATCTCCCTTGCTAATGATCCATGTTTTCTACCTGTTAGCTCTGTAACATTGTCAATTGGATAAATTATCAGAATCTCAGTTTCCTCATTTATAAAGTGTGCATAATAATAAATATGGTATAAGGCATTTAAGAAGAATAATTAAGATAATGGACGTGAAAAGTTTTTAGAAAAGTAGGATTGTAGTGATGTTAACTGTTGTTATTAATTACAGAGGCTATCTGGTAATTTGTAAGGTTATTTTGTAAAGATGTAGGAAAGAATTTGTCAATTTTCCTCCTTTTCTTCTTTGTACTTTACTGAAACTATTCCAGCTCATTCTTGGTGATATCAGATCATCCATAAAAATTTCTTTGACAAGAAATATTTGGTTAGCTTCCTTCATTTAATGACACTTAAATTTGCCTCTTTTAATCATTTATTTTCTTTGGATTATAATTAGTTTTTCACAATCTAGTTCTTAATTATATTAAGTTTCAAGAGGGCAGAATATGTCATTTATTCCTAGTATATTGCAAAGTATCTATAAATGTTTTTTAATCAATAAACATGAGGCATATATTTCTCTTTCTAAAACATGTAGCTTTAGTTGCTGGCATAATTTTAAAATCAATTAAGCTAACTTTTTTGAAGATTCCTATAATGTTCTAAGGTTTATGTCTTTGAGTAAGATTGACGATGGCTTTGAATTTAACCCTTATGTTTTTATGTTATAGGCCTCTCTCAATAGTCTCCTGATGGAATAATTAAGTGAATAGAGAGAAAGCCCTGAACAACCTACATGAAAAATAGTTTTGGTGTTGTTCAGCATGGAGGGGATAACAGTAGATGTTAGGATAGAAGAGGTCGATGATTCTTCACTCTAAAAAAGTAGTTAATAGAAATAACTATTCACCCATAAAACATGGAATAATAAATTTTTGGGAAATACCATGGGGAAAAAAGAATATATAATGATTATGGAAAACAGAATAGCATGATCTTTTTCCATGTAGTAGAAAATGGGATAACATGGGAAACTATTTCAGAAAGAGTAGGGCAGCAAGCAATGGTAAGAAAGAGAAAATTATCTATTCTTTCACAGTTAAGAATCGAGGCTTCAGTGAAAATGAGGCAGGCCAGCCCAGGCCAGAACTAAAGTTCAGGAATTACTGGATCCTAGAGGGAAAAATAAAACAACGAAGAGACTCAAACAGAAACACCCAAGACACATCCATTCACTGTGTTCAAAAAACCACTTTCCCTTAACTCCTGGATGCACAATGAACCTCACATTTATATGTGGCCCTGTGAATAAGTAGTGGTCAATGACATGTAGGCAGAAGGTATGTGGGCCACTTCAAGGCTTGGCCCATATATTTCTCATGTACAATTCTCCATGCATCCTCATACTCAGTCTCCCAGGAAGATGGAGAAGATACATCAGATAAGTGGGGGACAGTAGACTCACTAACATAGCCATAGGGAAGGTCATTCCCCAACCAGAAACATCCAAATTGGATTTTGGATGAGCAAGAAATTCATTTTTATTGGATTACATCACTAAGATTTTGGCATACGTTTGTTAACACTGCATAGTATTACTTACTCCAATATTCTCTACTTCCTAAGTTAGATAATAAATGTTCGCATTTTTAATAACTTGAAAGGTCTGGAGTTAAAGAGAGACTTTAACACTTCATTTACCACTACAGAACTAATGTTGTTTTACATGAAATTTAAAACAACACTGTGACAGAACATTATGGTAAGAGTGCTTGATTTTTGTTTTAAATACTTTACAAAACATGGGTAAAAGATTGTGACAGAGACTACTACTTTTTTCACAAATGCTAATTTTTTCTCTTTTTCCTAATAATAATCTAAATGTTGTTGGACACATGGCCACTAGCTGGAGATAACATCTTCCAGTTTAAGCTAAATGTTACCATGTCTGTTTGATCATGATAAGAAACACTTCTAAATAATTCCTTTAAAGAAAAATAGTCATACGCTATTCTTCCCACTTTCACCCTTTCGATTAGGGTGAAAACAGGATGAAGATCAAGAGATGGAAGCTGTGAGTTAAGGATGACAGAATTGCACTACCAGATCTTGAAGATCTAACTTCATATTGTTTCATAAGAGCAAAATCAACTTCTTTTTCTTAAAAGGCATATTATTTGGGTTTACCTATTTTTTTTTTTTTTTTTTTTTTGAGATGGAAAAACTCCATCCAGGCTGGAGTGCAGTGGTGCGATCTCGGCTCACTGCGACCTCTGCCTCCTGGGTTCAAGCGATTCTCCAGCCTCAGCCTACTGAGTAGCTGAGACTACAGGGGTGCATCACCATGCCTGGCTAATTTTTTGTATTTTTAGTAGAGATGGGGTTTCACCATGTTGCCTGGGCTCGTGTCAAACTCCAGAGCTGAGGCAATCAGTGCACCTCAGCCTTGAGTTTTCTTATGATACCATAAAGTGGGCCTCATTTAATAGAAGGTGAAATAGGCTAATTCCACAATATTCCATGAAATGAATGGCAGATAGAACCTCAGAAGGAATAATCTGAGCCACAGTTGCTTTTAGTATACATACAAGTCATATTTCTTACTCTGTTTAAGTGCCATCCTTTAAGTATTTCACCTATAAATCTGATGCTTTTTCTTACTGCATTTTCTTCTGTTTATTTATACACTAAAGTCACAATTCCAGGTTCATAAGCTTTCACCAGGTTCATAAGCTTTCACACCTTCTATTGGTAAGTGAAGTCACTCACTGCACAAAATCTGAATTTACTGCAGGATGAAAAAGAAAAATAAATATGGTTTCAATTAAAATTATTGATTAAAGATACCAAAATCCTAGTATGTTGTATAAATCCTAAAAATTATTTTCTTCATTATAATAATATAGTAACAGAGGTTTTCTATGTTTAACAAACATTATCTTAGTTGATAATTACATAAACAGATAGAACAGAAATATTATCTTCACCTTATAAATAAAAAACATGAGCTGTATGAAGTTAAATGACTTATGGAGGGTCTTGCGTCTTTAGTATTAATGATCTCTCTCCAAAAATGGTGGGATTCTTATGACATTTCTAAACATTTCTTAGTAACACTATGAACACTATTTGATTGACAGGTGCACTCAAAGCCCAGACTTCACCACTGTGCAATATATCTGTGCAACACAATCATGATTGTACCCCTAAATCTATAAAAAATTTTAAGTTAAAATAGATTATTTTAATGGATTGCTTAGACTCAAATTTTTAAAGCCAATGGGATATAGCCATTTATTCTTTGCCAAAGCAATAATTTTTATTTTATTTTATTACTATTATTATACTTTAAGTTCTAGGGTAGATGTACACAATGAGCAGGTTTGTTACATAGGTGTACATGTGCCGTGTTGGTGTGCTGCACCCATCAGCTCGTTATTTAAATTAGATATTTCTCCTAACACTATCCCTCCCCCAGCCCCCCACCCCCAAACAGGGATGTTCCCCATCCTGTGTCCATGTGTTCTCATTGTTTAACTCCCACTTATGAGTGAGAACATACGGTGATTGGTTTTGTGTCCTTGTGATATTTTGCTGAGAATGATGGTTTTCAGCTTCATCAGAGAAGTCAGCTATAAGTAGCCTATCTCAACTGCAAGCTTCTCCCAAGTAATTCTTTATAAAATATATAGATATTATATCACATCATAGTGCTTAACTGAATTTTGTGCTTATTTCTTTTCTGGTTTGCTTATGCTTCTCCTCACTAGAATGCAAATATTTTAATAGCAAGTTCCTTGTCTATCTAGTAATTGTGTGCTAAGAACGTTGTTACATATATATTTTTACAATATCGTACTAAAAATCAAAGCTGTAACTTTAGATGGCTACAAATATTAGCACCATTTTATGGTGAGAAAAAGAAGGCTTAGGGAAGAATAAGCAGCTTGCCAAAGATTATGTAGCTAGATGTAGCAGCTTTGGGATTCAAAATGAGGCATGTTTGATGCTAAAATCTATGTTCTTAATCACATGATTTACTGCCTCTTAGTCTCCTGATTTCTGGGCTTTTGATTTACTTTAGAGCTCTGTTCATCCCTTGGCTCTGATATTTGGTGCTATTTCAGTGGGTCTGACCTGTGAGTTCATCCATTTTTTATGGCTGCATAGTATTCCATGGTGTATATGTGCCATATTTGCTTTATCCTGTCCATTATTGATGGACATTTGGGTTGGTTCCAAGTCTTTGCTATTGTAAATAGTTCCGCAATAAACATACACGTGCATGTGTCTTTACAATAGCATGATATATAATCCTTTGGGTATACCCAGTAATGGGATCGCTGGGTGAAATGGTATTTCTAGTTCTAGATCCTTGAGGAATCGTCACACTCTCTTCCACAATGGTTGAACTAATTTACACTCCCACCAGCAGTGTAAAAGGGTTCCTATTTCTCTACATCCTCTCTAGCATCTGTTGTTTCCTGACCTTTTAATGATCGCCATTCTAACAGGCATGAGATGGTATGGCATTGTGGTTTTGATTTGCATTTCTCTGATGACCAGGGATGATGAGGATTTTTTCATATGTCTATTTGCTGCATAAATGTCTTATTTTGAGAAGTGTCTGTTCATATCCTTTGTCCACTTTTTGATGGACATTAGCCCTTTGTCAGTTTGATGGATGGCAAAAATTTTCTCCAGTTCTGTAGGTTGCCTGTTCACTCTGATATTTCTTTTGCTGGCAGAACCATCTATAGTTTAATTGGATCTCATTTGTCAATTTTGGCTTTTGTTGCCATTGCTTTTGGTGTTTTAGTCATGAAGTCTTTGCCTGTGTTCTCAACGGTATTGCCTAGGTTTTCTTCCAGGGTTTTTATGGTTTTAGGTCTAACATTTAAGTCTTTAATCCATATTGAGTTAATTTTTGTGTAAGGTGTAAGGAAGGGATCCAGTTTCAGATTTCTACATATGGCTAGCCAGTTTTCCCAACACCATTTATTAAATAGGGAATCCTTTCTCCATTACTTGTTTTTGTCAGGTTTGTGAAAGATCTGTTGTTTGTAGATGTGTGGTGTTATTTCTGAGGCCTCTGTTCTGTTCCATTAGTCTATATATCTGTTTTGGTACCAGTGTCATGCTGTTTTGGTTAGTGTAGCCTTGTAGTATAGCTTGAAGTCAGGTAGCATGATGCCTCCAGCTTTGATCTTTTTTGCTTAGAATTAATTGTCTTGGATATGCAGGCTCTTTTTGGTTCCATATGATCTTTAAAGTAGTTTTTTCCAATTCTGTGAAGAAAGTCAGTAGTAGCCTGATGGGGATAGCATTGGATCTGTAAATTATTTTGGGCAGTATGACCATTTTCACAATATTGATTCTTCCTATCCATGAGCATTGAATCTTCTTCCATTTGTTTGTGTCCTCTTTTATTTCCTTGAACCATGGTTTGTAGTCCTCTTTGAAGAGGTCCTTAACATCCCTTGTAAGTTGGATTCCTAGGTATTTTATTCTCTTTATAGTAATTATGAATGGGAGTTCACTCATGATTTGGCTCTCTTTTTGTCTATTATTGGTATATAGGAATGCTTGTGATTTTTGCACATTGATTTTGTATCCTGAGACTTTTCTGAAGTTGCTTATCAGCTTAAGGAGATTTTGGGCTGAGACAATGGGGTTTTCTAAATATACAATCATATCATCTGCAAATAGACAATTGGACTTCCTCCCTTCCTATTTCAATATCCTTTTTTTCTTTCTCTTGCCTGATTGTCCTGGCCAGAACTTCCAATACTATGTGAATAGGAGTGGTGAGAGAGGGCATCCTTGTCTTGTGCTGGATTTCAAAGGGAATGCTTCCAGTTTTTGCCCATTCAGTATAATATTGGCTGCGGGTTTGTCATAAATACCTCTTATTATTTTGAGATACGTTCCATCAATACCTAGTTTACTGAGAGTTTTTAGCATGAAAAGCTGTTGAATTTTGTTGAAGGCCTTTTCTGCATCTATGGAGATAATCAAGTGGTTTTTGTGGTTGGTTCTGTTTATGTGATGGATTTACATTTATTGATTTGTGTATGTTGAACCAGCCTTGCATCCCGGGGATGAAGCCAACTTGATTGTGGTGGATAAGCTTTTTGATGTGCTGTTGGACTCAGTTTGCCAGTATTTTATTGAGGATTTTCGCATCGATGTTCATCAGGGATATTGGCCTAAAATTCTCCTTTTTCGGTTGTATCTCTGCCAGGCTTTGGTATGAGGATGATGCTGGCCTCATAAAATGAATTAAGAAGGATTCCCTGTTTTTCTATTGATTGGAATATTTTCAGAAGGAATGGTACCAGCTCCTCTTTGTACCTCTGGTGGAATTCGGCTGTGAATCCATCTGATCCTGGACTTTTTTTAGTTGGTAGGCTATTAATTATTGCCTCAATTTCAGCACCTGTTATTGGTCTATTCAGAGATTCAACTTCTTCCTGGTTTAGTCTTGGGAGGGTGTATGTGTTGAGGAATTTATCCATTTCTTCTAGATTTTCTAGATTATTTGCATAGAGGTGTTTATAGTATTCTCTGATGGTAGTTTGTATTTCTGGGGGATCAGTGGCAATATCCTCTTTATCATTTCTTATTGCATATATTTGATTCTTCTCTCTTTTATTAGTCTTGCTAATGTTCTATCTATTTTGTTGATCTTTTCAAAAAAACAGCTCGTGGATTCATTGATTTTTTTGAAGGGATTTTCTTGTCTCTGTCTCCTTCATTTCTGCTCTGATCTTAGTTATTTCTTCTGCTAGCTTTTAAATGTGTTTGCTCTTGCTTCTCTACTTCTTTTACTTGTGATGTCAGGGTGTCAATTTTAGATATTTCCTGCTTTCTCTTGTGGGCATTTAGTGCTATAAATTTCTCCCGACACGCTGCTTTAAATGTGTCCCAGAGATTCTGGTACGTCGTGTCTTTGTTATAATTGGTTTTAAAGAACAACTTTATTTCTGCCTTCATTTTGTTATTTACCCAGCAGTCATTTAGGAGCAGGTTGTTCAGTTTCCATGTAGTTGTGTGGTTTTGAGTGAATTTCTTAATCCTGAGTTCTAACTTGATTGCACTGTGGTCTGAGAGACAGTTTGTTGTGATTCTGTTCTTTTACATTTGCTGTGGAGTGTTTTACTTCCAATTATGTGGTCAATTTTACAGTGTGATGTGGTGCCGAGAAGAACGTATATTCTGTTGATTTGGGGTGGAGAGTTCTGTAGATGTCTATTAGGTCCATTTGGTCCAGAGCCGAGTTCAATTCCCGGATAACCTTGCTAATTTTCTGTCTCATTGATCTGTCTAATATTGACAGTGGGGTGTTAAAGTCTCCCACTATTATTGTATGGGAGTCTAACTCTCTTTGTAGGTCTCTAAGAACTTGCTTTATGAATCTAGGTGCTCCTATATTGGGTGCACGTATATTTAGGACAGTTAGCTCTTCTTGTTGAATTGATCCCATTACCATTATGTAATGGCCTTCTTTTTTTCTTTTGATTTTTGTTAGTTTAAAGACCAGGATTGCAACCCCTGCTTTTTTCTTTTGTTTTGTTTTCCATTTGCTTGGTAGATCTTCTTCAGTCCCTTTATTTTGAGCCTATGTGTGTCTTTGCACGTGAGATGGGTCTCCTGAATATAGCACATCGATGGGTCTTGACTATCCAATTTGCCAGTCTGTGTCTTTTAATTGGGGCATTTACTCCATTTACATTTAAGGTTAATATTGTTATATGTGAATTTGATCCTGCCATTATGATGCTAACTGGTTATTTTGCCCATTAATTGATGCAGTTTCTTCATAGCATTGATGGTCTTTACAATTTGGTGTGTTTTTGCAGTGTCTGGTACCCGTTGTTCCTTTTCATGTTTAGTGCTTCCTTCAGGAGTTCTTGTAAGGCAGGCCTGATGGTGACAAAATCTCTCAGCATTTGCTTGTCTGTAAAGGATTTTATTTCTCCTTCACTTAGGAATCTTAGTGTAGCTGAATATGAAATTCTGGGTTGAAAATTATTTAAGAATGTTGAATATTGACCCCCACTCTCCTATGGCTTATAGGGTTTCTGCTGAGAGATCTGCTGTTAGTCTGATGGGCTTCCCTTTGTGGGTAACCCAACCTTTCTCTCTGGCTGCCTTTAACACTTTTTCCTTCATTTCAACCTTGGTGAATCTGACAATTATGTGTCTTGGGGTTGCTCTTCTCGAGGAGTATCTTTATGGTGTTCTCTGTATTTCCTGAATTTGAATGTTGGCCTGCCTTGCTAGGTTGGGGAAGTTCTCCTGGATAATATCCTGAAGAGTGTTTTGTAACTTGGTCATTCTCGTCATCACTTTCAGGTACACGAATCAAATGTAGGTTTGGTCTTTTCAAATAGTCCCATATTTATTGGAGGCTTTGTTTCTTTTCATTCTTTTTTCTCTAATCTTGTCTTCTTACTTTATTTCTTACTTTATTTCATTAATTTGATCTTCAATCCTTTCTTCCTCTTGATTGAATCTGCTATTGAAGCTTGCATATGTTTCATGAAGTTCTCGTACTGTGGTTTTCAGCTCCAGCAGGTCATTTAAGCTCTTCTCTACACTGGTTATTCTAGTTAGCCATTCATCTAACCTTTTTTCAAAGTTTTTAGCTTTCTTGCGATGGGTTTAAACATCCCCTTTTAGCTCGGAGATGTTTGTTATTACCCACCTTCTGAAGCCTACTTCAGTCAACTTGTCAAACTCATTCTCCATCCAGTTTTGTTGCCTTGCTGATGAGGAGCTGTGTTCCTTTGGAGGAGAAGAGGCATTCTGGTTTTTGGAATTTTCAGTCTTTCTACTCTGGTTTCTCCCCATCTTTGTGGTTTTATCTACCTTTGGTCTTTGATGTATGTGACCTAAAAATGGGGTTTTGCTTTGGATGTCCTGTTTGTTTGATGTTGATGGTATTCCTTTCTGTTAGTTAGTTTTCCTTGTAACAGACAGGCCCCTGAGCTGCAGGTCTGTTGGAGTTTGCTTGAGGTCCGCTCCAGACCCTGTTTGCCTGGGTATCACCAATGGAGCCTGCAGAACAGCAAATATTGCTGCCCGATCCTTCCTCTGGAAGCTTCGTCCCAGAGGGGCACCTGCCTGTATGAGGCAGCTGTCGGCCTCTACTGGGTAGTGTCTCCCAGTCAGGCTACACGGGGTCAGGGACCCACTTGAGGAGGCCGTCTGTCCATTATCGGAGCTCGAACGCTGTGCTCCAAGAGCCACTGCTCTCTTCAGAGCTGTCAGACAAGGACGTTTAATTCTGCATAAGCTGTCTGATGCCTTTTGTTCAGATATGCCCTGCCCCCAGAGGTGGAATCTAAAGAGGCAGTAGGCCTTGCTGAGCTGCAGTGGGCTCCACCCAGTTCTAGTTTCCCTGCTGCTTTGTTTACACTGTGAGCATAGAATCGCCTACTCAAGCCTCAGCAATGGTGGATGCCCCTCTCCCTGCCAAGCTCCAGCATGCCAGGTCTATCTCAGACTGCTGCACTAGCAGTGAACAAGGCTCTGTGGGCACAGGACCTGCTGAGCCAGGCATGGGAGGGAATCTCCTGGTCTGCTGGTTGCAAAGAGCATGGGAAAAACATAGTATTTGGGCAAGAGTGTACTGTTCCTCCAGGTACAGTCACTCACAGCTTCCTTGGGCTAGGAAAGGGAAATCCCCCAACCCCTTGTGCTTCCCAGATGAGGTGACCCCCCATCCTGCTTTGGTTCACCTTCTGTGGGCTGCACCCACTGTCCGACCAGTCCCAATGAGATGAATCAGATACCTCAGTTGGAAATGCAGAAATCACCCATCTTCTGCATTGATCTCCCTGGGAGATGTAGACCAGAGCTCTTCCTGTTCAGTCATCTTGGAAGCTCTCCCAAAGCAAGGATTTAAACTCAACTGAAAGTTGAGCAAAAGGTCTTACCTTTGTTCTTACTTTACAATAACATAAATAGTGGCCATAAAAATTGATTGATATGGAAAATCTTTCTTTATAAAGTAAGCAACAAAAATAAGCAATTGCTAATGCTGGTGGATAAATAAAAACAAAGTAAATACGTCTAAGAAGAATGATTACAAAGATCATTAGATATGTTTTAGAAGTACTTACAAAATTAGGGATTTGGGTATATGTTAGTGATTAAAATTATGATGCATATTTTAAGGAGATTCTCTGTAAATGATCCATAGATTCAGATGAATTGCATACTCACTGAGCAATTATTTTATTCTCTGGCACAATAATTATTCATCTCAAATTGGCAGAAAACAAAGTGATAATAGCTGTTTGTATAATGTAAAATTTAGAATAAAATATATATTGGAAGTCCTCCCTAAGTCTTTTCTCACATATATTGATAACTGTTGATATTATCTTGGATGATGTTACACATTGGTTCTCTTGATGTTTATGCATCAAGAAAGGTCAATAAATAAAAGTAAGTATTGCTCCTTGCTTGACTGAAATAGGGTTCCTAATACGTCTTTTATCTCATCTATCTATTTAAATGTAAATTTCAAATATTTGCCTTAAAGAACTTTGTCTTTTTAAAAACTTTTTTTCTTTTCTTGAGACGGAGTCTTGCTCTGTTGCCCAGGCTGGAGTGCCATGGCGCGATCTCCACTCACTGCAGGCTCCGCCTCCTGGATTCACACCATTCTCCTGCCTCAGCCTCCCGAGTAGCTAGTACTACAGGTGCCCGCCACCACATCTGGCTAATTTTTTTTGTATTTTTAGTAGAGACGGGATTTCACTGTGTTAGCCAGGATGGTCTTGATCTCCTGACTTCGTGATCCCCCCGCCTTGGCCTCCCAAAGTGCTGGGATTACAGGCGTGAGCCACCGCCCCTGGCCTTAAAAACTTTTTATTTTGAGTTAATTATAGAATTATATGCAGCTGTAAGAAATAATAGAGAGAAATCTGATGTGCTCCTTATTCAATTTCCCTCAATGGTAACCTTGAAAAAATATTATGTAATATAGTAGAATATCACAGCTAGGATATTGGTATTGAAAGGGTCAAGATACAGAATATTTACATATTGAAGCAGTTTGGTATTTTTGGAATAAATTTCATTTGTTTCAATGCATAAAATTCTTTTTATATGCAGCTGAATTATATTCGTCAATATTTTAAGAATTTTTACATATATGTACATGAGGGATATTGATCTGTCTCATTTTCTTGGCATCCTTTTATCTGGTTTCAATATTAAGGTAATACTGGATTTATAAAATGACTCAGAAATGTTCCCTTCTACATTCTGGAACAGATTGTATAGAATTTATGTTAATTTGTTAAATTCCTGGTTGATTCTCAAGGAAAACATTCTATTCCTTAGGATTTCTATTTTGGTAGTTTTAAAATTACCAATTCAATTTCCTTTACATTTATAGGGCTATTCAAGTTGTCTATTTCTTATTGGGTGAGTGGTATAGTTTGCGCTTTTTTAGGAATTAGTTCATTTCATCTAAGTTGTCAAATGTTATGTACATAGAGTGCTCATAGTACGCTTTTATTACCCTTTTGATGTCTGCAAGATCTGTATTGATATCCCTTTTTTGATTCTTGATATTGGTAATTTGTGTCTTTTCTCTTTTTCCCTTTTCAATCTTGCTAATTCGTCAATTTTATTAATATTTCCCAAAAACCAGCTGCTTGTTATATTCATATCCTGTATTGATTCCTGTTTTTAATTTCACTGCTTTCTGCTCCTATCTTTATTATTTCCTTCATTCTCTGTGCTTTGGTTTTATTTTGCTCTTCTATTTCTAGGTTCTGGAGTTTGAGTTTGTATTACTGACTTGAGACTTTACCTCTTTCCACATGTGTGCATTTAGTACTATACTTCCCCCTCTCAGCACAATTTTATAGTATGTCTGACAAATTTTGGTAAGTTTGGTTTTTAATTTTATTTATTTAAATGTATTTTATTTTCCTTAAGTCTTTCTCTTTACTCCTTGGGTTATTTAGAAGTGCTTTGTTTAGTTTCTAAGTGTTTGAAGATCTTTCCCTCATGTTATTGATTTCTAGTTTGATTCCATTGGGGTAGGAGAACACAGTCTGTATAATTCCAATCTTTTTAAATTTGTTGATATTTGCTTTATGGCTCAAGGGGCAGTCATATGTTTAGCATATGTTTTATCAGCACTTCAAATAAATATTTTTTGTTGTTGTTATTGAATGGAATGTTCTATCAATGTTGATTAGATTCTTCTGGCTGATGGTGTTAAGTTCTTTATCACTGCAGATGTTTTGCCTAGTCCTGTTGGTTAAACAGCAGTATTGAATTCTCCAACTGTAATTGTGAATTTGTCTATTTCTTCCTTTTAGCTCTACCAGCTTTTGCTTCACAAATTTTAAGCTTGTTTGGTGCATACACATTTAGGATTGTGATGTCTTCTTACTGGATTGACTCATTAATCTTGATAAAATGTGCCTCTCTTACTCCAATAATTGTTTTTGCTCTGAAGTCTATTTTATTAGATATTAATATAGCCACTTTAACTTTGTTTTGATTAATGTTTTATGATTTTTTCCATCCTTTAACTTTCACAAATATTGTTATATCTAAAGTGAATTTCCTCTAGGCTCAATATAGGTCATTTTTAAATAAAATCTAGTCTCCCAATCTCTTAATTGGTATTTTTAGACTATTCACATTTAATATAAGTATTATATAATGTTATGGCTTAAACCTATTTTTTTCCTGTTTGTTACTTTTCTGAATTTTTTGGTTCATTTTTCCTGTCTTCATTTGAGTTGCTTGAAAATGTTTACAAATTCCATTTTTATTTATCAAGTTTTTTGAATGTATTTCTTTGTATCACTTTATTGGTGATTTATCTAAGTATTACATTATTTTTACATAATTTATCTCTGCTGGCATCATCCTTCAACTAGTTCAAATTAAGTGTAAAACCTTATTTGTCTTAAATATTTATCTTATGTTCATTTAGATGAATGACATAAAATTTTATTTTTGTTTCAACCATTAAATCACAATTTAGAAAACTCAACAGAAGTCTGTTGAATTCCCTATATTTTTGCTTAAGAAAGTTTATTTTATCATTTCCCTTCTTCTTAAGAAACTTCTATTAACCATTTTTTTTTCAGGGCAGGTCTGCTTGGTGGTGACAAAATCTTTTCATTTTACTTCATCTGAGGAGACCTTGAGTTCTCCTTCATTCCTGAGTATTTTCCCTGGGCATAGAACACTGGGTTAACAGTTCATTTTTTTCAGCATTTGAAAAATGCAGTGCCACCTTCTGGCCTCCATAGTGTCAAAGGAAAGATCTGTCATTCATTTTTTTCCACAATAGATAAGATATAATTAATTTCTCACTACTTTGAATATTTGTTTTAGTTTTTAGAAGTTTAATAGTGATATATTTTGATGTGGATTGCTATGGGATTTATTAAATTGGGTTTAACTCTGATTCTTTAATTTGTAGTTTCTTTTGCTAAATTTGGGAAGTTTTCAGTCACTATTTCATTGAGTTCTTAGAACTGATTTTTCTCCCCTCTTTCTAGGACACTAATAACACAAAAGTTCAATCATTTTCATGTAGTTATTCAACTCTTTGAGCCTTTTTAATTTTTTTTCCAGTGTGTTTTCTGTTTTTCAGATTTGGTAATTTCTATTTTTCTATCTTCCAGTTCACTTATTCTTTCTTCTTTCCTCTCCATTCTGCTGTTGAACCTAGTATTGAGACTTTTACTTTGGTAACTGTATTTTTTAGTTCTAATTTTGTTTTGTTCTTTGTGATATCTTCCATTTTCTTGCGAAGTCATTCTATTTTTTTCATTTGTTTCAACTATGTTTATAATTATTCATTGAGGAATTCAAAAATGAGTGTTTTAAATCTATTAACTTGGTACAAACGTAATTGCGGTTTTCACCATTCTGTTCAATGGCAAAAACCACAATTACTTTTGCTTCAACCTATTATTTGAGATAATTTTAACATATCTGTTACTTCAGTGTTAACGTCTGCTGTCTTTTTTTTTTTTTTAATTCAAGGATGTAACTTTTCTTAGTATGATAAGGGATTATTTTCTGTTTTCAACCTGGACATTTTGGGTATTTTATGAGACTACAGATCTTATTAAATCTTCTGTTTTATAAAAGTTTATAATCTCAGCTGGGCGCAGTGGCTCACACCTGTAATCCCAGTACTTTGGGAGGCCAAAGTGGGTGGATCACTTGAAGCTAGGAGTTGGGAGCTAGCCAGACCAACATAGTGAAATCCTGTCTCTACTAAAAATATAAAAAAAATTAGCCGGGCTTGTTGGTGGGCACCTGCAATCTGAGCTACTCGGGAAACTGAGGCAGGGGAATCCCAGCTACTCTGGGAGGTGGAGGTTGCAGTGGGCTGAGATCACGCTACTTTACACCAGCCTGGACAACACAGCAAAGACTCCATCTCAAAAAAAAAAAAATGTATAATCTCCTGGCTTTCTCTGACTCAGCTCCAGCAGAAGGGAAACACTGCATTATTACTTTTAAGTAGCAATAGAAGTCCAAGTTCCCCACCGACCTGGCTCCCCACTAGGCCTCTACTGATGTCTTCCTTGCTAGGAGAGGTAAGAATACCCCTCATTACTGCTCCTCAACTACTTTCCCCTAATGCCATGGATTGGGTGGCCTAATTACCACTAGACAGTGCTAGAAGACCTAACTATCCAGTAGGCCTCCTCTGACAACAATCCAGAAGGGAAGAAAGGATTCCTCTTTTTACTGCCTGGTGGGGATAGAATTGCAGGTCCTCCACATTGCCTCCATGTAAAGTAGGAAGAGTGGTTAATTCCTCCCTGGTTGGAATGCAAACTGAGCCTTCTCTTACATCACCCTGGAAGGGAATTGAGGAGGCACCTTGTTATAGCCTAGTAAGGGTAGAAGTCTAGTCTCCCCAGTCAACTTTTGCTGACTTGGGTGGGGATTGTGCCTCAGTTTTTCTGTTTTTGAATTTGAATGAAATAGAGTAGTTACTGTTTAAAACTTTTCTGCACCTTTCTTTGTCATTTGACTAGAGAGAGAAGGCTTTTGTTGGTGTTTTTTTCTTTCTGTTTTGTTTTGTTTTACTTTTGTTTGTACCTCTGGGTGTTTCTAGGTTACAAGCTTCTTCAGCTCCAAATCTTGAATATATGAGGAAAATAAAACCCAGGGGACTCACCATCATACCGTGAGATCCCAATATTCCTAGCTGACCTGGCTTCTTCTCTTCACTATTTACATTCTTTCTGTTTCTTTTATATGCCATGTCCAGAGATTGTGGTTGTATTTAGAGGGACTAATAGAGAAAAGTGTACCTACTTTACCTTCCCAGAAGTAGAAGTCTGTGTTGTATACTTTTGTTATTGACAATCATGTTTCTGTTTTCCCACCAAAATTTCATTGTTTCACACAAGAATTTCTTTTAGATACCTACTCTGAGCAGAGTGGTTAGTGTTGGGTCATATACCAGAGGCAGGGTTGGGAGTTTATCAGAGTCCCCAGCTTTACTTTAGCAGGCTGAAGAAGGCTTTGTAGTGAAGTGGAATTTGTATCAGCCTTGGAGTCAGATGAATTTGGAATAGTAGACTTAACTATGGTTGTTATCAACCATGTGACTATCAGGTTCCCTATCCGTAAAATCAAGGGAAAACCTGTCTCATGGTGTAATTGCAAATTTCAAGTGATTTATTTGAAAATGTACAAGGTATCAGGTGCTCAACAAGTACTAATTTTGTTTTCTCTGTTGCTCACTTGTAATGTGGAAATGCAAGTATCTATTACTTTCTTACTTTAATATAGCCAAGCTTTTTAGATATCAAAGAAGTCTATTTATGTTATATGAATCAAAGGCTAATGATCAGACTTGCAAATTGAAAACAGGCCACTCCTTTTACACTAGAGATTTTACTAAACAGAAAAATCTTTTCATAGAAACAGCATCATTTTTTTCTGTCCTTGAGGTAAGAGGAGCTTGCAATGAAGAGAAGTATAAGCCATGAAATAACGAGTTTTTATAACCATATTTCTACAGTTGATTATAAAATCTGCTCCCCCTCCATTAATTATTACATCTTAAGAAAAGAAATGTGAATATAGTAACCAGCTATAGAGCAGAGCTGCCCTGTATGCCTGATCATAAAAATCATCTGAGGCATTTACTAAAATTAAAGTTTCCTAGGATCCAGCTATACAGTGTGTGTGTGTGTGTGTGTGTGTGTGTATTATGAAAATATATTCTAGTTTTGGCCATGAAACATTATCAACATCAACACGTTAGGACTGCCAAATTGGCGTATATGTAAAACCCTAAAACCAAGTGAACACTAATCACATCTGGAATCAATATATGTGCCAGATAATTTGTAATAGCCAATTAGATCACGTTTGGGAAACACAATGACCTACTATTTACTATAAAAAAAAAACTGCTTCATTTTCATAGCTCAACAGTGTGTGCTTTTACTGTGCAATTTTCATGCTGTCCCTCAACTTTCCAAATACTAGAAGGTTGTGTGTGGACCTCATTCTGTTGAGGGCCCTCAGGATGCACCCAATCCACTGTAGACAACCTCAACAGCCACCAGAGAGAGAAGCAAGGTGACTAATGTACCATTGCAGGAAAACACCTTTTACCCTGCCCCCACAAAAATAAGTGTGTGGGTGTGTGCTCTTTGTATTGATAATAAGGTTTAATATATAAATACAAATAATTATGTGATATATCTATATCTCCACACACACACATATATATATAACATTATTATATAAGTCACTGTGGCTCACTGGAGGTCATAAACACCCCCACTTCCACTGCCAGACCTACTGAACCAAAATCTCTAGAGGAAAGGCCTGATAATGTACGTTGTTAGCCACCATGTCTTTTTGGATTTCGCAAATGTGCCTTTAGATATCAACATTCTTTGACATTTCATCCTGAAAATGCAGAATTGTATTTGAAATTAATAAGGTCTTCCCAGATGCCCTTATTTTTAAAAAAGAAATTATTCTACAATCCCAATATTTTATTGCTTAACAAAATGGGGCCAACAGACCCCTTGAAGTCCCTGAAACTCTTTCAGAGGATTTGCAATGTCAAAACTATTTTCCTAATGATACTATGATGTGATTTTGCCTTTTTCTGTGTTCACATTTGCACTGATGGTGCAAAAGCAATGGTGGGCAAATCTTCTGGTGTCTTAGCACAAATCAAGGTAGTGGCAACCAAGTGTACTGTAATTATTATATTCTTCACCAGCCACAGACTTGCAGTAAAAATGAATAAATGCAAGTTTCACTTAATGTCCATAATGAAGCAAAACAATTTTTTAAACTATCTTTTTTTACATGCCTTTTTAATTTTCTGTTTCACAAAATGGAACCTACATATGCACTATTTATGCTGCATTCTGAAATATGTTCGTCTAGGGAAAAAACATTTGTGCCATTATTTGTGTTGAGAGCTGAAATAATCATGTTTCCCACAGGAAATCATTTTCACTTGAATGTAGGATTCAGAGATAAACTGGCTATTTAGACAGGCATTTGGCAGACTTCTTATGTGAACAAAGCAAGTCTGTCACTTAAACAGAAAAAAAAAGCTAATGGTATTTTTTTTCTTTTTTGCCAATGCTACAATTTGAGTTTTCAAGCAAAAATTTAAATTAAGAAAAATTGATAACATCATTATGAGCTTGTCAATGTCTTCATACTTAAAGATATTTCTGATGAGATTGGTGGTGATATTAATAATGTGATTTTGAATATTGTATAATGAGATATTTTAACATTTGGAAGATCACTTAACTGAGTATTTTACAAATGACCAATGCATGCTATTATAAAATCACTAATGGGTAAAATACTCATTCATGATGCTAGACAGATCAATGGACTTTAATGTAGCAAGGACAAAAAGTTCATTGATATGATTTCAGATTTGACAGTGTAATTAAACTCTGAGGAAATTACCATTTGTGAAGTTTTAGTATCAAAAAGAAAGGATCTACAATTATCTGAAAATGTTTTTAAAAATACTTCTCTCTATTCTGATTACATAGTTGTGTGAGGCTAGATTTTCATCAAGTTCTTCAACCAAACAATAAATTATAATATATTGAATGTAGAAGTAGTCAGATGTAGTGTGTTTTTAAAAAATATAAAGTAATCTCATTCCACTTAGTATTTTTGAAATATTAAAATTATATTATTTATACTATCACATAACAAATTAATTTTTTAAATAAATTAATACAAATATGCAAGATCTTTTTATTTCAGTTTTACAAATGAGAAGTAGTCATAAATATAACCCACATAAATAAAAGCTGGCAGAAATTTTTCATATATTGTAAGAGTTATAAATGGATTCTGAAACCAAAATAGTACAAATCATTAGTGTAGAAGATTACAAAGCAGTCCTATGTATGCATCAGACATTGTTAATTTGTCTTTGATACCTTGAAGTTAGGCCAGGTGTGGTGGCTCAAGCCTGTAATCCCAGCATTTTGGGAGGCTAAGGTGGTGGATCTCTTGAGGTCAGGAGTTTGAGACCAGCCCAGCCAATATGGAGAAATCCCATCTCTACTAAAAATACAAAAAAATTAGCGAGGCATGGTGGCACACACCTATAGTCCCAGATACTCGGGAGACTGTGGCTTGAGAATCCTTTGAACCCGGGAGGCAGAGGTTTCAGTGAGCCAAGATTGCACCGTTGCATTCCAGCCTGGGCTACAGACCAAAACTCCTGAAGTCTTTTAACTCGTATTTGTTTAATAAATGCATAAAATAGAGTTATAAATTTTATTTGCAATATGTATTGCTAATGTGTAGTGATATTTTTCCCAAGACTTATCCCAAGGAAGTGAAATGTCTATATGTCTTAATGCCTGACTCTATACTTAGAAAAGGTGTATTATTATTTTGCTCCATAAAGATCTTCTAGGACCCTCAATTGAATTCTTGGAAAATGACATTATCCCTTTTAAATAGCCATTTTCCACAGCAGTGAGTTCAAATCATGAAAAATTAAACAAAAGCTCTTTAGCTTGGATAAATACACATCATGAAGACTGACAGCCTATGCTAAATTATAAGAGAAGTTGAGAAGACTATTGAAGATTACAGAGAAGGTGGCAGGAGAAAAAGGGAAACATTTTTTGTGTATGTAATAGGAGCTAGATGTACATAAATTCTCATGATAACCTGAGCATGTAATTATTGAAGAAATTTTATAAATGAGGAAGTAGATGCCCAGAATTTTAGAACTGATACTGAAATCCAGTTCTATATGTCTTCAATATCAGTGTTTTCATTGACCCTAAAGGACTCTGCACTAATCTGGGAAGTTTCTCTCTTTCTCTCTTTCCAGTGAATCTTCCTAAGACAGTACTTGCCATAAGATAATACCTGCACCTTTTAATTCAGAGTGAAGATGACACAAGGCTTACATAAATTCACTTTACTTTGTCAATATTCATATTTGGCATGAACAATAAATTGCATATGCCAGTACAACTAGATTCCTCAGGGATCTAGAACTAGAAATACCATTTGACTCAGCCATCCCATTACTGGGTATATACCCAAAGGATTATAAATCGTGCTGCTATAAAGACGCACACATATGTTTATTGCGGCACTATTCACAATAGCAAAGACTTGGAACCAACCCAAATGTACAACAATGATAGACTGGATTAAGAAAATGTGGCACATATACACCATGGAATACCATGCAGCCATAAAAAAGGATGAGTTCATGTCCTTTTTAGGGACATGGATGAAGCTGGAAACCATCATTCTCAGCAAACTATCACAAGGACAAAAAACCAAACACCGCATGTTCTCACTCATAGGTGGGAACTGAACAATGAGAACGCTTGGACACAGGGTGGGGAACATTACACACCGGGGCCTGTCATGGGGTAGGGGTAAGGGGAAGGGATAGCATTAGGAGATATACCTAAGGTAAATGATGAGTTAATGGGTGCAGCACACACCAACATGGCACATGTATACATATGTAACAAACCTGCATGTTGTGCACATGTACCCTAGAACTTAAAGTATAAAAATATATATATATATATGAGAAAAAAGTTACCTTTTGAGTAAAATGAGTGGAATGAGCTTATAATGTAAGGACAGAGACTGTCTCCTAAATTTATTAGAATAATTACTTTGCTGAGAATGGTGCTTTAGTTTAATCAATGAAATGTCCTAGGACTGTTGTGAGGACTAAATAAGATAACATGTGAGGAGTATTAATGTCTGGCACATAGGAATTCTTATTGTTATTATCAGGATTATTGCCTGATCAGAATACCAATGTGGTTATCAAGGTGGTAAATCTGGGGGATTAATTAAAACAGGCCCGGAAAGGTTTTCCTGGTCTGGCAATCATCTTTCAAAACCTTCTGCCTCTCTCGGAGTCAGGGTACACCAAACTACTGAGTTTCTGATTCCCTCAGAATTAGTGAGGAAGATACTAGGGAAATAGTTTAGCCTTCCAATTACTAGAATGCGTCACTCCATGTTAACTATCTCCTTGGCTATCTAGTTTATACAATTAGTGTCAAATGAATTTATTTTTTGAATCTGTGTGACCTTTTTTTTTGTTGTTGTTGTTGCATGAACTAAGGAAGTCCATTTCTCAGGCAGGAAGACTGAAAACTAGATTACCTATGGAGGCTTCATTGTAGTTTTCCAGCTGGCTTTTCTCTGCAAATACACACACTATTCTTGTTTAAATGTCATTAAAAATTTCAAAACTTCCCTTGTTTCTCATTAAAGCCCACAGCTCATTTACCACTCTGTAGATTGCTCCTTAAAAAGTCCTTGCATGTGAAGTGGTGAAATAGTTCCTAGTGAAGTGTTTGATAGTGACATTGAAACAAAAAGAGCTGAAGGGCTGCAGAAAAAAAGTTAAGGTTCTAGAGAAGGAAGCATAATATCAGCTTTATAAGTGCTGTTATATGAAGAGAAATTACATTTTTAAAATGACGTATAGCTTACTAGGACAAAAACAAGGACCAATTGTTAGAAATCAATCACAGATGTGTCAGAATCATCCTGAACTTGTTGCTTTCCTTGCTGCCTTACAGTCAGTCACCGAGAGCTTCTGATTCTGTATACTAACCAACTCATCTTCATCCTCATTCTCACTACTTTAGATCAAGCTCTCATCCATGACTCCCCCCAATAGCTCACTGATTATCTTTCTGCATTCTACTAATGCCACTAACATCATATCTTTTGAAGTATAGGTAGGATAATATCAATTCCTTGTTTAATAACCTATCACAACTACCCTTGTCAATGGCATGTTTTCAAGGCAAATTTTTCAGACATACTTTTGAAGATAAGAATGTTATGGTTTTTAAACATTGGGTTTTTATGGTGATGACAGCTAACATTTAATGTATTACGAATGAATTTATAACTCTTTAAAAGTGAAGATTTGAAAGAATCTTAGAATAAACTTCAGTTTCTTAATTCTGTAGGGATTTGTGAACATATTCCTAGAGGCCTATAATGTGTTTTTTTCCTTCAAGAAGATTGAGAGACACTGGTATACACGGATTTTTCTAAACTCCTTACATCTCTTGTTATTTCCCACTACAAACTCAATATTCTAGCCACGTAGAACTTCTCATTTTTTGGTAACTCATCTCACACTTTCACACCTCTGTGTCATTGCATATGTTGTTCCCTCTGCTGGAAATGCCTCTCCTCCTCTTCTCTGCTCAGTGAGCAGTTACTGATATTTCAAGATCCAATTCTATTTTCACCTCCTTAGGAAATATTTCTGGTGTATCTGGGTTCCTACCTCATTTTATATCAATTACCATTTTATGTATTTACGTGGAGTTTCTTCACTTGATGGTGAGCTTTTCAGTAAGATAAGCTGTGTAAGTCATCTTTGTATTTTTTTGTACTTCCATAGTATACCATAATACCAGGTTCATGGATGGCTCTATTTAAGTCGAATGGAATTAGATTTTGGTTTAGCCTAAAGAACTTCATGTTTTCCCTTGTGGGGTAGGTTTTCCCTTGATGGGTCACATGGTGGTGTTATCCCAATGGGCATCTTAGCATAGTGTGGGATGTCGGACTGAATATACTGAGAAGTCTCCTCCAATAGTAAGTTTCCATAGTCATAAACTGCATTTGTTAGAAGGGGGTGGTTTGAAACAATATATGATCAACCAAGATTGACTTGGTCCTACCTATGATTAATTTGATTTTACACTATTCTTGGTATATGTAAGTTTTACAATGAAGGTAGTTTTCTTTTATTTATTGATTTATCAGTCTGTCAGCCAATACTTAATGAGCACCTACTATAGGCAGCCACTGTGCTCAGAATTGGAAACACACCATTAAACGCCAAGAAGTTGTTCCTTGTTCCTGTCTCCTTTTTCCCTTTTGGGTAACAGAAGATACCTTTGTTCCTGCTGTCACCTCATTTTTGAAACTTGTCCTGAAATCCTATCTGTCTCCAGAAACATTATTTATTTTTGGTTCTATCTTCATGAATTTTCCATCCTCCCCTTTCCCTTATTTTTCCACTAAATGTAGGCCATTATAATATATTTTCTCAGGACTCACTGTAAACTTACTTTGTTAAGCTAATTGCCAGAGAAGTTAATGATTGCTAAGTTGTCAGTAACTAACCACAGCTTAACACAATACTGTTGTGCCCTTTGTTGAAAAAATGTTCTAACTACCTTACATGTATTGCATCATTTAATTCTTTGAATCTTATACATTATTATTGTTATCCACATTTTACATATGAGAAGTTAAATAACATACCCAAGGTCACACATCTAGGAAGTGGTTGAGCTAGGATGTAATCCTAGTCAGTTTGATTACTTTTAACCAATTCATTGAAATTTCAGTCCCCATGTCCCATTCTCCAACAGTGCTATTAAAAAAATAAATAAAAGAAAAAGTAAACAAAAAATCTCTTGTAAACTCTGAAATACAGGACATAATGGATAGAGAGTTTCATGAGAGAAAATTTCTGTTTTAATGTGACAACTGACACTGCACAGGGTCCCCTATTTAACCTAATCAGAAAACTTCTTATAATACAGACTTATTTTTCTTTGCTTTATCTAGAAACATGAGGTTTTTATTTTATTTTTATTTATTTATTTATTTATTTATGGGAAGAGTCTCACTCAGGCTGGAGTGCAGTGGCATGATCTAGGCTCACTGCAGCCTCTGCCTCCTGGGTTCAAGCGATTCTCCTGCCTCAGCCTCCCAAGTAGCTGGGATTACAGACATGTGCCACCATGCCTGGCTAATTTTTGTATTTTTAGTAGAAACGGGGTTTCTCTATGTTGGCCAGGCTGGTCTCAAGCTCCTGACCTCAGGTGATCCACCTGCCTTGGACTTCCAAATTGCTGGGTTTACAGGCGTGAGCCACCACACCCGGCCATGTGGTCTCTCTTACACAATTCACAAATTACACATCTTCACTATTTCAGCAATGAAATCTAAGAGGAAAGCTGAGTTTACTTAAATAACTTCAGTAGACAAAAATAAAACAGTTCCTTTGTCCTAGCAATGACTATGAATATTTTGTTCCATGGGAAGTGCATTATACACTTCTCACGAGACCAAGAAAGAAAAGGAAGCAATAACTTTGAGGTATAATCAAAAGTAACAATTCCATTTCATATGCATTTATTGAGAGAGCAGAGTATAATTTTGACATTTGCTCTCCTCTCAAGTCCTACTGTCCTCACTGCTATATTCACTTGTGTACTCCTTATAGACCAAGACACCCCACATCCCTGTCCTATTCATGATGTGAGATAAAATGTGTCTCTCTGGTGAGGAAAACTTGCTTCCGAATCTTGATCTTGAGTTTCCTTCCCAATGAAAGAAAACATTACTCCTTGGAGTCATGGCTAATTTCAGGCCTGGAGCATTGTAGGTACAAGATGCTCTAGAATAATTTGCTTACCAGAGAGAATGTGTGTTTTAAAAAATGTGTATATGAAATGGAGACATAAGAACCAGCTTGAAGGTGTACCATGGGCAAATTCTGGAACCATTGGAACACAAAGATAATTAAGCACATCAATGAGTTATACACTATCAAACAATGGAAAGCCTTTACTCCATACCATTAATATAGATAGATGATAGATAGATAGATAGATAGATAGATAGATAGAAAAAATGGAGGATTTTTGCTAATAGTAGAATCCTGAATATTGGCTAATAAATTTAAAAGCAGTGCTGAAGTTGAAAAATCATAAATTTGTAACCATCGACGATGCCAACTGTAGAAGAAATTGTGATAAGAGGTGAGGTATTTGCATAGTCTTAAAATGTCTCCATGTAGACAGTTTATTAAACAAGGGGAAGAAATAATTATACAGTGGGAAAATTGGACCACATCTGGAGTAGGTGATTAACATCACCAACGTGAGACAGATGGTCATGATGTGCCTCCAGATGTGACACCATCTCAGAAAGATGCATAATCACCTATGTGGAATTTTGGCTAATAGTGCATTACCTGGATCTAGTCATGAAGAAATATTAGATACACTCAAAATGAAGAATGTTCTATTAAAAAAATGAGGAGGAAGAGGAGGAACTATATCCTCCAGAGCTGTCAAGCACATAAAGACACATATGTACAAGGTTATGGAAATATTTCAGACTAAAGAACCATGAAAACTAAATGCTATTTGATCCTAGACTAGATTCTATTTTGGAGAGGAAAAATACTGAGGATATTATTATATCTAATTTTAAAAACTGATATACAGTAGATTTGATAAAAGCATTATATCAATATAGAGTTTACTGAAGTTGAAAACTGTTCTGTGGCTATATGAGTCTATTCCTATTCTTAGGAAATACACACTAAAATATTCAGGGGTAAAGAGTTACAGTCTATGCAATTTACCCTTAAAATGGCTCAGACTGGGAGAGAGAGAGAGAGAAACAGGATACAATGTAAGTAAGTTTGGGTAAAATATATATTCATGTTTTTTGTATTGCTTTTATTTTCACAACATCTCTGTAAGCTTAAAATTATTGCTGAATACAAATTTAAGAAAAAATAATTTTAAAATGTGTACCTGGTAAAGAAAAGTTCTTCTTAGCAGCTGAGCTTAATGGTTTCTCACATTTTCTCTCATGACATGGACTTCATACAACAGGCATGGATAAGGTAAGTGGTGGTTTAGATGCAATTTGAAAGATTCTAGCTATTATTTACATACTCGGTTATCAGATACTTACCGAACGACTGTGTGCCAGACAATATGCTATGTTGCATCTGTTTGCTTCTCACACACTTTGCCTACTAAAGTGTGTAAGAATGAGAATAAATTATGGGAAAAAATAATTTACAAACATAAATTATTTGTAGTAGCAAATTATTTGTAGTAAATCTGCTGTTCCCTCCTCACCTGTGTGTATTAGACTCTCACTTGAAAACCACTGGCTGAGTTGACACATCTTGAGCCACTTTTTTTCTTTGACTTGAGACCCTAGACGAGTGATGTTCCCCTGCCTTATTTCTGCAACTAACCCATGCTTCTTAATAATAAAATATATGCTTTGTCACTTATGGCTGAAAAAACAGCAAAATGCTCCAGTTTCCTTAAAGATGTAGCTTCGCTTTGCAATGTCATTAATATCAGCATTCTGAGTACTGTTGTTAATCCCTGAAGAGTCCAGTGGGTCACCCAATCCTCCCAGATGGTGACTTTGAAATTGTGTACCTTAGATTTGTTATATAGGCTCTGAGATTACCTGGCATTATGTCTTGCCTTCTTATGTCAAAAGACCAAACTGGTATTGTCCACTTTAAAGAAACTCTCAACCCACTGTTGATTATCAGAGTGCAATGGAAAGAACTTGGACTTTGGTACTTGATAAAGCTGGGGGCAGATTATCTCCACCACTTTTCAATGGGAATCAATAACCAAAAGATGAATATCTCTGATAATGTTTCCTCCCTTAAAAGTGGGAATAATAAATACAATCTTCCTCAGGGGATAGTTATTAGAATTGAGTGAATTAATGCCATACAAAGTGTTTGACATGGTGTTTTGGATACGGTGATTACTTTAAAAAGTTAATCATGAATATTACCATAGAAGAATAAACCTAATTTCTATTTTCATAGCTGGAAAACAGAATTCATCTTTAGGATGAGACTTGCCTTGCTTCAATTGATTCTGGATGTAAGACCCTGAGATTATGGTTTTGAATAAAACAGGGAAATGAATGAAACAGTAAAACCACTCTGCACAGTACAATAATAAAAGTTGGGGTGTAAAACAATGACAAAAAGGAAAAAAAAAGAACAAGTCAAGGAGAAAGGATTACAAAAGAGAGGAAAGTTTTTCTACATGTTAAGGTGTCACAGGCCTTTTAGGAGCTGCGATGTCTAGTGTTAAATTTTGAGTTGTCTGCCTTGCCACAAGTCAGTGCCTATGTCTTCCCCAAACTCCTGGTAAATTTGTGACTTGATTGAGTTTTTTTTTGTTTGTTTTTGTTTTGTTGTGTTTGTTTGTGATTTTGTTTTCCTAATGCAAATTTATGTGAGTGAAATGGGTTTCATGACTGAGTCAGCTATAAGCAGAAAAGAATGAATCGATGTTTGAATGCAAAATGCAAGCAAGATGAAAACATTTGTAGGATAAATATTTAGGAGTTAGAGAAGATCATGAGATGTAATCTCTGATGAAGAACAGAAAACTTAAGGGATAATGAGAGGGAGGCTTTACCTATGTGCTGTGTCCTTATTACAGTTAAATGAATGAACTTACCTCAAAGAACCCACTGCCTAGAATATTTTAAACAGGAGAAAACTAAAACACTAAAACGTAGGAAAATAGTATCAGTCCACAGACTTATATCTGAAATTCCACAATACAAAATGTTCTGGAAATGAAATTAATTTTTCTCTTTTAATGGAAAAAACTGACTTTACTCACCATTAGGTTGCCTATTGCCTGTATTTATTACCATGATGAATATATTCATATATTTCACTAAAGCTGCTACTGCTGCTTCTTCTGCTTCTGCTGCTGCTTCTTTCCTCAGAGTCTCTCACTTTGTTACCGAGGCTGGAATGCAGTGACACAATCATAGCTCACTGCAGCCTGAAACTTCTGAGTTCAAGTGATCCACCTGTCACAGCCTCCCAAGTAAACTGGGATTACAGGCATGAGCCACCATGCCTGGCTCCTGAAGCTAACACGTTGAATTATAACGTGCTGACCAGTGTCAGCTAGGGTCATTGTCGATATAAGTATATACAACACATATTCTTGGTCAACTCAGAAAATTCTGAATTCTCAAATACCTCCTAGGACTTTGGATAAGAGACTGTAAATATGAATTCAGAAAAAAAATTAAAAGTGAAAAGAAAGAGATTACCTTCCAGTGTATTTCTAAAGCTGAAATTGGCAGCTTTATCCATGGAACCAGATTCATATTGGGTCAAACTCAGGCAAAATTCTACATCAGCTGAAGAGGGGAGCCTTGGGGTTCTGGATTTGTCATGGTTTCCAGGATTACGCCGTAAAGGTCCCTCGGGCGTTCCATTGCATAAAGACTGATGGCTGTTGTACTCCTCCAATCGGCTACAGACAATCTGTACAAAACACCCTCATGTTAAACAAATTGTCACCACCACTGAGTCAGTAGGAGAAGGCAGAAATGTTGGAACTCCTAATTATCGTTGTTAGACTTCTCCTGAGGAGATTACTACAATCATGTGTCTTTAATGACAGGGATATGTTCTGAGAAATCCATCATTAGGTGATTTTGTCATTGCGTGAACATCATAGTCAGTGTACTTGCACAAACCTAGAATGGTATAGCCTACTAAACATCTTGGCTGTTTGGTAAAACCTACTGCTCCTAGGCTACAAATCTGTCCAGCACATTACTGTACTGAATACTATAGGCAATTGTAAGATAATGGCAAGTATCTATACATCTAAACCTATCTAAACATGTAAAAGGTACAGTAAAAATACAGTATAAAATTTTTTTTTAAATGGCATACTTGTATATACAGGACACTTACCATAAATGGACCTTGCAGGACTAGAAGTTGCATTGGGTAAGTAAGTGAGGGAATAAGGAGTGAATATAAAGGCCTAAGATACTACTCTACACTACAGTAGATTTTATAAACACTATATATATATCGGCTACATTAAATTTATAAAAATATTTTTCTTTTTTAATGATAAATTCACCTTAGCTTCCTGTAACTTTTTTACTTAATTTTTTAAAACTTTTTGAGTCTTTTGATAATAGCACTTAGCTTAAAACACATATTGTACAACTGTAGGAAATATTTATTATATCCTTAGCCTATAAGCTTTATGCTATTTAATTTTTTACTTATTATAAACATAATTGAAATTTCGTTAAAAACTGAGACACAAGCATACACACTAGCATAGGCCTACACAGAGTCAAAGTTGTCAATATCATTGTCTTCCACCTCCACATCTTGTCCCACTGGAAAATCTTCAGGGGCAATAGTACACATGGAGCTATCATCTCTATAACAATCTCTATAAAACATCCAGGCGTTTTGTGGAACACCTCCTGGAGAGCCTGCCTGAGGCTGTTTTACAGTTAACTTACTTTTTTATAAGTGGAAGAAGTACATTCGAAAATAATGATAAAATATAGATAGTAAATACATAAACCAGTAACATAGTTGTTTATTATCATTATCAAGTATTATGTAGTGTACATAATGCTATGTGCTAGACTTTTATACAAGTGGGATTTCAGTAGGTTTACACCAGCATCACCACGAAGACATGAGTAATGCATTGTGTATAATATTATGACTGCTATGATGTCACTGGGTGACAGGAATTTTTCAGCTCCATTATAGTAGTGTGGGACCTCTGTCATATATGTGGTCCATCCTTGACAGAAATGCCATTGTGTGGCATACTACTGTATTTTAGAATTAGCTTTTTGAAGGTTACAGAATGAGCCATAAAAGTTAAAACCTGGAACAGGATTCTAGTGTTGCATCTACCACTTAAGAAAATGATTTAACTGTCTAGGCCTCATCTATCAAATGAAGATAATAACAACTACCTCACATAGTTATAGAAAATAAAATATTTATTAAACACCTATTATATATTAAGCACTGTGCCAAGTGCTGAGGCTGGGGTTGGTAACAATAGAGATAGGCATCTTACTGTATATAAAGCCCATAGCACATGGCATGACCAACAGAAAACACTCAATAAACAGTAGCTTTAAAAACATTAATCTATATTATATTCAGAATGTCAAGGACTAGAAATAGTTTCATTTTGTGCTTTTTGTTCATAAAATATCCTATTATTGTCCCTTTTTTTTTTGATGTGCAGTACAATACTCGTGGTTGATTGTTTTTTAAGAAAAGAAATTTCTCTGATCCTTTAGCTAGAACCAAGGTGATTTTCATTGTAGAAATACCGTCTTAAAAATAAGAATTTCTCACCTTTCTATAAGCAAAACTTTTTAAGAAAACACGGCACATGCATTGTTTCATTTACATCACAAAACAATACATTTCGCTTCACAAATAAGGAAAATGAGACTCAGAGAGGGTAAGTGGCATTTCTCAGGTTATATGGCAAATAAATGGCAGTGTTGTGATGGCAACCCAAGTTTTCCAACTTCATCTTTAGTGTATTTTGTGCTTTTATAACTAGTCTAGCAGAACTCAACATTAAAAAATTTTTAAAAGTAGGTTCTAGGTTAAAATAAAATAGAGAGTTCTAGTCCTGTATCTCAGTTGTGGCTGACAACAGGATGTTGTTCTTTGTTGGTTTCCCTAAACCTTGATCAAATTTTTCTAAATAAACTGTCTTAATATAACTTGGTTTGGGTATCTATTTCCTACTGAGATCCTGACTGATGCAAACATTATTTCCTACTGATCTTTCCCTTTCCCTCTCTTCTATAACTTCACTGGCCTCTTTGCCCTTCCCAAAACTCACCAATCACTCTTATGCAACATGTTCCTGTACTGGTTATTTTTTCTGGGTAGACTGTTTTCCCTTGATACCTGCTTGGGTTATTCATATCTTCATTATCTTAATGAAATCTACACTAAACATCTATTTAACATCATATTCAGCCTTACCCACTTTAGCAGTGTTGTAGAGCTGGTTAGCACTAGCTAGCAAAAGTTCAAAGTGTGTAACCCTTCTCAATATTAGAATGTTCAGCAGTATCCCATCATTAGATGGAAATCTACCATTGTCAGTATTTACACCACAACAATTGGCAAATCAGAATCATCTCTCCCTACTTTCCCACTCCTCCATTGAGAACAAGTTATTAAACATTTACTGTACACCACTAATTTCTGCTTTATCTGTGCACTTAGCACCTTCTAACAAACTATGTAATCAAAAGAACTCTCATAGAATGATTGATTTATTGTTGCTGCTTTTCAAACCGAAGTTTTAAAATGTCTATGTGTCAGGCATTATACCAGAATACAAGAATACATACTGAACACGATAAACATAGTTTTTATTTTTATAGAGTTTACAGTCTAATAAGTATGGTCATGAAGATTTAATGTCTATACCATATTGCCTTATTCATTGACTTAAACATTTTTAATAAGTATTAGCATTTTAAGTATTGAGTACTTTATGTAACTTACCTTCTAGTGGAGTAGGTCTAGGAAGTGTGAGTGGGTGAGACAGTAAAACAATATATATAACTTATTATATTTTTTAACTCCTTTAACTTTTTTAAATAAAATATTATATATAATGTTTTACTGTCTCACCACACACACTTACTAGACCTACTCCACTAGAAGATAAGTTACATAAAATACTCAATACTTAAAGTGCTAATATTTTTGTAAATGAATTTTTAAATCAATGAATAAGGCAATATGGTGTATATATTTAATCTTTATAAACATACCTGTTAGGTGATAAACTCTATCAAAATATAAACTGTATCCTATTCACTATGTATTATTGTGTAATGGTATGGTGCCTGACACAAAGACATTTGAAAACTTTGGTTTGAAATTCAATAACAGTAAATCAATTATTCTATGAGAGGAGTTCTTTTGATATTTCCATCTCATCAATGAGAAAACAGGCTTATAGAGGTTAAGTGGCTTCATCAAACATTTATAGTTTATAAAACGGGGGGAGTTAATATTTGAATATAGACTACATGATTTAAAGCTTAAATCTTAGCAAGTATCTTAAATGAAAATTCCATTTCCTGGCTACCCATTCCCACATAAAGGCACTCTAGTCATCTTCCCCTGTCATCTCTTGGCCAATGAGTTTGTTATGAACCTTCAAAGACTCCATATTATAAAATCCAATTATCCCTGCAAGTCCCCATGTTAAGATAGCATTAGGCACAGTTGACCACTTTCATTTTCACAAAACACATTCCTCTATGTACTGATTTCTATAATCACATCCCCTTTGATTTTTGCCTTTCTCTCTTGCTGTTACTACTTGGTGTGTCCTACTAGCTCTTCCTCGTCTGTCTTACCTGTAAATATTGTGGTGCTCTAGGCAGGACTGGCTATGCAATTTGCAGCACCAGATAAATGTTGAGGCCTTGGCTGGGGGTAGGGAAATCAATATTCACTTTCTCAATCTACAGGGAATAGGTATCCCACAGTCTCAGTCTATAGTGAATAGGTGACTCCCTAGGGATTGAAACCTCCATGCTAAGACTTGTTTGAGTAGGTGGGTAGATTAGTTCAGGCTGCCATAAGAAAATACTACAGACTGGGTGGCTTAAACAGCAGACATTTATTTTCTCAAAGTTCATGAGTTTGGAAGTCCAAGATCAAGGTATCTGCTGAGGCCTCTCTTATGTCTTGCAGAGGAAACCTTTTCTCTGTCTTCACATTGCCGTTTCTCTACGCATACACAAAGAAAGAGATGGCTCTGTCTTTTTTGTCTTCTTATGAGGACATCAGTACTGTTGGATTAGGACCCCACTGTTAATGACCTCACTTAACCTCAATTACTTCCTTAAAGACCTACCTCCAAATAGTCACACTGGAAATTAGGGATTCAACACACACATTTTTGGGAGACACAATTCAGTCCATAATACTGGCTGAGAGGTCTATATGTAATCACCTGTGCACCGTGCTAAGGTGCAGCCAGCCTCGGTAGAGAAGGCCTCTGTTTTACTCTGAACCAACAAATCATGGGATCAACACCCAACCTCACACCTCTTTTTGCTTGCACCAAGGACCCCACCAGGGATGGAGAGTGACAGTGAAATGTTGACCTCTTTCCTCCCACCAGTGGCCTTGGGCAGAGGGTGAGGAGGTGGAAACTAGGTAGGGCTGGTGGATGGGTAGTGGTAGCCAAGACCCATCCCAGGAAAACAAAGAACAAAAGGTCTGCAGGATGCATATGAACCAAGCATATGCTCCATTGTCCCTATAACTTCACTTATAAAGCACAAACCCAAAGATAAGATTAATAAGAATTTCAACACCAAGACCACAGATCATTAAACCTCAAATGTAGGGTCTGCTTCTGAGCATGGAGCATTGTGCGATGGCACTGCTTTTATATTGGCAATTCTACCTCCAAAAAATATCTCGAGTCAGGCAACCATTCTCCATGTGCTCACATCCTGTGTGATCCTGCTGCTAAAGTCAGATGGCCTACTTTCTCTGGACACTGCTTGTGCTTCTCCATTCCATGACTCTGATTGTGGCTAAGCATGCCCACTCTTTGCCATGCATCTAATATCCTACCCATTCTTTAAGGCCAAAGCAAATAATTAGTAAAAACAGGCATTGTTGACTCTGACTTTAAAAGTAACTCAAAAGGGGCTGACTCTGAATGTAAAAACATTTCAGGAATCCTTCACCAAATTATTTTTCTTGTAGTTTCATTTATATGGAGGCAGAAGAATAAACTATGATAAAAATATGTGACTACGTAAGCCAAAAAGGGCTTTTAAGATAAATATATTTTTTTATTTTTCTTAGTGGTACATAAATGAATGCATCACTTAAATTCATTGATACCTTAGATTTAATAAAATAGAGTAATTAGGTAGTGAGAGATACATTCGAAGCAAAAGATGAAATTCAGGAGAGTCCACCCTGCCGTCATTGACTGTTCACAACAGGTGCATGCTTCCGTGGGAGGCTTGGGGCCACTAGGGAGATAACATTGTTCTTTACCCAACTTACACTTACTCATTTTCGTCTCTAATAAACAATGATTGTTACGTCCCTTATAAAAACGCATCCTTCATGAAGACACATTTATTTTCACATTGTTGTTTATTTCTTTTCTCTCAGAATCTAGTACAGTTTCTAGCACCCTGTTGATGTGCAGTAAGAATTTGTTGGATGAATGAACAGAGTCAGTGGATGAGCCAAAGAATCTCCTACAAAAAGTATGTGTTGAGTGCTCATTTTTCTTGGTCATGTTGTTGGTACCACCTTTACCATAGAATATATTTCTAGAACTTATTTTTTTAAACCTATATTGAGTCACTACTCTGTCCTAGGCCATAAGGGAGATATCTCCATATACATTAAAATTAGAAATTCTCACAACTACCCTGTGGATTTTTATGATTTTATCTCTATTTTCATGATGAGGATACTAAGCCAGACTGTGGAAGACTACAAAAGGCTAACGGGATATAAAGACCCATGTTATGATTTATAATTTTGTGAACAGTAGGCGAGACGTATAGAATAATAATTTGAAGGTAAAATGTCTTCCCGGTCAACTGTTTGCATCACATTTGAAAATAATCAAGACTATTTTATTGGTCCTCCTATCCCACTGAATTTGCTATCTATAAGCATGTATAAACAAATGTAGTCATCTCAAATAGAATTGAATGGGCAGTCCCCCCACCATAGATGGCTGCTACTGTGTTAGATAAGAAATGCTTAGAGAACCTACTCTTAATTTTTGGTCACTAAGACATAACTTAAGAATTTATGCATTGTGTGGTAGAGAAAAAATTGGGCTCCGTAATACAGGTAGATGCAACTTCAATTCTGGCTAATTTTCTTACTGGCAATGAACATGTTTTTTAGACTTGCTAAATCTCAATTTTTTTAAACTGTACTATGACATAATATACGAAAAGAAACTATTCAACAAATAATTTCTGTTTCAACAAATGCCAGTTTCTAGTTTGCCTTATACCTCATAACGTTCCTAAATCCTTTTATCCATATATAATTGAGAACTAGAACTGTTGAGTGACTTGTCTTAGGGCCATATGATATTTAGAGTCAAAACCAAAGCACTGAAACACAAGTTTCCTTATTCTGAAGCAATACCCACTACATTAATTATGACGTGTTAATGGCTTAGGAATGGTTGAATAAAACTAACCTAACTTTTACATTGAATGTAATATGTTGGATGCTTTTATAATTTGGGTTAACTGGACGCTACAAGTATGTAGACTAAATCATTTTTATTCCTCTTTGAGTAATCTCAGGATATTTTCAAAAGATCCTGCTGCCTTAAAGACTCCTACAGCCAACTCAGTTAAATTAGAGAGGCTTGAATGAAACTATTTTTGCTGAAATGCCAACTGCCAAGTGACTAAGTGTTCGGATGACTGGAGGTATTACTAACGAGGAGAAAATCTACCCTGGTTCCAGAAATAATTTGAAAAACTCCAAACCTTAGTCTTTACACTGCATACAGGAGAGGAGGCAGGCTAGGAGAAATTATATTAGCATTGTGCTTATGATCATGAAGATTCTAGTCAGAAAGACCTGGTTTCCAATACTGACCCTATTAGTTACATGGCCTTGGGCAAGTTACTTAAGCTCTCTGGGTATTAAGTTTTTTCATCTGTAAATGGGAATTATACGTTTCTATCAATGATCAAATAATCTAACATGTATAAAGCACTTAGCATAGTGCCAAGTGTAAAGTGTTTAATAATGACAACTATCATAATTATTTTTGAAAACAAGACCATTGGGCAGGTCACCAAATTGTTTTTAACTTTGGGTGTATAACACTGTTTGAATATTCATTATTATATCTAACTTTGATGTATCATTTAAAAATATATTATTTCCACACATGAAACTCAAACAATAGGTCAGATCCTAAACAAGCCATATAAACACATCTTATTGAATCCCTTCACAGTAATGCTTTAACCTATATTATTCTAATTTTAGGGACAAAAATCGTCTCAGAATAATTAAGTAACTTAGGGTCTTGTAGCTAAGTAAGTATGAAAGTTCACTCAAATTCATGCTGATGTGACTGAAAAGACTATACTCTTTCCACTACATTATTCTGTTTCCCATTCCATTTAATCCTCCTATTAGCACACACACAAAACATGTATAGATGGTAATTCTACCTCATTTTTTTTCTCTTTGGAAAAAACAAAGGTCAAAGATTTTAAATAACTGGTCCAATGTCGTCTACTAAATGGCAGGGGTAGAATTTGAGCCTGGATGTTCTGATGATGACTCTGTTTTTTTTCTATTTCAACGCAAGTGATTTATAACATATGCTGGGGGGACGATCAAGTGTTCCAAGTCAAAGAAAAAAGGGGAGATAGAAGAAATAGATATATTAATGAGGAAGGTGAACCTAAATACTGTTCTCTTAAATTTAAAGAAATAGCAATAAACTGCCAGATATTAAAAGCTTTTGGGAGCAAAGATTTTGTTATAGCATTAGAGGTTTATCTGGGGGAAAAAATGTAAACCGTATGACATTCCACAAAATCTTTTTCATAAAGAAAAAAGAGAAGCTGTTATTTCACTGAGCTGTCGTCATGGTTACCTAAAACCCATGACTCTCTGCTGAAATGTGACTTTTTTTCTTCTCTTTGCTTCCATGTGATGTGCTTTTCACCTGATGAGTGAATTCCCTGGTCACAATTCACTCATGTGTATCAGCTAGGAAATGTTTTTTCCTCTTTGTTTCTGTTCATGATGACACCTATTCCTGATACCCCTTTTATTTTTGTAGCTAGCTGATCTGTTGGTTGCATAACATTAGATCTAATTATATTGAGCATGGGTAGTTTGTACTTAAATGTTATTAAGCAACCCTCCACCTCCAAATATAATGAACTATTTTAATTGATGATAAACATGGCCCCTAATTTAAAGCTTTGGGAGTTAAATAAATGAGCAAACAACAGACATGAATTAGGAACACAATATTTCCAAATAAATTAATTACCTGATTTTAACATATTTAACAGAAAACTCTGACCAATAAATATTAACTTCATTTAAATCACACTCAGCTATGTTGCACCTTGCTTCATCTTCTCTCTTGTATTGTCTTTCTTTGCATGCACACACGCAGACATACATATGGAACTACCAGAGAGAACGACACAAGATATATTATACCCAAATTTGAGTAAGTGGCTATTGTTGACATTGTTGTATCCTTGGCATTGGGAATCCAGTGCTATAAAAAAACTGCAGTGAATGGTCCTAGAAATCTACCCATGCAGAGTTTAATATTTTATGTATGTTAGCATTGGAGCTAACGTTTCTTTGATGTTAAATTCAGCATGTATTTATAAAGCCTGTTCCATGTGTATATTATAGTCCTGTGCTCTGTGGATACAAAAATATTTAGAAATGATCACCACCTTGGAGCGACTGACAGGCTGGCAGATACAGACAGGCTGGAAAACCACTACATGTAATGAAAAGTTACAAGTGCTATGATACAAATCTGTATAAAGTACAATGATAGCACAAAGACGGGGAGAGGGTCAACTCTACCTGAGTAACAGAGGTGGATCAGTAAAAGTCTCAGAATATTTTCATTATGATATAAATTAAAAGGACTACATCACTGTGTCTGCCTATGTTGTCTGGGGCAGGACAATTTTAAGGGAGTCAACGTGATCAAATGTCAAATTATACACCCAGAAATTAGCGGGTTACTTGACCCCTTCTGAACCTAAATGGATCCTTATAAACAAGAAATAACATTGTTGACTTAAAAAGCACTGCAGTCAGAGCCGCTTGGTTTTAGTCCTCAGATGTGTGACTTTGGACAATCATCCTACCATTTTAGGCTTTTCTATAGTTTTTTAATAAAATGCACAGGTTACCCTAAATAAAATTGAAGATCTCTCAGCTCAGAGTTAATAAATGCTATCAAATCTCTCAAATCTCAATTTTGGGGTCAAGTAAAATGATATCTGAAACCAATAAAAAAAGAAGGCTTTATGTGAAAGGTGCATCAGCCTAGCTAATTTGGAAGGTCTTAACTCAATCTAGAAACTATTTGATCTCATCTCACACAAATAGTCTAGTTCTTAATTTAAGCATTCAATTTGGACAAAGGCATTCAAATTAATGGTGTGTTTATTACAGAACATGCGTTTTTGTAAAGTGAAAGTAAAAAGATACCAAAACAATCTCCATTAACTCAATGATTCTCAGTGCTGGCTGCACATTAGAATCACAAAATGAGGGTTTAAAAATGCAAACACTTGAAGGCCCAGCTTGATGGCTCAGGCCTGCAATCCCAGCACTTTGGGAGTCTGAGGCGGACAGATCACTTGAGGTCAAGAGTTCAAGAGCAGCCTGGCCAACAGGGTGAAACCCCATCTCTACTAAAAGTACAAAAAATTAGCTGGGAGTGGTGGCAGGCCCCTGTAGTCCCAGCTACTAGGGAGACTGAGGCAGAAGAATCACTTGAACCTGGGAGGCGGAAGTTGCAGCGTATGGAGATTGCACCACTGCCAAAAAAAAAGACTCTTGAACTTTACAACCTCACAGGAGACCACCTGAATCTGAATTTCTGGCAAGAAATTAGGTGCATAAAAACCTTGCAACAGTTTTTTATTTTTACTTTTTAAATGGTTTTTTGGAAGCTTCCTAGGTGATTTTGACATTGAGAACTCTGAATTAAAGCAATGTAAGCAATCGATCTTAACTATTTTAAGGACTTTGTAACCAGAGAGGCTGTGTGAAGGAATGGAAACAGCCAATGTGAGTGGGGTTTGACTGTCACCTTTGCCACTAATAAGCCCTTGACACTACTAAAACATAGTAGGTGAGCAGCAAATGCTCATTTCACCTTTCTTAAACTGTGGTTTGCTTGTTTCTCTTCAGTCATCTTCCTTCCACTCTGTTTTCTAATTTTATTTTTGAAACCTGTTTCTACACAGCAATTTAATCATAGAACAAGGTTGAAGTTGATAATTGTATCAATTTCAGTTCAGGGCTTACTGACTTGACACACTTTTTTTTTTTTCTAGAGAGTATTAAAATTGAACACATTCATGAAGAGAGAAAAAGGAAAAAGTTCTGCTTGACAATTAATAAGTAATTAGGAAAATAATACTCATACAGTTGTGGATAGCATCTGGTATTACACATCTCATGTAATTAAAAATTAATGTGTATCTATCTATTAAGATTTCCTGTGGATGTTGCAGCTTATTTTGGTAATTTAGACAGTCCTCCAACCTTTCTGGGTCAAGTTAAGCCACATAGTTAAATAAAGCATCATAACTGACTGAAAATCCCATGTCCAATCCTGGCAGTTTTTTAAACAGGAACAGAGGATATAAGAGCTAGATGAGAGTTTGCACATTATAGATTAAGGTAGGAGGTCTGAAAGCTTATTGAAATAGATTTTTTTCCAAGCACATTTTTTCTAGCCTTTCCTGCACAAAACCCATTACATTTGGTAAATAGCTGACTAATAACACCAGAAATTATACAGTGGCTATTTTTTAAATGAACTTCAGTAGACTCCATTGGGATGGGGTACAAACTTGGTTGGGCGGAGAAGGCCATCTACATTTCAAAACTGCAGATTGTGGGAAATTGAGTGCAAGATTCTTCCCATCCCATTCACATATTGGGCTTAATTTCATAGAGCATTGCTAGTCAAAAGTGCTGTATTAGAAATTTTTGGAAGACAGGCAGAAAAGCATTCCTTTAACATATGGTTTTAAAATGATAAATAATTAAGCACATATTTCTTTGGTTACCATTTGCCCCTAATTCAGAATGAAAAATTCAGAATAGATGAAATAGGAATTCAATTCCAAATAGTAATGCTTCATATTTTATCTAAAGTTTTCAAGGACTGAGAAAGAAAGCTAACTTCTAATGCAGCCTAAAGAAAAAGTGAGACAGAATGAACCAGATCCTTTAGCTAAAGATATCACAGCAGTCACATCCTTGGAAATAGGATACAGTGGTCATACAGCTGGACTATTAGAGAATAAATGTGATTTTTTTTTTGCTGCTTATTAGCTGTATGATCTTATACAAGTTACCTGATACCTTTATAACCTCTAAAATAGGGAAAGACTGATAAGAGCATGAAATGAACGAATGCACAAAAACACTTGCCACGGGGTTTGCACATGCTAGATGTTCAATGAATATTAGCCATCTTCATTATTTACCTGTTTAAGCCTCAGGATCTTCATACTTTCAAAAATGAAGATCTAATCCAATAATTATTTCCCAAACATTCCTGATTAAAAGAATCACCATAGACATTTAGTAAATTGTGCCTTCTCGGGACTCTCTCCTGAAGATTCTGACCAATTAGTCTGGGATAAGGCCAGGAATTTGCATTTTTAATTTGTACACCATATGAATCCTGTTGTGAATAATAATTTTATTTTTCAGAGACATTAGTGTATATCATTTGTTTTTTTAATCATCCAGATATTCATTCATTCACTCATTTATTCAATTCACAAAATACATAATGCACTATTGCCATTTTTAAAGGCACCATACTATGTTCTGGGAAATGCAATAATGAATCAAGTACTCTGTTCATTGCAGTTTAGAAACCTAGTAGAAGTCATTAAACAAATAATTACACAAATATCTAAAGTGTGCTATAAAGGAAAAATACAAGATACATTGAGAGTTCTTAACAGGGCACCATTTCTGTCCTTGATGGGGGCTGCAATGAGTGTTCAGGTGAGAAGTTTATACCCTGCCTGAAGAAGTGATTGTTAAGGTTCCTCCCTACTCTGACATCGTATATCTAGCATATCTTACCTGCCAAGAGGAGAAGAATGATGCTGGGCTGAGTAAGTTAGGATTTGTGGGGTGCTGACCTCCCATGTACTCATCTGTGCAAATGTCACACTTTTCTGCATCCCGCCAGTCCCAATATGGAATAGTGAAGTTTTCATCTCCTGTCAGCTTCTGGATTTCTTGTTCCCACCGCAACAAGAAGAGTCTATGCCAAGGCAGAAAAGCTGGTGCTTCATGGGCAAAATCAATGTCTCTCCAGATTTCAGATCCCCCAAGCAGTGCATCCATTGACACATAATAATGCATCCAGACAAAGAGGTCATAAATATTGATGTCGTTAAACATGGGTGTTGATCCATTTTTCATTTGGCCATAGGTCCCTATGGGGATGACATAGTCTGAGCTGATGGTATGCTTTGCTAAAGTGAGGTAGGCAAAAAATTTGTCCTTCTCTGGGGCACTCAAATCGAAGATGTTTCTTCTCACCAAGAGTCGTCTCTCTGTGCAGTTTGGTCCCCAAAAGCCAAACTTGCAGTTTCCACAGTTGAATCCCATGAAGTTGCCAGAGCACTGGCAGGTCCTATTATAAAAGACGGAAGGCCACGACTCCCGGTCATCCACCCCTGTGAAGGGAAATTGAGGCCCAAGTGGTGCATTGGACAGAAGGATATTCTGACAGGAACCTCTGCCTGAAAGCTGGCCACAGGGACTCCTGTCCCCGCTCCACGGTGGACAGCATTCCTTCTCCATCAGGTTCTTAGAGGAGACACAGGCTCTAGGGAAATGGCCAGCGGAGGTCTGGAAACTCCACAGCAGGCAGTACAAAACAGCCAGGAGCATTCTTCCTCTAGTCCTCACAAGGTCTGCAGGAACTGGCTAATTGGAGTCACAGATTTCTCTTTCCAGCTACTACTACAGTGATTATCACATGTCTTGGCTGAGACCTATATAATACCACTCCCACCTCCAGCATCAAACACTTTTAGTCTTTATCTTAAGCTTTCATCCTCTGAAAAGCACATGACTGACTTTTCTTTCGAATTGGCTCGTATCCCACCAGTGGGATAGGCCTATGTTAAAGTGAAAAACTCTATTCACCATTAATAGTTTAATTCTTATGGTTAGAATATTAACAATAAGGTTAGTAATAATAATGCCTGACCTAAGCAAACCCAGTTAATAGACTACAAAACTAATGATGATTTGACCTTGCAAATGAGAGGTAGTGTCAGGAATAGAGCTTCTCTTATTAAGAAAGTTTAGGAAGTATTAAAGATTATGGGTTTAAGGTAGTTATTTCTCAGAGACCATAAAGAGGCTACAATGTTTGAAGAACTCAATATGCAGAGAGAGATTGTCTTCAGAGCCCAGACAGAATTCCTTATATGTTATTGAATTTCAGTTTGTTTATTTTATACAACGTATCAGAAAAAAAAATCTTTCTGATACTTTTCTCTGATAATCCTGATGCATTTTCTGACAACTCCTAAGGATAGCTCACTTTGATAACTGGGCGATTTGCTTCATTGTGGGGATATCTCACGTTAAAGAGCTCTCTCTCTCTCTCTCCCTCTCTCTCTCTTTCTCTCTCTCTCTCCCTCTCTCTCTCTCTCTCTCCCTCTCTCTCCCTCTCTCTCCCTCTCCCTCTCTCTCCCCTCTATCCTCTCTCTCTCTCCTCTGTCTCTCTCCTCTCTCTCTCTCCCCTCTATCCTCTCTCTCTCTCCTCTGTCTCTCTCCTCTCTCCTTTCTCTCTCTCTCCTTTCTCCTCTCTCCTTTCTCTCTCTCTCCAATGCTGTAGCCATATTGTTTTTCCTATCAATTCTAGAAATTAGGAATTTTTTTGAAAATGTTTTTGCAATGTGTTTTGTGCAAAGACATTCTCAATTAGTGAGTGAATGAAAAAGGAGAAATATATTTCTTCAGCAAATATTTTTGATCATCTCAATTATTTCAAAAGTTCCTTCTCTGTGTATAGTGAGCTAGGGAAACTGAAATTCATGGCTAAAAATACAACTTAACTATGTTAGTTTTCAAATGAGTAGTATAGATAATTAAGTCAAACTTTTAATGGAAGAGATGTATTTGTGGGCTGATATTAGAAAGAATTGCATAATTTTGATAATAATATGCAAGTGTTATCAAGGGAGTGCCTTGATTAATATCTCAAAGAGTGGGCATAAGTTGGACAGACAACTGAGAATATATACAACTCCTGAGACAGGGGAAATGTGTAGAGGTGGGAACTGTGTTTCATCTATCAAGTTGGAGCATTAAACTGAGGCCTCCACACATCATAGAAAATTAAACCTGGGACCAATCTATGGAGGGGCTTAAAGACTTTGTGTTTTGAACTAAAGTGAGCTCTTTTGTGAGCTGAAGAGTGACAAAAAGAGTAGTCAAATCAAAGTTGCCCCTCTGAAGCTTCCTTCTTTGTCCTCTTCCATACTTAAAGTTTGGGGGTCCACTGAAATTAATGAAAAAGTAAAAGAAAGTGAAAGCTTTGAGGAGATCATTAGTATTTGGGTCCTTAGCTGAAGCATTCTAGGAAAAGCCATCACTATTTCGATGATGCCGGAATGTCAGACTGCTCTGCTTTTTTCTCTTTTTCTGGAGTTTGTCTCATTATTTAAGAAAAAAAAAAGTCACGGCTCATCCAAACAACTTTTTTGAGACAGAACAGGCTTTGCAGGTACATGGAGCAGTGTGTGGGTGAAGAGGAAGAGAAGTTTCCATGGAAATGCTGCCTCTGGCTGGAATCAGGAAGTCATCACATGATCTCCACAAGGAGGCTTAATCTTTTCTCTCTCTCTTTCTTTCAGAGCCACAAAGAGATTAACACAAGACTTCTTGTCCCTGGGGAGCCTTGGGTCTGCATTACTTGTAACCACATGTGGCATTTCATAATTCTTTTCTATGTTCTCGAAGACAGAATTCAACTTATCATGTTCAATTTAATTAAGAATTTTGCCTTACACTTGCCCCACTATCAGGCTTCCAGTGAAATAACTTAGAAAGTCTTCATCATGCTCTTTAAGGGCTTTTGTGTCTGCTGTCCCGTCTATTTTTCATAATCTTTAGAGCCTGCTTAGAGGAATTACTAAAATGTACTTAGTCCTATTAATTTCCTTTACAGGGTTGATTTTCTTAAATAGGACAGACCTCTTTATTTGTCCCCAGTATAGGCCACTGTCTCCTCTGGCCTACACGTGTTGTAGTCTTCAGTCTTATTGCCAGTCTTGGGTTCCTAAATATTAAATCCCATTTAGAGTGCTTTCTTCCTGACTCTAGATGTACATTCTTTAGGTATCTTCAGTTGTGGGATTTGAAAGGGTCCTATCCTATTTTGGGAGATTATTGTATGACCTGACATGAAATTACTGCAATGCTCTATAAAGTAGAATTAGGGGTTCAGTAAATACTCTGCAAGTATTTACTTGCAGACATGGGGAGAGATGGGAATGTGATGGTAAGCACAACAAAAATCTCTATCATCAGGAAGGATATTGCCTCTTAAAATACTATTTTAATTTTAGTGATTTTAAATAATAATTTTAACTACATTACTTTAAATAACTTTTTTTCTGGATTAAATTACTTTTTAGGTTGCTATAAGAGAAAATTAAAGAGAGAAATTAGGGAACATGACAGAAGGGCCTTTCTAGTCTCACAAGAGAAGGGATAGTCAGGGATAATTTTATGGGAGAAGTGACATTTCAAGTGACACTTGAGGGATCACTAGAAGTCTGTTTGATGACAGAGAGAACAGTAGGAGTGTGAGCTTTCCAGGCAGAGAGAATAGCATGTGCAAAGTCTCCAAAGTGGAAGTAGGTTGGTATATTCAAGGGATTTAAGGACAGTTAAGGTGGCTGCAACCCCCAATATGGTAGAGGCGTGATATAAGAATGAAGGTGTGTGTATGGACCAGCTCATAGTCCATAAAGGCTTTGTAGCAAAATTTTGGGTAACGATACATGAATTTAAAACTTTTCACTCAAGCTACTGAGGTGAGAACAGATGTGGGGTGGGAGCTAGATTAAATGTGGAGATTACTGTTAGGATATTATTGATGTAAACCAGGCAAACATGACATTGCTTAGACTAGAGTAATGATCTCTGAGATGGGCATAAGTTAATGAATTTGAGAGATACATAGGTGATAAATTCAAGAGCAGTAAGAAGTGAAGGGAAAGAAGATTTAGGGCTATGTGCTAGGTTTTTGGCTTGTGCCATTAACTAAAATAAGAAACAATAGAGGATAAATGTTTATGGGAATTGAATATAGGCTCAATTTTAGATAAGTTGAGTTTGAGTATCAACTAGCCACAATCACTGGTCCTCTACTTCTGGTATTTGTATAGATTATTCAGCCACTCACTTGTGTTAACCTGGTCAATTTTCCTCATTTTCCTCACTCAGATCACTGGTATTTGCTCTTTTATTTGGTAGTAGTTTGAATCCATTTTCTGTCTTTGTTTCTCAGCCCTCCTTTCAATTATAATGGTAGCTACCATTTATTAAATACAACTAATATAATTATCTCAGTATCAGTAGCTACCATTTAAAGAAAAAAATTTACTGTGGAAAGAAATATGCTCAAATCAGTAAAAAATAATATAATAAACTAGCATTTACTTACCTCCAAGTTTCAACATCCAGCATTTTTCTGTTTTGTTTCTACTAGTTTAAAAATTCTGGAATGTTTTAAAACAAAACTCAGATAGCATATTCTACCTCTAATTTCGGTATATATTGCTAACAATTAAGAACATAAAAACAAAACCACGTATCTTACACAAACACATCTCAAACAAAAAGAACAATAATTCTTTAATATCAGGTATCAAATTTATGGTTAATTTACTTTAATTATCTCAAAAGTATTTTTGTCAAGATTCAAACAGGTATATACACTGCATTTTGGTTGATCTATTTTATCAATTTCTATTAAGTTATAAGTTTCCTTTTTTAAAAAAAAATGCGGCCGGGCGCGGTGGCTCACGCCTGTAATCCCAGCACTTTGGGAGGCCGAGGCGGGCGGATCACGAGGTCAGGAGATCGAGACCATCCCGGCTAAAACGGTGAAACCCCGTCTCTACTAAAAATACAAAAAATTAGCCGGGCGTAGTGGCGGGCGCCTGTAGTCCCAGCTACTTGGGAGGCTGAGGCAGGAGAATGGCGTGAACCCGGGAGGCGGAGCTTGCAGTGAGCCGAGATCCCGCCACTGCACTCCAGCCTGGACGACAGAGCGAGACTCCGTCTCAAAAAAAAAAAAAAAAAAAAAAAAAATGCAATTTATTTTTAGAGGAAACTGAGTTTTTGCCCTAAGGATTTCTCACATTTCGGGGTTAACAACTTTTATCTCTATGAATTTAACATGCTCATTATCCTGTATTTTCTATCATTTTATACATTTTCAATAATAATATCTTGCATTTTCTACAATCAGGGAGTTAGATCTAGAGATTTTATTATATACAAGTTGAATTTTGTTATTGCTTTTCTTAACAATTACTTCACAGGCATTGTTAAGTAATACTTATTTTGATATACTAGAGGACCATATTATCTGGTTTTCTCAGTATTTGTTTTTAAAATTTATCAGCAGCTTGAAGTGATGTCAGACTGTCCTTTCAATTACATAATTCTCTAGCAAACTTTTATATGGTTTTATTTTCACTGATAAGTATATCCTACATTTGGTATTTTATTAAAGGTTGCAAGAATGGTTATCCCCTTTTTTTTGTAAAGAATAACTTTCTTCATGAACTATTTAGTTACCCTGTACAAGAAAAGCGGGGTAAATGTTTGATTCTTGTCCTTCATTTTTCAATTTTCAGAATAATAATGTGGCTACCTAACAACCTCTAAACATGATATATTTTTAACTGTAGTGAAGACTTCTAAAGTTTTGTGTATTTAGTGCATTTCTTTTGGGAGACAAATTGATGCATTTGTGTTCAATATTTTGCTAATTAGTGGATATTAGTCAACCTACATTATGATTTGTGAGTCAATGATCATTATGATTATATTTGTGTGTGCACGTTTGAAGTTCAAGAAAAAAATATGTAGCCATCATCTCTTTATATTTGAAGTTTACACTCACTCATTTGTTCAATAAATATTGAACATCTATTATTCCTAACACCTTATGGTAAATACCTGGGGCATAAACAAATTGTATAAGTCACTGACCCTTAATTTGATGTTATGAAGTCAGAATCTCTGATGTAATATCCAAGGACTGCCAGTTATTAGTCTCAGGCCCCATGGCAAGAGAAAAGGAGGAAGAGAATCAGCATATACTTAAGATTTGTTCAGTAATTTCACTTATCACAACCTGAGTGTTCTCAACTCTACTAGACAGGACTATTTGGAGTTTCAAATAATTTAATAGATATTAAACATTCAATATAAGGTCTGACACATATTAAGTACTTAATAAATGTTCACCATTTTCATTAAAGACCATAAATTGGTGCTGTTAGTGTTTATCACTATAATGCTTTCAATACTTTTAGGCTATTTTTGGTCTAGAGAGCTAGGGAATAAGTATTTTATTGGATATAATTAAATATCATTGTTTTAAATTGGTCTCTCCTTCTCATGTTAGCAACCTCAATTGCCTTTTTTTCTCCAATTAAAACCTTGTTCCTTAGGATACTGAAGTTCTGCAATAACACTGAGATGTCATACTTCTGTAGAATTTAGAAATTAGCACATGTTCTTTCTCTTAACAAACAATGTTTTTCTCTTTTATTCACTTGCATAATTTCTACACATACTGTAAGATACATCTCAGGTGTCATAGCTTCAAGAAAGCATTTTCTGATCTACAGACCTTCTCTGAGGATAAGCTGGAGGACTATCTTGCATTTTCTCATTCTACCCTCAATTAACCTTTGTCATTGCACTCACCACAATGCATAAAATCTACTGATATTTCTCATGCCCTTTCTATATCATGAATCCTTTAAGAGTAAAAATGTGATTCACACCAAATGCCTAGAACATTGCATGTTAAAAAATATCTTAGGAGATGGAGAATGGATGGATGAGTGAATTAACAGTTCAATTTCTTCTTTTGTTTTCCTTATTTTGTAAAATACATGTTCTAAAATATTTCAAACATGCAGAAAAACATAAACAATAAGCACTCATGAATTCATTACTTATTTAATAAATTTTAAAATTTTAGACTAATGGATGCACTTTTAAGATCACATAGTATCATTTCGGACACACGAAAAATAAAGCTAGAGGAGGAAAGGTAAAAGTATGAATGAGACTAGCTCTTACATTGAATGAAGTGTCATGCAGGGCAGAACCCATCCATACATTCAGCATAGAGCAGAGAAGATGAGAAGGCCTAATATGAGAAGAGACTCACAGAACAGAATTAGGGATGAATTATACCAGAATCTTGGTAGAAGTCTAGCTAGAAGGAGGAGACAAGTGTTTACCTAGGATTTATTCAACTGTCATTTTCATTCCACATTATTTATTGGATGTCTACTTTGAGATGGGCATTTTGCATGCATTTTTTTCTGATTCAGTCTTCAAAACAAGACTGTGAGGTACATATTGTATCCCTTTATAGTTAAATAACCTGATGTTTATGCTTAAGATTAAGCAACTACTAAACTGCAGAGCCATGTCTTTCTGCGTACTTCCATGTCTCACAGATATTTTCATTGTGTTATCTTCCATGCTAATGTTAGTTTTACTTGCTGATTGCATTTGGACTATACTAATCCTGCTTCTAGTTTTAGACTTCATACTTTTCATGTTCTATATTCTCATATCTGTTCTGAATGTCAGCTTTAGTTACTTGGCTACATTTTTGATAGGCTTCTAGAATACAGATGTGTCTTTAGCCACCCTCTGCTCCAGTTTCAAAGTGTTCTTTGTAAGTGACACAACCTCAATCATGCACTAAAGCTCCTCCTAAAACTGATCCTCATAGGTTGTTGAAGTGTTAAGAAAATTGTGGTCGCCACAATGTTGAATGACTTATATTTTTTTTTTGCTTCAGTTGAACTGTCTATAATTATTTTAATGGCAGAGGGTATTGATCTCTGGGAAGCCAATTTCCTGATTACATATATTCTACTACATGCAGAACTAGTTTTACTATCACTTAATGCCTATACCACTTGTAATTAAAATCTATTAAAATTATTTAAATAGCATTACCAAAGAGCAAAATATGCTTTATAAGAACAGCAAGAATAATCTAAGACACGTTATGGAGAAAATGGGCTAGCAGGAAAATATAACTGTAGAGTTGAAGAATGGCTGCTGAGAGACAGCACAACCTCGGATGAATTCAGAACAGAACTAGCTGATGAACCAAAATGTAGAACTAAAATGTACAACCTTCACAAGTTTAAAAAACCAACTCATTTTAATGTCAATAAACTGTACAGATCCTCTAGGAGAAAGCACATGGCTTTCAATATTTATTGAATATAAATAATGACACAAACTGTCAGTAAAGTAATTCTCTTATCTCAGAGCTCAGAACATGATACCCCCAAAGGATGACTTCCTGGTGTGCTGAGTATTTTCAGCTGAAGGAGATTGGGAGTGCCACAGAAACAAGAAGGTCTCTCTGCCCTTCCCCTGGCCTCTTTTTCTCCCTCGAAGTGGGTCATAGAATCCAGAACTCCCCAAAGCAAGCCATAAGACCTGGGAAGGTCATTCTCTGACCTCCTTCCTTTTCCCCAGAGGACCTTCATGTGACAGGTGGGTCGTCAGGGGGAGAAGGCCTTGCTTGTTTAGATTCTTCTTTACCCCAGGGGCCTAATTCTGAGCATTACAATCTCTGTATCATAGAGATAATTAGACATTCAGGCACAGTAGGAGTTGCTTAGGCATAGACAAAGGACAACAGGTTTTGAGTAGACAATCAGAAATTGTGAATTGTGATAGGGACTCAGATTTCGGAAGAAGTAGTTTCAACTCTCAAAAGTTTAAAATTTCTAACAAATTAGCAAAATTAACATACCTCCTATGATGAAAAGAAAATAATCTCAGTGATTAAGCTTCAAGTGATATCTTTTCAAATAGATGCACCAAATATTGTTACGCAAGTCAGTGGTTGAAAAGCATATTTACCTAAATTATCAATATCATGCTTATTTCTCACTCACCTTTCTCCAAATACTTACATAAATTGCCAAACTAAGTTTGGGTTTACAGAGATATTTACCTGTTAAATTAAGTTTAGCTTAATGCTGCCTCCTTACATATTTTAAGTTCAGCCTAAAGGTATCTCCCTACAGGTAAACTGAAACCTAACTGGATGTGTAAACAGACTGTAATCTACTCTTATGCTAAACACCATGTTTTGGCCAATCAAAGGTGGCCAACTGTTCAAACCGTGTTCAAATAAGGCAAATGCCAAGCTATAACCAATTGAGCTGTTTCTGTATCTCACTTCCATTTCCCATACTTCACTTTCCATTTTCTGTGGCTGTACTGGAGTCTCTCTGAGCCTTCTCTGGCTCAGGAGGCTACCTGATTTACAAATTCATTCTTTGCTCAATAAAACTTTTAAGTATAATTTGCCTAAATTTGTCTTTTAACATACCTGATGTCAACTTGTGTGCCTCCCTTAGAGTTCAGCCTGCCCTGCCTATCCTCCTAAGCTTATTTAATGTGGCGCTTAACCTGATGGCCTGTTGATTGCTCACAAGATTAATTTGCCCTGAAACATTCCTTTTCATCATCTCACACTCTTATTTCTGAACAAATTTACAACCATTATAGAAAACATTTATTTAGACACCCAGTATGAAGTACCACATCCAGAGTTCAGATAAAATATGAGGCAGTGACTATTTTTAAGGTGTCAGAACAATATGCATTACTTCCCTTCCTTCATTTAATCAAACAATTGTTTATTTAATGTTAATTTTTGTGCCAAGCCATGTGCACGACAACAGACGATAACAGTGACAGATGAGCATGGTCCTTGTCCTGGAGTAGTTCACAGCCTGGTAAGGAAGTCAGAGAAATCAAGAGACAATTTCAGGACAGTTTATTAAGTGCATATTGTTCAAAATATGGAATGTGGTATCAGTCAGGGCCCTGGCAGGAAACAGCTGACGCACTGAAGCTGTTTTTTTGAGAAGGGCTTAACAAAGAGACTATTTACAATTTTGGGAGTAGGGTTTAAGGAATCAAACAAGTAATCACGCAGTACACTGGGAATGAAGGGCAAGGGCAATGAACAATTGAACTGGAACACAGAGAAGATCACTGTATCGACTGAGCCTGCTGGCAGGATCTGTGGCCTTACAGAAGGATGCAGGCAACCACTGTCTACATGGCAAAGAGAGATTTGAGAACTAAATATCCTGACCACAGAAGTCACTTTCTTCTGCCCTCTGATCTTCTAGTCATGCACCTCTGGGGATGAAGCCAAGCTCAAGCCAGAGGAGCAAGAAGCCTACTGATGCAATTCTTACAAGTCAGCCTCATGGGGCCCAGAACAAGGTGGAGAAGGGAAAAGAATAGGTCCAGGGGGCTAGAGGAATAATATCTAACACAAATGCCTACTCTATGCTTTTTATATAATGTTATTCATCTTTACAACTACCCTGTAGGAAATGGTTATTTTAATTTTGCAAATGAAGAAAATGAGGTTCACAAAGTTTAAGCAACTTACTCGAGGGCATGCAACTAGTAACTGGTGGATTCAGGGTTTGAACTCACCAGTGTGGCTACATCTCCAGGTCTGTGTATTGAGATTTACGTGTAGGAAATGATGGGACCACAAGAGAAACATGTAGCCCATACTATCTGCAAATGGGCCAAGGGAGGCAAGATTGCTATGAAAGACTTCCTAGAGAGAGATGATGCCTGAACTGAGCTTGAAAGAAGATTGGTGTAAGAAAATAGAGAGGAAAAAAGGGACAGAAACTGTTGCCCAGGTAAAGGGGGCAGCCAAATATAGAGATGACATATTCTTTTAGGACTTCAAGTAGCTGATTATGTTTGAAACAGAGAGGGCAGAAGTAATGAGAAAATATGATCTCTATAGTAGCATTGTGAAAAATTAACATAATTTAGGGACATTTAGATGAGTTAAAGATTGTATGGTTTATGTCTCACTGTGTGTACATATTAAGGTTCATAGGAACAAATGAATAGGATTATTTTAGGTGAAAATAAGGGAGATAGAAAGATTTTTATAACAAAGACATAATGTGCTTGCTTATTACTGAAACCCATCTTTTTCACCATTGGCCCTCAATTTATCACTTTTGAGGTCTATGCCAACAATTTACAGAAGTTTTATAAAATGTATAACTGTTACTGCTGCATACAATATAATTTGTGCCATTGATGTGGCTCACAGCTTCATCATAAATCCTGCATATGTAAAAATGTCAATCAATAATGCAAGGCTACAAAGATATTATGAAGACTTCTAGAAATTCTATAATAGTACATTTGTTATAGTGTGGTCCCCATATCACTTACATATAAACTCTACTTTTTTTGTCAAACATGCCTCTTTTATCCTATGGCCAAAAATACAGCCTTTTATCTAGGGACAATCATGATACATAGAAATATCAAGGAAACAAACACACACAAAAATGGCCCTTGAAACAAAATAGATCATCATACAAAACTAAAGTTTTGTCTTATATAAACCATCAATTTCATTTGTTCCTCAGTTTCTCTTTAAGTAAAATAGGGACAGTAAAATCACCTCATAGCATTACTGTTAGAATTAGATAATGTCTTCATAAAAGAAAGCTTCTACTTCCCAGATCCCCAAATAGTCTATATACTTCACTTCATATTTTATACATCTCCTTTCTGGAGGACATGCCATTACTTGACTTAGGAAGGACAGGGAAAACAAACAGATGTGGAATCCTATTTCTTTGAAGAATGCCATTGGTATTTTTATGGGATTGGTAGTATTGACATTTTAACGATATTAATTGGAATATTATTCTAATCCATGACATGGGATATCTTTCCAGCTTTTTGTGTTCTCTTCAATTTCTTTCGTTGGTGTTTTACAGTTTTTTTTGCAGAGCTCTTTTAACTTCATAGATTAAATTTGTTTCTAAATATTTTTTATTTTTGAAGTTATTGTTAATGAAGTTGATATCTTGATTCTTTTTCAGATGTTCACCGTTGACATATATAAATTATACTGATTTTTGTATGTTGATTTGGTATATAGTCACTTTTGTGAATTAGTTCATAAGGTCTAACAGTTTTTTAGTGGAGTCCTTAGGTTTTTCTAAATCTAAGATCCTGTCATCTTCAAACAAGAGAGGTTGATTAATGGATTAAAAAAACAGGTAGAAGAAATAAAATCTAGTGTTCCATAGTTCAGTGTGGTGAATAGAGTTAACAATAACTATTATATATGTTAAAATAGCTGGAAGAGAAAAATTTGAATGTTCCCAGCATAAAGATAAATGTTTGGGGTGACATATATCCCAATTTACCTGATATGATCATTACACATTATATGAACCTATAAAAAGGTCACGTGTACCCTGAAAACATGTACATCTATTATATATTAAAACAATTGAATTTTAAAGATATAGAATCAAACTGTATCCAGTTTTCTTCTTATAGTAGCATTTCTAAAAAAAGTTAGGTAATGAATATAAAAGAATATACAGAATTTTGAATTATGAACTCTTTTTCCATCACCCGTTGTATCAATTAATTAGTAATCTATATTTGTGCTACTAAGATTCTATATTATTTTTATTTTATATGCTAGGAAAACAGGCTGAGGGATTAAGAAACTTTTTCTTGATCCTTTGAGAGTTTCATAGTTGTAACTAAATTCCCAGGCCTAGAATTCTCAATTCATTTCGATCCCTTAATCCCCTAAGGATCTCACATTTGTAAAGTCTTTTATATCATCAGATGAAAATTGCTACTGTACAGGAAGACATATTTATATCATATGATCAATGGCACTGAGAAATAGAGAAAACATGTTTCATACCATAAGAAAGCAACTCTGATGTAGTATGAACTTTTTGCCTTGTGTCAGTGTAGAAGAAGCTGGAGAGCAGGCAAATGCCCTCACATCTCATTTATTTTATGATGGAGGTCTGGGTAAAGAGAAACTGGGGAAAAATCCAGGTTTCAACATCTACATTCACTGTCCATCTGTCCAGAGAAGCAAGAACTCCTACCCACATCATGTTACATACAACTTCAGTTCCTCCCAATAACTATAAAACCAACCTGCTTCCCATCTTTTCCTCTGTCAAGAGATGATAGTTTATTATAAAATAGGAATATATGAAGCACTGATATACTTCTATGCGTTCAGATATACTTTTATGCTAACTGTATGACTCAGTTTCACTTTGTTGAGGTATAATGATTAAATACAAAGCTTTAAAAAAGGCTAAAGTGTACATAGGGTGAACTAAGGAAATCAGGGCTATTTCAGAATGACACAAAGGGAGGCTTTTCTTTGATTTCACAGCCTAGGCCCTACCTCAAAGTTAGGCTACCTTGTCAAAGCTGTTATTTAATGCTTTTGAATTTTTCCATCCAAGAGCTGGCTAGCAGACTTATTTTCTTCATAAAAGTTATACAATCTTCTTTTAGCAGCTACATTACGAATGCGTAAGAGAAGCTATCAGATATAAGCTTATGGTTATTAAACTCCTTGGAATTCATGTGATTCTTTCTTGTTCTAGATTATAAATATAATATATATTTACAGAAACATGATCCAGAGAGAAAACTGGTCCAGACTCTCACCATTTAAAATAAATTTAGCTTCTGGAAAAATATTTAAATAAACATTAATTATTGAAAATCAAATAAGAAAAAAATTATTGGTTCTGGAAATGAATTAAATTAAAGCCAGTGCATTAATCTTTCAATCTGATGCACTTAGTTTCTAGGAGGTTAATAATCCAGATATAGACTCTTCATGTTGGGATATGAGACTTTAACGCTTATCAGGAGATTTGGTCCTAGGCATGTAAGAAAAGGAGAGCTGAAATAGAAAACCTTGCATAAACTTGGCAATGTAAAAAGGCTGCTCTTACAGGAAGAGTTAGATGGGAAAAACATCCACCAGAAGAGGAAAGTTACAGCCGCAAATGATATAAACTTTTATAGAGTCATAGAACCTGAGCTCACAATTTAAGACATGGTGAAGCCCCATCTCTACTAAAAATACAAAAAGTAGCTGGGCATGGTGGCTCATGCCTGTAGTCCCAGCTACTCGGGAGATGGAGGTTGACACATATATATATATATATATATATATATATATATATATATATATATGTATACACACACACACACACACATATATGTGTATATATATATACACACATATATATGTGTGTATATGTATATATATATATACACACATATATATGTGTGTATATGTATATATATATATACACACATATATATGTGTGTATATATATATATGGTTTTACTATAATATTTTAGCAGTATATACATACTGCTAAATGATATATATACTGCTAAAATGTAGTAATATATTACTATATTACATTATAATTAAATATTATAGTAATATTATAGTAAAACCAAAATAAAACACAAATATTAGAAACCTCACAGAAAAAACAGATTATTCCTCCCCACCCCCAAATTAGACAATTAAAAATATAATAAAGGAATATATCCAATGTATTAAGAAAAAATAGCATCAAAACATAGAATTTCAGTTTAATGTATTATGATTTAAGAATGGAGTTAAATAAAGGTATTTTGAGGGGAAAGGCTGCGAATATTTACCATTCACAGCTTTTCAATGAGAGAATGACTAAACCATGTACGTGATTGTGGAGGAAAGAATTCAGAAACAATAGTGAGCAAAAATAACTAGTTAAAAACAACCTGTTTCCCCTTCCCTCATCTCCTAGCAACGAATCACTCTAATTTCTGTTTCTGTGAGGGTTTGAATATTTTAGGTACCTTATAAGTGGAATCATGCAACATTTTTCTTTCAGAGGCTATTGGCTGGTTTGTTTCATTTAGCATAATGTTTTTCAAGTTCATCCATGTTGTTGCAATTGGCAGGATTTGTTTCATTTTTAAGACTCAGTGGTATGCCACTGTGTATATATACCACATTTTCTTTATCCATGCATGTCAATGGACACATCAGTTGATTTTATATCTTAGCTATTATGGATAGTGCTGCAATAAACATGGGAGTACATGTGTGTCTTTAAGATACAAATTTCATTTCCTTCGTATATATAGGATTGTTAGTAGCAGGATTGCTAGATTGTATGGTAGTTCTATTTTAACTTTTTGAGGAACCTCCATACTGTTTTTTCATAATGGCAGTATCTTTCTACATTCTCAATGTTTCAGTTATGCAATATGAAACAGTTTTAAGGATCTGCTATACAACATAGTGCCTACAGTTAATAATACAGTATTATACAGTTAAACATATATTAAGAGAGCATATCTTAGATTAAGAATTTCTACCACAATAACAAAACAAACACACACATACACACAAAGGGACATCAAGAAACTTCTGAAAGTGATGGATTTTTTTTTTTACCCCCATTGTGGTGATGGTATCCTGAGTGTATATGAATATCTATCATCTTAAAATTGTATACATTAAACATGTGCAAGTTTTTATTTTATATAAATAATATCTCAAAAAACTGTTTAAAAAGCAATTTATAGTTTCACTGTCAGGAAAATGGTGTGTCCACCAGGCCTTCTTCAATTCTATGGTTTATCTATTTAAAATTCCTTGAAAGAACTAGAATGGTTCTCTTTGTAGTTTCCAGCATTCATCTGTTTTTTCCTATTTTTAATTTGATGTTCATGTCCATGGAAACCTAATAGAAAACTTCACATTTATATTAAATTTTCTTGTATAAATTTTAAAAATAACTAGATAAAAATGTGAGAAATACACTGACCATAAAAACAAGAGTGATGACAAATAATTTCAGTGGTTTAAAAATTTTGTGAAACTAGAATATTATACATAACACAAAATGACTTTAAGCTAAAATTGTTATTAAGGATTAAAAAAAGCTGTTATTACAGATGGAAGAACCAATTCATTTACCAGATAGCTAAACATTTTCTAAATTTGCTTATACCTATTTATTGCCCCAATCTAGAATACAAACGTGAATATACCAAAAGGTTAAAAGGATAGGGATAGAAAAAGAAAACCAGGAAATTATTAGCCGAGCTAAAGCTGTTATAACTTTGATTATCACATAAAATAGTCTTTAAGCCAAAAATATTTTTTAAAGATAAAATCATTTCTTGACAAGAAAAGCAATAATTCTCTACCATACAAATTAAAGGCTCTTAAGATTCAGTAGCATTTTATTTTTATACAAAATTTTAATTATAGTTTCTGTTGTTTGATTCTAAGTATCTTACAATTTTGTACCAGAAATATACAATTCCCTAAATATTTTTGCTCCTATCAATAAAGCTACAAAATTGGACATTGATATAGAAGTATCCTTAACTGTAACACAAAATTTTAATGAATCTCTCAGAAAGTGATACATCAAACTTTGTTTAGTAAAATATGAAATGTTTTAATAAACAGCCATCAACCTAGCCAAAAACTAAATATTAAAAAATACTGAATAAGCAAAATTATCCAGATGTGTTTTCTGGCCGTATCGTAATAAAAATATAAATTAATTGCAAAAAGCCAAAAACCACAAATGACATATTTGTAAATGTATAAATTATAGAAGAAGTAAAAATATATCTCACCTTATATTTATTTATTTATTTTATTATACTTTAAGTTCTAGAGTACATGTTCACAACGTGCAGTTTTGTTACATATGTAAGACTTGGAACCAACCCAAATGTCCATCAATGATAGACTGGATTAAGAAAACGTGGTACATACACACCATGGAATACTATGCAGCCATAAAAAGGATGATTTCATGTCCTTTGTAGGGACATGGATGAAGCTGGAAACCATCATTCTCAGCAAACTATTGCAAGGACAATAAACCAAACACTGCATGTTTTCACTCATAGGTGGGAATTGAACAATGAGAACACTTGGACACAGGGTGGGGAACATCACACATCAGGGCCTGTTATGGGGTGTGGGAGAGCGGGGAGGGATAGCATTAGGAGATATACCTAATGTAAATGACCATATATTTATAATTGAAAAATATAAGCTTTATATATCAGAACTTGGAAGATGAAGAAAAAAATGGCTTTTTGATAGGAACTCATACCTCAAATAACATATATTACAATAGAGGTAAAACTGTAAAATTTATTTTTTTAAATGTTAAATACAAAATGTTAGAGAAAAAAGAAAAATAGAACAAAATAAAAAATAAATGTAAGATTAGTAATTTTTAAAATATTTTAAAGAGAATATATTTTTGAGAACTAATAAAATAGGTTTCTGAGAAATTTAATCAAGAAAACCAAGAGAAAGCACAAATTAACTCTTAACTTGTAAAAGCATTATAACTATAGATGCAGTGGTCATTAAATAAAATCATAATTCGACCAAAAATTTTATGAATAAAATTATAAATCTGGGATAAAATGTATATATTTAAGGGAAAATACAATTCACAATGTTGACTTATAAGAAATAGAAAATCTAAGTAAACCAAAATTACTAAGGAAATTTAGTCAGTATTAAAATGTCTATTTGAAAAAGTAACATTTCCTGATGGTTTTACAATTGTGTTTTGTCAAAATACCTAGGAACATATATCCTCTATATTAATCTTTTATGGACAATAAAAATGGAAGACATCTCTGTAACTAATTATATGAATCCAGTTTACTTTATTGCAAAACCAAATCAAGACAACAAGATAAAAGAAAACCATAGGGGACTGTCACTAATGGACATGATGCAGAAATCTCAATAAAATTTTAGCAAACAAAACTGGCAAAGAAATTAAAAACCTACATGACCAACTAAGATTCATCTGTCACTCTTCTAGTTATGATATAAAATTGGAAAATTCATTAATAGATTTTGGTTAAACCACTTAATGTTACTTTCTGCTAAAGTTAAACAAAAACACATGATAAAGGTGATTCTTAAATGAATAAACTCACAAGGACATGCCTAAAAGGAGGAGGAGATCATACCCGTCTGGGAAGGTGGGATGAAAAGAGTGAATAATAATGGTAGCCGTACTGATCAAGCTGAACCCTACACTGGAAGAGTGGACAGCAACAAAGCTATGCAACGTGCACTGCAGAAATTCTGAAAGGCTCAGGAATTGAACAATGTACCTCTGGAATGGGTGTGGAGGGAAAACCAAAAACAATGTTCTTATTTTAAAGTCTTTTTAAGATGCAGTTTGCTTCCGGATCAAACATCCCAGTTTCTGCAAAGGTAGAGGTTGTCTCCATTGCAATAAATTGCCGTCAGAAGCACAGACATATTCTCTAAGGAGGACCTCTGCAGTTTCTGCATTGAAAGACACAAGACACAGTGTAAGGCTTTGAAAACAGAGGAACTGGAAAACCCTCCATTGACAGTTGAGCTGCCAAACCTCAATCTTCATCCTCAACTTAGTTCCTAGATTTCCGGAAGCTGTTATTTATTTATTTATTTATTTATTTATTTATTTATTTTCCTGTTAGGGAAGAGATTGGAAGTTTTTTTTCTGAGAAGTCTGACCAGCCCTAGAAAACAAGTAACTATACAAATTACGAGTGGGGGTTCCCAGTGAAATCACTTCTTCAGACCTCTCCTTGATTAAGCTTGTAGATTACGGTCTACAAGACTCTTCCAGGTGTCCACATTTACCAATAAACTTTATAGTGATTCAAGTTTAAGTATGAGCAAACATCACCCAATTCCTGAAGAAATTTCCAACACTAAAAAAAAAAAAAAAAGATGTGCCAGAAACTGTAAACCCTAGCTGATACAAACAATAATATATTTGGACAGAAACTCTTAAGTCAGAAGCTTTCTCCATCAAAATCTAAAGAGCAATATCCACTGACTTCAGACATTTGGTTCTACAGGGAAATATGAGGCCAACCTCATTTTTATTTATTTATAGATAACTTATTTTATCTGTTTGGATTCTTATAATTCTTCTTCTCTTTATAGGAAGGATACAAATTTCATAAAGATGTTGCAGGGGAGAGGAGGGGCCAAGATGTCCAATTAGAAGCAGCTGCGGTCTGCCGCACTCTTGGAGAGGAACGAAAGGGGCGAGTGAATAACAAAACATATTTTTTAAAAGTATTATTTATCTTTTCTAAAAAATATTTTTGATACATAAAAAATTATAATGAAGCTATATAATAATTTTGAGATTGTTAGGTTGAAATGTGATTTTGTCTTTTAGTGAATTAACTATTTGTATTTCCTTTATTCTTTTTTATGGAATTATATATTTATATCCTCTGATCCCATTGCTTTAGAGAAATTAATATTTTTAACAGTAATTAATTATATATATCAATTTACTTACTTTGCTTTTATTAATACAGGGTTATTTTCTAAACTAGGGCCAATAAAATTCACATATACTTGCTTTTGACTTTTTGTTATTTGTTAATGTTTTGTTATTTGTTATTTGACTTTTTGTTATTTATTATTTGTTGTTTGTTATACTTGCTTTTGACTTTCTGTTATTTGTTATTTGTTATTTGTATATTGTTAACTTGCTTTTGACTTTTTGTTATTTGTAATTTGTTATTTGTTAATTCAAATAACAAAAAGTCAAAAGCAAGTATATGTGAATTTTGTTGGCCCTAGTTTAGAAAATAACCCTGTATTAATAAAAGCAAAGTAAGTAAATTGATATATACAATTAATTACTATTAAAAATATTAATTTCTCTAAAGCAATGGGGTCAGAGGATATAAATATATAATTCCATAAAAAAGAAAAGAAGAAATAAAGGAAATATAATGTCACTAAAAGACAAAATCACATTTTCAACCAAACTAATAATGTCAAAATTATTATGTAGCTTCATTATAATTTTTTATGTATCAAAAATATTTTTTAGAAAAGATAAATAATACTTTTAAAAAAGATGTTTATGAGACGGTTGTGAAACAAGCTGTCTTAAATACTGCCTGGGGAAAGATATAATTTGTCTGAACTTACTGAAAACAATCTGTCAATTAGTATGACAATTAGTATGTCAAACAAATACTGTTAAAGTCTCTGTAAAGGTATTAGTCATTTTTAGAAATATGTTCTAGGAAAATAAGAGATGAAACTTATTTTAAATTTTTGGTGATTTCCTGAGACATGATGATGAGGCTATTCTGGTGACCACACTTTTAGGAATCACTGCTTTAGAGAAACTTTGTATTTCTACCTAAAGACAGGTACAAGCTTCTTTACTACAATATTGTTTGTTGCAGATGTAAAAATTGTAATTAGAAATAAAATACCAACCATAAAAAGATGGGTACTAGGTTGGAGTATAATTATAAAATATAACTCAGCTGTTAAGAAGAATGGACTAGGTCCTGAAACAACGTTGTGGGATCTTGAAAGTGCACTGTGAAATAAGCAAGTTTCAGAGGGATACATATAGTATGCTATTTATTTAGCTTTAAAAAGCTTAAGATACTGTATATGATTTACAGGTACACAGCAGCAAATGTAAAATAAAATGACTGAAAGATAAGAATAAAATTCATGGCAATTTTGCCTCAGAGAAGGATTTCACATCAAGACTGGAAATGGAGGCAAAGGTACTTAAACTTTATCCGTAAATACTTCCTATTATAAAATAGGATTTGAAGCAAATATATAAAATGAGCATTTTCAAGACTTGGTGTTGGGAATAGGACATTAATTTATCATTACAAGTAATATTTAGCATCCATCTACTATTTAGCATCCAGGGGCTTTTTTAATTTTTTTGGCGTGGAGCATCTCTGATGGAGCATAGCCTTAAGTGCCCATCCCCCAGGACTCTTCATGTCTTTCTGAGACACTCTAGCCCCAACTGACTGCCAGTTTGGAGATTTCTCAAAGAACTTTAAACAGAGCTACCATTCAACCTAGCAATCCCATTACTAGGTATGTACCCCAAAGAAAATAAATTGTTCTACCAAAAAGACACTTATATGTTTATTGCAGCACTATTCACAGCAGCAAAAACATGGAACCAACCACCTAGGTGCCTATCAGTGGTGGACTGGATAAAGAAATGTGGTATATACTACATAGCCATAAAAAGGAATAAAATCATGTCCTTTGCAGCAACATGGATGTAGCTGGAGGCCATAATCCGAAACAAACTAATGTAAAAACAGAAAACCAAGCACTGTATGTTATCACTTTTACATGGGAGCTAAACACTGAGTACACATGGACATAAAGATGAGAACAATAGACACTACAGGCCTACTGGGGGGAAGTAGAAGAGTGGAGCATAGATTGAAAAACTACCTATTGGGTACTGTACTCACTACCTGGGTGACAAGATCTGTACCACAAACCTCAGCATTATACCGTATTCCCATGTAACAAACCTGCATATATATGTGTACATATATGTATATATGTGTATATATTGTATATATATGTGTATATATATCTGTGTGTGTGTATATATATGTATATATGTGTATATATGTATATATATGTGTATATATATCTGTGTGTGTGTATATATATGTATATATGTATATATACGTATATACGTATATACGTATATATATACGTATATATATACGTATATACGTATATACGTATATATGTGTATATATACGTATATACGTATATATATGTGTATATACACGTGTATATGTATATATACATATACACGTGTATATGTATATATGTGTGTATATATATATATTTTATATACATATAATATATATATTTTATATACATATATATATTTTATATACATATAATATATATATTATATATATAATATATATAAAATATATATATTTTATATATATTATATATATATTATATATATATTTCATATATATATTTCATATAAAATATATATATATATTTACCCTGTCTCTAAACTAAAAGTTGAAATTTTTTTTTTAATGAAAACTCATCAGTGTACCACTGGTAAAAGAGGGAGGGGAAAGAGGAGAGGGGGATGGTGTGGTGGTTAATACCAAGTGTCAACTTGATTGGATTGAAGGATGCAATATGGATCCTGGGTGTGTCTGTGAGGGTGCTGCCAAAGGAGATTAACATTTGAGTCAGTGGACAGGGAAAGGCAGACCCACCCTTTACAGGTGGGCACCATCTAATCAGCTGCCAGTGACTATAAAGCAGGCATAAAAACTTGAAGCTAGGAGACAATGGGCCTAGCCTCCCAGCCTACCTCTTTCTCCTGTGCTGGATGCTTCCTACGCTCTAACATTGCACTCCAAGTTCTTCCGTTTTGGGACTCTGACTGCCTCTCCTTATTCATCAGCTTGCAGACAGCCTATGGTAGGACCTTGTGATTGCATAAGTTAGTACTTAATAAATTCTTTCTTTTTTTCTTTTCTTTTTCTTTCCTTTCTTTTTCTCTTTCTTTCCTTCCTTCTTTCTTTTTCCTTCTTTCCTTCTTTCCTTTCTTCCTTCCACCCTCCCTCCCTTCCTTCCTTCCTTCCACCCTCCCTCCCTCCCTCCCATTCATCCATCCATCCATCCATTTATCCATTCTATTAGTTCTGTCCTTCTAAGAGAACCCTGACTAATACAGATGGGGAGGGAGAAAGGGAAAAAAAGAGAAAGCGAGATTGAGAACAGTGCAACACCCAAAATCTCCTTCTATGCCTCTTACCAGTCATTTATTACTAACCTTAGAACAGGTAACCACTATCCAAACACCATCAATTCATTTCGGCAGTTTCTGATGTGGTAGCTCTAGTTCATTCATTTTCATGATGCATAGTAATCAAAGACACACACATACACACACACACATACACACACACACACACAGTTTTTTCATTCTGCTCTTGCGGCTTTTATGTTCATTGTTCATCTGAGGAGAAGAACCTTTTCTAGTTTTTTACCACCGTGAATAGTGCTGTGATAAACATGATTTTTGTGAACAAAAGGGGCACATTTCTGTTGGGACTATACCTGGGATTTACATTGCTGCAGCATACTGTTTACATGTTTCAGTCCCACTTACTACTACTTTTTTTTTTTTAATTTAAGTTTTAGGGTACATGTGCACAATGTGCAGGTTAGTTACATATGTATACATGTGCCATGTTGGTGTGCTGCACCCATTAACTCGTCATTTAACATTAGGTATATCTCCTAATGCTATCCCTCCCCCCTGCCCCCACCCCACAACAGGCCCCAGTGTGTGATGTTCCCTTTCCTGTGTCCATGTGTTCTCATTGTTCAATTCCCACCTGTGAATGAGAACATGCGGTGTTTGGTATTTTGTCCTTGAGATAGTTTGCTGAGAATGATGGTTTCCAGCTTCATCCATGTCCCCACAAAGGACATGAACTCATCATTTTTTATGGCTGCATAGTATTCCATGGTGTATATGTGCCATATTTTCTTAATCCAGTCTATCGTTGTTGGACATTTGGGTTGGTTCCAAGTCTTTGCTATTGTGAATAGTGCTGCAATAAACATACGTGCGCATGTGTCTTTCTAGAAGCATGATTTATAATCCTTTGGGTATATAACCAGTAATGGGATGGCTGGGTCAAATGGTATTTCTGGTTCTAGATCCCTGAGGAATCGCCACACTGACTTCCACAATGGTTGAACTAGTTTACAGTCCCACCAACAGTGTAAAAGTGTTCCTGTTTCTCCACATCCTCTCCAGCACCTGTTGTTTCCTGACTTTTTAATGATCACCATTCTAACTGGTGTGAGATGGTATCTCATTGTGGTTTTGATTTGCATTGCTCTGATGGCCAGTGATGATGAGCATGTTTTCATGTGTCTGTTGCTGCATAAATGTCTTCTTTTGAGAAGTGTCTGTTCATATCCTTTGCCCACTTGTTGATGGGGTTGTTTGTTTTTTTCTTGTGAACCTGAGTTCATTGTAGATTCTGGATATTAGCCCTTTGTCAGATGAGTCAATTGCAACAATTTTCTCCCATTCTGTAGGTTGCCTGTTCACTCTGATCGTAGTTTCTTTTGCCGTGCAGAAGCTCTTTAGTTTAATTAGATCCATTTGTCAATTTTGACTTTTGTTGCCATTGCTTTTGGTGTTTTAGACATGAAGTCCTTGCCCATGCCTATGTCCTGAATAATGCCGCATATCTACAACCATCTGATCTTTGACAAACGTGACAAAAACAAGAAATGGGGAAAGGATTCCCTATTTAATAAATGGTGCTGGGAAAACTGGCTAGCCATATGTAGAAAGTTGAAACTGGATCCCTTCCTTACACCTTATACAAAAATTAATTCAAGATGGATTAAAGACTTAAATGTTAGACCTAAAACCATAAAAACCCTAGAGGAAAACCTAGGCAATATCACCCAGTTACTACTTCTACCAGCAGAATATGAGACTCCCAATAGCTTTACATTTTGACTTACACTGGAATTATTAATATTATTAATTTAAGCCATGCTGGTGGGTATATAGTGGTATCTCATTGTGATTTTAATTTGCTTCCTTCTGATGGATGAAATTGAGCACTATTTTACATTTATTGATAATTATGACATCTTCTCTTAAAAAGTAGATAGGCAAATCATTTCCTTTTTTTTTTCCTTATTTGGTTTGTAGCTATTCTTTGTATATCTTAAATGTGTTATTTGTCAGATACATGTGTAAGAAATATAGTCTCCTATCCTTCTACTTGTCCTTTTTACTCTCATAGGAATAATTTGTTGACCAGATAACTTTAATGTATTACAATATATTGCTCATTTTCTTTATTAGTAGTACAGTTTGTGACCCTTTAATAGATTGTTGCTTAACTCAAGACAATACTAATATTCTCCTGTATCATCATCTAGAAGCTTTGCTGTTTTACATTTCACTTTGAAATTTAAAATCCACTTGGAATTGTAGTAAAGTAGGAATCAAAGTCTATTTTCTCTCATATAGTTATATAGTTGGACCCATATAATTCATTTAAAATGTCCTCTTTTCTTTTAATCATTTGCAGTTTATCTTTATCAAATATCAAGTGACCGTCCCAGTGAATCTTTTTCTGGACTTTTTAGTAAGTGCTAGGGATCTATTTAGCTTTTCTTGCACCAATGTCACACTGTCATAATTAAAGTGTCTTTTTAGTAAGTTTAGCAAGTAAAGTGTCTTTTTAGTAAGTTTAGATATCAACAAGAATTAAAATTTTTTTTCTTCACATATGTCCTGGCTGTTCTTTGGGCTTTATATTCTCATATAAATTTTGGAATAATTTTGACATTTTCTATAAGAAAAGCAGCTGGGATGCTTTCCTGGGGATTATTTCAAATCTAGAGAACATTTGTAAATTGATAAATTTACAATTCTAAGTGTTTCTATCTATACACAGGACACATTCATTGAAATACTCAATCTTAGTTATCTCAATCATATGTTGTAGTTTTGTGTGTATGGAGCTTTGATTTATTCTGTAAGTATATGTGGCCTTTTTACACTAATGTAAGTGTATTATTAAAAATAGTTTGCTCTATAGTCTTAAGTTGTGTGTCCCCCTAAAATTAGTATGTTGAAACATAATCACCAATGCAATAGTATTAAGAGTAGGGTCCTTTGGGGAGTGATTAAATCATTAGGTCTCTGTCTTCATGAACGAGATTAGTGCCTTTATATTTTTATTTTTTTATTTTTTTTTGAGACGGAGTCTTGCTCTGTCTCCCAGGCTGGAGTGCAGTGGCGTGATCTTGGCTCACTGCAAGCTCTGCCTCTTGGGTTCACACCATTCTCCTGCCTCAGCCTCCCTAGTGCCTTTATTTTTTTAAAAAAATATATATCCTTGTAAATGAGAGCAATCTTGCCCCTTCACCATGTGAGGACTCAGGAACAGGCCCTCACCAGACACCAAGTTTGGTAGTGCCTTCTCCTTAGACTTCCCAGTCTCCAGAATTGTGAGAAATAAATTTCTAATTTTTTAAATAAATTACCTAGTCTCAGGTATTTAGTTATAGCAGCCTGAATAGACGATGACAACATATTATTTTAATATTGATCTTATATCCACTGATATTGGTAAATTCAGTTATTGTAATTGTTTATATGTGTACTTTTTTGTAGTTTTCTAAATAATGGTTTTTCTATGAATAATGACGTTTACACTACTTCTCATACAATTTTTATATTTCTTTTTATTTAATGTGCTGGCAAAGACTTTATGCAGAATGCAACCTATAAGCATTCAAAATGGGTCTCCTTCACAGGGGAAAAGTTTTTACTGTATCACCGTTAATTATGTTCTTCAATTTGATTAGACAGTCTTCATCAGATTGGAGACATTTCCTTCTCATTCTAGTTTGTTAAGAGGTTTTGGGTTTCTTTTCTTAAAATGAATGCAGTTGTTACCCATTTTATCAAAATACCTTTCTGCTTCTATTGACTTGAATGTTTTTCTCTTTTTTCTATTATTGTGATAAATGACATAGTTTACTTTTTAAAGTACAGATTATTGGGAGGCCAAGGTGGACAAATCACCTGAGGTCAGGAGTTCAAGACCAGCCTGACCAACATGGAGATACCCCATCTCTACTAAAAATACAAAAATTAGCCAGGAATGGTGGCACATGCCTGTAATCCCAGCTACTCAGGAGGCTGAGGCAGGAGAATCACTTGAACCCAGGAGGCAAAGGTTGCGGTGAGCCAAGATTGCGCCATTGCACTCCAGCCTGGGCAACAAGAGTGAAACTCCTTCTCAAAAATAAATAAATAAATAAATAAATAAATAAATAAATAAAGATTACTTACATACAAAAAAATTTACGTTTTAAAGGTATGTAATTTGCTGAATTTTTAAAAACATTCACAGCCATGTAATCATCACTATAAACAAGATTATTTTTATTACTGCTGGAAGTTCCCTCATCCCTTTGTAGTTGAGTACGCTCCGTCACCCCACTAACCTTTAGGAATGGCTGCTTCTTTCATTATAGTTTGTCTTTTCCAGAATGCCATATAATTGAATCGTATAATAATTATACATTAATCCATTCAAACCTGGCTTTTCCACATAATATATTTTCAAGATCCATTTATGTTATGTCATGTATCAGCAACTCCTTATGATGTAGAAAAATTCTTTTTTACTGGTTGATGAATATGGGGTTGTTATTTTCTGATTATTGTGAATAAAATTGCTATAAACATTGAGGTACAGGTCTTTGTGTGGACACAAATTTTTATTACTCTTGGATAAAACAAGATTGGGGTTGCTGGGCCATATGTTAAGTATTTGATTAAACTGGTTAAACTACTAACCTGTTTTCAAAACTGGCTGCGTGACTTTCCATTCCAACCAGAAGTATATGAGATCTTTACAACTAGACAATCTATTCTGTTCCATGGAAATCTATATCTATGCTATGCCCATGCCACACTGCTTTAATTGCTCTTTTCAAATGATGCCATGAAGTCATATAAGTTCTCCATATTTATTCGTATTTTGAAATTATTTTGACTATTTGAGGTCCTTTGTTTTCCCACATAGTTTTTAAACTGCCATTTTCTAAAAAGTCTAATGTAGTTTTGATTAAAATTATGTTGTATCTATAGATAGATTTTGTGGGAATTGATATATCACCTATATTGGGACTTACAATTTGTGAACATGGCGCATTGTTCATCATCACTATAAACAAACAAACAAAACAAAAATTTTTGTTTTTGATTTCTCCCTTCAATGTCTTATAGTTTTCAGCACAAAAATTTTGTACGTGTTTCTGTACATATTTTGTTAGATTTATCCATAAGGATTTTATGCATTTTAATACTATTTTGCAAATGATATTTTTATTATCCAGGTAATTTTTGTATGTTTACTTTGTATTCTTTTTTTTTTTTTTTTTTTAAGATGGAGTCTCACTCTGTTGCCCAGGTGGAACTGCAGTAGCATAATCTTGGCTCACTGAAATCTCTGCCTCTTGGGTTCAAGCAATTCTCTTGCCTCAGCCTCCCAAGTAGCTGGGATTACAGGCACCTACCACCATGGCTGGCTAATTTTTGTGTTTTTAGTAGAGACAGGATTTCAGCATGTTGGCCAGGCTGGTCTTGAGCTCCTGACCCCAAGTGATCCGCCCACCTTGGCCTCCCAATGTGTTGGGACTAGAGGTGTGAGCCACTGCTTCCAGACAAATTTTTAATTAATATTTATAATTTTTGTGGTTCTTTGGAATTTCTGGTATGTTGTATCACGTCATCTGGTAAAAAAAGAGAAATTTTATGACTTCCTTTCCAACCGTATGTCTTTACTCTCTCTGCTGTACTGGCTATAATACCTGGCACAATCTTGAATATGAGTGGTGAGAGAAGAAATCATTGTCTTGTCCTTGATATTAGGGGCAAAACATTCCACCTTTGAAAATTAATTATGATGATAGTTATAGGATTTTTGTAGATACAATTGATCATTTTTTGGAAGTTTTCTTCTATTCATTGTTTTTTAACAGTTTTTCTTTCCTTATTGTGGTTATCATAAATGGATGTTAATTTTTGTGAAATATTTAATTCTGCACTGAGATAATCATATGATTTGTCCTTTTCAGTCAATGAGTGTGGTGAATTATAATGTTTAATTTTTAAATTGTTTTCAGACCATATATTCCTGGGATAAATTCCACTTTATGATGAGGTATTATACTTTTTGTATGTTGCTGTATCTGATATGTTTATGTTTGTTAGAAATTTTTGCATCCCTGTGATCTAAATATGATCATATGCTTTATAGTCTCAATATTTTAAAATAAGATAAAGAGAGAATCCCCGGCTAAATTTTGGCTCAGAATCTGGTATATGATTCTGAGCCATTCTGGTATATGATTGTGGTATAAGCCGTAACTTTACTTTAACAATATTAATAAAATACATGTATTATCAATTTAGAGTTTAAAATTTTTTCATAAGCATTATTTTATAATATCATTACAAGAATCCTGCAGAAAAAAATAATTTTCTTCATTTTTTAGATAAAGCAACTGAAATGGGGGAAGATAAAATGCCTTGCCCAATTTCTCACAATTTATTAAGTTCATTATTAGCACTTAGAGGTCTGCACTTTAATATAGCTATTATCCTGAAATATAAAATTTCTACCTCCAGATCAATTTTCTGATACCTCCTTGCAAACAGCTTGACTTTTAAGCTCCACTAGATATTGTGATGTAGATGGTTATTTTTGTGCTCCTACTCACCCTGTTCTGTACCCTCCTTTTTGTCACTTCTTATCTCTGGTCCTGCAACTCTAGCTGTTTACGGTCTGCATAATCTGCATACCAAGTCCTCCACACATACCCCAACACATCTCAATCAGCACAACTGTTAGGCTTTCATTCACAGCATCATGAAGAATTATATTTTATTGAATCTGAGATACCATTAATTATTAGATGTACTGATTATAAATCGAACCATTAATTTATGTACTGTTAAGAGAGAAAGATGTTATTGCAAATGACACTGAAATATCTTCTTACCACATTCATTGTAATTCCACTAGTAGAAAATTCAAAATATGAAAAGGCTGTTTCAATTATCTATTACTGTATAACAACCCACCCGCAACTGAGTGTCTTAATACAAAAAAATATATATATCTTTCATGGTTCTATAGGTTGACTTGGCTAAACCAAGCCATTCTTTCTTGAGTTTTCTTAAGCATGTTTTTTCATTGATAGAAGTGATAGCAGGAATTGGAGGACACCAGGATAGGCATCCCATAGATGGCAATTGATGCTACCAGTGAAGGGGAGCTTAGCTGGAGCTGTTGAAGAGATTGCTACACAAGACATTGCTATATGTATAGGCTTCATACAACATGAAAACTTGAGTTCAGAGAGGGAGCTTCCAAAGCATGTTCTAAGAAAGAGGAAGTAGAAGTTCTCAGTATAATGAAGGGCTGGACCTGTAACCAGCATAGCATTTTTTCATGTAACATCTTTTAATCAAAGAAGTTACAGGGTCTCCTGATTCAAGTGAATAGAGAAACAGACTGCATTTTGATGGAAGTCTGACAAGTGCAAATATGTTAAGAATAGAAATATGCCTCTGTGAGTTCACAAAAAATTGAAGTATACATATTAACGTTGTTACTTGTGATTGCCTCTGGTTCTAGAGTATTGAAAGAGCTAAAATTCTTTGTAGGATTAAAATTTAAAGGTTGGAATTGAAACAGATTTTTACTTTTTACAGTTTTCTCCATATTTTTGAGTACATTTTAAAGGGTATTAAAGAAGTATATTTTGAATCAAAATTGACTAACTGCCCTCTCCCAATTTTACCAAGGCTCCTCAAAGGATAACAAAAGGGAATAACTACTATTGGCATAATTTATCTGGACATTCCTCAATTCTTTCTGTTTTTCTAAAAAAAATTCCTTTAGAACACCACTGCTGTATTTTCTTCTTCACTCCTACACAGGAAAAAACTCTTGTAATAAGAGGTTGCTTCTCTAAATTATAGTCCTCAAATTTTTGGTAAAGGAATAATTCTTGCAAAGATAAAGGAAGGCAATGGGACAAGTTAGGTTTAAACATTTTTTAATCTTTTGTATTATGTGGGATGATGAGAAGAGGCACGAACTGTGGGATACTGGTTGTAGTATTTTGCTATTTCAACGTTAACTCTTAAACAGTGAAATCTCTCCTTACAAAGCAAGGTCATGCATCAGTAAAAGTTCCTAAGATCTGCCAGACAAATGGCTTCCACTTCTTTCTGTATTTTATTTTCACATAAGAATACCTTGATCCCTCAAAAGGCCACATCCATTAAAAAGGGAAGGGATGGTGTGGGTAACTATAACAGGAACACTATTGATTCCTAATTAGTGGAAAACATAGTGATGATTATTTCTGTGTGGACACTATAGGCATCAATAACTACTATTAAATTTACTTGAACTCCTCATCACATTTTTAGTAAAACCCCATGGGGTGAAGAACAGTAAATTGCAATTGAGACTTTTGCAGACTTCAAAATGAAGTCTCTGAGAGTTTGAATATTGACATGCTCCAAATCTGTCATTGAGGACTTTGTAATTACTCCATCTATGGGAGTAATTTCATCTAAATGCTCTCTCCTTGGGCCACACTACCTTTTGAACTTCTATTCAAACATGCTATAACAGTAGACACTGGACAAATAAGAAATGGATTTTGCAATGTTTACATTTAACTTCTTTCTTGATTTCCTCTGTGTCCATAAAACTTCAGGAGTGCCACTTATCTTTTTATAGATCAGATTGACACTGAGTAAGGTATACCTAGGGTTTGAGTCTGAATCTGTTATGACAGGCAATAAATCACCTAAAACATCTCTTTGTATTTGTTGAGCAGTCAAAATCACTTATAGGAAGCTGATGACAGAGATTATTTATTTCCCTCGGTTGGCCCAAGTTTTCACACTCACATCAATTTTAGAGTTGTTACTAGACTAATGACCCAATTCAGTCAGAAGCTTATGATATTTTTTTGTCATCCGTTTTGTGATCATGAAGAGGATGAAATGTTAATAGTTCTGACATTTGTTTTTTCATATCTTTTAATACACTGCTAAAGAAAAAATTCTCACTAATATTATAGAGACTTCTTTTACACTGTTTTCTATTCAAAATAAGTGAGAAATTCAGTAACATTTTTTAATAACATTTTTCTCCTAAATTCCCAGAATGTCACCACTAGGAAAAAGACATCTTAGGTAAATATAAGACAAATTTGTTAAACTTCAACTGGACCTTCGGTACTTCTATTGAGTTTTTTCCACAGTAGATGCTAGACACCTATCTCACATGCTTTCTTCTTCTTGGCAGATAATCTGGTGTATTAGTTAAGGTTCTTCAGAGAAAGAGAACCAATATGATGTATATGTATGTGTTTTTATACACAGATCTGTATATATGTGTACCTGTATGTACATATGCATGTGTGTGTGTGTGTGTGTGTGTGTGTGTGTGTGTCTGTGTTTATACAGAGAGAGAGAAAGAGATTTTTTTTTTCACTTTAAGAAATTGGCTCACATGACTGCGGAGGCTTGGCTCATCCAAAATCTCTTAAGAGTAGGCCAGAAGGCTGAAGACTCAGAAATTAGTCACAGTTAAAGTCCAAAGGCAGTCTACTGGTTGAATTCCTTCTTGCTCTGGTAGAATTCTAGATCAGTCTTTGTTCTACTAAGGCCTTCAACTGATTGTATGAGATTATGTAGGGTAAACTGCATATTTAAAATTTACCAATTTAAATGTTAATCTCATCTCAAAAGCAGCTTAACAGAAACATTCAGGATAATGTTTGACAAAATATATGGACACCATGGGCCAGGCAAATTAACATATTAAATTAGCCATCATACTTGGTGTCTTACTTTTCTAAAACCTTTCTGCTGCTTCAGAAGGAGACTTTCTACCCTTCAGAAGCTAATACTCTCTCTACCCTTACCCTTATTTTTTGATTTCTCTTATAACTTGTTCTTTCATCTGTACTCCCAAACCCCACCTCCATCCCCTTATGACACCCTACTTCAGTCCTTTCAGTCTTCCCAGAAACTCGTCAGGTCTCTCCATTGATAAACTTTCTCTTGACCTTTTCAGGGTTGCTGTTCCTTGCCCTCATTTCACAGCCCAACTCCCCATGTCCCATACTTCCATTCAGCATAGGAGACACAACTCTCACAGGTCAGCAGTAGGTTCCTAGTAGCTAGAACAATGAGTTTTTCTTTGTTCTCGTTCTTTGACATTTCTCTGTACCCCGGTCCTGTTATCTTCCTCTTCCCCATTGAATATCTCCCCATTTTGGTTTTCTGTGGTTTTGTCATCCTCTAATCATTTTATCTATTTCTCCTTCACTTGCTTTTCTTCTGCCTGTCATCCCTTATGTAGATGTTTCTCAAGTTCTATTCTCTGTCTTTTCCTTTAATTTCTTTATTTTTTCTGCCTGGATAAATATCTAAATTTTAATAGTTTTAAATATGTACTTTAAAAAAAAAACACGATTCTAAATGTATGCCTTCTAAATTATTTCATTCTCCTGTATTTTAGCTTCCTGAACTAAAAATCTGGGAGCTATATGTAAAAATTTTCATTTTGTCATTTTTCTCACTTATACCAATAAGCATTCTAAGCATTCCAGCAAGATCCTAACAAAGAAATACTTCTTCTACTTGAGTCATTTCCTTCATCCTTAGTGCCCAGCCATAATTTGAAGCTTCATAATCACTTCTCTGGTTATTTGGTAAGTCCTGCTGACCATTCCCACCTCTAGTCTCTCTTTTTTGCATCTATTTCTGTAATTTGCTGGAGCCTTCTTTCTAAATATGTGCCTAAACATGTCTCTCCTTGGTCTGTAGTGATTTTTGTTATGTCTCTTCAAAATGTGCTCCATCCAACATAATATCTATTTCTCTTTCAATTTATTATTGCCACGTGATAAACCAATGCATACTTAGTCATTTCTTAAATTAGAAAAATGAAACTTGAAAGACATGAGTCTGTAGTTGCTCTAATATCTGAAGATAGCCCTGCAAATATGATTATAGTCCTGATTTTAATTTTTTGCTTATCATGCTGTTATACTAATTCAAACTAAGACAGCTTCTAAATAAATAAATAAACAAATAAACAAATGCCATTGGCATCTGTCGTGAGAAATGAGTGCCTATTGAGTAAAGGCAGTGATAATTCAAAGCAGTAGTTGTCAACCTGGCTAGATTATTAAAATCCCCAAGGGAGTTTAAAAAACGCTGTTGCATAGGCAACACCAGAATCTCTGGAGGTGGGAATCTTACACTAGAGTTTTTTTGTTTTTTAAAAGATCCCTAGTTGAGTCTAATCAAAAGCAAATTTGAGAACCAGCAGTTTCCCTTGCTATTTGAAGTGTACATATTTGAAAGTGGTCCATAGGATGTTATAAACACATATGTTTTTTTAAAATCAAATTACTTAAAGCATAACAGAGGTGTTTAATTCTTTACCTATGCGAATGTATGAATTTCTCTTAGGAGGAAGTATAGTATTCAGAATTGGCAAACTAACTTATTGCAGAACAGTATCTTTGTTTCCCTCCCAGCTTTTTTGTAGTATGATTGACAAATAAAAATTACATGCATTCACGGTGTACAAACTGATGTTTTGAGATGCATATACATTGTGAAATAATTACCACAATACAGATAATTAACATATTCATTATCTCACATAGTTACCGTTTGTGTGTATGTGGTGAGAATACCTAGATCTACTCTCAGCAAATTACAAACATACAACACATTATTATTAGCTCTAGTAATCATGATGTACATTAGGTCCATGAAATTTATTTATCTTTAAATGAAACTTTGTGTCCTTTAACTAATATGCCCCCTTTTTCCTCACCGCCCCCCACTCAGCCACTAATAATTACCAATCTACTCTCCGTTACTATGAGTTTGACTTCTTTATAAATTCCACATATAAGTGAGAGTATGCAATGTTCTTCTTTCTGTCTGGCTTATTTTACTTAAAATGGTGTCCTCCAGGTTCCTCCATGTTGTCACAAAAATAGAATTTCCTTTTTTCAAGCTGAATAATATTCAATTGAATAATATATACCATACTTTATCCGTTCAGTTGTAGATGGGCTTTTGTCAATAATGCTGCTATGAACATTATAGTGCAAATATCTCTTTGATACAGTTATTTTAGTCCCATGGCTATGAACTCAGAATTGGGATTGCTAAACCATATGGTAGTTCTAATTTTAGTTTTTTGAGGAAACCCCATACTGTTTTCCATTATGGCTCTAAACAATTTACATTCTCACCAACAGTGTTAAAGAATTCCCCTTTCTCCACATTCACCAACACTTGTCTTTCATTTTAAAAAATAATAGCCATCATAATAGGTGTGAAGTAATAGCTCATTGCTGTTTTGATATGCATTTTCTTGATGATTAGTGATGTTGAACATTTTTATATATACCTGTTGGTCATTTATATGTCTTCTTTGAAAAATCTTATCAGGTTCTTTGCCTATTTTAAAATTGTGTTTATTATTATTCTTGATATTGAGTTGCATGTGTTCTTAATATTTTGAATATTGGCTTTTTATCAGATATATGACTTGCACTTTTTTCTCCCATTCTTTTGATTGCCTTTTTGTTTTGTTGATTGTTTCCTTGGCTGTGCAAAGACTTTTAGTTTGCTGTAATTCCACTTATTCATTTTGGTGTTTGTCCCCTGTACATTTGGTGTAAAATTGAAAAAAGCATTGCCAAGACTCATGTTAAGGAGCTTTTCCTTATGTTTTCTTTTAGAAACTTTATTGTTTCAGTTCTTACTTTTAAGTCTTTAATTTATTATGAGTTGATTTTGTGTGAGATGTATTATAAGGGTCCAGTTTCATTCTTTTTCATTTCAAGGTATAATTTATTGAAGAGGCTATTCTTTCCTTATTGTGTATTCTTAGCACCTTTGTCAAAAATTAGTTGACTATATATATGTGGGTTTATTTCTGGGTACTGGTTTGTTTTTCAAAGAATTCCTTGGGACTAAAATGCTCCCCAGAACACTTTGGTAAATATTGATGTAACAATTTTTCTCATAGGAGCACTGTTGGCATTTTGAATGGGATTGTTATGATGCTAGTTATTGCTAAGGACCTTCCCTACATGTTTCAGGAAGGTTAGCATTTCTGAACCCCGTTTAGTAAAATGCAGCAGCACTCCCCAGTGATTTCAGTAATCAAACACACTCCCATAAATTACCTAGCACTTTCAAGTCAGTGATGCCATCCAAGGTTGAGAACTATTTTGTAGCTGGTCACTAGGCACAAAGAACAGGATGATTAAGTTTGTCAATTGGGAATGTTATTCACTGCAACTCTCTGAGTCTAGATCTTCCCCATTGTCTTTGGCCTATTACATAAAGCCTTGAACTCTGCTGGTATCATAGCTAGATTTGTCAAAGACTCATTCAGAGCATTACCAAAAGCTACAGAGGCCCAAAGTTGTCAGAGAGGTTCTGTCTCGTGAAAATATAAAACCTCATACCTCATGGGGACCATTGTACCAGTGATGTAGATGAGATTGCCTGGGCCAGAAAGACTTTGTGATCACCTCAACTTTAGTTTTTCTTTCTCACATTTGAAATGGCCACCAAAGATATTTTTTCTTAAATCACTCATCATATTCTGTCATTCCTCTACTGAACATTCCTTTATTGGTTTTCCATTGCTGAAGATTAAGATATAAATTCTTAGTATGACATTTAAAATAACCACATCATAATAACAAGTAGCCTTCTTTACATACCTCGGCACACTCACAGGCATACACCACCTCTCCATTTCTCCTTCTCTATCAATTCCAGTCACACGACCATTTTCTGACTGAATCTCGTTATTTGCTAAACAAGACATATAGTTTATATCCCTAGGTTTTTGCTCTTATTACCTAGAATGGTCTTTTTCATTTGACAACCTGATGAAAATCCTACTTAATTTTTATAGCTTCTTACAATTGTTACCTCCTCTGCATAAAGTTCTCCAACATTTCTATTTTTCAGTCACTTTTCTGTTCATGGCTGCAGACACTGTTATACAACCTGTCATAGAAATCCACGTTAAAATCTGCAAAGTGCTGTGTATGGTGGACGAAATCTTTTTCCTTTTCCTACATTCCTATCTGGGCTCTCAGAGGAGAGCATTTCTCTAGACCGTGTGTCCTCTGGCATCATGCTAAGAAGGCAGTTTCCATCTTCTAGGAATCTTTATTGTCCCTGCTCATAAGATAAAGAGTAGTTAATATAATTTGTGAAACACGGATGTAGAGTGAGCAACATTGGAAATATACTTTACCATTCTCCTTGCTCTGACCACCTCATAGATGAGTAGGAAGATCAATGTAAGGACTCTTCTCTGTTTTCTGCTTCCATGTGGTATGAACACTTGGGTCAAAGTCCTACAGTTGCTTTCTAAAGGCAGGCCGAATATCCTCAATTACCCACCCCTCATCTCCCTCTCTGTCTCTCTTTTTACCTGTCTCTATCCCTTCATCTGTTCTGTGTTTCTCTTTGTCTCCTTTCTCTTTTCCTATCTTTGGATGGGTTTTCTGTCAGTTTCTCTCATTGTCTTCCTCTCTCCTTTTCCTGTAAGTAACTGGTAAATGTGGAAGATCTGAATTATTTGTACCTGGCAAATTCAGCTCCTTCCTTAGGTTGAGTGTTCCAGACTATAAACATGGGTGAATATATAAGGATCCTGTTTGATGTCTATCTAAACCACATTCTTAAATCCACTTTTACCATGAACACTGTGTGCTTTGGGGTTAGTAGGCATATGCTTTGCTGATTAAAAGGTTTTCACTTTGTTTTTATTTTCTTGTTTCTAGTTTTCCCATCAAATAGAACCAGTAGGACACCCTCCCTCCTACCTGATCTCCAGCATATTTGGTGTATTGGAGGGAGGTGGTTGCAGAGTATTGGGAAAAAGGTGGTAGCAGCCATTTTGTGGTTATATTGATTCAGATTCTTCTAAAAATGCAGAATAAATGAGAAAGTTTGAGTCTTCCAGAGGGCAACTATTACAAAGGAAACCAGATTCCATTTAAATAAGACTCTTTTTGGATTGGACCAAAAAAATTAAATATTGATGGGAGAAATACACCGTGGGGAGGAAGGAGGCCTCAGTAAGACTTGGTGTCTAGATGTGACATATTTGCGAATGTTTAAGTTTTGAAAGAATATAAGTGCATTTCAGATTCTTTACATGCCTTTGTTTTTTTCTAATTCCCATTTTTCCAAAATACCATCCAGATGTCTTTGCTATGGTTTTTTTTTTAAAATGACGATCTAAACTCTTTTAAGTCCTAGTTTCTGAAAACAAAATCCTGCTTAGCATAATTTTTTAAAGTACTATAATTATTTTTGCATTTTTTACAGAGAAGAAGCATGTGTAGTTGAAGAGATAATTTGTGATATCCATCTAAAGATGCTGAAGGAGTCAGAGTTGTGCAGAGAAACTCGGATATTATTTGAGAGAAATTCTTTGGGTGGAGACTGAGCATACTAAGATATTAAATAGTTAAAAACGTCTGATTTGAATGTCTTTTGACTATAGTCAGTCATTTAATTTTTTCAGACTTAAATTTTCTTATTGAGAGGTTTGATTTTTTTCCCTATGTACTTTTTATATTGCAAAAGTTATATTATTTTAAATACTATTTTTTTTTTTTATGGATTTGGGTTGGGGGGTGGTCTCACTTTTTTGCCCAGGCTAGTCTCTAACTCCTGGCTTCAAGCAATCCTCCCGCTTCAGCCTCCCAGTGTGCTAGAATTATAGGCATGAGCCACTGCACCTGGCCCTGGAATACTTTCATTCCACTTCATAGTGTTGGTTGTCCTATATCCTCTGACCAGACACACTGGACTACATGACAAGGAAAATTTAAGACAAAAAATAAAATAATATATAACTAAAATCCCTTTATTGTCCATTTTAGACTCATCTTATTATAAACACTGAACCACTCATGCCTCATCCTAGGATAACACAAAGGCTTACTGGTAGTAGAGATTAGGGGACAACATGATAAAGGGAACTTCAGAACAACCATGATTTGTTGTTGGTCTTTTCGTCAATGTATGTGTACACACACACACACACACACACACACACACTCCTGGTTGACCATAGGTGTTGTCATTGTCTGTTGGGATAAAAGAACAATATTTGAGGAATGTTGAAGGTAAACTTTTGTCTAATAGTTTCACTTTAGCTTGTCTGAAGAAATACTTAAGGAAATTTCTGTAATATCTTCCTATCCCACCTTTCCCCTTACTTTTCCTTTTAGCAATAAGAACAAATAATTGGACTGGTGAGAACTTGTCAATAGGCCATGTTTCTCCTACTGGTGGGTGTGCTGTATTCAGAAAGTCACTGCTCATGTAAGACATAGTCTCTTGTTTGAATTATGTTATATTCACTCTCCAGTGGGTACACATATTATCTTATCTTCTCCAATATACATTGCATCCATGCAGTTAACACACCATCAGAAAAAGATAGATCAATTCCCTGACCTGCCATAATGTAACCTGTCATTCCCTCTCAGAATTTCACTTGGCATTCTTGAGCTGTCCACTTTGCAGGCAATTTGGTGCATGAGCAGGTGCCTGGCAAAGTAGATGAAACTTGTGATATCAAACTGTGGTCCCCATCAGTATGCTTCAAGGTTTAGATTCAAGGAGAGAGTAAGATGGTCCATTGTAATACCAATTTAAATCCATACTCTCTAATTCATCATTCCAGAAATCCTAAATTTAGGGATAATTGAACATTTTCTTAGCTGTTAGTAAATGTATTCTTTGATCTCTCTTTAGACTGCATTTGTGTTTATTGTCTCCATTATTTGGAAACTAGATGAGAAGATGATTGAGGACAGTCTCTTGCTGTTCTGTCTGTCTGTAATGATTATGTCCCAGATATTACTCATTCTGTCCTTTATTCAGATGTCCATTATTCAGAATATCTGTATCTGACAATCCCCTCTCAATTTATATGATTATTTCTCTCTGGCTCCTTCTTTTGTTCTAATTTTTCTCATAGCACCAATCATACTACCTAAAATTGTATTTTATATTTATTTGATTATTATGTCTTCCTTTTTAAAATATGAATTTCAGGAATTCAGAATCTTGTATTTATAGCTGTATCCACAAAGCCTAGACAAAAGCATGACACATAGAAAACACCATATACATATTAACCGAATGATCAAAAAAAAACCTTTTGATTATGTATCTGTGTGATACATCATCAATACTTAATATTTTGAATTTAAGTGCAAAATGCTAATGCTCTCATTCATTTCAGGGAAATTTATTTAACAAAATTTGTGGTTTAAAAATAATTCTAATTATTGAGTTTTTTTTTTTTTTTCCACGCATCTGATATAAGGAGAGCTACTGACTCATTTAACATGTTTTAACCTATACTTTGTAATGGTGTGCTAAATCAGAAAACCAGATGTGGTCCCTACTCTCATAAATTTTACAGTCTAGCAAAATAGATAGCTCAAATAACTGTACTATAAAATCAACTTATGTTTTCTTAGTGTGATTCTATGTAGGTGTGATTCTATGTAGATTAAAAAAATTTTGATCACTCACCAAATTATACAATTGATAATATTTTTTTAAATTCAAGGACAAAAATAAATAGCAAATATTATATTCTGCATACTTGAGAGAGATGATCCTTGTCATTTTCCTTTAAATATAGAATGATTTTCAGTCTAACTTATTTAAATGTTATCAGAATGTTTTCTGAGGCAGAGAAGAATCATATTACTAAAATATGTTAAATCTATACACCCTTTTGTTCAAGAAACAAACATTTTCAGAGAATTACATTACCCTCATTGTTAATTATATTGAGTATGTTAACAATAATGGGACTAGAGAATTTAGTATGATTACATGTCTATCTTTCCACCTGTTCAGTCTCACATGTGGTGGCTAGTGACAAACCTTAGACATAGTCAAAATAAACTTTGAAAGTCCCTAAGAAAGGTATATTCAAGGAGATGATTATCTTGTATCTCAACCCCAACAAAACTAGTACTTTCCAAATATTAGATGTCTCTTTTGTGAGCAATGAATGATGTAGTTAGTTTATGTTCAGGGTTGTGCAGCAGATTTAAATTTCATTATATTACGCTTGCATTATCAACGTCATTATCTGGTCTTTGAAAAATGGTCATCCTTCAAGTCTCTTTAAGTTCTACCCAGAATCGAACTATCACCACTAGATTGTCCTATCACTTTGTATGTTTTATCTTTTTGTTCCCCTCAGACTGTCCAATTTCTACACTCAAATTTTGTTTCTGGCTTAGGCTTTTTCTTGGATAGCTTATTTAGAGTCCCTCTCTGCTTTAGGAACCTTGCGTGATACCTCACCCAGTTGACTCTCATCCCTCTCTACCCCCTTGGTTTTGATATCACTCATACCTACAGTCAACAACACTTATCTTCTGATCTTTCTCTCTCCCATTGCTTCTCCTGCCCTGTTTTCCAAGAAAGGGATTGGACACACATTGTCACATTGTAATTATTTTCATAAACATTCTGAATTTGAGTCCCTATCTCCCCACTGTTGCCTCAAAGGAAGGTCATGATCAACACAGAAAAGACAACTTCTTATTCCTGAGATTAATCTTTAAAAGTTAAGATGGGCAATGATTTGAACTGGGATTTAACAAGCTGGGAGCCCAATTTGAACCGTCATGTTGCTTACCGTTAGGGAATTCAGAGTAACTGACCTCTCCAGACAGCTGGTATAGCCGAACTGCCAAGGATCTATTTGTAAAATGCACTCAGGAAATTTATGGAAAATAACTCATTCCAAGAGCAAAGAGGTAATCTGATAAGCTAAATTCATGGACAATGAGGAAGATAGTTATAAGTATGAGAATATGAGCTGCTCAGATTCCTCAAAGGCAGTATAAATAACAAGATATGTGTAGGTCTAATGATACCTTAAATATGCTTGTCCTAAAAAGTCTTTGGCCATTGCATCATTGTCCTTGGCTTTCTCTCCTCTCCTTCTATTAAATTTTCCTCTAATCCTATCTTTCCGTTCATTTCTAATGTATGCAGTTTAACTGTCTTTTTTGACGTCTTGTCACTGTCTACCGATGCCTTCAATGTCTCACCATACATGCCAAGTGATTTTGAAAATGATTTCTTAACACAAGTATAATTAATTCCTTAAGAGGAAATATGTTGTGAGCTGTTAAGATCATAACTCTTTTTCAGCCTGATGAATAAACCTCTCAAGTTTTTACCCTGTGTATTCTCTACAATACCAGACATGCTGAACAGTCAATGCAGAGACCTCATCATTATCACTCCAGGTTGACATGTTCTGTTGAAATGCAAGTACATATTTTATGGTGACTATGCTGTCTGTTTGCCTGAGTGAAAAGATGTCCATGGTAATAGCTATTTAAGATTATTGCTGGATGTCTATAATTTATTTATTATAATTATTATAATTCCTCAGGGAAACATTACTTATAATTCAGCAATTCACTTTATCATCTGAATGTTTCTAGGCTTGATTAATGGGCCAATTTTGTATAGTTATAGTATGGCATTTTCTTTATTTTGTTCACATAACTATATAAAACATATAGCCTTATATACACATATATATGTGTATATATGTGTGTATATATAAATATATGCTCAAATATGTGTGTGTGTGTGTGTGTGTGTGTGTGTGTAATAATCTCTTTAAAGTTAGTGATACTGCCATGAGATCATCAGATCATCAGATAATCATTTTGGAAATTATAACAATTCATGCCCAAAGCAGGATCTACATAACGTCTTTGGGCATAGTTCTCAACTATAGTCTAATTGTCATATTTATATTTGCATTTGTATTGATATTTGTAGGTAGATTGCAACATTTTTGGGTATTATATAATGTACTATATTACGTTTCTTATATGTTTACTTTATCAGATATATAATAATGTATCTGATATAAATTAATCTTCATCATAGGTCACTTTTTTAGATGTAATGCTAAATATTTTAAAGGTGTATGTTATTCTCATCAATTTTTACTTTTTATTTGTCATCTCCCCTGTGTCTTAGCTAGTTCTTTTGGTTTTATAAGAAATTATAGAATTTTAGAGCTGGAAACCCTTACTGAACATCAAAAGACTAGAGCCACTTATCTTTGAAGCAGTCACATGTTTTCTGACTTGACCACAGGCTCTGTTCACTCAGCCTGAGTTGTCTGACTGAATCATGGGGAAGGATTTAATTCACTTTTCTGCCCTACTACCCTCCAAAGACTGTTACCTCCTCTATATTCTGGAGATGGAAAACAGAAAGAAAATAAAATAAATGGAATACAAATTCTTATTTGTGTAAATTGTGATGCCAAGCACTCATATTTTCTCAACCAAGTTGTCTTTGCTTTGCCGACTTTTAGCAGCTATTTCCTAGTGACAGCTCAAAATTTCTGTATAGCTTGATTTTGGGAGCAGCAGTCTGGTGGAAGGGTCAGTCAAGGCAGTTTTAAATCTGGATGTGCCTAGAAGGCACTCTCTTTTTATTTAGGTTATATAATACGAATAAAAAGAGCAAGTACACCTTCTAAAATGCTTCTTTTTGGTTTTATGTAAAATTTTAAAAATGTCAATGTGTTTATGAAATAGTACTACTTTATGAAACAATATTTGATCTCACCTTTGGATTTTATGTAGATTATTTACGGGCAGGTGCTAAAGCTCCCCACAGACTATTTCTAGGCCTTATCAATAACCAAGCAAGTTAGTTTATTTGAAAATAGTTTGTTTTATGTACAACAAATATTATATATATATATGTGTGTGTGTGTTTTTAACAAATACATGTTTTAACATGTATATGCTGTTTTTAAGTGGTATTTTTAAATAAATATGTACATATATACTGTTTTTAATGACTTTTTTTTTTTTTGCAGTACCAACTATCAAGGCTTGAAAGCTAAGGGTATTCAAGATTAACATTATTTTTAAGTAACATTTTGTTAATGGGAAAGTCATTCATCCATTATACCAATGATTCTTTTATTTTCCTCCCTCCCTCCCTTCCTTCCTTCTTTTGTTCTTTTCTTTCTTTTTGATTGAAAAATAATAGTTGTGTACATTTATGAAGTACAATGTGATGTTTTGATCTATGTATATGTCGTAGATAAGATTCAATAAAGCTAATTAACTTACCTATCAGCTCACTAACAGCACCATTTATTTGGGGTGAGAATGTTAGAAATCTATTTCTTTAACAATTTAAAATTTACAATACATAATTACTAACTGCAGTCACTGTGCAGTACAATAGATCACTAAAAGTTATTCCTCTAGTCTAACTACAACTTTGTATCCTTTTATCAGCATCTCCACTTTCCCTATCCCTTGGCCTCCCCTAACCGCTCTGTTTTTATGATACCAACTTTTTTAGATTCTACGTACATGGGAGACTATAAGCAGTTATCTTTCTCTGCCTGCCTTATTTCTCTTAACATAATGTCCTCCAGTTCTATACGTGTTGTTACAAATGACAGCATTTCATTCTCTTTTAAGGTTTATTATATTCCATTGTGTCTATACCAAATTTTCTTTATCCTTTCAATTGTTGATGGACACTTACATTACTCTCAAATCTTGGCTATTTTTAATAATGCTGAAATGAAAATGGAAGTGCAAATATCTTTTTACCATACTGATTTCAATCTCCTTGGAAACATATTCAGACATGGGATTGCTGGATCATATGGTAATTATATTTTTAGTTTTTTGAGGAACCTACATGTATTCTCCAAAATGATTGTACTGATTTACATTTCCACCAATAGTGTACAAGAGTTCCTTTTCTCCACATCCTCATCAACACTTATACATCTTTTTTATAGTAGCCATTCTAGCAGGTATGAGGTGATATCTCATTTTGTTTTTAATTTGCATTTCCAAAATAGAGATGTTGAGCATTTTTTCATGAATCTGTTGGCCATTTGTATGTCCTCTATTGATAAATGTATATTCAGATCATTTGCCCATTATTAATAGTTTTTTTTCAATTGAGTTATTTGAGTTCTTTATACATTTTGGATATTAGCTCCTTAACAGATATGTGGTCTGCAAATATTTTCTTCCAATCCATTTGTTGTCACTCCACTCTGTTGTTTACTCTGCTATGCAGAAACATTTTAATTTGATACCATCACATTTGTCTATTTTTGCTTTAGTTGCCTGTATTTTTCATGTTGTATCTATGAAGTCAGTGCCAAAACCAATGTCATGGAGATTTTCTCTATGTTGACTTCTAGTAGCTGTGAAATTTCAGATCTTATGTTTAAGCATTTAAAATTTTTTTTTCCATAAGTTATTGGGGTAGAGGTGGCATTTGATTACATCAGTAAGTTTTTTTTTTGTTAACATTAAATTTTTAATGTTTCTTTAAACATAACTCTGATAAAGGTCAAACATTAAGAAAGAACTGTAAAAAGGTAAAATGAGCCTTGGTACTGTGTTCAGAAATGCCTCCTGTTAACACAGATAATGGATTTATAGGTTGGAAGTAAAATTTTTTCCAAATGCATTAGCACAAATTGTTAAAATGGTGAGGACTTGGGTATACCCCAACAATTTATTAAATTGAGTGTAACTAAAACAAGGGTGGGAGGCAGCCAATAAATGACGGACATGGTGCTTCCGCCAACAATACAAGAATAATTATGATGTAAATGTTGCTATCAAGTCAAAAGATAAAATTAACAGTAAATAACTACATTTCCAGAAAGAAACCACTTGGGGAAGTACTGCTTTTGTACCTTTAAGGCAATAATATTACTATTATTAATAAAAATGACTGAGCACTATGTGCTGTGTTTTTCTGAAAATAAAATTATAAACAATGAGATATGTTTATAAGGATCAGCATTTTATTTTATGAGTCATTTTAAATGTTAAATTTAGATACATTCTTCAGTGACCCATAAATGTAACATTATTTTTATATTTTCAGGAGTTTTTGTAACCACATACCAAAGCTGCTTCATTAGCATATGAATAATTACCTTTGTATAGAGGAAATTAAATAGATAGTGAGATCCTTTCTTTACATTAGTAAGTTCTTTAGCAGTGATTTGTGAGATTTTGGTGCACCCATCACCTGAGCGGTATACACTGCACCCTATTTGTAGTTTTTTATCCCTCCCCGCCTCTCACCATTCCCCCCAAGTCCACAAATCCATTGTATCACTTTATGCCTTTGTATCCTCATAGCTTAGCTCCCACATATTAGTGAGAACATATGGTGTTTGGTTTTCCATTCCTGGGTTACTTCACTTAGAATAATAGTCTCCGGTCTCATCCAGGTTGCTGCAAATGCCGTTAAGTCATTCCTTTTTATGGCTGAGTAGTATTCCATGGTATAAATATACTACAGTTTCTTTATTCACTCGTTGATTGATGGGCATTTGGATTGGTTTCATGATTTTGCAATCGTGAATTGTGCTGCTATAAACGTGTGTGCAAGTATCCTTTTCATATAATGACTTCTTTTCCTCTGGGTAGATACCCAGAAGTGAGACTGCTGGATCAAATTTAAAATCCATTTTAAGTTTATTTTTGCATGTAGTGTAATAGAAGGGCCCAATTTCATTTTTCTGTGTGTTGATATCCAGTTGTCCCAACATAATTTATTGAAAAGACTGTCCTTTCTCCACTGTGTGTTCTTGACATCTTTGTCAAAAATCACTTGGCTATAAATACTTGAGTTTATTTCCAGGCTGTCTATCCTGCTTCATTGGTTGATGTCTCTACTTTTATGGCAGTACCATGTGTTTTGATTATAATATATTATAATGTCTTAAAATAGCTTTATAATGTATTTTGAAAAAAGAGATTGTGATGCCTACAGCTTTGCTCCTTTTGTTCAAAATTTCTTTGGCTATTCGTGGTTTTTCTGGTTCCATACAAATTGTAGGATTTTTTTCTTTATTTCTGTGAAAAATGACATTGGAATTTTAATAGGAATTTCATTGACTTTGTAGATAGCTTAGTTTGCATGGACATTTTAAGACTTTCTCCACTTTTATTCAACATAATACTAAAAGCTCTAGCCAGAATATTAGGGAAGAAAAAAAATAAAAATAATTCATTCAGGAAGGGAAGAAGTAAAATTGTCTCTGTTTGCTGATGACATGACCTGATACATAGAAAATTTTCAAGACTCCACCAAAAAACTGTTAGAACTAATAAATTTAAGTAAAGTTGCAGGTTACAAAATCAATATACAGAAATCAGTAGCACTTCTATAACAACAAGTTGTCTGAAAAGGAAATTTTTAAAAATTTGATTTACGATAGCATCAAAAAATAAAATAGAAAATTTAACCAAGGAGGTGAAGATTTATACACTAAAAACTATAAAATATTGATAAAAGAAAGTGAAGAAGATACAAGTAAATGCAAAATATCCTGTTCATGAATTAAAATAATTAATATTGTTAAAATGTCCATAGTACCCAAGGCAATTTACAGATTCATTAAATCAATGATTTCTAACCTCAGATTCAAATGCAAATGAATGGACTTCAGCAAGGAGAAGAATACCCAAAAATTTAAACAAAATTCACATGGATACACACTTTATTATAGAAAAGGCCTATAATTCATAGAGGCATACTGGATTATACTAGTACATATGAACTACATATGCTTAACCGAAACCCCCAATTCTGAAATCTTACTGTGATAGCAATTTATTTCTTCCTCAAATAAAATTTCAGGGTAATATGTAGCCTTACTTTCTGAAATGGTCTCAGGTTCAGTTTTCTAAAATTTTTTTCCCACTATCTTATGATATTTATTGCTAGGTGGCACATAAAAAGATCAGCATTTCAGCCAACATAGAGATGCCACTCCTTTAAAGGCAAGTCTGAAAATTGTACCACGTTTTCAATGAACTCCCGATTAATTAGAACTTAGAAATGAAATCCTCATTCTGGGTGGCCATGTGTTGAAGATAAAGGATTCTATTACAGTAGAGGAAGTAATTAATAGATATTAGGGACAACCAGCACTTTCTGGCACAAACATACATTGTAAAGTGCTTACAGGAATACCTGGTAGATAATAAGTACATATTAAATTTTAGCTATTTTAACTGTGGGTCTTTGGTATAAAAACTGGAAAAATCTGGTAGTAGCAGAGAAGTCAGGGTAATATGATTTATAAATTAATTGCCTCATGTAATATTGTCTTAGTTGTTTTATATGTAATTTGTTTATATTTTGAGTGGATTAAAATAAGCAAATCTAATAGATATAAATTCATGAGTACTTTTCCCTCAGTGCTTGGTATACAATAATAGAATTGTTAGTTTACATAATTCCTGTGAGATAACTTTGATTTGTGATCATCGAAACAGCATTTTATCTGGTATGAGACTTTAGCCTTAGGTATTATTTCCCTACATAGGAATACATATTCTAGATTTGAACTAAAAGAACAATTGTTCTATAGTGATTATCTTGTGCCACTCACACCCCACATTGTTCTATTCAATGCAAGAAAAAGGGTTTGAATATTAAAAAGAAATCTTATGCCAAGTGAAATGTATTTTTGTATACCTGAAAGCACAAGTCTGGGATATAATATGTCAATATTTCTAAGCTGTCATAAGAGTGAATATTATTACATAGATATTATTATTGATGTTAACTATTTCTGCATGACAAATTTGGTAGCCAGCCATCCAATCAAGACTATGGAGCATCTTTGTTTTTGAACTTTGTAAAATCTATTTATAAACTCCATAGGAAAGTAGATCCATTACTTTATACAACTGCCGCATGCCTAGAACAAAACAGCATTACTATTTTCCTCATTTGGAATATTTAGAATTAAATATCATTTATTTTTTCCATCAAGATGGAAGGCAAGGTGTTATAGTAAATATGACATATTAATTTAATATTTTTTATCAAGAGGATTCAAATATTAGACTGGGAATTAGAATATGTGAGTTTTATTTCTACCTTTTACTCCAAGAGGTAATTTATATGTTTTTTTAAACTAATTTATAAGGGTTGGTTTCTAATTCTAATTCTATTTATAACTGTGTGGTCATGGAAGGGTGATCCAGATTTCCAATTCTATAATGTTAAATACTCCAGTTCTAAAAATATCTAAGATTTATAACCACACTTAATCTTTGTGGATATTACTATGAAGGAAAGATTTTTTTTTAAGAAAAGGTATTGACCAAGACTTTTACATTTCAGTTGTAAGTTATAGGAAAACAATTTGAAATAAATAATTATTAATTGATTTGAAATAAATTTATTATTTATTTGAAATAAATAGATTATTAAAATTGGGAGAAGTTTCTTGGAAGGCAAAAAAAGCATCTATTTTGAAGACATTTCATGACCAGATGAATCATAGTGCTAGGTGCAGGAGATAACATGATCAGTCAGTCTTGGGCATATGTCCACTCATGTGCTTGCAGTTCAAGGGGAAGCAGAAAATAAGAGTTATTAGACAGATGCCGACAGTAAAACTAAAATTAGTTTCTAAAATGGTTTTGATCAACAACTGCATCATTGGTGTGAGTTATCTCCTCTTACAAGGGTAAACTGAGTGAACATTTGCAAATAGAAATATTTATGATATAATACAAATACATTAAGATTTTATATAGTATTTGTGAATTTATGTGTTTTTGTAAGTCTAGATAATTGTCCAAATAAAAAGTCACACATTCATCTGCTAGGGCTGCCATAACAAAATTCTAAAAATTGAGTGGCTTAAAACAACAGAAATTTATCTTGTGGTCCTGGTGGTAGAAGAAGTCTGAAACCAAGATGTTGATGTGGTTGGCTCTTTCTGAGGCCTGTGAGGAAAGGCTCTGTTCAAGGTCTTTCTCCTTAGCTTGTTATGGCTGCCTTCATACTCACATGTCATTCTCCCTATACACATTTATGTGTCAACATTTCCCTTTTATTATAAGGACATCAATTATTTTGGATTAGGGTTCACTCAAATAATCTCATTTTAACATAATTACCTCTATAAAGACCTTATCTCCAAATAAAGTCATATTTTGAGGCACTGCAATTTAGTTCAACATATTAATTTGAGGGGGGGAACAATTCTACTCATAACAACTGGAATGAGACCATAGAACCACAGGCTTAATGGATTTGATCTATTCTAGTAGTAGCCTTTTTATTCCTGGTGCCATTTCTTCCATCACTGACATATAATGTCATTGTTGTAAGAAGAACGCCCCTGCCCACCGCCCCCCCACACACACACATATAGTGAGGATGTTCACATTGTCCACTACTCCAGTAGCTCCTCTACTCGTCAGGCAGGACTTACTCAGGTTATGGAAGGTAGGGCCAAAAAAAAAAAAGTCTTCCCCAAAGTGTTATGCTTGGTGGCCATATGGACAGTTAGTATTAGTGGCCATATGGACAGTTTGGTCTATCAAACTGATTGTCCCTGAGCAACTCATGCTGATGCACATCCCTCCACAGTCTGTGGCAACTCTTATTTGGAAAATGTCCAGAGGTGCCCTCCCTGTGGTTTCCAAAATCACTGTTGTTTTTTTTTTGGCATTATATGCTAAATGACTATTTCCATATCAGCCCCTCAAGACCAAAGTAACGAGAAACAGAGATTTTCAGCCTTTTCCACACATTTTTTTGGATACTTCTTTCTCCATGACCACACAGCTCTGGAAGTAAGCCTGATTCACCTGCCCAGACTATTCCAAGTGAGTATCCCTTGGATGACCTTGATTTACTTTCTGCCAGCATTCCTCAGCCTAGTTGACTTCAAGCCATGAGATCAGAGAGATTTTACTGAAACTGAGTCTCAAAAAGAGAAAGGTTGACCATAAATATATATACCTACAATATACCTGCAAAAACCAAGTATAAAACAAATTAAAGAAAGGTTGGAATCTAGGACCTGTATTTTTCTCTGAGGCTACTTGGTGTCTATGTAGATATTTTGACCCACTCATCAATGATATTAAGTAAATACACATTATCAATTAACCACCACCACTTACCAAATATAATCTATTCCACACTTTTTTGCTAGAGTACCAAGGACCATCTTTCCTTATATGACCTTAGCTAGATAGAAACAATCAAGAGATTTTTCCTAGAACAATAAGATGAAAAGGCCCACTCCATCAAAATATAATTTAAAAAATATTTATAGAGATGGCTTTCATACAAGTATATATTGAACACATTTCAAAATGTATTTAATTCTCTGAGGGAGCCAGCAAGATGGTAAAGTAGGTTCAAAAAACATTTGTACAGATTTTTGCAATCAGCCAGAAAAGAAATGTATAAATACATTTATCAAGTTAAAATACAAAACTGGCTAATATCCTACATGCCAATTATACTATAACCTTTGGGGTTATCTTTTCTACTATACAAAAATAATCTCCATTTTTTCTAAAAAAATTTGCAAGTTCAGAATTTTTTTTTTAGTTTAATGAATTCACAATATTTATAGAATCTATGAGTAGGGTCCTAATCAATAGCAAGAGAAATTTACTTATGAGTACATTCACCTTAAAAACAAGATAACCTTTAATTGTGTGTTTTATTTAGCAAACCATTTTCACATTACTTTTTTTAGTGGTTACATAACTTTGCATTTTTTAAATACTCTTGGAAAATTTGGATAGGTCTATTAGTGCTTGAGTGTGGCACAGAAAAACATAAAATCATCTTTTTGTGTTGTTTCCATATTTTAGATATTTTTTTCTTAACTACTCTAAAGTTGTATAATGCCTGTCATAGCTTCATGAGAAAAATCAATGTTTAAAATTGTTTTCTTATAAAAAATTAAATTTTTTTCATCACATGGCATTCAGCTATATGTTAATTATTACAAGCAACTAAGGTCTTACAATTTATTATCCACTTGTATGACCACTTTACTTTTAGCAATGTAGTGGACTACAAAAATATAACAAATAAAAAGAGGAAAAGTGACATCGAGATGACACAGTAGAAGGCAACGTGCTCAAATTCCCCAACAACAAGAATTCTGTAGCCATTCACAGGTAAAAGTCTCTCTGCAGTGGCCTTGGTATTTAGGTAGGAGTTCTGTGAAACCCTGGTAAAGCACAGGAACCAGGAAGACTGTTTTGAGAATGCAGAACAGCAACCAGGTTGCAGATCCACTGATGATGTTCTCAGGTTCAAACCCAGAATCAGTTCCATTCCCCAAAGGCTTTGGCTACAGCACCATTTGGCCTTGAGCCTACAACTAAAACCATTTGCCAAGGGAGCCAGAAGGAATCATGAACACCAGTGTCTCAGCAAGAAAAGATCATTTTCCTGCTGACATTGATCTCTGCAATGGAACTGAAACTTGTCCTGTGGCTCAATTCCAGTCCAGCCCAGTTGAAGTTCCAGCTTAGAACTGCTCACACAAGGACCACAGAGAGACTTTCCCATATGTTGCACACAGAATCTGAGCCAAAATAAGGGGCTTACCAGCCTTCATCCCATAGCAGATCTTGAGCAAGCCCAGTCTCACCTCTGGGACCTCTTGTTGCAATCAGAAAACTATCCCACCTGTGCAGGGACCCACAAGGGTATGTGCATCCAGCTGAGCTAATGAAACAGGCTCACCAGCCTCTGTCTCACATCATATTCTGAGGGTGCCCTATTTTGGCTCCAGCTCCTCGCACTATAGTCCATGAACTATTCTGCCTGTGCAGGATCCTGCTGGGAAACACATGCCTGCCTTATTACTCAGTGAGATGGGCTTGACAGCCACCATCCTACAGGAGGGCCAAAAAGCCCCTTTATCAGCTCCATTTTCTCCTGCTGCAGTCAGAGACCTATCTTACCTGTGCCAAGACCTCCTGAGAGACACACACCCATCTGAACCAAGGAGATGGACTCCCAACCTCCATTTCACAACAGATCACCAGGAGGCCCAGCTCACCTCCAGCCACACATGCTGTAGTCAGGAACCTCTCCTGCCTGTTTGAGGTGCTGCTGAGATACATGCACCCATCTGAGCCAAAGAGAAAGGCTCACAGTTAGCCATCCCACAGCAGATCCCAAAGGGGCCCTGTCTCAGCTCTGACCCTTTGTGCTGCAGTTGGAGCCCACTCTCACTGGTGAAGAGACATGCTAGGAGATACATACCTATCTGAGCCAAGGAGATGGGTGCTCCAACCTCTACCCGACAGCAGATTCTGAGTGGGCCCTCATTCAGTTCCAAGCCCTTTCACTGCAGGTGGTGAACTATCCCACTTCTGCAGGGAGCTTCAGTGAGATGTATGCCTGGCAGAGCCAATGAAACAAGTCACCAGCCTCTGTCTCATAACAGATCCTGAGGGGGCCCAATCCCTTCTCCAAACCGTTTCACTGCCGCTGAGGGACCATTCTGCCTCTAAAAGAGTAGTGCTTGGGTGGTGTACCTGTATGGGCCACTGGGAAAATCTCTGGCTCAAGTTTCTGGCCAGCTTTCCCACAAAGCCAAGGTACCCCCACCTTGAGTTTTCCCCAGGTCCATTTGGGCCAGAAAAATCATGCTGACCACAGAGCCCTTGCAAGACTTGTGGCAAACCTGTGCTTAGAGCACCAGAGCACCCTCTAGGGTTTAGATGGCTGCAGTGGTGACAGGCTCTGGCAACACAACAGTCTGGTTAAAACCGCTAGAAGGCCCAATGAGAAGAATGAGCACAGGCAAAACCTGATTCAAGAAAACACAAAGCAATAGTCCAGAAACTCATCAGAGAAATTCAGTAGAGATAATAATATAAAACAGGATATTGAAGCTGAGAAAAACAATGAGCTAAATGAAAAATACAATAGAAACAATCAACAGTAGAGTCAAAAAAAAACAATAAAGAATCACTTAACTTGAACATAAGCTATTTGAAAATACATACATATTATAATCAGACTCTCAAAGGTCAAAGACAGGATTCTGAAAGATGTGAAAGAAAAGAGGCAAACATATAAGAGTATTCAAATACCCTTGGCAACAGACTTCTCAGCAGAAACCTTGCAGGCCAGGAGGGAGTGGGGACATATAGTTAGGGTGCTGAAACAAAGAAACAGAAAACACTGTCAACCACTAGTATAGCACCTGGGAAAGCTGTCTTCAGAAATAAAGTAGCAATAAATACCTTCCCACTCAAACAAACTAAAGGGATTTATTACTATCAGACCTGTCCTACAAGTAATGCAAAAAAAAAAAAAAAAAAAAAAAGTGTTGGGGGAGTTCTCTAAACTGAAAAAAACGATGCTATCATGTAATAAGAAAACCTGAAGGTATAAAAGTATACCTGAAGACATAAAAGCCATTGGTAAAATAAGGTATATAGACAAAATATATTTACTTTAATCATTGTTTGTAAAGAATATCTTTAGTATAAAGACTAAATACAAAACTACTATTTACATTAATTTGTTATGAAATAAATAAGAAAATATAAAATGTAATATCAAAAATTTTAAAGGACAAAATGAAGTTCAATATACATTTTTTTTTGTTATTTTCTTTTCTTTGCACTCAAAGTTGTTACCAGTTTAAAATAACTTGCTATGACAATAGAATACTTTTTGTAAGCGTGATGATAACCATAAAACAAACACCTATAAAAGACACTAAAAATAAAAAGGAAGGAAATGAAACATACCATATGAGAAAAAAACACTTATGCACAAGGAAAGACAGTAAGAGAGAAAGGAAGAAAGGGTGTACAAAAGTACTAGAAGACAAGTAGCAAAATGGCTGTAGTGAGAGTTCTTACCCATCAGTAGTTACCTTGAATAGAAATAGATTAAATTCTCCAATTAGAGGACATAGAATAGCTAAGTGGATTTTTTAAAAATTACATGCTGTCTACAAAAAACTTACTTCATCTGTTAAAAACATTGAGACTAAAGGTGAAGAAATGGAATAAGATATTCCATGCAAACAGAAACCAAAAGAAGGCAGAAGTAGCTGTACTTATATCAGGTAAAATAGACTTTAAGTCAAAAACTGTAAAAAGAGACAAAGAAGGCCATTATGTAATGATGAAGGGGACATTACAGGGAAAGGATTTAGCAATTAAAATATGTATGCAGTCCATATGAGAATATTTAAATATATACAGAAAATATTAATAGATCTAATGACAGAGTCAGACCACAATAAATAGGGGATTTTAACACCCCATTTTTAGCAATAGATCATTCAGAGAAAATGTCAACAAAGAAAGATTAGTGCTAAACTACATTCTAAACACAATAGAACTAATAGACATTTAAAGAACATTCCATCCAACAGCCTCAGAATGCACATTACTCTCAACAACACATGGAACAATCTGCAGAATAGACCATGTTAGACCACAAAACAAGTCATAAGGAAGTTTAAAAAATCAAGTTGTATTAAGTATCCTCTCTGACCCCAGTGGACTAAAGTTAGAAATTAATAACAGGAGGAACTTTAGAATCTATACAATGCGTGGAAATAAACAACATGCTCTGCAATAACCAATAGCTCAATGAATAAATTAAGAAAATTGACAAAAATTTTTTGAGACAAAAAGGGAAACACAACGTAACAAAACCTATGGGATATAGCAAAAGCTCTAAATGTATAAATGACTAAAAATGTACAATGATACGGTTTGTGTCCCCACCCAAATCTCATCTTCAATTCCCACATGTTGTGGGAGGGACCCAGTGGGAAGTAACTGAATCATGGGGGCAGGTCTTTCCTGTGCTGTTCTTGTGAAAGTGAGTAAGTCTCACAAGATCTGATGGTTGCTGTAACAGGGAGTTTTCCAGCACAAGCTCTCTTCGCCTTATCCATGTAAGATGTGACTTGCTCCTCCTTGCGTTCTGCCCTGATTCTGAGGTTTCCCCAGCCATGTGGAACTGTGAGTTCTCCACTAAACCTCTTTCCTTTGCAACCTGCCCAGTCTTGGGTGTGTCTTTATCAGCAGCATGAAAATGGACTAATACGATCAATGAAGCAACAATTTTGTTGTTTGAAAAGATAAACAAAATTTACCAGCCTTCTGCTAAACTAAGGAAAAAAGAGAGAAGGCCCAAATAAATAAAATCAGGAATGACAAAGGAGTCATTATAAATTATACCATGGAAATATAAAGAATCATGAGGGACTACTATGAATATATATCAACAAATTGGAAAACCTGAATGAAGAAGGCAAATTCCTGGACACCAACAACTTACTAAGATTGTTATGAGGAATTGAATATCTGAACAAACCAATAAAGAGTGCCAAGATTGAATCAGTAATAGAAAAGTCTCCAATCAAAGGAAAGCTCAAGACCTAATTAAAGGCTTCCCTGCTGCATTCCAACACACACCTAAAGAAGAACTAATACCCATTCTTCTCAAACTATTCATTTGAAATTAATTCTAAGAGCCTAGCATTGTCCTGATACCCAAACCAGAAAAGAACACAACACAAAAAGAAAAATATAGGCCAATATCACAATCCTCAACAAAATACCAGCAAACCAAATCTAACAGCATATCAAAAAGATTACTCCCCTCGTAAAGTGGGATTCATCCCAGGGATGCAAAGATGGTTCAACAAATGCAAGTTAATAACTGTAATACATCACATTTACAGAATGAAGGACAAAAATCATATGACTAATAGACAGAAAAGGCATTTGATAACATTAAACATCCATTTCCTGATAAACACTCTCAACAAATTATGTATAGAAGGAATATACCTCAGCATAATAAAGCACATATATGACAAATCCACAGCTAATATTATATAAGAACAGGGAAAAGTTGAAAACTTTTCCTGTCAAATCTGAAACAAGAAAATGTTGCCTACTTTCACCACATTTATTTAACAGAATAATGGAAAGCCCAGCCAGACTGTTAAGCAAGAGAAATAAATAAAGGACATCCAAATTGGAAAGGAGGAAATCAAATTGTCCCTGTTTGCAGATGACATAATTTTATATAGAGAAAAACCTAAAGACTACACCAAAAAACTGTTAGAATGAGTAAACAAATTTAGTAATGTAGAAGGATATAAAACCAACATATAAATTTCAGTAGCTTTTCTGTATGCGAATAGTGAACAATCTGATAAAAAAATAAAGCAATCCCATTACAATAGATATCAACAAAAATAAAACATATATAAAAATTTAATCAAGGAAGTAAAAGATCTCTGTGATGGAAAGCTACAAAATATTGATGAAAGAAGTTGAGGACACAAATACATGAAAAAGATACCATGTTCATGAATTAGAAGAATTAATGTAGCTAAACTGTCCATAATTTCCAAAGCAATCTACAGTCACAAAACACCCAAGACATTCTTCACAGACACACAAAAATTCCTAAAATTTGTATGAAACAAAAATAACCTTGAATAGCATAAGCAATTTTGAGAAAAAGGAACAAATCTGTAAGCATCACATGATCTGACTTCAAAATATAGTACAAAGCTGTAGTAACCAAAACAGCATGATACCGGCATAAACACAGCAGCATAGAGAACCCAGAAAATCCATGGATTTACAGCCAATTGATTTTTGACAAGAACAAGGATGGGAAAAGGACAGTCTCTTCAATAAACGGTGCTGAGAAAACTATATATCCACACACACAAGGATGAAACTAGATACCTATTACTCGGTACTTAAAAAATCAACTCAGAAAGGAATAGACTTAAATGTAAGATCCTAAAGTATGAAACTCTTAGAAGAAAAAATATACATAAAACATTTATTTTGTGATATTGGTCTAGGCAAGTTGTTTTGATAAAACCTCAAAAGCACAGGCAACAAAATAAAAACAGACAAATGGAATAATATCAAATTAAAAACCTCTGCACAGAAAAGGAAAAAATAAACAGAGTGAAGAAATAATCTACATTATCTACATAATGTGATAAAATATGCTCAAACTATAAATCTGGAAAGGGTTAATGTGTAGAATATATAAGGAACTCAAACATTTCAATAGCAAAAAAATCAAATAATGACTTAAAAAAGGCCAAAACATATGGATAGACATTTCACAAAAGAAGACATACAAATGGCCTACAAGTATATTAAAAAATGCTCAACATTAATAATAATTAGGGAAATATAAATCAAAGCCACTATGAGATATAATCTCAGTCCAGTTAGAATGATTGTTATTAAAATGACAAAAAAAAAAAAATGACATGAATGTGGAGAAAGGGGAACTCTTGTATACTATTCGTGGGAATGTAAATTCATACAGCCATTATGAAAAATAGTATGGAGGTTTGCCCCCAAATTAAAAATGGAACTAACATTTGATCTTGCAATCCCACTACTGGGCGTATAGCCAAAAGAAATGAAATTGGTTTGTCAAAGAGATATCTGCTCATCTATATTCATTGCAACAGTATTAACAAGAGCCAAAATATGAAATCAACCCGAGTGTCCATAAATGAATGAAAGGATAAATAAAATATGGTATATTCACACAATGAAATAGTATTTAGCCATAAAAATAATGAAATGCTGCCATTTGCAGCAACGTGGATGAGCCTGGAAGACATTATGTTAAATGAAATAAACTAGGCACAGAAAAACAAATACCTCATTATCTCACTCATATGTGAAATCAAAAAAAGTAGAGAGTAGAATAATGGTGACCGGAGGCTGAAAAAGTAAAGGATATGGAAGGATAAGGAGAGGTTGGTTAATGGGTATAAAGTTACAGTTACGAAGGAGGAATAAGTTCTAGTGTTGCATTACACATTAGGGTGACTATAGTTAACAATAAAACATATATTTCAAAATAGCTACAAAAGAATTTTGAATGTTCTCACCAAAAAGAAATGATAAATGTCTGAGTTGATGTGTAATTAGAATATTTTTATGGGGTACAGTGTGATGTTTTATTACATGTGTACATTGCACAGCATCAGCAATATGCAATGTATGCATGTATTAAAACATACTGTACCCCACAAAATGTAAAAGTATTATGTGTAAATTTAAAATAAATAAAATTTTTTTCAAGAGAAAAAACTTAATTTCTCCTAAAGTATGTGCTGAACACAAAAATATGCCTATTTCTCGTGGTAGGAGTTTTATACAACAAGTTGGCAAGGTTGTTATTTAACGCCACCACTAATGCACTGAAGTATTAAGTGATTGGTCCTAATCACTAGACCTGTGGGTGATGGAACAGGACCATTAGCCCTGCTATCTAGGCTCCTAAGTCCACAATCTTTTCCCAATACCATCTCAAAAATACCTTCTTGACAATTCTCAGGGGAATTTATTAGAAGAGTTAAATTTAATGAGGTAATTATCAGGAGTTTGGTCAAAAAGCTCTAATAGGATGAAAGTAAGTCTGTTTGAAATGACTAAATGAGCATGAAAGAATGCCAACTATTCTAATTCCATGTAATGGAAAAGGATTGTCAGCTTCTTTTGTGTTTTAAACTGCACAATAGATATGACAGATTTGAAAAACAAAGGAAAGAAGGAGATGACCTTAGGGTCAGAGTTAGAGTCATTGCAACTGGTTTGAACAGATGATTGAAATTAAGAAAAAAAAGCTGGGAAGAGAGTGTTAATGAAAGAAGTACAGCATAAAGATGCGGGATAAATCTGGAGTCCTTGATTATAATCATACTCTACCACCAAATCTGTATGGCCTTAGCAGATTAATGTGCTTCTATAAGCTCCAATTCCTTATTGTGTAGGTTTAAGTTGTTGAGCTAGATGGTCTCTAAGGCCCATTATAGCTTTAATATTCCTTGAACTCGTTTAGGAGTCAATAATAGAGGACTAACAATATATACACAGTAACATCATTTTCTTGCTTAAAAATTTTCAGTCAGTCTCTATTGTAGTATAGCACTGTCATTAAGAATTTGCTTAATTTCCCTGAGTTGTAATTTTCTTCAATTTTGTGAATATTTAAGATATTTATAAAAGTATATCACAATATTCAGGAAATGGTAAGCATTCAATAAACATTGTCTGTCACCATTTTTTGCCCTATATATCATACTGAAGAAACACAAACTGCTTATAGTTATATTCTGTCCTTTATATATATATATATATATATATATTTTTTTTTTATTATACTTTAAGTTCTAGGGTACATGTGCATAATGTGCAGGTTTGTTACATATGTATACATGTGCCATGTTGGTGTGCTGCATCCATTAACTCGTCATTTACTTTAGGTGTATCTCCTAATGCTATCCCTTCCCCCTCCCCCCACCCCACAACAGGCCCCAGTGTGTGATGTTCCCCTTCCTGTGTCCAAGTGTTCTCAATGTTCAGTTTCCACCGACGAGTGAAAACACGTGGTGTTTGGTTTTTTGTCCTTGAGATAGTTTGCTGAGAATGATGGTTTCCAACTTCTTCCATGTCCCTACAAAGGACATGAACTCACCCTTTTATGTGGCTGCATAGTATTCCATGGTGTATATGTGCAACATTTTCTTAATCCAGTCTATCATTGTTGGACATTTGGGTTGGTTCCAAGTCTTTGCTATTGTGAGTAGTGCTGCAATAAACATATGTGTGCATGTGTCTTTATAGCAGCATGATTTATATTCCTTTGGGTATTTATTAAGTAATGGGATGGCTGGGTCAAATGGTATTTCTAGTTCTAGATCCCTGAATAATCGCCACACTGTCTTCCACAATGGTTGAACTAGTTTACAGTCCCACCAACAGTGTGAAAGTGTTCCTATTTCCCACATCTTCTCCAGCACTTGTTGTTTCCTGACTTTTTAATGATCGCCATTCTAACTGGTGTGAGATGGTATCTCATTGTGGTTTTGATTTGCATTTCTCTGATGGCCAGTGATGATGAGCATTTTTTCATGTGTCTTTTGGCTGCATAAATGTCTTCTTTTGAGAAGTGTCTGTTCATATCCTTTGCCCAGTTTTTGATGGAGTTGTTTGTTTTTTTCTTGTAAATTTGTTTGAGTTCTTTGTAGATTCTGGTTATTAGCCCTTTGTCAGATGAGTAGATTGCAAAAATTTTCTCCCATTCTGTAGGTTGCCTGTTCACTCTGATGGTGGTTTCTTTTGCTGTGCAGAAGCTCTTTAGTTTAATTACATCCCATTTGTCAATTTTGGCTTTTGTTGCCATTGCTTTTAGTGTTTTAGACATGAAGTCCTTGTCCATGCCTATGTCCTGAATGGTATTGCCTAGGTTTTCTTCTAGAATTTTTATGGTTTTAGGTCTAACATTTAAGTCTTTAATCCATCTTGAATTAATTTTTGTATAAGGTATAAGGAAGGGATCCAGTTTCAGCTTTCTACATATGGCTAGCCAGTTTTCCCAGCACCATTTGTTAAATAGGGAATCCTTTCCCCATTTCTTGTTTTTGTCAGGTTTGTCAAAGATCAGATAGTTGTAGATGTGTGGTATTATTTCTGAGGGCTCTGTTCTGTTCCATTGGTCTATATCTCTGTTTTGGTAGCAGTACCATGCTGTTTTGGTTACTGTAGCCTTGTAGTATAGTTTGAAGTCAGGTAGCATGATGCCTCCAGCTTTGTTCTATTGGGTTAGGATTGACTTGGCAATGCAGGTTCTTTTTTGTTTCCATATGAACTTTAAAGTAGTTTTTCCCAATTCTGTGAAGAAAGAACATTCCATGCTCATGGATTGGAAGAATCAATATTGTGAAAATGGCCATACTGCCCACGGTAATTTATAGATTCAATGCCATCCCCATCAAGCTACCAGTGACTTTCTTCTGTTCCTTCTTATGCTTTCATGAAATAAAGGGCATAGAAAATATATAAAATACATATATAAAAGCAAGAATAAAGCTTTCGTGAAATAAAGGGCATAGAAAATATATAAAAATGACCATTCAAAGGCCCAAAGTGATCCTGGGTCTTTGTTTCTCATTCTTGACAAGTTAACATAAAATTTCTTACACTGGTTTTCCTCTTTAGTCTAAAAATTTGGCCCATGAAGTTGTGTTGAGATGCGTTATTGTAAATATTTATGTGGCATTAAATAAAATCTTCGTAGCAAATACACATTATTTAATGACACCATTTGCATGGAAAAATCAACAAATCTTACAGTAATAATCTCTTCACACAAATTTTACAAATATTCTTGACTTCACTGACACTTTAATTATCAAGTGGCATGTCTAGTCCCAAAGTAAAGAGTATGCATAATCAGTCAATTCACTTCATGTGTTGTCACTAATCTTAATACTGTACTCCACAACTTCAAAATCTGTCCTCTACCATTGTGGAGAGCAAGATAAAAGGTTTAATATACTTATCATTTAACATTTTGACTAATTTATTTTCTGGTGAATTTAAAACTTAAGGTAAATTTTTTGAAGAAGGATTTTTCATTTGTTTTAACAGAGGTATCGATATCAGCATTTAGATATCTTTGACTTTTTCCTGTCAGAATAATCAATTAACTTGATTTTACCTTTCATGGTCCATTTAATTTCGTATTGAAAGATTTCTTTTCTTTCCCCCCCTACTATGCTGCTCCTTGCGGTGATTATGTCAAACAAGCATCTATTTTTCTATTTCTGGACACCATAAGACTACAAAGTTATTTATTTGGTTGATTGTTTGATGCTCCATCCCCCTTCAAGCCCCACCAAAATGATATGATGTAGCTTATGAGATTATTTAGGTGTAGTGGATCTAGCCTTGGAAACAGCATTTTTTTCCCCATAGAACTAAATTTCAAGAGGAATTTAATACATGGTCCATTTGAAATGAACAACAAAATAGAAAATACAGACGTACCTTGGAGATACTGCAGGTTTGGTTCCAGACAACCACAATAAAGAAAAAAGTCATATGAGAGTAAGTCACACGCATTTTCTGGTTTTTCATTGCATATACATATATCTTTATATGATACTGTAGTCTATTAAGTGTTCAAGTCTTTAAAAAGTACATACGTTCATTAAAAATACTTCATAGCTAAAAATGCTAGTGATTATCTGGGCCTTTAGTGAGTCATAATTTTTTGCTGGTGAGAAGTTTTGCCTCAATATTGATGGCTGCTGACTAATCATGGCAGTAGTTGCTGAAGGCTGGGGTAGCTGTGGCAAGTTCTTAAAATAAGACAAGGAACTTTGCCACATTGATTGACTCTTCCTTTAACAAAAGAGTTCTCTGTAGCATGTGGTGCTGATTGATAGCATTTTACCCACAATAGAACATCCTTCAAAATTGGACTCAATCCTCTGAAATCCTGTCCCTGCTTTACTAAGTTTATGTAATTCTCTAAATCCTTAGTTCTCATTTCAACAGTTTTCACAGTATCTTCACTGGGACTGAATTCCATCTCAAGAAACCACTTTGTTTGCTCATTCACAAGAAGCAACTCCTTATCCATTCAAGTTTTATCATGACATTGTAGCAATTTAGTCACATCTTTAGACCCCACTTTTAATTCTAGTTTTCTTCCTATTTCCATAACACATGCAGTCATTTCCTTCATTGAAGTCTTGAATCCCTCAAAGTCATCTATAAGGGTTGGAGTTAACTTCTTCTGAACTCCTGTTAATAACGATATTTTAACATTTGCCCGTGAATCACAGATGTTCTTAATGGTATCTAGAATGATGAATCCTTTTAGAAGGTTTCCAATTTACATTGCTTGGATCCATCAGCCCAATAACTGCTATCTATGGCAGCTATAGCCTTACAATATTTATTTCTTAAATAATGACTTGTAGGTTGAAATTACTTCTTGATCCATGGGCTAAAAAATGGATGTTGTTTAGCAGGCATGAAAACATTAATCTCCCTGTACATCTCCATCAGAGCTCTTGCTTGGCTAGGTGCATTATTGATGAGTAGTAATATTTTAAAATAAAATTATTTTTTTCTGAGAAGTAGGTTCCAATGGTGGGTTAAAAATATTCAGTAAACTATGCTGTAAACAGATATGTTGTGATCTAGGCTTTGTTGTTCCACTTATAGGCACAGGCAGAGTAGATTTAGCATAATTCTTAAGGGTTTATAAGGGCCCTAGAATTTTTGGAATGTTAGCAGGGCATTGGCTTCAACTTAAAGTCATCAGCTGTGTTAGCCCCTAACAAGAGAATCAGCCTATCCTTTTAGCCTTTTAAATCAGGCATTGAATTTCATCTATTCTCTTAGTTAGACCTTCTGAATGTCTGAATAACTTGCTGCAGCTTCTACATCAGCACTTTCTTCTTCACCTTACAATTCTATGTTATGGAGACAGCTTCTTTCCTTAAACCTCATGAACCAACTTCTAATAACTTCACACTTTTCTTCTGCAGCTTCTTCACCTCTCTCAGCCTTTGTAGAACTGAAGAAAGTTAGGACCTTTCTCTTGATTAGTCTTTAGCTTGAGAGAATGTGGCTGGTTTGGTCTTCTATTCAGATTACTAAAACTTTCTCCATATCAGCAATAAGGCTGTTTTACTTTCTTATAATTCATATGTTCACTGGAGTAACACTTTTAATTTCTTTCAAGAACTTTTCCTTTGTTAACAGTTTGGAATAAGAGGCCGTTCTTTCATTATTTATTGGCTTTCTTCATGCTTTCCTCACTAAGCTTAATCATTTGTAGCTTTTGATTTAAAGTGAGAGACGTGCAACTCTTTCTTTCATCTGAACACTTAGAGGCCCTTGTAGGGTTATTAATTGGCTTAGTTTCAATACTATTTTGTCTCAGGGAATAAGAAGTCCAAAGGGGAGGGAGAGTCAGGGGAAGGGCTGGCTGGTGGAGCAGGCAGAACATACATACACAGCATTTATCAATTGAGTTCATGGTTTATATTTGGGCATGATTTGTGATTCTCTAAAACAATAATAGTAGCATCAATATCACTGATCACAGATCACTGTAACAGATTCAATATTAATGAAAACGTGTGAAATATTGTAAGGATTACCAAAACGTGACATGAGATGGGAAATAAGTATCTGCTGCTGGAAAAATGCTGCCAATAGACTTGCTCTTTGCAGGGTTGTCACAAATCTTCAACTTGTTAAAAAATATATACACACACAGTATATATATCTATATAGATATAGATATATGGTGCAATAAAGCAAAGAAAATGAGGCATGCCTGTACCAAACACCTTAATCTAAACAACCTATGTTTCTGCCATGACACGTGTGAAACAAACCAATATTGCAGGAAAGAATATCTCAAATTTCTTCTTTGCCTATCATTTGACTGACTTATCCACTCCATTTTTGGTTGTTGTCAACTGAACAAGCAATTGTATCTACCATCAATGAAGAAGTAAGTAAAAGTTATTTTGAGAGACAAATGTTTAGATGTTCATACACCTTCCATTTACACACCCCAAGAAATGATAGGTTCCATGCTCCAAATTTTGTCTCAGCATTAAAGCACAGCCTTGAATTTCATGTGCTGGATGCTCTTGCTGGATAAAGCTGAACCCCTGACAGCCATGCAATGATGTACAGAATAAAATAGTATTCAGGAAGTACTTCAGTACTGACAGGACCATCAAACTTAAGATAAGTATTTATTTTGTGTCAAATTATTTTATTGTAAAGTAATGAAATCACTTGATTGCTATTTTTCAGTATTTCTAAGAGGATATCAGAGGACTCACATGGAGTGGAGTGAAGTGAAGGGAACAGGTAAGATGTTAAATTTTGGGCAAACTTTATAGCAGTGTTCCAGGAGCAAATATAAACTTGCAGAAGACATTTCTCTAGGTTGGTGATAAGAAGGGAAATCTTAGACACATGAGATGTATAAAAGTATGTGTTAATCTAAGTTGACAGAAAGTTCACAAGAATAGAAAAACAGGCAGAATAGAGTAGAATGCATAAAAATAGACCCAAATTAATATGGAAGTCTATCGAGTACAAAAAAGCGGCACCTCAAATCACTGAGTCACAATTGACTTTTTAATAGATGGTACTGGGACAATTAGTCATTTGGAATATAATTTTGATCCATCCTTTGGCCCGTCCTTAAGAATGCACTCTGAAAAGATCGGCAATGTAATAGTAAGACATCACACCATGAAGGTAATGGAAGACAGCAACATTTGTAAATGTTTTATTCACCTTTAAATAAAACAGGTTAAATTGCAGTGCATTCTTCTTTACATAGGTGTAGAGAATGACATTCTAACTGTAAATCAAAATCCAGATACAATTAAAAAATTGATAAATTTGAATACATATAATTTCTAAAAACAGTTTTCATGAACAAAAACAAAACCCACTACAAATGAAGTTAATTAAAAGACTGACAAACTGGGAGAATACATTTGCAACATAGATATATATATATATATATATATATATGTATGTATGTATATATATACACACATATATATGTATATATACACACGTATATACATATACATATATACATATACATATATACATACACACATATATACACACACAAATATACATATACATATATATGTATATACACATATATGTATATATACACACATATATGTGTATATATGTATGTGTATATATGTGTGTGTATATGTATGTATATATGTATATATGTGTGTATATATATGTATGTATGTATGTGTATATATATATATACACACATATATATATATACACATACATACAGGTGACAATTGAATAACACAGGTTTGAGCTGTGCAGGTCCACTTATATGTGTATTTTCTTCTGCCTCTGCCACCACCTAGACAACAAAACCAACCTCTCCTCTTCCTCTCCTCAGCCTACTTTATGTTGATAACATTTGTATAAGAAAAAGAGACATTAGAACACAAACACACATCTGTTCATTTGCATGGAAACAAATACAGGAAAAGTAAACAGAGTTTGATAATTTGGTTGTTTCTAGGTTTTGGCTAATAAGAATAAAACTGCTGTGAAATTTTATATACAAATCTTTGGGTGTTTGCTTTTATTTATTTATTTTTAGGTGAATCCTACTAATCCAATGGCTAGAATGCATAGGATGCTTATGTTTAACTTTTGGAAAAATAGAAAAACTTTTCCTAAGGGCTTATATCATTTTATATTCCAATTTGCAGTGTATTAAAGTTCTAGCCTGTCACCAACTCTTGTCACCATTCAACTGTAGGTACGTTAGCAGTTTGTGAAGCATTAACTTGTTGCGGTTTTAATTTGCATTTTCCTAATGACTGATGTTGAGTAAATTTTTAAATACTTATTTGTCATCTTAATATCTCCTTTTATAAGGTGTCTGTTGAAATATTTTTCCAGTTTTAATATTGGCCTTTTTTTACTTATTATTGAGTTGAAGTGTTCTATTTAATATACTACAAATGTAAGTTCTTTGTGAAATGCATGTTTTGCAAATATGTTTTTTCCAGTCAATGGGTTTCTTCTTTCTCTTATCTAATGGAGTCTCCTAAAGGGCAAAACTTTTACATTTTTTTAAAGACCTATTTATTCTTTTATGTCCTATTAAAACACCTTTGCCAAATCCAAAATCTTCTGTTGTTTAAATCTAGATGTTTGATGGTTTTAGCTTTAGGTCTGTAATCTATTTTCAGTTAATTTTCATACATTCTACGAGGAAAGGTTCGAGATTTACTTTTTTATATATAGTTACTCAATAGTTTTGGGGCAACTTATTGAAAAGGTTATCTTTTCCCACATTGAATCACTTTAGTACTTTTGAACAAAAATCACTTGACCACCAGGCCTGCTTTGCAAGAGCTCCTGAAAGAAGCACTAAATATGGAAAGGAAAAACCATTATCAGCCACTACAAAAGCTCACTGAAGTACACAGACCAACGACACTATGAAGCAACAACATAAACAACTCTGCATCATAACAAACTAGCATCATGATGATAGGATGAAATTCACATGTAACAATAATAACCTTAAATGTAATTGGGCTAAATGCCCCAATTAAAAAATTCAGAATGGCAAACTGGATAAAGTGTAAAGTCCCATCAGTGTGCTGTCTTCAAGAGACCCATCTCACATGCAAAGACACTCATAGGCTCAAAATAAAGGGATAGAGGAAAATTTATGAGCAAATGAAAAAGAGAAAAAAGGAGGGGTTGCAATCCTGGTCTCTGACAAAACAGACTACTCGCTTTCCAAGACTTGGTCAAATCTTGAAGCATGGATTTTTATGCTACAGGAATAAACAAACATATCTTGCTGGCAAAAATGTGTTGATTGGCCGGGCGCGGTGGCTCACGCCTGTAATCCCAGCACTTTGGGAGGCCGAGGTGGGTGGATCATGAGGTCAGGAGATCGAGACCATCCTGGCTAACAAGGTGAAACCCCGTCTCTACTAAAAATACAAAAAATTAGCCGGGCGCGGTGGCAGGCGCCTGTAGTCCCAGCTACTCGGGAGGCTGAGGCAGGAGAATGGCGTGAACCCGGGAAGCGGAGCTTGCAGTGAGCAGAGATTGCGCCACTGCAGTCCGCAGTCCGGCCTGGGTGACAGAGCGAGACTCCATCTCAAAAAAAAAAAAAAAAAAAAAAAGTGTTGATTATAATCCTTCCTATTTTGATTAATAAAGATGTGTTTGAGCCTAGTTATAATGATTTGAAATTCATGGTTTGAAACCTCAATTATGTTTGCACCAACCTAATATAATCAGTATTTTCCCCTTAAATGTTAAATAGAATTCACTAATGAAGCCCCCTGTTTTCTTTGTGGGAAATTTACACACACACACTTAAGTTATTCCTTTACTAAAATTTGAATTTGATTTTTTTCAAAGTGGTTGAAATTAATAAATGACATGAAATTTTTACCTTTCAAAATACTTTCCTATTATTCCTTTAATGTTGATTTTTTTTTTTTTCTCTCTCTCTCTCTCTGCAGTCTGGCTAGGGATTTATTAATTTTATTTATTTTCTCAAAAAACTAGCTTTTGGTTTCTTTGATTTTCTATATTGTATAACTGTTCTTTATTTTAATGATTTCTGCTTTTCATTGTTTCCTTTTCTCTACTTTTTATAGGTTTAATTTGCTCAACTTTCCAAGTGTCCTGAGGCAAAAATTAAAAAGTCATTATCTGAGACTTTCCTTCTTATTTAATATAGACTTTTAGTGCTCTAATTTTTCTCTGATTACTGCTTTGGCTGCATCTACAATTTTTGTAATGCCATGTTTTTATTTTTGTTCACTTAAAAATACTTTCTAATCTCTATTTTTTTATTTTTCTTCAAACCATGTGTAAGTGTGCAATTTAGTTTCCAAGTATTTGGTAATTTTCCAGCTGTCTTTCTATTATTGATTATGGTTTAATTTCATTGTAGTCAGAATATACACATTTAATAAGGTTTGTTTAATGAACCAGAAGATGGTCTAATTTTGTAATGTTTCTTATGTACTTGTATAATACACATATTATGATGTTGGATGAAGAGTTGCATAAATGTCAAATAAATCAGGTAAGTTGATAGGTTAAAGTTATATATATCTTTGCTAATTGTCTGTCTACTTGTTCTGTGAAATGTTGAGAGATATGCTCAAATACATTTTGAATTCATTCCTCCTTTTATTAGTATAAGATTATGCTTTCTGTCCTGTGAAGTTCTGCTATTAGATGCATTATTATCTTCTTGATGAATTAATTCTTTTTAATTATAAAATTATTCAGTTATTCTTTGTAATAATTTTTACTCTGAATTATACTGTGATATTAAGTTTGCCATTCTACCTTTCTTTTGATAGTGTTAGCATGATGTAGTATTTCCTATCATTTGATTTGTCTTTATAATTAAGATGAATTTATTTTAGGCAGCACAGAGCCTTGATAACATTCAATCTATTTTTCTGCTTTTTGATTGGTGTTTACATCATTTACATTTGATATGATTACAAATATAGTTTGGATTACATCTTCCATCTTGCTATTTATTCCCATTTGTCTCATTTTTACTTTATCAATATTTTTCTCATTTTCTGACTTATTTTAGATTAATTCAACATTTTTAACTATTTTGCTTTATCTTCTTTCTTAGTTTATTAGTTTTACCTATGTATTAATAAAATATGAATATTCTTTAGGATTTATAGTTCTTTTAGGATTTATAGCATACATTTTTAAATTATTTAGTGATATACTCTCTGTACACTGGTAACACCAGAGCACTTTATTCTGAAATTCTTTGTAATGTTGTTAATATAAATTTTATTTGTACATATTTCATAAACTCTATATAATACATTGTTATTGTTTTTGTATTGTCAATTATCTTCAAACATATTTTTAAAAGAGAAAATATATTCATTCACATATTTGCCATCTATTTTTTTTCTGTCTGAAGGACTTTCTTTAAAATTTGTTTTAGTGAAAACCTGTTGTTGAATTATTTCAACATTTTATATTTGAAAAACACTTTATTTTATCTTCATTTTTGTTAGACCTATTCATTGGTCACAGAATTCTTAGTTGACTGTTTTGTTTGTTTCCAGAAGTTTCAGGATACTGCTTCATTGTCTTCTGACAAGCCTTGTTTCTAACAATAAATAATTTCCTTGTCATTTTTACCTCTGATTCTCTGCACAAAATATCTCTGTTTTATCTCTGGATACCCTTAATATTTCTCTTTACCAATTTTTAATCAATTTCATTATGATGTGTATTGGTGATTATTTTTTCATGTATTTTAATGCCTTTCTATGGCCCCAATTATGCATAATATGAGGCAGAGTTTTTTTCCTTAACTCTCTGATGCTATGATTTTTTAACTACTTTTACCTATGTGTTTCATTTTAGACAGTTTCTTTTATTATGCATCAATTTCACCAATATTTTTCCCAGTGTGTCTATTCTGCTCCTTACCCTCTTCAGGATAGTTTTCATCTCGTGCAATTAGTTTTTCTCTCTAGAAATTCAATTTTGCATTTTTCTGTCTTCTATGCTTCTCTTTAAAGTGGTCATGGTTTTGCCTACTTTCTTTACCATATGGAATGTATTTTAACTCTTTTATGTTCTTGTTTACTAATTGTCACCTGTGTCTTTTTGTTTTTTATTGATTTATTTTTCTCCTTATTAGTGGTCATATATTTTCCACTTCCTTCACATCTGTCAATATTTTATTAGATGTCAGGCATTGTGAACTTTAGCTTGATGAGTACTAGGTATTAGTTTCCTTAAATATTCTTAAGCTTTATTCTGTGGTTCTGTGGTGCAGTTCAGTTTCTTAGGATCAGTTTTTTCCTTTGAAGCCTGCTTTCTTAGCTTTCTTAAGTTGGTCTGGAACAGTGCCGCTTTTTTCCACCCTATTCAGGTGATAGCCTCCTGAGTCCTCTACCTGATGCTTCATGAATTATGATGACGTTTTTCACCCTGTTTAGTGGGAACACAAACTGTTTCTGGCCATTTGTGAGCTTCACAGCTTCTTCCTCTCGCCTCTTTGTGGTGTTTCTTTCCTTGGTCTTGATTAATTCATCACACTCATGCACAGCCATTACTCAGTGGAAGATTCAGGTGGAACTCTATGTAGATCTCACCTGCTTTTTATGTAGGCTGTAGTGAATTCTTGTAATTTTATGTCACCTTGGTATCCATTTTGAATATATGTTTAACTTTCTCATACCAGAAGCAAGGCTTAGCTACTCTTAACAAAACTCACACTTTTCTGCTTCCTCCCAGTTTTTCATTATAAAAGACAGATATGTGCCTTATACAGCTACAGCTGGTGAACACCTCCCTGTGGGATTTAGAGATACAATCTACTTGACTTGCCCCACTGACTCCCACACTCCACATGGACTGCATAGATATCTCTTAATGATCACCTCTTAGTCACAGTATGGCCCCACTGAATGCTTGTTTTAAACCCATGAATTAGAACTCTCCACAGGAAAGTTCCTTGGATAACACCCCGGATCCCTGTAAAGGCCTTGGCCCATAGGTCCATCTGTCTCTCCGGCTCCTCACTTTCAGGTTGAACACATGGCCCCTGCGATCTTTCCATTGGCCCTTGTTGGTACTTCTCTTTTGATGACCTATAAATAATAAATGGCTTCTGTTATTTTATGTGTTTTTGTTCTGTTGACTCCTCTGTGTCTCACCTGACTTACCCACATGGACCTAACTTTTCTCCTGGTCAAGGCTCTCCTTAAGAGTAGATATGATGGTAGAAATAAAGTGGACAAGGGTAAGAAAAGATATACAAGGGTATATGTGAGTATAAACAACACGTTTTGAGAGGAACACCTGGTCATGGGTCAGATACTTAGGCATTAGGTTATTCGCCAGGATAAAAAAAGTATCCCCCAAAAGGCAAACTGCAAACATTCAAAACCACATCCCTTGGATTCCCATGAGAGTAAAGCTACTGATTATAGTCACTATCCAGAAAAACACCTCGAGGCCAAATTAGAGCAAACAACGTAGTTCCCTCCACTGTATGCCACTCTCTGCTCTGGTACCTGCCCCCAAAATTGTAGCCACCACAACCTCTTCATATTTCAATCCTGTCACTTTGATAGAGAGAAAGAGTGCCAGGCTTTCTCAGGACTCCAATTCCCATGCTAAAACCTGGACATTATCCAGAAAGCAACCTGGCATAATAGTAGGGCTCACCTTGAAATTTCCCATATCTTGGTAATTACTTGTCCTAAATAGTGGTTGTGAAATAACTGAAAACTATTTTTGCATATATTATGCCCATTTTTTAAGTTCAACAACTTAAGATGAAAAGGAAAACCAGTCCCTATTATTCTATAATGGTTGTAAATGAAAAGTTAGCTGTATGGTTTAAACTAAGTTTCTCAACTTTTCATAGCTCTATTTTCTGGAAGTGTAAAATGAAGGATATTATCATTACCTTACAGTGTTATGGTAAGGATTAAATAATATTGACCTTGATACAGACATGGTATAATGTCTCTACTTTTTAAGAGTTTTATCAAATGTTAGTTTCTCTCTTCCACTCATTCTCCTTAATCAAAAATAAATTAGCATAATTTGAATATGCACTTTAGCCCATAAGGTAACATAATTTCTTATTTTATGAGGAAGAAATAGAGGATAATCTATCCCCTTAAAAGAATTGTCTGAAATGTGTTACAGAAGAAAATACTTTTTACTATGTTTTATCAGATTAGACTCGGAGCTCCCGCCCTTCCCCCTCCAAATTTTATAGAAATCAAACAGAATTAACCTGCTGAATTAATTACCTGTGTTTTCCACAACAGATATAAAACTGCTTCTTTCACATATGAAAGCACTGAAGGTAGAGACTGTGACTATACCCACGCATAGTTGCCAGCGTCTAAGATGGACCTCATAGATCTTCCTTCTGATGCTCATTCCTTTGCTTAGTTGCCTCCAAAAATATATCAGGGCTGGTCTGCGTGTCCAATAGAATAAAGTAGAAACAAAGAAATGCCAGCTTGTGATTCTGGAGACCTTTCTAAAATAACTTACTCTGGGAAAAGCCAACTGCCATTGTATGAGCAGTCATATGGAGAGGTCCATGTCACAGGGAGCTGAGGCCTCCCACCAACTGCCATGCAAGTGACTTGGATTGGCTCCTCCAGCCCCAGTCAAGCTTCCGGATGACTACAGCTTCAGCATATATTTGGCTGCAACCTTCTGAGTGATCTTGAGCCAGAATCACTAGCTACACTACTCAGTTTCCTAATATTTAGAAATTATGTTAGATATTAAATGTTTAATCACTGAATTTTGGAGTAATACTTTATGCAGGCTAGATAAGTAATACTGATTCTGCTACTGCAATGTGGGTATGCTATCATAACAAATATCTAAAAACTTGAAAACTAGGAAGTGGTTACAAGCTGAAATGATATTAAGAAGAGTGTTCATTGAAATGTTGAGCATGTGTTCTTTTTTCCTGCTACTTATAGTAAATGAGAAATGAGAGAAGTAAATAAAAGGAAAGGCTAATATATGTGTAAAAAGTTGAGATTTCATAGTTTTAAATTTTTAAGCTTCCACAGGTAGCAAAAGATTTTAAAATTAAGACATGGCCTCTGAACAAAGAGCAAGGAAAACAAGGTCCAAAGATGCAGTAAATACCATGTTTAAAAATTATGTTTATCTTAGGTAATTTGAAGACGGTACTTCCACATACACCGTTCTGTCAGGTAAAAGTCCTTCCAGACAGACTGGGCTTCTAGGAGTGTTATCTGTAGAGATCCAAGGTAAAGAAGGGCTTATTTTGGAGAAATTTGTGGGTGTGGATTTTACATAATGGAATGAACTGCAAGAAGATTCACAAGAGATTTAAAAAGTTTTTAAGATAATATATCAATAGAAACAATGCCAGCTTGGATGAAAAGGGACAGAAGGAGTACAAAATGAAAGGCTTTTGGGCCTGCCAAATTTCTCCTAGCAGGAAATAGGCTGAAAGGACTACTTACCTGCAAATACATACTACATCTCCTGTAAAAGGAAGAGTGGTTCAGTGGAAACAAGAATCCAGAAGGGAAAGCCAAGGGCTATGACTTCTGGGCAGAAGCAAACTGAGACTTAATCAAAGAACTTGCTACATTTTCCCAGTTGGATCTCAGAATTGCTAGAAACCAAGACTAGTATGTGCCGCTCATTTCTCTCTTTTATTGAAAAGGAATTGTAAATGTATATAGAAGTGTGTGTTTCACATGTGGGAGGTATGCATATCATTACAGCCACAGGGCACATTGTGGTAATAATCCTGTAAGATACCCCCAACTAATCCCCACCTCCTAGTACTCATGTCCTTGTGTATTCCCTTCCCACATTCTATTATGGAAGGTCTGTGTGTCTGATAGAATAAAACAGAAGAGACAGGGTGAGACTTTGGAATCTATAGGACATAAAAGACATTGAAAATTCTCTCTCTCTCTCTCTCTCTCTCTCTCTCTCTCTCATTATAAACAAACCTATACAATTGATATTTGAATCACATTCTGTAGCCCATGTCAACCCTCCAGATGATTGCAGCCCCAGCTGACAGCTTGACTGCCACCTTGTGTGAGACCTTGAGTTCAAACCCTTCACAAATCTGCTCCAGGATCCCTGATTCTCATAAACCATTAATATGAATAAAATGTTGATTTAAGCTGATAAGTGTTGGGGGTATTCTACTCACCAAAAATAGATAACTAGTACACCACACGTCCAGAATAATGGTATGTGGTGAAACTGATCTGAGCATCACCCTGTCTTATTGTCTCACCTGATAAAAATTGAAGTGGAAGGCCGGGAGTATGGCTCACACCTGTAATCCCATCACTTTGGGAGGTAGAGGTGGGTGGATCACTTGAGGTTAGCAGTTCAAGACCAGCCTGACCAACATGGTGAAACCCCGTCTCTACTACAAATACAAAAATTAGCCGAGTGTGGTGGTGTGTGCTTGTGGTCCCAGCTACTTTCTGGGCAGGAGAATTGCCTGAACCTGGGAGGTGGGAGGTTGCAGTGAGTCAAGATCGCGCCACTGCACTCCAGCCTGGGTGAGAGCCAGACTCTATCTCAAAAAAAAAAAAAAAAAAAAAAAAAAAAAAGGTAGAATCCATATGATCACTAAACAACAGTAGTATCTAGACATGGTTTCTGCTACTTAATTTTCCCTGAGCTGTTGTCTGCAGAAGGACTGAAAGCACCTTGAACTGGTATGTTGTACAATGACTTATTGAAAACTTACTGTGTTAACTTGGCTTTTACACTCCTTTGTTGCCATTCATACTTAGCACACATATAATTATTTACATTTCCCCAAAGGGTCATATTTTTTAACATCTTTATATCTAATTTTTCCTTCATCCTATTACCTCCTTGTCTATCTGATAACATTCTTATCCTCCTTCAAGATGTTGTTCACATAATTTCTATAATGCCTTCCATACCACCCTAATGAACATCAACTCCTTCCTTTGCCTGTTAATGTGCCTTGAATATGATTCTTCTTAATAGTTATACTAAAATATTTTTATATTCCCAGTGTCTTATACAGTGACATACACAGAATATGTTATTAAATATTTTATGGGTAAAGGAAATAATTAACAGATGAGACAGCACTGTGAAGACACCTGATGAATATTAAATATTTAAGAACAGCTCTAGAGTAAGGAGATGTCGTGTGCAACGAGATAGGGACAATTATTATTACATTGATTCTAAAAGGATCAGTACCTTATAAATTACAAATACTTCGTATACCACAAAGACAGACTACTTAATTGTTTTATAGAATTCTCAGATTCAATTCTAAGAAGCTAGTAGGCAGGATCCATGTCCATTATTAAGCACCAGCATGCCACAGGTGTTTAGTAAATGTGTGTTGAGAAGTCATGAAGGGGGAGAAAAGGCTGTGTTTTTTACTTTATAGATTATTAGTGAGAATAGCTGAGTATAACAGTCATTGACTTACTGTATTCCTATTTATATTTCCAAAAATCATAAATTATGTTTAATGACTAGCATATCTAGTCAAAAAAGAAGCCAAGCAATAGGACTTAGCCAAAGGAAATCCCAGCTTCAGCATACTTTTTAAAATGGCACTGAGAGAGTTTAGGTAGCAAGTAGCGGGACCAGAGGAGAGGGGTTTCAGCTGACTTCTCAACACACATTTACTAAACACTTGCAGCATGCTGGCGCTTAATAATGGACATGGATCCTGCCTACTAGGTTCTTAGAACTGAATCTGAGAAATAAGAAAATGTGGTAAATGACTAATAGAATAAAGAATACAGTGCTGTAAAAGATGTGACAAATACATAGCAAATGAAAAGAGGGGAAAGGGAATTTGAAAGTGTGGTGGGTTATGAAGGGATTGATGTAGAAGGAGACACCTCAAATAGGCTCTAAAGGTTAGATGCATAACCATATATTCAAGCCCTTATCTACTGATTGTAAGAATCAGCGTAGCACAGGATTAAAAACACCACATTTAGAGCCAGAAAGAACAGAGCTGCAATCTTGCTTTTCATTATTACTAATTGTAGGACCTTGACTATATGACATTACTTTTCTGTGTCTCAATTTTATAATATGTAAAATGAGGATAATAATAATAGTGCCATCTCATTTTATTATAAGAGTTATGTGAAAAACTATAGAAAAATATTACACAACCTGGCAAACAGGCAGCAACAAATGCATGTAAGTTATTATTATGGTTATTATTGTTGTGATTTTAGCTATCTGGAGACCCACAGAGATGAACTGATCCCTTTACTCATTCTTACTGCCATGAAAATATGATACTTGAAGTTGGGGCAGCATTCATGTCACCATGGGAAACAGCAAAGAGAACAATATAATGTTGGCTCAGCTTTCACTGAACCTTTTAACCATACTGGCAGCATCTTACTGCCAGACTGCTTGTTATGTGAGAGCTGTAATCCATGTATCTTAAGTAATCGTTTAACAGGTTTTCTTTACCTGCATCGCCAAACACTCCTAACTGATACATTGATCATCCAACAAGGCAATTTTAGAGTGAATAAGACATAGCAGGCACTGTAAGACATTATATGATTTTGATAGGTGGAAGTAATTTCATATTTGTTCTAGATGATAATATTTCAAAGACCCACTGGATCCCAGATTGAAAGGAAGCCAAGAACTTCATACACTCAAACTGAAAGCCCATACCTTTCATTCCCAAAATATCCATGACCATGACAGAATCCGGGTTTCCTCATTCATAAGATGAAAGTAAAGAATAAATACTTTATAGAACTGTTGTGAGGATTAAATACAATAGTCTATGAAAATTTTCTTTCATAGTGCCTGGCAGTAGAAATCACTCAGGAATTGGTATCCATTTACATTATGAAAGCAGCATATTATCATTCCCTAGTGAATTTTCTTGAAAAAATTCTCAGTTATTTAATATGTAATAAATTAGTCTCTTCATTCGAAGCATACATTCTTCCTGGATAGGGTTCAAATGTTACCTTTATTTTTAGTCCTTTCCCCTCATCCCCAGTGCCACAACCAATCACAGCCCAACTCAGAGAACATACTTATTTTTTGTTTTGTTTTATAGAAACAGGATCTCACTATGCTGCCTGGGTTAGTCTGGAACTCCCGGCCTCAAATGATCCTCCCGCCTCAGCTCCCAAAGTTCTGGGATTACAGGTGTGAGACACCACACCCAGTCACAGAGGACATGCTTATTGAAATGAACATTTTCAAACTAGCTGTAGGTCCAGAACCATCATTATCTCTTTGCATATGGAGGCTGCTTCACACTTCCATTATATAGATGCAAATAACCTGAGAGTTGTTAAACAATTCTATAATACCAAGTTGTCCTTGGAAGTCAACATTTCTAAAAGCTAAATAGGAAAGCCTCACCTAAGCTTTTCCTTGACATATGCATTTGGTTCCTGGGTATAATGAAGAGAAACTTGCAAACTGTGAGATAATTTCATTTAAATAGCTCATTTTGATTATAATTTAAGTGGTGATAATAAGGAAGCATCCTAAGCAATGGCTTTATTAGCATAATTTTTGGAAGTCTTGTTAACTCTATGTGACAGAGTTGAATATAAATTAATGAATAATTTAGAGATAAAAAGTTTCTGCTATAAATTATATTTCCAGGTTCTGAAGTTATGAAGAATAATAATTAAGGTCACAGGCACTTGGATCAGATAGACCTAAATATTCCCAGCCTGTCTCTATTTCCTGTGGGATTTTGAGAAAAAATTAATATCTCTAAGCCTCATTGTTCATTTGTACAGTGTTGATGATCATTGTATTTACTTAATAGAATTGTGATAATTAAATTAAAAATGTATGGAAAATGCATTAAATAAGGCTGGCATACAATAATTGCTCAAGAAAAATTGACTAGTCATCTTGCGATTTTCAAGTATAATCTATATCTCAGTTAGGCTCTCCCTACTTCTTAATTTCTGCATTGCATTAGCTTGAACCCCACGTTCCATACTTGAGTTTCTCTCTAATATTGCTGACATTATGAGGAAGGTCAGTTCTCATAGCCATGTTTCAATTTGGATTTCAGATCTGCCAAAGGATCATTCTTTGCTATTGTGGGAATTTCCCTTTATTACCTCCTGGTATTAATTCAGGTAAAACCAAATGTATTCCCCTAATTTTCTTATGTAACTAATTTAATCCTTATAAGACCCTATTGCCAAAGTAAGCACTAACATTTACTTTTTTTTTTTTTTTTTAAACAACCCAAAACTCATTAATTCACTCTGCCAAACGACTGGGCCAATTCCACCTGGTCTCTATTCTTCCTCTACTTATCTGATAATAATGATACTAATGCTATCCACAACCTCCCTCCCCAACACAAATATATGAGAGAGCAGTGGGGACTGTGATTAAATGATAATGTTGATTTTTGCTTTCTTTTCTGCATTTTGAATAAAGAAAATGCAATTTTTGTATAAGTTTTTACTGCCTTATATATGCACAAGTTTGAGTTGCAGTTAAGCACCCATGTAAGACTAAAAGCACAGATTTCCCCTTGCAAAGACCTGCTTTTGGCCTATTCTTGGTTATAATTTAAGCAGACTGAATCGTTTTGCAAGGGGAGCCCATTTGTTCAAGGAAGACCATATTTACAGTCAAAATTCATGTGTTCTTGTTATGACTTCAGTATCCTTATCGGTCCAAAGATAGAACTAGTATTTTATCTGTACAATAGGGTACTTATGATGGATAAGTTAGAAAATCAATGTTAGCACACTTTGTAAATTATAAAACACAATACATGAGTTACACTAAATTGAATTGAGGCAACATGGCAGAAGAGAAGCAAACAAACAAACAAACCTGGGCTCTAAAATGAAAAGACCTCAGTGGCTGACCCAAACAAGCCTTTTTACGTCCCTTTATTTCACTACCTCTCAGAAATGAGGCAAATGATAATAATTAAAATAATACATTTTTACAGGTATCTTATAAAGGTTAAGAAAGATAAATGCTTTTTTTTTTTGTCTTATTTTGTTCGTTTTTACAACATTGTCGGAAAGGAAAAAAAAAAAACGTCAATCCTTATTCCTTTCTCTGTTTTTTTTTCGGCTTTAGATGGTAAGAATATTGTGTGACTTTTAAACCAGAATTCCTGTTAGTTTTGTTTTGAGAGAGATGCCGGCAAATCTGCTGCAGTTGACAGGTGGCAGTGTCCTGGTCCTGAGGAACACAAGGGACAAGGATGACCTCTGGGCTGTTTTGAACCAAGGGTCATGGGTGATGACCGTTTTAAGAAACTACTGCTTCCCTCTAATACATTTTCAACTTTATCTGCTTGATATCACTGTCAGGGGACTGCTCAAAGCATTCAATATGTGGAAGGCTTCCTGCTAGGTATGCCTCACAGAGGAGGTATTATATCTGGTTTCTGCAGAGCACAATGTAGAAATAAAATTTGTCATCCTGCTGCCCTTTTAAGAAAGAAGAACTGTAATAATTCCCATTTGTGTTAATTACCTCATATAATCAACTGATTAATTTTTGCAAGAAAAATTATTGAGTGTTTATAAGGTACCAGGTACTGTGCTAGTCCCTGGAATTGCAGCGATAAACCCCAGAGGTGGTCTTGGGTCCCACCTTCATGTTATTCCCAAATAAGGGAATGATCTGAGGCTTCAGTTTTATATACCCAGTTTAAGCAAGGGACTTGAGATTAATAAATGTTTACTATGGAAAGAAAGAAAAGTAAGGTCTGAATCTTGAGATCTCATGGTATGCTTAGAAGCCATTGTGTTCTTCATTGGGTGGAACTTAACAGGGGTTGAATGGGTAGGAATGACAGGAGAGGAACCTGAAGAATAGACAGAGGCCATAGTAGAGTAGACATTCATGTTATGGGATATACTTTAAGGATCTATATTATCTAAGGGCACTAGAATCGTCTCTGATACACTATACTCCCTATTTCTTCCAAGGCATGTGAAATTCAAGACCAGTCCCAGCTCTTATAAATAACATTCTTCTCAGGCCATTGCTTTAGCCAGTGAACTCACCTCTTGACTGACTATATTAGCCATTTGTTTGAAGACAACTTCATTCTTCAGTAGGGGAAGACCTAGGCCAGCAGCAGCTCTTACTCTGCAACCCTCTGCTACCCTCTTCTGGTGGTAGCCTGTCACTGCAATTAACCCTTCAAATCCAGGTGAATCTATTCTAAGTGTGGTTGGTAATGGCCAATTTAGGAAAAGTGACATGGGGCAGAAAACATAGCCAGACCCAGCTCCTGGCTCTAGAAAACCAAGTCCATTCACGGAATCTGACATCTTAAGGCTATGGCAAGAGACTTCATGTGGTGGGCCAGGCAAGCAGGCTGTATGAGGCCAGGAACATGCTAAATTACTCTCATGCTTCCAATAAGAGGGTAGGCATGTCAATAACAATGAAAATATTACTTTTCATTCAGCAATATTAGAAAGCACAAGCAGCAGCAGGTAAACCAGCACCTCCTCGTGTGGCCTTTCCTTGTCATCTTGCTTAAAATATCTTCAAATTTCTATGTCCATCCTTGTTTCTCTTTTCTCTTTAATGCATTTTTTACCATCTAACATGCTATGTTTATTCAATTTTCTTAGTTGGCTGTCTATATTATTAAAAACTAAGCTTCAGGAAAACATGTTTTGTTTGTTTTTTCTTTTGTCACTGCTATATCCTCACTTATATTAGGACCTGACACCCACTAGTTGCCCAATCAATACTTTTAGAATAAAGAGATATCAGTAGGAAACAACCCTCATTCATGGGACTGCAGGTTTGAGAAAAAATCTGCATAGTAAAAATACAATGAGGTCTCCCAGTCCTGCTGCTTAGATAGTGAGGACCAGGAATAGGACAGTAGATATGAATTGGGTTGCCAGAACTAAGCCCAAATATCATCAGAGTTTTGGAAAGTGTGATTGTTGGGTTTGGCTAAAGTTCTCAAATGTTAACAGAGCATAAGAATAACCTGGGAGGCTTATTTAGATGAAGATTCCTGAATTCCTACCTCCCCAAATTATAGTTCAGTGGGTCTGGATGGACGTTCAAAATCTGAATTCTTAAGCACCCTCAAAATAATACAGAAGGCCCTCTGATGACACTTTTAGGAAAATAAAACCCATCATAGTTCGAGGTTAAAATTGTTTTTGGAGGTTAAGGGAGATTGTGCAGGTGGGAATTTTGCTTGTGGAAAAAAAAAAGAATGGAGGCAGAAGGTGAAAACAAGTGAAGCCTAGGGGCGTCAGATGATCATTGCATGCCCAATTTCAATGCTTAATAAATTGTACTTTCTGCAATTATATTCTCAAAGATTAGATTTTAATATATAGCAAGTGATTCTGACACCAAAAGCACAGAAGTCATACCGTAGAAATGCTGGCATAAAGGGAAGGGAAGGGAAAATATTTTACTTTCTATTATGTATATGTGCCAGACACTGTGCCAAGAGAACTTTACAAAGAGGTGAATATTATTAACCTTATTTTACAGATGAAAAAACATGAGAATCACACATGATATACCACAGAATCACTGTGCCAAGACAGCTTTACATGGAGGTAAATATTAACATTATTTTACAGATGAAAAAACATGAGCATCACACATAATATAACTCCCTGAGGTCACACTGATAAAATAGAGGTGAACTGTGACTCAGATAAAAGGACCCCTGAATCTATTCCCTTAGGTTATTCTATTACGTACAATGATTGTCCTGCAGCACACACATTAAGATTTGTTGAACAGATAAATGTGAGGATGATTTAGTGAACAAATGAATAAGTGATAGCATAGTCAGTGTTAAAATAGGTGAATGTGAGAAAGCTGATAGTGACCACATGGTATCATTCTGAACCAAGACATTCATTTGAATCACTAATATAGTAATCTGATGTGATTAATCAATACTAGGTTTTAGGCAATTCATATTTCTTCATTGACATATTTTGCAGATGAGGTCAAGTTTATTGATGTTCAATGTGCACAGAGTATATACTCTTTTAAATAATTTAGTTACATAAATTTGGCCAACTGTATGAGGTTTTGTAACCCCTACCATAGTCAAGACATAGAATCTTCCCTGGTTTAATTTTGGAATTACTCTTCCCCGACCACTAGCTCTTACCAAAACAACAAAAAAAAATCTGATTCTACCCTTATAATTTCAACTTTATATCTTATCTTACAGATTCATCACTAATTATTTTAGGGTTTTGATGGTACTGCAAACATTTTTAAAATTTTAATTTAAAATTGTTTCTTGCTAGTACTACAGCCTTGAAAGTGATTGCCATCCTAAATTTTGTGTGCTAAGCACCTCTTTTGACTTCTCTTAATAACACTGTGGATAGTGTAAAAAAATACAACTACATTTTGTATGTTAACTTTCTGTTCTGTGATTTTGTTAAACTGATTAGTTCTAGTAGCTTTTGAGGGGTGTATTTTGTGGGAATTTTTACATAGACTATCATGACATCTATAAATACTCATTTATTCCTTTCAAATTCATATACATTGTCTTTATCTTGTCATATTGTTTTAGTAATGATCTATCTCCAGTACAATATTAAAGAGATTTTAGAAAGAAAAAATATTTTTGACTTGTTTCTGATTTTCAAGAGAGAAAACATTTAATTCTTCACTCTTATGTGAGTTTTTTCAAAGATACACTTTAATAGTTTGAGAAAATTCTCTTCAATTCTTACTGTCGTGCAAGTTTTTATTACGAATACATTTTGAATTTTTGTCAAATATTTGTGTAGGTCAGTTGAGATAATTATTACTTTTTTGTATTTTGTTTATATACTTAATTAAATTACTCTCCAGTAATTTAATCTCCACTGACATAATGCTGGATTTATAAAATTAAACTTATTTAATAATGATATCTTACACTTTTGAAAATATATGGCTGGATTCAATTTGTAATGATATACCAGGCAAATATCAGCCAAATTATAATCAAATTGATTTCGGAATAAGAGACAAAGGTGGTTATGTGGTTATGATGGGTTAAATTCAATAAGAATATGTAATAATCCAAAATGGGTATGCAAAGAATAACAGGGTTCAAAATACAAAAAGAAATAGCTAATAGAATAAATAGAAAATACACAATTATATTTGTAGAGTTCTATGCTTCTCTCAAAATAATTGATAAAATAATTAGAAAAACATTTGTAAGGATATAGGCGATCTGCACTAAGCTATCAGCCAACTTGACCTAATTGTTATTTATAGAACATTATAGCCAACAAAACATATAAAGCATTATTTCACATGTGCATAGAACACATCAAGATATATATCCTGGACCTATAAAATATTAATAAAATGATTATAATCATGTATGCACATCAAGCACAATGGAACTAAATTGAAATAAAGGAAGAAATGAGAAAATCTTCAAATATTTGGAAATGTAAGTAACACATGGATAAGAAAGAAATCTCAAGGGAAATTTTAAAATATAAATGAAATAAATGGAAAGAAAAGTACAATATATTAAAATGCTAGATACAACTTAAAGATAAATTTATAGCACTAAATATTAATATTAGAGGGGAATAAAGCAATGAATCAATGGTCTAAGCCTTCAATTTAAGGAACTAGAATAAGAAGAGTAAGCTCTAAATAAAGAGAGAAAAAATATAAGGGAATAAATTAATGAAATAGAAATCAGTACAATAAGAATAGGAAACTAAAAACAATCGAGAAAAGGTGACACTGAAAGCTGTTTCTTCAAAAAGAGCAATAAAATTAATCTCTGTTCAAAAGGATCAATAAAAAGTACAAATTACCAATATTAGGAAAAAAAGACACTGCATATATTAAAGGGACAATATATTATATGAAAAGACAAAAAATCTAAATAGCCAAACAATTTTAATAATTTTTATTATAGTAAAACACATAACTGAATTCAACATTGCAACCATTTTTAAGTGTATAGTACAGCAGTGTTAACTATATGCACACTGTTGTGCGACATATTTCTAGAATTTATTTTTATTTTGCAAAACTGAAAATATATACCCATTGAACAACTCTTCCTTTCCCCTCCCCCAGCTTCTGGCAAACACCATTATACTTTCTGTTTTTAAGAGTTTTACTACGTTAGATATGTCTTGTAAATTGAAACATGAAATATTTGTCTTTTGTGACTGGTTTATTTTGCTTGGCATAATGTCCTCAAGCTTTATTCATGTTGTAGTATGTGACAGGATTTCCTTATTTTAATGCTGAATATTCCATTGTTGATGAGCATTGAGACAGCTTTCACCTCTTGGCTAATGTGAACACTGCAGAGTAAACATTGGTGTGAAAATATTTCTTCCAGACCCAGTTATTAATTATTTTGGGTACATACCCCGAAGTGAGATTGCTGGATTGTATGGTAGTTCTATTTTTAATTTTTTGAGGAACTTTTATACTGTTTTCCGAAGTGCTGTACCATTTTACATGACCACCAGTACTATAAAAGAATCCAATTTGTCTGCATCCTTTTTGATCCTTGTTATTTTCTGGTCTCTGTTTCTGTTTTTTATAGTTACCATGCTAATTGATATAAGGTGGTAACTCATTGTGGTTTTGATTTGCATTTCCCTGATGATTCGTGATGTTGAGCATCCTTTCCTATAGTGATTGGCCATTTCTACATCTTTGGATAAATTTATATTTAAGTCCTTTGCCTATTTTTCCATCAAGTTATTTGTTTTGTTGCTGTCATTGTTACTGAATTGTAGGTGTTGTTTTTATATTCTGAATATTAACGCCTTATCAGATATATGCTTTGTAAATATTTTTACAGATTCCATAGGCTTTTTTAGTTAGCTGATTGTTTTCTTTTTGGTAGAGAAGTTTTAAAATTTGATGTAGTTCAGTTTGTTAATTTGTTCATTGTTGCAGTGCTTTTAATGTAATTTCCAAGAAATCATGCCAAGTCCAACGTAATAAAGTTTTTTCCTAAATTTTATTCTAGGAGTTTTATAGTTTCAAGTCTTATGTTTAGGTTTTTAATCCATTTTGAGTTAACTTTGGTACATTATATAAGGTAAGGGTTCAACTTCATTCTTTCATATGTAGACACCCAGTTTTCTGATACCATTTGAAAAAGAGACTCTCCTTTTCACATTGTGTAACCCTGGCATCCTTTTCAAAGATCAATTGACCATATATGTGTGGGTTTATTTTGGGGCTCTCTATTCTGTTCCATTGGTCTATATTTGAGTCTTTATAGCAGTACCATGTTTTTGTTACTGTAGATTTATGATATGTTTTGAAACCAGAAAGTATGAGATCTCTAGCTTTGTTTTTCTTTCTCAAGATTGTATTGGGTATTTGGGGTCCTTGGAATTCTATGTGAATTTTAGGATTTCTATTCTAAGAAAAAGGTGCCATAGAGATTTTAATAGGAATTGTATTGAACCTGTAGATCACTTTGGGTAGTATGAATATTTTAACAATAATGATTATTCTAATTCATGAACATTTCATTGTATTTATTTACATCTTTAATTTTTTCATCAATATTTTGTAGTCTGTAGTGTGCAAGTCTTTCACCTTCTTGGTTAGTTTATTCCTAAGTAATTTACTCTTTTTGATACTATTGTGAACAAAATTGCTTTCTCAATATCCTTTTGTGAATTGTTCCTCATGAGTATATGAAATTGATTTTGTATCTTTCAACTTTGCTGAATTTATTAATTTTACTACGTTTTTTTGTGGAATCTTTAGTATTTTCTACAAGTAAGATTATTTCAACTATAAAGAGATATAATTTTGCTTTTTCCTTTCCAATTTGGATGGCTTTAATTTCATTTTCTTGCCTGATTGTTTCAGCTAGGACTTCCAGTACCATGTTGAACAGAAATCACAAAAGTAGGTATTCTTGCCTTCTTTCTCATCTTGGAGCAATAGCTTTTTGTTTTAACTGTTGAAAATGATGTTAATTGTGGGTTTTTCCTATATGGCCTTTACTGAGAAAATTTCCTTCTATTTTTAGTTTTTTGAGTGTTTTTATTATGAAAGTATGCTGCATTTTGTAAAATGCTATTTTTTAACATCAATAAGATGATCATGTGGTTCTTCCCCCCATTATTATGTCTCTTTTTACAGTTTTTGTAACAGCCTGTTTTATCTAATTTAAGCATTGTTGGTCCTGCTCACTTTTGGTCTCCATTTATTTGGAATATCTTTTTCCATCCCTTTACTTTCAGTCTACATGTATCTTCAAGGATAAAGTGAGTCTCCTATAAGCAGCATATAGTTGTGTCTTATTATATCCATTTAATCTAAATCTTTTAATTGAAGAACTTAATCAATTTACTTCAATGTTATTATTGATCAGTAAAAACATATTCCTGCCATTTTGTTAATTATTTTCTGGTTCTGTCATAGATTATTTATTCCATTCTTCCTCTCTTATTGTTTTTGTCTGTGGTTTGGTGGTTATTTGTTGTGCTAAACTTTATTTTCCTTCTTATATGTATATCTGTTGTAATTTTTTTCTTTATACTTATCATGAAGCTAAAGTCTTGTAGTTACAATAGACTATTTTTAACTAATAAAAATTTTACTTTGGCCACATAAAAATACCATTTAAATTTTCTTCCTCACACTCCACAATTTGTATTTTTGTTGCCTTCATTTACATCTTTATCTACTATGGGTTCCTTAGCCACTAATTGTAGCTATTGTTTTTGATCATTTTGACTATAAACCATGATACTAGAGGAATACAAGATTTACATGGCTCATTACAGCACTAGGGTGTTCTGAGTTTGATTTTGAACTTATCTCTACTTGTGAGCTTTATACTTTCACATGTTTTCATGATAGTAATTACCATCCTTTCATTTTTGGTTGTAGCACTCCCTTAAGCATTTTGTGTAAGACCAGTATAGTGGTAATGAATTTCCTAAGATTTTGCTTGTCTAGGAAGGTGTTTATTTCCCTTTCATTTTTGAAGACTAGCTTTGCTGAATATAGGTTCTTGAGTACCATGCATTTTCTTTTGCCAATTTGAATATATCTCCCTATTCTTTACTAGCCTGCAATTTTATGCTTGCAGAAATCTGCTGACAGAGTAATAAGAATTTGCTGATATGTAACTAGATGCTTTTCTCTTGCAGCTTCTAGAATTCTTTGTTTACAACTTTTTTAAAAAGTTGTTTTTAATTGAAACATAATAGTTATATGTGTTTATGGGGTAGAGAGTAATATTTTGATACATGAATACAATAGGTGGTGATCAAGTCAGGGTAATTAGTATATCCATCATCTCAAACATTGTGTGTGTGTGTGTCTGTGTTGAGAACATTGAACAACCTCTCTTTCAGCTATTTGACAAATATAATAAATCATTATTAACTATAGTTACCTTATGGTGCTATAGAACCTGAGAATGTATTTCTCCTATCTACGTGTAACTTTATATGTATTAATCACCTCTCCCTATCCTCCCCTTTCTTTTACTTTTCTCAGCCTCTAATAACCATAAATCTATTTTCTACTTCTATGAGCACAACTTGACTGCAGCACTATTCACAATATCCATGACATAAAATCAACCTAAGTGTCCATCAACAAACGAATATACAAAGAAAATGTTACACACACACACACACACACACACACAATGGAACACTATATATAGAGATATATACACACACACACAAACACACACACACACAATGGAACACTATATCTGGAGATATATACACACACACACACACAAAGGAACACTATCCACCATAAGATGAATTAAATGCTATAATTTGCAGCAGCATAAATGAGCCTGGATGATATTATGCTAAGTGAAATAAGACACAGAAAGAAAAATACTGCATGTTTCACTCATATGTGGGAGCTAAAATTTGTCTTTGACAAATGACATTTTGATTATAACGTGGCTTAGAGAGAATCTTTTTACACTGAGTCTAATTGGGGAATTTTTAGCTTCCTGGATTTGGATGTCCATATCTCGCTCAAGTATTGGGAAGCTTTCAGTCATTATTGTGTAAAATAGGTTTTCTGTGCCTCCTTCAATAATATGATGCTCCAAATATTTGTTCATGTAACGATGTTTCGTAAGTCCTGTAGTATCTCTTTATTCTCTTTTATTTCTATATTTTTCTGACTTTGTTATTTCAAAGGACTTGTTTCCATGTTCAGAAATTCCTTCTTTTGTTTGAGCTAGTCTTTTGTTGAAACTCTCAGTTGTGTTTTTTATTTCATTCATTGAATTATTCAGCTCTAAGATTTCTGCTTGGTTCTTTTATATGATACTTATCTTATTGTTGAACTTCTCATTCATATCACGAATTATTTTCTTGAATTAATTGAATTGTTTGTCTGTATTTTGTTGTATCCTGAGTTCTTGTAAGATCATTATTTTTATTTCCTGTTAAGGCATTTCATACTTTTTTTTTTTTGGAATCTGTTTCTGAAGACTTATGTTCCTTTGGGGTGTCAAATTTCTTTGTCTTTTTAAGTGTCTGGTGCCCGTGTGTTGATATCTGCAAATCTAGTAGAACATTCATTTTTCCCCTATTTTATGAGTACTTTTGTAAGAAAAGACTTTTCCCTGAAGATGGATCCTAGGACGTCAGTTGGGTATGGTGCATTGCCTTTAGCTGTGGATGGATTCTGTAGTATGATCTCCATGCAGTTACTTCAGTTGAAATCCTTGTCCATGATATCTGTTATTGCCTCTGTGGTCTAGGCTATAGGAGTCTGTGATGGTGGTGGTGTGGTATTGCTTGAGGTTGTGTCTCTGGGCTGGTCATGTTGGGTGCATATGAGCACAGTGTGCCAACAGGCTGTGTGGTGGGCTCTCTGGAGGACTGGGCTGTCACCACATTGGCTGTTGGATTAGGCACAGGCATAGACACAAGCATTTTTCTTGAAATGGAGAGAAAAGTGAGGTGTTGCCTGTAATCCCAGCACTTTGGGAGGCCGAGGCAGGCAGATCACAAGGTCAAGAGATCGAGACCATCCTGGCCAACACGGTGAAACGCCATCTCTACTAAAAATACAAAAATTAACTAGGCATGGTGGCATGTGTCTGTAGTCCCAGCTACTCAGGAGGCTGAGGCAGGAGAATCGCTTGAACCCAGGCGGTGGAGGTTGCAGTGAGCCGAGATCACACCATTCTACGTCAGCCTGGTGACACAGCAAGACTCCATCTCAAAAAAAAAAAAAAAAAAAAAAAGAAAAAGAAAAGTGAGATGTTATCTTCCTTAAGATCTAGTAAAGAGTGTCCCAGGAGAATCTCTAATTAAGAATGGGTTGGTTTATGAAAAGAGGATATTGGTATCTTATTAACTACCTGAGTAGTGGTGATTGAAAAACAAATTATCTGGCCTGTCAGTCTGGGGCATGGTGAGATAATTTTTGAGGGAGCTTGACTTAAAGTTTAGGTATACATATGAAGATAGATATATTTGGTATCTATTTTTAGTATAGGCATATCTTAAATCTAGAGCCTTCTAGAGCAACCTAGGCCAGCAGAACTCTAAGATAAAATATGGTGTCTGAAGAAAATATGGTGGTGACCCTACAACATTTTAATTCTCTGATGATCTTGGAAGTGCAGAAGCAGGCTCCAGTGTTCCAATAGCTCCACATAAAGTTAATGAAAGTTAGCTGGGAGGCATAATTTAGGAAGCATCCTAGCCAGCTGAATGGTCAAGCAATAAATTGCCCAACCTAGAGAAGTGGTTGACAGCATATATCTTTGGTGACATTGTTGAGGAGCTTGGCTGTATTGTATGAGTGGGTTCTTGAAGAGAGATAACTAAATGAATCTGGATACCATCAGAAAACTAGGCTCATCAATAATACAGAATCCAACATACCCCTGGAGCATCTGAGCATCAAATTGAGTAAGGTCAGGGGTACCTTCTCTATACTACCATATCAGCAGCCACAAAAGAGGATTATTTTTCTCTCAATTCTTCTTCTTTGCCTCAGTGGTAAAGTAACGAGAAACTAGGATAGTGAGAAAACATGAAGGACGTTTAAAGGCAAAGTCATCTACTTCTGTTCCAGGTGCTAAATCAGGGAAAAATGTTCAAAGAATAAATCAACCATCTTTGTCCTCTACTATTCTTCAAATTTCAAGTTTTTTCTGAATAGAATGGAGAGAATGAGGATTCTGATAAGAAACTATGTTTTATACTGAAAAGAAATGTCTTAAGAAACCAGTGTAAACAAAGTAATTATGTATTTAACATAAGCTTCCTTGAAGGGTTCTGCCACCTTATTGGGAAGCAATAATTTTAATAAATAACATAACACATTGGGAAACATAACACATTAAGAAGCAATAATTTTAATAAATATGTGTTTATATTAATACTTCAAATATTGGAAGTTCTCCAAGAAACCAGTGGTACTATTTTTATGTTATTGTTTACCTTGAAGCTAAACTTTTGGATGTGTATACTGAGAACTTTGAGGAGAAATAATTTATATGCAACTTAGCTAAGCAGTTTAAACATGAAAAATGTATTAACCGTAGTTCACTTAAATGGTTAAACCATAAAGGAGGACACAGGATACCTTGATTATACTTCCAAGGTGTTGGTATTAGATTGTTTCAGATAATTGCACCTGCATCTTATTTATCCTGACAGGGCACAGATTATTCTTTTGCCTAGGTTGATAAACTGAACTGCACCTTTATTCACAGTATGACCTATTCCTTCAGCAGAGTCTAGACATTTTGTGGCAATATTTCAGTGCTGCTTACTTATACATATTTGGTAGTTTCTTTGAGTGGACTAAATCTCCCTTTTTAGTCCTTGCACTCGTACTCCTTATCTGAAAAAGGAACAAAATACTTGTTGAAATCTACTTGGTCACCTTATTCTGAGGGTCTAGTCGTATGACCTGTCTTTCCATCTTCTCTCAGTAATTTATAGGAAAGTCCCTATCCATATAATCTGTCAGATAATTCTTAGACAAAATTTAGACATTTCATCTCTGATGACCACTAGGTAGAAGCTCCCCTACTGTCATGTTGGTTTCATAAATATCAGTGTTCATGCTGTGTGTGGGCCGATTCAGAGCTTCCATACACCTACAGTTCTATGCTAAAAATAAGAGGAAATCATTTGTTTCCTAGGCAACAATTTCATGGAACATGTATAGTTCTCCTTTGAAGGTGTCCTAAATGGTGAAGTTTAGTATTTGCAATATTAACATGTTCAGTTTTTTAAAAAACTATTAATAATTTGCTTTAACAATCATAGATTGCTAAATTAGGCAACTATTAATAAATGTTGACTAAGTTCAAACTTGTGCACAAGGAGGGCTAGGTGTTCTCTCTGTATAAACTCTACATAGAATATATAAAAGGGGATAGGGAATAAGAACAGAAGGAAGGAAGAAAGGAAGGAAGAGAGAGAAAACAAGAGAAAAAGAATCTACAAATAAACACCAAACCCACAGGAAGATTTTCAGATTAAAACAAAATGCTTAGCATGATGATTGGTAGGTATTATATGTTCAGTCCATGGTAGCTTTTAAATTTTGTTAAAATAAAAACAATCATTTCTGTGTAAAATACTTAGGAAAGCACTGGAGTGTTAAATGTATCATGAAATATAAGTTCAGTGTTTATTATAATCAGGCCGAAGATAACAATGAAGGCAAGACATTGATCAGGAAAGGCAAATTCTTCTTTTGTTGGCTTAAATTTATATTAATATGTACAGATATACAGCCTATGTAAATTATACCCACATTTGCAAACTATTTAGCACCTCCTATGTAGAAGGTTTTATATAGAGTATTCATATGCATTAGCTCTTTAAATTCTGAGAACTCTAAAAGAAAGCTATCATTGTTGATATTTTAAAGATATGAAACAGATGCTCAGAGATTTTAAGTGATCATCTCAAGTTTGCACAACTAGTAAATCTAGGATCTGGAATTCAAATTAGGTCAGATCCTTGATGTTCAACCACACACTAATCCAGAGGTCTTTGTTCTTTCCCTAGGAAAGTAGATCTAATGTTTCCATAAAAGCAAAAAGTAGCTAACAGAACTTGACAAAAAGATGTTTAGATAAATCAAGCTATAATTTATCTAATAGAGAAAGGAATCAAAAACATCTGATGCCCCAGGCTATGAGTAGGACATAAGTCAAAATTATAAATTATTTTGTTACTGCTTTTTCTCCAGAGAATTTTAGAGCTAGGTTAAAAACACAGTTTGATAAATACATCTAATAGTGATTCATAGTATTATTATTTCAAACCTGAAACTTTCCTGGACTCATACAGATGCCTAAGAAACACAGCTGCTACAGAATAAGTTCATTGAGTACTCCTGGGGAAAGCCATATCCTGTCCCTTTTATTTCTTCCTTCATCTCAAGTCTCTTTAAAAATAAGCCCCAGAAAATGATCCATTAAAACAAGACATGAAAAATAGCTCTTAAGTGAATTAAAACTTAACATTCAGTTAGTTGTATAAAACTGTAAAATTATTTCATTACATTTACAATAGGCTTTCTTATTTTGATATACTTGCAAATTTTACAGGAAAAAGCTTATAATAAATTTTAGCTGTTGTCTTGATTTATTTTTAAGGTGTCCAAACCTAATTGTTCTTGTCAATTAAAAGTATATTTTCTTTTATTTTTCTAGAGTTGGGTGTCCTCCTCCTACAGGTTGGTGACATTGTGAATGTTTTCAGTTAACAACTGGCTTGGACACAGGCATTCAACTGGTTCAACTTCTCCAGCTTACTCTCTTAGATAACAGAAGTAAATGTCTCAGTTTCCTTTGTCAGTTTATACACAGACGATTAGGGTCATGCTGACAAATAAGATGCTCTGGGAGTTTCAGTTGATTTGATTCTGAGACTGAAAATACTTTTGCTGAAATTGATTGAATATTTATGCCCTGTTAACAGTGGTTTGGCCACATTACTTTGTGTGAGGTATTGTGAGGGCAAACACAGATCAAGAGAGATAAACTTGAAAGAGTTATAGAGTTTTGTTACTCATAGTTCCCTAGGGAGAACACAGCATGCCATGCAGCGTCACTCAAGAGGAGATACCGGGACTGGTGTAAAATACACACACACACACACACACACACACACACAAATATACACACATACATACTAAAATATATATACACATATGTGTACATACATATACATGTAAACGTGTGTATGTATATACACATACACATGTATGTATACATATACACATGCATGCATATATACATATACACATATATGTATATATGTATGTAAATAAAATATGTAAAATTATATAAAGTTTTCTTTGTTTCTATTTAAATTCTTTAGACCTCCTTCTTCATTATTGTGAGAAATAATTCATTTTGTTAAGGGAACAAAGACAACCAGTTCCATTCTTCATTTTTCCTGCTACTGAGACTCAGCCAGCCAAACCAATATCCTTGCCATCTCTCACAAAGAGCTTATGCTTTCTCCGTGCACATACAAATATCTCTCTGCTCTTTCCAAGTCACATTTTGCTGCTCCTTCAGAAAGTAAAGAATAATTTTATGAAAAATTTTATGCCACTCTGATCTAGTAATTAGATCTGTAATTTATTACTCTGTACCATTTGGATGCTTGTGTAGGCTTCACAATCCTCAGATTGGAGCTTACTCAGAGTAGATATGTAATAAGTGTTTGTTGAATGGTTTCAACTCTACTTCACGCAAGTGCCCTGTGGATACCCAATCATGAATATTTTGAGGGTAAAACCCTAACTGTGTGGTTTGTCTCACATGACTTAGTCCAAAACTGTATAGTTGATGGCTACCTCATTTATTTAACTCTATATTGGATTGTGACAGATATAATAATATATTGATACTATGATATATTAACCAGGGTCATGTCTAGCAAGAGAAACATATATAAAGAAATGACAATACACATTCTTATTTCATTTCAATTGAAAGAGTTGCAGAAGTAACAAATAGAATGTAATTAGTGTATATTAACATGGAGATCTAACTTGGCCTGAAGAGCTATGGTTTCCCTGATAAAGTAATCATTTAAGCTGAGATCTGAAGGATAAGTGGGAAGGAGTCAGTAAATATTTTCACTTTACTTCAGTTTTGTTCACCAAATTTCTAAATATGATTTCAATTTATGGACATTCACATGATTATCTATTAGGTAAATCGACCTGGGGCATCAGATGGTTTTTAAATTAAAAATGTGACTCTAGAATGAAAACTAGAATGCTATGCAGGAACACAATGTTTGTATTCTAAATTTCTTATTATTTCCAAAAAACTTTCATCCAAAGACTACATGTAATTATTTATTTGCCTTGTTTTGTAGGCAATAGAAAAGAATTTTGGAAAAGTTAGCAACATCCATAGTAGTGTTACATTGATGACTATGATATGCTAGTCCTGAAGTTGTTAAGCTTATAAATTTACAGTTGGTTTTCAAAGAAGTAGTTAAGTAATAAATATTTATTTTATTGCACATTGTCTAAATATGAACATCTGCATTGTAATCAGTTACATCATATGTACTAATAGGGACTGCTGTTTATGATAGTCATTGTGTATGTCCTATGGGTACTCTCTTGAGATTCACATAAGATAATGAACGTGAAAGAGCCATGGAAAGGATAAAGCATTAGGCAAATAACATGTTATATATTTGTGACATTCTTTTCCAGTTTTCCTGTTGTTTAAATGTAAAAACATAAGAATTTTAAAGTGTTTCAAGAGAATACTTTAATGATGGATCAAAGTTAACAAGAAGAAAAGAAAGAAAGAAGATAAAAGATAAAACTCCAAATAAGATAGTTTGAAAAAATAATCAGCGATGCACAACTTAAAGATTCTATTAAAGTTATGAGTAGCAGAGTAAAATTGTTTGGATAACTCAAAAATGTAAATGTAACCAATATCACTGAACATTTAAAAATGGTTAAAATGATACATTTTATGTTATGCATACCTTACCACAATATAAAAAGATAAAATGTTAATAATATTTTATTACTGCATTAAAATGCATTAATATTTTTATCATTATGCATACTTTACCACAAAACATTTTTAAAAAGCTTAATAAACAGATTCTAGAAACATATTAGAAGTATAACAAATCATTACCAGCTACAGTTTTCCAGGAATAAAACAATGTTTTATTATTGGGTAACCTATTAACAAATTTCCCTAGGAATGACAAATCACAATAATCTCAAAAAAGTTTATAAAAAATGTCAGAATTTAACATTTATTTTGTACAAAATAGCAACAGTTAGAGATATATTACGCTTATTGGAAAACAGCATTCTCATTAAAGCCAGAAACAAAACAAGGAAACTCTTTATTACCACCACTATATAGTATTGTCTGTGAGTTATAAGACAATACAATTAGATAAAGGAAAATAAGAGGTATAAAAATTAGAAAGGATATGAAATTATTCTCTGGAGATCTTGTAATTGTTTACTGTAAAACAAAATTTTTTCAAAACTTAGTAGAGTCAAAAATATTTATAAAGGATAAAATAATTAAGCTGAAAATTAATTTATAAAAACCAATTAGTTTAAAACAAAGAACACTACAAAAATATCATGAAGGTAAATTCCCATTTCAAATAAATGTTAAAAGGTAGTAAATATAACGAGCACAGGAGGACTCAATAAAGAAAATTTTAGAGGACAAAAGGGATACAAAAGAAGGTGTTGAGTGCAAATAATGATTTGAAATAAGAGGTGTTAAAATATAAAGACAGCGATTCTCCCTAAATTGTTTAACATTTAACACCATGTCAACAAAAATGCTTTGAGATTTACTTAGTAGCTTGGGGTGTAGGGAAACATTTTTTTTTTTTGTAAAGTAAACAATCAGTAAAAACCAAGATTTTATTTTTTTTTTAAATAAAAAGATACATACTGAGGAGAGAATAGCCTTATTAGATGTTGTATTAGTCAGGGTTCTCTAGAGGACAGAATTAATGGAATATATATATGTGTGTGTATATATATATGTATACACATTCTATTTATATATATATATTCTATTATATATATATACTTATAAATTCCTATTTTTTCTATTTCCCACAAAATTCTTTTCTATTTCCTACAAAACAAGGCAAATAAATAATTACACATAGTCTATATATATTATAGGAGTTTATTAAGTATTAACTCATATGATCACAGGGTCCCACGATAGGCCATCTGCAGGCTGAGGAGCAAGGAGAGGTATTCCAGGTTCCAAAACTAGAGAACAGAGTCTGACGTTCAAGGGCAGGAAGCATCCAGCACAAGAGAAATGTAGGCCAGGAGGCTAGGCAGTCTCTCATTTCACACTTTTCTGCCTGTTTATATTCTAGCCATGCTGACAGCTGATTAGATGGTGCCCACCCAGATTAAGGGTGGGTCTGCCTTTCCCAGCCCACTGACTCAAATGTCAATTTCCTTTGGCAACACCCTCACAAACACACCCAGGATCAGTAGTTTGTATCCTTCAGTCTGATCAAGTTGACACTCAGTATTAACCATCACAGATATTATATCAGAAAACTGTAATAGTTTATACTGTATGATATAAACAAACAGATCAATGGACCAGAATATAAAGTCTAGAAGAGTAGTGAGTAACTAGAACATTAGTAAAGACTTAGCACTTTAGGGATGGATAATTCTTTTTTGTCAGTTGCTGTCTGGTACATTGTAGGATTTAACAACATCCATGGCCTTTACCCAAAAATGACAATATCTCTCCCTAGTTGTGACAATCAAAAACATCTCCAGAGACTGCCAAATGTCCCCAAAGGCGCAAAGTTGCCGTTATTTAATACCTACTGATATAAAAATATATCCAAATATAATTGGCTATTTATATACAATAAACACAATCTTCAAATTAGTAGAGAAAAAATAGTTTATTTAATTTTATGGTTGGTAAAAGTGGATAGAATTCTGGAATAAATCAAAATAGATCTATACCTCACACTTTAGAACAAAATAAATTCTGATAACTCACACAATGAAATGGAAATAGACATGAAATATAAACTATAAAAGTCTTAGAAGAAAATAAACAATTTGATTATTCAAAATAGTATTTCTAAATAGGAACAAAACTCAGAAGTCATTAGAAAAGATTGACAGGTTTGATCCCTGAAAAATTTTTAAAAATCTCATTTTATCAACAAGATAAAGTCAAGAGATAAATGGGAAACTAGAAAAATAATTTCAACTTGAATCACAAGGAGTTACTTTCCTTGTTAGGAAAAAATTACAAATCAATAAAGAAAACAGGATGAACTCAAAACAAAAAGTAGTAAAGATTAGGAGTGGTTGACAGAAAAATTATAGCTGTTTCTTAAGCATATGAAATAATATTTTGACATATTTATAAAAAAATGCAAATTAAGATCATATTGATATATAATCTTTCTTATGTCCTGTTGGCCAAGATCACATGTGTGATGACATGCTGCATTGGTGGGTGTATGAGGAAGTAGCTGATCTTGAAAGATGGATATGTAGTTATTAGGAAAAGAAGGAGATAAAATTATGAGCATTTCAAAACCAAGTAATTCCTGTTGATGTGTAAATTAAAACAAGTACAAAGGAAGGAATTTTGAAAATATACTTCAAAACAACAACTGAAAATACCATTTGGACATATTCTAGAACATATTCACAGTTGTGCAAAATGATATGTTTAATAACGGTATTTGTTATATTATTGATAATACAAAAATTCTGGAATCACCTTGTTTATAGGCACTGGTAAAACATTACAGTACATCACTTCAAAGGAATGCTGTACATTCATGAAACCACTATAGTTGTACTGAAAAATAAAAAAATAAGGTGTAGAACAGTGTGCTTAATATGCTATACTCAATTTATATAAAAATAAAGAACACATAAACATTTCAGATACATCTGAAAGGACATAAGAAAACAGGAGGTATACTTACTTTTACTCATTAATGTATTATATATTTTAAATGATATATCATGTGCATGTATAAGATATTCACAATGAGTAAATACAATTTTTAAATGCATTAAGGACATAGTGACAAAGCATCCACAGTCAGCACACAGGTATATTCTACGTGACTGCCTCTGTTGACTATTGAATGGAATTACCTGTCATAGAATCATATGTTACCAATGGAGGTGTCACAATTTTAGCCTGGGTTCAGCAGTAGGAAGGGACTGGCTAGAATTAGTTTTGGCATCTTACACCTACTACTGGGCTACTTAAAGGGCAAACTCATCACAAGTGTTGCAGGAGCATGAAAAACATGCACTACTTTAAAAAAGATTTTCTGTTTTATTCTTGCTATTTGAAAATAAATATCGAAGCATCTATCATGGGGATAAATCAAAATATTGTAACACTTTTTGGAACTTTTTAAAAGATAATTTTAAATTTTCTTTGAATTTTTATGGGGGTGAACCTTAAGCATTTTCTTTCTTTCTTTTGTTTGTTTGTTTGCTTGTTTGTTTTGAGTGGGGAGATTTAGGACCATTATTCATCCTAAAATAAATCTGTCCTGGTGTCCAATAGATCTCATTTACTATGTAACATTATTTTCCTACACCTTTATGTCACACTAACCATATACTACCCACACTGCCATTTCTTGCTAGGATTGAATGTTACGAACCTCAGCACACCTTTCTCATAATGAAAATGGCATAACCTGGGCCTGATCATTTCCACTAGGGGAAAACAGGTATTTGCTACTCTTTAGGGCCCTGGCAGGTCACGCACTAGAATGCCTCCATCTATCTGACTTCAAGAATCATCAGCCACCCCGATGCCATTGTTATGTATGTACCAGGCTGCTTCTCAGAGATGGTGATGCCCATTCGAACCCAGTATAACTTTGCTACCCTGTTTTGCATACTGTGAGCAGAGATTCTGGTTGCATTTCTTCCTTGAAGGAAGCTCTACAACTTAAGTTATTTTCCATAGTCCCTGTAAGTTTGTGTCTTAACTGAGATAATCCCCAGTAGACCAACCGTTAGACAAAGTGAATTTGAAGCAGAGAGGATAAAGAATAACTAAGGGGGTGAGAAGTTATTCACTCATTTATTCTAAAAATATTATTACATACTAACTCAGTATCAGGCATTGTGCTAAGTGCTAGAAATACTGAGATGTGTAAGGCTGAGTTGCTGTTCTTAGATACTCAAATATTATTAGGGTAACTTTCATCAAAATTACTTTCAAAATTTCATAGAAACTGCCGGAGGCTTCATGTGCTAATGCTTTCATGCATCTTAAAAAATTCATCAATAGCTACGTTGTATTAGTCTGGGTGTTGCTTTTTGATGGTTCTTCTTTGATATCTACTGTAATTAATTACCACAGGATGTAGGCTCTTTGATTTCACAATTCAGCTTAAAGAGGAAAAAGGGCCTTTTCAAAACACCTGAAAGAATTTTACCGTGGCCCTCCACTATAATCCCACTCTTGTATGCCAGTTATATGTTTTTGACTTCAGTATATGTAGCTTCATATTGTACTATGGCTTTCTAACATTTGACCTCGAGATCTTAAATTTGTGTCTTGTGAATGCGTCCAAAGTGCTTGTAATCTGCTCTCATGTAGCAACTGGACATAATCTTGGCACCCATCAGATCATATTACCACTGTTTTCCCCGCAAAGACTCGCAGTTAAATTTGAATTTCAGTAAAACAGCCTTATTTTTAGTGTAAGAATGTCCCATGAAATCTTTGGGGCACAGAGTTATGCAATTTTCATTATGAATGTATCCTTTAAAAAATTCGTTAATCTGAAATTCAAATTTAACAGCTTCCTGTATTTTATCTGAAAACTCTACTTTAAAGATGTATCATAGCCTGAAGATTCTATAATTTTATCTTTAAATAGCACTTAATAATAAAGGACATGATTTAGTCCATAGCAATCAGAATTTAAAAAAATTAATCAACCCTTTTATCAAGTATTGTAGTCTGGGTTATATTCTTATATCTATATCTACATACATATATATTTTATATATATATTATGTATGTATACATGTAATGCGCTGCTAATTTTTTTCTGTTAGCTAAAAGTTTTTCTTTTTTTTTAAATTATACTTTAAGTTCTAGGGCGCATGTGCACAACATGAAGGTTTCTTACATATGTATACATGTGCCATGTTGGTGTGCTGCACCCATTAACTCGTCATTTACATTAGGTATGTCTCCTAATGCTATCCCTCCCCACTCCCCTCACCCCATGACATGCCCCGGTGTGTGGTGTTCCCCACCCTGTGTCCAAGTGTTCTCATTGTTCAGTTCCCACCTATGAGCGAGAATATGCGGTGTTTGGTTTTCTGTCCTTGTGATAGTTTGCTCAGAATCATGGTTTCCAGCTTCATCCATGTCCCTACAAAGGACATGAACTCATCCTTTTTTATGGCTGCACAGTATTCCATGGTGTATATGTGCCACATTTTCTTAATCCAGTCTGTCATTGATGGACATTTGGGTTGGTTCCAAGTCTTTGCTATTGCAAATAGTGCTGCAATAAACATACATGTGCATTTGTCTTCATAGCAGCCTCATTTATACTCCTTTGGGTATATACCCAGTAATGGGATGGCTGGGTCAAATGGTATTTCTAGTTCTAGATCCTTGAGGAATCACCACACTGTTTTCCACAATGGTTGAACTAGTTTACAGTCCCACCAACAGTGTAAAAGTGTTTCTATTTCTCCACATCCTTTCCAGCACCTGTTGTTTCCTGAATTTTTAATGATTGCCATTCTAGCTGGTGTGAGATGGTACCTCATTGTGGTTTTGATTTGCATTTCTCTGATGGCCAGTGATGATGAGCATTTTTTCATGTGTCTATTTTGAGAAGTGTCTGTTCATATCCTTCGCCCACTTTTTGATGGGGTTGTTTGATTTTGTCTTGTAAATTTGTTTAAGTTCATTGTAGATTCTGGATATTAGCCCTTTGTCAGATGGGTAGATTGCAAAAATTTTCTCCCATTATGTAGGTTGCCTGTTCACTCTGAATGACTTTGACGAGTTGAGAGGAGAAGGCTTCAGAAGATTGATAATAACAAACTTCTCCGAGCTAAAGGAGGATGTTCAAACCCATCACAAAGAAGTTAAAAACCTTGAAAAAAGATTAGATGAATGGCTAACTAGAATAGACAGCATAGAGAAGACGTTAAATGACCTGATGGAGCTGAAAACCATGGCACGAGAACTATGTGACGAATGCACAAGCTTCAGTAGCTGATTCGATCAACTGGAAGAAAGGGTATCAGTGATTGAAGATCAAATGAATGAAATGAAGCAAGAAGAGAAGTTTAGAGAAAAAAGAGTAAAAAGAAATGAACAAAGCCTCCAAGAAATATGGGACTATGTGAAAAGACCAAATGTACGTCTTATTGGTGTACCTGAAAGTGACGGGGAGAATGGAACCAAGTTGGAAAACACTCTTCAGGATGTTATCCAGGAGAACTTCTCCAACCTAGGAAGACAGGCCAACATTCAAATTCACTACAAAACACTACAAGCCAGAAGAGAGAGGGGGCGAATATTCAACCTTCTTAAAGAAAAGAATTTTCAACCCAGAATTTCATATCTAGCCAAACTAAGCTTCATAAGTGAAGGAGAAATAAAATCCTTTACAGACAAGCAAATGCTGAGAGATTTTGTCACCACCGGGCCTGCCTTACAAGAGCTCCTGAAGGAAGCACTAAACATGGAAAGGAACAACCGGTACCAGCCACTGCAAAAACATGCCAAATTGTAAAGACCATCGATGCTAAGAAAAACTGCATCAACTAACGAGCAAAATAACCAGCTAACATCATAATGACAGGATCAAATTCACACATAACAATATTAACCTTAAATGTAAATGGGTTAAATGCTCCAATTAAAAGACACAGACTGGCAAATTGGATAAAGAGTCAAGACCCATCAGTGTGCTGTATTCAGGAGACCCATCTCATGTGCTGAGACACACATAGGCTCAAAATAAAGGGATGGAGGAAGATCTACCAAGCAAATGGAAAACAAAAAAAAAGCAGGGGTTGCAATCCTAGTCTCTGCTGTTAATTTTTTTAACCATAAATCTGAATAGGTCTTCATTTCAATTTTTTTCTTGTGAATTAATGAGTTATTGAAGTAAATGAAAGGCAACTTTAAGGATGTCAATTCATGTATTCATTCAGTAAATATTTATTAAGTGGCTAAAATGTGGCAGACATGTTCTAAGCAGAGATGGTGACATGATAGAAAAAAATGAACTTTCATAAAGATAAAATTGGCCATATGTTCATAGAAATAAAAAGAAATCATTAAAATAAATAGTAAATGACTATATACTGTGAAATTGTGTGATTATAGAAATTTGTGGGACTTTGGGACAAAATCGACCTGATTCATACTTTAAGGAAGGGAATTTGTCAAGATATATGAGTGAGGTGGAGATTATTAAGCTTATATCAGGAAGCCACTAGTGTTTACTGTTATATATTAATTCAATGTATTATTTACTTTTGCTAATTGGAAATTGATTACTGTGATACAAGATATATAATGATCAAATAGAAAAATAATAAGGTTAAAATTTTGAACTAATAATTATGGATCTGACAAAATTGAATGCTCACATTTAGATAGCACATGTTTCTGGTTGAATAGGCCAAGGTTTCTAGGGAACTTTCTGAATTGTATTTTTCAGATTATTTAATGAAGGAGAGTAATATTTAGACTTTGTTTCATATAAAAATCAAAAGCAGTTATTGGTTATTAACTAATCCCCCAATAGCAAAACTTATGCTCCAAATATGTTTCTGTTTTCTTGCTAGCTCTTGATTAGTTTACAGAGTCCATGTTTCCATGAAAGATGGAAATCTAAGTTTATAACCATTTACTCAGGAATAAATACAAGGCTATATTATTCTATCTATATATCTCTAAATATTTAATTTATGGTGCTCAATACCTCTTGTTCATTTCTCTTCCTTCTAATGAGCCATTGATAGTTTATACCTAACTTAAAGGTATTTAAGTTAAAGACAATTTTCTTTGGATTGCTTCAGGAATGGAGGAAAGATTCTGAAAACAAGTGTTGAGAGAAAATCAATTTTTCTTATTTAAAAGGCTCATGAAAACGGTCACTATGGAAACAAGACATGAGTCCATGGAACATCAAGAGATCAGAAGAGAGGTCTTGAGCTGAGACTCTCAGTCTTAAATTTGGAAATTTGACATAAATTTTAATCCTCATTTGATGATAACTTCTTTATAAATTCTGAGGTTTTAGATTACATAGCCCTTGGATTTTTAAGTTTCTGCATAATTCTCTGTGGCATTTGTTTTCTCTTCTTCTTCCTTCTTACCTTCCTTCCTGTCTTCTTCCCACACTTTATTCTCACACTCTCTCTTTTTTCTTCTTTCCTTCCTCCCTCCCTCCCTTCCTCCCTCCCTCCCTTTCTTCCATATCTCCTATTTAAATGTTTTTTTCTCCTCTTTCTTCTTTTCCTGCCATTGTTCTTCATTGTTTTGAGTGACAATGTGACATGCAAAAAGAAAGGAGATGACAGAAAACTTTCTTGCCTTTCCTTTTTTATTTTTCCAACTTCTTATTTTTTTATTTTTATTTATTTAATTTTTGAAATTTCGTATTTCTTGACCTAAAATATTATAGTATTCTGTCTCTGTTTGCATACAGTGAAGATGCTTATGAAATATTGTCTAAAGATTTCCATTCATAGTAACAGTGGTCAGCTTCTGGATATGTGCAGAAACCAGTGTTAATGAGAGAAAAAAGTTAGAAAGGTTTTTTTTGTTTGTTTGTTTATATTAACAAAAATACATTTAACCACTTGGTCTTTGGAGGATGTAGGATGGAGGGAGGCCATCTATTAGTATTCAGGGAAAAGGACAGGTATATTGCTTCTAATTTTTCCTTTGAGGTTGTTTGCCAGACTAATTAATGTTAGAGGTAGCAAGGGGGTAATAGCCCTAATAGAGAACTCCCCATAATGGATGGGGGCTACCACCATTACTGACCTCAGTCAATTGACCTAGGCCTCTAGTCATTTCTCTAGAAATGAGATAATATACACCTTCTCTCAAAATCACATTCAGAAAGGTTTTTTATAGCAACCTAGTTATTGTCATTCTTTAGAAATAAAGCACTTTCAGTTCAATTCACAGGGTGACTTGGCTAGTAGAGAGTTCCAGCCACATTCCCTTCCGGAGTTCTATGATCTACAGATAAGCCTACAAATCTCTTGGCTTTTCTACACTAAAAATATTACTAAGAAGTGGGGAAAGCAATACATTCTATTAAAAATAGAAGTGTGAGCAATAATTGGAAAATGGATTGCTTAAATATTCTATGTAGTTCAGAGTAAACTCATAAATAGGTATGAGCTTAAATGTAAATTTTTTAAATTTTAACACTTGCTTGAGGATGTCCTTATATATGAATAAAATCGAAAAATATGTAGTTGAAAATAATCATTAGCCACTGTATTTACAAATATAGGAAATAATTTAGAAAACAATTTCAAGTAAAACAAAAGCTAGGATTTTGTGTATAACATATATGCAACTAGACTTTCAGAACCTTGAGGTTATTGCTCTTTGTAACCTCTATACATAGCACAGGGTGTAGCATATAACAACTGCTCAATTAATATTTACTTAAGAAGTACATGGATGCACAGAAGTACAAATATATATTAACAGTTGAAAACAAAATGCGAAAAATATTCACTTAAGTTTGAATTTACTGGACAATAAATATTTGTCATCCTATTTGTTTTCACATAAAATATTGAATAAATTATCTTGTAATATTTTGAACATTTTAATTCCCAATATATTTTTATATAATGAATTGCTAATATGACTTTTCTTTTAAAAATTTTTCTAGAAATGCTGTAATGTCTACTTGAGATTTTATAACAAAAATATTTTATTCTGGTACATGTGAATTAAGTATGTCAATATTCAAGATTTACACAGTTTAAGAGTCAATGGGAAAGAGTGTTTACAGAGTTAGGATGCAGCATAAGATAACTGGAAATAGCACAAGTTTGGGGTTCTAGGATATGATTTTACATATTGGAGTTGCTATTTTAAAATTGTATGCTAGGCAGGGTGTGGTGCCTCATATCTGTAATCTCAGCATTTTGGGAGGCTGTGGTAGGAGAATCACTTGAGGCCAAGCGTTCAAGAACAGCGTGGGCAACATAGCAAGACACCATTGCTACAAAAAAATAAATAAAATTAGCCAGGTGTGGGGATTCACATATGTAGTCCTAGCTACTGGAGAGGCTGAGACAGGAGGATTTCTTAATCCCAGGAGTTCGAAGTTACAGTAAGCTGTGATTGCCACTGCATAGCCTAAGCAACAGAACAAGAAACTGCCTCTTAAAAAAAATATGGTAAGTGCTAACAACTTCACCTCTTTGGGTCTCATCAGTTACTTCCCATAGTTGATACGAAGAATATTTGAGAGATATGTCTATTTTTGACATAAAGTATGCCTTAAAATTTTTACAAATCTGAAATGGGGGTATCCATTGGAAAAAAAATTCTCATTCTCAGAAGGGGTAAACAGGGCATTAATCATATAGAAGCTCATTTATTCTCATGTTGACAAATTGTGCTTTACTTGATAAAATGGCAACTACACTCATATCTATGTCATTTGTACCAAATTAATTTAAAATAAACACAAAGGATGTAAAAAAGACTGAAGAGTGGTTCTGAATCTTGGCAGTACATTAGCACCATCTGTGAAACTCTTTAAACATTCCTTGAGGCCTCACCTGATATCAAGTAAGTCAGTGGGTTTAAAAGATCTCCCACGTGATTCTAACATGTAGCCAAAGTTCAGAATCCCTGCACTAAAAAGTCTATGTATCTGAATTACTTTATGCTACTTTAGAATCTAGCTTGCGAAAATCTGGATTAATTGCTAGAACACATTAATTTGTTTGTTAGAAGTGTGTTTGGTAACCACTACATGCTAGACACAATAGCCAGTACAGAGAATGCATAAAATAAAATGCCTAAGAAGAGTTTGCATTATATAAGGCAACCTGATGAGGCAGGAACCTAATGAATAATCGCCATATCATATGATACGCTAGGGCTTTTTAGCAAAGTTTTATGGTAGCTGAAAGACATGGTGTCCAGTCTTTCAAGGGAGTTGGGCAGGCAGTGTTTCACTGGAGTTAATCTTGAAGGGTAAACATGCATTCATTAGAGGGAAAAAAAGGAGATTAATATTAAATGTCTTTCAAAACAATAAAGAGTCATGATAAAAGGGAAAAAGGGGAATTAGAGATTAGTGAGAACTTCTACTCTTTCTGAATATTCTGAAGATATTCATACCAATATAAGGTTTAGAAAGCCCAGTGTTTCCTAGTTCCTGGGACTTGAATTATCAGGTTCAATTTGATTATAGGACTCATTTAAGTTGAATGATGCCTGGATCTAAAGTGCTTACTAAATTATTATAAGCTAATAATAACTAACATTGTATGATTACTATTAGCAAGGCACTGTTCTGATGGCTTAGCAGGAGTTAACAGTTAATACTAACAATGGCTTTATGAAGTAGTTGTCACTAATCTTTCTCTCTACTTATAAATAAATAAACTAAGGTACAGAAAGCTTAAACAGTCAATACACAACTAGTAAGCAACACAGCCAAGTGTCAAATCCATGCAGATTGGCTTCAGAGATCATGCTTTTACTCATGTGCTACAGTGTGTTAAATGCTCACCATGTACCAAGCTCTGCACTTTGCAAGTGGAACTAATTTAGTCTTCACAATAAGTTAATAAGATAAGTTACAGAACTAGCATTTTTTCCCATTTTACAGATAAAAACACTGAGAAAGAGAACTGAATGATTTACTGCTTCAACAAGCACATGGGCTCTTGGTCTATCCATCAACGTTTCTGATAGATCTGTGTGTCTAGCCCAGCTCAACATTCTTACTTAATCTTAAAGAGGTATAAAAAGCAAATATTTAGTAATATAAATAAGCTCTCACCTCATCAATTTTCAAAATTCTGGCTTTCATTGCTTACTACATAATTTAAAATAATTACTGGCTTTAGCTCAATGAATTGCTTCTAGGAAATGTAACACTGAAAAACAACATAAATTTCCCAAGTCACTAGAGTTATAGTGTGTTAAACATAATGTTAGATTTCAGGTGGCTTAGAGTCCTCAAGACTAAATGTATTATAAATAGTTGCAACAGCTATATCTAAGCCATTAAGAGCATAATTGTCTCTTATATATATAGTGAAACATTCCCAGCAATTCTATTAAGCAATGAGTCTGAGGTTCTGTTTGGAATGACAAAAACTTCTGTATACCCTTGGTCATTTACACGCAGTTCAGAATACTGCTGCCATTTTACTTAACCTATTTTTTATTGTAAGTGAAAAATTTTACTATCTTTTCCAAAAGTATTGATGAAGAATTACTACAAGACCTGGTCTTATAATTTAAATATATTTACAAAGAGATGAGCTCTACTAGACTAGAAAGTAGTTTTCAAATTTCCAAGTATCTTAAAAAGTGGACTTTATGTCCCAGGCTATGTTTAGTGTCTTGGTCATGCTAATGTGGGATGTAAATAACTGGAAATTAAAGTAAACCTATCCTCATTCCCATCATCATCATCATCACCACCAAATACCCTGTACCTGCCACATTTCAAGGACTGTACAATTGCTTCACATCTATTATTATTTATCTTAGCAACCTCTACATAGGTACTATTATTCACATTTTACAGAAAACACAAAACAAGAAATTTCCTGTCAACATAAAAACAGAATTTAGAAAAGGATTTTCTTTTGTTATACATGACCCTTCCTAGTAATCCAACACCGTTATTCAAATTCTTGCCTATACATCACATTGTACTGGAACAAAGAGAGCCATATTGTGAGGAAATGTGAGGGAAAGAAGGACCACGATTTGCTGAGACTTTATAGCACTTTTGATTTCCAGAGTGACTTTATGTATAACAAAGAAAGTTAAGTATTTTTTACATCACCTTTTTGATTTTCCCATTTCCAGATAAGGAAAGGAGGTTCCAAGGTTCAGCAGCTTTTCCAAGTCCCCTACTCAAGAAACAGCCAAAATTCAGTTTCCAAATGCAATCAGTTAGGACTGAAATCCAGTGGACATTCTGCCTCACCCTTGGATAAGGGCTCTGTGTCTTCACCTGGGATATAAAGGAAGTCCTTTGCCCCTTGTGATGAGACAGTTACACATACACACACACACACTATATTTTGTGCACCCAGAGTGAAGATGAATATCTCTGTGTTTGCCATACATGTGTCAAGAGTCTGCTTGGACAGAGGACTTCATCTTGGAAAACACTGTCTAAAGGAGTTGTAGTTCAAAAGCACTAAAAGACTAAATACATTTCTTACTGTATTTTTTACCAAGTATCATAACAAAAATTAATTCACAGGGCTATATTTATAGGTCTGTCCTCCCTGAAGAATAGAGAGATGAATAAACATAGATTCATAAATAACAGCTTCTTTGCATTAAATTTCCATGGTTTGTCTAGATCTTAAATTGAAGCTTTATATAAGAGTGCGTAATATAAACAAGGTTCCTATTTTTGCTATAAAATCCCTGTTGAAGACATTGAGTTTTTAGGGACCATGTATATAAGGGTCTATATAATAGTACTAGCATTTAGTAACAGCAGCAATAATAAAATTCTTTCTATGAACAGACTAAATTTCTTATATTAGATAATGATATAACTAAATATTTTCTGGTAAACCACTTTAGTCAATGTGATAGGAGTATTTGTCATTTCCTTTTTCTGCATGGCTTTCTTTTTCCATTCTTAATAACATATATAATTGACTCATTCACGTCTAGAAAGTTTGCAGATTAAATTTAGTAAATAAAATTAGATAAAATTACCTTCATTTGGGAGTTGAACAAGCTGAGCTATAGTTAAGGTTTGTCAAGCTCTACTTCATCTACCCCGATGTCTTTTCAGTTTCTAAAGCACAGCAAATGTTGTTCTGCCTCAGAGTTTCCACATATTGTTCCCTCTGCCTGTAAACCCCCTTAATTTTCTTCCCACTCTTTGATCAGCCACCCCTTGTTGATCACATCTCTTAACTCAAACAGAAACATAGACACATGTCACATTTTTTGCATAATAATACACTTTTTTAGGTCTTGATTTAATATTTGTCTTAGAATTATTTTTAATGTCCAATTAAAACAAGATACCAGGCCCCCTCCTCATGCCCTGCTATTCTTTATAACTGTACCTTGTTCTTCATTGTATTTCCCATAAATTGTGACACATCAGTTAGTTTATTCACGTGTTCCTTACTTTAAGCCTCACAGGACAGGAGACGAATTCTATTTCATCCATCATTTTATCTCCAACACCCAGCCATTCCTGGTACATGATAGTTTAATAAATATTTAATAAATGGTATGAATGAATAAATTTAAACACATATGCACTCACACACATGTATGTAATAACTTTAAGTTTTCTAAGGCCAAGTAAGTATATGTTAATATTTTGTGTATCATTCTATTATAGTGTTTTGTACAGTAACTGGCAAAAAATAATAGCAATAATAAATGTTTAATGAGTGTTCATTAAATTGATAAAAACATTCAAAAATTTTTAAGCCACTTATAACCTTTTATTTAATAAGCTCAGATAACCACATACTTGCAAAACATTTAGAATTTGTATAACCCCCTTGAAGTCTAGAACATGAGCTAGCTAAGTCTGAGAATCACAAATGCAAAAACACAATTTAAGAAGTGGGTAAGTGTGCCCATATTCGGAAAAGGTGCTGTCACTCAGTAGTCTTTCAGACCTCCTGCAAACATTCACATGATTTACCATCAGTGTTGCCAACTTGTACAATGAAGGGCAGCATATAACAGGTATACCTCTATTTTCATAAATATTCATTTAAATATTCTAAATATTTATTGAGAGGACTTAGGCTTTTACTCAGTGAAATCAGAAGTTACTGGAGAGATTCGATTTAAGATAAATTCTTTAAAAGATCACTCTGGATGCTGTGCTGAATGTAGCCTGTACTAGTTTGGAATTTATTCCTGTAAGGCAGGTAAAAGATGATAGTTGATGGATTCAACAGGTTCTCTTTGAAGGTGGTTAGAAGTGGTAAGATTCTAGGATATATTTTAAAGGCAGAGCTAACAGGATTTCATGACAAATTCTCACATATAAGAAAGGACAGAAATAAATGGAGATTTCGAGTTTTAAGCTTGATCAATTCTGAGAATGACCGTGTTTTCCATTCTTTTTTTCTACTGTTCTACATAAGAATTAAAATATTTTGTTCATTAATAGATCATCCTAAGGCAAAATTTATACCCTTGAGCAATTTATAATCAGAACTTACTATTGGAATGTAAAACATTGTTTCTATATTCCTTTTAATTTTAATTTTGCCTAATTCAGCACTTTACAATTGTGAGATGAAGCTATATTTTAAAATGTCACTGAGCAATTTTAAGATTATATAATCACATTTTCCTTCTCATCTGAAAATTTTACTATTGTTCAACATGGAGAATGTCCTTCACATTTTAGCCTTTAGAGCATAGGAAGTCAATATTTATTGGTAAGTAGGTATTACATTTGTGGAGTGCTTTGTCATTTTTTTTGACATGCTTTGACATGTCTTATGTCATCCCACTCTCATCATCACACTGGAAGACAGGAGAGAAGGAAATTTGTGTAGGAAATTGAAAAGTTTAAGTGACTGAGTGGCCAACATGATATCTCCTCCTTTCCCATTCACTAATGTATTTTGATCCAGCTCCAACTGTTGGAGAAAAACTGGGAGCTTGGAGTGCCCTATGCTCACTCAAAGCTAAATGTCTCATACAAAAACCCAAATTTGACCTTATCTTTATTGTTAACGCTTCAGAAAATTGGATAAACAAATCACTGTATTCATCAGACTTAATCACATCACCAGAGTCATCTAGTCATGTCACCCTCCATTTTCTTGCGAACTCACTATTTTATGTATTTTCTCACCTATGCCATCTTTCTATTTTCTCATCTATGCCATCTTTCTTTCTTTCTTTTTTAATTAAGGAAGCTCACTCACAGCTTTCCTGGCCTCTCTCCAAAGTACTAAAACTTGTTTTGTGAATTGCAGTCAAAGAAATACAAAAAGTAACAATGATCCCATCAGTAGACGTGAAAATGCAAGAAGAAAGATGCCATTGTAAAACCCAACAAGGTGTGGTAGATACATCTCTTTTTCTTGTTGTTAAATCCTGAAGCTATCAAACAAAAACTTACCTTATTGACAAGGGTCTAGTGGAAAATCTAATGAGCATTAGTAATGAATGCACCAGCATCAATCCCCTTGTCTGTAGTGCACTCATCTTTTAATCTTTGACCCAGCTGCTGCAAGCACCTGGTTCCCAAAATTCAGCTAGGGAAATACAATGGGAATAATAATCATATTACTGCAATGTCTTTCTTTTCTTTAAATTAAGCTATGCAAGTAATTTATACCAATCGCCTTTTCAGAGGCAGAAATGAAGTCTGCTTTTGTACTTAAAGATAACCTCAGCATAGCTGACAATCCTGGGCAGTTATGGGGGTGGTGAAGGAAGGGAAGCAAAGTCATTTGAGAAAGTAAAGACATTCAACTGCCAACGAAGAATAAATTTTAACGGATGTAGGAAGAATCGTTTGTAAGAAGTGCAGAAAATGCAAAATGGTATTATTAATAAGTAACATCATTAGAGGCCGTTCTTTCTAACCAGTCACACCTCTGAATCATCTCGGGCTTCCCTGACTTCCTAGCTTTCTGTACCCTCCAGCAGTGACGCCCCTTCTCCCAATCATTGTCAGGGGTTTCAGTGCCATAGTCAAAAAGAACCTTATTATCTACCTGCTCCCCCAGCTTCTCTCTGAGTGACACACCACCCACGCCTCCTCCGCACAGCTTTCCTCCTCCCATGGCTCCCAGAGGGAACGTGAGGAGCAGGAGAGAGAGACCAAGGCTACCCTCGCCTGAACCCCGAAACGACGAGGCTTTAAGACCCTTATTCACCCACTGAGTCTATGCCCTGGCCGTTCTGCCAACCCCCGCCGCGCGCTGCGGGAGTATAAGCCAGCCCTGCGCTGCGCTTCCAGCTGCGTCTGCCCGAGCGCGGCACGTGCTCCCGGCGCTGGCGCGAGAGAGCGAGCGCCACCGCCGCGGGCCCCGCAGCCGTTCTGCCTGCTGTCACCGCTGCCTCCATCGCCGACACTAGCGCTCCAGCTGCAGCCAAGGCCGCTACGAGAGCGCAGGAAGCCCTCGAGGAGCGGCTGCCTGGGGGCGCAAGGCTCAGGGCGCGCACCTGGTAAGCACAGCGCCTTTTTCTTTCTCTTGGCTATAGTTACCACGGATATAGGATACCGCTGGAGCCCCTCCCCCAGTGCAGGGATGGAGAGCAATCAAGCAAGGGGCGGGAGCTGGGGCTAAAAAGACCCAGGAGGGCAAGTGGTGGGCAGGTGGAGGGCTGGTAGAGCCAGGAACGCTACGAGGTCCTGCAAGTTTAGAAAAGTCACCCTGCAAGGACGTGTGCTGTGTGAATCAGACATAAATTTAAGTCAGGAGCCTGGGCTACCGCGGTATCGCTCCAATGGGAGGTTTATGAAGATCATTTTGCTTTTATTTGCATAAGTGAGGGATTTAAGTGGGCTTGTTTCCATAGAAAACGAACTAAAAAAAAAAAACAGAGGAGGAAAAGATAAAGATCCGAGCCAAAGGATACGTTTGGATCTCTCTCTCTGTGTGTCTGTCTCTCTCTCTCTCCCTCTGTCTGTGTGTGTGTGTGTGTGTGTGTGTGATGCCAATACATGTGCACGAAAGGCAAGGATTTAGGAAGAGAGATGGGCTCCTCTATCTTTGAGCCCATTAGGTGTTTGAGGGAGCTAATGGCAGTTGCTGGTGCTTCACCCCAAAAAGAGGCAGCAAAGAAGGGACCCGACTGGGTGTAAATGTCAGTTTCCGTTTCTAAAAGGACTACAGTACTAGGAGGGAGAGGTTTTCTGGAACTGTGGGTCATGTAAAGATGGTACACCTGCAGCTCTGGACCTATAAACTCAAGTTCATATACTCCCAGTGGAGCTTGGAAGACATGTTTACTCTTGGTTCCTTTATGGAACTTTGGCAAAAATAATATCTCTCTCTCCCTCTCTCTCTCTCTCTCTCTCTCTCACACACACACACACACACACACACACAGAGAGAGAGAGAGAGAGAGAGAGAGAGAGAGAGAATATGAAAAATGAATACAGGGAAGAGAAGGGAGCTGAATATGCCTGAATAGGCTGAGTGGGGTAGTAGAAGGAACAAGAACAGGGTGATCGGGTTTGGCATCACTGCGTTCATTCAGTTCTACCCTAGGTAGTTCCTGGACAGATCTCTAGAGAAACATGACCTTGAACAAGCCCCTTAACCTTCATGTACTCAGTTTCTCTATTGAACAATGTAGAGGATCTTCTGCATTTGGGGACATGAAGGTCCCATGCAGTAGTGTCTATGTATGTGTTTGAAGATCTGCATACTAAGAAGTAAGAACACTCATAAAATATGGATAAAGGAAGCTTCAGGGGATTCTTCCTCAAAGTACTAAAGGCAGTTGGCAAGATCCTGACTGTGCTGTTGGGATAATGCATGCTGAGAGGTCTGTGGAAATGAGTGAGGAAAATCCAACCTCCAGCCTGTAGCTCAGTGAACTTGGAGTTCTGAGAGCTGTTTAGAAATGTTCAGATCCACAGAGCCTAAAGTCATATGCTATTTTTTTAGTGTTTTATTATTTATTTATTTTTATTATACTTTAAGTTCTAGGGTACAAACCTGCACGTTGTGAACAAGTCATATGCTATTTTTAAGGTTAGCATTGAGGAAGAAGGTTTGGTGGCAAGGAAAATAAGTGCCAATCCAGTTTAAAGATTAGGTAGTCAGGGCAGCAAGAAGAAGGTTTTAGAGTAAAACATAAATGCAATGTAATCTAGGCAGAGGGGTTAGGAAGAAGAAGATAATGGATATTCCCCCTGAGACAAGGATGTCTACACTCCTAGGAGACAACTGGGACCTACCATGTCCTTGACACTCCTTCCACCTGTCTGAGGAAGGCACAGGTGCCCTTTCTCACTCAATACAGGTTTATTCTTAGAATTTAGGGATTTGTATCCCAGGTGCTGAGATATGACGGTAAACATGTGAAAAGTAAGTCCTGGGAGTGCCTCCAGCTCCCTTGCCATGTGAGCATCTGTTGACAGAGCTGGTCTACCCATCCAGATTCACCCAGGAGTCTATGTTCCTAAAGGAACTCACTGTGCCACTTGGTGGCACCAAAAAGTTGCGCAAAGAACTCTGTTCTCTATAAATACAAACTACCACCCCTCCCTCCTCCGCTCTCTCCCCTTCCCCCCATCCCCCCTTTCTCAGTAGCGGGGAGATTGCTGCACACGCCGCCCTCAGCTCGGCTGTTCTGCGCACGCTGAGCGGAGGGAATGAGCTTGAGATCATCTTGGGGGGGAAGCCGGGGACTGGAGAGGCCGGCTCTGCCCTGCTGATCCCCGTGGCCCAACTTTTCGGGGGGCTAGCTAGACCGAGTCTCACTGCTCGCAGCGCAGCCAACAGGGGGGTAAGCTTGCTAAGTGTCTGTGTGCCCAAGTGTCCCCTGGCCAGAGAAGGATTTAGGATCTATAGGCTTGCTGAGTAGCTCATAGTGTGGTTTGGGGGAGGGGGACGCGGGTGGAGCAGGGGTGGCCAAAGCCGACAAGATTCAAGTCTGTTCCATTTGCGAACAGCCTTAATTAAACCTGTTGGGGAAAAAGGCGCGAGCAATGGGGTGAAGGAGGGAAGAGCTGCAAGGGTTGAAAAGGAGATTCTGCATGCCTTCGCATCCGAGTTCCCGCTCTCTAAGGCCAGGTGCGCGTGGTTTCGAATGCAGAGTGTGCTCCCACAAACCACCCGAGGGCTCGGAATTGTGAGAAGCAAAGGTGGAGAGGAAAAGAGGACAGAGAATTGCTTTTCAATAGATCTGTTAGGGGCCGCTTCGTGGCGCCTGCTGCAGGAAGAGGGGGGACAGCGGGTGGTGCTGAAAGCACATCTCTTTCACTCAGGCTATATTGCCTCTCTTTGAACACCAGCCTGAGCCCTCCCGCTCTTTCCTCTTCCATGGATTTATCTTTCCCCTCGAACACAAAGCCTGCTAGTTATCCCACGGCGGGGGCATGAGCGGCATGCCAAGGAGGAAGCCCAGGCTACAGCGACTTAGGGAAGAAAACCCAGGGCAGGCCCGTGAGTGCGGAGGCTAGCCGGTGGCCCGAGCCCAACGTGCATTAGGACCTCTCCAGGGAAGTGACAGGTCCACCTGGAGGGCTCTTTCACCTGGTACTCGAATTTACAGCTGCCCTCATTTCCTTTCAGAGGAGTTGCTGTGTGGAAGGGAAATTTAGGAGAGGATAACAAGCGCTTGTGCTTATTTAGACACAATCTTGATGCTGCCTTAGCTGGACTGTTAACATCGAGTAACCAAGATAGGGTCTCCAATACTTTACTTTTTCAATAAGAAATTGATACAGACCAGTGAGAAGGCAGCTTCTCCTTTTCACCTTCTTCTCCATTCGCTACATGGGATTTTATTGTTCAGAGTTTCTCAGGACAAAGCTAGAGCTAATTTGTGTCTCTAATCCTGGGCACTGGCCATTTGAAGCAGCCAAAGGTGCATTGACCAGGACTACGTGCAGCCCTTCCTCCAGTGGGACATAAGCAGGGGTTTTCTGTGGAAGTCTTAGTTGCATGACATTCTACTGTCAGCTGTGGAGTGTTCAGGTATGCTACCTCTTGTTAGGTGTGCTTTATGCTGTTTTCTTTATGGAGTGCAGGGAGTTTCCTCCTTTAATTTCTCAGTTACCTCAATGTAATTACACATGTAAGAATCAATTGTGGCTATTTCTGTCCTTTATGCATGTTTATTTCCATTTAAACATGCCATTGGTTTAGGACTTGAAAATACTGCGTCCTGAACTCATTGGGTTAGTAGTGTGCGTCCCGTCAAATTTCCAGCCTTCTCCCTGTGAAATCTTGTCAGCACTCTGGACAGATCTTTCAAGTTTCTTAGGAGAAAAATGTACATAGCACTTCCTAAATAACAGCTTCTCTTAAGAGAAAAAGCTTTCTCTAGTCATTTACACTCCACATGACAAAATATACAATCTAGATATTTTAATTGCACCCCTAGAGGTTTGTGCTATCACACGGGAATGTTTTGGCTGCGGGCTACACACTCACAAAAAGCCCAAACTCTTCAATGTTCACTTATGAAAGGATGTGTCGAGATGATTTGGGAGAGGGAGTTGGTATCTGAATAATCCAAGTTTTTCACTTTTCTTCCATAGGTAGACACAGGCCTTTACTATCACTTTATAGTATACCTTATGGACATGATGACAAACACCCAGGGGGAAATTGAAAAATTCACTCATATCTATTATAACCAACCAGCAAAAACTATCCAGACTTTGGGAATACTTGATTAACTACATACCATTTTTAATTTTGGCTCTGATTATTAACATTGTTGTGTTTCATGTTAAAATGACTTACCTCATCAAAGGTGCTCACTTTTGTGACTAAAGCATTTTAATAATTCTACTTTTCTTATTTCTTTCCAAAACCCATTTAATATTTTATAGGAGTCTTACTATATTGTCTTTTACAGAATGATCATTTTGGTTAGAGAAACTAAATTAAGTGTCAATAAAATGTAGGTGGTACTACAAGTAGAAAATGTGAGATGAGGTTGATCATTAAAAATATTGTATTTATTTGTATACCAATTTTATCCCAGGTTTTCTATCCTCATGGGATGAAGACAGAGCTATATACAAATGTTTTATCTTACACATTCTTATTGTATTATGTATACGTACATGTGAGGTACTTTTATGTGTATCTCGATATAGATAGATAGATCATGTATAAACCAACTTTATAAAATATTAGATACTACTTTTTATATATGTTGATATACATATATGTTATATGATAAAGCTGATTTGGCTGGTTTAGAGGTTGGATATATTGAAGATGTATTATTACAAAGCAGGAAGATTCTGCACTTTAGAAATATGTGTTATGTGTTATATTCATATTCAGAGAAATATTAATTCTAGTCATTTTAGTCAGTGAGTGAAGCTTAGGAGAACATAAGAAGACATGAGCATCAAAAGAAATATTTTTAGTGCATGATGTATTTATATAACCCAAGAAAAGAAACTTCAATTTTTAGTTTTGAATTTTCAATTATTTGTAAATGAGATAGTATCTTGATATTCCTTTATCTTAGTTGTTTAAAATGTGTTTCTAAAAAACATTAAGGCATAGGTTTGCTTTCATTTCCTTTAAATTCATAGGAGATGAAAATCTATATTTTACCTTTCTGAATCATCTTTTAACTATATATAACTTTTGTCAGAAGGGCCATCAGGCAAAAGTCTTGGTGCAGACTCATCCCTGCTCTAATAACTACTATTTATTAAGCACGTCAGGCATCATGCTAAGCAGTAGGTATGTTATTTTATTTAATTATCATATCAACAATACAAGGCATTATTTGTTTTTCCTTTTCAGTTATAAAAACTACGTTTTTTATTCTACTGTCAAAGAACAGTGCATAGTTTATGCAGTGTTCACTGTGGGTCACTTTATTTTTATTTGTGCAATTAATTCATTATACTTATTCAATAACATGTACTGCCATAACCCATCCCCCATTTTCAAAATAAGGAAACATATATTTCATTCATATATATGTGTGTGTGTGTGTGTGTGTATATATATATATATATATACCATTTACCATATATGTAAAAGGCAAAAATAATGGAAATATATATACATACATACGCAAAAGAGAGAGATTTGATTTGTTTGGCACTAAAATTTACCGTGTTTCCTTTGTTTTGAGCTGCTTTACTCTGTGGTGTGGCTAAACAATAAACATTATGGGATTATTTTACTGTGGTTTCCAGTGAGTTGTAGTATGTTGGAAGTACAGGCTCTGGCTTCAAATTGCCTGGGTTTGAATCTCAGCTTTGTGGCTTACTACTTGTGTGACCTTAGGCAAGTTACTTAAATTTATGTACCTTAGTTTCACTATTTTCAAATTGGGGGATGGGTTATAGCAGTACATGGCATGGAGTGAATATGATGAATAAATTGCACAAGTTAGAAAAAAAGCAATAGGTGCAGAAGGAAAACCACCATGGCACACATAGACATATGTAACAAACCTGCACATTCTGCACATGTATCCCATTTTTTTTAGAAGACATAAAGAGAAAAATAAATTAAAAAAATAAAGTATCTGACCCATAGTGAACAGAGTGCAAACTATCAATCCTACCCAGGCCTTTGGATGTCGAGTTTTCTGCGTTTCCTATGTTATTACATTTAATGTTCAACTGCCCTATGGATTGTGTCTTATCTTTATTTTATGACTTTAATGATAAAACATAATACTAACATAGATTAAATAACTTGTCCAATGTCCCACAGTACAAACAAAGGTGACAAAGCCGGTATTTAAATCTAGGATCATCTGATTTCCAAACTTTTATGATACTGACCTACAGCTTACAAACATATATCAATTTTTTTGAATTCTACTAATTTTGAGTCAGCATCCCTTCCTCTGCAAAGGAATGTGCAAATATCTACTTTTCTCATATATTCAAGAATATTTTAAAATAAACATGCAAATGCTTGAAGATAATCAGAAATCAAAATAATACGTAATTGCTATCTCAAATATCTCCTTTTTTAGTCAGACTGTAGAAGAAGTGTAAAAGAAAGACTTAGATGCAAAATATATATTTTCTGTATATATTATTCTATTGGTCTTGCAAATATATCAGATTCAAGAAAAATTCTCTAATGATTAGTTGTTCACAATAATGCTGGTTCAGGCCATGGGTTTTAAAATTTTGAGTATAAATGTTCTGAGGAAAATGAAAACTTGTAATCACAGTGATAATAGTGAGCACTTTAATAATGCAACCTTCTTACATTCATTATATTTTACAGAAGAATAATCAAAAATATTTTTTGAAAAACAATTTGTCTAAATGCATAGTAATGTAGAATTATTCAAAGACATAGAAGTAAATAATACACTATTATATCATTTGTTTAAAAATAAATAAAATGAAAAATCAACATGTAAATTAATTTATAAAGTTATCGTTATTGTTGCAGTCTTGTTAAAATTATAATAAACTTTGCATTTCCTATCAAGAACAGCCTTTGAATTCGGGAAGTATATCGTAGGATACTCTCCTCACATTCATTTCTTGTAATTTGTGATACTTAGAACTATGCATATTTAATGTAAGGTAATATCAACCTTGACTCTTAAAGCTTAAATTTGTCTTTCTCAAATTGAAATTTCTACCTTTTCAACAAGATAATACAGACAAATAACTGCATAAACATTGAGTAAGGCAAGCCTATTTCAACCGTCTCTCCTTAGCATTATTTGGAAGTTTCAGGTAGAGAATTTCTAAGACTGATGGGTCCAGATGATTGGCTCTTAGGTATGCTCTTCTTTCATGACTATGTCGATCTTGCCAGGATTAACTTTCATGTAAATTAGTGTTTTTCAACTGGAAGTGACTTTGACATACAGGCGACATTTGCTAATATCTGAGGACGTATTTGTTTATCAGAGCTGGGAGGGGATGGCATTGTCGTCTAGTGAACAGAAGCCAGGGGTGCTGCTAAACAACCAACAGTGCACAGACAACATCCGCCCACAACAAAAGATTATCCACTCCAAAATGTCAATAGTGCTCAGGTTGAGAAACCCTTATCTAAATGATGCTAGGAAACAGAGTTTCCTATATTTACTTGATTTGTTTGTATGCTTTCTGATGAATTTATGTACGTTACATAAGAATTTAATGGAAAGCAGAATCTCCAAAATGCTTTGCAATCAATGCATGAGGTTTGAATAACCAATTCACTTGTTTTTTTTTGTGGGGAGACCTCATTATTTGTTTATTAAGTTTGGGCTTTGGAGCCAAATATAGTTGGATTCATGTCCTGGTTCTGCCATTTATTGTAGGTTTGATACTTTGGAGAAGATTCTTGACCTCTAAACTTCGATTTCTAGAGGTAGTAACATAGGTAGTAATTATACCTACCTTACAGGGTTATTGTGAGTCTTACATTAAATAATTATTATACATTATTTAACAGAAAGAAGGCACTTTATAAATATTATGTATTAATAAGTAAGTGGAGATCATGTTATAGAAATGTAAAACCACGGTCTCAAGCATTTAATGATATGTAATGTAATATATAAATAATGATTTACAGTCTTCAGAGGTATACCCTTAATAACAAGAAATCAGCTGAAGGCTACAGGATGTGTAAAAGTCTAAAATCCCTGCTTTATAATTAAACTGAGACTAGTTAACAGTGGATTGCATCATGTTTATTGCTTTGCTGCAGAAGGCTGTTCCAGGTCTTCATAGACTGCTAAACCACTTGTTTAAATGATTTACAATGATTTAGTGAGCTCTATTGAACTGCCAGAACTTTTTAATTAATGGATAAAATTACAGATTTCATCTTTGTACAATAGTGTTTTATGGCCCTTTTTTTGTTGAGGGGGTTTCAGTTAAAATATGGCCTATATTTTGTGGGGCTAAACAGTGGGGATGCTGCATTTTCTTGTTTACAGGGTCACAAATGTGTGATTGAGATAGTAATGACAATGGAGCTTTCCTCAGACTACAGGGTTCTCTGTATCATTGCACCTCAGGCTGTCTCTTATCTGTGGTATGCACTTGTTTTCAGAAAAATATATCAGATGCATTGATGGCATATGCAATATTGACAGCCCTGACTGTTTGTGATGAGGCCACTGATCAGGCAGAAGAAATCATTTTAGTGTTTATGTCCTGAGCTGTGTGATTTGCTTGTGTGGAGATTAAGTTATATAAGAGACATCTGTGCCAGAAAGATGGTCAGTATTTTAGAAGATTGTTGAAAATAAAGGACAATGTGAGCTGTGAATCTGATTATATAGTGTAGATTGCAATTTATGGCAAAGTTTATCCATCAATATCTCTTTTTCATATCATTTAGGATATAATATGAGAGTGTGTGGTTACCTGATGTGAAATACTTTTGTATGTATTTAAAATATGTCTATTGTTTTCTATAATGTGCTAGTAATTAATTTACTCTGCTAAGGACCCACAAATATAACACTGAGTAAAGCATACTTCTGAAAATAGGTACTTGAACTAATATACTATATAATCAAACTATTAATACATTTACCCACTTTTTAGTGAATTAAATGTCACCATATTATTAGACTGTAGATCATAACATTTTAAAAGCTTTTTTATCATTACAAGAATTAATGCCTCCCCATTATCTACAGGATAAACCTGCCCCTTTATTTCTACTGACATATTATCCCCACCATCTAAAAGCTATAACCTAAAGAAAATAATTTATTTTACTTGAGAATTTGTTTCCTACTATAAGAAATTGGTGTTCTTAGACATTTCTAGAAGTATTATTTTTAGGTAGATGTGAGATCAAGAATGAAAAAAGGCTCTTTACGCTGAAAATAAAGTATTGTGGTATTTTTCTTCATCTTTTCTTTTACTAGACACTTGTTAAAATAATGAATGAATCTTGTGGTGACGTTGCACAGGAGAAATCTCACCACAAGGAGAAATGGCCTTACTCAGGAACTTATATAGAAGCAAGAGAGAGTAGATCCTCACAGAAAGAATATTGGATAGTTCTCAGAATTGATGATGTTAATGAGACAGATCTTGGAGTGAAGTTGATATCATCTTTTATATTCTACATTCATCAGTTGTAAACCAGGAGAAACATTTATGCCAGAAATATCATCTTTAAATAATTGTGCTACAAAGATACTTTCAAAAGCAAGCAAAATGCAACATTGTTTATGATATTAAGACAAATCTATAAATAACCTTAATATCTAACAATAAGGAATAATTAAATATTGGTACACACATATAATTGAATGCCATGCAACTGATAAAATTAAATAAATGTTCTAAATGTGACTCTTGGCTCTGGTACTACCCACTTGCTTGGGAATCTGGGCCAAGCCTCTGTATCTCTCTGAGCCTCAGTTCTTTTCTCTGTAAAATGTGCATACATAACTTATTTTACAGTTTGTATGACAACTAAATGTCATTTCATGTGAGATACTTAGCAAAGTGAACAACACATGATATGCCCTCTGTATATTTTAATTGTTGTTATAATTGTCCCCATCATCCAAATGAACTTATATGAAAGATATTTATATTATACAAAGAAAATAAAAATATATTATGAGAGAGATTTCATATTAAAATTTTATTTAAATAAAAAATAAAATATTATAAGCTTTGAAAATTATATAAGAGCTGATACCAAGTTGTAAACTATGATTAAAATTGTGTTTTGAGTGACATTTTGTTGAATTCAAGTCCCAGGTCTGCTATGAATCATTTGCTTTCCATGGATCTCAGTTAAATGGAATCATCTCCAGGGCCCTCTCTAGTTTTGTGATGCTATTTTCCTTAAACATCCTACAATATTAGCTTGGTAATGAATACTATAAGAAAGTATAAATAAATTGCCATGTGAGCTTGGAGGATAGAGCAAACACTGCCAGGTGAGGGATATGGTAATAATTTAGGAAGGGACTATTTTTAAATATTAGCTTATTCAATACTCACTAAAACTCTTTGGGGTAGGTACTGCTGTCACTCCAATTGCCAATAAAGGCATGAGGCTCAGAGAGGCTAAATGCCTAAGGACACACCGCCAATAAATGGCTGTGCCAGGATTCCAATTCAGGTCATTGGACTCCAAGCCCATGCTCTTAACAACTCTGCTATGAAGACAATTGGAACAACTGCATATCAGGGATCAGAAGCAGCATGTGCAAAGCCATTGGAATAAAACAGTGTATACTTGGACAAGAGCCTAACTTGACTAATAGGCTCCCAAGGAGGAATGGATGGAAGGAGATAAGGTCTCAAGGGAGAAAGTTGCAGAAATTTAGAAAGCATATCCCTCAGTTCCAAATTAAAAATACTAATGATTAGCAAATATGTTGTATTACTATATTTATAAATTTAGAAAACACAGATGAAGAAAATAAAATTAAAAGTACTATATTTTTACTACCCAGAGAACACTCTATTAATGTCAATGTATATGTTTCCAGTCTTTATGTATGCATACATGCCCACCCATAATATTTCTTGAGAAAATCAAAGCATACCGTCCCTTTATTTCTGCATGATACAACATGAATACTTCACATTTTACTGCTTCTCTCTCCTCACTTCACAAAAGGAAGTTTCTATTCAAAAAATCGTTCAGTCTCCTTTGCTGATTATTCCTTACCATTGAACCTTGGAATTCCCTGGGGCACAACCTCTGGCACTAGATTCTTTTCTCTTTCCACTTCCTCGGTGATTTAATCCAGTTTCATGGCTTACAAAAAGGACTTCTGTATACTCACACCTTCACATTTTATCTCCTGTTCAGACCTCTCTTCAGAATTCAGCCCCCTACATCTGCCTGCTCATTCAATGATCTCTTCTTGAGTTTCTAGTATGTGCAACTTGATATATCAAAATTGAACTTATGTTGTTTTGTTGTTTCCATCCACATCCTTGCCGCCGCATTCTCCACCACAGCCGATGCGACTCTATCCTTTTTGTGTTCGGGCTGAAAATCTTGGCGTCCTCATTGATTTTTCTCTTTCTCCAACATCCTACGTCAGCTCTAATAGCCAATTTGTTCACTCTACCTTCAAAATATATTCAGAATCCCAGCAGTTCTCACCACTTGTACTTACCGTATCTCCAATCCAACGACTATCATCTCTCTCACCTAAGTTAGTGCAAGTTTCCTAATTTTCTCTTCATTTTCTGCCTTCGTGCCCTTATTCTTGTTAAAATTTTAGGTAGAATGTGTTCCTCCGCTGTTGGAATCCTCTCAGAAAAACGTTCTCATGAAATGTTAAGGCCAAAGTCTTTTAAAGTCCAAACAGGTTCAACATCACCACATTACCTCTTGTTCTCCATGTCTTCCTTTCTCTGCATTTTAACTTTTCTACAGCCACATGAGGCTGTTTGCTACTCCTCAGCACACTAAATATTAAGTCTGTCTTAGGGGCTTTGTATTTGCTTTATCCTTTACCTGGAATGTTGTTTCTCTAGAGATCTGCATGACTCATTCCTTTAATTCTTTTAGCTATTTACTCAAATGTTATTTTTTCAGTTTATGCTTCTTTGGCCACATTACTCAAAATTTCCTATATCTCTGGCACTTTCTATACTGCTTCACTGCATTTTGTTTTTTTTTTTTTGCTTTTAAACACTCAGCACCATGTAGCACACAATATTTTACGTATTTATTTTGTTTCTTGTCTCGCAAACCCTCTTCGAATACAGGCTCCATAATGATGTGACTTTATATCTATTTTGTCCATAACTGGATCCTTGGGGCATAGAAGGGTGTGCTACTGAATAAACATTTATAGAAAACACATGAGTGATGCTGATAGATTTGATGTATTCCTTTCAGGTCTATTTGGAATTTATACTCTATGTATTTCTTGTATTTTGATTGCACGTAAGATGACTTTCTATTTAACCTTATAATAATCTGAGTAATGGCACAGTTCTTTCGCATTTCTATGTCATGATTTTTTTAAAAGTGTATTCCAGGTATCTAAGTTCATAGCTAATATCTGCCTCATCAGATTAGGCTTCATAATCTGATGAGCTATAATTTGGGGTGGATATTCAGGCAATGTAAATACACTTGTACTAGATAACCTACACACTGTACCTTCTGTGTCTCTATGAGCTGAATCATCTTTTCCCTGGAATGCTCGTTAATGTATAGTTTGAAAGGCAACTCCTGTAAGATTCTATATCTCTTGGATGTTCAAATTGTGTCTGGGTGGCCCTTCTTGTTTTCATGGACATTGGTAGTATCTTTCATTTTTTTGGTAGGAAGGGGCTGTGAGGCAGCAAGAAATAGTTAAAACAATGTGTTATAAAGTCAACAGGCATAGACATAAATTCTAGCTCCATTATTTTCTAAGTGATCAGCTAGTTTTTAACTTATCAAAACCCATTACATCATTTGTAAAATGAAGGTAATAAAATAATACAGTTCAAACATCCCAAATTCAAAAATTAAAAATCTGAAATCCTCCAAAATTGCAGCATGTTTGAGTACTCATGTGACACTCAAAGGAAATTCTTATTGGAATATTTCCAATTTCACATTTTAGGATTTGGAACGCTCAAGCAGTAAGTAAGTGTAATGTAACTATTCCAAAATCTGAAAGATTCTGTATCTGAATTTTGGTCCTAAGCATTTTGTGTAGGGGTTGTTCAACCTGTACCTACATTTTAGAGTTGTTATAAGGATTCTTGGTATACATATGCCACACATACAGACACACTCAAAAACATAGCCAATGTGTCAGAAATCTTCAGTGTATAGAATGTACATGGAATATAGTATCTTCCATGTGAATCGGATACGTTTTTCTCTGAAATATATAAGTCTTGCATATGTCTTTAAAAATAAAGTACCTAAAACATTCTTTTTTGCCCTCTATGACGTCATTTACTCTCACTTTATCTTACTTTTTGGGTTGACTCCTTTTCATAGCTGGCTTTTCCAAAATCTGGCCCCTCAGCAGAGCTTATTTTTTAGCTGTACCTTTGCAATATTTATACTTCCTCTCCAGGCGATTTCATGCATTCTAAATATTTTATATATTGATGACCCTCAATTTGCATGTCTAAACCAAAACTCTCCCCTGAGTCCAACCTTACATATTCACTTTCCTGTTTGACATCTTTACATGGATATCTCCAAGGCATCTCAAATTTTGCATTTGCAAAAGAAGATCATTAATTTTCTTCTGCCCCTCACGTGTTTATGTGCTAGTCTACCCTATCTGTATTAATGCTGTCAAAATGCACTAGGCTGTCAAACTAGAAGCTAGGAGTAGACCCTGATTCCTCTCTCTACCTTACTACTCACATCTAGTCTATCAGCAAATACAGTTGATTCAACTTGGAAAATATATCTGACTGTGACCACTTTTCTCAATATCTACTGTCGCCAATCATAGAGAAGTCACCATCATTTCTTGCTAGATTATTACAGGTTTCTTTATAAGATTTCTTCAATTGATTATCCAGGAAAATGAGCAGCCAGAATAATCCTTTCTAAGATTGAATTGTTCCAGTCATTTGCTTAAATCTCCTCAATGGCTTTCTGTTGTAATTAACATTATTATTATTATCTTTTCTTGAGACGGAGTATCACTCTTTCACCCAGGCTGGAGTGCAGTGGCACAATCTTGGTTCACTGCATCCTCCTCCTCCCAGGTTCAAGCGATTCTCCTGCCTCAGCCTCCTGAGTAGCTGGGATTACAGGCGTGCACCACCACATCCAGCTAATTTTTCTCTTTTTGGTAGAGACGGGGTTTCACCATGTTGGTCAGGCTGGTCTTGAAAGCCTGACCTCAAGTGAACTGCCCGCCTCGGCCTCCCAAAGTGCTGGGATTACAGGCGTGAGCCACCGCGCCTGGCCAACATTAAATTTTTTTTATAAGAGCCTGCAACATCCTGCATGGCCTGGACCTTTCTTGCCTTTCCATCTTCAGCTTGTATCATCATGCCTCCCATGTTCTTCATGTTGTAGGCATATTTTTTACGTGACTGCCTTTATTTCATTCTTCTGTATATTTTTCTTTTTCTTTTTTGTGAGACGGAGTCTCTCTGCCGCCCAGGCTGGAGTGCAGTGGCGCAATCTCCACTCACTGCAAGCCCTGCCTCTCGGGTTCACGCCATTCTCCTGCTTCAGCCTCCCGAGTAGCTGGGACTATCTTTTCTTTTTTTAACTTTAATTTTAAGTATTTAAAATTAAAAATTCAGGGGCACATGTGCAGGTTTGTTACATAAACTGGTGTCATGGGGATTTGTTGTACGTATTATTTCATCACCCATGTATGAAGTCAAGTATTCACCGGTTATCTTTCCTGATCCTCTGTCTCCTCCCACCCTCCAGCAGGCCCCAGAGTATGTTGTTCCCCACTATGTATACATGTGTTCTCATCATTCACCTCTGATTTACATGTGAGAACCTGCAGTATTTGGTTTTCTGTCCCTGTGTTAACTTGCTAAGGTTAATGGCCTCCAGCTCCATCCATGTCCATGCAGAAAACATGATCTCATTTTTTATGGCTGTATAGTATTCCGTGGTGTATATGTACCACATTTTCTTTATCCAGTCTATCACTGATGGGCATTTAAGTTGATTTTATGTTTTTGCTATTGTGAGTAATGTTGCAATGAGCATGTGTCTTTATAATGGAATGATTTATATTCCTTTGGGTATATAGCCAGTAATGGGATTGCAGGGTTGAATAGAATTTCTGCAGTGGGAGTATAAATTAGTTCAATCATTGTGGAAGTCAGCGTGGTGATTCCTCAAAGACCTAAAGACAGAAATACCATTTGATCTTTATTTTTCTTTGTATTCACCAGGTTTCAGCTAAAGTTACCCTTTAGAATACAAATATGTAAGGCCCACAAGTATAGGGAGCTTGTATATTTTGCTCATACTTGAATATTCAATTCCCAGGACAGAATTATAGCATATACATACCATAAATATTTGTTAAGTGAGTTAATGAATAGATGGGGCATGTTAGGTGCTCAATGAAAGATAATAATGATACTTACCAATGTATATTATTACAGTTCTTTGTTACACTAGTCTCTTTCACTGAATAGTTAATAATTTTTTGTTAAATAAGTAACAAACTTCGCATACCTTCAAAAGGCAATATCTTAGTGTTTTAACATGTATACTGTATCTCAATATGTAGGGGTTTCATAAAACAACTTAAATGAATAAAATGCATGGGATTGATATTTCAGCCACACGAGCCTGACAGGACACCAGGTCTCTCATATCACTTTGATGTTCTTACATAAAAAATGAGTCGTGTTTTGTTATTTGTTCACTCGCTAACATTCTGATTTAATAAGAAATTGTGCTTTCTTTAACTTTAGATATTTCTTTTTGTCTGCAGCAGAATTCACATGACCATGAGAATAATTATTTTAAGCTTGGGTCTAAGGAAAGTGAAAGAAAGGTTTGGTAATATTCAAATGACTTGCCAATGAAAAATCTAACAGTCTTCATTTCTTCCTCTGTATCTACAATGCCAACTTTTGTACCAAAACTATTTTTTTCTATATATTCCCAAATGTCTAGTTATTCTGGAACATCTGGTTATTTGATGAAATATTAAAAAGTTTAGCTTTTGTCACTGTACATAGGAAGACTTTCTCTGTTGCCATAGGAAACAGTAGAAGGAAATAGTGAAAATGATGGTAGGAGTGATTAGAAACATGATTCAAGTTACATTCATTTTGTGTCTGGACTTAACTTTTTGTAGATTTGATGACCTTTGAAACCATTAGTATTCTTGTAAAAGTGCGATATTTACATACATTCCTGAAGAAACATCACCTGTATTTGAAAGTTGGTGCTTAGAAAGTTAGTCACTTTAAAATAATTTGAGATCCTTGGCTGGCAAAGTTGATAACAAAGTAAGTCTCTTACACAATTCCCCTAAGTGATCAAATCACTAATTTGTCAATTCTCTTTTACAAATTATGCTAGAATTTGCCATGGAAAATTTGGGACAAAATTTCTTTCTTCCCAGGAATTTAAATTGAAATAGATGATGACATTCATAGCTATACTAAATTTCTACCTGGCAGAATAGTTCCAAACATACATCCTTTTAGCCTTTGAGCCTTAGTGATGTGGAATGTTTTTCTGGATCAGGGCTAGAGGACTGATTACTGTGAAATGTATTGCAAGACTGTGTAATTACTTTGAAGACTCTCTGGAGGACCAAGTAGGTTGCCAGAGAATTTTCTGTCTTCATGACCTAGCCACAAAATGCCCTTGAAAATTTAATAACAACAAGATGTTGTTTTGAATATATATAGCACTTTTTAACTTGTAAAGCGTTTATTTCGTTGATATCTTGTATTGATTCCCATAAGGGACAGCCTAGCACATAGTATCCCCATTTTTCAGGTGAGCAAATTCTGGTACCAAGAGGTTAAACAGTTTACTAATACTTCTTAATATAAGAACAGGGATTGAAATGTGAATATTCTTTTCTCTAAAAATTGGTGCTAATTTGACTCTTCCTTGCAGCCTATTTGGGGGATGTTGTACTCTATAATTCCCCAACCTTTTCCTTTCTCTTCTACAGTTTATTTAACATGAAACACCCACCTTTCTTCATTTGTTTTTATTATATCTTCCACATTAATTAGACAATACTTATTTATTCCTGAGAAGATTATTCAACTTGCTTGACATTGTATTTGGAGAGAGAATATGTGAGGTATTTTTGAAAAGATAATTTTATTTTTGTAATTGCATAATTAATTACATGCTCAAGGCTAAAGATTTCAAAAGAAAAGAAAGCCTAATGAAAATTTAACAACAGTTATCCACACTTTCATTACCAAGAGATCACCAATGTTTAATATTCTGGGGTGCATACTTCTTGAAGTTTTCTGTTCATGGCGTAGTTTTGCTTCTAGGATGCTCTGTCATCTCTGCCTGAGATTACAATACAGTTCTGCCTGCCACACTCAAGATTTAGTTTTGTGTATTGCAGGTGAACAAAAAAAGACTATTAATCTAAGCAAGGCAGGGTCAAGAAGCTACATCAGCTGCTTCATCAAATCACAAAGGAAGCAGACAAAGGAAAGTCAGAAACGTTTTTGAATTTTTTTTCTTCGTTATCTGCATCATCAAAATATTTTCTCTGCTAACATGGATTATAGAACTTCCCCAAACTAGTTGCATTTATGTTTGTTAAAGACCCATGTTATTTTTTTTTTTTCAGGTTTAGAAGATCATGACCACATGGATCATCTAACTAAATGGTACATGGGGACAAAATGGTCCTTTAGAAAATACATCTGAATTGCTGGCTAATTTCTTGATTTGCGACTCAACGTAGGACATCGCTTGTTCGTAGCTATCAGAACCCTCCTGAATTTTCCCCACCATGCTATCTTTATTGGCTTGAACTCCTTTCCTAAAATGGTCCTTCTGTTGATCCTGTCAGTCTTACTTTTGAAAGAAGATGTCCGTGGGAGTGCACAGTCCAGTGAGAGGAGGGTGGTGGCTCACATGCCGGGTGACATCATTATTGGAGCTCTCTTTTCTGTTCATCACCAGCCTACTGTGGACAAAGTTCATGAGAGGAAGTGTGGGGCGGTCCGTGAACAGTATGGCATTCAGAGAGTGGAGGCCATGCTGCATACCCTGGAAAGGATCAATTCAGACCCCACACTCTTGCCCAACATCACACTGGGCTGTGAGATAAGGGACTCCTGCTGGCATTCGGCTGTGGCCCTAGAGCAGAGCATTGAGTTCATAAGAGATTCCCTCATTTCTTCAGAAGAGGAAGAAGGCTTGGTACGCTGTGTGGATGGCTCCTCCTCTTCCTTCCGCTCCAAGAAGCCCATAGTAGGGGTCATTGGGCCTGGCTCCAGTTCTGTAGCCATTCAGGTCCAGAATTTGCTCCAGCTTTTCAACATACCTCAGATTGCTTACTCAGCAACCAGCATGGATCTGAGTGACAAGACTCTGTTCAAATATTTCATGAGGGTTGTGCCTTCAGATGCTCAGCAGGCAAGGGCCATGGTGGACATAGTGAAGAGGTACAACTGGACCTATGTATCAGCCGTGCACACAGAAGGTAAGTTTCCTTTGCATACATCGAGTATATATTATTATGCACTCAACAGTTACAATTTCAGGTTTGGGAAGAGTAAACTATTCCTAATTATTTTGGATATTTTGAATTGTCCGAGTTATACCAGTACTATAAGAACAGACTGGATGGCATATATCTAGAGAGACAAAGACTTAAACTACAGAAGGGTGTATGTGGCCAATATTTGGTGAAATATAATTTTGTTTTCATTGTGAATTACATTATTTACTTCTGCTATACTGATGCTATATTATACTTCTACTCTAATGATTTTTTATATTCATTACTAGAGGTTTTCAAGTCTCTATATCTTCATTGAACACCTCATATTTTTGTCATTTCGCGATTGTTCTAGGTGCCTATTGTTTCTAATAGTTAAAGCAAGGTACACATAAATACACATAGGATTGAAGGTAGTAGCCAGTTCTAACCTAGGTGTGTTGTTATAGAGAATTACCAAAAAGTTTGGTCTTACAGCTATTTTTTCAGAAGAATTCATGGTCAAATCCAAAATGGAGATAAGAATAAATTAATTTTATCCTTGTATAGAACATATTTGAGAAGTATAATTTTAAATAATTCAACATGTTTGTTTTAAAATTTATTGCTTCTTTGTGCTCCAAGAATAGTGAGGAAAGAAAAATCTGACTGATGTTTTATAATAGTTAATAATAAGTAGCCCTTTGTTTTTTATGGTGTTTTAAAAATCATTAGTTCTTGACCATGGCTGTTTGGAAAAAATTTGTTTTGACCTACAGAGGTTGTGACCCAAATGGGCAGACTCGCTTGTTATGCAGCTCTTCTTCTAGAAAAAAAAAAATGTGTATATTAAACACTATAGAATACTGAAGAAGATACAAAATACTTTTTATAAATCATCGAATTATTGTATTTGTTGAGATTCTTAAAATTCTGCATTAACATATCAATATAGTCCAAATATTTCGGTCTGGTAAAATGTGGAATTAAGTTACTAACCCCACTTCAGAGGTTAGGAATATATTTATGCAACACATATTATGCACAAATACATATGCAAGGCTCTCTGACCGTCCTGTGAATGATAGCCCTTTGTTTTCTATATCACAGACTTCAGTGGGATTGCAATCTGGCAAAGGAGATGAGGCATGCACAAATACTTACATAATCATAATTCAAAATGACACAATGTTACAAATCTGACTCTAAAGGAAATTGATGGAGAAAAAAATCACCTCCTCCTCTGTGGTTATGGGGGTCATGGTGGGAATCTTACAGAAGGAAATGGAATTTGACAATTGAAATTTAACAAGAAGAATACTGACAATTGGTGAAAATTAGCAGGGATGGCTTTCAGTGAAAAGCATAAGAAAATATGACTAGGTGAGAAAGTAAAAATGTGCTTGAAAAGGCCAATTGTAAAGGTATGTTTTGGTTTGCATCAAATAAATCATGCATTTTATTAGGGACTCCCTTCTAGCTTCAGAAGATCAGTGCTTGGTCACGGTGTGGCAAGTGCTAATTCAATTGTGCCCCAAGTGAAACTCTTAGTCATGACCTTTGGCTTTTACTAGTTTAAACTGTTGTTTTATCCTAAATTTACCCCAATAACAATCTAATAACCTAATAAAATAAGTTATGATGTATTCAAACAATGCATTATCATTTAGCTATTAAAATAAGTGAGACATTCTACTAGGTAATGATTATAATTTCCAAGATCATCTTAGGTGAATAAAACAAGGGGCATTTCTGTATATATAACATTTTATTTTTTCTAAAAGGGGTTTTTATGCAAACAATTTGATTGGATCTTCATAGAATTGTTCTCAGAGAAGAGCAAAACTACTAAGAGTTGCTGCTTCTGAGAAGAAATCTAAGTTAAGAAATGAGGTGGAATATTTTATGCATAATTTTTATATACATACACTTTAAGCTCTATATTAAATACATAATTTACCTACTGAAATATAACAATTACATGAAAACATTCTATTTGTGGGAAAACAAAAGACAATAGAAATTGCAATGCCAAATTCAGGCAAAATATTTAGGTTGTACCACCAGGATTCAGGAGAGAACAAACCTTGGAATTGGACATTCAAAGGTTGGAAGAAATACTCGTTTGCTTACTGTTTATGTGGTTGTGTCAAGAAATATTTATCTTGCTTTGATCCCAAGCAAGTATGTGAATAACGAGGTTATGTAGTGTTAAGTCTTATGATTTATCAGTACAAGAATGGCATGGTAGGAATTTTCACAAGGTGAAACTCACCTCCAGGATCAGAAAAGTGAGAGTCAAACAGGATACAGCTTTGTTGGGTACTGTGGGAACTCTCTAAGGTCATGCTTTTTTTTTTTTTTCCTCCCCACTTGGTTTTTCAGAAAGTCTTGGTGGGATCTTCCATGAAATGATAGTGTCAGTTATCATCCAGTCTCTTCCTCTCACTGGGTTGAGGTGATTTTCTCTAGCATTAGGAGAATTAATCCCAGTACTTGATAATTTATCTTCATATTCTTATAATTATTCTCCTTTGTTCCATCAATATTCTCTTTCTTGAAGAGTATGGAAATTTCCAAATGCTTTCACATGAACCATTAAGGTCTGTGAAAAGATGTGGTCCTATTTTCAAAAAACATTTTTTCTCCTAATTGCCTATGTGTTTTATACTTAAACCTAACCGTACTGTGTCACGGGTACCACAAGATGTTCCTTCAAGAAAGTGTATGTCATCACAGAATTCCAGAGGAGTGTACAAGGAAAACTGGGTTTCAGCTTCGATGTTAATCTCTTACACTTGCTATTTCCTGTGATTTATGGCTTTAGTAGGCTGTGTGACTGGGTATTTACTGTGGCTTGTTCTATTACACAGAAATTATGCCTGGAACTTCTAGGCAAAGAGATTTATAGTATAAAACAGAAGAAGAAGAAAAAAGAAAGCATTTTTTAAAGAGCAGATCAAACTAGCTCTTCAACTGGGCAGAGGAAAGGAATATGCAATGACTCAGAAGAAAAGTAAAATCACTTCTTTTAATGGAGTAAGAACTCTCTCTGCACTAAGGAAATGTAAAGGGTCCTTTGCCTTAGTACTTTTGCAAACCTTGATACATGTGCCCACGATGACACAGGATTGATGGTGCTTGCCCATTTAGCAGTGTGGCAGATTGCATTGATGACGTCTACTAATGGTGCTTCTGTATTCACATCATTTGCTTTTGACTTGATAATTCCCTTTTACTTTCATGTAGCACTGGCCTTCTGACACTTTGACCAATAGCACTTGGTTGACGTGAGAACTTTCTTCCTAGTTTGTGTTGGAACCCTATTGTCACCCTGTGAAGTATGAGAGCACCCAGGTTTTCCAAATGAGTGCATCTTAGACCAGTTGACCTCAAACATGTGAGAGCGTGCAATGCAGATCAACAAAATTGCCTTTCCAACCCACAGCTAATTGCAATCACATAATTGAGCCCAGCTGAAACCCTCAACATTACCCAGCTGACTATTATTGTTAGCAATAAAAAATGCCTTCAGGATGGAGTCCAGTATAAACATACTCATCCCTCTCACTTTAGTCTCTAACTTCCCTTCTCCCAAATCAGATACTATTGCTTAAACTTCAAAAGCAAAAAAAAAAAAATAACATGCATTAATATTCTTGAAATTCGAATATGAAATAAAACAGAATATATGCTGTGGGCAAGAAAGAATATTTAAAATGCTTTGCCTATACTTCTGTGGCTAGAGATGTGATAGTTCCCTTAAAGTCTGAATGTTTCAAATAGTTAAGCGCTTGAATATATTTCATTATTATATTCTTTACCTTGATCTAGTTCAACTTCATTAAGAAAAGTAATTATTGTATTGTGTTTTATACAAAAAAAAATTTTATATTGTACTTCCTGGGTGATTGACAAGATTTCACACTTCACTAGTTTTCCTGACTTTAGTTGAAAATCTACAGCATATCCACAGGGCCTATTAGAGTGCCCATCATATAATATGTGCTCAAAGACTATTTGCTGAATAGAGGAATTTGTGTTAGTGAAGTACGTAGCTCACCATTTATGACTATATAGTATGTGGATAAATAGCAGGCACTTGTAAGTTTTTAGTTTTGCTTCTTTATAAAAATGAGGTGTCAAAATGACTCCCTTGATTAATTGTAAAATCCTGTTCACGCTACACTTCATTTTCTGTTTTCACTGGTTCTTGAATTTATTATTTCTGTCTAATGACAGGAATGTTAATTTGTTACAGCAAAAAACAAATCAGTGATGTTCTGGGGAGAAAAATGTACCAATAAATTGTACTGGTAGCATACATTATTGAAGATATGGTCTTCAGGTTAACCTAGAGATTGCAATTTCAGGTTATAATATGACTTCCCATCAGTTATTTACTTAAAAATGTGATAACAATCCAGCTTTGATTGAAGGAACTTCAGTATGATTCATAGTCTATATGCTTGTTTGACTTCTAAAAACTGGGAGTACACTTTTCCCATCTCAGCATTTCTACTAATTATCATTACACAAGACAATTTACCTTGGAAAAATAATAAATGGTACTGTGGAAGCTACTGAATAATTTTTAAAAGGACTTTATTTTGTTTCTCCAGGAATTGAACAGTGCTGAGAGTTAAAACAAATTTTGGGATGATCATGGTAATAATAAAGACACATAAATTACTATTCATTCCATAGAATGTTAACACTGTGTCTCAGGCCAGCATTTAATCTTCTGTATTTTACGGTTAAGGAAACTAAAATAGAAAGGTCACATAACTCTACCTTGCTTGTCAGATAATTAGTTGCAGAGTTGTGTCTTGGAACTCAAGATTTCTGTCCAGAACTTGGTTTCCAAAACATTGCTGGAGATTATTAGTCAGGTTCCTTTTTGCCATTTTTCTACCTCTCCATTGCATTGTTTTATTCACTCTCCCTTTATCTCAGTGGCACCAATATTTCTAAACAATTGGCTGAAAGTGTTAATAACTATCTGAAATAGTAGAAGGGACCACAAATGAAATAATTCATCTAAAAATTAGCCTTCACAGGAGAATTGCTTGAACCTGGGAGGTGGAGGTTGCAGTGAGCCAAGATCATGCCATTGCACTCCAGCCTGGGTGACAAAAGCAAAACTGTCTCAAAAAATAAAAATAAAAATTAGCCTTGAGAAATAGCATGATCAATTTGCTCTTGATCTGTAAATTAGATGAAGTGCTCCTTTTCCTGGGTCGTATCGAAGGTTTGCGGAAACTCTGAAAGATTTTCCTTTGCTCCACAAAAATTCTGAAAACATGAGATCCCCAGAAATCTTTGAAATTATGGATTGATTGTATAATTATATTGGTTACCACTGACTTAACAATATATACAATTTAGAAGATGCAGAAACTTTTAGGGGAATTCTTTAGTAAGTTGGATCTGGATCCGTAATCTGGGAAACACAGTGGGCAACTCTAATTGTAAAGAAACAGTTTTTCATATTCATATATCACTGTCAGAAACTTCATTGCTAGCAGTGAAAAAAATACAGATAGCTCTGGAAAGAGCGTTTAGAGGGGCATTCCCTCCTCTTCCCTTCCAGAAGGAACAGTCTATGGACTCAGTAAATAATTTCTAAGAGAGTTATTATTGCCTCTTTCAGAGAAAAATATAGAGCTTGCTGACATATCCACATGTGGTTTGGGCAGTGTTTCTTCTATATTCAGATTCATTTCTAATGATACAATTTCTGGCTTAGACTCTGGCTCACCTATAAGAGACTAATGCCTGGGATAGCTTCCCACCTTCCTCTCTCTTAGGCACCATTGCTGTCATCAATTGCTGAAAATACTAGAAAACTCCCACAAATACTCCATGTCCAGGATGACTAAGCTGAGTTAAAAGGAATTTTGTTTTCAGCGGATTTCACTGCACTGCTCCCCCATAATGCAGAAATATCTCTGGTGATGTGCAATTGTGGACACTTCCACAGTTCTAAATAATCAGATGCTTACCTAAATGTGAAGATCATCTCTTAGGATGTAGCCTATCAGGTATTCAGTATTTACCCATCTTATGGATGGCAGCTGCACACATGCATGTTTTCCCTTGGTCACTCTTATTCCAGATGTCATTAAAACCTTTTAGCTTCTAGGTTTATAGTGTTCAGCCACTTCTGTTGAAGTTGCTTCTGCATAAGGAATGCTGGGGAATGAGAGGGCATGCTGTGAGATGTTTATGTTCCAGTGTACAGCTTGAAACACATAAAACACAGAATGAAAAGCAAATTATGCACAGTAAATTCTGCCCAACATAAACTAAGCAAGCATGTAAGAGAAAGCAAGAATAGAGATCCTCAAAACTCTAGAGGGAGTATCTTGAGAATTTTTTTTCTTCCTTCCCTCCTCCTTTTCTTCCATCCTCCTTCTCTTTCCTTCCTACCTTCCTTTATAACTTCTTACCTTCCTATCCTCCTTCCCTTTTCTTTGTCTCTCTCCCTTTCTCTCTCTCTTTTTTATTCTTTGAGACAGGGTCTCTCTCTATTGCCCAGGCTGAAGAAGAGTGGCATGGTCATAGATCACTGCAGTCTCAACCTCTTGGTCTCAAACGATCCTCCTGGTTCAGCCTCCCAAGTATCTGGGACTACAAGCACATGTGACCACGTGTGAATAATTTTTATTTTTTAATTTTTTGTAGAGATGAGGCCTTATTGTGTTTCTCAGGCTGGTCTCAAACTCCCACCTGCCTTGGCCTCCTGAAGTGCTGGAATTACAGGTGTGAGCTACGACAACCGACATTGTCTTTCTTTCTTATTTATCATTTTTCCTCATCTCTTTTTATCTGGAAGCGTTTTTGTTTTGTTTTGTTTTTGTTTTTGCAGGCTCTTCTGTAAGTCTGGTCATTATCCTGTTAATTTGATAGTGAATAGATAAAATATGATGATTACATTAATGCTATCTTGGAGTTGGAAAAATAAGTTAAAATTACTAACTGTGCTAAAAGTAAGATAACTGACATGAGAACTAAGGATTTTACTCTGTGACTCCAAGAAAGTCACTTCAACTCCTTGCATCTTTTTTTTTTATACAAACAGGCACTACAAAGAATGTTCGTACAGATTTCTTTCAAGACTAAGTTTCTGTGACTTGCTATGCTCAAACTTCTGCAGACTACAGCTGGGCTACATTAAATGTTGGACATAGGGTGGGCAACATAATAAGGCTCTATCTCTACAAAAAGTAAAAAAAAAGAAAGAAAAAGAAAAATTAGCTAGACATGGTGGTGTGCACCCAGCTCCTTGGGAGACTGTGGCAGAGGATCACTTGAGGACAAGAGGTTGAGGCTGAAGTGAGCGAAGTTTGCACCACTGCACTCAGCCTGGGTGACAGGGCAAGACCAATATCAAATGCAACCAAGCAGGGCCTGTTCAAAGGAGAGTAGCCCAAATGGTTATGCAATTTGAAATCATATCCTCAGAATAAATTTAGTAGAGAGAAGACAAGACACAGCAGGGCCCTGACTGCTACCTTTAGGTATCTGATATATTTACATATTTTGTTTATTTAGATATTTGTAAATTCAGGTGGAAAAGAGCTAGGTTCACTCTGGCCAGCAGTTGACAGAGACAGCTAATTACTAAAATACAAGAGTAACAAAGTATGGTTTAATTTAAAAAATTTTTTTTTTGTTTATTAGCAGAACTGTTCAATAAAGGAATTGCCACTCTTAGGAGATAGTGAGTTAGTTCTCTGTAACTCCTTGTGCACAAACCTGCAATGGACAATCACTTGGAGGACTCTGGAAAATGGACTTAAACCTCAGTTGAGGAAAGAACGATGTTGGACTATTTGTTCTTCTGATAATTCCCAATGTTGACAATCAGTTGCCATTGGGATCTTACTACTTTGTGAGTTGAAACATAATCACTTTATATATATATATATATTTTTTTTTTATTTTGAAACGGAGTCTCAGTTTGTCGCCCAGGCTGGAGTGCAGTGGCGCGATCTCGGCTCACTGCAACCTCCGCCTCCCAGGTTCAAGCAACTCTCCTGCCTGAGTCTCCCGAGTAGCTGGGATTACAGGTGCGTGCCACCGTGCCCAGCTAATTTTTTGTATTTTTAGTAGAGAGGGGGTTTCACCATGTTAGTCAGGGTGTTCTTGATCTCCTGACCTCATGATCTGCCTGCCTTGGACTTCCAAAGTGCTGGGATCACAGACGTGAGCCACCGCGCCTGACCATATATACTATATTTTAAATTTGGTTAGTTTGTTTATTTCATAACACAGTCTGATAAGGTAACCATTTTAGTAGAATGGACAAGTAAAGAGTGATTTTTTTCTGCAGCTAAAGTTAGTGGCAGAGCAAGGATTTAGATCCAAAGCCAACTCCTTTGAAACAAATCTAAATCTCATTCCTTTACATTGGAGTAGGTGTGGCTCCAAGGAAAAGTAGGATGGACATCACCTGGTTCTTTTTCCTTCCCTGGGAAACAAAAAACCCTACTTGTTTCTCCACTGAGAGTATCTTTTGAGCATATTTTTGTGTCTTTTTATCTAGCTTTGAAAGCAGCACCTTTCCTTGTTCCCATGGAATGGGTTAATTATAGTGAAAAGAAAACAAATTAAGGAGGAGGCCTGTGGTAACAAGTTGACCTCACAGAAGACCTCTTTGTGAGTCTGATGAAAAGCACAGACTGTGCTTGGTTATTTCTATTTACATCTCCATCACAGGCTCCACACTCTGTCCTTCAGATGCCAATAATAGCAGGAAGCAATATGGTACAGAATTTTTTAAGAGCTGGAGGATATATTGTTAAATAATGTAGCCTTATATATGAAAGGCAATTCTTTGGAATTCATCAGGGTTGTGGGTTATGAAATCTCATTTTGGCACATTTGCAAATACTCCAGAAAGATTTATCAAACATTCAAATGTTGAATTGAGGAGATGTTTTGGCAAGAGGTGTAATAGTCAAATACATTTATTTTAGGGGACTTTGTAATGTGATTTCAGCCCAATGTTACATTTACACATTGATTTTCACACACACACACACACACACACACACAATGAGATTCTAAAGAAAGAGATTATCTAGTCGGTGTTTTTCTTTTTTTTCAAATAGTGGATAACTCATAAGTTATTTGTAAAACCAATTTAGAGGGTTGAAATCAGAATTTAATAGAGAATACATTAAAATAGACTAGAGTAAAATATAAATATCAACATGTATTACATCATAGGTTAGGTATTTTGTAAATTTCACCTTAGTTACACATAGCCATAAATAGCCTGTGGGTTACCATTTAAAATATATTTCTTCTGTGTCTTGAAGCTAAAAAATTAAAAGTTTAAAAGTGACTTACTCTACTTCTCTTTTTCATGTTATTCCTAAATACTTTTCTAGAGAAATGTAACCGATACACATGAATTTATTATTCTGTGACAATGTCATTTAATTTATATTTTCTGGAGTGATGGGTTTTAGGTCTCATTTAAAACGAGCAAAAATTTCAAGGCACCCATGGTAGGAAATGATAGAAGCATTGAACAACTGTCTTTTAGGGCAGGTATTTTTATCTCAATTTGATAATAAGGAAATTAAATTTACTTGTCCAAAGTCCCTCAACTAGCAAGACTATTAATCAGTATTTGTACTCAAATTTGCCTGGGTTCATCCTACTACTTAAATGAGAATTATTTCAAAGGGTGAAAAATCAGATTCCAAGGATATATTTGCAACAAACTGTGAATTTAAGTTATTGCACTGTAGGTTACTCATTGAACAATTATACCAATTATGTAAATAATTGGTATAATTTTGGTAAATGGTATACGCATCAGGATAGGACAATGGAGTGGATACTAGACAAGGAGGTCAGGCGAGTTTCTAGTCCTAGTTTTTATCAATGATAAAGACAGGCTGGGAGCATTTTAATTTTTAATATCCCAATGTAGTACACTAAGAAATAAATGCCAAAAATATTATTATTTTGACATTAAACATTTACATTTAACAAATTAACATTTCTAACTCCCCCCCACACATACACAGAGACATACAGGTACAAGCACATAAAATATAAGGCATTTGTGCCATTTACAAGATAACTTTTTGGCTATATAAACAAGTCATAGTGCACCACATGTGCACTACGTGTAATAAGCCACAAGTTTAAATATATAAAGTGGCAGTCTTCCACTATTCTCTGAGTGTCCCAAAAATTATATGAATAATTTCATTTGATATATACTCAAGTCTAAAATTTAGACTTCTTTTGAGAATGAGAAGCTTGGACCAAATACTATGGGTAAAATATAGTATGATAATATATGAGAGTGTGCTTTTAAAAGTATTATAAAAGTAGTTTAATGAAATAAGTAACCTACAGTGCAATAACTTAAATTCACAGTTTGTTGCAAAAATATCTTTGGAATCTGTTTTTTGACGCTTTGAAATAATTCTCATTTAAGTAGTAGGATGAACCCAGGCAAATTTGAGTACAAATACTGATTAATAGTCTTGCTAGTTGAGGGACTTTGGGGCAAATTTGAGTACAAATACTGATTAATAGTCTTGCCAGTTGAGGGACTTTGGACAAGTACATTTAATTTCCTCATTATCAAATTGAGATAAAAATACCTGCCCTATAAGATTGTTTTGAAAACTAAATATAAAGCACTTAGTATCAAGCTTGGCACACAGAAAACATTCAGTAAGTATCTTCTAAATTTTCCTGCCAAGAACCTGTCTTGCCTTATCTTGGCCTTGAAGAAAAAAACCATAAATGATGTTTCAATTCATCATTGCCCAGTTATAATTGACAACATAATGGAGTGGAGAATTGGTCAGGAAAGTTACCAATATATGTAGTGAATTTTAGACTCTTACTAATTTTCACTTTAGAAGATAAGTTTGCAATTGCACGAAAAAGGTAGGGTGCTTATTGCTTTGGCATAAGTACAAATACACCCCACGCTTTCCTCCTCCAATTGGTGATATATGTTGAGAGGCATTATGCTGTGGTAAGATGAGCAAGGCCTGGACAGTTCCAGAGCTGTGAACATGGTTATCTTTGATGTGAGTGGGTGTAGGAGATGAAACTAGAGGGGATTAAAGATGGAAACTTAACGCTATACTTCAAGTACTTTTGAATTCTTTTTTACATTTTCAACAAGCATAAGCAAATTTTATAGTGAAAAAAATAGGTACAAGCAGTAGATAGATAACTTCTTTGTAAATTTCAAATTGGACATGCTTATGTGCCTTTACTTCTCCAACTAGAAACTTCGTTATTAGAAACAAGTTGTAGTACATTGAGATATGCCATGGGCCTGAGTTTAAAACCAAAAAAAATAACATGGACCCTAGGAAATAGGCAGATTACATTTAATTGCTGCATTAGTTTGAAAACTAAATTAAATGCTCTGCCAGATTGTTGTAGTTCCAATTATAACAATGAATATATAACTTATTTATGAAGTGTTTATTTTCAGAAATTGTCAAAGTTCCTTTATTCTATAAAGTGATATCAAGGTGGATTTTCGTGCTGTTATTAATATATTATTAATACTACCTGAAAGTCAGTAGTCTCATTCATAGCTGCAATGAAAAGTAGATAGAATAAAAATAGAATGAAAAGATATTTCTGCATTCCTTTCCTCAAGAACAATAAAAATATAATTATTTGTATTTTTAATGATTTCTTCAGAAACTGTCTTCATATTGCTTGGTTATATACCCTCTTTTCAACTGTCATATATTTGACCTTCACTAGATTTGGGTTAGGATTTCAATCCTTGACTTTCCCTAATAAAGTTAGAGTGCCATTTTTGTTAATGAAAAATATATTACTGAATTACATATGATAGCATTTTATCCTTTGAGAAGCTGAAAAAATATAAAAGTTAAGTAAGACATACTGAAGTACATGTCAGTTTAATTTCACTTTTATGGAATTAGTGCACATGTACTCTAGAACTTAAAGTATAATAAAAGCTACAAATGATGTTGACAATATGTTTTTATGGAAATGATTTCATAAAACAGGAAATACATGAAGACAGAAATATTATACTCTCTGGTTATATTATTTGTAATAAAATTGAATTCTACTGTTTTCAATTCTCAATACATTCATTCATTTCTTATAATTTGGATGAGAATAACTGATATTAATTTTTTGCTCAGAGGATACAAAAACATGTAAATAACTATAGATTCCATTATATATTATGTTAAAACTATAGGTTTTATTAAAATACATATGCTAAAAATCAAGCTTGCAATATTATACGACTTTGTATTTATATAAAATTGATAACAGCAAAGCCTCTTATACCTAATACATTCCCTCCCAAAAAAAAAAAAAAAAGGATTTGAGGGCTTGGTAGTACTTTAATTTGACAAGATTTTGAACTTATAAAAATAACCTAAAACTTGTGTTTTGAGAGAAATTTTTGGACAAAATATAATTTTCAATGAAATACAGATATTTGCATTTCAATGCAAATATATAGTCCATGAAAGCACACCAAATAGAGCTTGAGGTCCATGTGATACTACCACAAATAAATTATTTTATTCATTAGTCTACAAATATTTATTGGGTAGATACTCTGTACTCAGCTCTGTGGTAGATACTGTGAAAAAAGTGAACTGGAAGCACTTGCTAGCACATGAGTTTTCTCAGATATATACAAAGCCATGGCTGCATAAAAATAGAACATTTCCCCTCATAGAAAGAATATGTTCATATGTAAGCAGAAACTCACAAAGTTATCTATATGGCAAGAGATGAATAGAATATGTATGGATAGCTTTGGTTGAAGTAAAAAAAATTGTGTCGTGTTTTTGTTTAATATAATGTTATTTTATATCATTTAGAGCACCGTAGATGGTGTAGTAAGTAATTCCTTTTTGTTTATGCTATTGAATGGCTCTGATTCAGTATGAAGATCATCAGTACTGTTCCCTTTGAGATACGAAGTCTGAGTTGCACACCATTAATATCTTTTTTTATAAAAGAGTGAGATTTTAAATCTTCCACACTGACAGATATAGCATACAACTTTAAACAATAACCTATAAAATCCATAATAAGTAATTAAGATATTCTCTGGCTTATTTAACAGTGAAACAATTTATTTTTAGGACTATTCGACCTCATAATAATTATCTAATTATCTGTGTGGAACTCTGGAAAGACTTAAATAAACACTTTTTATATTTTAACCATGCTACATTTTTCTTGGTATAAATTTAACATCTTTGACTGAATTGATTCATAATCTCAAATATTTCTTGATATCTGTCTCTTTTTTGAAATTCTCAATCTTATTTTTATTCCTGTTTTTTTCTGAGTCTTAGCTTTTTACTTTTTCTCTTCTTTTGAATAATCAATATAATTGATGTTTGGATTGAATTGCTTTCACGTATTTGGAATGTACCTTTTTTTAAAGGAGACTGCATTATTTGTGACTTTAGAGATTAGTAATTTGAGTATGTTTGGCTGGAAATTTTTCTCCTAGCTTCAAAACCTGTTACATACTTTTGCTTTTACCTTCAATCTATCAATACATGGAAAATTAATGCATACAATTTAAAAATTTGAAGAGGCTGAAGAGAGTATAACACTTGAGCCATTAGCTGGATAAAAAAATGTCCTTTAGAAACACAAAAAAGAAAAATTTAAAAATTCAACATTTTATATGTGAAATACTAAAGTGGACATGAGTGGAGTTTTGTAGATTGTACACAATTTCTAATCATAGGCAAATGAAATAAATTTTAACCATTCCTAAGAAAGAGCAGAAATTAATGCTGAAGTAATTCAGCTTGAATATGTAAAACTTTGTTTCTGATACTTTTATAAAATAAAAACAATTTGGTTTCAAGGTCAGTGGAAAGAGTATTAATCTTGGAATTGCTCTGGAAACCATATTTTATTTTCCACTTTGGGATGACCTTGGGCAGCTCACTTAACCTTTATAAATACACAGATCCTCATTTGCAAGATGACAGATGGCTGTACCTGCACTTTCTGTACTAATGTTTTGTTATGATGGTCAATTGAATAATCAGTTAATGCACTTTGTAAGTGTAAGACTGCCTGATAAATTAATTATTAAATGAACACTCACTATGTGCCAAGATCTATGCACTTGGACTAGGCTTTTAAGTTTTCTTACAAAATATTGAGTACAGTACTTTGGAAATTAGGTGCTAATCAAAGACTTCATTAATGGTGTCTTTATAACAGCAAAAATAGTGAGATATTGATTGGCTGGGGGAAGAAGTTAAACTCCTTTTTCACATATTTATGCTCCATCAGTAATTAACAATATTCATTAAGTTTCAGATCTGGAAGGGACAGATCTGAGATTTCTAACAGTGGGAGCTCTGAGTAGTCATCAAGAAAGAGTGCAGACATTGAATTCAGATACACTTGAGTTTAAATACCAGGTGTTATCTTATTTGCTGGTCCATCACTATTTGCTGTGGAAATGAGGCAAGTTCCCTATGCCTAAATTACCACATTTCAAAAAAGGGATGATTATCAATATTGTTGGCTCATAGGACAGTTGTGATCATTAATTTAGCGTAATACTTGGCACACAATAAGGGTTCAAAAATGTTAGTTCCTGCTAGTATTTGTTCTTTTTTAACCTCCTCATTTTTAGAAAAGAAACTCAGGTCTAGGAAATTTAAACAACTTGTCTAAGGTCACAGAGCTGGTGAGTAGGAGTGCTTGCACAGAACGAGGCTCCTGGTGCCAGGGTACTGTTGGGAAAATATGCTTAATATTCAGATAATATTTATTTTAAGGCACTCATTCTCACAACAAATGTATGTTCTATTATAATTGAAATATGTATGTATATATATTATATGCTTTTTTTAGTTTACTGTTTTTATCACTGTGTTTAAGGACATAGATCTAGACTCTATGGTTAAATAAACTAGAATTTGAACAACTTATTTAACCTTTGTAAATCTCAACTTCATCAATTGTAAAATGATTGATGCTGCTACTGCTAGAAAACAATTACATGAAATTTATCAGGTGTCCAGGCAGTTTTCTGAGCACATTGCATTCATTAATTTATTTAAACCAAGTCACAGAAAATGAAAATAATGGTAAACAAACATAAAATATTTATGCAAATTAAATTAATAGTATTTTTAAAAATATGTATGCAATATTTATGATGTGTAGTATATAATAGGCAGTCAATAAATGCTATCTGTTAATACTATTTTTCTTATTTTTGTTTTGGCCTAGCCATGGTTTCAACTGTAACTTCTCGAGTCCTTTCTTTGCATTTTGAATTATTCTCCTAATATTCTGGTGTCTGAGAACAACTTAAACTATATGTATTAAGTGAAAATAAGGAGGATGCAAATAATATATTTTAAAAGATACATGATTTCCAAATATAAAAGTGATTTAATAGCTAGGTATTATTTAACATTTAGAAAAGAAATAAGAGAAGAAAAATTTTTTAATCACTAATATTGCAACAGAAATAAAACCTTTTAACATTTTATCATCATTTCTAATTATCTTATGCACAATTTAAAAAAGCAGCTATATACATAATATTGGATGTTTTTGTTTGCATTTTTTCATTTTACTGAGCATTGTAAGGAGCACATTTTCTCTTGTTATTCATACTTTTTATGGACATTGTTATTCGTGGCATTATAATATCCTGTCTTTTCTCCACAACATTGCCAGTTTGGGAGCCCTCAGAGTCTTTTTTATTTTTCACAATTCCAAAAAGCACATAAAGGAACATAAATATGTGATATTTATCTCTGTATTTAAAAAATCTAATTAACTTAATAACAACAAAAACAAAAATAATCAAAAAGATTAAATTCTTGTACAACTTGAAAATATATTAATAGTTTTTAAGATTTATTACTTATAATAGCAATATTGTAAGTGTTTTAAATAAATAATTGCTGGCATAAAAAGTTTAGTTAGTATAAAAACACTCATCTTACTACTGGCTTAAGAAAGAAAACATTGTGCCTATCCCTTCCCATGGATATCCCACTTTAAGTTGTTCTTGAAATAAAGTTTTTGTCCTACAAAATATAATTTTGAAGTTTTAAATATATAATGTGTCCATATATCCAGAGTAAGATTTTTACTAAACTTTTGTTAGACCTCAACTCTAAGGTAAATCATCCTTTAATCTTTCTTCATAAGTTCTACTCTTAACTCTACAAGTAATTTTTATTTCAACTCTTCCAATAATTCTTTAAATCATCTAATTGGATAAATTTTCCCCTCCTAGACACATTTATATTTAGAATCATGTTTAGTTTTACTTCCACCATGGACTAGTTAGTCAAATACGCATGTAAACTATAGGGTGTTTGTCCATAGTATTAGAATATTTTACCAATAATTCAGTGTTCTTAAGTATAATAGGGCATAAGATCATAGAATTTTGAATCAGATCATCTGTTCCTAAGATTCTCAATTTTATACTAACTTGAGAACATCAAACAACCCATCTTAAGGACTTTGTTTTTATATATTTTTAAAGAGTTATTCTTTAAATATATGATTACTTTTATTGTCATAGCTAATACTAACTGCTTAATATGTTCCAGCCATTGTGGTTCTATTTTATTTAGTCCTTACAATAATGCTATGAGTTAAGTACTTTTAATTACCATTTACCAGATGAGGAAATGAAGGCACAAAGACATTAAATAAAAGAACGTATTTATCAAAGTGCTCCCGGAGAAAGTCAACCTCACATGGCCTTATGATTGTTTCTGTCTTGCTTTTTCTCCTTTTGCTGGAGAAAATACTTCCCCAGGATGGATGGTGTTGATATTTTGAGATTACCACAAAGCTCTGTAACCACTGATAAAGCCAAAGAGACACAATATATTGTATAAGAAAAAAAGCATTTGGGCTCTCTTATAAAGGCCAATCATTCTGAAGACACTTTTATTGAAAAAGAATTTTACTGGAAGAATTAGGGAAGAAGTCAAATATCCAAGTTTTATCATTTAGGAAGTACATTAGGGTCAGCTGATCAAAAAAATACGTTTCATAATTGCACCCGTTGTCATTGTATTATTTTGAAAAAAGATGAATTCTGGTTAATAGATTTTATACTAATGTCATGCTTTGTGTGTTGTTATTGGTGTCAATTTTAGAGTTCTTAAAGAGAGACAATGTCTCCCAGAAAGAAGGAAAAAGCAAGAATAACAAAGTATAACAATATAACAGTAGTAAAAAATAAAATGTTGTGTAATATGACATCTACAGCTTTGGTTGTCTCTTTTGTTGCTTCCCGTGGCACTGTTTCCCTGGAAACCCAGCATTCCTTAGTGTCTACTACCCAGCTAACCACCTTACCGTGATTATTCAGCAAGGAAGTTTTGTAAACAATTTAGTAGGAAATCTTGAATAAGAGATGTAAGGACTTTTTAATATAAGGCATTTAGGAAATAAAAAGTTTCAGTAGGCCTCATCCTTTTCATGCACAACCACAATGACTCCTGTAAAATCTCATTAGGGATGCATCTGGAATAATCAAGTATACAGCATTCTGGTGTTAAGAAAACTTGAAGAAAGCCTCAATAAACTCAACGCTTAAATTTTAACATGTGTAATGTTAATGTTCAGAGTGCTGGTGATAGAAAACTAGAAAAGCATTCTATAGATTTATTGAAATATATGCTATATGTATGTATATGTCCTGCTATCAAATTATACCAGAATCTGAAGAACAAAGCACTAGTATTAAGGAGACTTAAGTTTTCTATCAACCTTCTCACTAAGTATGGTTGAGTTAATTTATCTGACTTTGTTATGTCACTAATTATCACAGCTTATTTCCTATTATATTGAATGATTCCTTCAAATATTATACTGACAGAATAATCCAAAAAATTTTTTAACAGTGTTTCTACCAGATAACTTGTAGTTTTCCTTTTCTCATTAACATGTTAAGCTTATTTGTGTTACAAATTCTGTAATGTTTTGGTTAGAAAAATGCCCATCAATGATAGACTGGATAAGGAAAATGTGGCACATATAAACCATGGAATACTATGCAGGCATAAAAAAGATGAGTTCACGTCCTTTGCAGGGACATGGATGATGCTGGAAACCATCATTCTCAGCAAACTAACACAAGAACAGAAAACCAAGCAATGCATGTTCTCACTCATAAGTGGGAGTTGATCAATGAGAACACATGGACATGGGAAGGAGAACAGGGAGGGTACGTAGGGGGGTGGGGGACTGGGGAAGGGATAGCATTAGGAAAAATACCTAATGTAGATGACGGGTTGACGGGTGCAGCAAACCACCATGGCACGTGTGTGTATACCTATGTAACAAACCTTCATGTTCTGCACATGTACTCCAGAACTTAAAGTATAATTAAAAAACAGAAAAGGTTAATTTAATTTTCTATTACTAACAAAATGAAATCAACCAATTCTTTTAGAGATGTACTGAGGCATCTTTCCTTTTTAAGATCATTACATTGTGTGTTTATTAAGGGTTACCAAACACTTTCGTCATGTGATATATGGCTAAAAATTATAGTACTTCAAATGTGTTTTGGATTTGTTTTTGTCTTTCTGACAAGGTCTTATTCTGTCACTCAGGCTGAGTACAGTTGCATGATCATGGCTCACAGCAGCCTCGACCTCTCAGGCTCAAGTGATCTTCCTGTCTCAGCCTCTTTCTCAGTCCCTGATCTAGAACTACAGGTGCACACCACCACTCCTGGCTAATTTTTTATTTTCATTTTTTGTAGACACATAGTCTCACTATATTGCAAAGGCTGGCCTCAAACTCCTGGACACAAGTGATCCTCCTACCTTGGCCTCCCAAAGTGTTGGCATTACAGGCAGGAGCCACCATGTCTGCCAAAATTTGATACTTAAATTGTTAAAAAAACAGGTAATAAAAATTGGGATAAGTGCTGCGTGGATGTTAGTTATAATTAATGAGGATGTGGGCTTCTTGTAGTAAGGGTTTGTCTTAGTTTGTTTTGTGCTGCCATACCAGACTACCACAGACTGGATTATTTATAAACGGAAATGTATTGGCTCACAATTCTGTTGGCTGGAAGGTCCAGTATCAAGACGCTGGCAGATTTGATGATTCTAAGATAGTGCCTTGAATGCTGTGTTGTCCTCCTGGAGGAAGAAATACTTCATCTCACATGGCAGAAGATCCAAGGAAAAGAGGGCAAATGGGGGCCTAATTCATTTTTTTAAAATGGCATTAATTCTACAAATGATGGGAGAGCCCTGATGGCCCCATCACCTCCCAAAGTCCCACCTGTTAACACCACCACAAGGGCAAATTTCAACATGTGTTTTGGAGAGGATATTCAGACCATAGCAGTGATATTAAATTTCTTTGACATTGTTCATAGCAGTTGCCATAGTTTTGAGTACATGGAGGTCAAATAAATACATACTGAATTATATTTATTCAATGTTGAATTTAAATACGTTCACATGTCCTAATGAAAACAGAAATGCTAAATAATATGGAAGTGTTTCCTTTCAGGATTTAGATGTCACGGTCTTATTTTGTAGACTAGACCAGGGTGACTAATTTATGAGAGCTTGGTCAGTACTGCAACCCCAGGGTTAGGATTTTTTACTTAATGTAGAAGTGTGAAAATCAGAAGCTTTGTCATAAACTATTTTCATCTAATAAACCAAACTTCCTAGTCTTCCTTGTTTCAGTAGCCTGTTTGGCACTGTAACTTAGTAACTAATTCCTTCAGGCTTTGAAAAATATTTGAGTGAGTAAGAAAATGCCGGCCAGGTGCAGTGGCTCACGTCTATAATCCCAGCACTTTGGGAGTCTGAGGAGTGTGGATCACGAGGTCAAGAGATTGAGACCACCCTGTGCAACATGGTGAAACCCTGTCGCTACCAAAAATACAAAAATTTGTTGGATGTGGTGGCATGCACCTGTAGTCCCAGTTACTTGGGAGGCTGAGGCCAGAGAATCGTTTGAACCCAGGAGGCGGAGGTTGCAGTGAGCCGAGATTGCGCCACTGCACTCCAGCCTGGCAACAGAGGGAGAGTCCATCTCAAAAAAAAAAAGAAAAGAAAAAAGAAAGAAAATGTGGTACAGCTTTGTGGGGGTGGCCAGTGAGCAAGCATCCAATATAAAAGAGAAGGCAAACACCTGGAAAGGAAAACTTGTCTCTGTCTCTTGAGAAGATGGGATGAAGCCCTTTTTCTTCTGTCCCATGTGCAATCATTTGACCATTCCTTACTTCAACACCTCCACTTCGTCACATGGGTTACTTAAAACATATGACTTCAATAGGTTGTGAAATACTGTGAGAAGACAGAAATAACTAGTCATAAGATTAATTTTCCAGGGTGACTTTCCCTGTTGCCCTATGGAGTTCTCTTTTCTTAAAAGTATTCCATTTAAAGGTAAAGAAAGAGTGATTAATGTATTCCTTTTCCTTCCTTCCAGCAGGGCTTAGAATATGAGAAATAATAGTAGATTGCATATACTGAATGACTCTCATGTGTTAGTATTTTCATATATAGAATCTCATTTTATTTTCACATTGTCTTACAATGCAGATATAATTGTCTTTTATAGGAACCAAGGAAACTAAGGTACAGAGAAAATAAGTAATATTACAAAGTCACAGTAAACTTGAGACAAAATTTTATTTTAGATGTTTCTCACTCCAAAGACTCTTTCTATTACACCATGCTATCTATATTCAGTGTTCCAAATGCAGATGCTAAAGAAGTATAAAGTGTCTATATGAAACCCTGACCCTCAATTCTACTCATGGAGTCAACTACTATTGGCAGTTTCACATTAAATTTTCTAATTTTTCTCTAAATTTTTTCCCCTTAAGTTTTACTTTAGGTTCAGGGGGTACATGTGCAGGTTTGTTACATGGGTAAATTGTGTGTTGTGGGTGCTTGGTGTACAGATTATTTTGTCACCTGTGTAATGTGCATAGTACCCAGTGAGTAGATTTTTATTCTCTCCCTCCTCCTACCCTCCACCCTCAAGTAGTCCCCAGGGTCTATTGTTCCCTTCTTTGTGTCCATTTGCTTTCAATATTTAGCTCATCCTTACAAGTGAGAACATGTGGTATTTTTCTATTCTTGAGTTAATTTGCTTAGAAAATGTGTGTTGCCAAAAAGAGCATGATTTTGCTTTTTTTATGGCTGTGTAGTATTTCACTGCGTATATGTACCGCATTTTTTAAATCTACTCCACAGTTGATGAGCATCTAAGTTGATTCTATGTCTTTGCTATTGTGAATAGTGCTGTGAGGAACATATGCATGAATGTATCTTTATGTTAAAACAATTTATATTCCTTTGGTTGTATAACCAGTAACAGGATTGCTGGGTTGAATGGTAGTACTGTTTTAAGTACTTTGAGAAATCACCAAACTGTTTTGCATAGCAGCTAAACAAATTTATATCCCTACCAGCAATGTATTCTTTTTTCTATGCAACCTTGCCAGCATAAATTTTCACCATCCATTTCTTTTCCTCCTTCCCTCTCTATCTTTATATTTTATTAAATCATATTTGAACAAAAATTGAGATTGATTTTTGCACCTTCCTTTGTGACTTAATTTAAAAAACAATAATGATATATCATGAACATGTTTTCAATTCCATCTGATGCATTTTGTAAGCATAGATCACTTCCAGGTTATTGCGTAGTTCCTATTATTGCATGCTCCTTTATAATTAAAGAGTGTAGAGTATATTGACTCTACTCTCCTTATGTCTGCATTAACCTTTCTCATATTTTCACTCTCACTGAAGTCTTCATCAATATGACCTATCTTTACCTTTCCATGTTGTCTCTTGTTGCCATCCTTAGCAACTTCCAAACATGTTTGCTGTCCATCTGAGCCACTGAGCTTACAATTTATTGTCAGCCACCAGGGCAGATCCAGTCTAGTGATATCTCTTGAACAGAGTTAAGGTTGCTTCCTGGTAGTTAGAGACACAAATGGAGGTTTTCTCTTCGGACTAGAAAAGGATGGTTCATAACATTTTTTTCCTTATGCCAGTACTCCCACATCCTCACATTACAAGATACAGAAGAAAAAATGAAGCCAGTATAACGTGAAGATGACTTTCTAGATTTCATTCTTACCACACCTAATTTTCAGCTTCTCCTGCTAACTAACATTGTATAGATTTGTGGCTTGAGGCAGACATTAAGAAGATATAAATAAATCTTTTTTAGTGGAAAAATTGTCTGTTAGTGGTGTAGAGCTCATTTGATTACCTGTCCTTTGAGATATTCACTTGTTTAACAGTCAGTTATGGTTATTTAGAGAGTCTACTATGAAGCAATTCTGGGCCAAGGTGTAGATAATTTGTTAGCAGACTGTGAAGGTCCAATATTATATTTCAAAGCTTGATTCATACTTCAAGCTTATTGGCCAAGGTATTAGATTTGTTTTTTCCAGTAATACACATAAGAATTGAAAATATGTCATTGAAAGTTGGACAAAGTAGAAAATATTTGTTTTCCCGATATTTTTGGTCATAATATATTATAATAGAATACAAATATTTTCTGTTATTTTGATCTTGAGATCTTTGAGCTAAAGAGGTGATAAGATATACATAAACATCCCTGCCAGTATTTTATGTTTAATAAACTCTACCTCAATTGAAAACTTACATTATTTGAAGCAAATTAAAAATGAATTTAATGCCAAAATAAACTTCTTCATTAATTTGGTAGATGATCAGAATTATTTTTGCTATGAAGATCCTGATATAAGAGTCTGAAATTAAAGGAGGCTGCAGATAATTTAGTGATGGTGCAGTTGAGGGATCATTAGGCATAGTCTCCTCAGTATCTCTGGCCCGGCAGGGCTAGCTGTCTGAACCTGTATTTATGTAATCTTTCAATGAGTATCTTTGGGATTAAAAAAGATACTTGGTATCTGATGAATAACTTTATTATTTATTTATTAAGATAGAGTCTCACTCTGTCCTCCAAGCTGGAGTGCCGTGGAGATATCAACTCATTGCGACCTCTGCCTCCCAGGTTCAAATGATTGTCCTGCCTCAGCCTCCCGAGTAACTGGGATTATAGATGTGGACCACCACGCCCAACTAATTTTTGTATTTTTAGTACAGACGGGGTTTTACCACGTTGGCCACGCTGGTCTTGAATTCCTGACTTCAGGTGATCCATCTCTCAAAGTGCTGGGATTACAGGCATGAGCCACTGTGCCTGGCCTCTGATGGACAACTTTAATATTAAGATCATTATTTTAAAATTTATTTTTATTTATTTATTTATTTATTTATTTATTTATTTATTTATTTATTTAGAGATGAAGTCTCACTCTGTTGCCCAAGCTGGAGTGCAGTGGTGTGATCTTGGCTCACTGCAACCTCCGCCTCCTGGGTTCAAGCAATTCTCCTGCCTCAGCCTCCCAAGTACCTGGGACTGCAGACATGTGCCACTATGCCTGAATATTTTTTTTTAATTTATTTTTAGTAGAGACGGGGTTTCGCTATGTTGGCCAGGCTGGTATTGAACTCCTGACCTCGTGATCCACCTGCCTCAGCCTCCCAAAGTGCTGGGATTACAGGCGTGAGCCACAGCCCCTGGCCTTAAAATTTCTTAACTGACCCACTGTAAGGTAAAATACTAAGGAAATGATGAACACGCATGGCTGGACAAGGAAAGACCCTGGTATGTCTGGGACTAGATTTGTGATCTACTCTGTATTACTCTGAGACTACAGAGGTTCTAAGGACCCCAGCAGTTTTTAATCTCAACTTGATAGCAATACTCCATTGATTTAACATTATAATAGGTAGGATGCGTCTGGGAAGTATGGAGAAGAGAGCAGAAGAAGAGTGTTTGGGGGTCATGTTGTGTAAGATGGAAAGCAGAGACAAAAGAAAGGGATAACAATTACCCCCCTGATGGTGTATGAAAGATTCTTCATCATTATTCTGATATTTTCCATGTACCCACACAATGAACGCACATGTGCACGCGCGCGCACACACACACACACACACACACACTCTTTGCATATACTTCATTCATGCCCCATAATAGTACAGGAGGGTGCAGTGATACAGTAACTTTCCAAGTATAATACATCACTGTTTGGAAAAAAACATAGCTGGAAACGTGCATGAAAATTACCTGGGAACGTGTCAGAAATACACATTCTTGGGACCCATCCCTGATTTTGTGAATCAGAAACTCTGGGGATGAGACATTTTAAACAGATTTCCTACAAAGCATTTGCTCCTACATTTTCATTTTTAAATCTAAGACCTAGTTCAAAACCCATTTCCTGCTTGAACCCTCCTCTAGCCCCATGACAAGTGATCCACTTCTTGACACAGAAAACATTTTATACTAAAGGACCTTATAATGCACTGTCGTTTATTGCAGTTCTATTTGAGCACATTTTACCTCCCAGGCCAGACTAGTAAGGAAAGTAAAAAAGAGTAAAATACTCTTTATCCATCTATCTGTCTCTCTGTCTGTCTGTCTATCTCTTTGAGATGGAGTCTCCCTCTGTCACACAGGCTAGAGTGCAGTGGCACGATCTCGGCTCACTGCAATCCCCGCCTCCCAGGTTTAAGCAATTCTCCTACCTCTGCCTCCTGAGTAGCTGGGATTACAGGCATGTGCCACAACGTCTGTCTATTTTTTTTTTTTTTTTTGTATTTTTAGTAGGGACGGAGTTTCACCATATTGGCCAGGCTGGTCTCGAGCTCCTGACCTTGTGACCTGCCCCCCTTGGCCTCCCAAAGTGCTGGGATTACAGACGTGAGCCACCGCGCCCAGCCTATTCTTTTATTTTTAATCTTGCATAACTTCTACCTTGTGGTGGATCATATTCATATTTAAGTAGTTGGTATATGATGAATATGGAGTAAAAGTTCTATAATATCAAAATAGTTGAAGTTACGGTTAGTGTGTATAGTGAATATTGGCTCCTTTAGGCTACAAAAACCAGCTTTCACAAGCATAGAAAGAAAATGCATGAAATGAGCACTTACTAGAGTCCAGGCATGTGTTTAGTTAAAATGTAAATGGAATAACTGCTATAAACCAGGCCCCATGTGATATGCTGGGGAAAAATATTTCACCAGCCCCTCCCAGGATATGATCTATCACAAAACTCTGTTTTGTTTTGTTAAGAACGTTTGTTATCATCTCAAATTCTCATGTGGTTTAACTCATTCTCTTGTTTATTGTCTGCCCCTTTCCCAAATCCATGAGACAGACTTTGTCTAATATATTAACAGTTGTATCCCAAATGTCAGGGGCAGCCTGGTACATAATATCTATGGAAAAAAATACTTCTGAATGAATGAATGACTTAAAGAGTGAGTAACATTGTGAGGAAGACGTTATAACCCCATCATAGACAAACTGAGACTCTGACAACTTAAGTGACATGCCCAAAAAATATAGAGTCTAGAGTTTAAAGCTCAATTCTTTCCAATTCTAAAAATTGCATTTCTTAGCTCTACCGTTCATCTTCACATGATTTTTCCCCTTTTAACATATCTGTCTCCAGTTTTTTCAAGGGATCACGGGAATTTGAGCTGCAGTTTTTTAGTACTGACTGCCTGCACTTGAAAACTTCTCCAAATTGTGCTGAGCTGTGCAGTTAATCATTTTCTTGAGTTGAAATGAATACTGCAACCTTACATACCACCTGTTCTCCCAATAATTCTGGTATATACAGCCCCAGCTTTTGGAAACTTCCTTGAGAATCAAGGAAGCAGAAAGATAGGATTAAGGAAGCAGTTATCCAATGAGTTGCCAGTCCAGTGAGCTGACAGCAGGAACCTTGGCTGTGGGCTGATTTTAAAGAGGCTTGTGCAGGTGATGGAGTGACCTTGTTAGTGATATTTTCTTTTTTATTTCTTCCTGCACATTTTGCTTTCTGTTTATTACATTGAGGGAAGCAGAGGACTTCTGAGGAACTTCATAAAGCTTTTTCTTTTTTCTAGGACTCCAAATATCCACTGAATCCCTTCTGTTCTTTTTTTCATTAGCTTCAAAATATTGAGTATCAGACTGTTGTAATAACAAATCCATTCAGTATTCACTAATGAAGTTGTGTAAAGATAACTATGACCTGGAATTTAGATGGTGAAATGAGGGGACTGTGGTCAAATGTATTATTTATCGTTCTTCATGGAGACTCTCACAGGGTATTGGAAAGGAAATAGCCTTGGTAAACAGAATATCCTGGATTTGAGCCCTAATTCTGCCACCATTAGAAAGCACTAATCTCACTAAGCCAGTTTTTTCTTTTTCCTGCCAAATAAGATTCATTGTGATTACATGGAAGGATATTTGAGAATTAAATGAGATAATGATTAATACAGCCCTAAGGATCATGCTTGGCACATAGTATATATTGCATAAATGTATGTCACACATTATTTTTAACATAGAATAATATGTAATGAATGGTCTCACAGGGATAATGGATCATTAATTCATCAAAAACCAGATAGGCATGAAGCTGGAATCGATGGTTCCTCCGGTTCTGTGTCTAGGACATGTAGACCAGATTATATGGAGTTTTTTAAGTGGACTACCTACTAGTGTAATTGAATGAGGACCATCATGGCCATAATTTGGCTTGTTTTTACTCCTCTAACAGTGTTATAGTTTTAATTCTCTGACTGTCAGCACCCACTGATCTTTAGCAATTCCAACAGTCTATCACTAAATTCTACTGTGGTCCACATTCTTAGTATGGACTTCTACTATTTCTCCCATTACAGGAAAGATGATGACTTAGCTTAAGAATGTTTCCTGTAAGGGAGCATGCTCTGAACAATCTGTGGTGGAAAATGGATGTGACATATTATTAATGTTGGATTGTTGCCTAAAATGTCTTTTGATGCTATAAACATGAGATTGGAAGTCCAAACACCTGGGCTTAAATTCCAATTCTGCACTTACTATTTTGTGTTATCTGAGACTTTCACTTGTACACTATAAATAGGACCAGAAATGCTTAACTCACATGGTAATTATGTGGGTTAAATTAAATTAGATAAGGTATATTCAGCCCCTGGAATAGTGAGAATTAACAATTGGTAATGCTTTGGCTTACCTCCCTGACCTTGCATAAACCATGCATGGCTGAACTCACCCTGTCCCTGCCCAGATTTTGCACTGTTGAGATTATGAGGTACTTCCTAATGGTTGCTGCAGCTGCAGCCCATAAAACAGCTCTTTGTGTGTATGAAGAAAATCATAATAAGAGGGGCCTCCAGAGCCATGTCACATCTCTCAGGCAGTACAGCCTCTTTCATTGAATCATATGAATGATTAAACCAAAGGTGTCTGATTTGTCTTCCTGTTTTATAGCAGAAACTTTTCTACAGGTTCTGGCATCAGAAATAATCCTTCCACTCCGAAATTTGGGAAGTATTGGAGATAAAAGGGTATGTTTGTTGTTGTTGTTGTTTGACAGAGTTTTGCTCTGTTGCCCAGGCTGGAATGCAGTGGCAGTGTATTCTCGGCTCATTGCAGTCTCCACCTCCGGGGCTCAAGTGATTCTCGTGCCTCAACCTCCTGGGTAGCTGGGATTACAGGCACCCACCACCACGACCAGCTAATTTTTTTTTTTTTTTGTATTTTTAGTAGTGATGGGGTTTCATCACATTGGTCAGGCTGGTCTTGAACTCCTGACCTCAGGTGATCCACCTGCCTTAGGCTCTCAAAGTACTGGGATTACAGGTGTGAGCCACCATGCCCAGCTGAAAGGGTTTGTTCTTGATATGACATTTTTCTATACAAAGCCTAGATAGTATGGAATGGTGGAAAAAGCTGACAAACACTAATACCAGGTGATCAAGTGTAACATAAACAATGATAAGGGTATGATGACAGCACATACCCTCAATATGATGTAAATAAGAATGGCACTTTCTTCTGTGATCTTCCTCCCCAAAACATACAACCCCAATGTAATCTGAGAGAAAAACATCAGACAAATCCCAATGGAAGGACATTCTACAAAATACCCGATTCGTGCTCCTCAAAACTGTCAAGGTGATCTAAAACAATAAAAACATGACAATCAGTCACCGTTTTGAGGAGCCTAAGGAGGCAGGACAACTAAATCTAGTGTGGTAACCTGGATGTGATCTCAGATAAGCAAAAGGATACTAGGAAGACACTAAGGAAGTCTGAACTAACTATAGGCTTTAGTTAATAATAATGTATCAATATTAGTTTAGTCTTTGTGACAAATGAACCATATTAAAGCAAGATGTTAGCAGGAAAATGTGGGTATGCAGTATATAGGGACTTTCTGTGCAATATTTACAGTGGTTCTATAAATCTACAACTATTCTGAAATGAAAAGTTTATTTTAAAATATTATTTTTCTTATTTATCCTTCAAAATTCTGGGTGCTCTTTTAGGAAGCCTAACCTTTTATGTAATCCTATAATCCCATAACTTCCCACTATCCCCCATCACCATGGTTTGTATCAGCCCTCCTCTCTAGTCCTTATTGCATTGTATGACCATTTTTTCACAGAACTAAATGTTCTTCAAGGACAGGTCTTTAATTTCCGTATCCCAGTGCCTCTCATAGCATTTGGGATAGATAGATAGATAAATGTCCAAGACATAGTAGAATAAATTTTTAAAAATATTGAATAAATCAATGTTAGAACAAATAAATGCATTTTTTAATGAATTAGTAACTGAAGGGGCAGAAATATTAAGCCCAGCAAGTGACATCAGCTGCCTTTGTACTGATATGATGTTGAAAAGAACAATGACTGAGGGATCTCGCCACAGTACATTTCACATATTATTGCATCACTGATGACATAATTACTGACAAGTGGCTTGTTTCTGAGGGGCAAGGCTCTATTCTGGGGGTTGGATTTGGTACACAGATACTCCTTGGTGTTAAGCACAACTATTTGGCCTATAGACACTACATGTGCCCTGCATGTGAGCTTCATTCACTAAATCATTCAACAAATGTGTAATGGCAATGACAACAATAACTACCCTTTATTAGATAATTATGTGCCATATATTGTGTCAGATGCTGTATTGTACTAATTTCATCCATGCAACAAACCTGAAATTTAAATTATCCTATTTTATAGATGAGGAAATTGAGGCAGATAGTTTAAGTAATTTTATTTAAAGGGCCTATCATGTGCCAAGCAGTGGATATATAACTGAAAGAGTAGGAGGGAGGTACTGGAGAAAGAGGTGGTAAGAAGTAAAAACAAAGTGCTAGTGATGGGCATATTGACCTAGACTTTTATCTAAATGCTTGGGTCACTTATGACCCTTTCTCTGTAGGAACTGAAAACCAAACATTCTGTAGATTTTCTTCTAAATCTCTTATTTTCCTTCTGGAATAGAAACTCTATGGTGGGTACTCAACAAATAACAGGAAGCAACAGTGCATCTGATATAGTACTTGTGAGAAGAAGCATATTGTGTTAAAGGGTTCAAGCTTGGAATCAGATACACTTGGACTGAAATCCTGGGTCTGCCATTAGTAGCTCTGTTACCTTGGCCATTCAGCTTCTGCTTCCTTTTTTGTAAGTGGGAGTTATCATTCTTCTCTTGAAAGGTTGTTGGAAGGATTAAGTCATAGGTATCAAGTACTGAGAGCAGAGTAGGTATTTATTGGATAAATGGTAAGAGGCATTTTCATTACATCTGTGGAGAGAAGTAAAACACAGTAGCTGGTGGAAGGAGGAGGTGTGCTGAAGGCCAGCTTTCAATTTCTGTACATTATGCTATGCCTTGTTTGTTTTTTAATTTTGTTGAATGAATCTGTCTCAAGAATGACATTCTCAATAAAGTTTATTTTGTAGGGCATAAACTAGTATTAACAGAAGAGTCTACTTATCTTCTATTCATTGAGCATTGCTACAGACTAGAGCCAAGGTAATACTCAGAAGTCCATTAGTTAAACCTTGGTGGTCTGAGGGTCATACCAGAACAAGGATGCACTGATGAATTTCATATTTTTAGTGGAGTCAAACGTTTGCTTAGTTTATATATAGTTTATTCTATGGTGACAGAATGTTAAAGTTTGGAAGGGCTTGAGAGCTCATCAAATTTATTCTTATATCTACCTCTGTGTAGTCATAAATGAGAGAATATGAAGAAAGCTTCTTGGTGTTAATGATAGTGCTAGCCTTGCTACCTGTATTTGGTAGTTAAAATGTATAGCTTTTCTTTCTACAAACAACTTAAAGTACTCTCATCATGTACTCCCATCAAAAATTTTGTCTGCAGATGGCTATTATCCAGTTTGCAATGAAAAACTGAGTGGAAACAGTATTTACTTTAGGAAAATATCTTCCTGACTGTTTTATCCTATCCCACTAGAGGTAGACCTTAGTATGCATATACTAAATTTCAGGAGCCAACATGGTCTTTATTGACTTGGCCTCACAAAAGAAGCATGCCCACTAAAGTACACCCAGATGTGTAGAAACAGCCACATCATAATGGCTTACTGTTATACTTGCTAATTGACAATAAGAAAATCACTCGACTTCTCTAAATGCTAATTTCATCCTTTCTCAAACAGGAGATAACAATTACTTTTCAGGGACACTTAAATAACAACAGACAGTGTATATAAAGGATTATGCATTGGTTAGCAAATACTACCACCACAAAATATTGGAAATGTAATATTAATTTCTTTCTATAAGACTATTATTAAAGACAACAAGAATATTGTTATTCAAAGTCCTTATATAAAGACATGTCAGCATAAAAATTACTTTTGAAACAAATTTTATGAAAATATCTGTCTATATGAAAAACCATTATTCCCATGCACATAACATGTACATATATGTATAATGTATATATAATAAATATGAAAGATGAATATATATTATATATGTTATGTGTTATAGATAAGCACAAATATGTTTTATGGTATATATAAATAAATATATGTATAATACATAACATATATAATGGTTCTATATATTTATAACATATTTATATATAGATATAATTTACATGTGTTTAGTTAGTTTTACCTTAACACTAGAAAGCTCAGCACTAAAATAAATTTTTGAATCTAGTGTTTTTTTCCCTGTAGATCACTGATATCTTCTCTTTCCTTCCAACTGGGTTTTGATTGTTTCAATATCTGCAATCTGCTCTACTAAAAACCACATTTGATCACTTTTAGAAACAGGGAGGACCTCAAGTGGCAAATATATCATGCCTTCTAGATCAGGAGAGAAAACAAAAGCGATGAGGTTAAATGACATGCCCCCTAACTCACATTGTTAGCTAATGGTAGAGTCAAGGTGAGAACAGCCAGGTGCTGCCTGGTAGTCTTCCAAGCTGGTTTGTGTAATCACACTCAAAGGTATAATGAGATATGAAACTATTTTCTGTCAGATAACTCTTATCCATTTGGGAAGCTTTTCTAATGAAAAGTTCAATGTACATCCTCCAAAGTACTTGGCACACTTCCTGGAAAATGGTATTTAGTGCTACCTGGGCTTTTAAAACACACACAGAATAAAGTGTTTCACTCTGTGTAGCTTTGGATTAAAAAAATGAACTGGCCATTGCCTGATGAAGTATGAGGCCCTGAGATATCCACGAGGGCAGACTAATATCCAGAAAAAAAGTTTTTTTTATGAGTGACTACCTGTATTACCTAAGGAATATGTCTTTAAAAACACTGCCAACAGACACCCATTGATTTCTTCTCAGTCATGATCACTTGAGTGGCAGGAAGAAGCCCAATAAAACAGCCAGCCAACAGATACCCTGCGAGTGCCACCAAGGTGATAGCATGTGTTACTTCACAGTGAAGGGAAGCAAAAGTAGTGAAGTGTCTGCCTATAAATTTTAAATTGTGTGATCTGGTATCACTGACTTTTGTATGAGAATTCATAGTTTATAAAATTATATAAGGTAGCAATCCTTTGAAATAGGCTTATGAAATTTTATGAGTGGATGCTCATTTCACCAATAAAGGATTTGAAGTTCAACCAGGCTAAGTGACGAGTCCAAGTTCAAATAAATATTAAGTTATGTAATATGTAAACTCACATCCTTTTGACACCTGTGCTCTTTCAATGAAACCATGTTATATTGTGTTTCATATGATTTCATTGATTTATGTAAGCAGCAAGCTATGGTTCTAAATAGGGTTCTGGCCGCCCTATGAATCAGCCCTAGTGAAAGATGGATGAGTGCAGCTCACTTGAACACGTACAGTGGGCACTATGCCCACAAGAAGTAGGCGGTGCCAGAACCAAGCATTCAAGACTAATTGAAGCAAAGCTTTTAAAATTTTTAAAAAATTATTTTTAAGACTTTTTGTGGGTACAGAGTAGGTATATATATTTATGGGTTACATGAGATGTTTTGATACACGCATGCAATATAAAATAAGCACATCCTGGAAAATGGGGTATCCATTCCATCAAACATTTATCCTTTGAGTTACAAACAATCCAATTGCATTTTTAAGTTATTTAAAAATATACAATTAAGTTATTCTTGACTATAGTCACCCTGTTGTGCTATCAAATAGTAGGTCTTATTCATTCTTTCTATTTTGTTTTTGTACCCATTAATCATCTGTGCCTCCACTTCCCAGAGCCCCCACTTCCCTTCCCAGCCTCTGGTAACCATTTTTCTACTCTCTATGTACATTAGTTCAATTGAAAGAGGCAAAAAAAACAGCCCTATCTTTAGGGGAAAATGAATTGAAGTAATAGCATTGAAACCAAGCTCAGCTCAGCTCAGCAAATTGTCTTTGTGCTTTTATGATGAGCCGGCACTGTTGAGTAGTAACACAAATTCTGTTTTCTGTACCATGTGCTGTGATACTAATGGTCTTGGTAGATCTCTATGATCTCTACAATTTTCTTTCCTTAAGTAGTCTAAATTTCTATTAAGAAATAGAGGTGGAGTTACTAGCAACAATTGTGAAAAGAAAAGGGAAGATACCTGTAGTGTTGTATTTGTGATTATGTGTTTGTGTGTGTATTTGACACATGCACAAACATATATATGTATGTTTGTGTATATGTATGTGTGCATATGATAATGGATATACTTGTGACTATGTAGCAAATATCTCCAGAATACCTGACTTACTGATGTTGGGCACACTGTCTCTTCTGAACTAGAATAAAAAATATAAGCCTTAAAGATTCAAGTCTTTCCATACTTTTCAAACGTAATGTACTTTGTAAGAAGTGGGAGGCTACATGAATAAGTGTTACCTAATCTCTAACCACTAGGGATTCACTTCTAGTCAATGAGCAAGGTGCATGCTCAAATAATTTTAATAACTATCTGGTAGGCTGTGATAAGTGCTAAAATAAGATTAAAATTGTTAAGGGATCACAGAAGAGGTAGCATTGGATTTGGATTTGGGTTGTAAAAACCATTTCTCAGTAGAAATGACATTTCCCTGAACCTCTAATAATGAGCAGGGAGTTGACATGAGAAGATAAATAGCTTTGACAGTTTACAACTATTTTTGCACTGAGAAGCAAGATAATTCTTCCCTGATAGTAGTATGGGGCAAGTCTGCCCTCATAAAGATTTCGGAGTGCTTCAAAATACACAGAATTGTCAGGTGTGAGAGTGAGGCTTGACGCCTGAATTTGTATTGTTGACTTCACCATCAGGATTCTGACCAATATATGATGCTCCTAATGTGCAATGCAGAGATCCGTAAACCAGCTTGATTCAAGCCATACATGGAGAATGAAGTAGTACCCTCCCTCTTCTTGTGCTTTTAAAGCTATAAAATGAAAAAGAAGTTATTTGTTTCTTTCTAATATTCTCATAAAGACAAGATTATTTGTGGACATTTGTTCTCTGTGGACCAAGTCAGGAACATGAGCAAGGAAAGCCTAAATATTTCCTCTAAAATAGTAATTGACAAATGCAGAAAAATAACACATATGCTTAGCTTCCAATATTTGTCATCTATCGCATTAGACTTACAGAACTCTTACATGTAGCAACACGACGTGCTATCTTAAAGTCTGATCTTAACTGTATTACAAAGGGAGTACCTATCAACTTTGTCTGCAAGATCTTAGATTCAGTGAAATATGGCAAATAGATCATAAAAAATTTGAAATGAAACAGCTAATGAATAATGAATGTTCCGTTGCTATCTTTGGGTAAGCGTCTGCAAACATATGTTTTTTCAGAACTTTAGAGGATGTTGATTTTATGCAAACTAGAAATTCTCTACCATCTGTAATAGGAAACAAGTTCTCTGTGCTATAGCTAATAATAGATAGAGCACTGAGTGAATTTAGGAAACTATTCAAACGGTATGTAATGATTCCTTCACATTGTTCTTTAGCATTGCTTTCTTGCTCTTTGACGATTTGGGCTGGCTGGAATGCTGACATGGTGAGGCTCTTTTAACGTTAATGTTTGGTCAATGTAGGGCCTTGAAATATTGTTCAATTTTGCGAGAGCTTTAAGTCTATGTCTCCTTCTGTTCATTTACTTCTTCTTCGTATTAGGACATTGGCTATCAAAGGTTTCTGTGCAGCAGTTCTTGATTCTCTTAGTGGATTTGATCCTAAAGAGAGAATAATGTATGCATTCAATGTAGAGTCATAAGGTAATTATATTTTTTACGCATCATACATTTTCCCAAAAAATACCCCTATTTGCAACAATAAAGATGACCAAATAGACTCTCTCACCATGCTAGGTTAAATGGTTCAGACTCTGCTCACGGGAGCTTGATGTCAGAATTCGCTGGATTAGGCCAGGATGCTCTGATGTAAGGAGTGCGAGTCAGCTTCCTCCTGCTGGGCACCTACTTCATTGGCATGAGGAATTCCTGCTACCCCTACAGATCTTTATTTGCAAGTATTATATGCAGATACATTTTACCTTCATTTCCGAAATCTCCATGGCAACAAAAAGTCTACTCTTACTTTGCTGTTTATTTTTATCTTCAATGTCTTCTCCTCTGATTGTCGATTTTCTGCTTCTAAATTATTTGTTTCTTCTTTTGTCTCTTCCATTCTTCACTCACTCCCTCCATTCTCTCTTTTTCCCACCCTTTTTTTCTTTCATTGTAATTTTTTGATCATTATAAAAAATGTATCCATTAGCCTATGCATTATTGCTATCAGAATGGGAAAGGATGTAACTTGATAGTTAATGGAACTAGCTTTGGAATCAAGGTAATTTGAGGTCAAATCCAGAATTTCTTCCCTTAATCATTCTGTGAAACGATCAAATTTTTAATTCTCCTTAAATGCAAATTTATTCATCTATGAAAACATCTATGAAATAACATTGCTATAATGTAGATAGATTAAGAGTAATTGCATCTATATAATAGCAATCCCATGAAGGTTACATAAAATAATGTATGCAATGTATTTAGCAGACTGTCTGGCCCCTAATAATCAATTCATTTAATGGTCAAGATGCTGTAGGCTGCTTCATGGTTGGTGGTGGTGGCAGAGATCAATTTTTATGCCTTATCAAGTATATCATCTCAGTTTCTTTGAAAGTACATTGCAGATTTCACGTAATCAGTGTTGAGATGCCACTATGAATGAAAAGGCAATTTTGTGCAAAGCTCTGGTTTTCAGTAATCAGTTAGGATTAATTCTTACTTGTGGACAAGCTGAAGCATTCTTTAGCAGCTCCTGCCAACTTCTCTGTAATATAGACATTTTCAACTAGACACCACTGAACTAATAATGAAGATGTCGTCTCCCTTATAAGTTATTCCCACGATATTCACAACTGTTTTAGCCTGAACATTTTGATGAATAGACCTATTTGTTTTAAAATTGTTTCTTAAAATCCCTCCACCATCAAAAAAATTCAAATTAATATTGCAATACCATGTTAAAATAAGATTAAGAAACCTCCCCATAAGTTACTGAAAGTAAAGCTCATGAAGAATTACAGAAGTTTTAAAAGAAAAAAAAGAAAACGAAAGAAAAAAGGGCTAGTGCATTAGGAAAATTAAGCAGATGCACTATGAACATTAATTACAGCTAACTGAGGTTTTGTTTACTGAGGTTAGCAGATTCTAACTCATTGAGTTTCCTTAGAAAATGGCCTGAGTTATCCTTGCACCATAAGTTAATAAAGAAGCAGATATTATTTCTCTCTACAAATGGAACCACATTAAATTAAATATAGCTTTTCTTATTACTCTTTTGGAAAGCAAAGGAGTAAGTTACCTAGAGTCCATCAGGATGCCTCAGACCACTAAGGCTTCTCATTTTCTCATAATCATGTGCCATCCTCTGCAGATATTAGCTTTGCTTTTGCAAGCTCATGGTGTGGCTTAATACATATGGCACCATGACATGGTCAGTTGAGGAGGGAAAGGAAGGAAGAAACCTACGTTCTAATAACTATTCTCCCATTATCCAGTTGTATGGTTCTCCACAGTCACTTTGGCTCTCTGTGTTTCCACTTAGTCATCTAAAAAGTTGTTTATATCAATAATTTTTAAACTTTTAACAATTATAACTCCCTTTAAGAATAACATGTTGTCTATAATTTTAATTGGCATAAACATGAAATTTTCACAAAATACAGCTATATATCATTTTAACAATTCTGTGCCACCCTAAATCCCTTACAGTTGCATGAATTCTAGGCTAAGGACCCTAATCTAGGTGGCCACATGATACCTTCATAATTCTGTGATCCTTGGGCATTTAAATTCCTTCTCAAATAGCTTATACTCATAGGGTTTATTGGGAAGCAGGGGTTATGTATATTTTACACATTCTCTAGCTCTGAATTTGCTGTAAGATTTGACCAAGTTACACAGTTTCTGTGGGCCATGTTTATAGGGTAGTGTCATGATAAAATCTTAGACTTTGGAATCCAAAAGATCTCAATGCAAATCATGGTTACGTCATATATTCACACTCTAACTTTAAGGGAGAGTATTCTGTGGGCATGCTTTTATTGCATATAATCGTGTATAATAGGCCATGATCTTAAGACTTTGAAAATTTACATTTAATAATCATTTGCTCAATATTTGCCTCAATCCTTTGTAATGTATATGGCCATATACATGTGTACATATATATATGTTAATATACATGTATACATATAATATATAACTATATTATATATAATATGTGTGTATATACATATGTGGAGTTTGTAGCTAATTGATGTTTCAATTTAAATATATTTATTACAATTGTAAACATTTTGATTTTGTGTGTGTTTTTTTTTTTTTTTTTTTTTTTTTTTTTTGAGACGGAGTCTCGCTCTGTCGCCCAGGCTGGAGTGCAGTGGCGCGATCTCGGCTCACTGCAAGCTCCGCCTCCCGGGTTCACGCCATTCTCCTGCCTCAGCCTCCCGAGTAGCTGGGACTACAGGCGCCCGCTACCACGCCCGGCTAATTTTTTGTATTTTTTTTTTAGTAGAGACGGGGTTTCACCGTGTTAGCCAGGATGGTCTCGATCTCCTGACCTCGTGATCCGCCCGCCTCGGCCTCCCAAAGTGCTGGGATTACAGGCGTGAGCCACCGCGCCCGGCCTGATTTTGTGTTTTTATTTTATGGCTTAGAGATCATTGCTTTTAGATCTTAAACACTTTTTGTATTCTGCACAATTTCATACATACTTTATTATATTACTTAATGAATATAATGGCCAATATGTGAGTCCTAGTTTTCTCATCTGTTAACTTGATAATCTTGGGTAAATTCCTCTGTTTCTCTGAGCTTTAATTTTCTCAATGGTCTGCTAAGAAACTTAGGTCAATTAGTGGTTAAAATAAAGCTGGATGTAATTATCTAATTTTCAATTCCTTTTTTCAAAATTGAAATTAGCTCATTAAACTTGAAAAGGTTAAGGAATACCAAAGAAGGAAAAGAGGTATGAATAAACTCTGTGTAATTACTTGATTTACAATTTAGTGACATTACATCTTGGTATGCTAATATGTCAACTTACCTTTGTGTTAACAAATTTATTCATTTATACACTTAAAATTAACTTATAAAACCTTTGCTTATCTTATACATCTTAAGGTTTTTTATTTTTATTTTTAGGTAGAGGGACAAAGAAGGAAGAGATGCGTAAGAGGGATCAGACATTGATGTTATCTTTTATGAGGTGTGTAAAACAATAGGGCTAAAGGTAAATTAGGCTCCTAATTAGTTGTAAGTAAAAAGTTATCACTTGTCAGTTATGTTTTTAAAATTATGCTAAAATGCCCTTAATTAAGAAACAAACTAAAGGAATAACAGAGGCAAATGAAAATGCAAGAATATTCTTCAAAAACTTATGCATATTTATTGTTCCTTCTATCTTCTAAACATGATTTTTCTTGATTGCCTTTTACTGTAAATCATTACTTATGGATGGTAATCGTATTTGTAGTGTAATGTGAAGAAACATTTTTTTCATGAGTTTGAATTAGAAATAGCAGAGTATATAAAGACAGTAGAGTAGACCAAACTATTTTCTCCCACATAAGTGCCTAGTAATGAAATTTTATACTGGAGAACTTAACCTTACGATGAAACCAGTAACAACATGATTGTGTTCTTTGAGTTCAATTATAACAAAAGTACTAACAACTAGTGAACCATCACTTATCATAGTTTTGGATATATATACTATTATCAAAATCAAATTTAGATAACCTTGATGTCTATAGAAACATAGCCATGAAGAATAACATTTTAGATGCATAAATACAGACTGTGTGGTAAAACAATTTTGCAGGAATAGTCCTTGTCTATTTACATATAATGGAGAGAAATAACACCAGAGGAAATTTATGATTTATGATAGAGATCTGAGCATACTTAAATTTAATTTTATTTTGAATATTTGCTTGATAATCCAGCTAACCATGTCTTTTATTTTGGTTAGTAAAGTAAATGGTTTAAGTAGTAAACATTATATATCCTTGAATTTACATGTCAGCACTGCATACGAATTCTTTCCAGCATAGGTTTTCAAAGAAGAAATTTTGGTCCAAAGAGACTTTTTTCATCTTTATGCCATACTGTTTTTTCACAGTTTCCTTTTAAATCAAGACTCAGAAAAAAAACATATAATTGTATTACATATTTCTCCTCTTACAACAAAGATAGTTTCTTTCTGAGTACATACAATGGTATTGAAGTTTGGAATTCAAATTTTAAGTATTATCCAGGACTGTGTTTCTTTATTTGAAGTTATATTATAGATACATTAATATTGTGAGTGATTAAACAAGGAATGAAAGGTTGCCACTTTCACCAATCATGTGAAATTATTAATGACACAGCATTAAACACAGGAAGATTAGAAAACTACAGAAACTGAGGATTCACAGTCTTCATTCAGTACTTTCTTTTACTTCTCACCTTGATTTCATAAGAGTCTTCTAACTGCCCTCCCTGCCTTCACTTCATAGTTGTAATTAATTTTGCATTCTGCTACCAGAGGTTCTTAAACATTGAGCTATTCATCATGCCCTTCTGCTTAAGCCCCTTTAATTCTTCCTCTTATACACTTGGATAAAACCCGTATGACCTAACAAGGTATAAAACAAATAAACCTTTATTACCTATCTAGTCTCTTTGTACTTCCCCCAGCATCACTTTTCTCCCTTCTTGTCTTGCATCTATGCTCTATTTATAAAAACCCTAAACATAAAATAGCAGCAGAATGATAATGGCAGTAATGAAAATCACTCTTGTTGATTGATTATTAATAATGTGACCAATCACTGGATTTGAAGTTTCATCTATTCCTCCACTCAAAAGATGCCCCTGAACACATACTATATACTTGGCACTAAACTTAGCAGAGAGATATGCTGACATGAAAAGAACAGTGGTGTTATAGTACAAGAAAAAGCAAATATTCACTACTCTCCTGGGGTCATGGTCTGGTTGGAAGGATGCAAATTATCACTTAACAAATGCAAAATTTTGTCTTTGTTGTGTGCTAAAAAGTAAAGGAAGCAAGTCCTGGGAGATCCTATGATAGGGGCATGTGGCCTAATAAATAAGGGTGGGATAGGCACACTTGATGCAAGATTTTAAAAATGATTTGGGCCGGGCGCCGTGGCTCACGCCTGTAATCCCAGCACTTTGGGAGGCCAAGACGGGCAGATCACGAGGTCAGGAGATGGAGACCATCCTGGCTAACATGGTGAAACCCCGTCTCTACTAAAAATACAAAAAATTAGCCGGGTGTGGTGGCGGGCGCCTGTAGTCCCAGCTACTCAGGAGGCTTGGGCAGGAGAACGGCGTGAACCCGGGAGGCGGAGCTTGCAGTGAGCCGAGATTGCGCCACTGCACTCCAGCCTGGGTGACAGAGAGAATCTGTCTCAAAACAAAACAAAACAAAGCAAAACAAAACAAAACAAAAAAGATTTGAAATTATATAGGCAAAGTGGGAGAAAGAGGAGGACAAGGACAAGGTAAAGGTAATATGCAAAATACAAATAGCAGGAAGGGGCATGGATATGTGTAAACTCAAAGAAGGCCAAAGTGGCTGGTGCACAGAGAGTGAGGAAAGCAAGGCGTGAAAATGACTTTAGTGAGACAGTCAGGGGACAAATCATGAATGATCTGTTAGCCCATCATTAATAATTTGGTTTTAGGAGCAATGGGAAGTCATTGGGGGCTTTTAAGTGGGGATGTGACTTGATCTGGTGTGCATTTAGGTTCTTCAGCCTGGATGGTGGAGAATGGGTTAGGAGCAGGGGTCCAGGTGGAAGCAGGGAGAGAGTTAGAGTTAATGACTAGAGTCCAAAAGAAAGGAAGACTGTCAGCTCATTTGGAAATAGTGGGTATAAAAAGAAATACTTTTCTGAAGTAAATGCATAACTTATCTCATTTAAGCCTCACAACTATGGCAGGGTAGATATTATGAATCTCACTTTTCAGATCAGTACTTTGAAACTTAGATAAGTTGTATCAATTTGCTTAGTCCTGTGGCAGTATATGGCATAGCCAGGCCACGGAAACCAGGTTCTTTAATTATAAATTACGTCCTCTTTCTGCTATACTGTTCTCTTTCCGTATTCTGCAACACTGTGCTTTTTACATGTTATAACTTTTCATTTGCTTTTTTCTCAACTTGAAATACGCTTCCATTGTTTCAAACCCCTGGACGCCTTTTTCAACGACTGCCCCTTTATGCTTCCGGTCTTTGCTAATATCTGTCCTTTGTGCTTTCATAGCACATTTTGTTATCCTGTTGTTTTATTCTTTCTCTACTAGACTGCACTCTTAAATACAAGGAATAGGGCTTTTATTTGTATAGTTCCAATACCTAGCAAAATGACAACAATATGGTAGGTGAGCAACAAAATTTAAATTAAATGAATGCTTGTGATAACCATTTAAATCAAGCCCTCAAACATTCCCTGTATCCTTCGTACAACATTTCTGGCCAATGATCACTGAAGGCATCCACCGTTACATTACTGGTAATACCTTACTGATCACCTCCTAAATGCCAGGCACAGATATAAATACTTACTAATTTGCCATATTTAATACTCGCAGAATCTCTAAAAATAGATATATTATAGCTGAGGAAAAACCGAGTAACTTATCTAAGGTAACATACTCCAGAATTCAACATTAAAGGCATTCTGAATCCAGAGATATTCGATGTAGATTATAATATATCCATTCCCATTACTGTTACCTTTGTTTGGCCCTTTATAACTATCCATTGTTAGACGGAAAATTACACCTTGACTTTCCTGACCCTAGCTTGACAAATTGGATATTTTCTCCAAGCCAAGCCAAACTAATACAAGCAAGTGGTTCTTCCTGACTCCTGTTATTTCTGCTCTTTCCAATTCCTTCCCGATATGAAATGTATAGCCTGCTTTTATTACACAATGTAATAAATTTGTCAACTTCTGCTTAAATAAGGAGTCTTTCAACAAGCTCTGACAACTTCAAATTTCTTTCTTTCATACTTACATTTAAACACATAAAATTTAGTAAAATATTTTAAAAACCAGTTGCAGAATCTTACTTGTCAGCATAAATCCAAAGATAGATTTCATCTATGTAAGAGTTTTGCTAAGTTGGTCCTGCTCCCAGCTGTGAAATCCCATAGTCAGAGAAGTCAGTAATGTCCTAAGCCTAGAGGCAGTCTGGTCTGCCAAAATGTATTCCAGTTTTGGAGGTGGAATCATTGAGTTTTCAATTGCATGTAACCCATATGCTGTTTTTCCTGGTTTTAGAGTTCTTGATTAGACTGAGGAACGAAGAAGAGCTCTGTTTGAAGGACAGTGTCTTTAAATAGAAGACAGGCTTCTAGTCTCAAAAACATAAATATTTCATCTATTTGCATATGGGATTAAATAATTGTAGATTTAAGTTCATGTAATCAAATTCCCTTTCTCACCAACCTTGCAAATGACTTCCTCAGAAATGCTTCAGAAAGAGGAAAATAATTTTTAGTAAGATAAGTAACTTGCCCAAGTCACAAAGCTACATTTCAAATGTAGATCTAAATGATTCCAGAGCCTAAATTCGGAACTATTTAGATCTTACCTTGTGCATGCCCACTTTCAACATCTTAGGACTGCTAAATTTTTTCTTTTTGTTTCAGGTTAAGCATTCTCAAATTCCATAAGCTTTCCTTATATAATGTGCCCAAACTTTGTACTCACCAGTGGTCCCCAATCCTGCTTAGTAAGAAAGTATTTTAAAGAAGGAAAGCTCTTTGATCCAAGTATAAGAGATTTTTGACAGAGATAATCAAATCTATAATAATTTGAGAAGTTCAATGTCATTTAAATTCCAGCATATAAATGTCAATATTAGAGACTTTTAAAATATTATTTGTGTTTAATAATCTACCCCCAATAAAATCATACAGCAAACAATTTAAACTTGAATGAAATGAAAAACCTACCTTAGACATCTCTCTTATAATTTATCATAGAGGATAATAGATCATTTGGTCCAGCCTCTTGCATTTAAGAGAAAGTTGTTAAGTATTCATTTGAAAACATAGCATTTAGTACCTATTAATTTGCGAAGACCTCTGCTATTTGATTTATTTTGAATTATACCTCTTCAACACCCTGAACTCCAATAATTCTTTGATCTCAAAAGGATCTACAACTCACTATTGATCTTGCCTACCCTTCAATGTTCATTATCCTTCTTAAGCCTTCACTCCGACCTTATTCAGCTTATATTTCCAGTTCAGCTTTAGAATCACTTATTGGGATATCTCTATATTCCCTTGTACATGTACCTGCCACCATACTTGACTGGAGCAACTCCAGCTTTGGCTAATTCTACCTGTCTGCCTAATTTACACCTGTGCCTGGGCCACTCAACAGGGCTGGATCAAACACAAAACACTACTGACTGGCTTTACTTAAATTTATTATCACAAACCTTATATAGCTTCAATTTACTTCTGGCCAATACCACAACTACATTTTATTCATCAATTTACTCTCCCACTCTCCAAAATAATAATAATAAGTTGTTTAAATGTTCAAAGACGGGGTCTTAGCAGATTTCCTTTAAAACTCATCCTAGTTTTATAATTTAAAAAGCACCTTTAAAAATTTGCCATTAATCTTTTAAGACTTGGTTCATTGTTATTCTTAGAGTTCTCCAGGCCATCTAGCTAGTCCTTTTTCCATGCTTTAAGAATCCCCATTTTTTGCATTCATCTCAATGCATGCTATATTACATTGCTTTTAAAAGTTTTTCTGTTTATTTATCTTCCCCCCTCACCCTGCTCTCTCTTTTAAATGGCATTCCCTCATTAGGTAATTAGATTCCTAAGGATAAGAGTTTCAAGGACTGTGCTGTGTTTTGTTTGTTTTTATATCCCGGGGTTTTTCAAGAAGCCCGGCACTATATCCCATATTGTACTGCGGTTATCCGTCCGGTTTTAATACCTTCCTCTCACCCCAACTGCAATATTTTCCTCCACAGTGAGACCTGTGAGAGCAAGGGTTGTGTAGCATGTAGTTGATTCCACTGCTAGAATTATGCCTGGTACATTATAAATAGTAAGCAAGTGTTTGTAGAAAGCATAGCAAACCAAGAAAAACGTAAGTTCTTCCATTTAACATGTTTTTGTTGAGCATATATTCTGTTCTTGTCATGAGAAAAATTTTTGGGATAGTGCAGTGAACAAGAACACAAAAAAAATCCTATAAAGGAAATGTAAAGATGGACACTAAGAAAAGTAAATGAACCCTAAAATGTGTTAGAGCAAGATAGGCTAAATTGAATATTAGATAAGGTTCTCTGGGTGAGCCTTACTGAGAAGAGGACTTTAGAGCAATGATCTGAAAGAGATGAAGGTGCTCCCTAGGTGGCTCTCTGGGGGGGAAGCATTCTGAGCAGTGGGAATAGTGTGGCATCCTTCATAAAAATGGAAGCCTTTGGAGGGTTTTGAACGGAAGGATGAGGTTCTCTGATTTATGTTAAAATACACAAGTGAAAATACAGGAGAATATAATCAGTGGTAAAATGTCCTGCAATAGATTATTAAACACTCATCTCTACTGGTTCTGTGCTTTAGTAGTAAGTGACCCATGCAAAGTAAAAGTTGCCCTTGTTGCAGATAACATATTTAGTAGATGAATAAATGAACTAATGAACTTGAATGACAGGTTGCCAAGGGGATAACCTATCAGGATTCATTACAAAAGAGGCTTGTCTTTATGTGGGAATCAGGGGCAACAAATCTAGTTATTAGCTTTGGCAGCCTCTTATTTTTGAGTTTTTTTTAGGAAGCCAGAGCTCCCAAACAGGATTCTTCTGTGCACTTTATCTAATGTTCTTGAATAACAAAATCAGTGCATATCCGGTTTGCTAAATATATCCACTAGCTCTTTCCTTGATGCAAATAACTTACACATTTTAATAAAAGCATGTTAGCTCTTTGTTATGACTTTATTTAAAGCATAATCCTCTGGAATTATTAATTACCATTACTTTGGCATGTTACATTTTTCTTAGCCTAGATACTGTTTGGAAAACATGCCAAAAATAGTTAAACTTAAAATAGAAATATGTTCAATCCAAGAATCTTAGAAGACAATATGAGCTCCAGGCATTCACTTTATGTCCTTCCACATGCCTTTTAAAATGTTGTTATCAACCATATTTCCAGCTCTCTAGGGGGAGAAAATAGCTCACATATAAGAAATGTAGGTGCTTTTTGTTTTAGTATAAGTAAAAATTACGCTTCAGTTAGAGCATTAAGAACAAATAAGATTTAGTATTTTTGTTTTAAAAATGACAGTCTGTTTAAAATATATGTACCTTGTTTTTGTTGACATAATTATGATTAATGTGATATGACAGTCTTCGGATGACATTTTTAATAAGCCAGGTTGCTGATGTTAGGACCCTTTTATAGTAAACCCTTTATTTTGAGATAATTGTAGACTCACATGCAATTGTGAGAAATATATAGAGAGGTCTCAAATACTCTTTACCAGTTTTTCCTCAAATGGTAACCTTTTACAAAACTATGTACAAATTATAGCCAGTGTAGTGACACTAATACAGTCAAGAACAGAGCAGCTCCACCACCACAAAGATCCTTCATGTTTACTTTTTAGAGCATTCACTTCCCTACCCACTACGTCCCTGACCCCTGACAACCACTAACCTGTTCTCCATTCCTATAAATTTGTCACTTCAAGAATGTTCTATAAATGGAACTATACAAATATGACTTTCCGGGTTTGGCTTTTTCACTTAGCATTATTCTCTGGTGATTTATATAGGTTGTTGGCTGTATCAATATCTCTGTCCCCTGATATGGATATACCATCCACTGAAGTTTAAACATTGACCAATTGAAGGATGCCTGATCTGATTCTGGTTTTTGATTATGACAAATAATTCTGCTGTGAACATTCTAGCACTTTTTGTGTGTGCAAGCAGAAGTTTTCATTTCTCTAGGATAAATGCCCAGGAGAGTGATTGCTGTATTGTATGATAGTGGAAAATGTAGTTTGGCAATTTTTTTTTCCACCAAGAAACCTTAACATTGTCTCCTGGAGTTATGTAAAATAACCTAGCAGGTTATTTTACATTTTCATGAATAATGTATAAATGACTGGTGGTGGTTTTATTTATTTATTTATTTATGTTCTCATTTTAGCCATCCTGCTAAGGGTATAGTGCTATCTCACTGTGGTTTTAATTTGCATTTCCCTGGTGGCCAATAATGTTGGAATTTTTTTATGTGCTTTTTTTTCATCAGTATATTCCCTTCAGTGAAATGTCTGACCAGGACTTTGCCCATATACTAATGAGCATTCTTTTTAAACATTGAGTTTTAAGTCTTTCTATATTCTAGATAGTAATCCTTTGTTCAATACGTGGTTTGCAAATATCTTCTCCCAGTCTGTAGCTTATTTTTTGTTGATTTTCTTTAATTCTTTTAGGGTCTTGTACAGAGCAGTTTTTAATTTTGTTGAAGCTCTATTTACAATTTTTTTCCTTTTATTAATCTTGTATTTGGTGTCAAATTTAAGTGCTCTTTGCCTAGTCCAAAGTCATGAAAACTTTGTTCTATTTTTTCCTAAAATTTTAAAATAATTTCAAGTTGTACATTTAAGTCCATGATCCAGCTTGAATTATGAGGTTTAGATTGAGATTCGTTTCTTTTTTCTTTGCCCACTGATGATGACTTACTCCAATATCACTTATTAAAAAGGCTATGAATTGAATTGTTTTAATACCTTTGTCAAAAATCAGTTGGGCATATTTATGTGGTTTTGTTTCTGAGTTTTTTGTTCCATTCCATTGACCTGTGTCTGTTCCTCTGCCAGTATAACATATTGTGGACTATTGTAATTATATAATAAAACTTGAAACCAGGGAGACTGACTTATTTTTCCTTTTCAAAATTGTTTAGCTAGTCTAGTTCCGTTTTTTAATTATTGTTATACTTTAAGTTTTAGGGTACGTGTGCACAACATGCAGGTTTGTTACATATGTATACATGTGCCATGTTGGTGTGCTGCACCCATTAACTCCTCATTTAGCATTAGGTATCTCTCCTAATGCTATCCCTCCCCCTTCCCCTCACCCCACAACAGGCCCCAGTGTGTGATGTTCCCCTTCCTGTGTCCATGTGTTCTCATTGTTCAATTCCCACCTGTGAATGAGAACATGCAGTGTTTGGTTTTTTGTCCTTGCGATAGTTTGCTGAGAATGATGGTTTCCAGCTTCATCCATGTCCCTACAAAGGACATGAACTCATCATTTTTTATGGCTGCATAGTATTCCATGGTGTATATGTGACACATTTTCTTAATCTAGTCTATCATTGTTGGACATTTGGGTTGGTTCCAAGTCTTTGCTATTGTGAATAGTGCCACAATAAACATACATGTGCATGTGTCTTTATAGCAGCATGATTTATGATCCTTCGGGTATATACCCAGTAATGGGATGGCTGGGTCAAATGGAATTTCTAGTTCTAGATCCCTGAGGAGTCGCCACACTGACTTCCACAATGGTTGAACTAGTTTACAGTCCCACCAACAGTGTAAAAGTGTTCCTATTTTTCCACATCCTCTCCAGCACCTGCTGTTTCCTGACTTTTTAATGATCACCATTCTAACTGGTATGAGATGGTATCTCATTGTGGTTTTCATTTACATTTCTCTGATGGCCAGTGATGATGAGAAATTTTTCATGTGTTTTTTGGCTGCATAAATGTCTTCTTTTGAGAAGTGTCTGTTCATATCCTTCACCCACTTTTTGATGGAGTTGTTTCTTTCTTGTAAATTTGTTTGAGTTCATTGTAGGTTCTGGATATTGTTAGCCCTTTGTAAGATGAGTAGGTTGCAAAAATTTTCTCCCATTCTGTAGGTTGCCTGTTCACTCTGATGGTAGTTTCTTTTGCTGTGCAGAAGCTCTTTAGTTTAATTAGATTCCATTTGTCAATTTTGTCTTTTGTTGCCATTGCTTTTGGTGTTTTAGACATGAAGTCTTTGCCCATGCCTATGTCCTGAATGATATTGCCTAGGTTTTCTTCTAGGGTTTTGATGGTTTTAGGTCTAACATGTAAGTCTTTAATCCGTCTTGAATTGATTTTTGTATAAGGTGTAAGGAAGGGATCCAGTTTCAGCTTTCTACATATGGCTAGCCAGTTTTCCCAGCACCATTTATTAAATAGGGAATCCTTTCCCCATTTCTTGTTTTTGTCAGGTTTGTCAAAGATCGGATAGTTGTAGACATGCGGCATTCTAGTTCCTTTACCTTTCCATATGCATTTTAGAATAATCTTGTCTATATATAGAAAAAGCCTGTATACTTTGTAGATTTATACACCATTTTTTAGTGATTGTAAATGGTAATTTTTTATTTTCAATGTCCATATGCTCATTGCTAGTATATAAAAATACATTTGATTTTTATGTTTATCATGAATACTGAAGCTTTGCTGAACTCACTTGTCAGTTTTAGGAGTATTTTTGTAGATTCCTTGGGATTATCTATTTAGACTGCCATGCCATCTCCTAATGGAAACAGTTTTATTGCTTCATCTCTAATCTTAGTTTTACCTCTTATTTACTTATATTGCCTGTTGCACTGGCTAGAACATCTAGTGCTATTTTGAATAATGGGAAGATTGGTCAGCCTTGCCTTGTTCCTAATCTTAGACTAAAGCATTTGGTCTTTCAACATGAAGTATAACATTTACTGCTGGTTTTTTGGAGATGCTCTTTATCAAGCATCAAGCTGAGTAATTTCTCTCTATTCCTATATTCCTGAGAGTTGGGTTTTTTAAATCAATGAATTTATGTTGATTTTTATCAAATGGTATCTCTGCGTTCATTGATATGATCATGTCATATGGTATATTACATTGATTGATTTTCAAATATCACTCCAACCTCGCATCCCTGGAATAAACACCACTTGGTCATGGTGTATAAACTGCTGAATTCGTTTTTATGTACTGCTGAATTCTACCTAATAATATTTTGTTAAAAACTTTTGTGGTTATATTTGCAAGGTAGTTTCTCCCTCCCTCCCCCTCTTCCTTCCTTCCTTCCTTCTTTACTGCTCGCTTCTCCTCTCTCTCTCTTTACTATTTTTCTTCTCTCTCCGCCTCTCATATTTTTCTTCTCCTGCCCCCTCTCATTTTTTTTTGTTATTAGTTTTCATACCAGGGAATACTTTCTTTGGTTTTGGTATCATGAATGTACTATATTCATAAAGCATATTGAGAAGTACTCCCTACTCTTCTCTTTTCTGAAAGAGAATGTATAAAATATATTTGAACTCTTCCTTAATGCTTGATAAATTTCTCCAGGGAAATCATCCTGGCCTGGAGATGACTTTTTTGAGTTTACATTATAAAGTCAATGTTATTAATAGTTATAGGATGTTGAAGTTATCTATTTATATTTAAGTATTTGAGTAAATTGTGATTGTCTATGCATTTCATGGAATTGATTAATTTCCTCAAAGTTTTCAAGTATGTGTTTGTAGCGCTATTTGTAGTATCCCCTTACTATTCCTTTAATATTTGAAGGCTCTGTATTGATGTTGCACATTTCAGTCATGATGGTGGTAATTCATGAATTCATGTCCTCTCTCTCTCTGTCTCATTTTTTTCAGTCTTCTTAGAGGATTGTCAATTTTACTGATTTTTTTAAATGAAGTAACTGATTTTCTCTATTTTTTATTTTCAAGTTTATTAATTTTTGTTATTATATTTATTATTTTCTTTCTGTTTGCTTTGCATTTATTTTGCTCTTTCTTTTGAGGTGGAAAGTCATGCTACTGATTTAAGATTTTTCTCTTCTTTCATTCTTTTTTTTTTTTTTTTTAATTTTGAGACAGAGTTTCACTCTTGTTGCCCAGGCTGGAGTACAGTGGCGCAATCTTGGCTCAGTGCAACCTCCGCCTCTTGGGTTCAAGTGATTCTCCTGCCTCAGCCTCCCAAGTAGCTGGGATTACAGGCACCTGCCACAAAGCCCAGCTAATTTTTTTGTATTTTTAGTAGAGCTGGGGTTTCTCCATGTTGGCCAGGCTGGTCTTGAACTCCTGACCTCAGGTGATCTACCTGCCTCAGCCTCCCAAACTGCTGGGATTACAGGTGTGAGCCACTGCACCCATCCAGAGATTTTCTTCTTTTCTAATAAAATCATTTAATGCTATTCATTTCTCAGCACTGTGTTAGCTGTGTTCCACAAATTTTGTTATATTGTCAACTTAGTTCAATGATTTAAAAAAGTTCTATCTTGATACTTCCTTTTTAGCATGTAGATTATTTAGCAGTGTATTGTTTAATATTTATGTGTTTGAGATTTTCTTGGTATCTTTCTGTTACTGATTATGTTTTGATTCCATTGTGGTCAAACAACACATTCTGCATGATTTCAAGTCTTTCAAGTTTGTTGTGGTTTGTTTTCTATCTTAGTGTATGTTCCAAAGGCACGTGAAAAAGAAGAACGTATTCTTCTCTTGGATGGAATGTTCTATAAATGCCAATTAGATGTTTTACTAGATATGTTTGTCTATATCCTTACTGATTTTATGTCTAGTTCTGTCAATTTTTGAGAGCGTGGCATGGAAGTACCCCACTAAAATGTGGTTTTGTCCCTTTTTCTTTTAAATTGTATCAGCTTTTGCTTCACATTACTAGAAGATTTGTTGTTGGTTGCATATAACTTTAGGATTGGGTTGTCCTCTTTTTTATCATTCTGTAGTATAATGACCTGATGTATCATCATTCAAATTTGACAAGTAATTAGTTGCAGCCATAGATAGTGTCAGAATTGTTATAACTTGATTTGTGTTGCATGGCTTATGAAGCCCAAGTACACCAAATACCATTTCTTCTCTTCAGAAGTGCTCAGAGATGTCCTTTGGAAGTTTATCAGTATTGTTCTTCTCCAAAGGAAGAACATATTTCTCATGGATTTCAGAGATAAAGACACAGCTGTAATCAAATTGTGTGTATGGAAAATAGGCCATTTTGTAGTAAAATTATCCCACAGGGTTTATCATGCTGAGTTGAACTGTGAAACTAATACGTTGGGTGATAATTAAAACTGTCCTAAAAAACGTGAAGCTGTAAGATCTCATACAAGCATACATTTACTTTGACTAGCAGCTATATACTCTTGTTTCTCTGTGAGGTTTTTCTTTTTTTTTTCTTTTCTTTTTTCTTTCTTTGGTTATGGTTTTGATGACCATTTCTGAGGGAGATGTCAATTTCTGGAAAGTCTTTGGATGAAGGATTCAGGTGAGGAAAGCAGCCATATGGTTCTTCCTCTTTCCATGCCCAGAGCCCCAATATGTAATCATTCTTCTTATACATTTGTAGATATTTTATTTGGAATTTCAAGATTTGAGTTTTGCTGGGTACCCTTCACATGTCTGATACAACCTATATACCATTTTTCAATCATATCATTAGAAATGAGAACTGATATTTAGAAAATGTCAAATGATTTACATCCTACAGATTGCAGCAGCCATCATAGTTGTCAAGTCCAGAGAATCTTTAATTGTCCTTGCCCAAGAATATATTCTACAACATTGGTGCACACCACTTCAGTACCTTATACCATGTACTTCACTGGCCTTTTTTTTTTTTTTTTTTTTTTTTTTGAGATGGAGTCTCGCTCTTGTTGCCAGGCTGGAGTGCAGTGGCATGATCTCAGCTCATTGCAACCTCTACCTCCCGGGTTCAAGTGATTCTTCTGCCTCGGCCTCCCTAGTAGCTGGGACTACAGGTGCCTGCAAACACGCCCGGCTAATTTTTTGTATTTTAGTAGAGATGGGGTTTCATCATGTTGGCCAGGATAGTCTTGATCTCCTGACCTTGTGATCCACCTCCCTTGGCCTCCCGAAGTGCTGGGATTACAGGCATGCTCCACCGTGCCTGGTCACTGGCCTTATTTTAACTCATATGTTCACTTTTGCTCTGTACAACCAATTCTTGCTGGATCTCTTATTTCATATCTTGTTACATGTGGATGCTATAATAACTGTCTCCTATTCTCTCCTCAAATTACTCTATGATTTTTAAAGCTTAGTTTCAGTATCATCATTGTTCTGGGAATTTTTCTAACCAGGCTCATGCTCACAATTCTCAAAGTTTAGGAGCTCTACAGCTAGACCATTTTGCTCATTTCTTTATCTCCAGGGTTTGGCAATTTATAGGTAAGTAATAAACATTCTTTAAATAATTTCATTTTAGTTATGGTTATGGGAAGGAATGAAAGCATAGGTAAATGTTATGAGGATAAACTAAGAAGCAAGCTATAGGTGAAGCATTCCCTAAAACAATTAAGATAACTAAAACCATAATGTACAGTAACAGGGAAGCTCTATAGATATCAATAGAACTTCAACCCCCACCAGTCCTTGGATCTTGATCTTATGGAACCTCATACATACTTGAGACAATGATTTTGTAAAAAAACAAAACAAAACAAAAAGAACTTTCTGATATAAAGTAAATTAAAATCTTAATCTGAGTTAAATCCAAATCATCCCAGGAACACCAACAAAGTGTTTTACTGTTTTTTTTTTTTTTTTTCTGTAATGCTTTAATTCAGTGGCTTTCAAAGAATGACCATGGCTAACTCTGCTGTCTCCAAGATTCTCTCAGAGGATTCACAATGTCTATATTATTGTCATATCAATACTTTGCAGCAATTGTAATATATATATATATATATATATATATATATATATATATATAATCAGTTAAAGTGATAAATAATAATAATGGGTTTTTGTGTCAGGCACCCTACCAGGTACTTAAAAATACTTTCTCTCTTTTTGTGAAAAATGCTATTGGAATTTTGATAGGGATTGCATTTAATGTGTAGATTGCTTTGAGTAATATTAACATTTTAACAATATTAATTCTTCTAATCCATGAACTCAGGATATCTGTTAATTTATTTGTGTCTTTTTTAAATATCTTTCATCAGTGTCTCATTGTTTTCCTTGTATGTATCTTCTACCTCCTTGGTTAAATATATTCCCAAGCATTTAATTCTTTTTATAGTTTATTCTATTTTAAATAAGATTATATTCTTATTTTTTTTGGGGGGGATGGTTCATTGTTAGTAACTGAATGCTGCTGATTTTTGTATATTGCTTTTATATTATAAAACTTTACTGAGGTTGGTACAGTGCTTTGTATCAGTAATCCCAGTACTTTCGGAGGCCAAAGCGAGAGAGTTGCTTGAGCCTAGGAGCTTGAGACCAGCCTGGGCAACATATGGAGGTAACTACAAAAAGTCAAAACAACTAGTTGGGTATGGTGGCTCAAGCCTGTCATTCCACGTACTCAGGAGGCTAAGGTGAGAGGATCACTTCATCACTGCATCTCAGGGCTACAGCGAGCCATGATTACATCACTGCACTCCAGCCTGGACAACAGAGTGAGACCCTGTCTCAAAAAACAAACAAACTAAAAACACCAGAAATAAAACCAGAAAAAAAATTTACTGAATTCATTTATAGTTCTCATATCTTTTCAGTGGGGTCTTTAGGGTTTTCTATATATAATATTACATTACCTTTACACAGAAACAGTTTGTCTTTGAGAACCAAAAAAGACTCTGAATAGCCAAAGCAATTTTGAGAAAGATCAAAGCTGGAGGCATCACATTCCTTGATTTCAAACTATATTACAAAGCTACTATAATTTAGAAAGTATGGTACTCAGTTCAAAACAGACGTATTTACTAATAGCACAAAATAGAGAGCCCAGAGTTAAACACACATATATGGTCAACTAATCTTTAATAAGGGTACCAAGAACACACAATGATGGAAGAAAAGTCTCCTCAATAACTGCCACTGGGAAAAATGGATATCCATATATAAAAGAATGAAACTGGACACTTGTCTTTTTTTTTTTTTTTTTTGAGACAGAGTCTCACTCTGTCCTCCAGGCTGGAGTGCAGTGGCACAATCTCGGCTCACTGCAAGCTCTGCCTCCTGGACTCACGCCCTTCTTCTGCCTTAGCCTACGGAGGAGCTAGGACTACAGGCGCCCGCCAGGATGCCCAGCTAATTTTTTTGTATTTTCAGTAGAGGTGGGTTTCACTATGTTAGATAGGATGATCTTTTTTTTTATTTATTTTTTATTTTTTTATTATTTTATTTATTTTATTTATTATACTTTAAGTTCTAGGGTACATGTGCACAACGTGCAGGTTTGTTACATATGTATACATGTGCCATGTTGGTGTGCTACACCCATTAACTCGTCATTTACATTCGGTATATCTTCTACTGCTATCCCTCCCCCCTCCCCCACCCCACGACAGGCCCCGGTGTGTGATGTTCCCCTTGCTATGTCCAAGTGTTCTCATTGTTCAATCCACACCTATGAGTGAGAACACGTGGTGCTTGGTTTTTTGTCCTTGCGATAGTTTGCTGAGAATGATGGTTTCCAGCTTCATCCATGTCCCTACAAAGGACATGAACTCATCATTTTTTATGGCTGCATAGTATTCCATGGTGTATATGTGACACATTTTCTTAATCTAGTCTATCACTGTTGGACATTTGGGTTGGTTCCAAGTCTTTGCTATTGTGAATAGTGCCACAATAAACATACATGTGCATGTGTCTTTATAGCAGCATGATTTATAATCCTTCGGGTATATACCCAGTAATGGGTTGGCTGGGTCAAATGGAATTTCTAGTTCTAGATCCCTGAGGAGTCACCACACTGACTTCCACAATGGTTGAACTAGTTTACAGTCCCACCAACAGTGTAAAAGTGTTCCTATTTTTCCACATCCTCTCCAGCACCTGCTGTTTCCTGACTTTTTAATGATCACCATTCTAACTGGTATGAGATGGTATCTCATTGTGGTTTTCATTTACATTTCTCTGATGGCCAGTGATGATGAGAAATTTTTCATGTGTTTTTTGGCTGCATAAATGTCTTCTTTTGAGAAGTGTCTGTTCATATCCTTCACCCACTTTTTGATGGAGTTGTTTGTTTCTTTCTTGTAAATTTGTTTGAGTTCATTGTAGGTTCTGGATATTATTAGCCCTTTGTCAGATGAGTAGGTTGCAAAAATTTTCTCCCATTCTGTAGGTTGCCTGTTCACTCTGATGGTAGTTTCTTTTGCTGTACAGAAGCTCTTTAGTTTAATTAGATCCCATTTGTCAATTTTGTCTTTTGTTGCCATTGCTTTTGGTGTTTTAGACATGAAGTCCTTGCCCATGCCTATGTCCTGAATGGTACTGCCTGGGTTTTCTTCTAGGGTTTTTATGGTTTTAGGTCTAACGTTTAAGTCTTTAATCCATCTTGAATTGATTTTTGTATAAGGTGTAAGGAAGGGATCTAGTTTCAGCTTTCTACATATGGCTAGCCAGTTTTCCCAGCACCATTTATTAAATAGGGAATCCTTTCCCCATTTCTTGTTTTTGTCAGGTTTGTCAAAGATCACATAGTTGTAGATATGCGGCGTTATTTCTGAGGGCTCTGTTCTGTTCCATTGATCTATATTTCTGTTTTGGTACCAGTACCATGCTGTTTTGGTTACTGTAGCCTTGTAGTATAGTTTGAAGTCAGGTAGTGTGATGCCTCCAGCTTTGTTCTTTTGGCTTAGGATTGAGTTGGTGATGCAGGCTCTTTTTTGGTTCCATATGAACTTTAAAGTAGTTTTTTCCAATTCTGTGAAGAAAGGCATTGGTAGCTTGATGGGGATGGCATTGAATCTATAAATTACCTTGGGCAGTATGGCCGTTTTCACGATATTGATTCTTCCTACCCATGAGCATGGAATGTTATTCCATTTGTTTGTATCCTCTTTTATTTCCTTGAGCAGTGGTTTGTAGTTCTCCTTGAAGAGGTCCTTCACATCCCTTGTAAGTTGGATTCCTAGGTATTTTATTCCTTTGAAGCAATTGTGAATGGGAGTTCACTCATGATTTGACTCTCTGTTTGTCTGTTGTTGGTGTATAAGAATGCTTGTGATTTTTGTACATTGATTTTGTATCCTGAGACTTTGCTGAAGTTGCTTATCAGCTTAAGGAGATTTTGGGCTGAGACAATGGGGTTGTCTAGATACACAATCATGTCGTCTGCAAAGAGGGACAATCAGACTTCCTCTTTTCCTAATTGAATACCCTTTATTTCCTTCTCCTGCCTAATTGCCCTGGCCAGAATTTCCAACACTATGTTGAATAGGAGTGGTGAGAGAGGGCATCTCTGTCTTGTGCCAGTTTTCAAAGGGAATGCTTCCAGTTTTTGCCCATTCAGTACGATATTGGCTGTGGGTTTGTCATAGATAGCTCTTATTATTTTGAAATATGTCCCATCAATACCTAATTTATTGAGAGTTTTTAGCATGAAGGGTTGTTGAATTTTGTCAAAGGCCTTTTCTGCATCTATTGAGATAATCATGTGGTTTTTGTCTTTGGCTCTGTTTATATGCTGGATTACGTTTATTGATTTGCGTATATTGAACCAGCCTTGCATCCCAGGGATGAAGCCCACTTGATCATGGTGGATAAGCTTTTTGATGTGCTGCTGGATTCGTTTTGCCAGTATTTTATTGAGGATTTTTGCATCAATGTTCATCAAGGATATTGGTCTAAAATTCTCTTTTTTGGTTGTGTCTCTGCCAGGCTTTGGTATCAGAATGATGCTGGCCTCATAAAATGAGTTAGGGAGGATTCCCTCTTTTTCTATTGATTGGAATAATTTCAGAAGGAATGGTACCAGTTCCTCCTTGTACCTCTGGTAGAATTCAGCTGTGAATCCATCTGGTCCTGGACTCTTTTTGGTTGGTAAGCTATTGATTATTGCCACAATTTCAGATCCTGTTATTGGTCTATTCAGAGATTCAACTTCTTCCTGGTTTAGTCTTGGGAAAGTGTATGGGTCGAGGAATTTATCCATTTCTTCTAGATTTTCGAGTTTATTTGCATAGAGGTGTTTGTAGTATTCTCTGATGGTAGTTTGTATTTCTGTGGGATCGGTGGTGATATCCCCTTTATCATTTTTTATTGCATCTATTTGATTCTTCTCTCTTTTTTTCTTTATTAGTCTTGCTAGCAGTCTATCAATTTTGTTGATCCTTTCAAAAAACCAGCTCCTGGATTCATTAATTTTTTGAAGAGTTTTTTGTGTCTCTACTTCCTTCAGTTCTGCTCTGATTTTAATTATTTCTTGCCTTCTGCTAGCTTTTGAATGTGTTTGCTCTTGCTTTTCTAGTTCTTTTAATTGTGATGTTAGGGTGTCAATTTTGGATCTTTCCTGCTTTCTCTTGTGGGCATTTAGTGCTATAAATTTCCCTCAAAGCACTGCTTTGAATGCGTCCCAGAGATTCTGGTATGTTGTGTCTTTGTTCTCGTTGGTTTCAAAGAACATCTTTATTTCTGCCTTCATTTCGTTATGTACCCAGTAGTCATTCAGGAGCAGGTTGTTCAGTTTCCATGTAGTTGAGCGGTTTTGAGTGAGATTCTTAATCCTGAGTTCTAGTTTGATTGCACTGTGGTCTGAGAGATAGTTTGTTATAATTTCTGTTCTTTTACATTTGCTGAGGAGAGCTTTACTTCCAAGTATGTGGTCAATTTTGGAATAGGTGTGGTGTGGTGCTGAAAAAAATGTATATTCTGTTGATTTGGGATGGAGAGTTCTGTAGATGTCTATTAGGTCCGCTTGGTGCAGAGCTGAGTTCAATTCCTGGGTATCCTTGTTGACTTTCTGTCTTGTTGATCTGTCTAATGTTGACAGTGGGGTGTTAAAGTCTCCCATTATTAATGTGTGGTAGTCTAAGTCTCTTTGTAGGTCACTCAGGACTTGATTTATGAATCTGGGTGCTACTGTATTGGGTGCATATATATTTAGGATAGTTAGCTCTTCTTGTTGAATTGATCCCTTTACCATTATGTAATGGCCTTCTTTGTCTCTTTTGATCTTTGTTGGTTTAAAGTCTGTTTCATCAGAGACTAGGATTGCAACCCCTGCCTTTTTTTGTTTTCCATTTGCTTGGTAGATCTTCCTCCATCCTTTTATTTTGAGCCTATGTGTGTCTCTGCACGTGAGATGGGTTTCCTGAATACAGCACACTGATGGGTCTTGACTCTTCATCCAATTTGTCAGTCTGTGTCTTTTAATTGGAGCATTTAGTCCATTTACATTTAAAGTTAATATTGTTATGTGTGAATTTGATCCTGTCATTATGATGTTAGCTGGTTATTTTGCTCATTAGTTGATGCAGTTTCTTCCTAGTCTCGATGGTCTTTACATTTTGGCATGATTTTGCAGCGGCTGGTACCGGTTGTTCCTTTCCATGTTTAGCACTTCCTTCAGGAGCTCTTTTAGGGCAGGCCTGGTGGTGACAAAGTCTCTCAGCATTTGCTTGTCTGTAAAGGATTTTATTTCTCCTTCACTTATGAAGCTTAGTTTGGCTGGATATGAAATTCTTGGTTGAAAATTCTTTTCTTTAAGAATGTTGAGTATTGGCCTCCACTCTCTTCTGGCTTGTAGGGTTTCTGCCGAGAGATCCGCTGTTAGTCTGATGGGCTTCCCTTTGAGGGTAACCCGACCTTTCTCTCTGGCTGCCCTTAACATTTTTTCCTTCATTTCAACTTTGGTGAATCTGACAGTTATGTGTCTTGGAGTTGCTCTTCTCGAGGAGTATCTTTGTGGCGTTCTCTGTATTTCCTGAGTCTGAATGTTGGCCTGCCTTGTTAGATTGGGGAAGTTCTCCTGGATAATATCCTGCAGAGTGTTTTCCAACTTGGTTCCATTCTCCCCGTCACTTTCAGGTACACCAATCAGACGTAGATTTGGTCTTTTCACATAGTCCCATATTTCTTGGAGGCTTTGCTCATTTCTTTTTATTCTTTTTTCTCTAAACTTCCCTTCTCGCTTCATTTCATTCATTTCATCTTCCATCGCTGGTACCCTTTCTTCCAGTTGATTGCATCGGCTACTGAGGCTTCTGCATTCTTCGCGTAGTTCTCGAGCCTTGGTTTTCAGCTCCATCAGCTCCTTTAAGCACTTCTCTGTATTGGTTATTCTAGTTATACATTCTTCTAAATTTTTTTCAAAGTTTTCAACTTCTTTGCCTTTGGTTTGAATGTCCTCCCGTAGCTCAGAGTAATTTGATCGTCTGAAGCCTTCTTCTCTCAGCTCGTCAAAGTCGTTCTCCGTCCAGCTTTGTTCCGTTGCTGGTGAGGAACTGCATTCCTTTGGAGGAGGAGAGGCCCTCTGCTTTTTAGAGTTTCCAGTTTTTCTGTTCTGTTTTTTCCCCATCTTTGTGGTTTTATCTACTTTTGGTCTTTGATGATGGTGATGTACAGATGGGTTTTTGGTGTGCATGTCCTTTCTGTTTGTTAGTTTTCCTTCTAACAGACAGGACCCTCAGCTGCAGGTCTGTTGGAGTACCCTGCCGTGTGAGGTGTCAGTGTGCCCCTGCTGGGGGGTGCCTCCCAGTTAGGCTGCTCGGGGGTCAGGGGTCAGGGATCCACTTGAGGAGGCAGTCTGCCCATTCTCAGATCTCCAGCTGCGTGCTGGGAGAACCACTGCTCTCTTCAAAGCTGTCAGACAAGGACATTTAAGTCTGCAGAGGTTACTGCTGTCTTTTTGTTTGTCTGTGCCCTGCCCCCAGAGGTGGAGCCTACAGAGGCAGGCAGGCCTCCTTGAGCTGTGGTGGGCTCCACCCAGTTCGAGCTTCCTGGCTGCTTTGTTTACCTAAGCAAGCCTGGGCAATGGCGGGCGCCCCTCCCCCAACCTCGCTGCCGCCTTGCAGTTTGATCTCAGACTGCTGTGCTAGCAATCAGTGAGACTCCGTGGGCGTAGGACCCTCCGAGCCAGCTGGGGGATATAATCTCGTGGTGTGCCGTTTTTTAAGCCCGTCGGAAAAGCGCAGTATTTGGGTGGGAGTGACCCGATTTTCCAGGTGCCGTGGGTCACCCCTTTCTTTGACTAGGAAAGGGAAATCCCTGACCCCTTGCACTTCCCGAGTGAGGCAATGCCTCACCCTGCTTCGGCTTGTGCACGGTGCGCGCACCCACTGACCTGCGCCCACTGTCTGGCACTCCCTAGTGAGATGAACCCGGTACCTCAGATGGAAATGCAGAAATCACCCGTCTTCTGCCTTGCTCACGCTGGGAGCTGTAGACCGGAGCTGTTCCTATTCGGCCATCTTGGCTCCTTCCCCCGATAGGATGATCTTGATCTGACCTCTTGATCCACCCACCTCAGCCTCCCAAAGTGATGGGATTACAGGCATGAGCCACCATGCCAGGCCTGGACTCTTGTCTTACATACAAAAATTAACTAGAAGTGGATTAAAGACTTAAATGTGAGATGTGAAAACATAAAACTTCTATAGGAAAACTAGAAGGAAAGATTCTTGAAATTGGTCTTCCCAGTGATTTTTGGGGGAGGATATGATACCAAGAGTGCAAAAAAAAAAAAAAAAAAAAGCAAAAATAAACTCATCTGACTATATTAAACCAAAATTTCTGTACAGCAAAGGAAACAAGCAACAAAATAAAAAGGCAACCTATGGCTTGGAAGAGGATATTTGCAAACCACATATCTAGGAAGGGTTTAATACCAAAAATGTGTAAGGGACCCATACAACTTAGTAGCAAAAAACAAGTAACCCAAATAAAAATGAGCAAAAGAGTTGAATAAACATTTTTTCCCAAAGACTTCTTTCCAAAGAAAATATACAAATGCAAAATTATAGTATAAAATCACCACCAGGATATTGACATTAATACAGTTAAGAAAGAGAAGTGTTCCATCACCACTAGGAAACCTCATGTTATCCTTTTATAGCCACACCACTTCCTCCATTTTCTCTTTTTTCTGAACCTTGTCAACCACCAATCTGTTCTCCATCTCTATAGTATTGTCATTTCAAGAATGTTATATAAATTGAACCATACAATATATGACCTTTGGCTTTTTCACTTAGCATAACTCTCTAGAGATTATATTAGTTGTTGTATATATTAGTATCAATAGGTTGTTCTTTTTTGTTACCTAATAGTACTCCATGAGATGGATGTACCATGGTCATTTAAACGTTCATCCATTTAAGGATATCTGTAATAAGCCTGCCATAATCATTTGTGTACACATTTATATGTAAATATAATTTTTCATTTTTTAGGATAAATGCCCAGGATTGCAATTGGTGGGTTGTATAGTGGTGGAATGTTTATTTATTATTTATTATTGTTAAGAAACTGCCAAAATGTTTTCCAGAGTTGGACATACTATTTTATACTACTATCAGCAATATATAAATGATTGATATTGTAATTTTGCATTTTAGACACACTAGCAGTTATGTTTTGATAACTTACCCTGATTTTCACTTGTATTATTTTGTTAGCTAACCCTATTTGACATAGATTGATGTGCATACTTGCATCTGCAAGCATCCATACAGTAGAAAAGGACAAAAAATGCTTTAGTGTTGCTATGATAATAATACTGACATTGCAAATCTTCTGAAAGTGTCTTGGGGACACCAAAGGCATCCTTGGCCATGTTTGAAAACTGCTGAATTTAAACTTAATATGGAAAAGTGAAACATTTGGTGTTCTTGGTATGATTAGGACTTCATTTTAATTAATAATTTTTTTTATGTCAGAAAGTGTTGTTTATTAAAACATAGTCCGAAGCATACATGAGTTTTCATGAGATCAGTATACGAGGACTCATGGGGTAAGCTCAACTGTGATCCACAGACAATAAATTGTGCCTTTAGTTATCTTGATTGCTTTAGGGAATGCTTCTCTAATAGCTTGACTCTTAGTTTATACTCAGAAGAATCACCTATAATTTTTTCCATTCTCTTAATTGTGACTAAAATGAAATCATTCAAAGGATTTTTATTATGTACCTAAAATTTGCCAGAGTCTGGGGAAAAATAAATAAACAAAATTGGTTATATATGTAGGAGCATGAGTTATGGCATCTAACCTTTAGGATTGTGGGTATGAAAATAGTTTTTCCAGAGAAATGATGATACTGCAACCAAATCTTAAAAAACATGGTGAGATTAAGAGAACTGGGTGTGAGAGTGGAATGGCAGGCTTTATTCCTTTAGAGTGGGATTTATGGCTCTTGTGTATTTATTTCTTAGACTGTACCTGTATCAAAGGACTTAATAAATGATTAAGTGGAATGGAGTAAAATTGAGTACCAGATTGATGATACACATAATACTGTGATTAGAAAAAAAGTGAGTCAAATTATTAAAATGGCATTTAAAAATATCATTGATAACAACATAAAATTTATTTTCATGATTTGCCAGGTGTGTGTTCTTGAGATTTGAAGAAATTAGATGGAATGATTCTTTAGTATATGATGCCCTGGAAAATGAAAACATCCAAGTGCTGTCTCTCTGTTTCCCCAGCAGTGCTGTAATTCAAATAAATACCTTTCTTTCTCCTATAGCTTTAATAAACCGTTTGAATGTTACATAAACTTTTAACCCTTTTTGATTAAAAATATATAGGTCTTACAAGTTTAAAGTGAATATCATTTATTCTAATTTTATAATCTTTATTTAAATTTAGGAAGGTAATTCTCAGAGTTAAGATAATAAAGATATTGCTAATTAGCTGCATAATATACATTTATAGTCATATGTCACTTAACAGTGGAAATACTTTCTGAAAAATGCAACATTAGGCAGTTTCATCCTGTGAACATCATAGAGTGTACTTACATAAACCTAGATGGGATAGCCTACGCTACACTTGTGCTATGTGGTATGGCCTATTGCTCCTACGCTACAAATCTGTACAGCCTATTACTGTAGTGAAAACTATAGGCAATTGTAACAAAATGATAAGTGTTTACATATATAAACATAGAAAAGGTACAGTAAAAATACAATATAAAAGATAAAAAATGGTACACCCGTATAGGTCATTTACCATGAATGAAGCTTGAAAGATTAGAAGTTACTCTGGTGAGTTGGTGAGTGGCAAGTGAATGTGAAGACCTAGGACATTACTCTGTACTACTGTGGACTTTATAAACACAGTAAACTTAAGCCATACTAAATTTATTAAGACACCTTTTTACAATAATAAACTTACTGTAACTTTTTTACTTTATAAACTTTAAGTTTTTTATTATCATAATAACAGCTTTAAACACAAACATATTGAAGAGCTGTGCACAATTATTTTCTTTATATTCCTTTTCTATATGCTTTTTAATATTTTTAAAAGTTTTTATTTTTTAACTTTTTGTTAAAAACTGAGATAGAAACACACACATTAGCTTCGGTCTACAAAGAATCAGGACCTGTAAATATCACTGTCTTCCACTTTTCTCACTGTAAAATCTTTAGGGGCAATAATGTGCATGGGGGCATTACCTCCTATGGTAAAAATGCCTTATTCTGGAATACGTCCTGATAGATTGCCTGGGGCTGTTTTACAGGTAACTTTTTTCACAAGCAGAAGGAGTATATTCTAAAATAATGATAAAAAGTATAAAGTATATTATCAGAAGTACATAAATTAGTAACATAGTGATTTATTGTCATTAATGAGTGTTAGGTACTGTATGTAACTGTATGTGTTAGATTTTATGAGATATTATAAAAAAGACTTTTGTGAGACTGGCAGCACAGGAGGTTTGTACACCAGCATCACCACAAACACCAGTGATGAGGTGCACTATGACATTATAATAACTATGACATCACTAGGCAATACGAATGTTTCGGCTTCATTATAATCTTATGGGATCACCTTTGCATATATGATTTCTTGTTGACCAAAACATTCTGGCAATAGGTGGTGCATAACTGTAGTTACTATGCACATGAACTCTTTAGGTGCCAATTAAGATAAATTTGAGAAACAACTAAGGAGACAATAGAGTTTTATTTGTGTGTGAATGTAAAGTAGTAAGAGAATTGCTATGAGGAAGAAAAAATTGTAATGATATAATCCAACAGATTTATGTCAGTAGTCCAGATTTGTCTGTTATTGTTATAGCATACACTTAAAAAATGTGAATTTGAATACCTGACCAAAGAAACATTGAAAAAGGAGGCTATATCATGCCTGTAAAGATTAGCTAAATTTTGTGTTTGTGTGTGTGACGGAGTTTCGCTCTCGTTGCCCAGGCTGGAGTGCAGTGGCGTGATCTCAGCTCACTGCAACCTCCGCCTCCCAGGTTCAAGCAATTCTCCAGCTTCAGCTTCCTGAGTAGCTGAGATTACAGGCGTGTGCCATCATGCCCAGCTAATTTTGTACTTTTAGTAGAGACGGGGTTTCTCCATGTTGGTCAGGCTGGTCTCAAACTTCTGACCTCAGGAGATCCACTCGCTTCGGCCTCCCAAAATGCTGGGATTAAAGGCATGAGCCACTGCACCCGGCCAACTTCTATATAAGATGGAAATCAGTACAAATGTACTGATTTTAACAGTTAAAAATTAATATTCCTCTATAATTTGTATTTTCATTACATTTCTTTCACAAAATTTAATTATAATTTAAGATATACTTTTAAAGATTTATTGTGTGTGTATAAAACAAAAAATAGATAAATTGTGTGTACAGGTGCATGTATATATGTGTGTGTCTATTTCCCTGTATTTTAAAAACCTGAACAGTATTATTCTCATAAATAATTTAGTATTAAATTGATCAAAACATTATAACTATATTACAAATTAAAAGAATTATTACAGATAAAATAATTTGGCAATGACAAATTTTTATAAGATGGGTGGAGTTCTTTTTCCAAATGATTCATGGATCCATAGATAATTATTACTTCCTATTAGAATTGAGACTTATGTAAGCTAAAGGTTTATATATCACTTATTTGTATTTTTTAGATTGTATTATAAATGTAAGGGCTATGAAATACTGTTCACATAAATGAACAAGTAGGCTAGAAGAAATTCTATTGCAGTGACATTGAATGTTTTTAATTCTTTCTATTTTCCAAAAATCACATGATGAACATGAGAAAATAATTTTAGTGACCAGCTGATCATCTGTTGAATTTTCCTTCAATTTTGATAGAAACAAAAAATTGGAATCTATTTGACTTGCAAAAATATTGGTTACCCAATACCAACAGCAGGATTTTGAAATGTCACTTTGCTTTCCCTAAGGTTTTTTACATGTTGGAGCAATACATCATAATAAATTGAGGATAGAAAATTCAAGTTATCTTGCATTGTAGGAATACAAAAGGGAAGAAAAAACTAACATGGCTGATCAATATTAAGATACAGCTCAGGTTCAAAGTTAATTCAGCCTCCTAGATGCCAATTTCTCCTGTAGGCAATTTATTTGCCTGATCTAATTTAACCCTTATAGCTGTCTGTGATATAAGGACTTATTCTAATTCTTCAGATGAAGAAAGTGAGGGCTATAGAAGGTAACCAGAATTTGAGGGCAGAGCTGAGATACGAACTTCAGTTCAATGACTCCTGATTCTGTGTTCTTTTCACTTAAACATCAATTAGGTATTTCAATTTTATAATCTGAAACTAAGAACCCAGTTGTTTATGGCAAGGTGGGGGGTAGAGAAATAATTTTTTTTGTGTATACTATTTCTGACTAATAAATGTCTAAATCAGCCAGAACGAATGACTGTCTCTCCTTGACTCATAGTTTGGAGAGCAATCCTTTGGTAATCCATTCCAATGTTTTGTCTGTAAATAGCATAAAGATCACAATTAACTAGATTAAGCTTCCATGTGAAATTTTTGCCATTTAAAAATTTAACTTTATACTGATTCATTATTATTATTTTAATCTGGACAGTTTTGAGTCTAGGTTTGGAAGTCACAGACTTGTACATATTGATGTTTCATTGAATATATGTAACACTAGATAAATTACCTAATGTCTCTGAGCTTCAGTTTCCTCATGTTTAATATTTGGGTAAAAAGGTTCATATAATGTTTGAATGCAGTGGCCTATCTAAAATATTAACAAAGTGTATGGCATAGAACAAACACGTGCATATATTGATGAAGCCAAATGAAAGAAAGCATTGATGAAATGAGGTTGAAGAGGCAGAGATCACAGAGTACCTTGTATGCCTAGATTAACATCTTTATCTTTGAGAAGAGAATATAGGCAAAAAATAGTTCCTAACCATAGATTTTTTTAAAAAACTCATTTTTTTTTTCTGATTAGGGACTATTTTAGTTTTAAGAAAAGTTGTAGAAATAGTACAGATAATTTCTATATATCCTTACCTCAGTTTTCCTTAATGATATTTTACATCACCATTTGTCCAAACAATTGGTATGATACTATTAACTGAACTACTACAGGTCAGGTTATATCCTTTTATTTTTATTTATTTATTTTTTTTGAGACAGAGTCTCACTGTGTTGCCCAGGCTGGAGTGCAGTGGTGAGATTTCGGCTCACTGCAAGCTCTGCCTCCCGGGTTCATGCCATTCTCCTGCATCAGCCTCCCAAGTAGCTGGGACTACAGGCACCTGCCACCACGCCCGACTAACTTTTTGTGTTTTTTAGTAGAGACGGGGGCTCACCATGTTAGCCAGGATGGTCTAGATCTCCTGACCTGGTGATCCACCCACCTCTGCCTCCCAAAGTGTTGGGATTACAGTTGTGAGCCACCGCACCCGGCCAGGTTATATCATTTTTATAATGGAAAAACTACTAGAAAAAATAAGAACACTTTTATTTAATTAAACTAACTTTTTAGGAGTGCATTTCTTAGCTCTTTCTTAGATTTTAGATATTTCACCAACATGAGGTAGTGATTAGGTTGAGGACATCAATAGTTCTCTCTCCTGCTTAATGTTCAGAAACCACATTCACTTAGGACTCTCTTAATTTCATTAACAAACATTGCCTAGATATAATTTATTTTTTGTTAACTACTCAGAACACATTTACCAAAATTTGAATGCTTATTTTTAGCCATTTTAATTGAGTAGGTAATAGAGATATTGTATTTCTGATTAATATTTCCAAAATTTTCAGCTGTGTTTTTTCAATTATAAAACTAGGAGGCAATTCTAAAAATATGCACTGAAGAATTAGTCTGTGGATAGAAGTCTGCAAAATCCAACCTCCGCACACTAAGACTCTATTTATCTCCCAATGATCATATCTTCAGAATCTCCCACATTTCTTTACCTCCAACATTTAAAATTGTATAGTCCTTTATTGGGTAAATAGCCCATGCAATAAAATGCCTTAGATTTCCAAGCTTTTTGCCCTGGTTAGGCCAATGTGAGGTCTTCAATAAGAATCTGGGAATTAGAAAGACCGTGACTCAACAGCAACAGTGTTTAAAAAAAAAATGTTAATGTCTGTCTCACATGTCTGCTCAGTTACTCATTGATTTCGGCTCAAGCCCCTATTAGGAAGTGATTTTTTTTTTCCACAAAGAAAGGAGTATAAAGTACTCCTCTCTCTACTGCAGCACAGGAGAGCCACAGACAGGAATTCACAGAAGCATCAGACCTAAGCACAGAGAAAGTCAGAACCAGAATATTAAACAGATGAGGCAAAAGACAACTTTGGGCAAAGCTGAAGGCTTTTCTACAAATAGTAAGATGGGCCCTGAAAAAAAGCAAATGGCATGGTATACTCACAAAACAGATCAGCAATAATCAGACATCTCTAAAGAGTCTTGACACAAATAAGATAGTCTCCTAGAAAGGATTAATATTTTTGTAATACCTGTAACGTAATGACTTGGAAATTTATGTCAGACTCACAGAACATTTGTCACTTGATATATGTATTAATATGTAAGTTAGAGAATAAATGTGCATTTTCTTATTCCAGGAAATATTTGGTTCCAGTGTTTCAAAAAATCATTTTGTTTACATTTTGGAATCAAAAGTTCAATAAACCCTCCCGGCGTTATGAAATCATGATAGTGAGACTAGTTAGACCCTCCATGACTTGAGAGGCTACTGTTGTTTTAAAAGACTGGTTTTTCTCAGGATAAACTAATTACTCATCACAGGAGAATTCCAAGGCCCCAATTCTCCTTTCACCTGCCTGTGACTTTCCCATTATTCATTAGGTTTAGATTATTTAAGAGTTAATAGCAGCATCAGGAATGAAACTGCATTGCTGAACAAGAAGATGAAAAATTATGGCTCTTTGTGAAATGAATTTTTCTTAAAACTAGGTCTGTTTTAAAGACGGTAGGAGGTGTATGAAGGATTTTGATACACTCTATAGTATTTATGTCTTTTCTCACACAGTAAAGAGTGCAATCTTAAAGAAATACAAATTGAAGTTAGGAATCCTGCGTTCAATCTCGGCTCTTCCACTCACTGAATGTGTGTCTTTGACAAGTTCCCTACTCTGAGCATCAGTTACCTCATTAGCAAAATGGAGATAATAGATACCTAATAGAGAATGGGAGGATTCTATGACGTAACAGAAAGCTTTTTCTATGGTTACTGGCACATGCAAGGTGCTCAAAATATTAGCTGCTTTTTTTTTTCTCTCCAACATCAACATTTTATATTTTCAACATTTTTAAAATTTAATTTCTTGACATACAAAATACTGTACATCAAGCTTGTCCAACCCTTATCCTTGTAAGCCACATGCGACTGCAGCCCAGGATGGCTTTAAATGCTCCCCAACACAAATTCATAAACTTTCTTAAGACATTATGAGGTTTTTTTTTTTTTTTTTTTTTTTTTTTTTTTTTTTTTTTTTTAAGCTCATCTGCTGTTGTTAATGTTACTGTATTTGATGTGTGGTCCAAGACAATTCTTCTTCCAGTGTGGCCCAGGGAAGCCAAAAGAGTAGACACCCCTGCTGTACATAATTAATGGATACAACTTGATGAGTTTGGAGGTAAATATACACCCATGAAACCATCAGCACAACCAATGCCATAAATATATCCATCATTTGCAAAAGTTTCTTCCAGCTTTCTTGTTTATTATTATTACTTTTTGTGACAGAACAATTAACATAAGATCTACCCTCTTTGCAAGTGTTTAAATGTACAATACAACATTAACTACAGGCACTATATTTGTACAGTAAATACCTAGGACTTATTTATCTTGTATTTTAGAGCAGGCTAATTGTGAGGAAGGTTGGCTTCAAGTGGAGCAGAAACTGATCTACTACAAATGAAAATGCGCAGTTTTCTATATGATACCCAATAAAGTAGATGATATACTTAAGGATGTATAAGCAGAAATGCTGAATGAAAGGGTAATAAAACAATTTTGTGCAAGATTACTATGAGTTTGTATGTGTTGACAAGGGAGGTGTGTTGATGTGCAAGAGAAAGTAATTGTTCTCTCTACCTATATTTACCAGGGCATTGTGATGCCAAATAACATTCATGTCAATTGTCATAAGCAGCACAGAATTTTGAGGTAATTCTATGCATGTTGCATCTGTCTTTCCCTCTATAGCAAGTGGCTTCTCCTTGAATATCCAGGGCAACAAAATATGAAATCTTGAATTAAAATCTTAATCTTTCACTTGCAGAAATGTGCTTCTTACCTGCTGTGGTCACTTATTTTGAGCTAGTCTCAAATTCTTGTATATGACACCACTTCAAATATTTAAGACCTTCATAGCTGATAGCAAGTAGATAATACTTTGGAAATTTAAATTTCTGCGTTCCGAATGGAACTTTATTTTTGTTAATGAACTCAGTTTTTTAAAGACTTTGGCTCACGCCTGTAATCCCAGCACTTTGGGAGGCCGAGGTGGGCGGATCACAAGGTCAGGAGATCGAGACCATCCTGGCTAGCACTGTGAAACCCCGTCTCTACTAAAAATACAAAAATTAGCTGGGTGTGGTGGCGGGCGCCTGTGGTCCCAGCTGCTCAGGAGGCTGAAGCAGGAGAATGGAGTGAACTTGGGAATCGGAGCTTGCAGTGAGCTGAGATCGTGCCACTGCAGTCCAGCCTGGGTGACAGAGCGAGACTCCATCTCAAAAAAATAAAATAAAATAAAATAATATAATATAAAATAAAAATAGAAACAAAAATATTTTATGTTAAATCACCTGGGATGAATTTCTCAAATTCATTTAAAAATGTTCCTTCATTTTGACAAAGACTTGTTTTAATCTCTTCAAATGAATCTATTATTTGAGAATAAAATCTTGCTAGACTCTAAATCTCCCCACATGAGAAATAGAGTTTTATATGATCTATTAGAAAATTAAACTGAGAGTTTCTCCCTCAATATTGACTAGTTTACTAGGGATGACATTATTCATTTTTTCTCTTTCCAACAGTATTATTTAAGGGGAATATGCTAAGTATACAGGAAAAAATAGCATATCTAAGTATTTTTTTTTTGTATTTATAGAAAAGAGTTGGAGGAAGTTAAGTCTTCACTAGCAGCATAAAAGAACTTCCATTTTTATCTCTGAAAAAACAATTTGTGTGTGTGTCAGATTTACTGCTTAATTGCAACTACCACAATATAAAAACTTACTCTGGATGCTCAATTCAGCAAACAATTATTGAGTGTTGCTTCTGTATATAATAGAGTGCTACTAATCCTAAAGAATACAGTGTTGAAAAACTCAGCATCATCAACCTCCTCCTCAAATCTATTATGGGTAAAATTTACATAATAACAGCAATTATTAATTCATTTTTTTTTTTTGCCAAGCCCTGTGTTCAGCACTTGGATTTTTAAATTTTCTTACAACAACCCCATGTATTAGATATATTATATCTATTTATTGGATAAAGAAACAAAACCTTTGGAAGATAAGATTCAGGCTACCATAGTTCTATTTGAGAAATAAAAAAAGTGACATTGAAGAAAGGAGAGGAAATGGTAGATTCGCAAGATTCACGAGACCGAAGTACACTCCAGCCAGGTCTCAATTTTTGTTTTAATTACTGTCACAACCACAATCCGATTCTCTCCAACTTGGTCACAATTTTATATCAGTTTTTAAATATTCATTATATTTAATCAGTCAGTATCTGCACACACTCTATGTATTTTAAGTTGTAATTACCTAGGAATCAATTTTATTTTCCTCTTCTTGAGGTTAAAATCAATAATCATTAACTGGAATCATTTCACTTAAAGCATCATTAAATTTATCAAATTAACTAATCAAATAGGTGGAACCAACATAACAAATAAGCAATTTCACAAGCAGCCATGTGCTAGCTGCAACCTGAATATTCATGTGAAAGTGTAAAACCAACGTGAGACCATAGCTCTCTGTTCAAATGGAAGCTAGGCACATTATATTCATAACATTATTTCATTCTTGTTATAACCAAGGGAGGACACTATTATGATCTCCATTTTATACATGGGGAAACTAAGGTTAGTGGAGGCACAATTGACTTACCAATGTTTGGCTTCAAAGCCTAATTTTTTACCTCATAGTATGTTGGAATCAAAATGAGACCAACATTGTCATTTTAACAGAAATGAAACAACATGTTATATAATACATTTAGATGGCAGTGCTTCACAAACATTCATGCCCATATGAGTCAACTGGGGATAATGTTAAAAGGCAGTTTCTGAGTCAGTAGATCTGGGTTGGAGCCTAGGATTTTACATTTCCATCAAGCTCCCAGGTGATGCCAATGTTTCTGGCCCATGGGCCACACTGTGAGTAAGAAGGTTTAATTTAGAGCTTTGAGATATAATGAAGGGTGGTCCTAGGTGGGAGGCATCAGCATGATGTGAGAGTTTGTTAGAAATTCAAACTCCCTGGCATCCTTTCAAACCCCTTGAATTAGAATATCTGGAAATAGGACCTGAAAATCTGTGTTTTAACAAGACTTCAAGATAATTTTTGTTCACACTACAGTTTGAGAAGCATTAATGTAAATTGCATATTGAATTTGTATCAGAAAAAGAAATGATGTCTTCTCACTCCCTTCCTCTATACCAGATTGTTTCTCCCAGTGCTGGAATTGGCTGCCATCACGGTTTGTGAAACGTCAAGATTTTATTCATAGTCCTCTTTCTTTATACTTTATATGATATATTTGAGAAATTTTATCTATTCACAAGCTTTAACTAGCACCTACCTGCAGAAGAATACCAAACTTATATCTCTTGTTCTAACTTCTCTTAATTTAAGTCCTAAACGTCTAATTCTCAAATACATATTTATCTGCACAAGTATGTCCCATTGACACATCAGACTCCTTATGTCTAAAACAGCACTCATCAGTTTTACATGATAAGTCTTCTCAATTATCTTTCTGTGTTTGATATTCCCATCCACTGCAATTATCTAAGACAAGGTCTTCAGAATATTGATTGACTACTTCTTATGAATCACTTCTTACACCTAATTATTTACCAAGTTTTGTCTTTCCTATTTTTCTTTCTAGTATGTTCCTACTTACTTACCTCATTTAATGGGGTGAGAGAGAAGACATTAAAGAGATGAGAGATAAGAGATTTTTGTAACAATTCATGCTAAAAGTTGATACGGTTTTAATGTAATACCATAAAATTGGGCACACAAAAGAAAATCTAAGACAAAAAATCATGATAGAATGTAAAACTTACAAACTGAAACACAAATGATGGCCTAGGGTGTTAAGGTATTCTGAAATGATTCTATATTGGGGACTATGCTCTAATAAAGCTGACATTTATTCACATGGCTAATATAAACTTGGAATATAAGATTCTTTAATTCATCCATTTATGATTCATTCATACATACACCAATTAATATTATAAGCATTTATTGAACATATATTTAAAGCATTGTGCTAGGCTCTCTAAATACAGATTATCTATCTATCTATCTATCTATCTATCTATCTATCTATCTATCTATCTCTATTGCCAGGGAGATAACACTGTTTGTTAGCCAACTCAACAGATGTTTTTCAATCTTTTTCTCCATTTTCATATCTACTCCAGAAGCTGGGAAGGCAAATGCCCACCTTCACAGCTTCCCTCACAGTTGGGTATAGTTCTGGCTACCAAGATTTAAACAAATATTTTCTGGAGATACCTAAAACAACATCTGCTTTCTTGATAAAAAAGACACAGGTTCAACTGGCATGAACCTTTATCATCTTTCTCTATTCTCTTTCTGATCTTGAAAACAAATATGATATCTGTAGATACTATAGCCACTTTAGAACTAGGAAATAAATAGCTTTAGGATAAAGGCCAACATTTTGAGAGGATAAAATAGTAGAATATTGAATGTCTGAATCCCTCTAGAAAGTGTTGATCTTCCTCCCATTTCATGTTATCCAGGCAATAGCTTTTAACCTTTACTTAATCTTCTAATTTTTAAATTCTTAAAAGCATTATTCGGTAATTTAAAATTTACATAGAAATTGAAAAAATATAGGGACCTGTTGTATAACTTTCACCCAGATTTCCTTGTTAACATTTCTCTTGTTTCAAAAATGTTAAGAGTAAGTTTCAGTTATGATACCCCATTACTCCTTGTATTAGTTTCCTGTGGCTGCATTAACAAATTACAACAAACTTGGTGGATTTAAACAACAGAAATTTATTCTTTCATGGTTCTGGAGACCAGAAATCCAAAATTAGCCTCATTGGATTGAAATCAGGGTATTGGCAGGATGGGGGTCTCCTCCAGAGAGAGATCTGTTCCTTGCTTCTTTCAACTAATGTTGGTTATCAATGTTTCTTGGCTTGCCTCCATATTAACCCAATTTCTGCCTCCATCTTAACACTTTCTTTTCCTCTTCTGTCTGGATTAAGTATCGCCTTGCCTCTCTCTGATAAGAGCACTTGTGGTGGTATTTTAGGGCCCACCTGAACAATCCAAGATAATCTCCCAGTCTCAAAATCATTAACTTACTCACATCTGCAAAGAACCTTATTTGTTATATGACAACACTTAAACAGGTGTAGGTTTCAGAACCTGATACCTTTAGGGGCTATTATTCTTCCTACCATACCTCTTAATTCTACAATATATATTTCCTATGCACAAGAACATTTTGCCACATAGCCACAATGTTTCCATCAAAATCAGGAAATAAGTATTGATGCAATATTATTTTCTGGTCCACAGACCCCACTTACATTTTCCTAATTATCCCAGATATACCCTTTTTAGGCCCACTAGCCAATCCATAATCAGTGGTTTTATTCATTGTCATATCTCTTTAATACCTTTCAATCTGGAATAGTTCCTTATTTTTTCTTTGTCTTTAATGGTCCTAACATTTTTAAAAATTAGCCTAGTTACTGTGTAGAATGTGACTCCATTTGTAATGTTTGTTATATTTAAGATTTGTATGTTTCTGGCAAGAATACCACAGAAGTGATGCTGAGCTCTTTGCAGTGTGTATATCAGAAGGTATACATGCTGATTTTGTTTCATTATTGATGATGGTAACATTTATTATTTAATTAATGGTGCCTGTGAGATTTCTACACTAGAAAGTTAATAAGTATGTTATCAATAAATAATCATTATGCATTGATGGAAAGTTACTTTGAGACTATGTGAATACTCCATTTTTCATCAGTCTTTTACACACCAGATTTGGCATTCATTGATGAATTCTGCCTGAATGAGTTTTCACTGATGATTATCAAGTGGTAATCTCCTAATTCCATAATTCTTTGTAGATTAATTAGTTGGCCTGGAAGAATTCCCTTCCAATTCCAGCACCACCCCCAATTTATATATGTATCCATTTATGTTAGTAAAATCTCATAAATTCTTATTTTACTCAAAATATTATAACTGGTCATTATTATTGTTAAGAGTTAAAGAGAAAAGAAACACAAAAAGTGGCTCAACAGTCAAAGACAGGTTTATTTTGGAGAATAAACCTGAGAGGGGCTTCTGGCCAATTTCAGTCAGGAGTGCTCTCTCTTATAGACTAAGAGTATGTATTGGTTTTAGGGTGAGGGAACTTATTACAGACTTGAAATGTTTCTGTGTGGGGGAGAAGTTTTATGTCAGGGTTGGAATGTCTCTGGTTGGAAGGGAGGTTATCTCAGGGCTGGCATGTCTCTGGTTGGGGAGAGGTTTATATTACGGTTCGAATGTTTCTGGTCGGAGATGTCATTTATGGTTTATGGTCATGCTAACCTTAGCCATTAGGCTGATGCCCTTTGGATTTAGGCAGTTTTTGATCAAGGGGAACTTTAAGATGGCAGTGCTTGTCCAAGATGGCGATGCTCCTGCCGTGTCAATTATCACTTATTTGAATTTGTCCCAGACTTGACTAGTGGAAGCTCCTTCAACTGGTTCTTATGTCTTTTGCACATGCCCCTAGAGTACCTCTGGCACAACAGGATGTTACCAGATCATCTTGTATTTTCCCTGCCTCAGCCCTGGAGTCAGGTACTCTTCCCCAGGAAGCTCTGGCTCCCTAGTATCTAGAAACAAATAATAGGACACTATATGTGCTCCTCATAACTGCGGTGTAATTACATGTATGTCCTCTAAAGAGAGTCAGATAAAAAAAATCTATTTATGCACTATTCACAGTGAAAAAGATATGGAATCAACCTAAATGCCCATTAACAATAAACTGGATTTTAAAAAAAGTGGTACATATGCACCATGGAATACTATGCAACCATAAAATATAAAATGATCGTGCCCTTCACAGCAACATGGGTGGAACTGGATGCCATTATCCTAAGTGGACTAACACAGGAATAGAAAACTAAATGCCACATGTTCTCACTTATAAGTGGGGGCTAAATATTAAGTACATATGGATGCAAAGAAGGGGAAAAAAGTCACTGGGGCCTACTTGAGAGTGGAGAGTGGGAGGAGGGTGAAGATCAAAAAACTATTAGCTTCTATGCTCATCATCTGAGCGATGAAATAATCTGTACACCAAACTCCCACAGCACACAATTTACCTATATGTCAAACCCGCACATGTGCCGGTGAACCTAAAATAAAAGTTAAAAACAGTTAAATTTAAAAAAGCAAATCTATGTATACAAATAATATGCACATATGTGTATATCTATATGTTTTTATATTTTAATTTTAACTGGAGCTCTATCATATTTGATCATTGTGCACACTGGTGCTTCTACTTGCATTCCAAAACTATCTCCTTTCCATATTCATAAGTCCCATTTTCAACAATGAGAAATATGTTTTCCACTACCCTAAATGAATTTCCTAATTTATTCAGTCCTGCCGTTGTTAACAAACTCCTCACCATGACAGCAGAAAGCAGTGTCCTTGACTCACATCCATATTGGGTGTACTGGCTAAAAGCTCACACAAAGGAAGGGGAGAAGTAGGGAAAGGAAGAAGGTAAAAGAGGGCAGAAAGAAGGGTGAAGAAAAGGACATTTAGAAAGCACAACCCCAAAATTTCATTTCCCTGTATTAATATGCTGGCTCATAGCTGGGCCCCTACATACCACTGCCCACTGCCCACTTCCCACTGCCTACATATTGTGTACAACACCTGAAAGCTGAACTTTCAAAAAGGGAAAGAGAAAAAGGAAGACAAATTTATCAGTTAGAACTGTTGATTCCAGATATGTGACACTCATCATACCAATGCGTTGGCCCAAAGTGGGCCCTGACATGCTGTTCTCTGTCCCCACTGGGCATGCCTACCCAAAGCTTGACTAATGTAGTAGTTTAATTACTTTCAGTTTAATGTTGCTGCTAGCTGTCCAAGATAAATCAATGTTTCTTCTTCCTATGTACAGAGTAAGGCTCCATTTCAGCTTCCTTTTTAGCTACTTGAGGCCAAATGATGATGTTTTAACCACTGGAATGCAAGTAGAAGTGATATGTGCCATTTCCAGACAAAGACGTTTAAGAAGAAGCTATATCTCCTTCACTACCTCTTCACTCTTGCCTGATGGATGCAGATTTCAGTGAAAATCTAGGGGAAGCAGGGGCCATAGGATGGAAGAAGCAGAGCTTCGTAAGTTATGCTATGTGAAGCAGAGCCACCCACGTTGAACTATTAGGTAGGTGAGAAAAAAGCATCCATTTATCTTGAAGCCACTATACCTCCTATGATCTATTTGTTACAGAAGCTTATTCAAGTTACACAAACACACACAACATCTTAAACTAATATTATCTTTATAATATTATACCTGTTGAATAGTTATGCATAGTATATTATATGTACACTGAATAAGGTCACTTAATACATGTTAGATACGGAAGAAAATCAAGAAACGTTTCCCACAGGAGGTAATACCTACTTGAGTATTGGAAAAAATAAGTATTAATTAAAGAAGCAGGAAATAAGATTATGTTCCCATTAGAGATAACATCATGTATAAAAGTACGGCAAATGAGGCAGTGGATATTGTGTTTAAGGGAAGTCAAGTTTCTTGATATGACTATAACTCAAAATGTATGAAGACAGTCATGGAAATATAAAGCTATATATGTCATGCTGAATTTCTTTCTGTGCACGAAATTTAGCATTTTAATGGAAAATGCAAAGTATATACATATTCTTTCTTTTTGACATCAGTTTATTTCTTCCCTGTTAATGATGGTCTCATGTCTAAAGCAAAAGATGTAAAATAATCATACAGAATTCTTACTGCTATAAACATCTGATCCTTGATGGAGCTATTAACATGAAGCCATGTTAATAAACATTAACACCTTTATATCACATATTTGATAAAGTTAAAAGTAATTTCAGCTCATTTGCTATACTCTATTTTGTTAGTACCCAGGAGCATTTTCTTAATAGGAGTTCCAAGAGATCACTGATTGGTTTCAGTAAAGAAATCACTGACATAAAGATGTTCTTTTGATGGGGAAATTAGATTTGATGCATTCCGCAAGAAGCAGTTAGATCTTAATTTAGAGGGTAATTTGGTACCTAAAACTACCTGCAGAAGGTTTAGTTTGGGGTATAAAAATACTGTCCCCAAGCATTGGGTAGTGTTTCTCACATGCTTGGATACTTGCATCTTATTTTTCCAGCAAGTAAATATATACATATATATATAATCAGTGACAGAAAAAATATGAAAATTTTTTAAAGCATAGGTGTTTTAGGTCATCTCTTAGAATGCACAATTGATGGGAACAAAAGTTAAATGACTGAAATGCATTCTTATATTATCCACTTAGTTTTCTCCTCACCTGTTGTTCATTACTTCCATTCTGTATTCATTGCTATTGCTCTTGTTCAGGCCCTTATTTCCTCCTGTCTATGCTAAATAATTGTCGTACTTTCAGGATTGTCCTTTGCTGTCTATAATACACCTTCCACACTGATGCTGAAGTTTTCTTTTAAAAAATCTAATCTTATTGTTACTACATCTAAAAAACCCGATCCTGGCTATCCACAGCCAAGAGAAATAATTAAAGATTTCTTGTCATATCATCTAAACCCTTTGATTATCTGACTCTTACATACTTATTTTTTAGTTTGGTTTTTATTTTTTAAGTATACAATTCAGTGGCTTTTTAGGGTATTTTCAAAGTTTGAAATTACTTATACTGTCTAATATTAGAACATTGTTATCACCCTAAAAAAATCTTGAACACTTTGTGTTATTTTTTATTTTTTAGAGACAGGGACTTACTCTGTCTCCCAGGCTGCAGTACAGTGGTACATTTATGGTTCACTGCAGCCCCAAACTCCTGGCCTCAAGCGATCTTCCTAAGTAGCTGGGACTACAGGTGCAAGTCACCACACCCAGCTAAGTTTTTTATTTTTATTTTTGGTAGAGATGAAGTCTCTCTTTGTTTCCCAGGCTGGTCTCAAGCTTCCAGCTTCAAGTAATCCTCCTAAGTTGGCCTCCCAAACAGTCGGGATTACAAGCATGAACCACCATGCTCAGTCCTTGAACCCTTTAGCAGTAACTACCCCTAGTTCCTGGAAACCACTATTCTACTTTCTGTCTCTCTAGATTTGCCTATTCTGTACATTTCACGTAAATGAAATTATACAATATATTCCTGCCTGTTTAAGCCTTCTCTCTTTTGTAACTCCATCTTTCATATTCTTCCAGCTGACCAGATCTAATTGTAACATACTGTATTAATTTTAATTAAGATACAGATTGACTACTGTATTGGACATTCAAAATTAACAATGATTTTAATATGACATGTATTTCTTTTTGTATAAGCCTGAATTGGGCTTTTTCACATAAAATTCTTCATTAAATTTTTAGCAGTCCTAAATCTCTCAATTCTGTTGCTCCACTATCAATAGACATCACATCCAAATTCGAATTCAAAGGAAGGGGAAGGCCTAAACATGACTCACCTGTAAATTTGATGGTCACTCTATTTTTGCTCTTAGGTGTAGTCTTCACTTTTTCCTTTTCTGTTGTATCATCCAATGGATGACCTTGGTAGGTTAGGTATTTCCTTCCTCTTGGTCTGTCTTGGGTGCATCTTCCATAGAAGCTGCCTTTTCTCTGTGCCTCTAGCCTCAGACAAATGGCCCATACTCTCATCACTCAATTCTCAACATGCATCCATCAGCAGGGAGCTTTAGCTTTTGGACTCATCATATTATCTGTTGCTATGACTTGAATATGCCCTCTGAAACTCATGTTGAAATTTAATCCCTAAAGAGTGTTGATAGGTAGGACCTTTAAAAGATTATTAGAACACTAGGACTTTGCCCTCATGAATGGATTAATGCCGTTATTGCAGGAGTAGTGTCCTTATAAAGAATTAGCTGAGCCCCTTTATTGCTTGCTCTCTCATGCATGCACTCTTGAATTTCAGCTGTAGGATTACATGGCAAGAACGACTTGCTAGATGTAGGCCCCATAGCTTCAGACTTCCCAGGTGCCAAAGTATAAGAAATAAATTTCTGTTCATTATAATTTATCCGTGGTTTTCTGTTACAGCAACATACAATGGACTGAGATATCCCTCTATCCCTATAAGTGGTAGGGGCATCATTTTGTTTTTAATCTTTAATAGATGAAATACTCTTCAGAAGATTTTATATATATATATATATATATATATATATGTGTATATATATATATACATACACACACATATATACACACACACACACACACATATATCTTCTTTAGTGAGTTTGGTAAATTGTGGCTATTAAGGAATTCATTATGCTTGGCTTCTTGGATTGTCTGTCACTGTGTAAAAATGTCTTCTATAAAATATCATCTGATTGAAACACTTAGATTGGTCTCAAATTTTATTAGATGTACTATGCCCGATAGGGTGTATGACATTGAATTCCACACATACATTTTGCATTTCTCTTGGCCTAGCTGCATGGCCACAGCTAGCTTTGAAAGATGGTGGAAAATGCAGTCTTTATTCCGGAGGGCCATACACACTGCTAAAGATTATGCTTCATGTTTATTCCATGAGAGGAGAAAACACTTGATATTAAAGGAAAACCAGAATTATCTGCCATAGTATGCGCCTTGGTCAGCCAATCATTTGTGTACACTTCCTTCCACATAGAGAACGTATTCATCTCATACCCAGGGGGGAGACTTCAAAGTCTCATTCATGAAAGTCCATTGAAGTCCATGAACTTGAGGTTATGAGTACTCACCTTTATTAGGTCTATCTATGGTTCTTCATGATCCAGTGGCCTATAACATACCCAAAACGCAACAGTAGAGTAGGAACAGTATAACCACACTAAAATGTCCATCTGACTTGTCAAATTTGTGGATATAGAGTTGCTCACAATTTTCCCTTGTTATTTTTGTGTCTGTGAAGGTATGTAATGATGTCCCTTATTCAATTCCTGATATTGGTATTTATGTCTTTTCTCATTTTTGGTTGCCAGTATGACTAGAGTTTTATTTTTTCCAAAAACACAGCTTTTTTTTAAACTGCTTTTCTGTTTTTAATTTCATTGATTTATGCTCCTAGTTTTTCGATTTGCTTGCTTTGAGTTTGTCTCTTCATTCTCTAATTTGTTAAGCTAGAACTTGAGTATTGATTTAAGGTCTTTATTCTTTCATAAGCATTTAATGCTATAGCATTCTCTCTAAATATTTATTTAGCTGTGTCTTACAAATTTTGATGTCTTATTTCCATTTTCATTCAGTTCAATATTTTTACCTTGAGACTTCTTTGACCTCTGTGTTACTTAGAAATGTGTTGTTTAATTTCCAAGTACTTAAAGGTTTCCCAGATATATTTCTATTATTTCTTTCTATTTAAATTATGTTACGGTCTAATATACTTTGTATGATTTTTACTTTCGTAAATTTAAAGTCTGTTGAATTTCCTATTCTGTGTTCTGTCATGATGAAAGTTTCATGTATGCTTGAGGGAACAATGCATATTCTGCTGTTCTTCAGTAAACTATTGCATAAAATGTCACTTAGATCAAGTAGTAGCTAATATTTTTGAAGACTTCTGTAAGCTTCCTCACTTTTTGTCTCCTTGTTCTGTGAATTACTGAGGAGTGTTGATGCCTCCAAATCCACTACAATTGTGTGTTTGTATATGTCTCCTTTATGTACCAACAGATTTTATGTATTTACATATGTTGCTGGCTACATACCAAATTAAGATTTTAAAAATACCTTCTTAGAGAAATGACCTGATTGTGTACCTTTTTACTCCTGATGATATATACCTGGTTCTGAATTCTACCTTGTCTGTTATTAATATTGCTACTCCAGCTTTCCTTTGTTTGGTTTGTGTGTTTGTCAAATCTCTTTCCATCCTTTTACTTTTATCATACATAAGGCTATATATTTAATGTAGTACAATGGACTGAATGTTTATGTCAACCCAAATTAATATGTTGAAATCCTAATCTCAATGTAATGGTATTTGGAGGTAGGGTTTTTAGAAGGAAATTAGGTCATGAGCATGGAGTTCATGACCTAATTCATGAATGGAATTAGTGCCCTTAGAAGAAAAGGCCAGAGAGTGAGCTAGCCCTCTTTCCTCCATGTGAGGATAGAATGGGAAGTCTGCAACCTTGCAAGAGGCCTCTCACCAGAAATCAACACACTGGCAAACTGATCTTATACTTCCAGCCTCCAGAACTGTGAAAAATAAATTTCTAAAGTTTATAAGCCACCCTGTCTAAGGTATTTGTAAAAGCAGCCTGAACTGAATAAAACAAGTACGTTTCTTGTAGATAGAATATAACTATATGCCTTAGATTTTTATTCAGTCTAACAATTTTGTAATTGGTGTGTTTATAACACCTATAGAAAATGCTATTATTGATGTAGTTGGATTATAATATACAGATCTGCTAGGTATATTGTATTTGTTCAATATGTTGTTTTATTGTTCTTTTTCTGACCACTTGAGTTAACTTAGCAACTTTTTAATGCAATTTTCACAGTTTTTCTTTCAGCACTTTAAAGATGTCATTCTATTATCTTTCAATTTGCACAGTTTCTGAGAAGTCTTAAATAATTCGATATAATTCTTTTTTAATATACAAAAGTAGGCCAAGTCTATTGCTGAGAATGGATATAATTCCTATTCTTATTTCACTGTGTATAATTTGACCTCATTCTTTGGCTATCTTGAAGAACTTCTCTCTGTCTTTGGTTCTCAGTAGCTTGAATATGATGTGCCAAGTTACAGCACTTTTGATATGTATTGTGCTTTTTGTTCTCAACTTCTTGGATACATGCTTTGTTGTCAGTCAATAATTTTGGAAAATTACTATGTTTCACTTCTCCCTGCAGGTGTCTGTCTATTTGTTTATTGGTGGACAGTTGGCTGTCCTGTGACCACAGCACTCAGATGGGCTCAATAAAATTTGTGAACTTGCTGTTTGCCTGGCTTTTTAAAAATGTGCATGTTCTAGTTCTCAAAACTACTGAGCAAAATATAGAATTTAAAATAGTTTTAAGTCTGGAGAGTCTAGTCTTTAAAAAAAAAACCCTCTGTGCCCTGCCTATTCTACTGTTACTCTCAGAAAAATAAAATGAAGGCTATCTTTTGAGTCATCTAAAATAATATGTTTGGATGGGAAGGTAACATCCTTAATTCGATTTTTGCTATTGTGGTGGCTCCAATGTCTCACTAACAATTTTTAATTAAAAACACTTGGTGCCATATTCTATTCTCCAGGTAAAGTACTTTTTCAGGGCTGCCTACTATTATTTTTCAACCTAAGTTACAAAATCAATTCACTTTTTGAATATATAAGGCCCCAAATTATAAAATTTTCAGTCAACCTAGATTACAAATTGCACATAAAGAGTGTGTCCCTGCACTGATCTGTAGAGTCTCCAATCTGTGTAAACTAAATCTCCATCCTAGTGTCCTTCATCTCTTGTGGGCCTTTACTAAAACATAAAATAAGAATAAGAATATTTCTAAACCTTTCCTCTTGAGCATAGACTCTCACAGGAAGGAGTTTTCTTTCCAAGTATTAGGACAAGTTTTACCAAATATTGGCCATAATGTACTGAGAGTTTTCAGCTTTCCAAGATGTGATATCTGTATCTTCACAGCCTCTCTTACTGTCTCAAAGAGAATGCCACGTATTTTATATTCGTTTCGTGAAACAGTCCATTGTATAGAATAAAGGGTCACATACCATAAAACATCCAAATTAAGAAATTACAAGTGGTTTAAACAAGATAAAAAAAGTAAAAGCCAAAGCTAGAAGAGGTTGACCGGCACAATGTCATGGGGTCTAGAATTTTTCCATCCTATAATTCTGCCACCTCTACCAGGTTGCTTTATCTACATGGTCCAACATGGCTAAATAGCATAACTGTATTTCAGCCAGAAGGAAGATAAAAGGGATGGCAAGTTTATTACTTCTTCTCCTTTTGAAACATAACACAGATGTTGCAAACACTACTTCTGCTCACATTCAGTGATCAAAACTAACATAAATGGCAATACCTAACTAACTGTATGGTTAGTGAGGCTGAAAAAGTAAATTTGATTCTGGGCAACTATTTTGCCTAGCTTTTAATTCGTAATTTTATTACTATTAGAAAGGCATAATAAATATTGGGGAATGACCAACAGTATGCCACATATATCCTGTTATTTAATGTAAATTTGCATCTGCTTTACCATTTCCCATTGTCTGAAATGTTTCCTTTGTTTTCCAACTTGTAAACCTCTCTGTTTCTTTTAAGCCTGCATTTGTATATCACCTCCTTTGGTAAGTTTTTTTTGTTTGTTTGTTTTTTGTTTGTTTTGAGACAGAGCCTTGTTCTGTCACCAGGCTGGAGTGTGCAGTGGCATGATCTCAGCTCACTGCAACCTCTGCCTCCTGGGTTCAAACAATTCTCCTGCCTCAGCCTCCTGAGTAGTTGGGACTACAGGCGTGTGCCGCCATGCCTGGCTAATTTTTGTATTTTTAGTAGAGACGAGGTTTCACCATGTTGGCCAGGATGGTGTCTATCTCTTGACCTCGTGATCTGCCAGCCTTGGCCTCCCAAAGTGCTGGGATTTCAGGCGTGAACTACCGTGCTGGGATGGTAAGTTTTTATTGAACTGCTTCTCTCCACACAACAAAGATATTTTCTCCTTTGCCTCACATTATTTTTTTCTAGATTATTTGAATCAGACTGTAAGATACTGTAGGTTAGAGTACGTCTTACTCATTTTAGTGTTCCTTGTATCTAGTAAGGGTTTGCTACAAAGAAGATACTTAATAATGGTAATAAATGCATATATTTTAATAAACAGTTGAATAGGTGATAGAATTAATGGATAGATGTCAGGAATTATTAAATTAATAAATGAATGAATCAGTGACTAAATGAATAAATCAACAGATTGGTAATGGTTTCAATATACAGATATGTTAGGGAATAAATGGATGAGTTAGAAAATAATTGGATGAGTAGATATATGAATGAATTATTTAGTGTATGAGTGAATGGTTAGTTGAATGCATGAAGAGAGTGGTGGAATGGAAGACAAGGTAAGTGAATGGAAGAATTGAAGAATGGCTACGTGAATATAAGAACAAATGAGTGTGTGGATGGAAGAGTGGATATTTGGAGGAAAGGTGGGTGGATGGCTAAATTATTAAACTGATGGATAAACTGATGCATAAGTGTATTGGTGAGTGCATGGCGAATGGATCCTACATACATATATAACTGAAATGACACTTCTGCCATTCTGCACTGATTTGAGAGTTAGAACAGTGTGGATTTTTATCATACCTCTGCCACTGACTTTCTGATTTTTATGCACTACTTATGCATCTCAGTTTATCTATGCATCTCAGTTTCCTTGATTCTAAATTCATATTATAATAAATGCCTTGCAAGTTTTTGTGGGGATAAAATAAGACATTATATAATGTGACTGGCACAAAGTATGTGCTCCATAAACAGTAACTGCTATTACAGTCATCATTACCATCATCGAATTCTCAGCCAGTTCTAATTTCCTGCACAGCATTTCACTGATCACCGGGTGTACATGGAAATATATATGTAATCTTGGTTCTGCCTTCTAGGATCTCCTAGTAACTCTGGGTAGACAGGCCACATGCATAAAAGGATTATCACCATTAAAATGAAGGGAATGCTCAATGCCAGATGACAAATTTATGATAAAATTGAAAAAGAAGAGGATCATGAATAGTCAAGTAAGTCTTGGAATGTTATGTTGAAGTTTGGGAAGTAAAGAAAGGAAGAATTTAATTAGCAGAGAGAAGGTGATAATATCTTGCCCATACTTCTCATTAAATTGCAAATTATCTGAAGGATCTCAAAGGAAAAATGGATAAGTAGCAAGAGTTCCATTTATCTGTGAGACAAATGAGGTCTCAAAACATTTGAATGAATGGCCCAAGGACAGACAGTGACTTTGACCCTGGCACAGTTGCAAATGGCAGCCTCAATTCTTGGCTGCTGTGTCTCTTTGGGTTCGCCAGTGTTTTTAAAACAAGCAAAAAAAAAAAAAATGCTGTAACATTTTTACTGAGGACAACTTGGCTGAGTTATTTTGACAAAACACAAATCACTGGGAACAGCTGAGCTGCTTGTACATTGCACCCATTTGTTTACCCACCTGTCTAGATGCTAAGAACAATATTCTAAAACAGTGAGTTCATATATGGTGCCTACTTTTGGTGTTCTCCTTTTACCCCACTTGGATCCAGTTAAACCTCCTTGAATTATTTAGGCTATTCTTGAAGAATTTCTCACCTAGAGATTCACAGTACCCCTAGCAACTATAAATTAAAGAGCCAGTGATATAATCTAGCAGTTATTTTAGGCCCCAAAGTTGAACACCATTGGATTGAAATCCAGACTCTACCAGTTATTAGCTATGTGTTCTTCAGTATACATGCTTCTTTCTGAACTTGTTTTCTTATCAATATCATGGGAGTGCTAATATCTGTTAAAAACCGCTTCATCTAGAATATTTTTTATATATAATGTAATCAGAAATAATGGTTGACTTCACCTGAATTCATTTTTGGCTTACTGTTTATACTAAGGAAAATATCTTACGGTCATTTGGTTTCAGATCTGTGATGTTATTTTAGTGGTCTCCTTTACTTCCATTTCTGTCAACTGCAACTAACTCTACTAGGTCACCAGCAGTGATGGGGAATCTAGGATAAATCAGCTCAAACATGTTCATCTCACACATTTTTCCAAGTTTCCTAAAATTTCTGGGTATTGTAAGCTTCCCAACTCATCTTCCTGCTTCCACACTTGCCCTACTACTATCTATTCTTAAGACTATCTAATGTGATTCTTTTAAATCAGATATTAGGTCTGTTGCACCAAGCATTAACCAGCACTCACTCAACTTTAGTTAGCAATGGATGTTCCTTCCTAGGAAATATTTGTCTTTGCCCAAAGGTGGTTTAGAAAGTCAATCTGAAGAATTTCACAAAGCCCTTTTAATATTTAGCAATATCCTTTATGTGCCTACTTCATAGTTTTTTTTTTGTGAGGATGACACAAGCTTATATAAAGTACTTAGAATAGAGCCTGACACACAGTAATTGTAATATGTGTTAATTATTGGATAATGTCTCTGTTCTTTTTACAGCCTTCCAGTCATTCCCAAATTCATTCATTCTAAATATAAATAGACCTACATAATCAGTTCCCTACTACTTCTCTGACTGCATGCCTTTCACTTGCCCCATTCATCCATCTTACTCTGGCCAAATGGTCTCCTTGCTCTTTCTCAAACATTCTAAGCACAAGTCTGCCTCAGATCCTTTCCAAGTGCAGTTTCCTCCGCTGAGAACATGCTTTACCCGGAGTCTGCATGGCTTGCTTCCTCCCTTCATCCAGATGTCTACTCAAATGTCATCTTATCAGCGATGACTTTGCTAAACACCATATGTTAAACTGAGTTTAAAATGTTCTATGGAAAACAAGAAAAGAAAATCTTTCCAAAGTCTAGCTGTATATATACTTTCTTCTGTCAAGAAGACTTTGTTTGCCTTCATGATTTATTCCATCTCATCTAAACATAGATAGGAGTGTGATTTTTAGCAATACACTGACCTCTTATCACATTTCCCTCTTCCTGGCTAGGCAGTGGTTCTAACCCAGAGCTCTGTGTCTCTGGCTGACTCAACTAAGGTCAATATCTGAACATTCTCTCAAATAAGAGGTGAAACTGTTATGTGGAGCAGGGAAGGAAGGGTGTTAGTAGTCTCTTATTTGTTCTTGAAATAGAGTATCTCAAAACTGCTTTAAAAAGAGCTATAACTGTCAGATGATTAGTATATTTTTATCAATTTATACCTGTAGAACTATGTTTACTTTAGAATTTGACATTTTAAAATCTAAAATGCAGATAAAAATAAAGTTATTTAGAAACTTTACGTATATTAATGTATATAAAATTAATTATAATATGTTTATATTTTATGTTCAGCATCTGAACATTAAAAATGACAAAATCTGGATTATTAGTTAAAATTTGCATAATATTAATTTCTTAGACATATCTGTCTCTGATGGAGCCACTGGTATTTTTATGAATATATTTATTTCAACATGACATCACAGTTTTTATTTTTTCTATAAATTTGCTACAATCATCTTAACATTTGTATTTTCAGTTACTAAAATTTAAATTGTTTACACTTCCAATTGACATTTTCCTGAAGAGCAGAAATTACTAATATGTGATCCAAAGACACCTGGAGATTCAGAATCCTTTCACAGGTCCTGTGAGGTCAAAACTATTTTTATATAGTATTAAAATGCCATATATCTCTATTTCTCATTCTCTTATGAATATATGATCGAATTTTCTGTAGGCTTTCTGACACATGGTATCACAGCATTTTAAATGCGATAGCTATAAAAATCCAACTATCTTCTATGAAGTCTGACACTTTGCAAACTTTTTAAAAATAAAGTAAGAAAAAATGCCACCCTTCACACTAAAAATGCCACCCTTCACACTAAAAATATTTCTATATTTTCTATGGAAATATACAATTTTCAATAAAAATATTTGCGTTAACATGTAATAGGTTATTTAAGATCAATGAATATTTAAATTTGTGTTTTAGTTTTTAATATAGTAAATACCAGTGGATATTGCCCACATAAACAAAAGTCATTTGGAGCATTCAGTACTTCTTAGGAGTGCAAAGGTGTTATGAAACTTAGAAAGTTTGAGAATTGCTATTGTAAACTATAATGGTTTATCTTAAAATACCTTCACTGCAAATACTGATTTATCTAATAGGTATCAGAACAATTTATGCTAAATGAAAGATGTCTTTAGTTATATTTTATATTGAAATGTGTGAATATTTAAGCCTAAGCCTTAGAGGAACAATCATTTTTATTCTCTTTAGAATATTTTCTTTGGCAGATATTTTATAAGACAAAATTTATTGAACAAGTTGTTTTTGTAATTCTTTTAATTTTTTTATGTTTCAAAAAATTGATTTTATGTAATTTTTATATTATATTTTCAGGGTATTTAAAAGCAGAAAATGATAATTATGATTTATTTATCTGAGAGGTGAACAGGATACTATATTATGTGCAGTAAAAAGAAAAATTCATATACATTATATATATATATATAAAATATTTTTGAAAGTGATAAACATTTATTCTGTGGTTTTCACAGCATCAGGAAGGGAGGGGGAAAACTGGAGAGGACCTGTGTGGGTGCTGTAGGGACTCCTGAAGGCTTCTTTCTGGTGGCTGGAGGGCATAGGTTGGGGAAGTAGTTGAGTTAAAGTGTTGTCCTGGAAGTTAATTATTTTGATAATTTTAGGTGTTGAAAAATTCTATACCTTGTCAACTTCAATCTTTGGTAGTATAAAAAATATAAGTTTCTAAAATTAAAAATAGTTCTTAAAAAGATTCTACAATTTGAGATAGGATAAAACACAATTAGAATTTAAAAATTAGAACACTATGCACAGTTAGAGATTTCTAATCTTCCCTTTCTGCTTTTGTGGGATAAATTTGGATACTTTTTTTGTAAACTCTATTTACATTTTAAAATGAATGAAATATTAAGATTATTTAAAGTAAAAATAAAAAATATTGTCTCTATGGGGGAAGATCATTTTAAAGCATGAACTAATCCTGCAATATTCTTCAATGTAATAGAGAGAAATTATCTTCATTCTTTCTGATATGATCCTGTTAGTTTTCCAGCAATAAATGAAATATATTTATATGTCCATTTTCATTATAGTAAGTTGGTGAAAAAACAGGAACATACTTTCTTCTGTGATTTTATAGTGATGTCTCAATCTCCATTACCAATCATTACACCATTTCAAGACAACCTCATTTTTTTCTTATCTTCATCCCCGTTGTTTAGAACTAAGTTCAAGATCTTGTCATCTATGTCCTGGAACTGTTGAGATAAACTTACAGCTTGTTTTCTCACTTAATGCTTCAGCACTCTAAAGTGTATTTCATCCCACATTGCTTTTGGTAAAATGGAAATACATCCACAGTCCTCCTCTTCTGAATGTTTATGAGATCTCTTTGTCATGTTCTTTAGTCTCTTCTCCATCCGCCTTCTGCTTTAGCCATACTGTGCTGCTTACAATTCTCTTGAATATATTCTTCTGAGGATGTGTTTTTTCATCGGAAGCATCCATTCCTTTCTTAGTGATGTCACCTGGAAAATTCCTACTCATCGTTCAAGTCTTTCAACAATCCTCCTCTGAGAAGGCTTCTCCAACTTACGTTGACAGAATGAGGTCCCATCCTTTCACATTTGCATAGTATATTCTATTTTCCTTGTTCATAGCACTTTTCACCTTGAACTGCAATTATTATTACTGATAATTACTGAGAATTTATTAAATTACAAACAATGGACTAAATACTTCATGTATTTGCATACATTACCTTCCTAAGTTCTCACAATAACCCAGTAAGGTATGTAATTTTAGTGTCTCCATTTTACAGATGAAGAAATAGGCTCAGATTAGTTGATCAAGCTGAGAACAAAATAGAAGTTATTGTACCGACGCTTTTCTTTTTCTTTTTTTCTTTTGACGGAGTCTCATTCTTTCGCCCAGGCCGGACTGCAGTGGCGCAATCTCGGCTCACTGCAAGTTCCGCCTTCCGGGTTCACGCCTTTCTCCTGCCTCAGCCTCTCGAGGAGCTGGGACTACAGGCCCCCGCCACCGCGCCCGGCTAATTTTTTGTATTTTTAGTAGAGACGGGGTTTCACCGTGTTAGCCAGGATGGTCTCGATTTCCTGACCTCGTGATCTGCCCGCCTCGGCCGCCGAAAGTGCTGGGTTTACAGGCGTGAGCCACCGCGCCCGCCCAGTTTTTCTTTTTAATATACTACATACTGTGCCTTTCCTAGGAGACTATGAATTCTTGAGAATAGGAACAATGTAATATTTGTATTCAATCTCTAGCCTAGCAGAGTGCCTAGCGTATGATGTATGCTTAATAAATATTTCTTGAATAAGTGAATAAAATACTTGCAACAAAATAATTCACTTAATTAGAATCAGTGTACCATGATAAATATCGTCTATCACTAAGATTTTAATGTTATTCTCTGACTGCTCTACTTTGGAATTTTGTTAAGGGATTTGCATTCTGAACACTTTAGCTTTTACGTGCAAAGAGTGTGAAGGCAGAGTGTTAGGTGATTATTTATTCCGACAAAATTTTCAAGCTGAGGGGATTCTGTGCCAATCTGCTACTCTAAGCTTTGCACTTTCAGATTCTCACTTGTGAATAGTATCAGGAATGCCTGAATAGAGGTTTGAGTTTCTGATGCTGTTTTGTGAAGCTGATCTGACGTTAGCAAGACAAAATACAAATGCTGTTTCACAATTGAATTTTTAAAAAAATAATTTGTAACCAGCATTATTTAAGAACCTATCTTATAGGAACTTTAAAGAGATTCAAATGGTCTTCAACTCATGGTACATTCAGACTACTAACTAATAACAAGGCTTTCAGATAAATATCTATTGTGCAAAGTGTGAGATCAAGATCAGAATTGCTAAGAAAATACTGAACAAGGAGTGATGAATTCTGATGAGAGAAAAGACTTTCTGTAGTGGGAGGCATTTGATCTAGATGCTGAAAAATGTTAAGGTTTAGTAGGTGGACAAGTGGGAAGGGCACTCTGAATGAACAGAACTCCACACACAATGGAAAAGAAGCAAGAAAGTTCAGGATACATTTGGGACAAGGACGGAACAAGGTATGATCAGAGTGTAGATGAAATGTGAAGAAATTAGATAGAAAAAAAGCATTTTAAGCTAACGAAGAAGTTGAGAGTGGAGAAATAAATATGGCAAATTATTTTCTGTATGCTGTGGAAATGTACATTTTTTGTTAATTTTATAATTACATGAGTTTTATTATCTGTGCCTTCATCAAGAGTTAACATACATGGTTTGCAAAATTTACCAATTTTCAAGAGGTTATAGTAAGGCATACGTAATCATCATTAACTGTTACCATTGAACCTGAATAATCACCATAAGATCTTTTAGTGTCATTGTTTATACACATTAGTGATTAATGTATGACTCTAAAACATAAGCTGAACTGTTTGAAATATTTTATGTAGTAGATTGAAAAGAATTGTCCCAGCTCTTTTTATTCTTGAAGAATGATAACAGTAAACTCCTTCTGGTTCTGTAACTGAACAAGTTACTCACCTTATCTTTGCTTTTGATTGTGTGTGTATACAAACAACACAAAATTACTTGCTTGTTGGCTTTGTGTTACCACTATTAATGCCAATGGGGGAAAAAAAACACGTGAAAGCGTTGGACAGGCCATAAATCATTATAGAAATTGTCCATATCATTTTTCAGGAACTTAGTAAATGGGAAAGTATCCCCATGTATTTTATTATTTTGGAAAGATAAATCTAAAAGTCTTTTACATTCAGTCTTTTAAATTTTAATCCTTAGCCCTTGCCATTGAAGCCTTTCTACATTCACCCATCCGAGCACCTGTTCCACAATGTACCATGCCTACCACCAGGCTTTAAGGTTAGAACAATTAACAGCAAGCAGCCTACTTTATCATGCCAACAATGGTAACAAAATCAGCCAGGTGATTACAGGACAGAACACAGGGGAAATGACTAGAGCTGTGCTGTCTACTACAGTGGCTACTAGCCACATGTGGTTTCTTAAATTAAAATTAATTAAAATTAAATAAATTAAAAATGCAGTTTCTCTGTTGCACCAGCCACATTTCAAGTACTCAATAGCCACTGGTATCAAACAGCTTAGATTTATAGACCATTTCTATCACTGCAGAAAGTTCTATTGAGCAGTGCTGGGCTCTCATGTTAGACCTGATTATATTACTAAATTGTTAAATAAACGTTTATCCTTTAGTCTCTCTGGTCTTGTTTTTCTTTATACAACATGTGATAAGAATAATAACATTCACTTTACTTACCTTAGGGAGCACACAAATGTTAAGCAAAAACACTTTAGCATTCTCTCTAGAAGAACACTACAAAATGTCAGGTATCTCTGTATTATTTTTGGAGGGCTCATGAGGTCAATGAAAAGCTTTTGAATTCTTAACTAATTTTCTTTAAGATATGCAGCATTTCCATCTTAGGTGGAACAGTTTTGATACTGTTGATGTAGAAGGCACCACATGACTGGTATTGTGCTTTCCCAACTCTTCCACTGGGAAGAAACAGCATTTTAGCTAACCTATGGACTTAACATTGAATAAAACTGCTAAGAAATGACCAGAATATGAACCTAATTTTAATGAAAGGAGAACAGCAGGTTGATAACCATTCTTTGAACAGTAATTTTATCTACACCATTTATGAACCAAAAGACTGACATGAAATATAACGTGTTAACATAAAACATAATATGTTCTTTCAGTGGTGTTTACAGAAGCTTATTCTCCATGCAATGGTCAGAAGACATGCACATTTAGGTAAAATACTTCTCTTAAAACATTGTAAGACGAGTTGCTACATTACAAAAGTCATATGAAAATGACTGCTTGAAATATCTTTAGCATCATAAAGCACTCAATTGTGTGATTCTTTCACAATTTTTCTTTCTCCATTAAATGACATTTTGATTTTTTTCACCATAAATTACATGATTCAGCAGCATGGATATTAGAATTAAGTATCCAACATAGGCAATGTTGATATTGTGGATACCAAGGAGATGTGCTTTTCTGATAGCGACTGGCCACAGCGCCCCATGGAGCACTGTGGTAGTGCCTATGGCAAGGACAGAGGAAACAAATGAAGGTGGAGGCTCATGTGGTTTTATAGTTTAGAAGAGGTCAGCCTATGTGACTTTAACAGGCCATCAGAGTGTATATATTTGGCTTACATTTCTGCTTCGTGTACCTTCTTTTGCTTCTTTGAAGATACTGACTTAAGAAAGAAAAAAACATGATAAAGTAGGCTGTTGAAATTTAAAGAAACAAATTAGTCATTCTCCAGGTCTTATTCTGAGAGCCTATTACCTGCCCAATTCTATGGTATGGGATTTTAATCTACTGGCATAGATGTGTGTGTATGCATATAAGTGTGTGTAGATGTGTATACACTACAATGAATGCATGAATTTTTAAAAAGTGGAATGTTGATAATTGTGTCTTGATCCTTTCTCTTTCCTCAAAACCCTCAATCCGCAAACAATAAACACGAGTCTTACAAATTGCAAGGTACTGTAATAGGCTGCAATAAATTTGATCTAGAACATCAGGGTTTTTATTTCACTATCTTTGCAGAAGGATAAATGAAGGTAATTCAGAAACATGATTGCTTTCTTCACTCTCTATTCATTTTATTCATTGCATTAAAGATAGTTTAACATTATAGAAAGTTTAGAAAAGAGAGGGGAAAATCCTCCATTATCCAAACGCTCAAATATAATAACTATTAAATTTTTATTTTTCTTACTGTCTTCTCTATATTCCTTTTAGAAGATGTTTTACAGATAAAAACAATTATGGGATAATGGATGGAAATAGACATCTGTTCCTGTTTTATTTTCTCTTTTTTTCTCATTTAAGAAATGGAAATGATTGCCCAAGGCTGAAAATAAATTGTTCTGATTTATTTTTAAAATGGATACCCATTGTTTGATTTCCTCTATACATACATATTGAGAGAAAAATAAAAATACTGACATCATCAAAAACCCTGTGACTTTCCACATTAGCATTCCTGGGGATTAAAAAAAAAAGCTCTCTTTCTGCATTCACCTTTTTAACTTACTATGGAATTTACAAGAGGTAGTAGGCGGTACTGAGAAGTTAATGGTAGAAATTTTTCTTTACGTTTTGGGGTATGAATTTTGCATCAGAACATTCAACCAATACTCATTGAATGCATACCAATACCATTTACTCTACAATTTACCAGCAATGAGACAGTGAAAGAGGGAGAAAAACCCCACTCTTGTGCAGCCTTCAGGCTAGTGTATGAGACATACCAATTAACAGGGATTACAATCTATACAATGCTACTGAGTAACAGTTGGAAGTTCAGAGAGCTATATGGGCACATTAGAGAGTCCAGGAAGTCATAAAAACGTTTCAGTGAGGAAACCTGAAAGATGTATAGGAGATTTTCAGAAAAGTGGCAGAGACTGGGTATCCCAGGAAATGGGGACAGGGTGTGAGTTAGCTTAAAGAAAACGCAGAGAACATTGTGCATTATAGCAATGTGTGTGTGTGTGTGTGTGTTTGTTTGTATGTGCACATGGTGGAAGAGAGCGAGACTTTGCTGAGAGCTGACACCTGAGAAGTTGGCTGGGACATGAGTTATATGGAGAAGAGTGGCAGGAACAGAACTGCATTTCAGAAAGATAATTCTGCCTGAAGTATCTTCTTTGTATCATAAACAAAACAGTGACCAGAACAGTCAATATAGAGCAGTCAAAAGCAAATAGACTGAATGAAACCCGTGCTTGAGAAGTGAAGTAATGCATAGTTTCTTTAATAATGTATAAATACACATTGCACACATACATACACATGCAAACAGACATCCATGCCAGAATCAGTCATTAGTAACTATGATGACATTTATTATGCACTTAATATGTGCCAACAATTGTACTTAAAATATCTTTAGCCTCACAACATCCTTGCACTATAGACGTTGTTGTTTACAATTTATAGAAAGAAAACTGAGACTCAGAGGGGATAAGCAAGTTGCTACTGTTTCTCCTCTGTTAAATAGACAATATTTCTCTGAACGAAAACTCACACTGTGTCTACCATACTATGCTCTTTCTCTATTGAACTGTCAACCCAAGGGAATAATATGAGCCATTGTTGAGATTGATAAATTGGAAAAGCAAACACAGGACACATCAGCTCTTACCGTCCAACACAAAATAGAGAGTTCAGCAGGCTCAGTGGCAGACAGGCCATATAACCTGCACACTTGCAAGGAGGCCCAGAGCTTCCCGGTATGCGAAAGTTCTTCCCCTTTAACTTCTCATATCTCCCAAAATCTAATTTGTCAATATCCCATTTAACCCTAGAATAATTTTCTTTTACTTCAATCTTTGTTCTTACCTCATAGTTCTTACAGTAAAACATTGTAAAAGCAGAGACTGTTCTGGAAATGGAGTTGATTCTGAAAATGTTAACCACTCTCTTTCAGGTTTCAATTCAGCACAGTTTTTCCTGCATAGCAGAAATGAAATACATAGACCTCTGTTCATTGCTTTAAAAACTAATGCATATACTCTCTGTCACACACAGATACACACACACACACACACTCTAATCTGCCATTTGAGAAAAAGAAATTGTCAAGTAAAAATTCCTAGACTGATTTTTCTCTGCTAAATAAATTCATTTTCTGGTTTCTAGTCTTGGTTTTTCCCAACACTGATGGTCTCATAAAACTGGAGTATAACTGCATTTGATTTATACATTTATACATTTACAATTTCTCTCACAAGTAGTATCTCCCTTGATCCTAACGACAAACCTGTGAATTAGAATCACACTGGAATTTGGGTCAGACATGTGAGGCAAAAATTCTTTTCAATGATAACAATAAAACTGGTTTTGCTACAAAATAGCTTTTTGGGTAGCTACTCTCACAGCAAATAATGACAGAAGGAGAGCGTTTTCTTGCAATAAGGAGAGGATAATATTTTGGAATATCTGGGAGGACTCCCTGACAGCTTTTTGAAGTATTTTTTCTAATTTCTTAGTCTTGCACTTCTTTTTGCCATTCTAATAATGAATTGTCACATGTCAAAGCATCTCACTTTATAGAAACTTGTATTATTTTCAATAGTTTTCACATTATTTCTAGTTCTGTTTTTTTTTATTCTTATCATTAACATTTTAGTGCAAAAATTTAAGAAGGTATTTCTGAGTGAAAACAAAAACTAAAATTTTCCCAGAGAATACCATTGGTATTGTCTTGCTCTTTTTGACTTATTTCCCTCTCTGTGCATATGTTACACACACACACACACACACACACACACACTTATCTCACAAATATCTCTTAATAGGTTCTGTTTAGAAATATTTTCATTTACCTATTTTTTTTCAATTAACAGTACAGCATAGAACATATTCCTGGTATTTTTCTAAACACAGATACAAAATGTAAATAATAAAGAGTAGTTGCCCTTAATGGTGTCTAATAGATAACAAGGAAATTCGGCCGGGCGTGGTGGCTCACGCCTGTAATCCCAGCACTTTGGGAGGCTGAGGCAGGCGGATCACGAGGTCAGGAGATCGAGACCATCCTGGCTAACACGGTGAAACCCCACCTCTACTAAAATACAAAAAAAAAAAAAAAAATTAGCCAGGCTTGGTGGCATGTACCTGTAGTCCCAGCTACTCGGGAGGTTGAGGCAGGATAATCACTTGAGCCCAGGAGCCAGAGGTTGCAGTGAGCTGAGACTGTGCCACTGCACTCCAGCCTGGGCAACAGAGCAAGACCCCACCTGAAAAAATAAAAGTATTGCATATTGATTACATTGATGTATATATCATTTTTGGCTCCTAAAATACTGTTTCTAATGATTGTATTCTTATTGTATAGTATGGGTATTGAATAAAGTTTTTGCTATTTAAAAATATTGCAATGAGTATCTTTGTAGATAACACTTTTTATGCATTCATAATAATGTTCAAAATAATATATTTCAAAGATTTCCTTACGTTTTGCTTTAACTTTCTTTAAAAATCTATGCGTTATTATTTTTACATTTGGTATATTTTAACAACTAAACTCTTACTTCATAAATTGCCCATGGAACACTGCCTCAGTCTCAATCATTAATCTGGTCAATTACTTGAAGTGTTTCTTCAACTAGGATAATATTTCATGGTTGTATGTTTTATGGTAAAATATGTTCACTTAACAAATATTTAGTATACCTACTGTATTTCAAAACGACACACAATGGGTATGTAATGGGAATCAAGTAGAACAATGTATTGCCTTCATAAGAATTACAGTAATGAAAGAGACATACTGAACAGGCAAGTGCAGTATAGTGTGAGGATTCTATTGATGGAAGATATCCAGAGCTGTGGGAGCACAAAAGTAGAAGAGCACAACAATAAAGGTGAAACAATTGGAAGAATGTGAGCTCATGGTGAAACAAAGTTGGCTCCCTCTGGACAACACCTGGACTAAAATCAGGGTTTGATGCCTTAGGCACTGTACTTTTATTACATAATCCTACTCTTAGTGGTCAGAAACTGCTTGTTCATCTAGGGGAGTGGCTTCAGAGCACAATCAGAAAATCAAGTATCTGCACATCAACCTTCTATCTAGACAGTAAAGAGGAAACAAAGCAAGCCATTCTGGGCTTCATGTTTAGTTGGGGCACACAGTAATATCTTTCCAGATGTAAAATTAGGAAGTGACCATTTTTTGTTTCTCATCTGTTGCCTCTTTTGAACACAATTGCTCTTCATTTCTGCTCTTGTATTACTTTATTTGCACTTGCCTTTAATTGCTCTTCTTCCTTATTTGTATTACTTTCTTAGGTCCATATCTTATCCTTTTATTGTGCATTTTGAATTGTTTTCATAATTAACTTTATTTCTTTGGAAACTAATATTTGCACATAATAGGAGAGCAATAGCTTTCTTGATTTCATATTTTCTTTTGGAAATTAGTTTATTTCTAACAATGAAAATAAAAAGGGTGTGTGCATGTTAGCTGGACAGAATACAGGAAAACAGGAATGATCTCCATGTACCGTCATAAAACTTCTACGAATTTTATGAATTCTCAAACTTGAACCCTTGCATTTCGCCAGGTTAGACCTAAGTTAACTGGGAAACATAATGCTTTCTTCTGTTAGGTGAATTTCATAAAGGTGTAAAAGAAGGATATAATGTGACCATTTCATTTTTCAGTATCGTTGGTAAAAATTTATTTCTAGTCATTAGATAACAGTGGAAACTGAAAGCAGCATGCCATCCTTGAGCAAAGCAGTGAAACTGTAGCCACCTGTCTTTTGTGAACCACACTGGGAGCTTAATTAAAGGAACCTGCACCTGACTCAAACTGGTTTGAATACCAATAGCTGATTCATTAATTGCAGAATAAAGTTCTTAATGCTTTAAAACACTAATATGGGCAGTAAGAATGTTTATACCAGTAGTTTTCAATTAACATACAGAAAAGCAGCTTTTTTGTTTTCTTTCTTTTAAGAAAAGGACGGTCATACAGAAAGCCAATATGTAAAACAGATAAAATCGGGACTTCTCTGGCTGAGATTAGGTTAGGTTGTCCCAAGCTCCCCTCCCTTCTCCTCCACCTATCCTTTTGGCCTCCATTTTCCTGCCACTCTCCCAATCACCTCTCAGGCATTTCCATGAAAGCTCTGTTTCTGCTCATCACATTTGAAAGCCAACCGCTACACTATCCAATTTGCGACTTCTGACTCCAGAGCTTGTTCTTACAAGTAAACAGTTGTTTCCAAGGGACATCTTTACACTGTGGAAATTATTTATATTATTAATAGTAGTATGAGGAAAGATGATAAGACTTCTTGAACTTTAAACATAGTAGATATTTATTTACTGCTTTTCCTTTAGCTCTGAACAAGGTTGTTCAAAAAGGGGAGAGAAGCCCTGGTGACCCCTCTTCCCCAACCCAGTAAAGTGGATTATTTCTTCCAGTCATAATGGATTATATTATTTTATTAATCAACTAAATCTATACCAACAGATAAGTGGGTAGTTAGCAAATATAATACTTAAAGCCAGAGATGGTGTTTGAATAATGAGTTCACCAGGCAAAGATTAGAGAGGGATAATAGGGAAAAAAAAAAAACTAACAATGCAAGGACGCAATGGTAAAAAGAACACGTTTTAGGTACCTAAACCTCCATGATGTGTATTTGTAAGTACAACATTTGAGTCAGGAGGTGAAGCTTGTGGGTGACTTTATTGTCCTAGTGAGGATTTTGCATTTATCCCTATGTGGAAGGCATTGGCAGGCAAGTAAATATGCTTTTTGGAAATGTTGTTTAAAGTAACCAGAGTTAACTCAGCAAATATTTCAACAGAAAAAAATGAGCATACCAAAATAGAAATTTCTATAAACATTAACATGCAAGAACAGCAAAATATTAATGCAGGAGGTAGGATAAAATGGGGAAATTATTTAAGTCATGTGAGGCCTAATAAGTGATACAGTAAAAGGGAATCTTTTTTTTCACAATTCTCATTGCAACCTCTCATTTACTTACATTATTAAAAATTTGGTCTCTAATATGTTTCCTAGTTCTTTGTTTAAAAAATTCAATATGTTCAATCCATTTTTAAAGCCAAAAAGCTTTCTACTGATAGACTTGTTAGATTCCTCAGTGAGTCTACCTATGCAAAGATTTTCCCCATAGGTAAACATTCTCATTGATTAAAGCACAAAAATAATAAAGCAGTTAGAGAATGGCTCCAGGAGATAATGTTTCATTGACTGGTGTTCTGTCAGTAATGTGAATGCCATCCTGTTCTCATTTTCTCCCTGAACCCTGTAGGGAGGCCAGATTGAATAAGTAACCCCCACAAAAGAAAGAATTTCTGAAAATGTCAAAAACGCAAAACGTAATTTGGTCTCTAAAATAATTGATTACTTTGCATGGACAGATCCAGAAGAGAGGACATAGAAAATTTTTCAACTGTTTCTCCCATTCACCCCTACTCTAGTAGTCCTCTGTTTCTATTATCGCCATCGTTATGTCAGTGGGTACTCAATGTTTAGCTCCTACTTGTAAGTGAAAACATGCAATATTTGATTTTCTCTGTTTGCATTAATTTGCTTAGGATAATAGCATCTAGCTGCATCCATGATGCTGCAAAGAACATAATTTTAATGGGCACCTGGATTGATTCTATATCTTTGCTAGTGTGAATAGTGATGCAAAGAACATTCAAGTGCATATGTCTTTTGGGTAGAAAGATTGGTTTTGTTTTGGATATATACCTAGTAATGGGAGGGCTAGGTCGAATGATAGCTCTGTTTAAAGTTCTTTGAGAAATCACCAAACTGCTTTCCACAGTGGCTGAACTAATTTCCATTCTCACCGACAGTATATAATAATTGCCTTTTCTCTGCATCCTTGCCAGCATCTTTTGCTTTTTGACTTTTTAATAATAGCAGTTCTAACTGGTATGAGATGACATCTCTTTGTGATTTTGAGTTGCATTTCTCTGAAGATTAGCGATGATAATTTTTTTCATGTTTGTTGGCCTCTTGTATGTTTTCTTTTTAGGAGTGTCTGTTAATGTCATTCACTCACTTTTTAATGGGGTTATTCATTTATGCTTGTTGAACTGTTTACATTCCTTATAGCTTCTGGATACTAGACTTTTGTCAGATGCATAGTTTGTAGATATTTTCTTCCATTCTGACAGGCTGTCTGTTTACTTGGTTGATCATTTCTTTTGTTGTGCAGAAGCTCTTTTGTTTAACTAGATCTGACTTGTCAATTTTTGTTTTTGTTGCAATTGTTTTTAAGGACTTAGTCATAAATTCTTTCCCAAGTTTGATGTCCAGAACGGTTTGTTCTAGGCTTTTTTCTAGGATCCTTATAGTTTGAGGTCTTACATTTAAATCTTTAAACAATCTTGGTTAATTTTTGAATATGGTAAAAGGTAGGAGTCCAGTTTCATTCTTTTGCATATGGCTAGCCAGCTGATCCAGCAACATTGATTGAATAGACATTCCTTACCTGATTGCTTATTTTTGTCAATTTTGTTGAAGATTAGATGGTTGTAGGTGTGCAGCTTTATTTCTGAGTTCTGTTCCGTTGGTCTATCTCCCTGTGTTTGTACAAGTACCATGCTGTTTTGGTTACTGTAGCATTGTAGTATAGTTTGAAGTCAGAAGATGTGATGTATCTGGCTTTGTTCTTTTTGGTTAGAGTTGCTTTGGGTATTCAGGCTCTTTTTTTGTTCCATATGAATGCTACATTACATTTTTCTAGTTCTGTGAAAAATGACATTGGTAATTTGATAAGAGTAACATTGAATCTATAGATTGCTTTGAGCAGTATGTCCATTTTAATAATATTTATTCTTTTAATTAATGAACATGAAATGTTTTTTCATTTGTTTTGTGTCATCTATGATTTCTTTTAACAGTGTTTTGAAGTAGTTGTCCCTGTAGAGGTCTTTCACCTCCTTGGTTAGATGTATTCCTAGGCATTTTGTGTGTATGTGTGTGTGTGTGTGTGTATGTGTGTGTGTGTCTATTGTAAATGAAATTGCATTCTTGATTTGGATTTCAGCTTGAATGTTATTCATGTGTAAAAATGTTCCTGATTTTTGTACAGTGATTTTGTATCCTGAAACTTTACTGAAGTTATTTATCAGTCCCAGGAGCCGTTTGGTGGAGTCTTTATGGTTTTCTAGACATAGGATCATCTCATCCACAAAGAATAATAGTTTGAGTTCTTATTTTCTTATTTGGATGCCTTTTATTTTTCTCTGTTGCCTTGTTGCTCTAGCTAGCACTCCATTCTGTATTGAATATGATTGGTGAGACTGGGAATCCTTGTCTTGTTCTAGTTCTCTAGGGGGATATTTCCAGGCTTTGCTGATTCAGTATATTGTTGGCGGTGGTTTTGTCATAGCTGGATAATTGACAAATTTTAAGCATCCTGGTGAATTTCAGTGTTTGTTTTAAGCCCTTTGTAATCCAGTGTATTTTTTATAAGCTGCACACAACTGTCTTTCTTTAAAAAAACAGGTTATCTGGAGATCTAATGTACTGCATGAGAATTATAGTTAATAAAATTGAGTCATAAACCAGAAATTTGAAAAAAAAGGCACGTAGGTTTTAGGTAATTTTGCCATACACACACAAAGGGTAACTATATGAGATGATGGATATGTTATTAGCTTGGCTATAGTAATCATTTTACTATGTAAATATATATATCAAAATATCATGTTTTAAACTTGGAATATATTCAATAAAATAAAGGAATAATTTAACAACTATTTAATTCTCCCACTGTGACCCAAACACACTCATGCACACACACAAAGCTCCATTATGTTTCTCTCTTACTTATGAACATTTATTGGTTCTCTAGCATCCAAACTCCTTAGTTTGTCATAGGAAATTCCTTATAATCTGGCTTCTCTCTATTTTTCTGGCTTCAAGTTTAGCCTGTTTGCGTCTACATCATTTATTCTTTCAGAGTAAAATTCTCATTTCCCCCGCCTAATAAAGTCCTTTCATGAGGTCATAGCAACAACCAACTTATCCTTCAAGATGCAGCTCAAATGCATCTCGCTTTAGGCAACACAACTTTAGGATCATCTATTTGCTGCCAAACACTATTAAAGTGCCAAGCATTTGACACTGATTATTCATGTTTACTATTTACAACTTCTCGAGGTAAGGCTAGACATCTCCATTTCAGAAAAGAGAAACAAAACTGAGGGCCAAAACTATTAAGGGTCTGTGCTCGGTTGGTTGAACATGTAGTGAAAATGTGAATTTGTAGCTATGGATGCCAAGACCCCTATATATGGACCTCTACATTGCATACTGTAGTTTATTAGAACAAAAAGAGAGAAATCTGGATATATGAATGATATTGAAACCTATATGTTGAGGTAAAAGCAAATTCAATGTTATTAAGATCAACTCCTGTTCTTTTGCTATTTCTCCTATACTAAAACTACTTTTTGTTGCTGGTGGGAAGGAAAGGGTAAAGTCCTACAAGGCATCAAGAGTTCCCACTTGGGAGCTTGGTGTACATCATTAACTTATAAGGAAATTACAGAAGAAGGCGAATTTTTAGGAGAGGACCATAAGCTTTGTTTTTGTTTTGGAATGTTATGAGTGAGTAGCAGCAATATGCTTCCATAGATATGTACAATAGAAAATTAGCCATTACAGTCAGACCTAGACTTTCACATTTCAGAATTGGGAGCATTTCTATGTAGAAGAAATGGTGAAAATGATTATCTGAAAAAGATTATCTGATTGCTGCTAATTGTGAAGCTAATGTATAGAAGAGAGACTTGGATAAATTTTGTGATGATTTCTAGATGTCTGGAGAAATGTTCTGGAATACAGTCTTCACAAATGAAAGTTATGTTTGATTAAATGACTACTTTAAATTGTAAAACTGCATAGACATCAAAAGGAATTGCCTAACACATGACAGAAGACATAATGTTGGTCTTAGAGTTCAGTGGTTCTTTCCTAACGACACCTATATGAAGCCCTGTTAGGCAGAGTTCATCAGTTAATCTCTCTAAGCCTCAGAGTAACAACAGTTATTAATAACAACAGCAATAATGTACTCATATGGGACCACTTGTCCTTGGGCTTCCTAGGGGATTGGAAGGAATAAAGAAATGGTGCCATATTGGGGGAACAATTGAAGTTGCTTGCTTGATAGATGTTGTGTTCCAAAACTTTTGGTCTGGCATTCTACTTTGTATCCTGTAGTTTATTAGAACAAAATAAAAGTGATAGATCTGAGATAACAATGATGTTAAAACATATTTGTTGAGGTTCTATAAAAGCAAATAAAATATTGTTAAAATCAATTCAACTCAAAACTTCAAGGTAATTTCAAACTTCAGTTGTGTCCCATTTTTTTTTTAATTTAAACACTGTCATTTTACAGGGAAAATGACAAATCTAGGTCATTATATTATCAAATGAAAGCTCTTAAATGCTTTACTAAGCTTAAAAGTTTTCCCATAGGGCAATAGAACCATTGAAAGTATTCTTGTGTGAGAGGCTTATGTTTAATTTATGAATATATAATTTTAGGAAAACCTTTGAGGGCCATCAGACTAGAAACTGGTGTTGGCAGGAAGCAGGAAGCCAGTCCCCACTGCAATTTTCATGCCCAGAAGAAGGAATGGATGCACTTATCTGGGATTTAGGATGAATGAGACTCGTCAAATTGTATTTCCTGCTGTTCTATTTGTTTTTAGTTTGAAACAGACAAATTACACTAGAAAAGTTGAAAGAATGGTACAATATATACTCATATATCCCTCACCAAGCTCACCATTTGTTAACATCTTACCACACACTTCCCTCTTGCCAAATCATTTGAAAATACACTATAAATGTCATGACATTTCATCAATAAATATTAAAATGTGTATATTTTCAGAATGATAAAATTTTCTGACACAGCCTGAGAATACTTACAGCACAAGTCAACATTAATTTACTATCATTATACACAGGCCATACAAATTTCCCCAGTTATCTAAAAGATGTCCTTTATGGCTGTGTTTTATGCTTTGTCTTTGCATTTCTGTGTTTTGTTTTTGTTTTTATGTCTAAAATCCAATTAAGGTGTATATATTTGCATTATTTCTTCCTAGTCACCCTTCATGAAGCAACTGTCTTCCTCATGTGAATTTTTTTGTGTAACATTGAATTATTTGAAAAGTCCTGGTCCGTTGTCCTGCAGAATATCTTATAGTATAGAAAGGCCTATCTTCTAATGAGATAAACTTACACCTAAGATTTCAAGCAAGAATATGCTATTGGTGATGTTGTATGTCTCCCACATCATCGCATCAGTAGGTATATATGTGCCATTATTTGGTTAAGATTCTGACCATCAAATATCTCCATTGTAAAGGAATTTTTAAACTTTGTAAAATTAAAATTTATATTATGTTCCCTAACATTTGTTAGGCCAAATAATTGACTATAGTTGTTCTACATTTACAGTTGGCATTCTTTTTTGTAAGGAAGCTTTTTCCCGCTTTCCCTCCCCTCCCCTCCCCTTCCCTCTCCTCCTCTCCTCCTCTCCTCCTCCTCCTCTCTCCTCCTCCTCCTCTCCCCTCCTCTCTCCTCTCCCCTCCTCTCCCCTCCTCTCCCCTCCTCTCCCCTCCCCTCTTCTCTTCTCTTCTCTTCTCCCCTCTTCTCCCCTATTCTCGTCTCTTCTCCTCTTCTCCCCTCTTCTCTTCTCCTCTTCTCTTTCTCTCTCTCATTATTATGTATATATATGGCTTATTTCTTTAAGTTCAAATGTGTTATGTTCCATTAGTTTCATGATTATTTTTGATATTCAGAGTGTTCCAGTTTTGTTAATGGGGTCGCCTTTAAACTGACCTCTGTGTCTTTTTCACATGTCCCCATTAGACTTTGAGCATTTCTTTATTTTCTGGCACATTAAGGTGCTTCAGGCTCACCTTGTACTTTTATTTGCCTCAGTATGAAATAAGCAATTTTCAGAAAAACTTTGCTTCTTATTAGTATAAAATGACTTATACTAATTAAAATTAGTATAAAAGATCTTTGTTTAGAAACAAAGATCTAAGTTTGGAGTGTTTATTGCCTCTTGGTTGTTTCATTGTGCTTTGGCCCTTTTGATGATAGAGTTAGGGGGAAAACTGTGCGTATGCACTTAACACATTGTCACATATGAGTGCACATGTAAGTGTGTTCATACTGATTGCCTCAAATGAAATTCAGCATTACAAGGTTTTGTTTCTCATCTTCTGCCATTTGATATTTGTATTTCTCTGTTTCTATAGTGAATATTCTTATTTATCAAAATATGTACGTTTAGTCACTTTTTTTCAATATACTCAGAGTAGCTTCAGAATTGCATCACCAAGACTATTATCGGGAAATCAACTAATCAAAGTTCAATATTTTTTCAGTTTTTATTTTTATGCTATACTTTCCATAGGTTTATAGTCAACATGATGTATTTCAGAGTTACTTGAATTATTTTTTCCATATGTTTATGGAATTTAATGTTCCATTAAATTTTCCATATGTTACTATTTTGCATCATATTAGGATTATCTGTATTTATTTTTATTAAATTTCAGTTTTATTTTTTATATTAATTTTGAGTAGTAAGACATTATTGTTCAAAAGATAAAACTGTATAATGGGAGCGCTTTCTCCCATCACCATTCCCATTAAAAAGTCTTCTTTTCCCCAAGCAAATGACAAAAAAAAGAAAAAAAGAAAAAAAGAAAAAAAAAATTGTCCCTGGAGGCTGAATTGCTTTTAAAAGGTCTTCCAAAAAAAAAAAAAACCATGAACCTGGGATGAGATCACACTATGTGAGATGATTTCAAATCAGGAAAAAAATGGGCCACTTAAATAATGTTGCAAATAGATGCTAGAACACAAAGAAAATTAAAATTGGTTTCTTCTTCAGAGTTATGGAATATATCACCTAAGGCCTGGGCACTAATAGAAGACTGAATCTGATTCATTTGGGCAGGCGTATTTAATTTTGTGTTAAGAACCCTGACGTTTAAAACTAGGCCACTAAGGTGTGAGAGAAATCAGTAAGCTTCATTGAATGATATTTGAGCAAGATAACACATAATATAAAAGACATTCTACAATCTGATTCCTTTTATTACTGAATTCTTCACTCTTCATGTTATATACTTTGATCTTTCAACTACTGCCACCCCAGCCTATGTACAGTTATTTGCACATGGTCTGCTGCTTCTCACTTCTGTACTTTTAGCCATTGTTTGCAATGCTCCTCTGACTTATTTTTTCAACTAGGAAGCTACTACTTCTTAATAGAAGTTTTTTTTAGACATCAGGTACTTCTTTCCCTTTTCTATTTCTCAACATTTGTTTATTCATTATGTACTAAATGTCAGGTGTGCTCATATTGTTTCGCCAAACACGCGCACACATACGTATTAGAATATTATTATTCTAATCATATTGGAATTATTATTCTAATCTAGTGTTGTGTTCGCTTATCTGTTTTTAAAATGTGAGCTACTTGGTTTAGGATAATGCTGTACATGGAGTTATCCGGTAAATATCGTTAAAAGGCCAAGTGAGAATTACTAAAGAAAAATGATCATGATTTCTTCCTTTGTTGCCCACATATGCAGCTAAAATACACACATTACAACTTTTAAAAGTTTTTTGCTTCATTTGGCCTATTTTTCTCTACTGTTATCTTCAGGAGCCATGATAGGATAATGTTGGTGCATCTGGTATGTTTGGGTTTCATGAAAATATGATTAATGTGGGCACCCTTGTATCACTTGATTAAAAATTATTTTGCATTATAAAAGTATTATTTTAAAGTAAGCACACCGGGTACCAAAGTTCTGGTAGTTAAAAACAAAACAAAATTGAGTAAACAATTAGGCCTTCAGTGGTGAAATTTAGAGAATAAAATTTGAATATATATTTGGTGATCTCAAGAGAAGAGAAATTATTTCAGATGTGCCAGAATAAAACAGAATTCTTGAGTCATCCACAGATGAATTAGTCATAAACTAAAAATATAGAATATGCAAAGAAAAAGGAAAATTATTGCAGAAGATAAAAAATAGAGCAATTGTGAATTTAAAATATACTGCAATCAAGAACATTTTAGGCAAATATCAGTAGTGCAGAAAACAGTACAAATTCACAGTTATGGAGAGAAAAGAGAATATGGACTAGAATCCATCCTGGAACATGTTAATGGAGACAGTTTGTTTGATACCATCTTGAAAGATGCAAACCTTATATAACTTAGGAAATCAAAAATATATGTAAGCTTTTCTAAATTTGGTGCTGATATATAGATGTAAAAACATAATCCAATTTTAATATTCGTTAAAAAAAGACATTCAAATGAATGACCTACTTTTACTTGAACCCTGTTATGTGGAGGTGAGATGAGAAGACAGTGAGTAGATAAACAGTGTTTGTGCAGAGGACCCAGTGAATGAGAATGACTGGATTTGGTTCTACTGCTTGCTGAATATGTAACTTTATACAAATTACTTGACTTCTCTGGGGTGTACCTTCTTCTTTAAAAAAAAAAAATGAAGTAATACCTCATAAAAATATTGTGCGAATTAAAAGTATATAAAAAGAATTAGTACAATGTTTAACACTAAATACAGACCCAATAATTATCTTTTTCTTTTTCTTGTTGAATGTCAGGCTCTGTTTCTTAAGTAAATTTTCTAAATAATGGATATATAGTCCTTCGTGTATGAAAAATATAAAAGATGTCTCTCCCATTTAAAATAACAATGTATTGCTTTAAAACACAAAAATCAAAGTCATACTAAATACTTTCTTCTCTTCCTAAGAGGAGTAAAATGTGATAAGGCTAAGAGCTTCTTATCCAGCACACTTCTCATTATAAATATTTGGTTCCTCCCAGCTTTCTTGACATACAACTGACAAATAAAATTTTATGTATTTAGTGTATAACATGATGTTTTGATATATTGATATATGTACACATTGTGAAATGAATAAATCAAGTTAATTGACATATCCATCACCTCACATAATCATTTTCCTTGTTGGTCGTGAGAATATTTAAGATCTAATCTTATAGCAATTTTCAAGTATATAATACATTATTTTCAGCTCTAGGCATCATGCTCATTATGAATATTTGTAATCACATTTTATTTTAATTCAACTGTGCTATCTAAAGTTATTGAATCATTACAACTGTTTGCCTCTTTAGAAAATGACAGTGATAGTGTGAGATACAATTTCATGCATTACTTCTCCTGTTTGCCCACATATCCACTGGCTTTGCTCACAGGTATTAGTATGTGAATATAACAAACACCTCTTCTAATTTTCTGCTTCTATTCTGCAGTCATCTTGGAAACTGGAGGACTGAATTTGCTTTAAAATTTGTCTATAAAATAAAAGATCCTCTACTGTATTTGAGGGCCTGGTGGACTCTCTTGAAAAAGACATGCAGAGTCCAACAAACTTGTGTTACAGAATTTGTTTGGAAACATTTTGTTTCCTTCTAGTTAAAAGACTGTATTTTGTGTAAATATCCAGCCATGTGAATGCTGGGTAAGAGAAACTTTACTATAATTGTTCTTATTTGGTTAATATGTTATAATACTACTGATAAATGAAGCTATGCAAATTGTTAGCAGAAAGGATGAAGGCTGTGTTGTCATTGTTTAGAAAATGAGAAATCTGTCAGATTTCAAAGTCATTATAAATGTTGAAAGAAGACAAGTAAAGCAAATATAAATACTGTATTACTTTATCTACTTCTCAAACTATAAGTTTTTCATACTCTATACAGAGAATATCATTACTAATATCATTTACTATTTATTTGACTTTAAGTACCATAAACGCCAGTATATGTGGTAGCATGTTTTATCCAAGAAATGATGAGAACATTTCCACATGTTAAGGTCAAACCCAGTTGGTCCCTCTGAGCTCAAATTAAGCTCAATACTCACCTTTCTTAAAGATTCCAGACTCAAATGAACTTGTTATAGATCACTTTGAGTTGTAGTGAGTTTTTTTAAATTACTCTCAACAATGCTACTTATTTGTTCTATAATAAATTGTAAATTATACCATAGCCAATATTGGAACTTCTCTTTGGGAATCTTCCAGCTTCTAATCTTTCCATCCTCCACTTCCTATACTTCAAAAACTAAAACAGCTAAGCCTAAAATACCATTAGCATTCAAAGTGATTACTATTTCATAAACTATGTCCAGGCTTTGCTCCTTTCTCAATGTTGGGCTGTTCAATTTTAATATTTCAATTGGTCCAAACAAAACTAACTGAAAGGGTAAAGTGATTGGGCTTTTTCAATGCCCTTATATCTTGGTGTTTGTTTATGAATAAATGGGTTAATGATATTTTTATTAACGTTCATAATGACTGTTTAAAGTTATCAGTTTAAAAATATTACAGGTAGGTATTTTAAACTTAGCTTTTTATCCAATTAATATTTCCATCCTTCATATCAAGTATTTGTTCTTACCATGTGTCTTGTTTAGTTTTATCAGCTTTCCTTGGTTTATGTTAAAAGATACTTTATTTCACATTGTTTTCCATGTTTTCACAGCTTTTCTTTATTTGACATAGTAGTAAACATACTAGTAAACAGAAGAAAGTATGAGAGATTATAATGAGAAAAAGCTTGATGACCCAGATAAATCTTACTGGTATTGGCCTAATAGTCAAACCTCTTTTTTCCTTTAATAAATGTTTTTATTTGTTAAGTTTTCACTTAGGCTTAAAACAATATGGTCATCTGGCTAATAATAATACTCACCATACATTGACTTCTTGCCAATTCTAGGCCTTTATTTAAATATTTATGTTGTTATTTTAAATCTCTTACAACCATCCTGCAAGGAAGATGCTAGTCAGATTAGCAACCTAAATCTTAGGGAATTTAATTATCTTGATCAAGTCACATAGCTGCTGTTGGCTGAGACAAGATCTGAGCGCAAGTCTTTCTGACACACTTTTCACACCTGCCTGTAGTCTTGTACCTGACTCCATTAATCATCAGCTTCTCCTCTTGGCTCTCTATTAATAATTAGAAAAATGAACTGTGGGATTTACTTTGTAGAATAATATGTGACAAAAGCATTAAAATAGATTTATTCTTGATGTCATCTAAATGTTGTCAAAGGGACTAGGATTAGTTGGGATTGTATTTAGTTTAATTTTTAATTAGTGTTACCCCAAATAAATTCTGTACTAATGAGGCAATATTCTCTTTTCAGAAATGTTTGACTGTATCTTTTTAAAAATCTTTTAACAAAAAATATAATTAACGGGAAATAATATATGAACAACCTAAAATGTGTGGTTTATAAATGAAGGATATCCATCCTGTAAAATATGTATTCCTTTGAAGGTCTTCAAAAAGAGTATTTCCCTTTTCATTCATCCGTTGAAGGAGTGAGGCTGGAACACGAGTCTTATCCTGTGCCAAGCTGCCTTTTGTTGTAGTGAGGGACTTTTGACCATCACACTCTTCCTAATGGGGGAAGTTTACACCTTGCTCATGGATTTTCCTAAAGAAATCTCTATTTAGAATCACAGTTGCTCATATTAACTAGGGCACTACCTTTGGGCCTAAGCAAGCAAGATTGATCATTCCTTCTCTGCCCCTTTTTAGCAATGTAACTTGCTCAGCCTCATTTCCTTATATGCAAAATAGGAAGTCAGTAATTGGAAGAGTGATGATTTTTATTTATATATAAATTATACACACACACACATACACACACTATTTTTTTGTCTTCATCTATGTGATCTTTCTTCACTATTCTAAACATTCTTGTCACCTTATACATTCCTTTTATTTTTGTCACTTTCTAACCTGAAAATTGACAGCCAACACAATTGCTTTGGAAGAGAACATGGGGTTGTGGAGAAAACTAAAATCAGGGTCTAAAAATCTCAGCTTTGTTGTTAGTGAAGTTGAAAGCTTGGTGAAGTCACCAAATCCTTATATGTCCTAATTTTTCTCCCATGGTATGGGGACATTAACAGTTTGATAGCAGATTTATAGTGTTCATGTGAGAATTAAATGAAATTGCTAATCACAACAGTACCTAGCACAGTGCTTGAGATATAATAGGCCCACAGTAGGCAATTGACAGGTATTAATTTGCCCTTTCCTGTTGCTTCACGAAAGCTTTAGATCATAGAATTTGGCAAACCTTATTGTCTATTGACGGCCTGTTTCTATAGTCCAGTGTTTTTCAGACTTAACTTTCAACTCCTTTTAAAAGAAAAACATTTGCCTGAAATCCTGCCACTAACTTATGCATTTTTATTATAATAATATTTAAAATATAAAACCATTGCATTATGAATTAGACCCTAATATTTATAATGTATATTCAATTATAAGACCAGAGCAAATTTTCAAATAAGGTTTGAATACAATTAAAATAAAATAAAATTCAAATAAAATCATTAAGTTAATGTGATTGAGGATGTTATCTTTCTGAAATTAAATCACGATGTACAACTGAATGTAGTACTGGATATACTTTTGCATTCATCGTGCTTCTACCTCACCATGTTATGTGGTGACTTGAGTCTCTTTTCACTTAAATTATTCAAATTTTTTATTTCAGCATTGGGTCCTGGTATGATTTAACCCTCACCTGGTGCAAATGCATCATGTAAATTTTGAATAGCCATTTGTATTTTCCTGAAAAATAACATGACAAATAGAGCAGCTTTGGGCACTAAAGATGTGCAATACTTAGTTATTAGGTTATCATCCGGAAGATAAGAGTTATTAACCTTGTTAGGTTATCTTTGAAATCAATTGACAGTTTGACACATTCTTAGAGCTCATTGTGAACTCTATTATCAAAAAATAGAGATCACAGCTTGAAAATCTTTCTGTATTAAAAGACCAATACAGGAATCAAGAAGAAGGCCTCTAGTAATTGTTTTGATGATTGTGACTTATCAAAATAGTAAAAATTAGAGAAGTGAGTTGTGTGGCAGTGTGAAATGAAGATTTTTTGTTTGCTTTTTTTTTCTTTTTACTTTTATGATGTTGAATCCCTTTTACAAAGAAAGAAAATTATCAGCAAGATAAAGACAGATCTTATTATCTGTCCTTAAAAGTACTTTTCTTTTTGCTAGTTTCTTAGGGTAAGTTTTAATTTTAATAGGCCCAGGTCTGGTTCACTTTTATATTTCCTTCAGTGTCAAACATATGTAAGAGATGTTCCAAGCCCTTTACTGAAGAAAGGAGTAATTTTATTATCTGCAGAATATTTTAAAAGATACTTTATTTTTACCCCTTGGAGTGATTTAGGTAGCCTATGTGAAAGCAAATGAATGAATTAAGTAACATTCTCAAACATGTGTGATTTCTTGGTTTCATTGATTTGAATCTAGAGCAGCAGTAAGTAATGGATAGAATTAAGATAGTAAAAGTTGACTTATGCAATTGTGTGGTGTTAGATTGATTTACGACTCAAACGAAATAGGTCTTACAAGTAAGACTAAATTGAATATGTGACATGGAGTGATAAATTGAGAACACTACTGAAAGTATTTAAACTTTTAAAAATTGAAGAAATCTGTCCAAAGAGTAGCACATTCATAGATTTTGAGAGATAAGATAGAATATATGAGCAGTTGAGATTGCTTTTAATTTGGTCTCAATACATCAGTTTGAAGTTTAGCAATGAACAGTAAGTCAGGAGAGTCCCAGCTGATGCAGCAAAGACCTTTCACCAATAGAGGAACTCCAGCTTATGTACTTTCACTTACACCTTCATTGCTGTTATTATTATTTTTTAATTATGAACTCTGCACTTAGTTAGATGTTACTTGAGGAGAAGGATAACACAATTCTGTTCCACTGGCAAATCAAACATATGCTTAGCAAAAAAAAAAAAAAAAAAAATGCCCCAAATATTTGAATTGCAGACCTGAGGTATTTTCTGAAAACCTCTCAATTTTTTGGAGTTTATTAAAAGATAGAAAGTAATATAAAGTTTAAATGTAAATTACTTATGAGTGACCTTTCTGAATTGCCCATTTGGAAGACTTGTCTCTGAGATGATTTAAAAGAATCTCAGATAGTGTGTTTTCCAAATAAAATTGATTTTTTAAAAGGTCATACACATGATTTAGAGATATGTGGGTCAAGGAGAGAAGATAACTAATTTCAAATAAAATGTTTACAGTTTAGGCGGTCTTTAATGAAATCCTACCAGGCATTTCGGCAACATCAAACATTAGAGACTTTATTTAATGAATCAACAGGGAACTGAAGCTTCCATGTTACACTGTTTTGTCTAGAGTGAATTTTAATTTGAAGTGAGCCAATGTGATATAGAAATATTGGTAACCTTGGAAAATGTCTACAGAACCCCTTCTTATTCATAAAAAATGATTTTTAAATTACCAAAATATCATGTCCTAAATATGACAACTCTTAATAAGTTGTTACATATATAGCTATTTATCTCTCTGTGACCATTCTGTATTTACAGATATAAAACCTGCTTATTTTTTATATATTTATATAACATCTTATTAATAACAGACACAACAGCAGATATAATAACTAAACTGGATTAAGTGCTCACTATATATGAGGAACTAGGCTAAGCATCACTTACACATATTATGAAAATTTCCATATCACTAGCTAACTATGTGCATATACACTGTAAGTTTTGATAGCTGCATAGTGTGTTATTATATGATTATAACTTTTTTAGCCAATAAACTGTTGTTAGGCATTTATGTAATTTCCAAATATTTGTGTTTATATATACTAACATAAGATTCTTTTTAATTTGTGCATCCAAATTTATTATGTCAGGATAAATTGTCAGAAGTATAATACTCAAACCAAAACATTTACATGTTCCTTTGAAATTTCATTATTTAGCTGTTGTATCAAAAGATAAAAAATAGAAAACAGGGAGGTTTTTGAAATGGATTGTTGAACTATAAACTCAGTAATCCCATGCTGGTCTATACACCCAATAAAACTTTGTGAGACTTCCTTCCCTACATCCTTGCTGACTCTGGTTTTATGTGTTTTAGTCTTTGATGAGACGGGTCAATCTTAAAAACAGTCAGGTTTATTTTATTTATGGATGCACTCAATTGCTACTCTTTCTCCTAATAGATGAGATCAAATATTAGGATATCTTAATTGATGAACCATGCAGTGTGTTTTCATGACATATATAATGTGTTTATATATCAGAGACAGTAGCGAAGATATAAATAATACTATCATTTTAGTTCAAAGGTGAACCATGAAAAAGCCTCAAAAATATTTCAGCCCACTTTCTTCATATACAGAAATAACAAATGGCAATATAAATAAGAAATAAGGTGAGATGTGACATCATCCACAATAAAATAATTCTCAGTTTATGATATAGAGCCGGTACAAAGGAAAAACAACAACAATAACAACTGTATTTTATCTCTTTTAGAGCCCTGTGTGGGGCTAGAAATTCACAAGTCTCTGTCTTTGCTCATGCTAGTTCCTCAACATGGTTTTCCAGCCCTGCTTTTGGTTTCTTCTTTGCCTGTTTACATTGTACTTATCAATGGGACCCAGATCAAAGGCTAGTGTCTGTTTGCACCTTCCTTAATCTCTCTAATTAGGATGATTTTTTTTTTTTACTTTGGTTCTTTCAATATGCTTTCTCTATCTTTGTGTTCATTTTAATTTTGCATGGTTAGGTGTTAATAAAGTCATTTCTCTCATTTTTATGCATATTCCTTAAAGTGGTATATATTTTACTCAATTATGTAGCATAATCAGAACTCAATATTACAGTGACTGGCAAAGTACATAAAATATTTGTTGAATAAGTAAGATGAAGTGTTTTATTTGTAATGCTTTTCAGATAGCATATAGTATTTGAAACTCATTGGAGAATCACTAAAAATGACACTGAATTATTTTCAGGAGAAGTTTTAAGCTTTTCATTTGAAAATAGTCATGTATTTACCTATAGCACATATAATAGCATTTAAAAAAACTCTCATTAAAAGAATGTCCTCCATTTTTATATACCTGTATATAAAATATAATTGTATAAAGCATGCTTTGTATACTTTCCACCTCTAGAAATAATAAAATCAGCAACTACAATCTCCCATTTTTTTTTAAAGAAAGACCTACTACACTTCCCTTCATCTAGAATTGAAATGGTTCATAAATCTATTTACTTTTGTTCTCTACCATTAAGGAGTTGGCAATATGAGGCCGAGTGTGGTGACTCATTCATGCCTGTAATCCCAGCACTGTTGGAGGCCAAGGTGGGTGGATTGCCTGAGGTCAGGAATTTGAGACCAGCCTGGCCAACATAGTGAAACCCCATCTCTACTAAAAATACAAAAAATTAGCTGGGCGTGGTGGCGGATGCCTGTAATCCCAGCTACTCAGGAAGCTGAGGCAGGAGAATTGCTTGAACCCAGGAGGCAGAGGTTGCAGTGAGCAACCAGAGGTTGCAGTGAGGTTGCAGTGATCTCACCATTGCACTCCAGCCTAGGCAACAAGAGCGAAACTCCCATCTCAAAAAAACAAAGAAGTTGGCAATATGAGGTAAAGTTGTATTTGAGGGCCACATGATAAAAGTTGCTTTCCTTTTTTCCTTGAATAATGCATCAGATAATTTACTTACTTATTTATGTATTTATTAGAGATGGGATGTTACTTCTGTTGCCCGGGCTGGAATACAGTGGTACAAACACAGCTCATTGCAGCCTCCAGCTCCTGAGCTCAAGCAATTGTCCTGCCTCAGCCTCCTGAGTAGCTGGGACTACAGGCATTCTTCACTATGCCAAACTAATTTTTTTTTTTTAATTTTGGTGAACACTGGGTCTCACTATGCTGCTCAGGTTGGTCTCAATCTCCTGTCCTCAAGCAATCCTTTCTCTTCCGCCTCCCAAGTCATTGGTATTACAGGTCACTGCACCCAGCACAAATTATTTTTTATCACTTTTCTTTACTTACATTAAGACAGATGCTCCTTTTTTGGCATGTCTTATTTTCTTTGAGCTTGAGAAACATAGGCACCAAAAAACGTTTGGAGAGATGACAGTTTTTTTCTGCCTAACAAATTTGACTGTGTACATTTTGATTTATTTCTTTGAAACACCAGTCTGATCCAATAATCTTACTTTAAAGCAAACTTGGGAAACAGCCAAACTAGAATCCTTGGTGTGCTTAAACAAAACCCAAGTGTTTGAGAATAAAACATGTATCACTTATGCATATAGTGATTCAGTCCAGATGAACTGGGAAAACTTGTTCTCATTTTTTTGAGGCCTCTCTTGACCAAACTATTCATATGTAATTAGAAGCCACATATAGAGCTTCACTAATAAGTAATAAATGCATTTAATTTCATATTGTTACCTATTTTAAAAATGAAGAATTTGGGGGTCTCATTGACAAACATAAACTTAAGTTTACAAGATAATAAAATACCTTTGAATAATAACACAAAATGCTTAGTCATGTAAAGGAACATTAAGAAACCCAAATTCTGTTGCCGGACTTTTCGTTAGTATTAAATAGGCCATTAGACTGAACAAAAGCTTTTCATGATAAATTAGAATTGCCTTAGAGTTTTTATCTTGCTTTTGGATATATATAGGATAGTTTAAATATGAAAAACTAAATTTCCCAATTAAACATATTAAATGTATTTTTAATTTATGTATTTCATTCATGTTTAATAATAAAGATGAAAAGTAAATTGTATGTTGTTAATTGTTTAAATCTTGCTTTACAAAGCATATTTTTATTATTGGGCTTATTAATATTTAACTAGTTTAATAGTTTAATAAATAATTTTCTTTAAATGATAATTGAAGAACTTTCTTTAGTCTTAGTTGGGTACACCTATCCATGGGAGTGCAGGCTGACCAATAAGCCAGAACCAAGGACCTATCAGAGGTAGATTGTAGGCTCTAATTTTTGAGCAACAGTAGTGCCATGATTTGGTTATTATTATTCCAATTTCACATGATGAATTTGAATTTAGATATGTCAATTTACTTGACCACTTTTTTGGTGAGAGAAAGAGCAATGTTATCAACTTAAAATTGTCTAAAACTAAATCTCATATTCAGCAGCCAAAGTACCAAAGAAATAAACTCTTGAGTGTGTGTGTGTGTGTGTGTGTGTGTGTGTGTGTGTGTATATACACATACACATAGGTACAAACCAATAAGGGAAAAAAATTTCATCCATATTTCTTACTATCCATTTACTGCACTGATAACAAACAGTGTACATTTTAAAAATATGTTGGTATATGTTACACAGAAACTTATAAATTAAAACATAAAATCACAGACCCACGTTTGGAATATTTAATAAAATATCTAAACATTACACTTATTGAGCTGGACACAGCTTAGAATTGTTTGAACTAGTCCTTCCAATGTGTTTTGGCAAAACTTATAATTGTCATTTTATCAGTGATTGATTCAGAAAACATGTAGTGACCAAAAACTACAATAAATTTAAGGATATTTTAAAATGCTTTTGTGTTCTTGTAAATCACAGTAACATCACCACTCATTATGAATTAATAGTACATATATATATATACATATATACATATATATATATATATATACACACACACACACACACATATGATAGATTGTCAATCCATAGATGAAACTTGGTACACTTATGGATTCACAGACCCACAACTACTCTTTGGAGTTGCAGTTATCGCAACCCACAAGTGTGGAACCACAGTGAAGTAACTGGGGCCCACAGTAACCACAGATGAAGTAACTGGGGCCCAGAGAAATGATTCGCCTACAATTATATAACTGGTAAGCACCTTATTACAATTAAAACCCAGAATTCCTAAATGTTGGTCTTACGTACTTTTCCCTACACCAAAATTTCTCATCAATTTTGTTGATATCTCCTTTGAGAATCAGATGCCTTTTACCCCAGGGAAATGCATATGTGCCCATCCATGTGAAACGCTGCACATAATCCTAAGAGGGTTCACAAACCTTTTAGGGTCTACTCATGAGCCCCTGGTAATAACACCTGCCGAAGCTACCACCTTAATTTCTATGTTAAAAACCAAGGACAGGGTGGGCTACCGGGCCCTGCTTCTGAAGTTAAGTGACTGGGGGGGCTTTTTAAATCATATTTTTAAAGTGTACCTTTCCCTTAATTTTAACCAGGATCACTTGATCATCATAACGTGCATGTATTAATGGCTTTATTTGAGCTATTAATAATGTCCTAAAAAATATTTTTAAGAAATCTGAATCTCACTGTTATTTCTTTAAAATTAATTGAACACACACACAAACAAGAGAAAATAGAAACTTAAAATCCTTCCTGTCTATACTGGTGGCTTAACTTTGTGATGTTTTCAGTAGTAAAGCCAGCCTTTAGCTTGGAGTTCATAAGTATTGAGAAGCATGATCTTCCTCCAGAGAAAGTGCCTACCAATTTGTGTGGATTCTGGTTGCCAAGAGACAAAGTTTAGTCCATTCAAATTAAGTTCAATGGTCTAAAAATTGCCAATTTTATGATAAAATGCTATCTTTTGTGGTAGAAAATGTTTATTTAAAATATTTAGGCCTTTAACATGTACTCTTCTTTTTAAATAATGACAAATATGTGCAACTTTGAAATTGAGGGTTTTCTTTTACTTTATCTTTTTCATTTGTTTGTTTCTCATTCACATTGCAAATTCAAAATAATGATGCCAAACAGTCAAAAGAATCTAAGTCTGAGGTTTTACTTCTAGAATATATTCTTTCTGCCAGACATTCCAAAGGCTTTAATTTTAAATTCTGGGGTATTTGGCTACGTGTAAATAGCCCTAGAAGAATCGAAATAAGGCCAACAGGAGGAGGGAGCTTCCTGAACTATATTGACTTCCTTCTTTTTGGTTCACCTTTAGTTTTTGAGCATTCCGCTAAGTTCATCCAAACCACCCCAGGATAAAGAGGGTTTTCTTTATTTAAGATGTCATGAGGCTGACAACAAATTAGCATTGCATGCATTGAAGTTTTAGTCTCCTGAAAAGAAAGGCTACAAGAAAAGAAATTGGTCATAGCATTTTCCTGTGAATAGTTCAAACATGTAAATAGTTGAAATGTAAATATTTAACTGTTAGTTAAATAGTTGAAATATAATTATCAAATAATTAATTTATGTAGTCAAAATAGATGGACTAGATTCACTCAATCATTGAACAAGTATTTGCTGAGTAGCTCCCATAGATGTAAAGAGCCATTCTAGGTGTGCGATAAACAATGAACAGAACACAGAACTGCCCTCATAGGGTTAACATTTTGGTGGATCTTAGATTGATGTCATTTAAGAAATAGATTTCTCTATGATTTAGAAGTCTAGTTCCAATGGAGCATACTGTAAGATCTGGGAAAACAAATCAAAAACAGTCATTTTGAAATAAAATTAATATAGATTTGTAGAGATACAGGTGAAAATTCTAGCTCCAATGAACCAAAAGTTGAGTTGCTAAATAGACAAAGTAGTCTTTAAGCAAATACAAAGGTATATGTGAAGAGATAAAGACTGAATGGATGGAAAGGTCAAGTTTTATATGAACACCATCAGTAGATATATACGTAAGTTTTGTATGAACACTCTCTGTAGATATAAACTTAATGCCTGGATGATATCTGTGGCTATCATTTTAAAGCAATAAGTACTTATTTTACCCATAAAATGTTATCTTTCAACATGCTAGTGGTAATCACAGTGAATTTGTACTACTTTTCACAACTCACACTGTAGAAAACAAAGTATAATTTGAAATTTGACTTTAGAATAGCATCCAGGGGAGTCAGCCTGGTTTTTGATTTTAGAAGGATTTGGTTTTGAATATGGGCTCTGCAGACTGCTGCTTGTGACCTTATCTGTAAGACACAGAAGTAATGTATTCATTGAGAGTTTAGGGAATCAAATGGGAAAAGGTGCAGGAGGCACCTAACATAGTGTTGTGCATATAATAGCTGGTCAATCAGTGGCTGGACATTTGTATTTACAGGACCAGAATTTGGATTTCATGTGCTTGATTTAATCCTGGCTCCTTTAAGAGTGTACCTAGCTGCCTCCAGATATAGTAAAAGGGAAAGTTTTAATGGGCAGGAAAAGAAGAAATGTGCCTCACTTTTTTATTTTTTTTGAGACTGAGTGTTGCTCTGTCACCCAGTCTAGCGTGCAGTGGCACAATCTCGGCTCACTGTAACCTCTGCCTTTCAGGTTCAAGCTATTCTCATGCCTCAGCCTCCAGAGGAGCTAGGATTACAGGCATGTACCACACCCAGGTAATTTTTGTATTTTTAGTAGAGTTGTGGTTTTGTCATCTTGGCCAGGCTGGTCTTCAACTCTTGGCCTCAAGTGATCTGCTTGCTTCAGCCTTCCAAATTGCTGGGATTATGGGCATGAGCCACCCCAGCACCCGGCCAGTGCCACATCTTAGAACACTCTTGAGGTGCTTTTTGATTTTTAGGTAAGTGTTTAAACCCGTGTAATACATTACAATTGACTCAGTAAACTATTATCTATGCCTTGAAATTTGGATTAGGAACCCCTGATGGTGAATAAGGTTATGTTGTAAGGATGTGATATGTCAAATATCAGAGAGAAATACATGACGGGTCAGCAATTAAGTTGCTAATGGGGCCAAGCATAGTACAAAGTAAAGGCAGAGGATGAGGTGGGACTTTGGGAGATGAAGCTAGTTTCTAAGGAAAAGGAAAAAAATAAAGCAGCAAAAAGTAGTCAGTATCTCTGATCTTTTCCTCAACTCTGAAAGAGTAATAGCTCTTTTCTTGGGCACTAAAATCACATAGAGACACAGTGGCCATTTTATAAGTGTCAGTTATTTTATCATTATTATTTTTATTTAAATCATGACACTGTTGAGCTAATTAAATCCTTCCTGTCTATCTTGAGGCCAATCGATCATTTCTTTGCTTTGGTATCTATCTATGTTTCAACAACACGTGTAGTTATATATAACTACATAATTTTAATAAAAACACATGATCCTTATAACTCTTCAGGTTTTTTCCTAGCTGAAGTAAAACATCTGTGAGATATTTACAGCTTCCCTCCCCCAAAATGATTTTTTTAAATTTATTTTTATTGTGTATAGTTAATATATACAAAATGATATTTTGATAAACATATACATAGTGAAATGCTTACTATAGATAAGCAAATTAGTATACCCATCACTTTCCATAGGTGACTTATGTGTGGTGAGAGTTCCTAAAATCTACTTTCTTAGCAAATTTAATTATATAATACAATATTATTAACTGTAGTTAATAATATTATAATGCTGTACATTATAATATTAGATATCTAAACTTATTCATTTTACGTAGCTGCAAGTTTGTACATTTTTGACTTACATCTCCCCATTTTCTCTTCCTCTGTGTCCCTGGTAACTAGTGTTCTACTTTCTGTTTCCATATATTTGACTATTTCTTACAATCGACATGTAAGTGAGATCATGCAGTATCTATTTTCCTGTGTCTGGCTTATTTGACTTAGTATAATGTCTTTCAGATTCATTATATTGTTGCAAATGGCAGGATTGCCTTCTTTTTCAAGGCTGAATAGTATTCATTTGTATGTATATATAAAATAACAATTTATTTATCCACTGATGGACACTTGAGTTGTTTTCATACCTTTGTTACTGTGCATGATGCTGCAATAAACATGGGAATGTAGATCTTTCTACAAGGTGCTGACTTCATTTCCTTTACATAGATACCTAGCAGAGGTATTGCTGGTTTTATAGTAGTTATATTTTAAAATTTTAAGGAAGCTCCAAACTATTTTCCAAAATGGTTGTACCAATTTACATTCTCAGAAACAGTGTACATGAGTTACCTATTCTCCACACCCTGGCTAACAATGATTATTTCTTATTTTTTTTTTTTGATTATAGCTATACTAACAGGTGTGAGGTGATATCTCACTGTGGCTTTGATTTTCATTTCCCTGATGATTAGTGACATTAAACATCTTGTCATGTGTCTGTTGACAATTTGTATGTCTTCCTTAGAAAAACGTCTATTCAGACCTTTTGCCCATTTTTAGTATTTATTTATTTTTCCCTTTAATTTTTTTATTTTAATTTTTATGGGTATATAGTAGGTATATATATTAATATGTATGTGAATATATATTCATATGTATACTCACATAAATACGAATATATATGAATATATATATTCAGGTATACGAATATATATATTCATGGGGTACATGAGATATTTTGATACATGGATACAATGCATAATAATCAAATCAGAGTAAATGAGATATTCATCACCTCAGGCATTTATCCTTTCTTGGTGTTATGGGCATTCCAACTATACTCTTTTTGTTATTTAAAAATGTACAATAAATTGTTGAGTGTAGTCACCCTGCTATGCTATCAAATACTAGATATTATTCATTCTATCTAACTATATTTTTGGACTTATTAACCACCCCCCTTTTCCTCTACTCCCCACTACACTTCCCAGCTTCTGGTAACCATCATTCTACTGTCTACTCTATGAATTCAATTATTTCAATTTTTTGCCCCTGCAAATGAGTGAGAACATGAGTTTGTCTTTCTGTGCTTGGCTTATTTCACTTAACATAATGTCTTCCAGTTCCATCCACGCTGTTGAACATGACAGGGTCTCATTTTTTTATGCCTGAATAGTGCTATCTTGTGTATATGCGCTACATTTGCCTTATCCATTCATCTACTGATGAACACTTCGGTTTGCTTACAAATCTTGGTTATTTTCAATAATGTTGCAGTAAACATGGGAGTCTAGGTATCTCTTCAATGTACTGTTTTCCTTCCTTTTGGGTACATACCAGTAAAATTTCTGAATCATATGGTGGTTTTACTTGTAGTTTTCTGAGGACCCTCCACACTGTTCTCCATAGTGGTGGTAGTAATTTATATTCCCAGTCTTTTATATACTTGCCAGCATTTGTTATTTCCTGTCTTTTGGATAAGAGCCATTTTAAATGGGTGAGATGAAATCATATTGTAGTTTTGATTCACATTTCTCTGATGATCAATGATATTGAGAAACCTTTCATTTACTCATTTGCCATTTGTATAACTTCTTTTGAGGAATGTGTATTCAGATATTTTGCCCATTTTAAACTGGATTATCAGATTTTTTACCATTGAGTTGCTTGAGCTTCTTATATATTCTGGTTATTAATCCCTTGTCAGATGTAGAGTTTGCTAACATTTTTCCCATTCTATGGGTTGTCTCTTCACTTTGTTGATCATTTCCTTTGCTGTGAAGGAGATTTTTAACTTGATATGATCCCCTTTGTCCATGTTTGCTTTGGTTGCTTGTAGTTGTTGGGTGTTACTCAATAAATATTTGCCCAAACTCATGCCTTAGAGCCTTTCCCAGATGTTTTCTTTTAGTAGTTTTGTAGCTTAAGGTCTCAGATTTCAGTCTTGAATCCATTTTGATTTGATTTTTGTATACGGCAAGAAAAGAGTATAGTTTTATTCTTCTGCATATGGATACCCAGTTTTCCAAACACCATTAATTGTAGAGACTGTCCTTTCCCTAATGTATTTTCTTGACTCTTTAGTCAAAAATGAGTTCACTGTTGATATATGGATTTATTTCTGTGTTATCTATTTTGTTACATTGGTCTATGTGTCTGTTTTTGTGCCATCACCATGCTGTTTTGTTTATTATAGCTCTGTAGTATAACTGGAGGTAATGTCATTCCTCCAGTTTTGTTCCTTTTGCTCAGGATAGCGTTGGCTGTTCTGAGTCTTTTGTGGTTCCACATAAATTTTAGAATACTTTTTCTACTTATGTGAGAAGGTAAATGGTATTTTGATAGAAATTTCTTTGAATCGCAGATTGCTTTGGGTGTTATGGGCATTTTAACAATGTTAAATCTTCCAATCCATAAATATAAAATATTTTCACCTTTTTTGTATCATCTTCAATATCTTGCATCAATGCTTTTTAGTTTTCATTGTAGAGATCTTTCACTTTTTTGGTTTTTTCCTTGGGATTTTATTTTATTTGTAGCTAATGTAAATGGGATTACTTTCTTGATTTCTTTTTCATATTTTTCACTGTTGGCATATAGAAATACGGTTTTTTTTGTATTTTTATTTGGTATTCTGAAACTTTACTGAATTTATTCTAAAAGGTTTTTGATGGCATCATTAGGAGTTTCTAAATATAAGTTATCATCTACAAATGCAGATAATTTGATTTTTTCTTTTACAATTTAGAAGCCATTTACTTCTTTCTATTGATGGCTCTTACTAGGACTTCCAGAATTATGCTGAATAACAGTAGGGACAGTAGGCATCCTTATCTTGTTCCAAATCTTAGATCCAAGGCTTTCAGTTGTTGTTATGTTCCTTCTAAGCCCAGTATTTTTTTTTTTAAATGGAGTCTCACTCTGTCTCCCAGGCTGGAGTGCAGTGGCATGATCTCAGCTCACTGCAAGCTCAGCCTCCCGGGTTCCCACCATTCTCCTGCCATAGCCTCCAGAGTAGCTGGGACTACAGGTGCCCGCCACCATGCCCAGCTAATTTTTTTTGTTGTTGTTTTTTACTAGAGACGGGGTTTCACCGTGTTAGCCAGGATGGTCTCAATCTCCTAACCTTGTGATCTGTCCGCCTCGGCCTCCCAAAGTGCTAGGATTACAGGCATGAGCCACTGCGCCTGGCCTAAGCCCAGTATTTTGAAGATTTTTACCATAAAAGAATGCTGAATTTTATCAAATGCCTTTTCAGCATTGATTAAGATGATCATATTGTTTTATCCTTCATTCTGTTGATATGATGTATCACATTGATTGATTTGTGTATGTTGAACCATCCTTGTATCCCTGGGATAAATTCCACTTGGTCATGGTGAATGATTTTTTTTAACAATATTGTTTTTAATCACACTATTTTTAACACAGTGAGATTTCACTTTATTAAAAAAAAACGCAGTGGTCTTTTAAGTGTGGAATATTAAGATATTTTCAGGACTGAGGGTACAATAGATTCTATTAATTTGCTGATATCTCATTCACTTATAAGGAGGCCAGCTTTGAAAGCCATTATAACCTGCACATATATGTTTTTAAAAAATAAGAATGCCATACACTTATGTAGCACTTTTCCTGTCAAAGTAGATTTGTTCCTATTTTCCATTGGGTAATGTGAGGTGAGGCAGGTATTGTCACTGGGCTCTCAGAGAACAAGGGTTGATAGGTGCAGCAAACCACCATGGCACATGTATATCTGTGTAACAAACTGGCATGGCACATGTATCCCAGAACTTAAAGTAAAATGAATGATGTTTTTAATGCATTGGTGAATTTGGTTTGCTAGTATTTTGTTGAGGATTTTTGCCTCTATGTTTATCAGAGATATTGTCCTGCATTTTTGTTTTTTTGATGTGTCTTCGTCCTGTTTTGGTATCAGGATATTACTGGCCTCATAGAATTAGTAGTACTTCCAATGAGTTTGGAAATATTCCCTCCTCCTCTATATATTGGAACACTTTGAGTAGTATTTGTATTAGTTCCTCATAAGTGTTTGGTAGAATTTAGCAATAAATCCAGTGGGCCCTGAGGTTTTTTTTTTTTTGGTTTTTTTTTTTTTTTGGCTGGGAGAATTTTTCTTATGACTTTAATCTTCTTACTTGTTATTGGTCTATTTAGGTTTTAGATTTCTTCATCATTTGATACTGGTAATTTGTATGTGTCTAGGAATTTACCTGTTTCCTCTAGGTTTTCCAATTTATTGGCATATAGTTGCTCATAGTAGTCTACAATGATCCTTTGGATTTCTGTGGTATCAGTTGTAATATCACCTTTTTCATCTGATTTTAAAATTTTGATCTTCTCTCTTTTGTTTTTAGTCTGGCTAAAGGTTTGTTGATTTTTTTATCCTTTCAGAAAACCATCTTTTCATTTCATTGATGTTTTGTATTTTCCCCTGTTTCAATTTCATTTACTTCTGCTCTGATGTGGATTATTTCTTTTTTTCTACCAAGTTTGAGTGTGCCTTGCCCTTATTTTTCTAGTTATTTAAGATGTGTTATTAGGTTTTTTATCTAAAATTTATATGCCTTTTTAATGTAGGCACTTATTGGTATAAACTTTCCTCTTAACATTGCTTTCTCTGTATCCCATAGATTTTGGGATTTTGCATTTTCATTTTCATTGGCTTCATGAATTTTTAAAACTTTTGTTTTAATTTATTCATGGGCCCACTGGTCATTCAGGAACATTTTGTTTAATTTCCACGTGTTTTTATAGTTTCCAAAGTACCTCTTGTTATTGCTATTTAATATTATTCTGTTGTTCTCTGAGAAAACACTTGATATGATCTCATTTTCTTTTAATTTTGTGAGTCTTGTTTTGTGGCCTAACATATAGTCTATCCTTGAGCATGATGTATGTGCTGAGGAAAAGAATGTATATTCTGCAGTTGTTAAATAAAATATTCTGTAAATATCTATTAGATCCATTTGATCTATAGTGCCTATTAAGTCTGATATTTCTTTATTGATTTCCTGTCTGGATAATCTGTCCAATCCTGCAAGTGGGATGGTGAAGCCTCCAACTATTATTATATTGGGATCTATCACTCTCTTTAGCTCTTATAACGTTTGTTTTATATATCTGTGTTCTCTAGTGTTAGGCGCATATATATTTAAAATTGTTATATCCACTTGCTGAATTGACCCCTTTATCAATATATAATGACTTTCTTTGCCTCTTTTTGTAGTTATTGTCTTAAAATCTATTTTATCCGATATATATATATATATATAGCTACTCCTGCTGTTCTTCGAATGCCATTGGTGTGGGATATCTTTTTCCATCTTTTTTTTTTTCAGTGTATGTCTTTATAGGTGAGGTGTGTTTCTTGAAGGCAGCATATTGTTGAGTTTAGTTTTAATGCATTCAGCCACTCTATTTTTTTTATTGGAGTGTTTAGCCTATTATATTTAATGTTATTATTGATAAATAAGGACTTACTACTACCACTTTGTTATTTGTTCTCTGGTTGTCTTGGAGTCTTCTCTTCCTTCTGTCCTTCCTGTCTTACTTTTTGTGAAAGTGTTTTTCTCTGGTGGTATGTTTTAATTTTTTGATTTTTATTTTGTGTGTGTGTGTTTTTATATTTTTTAGGTTTTTTGATTTGAGGTTACCATGAGGCTTGCAAATAACATAACTCATTACTTTAAATTGATGACTACTTAACTCTGATTGCAAAAACAAAGAAAAACTAATAAAAACTCTACATTTAACTTCATACTTCTTGCTCTTTAACTTTTTGTTGTTTCTATTTATATCTTCTTATACTATGTATGTCTTTAAAAGTTGTTGGAGTTATTATTTCAGATAAATTTGTCTTTTAGTCTTCCTACTCAAGATATGAGTAGTTTACACACCACAATTACAGTTACAGTATTTTATATTTGTCTGTGTACTTATTTCCAGTCAGTTTTGTACTTTCAAATGATTTCTTATTGCTCCTTAATGTCCTTTTCTTTCAGATTAAAAACTTTCTTTAGGAAAGATCTGGTATGGATGAAATCCCTCAGGTTTTTTTTTAAATTAATTTATTTATTATTATTATACTTTAAGTTTTAGGGTACATGTGCACAATGTGCAGGTTAGTTACATATGTATACATGTGCCATGCTGGTGCGCTGCACCCACTAACTTGTCATCTAGCATTAGGTATATTTCTTTGCCAGGGGAATTTTTTTATTTCTCCTTCATGTCTGCAGGATATTTTCACTGGATATACTATTCTTGGATAAAAGATTTTTTTGTTTGTTTGTTTGGTTTGTTTTTGTTTTTTTTTTTTCCTTCAGCATTTTAGATAGGTCATGCCACTCTCTCCTGGTGTGTAAGGTCAAGACTTTAAGTCTGCTGCCAGATGTATTGGTGCTCCTTTGTATGTTGTTTCTTTTTTTCTTGCTGCCTTTATGATCCTTTCTTTATTTTTGATGTTTGGGAGTTTGCTTATTAAATCTCCTGAGTTAGTCTTATTTGGGTTAAGTCTGCTTGTGTTCTATAACCTTGTTGTACTTAAATATTGATATATTTCTATAGGTTTGGAAAGTTCTCTGTTATTTTTTTCAATATGCTTTCTACCCCAATCTCTCTTTCTGTCTCCTATTTAAGGCCAATAACTCTTAGATTTTCCCTTTTCATGCTATTTTATAAATCTTGTAGGCATGCTTCATTTTTTTTGTTATTGCTTTCCTCTGTCTGTGTGTTTTCAAATAGCCTGTTCAAGCACACAAATCCTTTCTTCTCCTTCATCCATTCTGCTCTTGAGAGACTCTGATGCATTTTTCTGTTTGTCAGTTAATAGGGCTGTTCCAGAATTTCTGCTTGAGTTTTTAAGATTATTTTAATCTCTTTGTTAAAATTATCTGATGGAATTCTGAATTTCTTCTCTGTAATGTCCTGAATTTCATTGCGTTTCTTCAAAACAGCTATTTTGAGTTATCTGAAAGGTCACATATCTCTGTCACTCTGGGATTGCTCATTGGTGCCTTATTTAGTTTGGCAAAGTCATGTTTTCCTAGATGGTCTTAATACTTTTGGATGTTTGTCAATGTCTGGACATTGAAAAACTAGTTTATTCTAATCATTGCAGTCTGAGCTTATTTATACCTATAATTCTTGATAGGGCTTTCCAGGTATTTAAAGGGAATTGAATGTTGTTCTAAATCTTTGGTCACTGTGTGCATTAGGGGGCACCCCAAGCCCAGTAACACTTTAAGTCTTGCTGACTCATACAGGTGCCACCTTGGTGATCTTCAGTAAGATACAAGAGAATTCCCAGTATTAGCAGGTAAAGTCTTGTTCTCTTTACTTACTTTCTCCCAAGCAGTGTCTCTATGTCTCTTCGTACTGAGCTGCCTGAAGTTGGAGAAGGGGTGTCACAAGCCCTCCTGTGACTACCATTGCTGGGACTCTTCTTGGTCACAGCTGAGGCTAGCACAGTACTGGGTCTTGCCCAAGGCCTATGGTGACTAGTGTCTGGCTATGGCTGCTGTATATTCAATGCTCAAGGGCTCTTTAGTCAGAGGTGCTGAATCCTGCCACGCCTAGGTCTTTCATTTCAGGGCTGCAGGTTCCCTTCTGGCCCAGGGTGAGTCTAGAAATGTCATCTGGGAGCTATGTCCTAGTATTGGGGTCTTTATGGATTAGATTTGTGCTTTATTGTACTACGGCTGAGCTGTTACCGAAGTTGCAAGACAAAGTTCTCTTTTCTCTCTCTTTTCCTCAAGCTGGAGGAATTCTCCCAGAATTGTGAGCTGTGTTGCCAGAGTTGGGGGAGGGATGACACTCCCTTTGCTGCTCCAGCTGGTTTCTTACTGAGTTACATGCACCCCAAGTCCACTGGCTCCAAGCCCAGCAAAGCACCAAGACTGCCCAGGAATTACAGTCCTTGTGGTCTAGGCAGCCTTTCTAGTTTATTTAGGATCTCAGGGCAATTTAACTCATGGTGGTGGTGCTAGCCATGGCTCAGGTTCTTACTCCTCAGATGTGCTATTTCCCTTTGACTAGAGCTGGTCTAAATCCTTCCTCCTTGGAGGCTGGCTGAATTCTGCCTTGCATTACTTTCCCCTGTGACAAGTCAGAACTGAGTTATAATGTGAAGTCTCAAAATCAATGCACTCTCCTTCTACCAAGCATACAGATTCTCTGTCCTACTGCCTTGTGATGAACTGGGGGATGGGGGAGGGGTGGTGTACGCAAGTAAAGACTGTCTTTCCTACCTTCTTTCATATCTATTTCCTTGATATGAGGTTAAAGGCATACACTGTAATTGCTAGCTTGATTTTTGGTTATGAAGATGCTTTCTTATGTAGACAGTTGTTCAATTTGGTGTTCCTGCAAGGGGAACAATTGCTGGATGCTTCTCTTCAGCCATCTTGTTTCTCCTCCTACCAAATGAATAATTAAGAAGAATAAATGGCACAGCCATTATTTACCTAATTCTCAAATTTATCTTATTATTATCTTATCTTATAAGAAATTTATTGTGACCATAGCCTTTCAGGATTGTTTGACTATTCTGTGGTAGTTTTTGTTTTCTTTACTTAAGTAAAAACTTCATTTTCTTCAGAAGATAAAAGACTATTCGGCCTTCAGTTTTGTAGACAACCATGAGACTAAAAAACTGTTCTTAAGGAACATAATGTCTGCACAACAAAACCTCTAGTTATCAAGCCTCTTCCTGACTGGCAGATATGAAGTTAGAAGATGTTGGTAGTGGTGCTTTGAAGATCCTCCAAAGAAACCTGTTTGCAGCCCATACATATTGTCAGATTATTTCCTAAGAACTGAAGAAATGGATTGTCAAATAACTGTTGAAGATCCAGGTCCAAAAGCCTGTCACATAAGTATTAATGGAATTTTAAATTAATTAATGCATTATATATTAATAATATATTTTTGATTAGATAATGAGAGAATATATGACCTTTGCAAGAAAATTGAATTTAGTCTTGGATAGCTACAACAGCTGTAATAGAAACAGATACTCTCCATAATGGGGCAAGGGAGCAAGAACTTATCCCCTTCCCCTTATTTTCAATTAATTACATTTCAGCTCTCCACTAATTTATTCTAATATGACCTCGATATCACTGGTTTTTGAATCAAACTTATGCCGCACATTAAAAAAAGTCTTACAATTCAACAACAAAAGATGGTTGCATTTTGTTTTATAAACCACCAATCTTGTTACATTAGGAAAGCTCTATCGGGCAGCTTTATTTCTGGGGTACTACTTCATAGTATATTTATTGATGTTTTCTTTTCTCCTCCTCCTCCTCTCTGTCCTCCTCCTTCACTGAATTTCTCTTGCTCTCAGTATAACTAAAAATTAGATTTTTTTTTATTCTACAAAGAGTAGGCAGAAGTAGTCAAACCTAGTGCTCAAAATAGTATAGTTATTGATTATTCCATCTTCTGGAAAATGTGACCTTTTTGTTTTTGTAAAAGTTACTAACAAAACCATTAAAAATCTTGTTAAGGAAACCTTAATTTTCTGAGTATTTTCTTACCCATACCTGAATATTGAGGCAAATTGAAGATGATAATCCCCTTTTTCATTTCATTTTAGATAATTTTCTATGAATAATTCAATGAGCACTTTCATTTGACTTTTAATTTCTTTCATAGTCCCCAGGAATATTACAACATTTTTCTTTACGTTTGAGAAAAGAAGAAAAATACCTATTATGATTGCTAAGAAAAAGGAAAATTATTTTCCTTGAAAGTAAAGTGGATATTGTTGACCTTTAATTCACTATGCAGTTATTCACAAATTGTTTGTAGTAAGCTGGTAAAGTACAGGATAAGATATGGATCCTACCTTGGGATTCAATGGAACAGAGAAACAGGGCAGCAAGGATGTGTGCTGAGTCACAGAATAACCTTACCACCTGCTGCCACTGCCTTAGTCCAAGCTGCCATGTCTCCTCACTTGTATTATTCTAACTGTTCTTGCTGCCTCTCCTGGATTCTGGCAGTGTATTCTGAATACAGCAACCAGAGTAAAACTTCTAAATTAGGCCAGTCATGTTATTTAGCTTCTTAGAGGCCTCTGGTTTATATCTTTGATCTCTCACAAGAATCTCACTAAACTCCATTAGGATAGAGAACTTGATGTGATTGGTCACTACTATATCTCCAGTTCTTGGGAGAGAGAATGCTTGATGTGTAGGAACTATTTCTTCATATTTTTGAATTAATTATATTCTGGAAGCATGATGTCTCAAAGATAGAAATTTGAGCACCCTCTGTCACTCTTCAGAAGGTGATTGGAAGTGTGGAAGGAGACCCTAGATCAGTGACTCAGTGAAGCAAAGAATGTCAACTTCATCCTTCTAGAGAAATGTCCAAAATGTATGCTAACTGGAGACATTAAGAGACATATGACACCAACATGCTGAGTGATTTATCAGAGCATTGGCAAGGTACAGAATTTACCCCATATGATTCAAATGAAGATGGTTCTACGAAAGGAATGCATATGGTATGTGATCAGGATTAAAGGAGCAGAAGCAGCAGGAAACCATTAATACCCACTAGGGCTGAAGGAACAAGGAGAGAAAACAGTATTGTGTGACCAGTGAGATATGGAACTGTAGGCCACATGGCTCACACCTGTAATTCTAGCACTTTGGGAGGCCGAGGTATGTAAAACACTTGAAGTCAGGAGTTCGAGACCAGCCTGGCCAACATGGTGATATCCCATATCTACTAAAAATACAAAAATTAGCCTGGCATGGGAGCACATGCTGGTAATCTCATGTATTTGGGAAGCTGAGGCAGGAGGATTGCTTGAACCTGGGAGGCAGAGGTTGGAGTGAGCCGAGACTGTGCCACTGCACTCCAGCCTGGGTGACAAAGCACGACTCCACCTAAAAAAAAAAAAAAAAAAGAGAGAGAGAGAAGGAAAAAAAAAGAAGATATGGAACTGTAAAAGAGGGACCAACCAGTAGGAATTCTCATCAGAGAGGGATGCAGTTTTTACCACAGAGAGGGATGCAGCTCTGAGACAGGGGAGGGGAAGGAAATACCCTGAATTCTCTCTTCTACATTGCCATCCCCTATTGCCTTCCATTAACCCAGCTGGATGCCAGACAGGAAGGGATCTCAACTGCTACCCTCTGCATGAGTTTGCCTTCTTGGGCTCAGAGCAGGGCAGAGAATTGTCGAGAGACTGGATCTTGAGCGGGTGAGAATAGAGAGGCACAGGAGATATCACCATGGGATATAATCATGCCTCTGATTTTCTCACTGATCAGACCACACCTAGAGCACTGTGCTCAATTCTGGCCATTACCTTCTAACATGGTCATTGACAAACAAACCTATTTAATACCAATGATCATGAACAGATACTGTAGGAACTGGGGTTATTAAGCTTGAGGATAGATGATTTAAGGATTATGCATAACTGGCTACATAATTTGCAAGGCCCACTGCAAAATAAAAATCAGGGAGCATTTGTTCAAAAGTTATTAAGAATATTAAAATAGCAACAGGGAGGATTGAATCAAGCATATTGCTACTCAAATTTGCAATCCCAAGTTCCATGCTCATGTATGTAGACCTGGGAACATGTCAGCCTCCATCAGGCATTTAAGGGACTGGCATGAGGACAACAGGTCAATAGGTAAAGAATAGTCTGTGTCTTAAGAGAGTAAAACTCACATCCAAGGAATGGAATTTTATCAAGTGCTTTTGTTTGTTTGTTTTAAAATAAGTTCAGCTGTTTCATAATGGAATATAGTTTCTATTACTGGAAAATCTTTAAGAGATACTATAGAAAGATTGAACATTAACAAGGATGTTGGACAAAATGACTATTATGGATGCTTTCAACTCTGAAGATGGAGAAATCTGACATTTTTTAAAAACTTATGAACTGAGATATTATTCTTCATTATGGACAGGTTAGCCTGAGCCCTCCCCCCTCCCACCAACACATACACATGCATGCATATACATACACAGTATATAATGATCTCCATGGCAAAAGTGTGACAATGCAGAGAAAGAGAGAGCAAATCAAATGCATAGAGGGCAAATGCAAGCCTTTACCTGTGCACTTTAGGAAGCCAAGACCAGATGAGAGCCTTGTTTTCTAGTCTAATGTTATTTCCATGAAATATGAGAGAATAAAGTTCCTTAGGATAAGTCAGCCCCTTTAAGAAAGTAACAAACATCAATTTGTTTGATGGCAGTAAATTGAAAAATGTTGCATTATCATTATTTTAGTTATACCAAAGTATGTACATTTTTAAAAATGTATTATCTTGATGCGGAATACCTATTGAAAAATAACAATGTTATTTTTGAAGCAATACTCCTGCTTCACAATCTCAATTTTTGAATGCTCTAATACTCTTCATTTGGTCATTTTAGGAAGTTATACAGATACACGTTCCTCTGAACTTCGCCAATACTTACAGTATTGTACAATACTTATTTGTGACTTCTCATCAACACCCCAACTGGTTAGATGCTGTTATTTTTACTGGTTGTATATTAAGACAATAAAAAATTTCGTACTTGGGTAGCAAAGAATTGTTACTGACTAGTTCATATTTCTAGGTTCCCCACCACCATTTCCAAAAGAGGGACTTTTTCTTCTTCCCAAATAAAACTGTGCACAGATGCCAAATGCATAAGGCAAATGAAAGTAAAACCACTGTATTTAAAGTAAGCACAGTGAGCACAGAGCCCTACTAATTTACTTCCCCCTCATCTCCAATTTTAGCTTCTGAGGCAACACAATGTGTAAACCAGTGATCTGGTTCAACTTGCTCAATTTACGAATAAGGAAACATAGCCTAAAGAGGTTTAGTGACATATTCAAAGTCAAACAGCTTATTAGAAGTAGAGCCAGGATAAAAACAAAGTCTGTGAACCCTAATGCTGTTTTCTATACACTATGCTACCTGGGTGGTACACGAATTAAATATACTACCCATCATATGGATAGAAAGGTGTTTAGAGTATTCCAACAGTGAGGGAAAGTGTCACTGTTGAGTACAAAAAATCTATATGCTTTCTCATTTGTTTGTTTTAATTTGTTAAATTTGTTTAATTTGTTAGCTTATTTAATTATTCATTTTTCACAGGAAATGAACAGGAAACACAGGATAGATGAATAAATAGAAAATGATAAAGATACAGACACCACACAAGCTATGCAATTACAGTTCTGTGTAGGCGAAGGACTTGTTAAAAATGAATCTGTTCTCTTATGAGTGCCCAGAGACTCCAACTAGTTATCCTTCTGCCTGGAGCAGAGCTTTATATACAGTGGGGACTAGTCCCTTTTTTTATTGTTTTTAGATGTTCTATGGTAAATATTTAATCTTTTTCATCTTTTGGGAACACGTGACTTGCATGGAAAAATCAAGAAGTGACTAGGAAAAAATATATTCTTATTTACAAAGCAACATTTTTTTTCCAAACATGACTGGACGCATTCGCTTGTTATTTTAGAGCATTTCAATAAAAGATTTAAACCTTAAAATTCAGGAGAACTTTGGATTTGTTTTTGTTCCCATTCTCTAGCTACTGAAAAGGGATAGAGACCAGCAATTTTAAAATATTTCTTGGATTTTGGGTTGCATATTTTAGGACTTTATCTGAAACAAAAAAAAAATACGTTCTACATTGTGTGTTTTTAAGTATTGAGCCCATTTCTATGGCTATATATTGACGTGAATAGACATTTCACCTACTGGATTCTTGCTTGAAATACATTTTAAATGTATGGTTTATCATGTTCTTGCTTAAAAGTGCTGCTGATTCAAACCATATAGGATATTCCTCTTTGTCTAACCATTTGACAATCTTAGACATATATAGTCTAAACATATATGTTTGAGAATTGTTCAGGTTTTTGTCTAATTCACTCCCTCTTCACAGCCTCAGCTAAAGAAAGAAAGCCAATCAAAACTATACCCATCACAATGTAAAATGATGTAACTGCTGTGGAAACCATTTGGTGGTTCCACAAACAGTTAAATGTAGAGTTTACATATGAAACAAAAATTCCACTCCTAGGTATTTGAGAACTCCTAGGTTCTCAAAGAAGTATTGAGAACAGAAACTCAAACAAATATTTGCATATCAATGTTCATAAAAACATTACTTATGATAGCCAAATAAACTTGGTGTTCATCAGTAGATAAATAGATGAACAAAATGTTGTCCTGTATATTCATACAATGGCATATTTAGCCTTAAGAAGGAATGAAGTCTGATACATGCCACAACACGGATAAACCCTGAAAACACTAGACTGAAAAAATAAACTAGATACAAGAAGACAAATATTGTATGATTTCAATTATATGAAATATCTGGAATAGATACGTTGATGGAGGTAGAAAGTAGAGTAAAGACTACCAGGGACTGGGGAAGTGGGAACTGGGGAGTGATTGCTTAGTGGGGATGGAGTTTCCATCTGAGGTGAAGTGATTTTGGAAATAGTGCTGATAGTTACTTAGCACTGTGAATATGTATGATGCCACTGAATTTTACCCTTAAAATGGTTCAGATGGAAAAGTTGATTATATGTATTTTACCATAATTTAAAAAAGTATATACTCATAATCTCTAGAGGAAAAACACAAGTAGCAGGAAAAATCGTATTTGTCCCCAAAATGACTATTATTGCAGTAGGTGGGCTTCATGTTCCAGAGCTTTGGGCATTAATATTAGATGAGAATGAATTTGTTATTATTGTGTTTCTCATTTGTGCTAGACACTGCTATGGTAACTGGGGTTATAGAGATGAGTAAGAAAGGCACACCCTCTGCATCTTGGAGATACCAGTGAGGATGGCCAAGAAACAACAAGCAAACATAGAAATAAGCAAATTTAAGTTATAAGTGCCATCACGGAAACAAGCTAGAGATGAAAATAGAAAATGTGTGTGTGTGTGTGTGTGTGTGTGTACTGGTGAGGATGAAGAGTTTGGGAACATCCTGCTTTATTAAAAAGAAGCATGAGATTCAGAGTGAAAAAAAAAAAAGTAGACAAAAATTCAGAAAAAAAAGGGATGGCAGTGTAGTCTGGCCATTGATTTACCTTGGCAGTGGAAAGTAGAAAAGAATAATATGAACGAGTCTGGAGACACTTTTTACCTTAGACACCAGCCACTTTGAGCGAGGAAGTATATGAGTAAGAACAGGATGGCAATTTTGCTAATATACTACATGTACGATAAGTTTTAGATTGCTGTTAAATGTTGTTTGGCTAGAGAAACCCAAGATTAATAGAACCATGCTTTATAAATCATCTATTTCCCACAAGGTTTCCAAGGCAATAATATACTCAAGGAACAAGGACAAATGAGAAATGTAAGTTCCACTTTAATTTTAGTTGGGGCATTGCCTGTAACTGCCAATTAAACGTTTTGAAAAATCTGGATTCAAGTACAATATATAAATTTGGACTCAACGTCTCCAAGAAAGGACTTCGGCCTCAAAGTCCAAGTCTTACCACTAACAGGCTGCCAAGTTCAAAGTGATTAGGGTTTCTGACCATCAGAGTACTAATATAAGGCAACTAAGAATGCTAGAATAACAGGTTTCCTTGCAGTATGGAGAGAAGGGACCACCATATGCATATAGGTAAACTCACACTTTGTAAATGTGACTCATTCACTGGGCATTCTGAAATCTGAACAAACAGTTTAATATCTGCTTTTGGTGAAGTTTTAGGTTGAACTGAGATATTAAAAGGATTTTCACAGTCGAATAATGAGGAAATCATAATTCATGTCAGTCAGAGAGAGAAAATGACCCCAAACTTGAAGACTGTATTCCAATATACCTAGAAAATGAGATACTTTGTTAAAATAAGGTATAATAGGATAAGAAGCTGAAAATAGAACTTAAGGCCATACTACTTTTTAAAACAGGCAAAAAATAGCCTCTTATTTTTATGCTTTGAGCAGTCATTTTTAAGCTTGTGGAAAGATAGTTACCGAATCTGGGTTTAGAAAGATATATTCTGGGGGCTATATGTGAAAGAGGTGGTGCAGAGGAAAGAAACTCCTAGCAGGGATGGTAGTAAGCATGCAGTCACTACTTACCAAACCCAAGATGATCATTTTTATTCATATTACTAGAAAAGAGACTAACAAATTTTTTCCATCATGTAAGAAAATATGGTGAATTATGACCATTATTTTCAAAATATATCATGCGATCATAGATTTTTAGGAGCAATACCTCCTATTACAGTTCCTAGGTAGAAGACAGGGGAGAGTAGGTTTGCAAGATGGACAAAGTTGACAAGTATTTTCATGGCACATATAATTTTCTCAAATATGGAAAACATGATGTTTGTATGGAATGCTAAAATATGGATAAGTATAGATAAGAAATATTGCCTCATATTTTCCCTCATTTTAATAACCATAGTCAATATTTTAGGGCATATTCCCATGTTTTCTGTGGAATTGTTTTATAACCACTTTCTCCAAAATTGACTTATGCTGCATTTAGTCTCCTCAGATAATATTTTTTCTAATCATGGTGGGATTACACGCAAATTATATAAATTACATACAACAGACAGAAAAAATTGTTTTTAAAGCTACCATTTATGTGCATCACCACTGCCAAATTTTCTGCTATGAGATTCTATAAATATATATATGAGAATAAACAATTTTATTTAAATCTTTAATAATTCTGAGGAACATTTCTGAATTACTAGTTTTCAAATTAAAACACTGAGGCATAGAGAAGTTAAATGACTTGACCAGCTAGTAAACAACAAACCTGGGATCTAATCCTGCTTGATTCCAAAGCTCTGGTGTTCACGATTAAGTTATTCTGCTCTCCCACCTTGTAAATGGTAAAACCCTAAACAAATGTTCCATGTAATTATAATAATTTCTAATATTCGCATGAGTAAATACTGCTGCAGAGAAATTGTGACATTTTAAAGTCATACAAATATTTAGTGAGAAGATAGAGCACTAGAAGCCTTCCAAACTCTGCTCTGTTTTGATAAAATAGCATTTTGTTCTATTTTCAGAATTCTCTCTCTCTTAGTCTTATTCTCTCAGTCTTGCTCTCAGTTTCTATGTCCTTGTGTGGCACTACTAGCAGTTTTGGACAGAGTGGGGGCATGGAAGGCAAGAGGAGGAGACTCCTGTGGTCCCTCTGTGGGACACTAGAGTGTGGCCAGCTGTGGCCTCCCAGCTGTTGGAAGGCTTTCAGGAAAACTCAGTGATGATCGCTACTAGCTAACATCCACAGGGCTGACATAACATTCCAGACAAGCCTCTAAGTACTTTACAAGTAGTAATTTATTTTTCATAACCATCCTCATTATATAGATGAGGACATGTGGCCCTGAAAAGTCAAATAATCTACCCAAGGTGTCACTTCAGGCAAATAGAACACCGAGAAATTGAACTTGGGTATCTGCTTCCAGGCCAGGATTCTTTCCCTGTTAGCCAAACTGCCTCAAATCCTCAAAGGAACTCTTTTTAACTGCTTCAAATAGCTAGGCAAAATATAACCTGTTACTAGCAGTACTAGATGTTCAAACTAGTAATTATTTAGTATTTAAAAAATTGATAATGGTAATTGATTAACTCCTTAATTAGCCTTTTCTGGCGTGGATTCCTTAGCACTTTCAAATGTGGCATTATGTTTTAATTCATATAATGGCTCAATGGAGTTTCCATTATTTACTCAATTTTTAGCAGATGAATATGATGTTAGTAAGATTAAGTGACTTGCACAAGGTTACATAGCTCATATTTACTAAAACTCAAAATTTATGCCTTATTTTCCAACTCTCTGTTGAGTATTGCATTCATTACACCATAATTGTGGTTATTTCTGACACAGAGAATTTCCTATATTTTGACATATATGTATTTTCCAAAACCTTACCAACATCTATTTATCATAGAAATGTAAGTTTACTCCTGTCTAGAAAGTAAAATAGAAATGAAACAAATGAAAACAGACAAAAATAATCCAGGGCTTTTGAACTTTTTTTTTTCTCCCAGATGAAGTAATTACTTCTACAATGGTACAAATATTTAAGTAAGCCATCTGGTGAGATAATCTCATGAAAATAACTCTCAGATTTATGTACGAATGTCCTCAAAATTTGGGGAGGGCTAATAAAGTAATAATCTATGTCTTACATCCTAGAAAAATCACTTGAGGAACACTCTTGTTTTAGTTGCCCTCTGTTGTGAGTCTTTCATCAAAATAGACCAATATAAGTGCTGAAAACTCCCCAGTGACAGAAACAAGAGTAGATGAAATTAAGAAGCCAGTAACCATAAATGCTTTTGATTTACTTGTCAATAAATATCAATGGTTTTATCTGGCTAAGAGAGACACTGTAAAATTAATTTGCGTTTACAAAACAGAAGGTAACCAATATAACTCAGCTTTCTCTTCTGTTATACACTAAGTAAATTTAAGGGTACTTAAATAAATTTGAATATAATTTTAAAGTCCTTAACAGTTTTCAGATCTTGTCCTTTATTTGTTCTGACTTCCCCTCCTGTTTTATTCTCTAAAATATTAAAGTATAATAAGATTTGAATGTAGAGAATGCATATGTTTCTCTTCCTTGTCCCCCACCACTGCCTCCTGCCTTGCCACACTCCGGGGTTGATGTTCTCTAGAGTCAGAGACTTTTATTTTGTTCATTTGCTCATCTCAGTGTCTGGCATTTAGTAGGAGACTCAGAAATGTCTTTCAAAATGAGCTTTGCAGAGAGACTGAAAGAGACTCAAAGTCAGGTATCACTAAGACCATCCTCCAGGTGAACCAATCTAATAAGAGGTCCTACCCCGTTTAATAAAGTAACCTTGTCCAGGCATGGTGGCTCATGCATGTAATCCCAACACTTTGGGAGGCCGAGGCAGACAGATTACTTGAGGTCAGGAATTCCAGACCAGCCTGACAAACCTGGCGAAACCCCGTCTCTACTAAAAATACAAAAATTAGCCAGGTGTAATGATGGGCACCCATAATTCCAGCTACTCGGGAGGCTGACACGAGAATCACTTGAACCCGGGAGGCAGAGGCTGCAGTGAGCTGAAATTGCACCACTGCACTCCAGTCTGGGTGACAGAGCAAGACTCCGTCTCAAAATAAGTAAATGAATAAATGAATGAATTAATGAATAAATAAATAATAAAGTAACCTCTTGTCCACACGGGCCTATCTTTTGCTCTTTGGCAGGCTCCTGCTTTCCGACCCCTCATCAATATGGCCCTATCGTTGGGAACATGTACTCAGAGATGTTAATTTCCACATTCTTCCCTACCTCACGATCTTCTCTCCAGTGAGAGTGACTTATCTGTAAGGGTAATATTCTTTACTTACAAAGTTTCTGAAAGATAAACACATATATTATATAGACACATCTGAACTGAATCTTCTGATTGGATGAAGATGTATGACACATTCATGCCCCAAATTAAATTCACAATTCGGCAGCATAATCATATATCAATAAGAAATAAAACAACTATTGACTAGGTAATAAGAGCTTCTGTTTATGAGATCTTTTATATTAACATAATAATCTTAGATGGTTAACAAATAATGCAGCCTGATAGTTCTCCTTTCCAATACACATTTTTCCAATAAATACCTCTGCGGTGAATTGAATGGTATTCCCTACAATGATAAGTACACATTCTAACTGTGTAAACCTGTGAATATGACCTTATTTGAAAGCACTATATACACAATATATACATATATTCTAGAGATAAAATGCATTGTGTGTAATACATGCACATATAGGATGGAATATGTATATAATGGTTATGTAAGATACACATTGTATCTGTAGGTTTACATGAGTAATTTGAATACCACACTTATGGTTCAGAGACTCCTGGGATTCCACCGAAAAAGAAAAGGGAGTATACAAGCTAAAGCTATTTCCAGTGTTTAAAAGAAACTAAGGGATAGAATATATTAATTGCAATAAGGCAGTACAGGTTGATGGAAATCATAGGTTCATTTGCTCTTGGCTAGAATGGTGACTCCAGGAGAGGATGACATTGGTTTGCTGTCACCCATTGGAAGTTGAGATTGAGGTTACTTATGGCTTTGAAAAAATATGATGGCATGAATTAATTATAAATAAATTATCTTTGGTTGAGAAAATGTTTTTAAAGTATGGGCTCCTGAAGGAAAATAAATAGTCAAAAGAGCTGTAGGCAATGAAAGCTTGACAAGTGGACCCATATATGTACACATACAAATTGACAATTATGCATAAATCACAATGCCTTTGTCTTAATTTTCTCTTTTGTGAGGTCAGTCTAGTTTTACTTCTTAACACCTCATTTGTCAACTCTCTGCCCTTCCCCGAATGTTATCTTTTTAATGCATCCTCTTCATCAGTTGGCTACTATACCCTTACTTATCTGAATCTATCTCGAGACCCTTTAATCATTTATTTCATTCTCAATGAGAGCATCTTCAATTCGTTTCATAATGCTATTCCAAACCCTGAAATTCCTTCCATCTCACTCAGCATGAAATCTATAGTTTTTACTTGGCCAACAATCCCTAAAAATCTGTCACATCTTTTTTAATAAATATATGGAATGCAAGTATAATTTTGTTATATCCCTAAATTGCACAGCGGTAAAGTCAGATCTTTTAGGGTGTTCATCACCCAAATAATGTACGTTGTACCTATTAAGTAATTGCTCATAATCTGTGCTCCTCTCCACTACTCAATCTTCCTAATCTCTATTATCCATCATTACACATTCTACATTCATGCAAACATGTTATTTTAGTTCCTACTTGTAAGTGAGAATGTTGAATTTGTATTTCTGTGTCTGATTTGTTTTACTTAAGATAATGGCCTCCTGTTCCATCCTCATTGCTGCAAAAGACATGATTTGTTCTTTTTAATGGCTGAATAGTATTCCATTGTGTATATATGCCACATTTTCTTTATCCAATCATCTCTTGATAGACACTTAGGTTGATTCCATATTGTTTCTATTGTGAATAATGCTGTGATAAACATATGCGAGCAGGCATCTTTGTGGTATAATGAATTCTTTTCCCTTGGGCAGATAGCCAGTAGTGGGATTGCTGAATCAAATGGTAATTCTATTTTTAGTTCTTTGAGAAATCTCCATACTGTTTTCCATAGCAGTTGTACTAGTTTAAAAATGTGTCACACTTTGATGCTCACCCTCTTCTCCTAACATTCTCCCTCTTAAACATCCTCTCATATCTCCTCTTCTACCAAATCAGTCCTTTCTCTTGCTTTTCTTTGATGATGACAGAAACCCTCTAGCCTCAGGGCCTTCGCATTTGCTTCGCCCCTGCCCCAACCCACAGAATTACAGATCTATCCCTCTTTTCACTCAGGTGCACAAATAAATATTATCATAAACAGGAGTCTATCTCTGGCTACCTTATCTAAAGTAACATTTCCCCTGCTGTTGCTTGTCCTCTTACTCTGCTTTCTTTTCTTTCCTTTTCTTTGCTTTTTTTTTTTTTTTTTTTTTTTTTTTTTGAGATGGAGTCTTGGTCTGTCGCCCAGGCTGGAGTGCAGTGGCACGATCTCGGCTAACTGCAACCTCCGCCTCCTGGATTCAAGCGATTCTTCTGCCTCAACCTCCCTAGTAGCTGGTACCACAGGCGCATACCACCATGCCTGGCTAATTTTTGTATTTTTAGTAGAGACAGGGTTTCACATTGGCCAGGCTGGCCTGGAAATCCAGACCTCATGATCCGCCTGCTTCGGCCTCCCAAAGTGCTGAGATTACAGGCGTGAACTACTGCACCCGGCCTCTCTGCTTTATTTTCACACATATTTATTTTTCTGTTTGGTGTCTTTCTCCCTTTGAGAGAATGTAAGCTCTAGAAAAACCAGGGAGCAACTTGGATGTGCTCTCTGCTACCCTTCCAGGTCTTAGAAATGGGTCTAGCACCAATAAATATTTTCTGAATGAATAAGTACATTCATTTTCTTACTCTTCATTTAACATTTGAGTACCTAATAACAATATAATGGTTTTTGAATACTCAGTATGTGCTAGATACCATGCCAAGTGCTTTACATGGACCACTTAATCCTCACAAAAGCCTTTTGAAGTAAGTTGTTGGATCTTCTCTTCCCAGATAGAATGTGAGTCTGGGGGAAATTTTTAAATGTTCCCAAGTCCACATGACTATTAAGTAGCAAAGGTAAGATTTAAACCTAGACATCCTAACTACAGATCCCAAGTTCTTCCACCCTAAGTTATACTGGCATTGCATCAGGTTCAAAAGATAAACTCATTAAAAAAACAAACAAACAAAAAAAAAACAAAAAAACTTTTCTCTGCCCTTAGGCAGTCTGCAGCCTAAGCCAGAAAGAGAAAAGCAGCATATAAAGTTAACACACGGCATTTTGGGACCTTCTCAGGGGATCGTCTAAACCATAAAGAATAAAGAGAATTTAGCCATGCTAAGAAATGTAGAAAAGGATGGCAACCACGCCCTGAAATGGGAACTACTTGTATAATTCCAGAGTTATGGAAAAACCTCGCTCAACTATGGAACTTATTTTGGCTGTTTGCCTAAGAGATGGGAAAACAAAGTTGAAGCATTTGGCTTTTTAGCCCTAAGTTTGAGATGCATTCGGAAAAGGTATCGTCAAAAATGTTAAGTAATTAAAAATAAACAACTCAGAAGAAATGAAAAGAAAATATCAGAGGCTATGGGAAGACTTCTGTTGAGAGCAATCAAGCAAATGATCACTTTTCAAAGGACAAGGAGTGGATAGGCCTCCCTCCTAAACTGAGGAATATTGCTGAAAAGTTAATGTGAAGACTTGGTGGCAAAATTCCCTGGCACTTTCAGAGCTCATTCACCATAATGCACAAACATGAAGGGGCATAGCCTAGGTCTTTGATTTCCCTAGCTCTGCTGTGTTGCCATCACAGCAATTAGGGAAACATTCCAAGATACTTCTGGGGTCAAAGAACATGAAGGCTGGAAACGACTTCAGGGAATGTCTAAGAGATTAGAGTCAGAAAGAACTAGGTTGGAATTCTACCTCAGGTCTTTCCTAACATTGAAATTGTATATAGCTTACAATTATCTCAGATTTATCTAATATAAAAAGAGAAAGAAGGATATCAACTTTATAGGATTGTTGTGAGAACTAAGTGAATTAATATATGTCAAGGGATATAACAACATCAAAGTCAATCAATAGATATTAGCTATGATTTTATTATTATTATCCACCCCAAACCATTATTTTTCCATTGATAAGGAAACCGACATACCAGAAAATGACTTGACTAAGCTCACACACGGATCTCACAAGTTACCCAATCCATCAGCATTCCTCTAGGGCTCTCCCTACCTGTCCACGTCAGGTAATATGTTTAAGTTCCATTAAAGATCTGATAACTGGCCTAAAAGTTCTGTCTTATTTTAAGCCTCTGTTTACTATCCCCACAAAATCATGGACCTGCTTTACCTTTAACAAAATTTACAGAGATCACTTCAAATATGGGATCGAAGTTGTAGTTGGCAATACTAGGAATAACTGTAAAGTGACAGAGCCTGCATTTCATAAGGTGGTTTTGACAACATCATTTTCCCAGAAAACCATCCCAAACAAGACTGGGCTAAATGGCTCTTCTCTGTACTGCGGGACAGATGCTTACCTCTATCTTAGTATTTATTATTTTATCTACTGGAATTATCCATTTGGTGGCCCTTTTTATAATTTAAAAATAGAAACTAAGTCCTAGCCATCTGTGTAACTCCTGTTCATAGCACAATGTCTAATATACAGTAGATGATCTCTAAAATTTTATATAATTGAATATTTATTACAATTAATATGAGTTCCATACAGAAGGCCATTATACCATGTTTTAATAGCATCAGTATAATTATGACTGTGTAGATTTAGATATTCAAAATGATCATTTTAACCAACATGCTTTTAGGTATATAATATTTTCAGTTTTAGTTAAAAATTCACATAGATTCTTTGCTTTTGTATCTGTTAAAATAGTCATCCACTTTATATATCTATATGTAAGCAGTGCTGTGTTTCAGTTTGTCACACTGACTTTCAAGAGTTGTGTCCATCTCTTCCCAAATCTGTGTTCAGTGATTTCACATTTGTGGCTTGAAACTGGTCATGATAGGAGTGCTTGTGCCATGGAAATCAACTAATGTTAGAAAGCAGAGATTTTTTCTTCCTCAGAAACCAGGTTGTTATACATTTACCAGTACATCACTATACATATAGTTTTTAATACTATCCACTCTAGTCTGTGTAGTTCTGCATTTATGGTTTTTATCAATCTACGGTAGAAGCTACATCTAATTTTCTGTCTCTGCTTCATTTTTTATGCCACCTGGGTACCCATAAATAATTACCAGCAGAGTTGTTTATATATTTAGCAGACACTCATAAAATAAATAATTAATATGAGACGGTCTCCATATCTAACTAGTTATTCCTAATATATCTTTTAAAGTCTTCTTACATTTTATTAAATGAAGTTGGGAGGATCAGCTTTGTGAGTGAATCAAACTCAAATTTCGGTGGACTGGACAAAAATATATTGTGGAACTAGAAAACAATGTCTTACCAAAATTGCATATAAATTTAATCAGCTGACAAAGCTTTTGCACTGCCTTATTTATGCAAAGAAATGTGGAAATAAGGCAGTTATTCAGACTTTTCTTAAAAGATGTAAAGCTGAGATTGTTTTACACACATAAATGAGGTGTGGGCTTATTCCCACTTCAGATTTTTTTTTCAGGATAATACAAGATTATTTCAGGCCATTCTAGTATTATAAATAATTGGTTCTGGCTCCTAAATGGAGCTTAAATTTCAAACTGTAGGTTATTATTATAAAGTAATCTTTGGTGGTAAATCAGTCCATTTCCTCTGTAGTTACTTAAGGGTGGAAATATTCAAGAACATGGATATATTTTAAAATTACTGTTCTCAGTTCTTTCCCTCATAAATAATTAGTAAGTCTACTAATTATTTTCTTCCAGAATTATCCACTTCCTAATTATCCACTATTTTTTTCTTCCAAATACAGTAAATGGGCAAGAAATAAGTTTTATTTTAAAATGGTTATATTACTCTCCTATCTCAGGGTATATGAGATAAAATTTAACAGAGATTGATGGACGTCTAAATTTTAGCCAGCTTATTTACTGATGAGACTTCTCCCTATACCCTCTGCTTGATGGAATGTTCATGTTGCTCAAGATGAAATAACCTAAGACAGCAATAAATTATTTTGGCAGATATTCTGAAAGAAAGCTCCTGGGAAACTGCTGTAGATGTCATTAGGATTTTAAAAATCTAAGTTTGTAGGCTAGTCAAAAAAATCTAAAGATCACAATCGGAAACCTAGGAAACTGACAAGTAACAATAATGAGAATGTACACAAACACATACCAAAAGCAAAATACGTATATCCCTTTGATTCGTTCGAATACCACCTAAACTCTGACCCACTAAGAGAAATTCAGGTATAAAGGGCATTTTTGGTAAGCTGTAGTCATGTTCATCCATCCATTTTTCCATTTAGTCCTTTACTTGATAAGTAAATTATTAATTAGTAAACAAAGTTAGGTATCAATCTAAAAATTACTGCAACAGTTTCTAATATCAAAGTAGTAGCAAGCCAGATAGATAAATAGATATATAGTTCAAATATAATGTAACGAATGGAAAGAAAAATACATCATGTTTTGTGTGAACACCAAAGAGACATAAATACCTGGGAGAAAAGGGAAAGTTTTATACATACACATACACAAATCTGTGTGTTTATGTGTGTGTGTGTGTGTATATATGACACATATGACTGGATAACAGGGTGACCGTATATATATTTGAGCACCTGTGATACAGCAGCTGCTATACTAGTTGGTTTTCCATAGTTTATTTCTTAGTCCATTTATTTTAATCTTTCAATTAATGCTACAGACAGTCAGTATTATTTGCATTTTTCATATAAGGAAACTGAAGTTTTGGGAAATTAAGCAAACTGGTGTTTTGGTTGAATTATGTTCCCGCCTCCAAAAAAGGGATGTGAAAGTCCAAATGCCCATTACTACAGAATGTGACCTTATTTTTAATAGGGCCTTTACAGAGTCAATCAAGTTAAACATATTCTGAGTTAAACATTATTATTAATTATTATTATTAATCGAGTTAAACATTACTAGTGTGGGCCCTTATTCAATATAACTGGTTTCCTTACAAAAGAGGGAAATTTGGATACAGAGACAGACATACACAGAGAGAAGGTCATGTGAAGATGGAGGATTGGAGTGATGCATCCATAGGCCAAGGAACACCAAAGATTGCTGTCAAACCCTCAGAAGCTGGAAAGAGGCAAGGAAGAATTTCCCTACAAGTTTTAGAGGGAGCATGGTCCTGCAATTTGTTCTTCTAGCCTCCAGAACTGTGAGACAGTATTTCTGTTGTTCTAAGGCACCTGTTTTATTGTATTTTGTTATAGCGCCCAAGGAAACAAAGTTGGTCAAACATGGGGCTAGTAAGTAGTGATGCACAATCATCCTTTCCTGGTTCCAAAGCTTACATGTTTTCTCCTTTACAAAGAAAATTATCTTCACCAAAACCTTTTAAGGATGAATTAAAGCTTATAAGGTGGAAGGGAAAGGAAAGTGCCTTTTATCGGAAAATTTTGTGAGTTCAGGCTAACTCTAAAGGCCCTCAACCTTAGCAGTATTGACAGTTTGAACTGAATATACATATATTTTCAGGTGGTCTTTCCTATGCATTGTAGAATGTTTGACATCATCTCTGACCTCAACCTACTAGATGTCAGCAGCACCTCTTTCAGCTAAGACAGTAAAAAATGTCCCCAATTACCAAATGTCCCTCAGGAGGCAAAAATGATCCTGCAGAGAACGACTACCATCAGTAACTTGCTGATGTTCACCCAGCAACAGTATTGCAAGCAAATTTATTTCATGCATCTTACCTGATTAAGAGTAGTTGCCCAAAACATGGTATTAAGAAGGAATAATAGACTTTTTGCAGATTAAAGAAAAAACGTTTCATTATGAATTTTTTGTGTCTGCTGTGGGCCCAGGAGGGGAAATATTGGGCTGTCCTTTATAAATTCTGACTTCTAGCTAGTAGTGCTAGACAGAAGAAAAGGGATGAACCCTATGAATATTTATATCAAAATTTTAAGTTTGGTGAATGTCAGTTTATCCAACTGCATATTTTTTCTTGCCTGTTAAGAGTTTCAGAGGAGTTTGAATTTCCTTTTGCAGTTCCTCAACTTTGTCTTTTTTAGAAGGTTGATTTCTTCCAGACATACGGTTATTATTAAGGAATAATTTTTTAGGTTTAGCCATCCATGATTGAACTGATGATTCATCCTGTGTTTCAGAACACTAGTTGGGCAGTTCGTTTGATTAGGGTATTTTGTCCTGGAGTTCAGGGTCTGTGATGTTGCCCTAAAAGGATCTGCAAGCTCAGACATTTAACAAATTTTGCACTTTATGATGGTTAATTTTATGTGTCAACTTGACTGGATTGCAGGGTGCTCAGACATTTGGCTGAATATTGTTTTTGGTTATATCTCTGAGGTTGTTTCTGGAGATTAGTCTAAGAATCAGGCTAATCTCCAGAAACAGTTGAATCAGTAGTCTAAGAAAAGCAGACTGACTTTCCCAATGTATGTGGCCATCATCTAATCTTTTATGATGTCCAATAGAACAAAAGATAGGAAGGGAGGATTCACTCTCTCTGTTTGATTTGGGACACCATTCTTTCTATTTTCTCAGACTAGGACTCACATCATTGGCCCTCTGGTCCTCAGAACTGCACCACTGGTCTTCTTCAGTCTCAAGCTTGCAGATTATGGGATTTTTTTGCTTCCATAATTGTGTAAGCAAATGCCTTACAATAAATAAACCTCTCTATATTAATAGATAGACAGATAGATAGATAATAGATTCTCCTATTGCTTCTGATTCTCTGTTGAACCCTAAAATACTCTCATTTCCCACTCTGCCCCATCTCAACTCTTGTTTTTGATACTTGCTATTGTTTTATTTCCTCCTTTTTTTCGTATCCCTTTCTACATATCTTCCTTTGGAAATCTTTGTTGTTATCTTCTTATTTATGATACGATGCCTTTCCCTTTTGGAATGTTCAGGAAAGTTTGAAATGCTTCTCTGACAATTGCCTTATTTATGTATGTCAGTGATTAGATGCACAAGTGTTGGAAACAGGCAAACTTAGATTTGAGCCTTGGCCTACCCTCTACTAGATGTAGTTACCTCATCAAATTCATTAAATTCATCTATGAAATGGAGTAGTTATTGTGTAAGTGATATGTTTGTTGCAAAACTTTCAATACATATTACCTTCTCTCTAATAGGCAGTTAATAATACAATTTGAAATGCCTTGTCCATTTCTTTGCCTGGAGAACCTCCTTCAAAATTCTAATTTCATCCTAATGTTACTTTTCTCAATTCTAGTGCTGTTTCTTCTAAAATATTATAAAAACTAATGTTTTTTACTAGTAAACATACGTTTTTAAACTTCTACATCACAAGCACATAACATAGTGACTAACACTTAGAAGGTGCAATAAACATTTGTTGAATTACATTTGATCACACAGACCTTAATTCTATAATAGATGTGAGAGGCATATTATTGCACAGTGTATGTCAATAAGCAGCAAATGTTTTCATAGAAAAACCAATTTAAAATAGTTCACATATTGACATTATTGTTTAAAAGTAGCATAGATGTTAAGAAACCAAGTGATAATTATATGGTGGACTTGTTTTTTTCCATTTTTGCCTTTACAAATAATCAGATTAGCTTGTGGGGAAAAATAATGAATACCAATAGTAATAAATTCTTCAGAGTTTATAAATATTTTCACAATCCAATTATGATAGTTAATACTCATCGTTGATTGTGCAAAATTTTTACTATATTATTCAATTATAATGGTTTAAGATATGATCATGGTTATTGTTCCCTCTTTACAGTTAAAGAGACAGCCTAAGGTTTAGTGATGCACTTGAAGTCACAAAGCTACAAGTTGAGGTTAAAAATTCCAACTTGTCTACTGCCAAACTTATATTCATCATTCTTTATAGCCTAACTAGGATGTAGGGTTACCTCCACTTTACTGATGAGGAAACTATTTCAAAAAGATTGTAATTATTTAATTATGTGTTACAAATCACTTTCCCCCATCCAAAACAATTGAATTCTACAATGAAAAATCAGCTCAGTCTTTTTTTAATTAGTTTACTTTTTTAGTTATTTTCTTAATTGTTTCAATAGGGCTTACAATATATATCTCAATTTATCAGTCTGCTTCAAATTTACACTAACTTAATTCCAGTAATATGTATATTTTAATCCAGAGTTACCACTGTTGTCTACTCTCTTAGTCAGTTCAGGCTACTATAACAAAAATAGCACCAGGTGGCTTCAAAAACAGATATTATTTTTTCTCACAGGCTGGAGGCTGGGAAGTCCAAGATCAAGGTGGCAGCAAATCTGTTGTTTGGAAAGGCTTCACTTCCTGGTTTGTTGATGACAATCTTCACATTGTATTCTCATGTTGGGGAGAGCAGAGAGACAAAAAATGTGTTCTTTCATTTCTGTTTTTATGAGGGTACTAATTCATTCATAAGGATTCTGTCTTCATTACCTAATATTGTCCCCAAATCCCCGTTTCTTAATACTCTCACTTTGGGGATAGGATTTTAACATATGATTTTTTGAGGAGAACACAAACAGGAATAGGAACAAACAAGCAGTGAAGATAAAACCGATTCTGCCATTAAGTTCCAAGTTCAAGCACACAGCCAGAAAAAAGTTCTGAAATTCTGAAGATTAGTGCCTGGGAGGCACTAGAACACAGGTTAGAAAATTGCAGTGGTGGGACCAAAGAGAAAGTACCTTAGTGCCATAGGCAGACCTCAAGATGAAGCAGCTACATTGTCTGTGGTATAAACCCAGGGTTTGTTGTCAATCGCCAGGAAAATTTAGGACACGGACAAACACAAGCAGTACAGGAGCTGAGGTTTAATAGGCAGAAGAGAAGAGAAAGATAAACAGCTTTCTTTATAGAGAAAGGGGTTTCTGAGCAGAAGGGACTGGCTGACAGCAAATGCACCAAATTTTGTAGTCCAGTTTGAGGTGGCGGTGTCTGATTTACACAGGGCTTATAGATTGGTTCGATCATGTATGATGTTTACATAATGCACAGGGAAGTCTGGTCTCCCCACCCTAATGTTATTATGCAAATGGGCTGTCCAGTTGATCAGCACCATCTTGTCTGCTCCTTAGAGTACACATAGCTAACAGAGAAGAGAAGATGGAGCCACCATCTTGAAAATGTCTAGTGCTTAGTTTCTGCCAGCATTCACCGATGCAAACTCCCAGCTTGCTTGTCTATGTCTGCAGGTCAACTTTACAGGCTACTCTTTGTTAGTAAATGATTTGGGGCTGTGTTTCATTAAAAAGAAAAGCATTACCAAAGACTGTTACACCCTTGCTATCTGCCTAAGTGATTTCTTCTTAACTCCTCTATCATTCCCCTCTCTGGAGTGGTAACCCTAACTGCTGTTAAGGGGTGTTGGATGATGACTCTTTCTGGCTACTTCCTGCTGAAAAGGGACGTCATGTGGGGAACAGCAGCTAGGGCTCCTCTTGGTTCGATCTAAGGGTTCCTGGAAGAAAGATGCATCCATGTGTTGTTCAGTCTAAAGCTCCATTTGGAGTTTAATTGCTGTCAGTCATTCCAATGGGTTGTGATACTGGTTTTCCTCCACCAGGTGCTGCTGAAATATTAATATACAAGTAACATTCTTTTTTGAATAAGTGGTATTGGATTTGGGTAGCTAGAGTAACTTTAGTGTTAACCTTGGCTAAATCTTTCCTGTAAGTATTAATTCCCTCATTACTTCAACAGACCATCTAAGACGTGCTTAAACTTGTCCTAACATCCTTCTTTTTAAACGACCAACTATTCTTTTTAGGACAGGTATTTACCATCCTTGTAATCTTTTCATGACTTCCACAACCATCTATAACATGCTCAAATCTTCTGACTTCTCCTAAACATCCCTCTTTTAAACAACCAACTGTTCTCTTTAGGAGAAGTATTTATCATACAAGATCCTTTCTTATGTAAAATATTTTTTCCTTTATATCCTTTGTATATAGCCAGGGTGTGACATTACCAAACCCAATAAGAAGTTCTAGCAGATTCAGTGATAGTAAAACTTTCATACTTCTTTTTTCTTTTCTTTTTTTTTTTTTGGTGACTATTATCCCTCCTGTAAGGATAATAATTAAGCAAAATACTACAGCAGTGGAAACTCTCTGTCTGATATTCCAGTTAGAAGGTGCTACTGTGTATAGCCCTACTGTGAATAGTAGAGGGAGTATAGCAATTTCTGCAAGTGTGGTGTAGTAGATAATTTTCATCTAAAGTTTTACCTGCCAAGATACAGAATTTCCCTTTGGGGAGTCTATGAAGTTTCTTGGCTTTATTTTCCCAAACAAATAAACCTCTGGGTTATGGGCACCCTACTCACTTTCATTACCTGGCAGAATTTGCAGAATAATTGCCCAGAACTAGCATATTTATCCAGATTTTCACATTACCCATCTCTCTTTGTTTCTTCCAAGCTGCAGGAGATCACCACTTGATTCACAGAAATAAGCAGGGTTAGTCTAAAATGTAGGTAAAAAGCTTAAAAACAATTATTGTGACTAGGATTTAATGACAAATGTATGATAAGCTTTGGAGCACAATTTCTCTCTCCATTGCTCATTTTTGGTAAAAACAAATTATGATAGGACTGTGTTCTTTGTAGAATAAACTTTAGCCTTATACTTGGCGTGAATATTTGCATAAAGTGCAGCAAGAATAATTATCCCTACATAGGCCTTTTGGGTTGGCTTTGATGGAACTCTGTTCCATAAGGAATCTCAGATAATACCTCTTCAAGCCAAGTTCAGCAATGGGTTTTTATCCCCAAATACTTTACACTTAAGGTCCCAAGATAAACTTGGAGGTCCTGGACATGTTAAAAAGTGACATTCTTTACTGACTACAGATTAAGAAACCTGTCCAGGGACTGTGTAGACAAGGTATGAGGCCAGTCTTCCCCAAGGTGCTTTTATCAGCTCTGCAAGCTGAGATTGACTCTTTAAAGGGGGAAGCATACACTTCCTGTCAAAGCTTTGATAAAATAACCAGTTTTTCTAATTGTGTCTTATTGAAAAAAAAAAAAAAAAAAGACTTCTTGTGGCACTGATGCAAACAACTATATTGCCGTAAGTTAAGGTTACTCACAGATGGTTTCCAAATTCTAGAGGAACCAGGTACAGAGAAACAAACCTGCTCCGAATTTTGTTCACAAGAGTATAACTTACTTAATTATTAAAGGCTGCACATAGTTCAAAATAAGTTTCCTTGACTCTGAAAAACAAAATAAGGATCAGCAATATTCTAAGCAAAAGTCAAAAAGATTGCTTTAGCTTTCTGAGCACAATCCATTTAAGACAACTCTTGTTTCACTTGATATTCATAAACATTTCAGTTCTTCATGAGTCCTGTACATTTTTTCCAATGTTACAATCTTCAAAGCTATTGGAAATCTGCATTTGAGAACAGCTGTTAAAGTCTTATAGCTTGATTATATCCCATCTTTTGAGAAGGAACATAGCAAGATAACAATTGTCTGTAAGTGACAAAATTTTCAGGGTAGTTACAGTTAAAAACATGACTGACAAAGAAGTTTAGTTATCTCCGTGGTTTACAATAATTTTAAAATTAATTATGAGACATTAGAATTTTAGAAATCCCATACAATTTTGGAACATATATTGGTATTATTCACAAAAATATAAGTTAAGACTGGACATCATTTTGGCAATCCCAATGTGATTAAACATGTCAAATAATCCTGTTCACCTATTTTCTGAATGTTTCAGGGGCCCCCTGAACAATCTAGAAAGCCACGCATCAGGAAAGACAATTTCGAAACTTGAAGTTTGATTTTGGTATGTCTGTTAAATGTTAGAGGTTTAAAACAGTTGATGTTATGAAATAGAATTCCAGATAGTCATAAATTACTTATTTTGCCAAAATGATGACTCAAAAGGCAAAAACCTTTCATAAGCCTTTACTATTACATAAAAATCCTGCTCAAAGCCAAATTTTACCTTTGCGTTAATTTATTAATGTTAACCCCAATTTGATTAAATGCCACCCTAAAGACAATTCCATCTAATCTTAACCAATTTGACCATGAGATGAAATCCTTACAAACCTTTTTTATAACCCATTTTGCTAAAGGGCAGATTAGTGGCTTAAGACAGCCTTACAGTGCTTTTATTTCAATGCTCAGTTTATGAAAAGACCATCTTTCCACAACATGCTTAAACCTGTAGCTTTATCTTATCAAATTTAAGATAATTCCTCATCCCTGGGCAATATTTATATTTCTATGGTTTCTTATAATCCTTTACTAAAAAACACATTTTACTGTTTTTATACACCTTGCCTTTAAAACTGTTCAGTGATCTCAAATACATGCTGCACTGTTAACTCTTAGCAAGTTTTACATTTGTTGAGAAACCTGGTTAGTAAGCAATTTTAATTATGTACCAGGCGTGGAGCCTAGGACCCAGGCAGAAATGCATATAAGATCTGACTCTTTCTAGCATCTAACTCCATGTGTCCCAGGCCTTACTTATCTGAAAATCAGGCAGTATACAACCTTTGAACATTTAGCAAACCTAGTATCTGTTTTACGATTTAGACCACCTATTTGGATTTTGATGACCCTTGCATTTTACCAATAATCCTTAAGATTATTTTTATTTCTTAAAAATTAAAGTCACATGAACTAAAACATATTTGATTTAAGCACTATTTTTTAAGCCAATTAATTAGAGCTCTTATTGTAGACATTACACACAACACATATATAGCAACACAAACAGAATATTCAGCACTTGTAAGAGTTTTCATTTGTCAGTTTCTTAATTGGATTACTGGCTTCAGGGTGGAGCCTTTGGTGGAACTGGGCCAGGTAGCATGCATTTTTAGGGCCTAATAAGTAGGCACAGCTGAAGGCAAAGGCAGATCCCTAAAATTAAGTGTGCCATTTTATACTAGATTTTTGGTCCCCTAAAGGAGGGAGATACTATGGGAGAAAACAGTGCATTGCTTCTACCATGTATTTCATTGTAAGGCAACCCAAAGCTAATCAGCTTTATCCCCCATGGGAGTATCATCTCTCAGTCGGGGGTGGGGATGTGGGGATGTGGGGATGTTTCCATATCTTTCAGGTGGCCAAGAGCATGCTTCTCTGATTTATAACTACTATTTGCCATCCCTTAAAGTGTATTTCCTGCCTACTTATTACACATCAAAGCTCTCTCCTAATGTGAAGTATTTTGATACACCCAAAACTCAAAATGGTCAGAACACACAAAGCAAAACTGAACAGAACCTTTAATTTAGAGAGGGCACTATCTGCTCTTAATTCCTGGGGTTTCATGAGGAAAAGAAAGGGTTTTTTTTGTTTGTTTGTTTGCTTTTTTCCCCACAATGGGGTCTGTGGCACCTCCTCTGTTTTTCCCAAGGACTACCAGAAGTTATCTTAGGGCCTCTCACACATGCATTAAGAGTGTCAAGAAATAAAATGGAGAAAGATGATTTAGTCAACTGAGAAAAATAAAAATTTTTTTCCAGAAAACAAGATCCAAGAAGAGAAAAATATAAAGGCCTTTTAAATATATTTATTACTTGAATACCCAGTTTTAATTAAGCTGAGCACTCTTTAACAAAATCCCTTTAAATCCACTGTTACTCAACTTTAGCTATGCCAAGCAGTTAAGATTTTCAGCTTCTGAACTTTACAAAAAGTAACCTCACAGGTGAAACCAACAAGCCTTAATTATGTTACGATGTAACAGTGAGTGTACAAGGTGTTTTTAAAGGGGTGATAAGCAGCTTTTGAAACTGTCATTGCAAAATTGTGACTGAGACAGTGAAAGAGATCTGACCCAAAGAACTCTATTTTTTTTCAAGCCTGCGAGCTGTCCTTGTCCATCCCTGGGTGTAGGCTGAACCAACTTTGGGAGGCACCTGGTTTACAGTTTAGACTCTAAAACAAAGATGATATCAGCCCTTTCTTAAAATATACTTTCCTCTTGCCTGGGTACTAGACCAAGAAACTAGCCACAAGATTAAAATCCATGGCTTAGGAGTCACACAGCTGGAGGCTACAAGATTTTGACCATCTCTTAACTTAGCCCTCAAGATTAGTGCTTAAGATATTTTGTAAACCCTGCCCTTGATCAATCAGCTGGCAGCTCCCTTATTGACAAACTGGCTTATCTGATTTTGTGGCCATTACCCAGAAACTGACTTAGCATAAGAAGTCAGCAAACATTGTAAAATGGTGGAGACTAAAACAAATTATTCGCCACATGGTTACAGGTCATGTTCCCAAGGACAAGAAGCAAGATGGAGGCCTTTAGCCAAGTTTGTTACTGATCATTTTGTTGGGCTGGCTTGAACAGCAGGCTTAGGGGGTCCTGGGTCTGCATCCTAACCTAAAGTAACTTTTCTTTGGACAGAACCATACAGAAAGACACACAAAGCACACCAGATTGTCTACAACTTAAGGCCAACCTCACAAATCCTTTCTCATTAATTAAAACTTTTCAGAAAATATAAATAGTGATCCTTATTATTTCTTTTACCGGTTTGCACAGGGATAGAGAAGCCAAAAACCCAACTAGTAAAAAAAAACTTTTACCTTTTTGCCGGCATGTCATGCTTCTGGGTTTTCTTTCTCCCCCAGCTCAACTGTAAGCCAAGCATTTTAAGGTTTGGGTAAATTAACTTCTCCCAGGTTGAATGAACATCATAAAAGGGCCATTGAAAACAGTGAAAAAAGGAAAAACACCATAGAAGAGTCTGGGGCTTCCCATTAGGGTTTCAAGAGGTATTGCCTCTCTTCCTGCTGGGAATGGTGTTTCCCCTGTTTCTTCACTTTCTCTATCTTCTCTTTTCCCATTTGGCCTACTATAGGAGACCTATTGCTCACCTCAGAAATTCTCTGCTGCTTGCAGAGCTGTCTGTTTTAGCTGCAGTTAGGGTTTGGCTTAGGAGCAACATAACATCCCTCCATGAGAGGTCAAATACCTGAGTTAAATTCTGGAAAACTTCTATATGCCTATCAGGGTCATTAGAAAATTGGCCTAAGTCTCCCTTTAATTGCCTGAGGTCCTGCAATGAGAAGGGTACTTGAATCCTGGTGGCATCACCTCAATTATGTATTTTCTGTAGGGGTAAGTGAGAAGGTGATGGAATGGAAAATTTTAGAGATGGTGGAGGTAGAAGAACTGGTGGCATGGTTGGAGGTGGCCCCGGTTAAGGCAGACTGGAAGGGCTGGTACACACAATAGCTGCCTCGGGTGGTTCCCCTGGAAGTTGCTTTTCTCATTTTGGGGAATTATTCTCTTTTGGCCTGCCTGATATGATTGCTAAAAGAGCTGGATTCATTTTGCAGTGCTTGCAAGGATCTAGTAAAAAGGCCATGCCCTTGTGCAAAAGAAAATGAGCTGCTTTTTCTTTAAAGTCTCTGGTTAAGAGGAGTCCCTGTGCTTCAGAATGCACTCCAGGGGAGTGCAGGCTGAATATGGTACCCATCTAGAAAGAGAAATGACAAAAAAGTATCCCTTTAGTCTCCTTCCTTTTCGTGTGACAGAGTGGAGAGGAAGACAGTGGGGGCATTCCCCTTGCTATATTCCTTCCATGGTTCCTGGGTCCCGGCACCTTGTTGAACATGCCACCCATAGTTGCAGGCATGACTGCCAGCTATGGAAACAGAGGCACTTAGAGATTGGGGTTTGTCACACTCACCCAAGTGGCTCTAGTCCTCTGTCCTCTGCCTGTGATTTCCCTTTGACTTCCTAGACTTGTGTGACCTGTCTGGCTCCCTGAAAAATAGATCTCAAAAAAAAAACTACATAATAGTTGGGCAAGCCCTCTTTAATGGAGGGGCTAGACTGAAATCTATACCTGATATTATGGGCTGTACTAAAGCGTTTTCCCTTAGAGAATGGTTCTGGTTAACTTCCAGACTTAAAATCCCCTTACTAATTAAGTACCATTCTAATTGGAGGCAGAATAGGTGTCTTAAAAATGTATGGACTAAATGGCAATTTTCCTGCTGATGGGACAGTATCAAGAACTAACATTTGGTTCCAGAAGACATTTTAATCCTAATTGTTGAAGCTAGAGTTTTCCTGTTAACAGAAGCAGCATAAAGCATGGTGTCTAGTAGAGGGATGCAAAAAGGGAGAGAATTGGTTAGCTAGAGTGTTTGGGTAAAGGACCAACGATGTGCCTCATGGAAAAGATCCCTATTCCACTAGGTGGGGCTGTTGGCCTTGAAATGTCATGTGCTTTTCAGACCAAGGGCAGAGAGAGATGCTCCCTGTGGTGAGGGTGACCCTCTGTTCCTCGAAAATCACAAAGATGCCTTCCCTTGAGCTATATCGCTGGTTACTATGACATTCCCTGATCTTGCCAAACAAGATTACCTCCCTGAACTATAAAATTTCCCATACATTGCATACACAGAGAGGATGAAATAGATATGATGATCGCAGACAGGAAAGGAGGAAATTATGATAAAAAGTTGGAGATTCTGTTGCCGACATCTCATCAGGGTAGTCAGAGGCTGGGGTCCGTCCAAATACCTTTGGATAACAATGGTGGTAACCCTGGCCGGAAATCCTCAGGTACACCAGGACTTCTTCCAGCCCCACATGACAGCTAAGTCCTCAGTGAAAGGAAGCTGGTTCAAACAGGGCCAGTATGCCCAGTGACCCATGGGTACTGGGGGATGCTCCATGTTCTCCCTAGCAATCCTGTCCCCCAAGTCTTGTAAGGCTGGCAGCCATGCTAATTATTTTTAAATGGCTGAAAGGGGCCCCGTATTTGGTTTGATCTGGTTCTAAAATGGAAGCCAAGGGCCTCAGAATAAAAGGACAGAGTTGGAGTCTGCTCCTCTACTCACCATCTCGATGAATGTTGTATGTTGTTATCCCGGACGAGCCCCCATTATAAAGCAGCTATGTCTGGGGTGTAAACCCAGGGTTTGTCATCACGCACCAGGAAAATTTAGGACACAGACACATATGAGAAGTTTACGAGCAAAGGTTTAATAGGCCGAAGAGAAGAGAAAGAGAAACAGCTTTCTCTATAGAGATACAGGTCTCTGAGTGGAAAGGACTGGCTGGCTGCAAATGCACCAAAATATATAGTCCAGTTTGAGGAGGCAGTGTCTGATTTATACAGGGCTCATAGATTGGTTTGATCAGGTATGATGTTTACATAGAGTGCAGAGAAGGCTGGTCACCCCACCTTAATCTTATTATGCAAATAGGCTTTCCAGTTGATCGGCACCATCTCGTCTGCTCTTTACAGTATACATGGCTGGCAGAGAAGGGAAGAATGGAGCTGCCATCTTGAAAATGTCTAGTCCTCAGTTCCTGCCAACATTCACCTGTGCAAGCTCTCAGCTCACTTGTCTACCTCTGCAGCTCAACTTTCCAGGCTGCTCTTTGTTAGTAAATGATTTGGGGCTGCTTTTCATGAGGTAAAAAGTGTGACTGAGGATTCCCAAACCCTTGCTATCTCCCTAAGTGATTTCTTTTTAACTTCTATATCAAAGAGACTGGAGATTTTTTTTTATGAGAACTGCATATTGCCTCTTTGGTTTGGTTTGTTTTAAAGGCAGGTTATCTGTGGAAACCTTATTTATATATTAATTTGTTTCTCTTACTGGAGCTGAAAAACTTTTTAAGGAGGGATACTGTACTATTTAAATACCTTTCTAAAGTCCCCTAACTCCCAGCTTCAAACACAGCTGGTTTACCAAAAAAAAAAAAAAAAAAAAAAAAAAAAAAAAAAAACATGGTACCTACTATAGAATTCAGAAATTTTACTAATGATGACTGTAATTTAAAAATCAAAGTTCTCAATGGATTTTTCTATAGAAGGATTTCTAATTATAATGAAATTTAAGTGGAATAATCATAATACTTTTATTGAGTTGCCACTTGTGTCTTTATAAAACATATGCTTCAGAGGATTTAATCTTGGTTTGTATTTTTTTCCTTTCTGCACATTGAGTTGTGGTTCAGTAGATGGAAGATCTAAAACATAACAATTATATATTTAAACTGATTTAAACTAGAGCCTAAAAAATAGGATAAAACAAGAATGGGATGTACCTCATTTTATAATATATATAAATTCAGAAACATTTATAAACATATATAAATAAAATATTATTTTAAAAAATGGCTTCTTTTCAGATCTTAGGAATGAGTAATTCAGTTAAGGCAGTAATGTGGAAATTTTGAAATGTGGAAATATTATTCAATTTTAAGGACAAATATGGTATATTAGTCTGATCTCATGCTGGTAATAAAGACATATCCAAGACTGGGTAATTTATAAGGAAAAAGGTTTAATGAACTCACAAATCCACATGGCTGGGGAGGCCTCAGAATCATGGCGGAAAGCAGAGGAGGAGCAAAGTCATGTCTTATGTGGCAGCAGGCAAGAGAGAGAGCATGTGCAGGGGAACTCCCCTTTATAAAACCATCAGCTCTCATAAGATTTATTCACTACCGCAAGAATAGCATAGGGAAGACCCACCCTCATCATTCAGTTACCTCCCACTGGGTCCCTCTCATGACACATGGGAATTATGGGAGCTATCATTCAAGATTTGGGTAGAGACACAGCCAAACTGTGTCATTCTACCTCTTACCCCTCCCAAGTCTCATGTCCCTTTCACATTTCAAAACACAATCATACTTTCCCAACAGTCCCCAAAAGGTTTAACTCATTTCAGCATTAACTAAAAAGCCCACAGTCCAAAGTCTCATCTGAGACAAGGCATGTTCCTTCCTCCTATGAGCCTGTAAAATCAAAAGCAAGTTACTTACTTCCTAGACACAGTGGGGTACAGGCATTGGGTATATATACACATTCAAAATGGAAGAAATTGGCCAAAACAAAGGGGCTTCAGGCTCCATGCAAGTCCAAAATCCAATAGAACAGTCATTAAAGTTCGAAAATGATCTCCCTTGACTCCATGTCTCACATCCAAGTCATGCTGATGCAAGAGGTGGGTTCCTATGTCTTGGGGCAACTCTGCCCCTGTGACTTTGCAGTGTAGGGCTCCAGCTCTTGTCATGAGCTGGCATTGAGTATCTGTGGCTTTTCCAGGCATACAGTGCAAGCTATAGGTGTATCTACCATTCTGGGTTTCTGGAGGACAGTGGCCTTCTTCTCACAATTCCACTAGGCAGTGCCCTAGTGGGGACTCTGTGTGGGGCCTCCAGTCCCACATTTCCCTTCCATAGTGCTGTAGCAGAGGTTCTCCATGAGGGCCCTGACCCCATAGCAAACTTCTGCCTGGACACTCAGGCATTTCCATACATCCTTTAAAATGTATATGGAAGTTTCCAAACCTCAATTCTTGACTTCTGTGCACCCACAGTCCCAACACCATGTGTAAGTTGCCAAGGCTTGGGGCTGCAGATGAAACAGCTGGGATGCAAGGCACCATGTCCTGAGGCCGCCTACAGCAAGTGGGCCCTGGGGTCTGCCCATTAAACCATTTTTTTCCTCCTAAGCCTCCAGGCCTGTGATGGGAGGGACTGCCATGATGGTCTCTGATATGCCCTGGAGACATTTTCCCCACTGTCTTGGTGATTAGTATTTGACTTCTTGTTACTTATGCAAATTTCTTCAGCTGGTTTGAATTTCTCCCCAGAAAATTGGTTTTTCTTTCCTACTGCATCATCAGGCTGAAAATTTTCCAAACTTTTATGCCCTGTCACCTCTTGAATTCTTTGCTGCTTAGAAATTTCTTCCACCAGATACCCCAAATTATCTCTCTCAAGTTGAAAGTTCCACAGATCTCTAAAGCAGGGACAAAATGCCCACAGTCTTTTTGCATAGAAAGAGTGACCTAGTTCCCAACAAGTTCCTCATCTACATCTGAGATCACCTGAATGGGACTTCATTGTCCATATCATGATCAGCATTTTGGTCAAAGCCATTCAACAAGTCTTTAGGAAGTTCCAAACTTTCCCACATCTTTCTGTCCTCTTCTGAGCCATCCAAACTGTTCCATTGTCTCCCAGTTAGTCACTTCCAAAGTTGCTTCCACATTTTGGGGTATCTTTACAGAAGTACCTCACTCAACCAGTACCAGTTTACTGTATTAGTCTGTTCTCACACTGCTATTAAAGACATACCCAAGACTGGTTAATCTATAAAGGAAAGAGGTTTAATGGATTCACAGTTGCATGTGGCTGGGGAGGCCTCAAAAATCATAGCAGAAGGCATAAGAGGAGCAAAGTCATGTCTTACGTGTTGGCAGGCAGGAGAGAGAGCATAGGCAGGGAAACTCCCCTTTACAAAACCATCAGATCTTGTGAGACTTATTCACGGTCATGAGAAGCATGGGAAAGACCCACCCTCATGATTCAGTTACCTCCCACTGGGTCCTTCCCATGACACGTGGGAATTATTTGGGCTACAATTTGAGATTTGGGTGGGAACACAGCCAAACCTTGTCATATGGAAATACAAATAATTAATAATAATAATAAACATAACATCAGCTGTTTGATCTTGAATTCAATGAAATTATTGAAATTATTAGCTATTGATAGCCTGACATATTTATTAATATAATAAATAAATTGTAGTCTCCACACAATTTTACAAGGGGCTGAATGAGAGGTGAATTTCATTCTATCAATTCTTTTTTTTTTTTTTGAGACAGAGTCTCGCTCTTTTGCCCAGACCGGACTGCAGTGGCACTATCTCGGCTCACTGCGAGCTCCACCTCCTGGGTTCATGCCATTCTCCTGCCCCAGCCTCCCGAGTAGCTGGGACTACAGGTACATGCCACCACGCCCAGCTAATTTTTTTTTTTTTTTTGTATTTTTAGTAGAGATGGGGTTTCACCGTGTTAGCCAGGATGGTCTCGATCTCCTGACCTCGTGATCTACCCGCCTTGGCCTCCCAAAGTGCTGGGATTACAGGCATGATATTTTTCTTTTTATTATTTATTTATTTATTTATTTACTTACTTATTTTGATTCAGAGTGTCACTCTGTTGTTCAGGCTGGAGTGCAGTGGCAGAATCTTAGCTCATGGCAACCTCCACCTCCTGGGTTCAAGCGATTCTCTTTCCTCAGCCTCCTGCATAGCTGGGATTACAGATGCTACCCCACCCAGCTAATTGTGTATATTTAGTAGAGATGGGGTTTCCCTGTGTTGACCAGGCTGGTCTCAAAGTCCTGAGCTCAAGTGATCTGCCCACCTTGGCATCCCAAGGTGCTGGAATTACAGGTGTGAGCCAACGTGCCCAGCATTCCATCAATTCTGATTTGTATTTTGTATAGAAAATGAAAAATTTCTAAGAACTCCAAAGCCTCAGTTTTATATAAGTACTTATTATGCCATTGGATTCTTTCTTAAGTAGGATATGATTTGTATTCAAAATTTTTAAATAATTAGTTTGTAATTTTCACAGAACAATAAGGATTTTTTTTTCTGTTTTGTGTTTCACAAAACCTGAAAGTCTCCCATAGGAAATTGGAGTATTGAAGCTGAAGTTAGCAAGAGCAAAACAAATGGCCACTATTTAAATGAGAACTAGAAAAGTCTAAGAGAACTGAGTTCACATGGTTTTCATCCTTTGTTACTACAGTCTCCATTTATACTTGAACTCGGTTTCATCTTTTTGAAGAGTTACTGCTTTTCTTCTAGTGAAGAGAAAATAAATACGTGCTTGCTTGCTATTCCATATAACTGAAACCAAACTAACTTGCTTTTTAAGTTTTCAGATTCTTTTGATATCTTATAGTTTAATATCATTATTTTATCGCAGAAGATGTTTATCTTTTGCCCTCTGCCAAGTAACTTTCTACAGTTATTAAATCCATCAAGTTCATCTCTTGTTGATCATCATAGTTGAAGAAATCAAGGTGACAGTTTTTTTTTTTTTAGGCCTATTATGGTTGAGCATGGTAACATTTTTAAAGAAATTGTTTAAAATCATTATGACAGTCTCAAACTTTTAAAGTCTCAAATCCATTAAAAATTAAAGTTTTTAAGAGGATTCCTTTAAAAGAAAATGAGATGGAGTTAACACAGTCTTATTTTTAATAATATTTTTTTTTTAAATTTGAAGCTTACACTGAAAAATACATGTCACTTAATGTCCTTCCCCTGACTATATAAATCCTACTAAGGGATCAAAGAAAACACCACCTTCATTTAGGCTTTCCTGGACTTCTGTAATATACAATGTTATTACCTTTTACCATAATTCCTGTCATTTATTTAGGGTCAGTGTTGTGTCCTTCTTGACCTATATTAACTATTTAATTTCACAACAATTCTATAAGATAGGTATTGCAATTTTTTCCCCAGACAGTACACTGAGTGTTAAAGTAATTTGTGTAAAGTTACACAAATAGTATGTGCAGAAATAGAATTGAACCCAATCCAATAAGACTTTAAAGTCTAGACACTTCCCAACACACTTAATTGTTCGTACCTCTCCTTTGTCAGTAAATCTTGCTTCCTTTAAAACATTCTATTTGCTTAAGATTTCCCGATAGGATAACAAATTTTTGAAGCCACATGTCTTGTCATGATATAAGTCAAATGGTTTTGTGGGAAACACAATGGACCAGGGTCAGGAGACCTCCTACCAAGTTCTTGCTCAGAAATAACTTTAAAGTAATTCAGAAATTTCAAATTTAAAATGAGGAAAGAATTGTATTCCAGGGTTGTTGTTTAAATGTAAATATAAGGAAGGCTTTTTATAAGGTTAATTCAGTGTATGTTATTCTTATATAGAACTATGCCAATTTGGGGTCCTATTCACAAAAGAGCTGACTAATACATATTGGTAGAATGAATGAATAATATGAGTTAGAGAAATATACAAAATGTACAGTTTTTACTCACTTTTTTCCTATTGCCATAATCTCTTCAATGCATATTTGCAATTCCATTTTATTTATTCATGTGCTCTACCTAATATTTACGCATTGCTTGCTCTTCACATTTTTGTTTCTGTTAAGACCTTCTTTTTCCTTTATTTCATGCTCCTTTTCTCTCTCTTCCCTGCCTCATAGCGTTCTTTGTTGGCAATCAAACAGCCAAAAATTGCATGCTGTCTATTTCATGCCTAGCAAAAGATGCTTCTATTCTTGTCTAAGACTTGGCTGGCTCATGTCAAAATTCTCATACCATCTCCTCTCCAGTCTTTCATATTGAAATCTCAAGCATTTCTCCAGAAATTCCCTGTGTACCCAAACCACTTCATTAAAGGCTTATTCATTTTATTCATTAAATACATGCATCTATTTCTCTATAATAAGGCTAGTGTTTAGTTTTGTTTCCTCCCACCCCACCTTCCATCCTAATGGAAATATTAAGTAATATTTAATAAAGACTGAAAATTTGCTGCAAAGAAAGAGCTGTGATTTCAGCTCTATAGGCAATCTGCTGAGAGCCTCATAGTACTAAAAGCAGATTATCTGATAATGCTTGCCATACTGATCATTTCATCTACCAAGGTAGATGAAAGTTAGATAAAATAAACAGGTAAAAAATATTTACTCAGGAATTATTTCATATTAATCAAGGAAAAATATGCTCATATAAATACAGAAAGGTGATGAAAATCTTGGAAACATATGGCTGACATTATAAAATAAAGAAAGGGAAGGAGACTGGTTACAGGTAGATTTCTCACCAGCTTTTTTAATGTGTGTATTTTTCTTACATTTATTTATTACTCTAAATTTCTCTTTTGAAATTTGCTATTGTCCATTATTCATTTTTCTACTAGCATTGCCATTTTTTATTAATTATTAATATAATATTAATATCTAACTTAAAGACTTAAGCTCTTTTATGGTATCTCTATTTAAAATTTTCCCAATGTAAAAAATTGAATTGTTTATTTTCTTGTTGTTGAGTACTAAGATTACTTTCTATATTCTGGATACAAGTCAGATCTGTGATTACCAGATACTTCCTCCCAGTTTGTTATTTTTAAGAGAGGAAAATGTTACATTTTAATCTATTTAATCTATTCAATTTGCACTCATAACCCCTTTTATTACATTTATATTTAGAGTCCTTCTCAGTTAAATATTTATACAAAATTTTTCCTCACATTTTATATTTTATTTACAATTTCCATAGTATTTCTTATCCTATAACTGACATCTAAATTTATATACAACAAAATCCACTTTTTGAAAAAATTCTCTCTTTATTGCTTTTGACAAATATACACATTTTTATCACCAGAACTAGGTACAGAAAATTTTCATCAACCCCTCCGCCAAATTGCCTAAACGTAATTTGTGCCAGTCTCTTTTATCTTCTGCAATTGCTGATCTGATTTTTATTCCTATAGTTTTGTCTTTTCCAGAAAGCCCTAAATGGAATGATACAGTATGAAACCTTTTGAGTCTAATTTCTTTCTCTTAGCATAATACATTTGGAATTTTTCCAAGCCATTGCATGAACTACTAGTTTGTTTCTCTTTATTGATGATGAGTATTCCATTGTATGGATGAACTACACTTCGTTAATTCATTCATGTTGGAAAAGACAGTCTCATGAGTACAGTCTTTCTCCTACTTAGCCACCTAATGGATTTTGGGCCTGGAATACTTTCTTACCAAGATAAAAAGAGTGCACACCACCTGTGCAGGGCCTATTGCCTTGTGTGAGAATATCTTTCTCCGTTGCCAGCCTAGTATATGTCCCTTTGTTCTGTTTAAGCAAGTGTATCCCTTGGCACTTGGCCAGCTCCACTGTGGGGAGGGAATAGGGACCTTCTGTGGTACTCAAGGAGTGTGCATGGACAATTACCCTGCATTCATTGCTGGGAGAGACCCCCTGGCCATGGGGTATTGAAAAATACTCTCAGAATGAATTTTTCTCTGTTTCCTCTCTATGTGAATAAAGAGTTGTTCCATCCAGTGCTTGACTGTGTTGTGATTCCCATGATAACTGCAATACCAAAATGCAATGGGCAGAAATATTTGGAGTCTTCTCCAGGGATTGGCAACTGGTGCATGGTGTTCTGCTTAATAATTCACCTATCGAAGAACATCTGTGCTTTTTTGCTTTTTCCAAATTTGGCAATTTTATATACCTGGAGTAAATAAATAAACCTTGTGTAGATTTTCTGTGAACATAAATTGCTATTTCTCTTGGATGATTACAATAAGATTGCTGAGTCATATGGTATATTTTACTTTCCTTCTCTTTCTTTCCTTCTTTTTTTATTATTATACTTTAAGTTTTAGGGTACATGAGCACAATGTGCAGGTTAGTTACATATGTATACATGTGCCATGCTGGTGCGCTGCACCCACTAACTCGTCATCTAGCATTAGATATCTCTCCCAATGCTGTCCCTCCCTCTTTACTTCTTTCTTTCTTTCTTTCTGCTTTTTTTTTTTTCTTCCACAGAGTCTCTCTGTTGCCTAGGCTAAAGTGCAGCAGCAGCATATTGGCTCATTGCAATCTCTGCTTCCAGGGCTCAAGTGATCCTCCTACCTCAGCCTCCCAAGTTCCAAGTAGCTGAGACTACAGGCATGTGCCACCATGCCCAGCTAATTTTCATATTTTTTTTGTAGAAACAGGGTTTTGCCATGTTGCCCAGGCTGGTCTCAAATTCCTGTGCCCAAGCCATACATCCATACATCTGCTTTGGCCTCCCAAAGTGCTGGGATTACAGTCATGAGCCACTGGGCCAGGTTGATATGTTATATTTCTTAATGATAAACTGCCTTAATAATAATAATAATAAACTGCTTAATGAAAAAGATAAATATTTCTCTTCCCCAAATATCTATACCATTTCATATTCTCACCAATAATGTATGAGTCGCCCTTGCTTCACATCTTTGCCAGCATTTAGTTTCTTTTTTTCACTGTAGTCTTTCTAATACTTGTGTGAAATTATCTAATTGTTTCTAATTTGCATTCTTCTAATGTCTAATGATGGAAATATTTTCATGTGCTAATTTACCAGGGTAATTAGCATATTATTCACCTCAAATACTTGTCAAAATCATCTCTTCTTGCTACTTTGAAGTATATAATACCTTATTCTTGGCTATAGTCACACTACTGTGCAATAAAACACCAGAACTCATTCCTCCTATCTAACTGTAATTTTGTTCCATTTGACTGACTTCTCCCCTCCCCTCTTCCCTGCTACTCTTTCCAGCATCTGGTAACCACTATCCTACTCTCTACTTCAATGAGCTCAACTTGTTAAGATTCCAATTATGATTGGTATCATGCATTATTAGGCCTTAGGTGCGTGACTTCTTTAACTTAACATAATGTCTTCCAGTTTCATCCATGCTGTCACAAATAACACCATTTCATTCTTTTTTTATGGCTGAGTAGTACTCCATTGTGTTTATATACCACATTTTTTATCTGTGTTTAGGGAATCCCAAATCATGCCTATCTATGTTGGTGAACTTAATCAATAAACGTTTGTGTTCTGACTGCTCCACCAATGGGCCACTCTCCCTTTTGTGTCCTGCTCCTTGGGGCTTCCCTGTTGTCAGAGACAGAACAATATTGAAGTTAGGCCAATTAATCATCTACAATGGCCTCTAAATTTTCAACTGGAAGAAAGAGTCACATGCCTCTCACTTTAAATGAAAGCTAGAAATGATTAAGCTTAATGAGGAAGGTGTGTCAAAAGCCCCGATACACTAACCAGTCTAGGCCTTTTGTGCCACTTAGTCAAGTTGTGAATGCAAATAAAAAATTTTTGAAGAAAAATTTAAAAATGCTACTCCAGTGAACACACAAATTATAAGAATCTGATATAGCCTTATTGCAGATACAGAGAAAGTTTTAGTGGCCTGGATCAAACCAGCCACCACATTCACTTAAGCCAAAGTCTAATTAATAGCAAGGCCTTGAATCTTTTCAACTGGCTCAAGGCTGAGAATGGTGAGGAAGCTTCAGAAGGAAAGATTGCAGCTAGCAGAGTTTGGTTAATGGAGTGTAAGGAAAGTAGCCATCTCTATAACCTAAAAGTGCAAGGTAAAGTAGCAAATACTATTGTAGAGGTTGCAGCAAGTCATCCAGATATAAGATAATTGATAAAGGTGGTTACACGAAACAATACAGTTTCAATGTAGACAAAGCAGACTTGTATTGGAAGAAGATGCTATCTAAGACTTCCATCCTAGAGAGGAGAGGTGAGTGCCTGCTTCAAGGCTTCAAAGGACGGCTGACTCTCTTGTTAGAGATAATGCGGCTGGTGACCTTAAGTTGAAGCCAGTGTTCTTTTATTGTTCCAAAAACCCCAAGGCCCTTAAGAGCTATGCTAAATCTACTCTGCCTGTGCTCTAAAAATGGAACAGCAAAGCCTGGATGACAGCATATCTGTTTATAGAATGCTCTGCTGAATATTTTAAGCCCACAGTTAAGAACTACTCTTAAGAAGAAAAGCTTCCTTTCAAAATATTACTGCTTTATGACAATGCACCCAAGAGCTCTGATGAAAAATTATAAGGAGATTAATGTTGTTTTCATGCCTGCTAAGACAACATCTATCCTGAAGCTCATGGATCAGGGAGAAATTTTGGATTTCAATTCTTATTACTTCAGAAATATATTTCATAATGCTATAGCTGCCACAGATTGTGATTCTTCAGATTAATCTATGCAAAGTAAATTGAAAATCTCTGGGAAAGGATTCAACATTTTAATTACCATTAATAACATTAGTGATTCATGGGAGTGGGTCAGAATATCAATATTAACAGGAATTTGGAAAAAGTTGATTCCAACCCTCATGGATGATTTTGAGGGGTTCAAGACTTCAAGTAGAAGAATTAACTACAGATGTGGTAGAAGAGTAAGAGAACCAGAGTTAGAAGGTGAGCCTCACAATGTGAATTTATACAATCTTATGGTAAAACTTGAGTGGATGAGAAGTTGCTTCTAATAGATAAGCAAAGAATGTGCTTTTTTGAGATGGAATCTGCTACAGCAAAGATGCTGTGAGCCTTGATGAAATGAGAATGATTTAGAAAATTACCTAAATCTAGTTAATAAAGCAGCAGCAGGGTTTTAGTGTATTGACTCCAATTTTAAAAGCAGTTCTACTGTGGGCACAATGTTATCCAACAGCATTATATGCTACCAAGAAATCTTTCATGAAAAAAAAAAAACAGTCAATTCATGTGGCAGACTTCATTGTTATTTTAAGAAATTGCCACAGCCACCCAAACATTCAGCAGCCACCGCCCTGATCAATCAGTAGCCATCAGTATCAAGACAAGATCCTCTATCAGCAAAAACATTATGCCTTGCTGAAGGCACAGATATTCATTAGCATGTTTCAGCATATTTTAAAATTAAAGTATGTCCATTTTTTAAACCTAATGTTATAGCACACTTCATAAACTACAGTGTGGTATTATAACTTTTATATGCACTGGAAAAGCAAAAAATTTTGTGACTCACTTTACTGTGATATTTGCTTTATTGTAATGGTCTGAAATCAAAACAGCAATATTTCCCTTGTATACCTATATATTCTTAATATTAACCCCTTTTCAGGTGCATAGTTTGCAAATATATTCTCCCATTCTGCAGGTTGTCTCTTCACTCTTGATTTTTTCCTTTGCTGTGCAGAAGCTTTTTAGTTTGATATAATTCTCTTATTTGTTTACTTTTTATTTTGTTGCCTCTGCTTTTCAGGTTTTATTGCAAAAACCTTTGTTCAGATCCACGTCATAAAGCATTTTTTTCCTGTGTTTTCTTCTAGTATCTCATAGTTTCAGGTCTTACATTTAAGTCTTTAATCCAATTTGAGTTGATTTTTGTAAGTGATAAGAGATACGGTTATAGTGTCATTCTTCAACATATGAGTATCCAGTTTTATCATCACCCTTTATTAAGGAGACTGTCCCTTCCCTAATGTGTGTTCTGATACTTTGTCAAAAAGCAATTGGCTGGAAATGCATGGATTTATTTCTGGGTTCTCTATTCTGTTCCATTGATCTATATGTCTGTTTTTTATGCAAATACCATGCAAGCATGAATTTACAAGGATTCCTTGTACTTCCTTTTTTTTTAAATCATCTCAGAAAGATTGGTATTATTTCTTTCTTTAAAAGCTTGATAGAATTATTTGGCAGTGAATATATCCAGTGTTGAACTTTCCTTTCTGAATCAATATCATTGCTCATTACTGGTCTGTTCAGGTGTTCAGTTTTTCTGTGTCTTCATTATTCAATCTTGGTAGGTTGTACATATCCATAAATTTATCCATTTATTCTAGGTTTTCTAATTTGTTAGGGGTATAGTTGTTTATAAGAGTCTGTAATGATCCTTTGTATTTCTGTGGTATGTTTATTTTTAGTCTATGTTCTGTTTATGCTCTGATCTTTATTATTTCTTCACTCTGTTACTAGTTTGGGGTTTATTTTGTTCTCATTTTTCTAGGTTTTAGAAATGCAACTTTTGCTTATTTCTTTGGAATCTTTCTACATTTCTGATATAAGTGTTTTTGCTATAAACTTTCCTATTGTAACTTCTTTTTCAACATCCCATAGGATTTGGTATGTTGGGTTTCCATTTTCATTTGTATCAATATTCTTCAAAAATGTTTCTTCACAATTTCTTCATTACTCATTAGTTGCCCAGGAGCATGTTGTTTAATTTTCATTTATTTGTACATTTCCCAAGGTTCTTCATGTTATTGATTCCTAGTTTTATTATATTTTGGTTAGAAAAGTTATCTGATATAATTTTAACATTTTTAAATGTGATAAGAGTATTTTTTTTACTTCACATATGGTCTATCCTGGAGAATGTTCCATGTGCTGCTGAGAAAAATACATATTCTGAGGCTGTTACGTGAATATTTCTGTAAACATTTATTAGGTTTATTTGGTCTACAGTGTGGCTTAACTATGTAAATAAACTATATTTCACTATATCTGGATGATCTGTCTATTGCTAAAAGTGGGGTGTTGAAACCCACCGCTATTATTGTACTGCAGTGCAATCTCTTTCTTTAAGTCTATTAATGTTTTCTTTATATATTTAGGCACTCCTATGTTGAGTGCATGTATATTTATATTTGTTATATCCTGTTGCTCTATTGACTCTTTTATCATTGTGAGTGTCTTTATCTTTCTACAGTTTTTGGCTTAAGCTCTATTTTGCCTAATGTAAGTATAGCTACTCCTGCTTTATTTTAGTTTCCATTTGTGTGGAATATCTTTTTCATTCCTTACTTCACTTTCAGTCTTCGTGTATCTTTATAGATGAAATGAGTTTCTTGTATGAGCATATAGTTGGGTCTTTTTTTTTTTAATTCATTCAGCCTTTCTGTTTTATTTTGATTGAAGAATTTCATTTACATATAAGGTAAATGATAGGTAAGGGGTTACTACTGTCATTTTGTTACTTGTTTTCCAGTTGATTTGTTGATCCTTTTTTCATTTCTTCTTTTACATTTGTTCTTTGTGATTAAGTGATTTTTTCTAGTAATATGCTTTGATTCCTTGTTTTTTATTCAATACCTCACAATTGCTGTGTTTTCCCTCTCTAAATTCCCAGAGATGCTCTCTGTCACTGCCAGGGTGAGGAAGGGGTGGTGTCAGTGATTCAGGTCTGTTTATTAAAATCTCTTATTCTAGTTTCTATTTGTGTGAAATATATTTTTCATCCCTTCCTTGCAGTGGGAGAGGGAAGATCTTTGTAGCTTTCTATTTGCCATCTTCTTCTGCCTCCCTCACAATTTATATATTTTTAAATATTGCCTATCTCTTAATAATAATAGCTAATATATAAAAATATAAAGGTCTTGAAGGAGAAATAATTGCAGCCTCACCTTAAGTTATAATGAATTTATCTTTTAGAAGGCTCACTTTAATAAAATGTAAAATTTAAATGATTACTAATTTGCATCACTTCTTTGTATTATAATTTTTAGATGATTGAATTTATCTTATTACACTGTGTTAGTGCCTTGTTTCCTGCATCTTAATATGCTTCTTCCTTGGTGATTAATTTTATATTTCATTACTCTGTGCATTTATGATAATATGATATCTTCTGAAACATGTAGCTTTCATTAGTCTCACAAAAATTTCCAGGAATACCTTAACAATGCTTAATAATGTTAATTTGTTCCTCTCTGTCCATCTCATTTTGTTTCTCACTAAAAATGTAGGTTTTTCTGTTAGTTGAATGATAATTAGATTTACAGGTTTCTGTGTGATATAATGGAAACAGTACTTGATAAAATTCAGCAGCCTGTTTTTTTTCCTAACATTTATTAATTTTGTGACCTTCAGTATGTTAATGAATTCTATTGAACTTTTTTTTTCATCTGTTTATAGGGTATAATTATTTCTAACCTATTATCTCCTTTTTGTTATGGGATTACAAGATATTTAAGAGTCTAGTAAATAACTTTAATAAGTTATGTAGTTTGAAATTACAGCAATTTGTTCAACACCTATAAATTCCTTTTCAGTACACACAGTATTTTAAATAACTCTGAAGAATGAAAATATTACATGAATAAAAACTTCCTTAATATGCTAGGGTCTTCCTTGCTAATGTGGATTTACCTGGCTTAGATGGATTCTCTCCTTTCTTTCATTTCCATATACTAGAATTTGCATTCCATAAATACTCTTTTTACCTCCTATTCTTCATCCAAACTTTGCACTCAAGTCTGATTTATGCTCTACTGCTTCACTAAGACAGTGCTGCTACAGGTTACTAACCACCATGTCTTGCTGCCTTCTTTCAGTCCTAGTTATCTTTATTTGCATTATGGCATTTAACACTATAGGGCACCTTTCCATTCTGGAATCATCATCTTTCTTAGATGCATGTAGGTCTCCTCTATTTCCAGTGACCTCTTTTCTTTCCTGCAGTAGGTTGAACAGGCTTGTGTATAAATACCTAAGCTTTGATATTAGAACTGATTTTAAGTTCTTATTCTGTGTCCCTTTAATAGTTATTTGACCTTGAGTAAGTTGTTTAATCTCTCTGCTGTAGTTTCTTCATCTGGGAAATGAGGATAATATTTCATTCCAGTCTCACTGGGTTGTTTTGAACATTCATTGAGATTATGTGCATAAAAGCTTACCCAACTCTAACTCTCAATAATGTTAGATGTCATTGATACATTTTTTCAACATTTTTAAATTTTATTTTTAACTGACAATAATAATTGTACGTATTCATGGAGTACATAGTGGTGTTTTCATACATATAATGTACAGTGGTCACATCACACTAATTTAGCATATCCACCATCCAAACATTTAGCATTTCTTTGTATTGAGTGGGAGTATTCAATCTATTATTATTATTATTTTCAAACAACCTTTCTTCCCTTTAATCGTTTATTTAATTCTGAGCAAAAGCTCTGGCGTAAGCTCTCTGTTCTTTCTCTTCACTCAGTTTCTTGGCTTTACCTCTCATTTTTACACGTACACCCATATCCCCCACTGCCCAGACCTCTCATGAGAGCTCCATTATTAGGTTAATTTTTGAGTCCAAAATGTCGTTTTGTAGATTCCTTGTGGTAATCCATGTGTCCACAATGGAACACAAGATTCCCTTTCAAACATCAGCTTCTACTGCCTGGCTATCCTATCTGTTAGTTGGTCTATCAGACTACAAACTATGAAATCATTCTTAATTCTTTCTTTTTATGCATTACTTAGCCCTAGACAAAATATGGTACCAAACACCATGATTTCTTTGTAGAAGTGGCTTTATGATTAACTCTTTCTTTGCTTTCTGTTGTCTGTGACCTATTAAAGTTCTTGTCATGTCACAATTGGATTTTTTTCAGTAGCTTCTCAATGGATCTCTCTCACACACCATTTTTGCCTCCAGTCACCCTTATGAACCTTTGCCAGAAAAATATTTTTAAATATTATTTTCATTCTATAACTTTCATGCTTGAGACATAAACTATCTGCATTGCCTAGTGTATTACTAGGTTGCAACTCTGTCTGTCTTGGGGACTTCTCTTTATTTTAGTGCTTTCTCCCATTGTTCACCCATATGGGCCCTATGATTCAGAAAAATCTAATGACAACCAAAAACATACTTTATGTCCATATCTGTCACTCCACTCCCTATAAAGCTCTGTCCCATATCTAGAATATCCTCTCATATAGTGAAGTATTTCTTCTTTTCTACCCGTTCTTTGTGGCCTAACTAAAGTTCTAACCTCTCCCTAGAATTATTTCTTCCCTTATATTTTTTCTTACTTCTATTAGAAAGACAGGATGCTATCACTGTAAGTTATGGAAATTAAAATCAAGCAAAAAGAATCTACTTGTTTATGTAATTGTGAAAAAACAGGGATATAGTAGGGGCCACTAAAAAAATATAACCAGGGATTTTATACTGACAGATTTACCTCCTTACACCTATTAATTTCCCCTCTTTTTTATAGAGGCATTGTTCTCTCTTTTCATTTCTTCATGAGGTTGGAACCATGACTAATGACTGCTGTTGGCTCACATTTTTGAAGAGAATAAAAATATTTTTCAAGGAATAAAGTGATTCTCTATTAGCTTGAGTTTGAAAAACATAAGCAAAAGGCCCGATGAGCAGTTTAGGTAACATCTCAGTCCTTTAAGCCAATAACTGAGGTTGGGGGTTGAAGAGTTATAAATCTAAAATAAAATTATACTTTATTAATATAAATTATTATAACACTTTTAAAAATTTATGCCTTACAATTTATTAAGTAAAGTGGATCATGTACACACATCAAATAAACAGAGAAACAGGGATCTATTTCCAGGAAAAGGGATTATGAACAGTCATTGCATTGCTGGAGTTCTTGGAAACTGGACAGGTACCATTTTTTGTATCAATAATAATGAGTTTTTAATTAAAATTAAAGCATATCCATGATTATTTCCTTTTTTCCATAGCTACCTACACAATTTCATAAACTCATGACCCAGTGTAATCCTGAGTCCTTGAAATGTTTCTAAAAGTGATTCACCCTTTCAGTGAAATAGGAATAGATAGGACTTCCATTTCCAGGATTTTTCTTAGCCAGAAGTGTCCCCTGGAGGCTTGGGCAGAATTACAGATATCTTGAGATTAAAGGAAAAAAAGGAGCCACATTGGCTGCTTCCATCTGCTTCAGAGCAAAACTTGCTATTCCTGTGTGTTAGGTAATCCCAAGTGGTTTTTACATTCTGGTATCTCAAAGGTATGATTAAAGGATTAGTGTGGAAGGAAAACAGCAGACATTAGTGCAGCAGAGTTGAAAAAAGCCAATACTTTGGTACTATCGTGGGATTTCATCAGCAGCAAAATGAGGACAGGAGAATTAGACCATAAGTGATTTTGTTAAAACACTAGGGGAATCCAATCAAGGTGCTTTAGCTATTAAGATCCCTGATTACAGGGGTTATATCTGTTCCAATTTGCTTTGTGAGGTGCCCACATAGGCAATAGAGACAAGGACCATGTTTTTAAGAAGTACTAAGACGCTGTTACTTTGGAAAAACTACTGAATACTCAGTGCATATCTAATGAGCAGTTTTAGTTTTAAATTTCTAGAAAGAATGCTTGGCAATAGTTGAATTAACATTTGCCAGGTATCTAACTGAGAATATAAGTTAGGAGCCATAGGTATTAGTGAAACATGGAGAATAGATGGTTTTCATTCAGGAATGTGTCATAGTTGTGACAAACACCAACAACTAAGAAGTTAGTAGCAAAATAAGAACTCATAAAAATGTGTGTAATTAATATTAAAAAATACTACTCTAGCCTTATTTATATGTCAGGCTCTGATATAAGCACTTTCCATGCAAAATCGCATTTAATCCTCATAACCACCTTATGAAAATGTTATAGATGAGAAAAAAAAGACTTAGAAAGATTAATAACTTGCTCAAACATCCAAACTAGTAGATGTCAGAGCCGGGATTTGAAATCAGCTTTGATTAATTCAAGTGAAGTTCAAATTTCATCTAATTTCAGAGCCATTCTCATAAGAGCTCTTTATGATTGCCTACTGAGAAGAAGAAATTATGAGAGCTAAGACAGAAACTAAATTTTGTTGAGTGTCTATCCTGTGCCAGACTTTGGTCTGGTGATTGGCCTACTATATCTGATATGATTAAAGAAACTGAAGCTCAGAGACATTTAAATAACTTGTCTAAGGTCATGTATCTAGGAAATTGTGGATACAGGAATCAAACTCAGTCTATATATGGCAAAGGCCAATGCCCTTTCCAAGTATTATGATCTCTATGACAATAAAATTAATTTCATGTAGCCTAAGGATTTGGGTACTTTTTGTGACTGAAAGTTTTGGTCAGCTGCAGAGGACTATATTAGTTAGCTTGAGATACTATAACAACAAACCAATAGACTCAGTGGTTCGTAAACAACAGAAATGTATTTCCTTATAGTTTAGAGGCTGGAAGTCCAAGAACAAGGTCTCAATAGGCTGTGTTCCTTCTGAGGATCTGTCTCCTTGGCTTGTAGATGCCATCTTCTCCTTGCATCTTCACACGATAATGTGCATGTCTATTTCTTAATCTCTTCCTATAAGGACCCCATTCAGCTAGATTAGGGACCACCCATATGATTTTTTTGCCTTAGTTTCCTTTTTAAAGACCTTGTATACAAACACAGTCACATTCTGAGGTACTTGGGGTTAGGATTACAACATAGGAATTTTCTATAAGACACAGTTTGGCCTATAACAAAAGCCAGCAGTGCTCTGACATGACACTAAGAAGTTAATATAAACTTCTTATGAAAAAAGACGCAATAAAACATCCTAAAACTGAACAGCCTATGTATGGTATAGTCTTTGCTTTCATCACTTTCTTTCAAGTTACTGTTGTTTCTCATCTGGACTCCTTACTACATTAGCCTCTAAACTAAGCTTCTTGAATTTTCTCATATTCAACCCCAAATGAAGTAACAGTTTGCCAGTAATTTGTAGATTTAATGCTATCCCCATCAAGCTACCATTGACTTTATTCATAGAATTAGAAAAAAAACTACTTTAAATTTCATATGGAACCAAAAAAGAGCCTGTAGGGCCAAGACAATCCTAAGCAAAAAGAACAACGCTGGAGGCATCACGCCACCTGACTTTAAGCTATACGACAAGGCTACAGTAACCAAAACAGCGTGGTACTCATATCAAAACAAATATATAGACCAGTGGAACAGAATAGAGGCCTCAGAAATAACACCACAAACCTACAACCACCTGATCTTTGACAAACCTGACAAAAACAAGCAATGGGGAGAGGATTCCCTATTTAATAAATGGCATTGGGAAAACTGGCTAGCCTTATGCAGAAAACTAAAACTGGATCCCTTCCTTACACCTTTTACAGAAATTAATTCATGATGGATTAAAGACTTAAACTAATACCTAAAACCATAAAAACTCTAGACGAAAACCTAGGCAATACCATTCAGGACATAGGCATGGGCAAAGACTTCATGACTAAAGCACCAACAGCAAAGGCAACAAAAGCCAAGATTGTATAGCATAATTCCAAAGATCATTATTTACTTTGTATTCCAGGAGAATGTCAAACTCTAACAAATTATGTTAAAAAGTGGCCTTGCATATTGTCAATGCTTCATTTCATGGTAAACATCCAAAATCAGGCCTTTGTTCATTTTATGTGCTTTTATTTTTATGTATTTATTTTTTATTATACTCTAAATTCTGGGATACATGTGCAGAATGTGCAGGTTTGTTACATAGGTATACACATGCCATGGTAGTCTGCTGCAACCATCAACCTGTCATCTACATTAGGTATTTCTCCTAATGCTATCCATCCCTAGACCCCAATCCCCTGACAGGCCCCAGTGTGTGGTGATCCCCTCCCTGTGTCTATGTGTTCTCATTGTTCAACTCCCATTTATGAGCGAGAACATGCAGTGTTTGGTTTTCTGTTCCTATGTTAGTTTGCTGAGAATGATGGTTTCCAGCTTCATCCATGTGCCTGCAAAGGACATGAACTCATCCTTTTTTATGGCTGCATAGTATTCCATGGTATATAAGTGCCACATTTTCTTTATCCAGTCTATCACTGATGGACATTTGGATTGGTTCCAAGTCTTTGATATTGTGAATAGTGCTGCAACATATGTGTGAATGTGTCTTTATAGTAGGATGATTTATAATCTTTTGGGTATATACTCAGTAATGGGATTGCTGGATTAAATGGTATTTCTGGTTCTAGATCCTTGAGGAATCGCCACACTGTCTTCCACAATGGTTGAACTAATTTACACTTCCACCAACAGTGTAAAAGTGTTCCTATTTCTCCACATCCTCTCCAGCTTCTGTTGTTTCCTGACTTTTTAATGATCACCATTCTAACTGGCCTGAGATGGCATCTCATTGTGGTTTTGATTTGCATTACCCTAACGACCAGTGACGATGAGTTTTTTTCATATGTTTGTTGGCTGCATAAATGTCTTCTTTTGCGAAATGTCTGTTCATATCCTTCACCCACTTTTTCATGGGGTTGTTTTTTTTTCTTGTAATTTGTTTAAGTTCCTTGTAGATTCTCGATATTAGTCCTTTGTCAGATGGATAGATTGCAAAACTTTTCTCCCATTCTGTAGGTTGCCTTTTCACTCTGATGCTAATTTCTTTTGCTGTGCAGAAGGTCTTTAGTTTGATTAGATCCCATTTGTCAATTTTGTCTTTTGTTGCCATTGCTTTTGGTGTTTTAGTCATGAAGTCTTTGCCCATGCCTATGTCCTGAATGGTATTGCCTAGGTTTTCTTCTAGAGTTTTTATGGTTTTAGGTATTACTTTTAAGTCTTTAATCCATCTTGAATTAATTTTTGTAAAAGGTGTAAGGAAAGGATCCAGTTTTCGTTTTCTGCATAAGGCTAGCCAGTTTTCCCAACACCATTTATTAAATAGGGGATCCTTTCCCCATTGCTTGTTTTTGTCAGGTTTGTCAAACATCAGGTGGTTGCAGATTTGTGGTGTTATTTCTGAGGCCTCTGTTCTGTTCCATTGGTCTATATATATTTGTTTTGATATGAGTACCATGCTGTTTTGGTTACTATAGCTTGATGGGGATAGCATTGAATCTACAAATTACTTTGGGCAGTATGGCCATTTTCACAGTATTGATTCTTCTTATTCATGAGCATGGAATGTTTTCCTATTTGTGTCCTCTCTTATTTGTTTGAGCAGTGGTTTGTAGTTCTCCTTGAAGAGTTCCCTCACATCCCTTGTAAGGCTGGTTCAACATATGCAAATCAATAAATGTAATCCATCACATAAATAAAACCAATGACAAAAACCACATGACTATCTCAATAGATGCAGAAAAGGCCTTCGATGAAATTCAACACCCCTTTACGCTAAAAACTCTCAATAAACTAGGTATTGATGGAAAGTATCTCAAAATAATGAGAGCTATTTATGAGAAACCCACAGCCAATATCATACTTAATGGTCAAAAACTGGCAACATTCCATTTGAAATCCTGCACAAGACAAGGATGCCCTCTCTCACCATATTTAACATAGTATTGGAAGTTCTGGCCAGGGTAATCAGCCAAGAGAAAGAAAGAAAGGGCATTCACATAAGAAGAAAGGAAGTCAAATTGTCTCTTTGCAGTTGACATGATTGTATTTTTAGTAAACCCTATCATCTCAGCCCAAAATCTCCTTATGCTAATAAGCAACTTCAGCAAAGTCTCAAGATACAAAATCAATGTGCAAAAATCACAAGCATTCCTACACAACAATAATAGACAAACAGAGAGCCAAATCATGAGTGAACTCCCATTCACAATTGCTACAAAGGGAATAAAATACCTAAGAATACACCTTTGTTCATTTTAAACTCTGTCATTGTAATACTCTATTGTATCCTTCTGGAGCGCCACTGTACTCTCTTAACCTATTATTGCCAGTGTAGTCTTACTTGCAGTTTAATTCATGTTACCTGCCTTCAGAAACCTCTTCTATTGCACCTCTTTATGTATCAAGTTTGGGCCTCCCCCTTGTAATCTTAGCCTACTTGCCCTCCCATCATATAGCCTCAACTGTAGGCAGACTGGATTTTGACCACATACTACCCACTTTAACCTGCCTATGCTCTGTTTACTCCATCTAGAATGCCAAAGTCAACTCCTTCTGCAGGGTCACATTTAAATTATACTTTATGAACAGACCTTTTCCTAGTACAGCAAAACAGAAATGACAGTATTTTCCATTCTACATCATTAAACGTTCACCTTTATTGTACTGGATCTTTATAAAAAGGGAGTCTCTATTATAGCCAGTTAAGTCAGTGGTCCCTTCAAAGTCATGGAGTAACTGAAAATATGACAGAGATCATTGACTAGAAGAATTTTAGGATATTTTATTGGCATAGTCCAGTGTTGTGCTGGAACCAGCTCATCTAGGCAATTGTAAGAGAAATGTTAAATTTTTAAGTGTCTCTTGTTAAACACAGCCATTATTAAAAATTAAATTCTATAAACAATAATTAAGCTATAAAAAAATAAAAGTTAAATATCAGACAATTCTAATTAAACATAATTCCTTTTAACATATTTTACAGTTTTTTATGCTCTTTAGGCTATTTTCAGCTCTACTGTCTATGTGGTCAACATAATATATATGAGTGTGTTGTTCCCCTCCCTGTGTTCATGTGTTCTCATCATTCAGCTCCCACTTATAAGTGAGAACATGTGGTGTTTGGTTTTCTGTTTCCCAATTCATTTGCTAAGGATAATGGCTTCCAGCTTAGTCCATGTCCCTGCAAAGGACATGATCTCATTCATTTTTATAGCTGCATAATATTCCATGGTGTATATGTATCATTTTTTTTTAAATCTGGTCTATCATTGATGGACATTTGGGTTGATTCCATGTCTTTACTATTGTGAATAGTGCTGCAATGAACATACACATGCTTGTATATTTATAATAGAATGATTTATATTCCTTTGGGTATATACTCAGTAATGGGATTGCTGGGTCAAATGACATTTCGACTCTAGACCTTTGAGGAATTGCCATACTATCTTCTACAATGGTTGAAATAATTTACATTCCCACCAAGAGTGTAAACGTGTTCCCATTTCTCCACAACCTCACCAGCATCTGTTATTTCTTTACTTTTTAAAAATCACCATCTGACTGGCATGAATTGGTGTCTCATTGTGGTTTTGATTTGCATTTCTCTAATGATCAGTGATGTTGAGCTTTTTTTCATATCTTTGTTGGCTGCATAAATATCTTCTTTTGAGAAGTGTTTGTTCATGGCCTTTGCCCACTTTTTAATAGGGTTGTTTTTTTCTTGTAAATTTATTTAAGTTTCATGTAGACTCTGGATATTAGACCATTGTCAGATGGATAGATTGTAAACATTTTTCCCTATTCTGTAGATGGTCTGTTTGCTCTGATGATAATTAGGAAGAGCATCAGGAAAAATAGCTAATGCATGCTGGGCTTAATACCTAGGTGATGAGTTGATAGGTGCAGCAAATACCCATGGCACAGGTTTACCTATGTAACAAACCTGCACATCCTGCACATGTGTCCCAGAACTTAAAAAAAATGAAAAAATAAAATCTTCCCTGTAGATACAATATCAATACTACACAGTCCTTGTCACACTAGTCACCATATAGTAAAAAGACAAACATTAAATTTTATAATTAGAGTAATGCAACTATTGGCACCATAGAAATATGCAGTGGATATATCTATTGACATTTATTCTATTTGAATTTAAAACTGAGGATTTTTAAGTGTTTGTTATTCATTTACTCTGCATGTTAACATAAATAATGTTTTTATGAAAATGACTATATTTCCCCAAAAAACAATAAAGTTTGCTAAGTGAAATAAACTAGTCACAAAAAGAAAAAATATATATATAACAAAACAATGTAGGAAGCAGGTCTAAAAATCCACTCTCTAAGGTTTCTTAGAATACATATAATTTTGTAATTGAGGAGACAAATTTACATAAAAAAGGTAAGCCATTTCCCAAAAACCATGTAAGTGATAAATCAAACAAATAGATTTTCAATCACTGTCTCCTCACTCTGTCGAGGGCACTTGTGACTAAGCTGTGCTGTCCTTGATAATATATCTTATCTTAGCCCAGTTTAGTGCTTTTATATCACAATGAATGCAGAGTAGCTTCAGTAACAGAAGCTGCTATACACAATGATTCATAGTGGATGCTCAGTAATTTACTTATGAAAAATTGCTGCTCATTTTCTAAAATTTATTTATTCAACAAATACTTAGGTTGCCTAGGCCCTTGAGATAAAGAGGGTAATTAACCCCTTTGTTTAACTGTCTCACAGTCTTTTATGGAGTAAGACAAATATGTAATTACAATAAAACATAAACAATATCCTATGACATTGGAGGGGAGTTGAGCAATGACAGCACAGTGGAAGATATCTGTTTAGAACTGTGGGCCAGGTGTGGTAGCTCATGCCTGTAATCCCAGCACTCACTCTGGGAGGCTGAGGCTTCCCAAAGCCTCCTGGGATTGCTTGAGCCCAGGAGTTCAAGACCAGCCTGGGCAACATGGAGAAATTTAGTCTCTACAAAAAAATACAAAAATTATCTGGGTGTGGTAGTGTGTGCCTGTAGTCCCAGCTAACCGGGAGGCTGAGGTGGGAGGATCACTTGAGCCTGGAAAGTTGAGGCTGCAGTGAGCCGTGATTGTACCACTGCACTCCAGCCTTGGTGACAGGGGTGAAACCTTGTCTCAGAAAAAGCAACAACAACAACAATAAAAACTTAATTTAGAGAATTCTGTCACTTTCAGCCAACTCTTGAAGGATGGGTAGGAATTAGCTAAATAGAAGGGTATTCCAGGAATAAGAGAGATTGTGTGAAATTTAGAGATGTAAAAAAGCCTAGTGTATTTGATCTACATATCCTTTGTTATGGCTGGAGCATGTGCTGTGCCTCAGGAAAAGGCAGGCAGTGAGACTGGAGAGAAGAGTCAAGCAGCAGATCATGAAAAGTTTGGATGCCATTAAATATCCTAAGAAGTTTGAATTCTACCCTGAAATGTATAGGATCTAAATTTCTTTGCATGCCTAAAGTGGTACTGTCTAATAGAAATGTAATGCTAGCTATATTTATAATTTTAAGAAAAAGTAAAAATAAATGATATTAAATTTAATAATACATTTTATTTAACCCAATATATCTAAACTTCTATCATTTTAACATGTAATCCACATATTAATGGGATATTTTGCATTCTTTCTTTTGTATTAAGTCTTTGAAATGTATTTTGTGGTTTACACTGAACATCTCAATGTGGCAAGTGGCTATTAACTGGACAGCACAAGTCTAAATTATAGAGGAAAGTCACCAAGGCTCTAATGCCTGAACACAGCATAGTTACCCACTCTTAAATGAGGCTCAAAATTTGGCAACAATGACAGTGCAGCCATTATACTACATTTTAATTCTTCCTTCTCATTTCTGAATCCAAATTGAGTTCCTCCTCTCAGTACTTTGTTTAGACACCAAGTCCTTCCAAAGGGAATCTGGCTACAACAGAACCCAGACAGCACAGATCTAAACTGGAGAAGGTAGCGGCAGGCCAGGGAGCTGCTGTCAAAGAAGCGACTTTTTTTCAGCAAAAGCTGTCAAGCATGAAGAGTTTTGGCTGCGCTGTAGAGGATTTTCTGCCTTCAGCTGGTGATGGGAGAATTTCTGCATTGTCATTAGATCCAGTTAGAATCAAGGATCATTGGTGGCTAGTGAGCTAAAACAGGCAAAATAAATAACTCACCGATCCACCCGACCCATTGACACACAGCTCCGTATAGAGTTTTCTCCTTTCTGTGGAAATGGAATTACTTTTAATGAGACATGCACCGAAGTCTTCAGCTGTGAATTTGACAGCTTACAAAGAAAGCAGAAAGAAGTTGAATTCTGGAAGCTTAGAGTGGGAATCTGGGTCATAGCTTCTGTCTCAAGTTTTTATTTTCCTCTAGGAAGAATAGCCAGAGGAAAAAAATGAGGAAGACTCCAATATTTTTAAGAAGATTAAAAAAGTGATTTTTTCATTATGGAAATCTCAAACCATTTTAAAAAATAATAAAAGCTTGGAATATTCCAAAAAATTTAACACCAAAATCACTGTTTTTGTCATTTTCTATGGTCTCTCTGAAGTTTCTCCCTCTTCAGCAATGATGTAGTTAAGTAACTAATACAAGATAATATGGTATGTCTATTTTCAAGAGCCCCCTCTTATTTTACAGGACTTTGTCCATAGAAAAGCTATGATTAAGCGTTGTGTATTTTGTAGAAAGGCTCTGAGATTTAAACACCAACTATCAGCAACATGGGGACTGAATCATTTAGTGCTAAATCACATACATCTGTAATCTTTTGGAAATTAAGCAAAATACTTATATATTAAATATTATGTTTGCTGAGACAAATTCAATTCAGTAGTATTTGGAATTAGTTTCAAATGAAACATTTAGTAGCAGGCCTTTGGAAGAACCACAGGACTAAATTGAACAATTTTTACCCAGTGTCTTAAGAGTAACAATATATGGAGGGCAAAGAGCATGGGCTTTGAAATTTGACAGAATGAGGGTTGAAATTTCAGCTCTTCTATTTACTAGCTGTCAATTATTTGGCAAATTGTTTCAGCATCAACACCTTCTTTAGAAATGTGGGAAATAATAGCAACTTCATTAGGTTGGTTGGTTTTAATAATAACACATTTGGAGTGAATAGTGCAATAATTTGTTCATATTATTATTAACCTTTTACCAAATAATTTTACAGGATCTAGATAAATGTTGAGGATGGTGATGATGATGATTATAAAAAAATCCTGTATTCAGTGCTTACTCTGTTCCATGCTCTGGGCTAAGTACTTTACCTAAAATAACCCCTTCTTAATATGAGCAAAGAAAACTTCTTGAGTTTCCAGATTCTCTTCTAATCACCACCATACTCTTAGCTCTTGTTCAGTGCCAAGTGTCTCAAAAAAGTTGTATAAATATATTGTCTTCACTTTTTTTACTCCCATTCACACAAGCCTACTCCTATATATCTTCTACTATGTTGCCAGAATTAGTGGATTTTTTTCACTACACATCTTACTTTAGTTTTCAACAGAGTGTTTTAAAAAAAAGAGTGTAAAAACAGTTTCTTTTCCTGATTTCCATAAGAATATATTATCTTGGTTTCTCTTCTTCTTCATTGTCTTTGTGAGCTATTCCTTCTCAGTTAATGCACACATATTTGAATTCTTTAGGGTATAACTCAGAGCTCTCTTTCCTTCACTTCCTACACTTTTATCTATTATTGTTGCTATCCATATACTGAGGACTCCCAAATAGTTCCAATTCAGACTTCTATTCTCTTAGCCAGAATGTTCTTATTTAATTTCCTACTTGGCATTTCTACTTGGCTATTTCACAGAAATTTAAAAATTTCTTTCCAAATTTGGTTTTCTTTCAATTATGTTTGTATCAGTTCATTCAACCCAGTTATATGAACTAGAGTTGCTGGAGGGAGTAGATACATGTTGAGAATCAACTTTCGATTCCAGGGCTCAGGAATCTACCAAACCAAATATGACACTCAAACTTGTTGTCCTCAACATGTATGGCAGTTAAAACTGTCACGTATTCTTCTTTAAATAATCTGATTTCCTGTTTTCTACCATATCTAAATTTATTTGGTCAACATGTACCTTTGCTCTTAAGATCAAACTTCTTTCTCTAACTCCATACTTGATAGCCAGAAGAAAATTCACCAACTCAGCATACCACTCAGCAAACCACTTGGCATGTACTTTTATGGCAATATTCAGTAGCCCTGGTTAGTATTCCTTTAAATAATGTTTTATACATATAGTTTAAAATCCACGAGTGGGGCGATGCATAGTTATAAACTTATAACTTATCTACATTTGTTACATAATTATACTAGCAATTTGTTTTCTGCTTAATTTACTGTTGAAGAGTTCATCAAATGTTACGACATAATCCATTCCTAGAGTAATAACTAAAGCAAATTTTCTAAATGAGATCCTTCTGGTACTTCCAATAATAAACACCTTGGATGAGATTCAATAATGCCATGCCTTATGCTTAATGCTGTGGTATATGGGTCGTGTTATAGAAAGACTCCAGGGCAGGATGAGAAATAATTGGGCCATTGTTCAAAACTTGGAAAACTGTTTGTTAACAAAGTTTTCGTATCCATGACATTTATAATTCAGGTACCTTGATGAAGGTGCATGATAATGATAACTTTTTATTCCAGTCCTTTGGCTTTAAAACTTTCACATTAATCATATGTCCAGGTTCCTAAACACCTAAATCTCAATTATATAGGAATTTTTAGGAATATTTCTTGGATCATTTAACTTCCTTCTTTCTTTCCATAAAAATATGTATACACATTTCTTGCATCATTTAACTTCCTTCTTTATTTGCATAAAAATAAGTATATACAATGTTTTGTTGTGAAAGAAATATCTGCATTAAAGGACACTGTCTAGTAACAGGAGATAAATATAAACAAATGAGTGTAATACAGAGTTTAGAATGCCACATCCATTGCACATATGGCTGTAGTGGGAAAAATGGCATCAAACAAAAGAACATCTTTATGAAACTGTTAATAAAATAAGAAGAGGTGCTTCACTGTCAAGCTTTTCCCACTCCTGGCCATTTTGGTTAATCACTAGTTTAAGCCACAACCCTGTCAATATGGGCAGTTTGGGCTAAGATCTCTTGATGAACACTTCTAATTCACATTAAAGGACACGAAGTGGAGACTGGACACTGCTTATATGTATATTTAGGGGATGATATCATGCCAGACTAATGTCACAACTCACATGAGAGATGACTGAGTTTTATTTTTTATTTTTTTGAAAATTAAAACAACTCTCATTTATTCAAGCAATATGGTGACAAAAATTTAATAACATGACAATAACCAGTAATGGTGAAGGTATGGAGAAACAGGCATTCTCATATGCTTCTAATCAAAGTATAAATTGGTGGGAACTTGTTGGAGAGCAAGTTTGCTAAAATACTAAATAGTTACACTGTTTGACCAATATTTCAAATTTTGACCAAGAAATTTCATTTTTATTTCAGGATTTTACTTTATGGAAATGAAAACAATCAAAAATGGAGGAAATTTGTTTCTTGTAACAGTGTTCAAAATCATGAAAAACTATGCACAACTTAAGTATCATCTATACACATACAGATATGAAAAAGACCATTGGAGTGAAAAAGATCAGTATGCGTGTTACACAATCAGTCTTTGTTGTTAGCTCATTCCCTACTTGCAAATTTTAACAAATTAAAAGTTACATGCCATATAATGATGTTTTAGTTAATGACAGACTGCATATGCCACAGTGGTCCCATAAGATTATATATGGATCTAAAAACTTCCTCTCATCTAGTGATGTCATAGCTATCATCATGTCATAGCAGAATGTATTACACATGTGTTTGTGGTGATGCAAATGTAAACAAACCTACTGTGATGTCCGTTGTACAAAGATACCGCACATACAATTATATACAGGACATCATACTTGATAACAATGATAAATGACCATGTTACTGATTTATGTATTAACTATACTATATTTTTATCATTATTTTAGAGTGTACTTTTTCTACTTATATACATTTAAAAAATTCACCATAAATTAGCTTCAGGCAGATCTTTCAGGAGGTATTCCAGAAGAAGGCATTGTTATCATAGGGGATGACAGCTTCATGCATGTTATTGCCCCTAAAGGCCTTCCAGTGGGCAATATGTGGAAGTGGACGTGAAAGGCAGTGATATTGACAATCCTGGCCTGTGTAGGCCTAGGTTAATATGTTTGTTTGTGTCTTTACTTTTAAGAAAAAAGTTTAAAAAGTAAGAAAAACAAAAACAACAACATTAAATAGTAAAAAGCTCATAGAATAAGGACATAAGGAAAGAAAATTTTACTTCACTAGTAGTTGTCAGTAAAATGAACTGTGTTTACAGTAGCAACAGGATATTAGTAGTTAAAGCCACTTGAAATATACTTTAAAATAATTGTTTATATTGGGAATCTTAATTTCCTTGTGAGGAAAAGATAATTTGGACCAACTAAGATGGAAAATAAAGTTCTATTGTAGAAGGTTACACTTATTCCTTTTCTTTGCAAAGATTTAGTATTTCCTGAAGTGAATACTTTCTGAAAAAGTATTTTCCACATTCTTTTAGCATCTGCTTGGTGTTCTGCTTAGAAAAATGTATTTACTCTTCCAAAATTTTTTTTGCCTATTTTTCTGTACTACTTTTCTGTACAAGAAATACGTAAGTACCTACCATGTGATGATATGTAGTTAAATAAAGCATTAACTACCCTCTATGGGCTCACAGTTTTGAAAAGAAGGATATGTAAATACATCCAAAATATAATGAATATATGCAATAGGCAACATATATAATACAGAAATCTATTTTAATTTATTATAATACTTAGTACCTTAACTCATTTCCTGACTCTGAGGCATTTTAGAAATCCCATGATAAAACACATTATTTAAAGTGAGCTATGTTTCCTAAGAAAAAATTCAGCATCGTTGTTTATATTTTTAACCAAGTTTTCAGCATCAAATAAATCATGAGTATAATCAGCCTTGTTATAAAGGTGAAGGATCCACAATTATAAACTTTTTTAGCAATTACAAATTACAGAGATTATACAAATACCGTAATTAAATAATGGAACTATGGAGAAGATGTAGTCTCCAGCCTAAAGGAATCTAGGGAATTGAATTTGTACAACATGGAAAAATGTATTCCATGTAGAAAGAACAGCATTAGTAAAAATAAATAAATGAGAATATGTGGGGTGTCTGTGATACATATGAAAGAGAATAGTAAAAAGTACCAAACAAAAAATAGTGGTTGGTAGGGTTTGGGAAAATGAAAAATAAGAGATGATAGATAAAATAGTATACAAGCTTCTATGCAGTGAATCAGGGTCTGATTTATGGAAAGAGAAGTAAAGATACTATGAAAAAAAGAAAAGTATCAAAGAAAACAAAATTACTTGTATCTTTACTATTATTATAATAGTTTGGTTTTGATTCTAATGATAGTTTTCCCTACCACACGAGATTGATAAATTGAAACAATATATTTAATGGCTATTTTGCCAGAAAAATGAAAATCTCACTAGGTACACCTTGTCTATGCTGTTATACTTTATTATCTTTATCTTAAAGTGGCCAATGTAACACAGTTGTTAATGATATTGAATTTGTACCATCTGAAATAGCATTTACCTATGATTACAAATTACTTACTAAAGTATGATTTGGTGCCTTTTAATATACAGTTCAAATAAAACATTTTTCCTAGGTTAGCAGAAAGTTTTTTATTTTATAATTTAATTTAATTTAATTTTATTTTATATCCAGGGTGTTCATGTGCAGGTTTGTTACATGGGTATATTGCCCTTTGTTGGATTTGAGGCTTGTAGTGTACCCATCAGCCAGATGTGAACATTGTACCCAATAAATAATTTTTCAACCCTTACTCCCTTCCTGACCTCTTCCCTTTTGGGGTCCCCAGTCTCTGTTACAGAAGAAAGTTTTATAGTTACTCTTTAACAAATCCTGTTTCCAATGTGTGCTTTATAGGGTCAATGTAGGCAGATACTTCCAGATCCCAGCTGATGAAATTCAGGTCAAATAGTATTAGTGAAAGCACTAGCTTTAAACAGTATTTGAGGTTGAATTATTAAAATCTGTTACGATCTGAGGAAAAAACTGGGGTCCTCAGGGTAAATATTTTGATTATTGTGCAACTCTGTTCATGTTTTAAGTGAAATATTTTATAATAGCTTATTAGAGTGACGCCCCCTAGACACAATATGGCAATCCTGATTGCTGGTCACATAGTTGGGCAATTATTTTAATCTGGAAATAGACATTGATTATTTTGTACTGCTCATTCAATAATTTATTTCTTTATTCAACATGTGTTAGTTATCTAACAGGTCCCATTAGCGGTACAAAAATGAATAATATGCTGATGTTGCAAATGGCAGAAATTTTTCTTTTTAAACCCATTTTTTAGGGTTTTTAGGCTGACTAGTATTTCATTGTGTATATATATATATATATATACACCACATTTTTTAATTCATTTATCTGTTGATGGATATAACTTGGCTTTTGTAAATAATGCTGCCATGAACATGAGAGTGCAGTTAAAATTAGCTGGAAAGGTAGCCAGGGGTAGGGGTGATTATCATATGATAATTCTGTTTTTAGTTTTGTTGAGGAACTTCCGTGAAGTTTTCTATTAATGGGTGTACTAATTTACATTTCCACCAAGAGTAGCATATAAAGAACTTCTGTGAATTTTATCCCTAAAACAGGATAAAATGATAAAGCAGAGAGAAGACAATTACTTTAAAAATTATCTGCATCAACTCTCTCCTTTCAATGACTTTTAAGTATGCTAGTTTATTTTTTTATTAAATGTATATTTTCATATTTTCAAAAGTCAAATAGTACAGCAGAGCTTAAAGTGAAAAAAAGTGTTTTAGTTTTTCATCCTTTTATTTTCACCTCCATATCTCTAATATGAATATGTCTTTTTAAAAAGTAACTACTTTTAAATGACTATAGACATTATCTCTTACCTTGTACATCTTCTTATTCCTTCTTTTAATATAATTATCTCACTACATTAGCTGCCTCCTGATTATTTTAGCATCAAATAATTCCCTTAATCACATACATTTTATTTTCTGTATATCTTGACTTCCAAATTGGGAGTGAGTGACTTTAATGGCCTTCCTCTTCCCAACAACTTTCCCTGCATCTACCTCTCAGACTTCATCATCTTTCTCTTTAATTGTCATTGTAAAAGTTGATAACAAATATATTTTATTGCATAATGAGTTTTTCCATTTGTCTATAGGTGGATTCTTAAGGTTGAAAATCAATGATTGACATTTGCATCGTTATACCTGTAAGTAGCGTGAGCTACGAGTGAAGACATTGGGCTATGATTACATTTTCTCCACATAATTCCAAGTTGTAAACCCTCTGCTACCTAAAGAAGAACGTTCTATGGATTCTGTCTTACTTCTATTTATTTAAAATGAAGTCACATGTTAGTTTCATATTTTATACCACAGCTTTCTTTCTCAGTTACTTGTTTCCCTCTATTGGAAAAAGTAATAGTTACTTCCTTAGCTTTTTCCTCATTCTACATATTACTTGAAATGTGTTCTATTTTTATTTGAGAAGCCTGTAGACTTTTTTTTGCTGCATTTTTTCATTATTTTAAAATGTATAATTATAGAATACAGTGTTTCTATCAACTACCAGAAAGTCTCAACACTTCAGTCTTTTCCATTTTATTGGAAGACATATTCTCTTTGTCTCCCAGCTTACAAAGGATTTCTTTTGTTAAATCAAAATTATATTCTGTAAAATTTTTATGTCACACATGTGTTAAAACTGTTTCTTATTTAAATGTTTCAAGTAAACTTTCTTTCTTAGAGCAGTTTTTGATTCACTGCAAAATTGAGTGAAAATTTTTCATATACCCCCTGCCTTTTTTAATTTTAAAGAGTACAGCTTGGGATTTGCTCTGGGAAAATAATACTTTATTCTGCTAGTGTAAGCTTAATTTTTTAGTCTAGTGTACAGTAATAGTGCCATTTTCTCCACTGTTTTGTTTTGGATGCTCCAGTAAAGAGTAGCTAAACTCTGTCTAGAATATTCTTTATAATTTCAGTAGGTTCAATTAATTGGGTTCAGGTGACCTACCAGATAGTTTACATACATTAAATATAATATTAAAATATCTGGATATTAAGCAGTGTTACTTCAGAAAGCTGAGATTAAAAAGACTATATAAATTGAAGTTGAACTCAGGTTTCTCTAATAACAAAGTTCTCTCCACTATTTCAAGCTGCTTCTCTACAACATATTATATAAACATAAACAGTGTTAAAGCTGTTAGGAACAAAATGCTAAATAATCTGAATTTTTTAGATGTCTTTTCTTGTTTAACAGTGAATGTATTGAGAATAAAAGTAAATAAATGATGTGAAATTCTCGATAAATTCACATCACAATCACTTACCTAATTTCAAATTATTTATGCAAATGCCTCTGCCTTAAATCAAAACATGAAATGCAAGACAGTCTGTTGAAAAACAGAGTTAGCTAAAAATAAATGAAAGAATAATAGATTACTCACATTAGTGTAAAACTGGTAATTTAGGCCCTTTGGCACATTTTTCAGAAAGTGCCCTTTAAACTTTGTTAATTGCAAAATAACTAGATTGCCCACCTGCCATCATGACAGAGGCTTCTTGTTGCTTTTAATTCTGGAGAAGGAGGGAAAAGATGCAGCTGGCCCACCAGTATTTTTGGCTGAGATTCAAGCTGACCTGCTCTGCTCTGCCCTTTGCAGTTTGTTCATGGAGATAAAACTTCACCAAAATCCACCCTCAAAGTTAACAGATTTCATTTGCAGCAAGGTACCTGTGGTATGGTAGCACCCACATCAGGACAGGAATCAGAGATTTGTGTTCAAACTAAGATCCTGACACCTACTATCTGTATTTGAACTTCAGTTTTATCAGCCAAGGGAAGAGAACATTAACCTTTATCACAGAGTTGTTGTAAGGAGCAGTGAGCTAACATATATAAACTGACTTTCCCAAAATCAAATTGTTGTGGAGTTGTATTTATTGCAGTTATAGACATGTAGTGAACCCTATGCAACTGAATGCCCACAGTGCTCCTTATTAATTTGATATCTACTCCTCCTGATGAGATTCCAGTTCCTAGGTCAAGTTGATTTTTAAGTCAGTCACATCCTTATATGTTCTACAGCTTGGTTATCTTGTAATAGCCTCTTGTATTCTTCAAAGCAATCCCCCTTATATATCTAATATTTTGAAAATTCAGAATATGAGCCCTGTATAAAATATAGAGCCTTAAAATGTTCCAAAAATATCTAAAATTGGAGAATTGTCACTCTGAAATGGGAAAGAGAAATGCGGATGTAATTAGAATTCTGAGACTCCCAAGAGTCAGCCTTAGACAAGTAGAGGGAGCAGAACCTATGCTATTAGATCTGTGAATGAGTTCAGCCCTCCACTTACTGCTAGTGTAACTCAAGGTAAATATGGACCTAACTGCTCTGTTTTCTGATCTATGTATTGAATGGAGCCCATAATAGCTACATCAATATTTTATTGTGAGTGCTAAATTAGATCACATATATAAAGGTCCTTGTGTCCTGGCATATAGCTGACTGTCAATATTAATCCCCTTTTCATTAATTTTTAAAGACTAACATTTGTCCTTAGTCCCCAAATTTTGCAAAAGACTTTGAACTTTTTTTCCTTATCAATAACTTCCCCATGGTTGTATAGGATAAAACTGTAAATGTTTTTCATAAGTTTACACATTCACCTGCGACAAGACTAAATCTTAAGCAAGGATCTCAGTTTTTCAATTAAGACCAAACCATAAATTCTCATGATTATAAGTATATAATATACTGAATATTATATATAATATAATACTTTATAAAATATTTATATGGCAACATCTATACTATATAAACTACATGTATTACTTATATGTACTATATCTTTAAATACAAAAATCTCAGTGGGATGAAATTGTCATTAATGAGAAGTAAAGGGAAGTGAGATAGAATGCAAAAAAATAGCAGATAAATATTTCCATCAGCTCATATTTAGAATAAGAGCTATTTTGAGTCATAAAAGGATGATGAATTGCTTACACTTTTTATATTATTCTCTCCATCACAGTGAAAATATAAATGATCAATGCATATATAATGTGGTTCAATTGTAATTTGCCCAAAATAAGCAATTCGGCAAAAGAGCAAAAACCAAAATTCAGGTCTTCAGGTTGCAAGTCCCATACCAATGACTTTCATGCTCCTAACACCTGCATTCTGATTATACCCAATTAATGCAACACTCTCATTTCACTATCCCTCTGCTTATCTATGTTTTCACACAGGCAACTATGGAGAAAGTGGGATGGAAGCCTTCAAAGATATGTCAGCGAAGGAAGGGATTTGCATCGCCCACTCTTACAAAATCTACAGTAATGCAGGGGAGCAGAGCTTTGATAAGCTGCTGAAGAAGCTCACAAGTCACTTGCCCAAGGCCCGGGTGGTGGCCTGCTTCTGTGAGGGCATGACGGTGAGAGGTCTGCTGATGGCCATGAGGCGCCTGGGTCTAGCGGGAGAATTTCTGCTTCTGGGCAGGTGAGTGATAATAAGAAAATTTACATGGAGTTAATACCAGGAATTTGGCAGCACTGAAGGGTAGCTTTTAGTGTATGATAAAAAATTCTTTCAAAGCTTAATCTGTGCAGTGGAAATAGAGCTTAAATTTCATAACGCACCTGTGCCTGGAGAAAATCATGGAAAATAAGTAGATCCGCCATGTGCTGATTAATAGTAACAGGAATCAACAAATGAAGATGATGCATCTTTAAGTCCTAAAAACCATGACTGTAAGGTAATGAAATGGATTTTTATATGCTTGAGTAATTCACTTGGAAAGTAAACATGACTCAAACTCATAGTTGCTTTTAAAGCTGATTTTGAGAATGACTACATGAGCTTGGTTTATAATGTTGAATCATAGAATTTTGGGTTTGAAAATGAGGGATTGCTTTCAGAGCACATTTTTAAAGCATTAGAAAATTGGCTTGTTATTTTATATCACAAAAATGTAGGTGCCTGGTGACCTACATTGTTTCTAGACAAGATACCAAAATACCAGCTTCTACAGAGATTGACTTTAATTATCTGGATAATTCACTTGATTGACACAACTCAGCACATTCCCTGTTGTTGTGGCTGAATCAGTGTATTAGTCAAATTCTCCAGAGAAATAAAACCAAAAGTATATACATATATAATAAAAAATATGCATATATGTGTCCTGCACACATATATATGTGTATGTATAAATTTGTGTGTGTGTGTATATACATATGTGTGTGTGTATATATATATATACACATATGATATTTACTACAAGGAATTGGTTCATGTGATTAAAGACCCAAGAGAGCCAATATGTAGTTTCAATCCAAGTCCAAAGGTCTTAGAACTATGAAAGTTGATAATATTAATTTGCAGTCTGAAAGTTGGTAGGCTTGCAATTCAAGATGAGCCAATGTTTCAGTCCAAGTCTGAAGACTGAAAAAGACCGATGTCCATCTCATGCTATCAGGCAAAAAACATTACCTCTTAGCCTTTTAATACTATTCAGGTCTTCAGTTGATTGTTTGAAGTCCATCCATATTAGAGAGGGCAATCTGCTTTACTCAGTCTACTGCTTCAAATGTTAATTTCATCCAGAACACTCTCACAGACACAGGCAGATTAATGTCTGTTAAAATGTCTGGGCACTCATAGCCCAGGCACTAGACACATAAAATTAACTATCATAATTAGTAAGACAACATCGTAGTTTTGAATGTGTGAATGAGGTGCACTTCTGAGATGGTAACACTGGAACTTATAAGTGGTAGGGAAGCTGCTTCTTCATTGCATACCTTTAAAACATTATGTACCATATATCTTTTTATTAACACGTAGCCAGTGTAAAGAACAGCAAAAACCTTAGAATCCACTGCATCTTTCTCAGGATTTCTGCCCCAAATAGAGAGCCAAGTCACTTGTTATTAACTTTTGATGGCTTATTAAGGGAAATGTACTTCCTTCATTTTCCAAATGCTTAACTGACCGTCTGTGATCAGACTTAGCTCCAGCTGGGATACATTTTATGACAGCCATTTTATGTACCCAATTCTTTTCTGTCCGATCTGATGGCAATAGATTGATGGGGCTATTTTGGTATGAGGCCACACATCCTTCAATAAAAATGATATTGAGTGAGATTCCTTTTTTATCAATGTCATATATTTTGTCAAAATCGTCGCTAGTTGGCAGGAATGATGTACCAGTTAGTTTCATACAACCCACAAACATGCCAACTGCCAATATTCTTATACTGTATTCTGAAGTGCAGTGTTACCACTGCAGTAAAAATAACAGAAAAGAAAAAAAATCTAGCTTTAAGTAGTTCTGTTTTTCTGATAGGGAATAAAGAATTCCACGATTCCTATCTGCTCCATTTGCCAGCATTAATAAGAAAAATCAGCAGCATTTGTTTTCAGTCATATGGTGTATTTGCCAAAAAGCAAATGTTCTTTGATCCCATGTACACTAAGTAAATAGATTGGCTTTTATAATATTTGCCATTTTCCATGTATGATTTTATTTCCAGAAGCATTGCAAAATTTTATATTTTGGGTATTTTAAAATCTATTTTGTATATGATAAACATAGAGTTCTTTCCATATCATTTAATTCATGGAATACTAAATTTATAGCCTCTAGTTAGATTTTTTTTATCCCCACATTAACTGGCTATTTAGTAATTTGACATTTACTTGAACATCAGTTCATTTCATTTTTGAGCAGTTTTGTTAGGTCTTCCTTACTCCAAATTTTAAAACTGTCTCCCTGCAGTTTCTGCCTCTTGGCCCATGTTTTTTTTTCTTTAAAAGTAACGTGATGCTCTTTCAAATATTTGGGAACAACAGTGTGGTCCTCAGTACTCTCCAACTTCTCTTTGAAATATCCTAACTTCTTCCAACTATCTTAGTGAGATGGCACTGTGGGTGTTAATAAAACCACTTATCAGAACCATTTATAGGACCATTTATCAAATACTTTGTGCCAATTACTGTGCTAAGCACTTTACATGTATTGTTTCATTTAATCATTATTTGACAAATGTTGAGTGTTTACTATATGTAAAAGTGCTTGAAATAAATCAATGAGCAAAAAAACAATAATTATTGCCCTTATGATACTTACAGATAAGTTAGATAGAAGGTCATATAAGTGTTATGAAAAAACCCATATCTAAGAACAACCTAAATATTAAGTACTATTCTATTTTATACACAGGAGTTCTAAGTAAGACTCAATAAATATTGATGTGTGAAATGGAACAGAAAAGCAAAAGTTAATAGTTTGTAAGAAAAAGTTTACATCTACTAACTCTAATTTTACAAATGAGGAAACTGATACCTCCAAAATTTGGATGACACAATTACCCAACTACCATAACTTATAATCCAGTGTACTTTTCTACTAACTTGTCTTCTGTAGAGTAGAAACAGAGGGGAAGTTATTATTTGATAGCAAACCCTAGGTTCTACATAGAACCTGAGTTTATTTTTTTAAAATTTTAGATAATTCAAATTTTTAATTTTAATTAGTATTTTATATCAGTGCTACCTCCTGAAAATTTTTATTTAGTTCACGCTATAACTTCTTTCAGTATTCTAGTGTTATTTTGTTTACAGATATTCTGAAAATCTCTCTTTTTGCTCCTTCTCTTCCCCAATTCAACTTGAATGAATGGCTTTAGGAACTAGAAGTCAAAGCTATGTGGAAAAAAAAAAAGGCTATATTTAGAGCCTACTAGAAGGTCCACATTTAATAGCTGTAGTTACTTATAAATATCTCCAACTGCCTTAGGTCAACCATGTTTAATAGGTCGTTCAACTTAAGTGCTTGGCAGGACTAAGACAACTCTGCTGCTGAGACAACCTCATCCATCAGCACATCTCACCATCTGTGCTGCACATCAATAGAATGTTAGAATGATACACACCTCACCACTAGGTCTTTCCATTTGAGCTGTGGGTAATCTGCTGTCTCATTGCCAATAAAAATATCCTGTTCAGGTCCCTGAAATAGTCTTGCTAAACACTTTGGCTCTGACAGCAGGCTGAGATCAATAATCTGAACAGTAATGGCATTTCTTAAGGGGCTTATTTTCTAGAATGAATACACTGTCTTGTTCTAGATCTGGGAAAGAATTACTTGAAATACATTATTTAAAAGTTAGAAATTTAAATAAGACTTGGAAACAACTAGTTTTTAGCAAATTAACAACTGAAAAGATAGTTTCATTTGATCTATAATTAACTTTATTTGAATAATTTGAGAATATTCTTTACTACGATGATTATTACAAAGCCACAAAAAGGAAATGTACTTAAATTTCAAAAGTACTTGAGGATTATAAGAAGCATTTCTTAGAGGTCAATCTACATCAATATTTTTCAAAATGGAAATGATAAGAACTTACTGTAAGAAATATCCTTGCCAATGAAATTACAGTTTTTCTAGTCAAACTATGATAGTGGCTATTCCCCAGAGGTAGATATTATTCTTTATCTTTACATGTAGCAAGAATGTCTATTCCAAATTCAGTCATTTTCAAACAAGTATACAGGCATTCCTTGGAGAAAATGTGCGTTTGATTTCAGACCACCACAATAAAACAGTATCACAATAAAAATCACACAAATGTTTTGTTTTCCCAATTCATATAAAAAGTGGGGGGGGGCGCGGTGGTTCATGCCTGTAATCCCAGCACTTTGGGAGGCAGAGGCGGGTGGATCATGAAGTCAGGAGATCAAGACCATCCTGGCTAACACGGTGAAACCCCGTCTCTACTAAAAATACAAAAAAGTAGCCGGGTGTCGCGGCGTGCGCCTGTAGTCCCAGCTACTCTGGAGGCTGAGGCAGGAGAATGGCGCAAACCCGGGAGGCAGAGGTTGCAGTGAACTCAGATTGCGCCACTGTCCTGCAGCCTGGGCGACAGAGCGAGACTCTGTCTCAAAAAAAAAAAAAAAAAAAAAAAAAAAAGTTATGTTTATACTGTACTGTAGCCTAATAAGTGCACAATAGAATTATGTCTAAAAATATATAAATCTTAATTCAAATATACTTTATTGCTAAAAAAAAAAAGCAAGTGATCATCTGAGCCTTCAGTGGGTTAGATTCTTTTTGCTAGTTGAGGGTCTTGCCTCAATGTTGATGGCTGCTGACTGATTAGGGTGGCAATTGCTGAAGGTGGCAGTGGCTGTGGCAATTTCTTAAAATAAGACAACAATGAAGTTTGCCACATCAAATGAGTCTTCCTTTCACAAAAGGAAGTGGTATTTATCTGTAGCATGAAATGTTGTTTGATGGCATTTTACCCGCGTTAGAACTGCTCTTAAAATTGGAGTCAGTCCTTTCAAATTCTATCACTGCTTTATCTACTAAGTTTAGGTAATATTCTAAATTCTTTGTTGTCATTTCAACAATGCTTATAGCAACTTCACCAGAGTATATTCCGCCTCAAGAAACCACTTTCTTTGCTGATCTATAAGAAGCAATTCCTCATCCATTTAAGATTTATCATGAGATTGTAGGAGTTCAGTCCCATCTTTGAACTCACTTTCTAATTCTAGTTCTCCTGCTCTTTTCACTACATCTTCAGTTATTTCCTTGACTGGAAGTATTGGAACATCTCAAAGTCATCCATGAGGGTTGGAATCACTTCTTCCAAACTCCTGTTGCTGATATTTTTACCTTCTCTCATGACTCATGAATGTTCTTAATGACACCTAGAATGGTGAATCCTTTCCAGAAGGTTTCCAACTTACTTTGCCCATATCCATCTGAGGGATTACCATCTATGACAGTTATGGCTTTATGAAATGTATTTTAGAAATAATAAGACATGAAAGTCAAAATTACTTGTTGATTCATAGGCTGAAGAATGGATATTGTGTTAGCAGGCATGTAAACAACACTAAACTCCATGTATGTCTCCATCAGACCTCCTGGCTGGCCGGGCACATTGTCAATTATTAGCAGTAGTATTTTGAAAGGATTTTTGTATATATATATATGTGTGTGTGTGTGTGTGTGTGTGTGTGTGTGTAGTAATTCTGAAAAGTAGACTTAAAATATTCAGTAAACCATGCTTTAAAGAGATGTGTTGTCACCCAGGCTTTGTTTTTTTCATTTTTGGAACACAGTAATACATGTAACATAATTCATAAGTTTCCTAGTCTTCTCAGAATGGAAATGATTGTTGGCTTCCACTTCAAGTCACCAGTTTTATTATCTCCTCATAGAAGAGTTAGTCTGTCCTTTGACAATCTGAAGCAAGGCCTTGACTTCTCCTCTCTAGCTGAGAAAGTGTTAGATGGCATCTTCTTCCAAAAAAAGGCTGTTTTGTCTGCATTGAAAATATGTTGTTGAAACTTCTCTATCAGTCTGCACCTGCTGCTTCACCCAGCACTTTGATGTTACAGAGACAGTTTCCTGTCTTCAACCTCGTGAAATAACCTCTGCTAGCTTTACACATCTTCTGTAACTTCCTCCCCTCTCTCAGCCTTTATAGGATTAAAGAGAGTTAAGATCTTGCTCTTGATTAGAATTTTGGTTTACAAGAATGTTGTGGCTGACTTGATCTTCTATCAAGACCATGAAAACTTTCTCCACATCAGCAATAAGGCTGTTTCTCTTTCTTATCATTTCTCTATATTCACAACTTGGCTGTTTTTTGCAACAGGCCTAATTTTTGGCCTATATTTGCTTCCACCTTACCTTCCTCATTAAGTATAATCATTTCTAGCTTTTGATTTAAAGTTAGAGACTTACAATTCTTCCTTTCACTTGAGCATTTAGCCATTGTAGGGCTATTAATTAGCCTAATTTCAATACTGTTGTGTCTCTAGGGTTAGGGAGGCCTGAGGAGAGGGAGAGAGACGGAAGTACAGCCAGTGGGTAGGACAATCAGAACATACCACCCTCATTACGGTCTTATATAGGCACAGTTTGTGATGCCCCAAACCAATTACAACAGTAGCATGTTCCTAACACAAAGAAATAATAAATGTCTGAGGTGACGGATACGTTTATTACCCTGATTTGATCCTTATATATTGTATACATTTATGGAAATATCACACTGTATGCCATAAATGTGTACAATTATCATGTAAATTGAAATAATAATATAAGCGAAAAAGATCGCTGATTACAGATCACCATAACAGATATAATAATAATGAAAAAGTTTGAAATATTGTGAGAATTAACAAAATTACACAAAATGAGACCATGCCATTGGAAAAATAGTGCCAACAGATGTGTAGGACAGAGTTGCCACAAACCTTCAATTTGTAAAAAATGCAATATCTGTGGAGTTACAATAAAATCAAGTGCAATAAAAAGGCATGTCCATAATTTTCTTCTACTGGGCTATTCAGTGTCATTAATTTGTAATGTGGGATAAAAGTTAACAATAGGAATGATAGTACCTTTACTGAGGTCTTTGGGAAATGTCAGATATGAAGTAAAGAGCAGATCATGAGTTCAGTTTTGGATAAGTGGAGTTCAGGTACATTTCAAAGATAAAGTAGTCTACTAGGTAGGAGAATATGTAAGTTGAGAGCTCAGAAGAGATATATAGGCTGTAAATAGAATTGAGAGACTCATCAGGATAATAGCAAATCAAGGACGTGTTTGTTAAAATTAAGAGAGGAATTCTAAGAAATTATCTTTGAGGGACCTCAGCATTTAGGTTGAAAAAAAAAGATGAACTCTAAATTGGAGACAGGAACAGGCAAATCCAGAGATGTTGATGGGAAACCAAGAGTGTTGTGTCATCCAAGCCAATGGAAGAGAGTATTTACAGGCAAGACCACCAGTGTCAACTGAATTTAGGAGATCAAGTGAAAATAACACTGAAATGGCCATTTGGATTTATTGAGGTGGAGAGAATTGGCAATTTAACAAGACATGGCTGAATAGAGTAATAAAAGCAGATTAACAATGAAGTAGCTAAGAAGTGAGTAGATGGTGAGTAAATGAACCCATGACATATAAGCCAGTATTTTGGGAAGTTGAACTAATAAGGAATGAAGAATGAAATCTACAGTTCACCCTTGAACAACATGAGTTTGAACTGTGCAGGTCTCCATTTACATATTTTTTTCAGTTGATAGGTTGAAATTTATTTTTGAGATTTGCAATAATTTGGACAAACTCACACACAAACCATGTTGACTAGGAATATTTTTTTAAAAATAAGAAAATATGTGTGATAAATGAATGTAATATTTACATATACTATTTTATCATTTACTACCATAAAATCTACACCAATCTATTATAAGAAGTTAAAATTTATCAAAACTTTTGTGCACACTTGTGAGCCATTCCTGATTAAGAGAAAACAAAGATTTACTATTAAATCATAACTGCATAAAATTAACTGCAGTACATGTTGTACTACTGAAGTAATTTCAAAGCCACCTCCTATTGATATTGCAATGATCTCAAGTATTATGAGTATCTGCTTAAATCACAGTATGAGGCTAATCATCTCCCTGTGAACTGTGCATTTCACCACTAAATCATGCATTACAGTGAAAAGTGATTGTTCCTGATTATTGCACATTTTTTTATCATGTCTTTTGCAATACTGTGAACCTTAAATAACACCATGGGAACAAAAGTGTCAGTAGTGATGCTGAAACTGCTCCCAAGAAGAAGAGAAAAGTCATGATATCACAAGAAAAAGTTGAGTTGCTTAATATGTACTGTGGATTCCGGTCTGCAGCTGCAGATGCCCTTCATTTCAAGATAAACAAATCCAGCATAAGGAAAGACCAACATAACGAAAGAAAAGGAAACGTATGAAGCCATCCCTGTGGCTACACCAGCAGATGTGAAAACCTTGCTCTTCTGGGGAAATACCTTTTTCTGTAATTTTGAAAATGCAGCTTTTATGTAGGTGTATGATTGGGTATAAGAAAGGCATACATTTAGAGTCTAATATTATTCAAGAAAAAGCAAAGTCATTAAAGGATGACTTACTCAAAAGGAAGGTGAAGGATCTAAAGCTGGAGAATTTAGTGTTAGCAAAGGATGGTTTGATAATTTTACAAAGATATTTGGCTTAAAAATTGTCAAGATAATGAGAAAAACAGCTTCTGTTGCCCAAGAAGCAGCAGACAAGTTCCAAGACACCATTAAGAAAACCACTGAGGAGAAGGAATATTTGCTGTAACAGGTTTTTAATGTGTGTCAAAGTCCTCTATTCTGTACAGAAAAATACCACAAAGAACATTTATTAGTAAAGAATAGAAGTGAGCTCTAGGATTTAAGGCAGGAAGGAGTAAGCTAACCCTCCTGTTTTTTGACAATACAGTCAGGTTTATTATGATCATGACTTTTCTTATCTACACAGTTGCTAATCTTCTAGCATTGAAGGGAAAAGATAAACATCAGCTACCAGTCTTTTGGTTGTACAAGAAGAAGACCTGGACATTTAGAGCTATTTTCCTTGATTGTTTCCATCGGCACTTTGTCCCTGAATTCATGAAGTACCTGGCTAGGAAGGACTACCTTATAAAGTTCCTTTGCTATTGAGCAATGCCTCTTACCGCCCAGAACCTCATGAGTTCAACATGGAAAGTATCTACTTGCCTCCAGACACAAAGTCTCTAATTCAGCCTCTAGATTAGGGGTCATAAGGACCATAAAGGCTCATTACACACAGTACTCTATGGAAAGGATCATCAACTGGTTGAAGAGGATCCAAATAGAGACAACATCATGAAAGTCTGGAAAAATTATACCACTGAAGATACAATTGTTGTTATGGAAAAAGCCCTGAAAGCCCTCAAGCCTGATACAATAAATTCCTGCTGAAGAAAACTGTTTCCAGATCTTGTGTATCACTTCACAATATTTATGATAGAGCCAATCAAGGAAATCATGAGATCATGGGTATGGGAAAAAAAAAGGTGGGGGTAAAGGGTTTCAGAATATGGATCTTGGAGAAATTCAAGAGCTAACAGACATCACACTACAAGAATTAACAGAAGATGACTTTGATGGAGATGAGTGCTTTTGGACCAGTGCCAGATGAGGAGGAAGATGATGTTGAAGAAGTAGTAACAGAAAGCAAATTGACATTAGATAATCTGGCAGGAGGGTTTCAGTTATTCAAGACTGCTTTTGACTTCTTTTATGACATGATCCTTTCTATGATACAGGGACTGAAATTAAAGCTAACAGTGGAAGAAGGATTGGTACTGTATAGAAACATTTTTAGAGAAATGAAAAAAAAAGGCAAAAATGCATTTCCTTAAATGTGTTAAGTTAAACTAAGTGTGCCTGCCTCTCCTGCTTCCCCTTCCACCTCATCTGCCTCTTCCACCACTGCCACCCCTGAAACAGCAAGACCAACCCCTTCCCTTCCTCTTCCCCATCAGCCTACAGTATGAAGACAATTAGGATGAAAACCTTTATGATGATCCACATCTACTTAATGAATAGTAAATATATATTTTTCTTCCCTATGATTTTCTTGATAACATTTCTTCCTCTTGCTTACTTTATTATAAGAATACAGTATATAATGCATACCACATACAAAAATATGTGTTAATCAACTGATTATGTTATTTGTAAGGATTTGGGTCAACAGTAGGCCATTAGTAGTTAAGATTTAGGAGAGTCAAAAGTTATATATAGATATTTGACTGTGTAACATGATGTTGCATCTAACTCCTGCATTGTTCAAGGGTCAACTGTATATTTTAAGGGAAAATGAGGTAAAGAGAGATTTTTTAACATTAACATTTTATTTCTCTCCAAAGATGTAATTTATAATCATGAAAAATAGTTTAAGTGGTGAACAAAATGTATAGTGAAAAGCACTTGTATTTCTGTGTCAACTCATGGCATTATTAAATCATTTGCACTTTGATAATATTATGAATGAAAATGGCATCACAATGTTTTAATTTGTAGTTTTAAAATTATGAGTAAGATAGTAAATATTATCTTATGTCAATATTTCCTAAAAGCTACCTATCCATGTACTAAAACCATTTTTTGTTTATTTTTCCTTATTGATTTCTAAAAACTTTATAAATTAAGGAAGGTAGCTCATTGGAATATGTTGAAAATATTTTTACTCTTGTCATTTAATTTGGGCTTTATGATCTTCAGACAATGCCAAGCTTCATAATTTTTAGATTTTTAAAATTTTATGATATATAGTATCTGTATCTTGCATGCAAAGGTCAGTTGTTTATTTAATTGGTTAATTTTGGTATCCAGGTAGGATAGGTGATTTAATTAATGAAAAGAGGGTTACGAATAGTATAAAATGCATAAAAATGTGGGAAGGGGTGGCATTTAAAGTCCAGGTGGAGGAAACCAACTGAGAAGATGTACTACAGAACTAGAACAGAAATTTAAAAATGTGTTGGGGCAGATATAGCTTAAAAGTTTAGAAATAGAAAAATCACTTGATGGCCTTTCTTCCTAAATTTGGAGGCAAGTGGAGAAGGAAGTTTGTGTGTGTATGTGTGTGTGTGTGTGTGTGTGTGTGTGTGTGTGTGTAGCATAAGGGGTGTGGCAGTGGGTTGAGAAACAGTCAGTGGAGATTGGAAACCAGGAAACCTATACTGTTAATAAGTGGTTTCATTTATTATTTTTGAAAGGTATTACTCCATCTGTTATAAACAATGAGGAGAGAAAGATTTTGTTAAACTATAATGCAAGATATTTTTAAAGTAAGGCCAAATTTAACATTTGTAACTGTAGAGTCACATAAAGTATTATATTAATTTCTCACTGTTAGGGATTTAAAGGTTCATTAAATAATAGCCCTTTCCTCAAATTAAATACCAGCAAGAAGTCATGGAATTAGTATATATTAGCTAAATGAAAACCAAATCTTTGATCTGTGACCAAATATTCTTCTCCATCCCCACAGTCACAGACAGGACTGAACAATCACAGGACTTGCTTGCTTTAATAGGTAGCTTTCAGAAGGACAACAGAAAAACTCAGGTTCAGAGAACAGACTGCTCCATAAAAAGAAGAGATGGAGTCGTACACACTTAACCCCTTCTCCAGTTTCACCAGACAGATGAGTCACTATCCCCAGAAGGGATAGTAGGAAGATAGTGGAATGAAGCTGTGTGTTTTCTTTCCATGCTTTTCTCTCCTGGAGCATAAAAGTTCCCCTCAAACACCCCTATTAAAATGTAAAGAATGAGATATTTCTTTTATTTCTCACAAGTCCCTTCTGAAGTGAGTAATATTAACCTAACTTTATAGATGAAGAATCTGAAACTCAGAGACGTTACTTATATCTTTTTTTTTTTTTTTTTTTTTTTTTGAGATGGAGTCTCGCTCTGTCACCCAGGCTGGAGTGCAGTGGCGCGATCTGGTCTCACTGCAAGCTCCGCCTCCCGGGTTCACGACATTCTCCTGCCTCAGCCTCCCAAGTAGCTGGGACTACAGGCACCCGCCACCACGCCTGGCTAATTTTTTTGTATTTTTAGTAGAAACGGGGTTTCACCGTGTTAGCCAGGATGGTCTCCATCTCCTGACCTCGTGATCCACCCGCCTCTGCCTCCCAAAGTGCTGGGATTACAGGCGTGAGCCACCGCGCCCGGCCGACGTAACTTATGTCTTTAAAGGCAACTCTGCTTGCTAGATATAAGCTGAAATGTAAATAATACCAGTTGACGTGGGAGGTGCTGTAGGTCTGACAACTGAAAATGAACAGGGGCTTTTGATGTTATTGGATGAAGAAGTATTCCTATGTCCAGGATGAAACCAACCCAGGACTTTGAAGCCCTCTTCTAATACTAGAGCTTGTGCTTTAAAGTAATCTGCATCTCAAAGTGCGCTGGTGGCTTTGAGATTGATTACACTGCGAACATTTGTTTAGATAAATATTTAAAACATTTTGATAATAATCACTTTTTATAGAGTGATCTTTATTTAACAAGCACTGTTCTAAGTGGTTGATCTTCATGTATTAATTTATTGACTTTTTATAGCAATTCTATTTGTAAGCTATTATTATTAACTTCATTTTATAGCTGAAGAAACTGAGACACAGAGAGACAACTAATTTGCTCAAGGTCCCACAGGCAGTAAATGGCAGTGAGGATATTAGAAGATAACCTGTATCCTAAACCATTCTGGAAAACCATCTCTGGATCTTTGATAATCCTCAATTTCAGTAATAAATTTTGTCCTTACAGTATAAGATAATATGTTTTTCTCTATTTTCAAGATAGATAATTTAAACAAAGGAAAATGTAGAGTTAAAGGTGATTCTGAAAATGTTTCTTTTTTAAAAAAAATAAGATTAACAAACCAGGAGCAATTACACTTTCTGTAATCAAGAAAATTTAATAATTAGATGGACTATTCAAACTGCACTTCCATTTTCTCAGGAAACTAAACTTTTTGATGAAACTTTAGTTTTTAGTAAACAGAAAAGTTTGAAGTTGCTTTATAAATGTGTGTAAACATCTACAGAGAAACAAAGGCAAACTGAATATTATTCTGTGCTGAATTCCAGTCAAAAACATTTGCTCTTTATTGTTTTCTAGATTTGTTTTTTTGTTTGTTTGTTTTTGTTTGTTTTTGTTTTTTGTTTTTTGTTTTGAGACAGAATCTCACTCACTCTATCACCCAAGCTGGAGTGCAGTGGCGGTATGTCAAGTCACTGCAGTCTCTGTCTCCTGAGTTCAAGCGATTCTCCATCCTTAGCCTCCCAAGTAGCTGTGATTACAGACATGCACCACCATGCCCAGCTAATTTTTGTATATTTTTTATTAGAGACAAGCTTTTGCCATCTTGGCCACGTTGGTCTCAAACTCCTGATTTCCAGTGACCTCATCTTCCCAAAGTGCTGAGATTACAGGCATAAGCCACCGCGCCTGGCCTGTTTTCTAGAAGATTGACATGATTTGGTGGAATTAACAGAAGATGTGAACTATCATACATATATATACACACACACACAGATTTATATACACACATATATACATATGTATATTTCTATTTGTTGACAGGCATTGTGATAAATCATACTAAAAACAGTGACTGATTAACTGAGGCCCATCAGCTGAATTCTATTTTTGTACGATAGTTTCACTGGAACATAGTCGCATTCATTGACATAATGTCTATGGCTGCTTTGGGGCTATAATAGCAGAATTGAACAGTTTTAATAGAAGTCATATGTCCCATAGATCCTTAAATATTTACTATCTGACCCTTTACAGGAGAGGTTTGCTTCCTGATCCAGAGTTTTTTCATCTGTGAAGATGAATATGCCTACTTACATAGCAGTATTAAGTTTTCAATATTACTCAAAAGTAGTCATGGTTTGCACATAAACTCCACTTTTTTTTTCAATCCTTCTTGAGGTTTAAGGGCTTCTGATGGGTTATGAGATCGGAGAGTCTTAGGAGTGTTGGTTGGAGTTGAGGGTACAGGCTTGAATGCCGTGATTCTCAGTGGAGAGGAGAACCAGAACAAAGGAGCTTTTTTTGACTTCAACATCCTGGAACATAATGTTCAAAGCAATTGCAACAGGCAATGCATTTGAACTACCTCCTCATTCAACCCAAAGTGATTTAATTTTACCTAAAATAAAAGAATGTGCTAAGTTTAATAAGAAATGTACTCTTTGGATATAGATATTAGTCTTTTTAATACAGTTATTTTTACACCTCTCATTTGCTAAATTGTATCAATAACATGGATTAAAAATGCTTCTTTTCTTTTTTCCTCATCCCATCATCCCCAGTTTCCTCAGAGTTGTTTTTTCTGTAAAACAAGTGTAATTGTGTCATCCTTTTGCAAAATGATCTTAGTTGACTCCCCTTTGCCATCATATTCCACTCCGTAATTTGGCATACACTACATGGCCTAAAATCTGCCAGTCACTTCCTATGATACTCAGAGGTGAGATTTAAAATATGTAACAACTAGTAAGATGTGGATCCAATCAAAACAGATGCAAGTCATAACCAATGGGTTAATTTATGCTGATGCATACCAGCCGAATATCAGAATTGACACACTTCTGCACCTTCCCACTGCTGTATCTTCACCTATTCTATCTCAAAATGATTACAATTCTCTGAACATATCTAGCTTACAGTGTAACCTACACTGTTTTGTCCCTGGAATTACTTCCCTGTCTTTTACCTATATACTCAGGTTTATGTATCAGGTTTATCACGTAAGACATTTCCAGGCAGTTTGGAAGATATCCTGAACTCCAGTAAGACTTCCACAGACCCCTTAAATATCCCTGGAACTTTTCATTTTTATTTTTCTGTTTTCTTCTTTTCCCTCTTACACTAGAATATAAGCTCCTTGAAAGTGTGGGTAAAGGTTTATAAATCTTCATACCTTTCATACCTAACACATTGTAGATATTTTAGAGTGGCTGAAACTGCAGGGGGGGAAAAATGGCAGTAATAGAGAGGCAGAAAAACGGTTCTCTTCAACTCAGTCAGCCTAAGTAAAAGGCAGGATTCTCACACCCTAAAATCGAAAAAGTAGACTAAATATATGTTTCTCTGCAAGTAAGCCAGCTAAAAGTCTCCTGGTGGAGAACAGAGGTGACTCCCTAGGACACCCTCCCCATGAGTTTATGACAGGTCTATTTCATAGCTTTTCTTACTGAATGGTGAATTTCTGGCCTTTGCAAATCACGTCTGAAGAAATGAGCACTTTCTATGAGGCTTAAACATGCATTCAACTAATCAATCACTTGGATTAGGAAAAGTCAAATTATTAGTAAAGTGGTGAGACAAGGAAGACCAGATACATTCTTGGACACGTGCTGTTTTAAAGGAAGCCTTCGTAGGTTTTATTTCCTTTCAAAGGCAGGGAAAATAGATGTAGTTTCTTCAGTACTCTGACTTCATATTATTAGACTTGCCAGGTGATAAAGTGAATATTGATTAGATATCATTCAGTCATTAGTTCAGAATATTTTAAAGCTTTATTGTTTTCTAATAGCTTAGCAAGTCATGAATACAAGTCTTTATGCTTCAAGATGATTTATAGAGATTCTCTCAATTTACCTTTTTGTACATGCCAAAATCTGTTTTCTTACTTAATTTTACTTTAAAAAAATATTTGGCAATTTTTTTACAAAAAGTAATTTTTTAAATTGCTTTTGTCATGGATACATATTTGTACATATGTATGGGGTACACATGATTTTTTTTTACAGTCAGAATGAGTAATGATCATGTTAGGGTTAGGGTATTTACAGTATCCATCACCTCACGTATTTATCATTTCTATGTGTTGGGAACATATCAAGTTCTCTCTTATAGATATTTTAGAACAAACAATATATTTTTGTTAATGATAGTCTACTCAGCTAACAAACATTAGAATGTTTTTCTTCTATCTAATTGTACAATTGTTTTTACCCATTAACCAACCTCTCTTATTTACGCCCTACCCATGTACACACCCTTCTCAGCCTCTGGTATCCACTTCCATGCGAAAACCTTTTTTTTGGTCCCACATATGTGAGTGAGAACATGTAATATTTGTCTTTCTGTGCCTGGCTTATTTAACTTAACATAATGAACACCAGTTTCATCCATGTTGCTAAAAATGACATGATTTCATTATTTGTTATGCGCTAATAGTATTTCATTGTGTTTACATATACCACATTTCTTAACAATTAATCCATTGATGGATACTTAGATTTATTTCATATCTTGCTTTTGTGAATAGTGCTGTAATAAACATGGAGGTGCAAATGTCTCTTTGACCTACTGATTTCCTTTTCTTCAGATACATACCTAGTATTAGAATTGCTGATCATACGATAGTTTTATTTTTTCTTTTTTGAGAAACCTTTATACTGTTTTCCATAGTGTCTGTATAATTTTACCAATATTGTCTTTCCCTTTTCTTTGCATTCTGGCCAGCATCTTTTATTTTTTGTCTTTTTAATAATAGCCATTCTAACTGGGGTGATGATACCTCACTGTGGTTTTGACTTACATTTCCCTGGTGCTTATTGATGTGGAGCATTCCTTCATGTACCTGTCGGCCATTTATACGTCTTTGAGAAATGTCTGTTCATGTCTTTTGCCCAATTTTTCATGCAATTATTTGTATTTTGGGGGGGCAGCGGGAGTTAGTTTTTTTTTTAAGCTGTTAAGTTCCTTGTATATACTAAATATTACTCTCTTGTCAGATGAAACATTGTGCAAATATTTTCTTCCATTCAACAGGTTATCTCTTCACTCTGTTGATTATGTTCTTCACTGTACAGAAGCTTTTTGGTTTAAAACAATCCCATTTGTTTATTTTTGTTTTTGTTGTCTGTGTTTTTTAGGTCTTAGCTATAAAATCTTTGCCTAGCCCAATGTCCTCAAGTGTTTCCTCTATGTTTTCTTTTAGTAGTTTTATAGTTTGGGGTCTTACTTTGAGTCTTTAATCCATTTAAGATGTTTTTATATATCATGAGAGTTAGGGGTCCTGTTTCTGTCTTCTGCATATGGATATCAAATACTCCCAGCACTATTTATTGAAAAGGATGTTCTTTCCTCATTGAATATTCTTGACAACTTTTCCAAAAATCATTTGGATAAAAAACGCATGGATTTATTTCTGGGTTCTCTATTCTGTTCTGTTGGTCTATGTACCATTTTTCCTATCATACCATATTGTTTTGGTCACTATATTCTTGTAATATATTTTAAAGTCAGGTAGTGTGATGTCTCCAGCTTTGTTGTTATTACTTAGGATTGCTTTGGTTTTTCAAGCTCTTTTTTGATTCCATATAAATTTTAAGATTTTTTTTTCTTTTTCTGTGAAGAATATTATTGGTATTTTTAAAGGAATTACATGGAATCTGTAGATTGCTTTGAGCAGTATGGTCATTGTAACAATGTTAATTCTTTCAATCTATGAATACGGGATGTCTTCATATTCAATTAAGTTCTCTTAAATTTCTTTCATCAGAATTTTGTAGTTTTCTTTGTAAAGGTCTTTTGCTTCCTTGGCTAAGTATACTTATAGATTTTTTTAATAGCCATTGTAATTGGGATTGCCTTCTTTATTTTCTCCTCAGCCAGTTCATTATTGGTGTATAGAAATACTACTGGTATTTTAGTTTTAATTTTGCATCCTGCAACTTTACTAAATTTATTAGATCTAAAAGGTTTTTGGTATAGTCTTTAAATTCTTCTAGATATGTAAGATCATGTCATCTACAAATTAGTATCTGTGGTATTGATTGGATAGGGCACTTTGGCTCTGAGTGTGTGCAGTAGTGTAGTTTTTGTATGATTTCTTTGGGTATAGGCAGTGTCAGTATTGTCTGTGATTTCCTTAGTAGCTTATGGTACAATTGGTAGTGAAGTCTGTAGTGATGTTTTGCTGGAGACAGGAACATCCACTGAGATAGTCCTCAGGCCCCAGTGGTGGCAATGGCAGGCTAAATGTGCCTGGGTCTCACCAAGCACAGCATTCACTGGCACCAATGTTAACGGGCTCAGGCTAGCTGATTCTTTGGCCTCCAGACAGCTTGCTCAGGTGCTGGTAGTGGCAGCTTTGCATTGGGCAGGTAGGTAGATACTCAGGTCCCTGAGCAGTGGGTGTTGTGTTGGTGATGGGAGTAGCAGTGGCAGAACAATCCTTTGGATCCCAAGCAGTCCAAGCTGGTGTTATCAGTGGCTGCAATCGCTGGCCCACAGTTGGTGTGTGTGGATAGATGCCAGCTGTGGTGGTAGTGGCAATTTGGGTGGGCTCATCCTCAGCACCATGAGAGGTGGTGGATGGGGCAGAGCGATTGCCAAACTCCCAGATGCCAAGTGACATGTTCAGGCACTGGGTGAGGGATACTTGAATGGGGTGTGACTGTCATGAGGTCCCAAATAGGTACATGCTGATGCTGGCTGTGGTAGGCATGGGCTGAATGATGCCCAGATTCCTGGCAGAATGCTTGGTTAGGGAGGCAGCGGCTGCACTGTGGCCCTGCTTCTGGGAATGGTGGAGTTGCTTTCAGTGGCAAAAGCCATAGGCAGGAGGCTGGGAGTTCAATCTTTAGCCCCAAGTGGTGGCTACAAGTGAGATAGCCTTTCTTCATGGCACTTTTAAATGCATGATGGCCCTGCTACTTGTGGCAGTTGGGGTTGCTGCCAATGGCTTGTACTTGGCATTGGCCATAGCATCTGACAGCAGCATCCATCTGTGATCAGGGGATGTCAGTTTTACTCCAGGAATAAGGAGATTCAGGATACAGACTGGTGGTGACTGGGCTCTCAAAATGGTACCTCACTGTAGTTGTTTAGGGCTTGAGATGTGTGCAGGATCCAGCGTGATATGGTTTGGCTGTGTCCCCACTCAGAACTCATCTTGAATTCCCATGTGTTGTGGGAGGGCCTCGGTGGGGGGTAATTGAATCATGGGGGTCAGGTCTTTCCCATGCTGTTCTCATGATGCTAAGTCTCATGAGATCTGGTTACTATAATGGGGAGCTTTCCTGCACAAGCTCTTTCTTTGCCTGCTGCCATCCATGTGAGACCTGACTTGCTCTTCCTTGCCTACCTTCGTGATTGTGAGGTCTCCCCAGGCACGTGGAACTGCAAAATCCAATTAAACCTCTTCCTTTTGTAAATTGCCCAGTCTTGGGTATGTCTTTATCAGCAGCATAAAAACAGACGAATACACAGCGTGACCTCCCTTTCTTGAGCCATGCTGTCAGAGCTGTCTTCACGTAGCTCTCTCTGTTAGTCTCACAGCCAGTGTGGGTAGAACGGCTCTGGCAAGTATTGCAGGAATCCGTGGTGGGGATATGGACCATTAGGGGTCACTCACTTACTCTTTCCCCACATTGGGAAGTCTCTCCTGGCTCCTGGCAGAGAAGGATGCCTCACTTCCCTTTCCTTTCTGCCTTAGGTGTTTTCTGTTACTTCTCTGTTGAATTTCAGCATTCTTTCTAAGGCAATACATTCAAAGTGTGATTATCCATTTGCTTGGAGATTTTTTACTTTTGTTTTTGTTTTGCGGAGGAGGCAAGTACCAGATACCTTCAGTCAGCCATTTTGAAGCCTCTCTCTCTCACTTTTATTTTAAATATATTTTAAATATATTTTATTTAAATATATTTTTACTATATTGCTATAACAGAATGTCAGAAGAATACTTTCCAAAATCCAATCCCCAAATCAAATCTTTGTTTTCATTTGCCTTTTCCTCTTTGATGCTTTGCAATATGTCCATTCATCCTTTTTAACATGTAGCATTAATATAAGTAGACATTATGCTAGTGCATATATATTTTTTATTTTTCCATTATTTGTTTTGTTTTCTTCTTTCCATTATCTCTTTTGGTTTTTGTGGTTTTGTTTGTTTGTTTGTTTTTCCTTTTGTCTACCTTCTCCTCTCCCTTCTTCCTGTCTCTTCTTACTTTCTCCCCAGGTAACCAATGTGAATATGGACATTCTCTTCCTCACATTTCTCTTTGGCTTTATAATCATTGACATACAGATTTCCCCTCAATATATACTTTGGTTCTAGGATATTGATTATGCTAAATTTGCCGTTTTTTGCTTGTACATAATCAAATACATATTTAAAAGTTATTTTATAGCTTCTTCACTCCTCTTTTTGATCCAAAAAATTTCTCTGAAAACTGGCAAAGTTTTGTTTTCTTGTTTTGTATCTTTATTCATTTAATCCAACTACAATTTTTTAAATTAAAATTGGTGCATTGCGAGGTCCTTGAGATAGATGATCAGATGTGCCTGCATGATTTAGTAAATAAAGAATTCTTTCCCATTGAAATAACAACACTTCTTCATATTTCATTAGAATTATACATATTTTAAATTATATATTTTCTGTATACTATTATATCATTTTAGATACTCTCTTTGGTACTATTGTTTTATTTATCTTTCTTTTGTAGCAGCATAGTAGGTGGATGTTTGTTTGTTTGTTTTTGAGACCAAGTCTCACTCTGTTGCCCAGGTTGGAGTGCAGTAGCACAATCTCAGCTCACTGAAACCTCCACCTCCCAGATTCAAGCAATTCTCTCGCCTCAGCCTCCCTAGCAGCTGGGATTATAGGCATGTGCTTCCGCGACCCACCAAATTTTGTATTTTTAGTAGAGACAGGGTTTTGCCACATTGGCCAGGCTGGTCTCAGACTCCTGGCCTCAAATGATCTGCCTGCCTTGTCCTCCCAAAGCGTTGGAATTATAGGCATGAGCCACCAAGCATGCCAACATAGTGTTTTGATTACATTGTTTTTCTATTATACTTAATACTTGTAAGTCATGCCACTCTAATTATTTTTAGTTTTCGTATACTAATTTTGTTTTTCTCTTAAATATTGTTGGTCTTTAAGAATTTTTTAAGATTTTTTTCTAATTATAAAATTAAGTTTTTAAATATTAATATTTAGAGGGCTGAAATTTTAATGATATTAAATATTCTAATAAAAAAGAGAAGACATTTAATTCCTATTTTTACATTCTGCCATAAAGACAGATTGCTTTATAAATATTTTGTGTTTTCTTGAATTATTACCACCCTTTGTAATTTCGTTAGTATATTTTTGATTTCCAACTAATTGTTGCTAATAATGAGAAAAGCCACTTAATGTTTGTATAATTCAAAATTCTTATTTAATATTTGTAGTTTTCTCCAGAAGTTTTGGATTTTAAACATGCACAATAATTTTATTAACACAAAGTATCTGAGTCAATTTATCTCCAATCCTTATACTAATGATACTATTTTCTTGATTTATTACATTCACTAAAATTTTTTAATCACTGGTGTATAATAATTGTGATAACAAGTATCCTTTTCTTTACTTTTTATGGGATTGGTTTGTTATTTTACTATTTAGAAATAACATTTTATATTTTTGTCTTTATCAATTTACTTATTTTCTTCTTCTTATATTGTCCTGTCATGATCCTGGGTCCTCATATCTCCAGTTCCAAGTAAACACTTTAAAGAAAAATATATATATGCCCAAATTAGAACAAATAAGATTGGATGAGAATTAGGATCCTAAGTTGTGAATGTACAATTACCTATATCTCAAGGAACACAAAACAATTATATCTGGATTCTGGTTTAGATGGTAACTAAAGTATACGAGTTTATCTTTTTTCTCCTCTAACAATCCATCTAATTTACTTGCCATTTATTTACAGTAAAACCCACAGTCTTACACTATGTTACCAGATTAACACATACCTCTTCTGCCTTTCTCATCCATGTCCTGTTGCTCCTCCCCTGTCCCAATTCACTTTAGCCACAGTGGTCTTCTTGCTGTTCCTAGTCTCACTTCCACCTCAGGGCTTTTGCACTTACTGTTCTCTTTGCCTGAAACAACCTTCCCCCAGATATCAACATCAATAGATTTGTCACGTAAAATCTTCACTCAGATGTTACCTTCTCACTGAAACATCTCTGACCATCACATTTAAACATGAAACATACCCTACCATTGATAGTCTTTACCCCCCACCCACTTTATTTTTGTCAATAATATGTATTGCCTTATAACATGTAGCACATTTGCTACAAAATTTCTTATTTATTTGGTTTATTGTCTCTCTAGTCTATGCTAGAAGGTAAGCTCCATGAGGAAAGGGATTTTGTTTACTGCTCTATCCTATGTCACTATAAAGAATACCTGGTACAAAATAAGCACCTAATGAAATAAATAAGCTGAAGAAACCTTAATCCATATTTTAGCAGATAGGATTTTTTAAAGTTTCTCATTTAGAATCCTGGAATCATCTGAGATCAAAATAGCAGGTCTGGAAGAAGCAGCAGGATTCAAACAACCAACCAAGTGAGTAGTTTTATGTTCTGGTACAAAATAAGCACAGTCAGCTGTTCAAAGAGTGTTAGGGTGAAATGAAAATGGCGTAAGCAGGGGAACTAGCTGACTCTTCATTTGTCCTAAAGCAAAGTTTACATAGCAAGAAGAGCATAACATATTTGTAGAAAACTAAAAACTAAAAGATCTAGAAATCTCCATGAAATATGAGGTCTAGAAATCTCTGTGAAATATGAGTATGCATGTAAGGATGTGTGACTAGACATCCAGAAAGATGAAGTGTGCTGGAAGATTAAGGGAGGAAAATGTAACATTGCTGATGTGGAGTAGTGCCAGATGAGGTCAGTAGGTGAGGGTGATGCAATTACAGGAGAGGTGAATGGCACTGCCCTTAGCACATTGATTAAATTACTTACATAGGTCTTGCATTTGAAGTTATTTACATAGAGGTTTGTAAATAACTGGCGTTCAGATGTCCTCATTTCTCAAGCAAAATAAACACATTTGTCATTTGTACAAATTGCTTATTTAGCCAGAGAAGACGGTGCTGTTTAAAAAAAATACTCCATTACAAATAAACCTCTTGCTTCCTACAGTAGAATCTTGCTCTAATGATATGCCAAGAAACTTTCAAGATGTATTTACATTTAATATGACATCTCAAGAGATTGTTATAGCCTGACACTTCCACTTTTCCATTTTTGAAGTTTCTATAGCAGGCTGGATTATGTAGCAAAACAATTGAAAAAGTTGGTGATTACCACTCCTATGGGAAAATTTTATTCCTAAAAGTCTACATAGTCTTGTGATTTTTAAGTAGATAAAGGGATTTTTTTTCAGGTTAGAATTTGTTACCATGCATTCTGAGGCAATATCATAACCATAACAGTACTAATTCCTTATATTTATTTAGTGCTTTAAAGATTACAAAATGCTTTTTATGGGCATTATGCCATTTAATCCTTCTTGTCCAGTACATATATGACAGTCACCAGTGACAATATGTCCAGATGGTGGAAAACGGACATCAGTTACCTAATACCCATTGGACTAGTGGCTACCAGATGCTGGTCCATTGGCCCTTGGAAGGCTTTAATGAAATTTTCAAAGGTCCAAAATAAAAGAAAAATAAATAAATAAAATAATTATATATATAATTATTTGTACATACATGTGTGTCTGTGTATTTGTAGTTGATAATGGCCTTTATTTTAAAAATTATTTTTCATCACTAATTCCTACAGAACTTAGGGTCTAAGAAAAACAGCAAATATGTACTAAATATTTAATACTTAATTTTGGTAAGTACAATGAAGAAACCATCTTTTTTATTTTGGTAAGTAAAATACTCTTTCTTGTATTAGATGACAGTAATTTATGGTAATTTGTTTTGCTTAAAAATTGCTAAAACTGAAAATTGAACTGTCAATACTCTGTTGGCCTTACATTATTTTGACATCATAATGGTCTCTGCGAACTACCATTCAAGACCTCCCGCATTTGTTCATATACCTTTAAGGATATTATTCTAGAAGAAAACACCTCTTAACACCAGCTTAACACCTAGAGTGAGATTCATCATTTTCTTTTATATAAAAATAATTACTTCTTCCTACATAACCCAGTGACTGTCCAAAAAAATATAATGCATTTTATTTCTTACTTAGAACATGGAGTTTGGTTAATGTTTAGAGTAATGTTTGGGCATGCCTTGTGTTAACAGGTGAAATGAATTAAGGAGAAATGGAAATATTAAAGAAAACATGTAGTGTTATTTGCACTAAAACCCAAGCCACCTTAATTTCCTTGAGGGTTCCTTCAGAAATAGGCAAACAGTGATAATCTCTCTTGTGGTTAGAGCCAGTATTTGCCCTAATTTATTTTAATTCTAAAAGCTGTAATCATTTGAGTCCAGCTTGTCTTTCCACTTTCATATTTTGAGAGATTTATTCATATTTAAAACATAAAGCAGCTCTCTAGCATTAGTTGCATCCCACTTGTGATTTGTGTTGTCAATTTCTTTTACAAGAGACACCCACACTGTATGTCAAATATCTATTCCCTCATCTTGATAAAAGTCATAGAAAATGTTGATTTGCTGATTTAAGACATAACTCATTTCTCAATATAATGAAGATGGTAGAGTGGCAAGTAAGGAAAGTAAAGACTGTCTCTGGTATTTCTGAGCAGATTGGGCTAATGTAAATATAGTACCCCTAGAGGAAAAACTGAAGGCAACTGATAATATGGATGAAATAGCAAAACTGTTTCAATCTTATTTGAGGGGTGTTCACAAAAACAATATACATCAACAAAGAAAAAATTCAGCAGTACTTAAGAAAATAACAAACCTTAACTCAAAAAAAAAAAAGTTCAGGATCCAGTGTAGTTGATTTTATCCTGTTAACTGAAATAACTGAGATGATCCTTAGCATAAGTTAAATAGCCATCAGATAGGTAATAAAAATAAAGACTTGCACATGAAAAACTAAAAAAAAGAAAACACGGCAGACCAAGGCACTAAGAAATGTGCAGGGTACTTAGTTGCAAACTTCGTGCTTAGTGAAGTTTTCACATGAGCTCATAAATATTAACTCATCTGTGTTATATATCTAAAATTAAAACATGTTTAGATTTATAAATATGACTATGCATGTAGTATATGTTACTCTGAAAATGAACATGCAATATGAAATATGACTCATAAAAGATGATGGTAGTTAAGAAACCTCAGTTTGCCATATACATATGCATACCCGTCTACACACACACACATATCCATATGTAGGTACTGGTAAATTATTTAGAGCAGGGGTCCCCAACCGCCAGGCCAAGGGCCAGTACAGGTCTGTGGCCTGTTAGGAACCAGGCAACACAGCAGGAAGTGAGCAGTGGGCAAGTGAGCATTCTACTTGAACTGTGACTCCTGTCAGATCAGTGGTAGCATTAGATTCTCATAGGAGCGTAAAACCCCTATTATTAACTCTAGATGCAAGAAATCTAGGTTGCATACTACTTATGAGAATGTAATGCCTAATAATCTGAGGTGGAACAGTTTTGCCCTGAAACCACCCCCCTGCCCCGCCCCACTGTCCTGTGGAAAAATTGTCTTCCATGAAACTGGTCCCTGGTGCCAGTAAAGTTGGAGGCTACTGATTTACAGCTTTCTAAATAAGCCACAGTGCTTGTGTACAGGATGGTGGGGAGGAGAGCAATTCATATAGCGATTCCAAGGAATAAAAGAATCTTTCCATGTAATCTAGCTCTGGTAGTTCCTTGTATGTTCATCGAAGACTGCTAATATCCTCAGTCCTTCTCCCCCGCCACCAGAAAATTCTGTGAAGTCCACAAAAGCCAATCAGAACAACTTCCAATACTGACAGCAGATTGAACACTGACATTTAATTTCAGGGTTTTTTTTTCTTAATGCTTCCAAATAGAATAAAGAAACATTGCCCTTAAATCTTACAAAGACCGAAGGAATGCAAGAAGAGATGATAGCAACACAAATTTTAAAATGGACAAGTAGTAACTAAATTACAAAGAAAGCCAAATTCTCAGCCAAGGAGTAAACCAATATGCAGTATAGAACCTTCCAAAAGCTCGGAAATCTGTGATAGCAGTTACTTCTGGAAGATGGAATGATCGTAGGACCAAAAGAAGCAAGAATAATAAAAAGTTTGTTTAAGCAATAAGCATCCCCAGAATCCTATCTAGTTAGCCAAAGAGTTGAAACGTATCCAGAGTACAGGGTGAAAAAGAGGATCTCTGGATTGAAGGTCCCAACATCAGGTGAGAGGCAAGGCACTATACTGAAATGTGGAAATAAGAAAACTTTTACAAACTAAATGTTGATAGCCCAAGTTCTCTTCTCCAGTTGGGATCCTAGAATGCAGGTAGCCAGAAGTTTCTCTCTATGCAGGAAAGTGGGAGTATCTCCTTCCCTGAGACCCATGAAACCAGCTCAACATGGGTGATCAGCCAGAGAGCATCCTAGTCAGTAGTACTTCCTGATGTAAAATCTACAATAGACAGGTCCCACTCACAGACACAGTCTCTAGTCTTTTTTTTTTTGAAATCCCCTAACATTAATTATGAAGAGACCATTTCACATCACTAGTACATCTGAGGAAAACTTCTAACACTGAAGACAGAGCACAAAACCAGTAAACTTAAAATACTGAAGGATATAGAAACTCTTCAGGGAGGTGGAAAGTTAAAGAACTAATAATAATATCCTTAAACACAAAACAAAATATACAGCATCCTTAAAAGTGGCAGGAAATGCTTCCACAAAGGAAGCATTTTACATTATTTACATTATTATAAATAATGTAATTATAAATAATATTTACATTATTATATTCCACAAAGGAATATAATAAGGTCTTAAAATGAAAGCATATGTAACAAATAAAACATCTAATAGAAGGGTATGAAGAAACAAATCGAGGAAATATCTAAAAATGTAAAACAAAAAGGCAAAGGAATAGAATAGAGGAGAGAAAACACAAGAAAACTGGAGAACTGCTCTGGGATTTCCCAGCATTAGAATAAGAAAAACTTGCAAAAGAATAGAGAAAATGAATTGAATAAATTATTAAAATCATGTTTTAAGAAAAATCCTCAGAACTGAAGAACATGAATTTCAAGATTGAAATTACCCTTTTAATTCCTGGATGGTTGAAAACTATTGAGCTGCGTTTTAGTCACACTTCAAAAAACTGGAGAGAAAGAAAAGATACCTCAAATTTCCAGAGAGAAATTGGGCGACAAAAGGGGAGGGAGAGAAGGAGGAAGGGAGGGAAGGAGAGAGAGAAAGAGAGAGAGAAAGAATATGGATTGAAAGGTTGAAAAGTTTGGCAAGCAATGTCACCGAGAAGAAATAAAGACTTAAAGGGAAAGATGTACCACATTCAGGAACCGGAAGAGTCAATATTCTTAAGAAGATAATTGTATTCCAGCCCTGTGTGCTGCCACACTTTCACATCTTTTATCAGCTGAACTGAATTTGTTTGAGTTCTTAAAATATGCCAAGCTCTTCTCTGCCTCCGTATTTGCACATGCTATTCTTTTAATTGGAATGATCTTCTTACAGTTTTAGCTCAGCTAATTCCTACTCATCCATCAAATATCAGTGTAGATGTCACTTCCTCAGTGAAGTCTTCCCTTGCTACCTAAAATAACTTCACCTCTTTTGCATGATTGCTTATTATCCTGCATCTTAAAATCATTGCCTTTATGTAATTTGTGATTAAATATTATTCGGCATTTTTATCTATATATCTCTTATTGGCAAGATCATAAGCTCAACTATGTATAGCACAGTGGCTATAACACAATAGGTCAATATCAAAGTATGCGTCATCCTGTACAGAAATTATTCATTTAATTAATTCTCTTTCCAACTAAGATATAAATTCCAGAGGACATATATTATATCTATTTCTTTACCATTGTATTCTCAGTGTCTGGCACTTGGCAGTTGCTCACAAAATATGTGGTATATGAAGTCACTTAAACGATTTGATCTAAACAATAATCTGGGAAAGTAATCATCTCTTCTCAATTCAAAAAATAATGTATAAAAACTTCCACTGAAATGATTTTCCATGAAAGAGTCATCAAAAAGAATTAAGCATAAGCCGCTTCATGATAAAATGTAAGTAGGAAATTGGGAACTCCAGTATTCAATAATTCATTCTTCACCAAGAATGTATTGAGGGCCTAGCTCTTGTCTCTCATCTAACAGGGACAAATGAGTTCATGGTGTTCATGAGTTAAGGGTGTTTTTCAAGTTTTAATTTTTTGTGGCTAGAGAAGACTCTGGAAACATAGGTTCAAAATTTGAAGTGATTTATTTTCCAGACTAAACTTTATCCTGAAAGCAGTAGAATTATAGAAGATTTCAAGCAGGGGGAATTCAGGAGCAAATTTTGTATCGAAAGGATCACTCCAGGAGTAATATGGAAGTGAATCAAAATGAAAATCAGACTAGAGCTTGGGAATATCAAATGACCTATCATTGCAATAGTCCAGAGAAGAACTGCTCAGGATTGAAAGCAAAGTAGTATTGGAGAAGGAACAGAGAAACTAAGGATATGGCTTACAAATCATGGAGGAAGGTGACATCGAAACCTGAGCTGCTCTTTGTCTGGGGATGGTCTGGAAATATTTTGGAACTATGACCCTTCCTCCTCCTACTTTATGCCCCCTGCTTTTTTTTTTTTCTTTTTTCTTTTTTTTTTTTTTTTTTGGCCCCTCAAGCAAGTGTTCAAAGATGCAGAGAACAAAAAATAAGGGAGTTACGATCAACCCTTTTAATAGAAAACAGGAGGCCAGTGAATGGAATAAGCCCAAATTCTCTGCTTTCACTTTTCTGTTTTTAATGGTTTGCTCTCAGAAACTTAGAACAGCTCTTTCAAATAGATTCTCAGGACAGATAGTTAATTATCTTCTTATCTATGGCCATTTTAACACTGATGTAGAGCCCTTTCGGGAATTCAACTGAGGTCATTGATTGTTACCTTGGCTTAAAAACTTCCTGGCTTCAGTGATGTGTATCTGTAGGCAACACCCTCCATTTGTATATATTTCTGAAATGATGTCTTATACATCAGAATAAAAATAATTTTTCTTTCCTTGTATGAGGCTATATTTTCCAGTGCCCCTAAAGAAAATCACTTTCATCAGGAATAATTTTTGTGCTTTTGTTCGCTTATGCAAATTTTAGAAAAACTATTTTTTAGTGCTCACTGTATTTTCTACTTGTATTATATGTTTAGGAATCCATGCCTCCAAAGGACACACTTAGAAATACTTCATTCTGTTTCACAGAGGAAAGTGAGATGATAACAAAACAAGACATAGAGAGGTAACATTTGGAGTTAGACATTTACGAAATATTTTGTATACATTATTTCCTTTAATTTTCATCACAAATTAACAAATTAAAAAATGTTTTCTGCATTTCTATCAGTTAGCAATTCAGTGCTCTGAGAGGCAAAGCTATTTGCCCAAGATTGCAGGGTTAATAACTGTAAAAGCCAGGTTCATCATAGTTTTTCAAATTATAAAGTGCTTTTATCTAATACTTCTCTGCAAAGACCAGCAAACCAGTGAACACCTTATTTCAAAAGGTACAGGGCTCGAGAAAGAATAGCAATAATGGAAAAATAATATTACTGATATTACTGATTATATTGGCTTTTTTTTTTTTTTTTTTTGAGATGGAGTTTTGCTCTGTTGCCCAGGCTGGAGTGCTGTGATGCCATCTCAGCTCACTGCAAGTTCTGCCTCCCGGGTTCACACCATTCTCCTGAGTAGCTTGGATTACAGGTGTGCGCCACCAAGCCCAGCTAATTTTTTTTTTTTTGTATTTTTTAGTAGAGATGGGGTTTCACTGTGTTACCCAGAATGGTCTCGATCTCCTGTCCTCATGATCTGCCTGCCTTGGCCTCCCAAAGTGCTGGGATTACAGGCATGTACACTGGCTTATTTTTAAAAATTAATCTGCTATGATTTGAATATGTCCCCCAAAGTTCATGTGTGGGAAACTTAATCCCCAGTACAACAGTGTTGAGAGGGAGGACTTTAAGAGGTGATTAGGTCATAAGGGCTTTGAGCTCATGAATAGATTAATTATATTATAATGGAAATGGGTTACTTATGGCAGGAGTGGGCTTCTAGTAAAAAAGATGAGTTCAGCCCCTTTCCTTTCTCTCTCGCACACATATTTGCTCGCCTTTTTGTCTGCCAACATGGGATAAAGCAGCAAGAAAGTGCTTGCCAGATATGGGTCCTTGAACCTTGGACTGCCCAGCCTCCAGAACTGTAAGAAACAAATCTGTGTTCTTATTAAACCACCCATTTTCAGGTATTCTGTTATAGCAACACAAAATTAACTAAGACGAAGTCCTTAAAAAGGAATTAAGTGAGCCACAGTAACCCACAAATATTTGCTAAAGATGATTTAAGAAAAAGTAAACTTATTTTCATTTTTAACAAGAATTAATGACAAATCATGCTATTGCCATTAACAACATGAATTCTTTCATTTTTGTTTCAAAAAATGACTATTGAGATAACAAACTTAGCAAGATATCTGGGAAAAATCTGTGCAGTTATTGTCTAAGGTTATATAAATATGTGAGTTTAGATGAATTAATAGCTACATGTTAATTTAGACTGATTCATTATTTAAATAATGTTTATTAATAGCAACTGAAAAATATTCTTCAGTAGCATATCTACTGCACAATCTAGACAAATATGTAAATGTATATAGTCATTTTCAGTTGATAAAGTATCTTCATATTTTGATACATTTTCTCTGCTTCAGAGGAGAAAGCTGGAGTTCACAGTGTTATGTGATGTGGCCAAGGTCATAAGCTCAGAAATTATGGCATCAAGCCTCAAACCTATTTATTTTGATTCCAAGACCTATGCTCTTTCCACTCTATTAGGACTGCCTCTCTCTCTTTGGAAGCATTCTTGTTAGTGATTTGTATGAAGTCTTGAAAATGTTGCTTTTGAAATTTGTCCTTCACCTAGAGCTGGAAGTTTAAACCAATGTGACTAATTATAGAATAAGAATTGGAAGGAAAAAAATCCTTTCTGATGGAAAAACTGGACATATTCTAGAAAGTTGAAATTTATCAAGGACAAATGTAAACTCTCATAATAGATTCAATTAATGGATTCAATGACTTTGGGGGTTCTGTCCAACCATAACAACTTTTTGAGTCTATACAATAATGCTGTCTTTTTTTAATTTCCCTTTGCATAAAATTGAAATCTGCATTTACTTTTAGTGTCTTCTGCTGATTTCATTGAATATTTATATAAACTGTGATTTAGAGACATATGTTTATTAGTCAGCTTTGTTGTGCAAATGAACTACTTTATTAGAGCTACTTTCAGAATAATAATTTGAATGACAGGCATGAATAATGCCTTCTGCAAATATAATAAATATATTGGTCTACTATCACTTGCAAAGCAATAATTTCTATGTAATAAGTGTTTAAAAATAATAAGAAAATTATACAAGTATCAAAGCAGTCCTACATTTATAAATCTAATCTTGCTACTAGAAAGAACATGACTTATTCACATCTTGAAGATGTATTCATCATTCTGCTTCTCCAAGTTTACTGAATAAAATAATTTTTCTTATTTTTATGGAGCCAAAAGTCAGCATATCATCATGTATATAGTTTTAAGATACAGGTTGGGTAATACTTTTGTACAGAATGGAGGCATTTGAGGAATGTCACAGGCTGATTATTTTTCTGTCATAATCATGATACAACATATTGCTGAATAAAGCCAGCAATAATGGTGGCAAGTAAACCAAATGTGGTGTCCCAACTAAGACATATAAAATTTCATCTGTCCTCCAAGGCATTATAAAAATCAAGCTTTCATAGATCCTTTAGCCAGTTCATTCATTTTTATTTTTTCTTTTTTTATAATAGAGGTAGATTTATAGTTTTTTATGTTTATATTTTATAAACTATCTTTTCATACCAAAAAGGAACTGAGGTTTAGATTAGTTTAAGTAATGAAAATGTTAGCAATCAACTTTCTCAGCATGTAATAAGCATTCTGTGAGTACTTACTGCTTCTAAGTTACAATGACTATAGAAATGAAAGAAACAGACTTAGGGAAGCAGTGTAACATGTTGGCTAAAAATATAGACTTCAAAGTTTAACAGAGCTCGTTCAGTTCTTAACACTGTGGATTATCAGCATGAGATCTCAGCCAAGTTACTTAATTTATTTAAACCTCATTTTTCTTATGCATAATGATTATTATAAATTAATCTCACATTTTTGTAGGAAACAGAAAAGATATTTAAAGGACTTAGTACCTGGCTACCACAATGTTAGCATCCAATAATTTAATAAATAACTCAGTGTTATTATATTTCCCTCAAGGAGCATTCAGTTTGTTTTCTAACACATTCAGAGTGATTTTGAATTTTTGTATGTTGATTGGTTGGTAGGTAATAAAAATACCTTACACTAGTTGATGGTATTTTTATAAACATTAGTCAAAGAAATTAGAAATCAATGCAAAAATTTAAGTATGGTTAAATATTAACACTTTTTGAGTTGATATCACATGATGACATGAAACTGGAAAATAATTTTTCAGGGTTTGGGAATTGTATCAAGTACAGCTGAAAATTGGATAGGTCCACAAGTTCAAACAAAGAAGTCTGGTGGAAAAATAATCAATAGAAAAAAAAAGAGAAATTTAAATTCTGTGGTATCTAATATTAGAATTTCCTAAATCAAAAGAGCATTTTATGTACTGTTTACGTGTAAACAGTGGCAAAATAAGCAAACGTATCCAAAATTATTTGTGTAAAATATCCATATGTGTTTCTACTAAAAAATTCCAAACCAATTTGAAGATATTTTACCACTAATCAACTATATGAGCCAAATTTTGTTCTCTTCATGGAGTGATATTTTGGTTCTTTAGTTTAATTATGTATTTAATAAACCAATCTCAAATTATTAAAATAAACTCAACAATAAAATTTGAAGTTTTTTGCTTGTTCATTTGTTTGGTAAAAAGGTACACATTGATTTTTCAAATTTATGTAGATAGATAGACAGACCGACAGACAGATAGATAGATCTGTTAGAGTTATCTGTTTCTTCCAGAATTAATTATGAAGGAACTTTTCTATTTTATTTAAATTGTCAAAATTGTGGGCATAAAATTGTTTACACTGTTTTTTTATGATCCATTTAATATTATATAATTTGTAGCAATATAACTTCTCTAAAAACTCATATTGGTTATTCGTGCCTTTTCTTTCCTTTTTTTTTTTTTTTGGACCAATCTGGATAGAGATTTATCAGTTTTATTGATTTTTCTCAAATAACTAGCTTTTTTGATTCACTGATTTTTTAAATTGTTTTTCTGTGTTCTCTTTCATTGATTTTTTGCTTTGATTTTTATTTGCTATTTTCTGCTTATTTTTATCTTCATTTGTTCTGTTTCCAATTTCTTTTTCTTTTCTTTTCTTTTTTTTTTTTTTTTGAGATGGAGTCTTGCTCTGTTGCCCACGCTGGAGTGCAGTGGCATGATCTCGGCTCACCACAACCTCTGCCTCCCAGGTTCAAGTAATTCTCCTGCCTTAGCCTCCTGAGTAGCTGGGACTACAGGCACGTGCCACCATGTCTGGCTAATTTTTGTATTTTTAGTAGAGATGGGGCTTCACTATGTTGGCCAGGCTGGTCTCAAATTCCTAATCTCATGATCCACCTGCCTAGGCCTCCCAGAGTGCTGGGATTACAGGCATGAGCCACTGCACCCAGCCTGTTTCCAATTTCTTTTTTTTTTTTTTTTTTTTTTTTTTGAGACGGAGTCTCGCTCTGTCGCCCAGGCCGGACTGCGGACTGCAGTGGCGCAATCTCGGCTCACTGCAAGCTCCGCTTCCCGGGTTCACGCCATTCTCCTGCCTCAGCCTCCCGAGTAGCTGGGACTACAGGCGCCCGCCATCGCGCCCGGCTAATTTTTTGTATTTTTAGTAGAGACGGGGTTTCACCTTGTTAGCCAGGATGGTCTCGATCTCCTGACCTCATGATCCACCCGCCTCGGCCTCCCAAAGTGCTGGGATTACAGGCGTGAGCCACCGCGCCCGGCCTCTGTTTCCAATTTCTTAAGGCAGGGGCTGAAGCCTCTGATTTGTGACGTTTTTCTCTGGTTTGCATGCTTGTCCCCCAAACATTTAATGTTGAAATTTGATTTCAATGTTGGAGGTGGGGCCTAATGACAGGTATGTGGGTATGGGAACCGATTCCTCATGAATAGATTAATGCCCACTGTCAGAGATGAGTGAGTTCTCACTCTGTTAGTTCCCACAAGCAGTGGTTGTTAAAAAGAGGCTAACACCTCGCCTCTTTCTTTGTTTCCTCTATCACCTTGTGATCTCTGCACATACAAGCTTCCCTTCTGTTATTTTCCACAATAAGTGAAATCAGCCTGAGACTCTGACCAGATGCAGATGACCAATCTTGAACCTTCTATACATCAAAATTATGGGCCAAATTAAGCTTTTTGCTTTATAAACTACCCAGTCTCTGGTATTCTGTTATAGCAACACAAACTCAATTAAGAACCTTCTTTCTTTTCTAATATAGCATATAATGCCCTAAATTGATAACTCACAAATTTTAATATGTTGTGTTTTATTTGTATATACTTCAAAATATCTTCTGATTTTCATTTTGATTTTTGTCCTTGACACATGAGTTATTATAAATGTTTTATTTAGTTCCCAAATATTGAAGATTTTTCAGATATCCTTCTGGTACTGATATATAATTTAATTCTATTGTGGTCAAAAGTATACTTTGTATGACTTGAATTGTTTTAAATTTATTAAAGCTTGATTTATGGCTTAGAATATGGTCCATATTGGTAAGTGTTTTGTGTGTCCTTGAAAATAATGTATATGCTGCCATTGTTTGGTGGAATATTCTATAAATTTCAGTTAGCCCTTGTTGAGTGATGGGTTGTTCAAGTCTACTATATTCTTATTTTTCAGTTGACTTGTTTTGTCAAGTTATTGAGAGAGGGACATTTAAATTATGACTGTGCTTGTGAATTCTTTTTATTTTTACAGTTTCATTCATTTTTGCTTTATGTATTTTACAGACCTATTATTAGGTGCTTACATGATTAGGATTATTCTACTACTTAATGAATTGACACTTTGATCCATGGTAATGTTTATTTCAATTCTGGGAAAGTTTCAATTACTTGTTATTTTTTTTCATTATTGGTTGTTTTTTTCCCACTATTCTGTATGCCTGATAGCTTGTTTAAATTGCAATTCAGATATTGTAAATTTTACTTTTGTGATTGTTGTATTCTTTTTATCTTTATAAATCTCTTCAATTTTGTTCTGGGATGCAGTTCAGTTAGTTGGAAGCAGCTTGTTCTTTACTGCTACTATTTTATAATTTGTTAGGTAGGACTACAGCTGTGTTTAGTATATATATAGAAATATTCTCCACTGCAGAGGCAATAGTCTTCTGAGTATTCTACTGTGTCTGTGAATTATAAGACTTCCTACTTAGATTTATGGGTACAGGCACTATTCCAGGTCTTCTGTGTATCCTGAGTACTGTTCGATTCAATACTTTCAGACTGTATGTTTTGCAGGCTGTAATGGCTAACTCACATTCAGGTACTGATAAATTATTTGCTAAATACCCAAAAAAGGCCCTCTGTGGATTGTCAGAGTCCTCTTCTCTAGTCCTCTATCTTGTAGATGTTAGAAGCCTTTGTGTCCTCAGACTCCTGTTGCAATGGCCTGGAAATTCCCTTGTGGCTATGGGCTAGGGCAATTGTAGGGTTCATCTTGTTTGTTTCTCATTTCTCAGGGATTACTCTCCTACATTGTTCAATATTGTATTTCTTGAAAACTATTGTTTTGTATATCTTGTCCAGTTTTTTAATTGTTTCACATAGGATGGTATATCTGATTTCTGTTAAAACATTATGGTCAGAAGTCAGAGTCCAATAGTATTAATTTTGGAATCATTTAGTAATTAAAAGTACTATTACATCCAATAAGCAACTGGAATTTAGAAGGCTAAGTCTTGTTTTTTTTTATCTTTTGAATTAATGGTTAATCAGGGAAAGTATTATTGTAAAAATTTTTAGGATATATAGGTGGAGTCAAATGAGATGAAATAAAAAGATAATATTTCTTTTATAAAACGTTATGAGCCACTTTATTCAGTATTGTATATTCCTACCCAAGCCTGAAATTCTCCAGATGATTCAACATTTTATATGAATCTTTATATGTTATATGTAAAAATATATGCATACTCATCTGTGTATCTACTTTGCTTAATTTCTAGAGATACTATGGATCAGTACAAAAGGTTCATAGTCTGTTTCACTTTCTCATGAAACTGTTTCACTTTCTCATGAAACTGTTGTGATATAAAACTGGGGCTTTTTGAGATATGTTTAGAAAACTTGCACTGGAAGAAGCTGGGAAAACTAGAAGTCATTCCACTAACATGAGCCCCAAAATGTTTCAAGCATATGACAGAATTTTCATTGGCATTCTTTTTTTAAATGAGTTATAGAAAATTGAAGTAAAGTAGATGGTGGTAGAATAAGTCACACTCAGGCTGACTCTGAAGTGGTACTCAAGGAATACTGATTGAAACATCTTGGCAAACCTAGTGAGAGAACTAAAAAATCCCCAGCCTGGGGTGCTCCCCTTTGTGCTGTTCCATTAATCATTCATGCACTTAGCAGACAGCATTTAGTACCCCCTACCTGCAAGTCACAGGGATACAAACATGAATAAAATGTCAGCAACTTGTTGGAAGACTAAAAGACGGTATTTAAAAGATTTATTTGTGATACAAACCTGGTAAGAATCAGCAGTTTCTTTTGCAAGAAATCTAAATTTTGGAGGACATTAGAATACTAAAGCAATGTACTGAAATGCACAAAGAGAAAATATTAAAATGAGATAAATACTAATCTTCCCCGGAGTTAAAACAAAAATCAAATATAAATATATGAAATTCAGGATGAGTGATAGGGAGGTAAGACAGAAAGATAAGGATTTACCAGAATTCAGGTGAGAAAAGCTATAAAATATGAATGAAACAAGCATAGACAGAGATTGAGAGGCCTTTTTTTAAGTAATTTTCTAGCTGTGAAAACTATGTTCAAAACATTTAAAATATTTGTTTCTATTTCCCTACATGCAAAATTGGATGTTTAGTATTCTAGCTTCAAAAAGAGTATTTTAATTCTTGGAGCTCAAAGTTTTCTGTGTTAAAACCTGGGTTTTGGGAAAAAAATGAAATTTCGTCTTTTATGATGAAAGGTTTTCATAGGTGTCTTTGCATTTTATTGTAATACACTTTAAGGCAGAGAGGCAGTGTCAGCCATATTAACATCAACAGTAAGAGTTTGTTGATTGAAAAATATTTTTGTCTCTTCCACTTACTGAACAATGCAGAACAAATAACATCTCCTTGTCTTAGTTGCTTTATCTCTATAACAAATGCATTAGAAAAAAATTAAGTCAAAAGACCTGGTTCAGAACCATCTCTTCCATTTCTTGGGCAATCCTAAGCAAATAATTTAACATTTCCAGGTCTTAATTGCTTTATCTCTATGATAAATGTGTTAGACAAGATCCTCTCCAGTTGGAACATTCTATAATTCTAAGATTCTTATTCAGACATAACTGAGCATCTCTCACAAATATGGTTTTTGCAGTTGACGTATCACTATAATTATCTCAATTTTTGGGGGCCTCTTCAGAGCCTCATCACTAAAATGACTTTTCCTGATGAGCTAACTTCAATATATGTGAATATTGGGACAATTTCTCTTGGATATTTATGAAATTATCGAAATATAGTATTTACTTTGGCAGCAAATGGTTAATATTGAATGTAGGTTATCATTTCAATATTGTACCCTTCAGACTTATAAAACAGAACTTCCGAAGCAAGGGAAATTAACTTCACCTTCCTTTTGTAACCACTTGAAGGCAGAAACATTAACAATATCACCAAAGTGGCCCAAAGTGTACTCGTTTAATATGAGTCTTACATAACTGACCTAATTCTACCCTCTACGCTGCAGAGAAAAGCCTTTTTTGGGAAGAGTATGTCATTTCTGGCTGTTATCACTGATAGGTGCTGTAAATTTGTACCACTGAGCTCTGGGTAAGTTGGCGCATGGTACCCCTGGAAGAGGATATGCATTGGATCTGGAAGGGGCAGGGTGTGATTGGAGAGGGAAGGAAATCACCATATATTGTGTGCCTGTGGTATGCTTTATGTAAGATATCTCACTTAATACATAAAACAGTACATAATTTTGTATCATTACTTCTCATCTTGTCATACATATAGTTTGTCCTATAGGTATTAAATTATAGAGACCGTTCTCCCTAATTTTGAGAATTCATTCTACTTTCATTCTACAGAGTGAGCCCAATCTGCAAAAATGCTCTAAGGCTGATATCAGACCAAAAAGCAAATGTTCTTCTCTACTTCTAAGAGAGACCTGCTGGAATATTTTCTTCTTTCTGTATCTAAAAGAACCCAGGGTCATAATTTTTCTACAGCACAGAATAGTAGAGAATACTGTGGATTCTACAACAGGTCTTTGTTATAAAATATTCAAACTGAGTTTCTGTTTCCTGGTTCAGATTCCCAAAGTCCTTGTTTCCTTATATTTTAGATTTCATATCCCGCTTTTAATGCTCTGTATCTTTTTTCTCCAAACTGTCACAAAGTCTATCAAAATGTGTTCAGAATGTTTTCCAAAAAAAATCTTCTGTTATTTGTCCTCAAAGGCACCAGCTTAGTCTCTGTCCTGCTGGAAACACGTATTTGAATACTTGAATTGTTGTCCTTCTAAGTGATCCACCCCCCAGTGTTGTTAAGGCATAGCATCTTGAGAATGGAAAAAAAACAAAAAAAGGTGTTTCTAGAATAATGGCTTTTCCATAGGAGGGAACTTAGAATATTAGAGCTGAGATAATCTTTGCCCAAAACTTATCTAATAGAATCTTTATACTTTTTCTCTGAGATAGTCTTGTTCCCGTTTTACAGATGAATAAACTCTGTTAACTTGTTAATAGCACAACCAGATTTCCTAATTCCAGTTCTGTTTCTCTTAAGTTGTGACATAGTTTTTTGAACTCTTTGAGCACAAGGAGACTATCTGCCAATATTGACTTCCTCTTTGGACATAGATGGCAATAAATAGATTAAACAAAACTCTTTTTTATTCAATGATCCTGGTTGGCATTGGTCATCTTCATACTGACATACATATTTATACTTCACAATTAATTTAACTTTGAATATTTAATATGATAAAATATCAATGACTGACACAAATACAGCTTCTCAGTAAAAGCTGTTTCCCTTCCTCCTATGCTGCATGTTTGTAGGAGCAACGAACAGGATTCATTCTGCCTGTTTATGCCTTCTTCAGGATGCTTACTCTAACAGCTCCCTGACCGATCTTCAGTATCTACTCTCTTCCTAATTTAATCCCTGTCTTGCTGGGCCCCACCATACCTTGCTAATCTTATATATGAGCATTTACTTTTTTCTCAGCTGTTTCTTCATGTAATATTTGTGTAGCTACAGATGTTTGTACAGAATTGATATTTGAAAAGGACTCATTCCCATGTTTTATTTTTACTAATGCCACCAGAGACTAATCCTCTTTTATTCCTCTTCATATACTCATTTTTCAAGAGCCAGCCCAAGTTTTTTTAACCAAAGCTTTACTCAGCTATCCAAACCTAATTATTACTGGCTTTTATGGATCTCAGTGTTACTGCCATACATAGCACCCTTCCATTATCTCAAACTTGCTAATCTAGGCTGCAGTTTTTCCAAACCATTTTACTCTTCAGTCTTTCTCATACTTGGGGCCTAATCTCCAATAATGAAAGTCATCATATTAGATGCATAATCAAAGCACAGAGGTCCTACTGTAACAGCTTTCCCAGTTCCTGTCCTCAGTAGTAGAGGCCTCTCTAGCCTTTATTTCTTATAAAGGAAAGTCCCTGAGTAGGGCAGTTAGATAAAATACAAGACACACAATTAAATTCAAATATCAGGTTTAAGAAACACATTTGTTTAGTATCAGCTATCCCTAAGATTGCATGGGATATATTTATGCTAAATTAACTAGTTTTCTAAAATTCAAATTTAACAGATATTTGATATTTTTATTTGCTAAATCTGGCAACCATATTCCTGAAGAATCTCCTCAACTTTTTTTTTTTGACATATTAACTGCATTATACCTGGTCTCAGTTCATCTTGATTGAATGTCCCTATATGATGTCATATCTTACATGTCTTTAATGCTGCCTTGTTTTCAAAGTACATATATTATTTTATTTCTTTCCCCAAATTGCCCAAGTGTATGTTTATTATCTTTACCAGTCATTAACTTGGTTGTTTAATATCACTGGGTTTCCATTTTCTAGAATATAGCAAAGTTAATCATGCCTACTTTGATGAACAGTAAAAATAATAATCTTTACAAAGATTAAATGAGATGAACTACATAAAGCAAAGTGCCTGGCTGACCAAAGGAAACAAATGACCAAATGAATCTATATAACCTCTACACTCCTCTGCCACCATCCTAATTGGCTTGCTTAAGATTGAAAAGCCAATATATGATGAAGCTGAGAGCTTAAACTTGAATAAACTGGCTACAGTTAAGAGCTTATTAGAATAAGCCTCTAACTTGCCCCTTAGAGGGGAAAGAAGTCTGATGAAACATAAGAAAATACAGTGACTTATCACCTCCTCTCCTCCAGCTGGATATTTCCCTCTCTCCACGATGAGATTATTTTTCAATTAATTCCTCCCTTATAAGAAATATATGAGATAATGCTTTGTTCTTAATTTGAATCAGTTGCTCTATGCTTTTTCTCAGTAACTTGTGAATTAAAAAAGAAATAAAATGCTTTTAAAGAGTCTAAGGTTAAACTAATTAACAGTCTCCAAACAGAAACAAACACGTTGTTAAAAGATAAAGGAAGTGGATTGTTAGATTCTGTCTATTCTTCCCCATGGATATACAAGGATGTTAATTAGTGGAACATGGATGCCGATAAATGCCAAACAATTATTTCTCATAAATCTTTGTGAAATGTGAAAAATAAAAATATATCCTGGGAAGCAGAATTAATTCATGTTAAGGGATCATATTTCGAGGTACATTATTAGTATTCATGAACATGGAACGAGCAGAATTCAGAGATTTCTGCCAAGCCAGGAGTTCATCTAGGAAGACTAAGAGATTGAAAAAGAGAAGCTGTTAAGGTAGCTAATTTTGATGCCATTTTTATTATCTTTCTTGCAATAATATTTTACATTCCAATATAACATGATGACACTGAGAAGTGTCATATGTTATGGTCACTATGTTACAATGTGGCTTTGAGAAATTCTCACCTCTTAATAATGTCTGTGGAAATATACTTTTTCACTTCACTAAAGTGGTTTTTCACAAATCCATGCTATTTAACTATAAAGATCCATGCCATTCTCTGCTTATCTGTTCCTGTATAGTGGAAACATTAAAAATGATAATCTAAATGCAAACACATTGTTTAATATTCTTTCTATTTATTTATCTGACCATCTGTAAATTATTTTAACTATACAGTTTACATGGTAAATACATACCCTGCATGCTGCAACTAAAATTCTATGGCTGTAAAGTACATATATACAGTATCTAAGGACAGCCAGATTTTCTTATATCTTGCTATTAGAGATTAGAAAATAAAGTCATTTCAAAACTTATATTCTAGTGGAAAATTCAAATATGAGATAGCAAGTAACAAGGCTTAAATACACATGTCTGTGCATTCCATATATATACTATGTAAAATGTCTCTTCTATAAATAATTGCCAGTATGTAATATATATACCATCACATACACAATTATTGAATAGTAGATATTATATAGTAATCAGTAAACACCCTATTATAGATTAACCAGTATCTAGAAATTTATAAATGAATATTCTATGAAAACATATGCTATAAAATGTCTAATATGCCTATTTTGGGGATTAAAATTATTCTATAAATGATAACAAATACTGAGAAAGAAATGTTCTAAAGTGTTATAAAAACTACATGGCAAATGAGAAGCAGCTTGTTAATTGACTAATACGTATAACTCAGTTTCTCTTAGCACATTTTTATTCAAATTGTATAAAACATGTTATTTGAATTTTGCAATTCATTAATTTCAGATGCCTAAAAAAAAGTAGTTTATATGAAGAAAATCTGCCTGCACTCTGTTTTTTGAAACACTAAATGCAATTTGAATATCAGATCTCTCTTTTGGTGACAGACTTGCTTAACAGACTGATTACCAATGATAACTTGTAGTTAGAAGGTTTCTCAAAAAGATGGCATACCATCAATTGCTCGACTCACAGGGCCCAGCAGTAAGTGCTTACCAAGTGGGTCCTTTTCTTATTCTCCCACTGACACCAATCTAGTTTCAATCTTAATTGCTTCCCATTTGAGCAAAAGTCTCCTAACCAGTTTCTCTTTTTCTTTTCTCTTCAGATTTTAAAATAACACTCCTATTGTAGATAGGATAAGCTTTCTAAAATAAAATAAAGTGACAAGATTTTATTGAATGGACATTACAGGCTAGGGACAGAGTTGAGTCTAGTATAGGTTTGTAGGTAGGGTACAAATTCAGTAATATGCTTCATTTGAGAGGATTCCAAAGATCCCCTTTCTAAGGTTGCCTGAAGGTTTAAGACAGCTTTTAAACATTTTTTGAAATTCTGACATTTTCCACCCATTCATGTGTTCAATAAGCATTTTTTAAAACTGTCTATGTCAAGGTTTATGGCAGAAAATGCAGATATAGAGGTAAAAAGGCAATGCCTTTACCATTAAGAGATGTAGAGTCCAGTGAGAAATCCATGTCAACAGATAATTTGTACAACATAAAATAAAATGCAAATACAGCCTAGGGAAAGTAAAACCTTGTTTTGCCTGGGCAAGTTAGGGAAGACTTCACAGAAGAAGCAATATTTGAATCAAGTCTTAAAAGAAGATAATCATTGTCTTGAAGTTCTCTTTTAAAATTTAAGCAATATCTTACAGTTTAGGGGTAAAGAAATGAAGATGTGGAGAGGTAACAATACTATCTGGGGATCAATTAGTGTATTAGAACCTTAACACATTGAAAGAATACAAGTATAAAAAGATGGGGAAAGTTTCACAGGATACCAAAAAAAATCCTAAAATACTGTATGCCCACATGATTCCCAGGATGAGGGTGTTGAAGGGAATAAAAAGCACCAGAGATGAGCTTGATCTACTCCATAATTAGGTATAAATCTAGCCCCATGTAAAGTAACCTCAGTATTGTCAGCCACAGAGCTATCCTCTCTAGCATTAGTCAATTCTTGAAAGCTAGTTATTTTCACAGTTGAGATCAACTGCCTAAAATATTCTATATTACTTTCTTGCCTCTAGAACTTGATTAACTATAGGCAGAAACCAAAGGAATTCGAACTCATTTGTTAATAATTAAATTGACCATTAAAATTGATGATTAATGGAATAATTAAAATGAATTAAGTCAATGTTGAAACATCTAGTGTATTTCTTCCAGAGGATTTAAAATAAAAAGAACACACCATATCTTTAATAAATTCTTGCAAATAAATGATTGAGAATTCCTGGAATTTCTGAAACTACAGACTGTGAAATTTATGGATCATTTTAGAAAAACAGACATTTTCTTGCTCTCCTCCTCCCTGTGGACCTACTGAATCAGAATCTCTTTGTATGAATCTTGGCTTGTGTATGTTTAATAGAGGTCCATAGATGATTTTGGTGAGCACTTCTAGTTAAGAACCACAAAGTTTTTTCTTTACATTGTGCAGATGAGAAAACTGAGGTCCAAAGGGATGAAGCAAATTGTTCAATGCCATGCCACTAGTAGATGCAGAATTGGGATTTGAATTATTATCTTCCTTTCCAGTGCTATTGGCAGCACTTGACAGCTGCCTCTGGAAGAGTCTGACCCTAGAGATCTGGGGCAGAGTATCAAAGCTAGTTATAGAAATAGAAGCCTTGATCAGAAATTTAATATGTCAGTGTCAAGGAAAAAAATAAAGGGAAGATTCCTACACCCAAAAGTTCAGGTAATTGTCAATTAGGGGAAAAACGTCAGAGAGATATATTTATTCATGAGATTGATGGGTTCCCTTACTGAGAAAACATTATTGAGTATATATTATGTGCTAATCACTGAGAACAAAAGGAAGGAGAAGACAAAACATTAACCATAAGACATACTCTCTAAGTCTTTAGAATTTTTAAAAGAATGCTTGATTAGAAGAGTGAAGATTCATAGTCAAATCAATACCGTTCCATTTGCATTGAAATTTCTTTTTGCTTTGTATTAGTAAAGCTATGAAGATGGTTAAACTGCTCTATTTTTTGGAAACCAACATTTAACATATTAAAAATCAATATTTTCTGTTTTTAATAAGTATACGGGCCGTGCGTGGTGGCTCACACCTGTAATCCCAGCAGTTTGGGAGGCCAAGGCGGGTGGATCACAAGGTCAAGAGATTGAGACCATCCTGGCCAACATGGTGAAACTCCATCTCTACTAAAAATACAAAAATTAGCCGGGCGTGGTGGCGCATGCCTGTAATCTCAGCTACACAGGAGGCTGAGGCAGGAGAATCACTTGAATCCGGGAGGCGGAGGTTGCAGTGAGCCGAGATTACGCCACTGCACTCCAGCCTGGCAACAGAGTGAGACTCTGTCTCAAAATAAATAAATAAATAAAATAAATTAAAATAAGTATATGGAGAAATATCAGCACTCATGAGTTGATGCATGTGAAAGTTGATACAACAGAAACTCTGGCTCCAGGTCTTTAACAAACTGCCTGCTAGGGTTGCAACAATCCCTCCAACACATGCATTTACAGGAAATAGTCTGTACAAAAATCACTGAATTTATTACAATCAAGCTTTTGGCATAAGACTTCTCTTTCTTTAGTTTTTTAATTTGTTCAATTTAAAGGATATAAGTGCATTTTTACATGGATATATTGTGTAGTGAAGTCTGGGCTTTTAGTGTAACTATCACCTAATAAGGTACATTGTACCCATTAAGTAATTTCTCATCCCTCATCCTCTGCCACCCTCCTATGTTTCTGAATCTCCAATATCTATTATTCCCCACTGTATGTCCATGTGTACATGCCATTTAGCTCCCACTTACAAGTGAGAACCTGCAGTATTTGTTTTGTTTGTTTGTTTTTGTTTTTTTATTTTATTTTATTATTATTATACTTTAAGTTTTAGGGTACATGTGCACAATGTGCAGGCTAGTTACATATGTATACATGTGCCATGCTGGTGTGCTGCACCCATTAACTCGTCATTTAGCATTAGGTATAACTACTAAAGCTATCCCTCCCCGCTCCCGCCACCCCACAACAGTCCCCAGAGTGTGATGTTCCCCTTCCTGTGTCCATGTGTTCTCATTGTTCAATTCCAACCTATGAGTGAGAATATGCGGTGTTTGGTTTTTTGTTCTTGCGATAGTTTACTGAGAATGATGATTTCCAGTTTCATCCATGTCCCTACAAAGGACATGAACTCATCATTTTTTATGGCTGCATAGTATTCCATGGTGTATATGTGCCACATTTTCTTAATCCAGTCTATCATTGTTGGACATTTGGGTTGGTTCCAAGTCTTTGCTATTGTGAATAATGCCACAATAAACATACGTGTGCATGTGTCTTTATAGCAGCATGATTTATAGTCCTTTGGGTATATACCCAGTAATGGGATGGCTGGGTCAAATGGTATTTCTAGTTCTAGATCCCCGAGGAATCGCCACACTGACTTCCACAAGGGTTGAACTAGTTTATAGTCCCACTAACAGTGTAAAAGTGTTCCTATTTCTCCACATCCTCTCCAGCACCTGTTGTTTCCTGACTTTTTAATGATTGCCATTCTAACTGGTGTGAGATGGTATCTCATTGTGGTTTTGATTTGCATTTCTCTGATGGCCAGTGATGGTGAGCATTTTTTCATGTGGTTTTTGGCTGCATAAATGTCTTCTTTTGAGAAGTATCTGTTCATGTCCTTCGCCCACTTTTCGATGGGGTTGTTTGTTTTTTTCTTGTAAATTTGTTTGAGTTCATTGTAGCTTCTGGATATTAGCCCTTTGTCAGATGAGTAGGTTGCGAAAATTTTCTCCCATTTTGTAGGTTGCCTGTTCACTCTGATGGTAGTTTCTTTTGCTGTGTAGAAGCTCTTTAGTTTAATTAGATCCCATTTGTCAATTTTGGCTTCTGTTGCCATTGTTTTTGGTGTTTTAGACATGAAGTCCTTGCCCATGCCTATGTCCTGAATGGTAATACCTAGGTTTTCTTCTAGGTTGTTATGGTTTTAGGTCCAACGTTTAAGTCTTTAATCCATCTTGAATTAATTTTTGTATAAGGTGTAAGGAAGGGATCCAGTTTCAGCTTTCTACATATGGCTAGCCAGTTTTCCCAGCACCATTTATTAAATAGGGAATCCTTTCCCCATTGCTTGTTTTTCTCAAGTTTGTCAAAGATCAGATAGTTGTAGATATGCGGTGTTATTTCTGAGGGCTCTGTTCTGTTCCATTGATCTATATCTCTGTTTTGGTACCAGTACCATGCTGTTTTGGTTACTGTAGCCTTGTAGTATACTTTGAAGTCAGGTAGCGTGATGCCTCCAGCTTTGTTCTTTTGGCTTAGGATTGACTTGGTGATGCAGGCTCTTTTTTGGTTCCATATGAACTTTAAAGTAGTTTTTTCCAATTCTGTGAAGAAAGTCATTGGTAGCTTGATGGGGATGGCATTGAATCTATAAATTACCTTGGGCAGTATGGCCATTTTCATGATATTGATTCTTCCTACCCATGAGCATGGAATGTTCTTCCATTTGTTTGTATCCTCTTTTATTTCATTGAGCAGTGCTTTGTAGTTCTTCTTGAAGAGTTCCTTCATGTCCCTTGTAAGTTGGATTCCTAGGTAGTTTATTCTCTTTGAAGCAATTGTGAATGAGAGTTCACTCATGATTTGGCTCTCTGTTTGTCTGTTATTGGTGTATAAGAATGCTTGTGATTTTTGTATATTGATTTTGTATCCTGAGAATTTGCTGAAGTTGCTTATCAGCTTAAGGAGATTTTGGGCTGAGATGATGGGGTTTTCTAGATATACAATCATGTCATCTGCAAACAGGGACAATTTGACTTCCTCTTTTCCTAATTGAATACCCTTTATTTCCTTCTCCTGCCTAATTGCCCTGGCCAGAACTTCCAACACTATGTTGAATAGGAGTGGTGAGAGAGGGCATCCTTGTCTTGTGCCAGTTTTCAAAGGGAATGCTTCCAATTTTTGCCCATTCAGTATGATATTGGCTGTGAGTTTGTCATAGATAGCTCTTATTATTTTGGGATATGTCCCATCAATACCTAATTTATTGAGAGTTTTTAGCATGAAGGTTGTTGAATTTTGTCAAACGCCTTTTCTGCATCTATTGACTTTCTGTTTCTGAGTTGTTTCATTTATTATAATGACCTCTAGTTTCATTCATGTTTCTGCAAAAGACATGATTTTATTCTTTCAATGGCAGAATACTATGTATACACTATAAATAGTATATATACATTTTCTTTATTCAATTATCTGTTGATGGATACTTAGGTTGATTCTATGTCTTTGCTATGTAGAACTTCTGATTTTTGTGAGCTGAGCTGGATCTCAGAGTCTTAAAGCCTACACCAGAAGAAGTGTTTTTCTTAGTTCTTTGTCTTTATGACCCTACTCTTTAATGTTGATCCATGAGCTCTCATCACTGTCACTGCAAGATTTGAAAGCAAGCATAAAATCAAAGAAACCCAGGAAAAATAGAACCTCGCTTCCTGAAACTTAAAAGAGATATTCTAAAGCATTTCTCCACATTTCCCTCCCCCACGCTTGTTTCTGCTTGGTGCAGAGAAGGGGTTTCCTGCAGCTTAGGAATATTCCTGACCCTTATTGCATCATCCACATGGGTGTAACCAGAAAAGGGTTAACCTCTGCTCAGCATACTAAATTCTCTGGCTCCTGACACCATGAGGAGCTTTTCTCCTCATAGAGGTTATAAAATTTGTTAATGTATAACTAGTAAATAGCAGGACTAGAATTGAAATTCAAACTTAATTGGAGAAATGTGTGCCTTTGAAGCAAATGTGCCTTTCATTTGACTATACTTACTATCTCTGTGAAAGAAGTCAAGTTATTCTAGCATGTGGGTTTCTCACCTATGCCTCACTCTCACCTATGCCTCCCACATTGTCCTCTTAATACACTCTTTTAACTCATACAATTTATGTTTGTGGGTTTTGTTAAGATTCAGTTGTTCCTTAATTTGATGCTAATAACCCTTGCATGGATGATTATTTACAAGTAGATATATTTGTCTCAAATAACTAAATTGTTCTGTGCAGTTCTAGCAGACTGCTGGCAATATGGAATTTAACATTTACAATGTCTCCTATACTAGAAGAAACCCAGAAGCATGAACCATGTTAGGCTGGTGCAAATTACCTTTGAGGGTGCCTCTCAAAAAGTAATTACATTACTTTTAATGGCAAAACTGCAATTACTTTTGCACCAACTTAACAGTAATTTATAGCTTCAGTGAGACACAAATAAAAATCTCACATCTGGAGACATATAGGAACAAATCCTTTGGCCAGCTTCTCAGTATCTACATGGCAATGTACTTTTCTTATTCCCTACCAGCAATTATTTATACATTTTAGGAGAAAATTTTGGAACTTAAAATCTCTACAAGTTTATGGAATCCCTAAATCTGTGGATGCATCACTCAAAAGTCAAAGGCTTAATGGTATGCCTCTGGGCTGTCATTACCCCAGTACAATATAGCCAATGACTTTGGATTTCTATAAAACATACCTGAAGCATATAGCATTTATCAGTAGAAACAATCCTATATATTTTATTTTACTATAATGGGCATTGTGTTTGAATGGTATGCCCTGAAAAAGCTAGACCCTGTTTAAAAGCCCCCCACACATATTCCTTCCATTCACGTAATAATTTGCTATTAATAAAATTGCTGTTATTTTCACATTTATCACAATTGATCCTCATGGCCACACTGGAAAGTAGCCTAGCAGGTATGATTTCTCCCAACTTATGCATAAGGAATGTGTTGCTCAGGGCAATTGAAGGTGTCATTGCCATTAGGAACTGATAGAGGAGGGACTTAAATCCAGGTGTCACCTATGAGAACTTGCTGTTTCCATCATATCATAATGTCCCTTGGCTAGTCCATTAGGAGTGCCTCTCCTCACTAGTGAATCTAATGAACAGAATAAAACAATCATTCATTTATGAAATATTTGCTGAGTACCTGCTATATTTTGTGCAATGCAATTGGCACTAAGGATTTAAGGTAAACACAATATGATTCTTGTCCTTCAGGAACACAAAATTTACTACTGGAAATAGATAAGCAAAAATTTTGATATTGTTTTGCAAGTAATCTAGAAGGTTTTTTTTTTAAGTACTGTAGAACCATGAAAGAACTACATAACTCTGCCTGTGATTGTCAGAAAAGGAATTGCTATGACAATCTCTCTTTGTCAAGAAAATTGCATAGCACACAAAAACAGTACTGTTTTGGCTGGAGAGTCCTACATAAGAACTGCAGTAGGTTAGGAATCAGGAGATTTGACTTTATAGAACTAATTTTTAGAGCAACTTTGGCAATTTGCCCTCCTTTTAAGCCTCAATTTCTTCATCTGTGAAATGAAAGAATCAAGCTAAATGATAGGTAAATTCCCTGCCAGCCCCGAGGTTTTGTTTGTTTATTTATTTATTTATTTTTTACTTTTCTCACAAATGTGCATAAACTCCCTGTGGGGCTGTTTCAGAAATTGCTTCTTAGATTTTTCTTTCAAGTTAGGACCTCATTCATGATGTTGGTTTCTCTTTTCACTGGGAGGTTGATTCTCATTTCCATTGCCTATTGGCCCACAGAGTCTGTTGTTTGCCAGGAAGTCTGGGATCAAAGCCCAGACTGTTTCAATTGGGATTATTGATATGTGCTTTACTGCATTATCCAGTATTTAGTTTGAGCTAAGAACTTTCTAAACTATGAATGCCATTTTCATTTCTGTAGGTGAAGGATAAGAAAAAGGAGAAATCTTCTGACTTTTATTATCGTAGAACTGCTGTGACCATGGATACACAAAATAGCTAATGTTGCTCTAGGGAAACTCGAGACTGGGGGCCATATATATCCATATTTAAACTTAGGCTGAAAGCATATCTAGTTTCCATTAAAGATGATGAGTGTGTTATTTTAAGTTTGGGATATCTTTGCTGTATGAGTTTCTACTTCTTTGTATTATTTATTTCATTGTCTACTTATCCATATTATATATAACTCCACTGCACTCATAATAAAACATAATTTGTTCATATGCTTCAAAAATTTCCATGCACTCACATACCTATATCAAAATGCATCACATGTATAATAATGTGCCTAATTCTCTTGAAGTATACATATATAGATAGTTACAAAAAATGATATTAATACTGTATATACTGTTTTATAGTCCCTAACTTAACTATTGTTGATAAATTGCTATGTTAAACGGTTAGCTTTAAATCTTCATTTTTAATGTGTTTAATCTTTTTTAAGGTTCTGCTGTAAGTTATTTAGAAAATTAATGCAAATCTAATTTTCATAATTATAAGCAGCAATTCAATGAAAATTCTCATATAAAAATATGTGAACATTTTCTTAGTAGCTTTTAAGAGAAATTTCTAAAAGTGCCAAATACTTTTTAAGTTGAAGGCCATGTACTTTTTAGAACTCTTTATGCGTATTATAAAATTTCCCTTCAAAAGGGCACAAGAGTTTCTGTTTTTCACATCTTTACTAACTTTGGATACTAAACAGAGATTTATTTATGAAAACAAAAGCTTTTATTTTTTCTTTATACCTTTTTAATTTAACATACATCTAGATCTAGCTTAGAACAGGTGCCAAGGTTTCATGCTTTACTCCTTTTGAGTCTTCCCTGGATTGTCATATAAAATAAGCTCCACTGTTGCAGTTTTTTTTTGTTGTTGTTGTTGTTTTTTTTTTTTTTTTTTTTTTGGTGTTTTCATTAGGTAGCAAAGAGTAGAGAAACACTCATGACTTTGACTCAGTGTCAGGGATTTCAATCCCAGCTTTCTCTCAAATGCTCCTATCCACAAAACAACAATTATGACCGTGATAAATAACTTTTACAACACCACAGGCTTTCCAAAAACATACATATTTATTTTCTCTTTATTTTCCAGACCAATATCGTTAAACCTGGGGAAAATACATAACTTTTAAACTTAATGATGTGAGATGAAGATGGTTGCTCTTTGTCCTGCCTTGATCGCTGCCCCACATTCACCAGCTTTTCATTTAAGACCTTTTCTTAAAATAAGCCTTGTAGAATTTCCTTGATGTATTATAAAGTCCCATTTATTCATTCTACAAAAGTGTTTTCTGTGTAATATACTGAACTTAGGGTCAAGAATTTCCAGCAACAAATACAGTGCTTTACACATAGCAAATATTTAATAAAAGTTTTGGGACTGATAGATGAAAGATTAATTGGACATAGTGCCTGCCCTCAAGGCATTTTTCAGACAAATGAAGAGGATGGGAGAAAAAAAATTGAACGATATTGTCATATCCAATGATAACATTGATTGAAATCAAAGCTAAATATCACTCAACACTGATTAGGTAAAAGAGAACATGTAGTCTCAGAAAGATAATTTCCATTAGAAATTGATACTTGACCTGGGACTTAAGGAAAAAAGAGGAGTTTGCTATTTGCTAAGAGAAAGGAGAAAGAGCAGACAGGAGAGCATGAGATTCCAGTCAGTGAGAGAGAAGCATGGGATGAAGGAAACATTATAATATGCATGGAAGGAAAAATCAGCATGGTATTTTACCATGTGTCATGATACTCATGACATATTAAGAGTTATTATTTTCTATGTTTATTCTTAGCTCCCCAACTAAATATAAAGGGAGGTGAGGCAAGAGAGAGAGAGGAAGAGATCAAGATCCATAATGCTTTTTTTTTTTAACAACAGCAATTCATGAAAATGTTTAAAGGGATGCAGTAAATAATATATTCAAAATCTAGATAGAAATAATCAAAAACCCATCTTAATTATCTTATACCAAAATAGGATCCTATATTGTGACAGGTAAGAGAATCCAACAAATTTAGAACCTATTTTAAAAAGCAAAAGAAAGAAGAGATTATTAGCATTGTAAAATTAGTGATGCTGGACTTACTAAATTCTAGTTTCTGCTGCTTACAGTGTCTTAGTATCATCTCAAGCAAATTAGAATAATTTAATAGTAAGATTATTTGTGCTATTGCTTAGGTCATTTAAGATATGCTTATTATATCTGGCATTTTCTCAGGATTTTTTTAAGTGGGTTTATAATTAAAAACCCAATCTTGGGCTGGGCACAGTGGCTTACGCCTATAATCCCAGCACTTTGGGAGGCCGAGGCGGATGGATCAGGAGGTCAGGAGTTCAAGACCAGCCTGATCAACATGGTGAAACTCCGTCTCTACTAAAAATTAGCGGAGCGTGGTGGTGCATGCCTGTAAACCCAGCTACTTGGGAGGCTGAGTCAGGAGAATCTCTTGAACCCAGGAGGCGGAGGTTGCAGTGAGCCGAGATTGCACCACTGCACTCCAGCCTGGGTGACAGAGCAAGACTCTGTCTCTAAAAAAACAAAAACAAAAAACAAAACAAACAACAACAACAAGTAAAAGAATCCAGTCTTCTCATGTTGAACACCTAGATTTTGCAGAGATGATATCAATGTTTGTACAGTCTCTGAAACTAATTTTGTATACATTAATTCAACAGCAAACATTTCCTGTTTGTCCACTCTGTACTAAGAAATTATCCAGGTTCTAAGAGTGTAATAAAACTATGCTTGTTTCTGTACACACACACACACACACACACACACACACACACACACACACGTGTGTGTGTGTGTACTTTCCTTTCATCTAGGTAATCACAAAAAGAAATACAGGCACCTGTTTCTTTCCACATCTTCCCTAGAGAACAATATTGCTTCATGATCTTCACAGAAGTCAACTTGTGACAAAGAATTATGTAAAGATCCTAAGATCCTAAGATCTCAAGAGCATTTTTATCAGTTTATGAAGTTCAAATCATTTTAGCCTATTTATAAGACATATATAATGCAGGATCCATGGCAGATATGACTTCCCATGCTTAATGAAAATCAGTCATGAAAATATCATGGCACTTAAAAAATAATTGCATTCCTTACCATTTGTTCCTGGCTTTTTTATCATAAATCTTCACAGAAGTAACCATACAGAATTGAAGTCAAATATTATGTTCTGATCTAATCTTCAATAAGTCATGTGGTGAGTGTCATATGTATATTTTAAATTATGTCTTTTGTAAAATTTAAAAGAAAAGACACTTTTTATAAAAATTTAATTCACTTATTCAGCATACATTATTAAGGATCTTTTATTCCAAACAGCATACTAGGACCCAGAAGTATGGTATTAAATAAGATAGTATTTTCTATTAAAAAGGTGTTTAAGAGTTATTTGAAATTGATGATTCATAGGAACAAAAATATAACAGAATGCTAATTGCTGGAAACAGTTCAAATACTGACCTTGCTTTGCTTTCATTAGCTAACCACATGGCTGATTCCTTGAAACACATTGTGTCCATGGATCTTGTCTCTCCCACTACTTATTTTAAATTACGTTGGAAATGCAAGTGGTCCTGAAGATCAGTAATAGTGTTTATGCTAGCAGTAATAGTACACTAGGCAATTTAATTATATCCTTCAGAAGACTTTTCTGAACCAATTAGTTGAACCCATTTTCTCTGAGTAATTCATTGTAGTCTATTTCAAATTACTAATACGTTTCATTAAATAAGTAACAATCCAGATGATTAGCTAATTGTTTTTCTTTTTTTATCAAGAAAGCTTCTAAAATGTCTCTCCAGGGCTCTCCTACACAATAGGGACATATGCAACTATTAAACTCGTTGTTTTCTCAGGCTAAGGGATCCACTATGATACCCACATTAGCAATATGGCAAAATGGTTATGAACATAGGCTGAATTCTGGGACTCAGTTCAGCTGCTTACTACAGAAATGATTTTTGGCAAATTATACAGCCTCTTTAAGCCTTCATTTATGCATATGTAAAATGGAGAGTGCTAATAATATCTCATTGATAGGGTTGTCATGATATCTTGAACACTCATCACAGAAGCTTGCATTAAAAAATCTGTTCAATATTGTAGGTATTATTGTTATTATTAACAGTAATTAGTTATTTCTAATGGCTTCACAGATACCTTCAAATGGAAAGCAATCCTTTCACTATTATATTTGCCCTTCCCTAGTATATGATCCATCCTAGTAGAGTATCTTTGTTCATGGTCAACTTATTTTCCCTTCTCTTCCAACTGCATAGTCCACTTCAAGCCTTTCCTTTATGATGTCTTTGAGGTAGTCACAACACTGGCTCCTTGGCCTTGGGTAGCCACTATTATGTAGCATGGAGGTCACTGGGCTGTGAATCTGAAACTGGATCAGAATCTGTAACCAGCTGTACAACTTTGGCCAAGTTGCCTGCCCCTCTCTGGGATACTGCTTTCTCGCTTGTGAATTAAAGGCCCTTTCAGTTCCATATGCCCTAATATTTGTAGAACTTCTACATGTGGAGATCTCAATCCCTCTCAATATAGTCTCATGTTCATATAATGGGAATTCTACCATTTTTCTACATGTTCTAGCTCTGATTGTTAAAATATTCTTGTTTGTTCTTATCTGAAATTTCTGTAAGTTCTACTTATTGCATTTTGGTCTTTCATTGGAGGCACACAGTGGAAATTCTTTCTTATGTAATAGATCGTGAAGGATGGTAATCACACCATATCAGAGATCTCTGGGCTTTACAGCCATAGCTATCTTAGCTATTTTTTTGCACTAACTGGTCTCATGAAGAACATTGGATGCTATGTGTAGCCCATCTAGGAGGAAGATTTATTATGAAATGTACTATTTGGCCTAATTCTTTATCCAAGCAGACAAAGTAACCATAATAACCCTCCAGTAACAGGATATGATGCTTCACCTTAACACTCGTTCATCATCATCTTCTTTATTGCTCAGGTTTGAAGCTATTTAATATCAAATACATATACTTTATTTTCAAGTTCCATTAAACTTACCTCCATGATGCTCCTCACATCCATGCCCATGGACTCACCTTACTTTATGTTCCTAACATGTCAACTGGAATAGATTTCTAACTGATCATTTTGCCTCTAGTATTTCCACCTTGATTCATCCTCTAAATGTCTAACAGAATATTTTTTTAAAAAATAAAAACACATAATTTATTCAAAGTATGTGGTCTGACTGTAACCCAATTTTTCAGGCTGACTACACTCTCACAGATCTGCCAGGGAATTTTAAGCCATGGTAAATAATTCAGATTGATAAGAACAAAAAGTGTCCACAGAATGGTGTTACAGAGGAAAGTGAAATAACTCATATTACTAGAAACATTTTAATTTAGTGCAAATAGTGGCTTGAACATGGGGTAACATTAGAGGCAGGTAGACCATTCAGGAGGTTATTGCACTAGTCCAGGTGAGAGATGCTGGTCCCCTGAAGCAGAATAGTGGGGACGGGAATGCTTAAGAACATGCATGTTCCAGGTATATTAAGGATTCCAAACCATTATATTAATTATCTCTCACCTTCAATCCCAGCAATTTTCGAGGCTAAAGGCTGAGGCAGGCAGATTGCTTTAGGCCAGGAATTCAAGACCAGCCTGAGAAACATAAAGAGATCCTTGTCTGTATATAAAATTAGCCAGGCATAGTGGTGTGTGCCTGTAGTCAGTCCCAGCTACTCAGGAGGCTGAGACAGGAGGACCACAGGAGCCCAGCAGGTTGAAGTGTCACTGAGCTGTGATCACACCACTACACTTTAGCCACGGTGACAGAGCAAGACCTGTCTCTACAAAAACAAACAAACGAACAAACAAAAAAAACAGTCTTCTCTGTTGTTTCCTTTCCCAACCTATCCCTGCTTCTTTCAGATCCTTCTTTCTTACTTAACTTCTTGAGTGCTTCCTGACTCCCGTATTGGCCCTCCCAGTAGGTTTGTTCTGAAACTATTATAGTTCTGGAAAATTATGTAATGACTATATCATAAAATATAAGCTTTACTGAGAATCCCAGAAACACATCTTAATTTTTATATCCACATTAGGAATGTTATTCTTAGATCTAATTAAAATTCTTCCCAATACTATTATTTCTATTTCTGTGTCTTATAAAAAGAAGAACCTTCCTCAGAATATGCAAAAATATACCATATCTTAAATGCCAGATTGATACTACGGTTCTACCATCAATGAGTTATTCCCATGTTTTTAAACCTGAGGTCCAGAAATACCTAGCAGTCCTTAGATGTTCACTATAAAATCCATTAATTCTCTCGAATTATATGTCAAATTTTTATATATGTGTAAATCTGGAAAGCACATAGCTTATACCACAGGTTAAAATTAATTGAAACAATGAAAAAATACAGTTCATATATATGCTTTCTTGTTCCTATAGAAATCCCTACCTTAGGTTTAAGTTTGGGCTAGATTATATATTTAAGTGCTGTTGTGCTTTCAGTTAGGATTGATATGAGTTATTCAGTTAGGTGGCAACTGCTCTGTAATACATATCATCAATTTGGAGATAAGAGTCTGAACAGAAGGGTATAATCTGTAACTATAAGAATGCATAGTGATCATAAACATAAGGCTAGTGCTATACTCTAAATAGTATCAGAAATAGATCATGATGATGCATATTACAAGGCCCGTCTTACTCTAAATAGTATCAGAAATAGTCTCTAAATAGTATCAAAAATAGATCATGCCCATCTTACATGGGCCACAAGGCCCATCTTACATGTTTAAAACTTTGTAATTTTTAAATATTTTTCAATAATACTTGCACATATTCTAAGCGTATGTAAATACAAATGGTTATGGTATAATTTCATTAAAAAAACACTAATAATTGGTTTAAGAAAAGACAATTTAAAAAGCAGTATTTCACCTCAGAACCATGTCTTATAGTTTTCATACCCCTTCCCAAATACCTCAGTATGTTGGGTGGGACACACAATATGTGCAGACTAAATATTGATTGAGTTGTATAGAAAAATTCCCATCTTTAAGATAACTTTTTTTACAATGGAGAAGTAAGCTGGAGCTTTATCAGACCAATCTCTAGAAATATCCCCTAGTTGTAATGTTACTGTCATTTCTTTGATACTAGAAATAATAGGAGTCCTGTCATAAACATGTTTTGCTTTTTGAACACAGTATGTTAATGGAAACCCATAAAAAGAGTAGTTTTCTTGGTCACCACATTACCACATATGTTTAGCTTTTTGTTTTTTCTATTTAGAGATTGGGCACCAAAGATGCTAATTCTGGCCTATAAATAGCCCAAATTAGAACAATAGAATAAATGTCCTAAGTTCCTCATAACTGATATTGCCCAGGTAAGATTCATACATGCAGACTCATCTGTGCATGAAATGGACTCTTTCTAGAGCAATAATATCTATGAGATATTTTCAGGCCCCTACTAAGAAAACAGGGCTATTGATTTTAGTGTAAAGCCCAACTTTCTAATGCCACTACAATATTTTTTTAAAAAACTAGGTTGTTGGTAATAAAATTGGGTGCTGAGATGAAATAACCTAAAGAGTGAGTCTTATTCCTGGGATTCCATATTCTGACTAACATGCTCTCCCAACTTGCTTTGGTTTCAAAACATGTTCTACTACCTAGCTTTTACATTGACCTAGGTAGTACACTGATCAATGCCATAAAATCCATTTTACTCTTTTTTCAGCTAAGCTAAAATGGGATGTTACAAATTATTAAATAAGAAATTAATGACATAAAAGCCCAGTGAAAACCAAATGAATTTACAGAATACAAGGTAAACACTGATTAAATGAAAGAATATAAACCTCTAACTAGAAGTCAAACATGATTTAGAATTGATTTCATTTCAATACTGATTATGCCACAAACTTGTATGCTTTTAAAATATTGATAGAGTATCTTAAAATAATTTAAATGTCCTTTATTTAATAGCACTTGCCCCATATACTTCAGTATATATTGTAATGTTGGTCATTTGTCATGTATTCATATTTTATATTCTAGAATATATAATAGAAACAAAAAGGGCTGTCCTTGTCCAAGTTATCAAGTTATCAATGAAATTTCCATTTATTGCATCCTTATTATGTGTCAGGAGACTTGCATCTATTAGTTTTCTAATCAAGGGAGGTTGGAAGTGGGTGATAGTATCAGTTCAACATTAGCAGTAGCAGCTCAGCATTTGCTGAAGGTTCAGTCTTTATGTGTGGAGTTGAGAATAAAGAGTAAACAAGACAAAGTTGCTCTTCTCAAGCATCTTATGTTTTCCTAAATGTATGTTTTCAACTCACAATTCTCTCCTAACGTATTCACCTGCATATTCAGCTGCTTATATGACATTTCCAGTGCATTTTTCGTAAGCATCTCAAACCCAGCCAGTGCATTATCTTACCATTGCCACTTCCTCCTGTCCTCCTGGTTTAAGTCTTGAAAACAATGAGAGTAGATATAATCTTCTCTTACAACTTTATCCCTAAATTTTAATTAAGGAATAAATCCTGTTCATGCTACTGGTTTAACTTCTTTCCTATGTGTTCATTCCTCTGCGTTCACACTGTCACTGTTTGCAGACTTTTGTAATTTCTTACCATTCCAATTGTCTAGTATTTTCTGTTTCCATTTCCTCTCCTGTGCTTGCAATTCATCTTCCACATTGCTGCCAGTGATCTTTCTAAAATTTAATTCTAACTGTTATAAATTTCCAGAGGCTCCCCATTGCCTGCAAGATAAAGTTCAAATTATTTGTCATTGCATTTGCAGCCCATCATATGCTAGCCGTTGCCTTCCTTTCTAAACTTATCTTCTACTGTGTTCATTTTTACTCCTAAATGCTCCAGATTTACCTTTCCAAACTACAGTATATCGTGATATTTCCTACTTTCAAACCATTACCTCTGTTGCCTAAGATACCCTACCCCTTGTCCTTATTCCTGATTTGTACTTCATGCTTTTTCTCTTCCATTCTAGGCATCCTGTCCTCTCCTACTATCCTGAGAGTTGATCTATCTGTCACATACATCGAGCCTCATATATTTATTTTTTAAATTAGTTATCATACCTTCTCTCCTAGTACTATTCTATATATTAAAAAAGAAGAGTTTCCTGCTTCATCTGAAGTTGTAACACTCACATGGTAAAATTTTTCATAGAACAAATATTTCCAGCCAAAGTTGCTGTTATGGAGTATCTTTAAAATTAATTCATGCATAGTTTTTAAAAATTAATTTGCTTATTCAGCAAATACAAGCAAGACAGAATTATGTTACTCAAGTCAAAGTTTGATGGGAAAAACAAACACAGAGATTGATAAACACTGTGCAGTGTGTGATGTTCTGTGTTTGTAAATAATATGACTCATACATTATGAATGAATTAATGGGTAGATAGAAGAAAATATGGATTTAGAGCAAAAATAGCATACAGGATATGGGAGAATTCTTAGAAGTTGCTTGTACGAGCCAGGTGCAGTGGTTCATGCTTGTAATCCCAGCACTTTGGGAGGCTGAGGAGGGTGGATCATCTGAAGTCAGGAATTGAAGGCCAGCCTGGCCAACATGGCAAAATCCCATCTCTATTAAAAATACAAAAATTTGCCAGGCGTGGTGTTGCATGCCTGTAATCTCCCAGCTGCCAGCTACTTGGGAGACTGAGGCAGGAAAACTGCTTGAACCCGGGAGGCAGAGGTTGCAGTGAGCTAAGATTGCGCCACTGCCCTCCAGCCTGGGCAACAGAGTGGGACTCCATATCAAAAAAAGAAAAAAAAAATTTGCCTTGTACATTGTAGATGTTCAATAAATATTTGTTGAATTTTAGGAAGCTGCAAGTACATTAATATTGGTACAGCATATAATTTACCGTAAGAATAAGTGGAAGGAAAGGTCATTTGGACTGGTTAACTTCATATTCACTAGCTATTCTGTAGGCTTTGGAATGCCACTGGTGTGTGGTTTGAGGAGTTAGAAAATTTCCTTTGCATTTTTAATATGGTACCACAAGGGAATAATCAAGAGACTTCTATCATTCTAAAAGATAAGGTTCATAAAAGGATTTTAGGAATGTTTATAAATTCTCTGAGTATTAAAAATATCAAAAATGGCTAAATACAGTGTACTTGAACAAAAAATGTTCAATTTATAACAAAAATGAAAATCATTATATATTAGCAGGTACATTAACTTACAGATAAGCCTTACCGAAATAATTCATTCTTAAATTTTCACTTAAAGTTTTCTTCTCTTTCTTTTTTTCTTTTTTCTTTTTTTTCTTTGCTTTTATGTTATTTAAATGGAACTTGGCCTCCAGACCTTGACAATTGATCTCATCACCCACAATTTCCTTCTTGTTAAAGGTATTATCCTCTACTTTGTGGATTGCCATTCACCTGTCACTCACAGATTAAATGATTATAGGCAAAAGGAACTCTAACAATTATTTCACTCATATCCAGATGCTGGAATTGGAGACCAGGGAAGAACTAGCTTTCCTAAGTTCATATCTGGGTCTGGTTTAGAACACGATTCTCCTAATTTTTAGCCTAGTGATCTTTCCTGTAACTATATTAACATTATTGGTCCAAAAAGATCTTAGCTTTTCTTCCAGGATTACTCACCTTCCTTAAGAATACATTCCCCAAGAGGACAATGAGAACATTGCTGCCCTCTAAAATAACAATGGTTCATGGTAAAGGAGGCACAGAATCTCTATCAAACTGTCAATTGAGGAGGCGTTCATCCTTCACCTAGGATTTCACACGTTTTCTTGCCTATGAAAAGTTTTATCTAACTACTCACATCTTCCACTTAATGTATTTTGGAAAATAGCTTTCCATATACAATTTAATAGCCCCCTTTCTAGTTTCCCTAGCAACTGACAGAATTTTGAAAACAGCATAGTTTCTTTAAACAGAATTGGAAATTAAGAAGCATTTATGTTTTAATCTACTTCCATCAGATAGTCACATTTCTAAATATCTCAAATATTTTAACATATTTTTAGTAATATATCCTTACAACTTTTAGAGCCAAGTTGGACTATGTTTCTGTTCTCAATTAGAAGAGATGTCATGTGAAATATATACCCTGTGGAATAAAATATAAAATGATAATTTCAATACTTTTGGTAAATGGAATTATTGGATAACAATATGATCTGCTTGTTCATAAAAATTCTTCCTACCATCCCATTTTTTTCCATGTGCTTTAACACCTCACATGGCCCATGGCTTCCTTTGACTTTATTCCCGCTGTTTTCCAATCCCTCTCAGGATCCCTGAGTCTAAAATTTTTCATATTTCCTCTTACAATATTACTATTATGATTGATCTGCTTTGTTTCTTCTAAAAATACACCACCTAGCTTATTGTGTTATATCCAAAGGGTTTGTCAGGTCTATTTTCAAAATGAAGTAAAATATTTTTGAAAAGTTATTCTGGAGCTAACAATTTATATGCAATGGCCTGTTCTGATCTAAGGAGCAAAGAAGAATAAGGAGATGTTCCTCCCAAAGCTAGAGTGCCCAGTGTGTCTAGCTGGTAAGCCCAGCAGGATATAAAGAGAGTAGTCTTTCAGGGCAACATTTATAAAACAACCATTTTGCCAACTGCTGACCTAGGGACGAATACAGTAAAATATCTTCCCTTGGGAAATTCATTGTATAATGATGAAGACAGGCATAGATCTAGCCTATGTATTGACCTGCCTACGTGACATCTCCACTTGGATATCACATAAGCCTTTCAAACTTAACATATCCAGAAAGAAACCAAATTTCTATCCCTTTTTTATCCCTTTTTCCCCATTCATTTCCCTACATTCCCTATCTCAATAAATGATATTATTTTATTACCAAAGCCAGAAAATGAAGACTTGTTTTTCCTCTCTCTCTTTTCTTTACCTCCTAAATGCAATCCAACACCTAATGATCTATCCTTAAAGTCAATCTTAAACATATCCATGCATCACCATCATTAATATTCTTAACCCAAATCATGGGATCTCACCTGGATGGCTATAAGAGCCTCCTATTATTCCAGTTCCATTCTTGTCACAGTCCTATTCACGCACTACACAGGATCTTTAAAAGAGAAGACTCTTTAAAATCTATAGGAAATCATGCCATTTCCCCAATTAAAATCATTTGATACTTTCCAAAAACTCTTCAAATAAATCCAAATGCCTTATCATGTCTCCTACAACCTTGTATGGTGTGGCCTCCACCAATAACCCTTGCTCATTCCACTGTCTTCCACATCCTCTCCTTTTTAATTTTTGTGATATAAAAAAATTTCATTTCTTTCCTGCCCTGGATATTTTTTAACAGTTACTCCATCCTCTGCTTTGAATAGTACTGACCTCTGCTCACCAACTCTATAAATGAGTGATGCTTGGATGTCGGATCTCAGCTTATCTCTTCAGAGGGGCATTTTCTGATTGTCCTGGTTTAAAAGACACACACACACACACACACACACACACACACACACACACACATCATATCATATATCATATTTTTAAATAAAGATATCTGCTTGTTTTGTTCATTCTATTAACTACAATCTGTAATTAGTACATTTTATTTACTTATTTACTTGTATACTGTCAGTCTTTTCCACCTAACAGCCATCTTCAAAGGGCATCTGAAACATTATAAAAACTTACTGTGTATTCTGAATAATACATACATTATTTCAGTTTTAAATCATTCTACAAACATTTATAGATTGCCTCTTATGTGCCAGAAGCTCTTCTTGTCCCAGAGTCCAGCAATTAGCAAAACGAACAGAAGCCCCTGTCTTCATGAAGCTCATATTTAAGTGGAGCGAGGAAAGGGGATAGATAATAGACACAGAAAGGTATGTAACGTAAAAAAATAAATAAAGCAGGAAAGGGGCATCAAAAAAGTGTCTGTGGGAATGATGTTTTAAAATAAGGTAGTCAGGAATGTCCTTAATGAGAAGATGATATGTGAGAAGACTTAAAGATGGGGCAGGGGGAGCCATGTTGGTACCTATGGAAAGAGCTCTCCAGGTTGAGGGCACAGCAAGAACAAAAGCTCAGAAGTAGAACATGTTCCACACATTGCGCAAGTAGCAAAGAGTCTAGTTGGCTGAGATGAGTTGAAAGAGATGAGTTCAAAAAGCTAAAGAGAGTAGATTGGTTAATGTAAGAACTATAAGCACTTTGGCTTTTGGAAGCTTTCAGAGGATTTGTGATGTTAGCTAATTATATCAAGTCATGGCAAAGCAATGCATTAAGAATTCTTTGAGCTCAGAGGTACCACCTCAAATTCATTCTGGGTGGTGCAAGGGAGCAATGTCAACAATGACTTATTGGAGAAAATTATAGCTGAGATGAAATGACTCTTACCTATCAAATTCCTATTCACATTCAGAACACATGCCCAGTGTTACCTCCATCACCTGCTGCTACGTCTTATGGATAGTTCCATTTCACTATGTTGTATGTTTATCATCTATTTCTCAGATCACAATTCTCTTTGTACTAGGGACCATGTCATATTCATGTACCTGGCACAGTGTATGACAAATATTTGATATCTCTTGGACACATGAGTATAAAAGCAGAGAACAGAAAATGTATGCTTCCCCTTGGTAGTTCTGAACTAGCAGATTTTTACACTAAGTGAATGGGCATCCTATCTAATGTGTCAATATATGAATAGGTAACATTTATTGTCTTTGGAACCTGAGCAAAGCAGGAAAGTGCTCTTACACATCAAGTATCAGCTTGTTTTCTTTCCAGTAGTTTACTTTCCACCCTGCCTGAAGATAAATGGTGCATAGTCACTACTATTGTTGCTAACCATGTCAAAAATGGTAACATATGGATACTCTTTCTTAACTTCTTTAATTATAGAATGTTCAATAAAAATTTGAGGCTTCACTTCATCAGTCACAACAGAGTTTTCCTAAAATTTGCAAATACCTGTAGTAGAAATGACTAACTAGGCCAAAGAACTGAATGCTTTGACTGCATGATGTTGTGTCTCCGAGGATAATACATCATCTTCTATCATGTTTTTAACATCGTAAGTACACAAATATTCTTAGATATGATTGTTCATCTGCCTAATTATTTTAACTATAGATGTTTTGAGGTCATAAGTAATGGGACAAAAATCTTTATTTCATCTTTTTCAATTTATTCTTTGAACAACTTACGTCCATTTCTTCTTGATCTATTCATCTCCAAATCAAGTTTCAGTACAAACTAGCCTTTCTTCTTTAAAACGTAAAAAAGCATTTGGAGAGGAAGATCATGCCCACTACATTTAGAAATTTACCAGAATAACTACCAAAACAGAAAGAATGAAATTCTGCCAAAGTATGTAATTAGTTCTCAAAACTATTTATTTGAAGGCCACTAATTGTAAGGGAACTTAACTGCAATTTTAATGTTACTAAGTAACCAAACGCTTACTGTGGGATCATTTCAGTTGAGATAGAAAGATAATCCCATACACTCCACCTCCACTGACAAGCCTCTGCAGAATACATTTGGAATACTTTAAGAGGTCTGTTTAATTCTAGTAATTGAAATGTCCTGCGGTTTTAGTGTGTTCGTTAACATAGTGTGCTAAACTGAATATAAAATTTTATACCGCAACATCTCTTGGGAATGATTTCAAAATGTTGGCTAAATTCAGCTCTTAGTCTATGATTTATATGTCATATAGAGAGCTGTAAATATATTTCATGATAAATTTACAAGAAGAGATTATGTGATGGATAGAACAGTTAAACATTTGCAACATGTGACCAGAGATTAACATTCCCAAAGACGGGCAGCCCTGTATCTGCTAATCGGGTTTATGGACTTGCTTTTATTTTGTAATTCTATAGGGAGAAATGAAATCCTGCATTTATGGAATCATGTTTTAAAAGCCTTCATTTCCTAATCCCTCAGTTACCTTCATTTATAAAATGAATAATTTCTACCCATTACAACACAGTATTTATTCAATAGAATGGGAAGGGATAGAATACACCGATGAAGAACACAGGCTTTGCAGTCTGTGTTCTAGCCAGTCAATCTCTAACACAGCTCTTCAACATCAGGTCCTTTACTTAGCCTTGTGAGCCTTATTTTATTCCTTTATATTAAGTGGTGGGTGATACTTATCAAAGAAAATTACTTGCATGATTAAATATGATTTGTATTCAAAGCACTTAGTGTAATATGTGGCACAGAAGTATGTGTAAACTCAGTGAGAAGAGTGTATTGATCAGTTATTCCTATGGTGGGCACATAAGTGGAGAATAGGAAAAGTGTGCTTCCTACTGGTATTTCTGAACTAGCAGATTTTCACTCTAAGATATTGAAAATCTCATCTAATGGATCAGTATATAATTAGGTCACATTGCATTGTCTTTGACATCTCAGCAGAATATGAGGCTGCTGCCTAACACAAACAAGATACATGCTTGTTTTATTTCCAGTAGTTATTTTCTAACCTACCTGCTACTAAAAGATTTCCTAGAGGACAGAATATGGAAGATAAATTATGGCCATGGTGGTATAGTGGTAAATGTATAAAAATTGAGCTTAATTTTTAGCATCATTAGAAGCTGGGAAGAAATTAATGTAATCGGCTCCTATAAGCTGGTATGAGGCTGTCATCAGTACTCCACTGATAATGGGGAATTATTTTTTCTTCTTTGTACAGAAGGACTCACTGCTAGCAGATTTATGGGATCAAAAGATGGAATGTTTCCTATGTGCCAGTGTATAGATGCTTTGCAGGTACTAACCTATATAATCCTCCTAAAACCCTGAAAAGTAGGTATTTTCATTCATTTTCATAAGAGAACTAATGCTAAGATGTTTTCTAAGTGCATACAAAAAAGTAAGACACAGAAGTGCCCTTTTGAGTCATTCATATATCATCTGTGCCTCAGTCACATGGATGTTCTAGCATCCAAGATGAGTATGGGTAGAGTTGCCTTCATTTTCCAGAGAGAGAGAGGGAGAAAACAAAACATTTGAATTAAAAGTGAAACTCTTGGAAAATCATGGTTATTGTTTAATAGACCTAACTATACAATATGGTTGCTGCTCAAACTATGACATTTGCTTCTATTGTTTCCCTTGTCGTTGCATTTATTCCAATTACAGCTCTGACACACCTACCTACCTGCATTATTATTTGTTTCTTTTTAGTGTGCTAGTGCCTGTAAAATTTTAAATAGCCATCTTGTATGTGATAAATAACATCTAGAGTGATAAAATATTATTTCACAGAAGTTCAATGATAATGTATATGGACAGTGAGGAAGATACCCAAAATTTAGTGTTTGATTGTTTACAGGATTCTAAAGATTCAGGTCTGACTATAATTCATAAATCATTTGAACACAAGTCCTTTATGTTGAGTTTGATTTGAAGATGTCCCAAAATTACTGTAAGAGGGGATAGTTAAACCCCTAAGATTATGGGAAAATGTTTTCTCTCCCTTTTAAAAGTGTAGACACAAACAAAATGTTTAGGAAATAATTGATTTAAATACCACCAGTTAGCACAGTAATGTAGAGTCCAGCCTTTAAGTCAGGCGGACTTTAGTTCTGGATCTAGTTTTGCCACAATCTAGCATGGTGATCCTTAGCAAATAGCTTAATCTCCAAACTTCAATTGTCATCTGTCAGAAGGAAACAATATTAATTTTTAACTAATACATTTGTTGCCGGGATAAAAGTAAATAATATCTGTGAAGGGCTTAGCACTCGGCTTGGCATATATAGTGAGTGGTCCATGAATGAGTTCAGCCATTATCACTATTGATGTTTCCTCTGAAACCTGCCAGAACAACAACCCGTCAGCTTTGGACCATGTGAATTGATATTTTAATTATTTGGGAATTATATTCACAGAGACAATTTTTCTTCCATAACATGGTGAAACCTAAAGCTTTCCAATTTTCAAAGAACAGAGACTTAAAGCTTCATTTATAACAGGGACAATCTTAAATAAGCCAATATATATAAGGTGATATGGAAGTTTATGTCAAAAAAATATGCAATTAGTAAAAGTTACCCATTGATATGGTTTGACTGTGTCCCCACCCAAATCTCATCATGAATTCCCATGTGTTGTGGAAGGGACCCCGTGGGAGGTGATTGAATCACAAGGGCAGGTCTTTGCTATGCTTTTCTTGTGACAGTGAATAAGTCTTATGGGATCTGATGGTTTTAAAAATGGGAGTTTCCCTGCACAAGCTCTCTTTTCGCCTGCTGTCACCCATGTAAGATGTGACTTGCTCCTCCTTGCTTTCTGCCATTATTGTGAGGCTTCCCTAGACACGTGGAACTGTAAGTCCATTACACCTATTTCTTTTGTAAATTGCCCAGTCTCAAGTACATCTTTATCAGCAGTGTGAAAACAGACTAATACAGCAATTATTATTATTATTGTTATTATTATCACTGCTACTTCTAGAAGAATTGTCATTTTCTTATTAGAAATTCATGTTTTAAAAGCTTTTGTAAAAAAATTAGATTTAATAATATACATATTAATAAATACCATGCAATACAGTAACAAAGTCTGTAGAGAATCCAAATTATAATAAAAATTATAATTTTATGAATCACAATACTTTTCAATGAATAAATGCAAAATTTACACCCAAGAAGGATAGCATGTGAGGAATGCTTGGAAATCAAGTGTGTGAATTCACTACTGTGTTAATGTGATTCTCAGTCACCCACTGTCATGCAGCAATGCTGTGGGCAGCCCCATTGCTTGTAATTCTTCTGCTCAGCATGGGATCTCAGCTTTGTTGGCTTGTCAGTTTCAACAGGTGTCATTTAGCAAAGAAATGATTTAATCCATGATGCTAGTTTCCCTGAGGTGGCCAGAGGAGATTGTGGTCAGCACATTAATGTCTTCCTGCTTTGTTCATGCTTAGCAGGAATGCAGGAACTCTTCAAAAAGTCACAGAGCAGCAGAACAAGCTAACTACTTGCCTTACAAATGGACCTGCTGGATGCAACCAGGGAACCATTTGTGAGAATCAAATGTATTTATGATGACTGGAATCATAGCCAGGACAATCAGCCTGCCTGGAAATTCTGAGCAAAGTACTGCACCGTGCCTTTGCCTCCTTTAAGTGTACATCCAGACATAAATATGGGCATAGAGGTCTGAATACAGTAGTTTGGGTCCTGAATATATCTTTGAACAAATGAAAGATGTGTACCTGTATAATTAGGATGCTTGAATGTATCTTGTGAGGTCCATCTCCATTTATGTAGTGTTTCCAGTTCTTTGCTGCTGATTCTCAGAGCATATTTTAATACTCTTTAGAGTCAGACATGCCCAGTTATGATAATCACATACATGCGTCTTACAGATGTTGAATTTTCTCTTTCCCTTCATTCTTATTTTCTTAAACACTTCCTCTCCCACATGCTCTTCAAAATAAGCCTCTGCACAAAAGGATACACCAAATATATACATATATATATATATATATATACATATATATGTATATATATAAAACACAGCTTGGTTGCTTCTCTATTGTCTAATTTATGTGTTTTTCCAGCTCTATATGCCATATGTACAGTTACTAAGAAAGACTAGGATCAGCCTGAGGTTATTTTCAATAAGTTTAAAGATTTCTTAGTGGAAAAAAAAAGCCATGTTTAATGACTACAGAAATGAAATGTATGAATAGATCAAAGGAGGATGCAAATTTGTCTCACACTTGAGAGCTGTTCCCCTTGGTAATTGGAATTTGCTTCTGAGAAGTTATACTGAACACTTTTTCAATAGGAAAAATATACAGGGTCTGGCATGGTGGCTCGTGACTGTAATTCCAGCACTTTGGGAGGCTGATGTAGGGGGCCAGAAGTTTGAGACCAGCCTGGGCAACATAGTGAGACCCCCATCTTTACAACATTTTTTAATAAAAATAATGAATAAATAAATATACAGATACCCCTGAAATGTAAATTAATACTTGCCAACTTTCATGGACATTTTGTTTGTACCCTCAAATATATTATCTGAATTAACTTTCATCTGAATATTACCTGATTTACTTTTATCTGTAAAGCTCTGAAGTGTTCAGTACTATTATTATCCCCATTTTTCAGTTGAGAAGATTGACTCACCCACAAGCTAAGGTACTCTCCCAACATCATAAAACGTAACGGCAGCTTGATCAGCCTTATATAGGGAGGCTAAGAAGAGGAGTGTTAAGTCATGACTATAAACTCATGTTCTCAACCATCTATAATGGGAGTTAGAAATAAATGAATAAGCACTTGTTGCATTTATAAATATTTTAGAAATTTTCAAAGATGCCCCAATGGAAGTAATACAGGAAATTGTTTATTAGAAAAAAGCAGCACAGTGTAGTATAAAGCAGCCCAGCATAATATTTAAGGGCATTCCAGCAGGGAAGACAGCTATTAAGGATATGATTGTACAATTAATTGTTATCATTGTAAGTGCCACAAGGAAAACAGGATACCATGAGAGCCTATTAAAAGAAGACCTCCCTCATCTGTGCAGGTCAGGAAGGGATTCTGCAGAAGAGTTGAGATCTGAAAAATTAGTCAGACTTAGCCAAAGAGGGCATGGGGAGAACATTCCAGGCACAGGGCATAGCTCTGGATTCTGAGGAGATTAAAGAAAAACAAAATGACTGGAACATAGTGAACAAGAGGGAGATGGGGCACTAATCCAGGAAAAAGGAATGGGACCAGTGACTAGGGCAGTTGCCATGACAAAGAACAAGGGAAGGATGCAAGAAACATCATGGAGTTGGAATTCACCGACCTTAGCAACAGTGTTGATGTACGAGGTGAAAATGGATCATTTGAATCAGATGATTTCTGGTGTTTGCTTTTCGGTGACTAAGAATCCAAATAAGGAAAAATTTTAGCTGCAATATAGAACTTAGGAGGAGGAGCAGCAGCTCCAAGGGTGATGAATCTCCTGTATAGCTCTGTGCGTGGGTGGGTATGAGGGTGTGTGTGTGAGTATATTAATTTCTTTAATTCTGAAATTAGAAAACTTTGATGTCATTTCCTCTTGTTTCTGAAAGAGCACAGAAAAAAATTCTGTTATTGAAATTTTCAGATAATTGGGGGTTTGCTAAACAGCAGGAAAACTGAGCACTTATCTAGACTCGACGGTGCTCCTTCCTCCTTAACTTCTGTTGCAGTATGATCCTCTAAACCCAGCGGAGTCTGATGTATTCCAGGCACCAGAGGAAAAAAATATGAGAGATTCTTATTTTCTTTAGAGCAAATATTACCATGCTAGGTTCTGCCAGATGAAGAATTGAAGGAATATCAACTTCTTACTAATCCCAAACAGCTGTGAAAGGCTAAATAATCCTTACAGGGTTCCTATTGACAGCTGTAGCAGCTTACACAAATAACTTCATGTGTTCAGAAGCAGTTGAGAACAGTGGAGAGAACACAAGCTTTAGAACAAGAACCCCATTTAAATACTATGTTTACCACATTCTGATTAATGTGGTTGCTTAAGCAAATTGCTCTCTGAGCATCAGGTTCTTCATCTATAAAAGATTTTTGTGAGAATTAAACTCAATAATAAATTATGTAAGCTATTTATTATACAAATTGCAGCACTGGTCTACATGGCATAAGCACTCAATAAATGGTAGCTCATTTTATTTAACCCAGAAGGGCAGTAGGCCAAGATCTTCCTTGAGTAGAAAACAGTGAAAATGTTATGTAAAATGTATTTGAACTTCATGAAGCCTAAGTGAAAATTTTCTTAGTGATAGATAACTTGAAAAAACTCTTCTCCCCAGTTAAATAGAGAAACATTTTTGTTTAAAAATATCCAGATCACTTAAAGACAGGACCTGGCACTGATCATAAGTTCTCTGGGCCATAGGTTCTTTCTTTACATAAAAAGCAACTTAGACTAGACCAATGTTGTCTAATAAAACTATAGTGTGAGAGGACTCAAATATAAGCCAATTCATAGTTTTAAGTATTTTAATAACAACATAAAAATGAAGAGCAGTGGGCATTCCAAGATGGCCAAATAGGAACAGCTCCAGTCTGCATCTCCTAATGTGATCGATGCAGAAGACGGGTGATTTCTGCATTTCCAACTGAAGTGCCTGGTTGATCTCACTGGGACTGGTTGGACAGTGGGTGCAGCCCACAGAGGGTGAGCCAAAGCAGGGTGGGGCATCACCTCACCTGGGAAGCGCAAGGGGTTGGGGGATTTCCCTTTCCTAGCAAAGGGAAGCCGTGACAGACTATGTGGAAAAACGGGACACTCCTGCCAAAATACTGTGCTTTTCCCAAGGTCTTAACAACCGGCAGACAAGGTGATTCTCTCCCATGCCTGGCTAAGCAGGTCGCACGCCCATGGAGCCTTGCTCCCTGCTAGCACATCAGTCTGAGATCACTCTGCCAGGCTGTAGCCTGGCTGGGGGAGGGGTGTCGCCATTGATGAGGCTTGAGTAGGTAAACAGAGTGGCCAAGGAAGCTCCAAATGGGCGGAGCCCATCACAGGTCAACAAGGCCTACTGCCTCTAGACTCCATCTCGGTGGGCAGGGCATAGCTGAACAAAAGGCAGCAGACAATTTCTGCAGACTTAAACGTCCCTGTCTGACAGCTCTGAAGAGAGCGGTGTTCTCCTAGCATGGCATTTGAGCTCTGAGAATGGACAGACTGCCTCCTTAAGTGGGTCCCTGACCCCTGTGTAGCCTAACTGGGAGATATCTCCAAGTAGGGGCCGACAGGTACCTCATATAGGTGGCTGCTCCTCTGAAACGAAGCTTCCAGAGGAAGGATCAGGCAGCAATATTTGCTGTTCTGCAATATTCTCTGTTCTGCAGCCTCCACTGGTGATACCCAGGCAAATGGGGTATGGAGTGAAACTCCAGCAAACTCCAACTGACCTGCAGCTGAGGGACCTGACTGTTAGAAGGAAAACTAACAAACACAAAGAAATAGCATCAACATCAACAAAAAGGTAATCTACACCAAACCCCATCTGTAGGTCACCAACATCAAAGACCAAAGGTAGATAAAACCACAAAGATGGGGAGAAACTGGAGCAGAAAAGCTGAAAATTCTAAAAATCAGAGTGCCCCTTCTCCAAAGGATTGCAGCTCCTTGCCAGCAATGGAACAAAGCTGGACATAGAATGACTTTGACGATTTGACAGAAGTAGGCTGCAGAAGGTTGGTAATAACAAATTTCTCCAAGCTAAAGAAGGATGCTGAACCCACTGCAAGGAAGCTAAAAACCTTGAAAAAAGATAAGATGAATGGCTAGCTAGAATAAACAGCATAGAGAAGACCTTAAATGACCTGATGGAGCTGGAAACCATGGCATGAGAACTACGTGATGCATGCATAAGCTTCAATAGCTGATTCAATCAGGTGGAAGAAACGGTATCAATGATTGAAGATCAAATTAATGAAATAAAGCGAGAAGACAAGGTTAGAGAAGGAGTAAAAAGAAATGAACAAAGCCTCCAAGAACTATGGGACTATGTGAAAAGACCAAATCTACGTTTGATTGGTGTACCTGAAAGTGAGGGGGAGAATGGAACCAAGTTGGAAAACACTCTTCAGGATATTATCCAGGAGAACTTCCCCAACCTAGCAAGGCAGGACAACATTCAAATTCAAGAAATACAGAGAACACCACAAATATTCTCCTCAAGAAGAGCAACCCCAAGACACATAATTGTCAGATTTGCCAAGGTTGAAATGAAGGAAAAAGTGTTAAGGGCAGACAGAGAGAAAGGTCAAGTTACCCACAAAGGGAAGCCCATCAGACTAACAGCAGATCTCTCAGCAGAAACCCTACAAGCCAGAAGAGAGTGGGGGCCAATATTCAACATTCTTAAAGAAAAGAATTTTCAACCCGGAATTTAATATCCAGCCAAACTAAGCTTCATAAGTGAAGGAGAAATAAAATCCTCTACAGAGAAGCAAATGCTGAGAGATATTGTCACCACCAGGCCTGCGTTACAAGAGCTCCCGCAGGAAGCACTAAACATGGAAAGAAACAACCAGTACAAGCCACTGCAAAAATGTGCCAAATTGTAAAGACCATCGATGCTATGAAGAAACTGCATCAATTAATGGGCAAAATAAACCAGCTAGCATCATAATGACCAGACCAAATTCACATATAACAATATTAACCTTAAATGTAAATGGTCTAAATGCCCCAATTAAAAGATACAGACTGTCAAATTGGATAGAGTCAAGACCCATCAGTGTGCTGTAGGCAGGAGACCCATCTCACATGCAAAGACACACACAGGCTCAAAATAAAGGGATGGAGGAAGATCTACCAAACAAATGGAAAGCAAAAAAAACAGGGGTTGCAATCCTATTCTATGATAAAACAGACTTTAAACCCACAAAGATCAAAGGAGACAAAGAAGGCCATTACATAATGGTAAAGGGATCAATTCAACAAGAAGAGCTAACTATCCTAAATATATATGCACCCAATACAGGAGCACCCAGATTCATAAAGCAAGTCCTTAGAGACCTAGAAAGAGACTTAGACTCCCACACAATGATAATGGGAGACTTTAACACCCCACTGTCAATATTAGACAGATCAACAAGACAGAAGGTTAACAAGGATATCCAGGACCTGAACTCAGCTCTGAAACAAGCAGACCTAATAGACATCTACAGAACTCTCTACCCGAAATCAACTGAATACACAGTCTTCTCAGCAACACATTGCACTTATTCTAAGATTGACCACATAATTGGAAGTAAATCACTCCTCAGCAAATGTAAAAAAGCAGAAATCACAACAAACTGTCTCTCAGACCACAGTGCAATCAAATTAGTACTCAGGATTAATAAACTCACTCAAAACTGCTCAACTACATGGAAACTGAACAACTTGCTCCTGAATGACTACTGGGTAAATAACGAAATGAAGGCAAAAATAAAGATGTTCTTTGAAACCAATGAGAACAAAGACACAACATACCAGAATCTCTGGGACACATTTAATGCAGTATGTAGAGGGAAATTTATAGCACTAAATGCCCACAAGAGAAAGCAGGAAAGATCTAAAATTGACACCCTAACATCACAATTAAAAGAACTAGAGAAGCAAGAGCAAACACATTCAAAAGCTAGCAGAAGGCAAGAAATAACTAAGATCAGAGCAGAACTGAAGGAGATAGACACGCAAAAAAACCCTTCAAAAAATCAATGAATGCAGGAGCCGGTTTTTTGAAAAGATCAACAAAATTGATAGACTGCTAGGAAGACAAGTAAAGGAGAAAAGAGAAGAATCAAATAGATGCAATAAAAAATGATAAAGGGGATATCACCACTGATCCCACAGAAATACAAACTACCATCAGAGAATACTATAAACCCCTCTATGCAAATAAACTAGAAAATCTAGAAGAAATGGATAAATTCCTGGACGCATACACGCTCCCAAGACTAAACCAGGAAGAAGTTGAATCTCTGAATAGACCAATAACAGGCTCAGAAATTGAGGCAATAATGAATAGCCTACCAACCAAAAAAAGTCCAGGACCAGAAGGATTCACAGCCGAATTCTACAATGAGGAGCTGGTACCATTCCTTCTGAAACTATTCCAATCAATAGAAAAAGAGGGAATCCTCCCTAACTAACTCATTTTATGAGGCCAGCATCATCCTGATACCAAAGCCTGGCAGAGACACAACAACAAAAGAGAATTTTAGACCAATATCCCTGATGAACATCAATGCAAAAATCCTCAATAAAATACTGGCAAACTGAATCCAGCAGCACATCAAAAAGCTTATCCACCACGATCAAGTTGGCTTCATCCCTGAGATGCAAGGCTGCTTCAACATACGCAATAAACCTAATCCATCACATGAACAGAACCAAGGACAAAAACCACATGATTATCTCAATAGATGCAGAAAAGACCTTCATCAAAATTCAACAGCCCTTCAGGCTAAAAACTCTCAGTAAACTAGGTATTGATGGAACGTATCTCAAAATAATAAGAGCTATTTATGACAAACCCACAGCCAATGTCATACTGAATGAGCAAAAACTGTAAGCATTCCCTTTGAAAACCGACATAAGACAGGGATGCCCTCTCTCACCACTCCTATTCAGCATGGTGTTGGAAGTTCTGGCCAGGGCAATCAGGCAAGAGAAAGAAATAAAGGGTATTCAATTAGGAAATGAGGAAGTCAAATTGTTCCTGTTTGCAGATGACATGATTGTATGTTTAGAAAACCCTATTGTCTCAGCCCAAAATCTCCTTAAGCTGATAAGCAACTTCAGCAAAGTCTCAGGATACAAAATCAATGTGCAAAAATCACAGCATTCCCCTACACCATGAAGACAAACAGAGAGCCAAATCATGTGTGAACTCCCATTCACAGTTGCTACAAAGGGAATAAAATGCCTAGGAATCCAACTTACAAGGGATGTGAAGGACCTCCTCAAGGAAAACTACAAACCACTGCTCAATGAAATAAAAGAGGACATGAACAAATGGAGAAACTTTCCATGCTCATGGATAGGAAAAATCAATATTGTGAAAATTGCCATACTGCCCAAAGTAATTTATAGATTCAATGCCATCCCCATCAAGCTTCCAATGACTTTCTTCACAGAATTGGAAGAAACTACTTTAAAGTTCATATGGAACCAAAAAAGAGCCTTCATTGCCAAGATAATACTAAGCAAAAAGAACAAAGCTAGAGGCATCATGCTACCTGACTTCAAAGTATATTACAAGGCTACAGTAACCAAAACAGCATGGTACTGGTACCAAAACAGATGTATAGACCAATGGAACAGAATAGAGGCCTCAGAAATAATACCATACATCTACAACCATCTGATTTTTGACAAACCTGATAAAAACAAGAAATGGGGAAAGGATTCCCTATTTAATAAATGGTGCTGGGAAAGCTGGCTAGCCATATGTAGAAAGCTGAAACTGGATCCCTTCCTTACACCTTATACAAAAATTAATTCAAGATGGATTAAAGACATAAATGTTAGACCTAAAACCATAAAAACCCTAGAAGAAAACCTAGGCATTACCATTCAGGACATAGGCATGGGCAAGGGTTTCATGACTAAAACACCAAAAGCAATGGCAACAAAAGCCAAAATAGACAAATGGCATCTAATTAAACTAAAGAGCTTCTGCATGACAAAAGAAACTATCATCAGAGTGAACAGGCAACCTACAGAATAGGAGAAAATTTTTGCAATCTACCCACCTGACGAAGGGCTAATATCCAGAATCTACAAAGAACTCAAACAAATTTACAAGAAAAAAAACAGCCACATCAAAAAGTGGACAAAGGATATGAACAGACAGACACTTCTCAAAAGAAGACATCTATGCAGCCAACAGACACATGAAAAAATGCTCATCATCACTGGCCATCAGAGAAATGCAAATCAAAACCACAATGAGATACCATCTCATGCCAGTTAGAATGGCAATCATTAAAAAGTCAGGAAACAACAGGTGCTGGAGAGGATGTGGAGAAATAGGAATGCTTTTACACTGTTGGTGGGAGTGTAAATTAGTTCCACCATTGTGGAAGACAGTGTGGTGATTCCTCAAGGATCTAGAACTAGAGTTATCATTTGACCCAGCAATCCCATTACTGGGTATATACCCAAAGGATTATAAATCATGCTGCTATAAAGACACATGCACACATATGTTTATTGCGGCACCATTCACAATAGCAAAGACTTGGAACCAACCCAAATGTCCATCAATGATAGACTGGATTAAGAAAATGTGTCACATATACACCATGGAATACTATGCAGCCATAAAAAAGGATGAGTTCATGTCCTTTGTAGGGACATGGATGAAGCTGGAAACCATCATTCTCAGCAAACTATCGCTCGGACAGAAAACCAAACACCGCATGTTCTCACTCATAGGTGGGAATTGAACAGTGAGATCACTTGGACACAGCGCGGGGAACATCACACACTGAGGCCTGTAGGGGTATGGGGGGCTGGGGGAGAAATAGCATTAGGAGAACTACCTAATGTAAATGATGAGTTGATGGGTGCAGCAAAGCAACATGGCACATGTATACCTATGTGTCAAACCTGCACATTGTGCACATGTACTCTAGAACTTAAAGTACAATAAAATAAAAAATGAATAAAAATAAATAAAGGGCCAGATAGTAAAAAAAAAATAAAAAAAGTACATGATTGATATTTAAAAGAGTTTTCAAAAAGGAATGTAAGAAATAAAGCAAGTCTGCAATGAGGCAAAGAAAACGGTTAAGAGCTTCTTACTGCCTTCATGTGTATTTGAGGGTCAGAGGAGTGAACCCACATTTTGTTTCTTCTCTTTTACATTTTTTTGCTTTCATTTTTGTTTTTACCAATCACATATTAGTCCTGAATTTAAACTAAGAGCAATAATAATGTTTCAATAGATATCTTTATGTTTAAAATAAAATGTTAAGAGTTTCAAGATACAGTAAGTAAAACAAAACAAAATGTCCTTCAATGGGTGAATAAACAGTGGAATATCCACACATAATACTGCTCAGTTAAAAAAAAAAAAGATTGATAAGCGTTGATACATGAAGCAACTCAAGGGCAGTATGCTGAGTAAAAGAAGTCAGTCTCCAAAGGTTACAAACTACATGATTTCATGTTTATGACATTCTCAAAAAGACAAAACCATAGTGAGGGAGAACAAACCAGTGATTGCCATGGGAATGGAGGGAGATGTTCAGGGAGATGAAACTTTTCTGTATGCCGATTATATAAAAATTATTGAGCTATTTTGCTTTCTCTTTTGGTACTAAGTCTTCAAAACCATGAGTGTATTTCACACTCACATAATTGTGATTATTAATGTTAGCTGTTACCTTGATTGGATTGAAGGATGCCTAGATAGCTGTAAGTATTGTTTCTGGGTATGTCTGTGAGGGTGTTGCCAGAGGAGATTAACGTTTGAGTCAGTGGACTGGAGAGGAAGACCCTCAATGTGGATGGGCACCATCCAGCGCCCATTAGAACAAAGCAGGCAGAAGAAGGTGGGAGAAGCTTGCTTGCTGTCTTCTGGCTTTCATCTTTCTCCCATGCTACATGCTCCCATCTGTTCCTCTTGCCCTTGAACATCAGACTCCAGGTTTTTCAGCCTTTGGACTCCTGCACTTACACCAGTGGGTTGCTAGGGACTCTTGGGCCTTCAGCCGTGGAATGAAGGCTCCATTGTCAGTTTCCGTACTTTTAGGCTGTTGGACTTAGACTGAGCCCCTCCTGCCTTCTTTTTTCCTCAGCTTGCATATGGCCTATTGTGGGACTTTACCTTGTGATCGTCTGGGCCCATTCTCCTTAATAAACTTCCTTTCATATATACATATATCCTATTAGTTCTATCCTTCTGGAGAACCCTAATACAAGCATGTCTTAATTCCTGCTAGCCACATTCAAGGGGCTAGAAGCTACCATACTCGACAGGCCAGGGCTAGGTGATCTCTAAAAATATTTCCTTGTCTGTCTATGCTATTAGCTACATATTAAGATGTTTGTTTTCTGATTTTATCAAGTATTATTTTTCTTAAGCACATGGTTTGCCATGTAGTAAGGGATACATGTCTGATTTAAGTGACTAAAAAATGAGGAAAAGTCATTTAAATTTCTTGGCTACTGCTGAGTGGCAATATGGTCATATCTGTCCAGGAATCCATTCTGACGCTAAGTGACAAATGCCCCTTTGTTATTCTGTTTCAAACCGAATACATTATCACATGATTGTACTTAGATTAACGTTCTGACAAATTCTAGTAATACATGTGTCATAAAAGATTTAAATCATTAGATGCCCCCAAAATGTAACCCCTATCAATTTCTGTCAAGAATACATTCTTTTCTGGAAGCATATTCCTGTTACTCCTTTCATGTGATAAAATTCTGTTCAGTTTTGGTGACACATACCATCCATCACATAGTAATAAATCAAATATATAACCAAGCCAACAATTTCTGCTTTCCACAAGGTTAAAACAGGAACTATTTAGTTATATCATCAATTAACCAAAAGCAACATTTGTTCAATTGATTTTCTATGAATCAACTTCATTTTTAAGAGAAGTTTTAGATTCACTAAAAAATTGAGCATATAGTACAAAGAATTCCTACATTACCTCTCTTTCCTCTGACATACACAGAGTTTATTATTAACACATTACATTAGTGTAGTATATTTGTTAAAATTAATGAAACAATATCAATACATAATTATTTAGTAAGAGAATATTTATTAAGAAGTCCATAGTTTATTAAGATTCCCTTTGTTTTTATCTAATGCCCTTTTTCTGTTCTGGGGTCGCATCCAGTATACCATATTACATGTAGTTATCTGGACTCCTTAGGCTCCTCTTGGCTGTAACAGTTTTTCATACCTTATTTGCTTTCAATTACTTTGAAAGTTTTGATGAGTATAGGTCAGGCATTTTTTAGAATGTCTCCAAATTGAGATTTGTCTCATGGGTAAATTAGGGTTATGGGTTTTAGAGAGGTAGATCACAGAGGTAAAGTACTATTTTAATCACATCATATCCAGGGTGTATACTATCAACATGATTTATAACTGTTGGTATTGACCTTGATCACCTGACTGAAGTAGTGTGTGCCAGGTTACTCTGCTGTAAATTTACTATCTCCTCCCCACTTCCATACTTTACTCTTTAGAAGGAAGTCCCTTTGCACAGCTCATACTTAACAGTGGAGAGTTTTGCTCTCCCTCCTTTAGGATGAAGCATTTACATAATTTATTTGGAATTCTTTTGCATCGTTGATTATTGTCCTCCACTTATTAATTTATTCGATTTTTTATTCACATCAGTCTGGACTTGCAGATGTTAATCTTAGAATTAAAATCCAGCACTATTTTGCTGCTCAAATTGTCAATCTTTGTCCACTAGGAGTTCTTTCAGTTGATTCTTGTGCCTTTTTGACATACTGCCATCAATGTATTTTGTTCTTGCTGTTGCTGTTATTGTTGCTTTGTGAGGGCTTCCTTACCCAATGGAACCACAACATGCTCCAGGCTCATCTTTTATATTTCCTGCACCTGAACCAGCCATTTCTCCAAGCAACACTGGTTACTTTCTTTGGAAAATAATAATAGAAATCAAGATCTGGATCTGGGTGTTGCATATACTCATTACTGCTCTAGTGCCATTTCTTTTAGACACTTAACAGTTGGCAAAACAAAGAAATAAATGTGTGTATAATGACCTGTGTATATACACAAGTCCATAAATATCTCTACATGTAACGATCTATATCTATATTAAGTTGAACATGAGTTCTTATTGTTGTCTCCAAGTCTAAACAATTACCATATGGATCAATCTCATCTCCTCACCATGCCAATCCACAAATTCCCACTCCAGAAGTGGAAAACCTGGCTGCCACCATGAGCTATTCATTTGCTTCCTTGCTTAAGGAATATTTATATATCAGAATCAGAATTGTTACCCCATATCCCTATGGGAAACAAATTTATTGACTAGAGCGCAGTACTTAACATGCAGTTTCTTTAGCCTAGTCTTACAGATTCCATTCATTTCTAAAGTTAACTTAGGCCAGCAACTCCTTGGTGAGGCTATTTTATTCATGGAGGTTTGAAGGGAAGCATAAAACAACAAAATTTTATTCTGTTACATTTCTGGAGGTCCAGTGTATAAAGTGAAGGTGTCATCTGGGCTACACACCTTCTGGAGCCTTCAGAGGGAAATCTTTTTTCTTGCCTTTTTCAGCTTCCAGAGGCTGTCTGTATCCTTTGGTCCATCTTCAATAACTCCTCATCACCCCTTCACGTGGCCTTTTCTTCACATCATGCCAACTTCTGTCATCCCATCTCTCTCCCCATTCACTCTCTTGTCTCTTTCATATAAGGACCAGTGTGATGACCTTTCAGGTGTGGCTATTTTTAAATTATCTCTTTTTTTTTTCAATTTTTATAGGTGGTTCATACATATAACAAAAATGGATCATATTCAACATTGTTAAGTGTATGGTTCACTGGTATTAAATTCATAATGTTGTGCAAACCTTACCACCATCTATCCCCATAACTCTTTTTATCTTGTAAAAGTGAACCTCTATACCTATTAAACAGTAACTATCCATTCTCTCCTCCCACCAGCGTCTGGTAACCACCATTCTACTTTCTGTCTTTATAATTTTGACTACTCAAAGTACCTAATATAAATGGAATTATACATCATTTGTCTTTTCTGTGATTGGATTACTTCATTTAACATTATCTCCTCAAAGTCATCCATGTTATAGCTATGAAAGAAATTCCTTCTTTTTAAGGTTGAATAATATTTCATTGTATGCATATATTATGTTTTCTTATCCATCCGTCCATCCATCAGTGGGCACTGGGGTTGCTTTCACATTTTAACTGTGGCAAATAATACACTTTGAACATGGGTGTAAACATTATCTCTTTGATACCTTGTTTTCAACGTTTTGGGTATGTACCCAGAAGTGAAATTTCTGGATCATATGGAAATTATATTTCTAATTTTTTAAGGACCCATCATACTGTTTGCCACAGCAGCTATACTGTTTTATACTTCTATAAACAGCATACGAGGGTTCCAATTTCCCTACATTCTTACCAACACTTGTTATTACTTTTTTCTTTTTATAGTGTTGCTATCCTATTGGGTGTAAGGTGGTATCTCATAGTTTTGATTTGAATGTCCCTAATGATTAATTATGCTAAGCATCTTTAATTTTTTTTTAGGTTCTGGGGTACATGTGCAGGTTTGTTAATATAGGTAAACTGGGTCTTACAGGGATTTGGTGCACAGATTATTTTGCCACTCAGGTAATAAGCATAGGATCCAATAGGTATTTATTCTGATCCTCTCCCTCCTCCTACCATCCACCCTCAAGTAGGTCCCAATGTCCGTTGTTCGCCTCCTAGTATCCATGTGTTCTTGTTGTTTAGCTCACACTTGCAAGTGAGAACATGCAGTATTTGGTTTTCTGCTCCTGTATTACTTTGCTTAGGATAATGACCTCCAGCTTCACACATGTTGATGCAAAGGACATTATCTTATTCTTTTGTATGGCTGCATAGTATTCCATGGTGTACATGTACCACATTTTCTTTATCCAGTCGACCATTGGTGGGCATTGAGGTTGATTTCACGTCTTTGCTATTGTGAATAGTGCTGCAATGAATATACACATACATGTGTTTTTATGGTAGAAAATTTACATTCTTTTGAGGATATGCCTAATAATGCGATTTCTGGATCAAATAGCAATTCTGTTTTAGTTATTTGAGGAATTGACACACCGCTTTTCACAATGGCTGAATTACACTCCCACTAGTAGTGTATATGTGTTCCCTTTTCTCTGCAACTTCACCAGCATCTTTTATTTTTTGAATTTTACATAATAGCCATTCTCGGCCAGGAACAATGGCTCAGGTCTCTAATCCCAGCATACTGGGAGGCTGAAGATGGGGTTGAAGTGAACTGTGATTATGACACTGCACTCCAGCTGTATCAAACAAGAGAAAAAAATTAAATAGCCATTCTGACTGGGGTGAGATGGCATCTCACTGAGTTTTTTATTTGCATTTTTCTAACGATTAGTGATGTTGAGGATATTCTCATATACTAGTTGGTCACATGTATGTCTTTTGAAAAATATCTGTTCACATCCTTTGCCCATTTTTTAATGGGGTTGTTTGGTTTTTGCTTGTGAATTTGTTTAACTTCCTTGTAGATACCGGATATTAGACCTTTGTCAGATACATAGTTTGCAAATATTTTCTTCCATTCTGTAGGTTGTCTGTTTACTCTGTTGATAGTTCCTTTTGCTCTGTAGATGCTATTTAGTTTAACTAGAATTGTCAATTTTTGTTTCTGTTGCAATTGCTTTTGGTATCTTTGGTCATGAAATCTTTGCCTGGTCCTATGTCCAGAATGCGATTGCCTAGGTTATCTTCCAGGATTTTTATAGTTTTGGATTTTACATTGAAGTCTTTGATCCATTTTGATTTGATTTTTGTGTGTGGTGTAAAGTAGGGTTCTAGTTTCAATCTTCTGCATATGGCTAGCCAGCTATCCCAGTACCATTAAGTGAATAGAGTTCATTCCCCATTGCTTCTTTTTGCTAGGTTTGTCAATGATCTGATAGTTGTAGGTGTGTGACATTATTTCTGGGCTCTCTATTCCATTCCATTTGTCTATTTGTCTGTTTGTGTACCAGTACCGTGCCATTTTGGTTATGGGAGCCCCGTAGTATAGTTTGAAGTCAGGTAATGTGATGCCTCCAGCTTTGTACTTCTTGCTGAGGATTGCCTTAGCTATTTGAGCTCCTTTGTGGCTTCATAGAAATTATAAAATAGTTTTATCTAGTCATGTCAAGAATATCATTGGTAGTTTGATAGGAATGACATTTTAATCTACTAATTGCTTTGGGCAATATGGCCATTTTAATAATATTGATTCTTCCTATCCATGAGCATCTTTTCATGTGTGTATGGACCATTCAGATACCTTCTTTGGGTAAATCTCTATTCAAGTTCTTTGCCTTTTTTTGAATCAGAGTGATTTTGTTGTTGAGTTTTAGGACTTCTCTATATTTTCTGGATATAAGTCCCTTATATATATAAGTTGCAAACATTTTCTCCCATTCTGTGTGTTTCCTTTTTATTCTGTTGATAGTGTCTTTGTATACACAATTTTAAAACATATTCCTGAAGTCAAATTTGTCTATTTTTTGTTGTTGTGCCTGTGCCTTTGATGTTATATCCAACAAATCATTCCCAAATACAATGCCATGAAGCATTTTCATTAAGTTTTTTTTTCTTTGAGTTGTATAATTTAAGAATTATATTTAGGTCTTTCATCCACTTGAGTCAATTTTTGCATATGGTGTTAGGTAAGGGTTCAACCTTATTATTTTGTGTGTGGATATCCAGTTATCCAAGCATCATTTGTTGAAGACTGCCATTTTCCCTTCTCAAGAATGGTCTTGACACCCTTCTCAAAAACCATTTGACTGTATATGTGAAGGATTGTTTCTAGGCTCTCTGTTCTATTCCATTAATCTAGATGCTAAAACCACACTGTTACGATTACTATGGCTTTGTAGTAAGTTTTAAATTGGAAAGTGTGAGTCCTTCCACTTTGTTTTTTTTTTTTTTTTTTTTCAAATTGTCTTGGCTATTTGAGCTCACTTGAAATTCCATATTAATTTTAGGAAAATTTGAGAAGTATTGGTGTTAGTTTTTCCTTAAACAGTTGGTAGAATTCACTCATGAAGCTATCAGACCCAGGGCTTTTCTTTGTAGGGAGATTTTTTTGATTCCCAGGGTTTTTCTTTTTTGGGAGACATTTTGCTTACAGACTCAATATCCTTACTACTTACAGGTCTATTCAGATATTCTATTTCTTTATGATTTAGTCTTGGAGGTTTTGTGTGTTTGTAAGAATTTGTTCATTTCATCTAGGTTATCAAATTGTTACTGTACAATTATTCATAATACTCTTTATAATCCTTTTTATTTCCCTAGAATTTTTCATCATGTCTCCACTTTTATTTCTAACTTTAGTAATTGAGTCTTCTCCCCTTTTGTTTGTCCATCTACCTAAAAGTTATCAATTTTGTTGATCTTTTGAAAAAACCAAGTTTGGTTTTATTGATTTTCTCTATAATCTTTCTAGTCTCTATTACTTTTCTATTTAAGTTATATGTGCTCTAATCTTCATTATTTCCTTCCTTCTTCTATCTTTGGGTTTAGTTTGTTTTTATTCTAGTATCTTAAAGTTAGGTTGCTGATTTGAATTTTTCTAATTTTTTAATATAAGTGTTTATAGCTATAAATTTCCTCCTTGGCACTGCTTTTGCTGCATCCCATAATTTTTGGTATATTGTGTTTTCACTTTCATTCATCTTTAAGTATTTTCCAATTTCCCCTGTGATTTGTTTTTTTGATTCATGTATTGTCTAAGAATGGTTATTTATTTCCCACAATTTTGTAAGTTTTCCATTTTTACACCTGTTACTGATTTCTAATTTCACTCTTTTGTAGTCAGAGAAAATAACTTTGTATGACATCTATAAAAAAATCTATTGAGACTTAATTTGTGGTAAAATATGTGTATTTTATTCTGGAAAATGTCCCATATGCACATAAAAACAATGTCTATGTTGTGTTGTTTGGTAGAGTGTTCTTCTGTATATGTCTGTTACATCTAGTTGGTTTATTGTGTTGTCTTTATTTCCTTCCTTATCTTTTGTCTTGTTGTTGTAATCATTATTGAGAATGAGGTGTTGAAGTCTGCAACCGTTATGATAGGACTATTCTCTCTTTAAATCTGTTCATTTTTGCTTCATATATTTTGATTGTCTGTTCTTGTGTATGTAGATGTTTATATCTTCTTGTTGTATTGAACATATTTTCTCAATATGTGATGCCCTTCTTGTCTCATGTGACACTTTCAAATTTAAAGTCTCTTTTTTCTAACAGTAATATAATAATATTTTCTGTCTTTTGGTTTGTATTTGCATGGCGTATCTTTTTTCATTCTTTCACTTTCAGTCTATTTGTACCTTTGAATCTCAGTGGGTCTCTGGTAGACAACACAGATTTGGATCAATTGTTTTGTTCATTCTGCCAATCTCTGTCCTTTAATTGGATAAATTATTTACATTTAAGGCAATAAATGATAAGGAGTGACATTTCTGTCATTTTGCTTTTTCTTTTCTATATGCCCTCATTTTCTGCATTAATAACTTCCTTTGGGTTTATCTGATTTTTTATCGTGACAAATTTTATTTTTGTAGATACTCTATAGCTATCTTATTTGTGGTTACCATGGGGATTACATCTAACACCTTATACTTTTAACACTGTAATTTGAATTTATACCTGTTTAACTTTAATAACTTTAATAACATATAGAGATTCTGTTCTTTTAACAACTCTGTCCTCACGCCTTTGAGCTGTTGATTTTACCATTACAATTTTACACATTGTGAGCCCAAACACATATGCTAATAATACTTTAAACACATTTGTCTTATAAATTATGAGGAAAATAAAATGTGGATTTACTAACCAAAGTTAATCCTAGCTTTAAACTAATAATTTTAGTGTTTGATTATGTAATTTAGTCATGTAGAAAACAAGAAGTGGCATTGTAAACCATTGTTACAATGGTAGTAATTTTTATGACTGTGGACATATTTACCTTCAGTGACATTGTTATGTCTTCTTATGGCTTTGAGTTATTATCTAGTGTCCCTTAATTTAACCCTACAGACTCCCTCAAGGCCTATTTCATGTATAAAAGATTTAGTGCTAATTAATTCTTCCAGCTTCTACTTGTCTTAGAATGTCTTAATATCTCCCTCACTTTTTAAACTTTTATTTTAGGTTCAGGGGTACATGTGCAGGTTTGCTATATAGGTAAACTCGTGTCATGGGGGTTTGTTGTACAAATTATTTTGTCACCCAGGTGTTAAACCTAGTACTCATCAGTTATTTTTCCTGATCCTCTCCCTCCTTTCCCGCTCCAACCCCTGGTAGTCTCCCACGTCTGTTATTCTCCTCTATGTGTCCACATGTTCTCATCAGTTAGCTCCCACTTGTAATTGAGAACATGCAGTATTTGGTTTTCTGTTCCTGTGTTAGTTGGCTAAGGATAATGACCTCCAGTCCATTACATGTTCGTGCAAAAGACATGACCTCATTCTTTTTTATGACTGCATAGTACTCCATGGTGCACATGTACTATGTTTTCTTTACCAGTCTACCTACTACTGATGGCCATTTAGGTTGACTCCATGTCTTTACTATTATGAATAACTTATATGTGCATGTGTCTTTATGATAGAACAATTTATATTCATTTGAATATATACCAAGTAATGAAATTGCTTGGTCAAATGACACTTCTGCTTTCAGCTCTTTGAGGAGGTACCACACTGCTTTCCACAATAGTTGAACTAGTTTACACACCCATCAACAGTGTATAAGTTTCCCCTTTTCTAAGGAACCTTGCCAGCATCTTTTATTTTTTGACTTTTTAATAATACATTCTGAGTGGTGTGAGATGGTATCTCATTGTGGTTTTGACTTGCACTTCTCTAATGATCAGTGACACTGAATGTTTTTTCTTATGCTTGTTGGCTGCAAATATGTATTATTTTGAAAAGTGTTCATGTACTTTGTCCACATTTTAATGGGGTTGTTTGCTTTTTACTTGTAGATTTAAGTTCCTTATAGATGCTGGATATTAGACCTTTGTCAGATGCACAGTTTGCAAAAATTTTCTCCCATTCTGTTGGTTATTGGTTTACTCTGTTGATAGTTTCTTTTGCTGTGCAGAAGCTCTTAAGTTTAATTAGATCTCATTTCTCAGTTTTTGATTTTGTTGCAATTGCTTCTGGTGTCTTTGTCATAAAATCTTTGCTCATTCCTATGTCCAGAATGGTATTACCTAGGTTGTATTCCAAGGTTTTTGGGGTTTTACATTTAAGTATTTAATCCATCTTGAGTTGATTTTTGTATATGGCTTGAGAAAGGGGAACAGTTTGAATCTTCTGCATATGGCTAGCCAGCTATCCCAGTACCATTCATTGAATAGAGGGTCCTTTCTCCATTACTTTTTTTCAGCTTTCTCAAAGATCAGATGGTTGTAAGTGTGGCATTATTTCTGGGTCCTCTATTATGTTCTGTTGATCTATGTGTCTGTGTACCAGTACCATGCTTTTTTGGTTACTGTAGTCCTGTAGTATAGCTGGAAGTCAGGTAGTGTGATGTCTCTGGCTTTGTTCCTTTTGCTTGGAATTGTCTTGGCTATTCGGAACCTTTTTTTGGTTCCAGATGAATTTTAAAATAGTTTTTTCTAGTTCTGTGAAGAGTATCATTGATAGTTTGATAGGAATAGCATTGAATCTATAAATTACTTTGGACAGTCTGGTCATTTTAATGATGTTGATTCTTCTTATTCATCAACATGGAATGATTTTTCATTTGTTTGTGTCATCTCTGATTTCTTTGAGCAGTGTTTTGTAATTCTCCTTGTAGAGATCTTTCACATTCCTGGTTAGCTGTATTCCTAGTTATTTTATTTTTAAGGGAGAAGTTGTGAATGGGAATGTCTTTCTGATTTGGCTCTTGGTTTGATGGTTGTTGGTGTTTAGGAATACTAGTGAACATTTTAATGTTGGTTTTGTAGCCTAAAATTTTGATGAAGTTGTTTATCAGCTTAAGGAGCTGTTGGGCCAAGACTATGGGGTTTTCTAGGTATAGAATCATATAATCTGTACACAGGGATAGTTTGACTTCCTCTCTTCCTACTTGGATGCCCTTTATTTCTTTCTGTTGCCCGATTTCTCTGGCCAGGACTTCGAATACTATGGTGAATAGGAGTGGTGAGAGAGGGCATCCTCATCTTGTGCTGATTTTCAAAGCAAATGCTTCCAGCTTTTACCCAGTCAGTATGGTGTTGGCTGTGGGTTTGTCATAGATGACTCTTATTGTTTTATGTTCCTTCAATAACTAGTTTATTAAGGGTTTTTTAACATGAAGCAGTATTGCATTTTTTGAGACTTTTCTGCATCTATTGAAATAATCATGTGGTTTTTGGCTTTAGTTCTGTTTATGTGGCTCATCATGTTTATTGGTTTGCATCCCTTGAACCAACCTTGCAGCCCAGAGATAACGCCTACTTGATCATGACGGATAAGCTTTTTGATGAGCTGCTGGATTTGGTTTGCTAGTATTTTGTTGAGGATTTTTGCATCAATGTTCATGAAGGGTATTGGCCTGAAGTTTTCTTTTTTTGTTGTATCTCTGTGAGATTTTGGTATCAAGATGATGTTGGCTTTGTAGAATGAGTTAGGCAGGATTCCCTCCTCAATTTTTTGAAATAGTTTCAGCAGAAATGATACCAGCTCTTTTTTGTACATCTAGTAGAATTTGGCTGTGAATCCATATGGCACTGAGAATTGTTTTGGTTGGTAGGCTATTTATAACTGATTCAATTTCAGAGCTTGTTATTGGTCTGTTCAGGGAGTCAATTTATTCCCGGTTCAGTCTTAGCAGAGTACATGTATCCAAGAATTTACCCATTTCCTCTAGATTTTCTAGTTTGTGTGCATAGAGGCATTCACAATATTTTCTGGTGGTTACTTGTATTTCTATGGGGTCCGTGGTAAAATCACCTTTGTCATTTCTAATTTTATTTATTTAGATCTTCTCTTTATTAGTCTAGCTAGCAGTCTATTTTATAATATTTCTGAAAAAACCAACTCCCCAATTCATTGATCTTTTGAATGTTTGTTTGTTTCTTAATTTCCTTCAGTTCAGCTCTGATTTTAGTTATTTCTTGTCTTCTGCTAGCTTTGGGATTGGTTTGCTGTTGATTCTCTAGTTATTTTAGTTTTGATGTTAGGTTATTAAATTGAAATCTTTCTAACTTTTTGATGTGGGTATTTAGTGCTATAAATTTCCTTAACATTGCCTTAGTTTGTCTCAGAAATTCTGGTATGTTGCATCTTTGTTCCCATTAGTTTCAAAGAACTTCTTGATTTCTGCCTTAATTTCATTATTTACCCCAAAGTCATTCAGGAGCACATTATTCAATTTCCATGTAATTGTATGGTTTTGAGTGCATTTCTTAGTCTTGATTTCTAATTTGATTTTGTTGTGGTCTGAGAGAGTAGTTGTTATAATTTCAGTTCTTTTGCATTTGCTGAGGGGTGTTTTATGTCTGATTATGTGGTCAGTTTTAAAATATGTACCATGTGGCAATCAAAGAATATATATTCCTTTGTTTTGGGGTGGAGAGTTCTGTAGATGTCTGTCAGGTCTATTTAATTCAGTGCTGATTTTAGATCCTGGATATCTTTGTTAATTTTCTGCCTCAGTGAGCTGTCTAATACTGTCAGTGAGGTGCTGAAATCTCCCACTATTATTGTGTGGGAATCTAAGTCCCTTTGTAGGTCCCTAAGAACTTGCTTTATGAATCAGGGTGCTCTTGTATTTAGTACATATATATTTAGGATAGTTAGCTCTTCTTGTTGAATTGAACCCTTTACCATTATGTAATTCCCTTCTTTGTTCTTTTTGATGTTTGTTGGTTTAAATTCTGTTTTGTCTGAAATTAGGATTGCAATGCCTGCTTTTTTTCTGTTTTCTGTTTGCTTGGTAGATTTTTCTCTGTCCCTTAATTTTGAACCTTTGTGTGTCATTGCCTGTGAGATGGGTCTCCTGAAGAGACCGTACATTGGGTCTTGCTTCTTAATCTAGCTTGCTACCCTGTGTCTTTAATTGGGAGATTTAGCCCATTTACATCCAAGATGAGTATTGATATGTGTGGATTTGATCTTGTCATCATGATGTTAGCTGGTTATTATGTAGACTTGTTTGGTTGCTTTATAGTGTCACTGGTCTGTGTACTTCAGTGTGTTTTTGTAGTGGATGGTAATGATGTTTCCGTTCTATATTTAGTTCTTTCTTTGGGAGTTGTAAGGCAGGTTTGGTGGTAACAGGTTCCCTCAGTATTTGCTTGTGTGAAAATAACCTTATTTCTCCTTCATGTATGAAGCTTAGTTTGGCCAGATATGAAATTCTGGGTTCGAATTTCTTTTCTGTAAGAATGTTGGCTTCAATCTCTTCTGGCTTGTAGGGTTTCTGCTGAGAGGTCTACTGTTAGCATGATGGATTTCCCTTTGTAAGTGACCTGAGCTTTCTCTCCAGCTGCCACTAATATTTATTCTTCCAGTTTAACCTTGGAGATTCTGAGATTATGTGTCTTCGGGATGATCTTCTTGTGAAGAATCTTACTGGAGTTTTCTGCATTTCCTGAATATAAACATTTGCCTCTCTGGCTAGGTTGTAAAAGTTCTTATGAATGATATCCTGAAATATGCTTTCCAAGTTGATTCCATTCTCCCCAACGCTTTCGAGAACACCAATGAATCTTAGATTTGGTCCCTTTACATAATCTCATATTTTTCTGAAGTTTTGTTTGTTCCTTTTTATTTTTTTTTCTCTATTCTTCTCTGACTGTCTTATTTCAGAAAGCCAGTCTTAAAGCTCTGAGGTTCTTTCTTCAGTATGGTCTATTTTGCTTATTACTTGATAGTACTTGCAATTGCATTATGAAATTCTTGTAGTGTGTCTTCCACGTCTATTGGGTTGGTTACATACTTTTCTATACTGGCCATTTTGTCTGTCAACTCATGCATCATTTTACTGTGATTCTTAGCTTCCTTGGATTGGGCTTCAGTGTACTACTGCCTCTCAGTGATCTTCATTCCTACCCAATTTCAAATACTACTGTAATTTCAGACATCTCAGCCTGATTGAGAACACTTTGCTGGAGAGGTAGTGCAGTGATTTGCAGGAAAGAAGGCACTCTGCCTTTCTGACTTAGAGTTCTTGTGCTTGTTCTTTCTCATCTTTGTAGGCTGGTGTTCCTTCAATCTTTGAAGTTTCTGTCCTTTGGATTGGTTTTTGTTATTTTTATTTGAGGATTTGATTGTGGTATAAGGTGGGTTCAGTTGATTGGCTTTATTTCTGGGAGATTTTAGTGGGGCAAGGCTCAGCTTCCATCTCCTGGACTGTGCCCTCAAACTCTAGGGGACTTGCGAGTCTGACTTTCCTCTCTGGCTCCTCAAGGTTAGAAACCAACTACAATCGGTGGGCGGTTGGGGAAGCCATGGTGCTCTTGGACCACTGGTCCCTAAACATCAATGGGAGGTGCCAAAGCATTTTGTAGGGCTATGGCAGCAGGATCCATTCTTGTTCACATGTGCCAGTGGCAGAGGTAGCATGGTGGGGTTCACACTCATTGACTGCAGCAGGGTGCTAGTGGGTGCCAAGGTTCCTGCCTCTGTATTGCATTCGTAGCAGTGGGGGAGACAGCGTAACTGGAGGAGGACATCCCTTATTGGTGACTGTGTTTGTGGTTCCACTGGTGGTGGTGTTAGCAGGGGGGTGGGACATTGATGGGGGTGAGACACTGGTGGGCACAAGTCTGTGTGCTCTCTCTGTGGCTGCTCAGAGCAGGCAGGGGTGGTTCCACCGTCATCCATACTAGTTTCACTCTAATGGCAGTGTTGTTGCAGGAGCACAGCATTGGTGGGGGTGAGGCTGGCAGGCTCTGTGTTCACAAAGGCTCCAACTGCAATGGCAGTAGGGTAGGGGAAGTGGGGTGGAGTGCATTCCACCAGCAGCAGAGGCATGGCAGAGTGCACATGCACACATGTGCTAGCAGGACAGGGAATGCAAAAATCTACCTGCATACATGTGCACTGGCAAAATGATGTGGAGGGTGGCTGCAGTCCCGAGGGAAGCTTGCAGTGTATCTCCCGAACTTTCAAAGGACATTTTTGCCAGATATGGAATTCTCATTTGACAGATCGGTTTTTTTTCCTTTGACTGCTTTGAATGTATATTTTCCCCAGCTCCTGGCCTCGAATATTTCTGGAGGAAAAATCTGTTCATATTATTTTTGAGGACCCCTTGCATGTGATGAGCCACTTATTTCTGATTGTTTTCAAGATTTTCTCTTTGTGTTTGTCTTTAAAAAGTTTGATTTTAATGTATCTTGGTGTGAGTTTTTTGAGTTCCATTTAATTGGAGTTCATTGAGCTTCTTAGATATTTATATTCATGTCTTTCATCAAATGTGTGAAGTTTTCAGCCATTTGTTCTTCACATATTCTCTGTCATCCTTTCTCTTATTCTTCTGGGACTGCCACAGTACATAGGTTATCCTACTTGATATTGTCCTACAGATAGGTCCCTTATCTTTTTACTCTTCTCCTACCTTTTTACTTTTTGTTCCTCAGACTCAATAATTTCCATTGTCCTATCTTCAATTTTGCTGATTTTAATGTGTAATATACAATGTATAATTTATAGTTTATAGTTTATACAACAAAGTTATAGTTTATAATTTATAGTTTAGAGTTTATATAACATAGTTGCTATATAATTTTTTGTATGTATTCATCATTTACATTTTATAGAAACTCAAAAAATCATATAGTACTATATGAGACATATTAATTCGACTTTATATTTTTTATAAAATCTTGTCATGCTGATGTCTTATCTCTTATTTTATAACTACAAATGCCATGTGAATAACTGCCTAGTGAACTCTTGCTGACTGAATATGACAGCACAGATGTATAAAATGAAAAGATCTGAGACCCTAAAATCTTGAATTATAATGTAGACTCTTCTACTGATTTTCTATCTTTGGATGGAGTATTTCTCTGGGTTCTAGTCTGTCATCTGTAAATTTGAGTATTGAAATACATGATTTATATGATCTCTTCCATTTATGACCACTCATGACTAGTATTTCTTTATTCTAAATGGCAATTTTATTGAAGATGAAACTGGAATAACACGAAACACAGTCAGACTGTTAGAATGCTAAAGTAAGGCTGTTTCCATGTCTATTGGAGGCAAAAATTTATGGATCACCAATCCCTAGATGGGTAGAATGTAGAGACAGAAAATGGCTGCTAGGAGCAGATACAAAGAGGTAAATATAAGCCTTGTTCATGGTGAGGACAATCAGTCCCAACCTCTGTTTGTTTTTGTAGAGTCATATTTTTTTGGCTTTTGTTTTAGTAAGAAATTTAGGGAAAACATCACTGGACCTGTAGTTAGAAAACCTGGCACAGTATCCTACTTTTGGCATCCATTTCCTGTGTGACTCTGTGTAAATCCTCACATTCCCTAAGGTAGAAAATTCTCACCTTGACAATAAAAGTGCCAGATTCAATATTCTCAAGGGCAGCTTCTAAATTCAAAATTATTTAATTCTCTGTTTGGAGGCAAATGGGTCCTGGTAAATATCAGAACTACTTAAAGATCATAGAGGCCATCTTTGGGCATAGAAAAAATTTGCTGTGTCTCTAACTCAAAAACTGCTTAGGCATACTACAATTCCATAAATTATTTTAATTATGTTTGTCTTAGCAGGGGTGGATATAGAGAGTTTGCAACAAAATCATGCTAACATCTGTTATTGCAATGTAAATATAAAATGAAAATACTGATTTTCTAGGTACTTACATTTCCATTGTGATAGGACACTGTTCACTTAAAGAAATTCAATTTTTTCCTACCATATGATTAAAAACTCTTCCTAACCTACACAGATATGGTAGCTCTCATCTTTAAACCATAACTTTATATGAAAAAATTAATTTGGTCAAGTTCATGTTAATATTGACCAAGTCGTTCTACTTTATGTTTTTTCCCATTTCAGATATATTAATTTACGGCATCTTGTACCTTCTCTGAGACTCTGTTTTCTGAAACTATTGGGAGAAGCTAGTTACAATTTGAGCTCTTGAGAATCCCCAAGCTCTTGTCTTTGATGAGATATCTTCTATTTCCAAATGCCTTATTGAAACATCTAAATACACATTTGCTTCAGTTTCTTATAAGGATTGTTAATCCATTATATTTCTCTAGTGTTTAGCAGGATTACAGAGTGTTCTTCAATATAATATTTCATTTGAATCTCAGTAATTCTGTAGAGAAAGTGGGGACTATATATCTCTGTTTTGCATATGAGGAGAGCAAGGCCTACAGAAGTGTTGTAAAATTGTTCAGAGCTGCACAGCCTATGAGTGATGACCCAAAAATAAGCTGAAGTCTTTAGGAGCACTTGGGCAGAGCACAGAGACAATTGATTTGGAGAACAGACCAACCCCAACTGTAGTATAACTGCAGAATTTGATGTCAGACTTTGGCAAGTTATAGTTTGAGTTTCCCCATCTTTGAATTTAGGAGGGGATAAAAAGGTGGAAAAATATGATGATGATGATAGTTAATATGTATGAACACAGATACATACAGACCCTCACATATGCACTTATAATTCTCAAAAAATGTAATACCCAATAACTGTAAATTTTTTATAGAAAATGTAGGAATTGATAAGGATACATCTGGGAGTGTAATGACCACCTTTGAGAATCTCAGATGTATATTCAAGTGCCTACCTTTGAGTATTGGTTCCCTTCCATTCTGGTAGAATATTCAATGTTGTTTTCCTGCCACACCTGATTGATAGAGTCAATATACCTACATTATAATGAATAATTAATTTTCTTCTTCAACTTTTATTTTAAGTTCAGGAGTACAGGAGCAGGATGGGCAGGTTCGTTATATAGGTAAACAAGTGCCATGGTGGTTTGCTGTACAGATCTTCCCATCACCTAGGTAATAAGCCTTGCATCCATTAGCAATCCCTCCACCAACCTCCCCAGCATTCCCTGACAGGACCCAGTGTGTGTTGCTCCCCTCCCTGTGTCCAGTGTTCTCATCACTCAGCTCCCATTTATAAGTCAGAACAGGTGATGTTTGGTTTTCTGTTCCTGCATTAATTTGCTGAGGATAATGGTTTCCAAATCCATCCATGTCCCTGAAAAGGACATGATCTTATTCCTTTTGGTGCCTACATAGTATTCCATGGTGTATGATATGGTTTGGTTCTCTGTCTCTACCCAAATCTCATCTTGTAGTTCCCATAATTCCCACGTGTTGTGGGAGGGACCCAGCAGGAGATAATTGAATCATGGGGGCAGGTCTTTCCCGTGCTGTTTTTGTGATAGTGCATAAGTCTCATGAGATCTGATGTTTTTAAAAACGGGAGTTTCCCTGCTCAAGCTCTTTTTTCTTGTCTGCTGCAATGTGAGACGTGCCTTTCATCTTCTGCCATAATTGTGAGGCCTCCTCAGCCATGTGGAAATGTGAGGCCAGTAAACCTTTTTCTTTTGTAAATTGCTCAGTCTCGGGAATGCCTATATCATCAGTGTGAAAATGGACTAATACAGTGTCTATGTAACACATTTTCTTTATCCAGCCTATCATTGATGGGGATTTAGGTTGATTCCATGTCTTTGCTACTGTGAATAGTGCTTCAATGAATATATGCATGCATGTATCTTTATAATATAATGGTTTATATTCCTTTGAGTATGTACCTAGTAATGGGATTGCTGGGTCAAATGATATTTCTGCCTCTAGGTCTTTATGGAATTGCCACACTGTCTTCCACAATGGTTGAACTAATGTACATTTCTACCAACGATCTCGCCATCATCTGTTATTTTTTGACTTTTTAATAATCACCATACTGACTGGTGTGAGATGGTATCTCATTGTGGTTTTGATTTACATTTATCTAATGATCAGTAATACTGAGCTTTTTTCATATGTTTATTGGCCACATGTATGTATTCTTTTGAGAAATGTCTGTTCATGTCCTTTGCCCAGTTTTTGATGGGGTTGTTTTTTCTCATAAATTTGTTTAAGTTCCTTGTAGAATCTGGATATAAGATTTTTGTCAGATGGATAGATTGCAGAAAATTTCCCCCAATCTGTAGGTTGTCTGTTCAGTCTGATAGTTTATTTTGCTCTGAAGAAGCTCTTTAGTTTAATTAAATACTATTTGTCAATTTTTGCTTTTGTTGCAATTGCTTTTGGTGATTTCATCATGAAATATTTGCTCATGCCTCTGTCCTGAATGGTATTGCCTAGATGTTTTTCTAGGGTTTTTATAGTTTTGAGTTTTACACTTAATTCTTTAATCCATCTTGAATTAATTTTTGCATATGGTGTAAGGAAGGGGTCCAGTTTCAATTTTCTGGATATAGCTAACCTGTTCTTTGAGCACCATTTATTAAATAAGAAATCTTTTCACCATTACTGTTTTTTGTCAGGTTTGTCAAAGATTAGATAGTTGTAAGTGTGCAGTCTTATTTCTGAGTTCTCTCTTCTGTTCCATTGGTTTATGTGTCTGTTCTTGGACCAGTAGTATGCTGCTTTGGTTACTGTACTCTTGTATTACAGTTTGAAGTCAGGTAAGGTAGCATGATGCCTTCAGCTTTGTCCTTTTTGCTTAGCACTGTCTTGCCCATTTGGGCTCTTTTTTGGTTTCATATGAAATTTAAAATATTTTCTCTAATTCTGTGAAAAATGGCAAAGGTAGTTTAATGAGAATATAATTGAATCCATAAATTACTTTGGGCAGTATGGCCATTTTCACAATATTGATTATTCCTATCCATGAGCATGGAATGTTTCTCCATTTGTTTGTGTCCTCTCTCATTTATTTGAGCAGTGTTTTGTAGTTCTCCTTGAAGAGGTCCTTCACTTCCCATGTTAACTGTATTCCTATGTATTTTATTCTTTTTGTAGCAATTGTGAATGGGAGTTCATTCATGATTGGCTTCTGGCTCGCCTGTTGTTGGTATATATGAATGCTAGCAATTTTTGCACTTTGACTTTATATCCTGAGACTTTGCTGATGTTGCTTCTCACCTTAATAAACTTTTGTGCTGAGACTATGGGGTTGTCTATATATAGGATCACATCATCTGCAAACAAAGATAATTTGACTTTTTCTCTTCCTATTTGAATACCATTTATTTATTTCTCTTGCCTGATTGCCCTGGCCAGAACTTTCAATACTATGTTTAATAGGAGGTGTGAGAGAGGGCATCATTGTCTTGTGGCCAGTTTTAAAGGGAACTGCTTCCAGCTTTTGCACATTCAGTATGATATTGACTGTAGATTTGTCATATATAGCTTTTATTATTTTGAGGTATGTTCCTTCAATACCTAGTTTATTGAGAGTTTTTAATATGAAGGGATGTTGGATTTTATCACAGGCCTTTTCTGCATCTATTTGGATAATCGTGTGGTTTTTGTCTTTAGTTCTGTTTATGTGATGAATTACATTTATTGATTTGCATATGTTGAAACAACCTTGCATCCTGAGAATGAAGCGAACTCGATTATGGTGGATAAGCTTTTTGATGTGCTGCTGGATTCAGTCTGCCAGTATTTTATTGAGGATTTTTGCATTCATGTTCAACAAGGATATTGGCCTGAACTTTCCTTTGTTGTATCTCTGCCAGGTTTTGGTGTCAGGATGATGCTGGCCTCATAGAATGACTTAACGGGGAGTCACTCCCTTTCAATTGTTTGGAATAGTTTCAGTAGAAATAGTACCAGCTCTTCTTTGTACCTCTGGTAGAATTCAGCTGTGAATCTGTCTGGTCCTGAGCTTTTGTTGGTTGGTAGGCTATTTATTACTCCCTCAATTTCAGAACTCATTATTAGTCTATTCAGGGATTCAGTTTCTCCCCGGTTCAGTCTTGAGAGGGTGTATGTGTCCAGAAATGTATCGGTTTCTTCTAGATTTTCTAGTTTATGTGCATAGAGGTGTTTATAATATTCTCTGATGGTTGTTTAAATTCCTATGGGGTAAGTGGTAATATGCACCTTATCCTTTCTGATTGTATTTATTTGATTCTTCTCTTTTTCCTTCTTTTTAATCTAGCTAGTGGTCTGTTTTATTAATTTTTTCAAAAGAACAGCTCCTGGATTTGTTCATTTCTTGATGGGTTTTGCATGTCTCTATTTCCTTTATTTCCACTCTGATTTTGTTCTTTGTTTTTTTTTTTTTTTTTTTTTTTGGCTTCTGCTATCTTTGGGGTTTGTTTCCTCTTGTTTCTCTAGTTCTGTTTCTTTCCTCTTGTTTCTCTAGTTCTTTTAGTTGAGATGTGAAGTTTCTAACTTGTGATCTTTCTAGTTTTTGATGTGGGCATTGAGTGCTATAAATTTCCCTCTTAACCATGCCTTACAGCATCCCAGAGATGCCTCTTTATACTCATTAGTTTCAACAAACTTTTTGATGTCTGCCTTAATTTCATTATTTACCCAAGAGTCATTCTGGAAGAGGTTGTTCAATTTTCATGTAGGTGTGTGGTTTTCAGTGAATTTCTTAATATTGAGTTCTAATTTGTGCTGTGATCTGAGAGACTGTTTGTTATGATTTAAGTTCTTTTGCATTCACTGAGGAGTGTTTTACTCCCAATTATGAGATCAATTTTAAAGTGATGTGTGGTGGTAAGAATGTATATTCTATTGAATTTGGGTGGAGAATTCTGTAGATATCTATCAGGGCCACTTGATCCAGAGCTAAGTTTAGATCCTGCATATCTTTGTTAATTTTCTATCCCAATGATCTAATATTGTCAGTGGAATGTTAAAGTTTCCCATTATTATTATGTGGGAGTCTAAGTCTCTTTGGAGGTCTCTAAGAACTTGCTTTATGAATCCAGGTGCTCTTGCATTGGGTGCATATATATTTAGGATAGTTAGCTCTTCTTGTTGAATTGAAGACTTTACCATTATGTAATGCCCTTATTTGTCATTTTTGATCTTTGTTGGTTAAAATCTGTTTTGTCAGAATCTAGGATTGCAACCACTTCTTTTTTCTGTTTTCTATTTTCTTGCTATCCCTTTTCCTCCATCCTTTTGTTTTGATCCTGTGTGTGTCTTTGCATGTGAGATGGGTCTCTTAAAGACAGCATTACAATGGGTCTTGGCTCTTCGTCCAGCTTTTCATTCTGTGTCTTTTAATTGGGTCATTTAGCCCATTTACATTTAAGGTTAGTATTGATATATGTGAATTTGATTCTATCATCATTATGCTAGCTGGTTATTTTTCAGACTTGTTTGTGTGGTTCCTTCATAGTGTCACTGGTCTGTGTACTTCAGTGTGTTTTTGTAGTAGCTGGCAACGGTTTTTCCTTTCCATATTTAGTGCTTCCTTCAGGAGCTCTTGCAAGGCAGGCCTCATGGTGAAGAATTCCCTCAGCATTTGCTTGTCTCAAAAAAAAATTCTCCTTACTTATAAAGTTTAGTTTGTCCAGATATGAAACTCTGGGTTGGAATTTCTTTCCTTTAAGAATGTTGAATATTGGCCCCAATCTCTTCTGGCTTGTAGGGTTTCTGCTGAGAGGTCCACTGTTAGTCTAATAGGTTTTCCTTTGTAAGTGACCTGGCCTTTCTCTCCGGCTGTCCTTAATATTTTTTCTTCCATTTCAACCTGTGAGAATCTAATGATTATGTGTCTATGGCTTGATATTTTTGTGGAGTATCTTACTGGGTTTCTCTGTATTTCCTGAATTTGAATGTTGGCCTGCCTTGCTAGGTTGGGGAAGTTCTCATGAATGATACCATGAAGTATGTCTTCCTACTTGGTTCCACTTTCCCCACCTCTTTTTGGTACCCCAATCTGTCATAAGTTTAGTCTTTTTACATAATCCCATATTTCTCAGAGGTTTTGTTAATTTATTTTAATTCTTTTTTATCTAATCTTGTCTGTCTGTCAAATTTCAGAAAGATAGTTTTCAAGGTCTGAGATTCTTTCCTCCACTTGGTCTATTTTGCTATTGATACTTGTGAGTGCGTTGTGAAGTTCTCTTGTGTTTTTTATCTCCATTACATCAGTTATGTTTCTCTCTAAACTGGCCATTCTGGCTATCAGCTCCTTTATTGTTTTATCACTTTTTCCTTCTTAGCATTAGGTTACAACATGCTCCTTTAGTTCAGTGAAGTTCGTTATTACCCACCTTTTGAAGCCTACTTCTGTCAATTCAGCCATCTCAGCCTCAGTCCAGTTCTGGGTCCTTGCTCGAGAGGTGTTGTAGTCATTTAGAGGAGAAGAGGTACTTTGGCTTTTTGAGTTTTCAGCATTTTTGTGTTGATTCTTTCTCATCTTTGTGGGCTGATCTACCTTTGACTTTTGAGGTTGTTGACCTTTGAATGGGGTTTCTGTGGGGTTTCTCTGTTGATGTTATTGTTGTTGTTTTCGGTTTGGTTGTTTTTAACAATCAGGCCACTCTACTGTAGGGCTGCTGTGGTTTGCTGGGGGTCCACTCCAGAACCCAGTTGCCTCAGTTTTTCCCATACCTGGAGGTATCACCAGTGAAGGCTGTGAAATAGCAAGATGGCATCCAGTGTCTTTTCTGGAAGCTTGGTCCTGGGGGGGTACTGACCTGTTGCCAGCCTGCATTCACCTGTAGGAGGTGGCTGGAGACCTCCATTGGAAGGTCTCATTCAGTCAGGAGGAACGGGATCAGGGACCTGCCCAGAGAAGCAGTCTGGATGCTTTCTGGTAGAGCAGGTACACTGCATTGCGGTGAACCCTTTCTCATCCAGACCACTTATGTTCTCCACAGCCTGCAGGCTGGAGCAGCTGACTCAACTGAACCACAGAGATGATGGCTACCCCTCCCCCTGGGAACTCAGACCCATCTCAGGAAGACCTCAACCCACTGCTGTTGGCTGCCTAGGATTCCAAGCCAGTGGTTCTTAACTTGTGAGGTGACATGGAAGTAGGGCCTGCAGAACAATACTGCTTGGCTCCCTGGATTAAGCTCCCTTCCTAGGTATAGCTATGGTTGGCTTTCATGCCTTGCTAGGAATCCCAGGGCTGGAGTATGTAAAACTCCCAGTCTCTGTGTGTGCCTGAGTGGCTGCTCTGCTGAGACTCCACACAACTCTGTTTATCAGACCCAAAGCCCCGGTGGGGATCACCTCATAGGGGATATTTTGATCCATGGGTTGCAAAGATCCATGGGAGAGGTGTGGTTTCCTGGGCAGGGTTGTACAATCACTTACTGCTTCCCTTGCCTGGGGATGGGGGTTCCTTTGGCTCTCTGCTACTCCAGAGTGGAACATACTTCACCTCTGACTTTTCTTCCTTCTTCGTGGGTCAGGTTGTTTGCCTAGTCAATCCCAATGTAAGAACCTGGATATTTCAGTCGAAGGTGCTGAATTCACTCACCCTTTTATATTCCTCTCCATGAGTGCTGCAGACCACAGCTGCTTCTAATTGGCCCTCTGGGTCAATGAATAATTGATTTTAATAAAAAATAACACAAATCAGTTTCTAAGCAGAAGGTGGTTGAACAACTATTAAAATGGTATTTCTATATGTTTTTAGTCCATTATTCTGTGTTACTCCTCGTTACGTGATCTTTTTTTTTTTTTCCTGGATAGCCGGTTAGACAAACTGCACTCACTTTTTCTTACCACAAAATCTGAGAAGTAAAGTATGTATATTCTAGTGAATTTTTCTTATCTACCTGCATGTTAGATAAGGAAGAACTACTTGACACCTTTCCATTTTTAGGAAATCACTTTGTAGTCCTTACACTTTACTGTGTGTATCTATCATCTAGAGAGGCTTTTTAAAATTTAGAGGTACACGTACAGCCTAGAGTTCAGAAATATTCTAGTGGGGTCTAGTGATCTGGTAGTTTAACAGGAACATAAGTAAGAAGCTTCATGTTTATCTAAATTCAGGCATTTATCTTCGTTCTATATCTACTCCAAGTCTTAGGTCAGTTTCAGTCATAATCTGTTTATCTCCAATGCTTAAGTCTAAGGAATGTGTTACCCAGCTTGTTATGCTGTATTCACATTGACATGGTGAAAACCACATGCATCTGAATAAATCATTAGAGTTTGTGGAAAAATGAGCTGTGTTTTTGGAAACAGTTTTGAAGCCTTAACTCGTCACTACCAGAAAATGGGAAACCAGGTTGAGAGCCTTTGGTTTTAGTGAGAAACAGAAGGTTGTTTGTTAGAAATGGAATATTATCTCATTAAAATAATTGGATAACGGGGTGTCTTCTTTATGCAATGACAATATTATACTCACAGTATACTTACTTTGTGAATCTTGTTCATTTCAAAGTAAAAAATAATATATGACATTTTTAAAAATTCTGTTTAAATTGGATATTCTGTATACCTGAAAGTTTCAGAAAGAAACACAAGGTCTAAACGATATGCTTCATTGATTTTTGGATTTTTATGGTTAGGTTTCTTGACTCCATTAAATTTTTAAGTTTTGATATTGGCAACAGCAGCCATACTTCTTTATTCCCAACTTCTTACATGCTACTTTTTTTCTGATTACAACCATCTTTGATGTGTGAATATATAGAAAATAGCTATTCTAGCATATTAACAGTCTCTATCTTTGGCTATAGCAAGAAGTCAGAAACTCAGATAATTTATTTTCATTTAATAAGCAGTTAGTATATGATGAATGCAGGTGAAAATAAATCAGCTCGTATATTGGAAAAAGATGTTGGCTTAAGCTTATTTTTTTTTTTTTGTCTCCAGAATCATTGAGGCCAAATTGAATCCCATTTCTGCCTCAAGAAAATAAATTGTCCACTATAGTCTCCAGTATAGGAATAATTTGTTTGTTTGTATATGATATCTGGGATTAATTCAGCACAAATGTGACACTTACTAGGCTAGAATCAGGCTAAACAAAGATACCTTAGGCACCATCCCTGTTGTCAAGCATATTATTGCCCAGTAGAAGGAAAAAGGAAAATTAAAGGGGAAAAACTACTTTACAGTGTTGTAGAAGTTATTGTGGAAGTCTATATATATTTCAGAGGAAACACACAAAAAAAATGTATTATTAACCAAGCCAGAGCTGTGGGAGTAAGAATAATGATGATGCTATTCCTAGAGAGACAACACCTGAGTTAAGCTGTTTGTTGGGCCGTGTTAAAGAGGTCAAGGAGGAGCAGAGGGATTCCAAGGGTTATCAATCTAAGGATTATTCAAGGGTGATTAGCAAAGGTTGGAACCAAAGGGGGCTATAATGATCAACATTTATTGCATGCTTATTACATGCCAGTCACTCAACAAAGAATTATTTCTTCTAATTTTTACTCAAGCTTCTGAGATATGTGATCTTAGGTTCGTTTTAAAGATGAGGGAACCAAGACACAGACGGACTAAATAATATTCCCAAGGTCACTTAAGTAGTAGATGGGGCTTTTCAGAAATGCCTACTTCTTGAATGCCTCAGGAATTTCTCAGCATGAGCAAAAAGTGATTGAATAAAAACGCTGAGGTGGATTGGCTGCTAGAGGCTCTATCACTACAGCCTACCAAAAGCAGCTCCTCTCACAGATATCACTATTGACATTTTCTCTGCCAACAATCTGTGAGGTCTCACACTGGGTGTTGGAATTAAATAGAGAGACACTTAAGTTTTCCATCTTTTTGGAGACACAAGACTGGTACAGAAAAGAAACATAAAAGTTTGAAGTTACAAAATATGAAGAAAATAAAAGATAGAAGTTACAAGATCTACAAGGCCAAGGTCCAAACGAACTGCTCAGCCTAAGAATGTTATAGTGAAGAGTAAAGAGTATCAGGCTGGACATGGTGGCTCATGCCTGTAATCCCTGCACTTGGGGAGGCTGAGACAGGTGGATAGCTTGATCTCAGGAGTTTAAGACCAGCCTGGGAACAATGGTGAAACCCTGTCTCTACAAAAAATACAATATTAGCTAGGTGGGGTGGCACGTGCCTGTAGTCCCATCTACTTGGGAGGCTGAGGCTGAGGTGGGTGGGTGGATTGAGCCCGAAGGGTTGAGGTTGCAGTGAGCTGTGATTGTACCACTGCACTCCAGCCTGGGTGATAGAACAGAACAAGATTCTGTCTCAGAAAAAAAAAAAAAGAAAAATAAAAAGAAAAAAAAATTAGGAGAAGTGAGTAGTAGAGAAAAAGCAAAAGCTTTGGGTGACCATAACCCTGGGTTTAAAATCTGGCTTTTCCATTTCTTGACTATATAACTTGTGAAGTCACTTAACAATTCTACGGTATATTTATTTGCTATGTGTAAAATATAACAATTATAATTGAGTATCAATTAAAATAGTCTAGTATACAGACAGGCATACACTCTCTCTTCAATCAATGTCAGTCATCATTTTTAATCAATGTACTCTACTAGACTTCCTTATTTCTGAGTAAGCATATAGATACATATTCTGGAGTATGTAGGACTTACCTCAACCTTAAACTCAGTGTTTGCCAAATGTTTTCACTTTTTAAATGGTTCTTGGATATTATTTTTTAGATTCTCGAAAGTACTTCTGATAGAGTTGTTATGGGTTGATTCCTGAGTCAGGATTGGATTCTAATACCAGAGCAGTGCTGGTTCACCAAATGAGCCACCTTTATTTTCTTTTTAGGAAGGCATCATGGTGCAGTAGGACACGCCCTACCATTTCTGCTGTGAAGCGTTAATTTCCTAAAGCATGACTTGAGACCAGTGACACCTGCCTTTCAAGGTTCATGTAGGGATTGAAAGGTGGGGTGTGTGAAAGGCATAGAAATGTGCATTTTCATACCATAGGTGCTCGATACTTGTTCCTTTCCTTCTCTTCCATTCCCCACTCCTGGGCTTCAGTTGCAAAAGCTATAAAATAAAGGGGCGAGGTTTTAAGATTTCTGAAGTCCCCACTAGCCTATTATGCAATGACTGCTGAATATCTACTTAAAGCAAAGGTGACCTTGTCATAAATAATGGTTTGCTGCACAGAATGTCTAGCTGTTAATGTCTCCCTGTCTGTTTGTAATGTATTGCTATTAGGCCTCGGTATAATTTTCTTTCCTGTCATTTTTTCCCTCTGGCCTTTCATTAATATTATTCACTTGAAAATACTTAATGTAAATCAAATTGCTCTCATTTGGCTTTCCACTGAAAGAAGACGCAAAGTTATTTATCTAACTATGGTCCTAGATTTTTAAATTTAGACCTTAGGAAATGGGAGGTATATGATTAATCTGCCCTTAAAATTGTGATATAGGATGGAACCTTACTAGTATGCTTCTTACATTAACTTCACAAATCTGTGGACAGTTGCCTTGTTCAGCAACCTTTGTATCATTTCAATATTTTCTTGAAACAGCTTTGAATTTTGCTTTTGATGTTTGCCTAACTAGTCAATACAAGCTTCATTACCATTGACAATTAACTGCAATTACTTCTAGCATGTATAGCCAAATCTGTATGTGTGGTCAATCATCTAGAGCTAATTAGAAGTATCTGCTGCTTATGGGGCTACAATATGCCATTTTTGGTTAGTGACTACTTGTGGAAAATTGTTATTAGGTTTCTGATACGATGCAATGTGATTGTATTTGCCTCAAATCTCCTCCAGCCAGGCTGTTTGGTTCACTGATAATTTGGATCCTGGTAAAATGGCCTAAGGCTTATCCTGAGGCTTTGTAATCATATCTCTCACTGGCTCTGAATCCTGCAAGCCCATTCAGCCTGTGAGAGTCCACAGAAGAAAAGATACAATGCCTTCTATGAGGAGGTCACCATTGAGGGTCGTTATGAGAAAGGCCTGGCTCTGTCATTTCCAGTCACCCTGAACTTAATCCAGCAGTGAGGCAAATTATTTGGCATGAGAAGTGTGGATGTCCTAGATGTTTGGAAACTGAGATTGAGATAAAGTTCCATTATACTCAGGTTATGAAAATATCATCTGCTCACCACTTTCCCCTTCCCCCTAGAATCTTGTACTAGTAAAACCTGAACATAACATGAAGTCTATCGTGTACCCAGTTTGGTGCCAAGTAGTGGCAACTTGAGTAGATATTTTCTCTTGATATTTTCCTCAGAGCTTTACACATTTACTTGCCTACTGGATTCTTACAGAAGAAGTGAGATGGTCCATCACCCTTTTCCCTTAAAACTGTGGGTCCTGCTGTAATAGCCCATGCAAGAACAGACATGGGGTTTCTATAAAACAGGGCTAAATGGCAATTCTGTTGGAAGGAGAGCCTAGGAGAGTCTCCTTGAAGGTATATTTTCATAGCAATCTCGCTGTTTTTAAATGCATCTTTTCAGAAGTTGATAGAATTTGTCGGGGGCTATATCCTCTCTAATACTAGTCCTTGATGCCATTTCTGCATGAAGAGGAGCTGACTGGAGCTTCCTCCTCGTCTTGTTTCTGCTTCATCTATTCTGACTGGGGTAGGGGGTCTTAGATGGTAGAGCCTACCAACACTCTGTAGAAGCAGTTCTGTAATTACTTTTACACTTCCCAGATGGCATCAATATTCCCAAATGGGCTTGTTAAAAATGCATTCCTTACACCCACAGATTCTCAAATAGAAAGCCTGAGGTAAGGACAAAAACATTCCTTTTCTACAAACTGCCAAAGAGAAACTAAGATAGGTGTTCCAGAGAGGTCGTACTTTGAAGGACTTTCTCTGTGTAACATGATTTCTCCCTCTCCTCATAGGCTCTTCACAGAAAGGAACAATAAATACCTGGAGAGTCACCAAGAGAGGATATGAGACTCCCAGTTGCTAAGTATCAGCTCTCCCTTGGTTAGCAAATTAAAGCAGGTGGTATTATGGAAAGAACATTGGATAAGAGGTTAGAAATTTGGATCCCAGATTTGACTCCACTCCCTAGTGTTATCATCTCTAGCCATTAATGTAAATTTCCTACCGTCTTAAGTTTCCTTTTCCAGGCAATAATAATTTTGATAATATTATTCCTGCTTATTTCAGAAAATTGTTTTTTATAATTTTGATGATATTATTCCTGCTTATTTCAGAAAATTGTTTTGAGGAGCAAATAAGATAATGGCTATGAAAGTGCTTTATAAAGTATTATGCAAATGTAAATAATTATTATTACACCTTTCTAGAATTAGAAATGATCAGAGATTGAACTACATGACCACCTAGATCTTCTGCAGCTCTAATCCCTATTATTAGGAAAGGGGTTACACAAATGTCATTCAATGCCACGCTTTTACAGCTATTTAAGAGTCTATAAATATCTGTGGCACAGCCTAACCTTCCTTCCACTTCACCGCAGCTGAACATGGTAATCAGATGGCAGTGGGGGTGGTTTTCATGAATTTCTTTTACTGGGGTAGATATCTTGCTGGGCCACTTCCATATTGTTTTAAATGTGTTTGCTTTTATTAAACAGGTGTATGTTCCTGTTGCTGCTTGTCTACCTTTCTCTGCCTCCATTATCCTCACAGGTGGATCTATTTCCTCCAGGAAATCCTCTCTTAACCCTCCCACCCACACACACCACCAGAACTTTGAGCCACTACTGCTTTCCATGTGCGCTCAGTACTTATTAGAGAACTACCTCACTAGAAAATAAATTACTTGATAGTATAGATTAGTATAGTATAGATTATGTCTTGCATATATTATTGAAGAACTACCTTACTAGAAAATAAATTACTTGATGGTATAGATTAATATACTATAGTATAGATTATGTCTTGGTCATGGTCTAACCCCTGCACATTTTCATGGCACATTGTATGTGTTTGATAAGGAGTGAATGCATGAATGTAAGAATAAATGTCAAAGGAATCCCATGTATAGGTTCAAATATTTACAGTTTTTGAGTTGGAACTGTAAAGACTTTCCTGGCAGAAGCAATAAGAATGTCAGAAGTCTCAGCCCCATCAAATGAAGTTTAGCAAGAAGTCTAATCACTGTAGGCCTAAACCTGGGAGTGAGATTACTGTGTTGCTACACCTACCGAAGCAGGTGCCCTATTGCAACCAAGTTGCAATATTTCATTCTCCCTACTGTACTGGTCCAGTTGCAAAAGTGAATTTTTGCTTCATTTCTGTACTCTGTAGTTTGCCTGATTATCTTCATGGTATTCCAGACCAGTAGTGTCAGCTGGTCCTGACTAGCCACGCTGATATTTGTTATTTTCATCATAAATATCATTTAATTACCTACCAGTGAACTCCTCTTAAGCTGTGGTTGCCGCCTAGTTTCCCAACTCTTTGTCTGCCTTCTATATTTGACTAATTAATTGCTACAGGTAAAGCTGTTCTTCTATCCTGAACACATAGTATACAATCCTAATCTACTATAGCAGTGAACATAGCAGGAAGATACCACCAACAGATCCCATTTGGGCTATGATGGGACCGTATTCTGGTATATCTCAGATTGCTCCACCATCCTTACTAGGACTTACCTCTGTGGCTAGATAATCTTCCTCCAACCTGCCAAATCCTTTACTCTTGGAAGCAAATTCTGCTTAATCCTAGCTTCCTTCACCATCTCCTGGTCCCATGATGCTGAGATCTGAGCATGCCTTGTGCACATACTGGCTTTGGTTGAAGATGTGCTAATGATGAGAGAGAGAAAAACTACTCCTGAGTCTCACGAAGCCTTATTAGATTAAATTTATTATTTTTGTTAACAGCATGGACTCTAAAGCCAGATTGCTGAGGTCCTAATCTCAACTCTGTCACTCTGGTGGAGTAATGTGGGAAGGTTACCTAATTCTCCTGTGTCTCAACTTCCTTATCTTTGAAATGAGTATGGTAACACTACCAACTTCTTATGGTTACTATGACAATTAATAGTTGAAACAAGTGGAATACTGAGAACAGTACCCAACTGAATCTTAAACATATATTCTCTAAAAATATATGTACTGCTCCAAGATATATTTAATAGTCTTATTAAAATATTAGTTGAACAAACATCCATGAGTCAATAATAAGAAAGGTAAATAACTAAATATAAAGAAATAAGGGAGGCAATAGAAAGCTATTATTCCCCATGGCAGAATTTGAATTAGTGAGTATAGAAAAAGTTAAAAAGATGGAAAAAAATTATCCTGTGGTAAACACCAAAATAATAGTTTCAGTAATCAATAACTGCTAAAATTAGTGTGTGGAAGTAATGAGAAATAGGATATTTTCATATTCTGAAAGTATTCTACAATGTACTTAGCCATTACAAAGTAAAAATAGTAAACTTATACTGGAGAAACTCGATAAAAGTAATGTTAGCCAAGTGATCAAATTGAACACTAACATAATGAGACAAATCAGTGTCATGAGCTTCTTTATATAATGTCCCAAGAAGTCTCAAAATAACTTCTGTTGTGTTCTTACTATAAATGCCTAATCTACATATTAAATATAATCAGGAGTAATATGGAACAAACCAAATTGTGCTATATTCTGTAAAACAATTAGCCAGTGTATTAGCCCATTCTCACACTGCTATGAACAATTGCCCAAGACTGGGTAATTTATAAAGGAAAGAGGTTTAATTGACCCACAGTTCCACATGGCTGGGGAGGCCTCAGGAAACCGACAATCATGATGTAAGTAGAAGCAAGTACCTTCTTCACAAGGTGGCAGAAAAGAGAAGTGTGAGCGAAGGAGGAACTTGCCAAACACTTATAAAACCATCCAGTCTCGTGAGAATTCACTCGTGATCACGAGAACAACATGGGACAACCCGCCCCCATAATCCAAACACTTTCCACCCTCCCCACGTGGGAATTACAATTCAAGACGAGATTTTGGTAGGGACACAAAGCCTAACCATATCAGCCATTATTCTTCACAAAGTCATCAAAAACAAAGAAAGGCTGAAAATCTGTCCTAAATTAAAATAAATGTAAGATGATACAATAAGTATATGGAGTATATGATCCTGAATAAGATTTTTGCCTATAGAATACTTTAGTGGGGCAATTGATAAACTTTGAAAAAGGTCAATGGATTAGTTAATAGTTTAGAAATGGTGTTCCCTGGTGTTGAAAAACTGTACTAATTTATGTAATATGTCAACATTTGGTGAATTCGAGTGAAGAATGCATAAGAATTACGCATTAGTGAGATTTTTGTAAGTCTTGTTTACCATATGCCAAGGAGAGAATAGTAGTTCTAGCTCTACGAAGGTTACAGAAAGCAAACATAGGATTTATAAGCCCAAGTGCTTATAGTCTAGTAAAGGATATAAAATGACAATGTAAACAATGCTATGTGCTATGAAATACGTAATTTTAATTTTATGGAAATTTTGGAAATATAGAAATGTATTCTAATGGAAAGTGAAAAATATACTTCATGACCAAGGCAGCATTTTAGCCACACATTGGATGACATCTGGAATTGGAGCATGTAAAGATAGGCGAAGAAGAGAGTGTAAGAAACGCGTGACCAAGAGCCAAGAGCAGTTGATTTCAATGAAAGGTTCAGGACTGGAGCATTGGGTATTTGTAGAAGGCTAGCTGGGCATGAGTATTGAGATTTCATTAGGGAAAGTGTTGAAAGCAATGACAAAATGTCATGATTTCATTCAGTAGTCCGTAAGAAGCCATGGAAGTTTTTTGGGCAGGATAATGTCAAGATTGGTAAACAGAGATGTATAAGAGTGACTGTGTTAGATGAGGTGGAAGGAAGGATCAGGGCATATCCATTGACCACTTTATGTGATTTAAACATTCAACATTAAGAGAAGAAGTATTCCACAGGTATTTGCATTGCTTTCTTAACTGTGAAATAGTTGTTCATGTTTAAATGGACTGATTAAGAATCATGAACTCAGAGCTCTTCACATTTGCAGAAGCAGATGGTGGAATTAAAGAGACCTCTTAATACATTTTTTACCCAGCTTTTCCTACAATAGATGGGACAGTTTTAAATAAAGGCTTGGATGTGTATACATATTTAATTATAACAAAATTTAGGAAATGCAGCATTTCAAGTGCAATTCTGTAATCTGAAGACAACATTTTTCTGTGGTTCTGATCATTGATTTTCCCACAACATTTATTAAATATTTATTTATTGCACAAATGTTGAAATGTGTTTCTTAAGTTACCAGTTTATATAATCTTTTTTCACTCTATTCTGCCACATATTATAATAAAAATAGATTTTATAATTGTGCTAAAGTACAAATAATAAAATAACATAAAATACAGAAACATTTCAAAAAATTCTTGTGATTTCAATCATTTAGCCAGACTCAAACTGTCTTGCTTCAAAAAATACTCTCTGAATACATGAATTTTAAAAATCTATTTTCACTAGATGAAATTTCACAACTGTCTTTATTCTAGTTTATTCATTTTCACATCTATCTTTCAAAAACATTGTAATCATGAATTGTATACTTGTTGGAAAGGTTCATGAACATGATAATTATAGGATTGTATAACTGCTCTCATAAAGTTTCCAAATATAACTTGATGACATTTAAAAAGTTATTTTAAAGCTAAATTTCAGTTTGTCTTTTAAATCTGTTTAAATGGATCATGCATATTGTAGTATAGATAGATGTGAAAGAAGATTAGATGTGATAAAAATCTATGGCCAAGATGAGCCTGCTTAAAATCATGACAAGCTCCTTCCCTTCCTTTTTATTTTCTAAATATATGATGAAAAAATATCACAAAATGTTCTGTACAAGACTCTCATGTAACTATTTTGTTGTTGTCTCCATACTGGCATGTCAGTACAGAGGACAGATCACTATACTTGGGCTTCAAAAAAATCAGTAATTATTGTTCCATTCATAAGCATTATGGACTCTCTGAGGTTCAATTTTCTTATTTTTGAAGCAAGAAATTACCTGTAAAAACTTAGCCCATAAAAGATGTTTAATACATGTTATACAGTCCTGAATTTCATTACTTTTAATCAACATTTAAGTGTTCATTGAATACCTACTGGATTAAAGCACCAAGCCTCCCAGAGAAAAAACACTCTTCTTGACTTCAACATAGCTGTAGAGGCTACACATGCAGGGACAATTCAACTCTTACCTCTGTCTGTGAAAAGGTTGAGACCTAGATGTGTGCCCTGATAGCATTATACTGTTAAAGGAGACATCCACAATGAAATCTGTGTCTGAGCATAAGAAGCAGTAACTTATGAGAATGTATCATCTTCATTGAAGACATGAAATCTTTTCATAGTGTGAGCTTTAAGTTGCAGGTACACCTAGGTCTCAACACAGTATGTGTGATTCAATTTCTCCTTCTTCCTCTAGTGACCTCCTTCTTCCTAATCCTAGATTCTATAATCAATTTGTTTAGATAACTTACTGGTTTAGCACTTAATCTGATCTATCCACTGCATGTATTTCCTAGATGAAGGGACAGACTTGGAGGCTGTGCGACAAGCCTGCTGAGGCACAGCACGGGAAACTTAGCATAGGGGTCAGACCTTTTCCAACACTTTTCTTGTCAAACTGAGCTGCCTCATTTTTAGTATATTGATAAACAGTTCAGTGTCCCTAGTATAATGGCTACTGATACCATGAAAGTGGCACTTTAATCTTGTCATGGTGTATTACAGTATTTTCCTGCAAGGGATTACATGGCAGAGAATCAGTGAATTATCCAGAATCCCCTTCAATTCCCATCCTGCAGGGAAATGTGCCTGAGTAGACCAGCTGGAGGCACCATGAAAAATGCCAGCAAAGCAGGACCCCATGCCCCTCACACTCACATATTTGTAACAAAGTTGGAAAGGAAATCAGGGAACATTAACTCTACTATGTAATAAGAGACATTTGTTGGTTGAGAAAATAGCCTTTTTAGTAAAGGTGGGCTCCAAAATTCAGTTGCTGGCATCAACCTGCCCTGTTTTTGAGTTGACTAAGATATACACATCTAGCCACTTGCAAAGAGATACAAAAATTTGGGAGAAAACAAGCCTCCAGGACCTTCAGAACTTACCCTTCTTTACCTGAGTAAGGGTTGGATAATCATAAAATCAATTTGCACATTAAAACACAAAGATCCCGCAGAAGTCAGTTTCTGTATCCAAAAATAAAGTTAATTTCATGTAAACATTAGGCATCCGTTACTTTCAAGAAAGTTTTTTTTAGGTTTGTTGCATTTCTGTGTACTTGAGGCTGACCTTATATTTTGTAAATGTTAAAACTGAAATTGTCATTAGAAATCATAGTGTTCAATACCTTTAACTGAGACTAAAAGTGGTGAACAGGTTTTTCTAAGGACATAAATAGGTTGACCACAAATGATTATCTAAATGATTGTCTAAATGACCACAAATGATTGTCTAACTTCGAGAGTGCTCAGAAGTGTTGTAACTCTGGGAGAACAATCATAAAAGGAAATGTCACAGGAAAACATAGGCCATATGGTTGCTCCAGCATAGAAATAATTAATAATTATATCTTTTGAATTTGGTTATCAATTACACGAGTACACCACTTCATGATCTTGGGAAAGAGCCTGTGGCTGGCTGTGCATGTAGTGTATCAGTAGTGTGAAGGACAGTATTAACGCAGTCAATGTCTCCCGAACGGTCTGACATTTTGACATGGTGACTTCACAGATTTGAGATTAAAATGAAAGGATGTTGAATTATTTTCCAGATATAAATTAATGGGAAGACAGAATACACAGACAGATGTCAATGCAAGTGTGTGGCATTGTTCCTAGGTACACCCTGGGGCTGCCTACCTGCCCAGGATATCAGGCGTGAAGGCAGCAGACCCATTTCAGATCCTGTTTACCAGTCAGTGGGAAGGAAGCCCCAACCTACTTCCAGGATTTCCTTGGCTCAGAGACTGAGGACTAAGCTCACTCCTGGGGAAGTTATTATTGCAGATTGCTATGTGGAGAGAAAGTTGGCAAAGATGATAGCAACAGGGACAAACAAAGTTTTACCAGTGTGAAACCAAACAACAAGGTAATGGGCACAGAAAACGTTTATCCTGAAAACTCGTTTTATTTCATTTTTCAGCAAAATGAATGTTGGCAAAGCTACATTTTTAGACAAAATTTACTGACCACAAAGTGCCAGAGAAGCTGAGAGATTTCATATCACTGTTAAAGTAACAGCTATCTTTGGGCAAATGAAGGAAAAGCCCATGAGACAGGAGTGAGAATGTGGTGAATATCATCATTTAAAAAAATAAAACTAAACAATGTATTTCTTCGAGTTATATAAGATGATTTTATTAAGAATGAATAACTCAAGTGTTAGAAAAGCAGGACTAGCTTAAGATCTTAAGATAGGTTTATTTTGAATTGTAAAAATCAAATGTGCAATCTCAATAAGATGAAATTAGTTTATGAGTAGATTAGAGAACTTATTTATTTTAATATGTTACTATCTAATTAAAATACTAATTTAGCAAACCCAGAATCCATCTATGATGTCTCTCCTTGGTCAGCTAGCACAGCCATCTGGTTACCAAATATTGTTGACTCCATCTCTGGAATCCATTTCCAATTTTCCATATTCATTGTCAATAACAAACACTTAATAAATCCATAATTGGTTGTCTTTGTTTAGCACTTACTGTACCAAGTGTTATATTTTGAAGAAAAATGATACACAGAATTTTGTCACTAGCATCTGTGACAGACAGAAAATGATGAAAATATTCTGTAATCTAAAAAGTTACAAAGTTACAGCATGTTAAGTAACTGTAACCAAGAGAATTTACTATTTTGCAAGAAAAAATTTAAAATAGAAGATATTTGGATCAACTTATGTTGTAACTGTTTCCTGAACTTCAGTCATTCATTTATTGGAAATAATTGGCTATAGTGAATAATGTTGCAAAAAACATGGGAGGGTGGGTCTCTTTGAGATCTTCCTTACAATGCTTTTAGATATATATCCAGAAGTAGGATTGTTGTATTATATGGTATTTCTGTTTTTCATAGCTACTGTACCATTTTACATTCCTCCCAACAGTGTACAAGGGGTCTAATTTCTCCACATTTTTGCCAACACTTATCTTTTTAAAACATAATAATAACAGGTGTGAGATGATATCTTATTGTAGTTTTGATTTGCATCACTCCGTAATTTGTGATATGGAGGGTCCTTTCATATACCTATTGGCCATTAGTGTGCTTTCTTTGGAGAAATGTTTATTTGCTCCTCTGTTGTTTAGGTTATTTAATTTTTTGCTACTGAATTGCAGGAATTCCACCTCTAAGTGAAAAACAGCAATTTTATAAATATAAGTTAATTATAAAAATGCATGACTATTGAAATAAAAATATTCATCAATAGTGACCTAAAATAATCTTGTATATTCCCAGCATCCCTTACGCCATACTTTGGTAAATACTGTTCATGGTCTTAGAAATGCCAAGCAAGCAGACAGCAGGAAACTAGTGATCTAGAATCAGCAAGAAACCTCTAAGGTAAGGGTGGGATTGGTCATAGACCCTCTTTTTCCCTATTTTTCTCTCACTACTGCATTTTGTTTTCATGAATGCCAACTGCCTTTCTCTAAAGTTTATTAATGTCCTTGCACTCCCCTAGGACAATAAACAGTTACAAGAATAAAATTTACACGTTCTCGAGAAGTTTATCTGCTATTGTATAACATAAAGAAGCAGAGAAAATGTCTAGACCTGTGGGTCAACTCTCAGAAATCTTAATATGTAACCACAAAGACTGCTATTTTCAGCTTCTTAATTTTCACTTGTTAATGTGTCTAAAACTACCATAGCTTAAATAATAGCTTGCAATTTCTGAAAACAGAAAATCTCATAGAAAATTCGCTGGGTTTTCAAGGTATGCCATATTAAGACAACTCCTAGCCTCCAACATGCTTAAATTGAAAAGAGATAATTCAGAGTCCGGAACGTGGGTTCCATCCCTCACAATGCATAGTCTGAGAAGTATTTGATTTCACTGAGTCTCATATTTCATGTATATATATAAACTTGAAAAATTATTTCTTATCTCAACCTGTATATTTTTATCAGGATTTCCAGAACCTTCCCAAACAGATTAGAGGATGATATATATTTTAAGTTATTCAATGACTGACTCTTTTTAATTGGCAGCTGTTATACTCAAGATATTATCTTAGATGCTGGGGATAAGCAGCTAAGCTAAGCTGAATTTGTTTCCATTTTCAAAAAGCTTCTAATCTAGTGACGAGAATAATGCATCAATACTCAGAGAAACTACACGTTATAGTACAAGGTAGAGTTCTATCCTATAGAAAATGAATTTTTCCATTTGCTGTTATAATTAAATATTGATAAATAGATTTATTGGGTCATGTCTATGAAATTCATTTAGCAAGATCAATAGATTGTGCTATAATAAAAGTACTAAGGAAATTCATAAACAAACGGAAAATGCACTGAAGAAATCATTGCTTTGAAAGTCTTCTTTGGCAAGAGTCTTAATTTAAGGCATCTATCCCTGCCACTCAGTCCTGGAAAACTATAGCCAAGACAGGACATCCACAGTCTCTAGGGCAGAATGATTTCTATCTAACCAGAGGGGTGGGCAGGGGACAGTCAAGTGGATGGAAGGAGACCTTGTAATCTGAGCCAATAAAATTTTGCATGGTAAAGAGTATTTTTCACTCCACTAACCCTTAATCAGAAGTCTCTTTATCTTCTTTCTTCATATATTCACACTCATTCTGAGTATTTTTCACTTTAAGTCATATTCTCTGAACAGCAGGAAAAGAAACTTTGATATCAGAATTATCTTAAATTTATAATCCTTTTCTCTAAATTCAAGTGTCCTCATCTGAAAAATAAGGCGATTTTATTTACAAATTTATTATTGTTGTGAAGGTGTGACAAGATAACATTGACAAAGTCCCTCGTGCCCAGCACAGTGTGTGGCACATCATAGAAGTTCAGCAAACGTCAGTTCCTTCCCCAGAGTCAAGGTTAATTATATCTTGTTTTCAAATATTGCAATTTTTTGTTTTATATATTTATGACATTTATTAATAACACTACAACTCAACTAATTCCTTTGGACATAGGTTCATTGGTTCATTCATTCGAAAAACATTAATTGATATGTCCATGGGCTAGCCACTGGATTAGATTCTTGAAGTGTAGAAATTAATAAAGTAATCTTGCATTCAGGGAATTTTCAGTCAAACAGGAGACTACATTTCAACAATTGGTTTTAGTTTAGTTTGCTAAGTGCTATGATAGAGACATGTACAGTGTGTAGTGGGGCTCAGAGAAAGGAGTGGTCAAAGTTGGTGGTAGGCAGGGATGTTTCAAAGAGGGATTGGATGAATAATTATTACCTCAATTAGTGAAAAGGACACTAGAATGTAATCCAAGAGACTCTGGACAAATCTTACTTTTGTGGTCATTTTTGCAAGGCATCATTTATACTGAGCATTGATTCAATGGTCTTAGGTCAGCTCAGCCTGCAGCTGGAACACACCCTTTTTATAGCCTAAAAGGAATAAATTCTGATAGCTGTTCAGAAAGTCAGAAAATTCAATTTTAAATAAACTATTAGGTTATCTAGGATGAACAAAATGGATGCTGTGATTGTTTTGGTAAACTACTCTTGAGCAAATCTGACACATCTTAATACTGGTTTACCTTGATCTTTCAGTTAATTTCTGTAAATATAGGTCAGGTGGCTACTCCAGGCCAGGCACATTGTAATACACTGGGGATATTGCAGTTAACAACAACAACAACAACAAAATCCCATCAATAATGTCACTCCTAGTCTCAAGAGTGATAGGAAGATAAACCAAAATATTCCAGTGATGTTGGTTGAACTTGGCAAGTGATTCACTTTCTTCCATTAAACATTTGTTGAACATTTGCACCATGATGTAGGACTACACAGAGTGATGTGACGGCATAGAGATATAATTGGTCTGCACTGGTGTTCAAAGAAGGCTTCTTGAAAGACGTGAGGTCTAAGGTGTATCCAAAGAATCAAAGGTGATTTGTCAGGCAATGGGAGTGCGCTTTTCAAGCAGTAGAATAATACTAAGTAATGCCATGGAGCTACAAAACAGCATGATGCCTGTGGGTATTAGGAAGCAGTTTAACATTACTAGAGACTCATGTATAAGTAGAAGTGGTGAATTATGAAGCTGGAGAAGTGGGCAGGAATGAAGTCATGAAAACCTTGTCCATATGATAAGTGTGTATCATAAAGGACTTTCTCAGCTTTCTGGAGCCATTAAAAAAATGGCATTTTTTGTGGATAATAGAAGTTTCTGTTTGCAGTAGTGCATTAATAAATTGCTCTTAATTCATAGTAACTACTATCCAGAATGGTAATATTTATGTTTTTTTATTATACTTTATGTTCTGGGATACATGTGTAGAACGTGCAGGTTTGTTACATAGGTATACACGTGCCATGGTGGTTTGTTGCACCCATCAACCCATCATCTACATTAGGTATTTCTCCTAATGCTATCCCTCCCCTAGCCCCCGACTCCCTGACAGGCCCCAGTGTATGGTGTTCCCCTCCCTGTGTCCATGTGTTCTCATTGTTCAACTTCCACTTATAAGTGAGAACATGTGGTGTTTGGTTTTCTGTTCGTGTGTTCGTTTGCTGAGAATGATGGTTTCCAGCTTCATCCATGTCTCTGCAAAGGACATGAACTCATCCTTTTTTTATGGCTTCATAGTATTCCATGGTGTGTATGTGCCACATTTTTTTATCTAGTCTATCATTGATGAACATTTCGGTTGGTTCCAAGTCTTTGCTATTATGAACAGTGCTGCAATAAACATATGTGTGCATGTGTCTTTACAGTAGAATGATTTATAATCCTTTGGGTATATACCCAGTAATGGGATTGCTGGGTTAAATGGTATTTCTGGCACTAGATCCTTGAGGAATTGCCACACTGTCTTCCACAATGGTTTAACTAATTTATATTCCCACCAACAGTGTGAAAGCATTCCTATTTCTCCACACCCTCTCCAGCATGTTTCCTGACTTTTTAATAATCGCCATTCTAATTGGCATGAGATGGTATCTCATTGTGGCTTTGTTTTGCATTTCTCTAATGACCAGTGATGATGAGCTTTTTTTATATGTTTGTTGGCCGCATAAATGTCTTTTGAGAAGTGTCTGTTCATATCCTTCACCCACTTTTTGATGGGGTTGTCTTTTCCTTGTAAATTTGTTTGAGTTCTTTGTAGATTCTGGATATTAGCCCTTTGTCAGATGAGTAGATTGCAAAAATTTTCTCCCATTCTGTAGGTTGCCTGTTCACTCTGATGATAGTTCCTTTTGCTGTGCAGAAGCTCTTTAGTTTAATTAGATCCCATTTGTCAATTTTGGCTTTTGTTGCCATTGCTTTTGGTGTTTTAGTCATGAAGTCCTTGCCCATGCCTATGTCCTGAATGCTATTGCCTAGGTTATGTTGTAGGGCTTTTATGATTTTAGGTCTTACATTTAAATCTTTAACACATCTTGAGTTAATTTTTGTATAAGGTGTAAGGAAGGGGTCCAGTTTTAGTTTTCTACATATGGCTAGCCAGTTTTCCCAACACCATTTATTAAATAGGAGATCCTTTCCCCATTGCTTGTTTTTGTCAGGTTTGTCAAAGAAAGATCAGATGGCTGTAGATGTGTGATGTTATTTCTGAGGCCTCTGTTCTGTTCCATTGGTCTATTTATCTGTTTTGGTACCAGTACCATGCGTTTTGGTTACTGCAGCCTTGTAGTATAGCTTGTAGTCAGGTAGCATGATTTTCCAGCTTTGTTCTTTTTATTTAGGATTGTCTTGGCTATATGGGCTCTTTTATGGTTCCATATGAATTTTAAAGTAGGTTTTACTAATTCTTTGAAGAAAGTCAATGGTAGCCTGATGGGGATAGCATTAAATCTATAAATTACTTTGGGAAATATGGCCATTTTCACAATATAATTCTTCCTATCCATTAGCATGGACTGTTTTTCCATTTGTTTGTGTCCTCTTATTTTTTTTTTTGGGCAGTGGTTTGTAGTTCTCCTTGAAGAGGTCCTTCACATCCCTTCTAAGTTGGATTCCTAGGTATTTTATTCTCTTTGTAGCAACTGTGAATGGGAGTTCCCTCATTATTTGGCTCTCTGTTTGTCTGTTCATGGTGTATAGGAATGCTTGTGAATTTTCCCACATTGATTTTGTATCCTGAGATTTTGCTGAAGTTGCTTATCAGCTTAAGGAGATTTTGGGCTATGATGATGGGGTTTTCTAAAAAGACACAATCATGTCATCTGCAAACAGAGACAATTTTACTTCCTCTCTACCTATTTGAATACCTTTTATTTCTTTCTCTTGCCTGATTGCCCTAGCCAGAACTTCCAATACTATGTTGAATAGGAGTGGTGAGAGAGGGCATCCTTGTCTTGTACTGGTTTTCAAAGGGAATGCTTCCAGCTTTTGCCTATTCAGTGTGATATTGGCTGTGAGTTTGTCATAAATAACTTATTATTTTGAGATACGTTCCATCAATACCTAGTTTATTGAGAGTTTTTAGCATGAAGGGGTGTTGAATTTTATCGAAGGCCTTTTCTGCATCTATTGACATAATCATGTGGTTTTTGTCACTGGTTCTGTTTATGTGATGGATTGTGTTTATTGATTTGCATATGTTGAACCAGCCTTGCATCCCAGGGATGAAGCCGACTTGATACTGGTGGATAAGCTTTTTGATGTGCTGCTGGATTCATTTTGCCAGTATTTTATTGAGGATTTTCATGTTGATGTTCCTCAGGGATACTGGCCTGAAATTTTCTTTTTTTGTTGTGTCTCTGCCAGGTTTTGGTATCAGGATGATGCTGGCCACATAAAATGAGTTAGGGAGGAGCCCCTCTTTTTCTATTGTTTGGAATAGTTTCAGAAGTAATGGTACCAGCTCCTCGGTGTACCTCTAGTAGAATTCGGTTGTGAATCCATCTGGTCCTGGGCTTTTTTTTTGGTTAGGCTATTAATTAAGGCCTCAATTTCAGAACTTGTTATTAGTCTATTCAGGGATTTGAACTCTTCCTTGTTTAGTCTTGGGAGGGAGTATGTGTCCAGAAATTTATCCATTTCTTCTAGATTTTCTAGTTTATTTGTGTAGAGGTGTTTATAGTATTCTCTGATGGTAGTTTGTGTTTCTGTGGGATTAGTGGTGATATCCCCTTTATCATTTTCTATTGAGTCTATTTGATTCTTCTCTTTTTTTCTTTTTTATTAGTCTGGGTAGTGGTCTATTTTGTTAATCTTTTCAAAAAACCAGCTCCTGGATTCGCTGATTTTTTTGAAGGGTTTTTCATGTCTCTATCTCCTTTAGTTTTCCTCTGATCTAAGTTATTTCTTGTCTTCTGCTAGCTGTTGAATTTGTTTGCTCTTCCTTTTCTAGTTCTTTTAATTGTGATGTTAATGTGTTGATTTTAGATCTTTCCTGCTTTCCCCTGTGGGCATTTAGTAAATCTCCCTCTAAACACTGCTTTAGCTGTGTCCCAGAGATTCTGGTACGTTGTGTCTTTGTTCTCATTGGTTTCAAGCAACTTATTTATTTCTGCCTTAATTTTGTTATTTACTCAGTAGTCATTCAGGAGCAGGTTGTTCAGTTTCCATGTAGTTGTGTGGTTTTGAGTGACTTTCTTAATCCTGAGTTCTAATGCACTGTGGTCTGAGAGACTGTTTGCTATGATTTCCATTCTTTTGCATTTGCTGAAGTGTGTTTTACTTCCAATTATGTGATCAATTTTAGAATAAGTGTGATGTGGTGCTGAGAAGAATGTATATTCTCTTGATTTGGGGAGGAGAGTTCTGTAGATGTCTATTGGGTCCGCTTGGTCCAGAGCTGAGTTCAAATCCTGAATATCCTTGATAATTTTCTGTCTCATCGATCTCTCTAATATTGACAGTGCAGTGTTAAAGTCTTCCACTATTATTGCGTTTGAATCTAAGTCTCTTTGTTGGTCTCTTAGAACTTGCTTTATGAATCTGGGTGCTCCTGTATTGGGTGCTTATATATTTAGGATAGTTAGCTCTTCTTGTTGCATTGATCCAGTTACCATTATATAATGCCCTTCTTTGTCTCTTTTGACCTTTGTTGGTTTAAAGTCTGTTTTATCAGAGACTAGGATTGCAACCCCTGATTTCTGTTTTCCATTTGCTTGGTAGATCTTCCTCCATCCCTTTATTTTGAGCCTATGTGCGTCTTTGCACATGAGATGGGTCTCCTGAATACAGCACACTGATGGGTCTTGACTCTTTATCCAATTTGCCTGACTATGTCTTTTAATTGAGGCATTTAGCCCATTTACATTTAAGGCTAATATTGTTATGTGTGAACTTAATCCTGTCATTATGATGCTAGCTGGTTATTTTGCCCATTCGTTGATGCAGTTTCTTCATAGTATTGATGGTCTTTACAATTTGGCATGTTTTTGCAGTGGCCGGTACTGGTTTTTCCTTGCCATATTTAGTGCTTTCTTCAGGAGCTTTTGTAAGGCAGGCCTGGTGATGACAACATCTCTCAGCATTTGCTTGTCTGTAAAGGATTTTATTTCTCCTTCACTTATGAAGTTTAGTTGGCTGGATATGAAATTCTGGGTTGACAATTATTTTCTTTAAGAATGTTGAATATTGGCCCCCATGATCTTCTGACTTGTAGAGTTTCTGCCAAGAGATCCACTGTTAGTCTGATGGGCTTCCCTTTGTGGGTAATCTGACCTTTCTCTCTGGCTGCTCTTAACATTTATTCCTTCATTTCAACATTGGTGAAACTGACGATTATGTGTCTTGGGATTGCTCTTCCTGAGGATTATCTTTGTGGTGTTTTTGTATATTTTCTGAATTTGAATGTTGGCCTGTCTTCCTAGGTTGGAGAAGTTCTCCTGGATAATATCCTAAAGAGTGTTTTCCAACTTGGTTTCATTCTCCTCATCACTTTCAGGTACACCAATCAAACACAGGTTTGGTCTTTTCACATAGTCCCATATATCTTGGAGGCTTTGTTCGTTCCTTTTCATTCTTTTTTCTCTAATCTTGTCTTCACACTTTATTTCATTAAGTTGATCTTCAATCTCTGATATCCTTTCTTCTGCTTAATTGGTTAGACTATTGATACTTATCTATGCTTCATGAAGTTCTTGTGCTGTGTTTTTCAGCTCCATTAGGTCATTTATGTTCTTCTCTAAACTGGTTATTCTAGTCAGCAATTCCTCTCATCTTTTTTCAAGGTTCTTAGCTTCTTTACATTGGGTTAGAACATGCTCCTTTAGCTCAGAGGAGTTTGTTACTACTCACTTTCTGAAGCCTACTTCTGTCAGTTCATCAAACTCATTCTCCATCCAGTTTTGTTTCCTTGCTGGCAAGGAGTTGTGATCCTTTGGAGGAGAAGAGGCAGTCTGGTTCTTGGAATGTTCAACCTTTTTGCACTGTTTTTTTCTCATCTTCGTGGATTTATCTACCTTTGGTCTTTGATGTTGGTGACCTTCAGATGGAGTTTTTTGTGGACATCCTTTTTGTTGATGTTGATGCTATTCCTTTCTGTTTGTTAGTTTTCCTTCTAACAGTCAGGCCCCTCTGCTGCAGGTCTGCTGGAGTTTGCTGGAGGTCCACTCCAGGCCCTGTTTGCCTAGGTATTACCAGCAAAGGCTGCAGAACAGGAAAAATTGCTGCCTGTTTCCTCCTCTGGAAGCCTCATCCCATAGGGGTACCCACCAGATGCCAGCTAGAGCTCTCCTGTATGAGGTGTCTGTCGATCCCTGATGGGAGGTGTCTCCCAGTCCAGAGGCATGGGGGTCAGGGACCCACTTGAGGAGGCAGTCTGTCCCTTAGCAGAGCTTGAGTGCTGTGATGGGAGATCCACTGCTCTATTCACAGCTGGCAGCCAGGAACATTTAAGTCTGCTGAAGCTGCGCCCACAGTCACCCCTTCGCCCAGGTGCTCTGTCCCAAGGAGATGAGAGTTTGATCTATAAGCCCCTGACTGGGGCTGCTGCCTTTCTTTCAGAGATGCCCTGACCAGTGAGGAGTAATCTAGAGAGGCAGTCTGGCTACAGCAGCTTTGCTGAGCTGTGGTGGGCTCTGCCCAGTTCAAACTTCCTGGTGGCTTTGTTTACACTGTGAGGGGAAAACCACCTACTCAAGCCTTGATAATGGTGGACACCTCTCCCCCCACCAAACTTGAGTGTCCCAGGTCAACTTCAGACTGCTGTGCTGGTGGCAAGAATTTTAAACCAGCGTATCTTAGCTTGCTGGGCTCCATGAGGATGGGATCCACTTGGCTCCCTGGCTTCAGCCCCCTTTCCAGGGGAGTGAATGGTTCTGTATCATGGCATCCAGGCATTACTGGAGTATGAATAAAAACTGCAGCTAGCTCACTGTCTGCCCAAATGGCCACCCAGTTTTGTGCTTGAAACCCAAAACCCTGGTGGCATAGGCACCTGAGGGAATCTCTGGTCTGCGGGTTGTGAAGACTTTGTCAAAAGCATAGTATCTGGGCCAGAATCCACCGTTTCTTACAGCACAGCCCTAGCCTCCCTTGGCTAGGGGAAGGAGTTCCCCAACCCCTTGTACTTCCCGGAAGAAGTGATGCCCCACCCTGCTTCAGCTCACCCTCCATGGGCTGCACCTACTGTCTAACCAGTCCCAGTGAGAAGAGCAAGGTACCTCAGCTGGAAATGCAGAAATCACCCACCTGCATTGATCTCACTGGGAGCTGCAGACTGGAGCTGTTTGTATTTGGCCATCTTGCCAGCCACCTATGTTTGTTATTATCCATCCATTCATGCAGTAAGTAAGTACTTATTAATATATTACAATGCCCCATCACTATTACTGGTCCAAAGAATAAACTAGTGAGTAAAATAGATGCAACCCTACCATCACAAAACATACTATCTAGAGAAGAAGATAAATATCAAGTTAAGAACTGTGCAATAACACCATGGAGGGCAGTTAGTTAGGAGTAAGTATATGGAGTATTGGGAAGCAAGTAACTTTAGGACACAGTGTAAGCAGAGTGGCAGGGACCGACGGCCTCCTGAGAAAAGGTCAGTGCAGAGGAGACCTGAAGAAAGAATATGATTTTAACAGGTGAAGATTGGGTAGGAAAGAAGATACCTTTCCACTATCAGGGATGGTATGTGCTTAGGCTCAGTGGCAGATTAGTAACAACACTCATGTGGAATGAGAAGGCAGCCAATAGAGATGAGTTAAACTAAGCAGGAAAGAAAATGGTCAAAGATGGATCTGGAGGAATAGGTAGCTACGAGCACATGTAAGTCCTCATAGATTATATTAAGGATTTGAACTATCTCCTAAGAGAGTTTAAATTTGGATTTTCATTTTTAAAAGGGCATTCTCAGTACCTATTGAGTATAATGTTCACTATTTAGGTAATGGATATCCAAATAGAAGCCCAATCCCCAGCAGTACATAATATGCCCATATAGCAACATGCACATGTACTCCCTGAATCTAAAATGAAACAAGATTTAAGAAGTAAGGAATAAATAAATAAAAAGGGCATCCTGGCTGCCAAGTGAACAAAGAGCCTGAAGTGATGCTACAAGAGTAAGCATGAGGTTAGAGGGTCCTGATGCCTGGCTAAGATAAGGATCATGCTAGGAGCTATGAAGAGTGATGGAGTGAGTACACAAAGGTTGACACTGCTGTTTAAAACCTCAATGATAAGGGGAAGGAATGTTCCACAGTGAAAAGTTGTTATCTAGTTGCTTGAGTGTTCAGAGGTTTCCCACATCTTTTGTAGAACTCATGTAGCTTAATGACCTCTTCCATAGTAACAACCATTTGTTTGAGAGACAAGCAAGAAAAAAAGCATGGAGCAACAGGAAGTCTTATTGATTGCTTGTGGGAATTCGAAATGGCATAGCCACTTTGGAATACAAACGAACAAACAGTTTCCTACATAACAAAACATACTCTTACCATACTATCAAGCAATCATGCCCCTTTGCATTTTGCCAGTTGAGCTGAAAACTTATGCCCACACAAAAACCTACACATAAATATGTATTCATGAATTTATTCATAATTGCCAAAACTTGGAAGCAACCAAGATGTCCTTCAGTGGGTGAATGGTATAAACTGTGGCACATTCATACAATAGAATAGTAGTCAGTGATGAAAAGAAATGAGCTATCAAGCTATGAAAAATCATGGAGGAGCCTTGAGAGCATATTGCTATGAGAAAAAAAAAAAGCCAATCTGAAAAGACTACATACTGTATTATTCTTAATATATGACATTCTGAATAAAGAAAAACTATGGAAACAGTAAAAATATTAGTGGTTGACGGGTTTCAAGGGAGGAGGGAGCAGGAGAAGAAGGATGAATGGGCAGGGCACAGGGGATTTTTAGGGCCTGAAATTTTATTGTGTATGAGGCTATAATGGTGGATACATGTCATTATAAATTTGTCAAAAGCCATAGCATGTACAACACAGAGTGAACCCTAAAGTAAACTATAGACTTCAGTCAATAATAATGTATCAATATTGATTCATCAATTGTAACAACTATTCTACAATAATACAAGATGTTAATATTAGGGGAAACTGGGGATGAGGCGGTATATGGGAAATCTGTGTTTTCTGCATTATTATCTTTATAAACATAAAACTATGCTAAAAATTAAAATCTACTTATTAAAGAAATTATAGCATAGCCATGAATTGCTGGAAAATCCAAACAAAACAGACCATTTTGTTATACAGTAAACAATAGTATATGTCTAGCTTTTTGTCCAGGTATCTCCCTTGTCTTAGTATATAAAGATTGATTGTGCCAGTCCCTCCTGGACAAATCTGAGAGATCTAGGAAGTAGAGCAGCTGCACTGAGATTTCTGCATGTTATGGCTTCTGAAATGTACAAAAGTTACCATAAAGTAATTCCTCTCACTTCCGAGTTCTCCCTCTGCTCAACACTTGGAGAAGTGTTGAAAACGCAGTCACAGCAAGGGCCCTGAGGCAGGTTGGAGTTGTGTCAGAAAGCTCAGCAGATTCCCTGAGAAGCTACAAATGGTTGGAGGCAGATTTCACACCAGGTCATCAGGGCATCCTTACAGTGATACCAACTCATTTTTCCACAGTTTTAGAGGAGTGGTTTAACAGTATAATTCTGCTATTCCACCCTCCAGTAAAGGCTAAAACCAAACATAATGCCAAATATGGTTGCAGGCTAAATGCACAGGTGTTAATTGTTAGTAATTCTCAGCCAGGCAATGAAATTTTGACCAAATGTGAACCAAGAGAATATTCCATTATTTGATATTTCCTTCTCACTGCTTTGCTAATTAATTTAGAAATGTGAATTGACCAAATACCCAGTGTCGGGCCATGTGTTCAGCTTGTGAAAATTAGATATCACTAGTCATTTAGTCACACCTTACATCCCCAGTCTGTTTTTCTGGAAAGAAATTAAGAAGTAATGAGGTATATCTTCATAAAAGTGAACAGTCTTTCACATTTGCATCCAGTACTGTGGAGAACAAAAGCTGTCTTTTCCTTTGTCAATTTCTTTTCACATATTTGATGATTTCAGTAAAAGAGGATGTTCTTATCTATATTCACCTTGGAGGCATAAAAACTTCATTACTGAGAGGCATAAAAACTTCATTACTGAAAGTGAGTTCATAGATAGGATGTTTTTCACTTATTTCCAACCATCAGTGACAAGATGGAGACTTACCCAAATGGCACAAAATCAAGTTATGGATGTGCATTTGTAACAGTATGAATCTGGAGATGTTTATTCTTGTTTGGAATAATTATTAACATTTATATTAACAGTATAAGCATGTATGATTAAAGTCACTTATGAAAGATAATGCTATAAACTGTAATATTAGACTGTGTTTTTGTAACCACCAGATACTTGGTAAACATTAGAAATTAAGAAGAGTGGTCTAACTTTTGTACAGTTTGCAGTGCTATATTCTTCAGTTAATAGAATCAATAAAATATGAAATAGTGCATTCTTAGTTCAAATATTCCAATGATGCAGGGGTGGCTTTAATGACAAGATGCGAACTCTTCCCGGGACCTTTCTCAACCTTGCACTCCCACCAAAAAAGATTGAATTTCTAGAAAGGAGAAAAATTAGTTGCTCTTTTCATGATGAAAATATTCACTGTTATAGCCAACGATTGTTGAGTGTGCTTTGTATCACCATCGTGGTGCTAAATGTTTTTACATGTATTCGCTCATGTAATCTCCCTAAGAATCCTATTTTAAGGTTGTGTGATTACCATATTTTTGCACCTAAGGAGAATAAATTTCAGGAAGGTTAAAGAATGTACTTAAAATCACACAAGTGGTAAAGTGGTAGAGCCAGGATTTGAAGCCACATATAGAAATGCTACGTGATGGCTATCCCACATTAACCACTGTGTATTTATTTTTAAATTATGAAAAAACACATCTGAGATATTGTGAACCTTACTGGATTTTGTTGCTCTTGATAGAGACTGGTTTTGTGCCAAGCAGTATAAATTCAATACAGGCACACACACACACACACACACACGCACACACACACACACACACACACAGAGTAATGATTTTCCTGCAAACCTGTGTGAGTCTGTCCATATAAATGGCTTTTGCACAGGGCACATAACAATTTTAATGGAGATTAGACAGAAGGACGCTCTCCAATATTATTTTTAACTTTTTCTAAAATGTGTTCATTTTGGATAAGCTGAATATGTCTCCCTATTACAGAGAAAAAAAAGTGGCCAGTAGCTGTTTTTTTCTGCATTGAGTGTTTTCAGCTAAAACTGTTTTGACTATGATTTGTGGGGTGAAACTTCATAGCCTTATTCACCCAGTTGGTATGAATGGCAGGATCCTGAACAGGATTTTAAGGTAAAAGGCTGGCTCGCAGGCAACTCCTATCTCAAGTTACCTTGTACCAGAGGCTGAGAGTGGCCTCTTAGCAGATTATTTATATGTAATAAAATGATGCTTACTTCCACCTTCACTTAATTGTCTGCAAGGGAAAACATATCTGCACTCAGTCATAGGTATAAACACTTTCCCCTCAAAGCTTTTTCCAGTGTATTATCTTAAAAGTTCACAGCCACTCATTTATTGTCAAAACAATATTCAAAAAAGGGCTTAGATGGTGTATAGTAGAGACCTTCCATTTTTCCTGTCTTCCATGCATATCTCTGTGATTTTGTACGTGACATGGATTTGTTCAACAACTATCAATTGGATACCTCCTAAATGCCAGGTTCTGTCTTCACGGGACTTTTATATTTTAGGGAAGAGAGTCAAGCAATAAAGAGTTTCTACAAAACAAAAGACACTATTAACAGAGTAAACAGACAAGCTACAGAATGGGAGAACATTTTTGCAAACTATGTATCTGACAAAGGTCTAATACCCAGTATCTATAAGGAACCTAAACAAATGTACAAGGAAAAGACAAACAACCCTATTAAAAAGTGGGCAAAGGACATGAACAGGCATTTTTCAAAAGAAGACATGCATGCAGCCAACAATTATATGATAAAATGCCCAACATCACTGATCATTAGAGAAATGCAAATCAAAACCACAATGAGATACCATCTCATGCCAGTCAGAATGGTTATTATTAAAGTCAAGAGCCAATAGATGTTGATGAGGTTTGGGAGAAAAGGGAACCCTTATACACTGTTGGTGGGAGTGTAAATTATTAGTTCAGCCCTTGTGGAACTCAGTGTGGCAATTCCTCAAAGACCTAAAGACAGAAATACCATTTGATGCAGCAATCCCATTACTGGGTATATACCCCAAAATATGTAAATTATTCTGTTATAAAGACACATGCACATGTGTGTTCATTGCAGCCCTATTAGCAATAGAAAAGACATGGAATCAACCTAAATGCCCATCATGATAGACTGGATGAAGAAAATGTGATACATATACACCATGTAATTATATCCAGCCATAAAAAAGGATGAGACTGTGTCCTTTGCAGGGACATGGGTGGAGCTGGAGGCCATTATCCTCAGCAGACACAGGAACAGAAAACCAAACACTGCATGTTCTCACTTATAAATGGGAGCTAAACGATGAGAATACAGGGACACAGGGAAGGGAACAACATACACTGGGTGTTTCAGAGGGTGGAGGGTAAAAGGAGGTAGAGGGTTAGTAAAAATAACTAATGGGTATCAGGCTTAATATCTGGGTGATGAAATAATCTATACAACAAATCCCCACGACACAAGTTTATGTAACAAACCTGCACTTGTACCCCTGAACTTAAACTAAAGTTAAAAAAAAAAGTATGTCAGATGATAATAAATGTTAAGGAGAAAAATATAAGAGGGAAGGGGAATAGTGTTTGTTTGACAAGGGATAGCATGAGGCAATTTTAGATAGGGTGGCCAAACATGCTTCACTGAGAATAACAAGGAGAAGACAAAACAAACATTTAATCAAAAGTCAATTTCTCAGTGAAGTCTTTTACAGAATCTGTGACTTCTTTGAGAAAGGATTCCACGTGCATGTTCAGTTGTTAGCCAATATATACTATGAGTTAAGCCTTTAGTCTATAAAGGTGATTTAGACTCTGTGCTTTCACTCACATTATAGAAAATTATAGAAAAATTTCATGCAGAATGTGTAGGTATAGAAGCAAAATCAAAATGGAAACTAGGAAGATAGAGAAGTGAACTGAGCCTATGAGGAATTCAGGGAGGCTTTAGAAAAGAGGCAGTCTTTGAACAAAGGATTAAAAGATGACAATGCCTAATAATAATATCTCAACTTTTCTGTAGAGAACATTTTAATAAAATATGTTTCCTCCTCTTTTGATTTTAAATTATATAAGTAATATATGAATACATTTGCACTGTAAAACTTTGAAACAGAAAGCATAGAGTAAATGTGAATGTTATACACCACTCTTTTAATTCCACTGTCTCTAAAGCCTGGATCATCTAATCACTTTGTTAAACTGAAAATAGAGGGAGGAACAGGTGAAAGAAGATCACGTATTTGCTCTACAAATATACATTTTAAAAGGCTTACTGTATTGTAAGTACTGTGTTAGGAAAATTGGATGCCAGAGTTAAGATGATATGACCTTTGCTCTCAAAAACATTACAGTTTTGTGATTGCAGGCAAATGGAATCACATATATAGGCATTGACTTGTGAAAGAGTATAGTACCTTCAAGTGATATGGTAAAATCAGGAAGTAGAATTTATCTTACAGAGAGTTTTAAGAATTAATTCTGGAAAGGTAGCCAGGGGCTAGACTACAAAGGATCTTGTATGGTAACTCAGCCATTTCAATTTTTAAAATATTTTCTATGATGAGCCTGTCAAAATTATAAGCAAAAGAATTATATTTTTGCATTTTCATAGTCTGTTGCCTAAATAAAACCTTCTCATTATTTTGATGTATTTCCTTATAATCCTACTACATTAATAGATTCTATTTTAATTATTAATACGTAATTATCCTTCTAACTATAAATAGTTATTATAGAAAATATGAAAACAGAGATGTTTTGAGCAGAACACAAGAGTACACATATAATTCAACCATTTAGTGAAAAATGTGAATGTTTCAATGTATTTCCTTGAAGTATTTTCCTAAATGTATATATACATTTCCTTGATATGTGTCATACACCCTTACTCTTGTGCTATGGACATTTTCTCATGCCTTTAAATATTATTCAGAAACATAATTACATAGTTGTAGAACGATATTTTGCTATATGAAAAGATTTATTTACTTAGAGCTAATTCAGTGATGTGTTTCAAAAGATGGGCTGAAGAGTTAAACCAAATTAGGCCTTGCATTAAATTTACTAGCAGGGTATTTAAAGGAATTCAATCTTTGTAAAATTTAATTTCTTCATCAGTAAAATGGAGATCAAAAGAGATCTAGTATATAGGGTTTTTATGAAATTCAAATAAAATATGGAAAGCATTTCAAAAGCCTAATGCTTAGATACAATAACCATTCAATAAATAATGTTAGCCACTATGATCATTAACACGATTAACAAATGTCATTTATCTATAATAAAACATTAACAACTGTTTGCCTATGTTTTAGTGTTTATAAAACAACCCTAGCCTACACAAAGACTAATAAATGGCTTTTTTTAAAGCATGTAATTCTCAATGGCCATTATATTGATTATCTGTAATGAAGAGAACTGATTCCTATTTAAGTGGCTTTGTCTAGAGAAGGTGATTTTGTACTGAGTTTCTTTTTTCTAAAGAAGGAAAACAGTTGCATTCCTTAGCTTTGCTAATAAGGTATAGACATACATGATAATTTACTATCTTACTAAGAGAAAAGCCATTGGAAGTACAAGCAACAGGGCTGGCTTATTCTTCATAATTAGTTTAAGTCCCTTGAGTTAGCCACACCTGAACTAAAGTGCAAAGCAAACCAAATAAAACAGTGGGGCATTCTGGGCCTTAGAAAAAATGAGTGAATTTATGGTCACTAAGGCATATGCTAGAATAAAAACCATCATGGTGATTTTTCTAAGTGACAGTTAAAAGAGAATGGTAAGTACTTCTCAACTCAGCCTGAAGTTTAGACCATGGCTTTCACATAACCATGGGTTAAATATAACTGAGTCTCAGTTTCCCTACTGGAAAATGAGACTAATGTCACCTGCCTCAGTGGGTAAATTTAAGCATTAAATGGTTTAACATGCAAGCCACTTTACAGTATTTGGTACAGTGTGGGTGCTCAAGAAATACTAAGCCTCTCCTGATTTCTTTTATTATATTTGTATCTTAACATTGTTGACTAGCACTCTGAAAGCATTAAGCAGTCAATACAAATCACCCACACACTACATAGAATGCCGAGGGAATGCAGCTTCATTTGTCTTATTTAAAACCTCCTTTGGGTATTCCTCATTGGGGCCAATTCAATCTCCTTTCTAACTGCTGATCAAATGTGGGTGCTTTCCTATCTCAATGCTCAGCCTAATCACCCACCCACCACCCTAATAATAATCATCGCTTAAGCAAAAATTCACTGACAGTTCACTATGTGCAATACACTATGCTAAATGCACTCATTTAAACCTTCCTGGCCTACTCTTTTGTACTTTTCACTACCCCTCCAACATAATCCATGCTCTTTCCTATCAAGTACCTAGGGAATCTACATCTGGCCTGAACCATTTAGAATTTGGGCTGGTGCTGGCCCAAGCTGCCCTTGACCTTACAGAACAAAATCTCTGCCTTACAAACTCTCATCCTTTTTTTGCCTTAATGCTCTGTTGGCAGAAACATACATTTCTTTTTTCTCCCTATTTTTGTGAGAAAGTTCTGTAATGATAGAAAGTCATAGAATTCAAAAGCTGGAAGGGATTCTAGCTTGCATCTAATTCAGTGTTTCCTAAATGTGGCTGTGCATCAGAATGATCTGGGGCTCTTGATAAAAATAGAAATTCCCAGACCCAAACCCAGATAGTCTAATTCGGTTCTTTCAGCAAACACCATGGGTTATTCTTATATACAACCAGGTTTTAAAAGCACTGATTGGATTCTTCTTTCCACCGAAAATAAAACTGAGCAAATTCAGGCAGGAATTGTATCTTTTCTCCACTATATCTTCCTTTTCTAATACTGCATACCCAAAGCAGGAAAACATAGTTGGCACACAGTAAATACCTGTTGAAATGAAAATGAAATCACAGTACACCGTCAGCATTACTTATTTGTGTGATTATGTTTTCTCATCCTTGTTCCTAAAAAAGGATTTGAGGCAGCTGACAAAGATTCGTGTAAAATCTATCTCTATTCTACTGATCAGGAGGGGAGGATTTCGTTGTAGAATAATCCAGGGAGGTCAGCAGCTCTGCCTGCTTCATAGATAACTTAGAAATCAGTAACATCCACCTTATTGAGAATTATATAGTTTTTTTTTTCATGAAAAAATGCCATCAGGGAGGGATATTAAAATATAGTTGAAGAATCATATGTCTTGCAGTCAGATAGACCTGCATCCCAATCTGAGTTTTCTCACTTCCCACATGCACCATGCCTTAGCCCAAAGTCTCTCTGCAGGTCGTTCCTAAGAAAAGTACTTAACTTTTCTTTACTACTATTTCTTCAGCTACAAGATTCAATTCAATTACTCTTTTTCACAAATACTAATTGAGCATCTATTATAGTATGTAACAGGTACTATTTTAAGCACTGACAACAACCACTGCCCTAGTAATGCTTTTATTTACAAGGCATAATTATGTCTATTTCAGAGGATTTTTATGAAGGCGAAATATACATACAAGCCTTGTATATTTGCAGTCGTTCAATAAATGTTAATTCCCTTCCCCATCTTTCATTTTCATCAAGTGATGTACAGACCCCAAAATATCTTTGTGAAAATAATTCTATGTCCCTTTTGAAAATATATTCTAATTCTGAAGAAAACTCAGTCAGAGGTTAGGGTCCAAAACAGGTCTTTGGCCTGTATCTAGGCTCTGATTTTTCATGCAGTGCTAGTGGAACTTACAGTCTCATTTGGGATTTTTCACGTTGACTTGTCCTCAGGAAGAACTAGCAGTTTGCATCTTCACAGAGTTGTAGATGCAGCTGTACTACAGATGAAGTCAATATGCATCACAGGAAACATGAGTCCAGACTAATTCTGATGAGCATGAAGCTCCTTCACAAGTGTGTTTAAGGGCTTTATGAAGTGACTGTAAATGCACTTGCAAGCAGCAGAGGCAAATTCATTACCATCTAGGAAATAATCAAACTGCAACTACATCTCAAAGAAGAGATTATAGGGATTTGGAGGACTGTCCAGATTTGTAATACTATATGGTTATACATGTAAACTATGATATATGCTTTAGGTTTCCATCACTTTTTTAACAATGTCTCTACCACAATAATTTTCCCCCATTTTTACCATGAATGAACACAATGCTTTCCCAAAGATGGATGTAGATGTCACATTTTGCAGCTGGCCTGTCTGCTGATCCCTCTACCCACCACCTTTATGCATGCCTGACATCAGGGATGCCTTTACTGCTCACTGAGAAACCTTCCTACCCCTCCCCTTTCACCTACCACTGCCTTAATGGGCCCTAAAAACCCAGTACATGGCCTGTATCCTTTAGAAAGAAAACCACAGCCTACTGTAGCCTGTTGTGACTTCCCCACCTTCTAAGTTTCTCCAAAAGTTATTCTCTATGCCACTTTGTCACTGGTTAACTGAAACAACAAAACAAAATCCTAAAGTATATATCAAATTAGAATTGAAAGATATGAAAGCTAAAATCTATGTTCTTTGCACAGAAAAACATCCACCTATTTGAACTCAAAAAGATTCTTGATAAGTTAATTATAGCCCATAAGATTCATAAATCTTAAAATTTTACAAAGTGTCAATCTTGTTTCTGCATAGTCCTTGAAATATATTTTGCTTTCAATTGAAAGCAATTGAAAGAAATTTGCTTTCAATTTCTTCTTAATTTCATGAAGAACAATCAAAATTTTGGGAAATTCCTAGAGATAATTGGAATATTTTTTTCTTTTGTAGCATTTTAATCATTTAGGCCCCCAAATGAATTTAAGTCTCCTAAAATGTCCCTTCATCAGAGAGTACCTGTATATGCTGGCAGGGACCAACAGAAACACATGTATTTCCCACTGGAGAAAAAATGTTGTTTTTCTTTCTATGATTTCTGCAACATCATATTCATGTCTGTGACATTCTAATATTTGAGTGTACAAGAAAACATGCCTCCACCCTGGGAGAGTAAAAGAAGATGGGTAAATATTCTTCATATAACAGCATCATTTCTGTCTGTCACTATGTAGCAGATATAGAGAGATCTGTTTCTTTGTGTGTCCTTCCTAATAATAAACAACTCGTCAGCATTAGTTCAGCACCTATTACATGACATACAATGTATTAAAGCTTTATAATGACCAAACTTGTTTCATCTTCATAGAAACATTAAGTGGTAGATATAATTATCCATATTTTACACATGATGGAAATGGAGGTATGGAGAGACATCAGGTTATCTACCCAAAGTTCTTACTCTATATCTGCACTGCACCGTAATAAGCCATGAACATCCCTAGGAAACAGCAAATTTTATTAATTTTATTTAGAGACCCCTTAGCTAATGCAGCACCTGACTTTTAATAAGTGATTAATAAATATTTGTTTTTTTAAACTAAATGTTCACTGTGACTAAGAGGCACAATATAGCAGTATGCTTTCTGGTATACAATTGCAAGCTGTGAATATTCCAAAATTTTGCCATAAACCTACTAATATCTACCCAAATCTAGAAGGGAATAGAAGGCAGTTATTCCTTTTTGTAAACTGGAGCCTACCTACACTTGTCATAGCCCCAGGCCTTGACCAAACGGAAGAAACAAACCTCACTGAATATCAAAGATACCACATAGGAAAAAGAATGTATATTTGTCAAATACAGTAAACAGAAGAATAATAACTTTGGCTTTACATTATTCTTTATATTATTCACAGCATGTTCACAGATAAAATTGCATCTGATTCTAATGTCATTGCTGAGATGGTGGCAAGGCAAGTTATTACTCTGAATTCACATGAAGCCAAACTGACAACTATTCAATGTTTAGGAAACAACTGTCTGACTATCAATGACATGGCCCGTGTCTCCTGACTCCTAGTCTATTTTCTGTGTGGTTTTATGGGCATCAAACTACGAACAGTATTCATTATAAGACCATTTTAACCCTAAGATGACTGAGTTGCCTCTACTATAATTTAAGAATCCTACCTTATTTCCATGCAAGTAAGATGTTAAGATGATCACCTTGGTAATACACTTTCAGACTCAATTTCACAGAGAAGCCCCAGGCTGTCGTCATACTTTCAGTGCAAGATGAAATAAATAAAACTCCAATGAGACCACTAAAAACATATGTTAAATAAGACATCATTTCTCTACCAAACCATAACAAACACCCTAGACTGCAGAGAATGTTGGCTCTAACATGCTCCTACAAGATATAGATCATCTCTGCTTGTAGGACATATATGGGATGTCCTGGAGACGGGGCTACTTCAGAAATGGTGATTCAAATATTCAACAAAAATAATGGACCTCAGAGTAATCATACAATATGTTAATTTTTTACAATATATTACTGAATCTCAGTACCTTGTTGAAAAAGCCAAGTTATATCTTGTTATTTATAGAATTAGTTATACAAGACAAGAGAGAAGGATTTTCGACTTGCAAGGAAAGTTCTCCTCTGTCCTCCAGTAATTACTTCTATACCTTCTGTCACTGTGCTTTATATACTCATTCATCAAACACTGTCTGAGAAAAAACTCTTGTGCGTAATGGGTTCCTGAGATGCAAAATGAACGAGACATAATGCTTGCCTTAAAGGAATTCACAGTGTAGGAGAGTGGTCAGGGAGAGTGTAGATTACCATTATTAGACTTGCTATTTTGAAGTGGAATCTCTTTCTCTCTCTCTCTGTCTCTCTCTCTGAGTTCTCACATTGGCTAGTTATATGATGTTTTTGGAAAAGTCTCTAAACTTTTGTTCCTTATTCTTTGAAATGTCAATAATCTGAGTCAGGAGAGGAAGCATTTTTGTAGTGCCTACTATTTGTCAGACACTGTTTTACATGTTTTCAATGTATTATTGCATTTATCCTTTCAATAATCCCAATCAAAATTACTATTGTTATTCATATTTTATAGATGAAGAAACTGAGAGATGATATGACTTGTTTATGGTTACTTAGCCAACAAGTGCTTAGTACAGGCCATCAACTCAAGCAATCAGAGTGGAGAAGTACCTGTCAGCATGAGAACCATGGGTGCTAGAAGGCAAAGGATTTTGAGGCTAGAAGCTTCTCTTTGCCATTTGATTAGACATATTCCTTTAGAAAGAATGTCCCTTTCATTTGTTCCTCCAGACCCACTCTCCCTTTTTCCTTGCCCTGGCTAGTGCCTTGGGAGCTGACACAAGTGGATCATGGCATCAGTAGGCTCTTTTGCCTTTGGCTGCGGTAGAATTCAGTCAGTGGAAGGTACCAGCAAGAGGATAGACAGAGGAAGGCAAGTGAGGTCAGAATATTTATGGCTTTGTTGAGTTTCCTTCCTGTAGGGCTGTCTGTGTTCCTTTCACAAACTCTGCTGTCAGAGCCCTTCTTCATTCAAACTTTCGTATCCCTGGGTCTCTTCAAGGCCATTGCTCCCTCCCATTATCCCTTTGTTTTAGGTCTGGTAAGTAGGCCCCAATGGTGCACTATCACTAGTGATTTCATTGCACCTTGCTGACACCTTTATAAACAGTCCCTTTATTTATCTTCCTCAAATTTCCCTAAATTGTTTTAACCTGAGTGTCCCATCTATTCCCTCCAGGGAATGAGATAAATACCAGTTTTATAAAGCACTAAATGATGAGCATTCCTGGTCCCAACTCACCCTGTATAGTCTAATTTTTCTAATTCATTTTTCAGCATTACTGTCACATGAGCCTTTTTAAATCCTCAAACTTGGATGCACCTTCTTTTTGTAGAGATTTTACGTATCCTGTTTCTTCTACCTGCAATGCACCTTCTCAATCTCACTGCTCCCCTCACCCCAACAAACACGCATGCATGCACACACACACTCAACAAACCTACCTGCCACATATAATAGATCTCAATATTTTTCAAGTTAATTCGCAGAATTAAAAGCCAGAGACTGCCTTCTTCAAATTTTTCTTGAACAATTTTTATCCTTTAGAGTCCTATTATTATGGAGCAGTTTATAGTAGCATATTATATTTTCCTAACACATATTCTGTGGGAGTGGAAAGCTGAGTTCTGAGTAACTTAAGTGACTTGCTTAAAAAGAAAAACTTAATTAGTAAGTGACAGTACCATGATTTAATCCCAGGTCTGCTTGAATTCATGCCTCTTGGGCTCTCCCTAGCGAGGCAGGCCCAGGCAACACTGTTCTGCATGCTGCTCAACAAAGGTTTTCTGTCAGGCCCTAAAAATACAAGGGGCTTCAATAAAATATTTAACGGATGTGGTGGAGACTATTTTTTTCTAGACCTTTCTTTTTCTATTTTGTTGTCAATATGTTCTTTCTACCCACTACTTTTATGAAACCAAACAAAGCAACACTTTCTGTGGTGAACATGATTGCAATTTTGCAAGTGCCTTATTTTTGAACAGATGAAGGAATAATGGCTATCTTCAGGAAATCTTATCTGAAACCTCTTAGATTGCACTGAGGCACAATAATGAGATACATTAGCTCAGGTAATTCGGCTCCTGGGGGAGTTTAATTTGAAACAATTGAAGTTGTGAATGCGAATACCCAGCATTTTCCCTCTGGTTTGTGGAGAGAGAACCAAAGGGGCCTTCAACAGGAAGCTGGAAGAGGCAGCTTGGTAGGCAGCAGAGCTGTGACTTGCTTTCTTTCCAACTTCCTCCTGCCAACTCCAGTGGCACAGTTGTTTCCTATTGAGAACAGATTCTGTTTGTTCAGTGCATGTTTGTGAAGAGAGAGATTTTCAGACACTCAGATATAATGGGGCATTCACACATTCAAAACTCAGCTAAATTTGCCCCCAGGGCACATGGAGATGATGCCAGAAGCACAAGCTTGCCCGGAAATGGTGATGGAAATACAGCCTCTGTTGACTTAGGGTGAGTCCAGGCAAACAGCCCAGCCACCCAGTGCCACAGATTCATGTCTAGAGCATGCTGGCTCCTGCTCTGACCCCTCAGGATGACACTGAGGTGACCTCCTCTCCAGAGCATTTCCTTGATTAGTTCACTTCAGAGAGGTGGGTTGGATTTTGATTTCTGATAAGTCTCTTCCTCATTTTGCTCCTCAGTGTAGTTGCCTACTTTCTTCCATGCCAGTGACCCAGTGAAATCTATGGATATTGCAAATCAAGTCATCCCAGATCCTTGCTTAAAGGATTTCTTATTCTTCAGAAAAAAGTCCAGATCCCTTACCCTGGCTCTCCATGATCTGACCTATAACTCACCTTTTAGCCTCATGGTCCATCCCCTCATTCTCCCCTCATGCTGCTGCTGCACAGAATGCTTCATGGGCCCTGAACATGATCCCTTACATGGCTATGTCTTTGCACATGCCACTCCCTTTCTTGCCAATTTCCTCCTCCCTTGGTCCATATCACTAAGCAACTCCTCCTTTGGAGTGCTTTTTCTGAGGGCTACTTTCTCCTGCCCTGCCAAGAGCACCAGAAGTCCAGGGACTTCTCTCCAAAATAGTACTTACCATTTTCATCTTTACAAGATGGCATCAAATATAAGGCACATTTCACATAAATGTGAAAATATGAAAAAAAAATGGGCTAACCAGAACTGATTAAATATGGTATTATAATTTTCTGTTTACTTCCTTCTGCCATTAGACCTTTTGCCGACAAGTGTTTAATCACTCACTTCTGTAACTTAGTTCCTACCACAATGTCTGGTTCGTATTAGGCTCCTAGGAATTTTTTTCCAATTAGCAAAAGAGATATTATGGGTGATGAACCAGGTGGTATCTCTAGAGTATTCAGATATGATCCAATATAGAATTAGGAAAGCAAGTCTTTACTACTCCTAAAATCTTGGGAGCTGGATATAGAAAAAGCTAATTTTCCTATATAAATTTTAAATAAATTTAGAAAAAGTAAATTATTTACTAAACCCTGAATGTTTGAGGCTTAGTGTGGGAGGAACTTTTACATACATTGTCTAATGTGATTGTCACTAAATCCCTGCTGTAGATGTGGTCTTCAATGTTTGGAGATGGAAACAATCTCAGAAAAGGAAAATACTTTGTAAGATCAAACTACATGTTAAGTGACAGAGACACAATTCGAAAACAATACTCATACCTCAAAGTCTTTAGTCTTTATATTATGTTGCTTTGCTTCTTTCCTATTCCTCTCAATATTTCCCAAAATGTGAGATGTCTACAAGAGATTTATGAAAAGAAAAAGCACTAAATACCACTGAATCTCATGCTGAAAAAATTATTCCCTGTTTCATTCAGCCTTTTAGATCAACTCTAGAAGACAGTCTCCCTTTGGTGCTGGGACACATTTACTTACAAAAATGTGCTAAAGTATTTTTGCAATAAAAGGGGAGCGAACCTGGGACTCAACATGTTGGCAAGCAGGAGTATCTGCTTAATCACTCTTTTCTTGTCATCATATTTATTTTTAGGCTATCTTCTATTTATGATAAGCTAAATGGCAATTTTGCTCCTACATTTATAGTAGTGACATAGTGTTTTCTTTAAACATATTTAAGTTTTCAAATATGGAATATAAAGAAAACTGAGGAAAATTGTAGTGCAGGTGGTTCTCAAATAAGGTAAAATCCATGAAGGTGATAAAAGAAAGACCATAATCTGGAAAATCAGAAATGCCTTCCAGTGATGGTAACAGAGTAATTATAAGTTTGTAGGCTACCTGATCTTTCTTTGATCTATCACTACTTAATGCTCTTCAGTCAATAAAAGCATATGGTTTTAATGATATAATATGAGATTAGTTAAAGGCGCAAAGAATTTTCAAATCTTGTACTGCTAAATGTCCTTTCTCTCCAAATAATCCTAAAGAACTTATATATTAGATGGAAAGTAACACTTTTCATTAGCTGGCCACAGTCATCCCTTGGTATCTACAGAGGAATGGTTCCAGGATTCCTACAGATACCAAAATCCACAGATGCTCAAGCCCCTCATATAAAATGGTGTACCATTTGCATATAACCTACACACATCCTCCTGTCTACTTTAAATTATTTCTAGATGATTTAAACCTCAAAATTATATTATCTGCTGGAGGCCCTGTGGCATAGAAACTTGAAGTGATGACCAACACACTCAGCCAGATGCAGAGAAAAATATATGGACAGGTGTCATATATGAGAGAAGTGGAGTAGTTATGCATAGGAAGACATCTCTATCTCCCCTCATGTGGGTGGAAAAGAGAAGAATGCCTTTATGTTTACAGTGACACTATCCATTTATTTAATTAGGATATACTTATATAGAACCTACCAAATCCCAGGCACTGACCTAAGTATTTTTAGATATTAACTTAATGCACAAAATTCTATATGTGATAGCTACTGTAATATTTTACAGATAAAGAAACTGAAGCACAGTTAAGTAATCCATCCAAGATCACACAGCTAATGGGAGGAGTGAACCCCATACACTCAAGTACCAATACCACACTCTTAATCACTAAGCCAGGATCAATCTGATCATCCACAAGTGTTCTCCTGGAGGGACTCAGAAATGAGTTGTGCAGAGCGATGCAGAATCATTCCTTGGAGCACTTCCAGCAGAAATAAGACACAGAAAGAAGGTTCTACTTCACTGATCCTCAAACATTGCAATATGTGTACATGTCAATCAGCAATAAACTTAAATATAAGATCGTCAACTTCAAGAACTTTCCCTCAAAAACACCATTCATTTGTCATTTTAACTAAGTACCACCTCCTTTAACAAGATACTGATTCCATTCAATTACTAATTCTTACACTAAGCTACAAGCAAAGGTGTAGATGTTGAGGAATTATAAGCATTCATATCTTGGAGAATTTGTACAATCTGACTCACAAAATAAAAAAATACTTAAAGGCAGAACATTTTCTGTATTATTTCTGGGAGGATTTGGTAGATAAGGCATTAGAAAAATCACCTTAGAAAGCAGTTTTAAAAATAAGGTGACCATCCATCCAGGTTCATACCTATCATCACAGGAAAATTATTAATAGCACCTTCCAAAATTTCCTGGGTTAGATGATAAATTGTATCGCAATATTACTAAAAGAACATTTCATATTGGGGACTTCACTCTTCAATGTGGTGGAGGATAGTAATACAGAGATAAAAGATATATTTGCTGCCTTCAAGGATTTCACAGACTGGATTTTACTCTGCTTTAAGGGAGATACTTTAATAGAAAATTACAATATAGTGCAATAAATGCCAGAACACAGATGTTGAAACAATGTGCCTGGATAGTAGAGAAGAAGCCCTAAATCTTGAGTGAGGAAGGGTGAGGGCTTAGGGACTGCTTCTGGGAATGGTAACACAACTGGACCTTCAAAGATCACAGATATTGATCAGTACTCGAAGATCTGATGGAAGATAAACATTCAAAATAGAAGGAAAACAAGTGAACTTTGATGGGTTATGTAAGGCAGGTATTAACACATACTCATCAAGAAGCACAGGATTTGGGAAAAGAATGTCAGATTTTGAATCCCAAGACTATGAAATTCTAGCTGTGTGCCATTGGGAAGTTAGTGAATCTCTGTGAGTCTTAGTTTCTTCATTGGTACAATGGAGAATAGTGATAATCTAACACTTAGGGTTGTGGTGAGGCTTCAGTAAATTAATACATTTAAGCACTCTAAAAAGTGTGTGATACATAGTAAGTGCTTTAATAGATTGGTTTAATAAGTTTGATATATGTATTTTGAATGTCATAAGTTGAGAGATGGAGACAGATTCTTGGGTGACATACCCAAGAAGTTTGCATTTGATCCTAAGGGAAATAATTATTGAAGGGGAGAGAAACATAGAGGAGAGATAAGATCAGATTGGATTTTTTAGAGATTAATCATTCTTGGCAAGTGTGTGGAAGATGGAATATATATGAGATTAGCAGAAAGCAGAGAGAAAAGATGTTGCAGTCGATGATGAATGGCAGCAAGGTAGGAGAAAAAAAAACAAACAAAAAACCCTGCTCTACTCAGGAAACATTTTATGCAGCACCACCTAACTCCATGTCAAAACCTTCACCTTCACCATGCTATAGTGCATCCTCACCACAAAAGCTAATTAACCAAAATAAGGTGTGGGGATGAAATGTGGGCCTTCAAAACAGTGATACTTCTAGCATCTGTTTTTAAAAGATACATTTAGAGGTGACTGAATCCTAAAGCCAGAAAATACCTAAAGGAATGGTCAAGTCCAGTGGTTCTGCAGCCTGGCTGCCATTAAAATCTCTTGGGGAGATTTTTCAAAATACCAATCCTGAGTACTCACACTTTGTCAATTGAGTAAGGGTCCCTGGGAGTGCAGCTCAAGCACTGCTGAGTCTTCAAGCTCGTCAGGTGATTCTAATGTGCTTCCAGGCTGAAGAACCCCCATTGATCTCATCCAACCCCACACTGGACAGAGTAGAAAGTGAGTCTCAGATATTCTGCTTCTTTTATGATATGGGTAATTATTGTGTTAACTGTCTTACCTATAACATATGTAGTTTCTTACACACTTGTAACAAGATTAGAACCTCTTGAACATTTGATATACAATCATATGTTATGTTTATGCTGATGCTAGAGATGGTGAGATAAAATAAGAGATGAAAGGAAAATTACAAAATAAAGGAAAAGAGGTAGAGGGAGAGTTTATGCAAACAATATGAAGTGAGACCATGCATTCATTTCACAGACCAAGGGAAGACAAGGCTAATTATCATAGGAAAAACTAGCTTCCTTCCAGGGTGAATGGGGAAATGGTAGTTAGGAGAGAACAGAAAAAGTATAGAGCGAAGAAGAGGAAGAAAAAAAAATCCTCCATGAAAGCAAAGGGCTGTGCCTAATTTGTTCATTTTCCATCCTCAGCACCAAGGACAGCACTTTGCAAATAGACTAGTCCCATGTTTTATTTAAGGTCTAGATAGATGGAAGAAAGGCAGGCATGGAGAGGGCAAAAGGGTCAAGCAGTTACTCATCTGCTTTTTCTCCTTGGTCCATTAAATCTGGCTGAACAGTCTCAGAGATGAGAAAATAATGTTCAAAATGTGCAGTTCCTCTTATATGCTGGGCTTATTTTTCTGGCAGAAATGGCTTTGAGTTTCTTTGGCAGAGGAATTATCAGTGGTTCTCATCCTAGGTTTGGTGTTCTATGTAGACATGACTTTTACTGATGCTCTGTGTGTAAGAGTGTGGTCTCAATGGAGAGTAAGTTCTGGTTTTAAAATCAGGCCCTGTTTCTTACCACCTAACTTGGGGCAAGGTCCTTCACTGCTTTTAGCATTAGTTTTCTTAAAATAGGTACTGCTATGGATTATTGTTTCTGTTTCCCTCAAATTCATATATTGACACCCTAAGCCCCAATGTGATGGTATTTGGAGGTGGGCTTTTGGAAGATAAAGAGGATTAGATTATGTAGTGAAAGTGGGACCTTATAATGAGATTAATGCCCTTATAGAAAGAGAAAGAGACAAGACATCTCTTTTCTTCCATATGCATGCACCACAAAAGGGCCATCTGAAGATATAGTGAGAGGACAGTAAACCAGGAAGCAGGCCCTCACCAAACACTGAAGCTACTAGGGCCTTAACTGTGGACTCCCTAGCCTCCAGTACTATGAGAAATTAATGTTTGTTGTTGAAAAAACCCAGTCGCTGGTATTTTGGCAAAGCAGCCCAAACTGACTAAGATAGGTATATTCCAGGTATTGGAAGGGTTGATGAGGTTGAGGCACATGAATTTATTAGGACCTTAGCATATTGTCAGTGCTTATAAAAGTTAGACCTTGTATTGTCGTACTGCATTTATTGTATTATTATTTTAATGATTATAGTTTGATCCTTCCCACTTCACACTGATGACAGCAAAAAGCCAGGATGTGAGAAACCACACAATTAGGAGTTGGTAGGGGTAGATACTGATTATCACAAGAATATCGTGAGGGTAACCGCCCCTATGATTCAATTACCTCCCACCGGGTCCCTCTCATGACATGTGGAGATTATGAGAACTACAATTCAAGGTGAGATTTGGCTGAGGACACAGACCCAACCCATATTGCTTGTCATTTGCCCAACCTTTTGTTTCAAACTAAAAACCCCTAATTGAACTAGGTTTGGTTTGACCCATAGTCCCACTGTGATCACAGATTGGGGACAAAGTGTTTTAAGGTAACATGAGATGTCTACATACCATCCCTCAGGTGTCCAGTACTATCCCAATGTGACAAGTTTCTTTGCAAAAGATTGCAATTATTATTCTTTAGAGTATAGTAAAATAAATAGGAACTATTGTGATTGAAAAGAGAATTATTCTTTCTTTAAATATTTGTCTTAGTGATCTTGATTATTCCATGGAGGTGTAGAGGGTTTACAACATGGGACAGAAAGGGGTTATCTGGGGAGAGGACCCAGCGCTTTCTCCAGGTTACAGACATCTACCAATGCTTTAGAGTTTATATACAACAACATTTTAGACTGGATTCTTCATTTTGGATTGCCCATGTTGAGAAAATATTTGCTAATTAAGTCAAACAAGATATTATATCCCCCAATTTAAAGCATGCTTAGGTATTAGTTTGCTAGGCTGACCTAACAGAATATCACCGATCGAATGGCTTAAACAACATAAATTTATTTTTCCATAGTTCTGAAGGCTAGAAGTCTATGATCAAGTTGGTTAGCAGGGTTAGTTTCCTCTGAGGCCTCTCCCATTGACCTACAGATGGTTGACCTCAAGCTGCCTACTCATGTGGCTGTCCCTCTGTGCATGGTGCCCCTGGTGTATATTTCTCCTCTTATAATGACATCAGTTACATTGGATTATGACCACACAAAAACAGCCTCATTTCAACTTAATCACCTCTTTATATACTTATCTCCATATATGATTACATTCTAAGGTCCTGGAGGTTGGGCTTCAACATATGAATTTTGGGCAGTCACATTTCAGTCCATAACACCTTATCAATGAGTCTTCAATGGATCATATGATTGTGATCATATGAAATGGCCCTAAAATATCTTTCATATTACTGTCAACTACATGTTACCTTCCCAGAAAGCCAAGTAAACACCAAACATTTAGGAGTAGCTGAATTTCTTTTTGGGATCACAACAAATATAGGGGTTTTATTGGATAGTAATTTTGGTGACACCTGTGAGAGCTGAGCGAAGCAGGACTGGACAGAAAGAGAAGCTGCACTGTGAGGCAGTTGCAACAGAGATCTTTCACTGACCATTTGAAACTCTTGAGCTGGATAACCTTTCAGGGTAGGCCCAGTTTGAGGTATTTATTCCTTTTTGTACCTCTGTATTGGAAGATTGCTGCCATGGATGGGGAATACCTCAGATAAGGCAGATTCCTTGTATCTATCTACCACAGGCTATATGGTAGATATAGTTACTTCATAGTAACTAGATAGTGTGTAAACTAAAAATGAAATCCTAACCCCCAACCAACAGACTGAATTAATGCCCCCTTGGCTAACGGGACAGCAGACAACCTTAAAACTGAATTCCCTACCATAATAGGAAGGGAGGTCAAATATGACTCATTTTATCCCTTCCTTTTTGGACTTTAGACACAACAACTGGCCAGCATTAATGTTAGAATAGAGATCATGAGACTAACAAAAGACACTCTTTTTGATAATAAGATATCAAATTATAAACATTACCTAAGTATGCCAGACAAGAGTTAAGTCATGTAACCCTACAGGTCACGCTGACCCAGTACATTGGTTAACAGCCTTCCTTGTCTTAACCTAAACATTCCTTTATTCTCACTCCAAGTTTTTAGAAAAGTTTTACTCCTGTAACTAATTGCAAATTAAAGAACGCATTTATGACCTGTAAGCCCCTGCTTCAAGATGTTCTACCTTTTTGGGCCAAACCAATGTAACCTCCATGTATCGATTTATGACTTTGTCTGTAACTTCTACTTCCCTAAAATGTATAAGACAGAATCATGACCTAACTATCTGTACTAGAAATAGCTGCTCAAAGATTCTGGTTGGTTTCTTTTCCAGGGAAAATATACAAAGCAAGTTTGGTGGAACAAACTACAGGCCCCACCTCTGAAGCTGACCTTGAGTCCTCAGCTGTTGCTATTGTTATCCTCTCCGGTGCATTCTAAAGTTCCCTCACTCTTCCAAGAACCCTTGACTATGCTTGTCTTGATCGCTTATCTAATTGTGACCCAGAATGTCATCCCTGAGAGGTCTGACTTCCTGATCACCATGTCCTTCTTAGTCCATGACCACTGTACTTGTCAATTTTCTGTCAAGATATGGCAAGGAGGTACCAAAAGACACCCCAGTGATTATACTCTTCCCTGTCATGGTAAAAACTGTGGATCTGCAGCCCCACTGCTCTAACAAGATGGTGGTTTCTTTCCTTGCTTGTTGACTTCTTCATTCAAGAAGCCTACAGTGGCTGAGTGGCAGCTAAATCTAAAAGGTTATTGGGAAACTCACTGTGTCCCTTGCTGGAAGCATTCCCTCCTTGGGAAGCAGGACCTCTGGAGCCACAGAATCCAGATTTGTAGGGATGAAAAGCACAGAAAACCCAAATGGGACACTTGGAGTGATGGTTAAGTGGGACCACTCATATATCAATTGTCTTATTGCTGCACAAACGTATTCTGCCTCCTAGGGACACAGAAACACTGTATTGGTTAAAGCTGTTTATTTCATCTTATAAAATGGCACCCCATCCGTGCAGGGCATTGTACCTAAGCCAGTATCTCAGTTGTACCTTGAAGAGCCTGTCCCATTGCTGTATATGTGTAGCAGTTTCTGGTAGGTGCCAAATGTGTAGGACCAGTGGGTCCCATCTACATGTCACCACTGTCACACCTCCTTGGCTGTTCTGTGAGTCCCTTTGTCTTGTGCAACATTATAAAGGATGCCATGGTGGTAGATTACTCTATGAGCTGCCATAGTGGTTCTAGCTGAGACCCTGTGAAAAGGAACAGTAAATCTTCACATGGAAAATACTTTTGATTTCAGTCAAAATAAGTTATTTGCCCTTTCAAAGTAGAAGTACAATGCAGACAACATTCCACCAAATAGCTGGTTGGTCTCCTTGAGCAGTTGTGCCATACTGGGGACCCAGCTGTTGTCTCTATTGCTTCTAGGTTGTAGTTTTGAAAGTGGCAGTAACTATATCAATTCTGAAGAATGAGATCCCATGCTTTCAGATCCATGTATCACCCATAGCTACTCTCTTCTTGAGCCCATCATGCTAGCAATGGGATGCCTGATAACAGAGGATAGCTAATATTAAATGGTTGTTTGATACCTCCTGTGTACTAGATGGTCTCTGATAAACCTTAACATGAAATACAAAGATCTTCATACCCTGGCCACTCCCATAGGTTCACATATATACCTTTTCCCCAGTCTTTCTGGGTGATCCTGATTACCTTTTATCTATTTTATTTGCAGGCCTTTCCTAATCAATCAGCCAAGCCATTCAACTCTGTCCAATAATTCATACTTATTCACTTTGGGCCACTTTTCTTCCCTCATGAAGTAGATATTCACTAAAGTTTTATCCATTGGGAGGATTTCCTGTTACCATTATCTTTCAGGACTCCCCTAAGGTCTATGGTATAGAATGCCTCCAACTGCACAGTGTCATCCTCAAATCTCTTTTGCTATAAACATACACAGAACTTGCTCATTCATGAATCAAGCTTACCTTTTGTCTCCTCTGACATCGAGTCATAGGAGACTTCTCATGCAGCCACAGGTGTCAGCTCTGGGAGAAATGCTGACATAACGTATTTAAATCAATATTTAAGTGAATGGCATTAGACCTGGACACTCTGCTCGTGCAGCAAATTAGTGTCTACTAGTCTTGCTCATGCTTGATCCACATGTATCACATTTACATCTTATAATGAAATTCTACTGCCCCCTCCAGAGTTGTCTCTATTTGAAGTAAGAGGGCAGCTTTTATACTTGTACATATACCCTTCATTCGAAGCAGGCTGTCCCCATGGAATGGGAGTGCCTAGGGTAAGGCAGCTTCCTAGCTGCTCTTAGATGAAGATGATGGAGAGGCCCAGACAGAGACTCAGCTGTGAGTTGTCAGCAATCAACACTCCTGGCAGCCAAAGGAATGACTGCCTTGGTCCTGAAGAGAAATCTTTATGGCACCTCACAGCTTCTACTGCACACATTTTAAAGGATAATAAGAAAGAGATAAGGCCTAGGAAATGGGAGAAGTTTGGAAACTCTCAACCCTGCTTGGGATCTGATTCCACGATGAGTTTTTCATTCATATGCTTTTTTTAAAAAATGCTGTAGTGAAAAGTTAGGTTCAAAGCCTCTGTCTCTACCTACAAGTCTAAGTCACTTTCACAGCTGACCCATGTAAAGAATGTGAATATAGAACACATTGTCATTCCCAAATTTCTTAGAGGCCGTAAGTAAGAATGACCCTTAGAGAATAACTCGGTTTTTTTTTTTGTTTTGTTTTTTGTTTTGTCGGAATGGGAGACTAATGCAGAATTGTTCGTTTTCTAAGTCTCAGTTTTCTCCATCTGTACCTTGAAATAGCAATAGTCCTTACTCATAGGTTGTAACCACTTGTATAATCTGAGACCATATAGCTAGAGAGCAGATGGAAAGGGCATTTGATCTCAAGGAAGATGGTTGTAAATTCTCCACTTTGTTCAATCCACCATACATTCATAATTTCTACTTTTACAAATATTATGCTTAATGAAGGAGACCATTTTTTCATTCATTCAGTCTGTTCATATGGATGTCTTCTCTGTACCAGGAGCAATGCCAAGACCTGAAAATTTGACCATTAAGAATACTTCCCTTCACTGAGACTGCAGTCTAACTGGAAAGATTCACATTCATCAAATTATTAACAAGGAAATAAAAACATATTGCCACACAGGGGACTCAGCTGTGGTCTCTGTTACTTCTAGGCAGACCCTTTGATGGTGGCAGTAACTAGATCAAATCTGGAGAATAAGATCCCATGCTATTGAATCCATACGTAGCCAATAACTACTCTCTTCTTGAGCCCATTGTGCTAGCAAGGTAACAAGTTCTCTGAAACAGAGCATATGGTTTCATGAATTTGTATAATAGTGGAAGTCATGGAAGATTTTGCTAAAGTAATATGTGCAGCATATAAGAAGCACTAAGAGTGAATTTGTAGAAAAAATGTTTTTAAGTATTTCAGGCAGAGGAAACAATACATGCTGAGAAGCCTTGGTAGAAGAGGACATGACACACATAAAGAATAAAAAGAAGGTTATTCTAGCTGGAATAGAGAGACCAAACAAGAGCATGGCATAAAGAGAATCTGCAGGACAAGCAGGGCCCGACCATATAGGGTCATGTTCAGGACTTTTGTCTTTACCCTGAGAGAAATGGGAAACCACTTTTTATTCAGGGGAGTTAATAATCAGATCTGCATTTTTAAAAGTTTCCCTAGCTACCCTGTGGAGAATGGATTGGCAGAGGACGAGTCTGAATGACAGTAAAGAATTTTGAGTCTATTGCTGTTTTCCTGATGAAAGATGATGATAGCATGGATTAACTGTGCTAGCAGAGCTGGAGAAAAGCAGATGGATTTGAACAGAATTTAGTCAGTAAAGTTGACAGCACTTGATACTGGATTACATATGAGCAAGAAGATGTCCAGTATGACTCTCTGGGTTTTTGGTTAGCACAATTGAATGGAAGTAGTGCCAAGATATAAACATGAAAGCATTCTCAGGCAAAATGTGATTATATATTTAAAGATTTCACTTGCATACAAAGAGAAATCTATTACTTTAGAGCTTTTGTCAGTGCTATGATCCCTGATTTTTGAATTGTTCATCCTTTAGGAAATTAATAAAAGTTATAAAACCTCTGTCTAGACAAAAGCACTTTCCTAGTCACAATTGTGCATGTATTTTGTGGGTCTGCTTCATTCAAGTAAGTTTCATATCACATGGCATTTATGTAGTCCATGGATCTGAGGCTAGGAAACCACTAAATCTTTATAATGTGTACCTTGTGGCTGCACTTGTACATTGTAGTAAACAAACTTGGAAGATAAAGAACATGATCTTGCATTGCTTCTACAGGTATCCATTTGTAGTATTTTACTGTTGGTTAACAAATGAGTATTGAGTGAGCACTTGCAGAGCACTATCCTAATCTGTGGAAGGAATTGCAAAACATAAATGGTCCTCTGGGAACCCATACAAAAGCGCATCAATCCTAGTGACAGAACCAAACACAAGGGTCATCATGGCACTACTGTCAGGAAAAAGTGCCGCAGAGAAAAACTGCCTTCTGTCAGCTGCTCTTCACATTTATGGCTTTGTGTGACCTTAGGGGAAAATAAAAAATTTCCTTCCCCAGGGAAAGAGTCATTTGGATGCAGCTGCGTTTGAAAGAGAATTGCTGACTTAGAATCTAATTCCATGATGAACATTTTATAAAAAATACTATATATAGCAATTATATACACTACATACTGTATACACATGAGACATAAATTATATGCCAAATCAGCTCTTGTGCCAATCTGGAAATATTGAAAAAAGGATATGTGCTTAAGTTGCAGCTGGTAGGCTTAGAAAGAAAAAATTTTTAAAGGAAAATCACATACACAGAGATACAGCATCACCTTCTCCAAAGATTCTTTTAAAATCTCACAATCATTTGACACGAAATTTAGTCTTTTTTTGGAGTTTAGTGATAAGTTATCAAAGATTTCTTCCATTTATCTTATTCAAAGGTAATAACACCAAATTACATGTTGAGGGCTTACTGCATGCCAAATACTGTGCTAGCACTTTACGTACTTCATGTCATTTAATCTTTACAACCATTCAATGAGATAGGTAACATTATAAAACCCATTCTGCTAAAAAATAAACTAGAGTCAGAAATGTTACATAATTTTCCCAGCAGGGCTTCATTATCAAATATCAAATGTCGGAATCCAGGTGTGTCTGACTTGGAAATCCCAATTATTATCTTACAGATGACCACTTCACTTAAACCACATACCCCACCAAGGTGGACATTATGATTATTTAATGTTCAAATCACATGTCATTCTTAACCACAGAAGGGAGGCAGGGAGGCAGGGAAGTGCTGGGTAGAGAAGGGTGGGGTCCCTGACAAAGGCTCCACAGACCTAAGTGATAACAGGCACTCCTGTTTTTGTGCCCAAATGTTGCATTTTTCAAGACCACTCTGGCCTGCCATGCCCCCATTCTGTGCCCATAAAACACCGGAAACCCTAGCAGGCACAGACACAAGCAGTTGGACATGGAGAGGAGCAGAAGAGAACACCCACAGACAGAAACCAGCAGACGCTGGCAGACCATCAACAGTGAAATTCAGCCAGGAGCAGTGGGAGGAGAGCCCTACCGCTGGGCAATCGGACTCCAGGGGAAGAGTACCTTCCCACTCCATCCCCCTTCTGGCCTCCCCATCCATCTCACTGACAGCTAATAAAACTTTGTATCTATCCTCCAAGCCCAAGTGTGACCCAATTTTTCTGGTACACTAGGGCAAGAATCCAGGATACAGAAAGCCTTCTGTCTTTGTGGTAAGGCAGAGGGTCTAATTGAGCTGATTCACACAAGTCGCCTGAAGAGGGCAAAACTGAAAGAGCAAACTGTAACACATGCCTACTGAGGTTTCTGGCGCTGCAAACACTCAACCCTGGACAACGCCGATGGGGTGGGAGCCCATAAATGCTCCACACAACCTACCCTTCTGCATGCTTCCCCTAGGGCTTCTAGCAGCAGAGCATGGAAGAAGCGAGCCACACCCTGTCTCACGCCCTGTGAGAGGGATAAGGGAACTACACTCCCGTTTCAATAACACAACTACCAAAAATAGGTGTTGATTCCTTGAAAACTCAATTACAAATATCCTTTCAGGACCATTGTATTTGGAAGGTATAGAAAAGCCCCAGGAAATATTCAAATATAAAAGTGAATTTAATCTAAGTCATCTTGTTAGACTCATATGAATGTTTCTTTGGCAATGGGAAAGATAAAAATTACTTGGGATCTAGAGGACTTAGTCAAAAAAGTCATAGTTATTTCCTAAAAATACTGACCTGAGGCCATTCAAAGCAGTAAGTAATATCACACAAAGTAGAAATGTACCTTTGTGTGAGAAGTTCTTTTTAGTGAATTTCAGTATTTTGCCTTACAAAGCAAGTAGGACAGCTCCACTATATAAATAATGGAAGTACATACTTGGAAGATGGCTGGGTTAAGAAATGATCAAGCAATCTTTTTTTTTCAACATCTAAGAACTGCATATTATAAAACAAACTTATTTCTACATGTTATGTAACTATTTCTAGAGGTTATTAAATTTCAGAGACAACTCCTTTTGGTCTGCTTCTGAAAATATATTTGATGGAAACGAAGAGACATGCAAGCTCTTTGCTATTTTCTTTCTCTCTCCTTGTCAGATGTCATACCTAGAGAGCTGTGAATAAACCCTCTCAATTATTCCATAGCTTTTGACCCACATGCATAACTTATCTCTCTTGCATCAGTCATTAAATTGGTACAAGGCCATGTTTTATATGGTTAAGTTCAGAGCTCATGTGAGAGTAGATGCTTCACTGAGGAGTTTAAAAATGCTTCCATTTGAAGATCTCAGTTTTTCATGTAGTCATCTTCTTCAAAAATTATCTGTGTGGTAGATGTCCTTTAGCATCCTAGCATATACATATACAAGAGAAATAATCTGTCCCGAGAGTACCATGTAATCAATAACCTAATGTGATACTGCAATCATAAGCAATCATATCTATATAATAAAAGAAAAACACCCATAACATTGCTCTCTAAATAACCAAGAAAGTACATTCTTAAATCATCTTCAGTTATATGGTCATGATAGTTTTATGATTGTCCAATCATGCATTTAAAAGCATCTGGGACCCTGAAGAATTAGAGATATCATTTTTTGGTTCAGTTTAACACTTTTCAAGCTCATTGGCATGCTCTCGTTAAAAAAAAAAAAATAGTTCTCTAAGAAGGATGGAGCTGGAAATGAAGTTATGCCTGCTGTTCTTTCCACCTGTATTCCCCTTTGGTAGTCTTCATTTAAATTCATACCACATCACTTACACTTTGTCACATCCTTGCATTCACCTCTACATTTTGTTGTGTGCTATTCATTGTACCTGCCTATGCTGCTCTCTCCTGTCCCCACAATCCATACCACTCTCCTCCTGTACTGATATAAAATAGCAATATAGGAGACCTAACGGTGTGTAAAAGGTACAGTTCACTTCAAGAAAAACACAATACACAGGAATTTGATCTCACCAAGCTGATAAATTAAAAGGAAATAGATCATTTAATAAAACTTAAAATTCCAAAATTAATTTGTAAAGGAAGTGTCTGATTATGCAGCATATCCCCATGCTCAATTATGCTGGTGGTTAAATATTATTGCAACTATTTATTGAGTTCTATGAAACGGGTACTATTATCTCCAATTTGCAGATTAGAAAACCAGGCCAGAGCATTTAGGTGACTTATTCAGATCAAAAAAGAGTCAAGATTAAACCATGTCTGTTTTACTACAAAAAGAGTGTTCTTAATCATGACATTTTTCTGTCTCCTCAGGACTTGCTTACAAATTTCACATTTATCTATTACCCAGCCTGAGATGTCCTTCCTTCCCTCTCACCATTAAGATCCTATCACGCATTAGGAATGTATTTTTCCCACACCTAACATTTCATTCCTTAGAAGGAGATCAATTAGTGTGGCTCTAGGCTTTTCTCAGAGGAGGAGGAGTGACTTATTTTGTAAGTTTCAGAAGAGTAACTAGGCTCAGCTCATCTTTACCTTATTTCCTTAGGGACTGAAAATTCTTTTAGAGAAAGAGCTATCCTGGGGTTCTAAGGCTTACATGGGCAGCCCATCCATATGGAGAGGTGAGCCCAGTCTCCTAGTACCGTGATCGGTGGGTAAGTCTGCCTATTTTCAGGGGTCAGTTTCAGCAAACCCATTTGACATTAGACTAAGCTCCCAGCCTAGTGTCATCGGTATTTATGGTGAATACTTTTTTTCCTCCATCTTTTGTTTCTCAACATTTTCAGAATCAGACAGGAATGAGGGAGACTGTTTGAGAGGCTGCCCAAAATCCCAGGTTCTGCTTCCTCGAAAGGCTTTTCCCAGGCCCCCAGTCAGAAATCACCTTTCCCTTTCCTATCTCCTCACTACTTTGTATTTCCATACTAGCCTTTATACATGTTCATTTATATTAGTGGAAAATTGTACAACTCTGTATGAAACTGTAGAAGCTCAGAACTATTTCTCTCACCCATTTATAAGTGCTTCTCCCATAGTACCTAACATAGTGTTTTGTAGGTAGTAGGACCTCAAAAACACATGTGTTTAATTGAATTGAATTGAATTGAATTGAATTGAATTGTTTCTGTGCTATGTAATCTTCGTGTATAGCTTTAAACTTTTTTTTTCCATTTATATTTTCCTTAATTCTGCAGTCTGTTAAGAACCATAGGAGATACAAACTCCATTTTCTCCTCTCTGCAGTAGACCACTCAGTGCAGTGATTCAGGCACAGTGGAGAAGCTATAAAATTGCCAGCCTTCTGACTGACAGTGAGCCAGTTAACTGTTCCCATTAGGAGAATTGCCTGTTTGTTTCTCCTCACGTTGACTATGATTACCCACCCTGTGCAGGCCTCCAGGATGGAGGCATGGAGGGTGGCCCTGAAATTAAGAGAAGGAACTTCGAGTCTCAGAAGTGGCAATACCCCCATGTTTGAAGCTGTGACATCTTCAGGAGTAGCTGGGAGCCAGCTGCCATTAAGTCTATTTTAGGCATGAGGAAACCTAGCATTTTTAACAGAAAATGGAGTCTTGTTGCATATCTTACAGTTTTATTCCAAATGACTATGAACATGACAGTTTTTCTGAAGCAATGAATTTAACACCTAGCATTTTAAGAGCTTGAGCTTATTGCTGAAGCACTAATTAAGCTTTACAGATGAGAGACTAAGTGACTCACTAGAGGTGACAGAGAACATCAGTGATGGGACTTTCGGATGTCATAAGGGCCTGTGGGGGGGTTGGAATTGTTCATTCAGCATTCGTCTTTATTTGAAGCTATTCTGTAGCTAATAATAACCTAGTTCATTCATTTACTCACTCATTCATCCATTAATGCATCTATGCCTTAAAACATTCAATAAGCTTTTATTGGGCACTTACTCTGTATAAAATCCAATAGGAATTGCTAAAGACAGATATAGGCAAATCATTGTTTCTGCCTTTAAGGAGCCCACAATGAATGACAGATCAGAAAATGAATTAGTATAGTACCTAGTGATAAAGTCTATAATAAGGTAAGGGAGCTAAGAAAGGATAAAAGAGAGGTTCTAACTATCCTGGGTCTAGAACAATCTCATAAAGGATATGAGGTTTGAGCTGAACATTGAGACTTTAGCAGGCATTAACAAGAAACAAAAGAAAATGGTGTGCAGCTTCCAGTGTTTCTGGGGCAGAATATTTCTCTGGAGAGAGGTATAGCAGATTAGGAGAACTGAGCACCAGCTAAGGCCAGATTTTGAAGCCCATAGGCCATGCTAAGCAAGTATTTCGGACTTTCCTGTTGCTCACAGGGAGCTGCTTCAAAGGGGAGGATCATGTTATAAAATTTACATTATAAAAAGTTTATTGTAGAACCAGATTGTCGATTGTTGTCGTATTCCTTGTCTAATAGGAAAAGACTCCTGTTTAAGAGATTTTTATGATAGAATAACAGAACAGAATCCTGATTAAATGCCTGGTTTTGGGGCGTGTAAGTCATAGAAAAGAGACAAGTGGGAACTCAGGATAAACCCTAAAATTCCAGCTTAAATACATGAGTGGATGCACATCTATCACAGTGTTAGAAAATACAAAATGAAAGTAGATGTTGAGATTGAAGTCTGTAAAATACCCAGATGGCAGAGAGCAGACATAGCAAAGAGAAGGTGAGAAGTATGATCAGGAGGTATAAAACAGTCAATGATAAAGAGATATTGGTTAAAACTATGGATGTAGGTGAAATCTTTGCTATATCCAACCGTATTTCTAATTGCTTTGGCTGCATAGTGATTTGTACTTTTAATAAGAAGGTCACTTTAAGTTTATTCTACATGGCTAAAGTAACTATTATTTTTTGAAACACCACACACCAAAATTTTGACACATTTATACATTATTCTCACAAATATGGGAAAATGACTACATGGATAAATACAATAATTAAATTATGTAAAAATGTGACCCTTTCTCCAGTGATCAAGAAAAAAATAAAACTATGGTTATGGTAGAAAAAGTGTTTGATTTAAGCCTCTATTTAACTTTATTAGAAATATACTATCCTTTCCTACACCACCTTTTGTGCTGCTCTCCTCATCCAGCCCTCTTCCCAGCCCATCATTCTCTGCAATTTGAAGGGCTTAACGTTAGTTTCCACCCTCTCTTCAAGTGTCAGTGGAAACTTATTTACAGAAGACCTTAAAGGCAGGGAGCCTCTTTGTGCTTTACAAACTTCACATATCAGACTAAAAAATTGATCCATAGGCTGGTTTTAAATTGCTTCTTGTCCAAACTCTACCTATTTAGGTTCCATCTAAAGAGCTAAACAAAACCACTGAGCAGAAAGATGAATAAAGAGGTGAAGTCGAAATTGAATGTGGATTCCACAATTATAGAATTTCCTTTTAATTCTCAGTGCAGGTTGTACCTCTGGCCAAGAAACCTTGTATGGCCCCCTCTTACTGCCAACCCAACCTGATTTATAATAAAAGAGCACTTTTCACACCACATCAGAACAGCTTTTATCTGTCTGTGACTGAAGTGACAAATCCTCGAGGGGAGGGACCTTGTCATTCATTTGAGGCATCTCCACACCTAGTGTGACATCAAATCCAAAATAGGCACTCTCAGCAGTTTTCAGAATTTAGTTATTTACCTATCAATGCCAAATTATGATGATCCTTAGGAATTAGGAAATTTTTAAAAATAAATTGTAATTAATTCATTTCAGAACTCATTTTTTTTTAAAAAATAAAGCAGCATGAATAAAAATATCACTGGGGAGTTGTGCATAATATCCTATTTTAATGAATGAATCTATTTCATGATATTACCTTTTTGTTCAAGGTTTATAATATGCCTTCCCATAATGATGGAGTTTCTTTTCTCCCAAAAAGCAAATGGATTTCTGTTCAAAAACAAAATGTGGACAATTAAGTTAGAATCAAATATCTGAAATTCAGGGTAAAGCAAGTTTCTCATATTGTAAAACCATTACTGTAATAAAAAAAGTTGATTTAATCATAAAGCAGAAAATAATAAAACTGTGATGCCTCTGTTATATATGCTCAGTTGTATTCTTATGTATCTGAGTTTAAAAAAATTTACTACCAGATAAGAATCATCTCTGTGTTATAGACATTTTCATAGATTTTTATCAGCGCCTCCCTTGCTGTGTTATGTATTTGGTTTTATGTTATTTACCCAGTTGGAGAACAAGCTCCTAAAGGACAGTTTATTTTGATTCCCCAGTACCTATGACAATGTCTGGCATAAGGAAGGAACTTTAAATATATCTCTTCAATAAAGGACAAAACAAAAAAAAAATGTTCTTTTAATTTTGGAATAAAGAGATCAGGCCTGTTTATACCCCCCTGGCTTAGTCTTAGATAGTGTCTGCTGGTTATTCGTATCGCTATGCTCCACAGCCAAGCCTCTGACTTCTTGGCAAGAACAGTGCACAGGTAGGAAGTCAGTGAAGGTCATGAACTGACGTCAGACACCAGAAGGCATAGGCGTGACCTTAAAGCTGAGCAGGTAGAAGAAAAACAGAGCTGGGGATCAGAAAGTGATCTGCTAAAGCTGAATCCGGATGAAAGGGAAAACAACAGTGTCTTAGGGACTGTCTAAGATCAGCATCTAAAGAAGTTGATGAGTGACAAATTAAGAAAATTAGCCAGTTTATCTGCAGTATACAAGTTCTTCACACCAAAACCACACGAGCCCAGAATAAGCCATGCTTTCTTAGTATTTATACTGTTCCTTTCACCTATAACTTACTTTCATCACTTCAGTTCTTCTGCCATTTTTGTATGGCTTATACATCTCAGTTATTCTCTAAGAAGTCTTCACACCTCAAAACTACACTGGGAACACTTTCTATAAGGTCATATTGTTCTTTGTGCTGCCAAACCCATCATAGTGTCTGGAAATAGTTCATTCAGGGATGTGTTTTACTAATTTTTCTGAAAGTTGAACTTATTCCCAGTAGCTAGAGCTTAACACAGTGCCTAATACAGAGCAGGCATTTGGTAAATATTTGTTGAATGAAATAAGGAGGCATGTTTTGTTTTTACAAATGGGAAGGAAACTACTGAAACATTGAGTAGCCTATTTAGTATCACAGTTAGCAGTATCTAGTATTTATTTATTCAACAAATATTTATCAAGTTCCCAGGTACTGTACTAGATTCTGTGAGCATTACGTTATTAATTTTTTAATCTTACAATGACCCCTTTCATTTCGTGTCCGTTTTATATGGGTGCTTTTAGTATTTTAACATTAATGATAACAATAAATATGTAGATTTGGTTCTTTTGTCTCACATGTTGCAGCTAATGAAAGCATGTCTCATGGAGGTTAACTAACTGTTCCAGGTCTAATCGCCTAACAAGATGAGGTGCTAGAATCAAACCCAGGTCTCTCTGATCCAAAGACAATTATTTCCCTACTATGCAACTATGAATATATATAATTAATATAATTTTCTAATTTTGTGAGCAAATAAAAGAGAGATTCTGTTCATCTTTGATGTCTTTGACAATAGTGAATAAATAATTGGATGATTTTGTTTCCTTTGGAACTTGTCTATATAACTAAACAAAATTCTCAGGACTAGTAAAAAAATTTCTAGCCAGATCTCTCTATGTACCTTAATTACTTTTCATTAGGCTATATTTAATTAAGAAAGCAAATAGGCCTTATTAAAATTTAAGAGTTCCAACTTTTAGTCAATATTTTATGGATGCTATTGAGCTTTGTACTGAAATCCACAGTATATTTTTCTCAGTTCTTATCTGGGCTTCATAGGGCCAAAGCATCAGAAAATTAGTTTTCTTATTGTCCATTTGCACTTATTATAGTTGTAAATATCCTCTGATACCCCAATAGTGGGAATAAAATGATTTAATATTAAGTACAATTAAGGAAAATTGAAAGAGATTATATAATAACTAGTTGTTAAAATGTAAACTATATTTTATCCACTATTTAGTGCCTGCAGGACATCTATTTAAACTGATTCTGAGTTTAAATATTTAGTATTTACATCCAGTACTGAGGGAAGATCTTTATAGAGCTTCACTTTTACAGGACTATAATCACACTTGTCACTGCTCTCCTCACTTTGTCCAAGACCTTTCCAAAGTGCCCAAGCTTCTTGACCTCTTAATGTAAATGGATATTTATATGCAAAACCTGTGAATGTGTGTATGTGAATACATGTAGTGAAGGAAAGCAAAAGATTAAAAATTAAATCAAGGTTAAAATTAAATATTTGGGACTTCAGAAAAAGCTGTGTTAGGGCGGAAGGAAGATTGCAATTGTAACAGAGTTCTAAATTTGATTCTCAGTACTATCACTATCTCATAATCTTAATTAAAATGTCTGAAGAGTCTTGACCCTTACTTTTCTCATATAGAGTTTAGTAACACTAATAAATAGTTAACTAGCAGGAGAACTCAGATGAGTTAATTAAATAATGTTGCTGACAGAGGTTTTGTAAATATAAAGCACCATACGGGGGTATATATAGTATTGAAAATTACCATTTTTCCTAGTGAAACTATATAGAAATAGGTTTAGATGCAGAGCACGTATAATTCATTTTCCTCCATCAGGTAGGCACATGTGGAGAATATATATATATATATATTATATATATATATATATAATATATATGTGTGTGTGTGTGTGTATATATATGTATGTGTGTGTGTGTGTGTGTGTGTGTATTTTTTGTTTGTTTGTTTGTTTTTGAGACCAAGTCTCGCTCTGTTGCCCAGGCTGGAGTGCAGTGAAGCGATCTCGGCTCACTGCAAGCTCCGCCTCCCGGGTTCATGCCATTCTCCTGCCTCAGCCTCCTGAGTAGCTGGGACTACAGGCACCAGCCACCATGCCCGGCTAATTTTTTGTATTTTTTTTAGTAGAGACAGGGTTTCACCATGTTAACCAGGATGGTCTCTGTCTCCTGACTTCATGATCCTCCTGCCTCAGCCTCTCAAAGTGCTGGGATTACAGGCGCGAGCCGCTGCTCCTGGCCAGAATATATTTTTTATGATGAACTTCTGAATGATTTTCCTACTGTCAGAGAATGTGAATCTAGAGTTGTACCAGAGCCTAATTTAGATGGTGGGGTAGGATGAAGGAAGGCTTTGGGGAGGAAATAGCCAAATGAATAAATATAGGCCAGATGAAATGCTGGGAGTAGTCAGGGCTTGGGAAAGGAAATAACATTTCTAGTCAGCCTGAATGGAACTCTCAGATGTGACTGTTCTCTGTGGGTTTAGTAGAGGAGATAGATAAATCTTAAAACTGTAATAGGAGGCAAAATCTGGTCAGTGCCATGAGAGTCTGTATTAGTCCGTTTTCATGCTGCTGATAAAGACAAACCTGAGACTGGGAAGAAAAGGAGGTTCCACATGACTGGGGAGGCCTCAGAATCACGGCAGGAGGTGAAAGGCACTTCTTACATGGCAGCCACAAGAGAAAATGAGGAAGATGCAAAAGCGGAAACCCCTCATAAAACCATCAGATTTTGTGAGACTTATTCACTACCGTAAGGACAGTATGGGGGAAAGGTCCCCCTTGATTCAAATTATCTCCCACTAGTTCCCTCCCACAACACATGGGAATTATGGGAGTACAATTCAAGATGAGATTTGGGTGGAGACACAGAGCCAAACCATATCATTCTGCCCCTGGCCCCTCCAAATCTTATGCCTTCACATTTCAAAACCAAGCGTGTCTTCCCTCAGTCCCCTAAAGTCTTAATTCATTTAAGCATTAACCCGAAAGTCCACAGTTCAAAGCCTCATCTGAGATAAGGCAAGTCCCTTCCACCTATGAGCCTGTAAAATCAAAATCAAGCTAATTATTTCCTGGTTCCAATTTGGGTACATGTATTGGGTAAATACAGCCATTCCAAATGGGAGAAATTGTCCAAAACAAAGTGGTTACAGGGCCGATGCAACTCCAAAATCCAGCAGGGCAGTCAAATTTTAAAGGTTCAAAATGATCTCCTTTGACTCCAGGTCTCACATCCAGGTCACACTGATGCAAGAAGTGGACTCCCATGGTCTTAGGCAGCTCCACCCCTGTTGCTTTGCAGGGTACAGCCTCCCTCCTGGCTGCTTTCAGCGGGTAGTGTTGAGTGTCTGAAGCTTTTTCAGGGAGACGATGCAAGCTGTCGGTGGATCTACCATTCTGGGGTCTGGAGGACAGTCGACCTCTTCTCACATCTCCACTAGGTGGTGCCCCAGTCAGGATTCTGTGTGGGGGCTCCAACCCCAAATTTCTCTTCTGCACTGTCCTAGCAGAGGTTCTCCATGAGCACCCCAATCCTGCAGCAAACTTCTGCCTGGGCATCCAGGCATTTCTATACATCTTCTGAAATCTAAACAGAGGTTTCCAAACCCCAATTCTTGACTTCTGTCCACCTGCAGTCTCAACACCACATGGAAGCTGCCAAGACTTGGGGGTCGCACCCTCTGAAGCCACAGCCCAAGCTATACCTTGGCCACTTTTAGTCATGGCTGTAGTGGCTGGGATGCAGGACACCAAGTCGTTAGCCTGCACACAGCACTGGGACCCTGGGCCAGGCCCAGGAAACTACTTTTTCCTAGGCCTCCTGGGCCTGTGATGGGAGGGCCTGCCATGAAGATCTCTGACATGCCTTGGAGACATTTTCCCCATTGTCTTGGGGATTAACATTTGGCTCCTTGTTACTTATGCAAATTTCTGCAGCTGGCTTGAATTTCTCTTTAGAAAATGGGTTTTTCTTTTCTATCACATTGTCAGGCTGCAAATTTCCTGAACCTTTACACTCTGCTTCCCTTATAAAACTGAATGCTTTTAACAGCACCCAAGTCACCTTTTGAATGCTTTGCTGCTTAGAAATTTCTTCTGCCAGATACCCTAAATCATCTCTCTCAATTTCAAAGTTCCACAAATCTCTAGGGCAGGAGCAAAATGCTGCCAGTCTCTTTGCTAAAACATAACAAGAGTCACCTTTGCTTCAGTTCCCAACAAGTTCCTCATCTCCATCTGAGAACCCCTCAGCCTGGACCTTATTTGTCTATATCGCTATCAGGCTTTTGGTCAAAGCCATTCAGCAAGTCTCTAGGAAGTTCCAAACTTTCCTACATATTCTTGTCTTCTTCTGAGCCCTCCAAACTGTTCGAACTTTTGCCTGTTACCCAGTTCCAAAGCTGCTTCCACATGTTCAGGTATCTTTTCAGTAACATCCCACTCTTGGTACCAATTTATTATAATTAGTCTGTTTTCATGCTGCTAATAAAGACATACCCGAAACTGGGAAGAAAAAGAGTTTTAATTGGACTTACAGTTCCATGTGGCTGGCAAGGCCTCAGAATCATGACAGGAGGCAAAAGGCACTTCTTACATGGCAGCCACAAGAAAAAAATGAGGCAGATACAAAAGCAGAAACCCTTGATAAAACCATCAGATCTTGTGAGACTTATTCACTACCACTAGAACAGTATCGGGGGAACTGCCCCATGATTCAAATTATCTCCCACCAGGTCTCTCCCACAACATGTGGGAATTATGGGAGTACAATTTGGGTGGGGACACAGAGCCAAACTATATTGGAGTCTATGCCTCTAAACCTTGCTTCAGCACCAGACACTTCCACCTCAGTTATGTTTCTACCATGCCTTCTTCAAGCCAAAAACCTTAAGCTCACCCTTTGCTCCTCTCTATTTATAACTCCGCACATCCAATCCAACAGCAAATTACATTGTGTTTACCTTCAAAATATATCGCTAACATTTGCACTTCTCAATTCCAAGCTATCTTCATCCCTTACCTGGATTAGCATATTAGATTCCTAATTGATCCTCTAATTTCATTTTAGATCCTCTCTAGTACATTTTCCACAGAGTACCTGGAATAATCTTTAAGCGTAGATTAATCATATAATTCCCCTGCTTAAAACATTCCAATGGTTTCATATCATATTTAGAATAAAATGATTTACAAATCAAATGTGATCGTGTTCCTCTCTACCTATTCAAAGTAATCTCTTACTAGTCTCCCTTTGGCACATTATGCTCCAGCCGCAATGTTCTTCCTTCTATTCTTAGAACATACCACTGCTTATTTCTGCACCAAAGCCTCTTCATTCATTGTGTCTTCTTCCCAGGACATTGTTTTCATAGACCTCCATGTGACTCTTCTAATTTTTTTGGTCTTAGTTCAAATGCCGCCATCTCAGAATGCAATTTCCTTACCAGTCTAGCTGCAGTGCCACAATCCCCTCCAGCATTATTATCTACTCCATCGCATTTTACTGTTTTATTTCAGCATGTATTGCTATCTAAATATATTATCTATCTATGAGTATGTGTGTATTTGTTTTTTCTGCTAAATTCTCTAACAAAAGCCCCATAAAAGTAAACACCCTTCTTATCTCTTATCATATATTGCCAGTACCTGGACATGTGCTTGACACATATTAGCACTTATCAAATATTTTTAGCTGTTAAATTATTTTTTCCTATATAATAAATTTACATTTACCTAAAGTAGATGTTGAATTTCACACAAGAGCAGAAAGAGTTACTTTTAAACTACCAACTATAAATTAATTTATATGGTAAACTAATTTCCAAATAAGGCTTTTCAAAATATTCTGAGGGAATATTAGTGAGTTTTGAAGACAATGAGAACTGACAGATTCATCTGAAAGTTCCATGCATAGCTTATCACATTATACCCAGAAAATCATTAACATGCTTTAGCCTAGCAGAAGGAAAATCAATTTATAAATAAAATCAACAGGTGCAATATAAAATGCTAAAGTAATAGAATGTGACTATGTGCATAGTTTACATGATGTACCACTAGGCAGTGTTTTCGCTGGTGACAGCATAGTGGGAATGACTTTTTGGAGAAGGAATAGAGTGCAAACCAAGTAATCAGGAAACATCAGGGATTCACAAACACCCATACCCCATGGGGGCATTGACAATACCATTAATGAACCACAGTGTGAAATTAATGCACTGCCTTGTGGGGACAATGATCCCCTGAGACCTGCCTGTGGTGGCATTGTAGCTATGACTCATTGTCAGCAACTATTAGAAGGAAAAGTGCCTGGAAAAATAGGATAGAAATTTTATTAATAACATAATACTGATATAAGCTGGGAGGGAAGTATCTTGTTTTCTGTTATGAGTTAAGAAATTAACTACTTAAAGTTGTAATGAAATTGATGTAAAATGTTTAATATGAAATGGTTGCCTAACATGTCAGCTGATTACTTAAAAAAAAAAAAACTATTCCGTTTAAACACCAGTAAGCTATTGAGCACCTATAATGAGCCAGACATTGTGGGAAATACAAAGAAAAAAAGAAAGAATGAAGGTGAAGAGAAAGGGAAGAAGTGAGAAAGGAGGGAAAAAGTCCATATTTCTTTAATTCATAGAGATCAGAAATTAGCTGTAGCATGCACAGGTAAACACCTAATATATCCTGTCTTACTATGATTAGAGAGAACTGCATTAACAGAAATATAAACAAAGCATCATAGGCAGATATATGAAAAATAAATTCATTATTGAGAGAAGGGAGGATTGGGTAACTGTCAAAAAGTAATTAATGCCAGAATATATCCTTGAAGGAAAGCAAGATTTAAACAGAAAAAAAAAAATGTTTCAGTTGCTGAGTAACTGATATTCTGGTGATAGTTGTCATATAGCTAAGTAGATAGGTATCTCACTGTCCTGTGTATTACTGATACACATGGTTATATTCAACAACATAACCTGATTATAGCCATTGTTTGCTTTTTTCTGGTTTGAATTGTAAGCTCAGCACTTAAAATCATTATTCCCCAAGGCTAGGTAATTGCTAAATGTTTATATTCTATTCACAAGAAAGTTGCATGATGCTGCTTTACATCTCACAGGCCCTGCCTCCTTAGTTCAGCCACCTTCCTGGTGTCCTAAATAGGCATATACTGATACATAGAGAGTAGATGAGTCTGGAGCTCAAGCAGAGAGGTCTGGCCTGGATACAATAAATTTCAGAATCAATATCAATAGAGATGATTGTCAAATCCATAGGGAAATAAGTTATCTATTGGAGGCCCTGACTCTCAGTTACTTAAAATCAGTTTATTGGATTTAAATCAAACAGTAACCATAATTTTTAAATTGTACTACAAGTATTGGTAATCTTGCTATCCTAGGTGAACAGTATATTTTTCATAGCTAAATGTGTGGTAGTATAGTCGGTGGCTACAGTTTGGATCATTTAATGAGTAGGACAAGGAATAACCATGAAAATGGTTTTCCACTTTCACAAAAAGAAAAGAGTATACAACATGAATAACAAAAAGAGGGCTGGGCACAGTGACTCACGCCTGTAATGTCAGCACTTTGGGAGGCTGAGGTGGGTGGATCATAAGGTCAGGAGATCAAGACCAGCATGGCCAACATGGTGAAACCACGTCTCTACTAAAAATACAAAAATTAACCAGATGTGGTGATGGGCACCTGTAATCCCAGCTACTTGGGAGGCTGAGGTAGGAGAATCGTTTGAACCCAGGAGGGGAGGTTGCAGTGAGCCAAGATCACACCACTGCACTCCAGACTGGGTGACAGAGCGAGACTCCATCTCAAAAAAAAAAAAAAAAAAAAAAAAGGAAGAACTCAACCTCTTGAGTTTATAAACAGTAGGGGAAATATGATCCAGAAATGAAAAGGAAAAATAAGAATTCAGAAGAGTAGTTCCAAAACAAATAGCACTGGGATACAAAAGCTAAGAGAAGAAGGAATTTCAAAAAGAAAGGGTTCAAGAGAAATCAAAGAGCAAAAAGTAAATTGCAAAAAAGAATGTTAGCATTTAACAAAGCAATTTTGTAGGAAGTTTTGAAGAGAAGATGACTTTCAGAAGGCAAGGAATTAATAAAGGAATGGAAGTATAAAATGTGCTCCATTAATACAAGTTTGAAAGTAAACAGAAAGAGAGAAATATAACTCAGGAGGGGATGAGAGCAAATTAAGACTTCTTTTTAAAAAAAGATTTTGAGAATTGTGTAAATTTGAATGTCCTGGAAAGGGTGAAATGGTGAAATTCAATGAGAAAAATTGAAATACTGACAAGAGTTCTGAGACCAAGTCCATACATGTGTCTTGAAGGGAAAAATCTGAGGTGTAGAGACAATGAAGACATTGACTCTGAGACATAGAATGAGTCATGAGGATATCTTACAAAAACCACAGAATATTGCATACTTCCTACTGTAATTGTCTCTCATCTGTACTTCTCAGCTATCTTTCTCACATAGTATTTGACGCTGTGATGAATTACAGGGTGGATCTCATATTGTTACTCCTCCTTCTCCATATTCCTTATGTAATTCTTTCAGAGGGCTTTTTAGACCATCAGGAAAGCCCTAGAAGGAAAACAATAAGGGTGATGTAATAGAAGGTGGGATGTAGACATGATGAAAAATCAAGGTGTGAAATATTAGTTTGATGTTGGTTCCAAGTCTTTGCTATTGTGAATAGTGCCACAATAACATACGTGTGCCTGTGTCTTTATAGCAGCATGATTTATAATCCTTTGGGTATATACCCAGTAATGGGATGGCTGGGTCAAATGGTATTTCTAGTTCTAGATCCCTGAGGGATCGCCACACTGTCTTCCACAATGGTTGAACTAGTTTACAGTCCCAACAACAGTGTAAAAGTGTTCCTATTTCTCCACAAAATGTCCAACAATGATAGACTGGATTAAGAAAATGTGGCGCATATACACCATGGAATACTATGCAGCCATAAAAAATGATGAGTTCATGTCCTTTGTAGGGACATGGATGAAGCTGGAAACCATCATTCTCAGCAAACTATTGCAAGGACAAAAAACCAAACACCACGTGTTCTCACTCATAGGTGGGAATTGAACAATGATAACACTTGGACACAGGAAGGGGAACATCACACACCAGGGCCTGTTGTGGGGTGGGGGGAGTGGGGAGGGATAGCATTAGGAGATATACCTAATGTAAATGTCGAGTAAGTTATTGGGTGCAGCACACCTACATGGCACATGTATTCATGTGTAACAAACCTGCATGTTGTGCACATGTACCCTAGAACTTAAAGTATAAACAAAAATTAAAAAAATTAGTTTGATGTTGAGAATGTCACAGAATTAACCCCCATAGATTACCAGCACAACAGCAGAGAATAGACTACATTTGGTGTAAGAGAATTAGTGGTTTAATAATTGAAGTTGTTTCAACTCTCAGGCGTTTTTGTCTATTTGTTTTTATTAAACAGATTAAGAAGATGAAGAATGAGGAAGGTGAAACTAAGGTTTAAGAGAAAGTGTATTCATAAATAGAATGGTGCCTTATTTAAAATCGATTTGTTGAGCATGTGGTAAAGCTTTTGTCTTACTGAATTAATATAAATCAAGTATGGTGAAGCTAAGTGACAGCAACAGAGATATTGCTGAGAATAATGACACATGCTGTTCAACTATTCACCTTCCAGAATTGCCAAATTCAATCTAGCTTCCTCTCAGCTTCTAAATTAAAGGGACTCATAAAAGTATAAAAGTATTTGAGCCCCAGGATATTATCATATGTGAAGCTAACTTTGAGTCAACTTTCTAGTAATACAAGGCAATAAAATCCAAATAGACTGATAGATAGATAATAGATGATAGAGGGATAGATAGATTGAATATACATACTATATATATACTGCAACCAAAAGAGGCTTGACTCATCATTCTCAGATTCATATTTTCAATGTAAAATATTTGAAATTCTAAAGTAGTATATGTAATGTTTCTACTTGAATATCAAGTCACTATACTTAAAATAAATCTCATAATCTTGTTCCCAAAGCTAGTTATTCTCTGTGTTCTTTTTCTTAATGGTTGTTTAAGCAAGAAATTTAGAAGTCATATAATCTTCTGAAAATTCCATAGCTCCATTCCTCAGTATTTCTTAAATGTCCTCACTCTTTCCCATCTCCATTGCCATGATCCAAACTGCAGTGTCCTCTCTCCTGAATCAGTGCAACTGAAACTTAATTTGCAATTGCATCTTCCACTTTTGCCTCTGTTCTGTAATTTTTCATATTGTAACATATATAGAAAGTTGTTTCTAAAATATAAATCTGATCCTCTCATTGCCTATTTACATTTCATGTATTTTCATTGAACTTCGGATGAAAACTAAACTCTTTAAAATGGCCTGTGATTTCCATATGATGTGGAGTTTGTCTTTTGCCACTATCCTCCTCATTCACTGTACTGGCCTTCTTTCACTTTTTTTTTTTAAATGAGTCAAGCTTCTTTTTACCACAGAGCTTCAAATGGGATACTTTTTCTTCCTGGGATATTGATTTACCTGGCTAATAAATACTGGCATATTTCTTCACCTAGTTAATTACCACTCATCTTTGGATCTGAGATTAAATGTTCACTATTCATGGAATTCTTTGTAGCCTCAGAGTAGATAAAATCAGTTTCTTCATTATATTTCTTTCCATTGTGGTCATCAATTTGTAATGAAAAAATATCATTTAAATTTGGTATTAGCATTTTTCTCAACTCTTATGGCATCAAAGCTATATTCAGTGGGTATTTTGTACCTGAGTTCAATGACTGGCATACAGGATATGCTAAATAAATGCAGTTGAAGAGATGAAAGAATAAATGAGAAAATTATGGAGGAGAAAGTATGAGCTAATTGCTAACCTATGTTGAAAGGTTGAAAATGAGTACTGATGGTGAGCAGATGAAAGAAGTAATTATGTAGATGGTGTGGTCCAGATAATGGACAAATAAGGTGAAGTTCAAGATGGACTAGAGCAGTTGAAAATGCAACATGGCTGGGGACCATGGCTCACATCCATAATACCAGTGCTTCGGGAGGCCAAGGCAAGAGGATTACTTGAGCCCAGGAGTTCAAGACGAGCCTGGCTAACATAGAAAGACCCCATCATTACAAAAAAATTAACAATTAGCTGAACATGGTGGCACACCTCTGAAGGTCTAGCTACTCTGGGGACTGCAATGGGAGAATCACTTAAGGCCAGCAGTTTGAGGCTGCAGAGAGCTATGATTATGCTACTGTACTCCAGCCGGGGAGACAGAGTAAGACACTGTCTCTAAAAAAAAAAAAATTCAGAAATTAAAAATGAATAAAAATGCATCACGTTTGTAATCTTAATTCCACTTTATATATTGTGATTTTAATTTAAGTCAATTTTCAATACTATCTATTAATTTCAACATTTTTAAATGTGTGGAGCCCAACTGTTGGTAACTAATTATCTGAATATAGTAACAGCATTCCATGTATTGTGGTAATATGCATTATCAAGCTAAAATCTTGCCAATTTCTAATATTCAATAAGATGTCTCTTTCTTATAATTAAATGTTTAATGTAGCAAATCAAATGGAAAGATGCAGCCTAATGATTAATGAGAAATTGATAATCACATCTCAATTTAACACCTCCTTATAACATTTAATATTTTTGTCATTGATGTAAATAATGGAAAATTCATTGTAGATTGGTTTCAGCATTAAAGAGGATTTATTAGCTTATGTAATTAAAAAGTTCAAAGTGGTCAGGCTTAAGGTATAGGGTGATCAGGATTCTGGCTCCATTTCTTTGTAATTCTCCATGTTTCAACTTCATTCTTGGGCTAATTTCTCTTGTAGAAGAATCACTGTAGCAATCACCAGCCTTACAACCTCATATGCTATTGTCCAGTGAGAGAAAGAGAATATCTGTGTCCCACAATTCCCAGGAAATGTTCTGAGTAGGCTAAGAGAAATCTAAGTGCTAAACAGCTTGACTAAGGTTACCTAAACTAATAACTAAAGCAAAGAGAAGAATTACTCTGGTTGACAGAGACAAGTCTGGACCCTCTAGAGTTAAAATATGAATTTACTACAGGAGAGGACAGGAGTGAATATTGGAAGAAAAACATTACCCATTATATTAAAAGTCAGGGCTTCTAGATAATGCTGTAAATGTACAACTGAATAAAAGTTATTACATGTTGTATATATATCTTCTAGTCACATAAATGAATATAGTAAAATTAACTTTACTGGACATTAACATAAATACAAATATGAAATTATAGGTGGCCCATCAAAGAAGTGTAGAGTTCTTAATTAATTTACCATACAACCTTTCATCCTATTACTCTAACCATACTTCCACAGTTTTCAAGTACTTTTTCAAGCACTTAGGTAATCAGAAGAGATTATATTTTTATTTCTCATATAATTAGCTGTTCTACAAATTCAGATGAATTACCGAGTTATTTCAACAAAATGACTTTTTCTTGTCCCCATTTGAGCACAAGCATTAAATGCAATGCCTTGCACGCAGTAAGTGCTACATAAAAATGTGTTACTTAAATGAATTAACTTCAAGTTTTGAAGATGCATTAACTTATCAAGACTATAATTTTCACTTTAAAAGTATTTTCATTATATAGCATCTAGAAAACAATGGAGTATTTGAATTGAGGGATTCATGGTGTCTCATACACTTATTCATTCCAAAATTTATCAACACAATTGAAAATCTCTCTGAAATATATTGTGCTAGGCAGTAAGTAATTATTCTTCATTTTATAGTTTCTATAGCATCTTGTGCATATTTAAATCATTGTATTTATAATGTTTAAATTGTCATTCATTAATTTAATAAATAATTATTCAATGTTTACTATTTGCCAAGCACTGGAATATAAATATATTCAATATACAATTCCTGCCCCCAAGGAACTTCAAGTGTGTATGGGGTGGTGGTGGAGGTAGAGGTGAATAAAGAACAGCTTGTCATTGTATCTCAAATGATAGCATAGGCATATAATAGGTGCCTAATAAATATTTGTTACCTTTACAAATAATGCATGTGAAACTGAATAAATAATGTCCTTTGAAGAACTTTACAACTCACTCAGTTTCTCTGGAAGTGCTGAGAGTGGGGCTCCAATCAATCATGGTTAAAAAATCAATCAAGCAGGGGAATAAAACACTGAATTATAAACTGAATTGTTTGAGAGTGTTATAATAAAATGCAAGACATTAAATTATCTTTATAGAATGATGGTAACTTCCCTAAAGGATAAAATACTTTGACTTTCCTAATGATCCCCCTTGCTGAGTTCTTTATTATAACTAGCCTTAGGGTTTTTATCCAAGAGTTCATGGAACCAGAGCTGCAGTTCCCAGCATTGGATGTTTATCACTCTACAAATACTATGATTCTCTTACGTGTGAGAATGCTTAGACTCTCAATATGGCCATCTGTTATTTCTGTACTTCCATATTCAATCCTGTGTTTAACTTTCTACATGGCCACATTGGACTCCCAATTCTTGCTTGTTGCTGATTATACAAACATTTACAGAATGCCTATTACACGTCTTTGACTCTGTGAGAAACATGGGACAACGAGTCCAAGGTTTTGGGTTAGGATGACGTGACGGAAGTCCAAACAGAGTAACTAACTGGGGAGAAAACTCAGTTTAAGTCTTGTCTTTTCTTTAAAGCTTACTCTCACTACTTTTATTCCTGTAAATAACCTTACAGTTCAACTCCTCTGAATGCGTACATTATAATAACTGCCATTTGCTTATATATAGCTTCGGGTTGTTCTAAGTTGTTTTCTATATCAAAATTTTGTTAACCAAAATACTCTAATTTTCTTGAAGACATAAATACTCTAATTTTCTTGCAGACAGGCTCATATCTTCCTTGAGCCTAAACCTCAGCATAACCTCCAAAGATCCTTACTCATTTAAATTGCCGACATATCTTTCTCTTTCTTCTTATAATAGTCTTTCTTCTCTAACAATTGCCTCACTCCGTCCATTTACTCAATATTAAAGACACCTTCTTTATTGACAAGCAATGAATCCAGTGAAGTGCTAGGACAATGGAATGAAATAGTGTCTTGAAAAAGAGAAGCACATAACAATTAAAATTACAATGTCATTCACGCTAAGGCAGAATTAAGCACACAGTGTTTAAAGTACAAAACTGCTCTTTCCCACATGTAGGATCACAGAAGACTTAGAATAAAAGGCATCTGAAATGGGGTTAGAAAAACAGCCAGAATATAGGAAAATGAAAACAAAAAGCACTGGACTAAGTGAACATGAAGTGAACATTGGTACCATAGTAGGGATGATTAATAAAAAATGTGATATCTTGCAGGCACCTACAGTAATGTGGCATACAGAAAGAAAAGGGGAATGAAAAGAAAGACTACTGAGAAATTACAGGATAAAGGATCTTACGTGCCTCCTCAAGGAGTTTGGACTTTATTTAAAGACAAAGAGAGCCAAATTTAAATGTTTAAGCAGAGATGTAATATTATTACATTTGTGTTTTAGAAATCTCACTCATAACAGCAAAGGGAGAACAGTAGCACCTAATTCAAGTGAGAGATAATAAGGTTCAAAATAAAGCCATCACTGAGACAGTCAAGGGAAAAAAATAGCTTCCCAAGACACTGAGTCAATGGAATCATCATGACTTTGTCTCTGGAAGGAGCAGATTCCTGGTGAGAAAGAGTGACACTGCCCCAAACCTATAATCCTTGTTTGAACAATTAGAGGAACAATGGTAGCATTCCTTTAGAGATATATGGCAGAAAGGGCAATAATTTCTACTGGTGAAATGAACAGTACTGATATTTTAGGCCAGTTTTATTGGAGGTTCCTCTGGAGCAAGCTGTCTAGTAGGTGTTGAATATTTTAATCTAGAGCACAGGAAGAATAACAAGGCTAAAGATAGATATGTAGAAGTAATTAGATATAAATGGTAATTGGAGTCATAGGATAAAATCCAAAAGGGAAACTATACAAAAGTGCAATAGAAAAATTTCAAAGACAAATCTCTAGGAAATATCTAAACTCGGCCTGTAGGATGAGAGACTCACCTAGAGGATAGAGAGGAAGAAAACAGGGTGGCAAGAGGAGTGTTAGGAGAATTTGTTACTATAGAAGCCATGGGATGAGATTTTCCAGGAGAAAGTAGTCAACCATCTCAAATGCAGCAAAGGTCAGTGACTCCCAACACTCCCTCTCACACCTAAATACAACCCTGAATGATTCTTCACTTTACTCTGACACTGACATTTCTTAGATCCAGCATACAAATGAGATGTGTTGATTCTTCCCTCGTACTTGTTTGAATCCTCTCAGTGCTTCTCTCTATATAGGTCTAAGCTTCACCCTCACATCTGCTTGTTCCAAACACAACCTACAACAGAAATGCTTGGTAATTATACTCTAGAGTATGTTTGTTTTTTTTTTTTCAAAATAGTGTCACATCCCCTGATCTGAAATTACAGATACTGAACTATGAACCATTTGGCACTGCCTGTTTCTCTACGCTTCTCTTGTAGCCTGGGTTCATGTTTTCTACTCAATACATCTCCCTAAACAGATTTTTATCTCTTTCTGTCTGAGATATGACTTATGCTCTAACTGGACATTCAAGTATGAACAGCCAGTACAGTTAAACCATTTGGGGGCAATACAAACTAGAAAAGAAATTTTGTCAGACTAAAAAATTATAATAAATGAATTTCTCAATTGCTCATAACATGCAGCATCCTCATTGGGTGATCACATTCCCTTTACCAGTTCTACCAAATATAGATTTATTGATAATATCTGAATTAAATATCTCAGGCCAGACTTCTCTACATTTCAGATTATATGTGTAACTGCATTTGTGACATTCACTTGATTGTTTCACAAGCGTTTCAAAGTTAACATGTTTAAAACTAAACTTCCCCAAGAAACGTATTTCTCTTTAGTAAATGTTACTAATCACTCAAATCAGAAAATTCGGTGTCATTCTAGATTTGTTTTCCTTCCTCATACTCCATAGAATATTAGTCACAAAACCCTGCCTCTTTGTCCTCATAAACACAGTATTTCTTACTTCAGTTCCTTATTTTCCATCCTATAATCACTTCCTTGTTTCAAATCATCACTTCTCACCTGACTTATGGAAATGGCCTCCTAATAAGTACTTGAAAATGGAAAACGTTTAAATCCATTCGCAAATAAGAGTCATCTATAAAATAGTATAAATTAGACTGTGTCATGTTCACATTTTAAATTTCTGTGAAAATTAAGTGGCTGGAATTTTCCTTACATAAAAAAATGTGGATTCATGCCTCTTTGCCTTTGTTCATGATATTTGCAGTGCTGCAAATGCCATCTCCATTTTTATATCTGACAATTTTGCAAAAACTTCAAGACTCGATACAGTAACTTCTCTGTCTTGATTACCACTGTACCCTCAGCATATAATAAACTGCTTCACATACAACAGGCACTTAATATGTATTTGCTGATTGATTTATTCTGTCTCAATCATGTCCATTTTACTTTTTAGTACCTTTCAGTTTTTCCAGTTATTAGCAATGTCTTTTTATAACATTATTGCTGTAATTATTATGTATTATATAAATATGGCCTAGAATTTTATATTTTACTTTGAACATTTGTTTCCTGGACCATAGTGTTTGCTCCTATCACATTTGAGTAAAAATATTTCTGCTGTATTCAGCAAGAGAGTTTTCTCAAAATTATCCTTACTTTTGTACATTTCACCAATTGTCAGCTCTTTGACACTTTAGATTTGAGACCAGATATCAACTTATAAAAAATAAAATAACTTTTCTTCAAGACATGGGCCCAATTTCTCGTGTCTCATTTTGTATAGGTCTTTGTTATACATATTATTCAATTGTATTTAAATTATACTTTTCTGTAGTCTTTCCTTCTTCAAGTCTTTCTTTCTTCAAGTCTTCCACCAGAGTATAAGCTTGATTTAGGACAGATATAATATGTTTGTCATCAAATTTGACTTAGGCTTGGAACATAGTAGATACTTAATAAATGTTGATGTACTTGGACTGTACTGAATTTGGTCCACTATTTTCAGATTCCAAAAGGATTTTCTAAGAATTACAAATTTCAATTTTTAAGCCTAAATATGGATAATATAACTTAATGTTAGCTATAATCGGTTTTATCATTATATCACTGGATTTTTGAAAAAGTGATGGCCAAGGACTCCAAGACAGTCTTAAAGATGCCTGAGCATTTGAAGACTCCTAAGAATGAAATGAATTAATGATGAATCTCCTTTAAGCAGAATTTGCTGCTGAAATTTTACAAGTCAGCATTATAAATTTCTTGACTAATCAGAAATTAAATTTTAAGTTTTCTGTTTAAATAAAAATATTTTAACGCATTATAATGTACAACCAAAAGAGCACAGAAACCATGATGTGTAGTACATTGAATTTGCATGAAATTAACAAGCCCATTTAAACACCAATCAGATCCAGAAATAAAACTTTACCAGTGCTCCAGTGAGCAAGGTCCCAACGTTCCAGCTTGCTCATTCCAAGTCTAACACACTCTTCAAAAGGAACCAATGTTTTAACTTCCAATATTCTGGGTTATTGCCTTCTTCAAAATTTTATGTAAGTGGAATATGTATAATCTTCTCCTTTCCGTATATTTTCTTTAACTTGGTATTATGTTTATTATATTATTCATTTTCCTTCATGTAACGGTAGTTTGTTCATTTTCATTGCTGTCTACTACTGTATTATATAAATAAACTGCAATTCATTATCCTTTCTACTGGTGATGAACATTTTGGTTGTTATTAAAATGAGACTATTTCAAATAGTGCTACTGTGAATGTAAGAGTTGAAAAAAGAGGAAACAAACACTAAATGCAGCTGGCAGTTAAAGACAGGTTTACTTTAGACAAAACCTGAGAGGTGCTCTTGGACGATCCTGGTCAGGAGCACTTTCTCTTACAGACTAAGAGTATATATTGGTTTTAGGGTAAGCAAACTTATTATAAGCTTGGAATATTTGTGTATGTGGAGAAGTTTATGGCAGAGTTGGAATCTGTCTGGGAGAAGGGGAGGTTATCTTGGGGCAGACATCTTTCTGGCCTGGACTGGGGTTATCTAGGGTCTAGCATGTCTCTGCTTGGGGAGGATTTTGGAATGTTTCTTGTTGTTGGAGATGTTATTTTTGGTTTATGGTCGTGCTGACCTTACCCACTAAGCTGATGCTCTTTGGATTTAGATGGTTTTTTATTAAGGTGAACTTTAGAATGAGGGGCTTGTCCAAGATGGCGATGCTCCTGCTCTGTCAGTGAACATTCTTCTGTATGCATTTTGGTGTGTATTTAATAGCATTTCTGTTAGAAACATACTTAGGGCCAGAATTGCTGGGTTATATTGTATGCTTATATTCAGTTGTAGGAGATATTGCCAAATAGTTTTCCAATGCAGTTGTACCAACCTATGCTCTTAAAATCAATGATTGAGAATTGCAGTTGCTTTCCATTTTATACTGAACTATGTCGATCGTTTTTAACTTTTTGCCATTTTGGTCTGTGAGTAGTGCTATTCGTAGTGGTTTTAGCTTGTATTCTCCTAATGATTAAAGTTAACCACTTTAAAAACATTCACTGGTCATTTCAAATCATATTTTGTGAGGTGTGAAGTGTTCAAGCTTCCTGACCACTTACTTTTCTATAGGATTTTCTATTTTTATATTAAATTATAGAAATTATTCATATACTTTAAATATGAGTCGTTTTCAGACTTTTTGCCTATCTAGCTATCATTTTGGTATCTGTCATCTGTATACACAACACACACACACACATACACACACACTACAAGATCTTCTCCTAATTTGTGGCCTACATTTTTATTCAATTAGTGGTGTCTTTCGATGAAAATAAGCTATTAGTTATATTATAGATACTTTTAACAATTTTGACTTTAATAGTTCTGTCTATGCCCTTTTTGAAAACTCTTTCCTATTCTATGGTGAAAATATCTCCTTTTATTATTATCAAGAAGATTTATTATTTTATCATTCCTATTTAGGTCTACAATCTATCTTGAATTTTGATTTTTGTAAACAGTGTGGATTAAGTATCAAGACTCTTTTTTCATAAAGACATATGATTCACCTAGAATCTTTTTTATTAGAACATTTTTTCCTACTTCTTTGCAGTGTTGCCTTTGTTAGAAATTAAGTCTCTGTATGCATGTGGGACTCTGTTCTATTGGTCCCATAATTTCAACAAATTATGTCTAATTTTCTAAAACCTTAATATCTAATACTACATTTTTCAAATAAACTTTGTTCTTTATTAAGGTTATCATGGCTATTTTTGAACTTTTACATTTCCCTATAAATTTTAGAACCTACTTGTAAATATCGTCTCCACCTAAACCCCACCAAGGAAAACCCACTGGAATATTGATTGAGATTACAATCCATCTGTAATCGACTTTAAGAGAATTAACTGTACATTATTCATTCATCCAATTTATGAATACAGTATAACTCTTTATCAAGTAAAATCTCCCATAATTTATCTTGCATGCATGAATAGATCTTGCACATATTATTTAGGCTTATTTCTTTGTATTAAGTGGTTTTTAAGTAATATATTTAAATTTTTAATTTGTATTTGTTTTGGATATATAGAAATTAAATGTATTTATGTATGCCAAACTAGTATGCACCAATTTTCTAAATTCCTTTGTTATTTGTAATAGTGTATCTGTAGTATATCTATAGATTATTTCAGATCTTCTAGGTAAATAATTGCATTATTCTTGGCTAATGACAGTTTACTCCTTTTTATTTCTTTTCTTTCCTTATTAAACTTGCTAGAACCTTCAATAAAATATTGGGAAAAAGTAGTGAGTGAAGACATCTTTTACTTATGCTGGATATCAGGAAGAAATATTTCAACATTTTACTGTTGTGTTATCTTCACTGTAAAGACTCTGGCATAGATTAAGGAAGTTATCTTTTTTAGCTAGGTTGCCAAGGTCATTTTATCAGAATGATGTTGAATTTGTCACGTTTTCTTTAATTTATTGACGGCATTATGTTGTTAATGTGGTAAATTAAGCTGACCAGCTTTCGAAAATTAAAATAATTATATATGTATATACCACATTTTCTTTATCCATTCATCCACTAGTGAACATTTAGGGTGTATCTACATCTTGATTGTTGTGAACAATGCTGCAATGAACATGAGGGTGTATATATCTCTTCAAAATAAATACCCAGAAATAGGATTATTGGATCATATGGCAATTCAATTTTTAATATTTTGAGGAAGCTACATACTGTTTTCCATAGTGGTTGCACCACTTTGCTATGGATAAACTGTGAGAACATTATGCTAAGTGAAATAACATAATGTCTGCCAATCACAGGAAAACAAATACTTCATGATTCAACTTAGATGACTAAAACAGTCAACTTGATAAAAGCATAAACTGAATTGTGGTTGCCAGGGGTTGGGGGGATGAAGGAAATGGGGAGCTGCTATTCAAGAAATACAAAGTTTCAGTTCTGCAAGACGAATAAGTTCTAATGATCTGCTGTGCAATATTGTGCTTATAGTTAACAATATTGTACTGTACAGTGAAAAATTTGTTAAGACAGACCTCTTGTTACCTGTTTTTACCACAATAATAACAATAATAATTTTTCATTCCTGGGGTATACCAAATTTGAATGAGTATTGGCATTTCTATACATTGCTGGACAGTTTCCTAATATGTTATTTGAGATTTTTCATTGATATTTATAAGAGTTTGGCCTACATTTTGTCTTTATTTTGAAATCACTTTAATATTTAGATATTACTGTTTTTCTGGACTTATAAAATGAAGTTTTCCTCTTTGCTTTTTTTTGAAAAAAAATTGTTGAGTATTGGTGTTATTTCTCGTCTAAAGGTATAGAATAATTTGTTAGTGAAGTTGGTGGGCCAGACTCTGTGTGTGTGTGTGTGTGTGTGTGTGTGTGTGTGTGTGTGTGTGCGAGTTTCTGGGGATGTTTTAAATAAACTTCCACTGATTTAAGAGATATAAAATTATTCTGTCTTTGTGTGTGTGTGTGTGTGTGCGAGTTTCTGCAGATGTTTTAAATAAACTTCCACTGATTTAAGAGATATAAAATTATTCTGTTTTATGTTTGTTTCTGTTTCATAATTTAATACTTATGTAGGGATTTTTCTATTTTATCTAAATTTTCAAATTTATTTCCATAACATATTTCACAATATTCTTTTTGGCTGCCCTTTTACAATTACTTTTTAGTGTATAACTTGTGCATTTCTCATTTCTTTCATTGTTGCCAAGTGTTCATAAATGTTCATCAGTTTTATTAGTCTTTTCAAAGAATCAATTTTGACTTTAACATTTTTTTTCTTTTTTTTTTCTTTTTTGATAGAGTCTCCCTCTGTCGCCCATGCTGGAGTGCAGTAGCTCAATCTCGGCTCACTGCAGCATCCGCCTACCAGGTTCAAGCGATTTTCCTGTCTTAGCCTCCCAAGTAGCTGGGACTACAGGCGCCTGCCACCACATACAGCTAATTTTGTGTTTTTTAAGTAGAGACGGTGTTTCACCATATTGGCCAGGGTGGTCTTGAACTCCTGACCTTGTGATCTGCCTGCATTGGCCTCCCAAAGTGCTGGGATTACAGGCGTGAGCCACTGCGCCTGGCCTAACTTTTTCTTTCTACTATACTTTTTTTAAGCAATTCTCCATAAATTTTTATTTTTCTATGACCTCTAGTTTTGGAGGGTTTAATGTGCTTCTTTTTCTCACTTCCTGCATTTTACTTTCAATAACTTTGCCTTTCATTTTTAGCAGCTTTACTATGATAAACCTGAGTGTGAATTACTTCATATTCATTTTGCTTGGATTCATCATACTTATTAATCTGTGTTTTGGTAGGTTTCATGCTGGTTGCACATTTGGTTTTGGAAATACTCCATCATTATCTCTTCAAATATGATTTCTACTCTATTCTCTTTTTTCTTCTCCCCCTGGAAAACTAATTATCTGACTTAGATGTTTTCATCATATTTTATACTTTTCTATATTCAAAAATTGTGTTTTTCCATGTTTCAGTCTGGATATATTCTATTCCTCTAAGTTTTCTAAACTTCATTTTTGGTTGTGTTTATTCTGCTGAAGGTGACACATCCATTGAGTTCTTAAATTTTTAAATGTTTAGTTTCTTAAATTTCTCTTTTTTAAAAAAATTACTGCTTTCAACTTACTTCTCTGACTTTTCATCTATTCTCTTGAATATATTATTCATATTTGTATTTAAATTCACTCTATTGATTCTAATGATTGGGATGGGGTTGATTTCATTGACTGTTTTTCCTGGTTTTCAATCATTTCATTCTTTTTCTTTAATGCTTTATATGTCTGTCCATTTACTACTGAAATGATAGACAACATGTATAAAAATTGTAGAGGTAATCTAAGGCTACATCTGGTTGTATGTTCATCCAGAGAGAATTTGCTGTTGCTTGTTTATAGCAGTTAAAAGAGAGGAAGACCATTTTAAGCTAGCTTGATAGTGAGAGGATCTGAAGCAGTTTCCATTTTTGTTGGAGCCTATCACTTTCCAGTTTGTCTTTACAACTAAAATATAGCCTGTAATGATCCCAAATAAAAACTCAAAGTGGTTACTATCTGCAATGGTTTGTTTGTTCTCAATAAAACTCAGGCTGGAATTTGATCCCCCCTGTGATGTTGTTAGGTGGGGCCTAGTGGGAGATGTTTGGGTTATGAGGGCAGATCCCTCATCAATGGCTTGTTGCTCCTCTCTCCTCCTGAGTGAGTTCTCACTCTTGAGAGACTCGATTGATTCTCATGGGAATGGATTAGTTCCTGGAAGAGTGAGTGATTATAAAGTCAGAACACCTCTCAAGTTTCCCCTCTTTGCATGTGTCCACTTCCTTTTCCACCTTGTTGTGATACAGCACAAAAGCCCTCACCAGAAGCTAGAGGCATGCCCTTGAACTTCTTAGCCTGCCGAATAAAAAATAGAATAAACCTGTTTTCTTTATAAATTACCCAGTTGTGGGCATTCTCTTATAAACAACAGGAAATAGACTAATGAACAATTACAATTCTTTTTTTCTTCAATTCAGTATGACTGCCTAAAGCTCTTCTCATCTGTCCAATCTCTTAGCCACTTCTGACATTTTCAGTAAATGCCTACAAATTAGCAAAGAATTCAAGGGAGGAAATAATATCTGCTTCAGATATCTGTGCTTCTTTTCCCTCCCAGATATTCACTGATAAGATTTTAAATGTAATACTAGCCCAGAACTCAAAAATGTTCAAAGCTCACCTGGTGCTTCTGTCCCAACTTCTTAGCTTCTTATCAATGAGTTCAACTTCAATGAATTGTCACATACTTCAAAGGGAAAGTCTTTCTTCAGTCCATTTTTTTTTTTCTCCTGGATCATGGCCCCCTCAGTACTGGCTGACTAGATAGCTTTCTGACAACTTAAACAAATTAAAAAAAAAATATTCAGCCTTTCTAGTTGTCTTCAGAGGAGGGCTTGCCTAATCTATCACAGGAAAATGTGGAAGTAGCTGTTCAGTTTCTATTATGTGACTTAAAATTTAAGTCTACTTGGATTAGTTATTGAGCATATGATACCTAAATTTTTCAGGAACTTAGGTTTTGAATTTTGTGTCACTTCTTGTACAATGATTATTTCTAAAACTTAATCTGAATCCCAGTGTAATTTTTGATTATTTACTCTTCCTCTATACCTATACGTTTTATTTGGAAACTATATTAAATAAATGTGAGAAGTTCACAATAGGTTTCTGAGTGTCGTGGGGATATTTTGTCCAGGAAAAACATGTTGCCTCAAAGTGAAATGTGAATGGAAATGAGCCCATTCTGTGTTTATGTACAGAAATCAAGGTCTCTTAAGCATCTTCTAATTGGTCTTTTCCATGTTATTAGAGAGACTCTTACTAACAATGACAGGGTACTGAACAATACAGAAATAGACATTTTATCAGAATATTAATTTAATGGTTTAAGGCAGTTCTCTATTTGACGATTCAGGTAGAAGGAAAAAAAAGAAAGAAATTCCAAGAGGGATGTGTGTGTGTGTGTGTGTGTGTGTGTGTAAATAAATTAAATTATCTCTTCTATCTACATTTTTATGTATATACCTTTGGACACAGATTTGTATTAAAGATCACATTTAATACATTGTTCTAGTTCAGTTTTAATGTCTAGATTTAGATAGAGTGGGTTTAAATATTGTGCAACCCTGGGCAATTTGCTTGCTTTGCAAGCTACAGTTGCCTCATGTGGAATGTGAACATGTAAAATTATGTACTTCAGTTTCATACATATAGTCTTTCCTTAGTATCTGTGGGGGATTGATTCTAAGACCCTCAGTGGATTCTAAAATTCGTGGTTGCTCAAGTCACTTTTATAATAGCTCAAATCATTATCATATAGTATATACATATTCTTATATACTTTAAATAATCCCTAAATTACTTATAATACCTAATACAATGAAAATGCTATGTGAGGCTGGGCACTGTGGCTCACACCTGTAATCCCAGCACTTTGGGAGGCCGAGGCAGGTGGATCACCTGAGGTCAGGAGTTCGAGACCAGCCTGGCCAACATGGTGAAACCCCGTCACAACTAAAAATACAAAAATTAGCCGGGCATGGTGGTGCACACCCGTAGTCCCTGCTACTGAGGAGGCTGAGGCAGGAGAATTGCTTGAACCCAGGAGGCGGAAGTTGCAGTGAGCCAAGATCATGCCATTGCATTCCAGCCTGGGCAGCAAGATTTTTAAGATTCTATCTTTAAAAAAAAGAAAAAAGAAAAGAAAATGCTATGTGAATAGTTGCCATACTCTATTGTTTAGGGAATAATGACAAGGGAAAAAAAGTCTGTACATGTTCAGTACAGACACAACCATCCATTTTTTTTCCAGTTTTTTTTAAATCTGGGTTGATTGATTCCACACATGTAGAACCCAGGGATATGGAGGGCCAACTGTATATATAATATTTAGCAGAATATAGGCATAAGCATATATTGCTTAGGACAATGTTTGGTAGGAAAAAAACACTACATACATTATCATAGTTATCATTCAAGTAATTTTTTTCATTTACCTGACTCTAAGGTTGAAGGGAATGATAATTTTTCTTCTCTTTATTCCTCATATGCAGCACTCTGCAGAGAACTTAGCAAGTACAATGTTACTTGTTAGATTTTACTAAATGAATCAGTAATGTTAAATAATGCAGGAAGTTTGAGGAAAGTATGAGGAAAATATAGATTTGAAATTATGAAGTCCCTAGTGACCTGTTATGATATAAAAAGAAATAAAACAAACTGGGAGGTGAGGTTTATATTCATTGATATCCTCTTGAAGCCTGTCTTATTGCTTAGGTGTTCAATAAAAAAATTACTGATTTAATATTGCACTTAGCACCGTGCAATCACCTTGATTGTGCTCTCAGAGGCTGTTTGGCCTTCATAAAAGAGGCAATTAAGAAGAGGAGAAATATTTTTGAAAAGGTGTTATCCCAGCACAGTCATGTAACAGGAAACTCTAAGCACTAGTCCCACTGATAAAAATTTACAAGCTTAACAGAAGGAATTAGTCCAATTCAGTGGAAGAAGGGATTATAGCATGAAAACTGGAAGATCATCCTAAGAAAGGAAACTTCATGAAAAAACAGACAAGGTTATATAAAGCTATGGATACAATAGCTCATTCAAAGTGTTTTCTCTGTTGAAATGGATCATTTTGCTTACTAAATTGTTGCACATTTTATACAATAGCCTCAATTTTTGCATTTCTCCAAATGGCTATAATATGATGAGAGAAACAAAAGATTGGGTAACACACAATGTAATCAATCTATTTATAAAGATATTTATCAGCCTCTCCTATTTAAAGCATGCATATGACGTGGAAGCATCCCTGGAGCCACAAGACATTAAACCAGAGGAGATAATGCCTGCCATCCTAGGACCAAAATCAAGACAGGATGGATATTCCAACTATTCTAATAGGTTTTTCTTACTATCTGTTATTTCCTGTAATCCCCACGTCTTTGTAAGTCAGTCTATACTGACCACACCCAGAATTAGGTCAGACCGCCTAAGATTTTATCTCTTCAAATATTAACAGGCATTGGCCTTCCAAGTGAAGAAATGCAGAATAGAGTTGGGAAGTGAGTATTAACTTCATATTGCTGTGTAACAAATTATAACAAAATTAGAAGCTTAAAGAAAAATGCGTGTATTATTTCATACTTTCTGGATGTCAGGAGTCTGGGTATGGCAACTGGGTTCTCTGCTCAGGGTCAGACAGGCTGTAGTCAGGGTATTGGCGAACTGCATTTCTTTTTGGAGGCTTTCTGGAAGAATCTGCTTCCAAATATATTCAAGTTTTTGGCTGAATTTGGTGGTCTGTGGGTGTAGGCTTGAGTCTCCATTCTGGTGCTGGTTGTTTGCTGGAGGCCATACTCATTTCTGAGAGACCACCTGCATTCCTTTCCCTGTAGCTCCCTCCATCAGGAAAGCCAACAACGGAGATTCTCCTCTAGCTCTCTCATGTCAAGTCCCCCTCATTTGAATCTTTTTTTTAAATCAGAAATCACCAGTCCCTTTTAGGACTCACCTAGTTAGATCAGATTTATAGAGGGTAGTATCCCTATTTTAAAGTCAGCTTGTTTGGAACCTAAAATACATCTTTAAAATCCTTCCAGAGAAGCACTTATCTAGATGAGTGTTTGATTGAATAACTAAGAGAGGTGTGTATACCCCAAAGATCAGAGATCTTGGATGCCATTTTAGAATCTTACCTACACATTTTCAATATACAATCTGATCCCTGTTTTCCAATACATGTCTCTTAAATAAAATTCATCAAGACACAGTTCTCTGCTGTCATTACTGTATGTCATTACTTAGCAGGTTTATGAAGTATGAAATGTGCTGGAGTTTTAGAATTAGCAAGATCTGAGTTTATATCCCCTCTACATTTGTCATGGGGTTTTGAGTAGGTTATTTAATCCCTCAGATTTCCTCAGTTATAAGGCTAGTTAATCCTCCAGTTTCCTCAGATGTAAAAACTAGGGCTAATAATTATCTCTAAGGCCTGCAGAACTTTAGAAAAAGTCATACAGTGGAAATTATCTTATGATATACAGGTGGCAAATTTCAAGTTCCTGACTTTTTCCCTTCTTTTGAATGTTCTGATATCACTCCTCCAATCTACCTCTACTTACTTTTTATGAATCCTTTGAAATGAGAAATATTGAGATTTATACACCTCAGAAATAAGTTGATTTTCAGTTGATAACATTATCTTTTTCTGAACAATTCTAAATTTTGATTCTTTTTGGAATTAATTCATTAGTGTTGGCTGGGGTATATTCATAAGAACCTTAATTTAAAATTTCAAAGCCAGGCACAGTTGCAAAGGCCTGTAGTCCTAGCTACTCCAGAGGCTGAGCCCAGGAGTTTGAATCCATCCTGGGCAACATACTGAGACTGTATCTAAAAAATAAATAAAATAAAATAAAATAGAGTCTCAATATTTTTCCTTGCTTTTCACTAGTGTGTAGAGATTTGAGACTTCCTACTCCTCCTGGGGTGCACGGAGCAATATTATGTGAAAACAGCCAAGTAGTCCGTAGACTCCCACTATTAGAATTTTTTAAAATCCCAAAATATCTGTTAAAATCTATTAGTAAGAGATTTGGCAGGATGATGATTACATGTGGGTAGAACAGCAGTTTCCATAATAATTATGTGGGTTGCAAACAGATTTTGAAAAAAAAAATACTGAGATGCAGCCTAATGAATACATTCATTAACCTTAATAACATCAGGTAGATAACAAGAGGACCATTCTGCACGGGGGAATCAACTCAGCCTTTCAGAGTCATTTATAAGGCACATTTGACAGTGTTATTTTCTCAATTAACAAATGAGTAGATGTAGTTATCTGAAAAGAAATCTGTGTTATTTGAAGTTTTCCTTTTAAAACCTAATTTTTAAACAAGTTACATTAAACATTTCTTGAGTATTTGGTATGTACTGAGCATTATAACAAGCATTAAGGATACAAAGATGTGCAAAGTATAAAATTTGTAGTCTACTTTGGGGAAGCAAAAATAAATGTAGCTATCTTTAATACAATGACAATTGCAAAACTAAAAGCATCATGTTACCTCTATGAGAGCAGAAATCTTGCCTTCCTTGTTCACCACTATATCCACATATTTAGAATATTAGTTACACAATACTTGTTCAGTGAATAAAGCAATGAATGTCACTGTATTTTAGAAGCAGAGCAGAAGGAACCATTAAGCCCAGAGGAGCTTTTTGATAAGTTGCATTCAAGCTAAATCTGTCTGCTTGATGAATTACATTTTATCAAATCAGAAAACATGTGAGAAGTTAAAAGAATGGCACTCTGTGCAGAGGGAATAGCACACCCAAAGGCTTAGGAGTGTGAAACTATTAACATATCTAAGGAATAAGAATCAATGTTCTATGTCTCCGATCAACAGGATGTGTGAGGTTCGTCTCAGCAGTACCAGTTTCATCATGATAAGCATAACTAATGATTTCAGTGGGCAAGAATAACTGTGTGGCCCTAGCATGCCCCACACATAGTTATATTTCCTGACACAAGTTTAATGACCACTAACTTCTAGGAATATTCATTCAGATTCCAACATTTTTAGATTGGTATTGCTCCTTTGGGTACAGAATGTACTTATGTTGTTTGCCTATGGCAGGTAGCACCATGGGATGCCTTCCTAAAATCTCCATGGAGTTGTAGTATTAATAAATAACCATGTTGCCATTTGAGAGTTCAACTAGTGAAAATCCATGCCCATTGTATATAATTAGTCTTCCATATAAATAAATCAAGAGATTATAAATGTAAGAATTAAGAACTTGGAAATATCCAGAATACTAATTGAGGTGATCAGAGAATAATCTTAGGGAGGCAAGAAAGGAATGTGATTTTCAGTAAATGATAATTCAGTGACTGGAAATCTAATGATTTCTACTGTTTATGGAAAGATTGAGTAAAAAGGAAAGGGAATGTTTAATTTGAAGGATAAGTGAGAAAAACCCAATGGACTGGAAGCTGGCAATGCCCATTCAGGCAGGTCATGCCTAATGGACTGTTGACTCCTTGAGGGCATGGCCTGGAACCTACCAGTGTCTGGCACAGAGGAGGCATTCAAATGTTTAGTGAATTAATAAATTGAAATGAATAAAACATTGAGACTGTTACTAAAGGATCACTCAATGCAATTTTCAGGGCTACATGTATTTTTCTGTTTTCCATAGCAATAACTTATAACATATATGGATAGGAAATGAAGAAAGAAAAAATTATATTGTCTGCATTTTATGGATTTAGATTTCATTAAGGGAGATAGATTTTTAAATTATTTGGCATCGCTGCCCTAACATTCCATAATCCTTAGACTTTTATCTTCGTAATTGTCTAAGATTTATTTTTATATATTCCTGTTAGCATATAGCACTCAGGAGGTTTCACATTCTAGCAAAAATAGATTGTGATATTCTGCCTATTGGTTGTTAAGTCCTATCATAATTATTTTATAACTATAACTATTGGTCTGCTTTATATTTCATAAATTTAATATAATGAATGATAGAAATAATTATAAAGTTAAAATACTTTTAGTATAAGCATACAATGGTGTAAGGTATAAATCTTTACAGATGTATAATTACCATTTTTCTCTCATATTTTTGAATGCCAACAGCTATTGCACAGCAAACAAAAACATACATACAATAATACAACAGAGTAGGTTAATATCATACTGGAACCACAGGTACGAACATTGTTAACTTGCATTTTTAACATTCAAGCCAGTTGCATATGGAGAGAATATGTAGAAATCCAGGAGAAAAAGAAATGTGAGAGATCGTATAAAGATAAATCTGAACATCACAGATCCCAACTCATATTCATTTTCTTCCTTTTTCACAAAAAACCTGTTCTTTTCCAATACTGTCCAGCCTAGGACATGGAGCTACATGCAATGTTGTTATTCTCCTCCCACGAATCATTAAAAATGCTCCTTTACCTTCTATGCCCCACAAGTTTGGAGGTTCTACATTAAGATTCCTTATAAATATGGCTCTTCATTCTTACTGCCACTCCCTTAATTCAATTCTCCATTGGTTTCCTTGACCATTGCAACATATTTTCTAACTTGATTCCCTAACCTTCATCTCCGACAGCTCTAATCTGTCATGTAAGCTTTTAGCAGAGTTCCTCTACTTCTCATCATGTCTTTGTATCATTTCCCACTTTAAAAGCCATCACTGGTTCCCCACTACCTGTATGACAAAGTTGGAAATCTTTAGGATGGCACAAAAGAACACTCACAACTGATTCTCTTCAGCTCACCCTCTCATTACTTCTCTGACCTGTGCACCCTACATAGCTGCAATGCTCCATATTCACTATTCCTTGATTAACAATTTTTTTCAATATATAGAAAACAATATTTCAAAATGCTGGTATCACTCTATTATCCATACTTTTCAAACTTAGTTCAACTCTTATCTCCCTAAGAAGTGTTGGTCAATTATTTATTGATCTGCTCTCCCACTGCATTTAGGACATGCCCATAATAATCATTTGTATGTGGTTACTTATTTATATCTGTCCTCCTTTCTCATCCCTCCACTAGACTTGTGAACTGCTGGAGCAGAGTCTCTAAACCCTATTTAACTCATGTTTTTTCTCAGTTTCAATACAATTTCAACACACAGTGATGCTGTCAATTGCATTTTCTTCAAAATATACACTGCTCCTCTCCGTGGGAAAAACCATGGATGCCTGTCCCATTCAGGTCAGGTTTAGCCATGTGATTTGTTCAGTCAGTGAAACGTGAGCAGAAATAACATGTGCCACTTTTAAGCAGAATCTTAAGAACCATTGTATGATTCCCCTATCATCTGTTTTTCCTTCTACAACAGCGGTCCCCAACGTTTTTGGCACCAGGGACTGGTTTCATGGATGAAACTGTTCCATCTCATAAGAAGCGCACGACCTAGCTCCCTCACGTGTACAGTTCACGATAGGATTCACCATCCTATGAGAATCTAATGCCTCTGCATTAGATCTAACAGGTGACAGAGCTCAGGAGGTAATGCTCACTCACCCAGGGCTCACCTCCTGCTGTGCAGCCAGGTTCCGAACAGGACACGGACAGGTACTGGTCTGAAACCTGGGGTTTGGGGACTCCTGCTCTACAAGATTGGTATGTCCCAGAAACAGACTATTCTTTTAGACTTCAAACTCAAAATGAAGATGACATAGAACAGAGTTATAGGCCATCTGCAGTGAATATAAAGGCTGAAATAAACTTCTGTTCTATACCAGTGAGATACTGGGACTATTGATTGTGACAAAATAATTTAGTCTAAGATGGGTAGATATTTAATAAATGTTGAAGAAAAGAAGGAAGGTTATAGAGACCTAGGAAAAAAAATAGCAGGGTAATTCAAGAGTCAATTTTGTTTTAAACAAGAACTGTCTGTTGAAAAGAAAGAAAAATTAAGCTTTCATGAGTTTCTCTTTATGAGAAATCATAGGAATTAGAGTTGAAAGGAGAAAGGGGAAGAGTAGATTGTAGAGAAAGAGAGTATATTTTTGGTAATGCAATCTTGGGAAGAAAGTGAAAGTAAATTCTCTGTAGATTAGCATGTCCTTAAGATGTCTGCAGGGAATATTTAAAGGATCTAAGTATCTGCTAGTGAGGTGTTTTGAGAATCCAGTACATATGTATAAAGAATCCTCCTTTAGTTAAGCCAAGCTAAGTAAGTTAAGAATGATTTTTCTATTTTAAATGTCCAAGTTACTCTGATTCCACAGCCAAAGAAAGGCTACAAACCTGACTAAAACAACATCCAGATTAAGACTATATGTAATTACAGCCAATTCTTATCATTCACAGTAATGTTCTATAAACATGCAGCAAACAGTAAATTAGTGAATAATGACCATTACTCCTGGAGGAAATACAAGCTTAGGTTGCTGTGAGCCTTTAGTCACAACGTGTTCATCAACTAGTCAAAACATAACCTTGTTTTATGTGTGTTCTTGTTTAAAGACATCTTAGTTAATATAAATTGTTGACTCACTAACATTGAACTTGCAGCAACAGCACTTTATTCATGCAACTTATTTAACATATGTATTGTCTATATACAGTTATCCCTAGTCCCTTGATATTTGCAGAGCATTGGCTCCAGGACACTTCCTCCTCTCATCCCACCAATACCAAAATCTAAAGATGCTCAGGTCTCTTATACCAGGTAGCTTAGTTTTCACATGTAACCTGTACACATCCTCCATTATACTTTAAACCATCTCTAGATTATTATCCCTAATATAACATACATGTTATATAAATAGTCATTATACTGTCTTGTTTTTTATTTGTATTATTATTTTTCCAAATATTTTCAATTAATTATTGATGAAATCTGTGAATATGGAACCCACAGTTATGAAGGGCTGACTGTATTTTCTATGTATATTACAGCCATCTTGTGCTTAGAAACACTAGATAACACATCAGCTTTATTCTTGGAGGCCAAGTTAAACACTGAAATCACCAATAAAAAACACGAACATGCAAAAGATGGCGCTAAATAGATACTGTAAGTTTGTAGTATGAAAACTGAAACAAGAAAGCAGAGTCACCTTTTTCAACCTCAGATGGGGACATGAACTTCAGTAGTCTCAAATGTGTACCACTCTCTGCATGCCCATGAATGACTGCAAAAATGCCACCAATATTGATTCTGGTATTGCAAATAAACTTCAGCAAGTAGCTAAATTTGTAAATGCAGAATCTGTAAATAATGATGATCAACTGTAAATCCAAACAACGGAAAAGAATAAAATGGATTATGAGGAGTTGGGCAAAATGCCCACCAGTGAGAAGAGGGAGAAATTGGATGGATGGATAAATAATAAATCTAGTAAAGTGCCTTAAATGTGGTAGACTTTTAGCAAATGTTAGTTTCCTTCCCCATCTTTATCCGTTTGTTTTCTCTTGCTTTGGTAAAATACGTGTCACCCAAAAAATTAAATTGAAGGTCCACTCTATCAAAGTAATAGAAAGCATTAGGTGGCAGAAAGGTTTTTTCTTAGCATTTCATTTTACTGCTGAATTTATTGCATCATACTTAAAGATGCCCTATCATCTTAATGCAAATCTTAAAAGCATATTTATATAAAAATGTTAATGTTTAATAAGCTAAAGTCAATACAGCACCCTCTAATTTAGCCAGTGTTGTCTTTTTTGGGATTAACATAGCAGATATTATCCAAAAATTTAAATAGAATGACCCTGTTTTGTCACATAGATATTGGGATTTTCTGTTTACACACTATCTCCTTTATGATTTATATTGTGCTGTTAATTGGAAACATCTGAAACAAAAATTATTTTAAACTCACAACTCTAACTTATAAGGCTAATAATAAAACATCATAGTTTTCTAAGTTATTAAACTTACAGAAAAGATATATACCTCAAAAAAAAAAAAAACAGAGAAAGTACATGATGAGAGATCAGTAAATTATCACTCTCATCCTGACAGTTTTCTTTTATGGAAATATCACCTGCAAAAAAGTTTATCAAGACAAACTTTTTACAATCCCTGTTAAATTCAATGAATGAACTGTGAAGGGTAAATTGGAGCCATTATAATCTTACATTTCTTATGTAATATTCATAATCATAGTGTTACATAAGAGCGAGCTAATGTTAACAAAAGGAGCAATTTAAATTCCCACTTCCTTGGAGAATGGGTCTCTGCTTGAACAAACAGAGCTTCCTGTCCCATTTGCAACACGCCCATGCTGCTCCTCGAGTGCCAATGAGACCCACACTCTCATCTCAGTGATATAATAAACCCTCCAAAACAGAGGAGAAAATGAGGCAAACAAGCCCACTTCATTTCAACTTGTCAGCTTTAAATAAAATCTTCTGGAGCTGAAAATGGGAAACTTGAGGGAAGATAATGTGTGAAGTAACCAAATTCAACATTGGGACAAAACATACTACATTACTATATTTTTGTCTTGATCTGCCACAAAAGTTTTTGAAATTTCACTATAGGTAATTTTTAATATCTTTTTGTCATGGAGGACTTAGAGAAAAACAGTGTTCTTTCTGTTTATTTTTTCCCTTCTCTCCACCCACTGATGCCCTAGCTAATATCTCAAGTCATCTCAAGCCCTTATGATATCTTAATAAGTAATATATGACATTTGGAATAACTCCCAATTATCAATATTTATATCAAAGTTGGCACAGCACTGCATACTGAAAAAAGTGCATGCTTTCTGTATAATTTAAATTAATTACTTACATAATACTTTCTCGGCACTGATTTTTTATGCAAAATATTGGACCATGCTTTCTGCATAGAAAAAAAAATGTTAAGGGCAAAAATGCATTGAAAGGAAAGTAAAAATAAATTAACATTCTGTTAAATGGAAATATTTGAATATCACCGAGGTAAGCAGTGATTGGTAGTGTAAATCTCTTCCCACGTCCTCTCCCCACTACCCACTGCCCCTACTCCCAGCTCACCTCCTAACACTTTTTCCTGCTTTGCATTTAGGAGGCTCTAGTCTGTTCTTCCCCTTAAATCTCTCTATATTCCTTCTCTTCTCTCTTTGAGGTTACTTGTAATTTAGTCAAATTTTCCCTTTCCCCATACTTCCTTTACAAGCACTTGCACTTCTTCCAGGGAAAGACAGTACCACTGGGTTCCAGCAGATATACAGCACAAACTGTGTATATACCAATGGCAGTGAAGAGGGACAAGTCACTTTCCTTCTTCCTTAGATGCCCTAGGGTGTACCCAAATTGTATACAAACATCTTTTCATGCCTTTTATTTTTATTTCCAATACAATGTTTCATGTATTTTCCAAATCATTGTAGAAGACTTTACTTTTTCTTATTCTGTTATACTCTCCTCTAGCATTATATTATGAGCCCTCTGATTTCAAAAACTTTTATCTTAAAATTCCTAAATAACTTTGAGTGAGCAGTGCATAGAATGATAGTTATGTTGAGGAGTATGATCCCTTCACCACTTTTGATGGCACATTGTTCAGAAGTTCTTTTGGGCACTCTAATATAAAATGTGATTTCAGATGTACATTTTTAATGTATTTTAGAGATTCCATGGGATAGAAAATAGTGTATGGACTATGGACTACAAAGATTTCAGTTCGAGGCTTGGGAAATCAACATTGAATAGAGTAACCATAATCGGCAAACGGTTTTTTAAACCTATTATTCATTTGTAAAATTTGATCAAAAATGTTGTGTCACAGGATGATTAAATTAATATTAGGTATGTTGGAGAATATTTTTAATTCTTATTTTATGATCATTATAATTATTATTATAAAGCCAAAGAAAATAATGTATTTAAAGTTAACTTTACCTGGCTATTAAATGTCCATTAAAAATGTGAATGATGATATTATGCAGCTTCCATGTATATACTATATTTTGCAGCCAGTAAAATTGTGCCAGAATCTCCAGGTTATTTTCTGCAGTTTAAGGTAAGTGAGGTTAGTGCCTTTTAGCACTCTTAGGCCCAAAATTTCCATGGTGTTATTGCACTTTTTATTCTAACAAGCTTCTATATCAATAATCATGTCGGTGTAATATAGGACCATCATGGGGCCTGAGGTAGCCATTTAATGACTAATCTTGTCAAAAGGAAAGCAAATGGACTCATTTGCTTAGGAGATATCTGTTCTAAGCTGAGGGTTTTTTTATTTCCCCACAGTGATGGCTGGGCTGACAGGTATGATGTGACAGATGGATATCAGCGAGAAGCTGTTGGTGGCATCACAATCAAGCTCCAATCTCCCGATGTCAAGTGGTTTGATGATTATTATCTGAAGCTCCGGCCAGAAACAAACCACCGAAACCCTTGGTTTCAAGAATTTTGGCAGCATCGTTTTCAGTGCCGACTGGAAGGGTTTCCACAGGAGAACAGCAAATACAACAAGACTTGCAATAGTAAGCAGATTTATTATTTCATTTAAAATGCATAAGGCTAAGGTTCCAATTTAAGTAAACCATGTCATGGGGATAGTGGCTGTAATATGTTACAAGGGAGGACTCTTACATAAGTAGAGTGGATATTGCCACTTATGGTGATAAACAGGTTTTAGTCTCATTAGGAAAAACATATCAGAGCAAGTATTTAGTGATATTTTATGTGATTAGATCATTTCTATTTGTATCATTCAAAAAATTGAATGTATTTCCATAAGGCATTGTGCTAAAAACATCACATGAGCTCCAGAATGGAACTATTTCTGACATCCTTGAATGCAGTGACTGCATTCTGCTCATTTCTATTATCCAGAGTAGTTAGCACAGTGGAAGCACATAGTAACGGTTTCATATATGTACAAAGAATGAATACATGAGTGTTGAAGGACAGATCGAGTTGCTACTTCCATCAATAAACCATAAAATAGTACCAGGGATTTGCTATATAAAATTGTGATGTTTCAGGAAACGTAACCTATGTAGAGCCATTCATTCAAGCATTCAACAAATACTTATAAGATGCTAAGAATGTACCAAATTTTGCTTTAGTTGTAAGGATACCAAGATGGAGAAAGCTAGTTCCTGCCCTCAAAGGTTTACTATCTTGGAAGGGAGATAGTAATGCCAACAAAAATTGCAATTGAAAATTATAAGTGATATGATAACTAAGTGTTTAAAATAAGAGCTTGGGTTAATATTATTTGTAACATGTCCAAAAAGAATCTTGATTCTAATAACCAGGTAGAGCCAGCATATACTTTATCTATCTATATCATCTGTCTATCAAATATCTGTGCCTGCAAAGGTTAAAGTTTGTAAAAATTGACAAAGGATTTTTTTTTGGAACTGACTTATCCTACATTGTGTTATAAGAAACCCATATGCATTTGCATTGCAGGAAAATGCAAATTGAACATGAAACATTGTTCAAATTTTTGAATGATATAAATAGTAATAAATTATCTAAAATCTTACTAGAGTAAATACTTGCTCTGATAAGTTTTTGTTAGTTGGTGGTATAGATGCCTTTACCCATGGTGCTGGAACACCAGAATTCAGTGGGGCAGTGGGCTTGAAATCCTGGTCCATTACCCAATTCTAGTCCACAAAGAGGTTGTCACATACCAGCAATAAAATGATAAAAACAGAAACAATTTAGTGAGCTATTCATAAAGATTTCCCCCTCTGAGGTCATGTTCATCCTGTGTTTCTGGTATCAGTTTGTTCTTTTGGGAAATGATGGAGATAGTCAATGGTGGTTTGTGATTGTTTTTAAATGTAATTGCTTCATAAAACAAGAACCCAGCAATCTCATATCAGTTCCTATTTGGGTAGAAGGGGAAGGGAGGAATGCTGGAGTGTGGGATAATACACCCATCAATGAAATCCAGAAATCATTGCAACATAGTGTGAGAGTATGTTTGCTTCTCTCCCACTTCAGATCCTTGTAACTCTGACCAAATCCTCAAATGCTTACGCATTTCCTTTGCTTTCATTTTTTATGGCAAAATACGTGAGAAACAATAGCACTGTCACTTATGGCTCACAATTTCAAATTTGTAGCTAATGTCATATTTTAACAGTTCTATCTAGTTTCTGAAGACAACAGATTTCTTTTCTCTCTTGAGATTTGGGGATCATATGTCCTTCTGTGGTCTATTCTATGTTTGTATAATTATTACTATGTGTAGCTTCATTGAAGGAGTTCTGAAAGGTAAGCAGTAGCTCTGATTTCATCTTTAGTTCCTCTTTATGAGGAATTAGTGACAACACTAACCGGTATATTTAAGGGAATTTTTCCAGTTGGCCTGCACCCTCTTTCTTTATTAATTTCTTCTTTTCCCACTGTTTTTTGGTCTGAAATGCCTCCTCTTGAAAATAGTTATTTGTTTCTCTGACTCTTTATTTCCTGGAAGTCCTGCTTAAATACAGCCTTGAAAACTTTACTTGATTTCCATGAAAATATTATTTCTATGGAAACCGTTCTGTAAAATCCTCCCTTGACCTTGCTGCTGTAGCTCTCTATCTCTCATGTGAGCACCTTGGTGTGATCTCTGCTCAGAATCTGTTCTTTACTGCAGTCATGGAAAGCACCACTTAGTCCATCCCCCCCCTTGGAATCTCGTCTGACAACAGATGTCATTTGGTACATTGGCATGGACACTTTATATGTACTGCCTCTGTTATTCTTCTTAATGAGAGATGTATAATATTATCCTCATTTTAAATATAACAAAAGCATGATTTAGAGAGACAAAATAAGTTCCTCCAGTCATATAACTATTAAACATTGGAACTTAAAATTGAACTCAGATTTGTCTAGAGTTTAGCCAACATGCTAAATAAATTAAATATAACAGATTAAAAATCACCATCAAATCTGCATTATATAATAGTCAATATATAGTTCAAAGATACAAGGAAAATAATTATTAGATTTATGTCTTACTATGAAGTGCAATAAAAGGTACTCAAATATTCACTACCCACTACTTTTGACCCTAGTTTCTTATGTAATCCAATATCAATTGAACATTTCTTCCCTATCATGTATGAGAGTTTAAGTTTTTCCACACCCTTGTTAATACCTGGTTTTTTCTTCTGTATTTGACAATCTGTGAGTGTGTAGTTCTATCATACGGTGATTTCAATTGGCTTTTTCATGATGTATTTCAAAGTTAAGCTCCTTTTCATGTTTTTGGAAAGCTGGTATCCTCTTTTGTGTCTGTTCAAGACTTTTGAACATTTCTTTGAGTTTATTATCTTTTTAATATCTATTGGAAAAATTCCTCATATAGTATGGACATGAGTCCTTTGTCAGCTATATAAATTGTAAAATTGACAAAACAGAAGTTTGGCTTTTTTATTACCTTACTGTATCTCTCATTTACTACTTGTTTTCTTTTTGTCCAATTTGTTATTTAGCTATTTATTCCTCTGTCTTTTCTGCTGTTTTGTATTAATCAATAATTTTTATTATTCCTTTTCTCTTAACATTTTTGTTTCATCTCTTTGTATAATTTATTTGGAGTTTTCAACAGAAATTACCAACTGAGTCCTTAGTTTAATATAGAATATTTTAAGTTGGTTCTTATCACATTCAAGAAGCTTGCAAATATTTAAATCTATATACCCCTTCAGAATTTTTTTTGCAATTGCCATATAGTTTACTTTTATATGTACTCTGTATACCACAGGACTGTGTTATGATTATCATAGGTGATCAATAGTTTTATATTTATTGAGGCTATTGTTCTTCATTCCTTCTTGTACTTCCATGCTCCCATCTATAATTCTTTCAGCCCGAGGAAATTTCTTTAGTATTTCTTGTATACGCAGATATACTGCCAGGAAGTTGTATTAGTGTATATTTTTCTTAGAACATTTTCATTTCACCTTTTATTTTTAAAAGATATTTTCACTGAGTATAGCATTTGATATTGGCAGGTTTTCTTTTGTTTGCTTGCTTCATTCTTATTTTTTTCTTAAAAAATGTCATTTCATTTTCTTCCAGATTTTGTGATTTCATTGAGAAGTTAGCCATCATTCTTAATGTGTTTCCCCGGTGTCAATATAGCAAATAAAATTAGCAAATAAAATTTCAAGAATTTTAAAATTACATATATATAATATATATGTAATATATAAATTATATATAGTATATATGTAATATATAATATATAATACATAATAAATGTCATATATAATATATAATGCATAATATATGCAATATATAATATATAATACATAATATATGTAATATTTAATATATTATGTATATGTAATATGTAATATATGTATTACATATATATGTAATATGTAATGTATAATATATATGTATTACATATATATAATATATAATATATATGTAATACATATGTGTGTGATATATATACTATATATACATATATGTGTATATGTGTATAGATATTATATATAACATATATAATATATACATACACATGTATGTATATATGTAATAAACATATATTACACATATAAAAATATTACATATATATTTAATATATATTATATATTTTAATATATGTATTATATATTATAATATATATATTATATATTATGTATATTAAGTTTTAATGACCATAATGAACTTTGGTGTTATTTCCTTTGTATATTACTTTCTTAGGGTTTCCAGAGCTCCTTAAGCCTGTAGAATAAAGAATTGCATCAGTTTAAAAATTTCCTCTTAAACATTCCTTCTGCTGCATTTCTCTCTCCACTCCTACTATCCAATTACACCGCTGTTAAGCCATTTTACCATGTCACACATATGACTTATTCTCTGTGTAGTCTTTTCTTTTTTCTATGATTCAGAAAGAAAATTTGGCCTATATCTTCAGGAAAAGGCCAACTAAAGTGTGAGGAGTCTACATTCCTCAAGTGAGCTTTTCTTACAAATATTACAAAACAATGAGAGATTTGAATCTCTCTCTTGAAAATCTTTTTTTTTTTTTATTATACTTTAAGTTTTAGGGTACATGTGCACATTGTGCAGGTTAGTTACATATGTATACATGTGCCATGCTGGTGCACTGCACCCACTAACTCGTCATCTAGCATTAGGTATATCTCCCAGTGCTATCCCTCCCCCCTCCCCCCACCCCACCACAGTCCCCAGAGTGTGATATTCCCCTTCCTGTGTCCATGTGATCTCATTGTTCAATTCCCACCTATGAGTGAGAATATGCGGTGTTTGGTTTTTTGTTCTTGCGATAGTTTACTGAGAATGATGATTTCCAATTTCATCCATGTCCCTACAAAGGACATGAACTCATCATTTTTTATGGCTGCAGAGTATTCCATGGTGTATATGTGCCACATTTTCTTAATCCAGTCTATCATTGTTGGACATTTGGATTGGTTCCAAGTCTTTGCTATTGTGAATAATGCCGCAATAAACATACGTGTGCATGTGTCTTTATAGCAGCAAGATTTATAGTCCTTTGGGTATATACCCAGTAATGGGATGGTGGGTCAAATTGTATTTCTAGTTCTAGATCCCTGAGGAATCGCCACACTGACTTCCACAATGGTTGAACTAGTTTACAGTCCCACCAACAGTGTAAAAGTGTTCCTGTTTCTCCACATCCTCTCCAGCACCTGTTGTTTCCTGACTTTTTAATGATTGCCATTCTAACTGGTGTGAGATGGCATCTCATTGTGGTTTTGATTTGCATTTCTCTGATGGCCAGTGATGATGAGCATTTTTTCATGTGTTTTTTGGCTGCATAAATGTCTTCTTTTGAGAAGTGTCTGTTGATGTCCTTCACCCACTTTTTGATGGGGTTGTTTGTTTTTTCCTTGTAAATTTGTTTGAGTTCATTGTAGATTCTGGATATTAGCCCTTTGTCAGATCAATAGGTTGCAAAAATTTTCTCCCATTTTGTAGGTTGCCTGTTCACTTTGATGGTAGTTTCTTTTGCTGTGCAGAAGCTCTTGAGTTTAATTAGATCCCATTTGTCAATTTTGTCTTTTGTTGCCATTGCTTTTGGTGTTTTGGACATGAAGTCCTTGCCCATGCCTATGTCCTGAATGGTGATGCCTAGGTTTTCTTCTAGGGTTTTTATGGTTTTAGGTCTAACGTTTAAGTCTTTAATGCATCGTGAATTGATTCTTGAGCCTCTCTTGTAGCCCCCAGAATCAGCAAGTGAATCATGGGAGAAAATGGTTACCATACTTTTGGGGCTCCTGGAATTTATAAAGCGTCATCTTAATAACCAAAAGGATTACTGGTTCTTTTTCTAAGGAGTGTCTTATACTTTTTTTAAGGAGTGCCTTATACTGGGTTGAATTACCACTTGCTACCTTTTCCTCAATTCATGTCTGTTGCCAGAACCTCAAAGTATGATCTTCTTTAGAAATAGGCTCATTGCAAGTATAACTAATAAGGATGAAGTCATACTGTAGTAGGGTAGGCCCCTAATTCGGTATGATAGATGTCTTTATAAAAAGAGGGGAAGAGACATACAGACAGAAAGGGAGACAAGGAGGACACCATGGGATGACACAGGCAGTGATTGGATTGATGCAGGAGCAAGCCAGGGAATATCAAGGATTGACGGTCATCACCAGAAGTTAGGAAGAATTCTACCCAGAGTCTCAGAGGGAGTATGACATTGCTGACACCTGATTTCAGACTTCTAGCCTCCAGAACTGGGAGAAAATAAATTTCTACTGTGTTAAGCCAACCAATTTGTGGTGTTTTTTTTTTGTAATGGCAACCTTAGAAAATTAACATTCCTTCATTTTAACCAAGAGAGATCCTCAAACTGAATTTTGCAGTCAGAACCTGCAAGTATCCTAGGCAACAAAAGAAGCTGATGACACCCTCCTTCTTTGCTGCTCTTCTCTTTGTGTTAGTTCATTTTGTCTTTGTTGCTTCTATATATCTTCACTGCCTTTAAGATTTTTGACTTTCCCATTTCTTTCACCTTTTCAAGTATGCAGTAAAGGAATTTTCATTTGCTTCCTTCTCCATCCTACCTAACACCAGTTCTTCCTCTACTCTTTATTCTTAGTTGTTGCTACTTCTGAAATCCTAATGCTGTTGTATAAATAAAGCTTGTCACTTACAATGTCTAAAGTGTTTGTAGCCTTGTTAATTTTTGTTTTCCTTCTAAGCATTTAAAAACTTAAATCTAAATATTACTATGGCCCTTAAATGTTTTAACTACTTGGTATTATTTGAGTCCAGAAATATATACTATTAACAGTGAGCCTGACTTCAGTATGTTTTACTTAAATGGCACAGTTATGGAAAACTTAAATTATAAGTCGAATTTAATAATAAATTAAAAGTAATAAGAAGTATTAAGAGTATAATTTTTCTCTAATAGTATATTTAACAGTAATAAAGTAAGCTACAAATAATTAAGTTAAAACTGTTTCCTAATAACTATGCTATTCTATTTTTTAAGGATGGTTTCCTTTACAGCCATACTGTCACTTGCTGACATTCATTTATTGTATCTTTTCTATAATTTCTCCCTGTCATCTCCAGTAGTTTCCAGGAGTGTCACTTAAGACAACAAACAGACATTTTCACCTAAATTTCCTAAAAGCATCTCAAACTTAAACATCTAAAATTAACTTCATTATAACTTCTATAACCACCACCTCAAACTTTAGGTTCCTCCTTTTTATATCCCCAGTTGAAGTAAATGATACACTCATCCATGCTGTATCTCAAGGTGTAGGAGTGAGTAGTCCCCACCTCTTCCATCCGCATAGCCAACTGGTGACAAAATAGTGTTCATTCTATTGTTACACCATTTTATACTTCTGTTCCCTCCTTTTCATTGTTACCTGAATTCACATCTCTGTTCTACTGTTTTCAGTATAATTTTTATTGTCCCTCACCTTAAATATTAAAATCCCCCTATCTAATGTTTTTGATAACAGCTTTTTCCTTCCCCATTTGATACTAAAAATTAGTTTCAAAGGTCTTCACCTAAAGAGCAAATCTCATCAATGTTACTCCCATTCTTAAAGATCATCCTTGGTTCTACAATGTCTACAAAAGGAAGCCAAACTCTGCCTCAGTCAAAACTCTTCAAATTGGTCATTTATATTCTTTATGCCTCATCTCCTATTTCTTAAACCCATGAAATCTGTGTTCCCACCATTTCATGAATTGTGATCTTTCATTTTAAAATTGCATGCCCAGTTAAGCTCCTGTGTTTCTGTACATGCTAAATCTTGCTCAGTGAAAAGTCCACTTCAAGACATGTATCAGTTCCAATGAATTCACACTCTCATGGTTTCTAATCGCTCCAGTTTTCTGTTCTTACTTTGACTTTAATTTTCTCACTTTTCACCTCATTTACCTTTTGTCTTCTTTTTGCTACAAGGGAATCCAGACACTGAGCACAGATATACTTCCCCATTTTTTGTTCCCCCAAGGAACTACTCACACAACCATCTCTATGTGTACCAAACTACTGTTAATAAAATGAAGATTAAATGAACGGGTTCAGAGCAATGTAAAAGTACATTGGCAATGAGATTTCTCTGGGTTGTAGCAATGTCATTTATTGATTCAGTGGTGGTTATCAGGGTGTGTTTATCTTAACAATTCATGTACCATTGTGGTTTTTGAACTTCTTTACATTAATGCTTTACTGTCTAAGTGTTTACCTTAACAACCACTCCCCTATAAAAGTGACCCTTTGGTCACTAATATAGTGACCAAAATAAATTTCTTTCCCTGTAGCATTTCCCCACAGTGCTCTCCTGTACACACTCCCACTCCTCTACAAGCTTTTTGCCACTGTGGTGCTTAATTCTCTCCCTTTCTTTCTCTGTAATCTTTCCCTCCTCTCTTCTCAGTATTTCTACACACTAACACAAGTTTCTCTCCACTTCATGTGTAGAGCTATTTAGCTGTTTCTTTGTTTCCTTGTATTCTTCAAAAATTCTACCCTTGGACAGAGATGCTCACCTTTTGAACCCAAAACTGCTTTGGGATAAAGTTACTTTGCCACACAGAAAGTAGTTTACTGCAGAAAGAAAAATGATACCATCCACAGATGCTGAAGTAACTACAGTCAATAGAATTTTTTCTTGCTGTATTACATCAACAAATAAGTAGAATTTTTCAAATTGTTAGACCAGCATGCAAACATTTTATATTCATCTTTCTCCATTAAATTATAAATGTCTCAAGGAGAGGCGCTATCTTTATCATCTCTGTTTTCCAAATCCCTATCCCAATGCCTTGAATATAAGGCAAGCATTTTATAAATGTTGTTAGATAAATGCTGCTTTATTTCTCATAGTGTTAAAAAGCTAGAGGACCTAGGACCGCAGTCCCCAATTTGTGGGATGCAGGGACTCTGGGTCACTGTAGATACTTTGCCTGGGTCTAAAATCCTCATATAACTGACCATTGTTCATGGACTGAAGTGTGCCTTGCATATTCTTGTGTGTATGTACAAACTGTTGCCGTTACAAAATCATAAATTAAGAATTATTGAAATCATAGTTGTTTACGGCCATTATGTGCTTACTAAATCAAAAATACTAAAAGTACAAATAATATTTGTAGAATGTGTGCAAGTTTTTCACATTCAAAGAGTTTATATTCAAAAAGGTTAGTCTCACTAGCTTAGAAGTGTTTCTTCTTCTCTTAAAGTAAGTTTCAATCTAGAGTTGTCTACAATCTCTCTGATGAATATGTCTCACTAGTATTTGAAGTGGGTTGTTAGAGGATACTTCCTTATGCATCAGAATGTTGTCTTCTGCCATCTTTTATGCCCTTTGAAATGTTCATTAATGGCTTAGCCATAGCTCAGAACACTTGAGTATCTCTCAAACTGAAAATATGACTGGGGAAAATAAAAAAAAATCTACTGAAAGAAAAGAATTGCTTGGGAGAGAGTAGCTAGAATACCGGAATAGTACTTTAAGAGCCAAATAAAATTAAATTAAATAACTGCTACAGCTAACACCCAGATTTGAGATTCCTCATCCTTGCACCACATTAACATTTTCAAGATTGTATTTGGAGAGAACAGTAATCTAGTGTGAGAAAAGGATTCCATGGTTACATTTTTGGGGATTATTCCCTAATCTTATTGTAGATCATAAGATCTTCCTTCAGAAGGGATCCTGTTCCATATTCTAGAGGAAGGAATGCTGCACAGAAAGGCTGATATAGTTTGGATATTTGTTTCTGCTCAAACCTCATGTTGAATTGGAATCCCCAGTGTTGGATGTGGAGTCTGGTGAGAGGTGATTAGATCATGGGGGATATGTTCTAATGAACAGTTTAGCACCATCCCCTTGAGACTGTTCTTGCAATAGTGAATGAGTTCTCACCAGATCTAGTTGTAAAGCATGGCACCATACCTCTACCCTACTCTGTCTTTTGCTCCTGCTCTGGCCATATGATGTGCCTGCTCTCGCTCTGCCTTCTGCAATGAGTAAAAGCTTCCTGAGACCTCCCCAGCAGCAGGTGCCAGCGCTATGCTTCCTGCACAGCCTGCAGAACCACGAGCCAATTAAACATTTTTTTCTTATAAAGTACCCAGTCTTAGGTATTTTTTAATAACAATGTAAAAATGACCTAACACAGGAAATTGGTATCAAGGAGTGGGACATTGCTATAAAGATAATTGAAAATGTGGAAGCACATTTGGAACCAGGTAACAAGCAGAGGTCAAAAGATTTGGGGGAGCTCAGGAAAAGACAGGAAGATAAGGGAAAGTTTAGAACTTCTTAGAGACTAGTTAAATGTTAGTGACCAAAATGATGATAGTGATACGGACAGTGAAATTCAGGCGGATAAAGTCTCAGATAGAAATTAAGAAGTTATTGGGAACTAGTGAAAAGGTCATCCTTGTCATGTCTTAGCAAAGAGCTTGGCTCATTTTGTTCATTCCCTAGAGATGTGTGCAAGTTTGAACTAAAGAGTGATGATTTACAGTATCTTGCTAAGGAAATTTCTAAGCAGCAAAGTGTTCAAGATGTAGCCTCACTGCTTCTATCTGTCTGTGCTCAGATGTGGGAGCAAATAAATGACCTAAAATTGGAACTTATATTTAAAAGAGAAGAAGAACATAAAAGTTGGAAAAATTTACAGCCTGACTGTGTGGCAGAGAAAGAGATCTTTTTCAGGTGATAAATTGAAGCAGGCTGTGGAGCAACCACTTGCTAGAGATATTTGCCCAACTAAAAGGGAACCAAGTGCTATCCAAGATAATGAGGGAAAGGCCGCTTAGGCATTTCAGAGACCCTTGTGGCAGCTGCTTCCATCACAGGTCCAGAGGTCTAGGAGGGAAGAATGCTTTTGTGGGCCTGGTCCAGGACCCTGCTGCCCTTTGCAGCCTCAGAATGTTGTTACCCACATCCAGGCCACTCAAGCTCTAGCTGTGGCTCAAAGGAGAACACATACATCTTGCACTGCCACTTTGGAGAATGGAAGTCATAAGCTTTGGTGGCTTCCACATGGTGTTAAGCCTGTGGGCATGCAGACTGCAAGAGTGAAGAATGCCTGACAGCCTCTACCTCGATTTCAGAAGCTATATGAGACAAACTGGGTGCCCAAGCAGAAGCCTGGTGCAGGGTTGGAGCCCCAACAGAGAACCACTACCAGGGAAGAGTGGATAGGAAATGTGGGCTTGGAGCCCCCACAAACAGTCCCCACCAGGGAACTGCCTAGTGCAACTGTGAGAAGGGGGCCACCATCATCCAGACCCCAGAATGGTAGATCCACTGGCAACTTTCACCCTTCATTTGGAAAAGTCACAGGCACTCAACTTCAACCCGTGAGAGTAGCCATATGGGTTGAACCTTGCAAAGCCACAGGAGCAGAGCTGCCCAAGGCCGTGGGAGCCCACCCCTTGCACCCACATGCCCTAGAAGTGGGACATGGAGGCAAGAGAGATTATTTTGGAGCTTTAAGACTGGATAACTCCCCTACTGGGTTTCAAACTTGAATGGGTCCTGTAGCCCCTTTCTTTTGGCAAATTTCTCCCTTTTGGAATGGGAATGTTTACCCAATGCCTAAACCCCCATTGTATCTTGGGAGTAAATAACTTATGTGATTTTACAGGTTCATAGGTGTAAGTGACTTGCCTTGTCTGAGATGAGGTATTGGACTTGGGACTGCTGATTGGGTTGATGCAGGAATGAGTTAAGACTTTGGGGGACTGTTGAGAAGTGATTGTGTTTTGCAATGTGAGAATATGAGATTTGAGGGGCCAGGGGCAGCATAATATATTTTGGTAATGTGTCCTCTCTAAATCTCATGTCAAATTGTAATCCCCAGTGTTGGAGGTGGGTCTTGGTGGTAGGTGATCGGATCATGGTGGAAGTTTTCTAATGAATGGTTTAGCAGCATCCCCTTTGTGCTGTTCTCATGACAGTGAGTGAGTTCTTACAGGATCTAGCTATTGTAAAGTGTGGCACTTGTCCCAGCCTCCACTCTCTCTCTTGGTCCTGCTCTGGCATGTGATGTGTGTGATCCTGCTTCACCTTCCACCATGAGTAAAAGCTTCCTGAGGCCTCCCCAGAAGCACATGTTTGTACTATACTTCCTGTACAGCCTGCAGAACGGTGAGCCAATTAAACTTCTTTTCTTATTAAGTTCCCAGTCTCAAGTATTTCTTTATAGCAATTCAAGAACCCCCAACACAGAAGCCAAGAAGAATCTACACTTTTTGTCCAATCATATTTTTACAGTATTGTCAGTCATGTCTAATTAATGGCATCTCTATAAATTACAAAGAGAGAGGGTTCAGATAGCCTCCCAATAGCTGAACTAATGGAGGTTCCTGAGGATGATGCACCCAGGGAGAGCGTGGAAGCTCCACACCCCTCCCCCTATACCTCACTGTATACATCTCTTCATGTGTATCTTTGTAATATCTTTTATAATGAACTGGTAAATGTAAGTTTCTATGAGTTTTGTGAGCCACTGTAACAAATCAACTGAACCCAACCAGAGGTCATGTGAATGTCACCTTCAAGCCGGTTGGTCACAATTTCTGGAGGCCCAGACTTATTACTGGTGGGAAGAGGGAGGGTAGTCTTGTGAGGACTCCATTAACCTGTGGGATCTGATGCCATCTCCAAGTAGATAGTATCAGAATTTAATTGGAGGACACTCAGCTGGTGTTTGCTGCAGAACTGATTGCTTGCTTATTCATGGAGAAAACCCCACACATGTGGTCACAGAAGTCTTCTGTGATGATTGTTGTTGAGTGAGAGAATAGAAAAAGTAGAGTTCAAGTTTTTACTCTCAGAACTCTGAACTCACATTATTATTTAACACTGATTAGCACCATACTTTAGGAAAGACTATACTAGAACAATAATAACAGACATTGAAGAAAAATTTTGATCACATGATACTAGTGCATGTAGTAAAATATCCCGATCAGAAGCCCATTTGTGTCTTCATATCAGACAAAATTAATTAGAATTTCATGTGACACTATTGGCTTAATACCCATTCTTGAATTATTTGTATTTTGATATGTTTCATTGCCAAAGGAATGAAAGTTTGTCCACGTTGGAGTCAGCATTAAGGAAATAGAACATAAAGCTATATCAAAGCCCCAGCTATGGAAGTTTTGAGAGAAATAATTTTACACATTTCTTATTTAAATTCCAGAGTTTAAGAAATGATTGTAATTATCCACTCAAGTAAGTGTTTAGTGCAGGCAGTTTTCAATGATGAATATCCACTGTCAAAAAATACTCAGTGAGATCCCAGAAGAAAGCCCTTAATTTAAAAAGACCAATTTTCTACAAACTCCTAAGGCACTAGAATTTGAACCCAAGGTATGTTAAAGATACTTAAAATTCACCAAATTGAGACCTGATAAGCTTGTTGAAGAATACAAAAAATTAGCTGGGCGTGGTGGCAGGCACCTGTAGTCCCAGCTACTCGGGAGGCTGAGGCAGGAGAATGGCATGAACCTGGGAGGTGGAGCTTGCAGTGAGGAGAGATTGTGCCACTGCACTCCAGCCTGGGTGACAGTGCGAGACTCCATCTCAAAAAAAAAAAAAATGAACTTGCAGATTATCATGAGGCTTACATATGATGATGTATGGGAAAATGGCTGCTTCTTTTGAAGATGAAGTAATAAAAATGGAATTTACTCTCCTGCTTGAAATAACAACAGCAGCAAAACCAGACAAAATTCAGAAAACAAGTTTGCAAGACACTGGACCTCAAACAATGAAGACATTATTCTCAAGAGACAAGAAATAAAAGATGTGACCCTTCTAAAGTGAGAAAATGGAATTGAGTTTAGAGAGGTCAACAAAGCTAGAGTTTGTAGAGCACAGAATCAGAGAGGAGAGAACTGCGTGAAGAGAGAATGCTGGAGATGTGTAGAGGCTCCCTCCTGAGCATTCAGCGGAGTATTCATCAAACACGCATGACCCGGGACAGAACCACTTAAAACAGAACACTGTTCCCAGCAATCATATGGTAACGGAGTCAGAATGGAAAAAACACGTAGTTCAGATACCTCAAACAATATTTTAAGGACATATTCTAGCATTAAATATTAGGGAAAAAAACCACAAACCAATGGCCACAGCTTCCACCTCAAGAAATTTGTAAAAGAAAAGCAAATTAACCACAAAGTAAGTAGAAAAAGTAAATAATAGACCAGAGTGAAAATCAGTGATACAGAAGACAGAAACACAATAGAGAAAATTCAATAAAATTAAAGCCTGTTTCTTTTAAATGATCAATAAAATTGAAAAATCAAATTGATCAGAAAAAAAAGAAAAGAGAAACAATACAAATTACTAATATCAGGAATGGGTGAGGCAACATCACTACAGGTTTTATAGATATGAAAAAGAAAATAAATACTATGAGCAACTTTATGACTTAATTTAGATAAAATGAAAAAAATTCATTGAAATTAACATTCTACCAATGTTCACTGGAGGATAAAGAGAAAATATGAATGGTCCTATATTTGTTAAACTGAATTTATAGTTAAAAATTTTCCCACAAAGAAAACTCCAGGCCCAGATTGGTTTCACTGGTGAACTGCTGCCAAACATTTAAGGAAAAACAGACATCAATTCTATGTAAACTCTACCAGAAAAGTAAAGAAGTAGAAATACTTCCTAATTCAATCAATGAAGACAGAATTACAGGTACCAAAACCAGACGAAAATATCTCATGGAAAACAAAACAAACAAACAAACAAACAAACAAAACAATTATACCCCAATATACCTCATATAGACCTCATGAACACTGATGTAAATATATTAAACAAAATTTTTTAAATCAAATCTAATAATACCTTTTTTTAAATTTTATTATTATTATACTTCAAGTTTTAGGGTACATGTGCACAATGTACAGGTTAGTTACATATGTATACATGTGCCATGCTGGTGTGCTGCACCCATTAACTCGTCATCTAGCATTAGGTATATCTCCTAAAGCTATCCCTCCCCCCTCCCCCCACCCCACCACAGTCCCCAGAGTGTGATGTTCCCCTTCCTGTGTCCATGTGTTCTCATTGTTCAATTCCCACCTAAGAGTGAGAATACGCAGTGTTTGGTTTTTTGTTCTTGCGATAGTTTACTGAGAATGATGATTTCCAATTTCATCCATGTCCCTAAAAAGGACATGAACTAATCATTTTTTATGGCTGCGTAGGATTCCATGGTGTATATGTGCCACATTTTCTTAATCCAGTCTATCATTGTTGGACATTTGGGTTGGTTCCAAGTCTTTGCTATTGTGAATAATGCCGCAATAAACATACATGTGCATGTGTCTTTATAGCAGCATGATTTATAGTCCTTTGGGTATATACCCAGTAATGGGATGGCTGGGTCAAATGGTATTTCTAGTTCTAGATCCCTGAGGAATCACCACACTGACTTCCACAATGGTTGAACTAGTTTACACTCCCACCAACAGTGTAAAAGTGTTCCTGTTTCTCCACATCCTCTCCAGCACCTGTTGTTTCCTGACTTTTTAATGATTGCCATTCTAACTGGTGTGAGATGGTATCTCATTGTGGTTTTGATTTGCATTTCTCTGATGGCCAGTGATGGTGAGCATTTTTTCATGTGTTTTTTGGCTGCATAAATGTCTTCTTTTGAGAAGTGTCTGTTGATGTCCTTCACCCACTTTTTGATGGGGTTGTTTGTTTTTTCCTTGTAAATTTGTTTGAGTTCACTGTAGATTCTGGATATTAGCCCTTTGTCAGATGAGTAGGTTGCGAAAATTTTCTCCCATTTTGTAGGTTGCCTGTTCACTCTGATGGTAGTTTCTTTTGCTGTGCAGAAGCTCTTTAGTTTAATTAGATCCCATTTGTCAATTTTGTCTTTTGTTGCCATTGCTTTTGGTGTTTTGGACATGAATTCATTGCCCATGCCTTTGTCCTGAATGGTAATGCCTAGGTTTTCTTCTAGGGTTTTTATGGTTTTAGGTCTAACGTTTAAGTCTTTATATCATGAAAATGGCCATACTGCCCAAGGTAATTTATAGATTCAATGCCATCCCCATCAAGCTACCAATGACTTTCTTCACAGAATTGGAAAAAACTACTTTAAAGTTCATATGGAACCAAAAAAGAGCCCGCATTGCCAAGTCAATCCTAAGCCAAAAGAACAAGGCTGGAGGCATCACGCTACCTGACTTCAAACTATCCTACAAGGCTACGGTAACCAAAACAGCACGGTACTGGTACCAAAATAGAGATATAGATCAATGGAACAGAACAGAGCCCTCAGAAATAACGCCGCATATCTACAACTATCTGATCTTTGACAAACCTGAGAAAAACAAGCAATGGGGAAAGGATTCCCTATTTAATAAATGGTGCTGGGAAAACTGGCTAGCCATATGTAGAAAGCTGAAACTGGATCCCTTCCTTACACCTTATACAAAAACTAATAACACATTTAAAAATTATAATACATTATTACCAAGTGGTGTTTATCTTGAAATGTAAGGTTGGCTTAATATTCAAAAATTGATTCATGGAATTGTATTAACATATAATATTTTTTAATGAGAAAACCTATTATAATAATTTTTGATGAAATGACTCACAAACTAAAAATAGACAGAAACTCTTTTTTTTTTTGAGACAGTCTCGCTCTGTCACCCAGGCTGTAGTGCAGTGGCACAATCTCAGCTCTCTGCAACCTCCCCTCCTGTGTTCAAGCCTCTCAGGTTCAATCAATTATCCTGCCTCAGCCTCCTGAGTATCTGGGATTACAGGAGCATACCACCAAGCCCAGATAATTTTGGTATTTCTAGTAGGGACAGTGTTTCACCATGTTGGCCAGGCTGTTCTCAAACTCCTGACCTCAAGTGATCCACCCACCTTGGCCTCCCAAAGTGCTGGGATTACAAGCGTGAGCCACCGTGCCTGGCAGAATCTTTTTCAATCTACTAAAAATATTTTTCCCTGTGGTCAGGAAAGGAGGTTGGCTTTCAATTCTATAGGTTCTAGTCAGTGAAATAAGTCAAGAAAAAAATAAGTGATGTCCAGATTTTAAAGAATGGAGTAAAACTCTATTAACAGATGGTATAATTGTCTTTCTAGAAAAGCAGTGGTGTTTACAAACTAAGTTCTAGTGAGTTTATTACATTTTTGTAATAGAAGATATGAATTATAGAAAAATGAATTGTATTTCTATATAATAGCAGTAAATAATTAGAAACTAAAATTTTAATACATTAGTATCATTTACTGGATATCCACATGTGGAAAAATAAAATTGGACCCTTACTTCACACCATAGACGAGAATCAACTCAACGTGAATTAAAGGCTTAAACATAAGACCTAGAAACATAAAACTACTGGAAGAAAACATATGGAAAATCTTCCTGATAGTGGCCTGGACGATGATTTTTTGGGGGGTATGACCCCAAATGCATAGCAATGAAAACAAAAATAGACAAGGAATTTAATCAAACTAGAAAGCTCATGCACAGCAAAGGAAACAATCAACAGAGTGAAAAGACAACCTAAGGAATGGAAGAGAATATTTGCAACCATATATCTGATAAAATTCAAAACATAAAACAAATGCAAACAACTCAATAGCAAAATTAAAACATACACACATAAACACAAATAATAACATATCTAAAACCTGGACTAAGGATTTGAATACACATTTCTCAAAAGAAGATATACAAATGTCCAACAGATATATGAAAAGTGCTTAACACTGCTAACCATTAGAGAAATGTAAATCAAAACCACAATGAGATATCATCTCACACCTGTTAGAATGGCTACTATCAAAAAGATGAAAGAGATGACGTGTTGGCAAGGGTGTAGAGAAAAGGGAACCCTGTATACTGTTGGTAGAAATGTAAATTGTTACAACCATTATGGAAAATAGGATGGAGTTTCCTAAAAATATTAAAAATAAAACTACCTTATGATACAGCAATCCTATTTCTGGATATATATCCAAAGGAAATGAAACCAGTATATCAAAGAGGTATCTGTACCCAATGCTCATCACAGCATTAGCTGCAATAGCCAAGAGGTGGAAATAATCTAAATGCCAAAGGATAAGCTTTTTAACAAATGCTACTGAAAAATTTTTATATCCACGTGCCCTTCCTCCCCACCAAAATTCAGTCTACACCTTGCAACGTAGAGTCATGTGCTACATAACGATTCAGTAAACGATGGTCCACATATACAACAATGGTCTCATCACATTATAATGGCGCTGAAAAATTATTGTTGCCTAGTGATGTCATGGTGCAACACATTACTCATATGTGTGGTGATGCTGATGTAAATAAACCCTGTGCACTGCCAATTGCATGAAAGTATGGCACATACAATTATGTATACAACATAATTTTGAAAATAATAACGTTTATGTATTTACTATTATATATTTTTATCATTACTTGGGAGTGTACTCCTTCTACTTATAAGAAATAAAAAGTCAACTGTAAAACATCCTCAGGCAAGTCCTTCAGGAGGTGTTCCAGAAAGTATTGTTATCATAGGAGATAACAGCTCCGTGTGTTATTGCCCCTGAAGACCTTCTGGTAGGATGAGATGTGGAGGTGGGAGACAGTGATATTGATGATCCTCACCCTGTGCATGCCTAGGCTAATGTGTGTAGGTATCTTGGTTTTTAACAAAAACATTTAAAAAATAAAAAATAGGAAAAGATTATGGAATAAGAATATAAAGAAGAAAATATTTTGTGCAGCTATACAATGTGCTTGTGTTTTAAGCTATGTGTTATTACAAAAGAGTTGAATAGTTAAAAATAAATTAAAAGTTTATAAAGTAAATGTTACAGTAAACTATGGTGAATTTGAAGAAAGAAAAATAATATTTTTTATAAATTTAGTGTAGCCTAAGGGTGTATTGTTTATAAAGTCATAGTGGCATACAGTAATGTCCTAGGCCATCACATTCCCTCACCCTCACTCACTGACTTGCCCAGAACAACTTCCAGTCCTGCAAGCTCTATTCATTGTAAATATCCTATAGAAGTATACCATTTTAAAACCTTTTATGTCACACTTCTGCTGTACTTTGTCTACATTTAGATATACAAATACTTACACCTTTGTATAATTGCCCACAGTATTTAGTACAGTAACATGCTGTACAGGTTTGTAGCTTAGGAGAAACCAGCTATATCATATAGCTTATGTATTTAGTAGGTTGTGCATAACCACCCTCTAAGATGTTCAAACAGTGATGAAATTGCCTAACAGCACCTTTCTCAGAACATATCCTTGTCATTAAGTGATGTATGAATGTATATAAAAATTAACTAAAAATTAATTTTAGCTAGTTACGGTGGCTCGTGTTTATAATCTCAGCACTTTGGAAGGCCAAGTCAAGAGAATCATTATAGGCCAGGAGTTCAAGACCAGTCTAAGCAACAAAGTGAAACTACCCCCTGCCTCTTTACAAAAACTAATAATAAAAAAATTTAGTCAGGTAATTGGGCACAGTAGTGCCTGCCTATAGTCCCAGCTACTCGAGAGGCCAAGGCAGAAGGATTGCTTGAGCCCAAGAGTTCAGCACTGTAGTAAGCTATGATTGCACCACTGCACTCCATCCTGAGTTACAAAGCAAGAATCCATCTCAAAAAATGAAAATTATAGATATAAATGTGAAACCTAAAACTATAAAATATCTATAAGAAAACATGAAAACCCATTCATGACCTTATGTTAGAAAAGGTTTCTTATACGCGACAGCAAAACACGATCAGTAGAAGAAAAAATGACTGTGTTGGACTTCATCAAAATTAAAAACACTTGCTCTGTAATGAGAATGGAAAAGAAAAGGCACAGATTGGAAGAATTTCTATATAATTTACCTATAATTGGGGTAGATGAGAAATTCTTAAAAAATAATAACAATGCAGTTTTTAAAATGAGCAAAATGAAAAGCCATTTCTTTTAGTCATTTTTAATTTTTGTGGTTTATGTGTTTACAGGATACATGACCCAATAAGTGCATAGTGGTATCTTATTGTGGTATAAATGTTCACTTTCCTAATGATTACTGATATTGAGCATCTCCTATACCTATCTGCCAACCATACATCTTCTTTGATAAAATGACTATTCAAAACATGCTTGTTCAAAATATTGATGAACACTCATTTCATCAAAGAAGATATAAGGATTGCAGATAAGTACAGGAGAAGATGCTCAATATGATTAATCATTAGGAAAACAAAAATTTATACCACAATAAGATAACACTATGCACTTATTAGTATGGATAAAATTATAAAGCCTGGTCATATCAAATGTTGGGAAGAATGTTGAGGAACAAATATTCTCACGTACTGTTGATGAGAATATAAAATGCTATAACCATTTTGGAAAATAGTTTGATAGTTTCTTAAAAAGTTAAACATATACCCACCATGTGGTGCAGCCATTCTACTCCTAAGTATTTAAGGAATAATGTTCAAAATGATGTTATTTGTAATAGCTCAAACGCCAAAAAACCTAAATATTCACCAACAGGTGAAAGAATACACAAACTGTGATATATTCATGTAATGGAATATTACTCATCTACATAAAGGAATGACCAATTAATACACCCAACAACACAGCAAAAATCAAAATAATTATGAGTCTAAGTAGCCAGAAAAGCCAAGGCAGGAGGATCACTTGAGGCCAGGAGCTCGAGATCAACCTGGGTAACATAGGGAGACCCCGACTCTACAAAAAAATAGAAACATTGGCCAGGTGTGACAGCGCATACCTATAGTCCTAGGTGCTTGGGGGTCTGAGGCAGGAGGATCGCTTAAGCCTGCAGTGAGCTAGGATTGCACCACTGCACTCCAGCCAGGATGAAGGAGTTAGATCCTGCCAAAAAAAAAAAAAAAAAAAGTACATACTGTGTGATTCAATCTCTATGAAACTTTAGAAAATGCAAAGTAATCTAGAGTGACAGAAAGCAAATCAGTGGTTGCCTGGGGATGGGAATGGGGAGTGATGGATTACAAAGGTGCGGGAGGAACGTCGTGGAGGTGATGGATATGTTAAGTATCTTGACTTTTGTGTGGTTTCATGAGAGTATACATGTGTGAAAACTTATCAAAGTGTTCAGTTTCAATATGTGCAGTTTATTCTATGTCAATAGTACTTTAATAAACCTGTTCAGAAATGTATAAGGACAAATATCTATTTGTCCTTTTATACATATATATCTATAAAACATAAAATAATCCTCTTTCAGACTTATTTCTCAGGCTTCAAAGAATTCTAGCAAATAACCAAGTCCCTTATCTCTCATATCTTTTGTGATTTTGATGTCTGTAACCAAATGGAAATTTACTTTACAAAGGGATGTTCTTCTCCTCCTGCTTTTAATCCCTAAGCTTATCCCTTTTGAGCTGCTCAGTGATTCATTCTCTCCCAGTCTCTCAGATGACTCAGGTAAGCCATGCTGTGAAATGAACAGGAGTGAGAGCTTTGGAGTGATCACTTATGTTAAATTCAGCTCCACCATTCACTCACTCTGTAACCGGGGGCCAGTTACTTAGCCCTGCCTTCTTCATTTATACAACTCAGACAATAATTATATTTTAGAGTCATGATGGGGATAAAATGGCATGATATAGGTAAAGATCCTATGAAAGGATCTCAAGAAATGTTATATTAAAACTTTACACTTACAATCGATTGTGCTTTAGAAAATATTTGCATTTAGGTTGTTGTGGAAAAGAAATACAATATGTGGTATTAGTAAATATATATCCCAATAATATCTAGGCTAGGAATGATGATTTACAGCATATTACTAGAATATAACATTTAATATAAAAACAAAAAACAGATGTTTCCTCTGCCTATTCATAACCTTATTCTTCATATGCATGTAGGTGTTTTGGTACGGTATACCTGTTTTATAACAGGTGCCATTCTCTAAGATATTATAAAAAGCTAACTTTAATTTCAATTTTATGGCTGAGTGTCAGATGCTATATATGAGTTTGCCCACATCACCATGACAACTATGTGGGAAGGTTTTTGCCACAGCCCTCATGGTTGGCCTAGTGTTTTGACATTTCAGTAATTGCCAGTGTCACTACCTTTAAAAATTACAGAGAACTGACACCTAGTCCAGATGGCTACTAAATAAAGAAACCGCTGTCCCCACAGCTGTGACATGGTACTGAAGACAGGAGAGCCTTCTATCAAAGATATGGTCACTAAGAAATGATGTGAAAGATCTTGACTTATAAAATATAATAAATGGCTGGGCACAGTGGCTCATGCCTGTAATCCCAGCACTTTGGGAGGCCGAGGTGGGCAAATCACCTGAGGTCACGAGTTCGAGACCAGCCTGACCAACATGGAGAAACCCCGTCTCTACTAAAAATACAAAATTAGCCAGTCATGGTGGTGCATGCCTGTAACACTAGACACTTGGGAGGCTGAGGCAGGAGAATGGCTTAAACCCGCGAGGCAGAGGTTGCAGTGAGCCAAGATCGCACCATTGCACTCCAGCCTGGGCAACAAGAATGAAACTCCATCATAATATGTGTGTGTGTGTGTGTTTGTGTGTGTGTGTGTGTGTGTGTGTGTGTGTGTGTATTACATTAGTAAATTATTATTAAGCCCTTTGCAACATTGGGCAACCCTGGAGTGGAATACAAGGCAAATATATGATCTAGTACTTAACTTCAGGGTCTCTACATTCTGCTAAGGAATAAAAGATATACTAAAAGATTAAAACTAGAAGAGTCATTTATCCCTTCAGCAAATACTTATTGAATAACTACTATGTATCAGTAGGCATTTTAGATACTGGAGTTACAGAAGTAAACAAAACAGACAAAAATTCTTGCCTTCGTGGAACATACATTCCTGTTAGGGGAGACAGAGTAAAACAAAATAGATAAGTGAAATATATACTATATTAGATGGTGATAATTACTGGAAGAAAAATAAATCAGGGAGATAGGATTTAGAATGTTGGGGAGGGTGACCTTACTGAAGAGAGAAACTTTGTATAAAGCCCAGAAAGTGAGGAAGGTGTGACCCAAGTCGTTAAGGGAGAAGATGATTTCAGGAGAAGGAAATCACAGGAATAAAGCCTGGAGAGGTGTGGGAACTGTCATAGGTAAGGAAACAGATGGGAGACCAAAGTGGCTGGAGCAAAGTAAGTTGGGGAAACAAGTAGAAGATAATGTCAAAGAGGTCACAGAAGGTGAGATCTTGGAAAGCTGTGTGGGCCACTGTGCTGACTTTGGCTTTTACTCAATTGAGACATGAAGCCACTAGAGGACTTAGACAAAGACAGGACTTGAACTGGCCTTTTTTGTAGCAGATAACATTGACTGCCATGGAGCTGTAAGCAGATTGTCTGATTATCAAACATCACTGGAATGTGTGAGTCAAAGAGTAAGTCATGGAAGTCTGTGGACAGGAGAAATCAGTTCAGGTCAGAGTATCCAAGGGCAATTGGAGGAGACAGCATGGGTATCCTGTGGGTAAGCGAGTGTGGTATGGGTAAGTGGCCAAGTAGAGAGAATAGCCTGAGGAAATAGGGAAGTGGAGCTGGAGTAGAAGAGTCCATCATGAAGAGGTTTTCTATTTGTCCGTGATCAATAAAGAAGGCATTCTAATTCCCAAAACCCTCTACCTCTGGAGGGGGTCTCAGAATTTGCCTGCCATGTTCACAGACAGAAATGGATTAGGAAGATTAAAACAAGGAGAGAAGACACTATACATAGGTAGAAATAAAGTGGGATAGGTAAGGTGCAGCTGACTATAGATATGTACGGCGCATAGCTGACATATTTGAGCTAGAGAATGAATACCAATGCAAAGTTGTTGGGTATTACTGAGCATAGCCCTGCCATGGAATTCTACTAAAGAAGGTCTGGTTATTTGAAGGAATTTTATGTTAAAAGAATTTTGCCGCTACCAATAGACCCAGGGCAAATGCCTTTTCAGGGTCCTTCTTCCAGAATAATAACCATCAGATCCAGATATCAAATTCCTTCAGGTGCTGAAGCTTTGGTATGGCAAAGATAGGCTAGATGTTCAGCAAATCCATTTCCTTTTCCTGAGCACATAGGAAAGCACCATTTACAAACCTACTTTGCAGTACCTGACTAGAATTAGTTGATAGAATATGAGCTAAAGTGATGTGTGCTACTTAGAGGCCTGCGTTCTAAAAATTCACAAAAGATCCTGGTCTCAATCTCCCTCCTACATTCATGTGACTAGAAAAAAAGGGATCCAAAGATGGCAAAATCATGTGTTAGAAAGAGCTTGGCTCTCTGAGTCACTTAAAAGACTCAGGAGCACTTCACAATCTACATTAGATTGTGATATAAGCAAGAAATAAACTTTTATTGTATTAAGCTACTGGTTATTTGAGTCTGTTGTCATAGCAGCTACTGTTAATTACCCTGACTTGATATACCTTTCTCCTGCTCCTGATGGACAGCAGCAGGGCTTTGTCATGATATGTAAATGCCAATCTACACCAAAGTGACTACAAGAGTTAAAGGATCCATCTGTTACCATAGTGATTCCCACTGACCCTGCCAATTCAATTTATTTTGGAATAGATCCAGGATATTTGAGCTGTTGCTTGGAAAACATTTTACTGATCAGCTCAAGGGTTCATGACTATCAGAGCAGATATTAAATATAACCTAAATGGCACATGATTTCTTTCCAATGAAGTATTGATACAAATTCAAGGCATGAGTTAAATTTCTTTCATATCTTCTTTATCAAATTATCACTTCTTACATCCATTAAGCAAGATTCTGAACTGGTTTTAAGAGTTACAAGAGAGGAGGCCAAGAATAGTTAGCGGTTAATCTCTTCCATCAGGTATTTTATAATTTATCTGGGAATACCTTCAATACAAGGTTACACATGATAAGTAGAAAATAGTTGAAATGTGACTTAAGGGCTCTAGGCATTAGAGAAGTAGAGAATGCATGCATCTGGGGAAATTAGGGATTAATGACATAGCTAGTCTTTGAGTTGAATCCTGAAGTTTAGTTGGGCTGTGAGACAGGGAGTTGGAGGCAGAGTATTTCAAGCTTAAACAGTTTGGCAAACTGAATAATGGAGTTGAGAAAATACATGTCCTACTCAGTGTCATAGATTGTAACAAATAAGGCTGGGAATGCAAGTTTGAAAAGATGTTTTTAACCATGCATGCCAAACCATGATTTGGGGAATTTTCTTCTATATCTTAATTGTTGAAGAATTTTGAAGAAAACGAGGTAATCAAAAACCATATTTAAAAATATTAATCTGACAGTATAATTCAGAATTTGTTGGGTGAGGGAGAGATTACCTTTATTTTATTAAGCTGCTGGGAATTTGAGGGTGTCACAGAAGTTATTGTTAGGTGACAGAAGAATGAGGTAAACTTGGTGATCCTCTGCAGGGCTGAAGGAAAGGGAGAAGACAAGGGTGACTTAAAAGATTCAATTTTAGGTGATTGAGAAAATTTTGCAAGTAGAGAAATAGGGAAAGGGGTGAGATTGAGGTACAGAAGATGAGTTCTGCTTAAAATATTTCAAATTTGAAATATGCACATGTGGCTGTTGTACAGCCAATTAGGAGGAGTATATCTGACATCTTAATGACATGCAGTGGTAATGAAGAATCCCTGGTGCAAAATTACTAAGAGTGAATAGAAGGCTAGAAACTATCCCTAATGTGCATCTTTCAGATAGTAACTGCAGGAAAAGCTGGGTCCATCAGACCTAAAATATGTGCCACAAAGAAATTATAGGGTAAACTCATGTATCTCATATTAATAAATGTGATAATGTGATTAAATTGATTGATTTGTGAGTGGTGGGTTTATGGAAATGAAAAGTTATGCACACTGAAGACATCACAGTAAAGTGGTTTTGTACAAGCTTTGGCATTTGACAGGCTAGATTTATATCCTGGCTCTGCCACTTAATAGCTCTATGACACTGGACAAATTGCTTAAACTCTCTTTCTTCACTTTCTTCAGTTGTAAATTTGGGATAATATTAAATGCCTAGCAGATAGAGATATTATGAGAAGAACATGGAATAGTACCTATGAAGCATTTAACATAGTGTTAAGTCAGCTTGGGCTGCCATAAGAAAATAACATTGACACAGTGGCTTAAACAAATTTTTTTTTTCACAGCGCTGGAGGCTGGAAGCCGGAGATCAGGATGTGAACATAGTTGGGTTCTGGTGAAGCCTCATTTTCCAGCCTACAGACAGCCTCCTTCTTGCTATGTCCACACTTGGCAGAAAGGGAGAGAAATTCAGGGCATGAATCAAATTTTTTTTGTATCTTCTTTATCAAGTCACTGGTATCTCTTCTCTTAAGGACATTAACCCTATCATGAACAGGCTACCCTCATTAGCTCATCTAAACCTAATTACTTCCCAAAACTTCATCTCCAAATACCATCACACTAGGAATTAGAGTTTCTTCAACATATTGAGGGTATTTGAGGGGACGTAATTTAGTCCATAACACACAGTCTCTGGCATTTAATAAAACTCAATAAATTACAACAATATTAGGAATATTTCTTCTGCACTTTTTTCCTAGCAATTTCACAGAGCCAAGAATCACAACACTTCCGAACACATAAAAGAATGTAAATCTAAGAAAGAATTCAACCAAAAATTACATTGTATGGAGAAATGAAACTCAAATAAACACAAGTCAGAAATCTCTATGAGTCACAGTGGAGAGGTTTGTGCATTTATAAACTAAGTGCAAACTCTTATTGCCAGAAGGTTTCCGATTAGACTGTTTTATATATTCTGCTTTAATTGTCACGTTTTACATCTGTGAAATTCTAGCAAAATATAAAAGCAACGTTTAAGAATGTTTTATGGTCTAAAACCTCTTATCTATACTATAGCTATGTAATCCATGGCATTATACAAAGCTGTGTGTAGCAGTAGTGCTTCTCTGCCATTTTCTATCTCTGTAACCTTGGGCAAGTTGTTAAATCTCTCTATATTTGGTGTAAATTGTAAAGGCTGCTCTCAATTTACAAAATTTTTGGAAATACTGGCCAAGAAGTATGTCTGTGAAAGTTTAGTGTGAGGTAATCTGGTAAAAAAAAAATAAGCTAGTCACTTAAGACCTGCTCTATATGTGTGACATTTCTTAGAGCTCACTGCCTGTTGCCGCTGAATTCTACCTGGAATTTTTGTGTTTTGCCTAGACTGTGGCACGGGAGAAATCATTATAGCTTTCTCCTTTGACCAAAGCTACAAATTATCTCTTCTTTTCTAGGAAGAGTTTGGATTTGTGTTGTTGCTGTTTGTCTGATTTTTTTGTTGCTTTTATTTTCATTTCTTTTTCAACTCTTATTTTAGAATTGGGGCTATATGCACACATTTGTTACAAAGGTTTATTACATGATGTTGTGGTTTGGGGTATGGTTAGACCCATCACCCAGGTAGTGAGCACAGTAGCCAACAGGTAGTTCTTCAGCCCTTGCCCCCCTCCCTTTCTCTCCAATTAAACATTCCCTCTAGGTTACAACATCTTAAGAGTAAGTTGCATGGCCTATTCACGCCCACAATTCTATAGGATAATGCCGGTACGATGCTAGTGCTTAATAATTTTTAAATATGAAGGTCAAATTGTGACCCCTGGAGAAGAAAATCCACCAAATACTTCTTTTCTAAGGATTTTTCCTTAGAAAAAATTACTCTTTGTATAATAATTTGGCTAGATTCCAGGATACTTACTGGGCCACCTGTGATAGAGTGCAGAGGTACTATGGATTCAAAGTCAGGGACACGGGTATAGCCTTTTCTCTCTTTCCTCATACACTCTTGCTATGGAAATAAGTTGAAGTGGGGCACATTCTTATCTGGAGGCAAGCCTGGCCATTTTGTTCCCTGTTCTCTGAGTGAGGTAGAAATCCTGGCTCTCTGGAACTTCGGCACCCTTGAGTTCTTTAACCTGTTCCCTGTAGAGCTGCCAAATCTTACTATTGTAAGATGTGCATCTGAGGCTGAGGAATAGGTCCCCTTGATGTAAAATTTAGGTTTATTTCATTCCAAATGACCATGTTTTGAATAATAAGGCATTTTAATTTCACATATGAGGTACAGTCATTGTTTGGTAAGACTGTATCACATAAGTAAACCTCATGCAGAACAGTGGCTATAGTTTTATAGAATTCTGTATTCCTAGATCCCCTAGCAATAACACCATCTTAGTTGTATCAAAATCTTACCTCTGTCTCTAGCACAGAGGAAAATTAAGTCTGAAACATAGTAAATAACTTCAAAGGGGGATTTTTTAAAAATCCTGAATAGGTATTATTGAACATCACATGGAAAAATTTAGAAAGCAAAACATATGTTTTAATTGATTGTCTAAGAAGCACATAGCAAATTTTCTGCAATAAGGGTTCCCTTGATGCCTGAATTTTTAAATTTTTATTCTTTACAGACAGGGTCTTGCTCTGTCGCCCAGGCTGGAGTGCAGTGGTGCCATCATAGCTCACTGCAACCTCAAACTGCTGGGCTCAAGAGATCCTCCCGTCTTGGTCCCCCAAAGCACTGGGATTAGAGGCATAAGCAACCATACCCAGCCTGAAATTTTTAGTTTCTTGTTTCAGTTTCCCTCTTGTCATTGTTCCTTCCTCCCATATTTATCATTCTCTTTGGAGTACATACATGAGTACGTCCATAAGGCATGGCCCCGGGTTTTCTCTTATCCTCTCAGGCAATATTTAATTAAGTTTATTCAGCAGACAAGAAAAGGAAGAAAATTCATCTGGTGATTCTTTCTCTACACAGAATTACTAGATTCAAATAGTCACAGATAATGGGAAGGTATTCTCCCTTGTGAAATCAGGTTCCAGGGTGCAAGGCCTATGCTATTCCAGATCAGGAGAAGCCAGTAGTGAACTGAATTTGATGTTTGCATTTTCTTTAATAATTTGGCTCAGGAAAACTTTTGGTCCATGGTTCTACTTTGATATAAAGTTGAATAATGTAATTCTCTTGGACTATAGGCCTTCATACAAGCCCATCAAACACTGAATAGAGCCAAGCCACTAATTATTATGAAAATCAATAGTTGAATTGGAACTTAAATAATTAGTAAATATGTATCCAGTTGACTGTAGGTTGCTTTTCCAAACAACATTTTGACTCATGACAGAGATTTTGTTGCAATCACTAAAAACCAATTTTAGTTTGACTTTTTTAGGATAAATAAATGAAGTAAATAGTATTAATTTAAAGAATATTGCCCACCCCCACCACCTGGATGTACTAGTAGCTAGAAGACCAAGTTTGGAAAGTTGGCCCAGGTCCAAAGGATTCCAGGCAGCAGGAAACTCTGCTTTTAGCAATTTGGCCAGAGTATGACTACATTTGCACCCTATCGTGAACTTGATTGCAAATAAATACTGATCATTCTTTTGCTGTACTTAGCTTTCTCCAGATTCCTGGAATACAGCTGCCAATTTACTGAGCCTGGGTTACATTCCCATTGCTTGGCAGTCAAGTAAAAGGAATACAGGAGAATAAAAGCTACTTCAATTTCCCAAATGAAAGAATAATAGTTTTCCATAATCTAGGTAAAATAAGGGGTCCATCAAAATTAGAAAAGCAATTTGTATTCTATGCAGCCCAATCATGAAGATTTCTATAGCTTAATTTGATAATTGAGGACAATATAAGTGGTCTCTGGCCGGGCACGGTGGCTCACACCTGTAATGCCAGCACTTTGGGAGGCTGAGGCGGGCGGGTCACCTGAGGTCAGGAGTTCAAGACCAGACTGTCCAACATAGTCTCTACTAAATATACAAAAAATACAAAAAATTACAAAATACAAAAATACAAAAAAATACTAAAAATACAAAAAATTAGCCGGGCATGGTGGTGGGCAGCTATAATCCCAGCTACTCGGAAGGCTGAGGCAGGAGAATCGCTTGAACCTGGGAGGCAGAGGTTGCAGTAAGCTGAGATTGTGCCATTGCACTCCATACTGGGCGACAAGAGTGAAACTCTGTCTCAAAAAAATAAAAAATAAAAAATAAGTGATCTTATTACCATCATCATTATCATAATTAACACTTAACAAGCAGTTGCTTGCTAGGCTCTATTCTTACCCACACTTTCCCTATACAATCTCATTTTATGCTCCCATCAAATTTTATGACATAATTACTATTAGTGTCCTTTTAACAAAAATCCAATAATGTTTAGACAGAGTAAATAACTTGCCCGGGATTACACAACTAGTAAGTGGCAAAATAGTTTCAAACCTAGGTTATATGACTCCAAATAAGCTAAACCATATGCATACGCATGAGACTAATTCCTCTACTGCAATTTTACGGATTTTAGGACACACTAGATTCTTAACAAATATTTACTGAAATCTCTGTTAACTAGAACACCCTGGCACACAGTTGCTGCTCAATACATACTCGTTGTATAAATACATGCATATATATCATGTTTTGATTAAAAGATCAGATGTCAGAAGGCAGGTGTCTGCCGCCCCCACCCCTTCCTCGTAGCTCCCTCCAGCATGCAGCTCCTGAGCTATGTGCTGAGCTGGGTGATCCCATAAATCAAAGGAATTGAAGTCTGGGTTATAATGAAATAAATGTGTATTCATAGTGGTAAGGTGGATAGTGTATTTAAGCAGTTTCTTATCTTTGTTACTTCTTTCTAAACATGATAATAATTTAGAAAATGTTCGTTTTAGGTATACTGCAGATAGCATAGTTGAAAGAGTCAGATTGAACTGGGTTTGAAATTCTCCCCAAGTATGTTTTAGCTTTATGTCATTTAGCATTTTATTCTAACTCTTGGATCTCATCTAAGCAAGGGCAGAAAATGATGCTTAGCTTATGTGTTTGCTGTGAGGGCTACATGAGGTCATAAGTGTGTAAAGCATCTAGAATGTAGCACCTGTGGTGCTACTTTCCTCTCCTATCTCTTCTTTAATGGCTACCTTTGAAATATTTCAGAATAAAATGGCTTATAGAAAATAATTATTGCCATGGTTGAAAATAGTGTTGTGATTTTAAAGGAATATCTATGTCCTACAAAATTTGCACCATTGGTACAATAGCCACTACACTCAGAAGAGGGAGCTTCATAAATACTTTTTGATAAAAATGATTCAATATTAATCATTTTATATAGATCTACTTTCTACCCTAATCAAATCTCTTGTATTAGAGATGATGATTAATCTCTCATGTGTGCAATATGTGAACTCTGCATTTTCTGGTTCAATTCTTTGTAGGTTTACATACTGCAATGTAATTCGTTTTTGCAATTTTCTACTTCATTTCAATTACAGTGCTTATTATAAGAGATGGAATCTTCATTTAGCATGCTCATTATTTTTAATTAGAAATAAAATCTTGAACGAACTTAAATTTTTTGCATCTCTTATTGTCAGAAGCATAAACTCTAGAACACTGTGTGAATAAATAAGCACAGTAATTCTCAAATTTTCAAAGATGGAAAGTGTTAATTATGTAAATATACTAATAGTGATCTTGTGTATGTAAATTGTACTAGATGTACAATAACAATTAGCAAGTTTCTAATTATTTGGTACCTGTTGTGGGGTCATAACTTCCATATGTATTATCTCTAATTCTCACAACTCTAAAAGAAAGTATTATTTTTCTCCTTTTCAAAGTGAGGGAGCCCTGAAAAAAGAATCATTTTCAATTCTACCTGGGAAAGGCTATCAAGGATTCATCGTAGAGTGACCACTAGATTGTGTTTTAACGTATGATAAGAAGCTAATTGGACAAAAATGAGAAAGCCACATCTTCAGGAAACATTATAAAACACAGTTAAAATATAACTCATTGAAAAGAATGGTGGCGATGAAGATAAACAGACAGGGCCAAGTGGGAAAAGTCTGGTCTAGGAGTTTGATCTTAGTATAGTAAGAAGACTCTAATGCTATGGTTTTTGCCACACAATCTTTTAAATAATATCATAACCATTAGCCCTCATGTCCCTGTGGAATTCTTTCATTTACACACCATATGGAAGTTCTGCAAAATACTGTAATGTGAATGAGAGATATGGTATCTAAAATAATATATCCATCAGAGGGCTGCCAACTGGCTGTTCATGGTGAATCATTTAAATTTAAAATTTGATGTTCTGCACGGAGAAGTGTGCAATCCCTGTTGAATTTTTGAAGCTCCCTGAAGAAGCCTCTTCTTTCTGCAGCTGCTGTGTTCATTTGCATTTCAATATGAGCATTCAGAGGTCAACTGCCTGTATTTCAGGCACAAAATAAACTGGAGACACTGCAAATATTATGAACTGGTGTCTCTACAGGCATGTGGATACAGCTCTGGGTTTCCAGTATTGCCATGCTGCCTGACAAAGAATAGGCAGTATAGTGTTAGGCATAGGATGAATGATTTATGTGATGTCATCAGTTACTCCACCCTTTTCATAGACTATTTGTTTTCTTCCCTACAACACCAGTCACCGCCCAAGCCCTAAATCAATAGCTAGTCATTTGTTTTATTAAACTTGATCTATGTTCCCAAAAAGCTACCTGCACCTTCATTACAACATTCATTTCTCTGTTGGGCCCACTTTATGTTAGATTCCATACAGTAAGTCTATTCCACCTTCAACCATCATAAGTATGATCCACTGGTATATTCCTGACAATGTCGAGCAGTGTTCTGGGTGCTGGAAATACAATGATAAACAAGATCAATGTGTGTCTGATCCACATAGTGCTGATTTTCTACTCTGAAGTAATCTCTGAATCCCATGATATGTTTAGAGGCTTTTGCACAGAATAGGCATTTAGCAAATGCAAAATGAAGAAATGGATTGCCTAGTCTAAGCCATGGTGTTAGAAACTATGGAAGATCCAAGATAAACATGACAAATGTTAGCCTTCAGGGAGTTCCTACTCTGTGGTGGGCATAGACAAGCACATAGATAATTCTAATGCATGACAGAAAGTATTGTGTGTTGTAATAGAGATATAAACACATTTCTGTGGGAGCATATAATGGCAAAAGATTAATTCTGGCTTGGAGGGAGGGATGTTCTGCCCTTCTGTCACAGCAGAAAAAATATGGTATCATCCACTGTGCATAACTGAAATCCATTTGCCATATGCATAAAGAATGAGTAGATTCACAAAATAAATGACAGTAGGGAGAATTTGATTCACTGCAGTTTTTTTTTTCATTGCAATGTTATAGTATGTTATCCAGTGGTGTTTTCCAGATGTATAATCATCTTCCAAGAAAATACTTGGATCCCTTCCCTTATATCTTCCTTCCTTTTACTATCCTTTCCTTACTAATGGGTACAGAAGAAACAGTGAGGACAATCTGAAAGTATTTTAGTACCTAGAATAAGAACTAACACAAAGATTTAACTCCAGATTTTTTAAAAATAAACTGCTGCTTGTTTTATTATTGTATGGTCATGAGTTAATTTGCCAAATCATTCTTAAACAGTGGTTCCTTAGCCTCACATAATGAAAATAACACTACCCAAGAAATTAGGAGGCAAGTATTCTGAGGCTAGCTGCTACTAACTAGAGGTATGACTTTAGGGAAGTCCTCTTGGTCTTATTTTCCTTATCTTTAAAATTAGTTTATTGGACAAAATTAGAAGGTCACAATCTTGGATGAGACAGGGTCCAGAGCATTTGCCATGTGAGAATATGGAGCCAGTGTTGTCACATCTTCTGAATTATCAAGAGAATCCACAAAGCTTGATATTAATGTGAGATTTCCATAAAATGGCATTTAGGCCAAATAAAACATATCTAAAGGCCAAATTCAGCCCAAGGGCTTCCTTTCTTCAGCTTGTAAAGTAGATGCTCTCTGAAATCTCTTGCATCTCAGACATTCTTTGATTCTGCACTGTTAAGACAGTCTGATTTTCCTTTGTTTAACAGCTACTTCAAAGTTCCAGTTTCCCTGATGAATTAAAGAACATGTTTTGAGCGGCTGTAAAGTTAAATTATAATCACAGATTGGAGAGTTGTAGTTTCTGCTAATCCTTTTGGAGGCTTCTGATTTGTTTAAACAATATGAAAATTAGGAGTGAATGTTAAGTGGTCTAACTCAAGGATGTAGTTTTGAATAAAGAAAAAAAGAAGGAAAAGCAGCCCTTTCCTGCTTCCATTTCCTCTCTACATGCTGCTGTGAGGCAGATCCAGCCAGAGAGCACCTGGCAAGTCAAGTCGGCTTAGTACAGAACCTCATGGCTAGGTTAATCCTGGCTCATAGCAGACCCTAAAAAATAATCGTTGAACAAAGTAAATACTACTGAATGAAGTCCTGTTCTTTGGTGCACTATCATGCCAACTAATTAACATGCCTACCATTTACTGGATAAGAAAAGAACTTTGAATAAAACGAACCATTTTATTATGCGCACTTAAGACTTTAAAGTTTGCCTAAGAAGATGAAACTCCTTTGGTCCCCACAAGCTTCTACCACTGAGCCCATACTTATATGTTGAATCGTTTTTTTTTTTTTGAGGACACAGATTCATCTTACTTATGTTTCTGTCAGCAGCATCCAGCACAGTGTCTGACATGCAGTAAGTACTCAATAAATGTCTTTTTAATCAATGACTTAATCTCTGAATGAGTCAACTAATAAATTATTTAATGAGCCAGAGTTTCTCTCTAGGGCCAAAGCAGCAAGAAAAAAGAATTGAATATAACTCAGTGAATTCTACTAAATCATTTAAAGAAAGATGGTATCAACAGTCTGAGTTTAAAAATGAAGCAAGAAGATTAGTAAAAGTGTCTGGGCTCTTTACATCACTTCCAAATAATTGTATACAGTTGCCATATTCTGGACGTTTCAAATATAATGTTATGCAATCTTGGGTGCTGTTTAAATCTAATGGAGAATACTGATTTTTTTTTAAGTATAGGCAAACAACCTGGTTAGTTTAGTCTGTAAGTTCCCACTTACCTTCTTAGGCTGCGCCTCCAACTGTCAGTTTTCAAAGCCTTTGCAGTGCTATCAAAGTTTATCAAACATATGCCTCATTGAGTGGTCAGTCTTTAGCCCTGGGCATTGTTCCATCCCATAGTTGAGTTCTCAAAAGTTGGTATGCTGACCAGAGTCAAATCAATGCCTGTACAACTTAGGGGGAAACTAAGAGTTCATACTCAATGCTATAGGACTACTTTCTTAGCACTCCCCACCTCACTGCCCTACTGTCTCCCTGTCCCACTCCAGGTTCCAGCCTCTCCCACCCACCTCCTGGTCTTCTGGCTAGAAATCTGAGACTTTAGTTTTCACCTCTGCCTCTCACTTTCTGTCCCTGAGATCACCCTGCCATGGGAACCAAGTGGGGAAAGGCTAGAGAAAGGAACAAACCAACAGAGAATTTTCCCCCGCACACTGTTGGGATACAGTTCCTTTGGTCACAGAGAAGGGTTTCCATCCTTAGAGTTATAAGCATCCACCCAGACACTGTTGCCTTTGCACCCACCGCTTACTATCATCACCTTGCCAGGGTTACCTGGGGGCTTAGCTAGAAGAAAAGGAAAAACAAAAATAGAATTTTCTCCATGCTCTCTGATTTGTAGGGTGTCATTTTCTTTTCCTCAGACTGGAAATAAACTTCTGTTGGAGCTTTTTCTGCTTACATCTGGTGCACAGTTCCACGATTTGGCTGCTTTTGAGTCTAAATCTGAAGATATTGGGGAAAAAGGTCCAAGAAACTCATGCATGATTCAGTGATGTTTTGAGTTCTGTTATTTTTCCCCAATTCACTTATTACTACTTATTTTTCAGAGTTCTCAACTAGCTTCTCCAGCTCTGTCCAGGATTTTTAGCTGTATTCAGTGGGAGAATCAGAGTGTGCTTACTCCATCTTGATTGGACCAAAATTTTTCCCATGTAGTTTTATTAGATGGTAAAAATACACAAGATTGCTTAATGGGGTTGTCTGGCCCACCTAACAGATCCTGCTGTAAATTGGCATTGCTATGTTTAGTTTTGTTTAAACAAGTGCTGTTCTACAAAGGAATGCTTTCTGTCTGGTAAACTGACTTGACAATCTGAGAATGAGACCTGTTATTTGATCACACTCCTTGAGGCACCCTGTCATACCTTTGGCCTCATTCATGTGCTTAACATATATTAATAGAGCCAATTGTGTGTCAGGTGCTATGCTAGATACAAGGGCTACATCTGTGAGGAACACAGAATCCTTGTCTCTAGGGAGCCCACAGTGTCCTGGAAATCAGTGACAGATCACCGCCAATGTTACAAGACAGCAAAACTGAGCCTTAGATCCAGGTTAGAGATAGTTATGTAAACAGGCAATTTTTGTATTGAATGTTTAATATATGATAAAAATCAGTACTAGTATTATAGGAAAACAGAACAGAAACATAATTATGTATTAGTGATTTCTCACTTCTCAATTAATGACACTCTAATCCGTCTACTTACTTAACTGAATACTTGGACTCATCCTTCATTCTTCATTTTTCCTAACACTCCACATCCTATCCATTAGTACATTCTATTCTCTATGCTTTCAAAATATATTCAGAATCCTACCCCGGACTAAGCTACCATAATCTCTCAGCATTCTGTCACAGTATTTCCTGTGTTTCCCCCTTTTTCCACTGTTGTTCTATTTTCCATGCAGCAAAGTAAAAAATTTTTAATGAAAATCAGATTGTAATGTTTCTCTGGTAAAAAAAAAAAAAAAAAAAAAAAAACACTCCAAAGCCCTATCTTATCCAACCCCCATCTCTCTTGCCTCATATCCTATTTCTCTTCCCCTTGTTATGTTTCAGCATTTCTTTTATTCCTCAAAGAACATATTAGGCATATTTGCACTTGCTAATGCCTCTGGCAACAAACTTCTCCCAGATCTTTATATTTTGAATGTGAAGAAATCATATTATTATTAACAAAACTTGGGTCAGGGACCAGGTACCATAAATCAATTTATTTTATCAAATGCTTTGTTAGTATTAACTTGTTTAAGTATCATCTCAGTCTGCTAGATACTATTTTTAAAACCATTTTTTTTCAGGCACAGAAAGGTTAACTAACTTGCTAGTAACAATGAACAGCAAGAAAATGGCAGAACTGTGATTATAACCTTCTGTCTACTTCCAGAATCTGTGCTCTTATATGCTCTGCTCTGCTGCTCTTAATAGTTGAGAGGCATTCTCTACACAAAGTGCGATGTCATCTTGCATATTCACCCCCTTCAGCCATGTGTGGAGTTATGGAGGGAGTGAAGATAGATGGGGACCTAAACCTGGAGAGATAAGAGGCAAGAAAATTCCCCAATTTACCAATATATTCACCACATCTATAATATTGAGACTAACGTATTAACAAATGTCTCTTATAAATGTGGATACCAACCACATCTGGCCCCAATTTAAAAAAAAAGCTAAGCTTGCCAGCTATTCACAGTAACTTTGATTTTTTTTTTTTTTTTTTTAGTTTCTTAATCTATAGTGGAAATAGCCCCTAGCTGATTGGGTTTTATGAGATTAAAGCATTTTGTAAAGTCCTGATTTTGTTAGCACACATTTCAATGGAGCTGTCTCAGCTACCTGAAGAAGGTGAAAGGTCAGCCATGTGCTTCCTTCTCTGGTGGAGGAAGAAGGCTGGAAAGTAGGTGAAATGGCACAGGCAGAATTTAAACTTGGATTTCTATGACTTGAAGTCCTGATGCCTCATGAATGCTGAAACAAATCATGATGTCTTTCTGTAAAATACATAAGCATCAAAATGACTTAATAAGAAATTACAAAAGTTAAACTTCTATTTGTTCTCTTCTGGTATTTTGTTGGTTTTCCAATTATTATTATTTTTATTATTATCATTTTGAGGGGGAGGAGTTTGCAATCACTTGGGTCTCTGGGTGATTAGGAAAAATAGTCACCAGGCACTTCTACAAGATCCTAATGCTGCTCAAATAGGCCAGTTGTTCCCAGATGCTCAATAATAACAAAAGATTTAATGAACTGTGAACAAACATGTACATCCGTCAGCTTTTAAGATCTTGTTTTGATCGGCCCCTTCTGTACATACCTGGGCCCAGGTCTTGGGCAGTGCTAGCAGGCATTATCTAAGAGAACAGACACATGGAACTGTGTAGGAAAAATTCAATATCGTTGCCATTTGTTTTCCCTAAGTTTATCTCTTATTTAGAATAATTTTTAAAAAGGTGATACAGGGATTTCTTCTTTCCAATGAATAGCAATATAGTGTAACAAGAAAACTAGTCATGACATTACAAGTTTCTGTCTACTTTTGATTTTTACCGCCTGAGTGACCACGGAAAATCGACTTCACTTGTCTACAGCTTAGTTTCTTTATATATACAGTGTGGATAGTTTCTGCTGTGCAGGTCTATCTTGTAGTGCTTAGGCACATATCAGATACATGCAAAATTATGTTGAAAAGTGCCAAGCAAATGCAAATTGTCAATATTGTCCCCATTCAATGCAATAAACAGTGTAGTAAGCATGCCCTACACACTGTGATTTAATTTACAAATTAAAAAGGCTCAAAATTGCCTTTGCACCAGTTGCTGTCTATTGTGGACCAGGCATAAATCAAAATCAGAAAAAAAAGCTAAATAGTGACTGCCTGAGAGTCTAATGGGCATCCCATCAGGTGAGACCTTTCACTTACTTTTATACTCTAAAGTCTTGACCAGAAATATATAGTGACTAAAGGTTATTATGATTTACATTTTGACACAGTTACTACTTAGGAAGCATCTTGTGCCAGGCTCTGTGTGATGTACCTATGACTTTTCTATAACATTTAATTCTCATATTATCCTTGTAAAAGAAGGGTCATCATTTAGCAGATGATTAAACTGAATGTTAAGTAATTGAAGTAACCTGTCCAAGCCACAGAGCCAGGAAGACACATAACAGGATTCAAACATAGATCTCCATACCCTGTTCAAAAGAGAGAAAAATAAAAGAATGAGACTCAAACCCACCTTTTATAACAGCCAGAAAAACATGTACTGCTGAACTCTGATAGTGGTTGGGAGGCAGAGTTGCAGAACATGGCTTAGGGTCAAGGTAAAGCACATAAGTGTGGCCTCAGAGATTGTCACTGAATACCCAATCTTCTGGATCGTGTGAGTAACCTCTTCTTTACTTAGCATGTTAAATAGGGAAAGGTAGGTTATAAGACTGACCTGGGAAATGGATGTTTCAAACTCTGCTCCCCTGAAGTATTCCCACAATTCTATAATAAGGTATATAGAGTGTCAGAGAGAGGTCTAGAGAAAATGATCCAGAGTTCAAAGTGCAACTTAATTTTAATATCTGCAATCATGGTGGTCTTCATGAAGGAAGTGTTCTTGGATCCTTTAAAAATGGTTAGCAGCTAATAGCACAATAACAGGATCAAATTCTCACATATCAATTTATATCCTGAGTGTAAATGGGCTAATGTCCCCACTTAAAAGGCATAAAATGGCAAGTTGGATAAAGAAGCAAGACCCAACTGTCTGCTAACTTCAGGAGACCTATCTCACAAGTAACAGCACCCACAGTCTAAAACTAAAGACATGGAGAAAGATCTATCAGGCAAATGGAAAACAAAAAACTGCAGGGGTAGCTTTTCTTATAAACCAACGATAATTTTTTAAAAGACAAAGAAGAGCATTGTATAATGGTAAAAGTTACAATACAAACAAGAAGACTCAACTATCCTAAATGTATATGTATCCAACATTGGAGCACCCAGATTCATAAAACAGGTTTCTAGAGATCTATGAAGAGATTTAGGAAGCTACACAATAATCTTGGGGAACTTCAACACCTGACTGACAATGTCAGACGTATCATCAGGGCATAAAACTAATGAAGATATTCTGGACTTAAACTCAAGACTTGACCAATTGGAGCTAATTACACATCTACAGAACAATCCATCCAAAAACAACAGAATATACATTCTTCTCGTCTGCACATGGCACATAATTCTAAGATGAGCACGTGCTCAGGAATAAAGCAAGTCCAAGCAAATTCAAAGAAATTGACATCATACCCAACACACCCTCAGACCACAGCACAATACAAATTAAAAATCATTACTAAGAAAATCTATCAAAACCGTACAGTTACATGGAAATTAAACAATGTGCTCCTGAATGACTTTGGGATAAAAAAATGAAATTAAAGCAGAAATCAAAAAATTCTTTGAGTGCTTGCTTTGGCAGCACATATACTAAAATTGGAACGATACAGAGAAGATTAGCATGGCCCCTGCGCAAGGATGACACGCAAATTTGTGAAGCGTTCCATATTTTTAAAAGTGGGCGAAGGACATGAACAGACACTTCTCAAAAGAAGACATTTATGCAGCCAAAAAACACATGAAGAAATGCTCACCATCACTGGCCATCAGAGAAATGCAAATCAAAACCACAATGAGATACCATCTCACACCAGTTAGAATGGCAATCATTAAAAAGTCAGGAAACAACAGGTGCTGGAGAGGATGTGGAGAAATAGGAACACTTTTACACTGTTGGTGGGAGTGTAAACTAGTTCAACCATTGTGGAAGTCAGTGTGGCTACTCCTCAGGGATCTAGAACTAGAAATACCATTTGACCCAGCCATCCCATTACTGGGTATATACCCAAAGGGCTATAAATCATGCTGCTATAAAGACACATGCACATGTATGTTTATTGCGGCATTATTCACAATAGCAAAGACTTGGAACCAACCCAAATGTCCAACAATGATAGACTGGATTAAGAAAATGTGGCACATATACACCATGGAATACTATGCAGCCATAAAAAATGATGGGTTCATGTCCTTTGTAGGGACATGGATGAAATTGGAAATCATCATTCTCAGTAAACTATCGCAGGAACAAAAAACCAAACACCACATATTCTCACTCATAGGTGGGAATTGAACAAAGAGATCACATGGACACAGGAAGGGGAATATCACACTCTGGGGACTGTGGTGGGATGGGGGGAGGGGGGAGGGATAGCATCGGGAGATATACCTAATGCTAGATGACGAGTTAGTGGGTGCAGTGCACCAGCATGGCACATGTATACATATGTAACTAACCTGCACAATGTGCACATGTACCCTAAAACTTAAAGTATAATAAAAAAAAATAATAAATAAATAAATAAATAAATTCTTTGAAACTAATGAAAACAAAGGCATAACATACCAAAATCTGTGGGACATAGCTAAAGCAGTATTAGGAGGAAAGTTTATAGCACTAAATGCCTACATCAAAAAGTTGGAATCATCTCAAATTAACAACCTAACATCACACCCAGGAAAGGAAGAAGAACTAGAAAAACAAAAGCCAAACAACATCAAAGCTAGCAGAAGATAAGAAATAATCAAAATCAGAACTGAAATGATTGAAATTGAGATGTGAAAATCCATACAAAACATCAATGAAAACAAAAGTTGGTTTTTTGAAAGATTAAACAATATTGATAGGCTGCTAGCTAGGTTAATAAAGAAAGAAAGAGAAGATCCAAATAAACACAATTAGAAATGACAAAGGGACATTACAACTGACCCCACGGACATACAAAATATCCTCAGAGACTATTGTCAGCATCACTGTGCACACAAACAAGAAAACCTAGGAGAAATAGGTAAATTTCTGAAAACACCCAGCCTCTCAAAATTGAACCAGGAAGAAATAAAAATTCTGAACAGATAAATAACAAATTGTGAAATTGAATCAGAAATAAAAAGCCTACCAGCCAAAAAATGTCCTGGGCCCAATAGAATCAAAGCCAAATTCTACCAGATGTTCAAAGAAGAGCTAGTATCAGTCCTATTAAAATTATTCCAAAAATACAAGGAGAAGGTACTCCTCCCTAACTCATTCTACAAAGCCAGCATCATCCTGATATCAAAGCCTGGCAGAGACACAACAATAAAAGAAAACAACAGGCTCATATCCCTGATGAACATAGATGCAAAAATCCTCAAAAAATACTAGCAAACAGAATTCAGAAGCACATGAAAATGTTAATTAACCACCATCAAGTAGGCCTTATTCCTGGGATTCATGGTTGGTTTAACATACGCAAATCAATAAATGTGATTTACCACATCAACAGAAGTAACAAAAACCAAGTGATCATCTCAATAGATGCAGAAAAAGCCTTCCATAAAATTCAATATCCCTTCATGTTAAAAACTCTGAACAAGTTAGGCAACAAAGGAACATACATCAAAATAATAAGAGCCATCTATGACAAATCCACAGCCAACATCATACTGAACAGGCAAAAGCTGGAAGCATTCCTTCTGAGAATTGGAACAAGACAAGAATATCCACTATCTTCATTTGTATTCAATGTAGTGCTGGAAGTCCTAGCCAGAGCAATCAGGCAAGAGACAGAAATAAAGGGCACCCAAATAGGAAGAGAGGAAGTCAAGCTACTTCTTTTTGCAGACGATATGAATCTATACCAAGAAAACCCCATAGATTGCACCAGAAGGCTTCTAGAACTGATAAACAACTTCGGTAAAGTTTCAGGATACAAAATCAATGTACAAATATCAGTAGCATTTTTATAAACCAATAATGTCCAAGCTCAGAGCAAAATCAAGAACACAATCTCATTTACAATAGCCAAAAATAATAATAAGGAATAACTAGGAATACAGTTTACCAAGGAAGTGAAAAATCTCTGTAAGAATTACAGAACACTGCTGAAAGAAATCAGAGATGACACAAACAATTGGAAGAACATTCTATGCCCATGGTCAGGAAGAATCAATATTGTTAAAATGGCCATATCACTCAAAGTAATTTACAGATACATTGCTATTTCTACCAAACTACCAATTTCATTTTTCACAGAATTAGAAATGTGCATCCTAAAATTTATACAGAATCAAAAAGATCTCAAATCAAGCAAAAAGAACAAAGCCAGAGGCATCACACTACCCAACTTCAAACTATACTACCAGGCTACAGCAACCCAAACAGCATGGTACTGGTAGAAAAACAAACACATAGGCCAGTGAAACAGAATATAGAACCCAGAAACAAAGCCACACATTTACACTCAACTGATCTTCAACAAAGTCAGTAATAACAAACAGTGGGGAAAGGACTTCCTATCCAATAAATGGTGCTGGGATCACTGGCTAGCTGTATGCAGAAGATTGAAATTGGACTCCTACCATTCACTATATGCAAAAATTAACTCAAAATGGATTAAAGACTTAAATGTAAGAGCTAAAACTATAAAAACCCTAGAAGAAATCCTAAGAAATACCATTCTGAACATTAGCCTTAGCAAAGAATTTATGACTAAATTCCCCAAAGCAATTGCAACAAAAACAAAAATTGACGCATAGAACCTAATTAAGCAAAGGGCTTCTGCACAGCAAGGGAAACTATCAGCAGAGTAAACAGACAACCTACAGAATTGGGGAAAATATTTCTAAACTATGTATCCAACAAATGTCTAATATCCAGAATGTGTAAAGAACTTAACCAAATCAGCAGGCAAAAAACAACCCCATTTAAAATGGGCAAATAATATGAACAGACATGAATCCCACTACTGAGTGTATACCCAAGAGAAAAGCACTCATTCTACGAAAAAGACACATCCCTTTATATGTTCATCACAGTGCTGTTCACAATAGCAAATACATGTAATCAACCAAGATGCCCATCAGTGGTGGACTGGTTAAAGACATGGTACATATGCATGCATGGTACCATGCACCATGGTACATATACACCATGAAATACTAAACAGCCAAACAAAATCATGTCCTTTGCTGCAACATAGATCAAGCCCAAAACCATTATCCTGAGTGAACTAATGCAGGAATAGAAAACCAAAAACTACATGTTCTCATTTATAAGTGGGCGCTAAACATTGAATACACATGGACATAAATATGGAAATAACAGACACTGGAGATTGCTTGAAGAGGAAGGGTGGTAGGGAGCTATGGTTTGGAAGGCTACCTATCAGGAACTATGGTCACTATCTTGGTGACAGGATCATTTATACACCAATCCTCAGCAACACAATTTACCCATGTAACAAACCTGCACATATACCCCTGAGCCTAAATAAAAGTAAGAGGAAGAAAATGGTTAGGACTAGTATTAGTGTAGGATTAGGGAGAAAAAGTAAAATAGAAGGGTAGTCTAGAGAAGACAGTTTGTTAATTTAATTCATTCACCAAATATTTATTGGTGGCCAACTGTGTGCCAGAAATTGTTCTAGGCACTGAGTAGAAAACAAAAAAGAAAATATCCGGGCTCGGCACGGTGGCTCACGCCTGTAATCCCAGCACTTTGGGAGGCCAAGTGGGGGCCAATCACGAGGTCAGGAGATCGAGACCATCCTGGCTAACATGGTGAAACCCCGTCTCTACTAAAAATACAAAAAAATGTACCCGGGCATGGTGGCAGGTTCCTGTAGTCCCAGCTACTCGGGAGGCTGAGACAGGAGAACAGTGTGAACCCAGGAGATGGAGCTTGCAGTGAGCCAATATCGCGCCACTGCACTCCAGCCTGGACCACAGAGTGAGACTCTGTCTCAAAAAAAAAAAAAAAAAAAAAATCCCTGTTTTCATAGAGCTTATATTTTAGTGAGTGGTGTTTGAGACAGCCAATAAGCAAGATAATAAGATAAATTTATAAAATATGTTAGGTGTTGGTAAAGTGAAAATAATGTCACAAAAGAAGATAGGGAGTGTTGGTGGGGGGAGGTAGAGATGCAATTTAGACAGGATATCCAGAGAAGGTCTCACAGAGAGGATTATGCCTGAGTAAAGTCATAAATTGGGAAGGAAACATGCCCTGCAACTTGTGAAGCAAGCTCACCATGCACTGGTTACCAACTTGTGTGACAGAACATACTCATATGCAAGTTATGGGAAATGGGTTTATTACTTACAGATAGGCAGCAAAAAACATCAGAAGCCTAGGACTCATTGTGAGCTGCTCCCCCAAGGCTCAGAAATCTGCCTAGGGTGGATGGAGTCTCAATTGCATGTAACCCACTTGCATAGCAGATAAGGGACCCTGGAAAGCAGCCTGCCCTGGGTGTTATATCCTGGGGTCACATGACTTACTGTGCTAAATCATTGAAGGACATGCTGTTCTGGTGAGACTGAAACAGAGCCTAGGCTCTTCTAGCCAGTCTCTATCTCAGTAAGTTACATTATCAGACCATCATACAGTTACTGTTGAGAACTACAAGCAAGAAAGGGAGAAAAACCTGGTCAGTCCAAGGCCATCTGGAGAATTGTCCTGCACAAATCTTGTGGGCAGAACATTCTAGGCAGAAGACACAGCAATTACAAGGGCTCAGAGGCAGGGGCATGCCTAGCATGTTTGAAGATGTGGGAGAAAGTCAGTGTGTCTAGGGCGGAATAATTTACGAGAAGAGTATTAAGAGATTGAGTCAAAGGAATAAGGGGTGAAATACCATGAGGCACGCTCCTGTATGTCTTTGAAGGCCATTGCAAGGACTTTGGCTTTTACTTTTAGTAATGAGAAAAAAGTCACTGGGAAGTTTGATCAGAGGATTGTCATGATCTGACTTCTAGTTAAGGCTATTGTGCTAAAAACAGGCTGGAGTGCAGGGAAGATGGGCAAAAGGAGAAAGCAGGCAACCAGTTAGAAGACTATTGCTGTAATCTAGACAGGAGAGGATATATACTGAGTCTGGTAGAAGTAGATTAGTGCTAAGTAGTCTAATTCCAGATAAATTTTGAAGATAAATCAAATAAGAGTTGTGAAGGTATGAAGGAAAAAGAGGAGTCAAAAGTGATTCAAAAGTGTTTGACTTGGCAACTAGAATAATGGAATTTCCAGCAGTGTGAGGTAAAATGTGGAAATATGAATCCAGTCTGTGTGGGGAAGGAAATTGTAAGATTTGCCTAGAGTGTAGCCTGGGACCACTGTCTAGTCCTGAGATGGAAGCAGGATTTCCCATCTTATATTATGTCACAATGCACTACGCCAGTTTCTCTAGGGAGACTCTCTACTGGGGAAATTAAAGGTGTCAGTATTTGGGCCAGCAATCAAGATGGAGATGATAAGCCTCTACAATTTGGGAAGCCATAAAACAACATACTACCTTTGGAGAGTTGTTGTTGTTTGTTGTTGTTGAAAAAAAAAAAAAAAAACACCTTTCTTAAAGAAAACATTTCTTCCAAAATGATAAGCTCTGGCTTTACCTCAGCTCTTTCTTTCACCTATTTTTTTTTTAACCACACTCTTCCTATATGTCTTAACCCTATTCATTCTATAATCACCAGGCCTGGAAATAGATTTCACTTCCTAGACACCTTTGCCATAATCATGGCCTCTACCACAGGCAGGAACATTTTCTTCTGTCATTGGGATCACTGCATTCCCTCTTAATGAGTTTCCCTGACAGTCCTACTCCTACAGCCCTTTAAACCTTTCTCCACAATGTAGCCAGATTGGTCTTTTCTAAAACAGAAATCTGATCATGTCCCTCCCTAGCCTCAACACTTCAATGGATCCCAAAGCTCTTATCATAAAATGCAGTAATCTTTTTTGGTTGTTTGTTTTGTTTGTTTTGAGGCTGACTGACTTTCCCTCTTGTTGCCCAGGCTGGAGTGCAATGGCGCCATCTTGGCTCACTGCAACCTCCCAGGTTAAAGGGATTCTCCTGCCTCAGCCTCCTGAGTAGCTGGGATTAGAGGCACCTGCCACCACACCCAGCTAATTTTGCGTTTTTAGTAGAGACAGGGTTTCACCTTGTTGGCCAGGCTGTTCTTAAACTCTTGACCTCAGGTGATCCACTCGCCTCAGCCTCCTAAAGTGTTGGGATTACAGGCGTGAGCCACCGCTCCTAGCCAAAAGGCAGCAATCTTAACATGGCTTAAGCATCTCTGCCTTCCTCTACCATTTCAGCTCTCTCTTTTCTCCTACCTCCTACTCTCTGTGCTGGTCATTGATTTCCTTAAAGTCTCCCAAACATAGCATGCTCTATCTTATCTGTTATTCTTCAAAAATGCTTGGACCACTCTTTCTCTCCCTTCATCTGATTGATACTTAGCTTAATGCTCAGCTTCAGAGAGCTTCCAGGTCTGATTCACTATTCAGTCCTGTCTCAGTACTTATCAAAACACATTATAATTGCCTGCTTAGATAGATGCTCATCTGCCCTTAGACTCTAAGTAAATGAGAGCAAGAATCACTTCTTTCTTGTTCAGCATGATGTCCCTCACTCGGAGCAAGTTCTGAGCAGTTAGAAATAACAGGCACTAAGTCCATACTTGTCAAATCAATCATCAATAACAAATTTTAGTTCCTTTAGTTCCTTAGTTCCCAAGAACCTTCTATTGGAAGGGATATTTCTCACTCCTTTGGGCCTCTATAGATTTTACCTCCACATGTTTTACAGATTTATTATATTCTACCTTTCACTGTATTTACATAATTTATCTCTGTTATTGGACAAGTTTCTTATGTACAAGCTCCATGTTCAAATCATCTTTTTTTCTCTAGATGATAAATTACACAGCTTTGTGTATATTCTGACTCTAATAAATGTTTACTGAATTAATTAATGAATTAAAGGAGTTTAAATGTTATATTTTATAACTTTCAAATAGGCCAGTTTATAGAGAGCATATGCTTTGAGATTAGACGTACTGGGTGATAAATCTAAATAGGTAAATTTATATCAGATGGTGGAATATCTAGTATCGCCAGGTAAGAGAACATAATAGTTTAGAAACTGGAGGTTTGTTGAGGATTTCTGAACCAAAAAGGTATATTATCACAGCTCATACTAATGAAATGAATCTGTCCTTAAGATACATTTTATGGTACAGAAATACAGTTCTATCCTGCATTCATACTTAGAGTTTGGTTTTGGAAGAAAGTGGATCTTGCTACTGTTGGTGATTCAGAACTTTTTTCAGAGTTTTGGAAGAAAAACCTGAATACAGAAGATAACTATCAGGCCCATTATGTTGGTACTGTTTCTCAGTGTTACCCATGGTTCTAACTCTGATAAAATTGCTCCAGTGCATTCTCTAATTACAGGTAACCCATTATTCAGTACCCAGGAATGTCGCGAGAGTAGATTTGTACCTCAAAGCTATGCTTAATTTGTTTCCCAACAGGTTCTCTGACTCTGAAAACACATCATGTTCAGGATTCCAAAATGGGATTTGTGATCAACGCCATCTATTCGATGGCCTATGGGCTCCACAACATGCAGATGTCCCTCTGCCCAGGCTATGCAGGACTCTGTGATGCCATGAAGCCAATTGATGGACGGAAACTTTTGGAGTCCCTGATGAAAACCAATTTTACTGGGGTTTCTGGAGATACGATCCTATTCGATGAGAATGGAGACTCTCCAGGAAGGTATTGTGTTACAATTCTCCTCTGCAGAGTAGAGACTGAATAACAGCCAACTCTTGATCCTGAAATGTCTCTTTCTCTCCTTTGTGGTTAATCTAGGTTTCCTGGTAATGTTTCCCCTTCCCTGACATCCCAAATGAGCAAAGATAGAGAGAAGAAGCCCCATTTCCTGTGGCCAGGAAAAAAGCATTTGTGCTGATGTCCAAAATGTGCTTTGCGAATCATCACATTTCAGAGACCTAAACTAAGAGGCAGGAAACTCACATGATCATAGATAAATAAAAACCATCTCTGTGGTTTCTCTGTACATGCTTGTCATGTTATTCCCCATATTCAGATATTTTCTTGCATAATAGAACTATTCTGAAATAGGAACAATTTGATTTCTGGTAATCCAGAAATAGGGCTGAGGTTCTGTTCTGTTGTTTGCTGTACGTACAGCAAGTGAATTATAAGTCACATTTTATTTTATTATTCTCCAGCTGGATCACTTTCTTCCTTGTTAAGGACTAAATTGTTTTTTTTCTCTGAAATTTTACCTTTTATTATTTGTAGAGGAACTTGAGGAACATAAACTCATAAGTATAGGTCAGTCCCCAGAGAAATCACTAAGTACCCAGAACTTACCATAATTCACATTTGTCTTCTACTCCAAATTCTTAAATGACTCTACATAGTCATTTAAGACTTATAGACACTTTTAATCTATAAGGAATAATGCCATTGAAATGATATTTTGAGTTGTAGCAGGGCTGAGTCTTCACTCAGCCTTGTATCAAAACAATAGGGTCCTTTGGTCTCTCAGTGCCCTTCTAGCAATAGCTCATACTTAACAACTGTGCTTGGAAAACTGTCTATACACTCTGTTTGTAGTTGACCCTGCCAAAAGGTTTCATGAATCCCCAACAATTCACACCACATGTGCCCACACATTCTGTCAGCAACCTTGGTTTATCACACTTCTACATTCTAAGATGAGCTGGAGCTTATCCCAAATGCAGCTGTTACTATTTCACATGCCAGACTTATAAGTGATAGCTAGTTTCAGGTCATACAGCCAAGTGAAAACCCAGGTTTTTTTTCTTCTATTCCAGAGACTTGAAGAATATTGCTATAACTAGGCTGTTTGCCAAAATAAGCTGAATTTTCACATGTTGTTTTCTACTTTTTGGCTCTTACGTATATCCATGAAGGAAAAAAATACAAGCATTTTCTCAGGGCCAAACAAAACTTCACAGTTGTAAATCTTTTAAGGGCAGGCTGACCAATGAGCTCAGTCTTTAGGCTCAGGTCAAGGCCTGGGCTCAGATACCTGCACAGGAATTTATTATTCCCATGTGCATCTCTAGAGTTCTGACATCAGCTTAGGACTTGCTGATAGAATCTGATGACTGTAGCTCCACCAATTCAAGAGTTTTTATATCAGGTACCCAAACCATTCCGCAAACCAGGGAGGGAGGAGATGCCTCAGAAGGTCCAGCTCTATTCCAATGGGAAACCTTGATGGATCTGGCAGAACATCGCTACCTTATTCATAATCATCCAAATATGTTGTAAGGGTTTCTTAATCTTTTTTTGGAACAATCATCCCTTCAAGACTCAGACAAAATGTATAGCTATTCTTTCAAGAACAACATACTTAAAATCTTGCAAACAACTTCTGGGAATTCAGGATTGCTTTGAGTCTATCCTTGCACTACTAGGTTTGAGTATAACATTAACCCATGAATAAATTATCAGAGTTGGCCTCTAAGGGCATGAAGCAGACTCAGGAAAAGGTGATTTACCACCTTTTGTTTCTCCAAATAATCCAGTTACTTTTACAAAAAAAATTATAACTAGCATATATTGAGTGTGTGTTCTGAGCCAAAGACTAAGCCAAGTGTTCTACTTTTTAATCCTATGAGGTAAGTAATGTTACCATTCTTTTTTCCAGCTAAAGAAAACCAAAGCTTACAAAAGTTCAATGACTTGCCCAAAAACACAGTCTAGTAAATGATAGAGTCAAAATTTTAACTCTGTCTCCTGGGCTTCAACTTCTAACATTATACAACAGCCTGACAATTAATCAACCAGGATCAAAATTTTAAAGACACTATATTCTGAGAAAACTTATTTGTAGACATTAGGTTGTTATTTTTGTGGAGCAAAAGCATTCTGCCAGATCAAAGGCATTCCCAGCTGAGTGAGAAAGCAAAGGATCCTGGGGTGATTAAGGAATCCTCTACAATTCCAGAGTTAAAAGTGGAGGATCCTAAACAGAGGAAGCTGAGAGAGATGGCAACTCACTCTGGCACACACTTGCAGACTGTTAGCACGTTTTAATCATTGTTTTTAAATCTCTCATCTGATTAGTCTACTATCAGTACCCAATGCTCTAATGAAAACCATGGTGCCAGGTGTTACAGAACCCAGAATTTTTGAATTTACAAAAGCCTAAACAATCATATAATGCCCCTAACATAATATGTAATAGCACTCCCTAATAAACACATTAATATTTCTGCAGCAAAACATACGAATATTCACATTGTGATAAACAAGACTATAAATAGCCTCATTTAGTTCCAGTCACATTTCATCCCTAGATAAAGTTCAGGTAATGTCATGTTTTGCTGCCAAGTGAGTTACAAAAAAAAGAAAAAAAAATTTCAGAGCTCTAAAGATTTCACAATTACCGATAAGAAATATGGACCTTTACTATTTTACCATTAACAGACTAGATCACCAGTCATCAGTCATCAAACTATGATCTGCAGACCACATGGAGTCTGCTGCTTGTTTTTATAAGAAAGGTTTTTTGGAACCCAGTCACATTGATTTATTTAGGTGCTATAGCTGCTTGTACACCACAATGGCAGAGGTGAATAGAAACCATCTCAAAGCCTAAAATATTTACCATACATCCCCTCACAGCAAAAGTTTGCTAATCTCGGGTTTAGGGACTCCATTGAGAATTAAAGTTTAAGATGCGTGGCTGCCACCCGGAATTGACCATAATAGGCAGAGGAAACGTGGACACCCAATGTTAGACTGAGTACAACTAACTAATTAAAGCAAAAAACTAAAACATTATATTGTGGGGTTTGTAAGTACATGGGTGCGAAGTATTTGAAAACAACGGCAAAAATGAAAAAGAATTTGAAATTGCACAAAGCCAAATTTCTTATATTTTACATTAAGTGACTCAATATTAAGTAGAATAAAAATGCATATTGTAATCTCTTGAGCAACCACAAAAATTTTAATACAAAGAGGAGCATTTAAAAGCCAATAGAGAGATAAGAAAGAACAAAAGAGAGAGAAAGAGAATGAGAGAAAGAGAGAAAGAAAGAAAAGAAAAGGCCCAAAATAGGGCAGGAAAGAAAGAACAGAGGAGCACAAACAGATGCGGTAAATAGAAAATACGAGGCTAGAATAGTAGAAATGGCAGATAACGACTTTGTGTGCATGCGGATTCTTGATATATGTCTCTGCTCATAGAAACAGATGTTCTGCTTCAATGTCCAGATTGTCCTGGTAAAAAATCTGTGTCATAGAAAGAAAGAGACATGTCCAAGGTTGCATAGTCAATTAAATAACAGGGCAAGGACATACGCAAATCTCAGGCACAATCATCAAGTAAAAATTTACCTTCTTTTTTTTTCTTATATTACATTTGAAATGGTTCAATGTATTAACATATAGTATAAAAGTGTTGCATTATTAGGTGCCATTCACATTTTTGGTCTAACTAACTCTGTGATCTCTCATTACTCTGTGATTGTCCAACCCCAAAGGCACAGATCATTGTAATTGCTTTGTTGTATGGACCAGGGCTTATTATGCCAACCCACAGATAATTTAGCACACATTTAAGAATTTTTAACAAAAGCACCTTAGCATCGGAATTATAGATTGAAAGAGCCTTAGGACCCACATAAAAGTAATACTCTTCAGTCTTCTCCAAATGATTTTTCACTTTCTCTAACAACAACCCTGTTTCAGCCCCTTGAATAAATCCCTCATTATCATCTGAAGACAATCTTCTCTAATTTTCAGAGTTCTAGCCATTTAGAAAGTTCCTTATTTCTGTACAATTGAAACCTGACTTTCTCTAGTTTACCTTAAATGCTTTAATAGAACTTTTTGTTGTTGTTATTGTAACATATTTTGTTTATTTTGATTTTGAGCAATATATAAAATTTATTTTTAAAATTATTTAGAATATTCTAGGTTTAAATTTTGGCTGGTTAAGGAAGAGCAGACATGAGGAGTTAGAGAGTAAGGGGAAGGAAGGGACAGGTATTAAAGAAGATAAATTACATATACAAACACACTGTGCTGAGAAAAACATTTCAGAAGCAGAGAAATATAGAAACCAAGAGGTGCAATGAAAAAGAAAGGCCAGGGGAGGGTGAGGGAAGGGGAGGGAGAGGGGGAAGGGGTGGGGGAGAGGGAGAAGGAGCAGGAGGAAGAAGGAGGAAGAGGAGGAGGAGGAAGGAGGAGGAGGATTGAGGAAGAAGAGAAGGAGGAGGAGATAAATGGGAGGAAGGAGATGGGAAGGAGAAAAAAGAAACTGGGCTGGAGATTTATATTAAAGTGTCTTGTGATTGGAATGACACACTAATCTTTGCTTCTGACACTGAATATGTGCAAGTTGGATCTTTACTAAAGCCATCAAAAACAAAGAGCACACTGAATTACTGTTTTCTTGTTTTGTTTTGTTTTGAGACAGTCTCACTCTGTCACCCAGGCTGGAGTGCAGTGGCGCGATCTAGGCTCACTGCAAGCTCCGTCTCCCGGGTTCACGCCATTCTCCTGCCTCAGCCTCCCAAGTAGCTGGGACTACAGGCGCCTGCCACCACGCCCGGCTAATTTTTTTTATTTTTAGTAGAGACGGGGTTTCACCATGTTAGCCAGGATGGTCTCGATCTCCTGACCTCATGATCTGCCCGCCTCAGCCTCCCAAAGTGCTGGGATTACAGGTGTGAGCCACCGTGCCTGACCTTCTGTTATTTTATTGGAAAACAAAATACAGTCTTCTAGATTGAATCATGGCTAAAGATTGCAAGAAGCCATTATGTCTTTTGATTCTTAACTAAAAGTTACGTAAGAGTATGTTTTAAACACTCACTTTATTTTCCTTTTGTTGGAGAATAAAAGCTATATTCTATCTCTGAAAATTAAAAGGGCTCATACCAATTCACAAGTCAACGGGAGAATATTCTTTTGTGGAGACATATTATCTATTTCTCTTTTTTAGTGTACTAAAACAAGATTTTTAAAGCAATGTTCTATTTTCACAGCTTAAGCTGTGAGTGATAATATCTTTGTGTTTGCCTTGTATTAAGAAACAATGACTAGAAATCTAAAGCCTAATTCCAAAGAGAGGATTCATTGTCTCTAATGTAATTATAACAAGTTTATTGAGTTCAACTGAAATTAAGGTTTAACTTTCCTTAAAACAAGTTCCCTGTCAAATGTGATTTTCCAATCTATAGAGTTTTCATGTTTATTTTTCAAAAACTGGATCTCTTTACTTTTTACTATTTGTCATACATAAAACAAAGAGGCATGGATATAGAGATAAAAGCCTTACAATATAAATTGGTTCAAATTTTTACAATATTTAAGCAAGGAAAATATGATCTCTTAGCTCTACCCAGGATTTGGAGCAGTACCCAGGATTTGGAGCAGTCTAATAAGGAAGAAGGAACTGCAGACTTGAAATCTAAAGGCTTGGTTTAGGTCCTAGCTCTGATGCTTACATACTCTGTAATCTGTACTAATTAACCTCACTGAGCTTCAGTCCATTATCTGTAAAATTAACAGTGTGAACTAAACTTTTCAGACTTAAGAATTGCTAGAAACAGAGTTGACAGCTCATTTTTGAGTAAGGAATGACACCCACATATTTCTTCAAATTATCAGCAGCAAAGAAACAAGTCTGACACTGACATTTCTCTTTCTCCCATCCTAGAATCTTCAAAGGTTATTTGCTCATAGAAAGTCACCCTTTGAATACTTAAAGCTCATATATTTGAAGTAGCCAATGACATAATACGTGAGTTCTTTTTACCTCAGTGCTCTGTGCTCTAATATCTCAACTCATTGCATGCACAGAGGCCAAAGGATAATTGTGACCGAGAGGGAAGGAAAGTATCCTATAAATTGGTATTTTTGATTTAGAAGTAGAATTTAGACAGTTACACCAAATTGTTACTGACTGCAGGAAAATTATCAAGTTACTGAACAACCAACAAAACAAGAATGAGGTAATATTCTGAAGAAAAAAAAAAACTACAGTAAAAAATGTGACTGGGAGTGAAAACAGAATGGCATCATTTTATAACATAAGTTTCAATAGATTGATGCCAGTTTTGTTCTCAGTATTTCTGTACAGAACATTGGTTTGTGTATAGTAATCTCATCACTTGAATCCAAAAGCGAGAACATTTTCCATTCATATCAGTTTCCAGATAGCTACACATGCTGAGCATTGGAAGTTGGAGGAGGCATTTATATGTCTATCTGTCAGTACTATAAGTCCTGAGGGGGTAAACAGTATAAAATATTATGTGAACACAGTGTGTACCTGAGACATACCTGTAGAAACTGAGATAATGGTGATATTGCTTATCCAATATCCTCAAATTGGAAAATTATTTCAGAGATTCTTCTCTAGAAATGAGCTTACTTATAAGAAAAGGCTTGTAAGTTAGCACATTGATTTTCTCTTTTTACATTTCTATCCACATACTCAAAAAACAATAGCTAGCAAAGGCTGAGAACTCACAAGGAACTACTCTCTTCCAGGATGTTTACATTGCATGAGGTGCTTTAGAAGCTATTTTCAAACTTTTTTAAACATCACTCTCAAAACTATCTTTGTACAATGAATTTAGCCATTGATAATGGGCAAAGTAAGAAAGGTAAAATGAGGCCCTCTGTAAATTATCCCTATATCCCCTAAAGCTGAAAATAAGATGAAAGATTTACCAAATTTCTCACTTGGTTAGTAAATGTAAGTTTTATCATTTTACTTGAATACAGACAAAAACCTTTCTATCTTTTGTAGAAGCCTAACAGTACTCGTTTAAACTTCTTGAAGTTATTTCGAAACTGTCTTTCATCCTGCTGGGGTCAAGTCACCTTCTCACATGGGATTACTTTCTATTTCAGGTGTAAGCTTGAAAGTACAAAAATGGTCTCTGCAGAGAAAGTAAAATAGACAGATTTTTTTTGTTATTCTAAGTGTACTGTCATGGAAAATTCCAGTGCTACTTATATGACAATAGACACATTTTTGGGAATAAAATATATTGCCTTTTCAAAGCTGAGTATTTACATCTTAAGCTGCATAATTATCATATTCTTATTCCTAAGGTATGAAATAATGAATTTCAAGGAAATGGGAAAAGATTACTTTGATTATATCAACGTTGGAAGTTGGGACAATGGAGAATTAAAAATGGATGATGATGAAGTATGGTCCAAGAAAAGCAACATCATCAGATCTGTGTGCAGTGAACCATGTGAGAAAGGCCAGATCAAGGTAAAATGGAATCTATGTTTCTTTCATTTTTGTTGTAAATTCAACAGTGTTAACTATCATTGGCTATTTTTAAAAATTTTAGACACTTATTTTACTTTTTATATTGTAAGCTTCTAATGTCAGAAATTCTCACTCATTCCTTGTGAAATCCCATGTGCAACTCACAATAGTCTTATTAGTTGGTTTGATTGAACCAGTTGATGAGTCATGTTTGCCCACACCGTTTCTGCTCATACAAGCCTTTAAAGACATGACTTCCTGGGAATAAAGTTTACAGTTAGAAAAGACACTAATTCTAATTTATTTAATAAATATTCATCAAATGTTTATTAATATAATAGTTAATATTGATTAGGCAAAAATAAATGAGACACGCTTTATTGTCAGAAGACTTACAGTCTATGTGAGAAAATATCATGGACACAGATAAGCAATATCATGTAAAATGTGATGATTTTGTTAAGAAAGAAAAGAAGAGGACTATATAAGTTTGTACAAAAGGGATAGAGATATTTCTACTGAATAAAATGTCAAACAATGGACCATAGAAAATGAATATGATTTCAGGGAGAGAACATTCATATAGAAAGAACAGTAAAAGAAAAGGGACAAAAGTGGTCAATTGAAGACTGTCCAGAAACAAGTGAATAATCTAGAGTGCAATGCTCTAAATGGTTATTATAAAAGAGAAAGTTGAAATAAGTTGAACCCAGATTTGTGGAGAGTTTTGAACATCATACTAAATACATTGAACTTAATTTTTATTAAACTGGAGTCAGAGAATAATTTTGACCAAGATGCTGGCATAAGTTGAGCTGTGGTAAGGAAGATGAATAAACAAATTTATGAAACAAGAAAGAAGAGACAAGTTAGAAGGATGCTGTGATAGTGGTAACAAGGCCTTGAATTAGGGAAGAAACAGAATGAAAAGGGGCCAGAAGACACATTTGGAGAAAACGTTTGTAGATTCAATCAGGCTGACAACCAATTTGATGCCGAGTTGTGGAAGATAAAGAAGTCAACACAATCAACTGAAATTCTAAGTGTTAGTAACTAAAAGGTTGCATTTCCAGGAATAGAAAAATGGGGATGGCTTTAGAGAAAAAGCGATTGGTTAGTTTGTGGGCATGTTGGTTTTAAAATAGCCATCCAGTGATTAAAGCTTAGTCTAGAGCAATGAAAAATAAAGCTAAGAATACAGATTTAGGAATTGATTGAATAGAGTTAAAGTTGAAGCTATTAAAATAAATAAAATTGCAGAACCTAAAAGTGTAAATAAAAAATAAATACGGACCAAGAATATACCTTGGAGAATTTCTGCTTTCAAAGTACAAAAAAGGAAGAAAAGGTAGAGGCTGAGCAGCAACAGGTACAGAGAGATAGACAACTAGAGAGCACACTGTCACATAAGATGGTAGTCAGTGGAAGAGAAAGGTCAAAGAAGAGGAACAATGAGGGAAAGGCATGAAAATTGAGGGTTCACCCTTCATCTGGGCCTGCCAGATTGAATAGAATGTAATGGCAATTGAGTATCAAGATGAATGGATAAGGAAAATGTAGTTTATCTACATAATAGAATACTATTAAACCATAACAAAGAATGAAATCCTGTCATTCACAGCAACGTAGACAGAACTGGAGAACAGAATGTGAAGTGAAATAAGCCAAGGACAGAAAATTAAACATCACGTGTTCTCACTTATATGTGCAAGATAAAAAATGTTGATCTCACAGAAGTAAAAATTAGAACAGAGCATACTAGAGGGTAGGAAGGGAAGGAGGAAGAGAGGGATAGGAAGAGCTTTGTTAAAGGAAGCAAAATCACAGCTAGATAGGAGGAATAAATTCTAGTGTTCTTTAGCACTGTAGGATGAATACAGTTAAAAGTAATCTATAGTTTCAAATAGCTAGAAGGAGGATACTGAACATTCCTAACATGAAGAAATAATAAATATTTGAGATGATGGCTATGCTAATTACCCTGATCTGATCGTTATATGTGTATCAAAACATCACTATGTAACCCATAAATATGTACAATTATTATGTGTCAATTGAAAAAAATAAAGAGTATAAGAAAAAGAAGTATGTGATAAAAAAGCATGTAATGGATAATTTGGTAATTTGAGGACATTAAAAAATTACTCTTAGGCTAAAGAAGATGTGGCCACACTTACAGGAAATGAAAATTCAATGAAGGAAGAGAAGACAAAGATATAATAAAAAGGGAGTTAGGGCAGCTATTGGTATGCAATGCCGTAAGGAAAAATGATATCAAAATAATTTATTTGCTAATCAAACAGTTCTTGAAGCACTACCACACCACATTTCAGGCAGTGTATTCCTAGAGCCATTGGACTTGGTGTTTTCAATCAACCTTACCTTCACTCTGTTTAGAAGGCATTTCATGTGTTTTTTCATCTGTGATTAAGACTGAAACTGAAATATTTTAATACTGATAGTAAGGCCCTCAAAGGGTAGGTCTGAAGATTTGGAAAGCATAAGACCAGAAAGAAGAAAGATAAGGTAAATGAAGATAAAAATAAATTAATTAATGTCTGCTAAATGGCTCAAAATATTAGATATCTGAAATTTTCTGTATGTCTTATTATGGTATACAGCAACAGCTGGTAAACTATGGCCCACAGACTAAATCTGACCTACTACCTGTCTTTGTAAATAAAGTTTTATTAAAATACAGCCACGCTCATTTGTTTATATAGTCTCCATGGCTACTTTCCTGCTACAGTGGCAGAGTTGGATAGCTGAGTTGCTGAGTTGCAATAGAGACTGTATGGCCCAAAGCCTAAATATTTACAATTTGGTCCTTTGTACAAAAAAAAGTTTGCTAACACTTGTTATATCAAGACAAAAGAGGTTTTCATCTTGGCCAATTATCTTGCAGTTAAACTCTTCATTGTGAGGGGTTTAAATTCATGTACAATTATTTACATGAATTATTACACCAAGAATATCCATATTCATAATTTCCAGTGCTTCCTGTAGAAAGATTACACAGTGTAAATTACCACATAATTTTTGTTTATTTTTGACCCTTCACAGCAATACATTTTGAAAACGTAACTTCTAGGGCCGGGCGGGGTGGCTCACGCCTGTAATCCCAGCACTTTGAGAGGCCTAGGCGGGCGGATCACAAGGTCAGGAGATCGAGACCATCTGGCTAACATGGTAAAACCCCGTCTCTACTAAAAATACAAAAAAATTAGCCAGGCAAGTTGGCAGGCGCCTGTAGTCCCAGCTACTTGGGAGGCTGAGGCTGGAGAATGGCGTGAACCCGGGAGGAGGAGCTTGCAGTGAGCCGAGATGGCGCCACTGCACTCCAGCCTGGGCGACAGAGTGAGACTACGTCAAAAAGAAAGAAAGAGAAAAAGAGAGAAAGAGAGAGAGAGAGAGAGAGAGAAGGAGGGAGGGAGCGAAGGAGGGAGGGAGGGAAGGAAGAAAGGGAAAATGTAACTTCCACATGCAGAATTTTTTGTTTTTTTTTTTGAGACGGAGTCTTGCTCTGTCTCCAGGCTGGAGTGCAGTGGCGCGATCTCGGCTCACTGCAACCTCCGCCTCCCGGGTTCAGGTGATTCTCCTGTCTCGGCCTCCAGAGTAGCTGGGATTACAGGCACCTGCCACCACACCTGGCTAATGTTTTTGTATTTTTAGTAGAGGCGGGGTTTCACCATGTTGGCCAGGATGGTCTCGATCTGCTGACCTCGTGATCCGCCCACCTCAGCCTTCCAAAGTGCTGGGATTACAGGCATGAGCCACTGCACCCAGCCTATTATCATATTTTTAATACTGGTCATTTTGTAATAATATTTGCTTAGTCCTTTTTTAAAAATCCCAAACTCCATTTTCCTAACCAGATGTCATTTTTACTCTATTAAATGTACAATTTAGAAGATTTTCTTAATATGGTTTAACAGCGATTTCATTCATGATATCAACATCTCATGGCATTTTCCAGAGTTTGTAAACTTAGTTTCCATGAAAGGATTTAGTCTAGTAAAGTTTCAGATATGTTATATATTGTTATTCATAAAGAAAGCACCGCTGGGTGGGTGCAGTGGCTCATGAGTATAATTTCAACATTTTGGGAGGCCGAGGTGGGAGAATCCCTTGAGCTCAGGAGTTCAAGATCAGCCTAGGCAATTTAGTGAGACCCCATCTCTTCAAAAAAAATAAGGAACAAAAATAATTGGGCATGGTGGCACACATCTGTAGTCCCAGTTATTCAGGAAGCTGAGGTGGGAGGCTCTCTTGGGCTGGGGAGGTCAAGGCTGCCGTGAGCCAAGATGGCGCCACTGCACTCCCAGCCTAAGCAACAATGCAAGACTCTGTCTCAAAAAATAAAATAAATAAAAAAGAAAGCACCACTACTTCCAGAATGTTAAATTGCCATGAAAGAGAATTGTCACTACCTCGTGTTCAAAATAGATGTGAAACAGAACATAAAATATGAAAACATAAAACAATTTCTAAATTATCAGAGGAAAACATATTAAGTTATCACTATTGATTCAAAAAGAGATTGTAATGTTGGAATTCTTCTTGGAAAAGGGCATGAATTTATTTTAATAAACACCTGAAATTCACAAACCAATGAAAACTGAACCATAAGAAATCAAGGTATTTCTAGTGGGGGGAAATGCAACTGCTTTTATTTGCTAATCCCTGCTAAGTTCTGAAAGACACTCCTTCAGCTTTGCAATATGCCTGTTTGCATTACAAAATCTAATAATTGTTCAAGGATAGTTTTGCCAAGTGTGGTATACCTTGAAAATGAAATTCTTCATTTCTGTATATGGACATTTATGTGCATATTATTAATGAAATAGGTAACATTATTAGAGTGTTCTACACTTTACAAATCACTGTGTTGTTTTATTTAATCCTAAGGAAATCCTATAAGGTAGATATTATTATCTTAAAAGCAACAGGTCCAGTTAAAAGAAACTGAGCATTAGCTGGAGGACTACTCAAGGCTGCACAACTACTTAGTGGCTATAAATAAGACTAGAACCCTGGTGCTACTTGATTCCCAAGCCAGTGCTCTTTCCCCTGCGTCTTTCAAAATATCACGCAGTCTATCTTCCAGTAAGACTCAATGTTTATAAGCATGAGCATTTGAAGTCCAACATACATTGTTTGATCCCTTATTTACCCTAACATGCTATGTGAGCTAACTTTACCTTAGTTTTCTCCCCTAAGAAAATGAAAAAAATAAACCAGCTACTTCATACAGAGCTGTTCTAATGTTTTAATGGGATAACAGTATGTGACAAGTACTAAAGAGCCTGGAAATAGTCGATATTATTATGAAGAATACTTTAATCAGGTCTAAGGAGCAATTTTGCCTCACTTATTTAGTTACTTTAGGGAAAAGCTATTTCAGGCCCTTTTGCCATTATTCCCTGCTTGTATTTTTGTAGTTTTAAGAGTCAACACAAGAAATACTACAAAAATGTAACAAACAGTTGTCAGCTTACAATTATATTTGGCTATAGGTATCTAGCTGATGTTATTATCAAAGGTCATTACTAGAGTTAGCATCTAAGACTAGAAATATAAAGTGTAATCATTACTGTCTCTGGTCATTGCTGAATATTAATCACAGTTTTAATTATTTAAAAGAACATTTAATGAATGCTGTCTATTCCGGAGAGGCTTTTCATGCACCAATGGTGGGGAAGAAAAGGTACATCTATTTCGAAAGAATAACATCTGTGACTCTTTCAACTGTTAAATTATTTCAATTATTTTCCATTACCTTAAAAAAGTCAGATAGATTAAGAGGTATATAATAGTCTCAGTGACCTCATCTACCTTCAAACAAAACAAGGCTACCAAAATAGGAAAGAATGGGTTGAATTGTTGAATCAGATTTTTCGTAGAAAGAGATCAAGAGATCATCTCCAGGAAAATCTTAATCTTTTGCTATGTTCTACCCAATACAAATTCCTAATTATTTTTATCAATATGGACAGATTTTAGAAGATTAGGAAATATACAATGTTTTTTGCTCACAATTATTCAACTAATGGAGGGAAGGAAGCTAAGGTAAATCCAGGGAGCAGAAGTTCTTAACTTAAGGAAAGGAGAAGCAGAGCAGATCCTGGGGTGAATTCAGTTATGTGTATCTACATATGAGCACAAGCACAGGTACTTAATTAAATACAGGTTTCCAAGGCTAATTATCCAAAGACTTTCATTTAATTTAATTCTTTATCCTGCCACAAGCTAACTTTATGACGCTGGACTTGTTTAAACTCAGCCTTATTTTCTTTAATTATAAATTAATATTAAAAATTGTACTGCTTATCTGAAAACATTTAAAATAATGTATGTGAAAGGCCTTTCTGCTTTGCAAAACAGCACATTGGAATATAGAATTGTTGGATTTTTATCTATGCAAAAAAAAATCTAAATTTCAAATATTTGCCTTAGGTGATCCGAAAGGGAGAAGTCAGCTGTTGTTGGACCTGTACACCTTGTAAGGAGAATGAGTATGTCTTTGATGAGTACACATGCAAGGCATGCCAACTGGGGTCTTGGCCCACTGATGATCTCACAGGTAATCTATCACAATCTCACCACATATAAATTAACTGAAAAATGGTGCAGACGTGGGAGAGGGGGGTCACATCCCCAAGCGTTACTCATCTTGGGTAGTCTTATTTATGGAACAAATAATTTCCTTGGGAACACAAGCTTCCCAAAGTCTGAGCTACTTATTCAAATCTTCAGACCTCTGGGAGAGATCTGCCTATATGTCTGTCTTCACTCCAAAATTAGATCAGTATTCCTAGCTTGTCTACTGGGCATTCTTCCCTCATGCCCAGGACATTCCCAGAAGTTCCTAAATAGGGTCCCAGTTATGTGTGTCATTTTAGGTGAAGAGAAAGAAGTTTTAGCCAGTGAGAAAAATATGTCATGACATATCCAAGAACAAAAAGATATCACCGAATTGGGCAGAATGTCATCTAAAGTTCTTTTCTTCTGTTAATTGTTTTTATTAATTGAAATCAGGAGTCTCCAACTAATATGCTTTTAAGTATTGTTGGCACAGGGAAAGACTTGATTTTACTTGTTTATTTTTTTTCTTTTTTGTTTTGTTTTAGCTTTTGCTTCTTTGTGCCAACAGATGTTAAAGAATATGTCATCATGTTCTCCAGTCTATATTTCATAGTCTTTTCTAATTTTTACAATATATAAACAGAATATGATTCCTTTCATACTGTCTTCCAATTTTTCTTCAATAAACATTTATTAAATGCACTCATGTGCTTATTTTCCTACCACTAAAATAAAAATATAGAAATAAAAGTACTACCTCTATCTTAATGAAGTTCACAGATTAATAAAGGAGGCAAAAAAGTAAAAATATGATTACAATATAATAAGAGGACATAGATTTATAGACATAGGAGCATGAGGAGGGCACCCATGAACTGAGTATGCAAGAAAAAGAGGAAAAAAGCCTTGCAGGCAGAGAGCCCTCCATGTGGTATGTCAGGTTGTCTAGTGGTTTTAGAATTCAGATGGATTTAGCACAAAACTTCTAGAGGCTAGAAGATCATAAAGTCATCAGTATTAGACTCCATCCCTCCCAGGATGAATGATTTTACTCATAGTAGTTGTATTCACTTATTTAAAAAGTCTGGTTATTAAAAATTCCATGATCCTGGGTCTTTCAAGACAGCTCACCTTTCTTTGGTGATTGGTATGTATACAGGAGACTTTTCCTTTTCTTAAAAAAAAAATCTGATTTAATAAAACATCCAAGTGCCTTTTGATCGCATTTGAATCTTATTTTTGCCATTAGACTGTGAGCTTTCTGATGCTCTTATTCATCCTGTTTTCCCCAGTTCTAAACACAAAGCCTTAAATAAATTTTGTTGAATAGATGATCTATAGTGTACCTGTGTGCACACACACAGTAAAAATGCCAAAAAGAAAAAAATACTATGATTGGTTTTCTTGAAGAAGGGTGAGGAGCAGTATTCCTATCTTTTCTTTATACTATTTATTTACATGTTTTTCTAATTTTAAACTGGATTATTGTGAAAATAAAAAACTGTCTTGCATCGTCAACTAACTTGCATGGCTAAGCACCTTGTGAATGAATATACAGATGTAACTTTTTGTCTCATGTTCTGTAAGACTATGATATTGAGAATGAACACACACTTTCATTATTTCAACAGATAAATATTTTATTATTACTATTTCCATTATAATATTAGGTACTTGAGAAATTGAGGTGGAAAAACAGCAATGCTTCCTGTGTCACTTGTTGCCTATATCCTGGTCCTCATACATCTTACCATCTTGTGGGGAAAGAGACATAAAACAACACATGCACATGGCTAGTCAGCTCTTTGTTTGCTAATGGGCTATTTGTGTGCCTCACTGACAAATTATATATGAAGTCAAAGAACAGGAATAAAAACATGGAAATATCCGAGAGGTCGTAATTTAAATTTGTGGTCATATAATTTCTCTCTGAAGAAGTAAAAATTAACTGCGACCTAAATTATAAATATAAATATTTAGCAAATAATAACTAAGAAGAAATTTCAGTCTGGGGTAACAGCACATGTGAATGTCTGTATATGGGTAAGCAGGTAGGAGAACAGTGTCAGAAGAGGTGTTCTCATCATCTCATATTTAAATATTGCAGTAACTTTCCAATTTATTCCCTTGCCCCTAGATTTATGCCACATGCCTCTTAATCCACTTTTGATCTTGCTATTTTTTCAGGAAGAATTCAGGTCTTTTTTTAATGACAGGAATGGCACAGTTTATTATTTTGAGACAATTGTTGCAGACATAAATATTTAAAATTTCCTAAGCAAGGTGCTTTTAACAACAAAAATTTTTAAAGTTGGAAAGAGCCAATAACTTAGATCATAGCTCACACAGAATAACAAATCAAAGTGTACTCCATTATCTCCCTAGATTTTGCAAACAATGCTTTGTCTAACACTTCTTTAAAACAACAAAGGAGACAGCAAGCTGAAACTTTTTCCAAGCACACAAGAAATGGTGTCATCACATTACTTGAAGAAGGTGCTGATGGGAGAAGATGATCTTGCTACTGAATAATGTATCCAAAATACAGATCTGTCTTTTTTATTTCCTTGCTCATGTAGGAGAAAGTAATTATCGTTTCTTCCCAGCCTAGGTTTGTGGATTAAATCCTTGGAACAAAACACAAACTAACAAGAGAAAAGCATGTACATTTATTAAAGATAAGTTTTACATAGGGAAAGGAAAACACAAAGAAACAGGAAAACTTGTGTATTTTTATGCTAGGTTTGATAGAGAAGTGGTAAGTCATTGAGGAGTATGATTGGATTAAAAAAGCATGATCTAATGATAGTTAGCTGGGGAGAACTCAGCTATTCGTGTTTGTTCAGATTGCTGTCAGTGACCTTGCATTTTTAGAGATATACAGATGTTCACTTCCTCTGGGTACAGAGAGAGAACCTGTCAAATGAGAGTTTTATGACCTGCTTCAGGGGAGAATGCTGGGGGGAAGGTGAGAGTTACCTTCCTGCTTCTGCTGTTTTCTCAAATGCCAAGGTGCCACACTTCAGGGTAGTGTGTCCTGAATCCCATCACTCAAAACTTACCACTGGTTTTATAACTCTGTATGATATATTCCAAGCTTTCAATATGACATACAAAATGTCCTCTTTCCCACCCTCCTATGATCTTTCTAGTTTCAATCACCACTGCTTTCCATCTTTCATTTTACATTCTGTTGTCAAAGACTGCTGATAATTCTCATCCACACAGAATGCTATTTTATTCCTCCCTGTCTGTGTACATATTGTCTTCTCCACCTGGAATGTGCTTACCCCTCTTTCTTTACTTGAGTAACTCCCACTTACCCTCCCTTACTCTGTTCAGGTGTTACTTTCTCTATGAAGCTTTCTTTGATATACTTAGACTGCTAAGTTTCCCCTTCTGTATTTCTAAAACAAATTCTGCTTTCCCCTTTAAATCACTTTGCAAACTAAATTTTAATGATCTGTATACATATCTGCCACTCCTACTGAAATGTTAGTCTCTCATGGACATAGCTGTCCCTTAAACATATTTGTAATCTCAGCACCTAATACAATGCCTGACATAGAGTAAGCTTTCGGTAAATACGTGTCAACCTCCAGTAAAATGATGGAGAGTGTTACAAATGAAGATTAAAGTAGGTATTAAGGCCAGCCTGTGAGTAAAGCCTTTAACGAGTTTGGAATTTATCCTATATAGACAGTGTGGGGCCAGTGGAGGTTTTCAGACAGAAGAATAAAATGATTTGTCTCTGGCTAGGTGCATACATGTGAGTGTGTGTATGTGTGTGGGTGGTCTGGGTAGGGGAAAAATGCCAAACCTAGAAATGCCTTTGCATTGATATTATGTGAAGTTTAACCTTTAACTGGAATCTACAGCACTTTTCCAAAGAGCCTATAGCTGTGTGCAAGCCCACCTCAGTGACTCTGATTCAAAGTAACACATCACTCGGAATTGCTAGCTAGAAGAACATCCTGATGGCTTCAGCTATTCCAAAGCCTGCCACAGAAAGGCTTGGGGCCAGTTTTAGGAAATATTGCAAGCCTTTCTTATATGCACTTGGCTTATAGTTACCTTACTTCAGCCTATAATGTGACAGCTCAAGTTACCTTTGGGTCAGTGCCTTCATTGTGATAATAACAACCAGTACATATATAATGCTTTCTATGTGACAGGAACTGTTTGCAGCATCTTGGAAATGTTATTTCATTTTATGTCAACACAATCCTATAAGATTATCAGCATGGCTAAGAGATCTCAGCCCACCTGGAATTAAACAATTGTTCAGAAAACAACTTAAAGTAGCAATCAACTGACATTAATGTCTACCTATATATTTAGCCATATACTTTTTGTATGTGTATATATTTTTTTCATAGAAATATCCTAAATGAAGGCTACCTAACGTTAAGGTGTTTACAGGTGGTAGGATTACAGGTTCCTTTTTTTACACATAAATACATGTGAATATGTGTGTGTGTGTGTGTGTGTAAACATGTATGCAGAGGATTGAATGATATTATGAGAATGTATCTTCATCAATAAAAATCATTAAAATGATGTTTAAGCCAGCCATATTCTCAATAGCAGTCATAAATTCTTAGGAACACCAGAATTAGGTAGACAAATAAAGAATCTGGTATGAAAACCAAGAAGACATGAAAGAAATGAGAAATAAATGGAGGATGAGGTCAGAACATAGCCCATGTCCTCAATTCAACTTATTTTCATTGAGGACAGCAAGCAGTTATTCCTTTGTCTTATAATTAACAGGTACCTATGCTAGCAGTAAATAGGATAAAGAGGATCCCTGCCCTCATGGAGATAATTTTTCCAAATATTGAAAGTAATAATAAGATACTGAATATTGACAACAGAGAAGGCCAGAATGGTGTGAGAGCCCATAACAGTAAAAGCTAACTTAGGTGATATTTAAAATTGCCTCTTCAATGAATTGTGGGCATGCAAAAATTGGAGTAATGATGGGAGCTGGCCAAACTAAAATGAAAGAGAAGAGTGTTGTGGACACAGAACACAGGAACTGAAATGGAACTGAGAGTATAAGGGAGAAATGAGACAAGAAAGCAAAGGCCACCTTTTGGGGAGCCTGGTAAACTATGGTAAATATTTTAAAGTTTATCTTAAGGGAAATTTAAAAAGATTTATTCATTCAGTCATCTAGTCATTCATTCAATAAATGTGTATCTAGCACTTTCACTGTTCCAATTGCAGGGGAGGAAATATATATTTTCCCTCTATCCATCTTAGGTTCATTGGCTGGGGCCCCTGTAACTAAAAATAGATTAACAAAAGAAAAGCATACACATTTATTTAATATAAGTTTTATGTAACACTGGAACCTTCCTAAGGACCTGAAGAAGCAGTTAAACCTGGCTGTTCGTATGCTAGGTTTGATGTAAAATGAAGAGTTGTAGAGAAAGAAGATAGGACAAAGGGCATAAGTAAACTCAGGTAAACTTAGCAAGGCCTGTTCCTTCAGACTCCTCTGAGATAGGGATGCTCCTTCCCTCCAGGTCTAAGAAGGGCACCTCTCACATGAGGGTCTTATGACCTGCTTCAGGGGTGAAGGGTGGGAGAAGGACATAAAGTCTTTCTGCACTTGCTGTTTCTCAAATTCCTTCAGCTTAAAAAATTCAATATGCCAAAGTGCCATATTTTGGAGTAGAGTGTTGTGAACCCCATCTCAGGCAATGTTCTAAATGCTGAAAATATTTCTATGAACAAAACCAGTAAAATTATCTGTTCTTATAATGTTTACATTCTAGTGGAGAGAATAGTTTTAAGCAAGGTGATTATCTCCAGGAATATTCAAAAATTGAATATGAAAGAAAATGTGCCAGGTGCAGTGGCTCATGCCTGTAATCTCAACACTTTGGGAGGCTACATTGGGTGGATTACCTGAGGTCAGGAGTTTGAGACCAGCTTGGCCAACATGGCAAAACCTTGTCTCTACTAAACATACAAAAAATTAGCCAGCCACGGTGGTGCATGCCTGTAATCCCAGCTACTCAGGAGTCTGAGGCAGGAGAATCGCTTGAACCTGGGAAACTTAGGAGGCAGAGGTTGCAGTGAGTGGAGATCATGCCACTGCACTCCAGCTCGGGTGACAGAGCAAGACTCCATCTCAAAAACAAAAAGAAAAGAAAAGAAAAGAAAGAAAATGCAATCATGATGGGCTGCTTTATAAATATTATTTACATAGTCACAATGTGAAGAGTAGATATTGTATAAAAACATGAAAAGGAAGGATACAGATTTCAGAATAGCAGTATCATCTAGTAAGAGAAGAAAGGGAGTTAGATGGGAGTTACAAAATAGGTTTTAGTTATAGCTTTAGCATGTGTGTGTGTGTGTGTGTGTGTGTGTGTGTGTAATTTGAAACATATGACAAAATATTAACATTTTTTAATATAGATTTTATTTGTTCCATACCATATACTTTTCTCTGCATATTTAAAAATTTTATAATTTAAATGATTCCATACTATTTGCGCTATTTAAATATTTAACACTAAAAGATAAGATTTTAAAATATAAGACTAAGTTGGGAATTATAAAGAGAGGATAAGGGTAAGAAAATTTTGCAAAAATCCATGTGAATCTACCAGTGGTTTGGGTAAGGATAATGTAATGTGAATCAAAAGCAACAAAGATTTGATTAGGAATTAAAATCAATAGAACAAGGTAATTAGTTCTCAGAAAAATGTAGTCTGGTTTGAGAGAGAAAGGAGAAAAAGTAATAAAAGGCAACAATTTGAGCTAGACGTTCAGAGAATTATCTGAAAAGCATTTGCCAAGACACTTTTTCTGGGACACCATTCCCTGCCACATATCTGCAAAAACTGTCCTAGAAAGAATTTTTTATTTGTTTTGTATCAAAGAATTTAGGAGGAGATATAAGTAGTAAGAGCTCTAAAGATCTTTAGGTCCCCAGTCCAAAGCCACAGAAACACTTACAGGTGGGGCTTACCAGATGCTGCCAACCTTCCAATAAACTAAGTAAAAGGAAAGAGCAAAAATAGCCTGTCTTTCAAGAAGTAACCAGGTGGGAAGTCCTATGACAGGAAGTTAGCATTATCTCCTGCTTTTCAATCATAAAAGAAATGTATCTTACGTAAGTCCAAAGCTGTAAAACGCTTCCATTTTATTCCATCCAAGGCAATATGTATCAACAGCTTAATGTCAATAGGGACGTTCTCTAGGAAGTTCCTTTGGTTCCCTGAGTTACCTAATTGCTTTGGAGGTTGGAACATTTGTCTCTTCACTTAAGAGGAAAAAAGCCGCAGAGTTAAACAAAGAGATGTTGGTAAGAATCAAGGAGGGAGCAGAGGATGAGCTCCAAGAGGTGTAACCACTGGCAGGTTTTATAACTCCCGCATTGGAATTGCTCTCTTTTTACAAATGTGCATTTAATTTGTGTTCCTCAGCTTGTCCTACTTTTCTTGGGACTTTTTTTTTTTTTGCCTTTTAATAAATAAGCACATTAAATAAAAACATGGGGAAGATTTCTTTTCATTTCCAATTATTATAACTATCTTAAGCATTACCTTTTTTAATCCTTTAAGGTTGAGATTATTATTCTACAGTTGAATGAAACAAAACTCAGGAACATTCTATACATGGACAAGACCACAAAACTGGTGGAAAAGAAATCCCAGGTGCTATGATTCTGGGGTTTTTATGCTATACTACCTGTCTCTCTCCACAATCACATTTTAGAGCCCCATATTTTCAGGAAATTATAGAAGGAAAAAAAATCGGCTTCAAGCTGGTCACATGTTAATTATCTCCAGGCTGCTCTGATATTTTTTATTCCAAATGTGCTTAAAATGTGTTATTTGACTATTATAATTAAACTTAGATGAGGAAAGGAGGGAAAATTCTTGGCATCTATTAAATATTATTTGTTTATGATTCTTTAGAGGAAATTTCTGATGAGTTTTGATGAGAAATAAGTTTAGTTTATTATTACAATTTTAATAAATATTTCTTGTTAATATTGAAACTGGAATAGCTTTCAGAATTCTGCTATCTAGCTTCTTGGTTTCTAGGTTAGATAGTAATCTGAACAGGAGCATATGCTATACAGCTGGCTATCTATCATTCATTAATTCATTCAGCAAAAGATTTTATCACATTCCTACTCTTTTTTTAACACTGTGCTAAGTTCTGATGATACAAATATAAATGGAAGGTACCTAACCTTACTTAAATAATTGCATTAAATTATACATATAATGCATACAATAGTTAAACCACACACCAAATGCAGTGGTGGCACAAAGGATGAAATTATTCATTAGCACATATTTGAGTTCCAACTAGTGCCAAACATAGCACTAGATCCAGTATTGGGCACACAATGGTGATCGAGCCCCACTTCCTACTCCCAAGTATCGCAGAGCCTAGGCAGAGACATATGCAAATAAAGAGGCAATTTCAATACATTAAGTATCCCTGCCATAGTGTAGGAACCAATTTAATGTTTGTATAATGAAGGAATAAAAGAGAGGAGAGGAAATGAAGAAATGAATGAAGGAAGGAAAGAAAGTGCTAGGATGGGAGTAAACGTTGATGAGAGGAAATTAACCAGGTCTTGGAAGTTCAGAGGTAGCTTCTGGGTGGAAAGGGAATTCATGTATGTGAAAATAAGATGCTAACCAGGTAAAGCAGAAATGAATTTTCAGGCAGAAAAAAAGACCATAAGGAATGATACATGTCATATCTAAGGAATGTATGTGTGTCTCAAAATATTTTTTCCAATATAACATTCAGAGCAAGTACACCACCATTTCACGGTCGCTTTTTCATCAAAGCCTCTATTATGGGAACTATCCTTTCCTAAATACCAAACATCATAATGGTGATCAGCTGTAAAAGAAAGTGACTTTTGTTTAACAATAGAATTCCCAGGTCTCTAAGCACTTTTTAGGTTTCTCTAGATAAGTTCACTACATTACACACTCACCAGTACAATCTAAGGAAGTTGAATTTATGGCAAATGTAGTGTAACAAAGTACAGCTGAGAATTTGTGCTGCATAAAATACCAATCTGCAACAATTCATCTTTATTTTCTTCTAAGAGTGTAGTGGTTTAAATCAAAAGGTTTTGGAGTCAAACATGCCCATGTTCAAATTCACACTCCACCAGTGACTCATTGTGCGACTTAAAGCACGGAAATTTTTATCTGTGAGTGTCAGCTTTCTCTTCCATAAAATTGAGATAACAGTAGTAACTAGTTCATAAGATTATTAGAGCTATTTTATAGCATACAAAAAGTTTCGTATGCATTAACTGTTCAAGAATACTATTATCACTCTACTGTTAATAAAGTTTTTAAAATATAGTGATGAAAAATGAATAGAGAGATAGATGGATTGATTTAAGAATGAATGAAGAAGAAAATTTGGGGAAAGTTTTAACCTGTGTTTATTTATTTATTTATTTAAATTTATTTATTTATTGAGATGGAATCTTGCTCTGTCGCCCAGGTTGGAGTGCAGTGGCACATCACTGTCTCAGCTCACTGCAACCTCCGCCTCCCGGGTTCAAGCAATTCTCCTGCCTCAGCCTCCTGAGTAGCTGTGACTACAGGCGCATGCCACCATGCCAGCTAATTTTTTGTATTTTTAGTAGAAACAGGGTTTCACCTTGTTAGTCAGGCCGCCTCAGCCTCCCAAAGTGCTGGGATTACAGGCGTGAGCCACTGTGCCTGGCCTAACAGGTGTTTATTAAATGTCTTCTACATTTGAAAGTAAGATCCCTTTAAGTCAATGACTGTCTAGCACAATCAATGGCAGAGAGTAGACAATTTTTATTTGTTGAACTAAGCTTACTGTTATAAACATCTCTTTTAACTTCGTTTAGATTAGCTTCATAGCCCTTCTGATTCTAAATGAATAAATTGCAGAAGTTTAATGGTGACTTGGAAATCCCAGAAAGCCGTAAGCCGTGACAATACTACACAGCACCTGCCATTTGTTTTTCTATCTTATCATTGTCCCTGATAAAAAAGGTTTCTAGTTTCACTGATCACTTCATTATACACTTTTGATATTTTCCTCACTGGCAAAATAAAAATAAAAAAATAACCTTCCCAAAAAGGATCTAGCATCTATTGCCACTGATATTTTTACATTTATGAATTTCAAATAAAATGAAGGCTATTGTGCTGAAGTGCTCCAGAGCTCAGTGTTGATCCTCTTTTCTGTCTACACTTGCTTCACTGGTGATCATACCCAGTTTCATTCATGTCATTAAATATCATCTACACAATAAACATTTTGATGTAAAGTATCTTGTCCAGATCTCTCACCTAATCTCCAGACTTAAATATTCCATTGCCTACTTGACATATTTATTTGAATATCTAATAGATATCTTAAATTCTACACTTCCATCACTGAAATCCAGGTCTTTACCTTCTTAATCTCCCAGGCTGCTTTATCCTTACTATTACATTTCATCTGATAATAAACCCGTTCTTTCATTAGGTAAGACCAATAACTTTGGAGTCAATCTACTGACGTCTTGCACATCCTTTAGTCAGTAAAGAAATCCCATTGGCTAATCCTTCATATCCCAAATTCCACCACTTCTCACTACCTCCAGTAAAAGTGTCTAACAATCATCATTAATCATCTTTCTTCTGAAAATAACCTCCTAACTTTTCTCCTTGATTCTACCCTTGCCCCTACTTACAGTCTCTCCTCAACATTCCAGGCAGAGATATCTTTTTACAAAATAAGCCAGGTCATGTTACTCCATTGTATAAGGATCTACAATGATTTCCCATTTCATTCAAAGTAAAAGCCAAAGTACTTACAAATTCCTGTTTTGTATGACCTGGTCTTCTGTCATGTGTCTGACCTACTTTTCCCTTCACTTCATCTGGTTCTTCCTCCCAATACATTGGTCTTTTTGTTCTTCCATTAAAAGGTCAGAAAGGCTCTTATCCCAGGGTAATTTCCCTAGCAGTTATCTGCCTGGAAGGCTTTACTGCAGATAACCACATGACCACTATTCTTTCCTTCCTCAAGTCCTTGCTCAAATGTCTACCCTGAGCAACCCGTTTAATACTACAAACTAACCCCCCTCATATCCAGTTCTACCTCTTCTTTTCTCTACCTCTTATATCACCTCATACTATTTTATATTGTTTATGTGTTAATGTATTTTCACTGATCATATACTGTTGATCCTTCAGCTAGGATATAAGCCAAAATACAGTAACTTTTGTATATTTTCCTCATTTGAGAATACCAGGCTGCTAGAACACAGTAGATATTCAATGAATATTCACTAAAGAAGTGAATACAGGATGGAAGAAAGGTAAGAAATCCCCATGTATTGAGTACCTGTCACCTATCAGAATAGGAAGTTTGTGTTCTATCACCTAATCCTCCTGACAGCTCAAAAAGGTTGGAATCCCTACTAGGTACCCATAAAAATTAAAATTATAAAAATAAACTTTAAAAAAGGTTGGAATCATGATTTCCATTTTACAGAAAATTGAGTTTGAAAATTGAAAATATCCATGCTCATGATCACACAGTAAGCAGGAGAGTAAGGCTCAGACCCTGTTTCATCTTTCTGTAAAACTAGTGCTTTTTCCTTGACATGATGCTGCAGGAAATATGGAAGTGATTGTGAATCAATGGATTCTTTCTAACAGGATCTCTAAAATGCAATGAAAAATTTTGTGCACTGTCTTTTTTTTTTCAAACAGTTAGCTTGATAAAGTTGTTTCAGTTAGCACTAAAAACAACAATGTTGTGTTCTGGTTCTTTTAAAATGAGATTCCAGGGCTTACACATTGATAAATTCTAAAATGCCTTCTTACTCTTCCAATTTCTCAACGTTCATTAACTTTTAATAATTTTCTTCCTACAAGATGAGTCAAAAAGTCAGTATATTTAAACTTGTAAACGCCACTGACTAAAGAAGAAAAAAAGGGCTGAAAGCCCCTCTCTTAGTGGAACTTATCAAAACAGGTCCCTGAAAAGAACATAAACCAGTTTTCATCTTGCCAGAAACCACTCGATGAAAAATGTTCACCATGTTCTTCTTCACAATGATAAATTTGTGGTCTGACCAAAACAATGGCATTGTGGTCAAAAACCACTCTGACATGGCCAGACTGAAGACAATAATGTGATTTCATTGATTTCAGTTTTTGGTCAATGTAGCTTACCCAAAATAAATTATCACATTTTCCCCTTAGAACAAGAAACATTATGATACAGTGCTAACTATTGCATTATCTAACCTACTTGGAAAATGCTTCACAAAGCATTGATATATTATATGAGTAATATGAAGCAGATAAATTCCTCCTATCTTGACACCTCTTAAAAAATCACATTAATTGAGGTGATGAAAAATTCAAAGCATTATGGGCTGTCTTGTACTTACAGACAATTTAAGACAACATAATACCATTTACTTGGGGCAACACATACCTAAACAAGCTAGAGAGAGAAAGTAGCCTGGCTTTTCCCCAGAATAATAAAGGATAATCTAATAAAACAGGCACTTTAGCAGATGTTGAGTCACACCGTTTTGTATATACACTTCCCCATTTCCACTTTCTCTCACTTCATAATTATTATGCCACTGTCCAATTTATTTTATATGGTCCTCACACTAATCCTTGAGATGTAGGCAGATAGGTATTATCACCTTCCCTCCTAAAGCTTTTGCTAATTCCCCATCTGAACTATCAGCAATAATTCCCAAAGACATTGTAATTCTCTTGATACATTACTATGCTGTAGAGTTTTTTCCTCTGCATATCTGACTTTTGCATTTTGGCTGTTTCCTTTACATTTCTTCTGCTTTTCTCTATGTCTGTGTTTCTCTTTCTATGGTTCCTTTCAAATGCTCTTTAGTTCCAACAGAAAATAGTTTCCTTAACTGAAAATAGATGAAATAATGGTCCCTATCGCATGAGGACCTTGTAGGTATTAAAGAAGGTAATAAGAATAAAGTGTTCAATACAATGACTAGCAGAGTAAAGTCACAGAGCCTGAGCATTTGGTCAATACATTATTTTAAAGGAACAAACAATTACCTTTCTATCACCATAGTGTGGACCAAGTGGTATGAATGGTGTAGGTGCTCAAGAGTGAAATGCTGTAGCTGTGCTGTGTGAACAATGTTCAATCTCTTTAATGGGTGGGATGAGGCATTAATCTTTCCCCTTGTACATTTTTCTTACATGTGTGCACTTTGTCCCCATATTTTCTTTCTGTAATAAACATGAGCATTTGAATAGTTAAATGTATGCCCATAGCTCAACTGGAGAATACTTAACGATACTTAAAATTTAGGAACAAATAGGCTTGGAAAGAGAAAAAGGAGGTAAAATCTGTGGCAGAATATGCATACAATTTTGCAACCTTCCTTAGGAAAGGTAATGTAATTTCAGGTCTTAGAATAGTCCTGGTATGCCTCAAAGGAAAAAAAAAATCAAGGGTATATGGGAACACAGAAGGAATATAGTGGGGCCTGGAGAGTGGTTGCAAAATTCTGAGTCACAAAATCAGAAAGTTATTGAACATTTGGATGGATGACCAGCTACAGTAGGAAAGTGCTTTTTAGTATGCAGCTTATTTGCAAAATAAGCAATTTTATGAGTCTGACTAAAACTGCAGGAAAGGGATCTTGACAAGGGTCTGGCAAGCTAGCAAGGATAAATAGAAATGAATCGTAAAATCCAAATTATAGCTCCTATTATGTGTGCAAAATTCCACTGATACCCTATCGGTTTTAAAATGATGAGTTTAATGTTTTATTTCAATAAAATACAAAAACAACTTTAAGCATTTTATAAATTTATTTCTGAGAAATTGCTTCACTGACCTTTTTCAGGTCATTGGTCTTTAATTTCTCATCTGTGAATTCTTCTGCAAGGGTTTCTCCAGATTAAAACCCTAATTATAGATAAGATAAGTCTGTATTATTTTCATTTTATATATGAAAAAATTGAGACATAGAGTAAAAGGCTCATATTAATAGGAAATATTTGTGTGCAAGCTGAAAATGAAGGGCATGCCTCCTTATTCCTTACTTGCCCTCTTCTTTGTTAATCATTCATTCATTCATTAAACTTATTTAACTGCCTATTGTGTGCCAGGTACTATGACTAGCACTAGAAATACAACAAGCAAAGAAACAGTCTCCTCCTCTCAAATTGCTAAATCTACCATTTCAAAGAGACAATACTAATACACAATTAGTAAGAATGCAAGTGCTATGACGGGTACAGGCCCAGGGAGCCATTTGACCACATGAGAGGAACCTGTCAGTCAGCTTCAGGGAATCAGAAAAGTCATACTCATCAAGGAGAATCTGGAAAGTAGAAGAATAAGGAGAAGTTAGCTAGTAAAAAGGGACTGGAGAAAAGTAGAAAGGGAGGGAATTATTCCAGTCAGCACGCTTTATTATTTAAATTCACATGCTGTGTTTTTCCACTCTTATCCATGTGCAGTATGACCGGAAGTCATATTTTTCAAAGCTATTTCCTACAAATGTGCATCTGTGATCACATTTCCCTTTAGTACTCTGCAGTACTATTAAATCATTCTTTATGTCTTAATTATAAAATAAATCTTTGCACACAATTTCAAATTCCCCTATAAAATATAACCAATTAAAAAAAACAAAAATAAAAACTATAGCTGTGAATTTTCAGCTCTGTGAAGGAATTCTATTAAGGAATCTAAAACGAGATGTGTAATAAACCTTGAAGGATGGGGAATAGGCTAGGTCCAATGACAAATGGATGGCTGTGAGTCTACTCTGTAGCAAAGTTGGGAATGTCCCATGAATGATCATTCAGAACATTTTCTATGCTAGAAAACTTTAGGAACCCAAGAAAAACAACTGATCAATCAGTGTCTCTGGCAGCAACTCTAAGGACATATAGCCCAGAACGAAAATCTTGCTGAAGGGTTTGAACCAATGAGATTTCTCAAGAGGAAGCATGGATTTATATCAAGATAAAGCTATCAAATATTTATGCCACCACTAGCCCCACCTTGCCCATGCAGACATTGTTAATTAATCATGATTCTGTTTCCTACTAAATAGACTCAGGACTTCTTTCAGAGGAGTAACTGGCCAAGTTGCCTCCCCTGATGTAGCAAAGATAAAATAAATAAATAAGTTAGTAGATAACCACAGAGTTTTAATCTCAGTCCCAGAAAGTTAACATATCTAATTAAGCTTCATACTGCCCCCTCTGAAAAATAGAGATAATGATATTTACCTCATTTTTTATTATGATGATTACATAAAATTTCTGGAATAACACATGATATATAGTAGGCATTCAATAAATGTTAGTCTCTTTTTTCTTTTGATACTGACATAAAGAGGAATATGGCAGCTTCCTGTTGAGGCAGTTACCAATAAAACTTGCTTAACACCTTGGATAAAGACTCTCTTTTTATTGGAGAAAGCAATCATGCCATGTTTTGTTTCGTGCTAAGGTAAAAATCAATCAACTGTAGAATATGCCTTCCTTGAAGAAAACTTGGGAACTTTTCTATTTTTTTTTTCTATGCTAAAGTAAAAAAAAAAAAAAAAGAAAAGAAAAGTTACAATTAACAGCCTCCTTAAGAAAAGTACATCTATCTGACCTTCATAGTTGGATGGCACTTTCTAAAGAATGACTTTACTGGTTACTGTCTCATTCTTTCCTCTATACATACTTCCCAGATCCAATGAATTACTCAAAATTAGATTAATCAGTCATAAAAAATGTCCCAAATGACTAGTCAGCATGAGGAATATTTCTTTTTCTTTGAGATGGAGTCTCACTCTGTCACCCAGGCTGGAGTGCAGTGGTGCAATCTTGGCTCACTGCAACCTCCATCTCCTGGGTTCAAGCGATTCTCCTGCCTCAGCCTCCTGAGTAGCTGGGACTACAGGTGCCTGCCACCATGCCTGGCTAATTTCTGTATTTTTAGTAGAGATGGAGTTTCACCATATTGGCCAGGCTTGTCTTGAACTCCTGACCTTGTGATCCACCCACCTCGGCCTCCCAAAGTGCTGGGATTACAGGCATGAGCCACTGCACCTGCCCACGAGGAATATTTCTAATATGAAACATGTCACGTCCCTAGGCAGAAGTAAGTTTTTGAGCTGCTTATCTAGTTTTGCCCTCTTTGGGTTCCAGAAACTAGACTCAAATTCAGGTGTAGTGAATTGATTTTAGACTTCTGCCTAAAACACTACATAATAGTTCTGTAACTTGGGACTTCTAAAGGCAACGCAAAAGTTTTTTGAGAATGACTTATCCATGCACTAGAATTAGAATTCTATATTTAATTGTATACAAAATATATTAATTTGTAAAATGCTATATTAACCATATGAGTGAGGCACTGTGCTCAGTACTGAGGACCCGTTTGTGTGCAAAAGAGACAAACTCCCTATCATCAGGGTGCTTCTAGTCAAGTAGAGAAGACAGACCTTAATGATACAGTCAATCAAACTCCCCCTACCACAAAATAGATTATAAATACAGTAAGTGCTACAGAGAGAAATGAGTTTCCTCAATGTCTCACAGCACACACAGACACCCACCATTTCAAATTCTCTGAATTATGGAAGTGATGAAAAACTTTAGCTCAGGCTAAGTAAAGAAAAAATATTAAAGGATCAGGGATATGAACACTAGACACAGAATTCTGATTCTGTATCACCCTGTGATCCCAGTTCAACATCCATGAGATCCAAATCCAGAGAGGTAAAGAAAGAAGGAAAGGCAGAAAGATGGCTTATTAGTTAAATAGATGGAAAGCAAGCATGATGTTGTTAGTCACCAGTCAACACCTTGTGCTCTGGACAGATCTGTTGCTCAAATATCAAAGAGGAAACCCACAACAGCCCCTTGTCAGTTCTGTATCCCCATATTAGTTTTAATAGATCAGTTTTTTATAATCTATCTTATATCTTCCTTCTCATTGTATACCTGAAATGACCTAACCAGCAGCTGAGAGCACATACATCTTATTCTCAGAGATTCTAAACAGCAACTTCCTTTATCCAAAATATACAGGAATGTAGGAGCTTGGTAAGGAGCTCTTGTTCAGCCCAATTTACAGAACATCAGGCATCTCTCCCTGAAGAGACACTTGGAACAGGGTTTGAAAAATGCAGCAGTCTAGAAACTAGTAACTACAGGAATATTAATACTGCAAAACTAACAATCTAAGCATGAGTACCAGCTGTGAATGAGGAGTCACATCATTTTTAGGGGTCCAGAAAATCAGTAGATCATCCATTCTGCTATTAGACTTATGGGGAACACATTAGTGAAGTAATAGAATGAAAGTGGACAATATAGTTTTGGCAGCTCACTTTCCCTCTTTAAAAAAAGAAAAACTTGTCTTTTCAATATATGTCAGTTCAAGTTTTGAAAAGATGGATTATACAAGAGAACCACAGACTTACGAATCAAGTATAAAAGGGAAGAAAAATTAAAAGTGAATAGATACCTAAATAGATGTTATTAGAAAATGGACCGCAGTTTTCTAATCCATGTTTCATCTGCATTTCTAGAAAATAATATAATACTGTGCATTTTCTGAGAACCAGAGAAATGGCAATATGCTTGTTAGGAAGGAATTTCACTGACATGATCAAGATTATTTAATTTAAAATATAATAACATATGCTAAATTGATTAAATTCATAATAAAACTATACATTATATGCGCTTTAGACTCTTAGGTAACCTCTACATACACTTCCAGTAACTTACCATTACAGTAAGGATGAAACAGGGATAAAAAATACAACCATTGATGGAAAAAATGCCCAGTGATTAGAAGAAAATAAGGAAGTTAGGAACAATAACTACACAGATATTTGTACAACTGTGTACATAGTAAGGGTAGTTATCACTGAGAATTTAAATTTATATCATAATGAGGTTAGCATTATTTCAAGATTCTGAGATTTGGTAGACCTTGTTTCATGTTAGAAAGTATAATATCCCTTATTCAAAAGAAATAAATCTAATACTAGTGAAGGGAAAAAAACATATAATTATCTAATGTCAGAAGAGATATCTGTGAACCTGAAGCTTGAAGCTTTGTGCAAGCTATTTGGGTAAGAATTTTAAAAAGTAAAACAGAACTGATATTGTTAGAGGAGACTGTGGTGGGCCATCCAATTAATACTTTCCTTTGGCTTCTGATACACTTCCTTCCTTCTGTCTGATGTTACATCTTCTCTGACATATTCTCTCCCTCTCTCATTCATTAGTATTGGTGTTACACCAGACTGCTAGGCTCTGCTCTCATCCACATCTAAGAATTTCCTCATTGGTTGTGTTTATTTCCATGTCTCTTATTTTCAGCTTCTATAAAAAGATGATTCCTAAAGCTGTAACTTCCACACTGATAGCTTTTCAAAGCTCACTAGGTCAGACCCAGTACAAACAGCATGCTCAAACTGGAGCTAGATATCATTCCCATGAAATGTGACCCTTTGCTTCCTAAGCCCTCATCTTAGTTAACAGTATTGCTATCAGCTACAAAGCCTTTCTTCTTGATTCTTCTATCTTCTTCATAATTTCTTTCAATTCCAGTTCTGAAATGTCTTTACCAACTAATTGTTTTCTCTAGTACAGTTACTTAGTTTTTGTCTTTATCATCCCTGTCTCCTTGTGATAGTCTTCTGACTGGTTTCTTCATTTCCAGTCTTCACTTGCCATCACAGCCTCCTGCCTTTTCAATCTATCTCCCCACACCACCACCAGTCCTGCCCTTGAGATGATATATTTTATAAAAAGCCTTAAGTAAGGTTAGGATGATTACATCTTGGAGTTATCATATAAGGCATTTGCACGATGGGTAAGAATTTGGCTTGATAATCTCTAAGGTTAAATTGCACCAAAGACTAATATAGCATAACTGAAGTTGCTTATTCAAAATAAAGATTCCTTTGCCCCACCACAATGTACTGACTCAAAATCTTCTGAGTTTAGACTCCTGAGTTACAGTTTTGTAGGCTTCCCAAGTGATTGTGATACGCATCCATTTTTTGGAAACTCTAAGATCTTATTCAATTATAAGATTCAGTGATTATAACCCTTTAATCAGAGTCCAGTTTGCTATTCTTAGAGAATAGTTACAACAGTATTTTTTGCAATGAAGGCATCAAACTAAATGTAAGACTTTCTAAATGGTTTACATTAAATAAAAGAAGCATTCATTTAATATATAAATCCTGAAAGATTTGGGAAAATAATTACATCACATTAGAGACAAGCCTCATGTACATTTTTAACACATATATCTAATGAGTTTTCTTTAGTTTCACACAGATGTTAATAAGCTGAACATGAAGAGTTCAAAAATATATCTGATAAAAATAGTAGTAAATGTTATTCTATGCAAAGTATTTAGAAATTAAACTTAATTACATTAAGATGAAAACAATTAAGATTTAGCAGAACAGTAGGAAAAACTGGGGTAAAATTAAGTGTTTAATTACTTTTTCCAGCTCATTCTTTTAGGTAATGAAAAGATTCCTGCCCTATATACAAACATAACGTTTCCTATATAAGTAAATTGCTATGGACGTTAGCAGCACATGACCTAGCAGTAGAAACAGACCTCTATATATTTAATAAATTTTATTGTCAAATCATTGCTATAAATGAACTAATATAAAATAATAAATATAGGAATGGGATAGGTACAGTGGCTCATGCCTGTAATCCCAGCACTTTGAGAGGCCGAGGAAGGTGGATCACTCAGGGCAAGGAGTTCGACCAGCCTGGCCAACATGGTGAAATCCCGTCTCTACTAAATATACAAAAAAATTAGCCGGGAGTGCCTGTAATCCCAGCTCAGGCGGCTGAGGCACAAGAATCGCTTGAACTCGGGAGGCAGAGGTTGCAGTGAGCCAAGATCACACCACTGCACTCTAGCCTGGGTGACAAAGGGCGACTATGTCTCAAAAAAAAAAAAAAAAAAAAAAAAAATATATATATATATATATATATTATTAATACTTTTTTTGGTAAAACAGCCTCTCCAAGGAGCAAATTTGTAAATATAAGCCTAAACTCTATGGCATACTAAAGTATCAGAGGTTGAATTCCAACTATATAGGAAGCACATGGGAACGTAGATGACTAGAAATACAGATATAGGTATATTAATTAGCAATGAGATATGTATTTTTATACTTAATGAGGTCATATAACACAACTGTTTTGTATTTAGTTATATTTAGTCTGAGCTATCCACAATTTTTTAAAATTTAAAGCCCTTTGTTTCAATATTAAATGCACAATTATTTAGAGTAAGAATACATTTTCCCATAGAAACATTTTACAAAGTGTGCTGAGAATCCCAGGCTAGCTCATAACTCCTATTAAATCCATTATGACTTTAATTATAGTACTAATAGTACTATCTGAAATGTGAGATCTTAAAGCAAAACAGCAGCAGGGCAGAAATAAGGGGAAGAATAATTCCCTTCCCTTCCCTTTCCCCTTCCCCTTCTCTTTCCTTTGTTTCTTCCCTTCCCTTCTTCCCTTCCCTTTCTACAACGAAGCTACCCTTAGGCATATTTTGAAAGAACTACATGCTTCCTTGCTGTCATTACTTGTTGTTGCCTCCCCTACCTCCCAGTAACCATTGATATTCAAAGCCACTGACTGCAACACCCTTGATCATGGGATAGGACAAGTTAATAGGAAAACTTTACTCCTTATCAATGAGGATTTGTTTTCCCTGCATATATCAAGAAAATAAATAAATGAAAGGAGCTTAAACAAAGAAGATGTGGATATGCATAGTCCACAGGTAGTGGGGGGTCCATGGTTCTCAGGGAGTGGAGCCCCCTCTATTTTTCTCTTCCAAACCCAGAACACATTTTCTGTCCTTCAAGTTACCTTGAAGTCCAAAACAACTGCTGGAGCTGTAGCCATCATGTTTATGTGCCAGGCAGCAGAAGAAGAAAGTAAAGAAGGGAAAAAGGTTACTTTCTACCATGAGTCATTTTCCTTTCAGGAATCCTCTGTGTACATGTTATTGGCTGAAACCTATTCCTATGCCACATTTCACAGCAATGGTTGATGAAAAATGTAGTATTGTAACTAATGCCTTTACCATCCCAAATGAAATTAGAGGTCTATTGCTGAGAATGAAGGGGAGAATAGATATTGACATGCAATTAGTCATTTCTGCTACATTCCTCAAATGCCCAATGCTCCAGATTACTTGCCTCCTTTCCTACTTACTCAGTGAAGCTATCTCAAGTCCATTTTCTTTCAAGTCTAACTGACAGGAATGATCCTCCTAGAACAATGGTTCTCAACTTTGGTTGCACATTAGAAGCACTTGCAGTATTGTTAAAAAATCCTGATGCCCATGTCACACTCAGACAAATTAAGTCAGAAGCTCAACCAATGGGACACCCAGGTCTCAGGATTTTATATATGTGTGTAAATATGTATATATATAGTCTTGGTGATTCTAGTGTGTAGCCAACTTTGAGAACCACTGTCCTAAAAAATTGTAAAAGACAGATAATCCAAATGATGCTATATTCTGTCACTATTTTTCTGCTATATAATCAAGGAATAATTTAAAAACTCCATATCATAAATAAAGAATAAGGAACGATTTTGAGAGTGGTGCACTTCCCTTGCCTGCCAATTGTTTGCCTTTGGGGTCAGTTTTCTTATAAAAATGAACTTCCTCCTTTTTTTAACAGAATCTTCTAAAACATCTAGACCACAAGATTCTCTGAAAATTCCAACTCTTCTTTACTAGTGTTGGTCATATTTCATATCTTTTTCACTTTTCACACACTCCCACATCCATTCAAACACTCTATATGGCTCTAAAATAAGTCTTAAATGTGTGCACACCTTTATCTCATCCAAAACCCACACAGAAACCAAAGAAATGTTTAAAACACACACGCACACACAAATCTGAGCTTGTCATTGCTCTACAAAGATCCTTAGAATAACTTCCTACTGATCTAGGATTCTCTAACCTGCAAGATCCCCTTCCTCCCTACCTCCCAGCCTCATCTTAGGCCACTTGTTACACTGTCATACAGTGGCTTCCCTTCATGCCTCTCTTCCTTACAGTTAATGTACTTTAACTGTAAGTTTGCCAAGCCCATGAAATCCCCAACTCCATCAAACCAACACATTTATTTGCTCATTCCTATTGTAGGAGGCCTTTGCTGCTTCAAGAGACTGCTTAGAACCCATGTTATACCTCTTCATGACCCTTATCACAGTTACAGTTGTTTAAAAGGCCACTGATTTTTTTTTATGAGAGCAGGAAACATGTTCTGCATTATTTTGTTTCAGAACCTAGAATAGTTCCTATCACAGACCATGTACATGTTCAGTAATATCATCATTAACGTTTTCTGAATGAATACATGAAACAATAAGTAGCAGGAGATTCTGAAATTAGAAAGGTAGATGGGGAACAAACTGAAATGGTCATAAACAGCTGCTTGTAACTTAGGGATATGTGACCCAAGTCAACATCTCTCCCTCCTTTACAATATGTGTTTGTGTCTCTGCAGGTTGTGACTTGATCCCAGTACAGTATCTTCGATGGGGTGACCCTGAACCCATTGCAGCTGTGGTGTTTGCCTGCCTTGGCCTCCTGGCCACCCTGTTTGTTACTGTAGTCTTCATCATTTACCGTGATACACCAGTAGTCAAGTCCTCAAGCAGGGAACTCTGCTACATTATCCTTGCTGGCATCTGCCTGGGCTACTTATGTACCTTCTGCCTCATTGCGAAGCCCAAACAGATTTACTGCTACCTTCAGAGAATTGGCATTGGTCTCTCCCCAGCCATGAGCTACTCAGCCCTTGTAACAAAGACCAACCGTATTGCAAGGATCCTGGCTGGCAGCAAGAAGAAGATCTGTACCAAAAAGCCCAGATTCATGAGTGCCTGTGCCCAGCTAGTGATTGCTTTCATTCTCATATGCATCCAGTTGGGCATCATCGTTGCCCTCTTTATAATGGAGCCTCCTGACATAATGCATGACTACCCAAGCATTCGAGAAGTCTACCTGATCTGTAACACCACCAACCTAGGAGTTGTCACTCCACTTGGATACAATGGATTGTTGATTTTGAGCTGCACCTTCTATGCGTTCAAGACCAGAAATGTTCCAGCTAACTTCAACGAGGCCAAGTATATCGCCTTCACAATGTACACGACCTGCATTATATGGCTAGCTTTTGTGCCAATCTACTTTGGCAGCAACTACAAAATCATCACCATGTGTTTCTCGGTCAGCCTCAGTGCCACAGTGGCCCTAGGCTGCATGTTTGTGCCGAAGGTGTACATCATCCTGGCCAAACCAGAGAGAAACGTGCGCAGCGCCTTCACCACATCTACCGTGGTGCGCATGCATGTAGGGGATGGCAAGTCATCCTCCGCAGCCAGCAGATCCAGCAGCCTAGTCAACCTGTGGAAGAGAAGGGGCTCCTCTGGGGAAACCTTAAGGTAAAAGTTGTGGGGGCTTACAGGGATGCTGGCCCCTAAAACTGGAGCAGAGGCATGTGTTTCCTGGGTCTTTTAAATGGGAGAAATCTGGGTAAATGAAACCATGTGAGGCAGGGTGACTTACGGCATGGACCTTCTCATAAAATGGTATTTATGGGGTTAATGGGATGTGGGTCCAATTACTTAGGCCAAGTCTAGAAACATGGAAGTCAAAATCTCTAATAAAGCAGAGTTACAGCGTAGGGGGAGTGAGGTTGAGAGGGCAGACAGAGCAGAGTTAGCTCACAAAGCCAAGGCAAGGACCCTCAAGTTCTGAGGGGACAGAGTTATACTGTGGGTTAAATTCTAGTTCACCAGAACAGAGTAAAAATATATTACTAACAAAGATTATACTGAGAGCAAAATGCCAAGAACTCGACACATCAGACTGCACTTGTACGTGCCTAAACCTTATTCAAGCCAGAAGAGTGCTTAAATGCCCATCCAATAGAGGCACAAGAATGTAGGATTTATATTTTAGTTCTTAATGGGCAAGATGAAATCTTTAGGAGATGTCTAAGCAGCTGAAAAGGGCAAAACAACAAAGTGACTTTGCACATAAAAACAACCAGTCATTTTCCCAATTCTTTGTTGCCTATAGTCTCATCCCACCCCAAGTTCAATATCACAGGTAGTAGTTATTCGACCATTTCAATCTGAAAAGAATCTAAAGCCAGAAGCCAATGATTTCCCCCATATAAGGAACTTCCTTATGTGATAAATGATCCCAAAGCACTTCAAAAGACAAGATCATGTTATCAGTGGCTTGGGAAAAATGTTGAAGTATGAAAAAGGCAACACCAATTGTTGATAACTGGGACTAAGTATCACCTCTATTTAAGAAGTGTAATGTGTAATCAAAAGAGCTGGTCAAGACATCAGCCCTGCTAACTCTTCTGAAATTTAACAGTATTTCTAAAATCTAGATAAATAAATGGAAGATATGTAGATTTCAAATGGAAGCTACATATCTAAATAACATCTCTTGAACTATTCTCCTATACTATCACTTAGCCTGCAGGAAAGTCCTACTTTTCTGTCAGCCCTAAATCTTCAAAGTATGACTTATTATGATGGTAAAGATACTATGTCTGCTGAAGTTTGAAAATAAATCAGAGGATAGTTGAATTTTATCCACAAGGTCCAATTCGTTTACATTATTAACTTGTACTCTTACCTCTTTCAACTCTTTTCTACTTGTTTTACACTTCTCATCTCTTTCTACGTACATTGTACAAGACATTCAATTAAACTGTAACTCATGTCTTCTTTTTCAATAAATCCTGGCAATGTCATGGTCTGTACACAGCAGGCCTTTCATATATCTAACCTGCTGGCCTATTTTCCATCTGCCTTCCTGACTCCTGTATGAACCATTCTTTTTCTGAAATTTCTGCAAGATCAGCCTTTCCTTTTGGCTAAGAAAATTTATTTTTCAAACTTTTGTTTTATCAGCTTTTCTTCAAGTCCTATCTGTAAACAGAATCTCCCAGGAAAGCCTGGTATATAAAACAAGCATATTGATGGAGGAAGGGAATTGTGAGTCTATGTCTGAGCACGTAAAAAACTCACTAGAGAAAGCCCCTTAGGGAGACAGCATGGAGTGGTGGCAGAGAACACTGGCTGCCTAGCCAGATTGTTTTGGGTTTGAACAACAGCAGTGCTACTTTGTCTCTCTGCACCTTATTTCTATCATCTGACAAACTGGATTGTAAAAAATGAAGGAGATAATATGTGTAATGGCTGGCACATAGTAGGCACTTTATTGAAGGTAGCACAGTATAGTGCTGGAGAGCACTGGGATTAAATACTGGCAGCATCACTTAGCAGGTGCAGAACCTTAGGCAAATTCACTTAACCTCTCTATGCTTTGATTTCTTCCTCCGAAAAAATGGAGATAAAGAAATGCATACTTCATAGACTGGTTGTGATGACTGAATAAGTTAACATGTGTATAGTGTCTGCCACATAGTAAGCCCTTCTTAAGTATTTGCTATTTTGATTAACTAAGTTAACCATTGTCAGTCTTCTTTTACTCATGAAAGTTACTGTACCCAATACACAATCTGGATGATCTTAATAACAAAGACAGCACTATAAACGGCAGCACAAACCTATGGAGACATTGATTATACAATCTGAGTTTTACAGGGCATCTCGATCTTCATGTTGTCCAGCTCTTTGCCATTCTGTATAGCACATCCTGTCTTCCAATTTAAGCAGAGCAAGCTCCTTAGGGATGGAGGCCTTCTTTACCTTGCTCATCACTGTGCCTCCAATACCTACCTGTACCTTGAAGGGTGCTTGACACATAGAATATGCTCAATAATGATTTTTGGTATGTTTGTTGAATGAATTTGGGATGGTATTAATGTGGTAGGTACTTTTTTTGCTTGTCTTCAAATGTGCACACTCTTACTCCCTAGTTGTACTATTAACTTTTATAAGATTAAGGCAACAGTGCCCTGTATTACAGATATCTCTCTCACTCCTGTGGTCATCAGTCTCTGCTCTAGAATCGGATCACTGATCCCTTGCTTTACTATAGTTATAAAGTTTCTCTAGTAACATTCAATAAATATTTTCAACTGTTTTGTTTCTAATTTAATAAACAAAGGGACAAACAAAAGCAACAAATTTTACTGATAGTGCCAACCACTAGAAAACGGAAATTCTAAAGATTTTTGTTGCAATATTTTAACTTGTTTTTCCTACAGGGCCATGTAGTTTTTTTGAAATCTGTGCATTTGGATGTTAGAATCTGAAAGAGGGTAAAGAGAAACCTTTGGCAAGTGTTTGGTCTTCTTTCTGCAATCTTGGCAAATCTTGATCTGTCTATGTGATTATAGCTGACACAGGCCACAGTCTGATTATATGGAGATTTCTTTTTTGACATCAACTGGCATATTCAAGCTAGAACCTGCTTTTGATATGGATAAGAAAAAGGGGCAGGGAAAGCTATAATTCTTTTGTATCACATGCATCTGATATCTGCTCTCCTTTTTAACCCACAGTCATTAGAAAGAGATGCAAACTAAAATTCCTTTCCTCTATGGCTTCCATGAGCTCCAAAACTAAATATTTCTTCTCTGTGATACAAAATCTGTGATGTTTAGCATATTTATTACACTATAGGATATAGCTGGTTATGCAGGGATTCAGCTCCCATTTGATAATTACTTTTATGAAAAGCCAGTGTATAACACATGGTTCACCGCACTTCAGCTTAACTAATGGGAAACAAATAAATTCAGGTATTTCTAATATTTTTACATTTTCTTCTAAATTGCTTCCCTGAGTTGTGCTTCTCAGTCTTGAAAATTTTAATATGCTATTGAGCCCATCTCTTGGGATGTCATGTGGGCTTAAATAGGTAAATAAAGTCTCTGGATGTAGGTCTTTGGTGGAGAAGCATCTACCATGCTCGACCCAGCCCTGTTCTGCTGTCCTCTGTCAGGTGTATGAAGAAACAGGCTGCTATAATCTGAGATTGGGTATGCCCTCTGTTTCTGGATGGGGTCGTGTGTGTCCCTTCCACATGGAATGGCAGATGGTAAGGGCTCTCTATCTTAAAGAGGATACTAATTGTGTACCTCAAAATGAAGACTATAATAATATCTAAGATTATGGTAACTATGTCTCCAAAAGTTTGTACAGGCTCCTGGAAAGGTGTATGTACACAGATGGAAAATGCAAAGGCAGCATACTAGTTTAGAGTTCTGGCTTTGGAACCACACCTGGATTTCAATTCAGCTATGAATTTGAATAAGGCACTTTAGTCTGTTTTCTCAACTGTAAAATGGTAGATAATAATTCCTATTTTGAGTAGTAAATGAGGTAATATGCATTAAGTGTTTAGTACCAGCACGTAGAAAGTATTCAATAAATGCTACCTCAACCTTTTAGAATTGTGTCTGCAAGTAGCAGAAAGCCTGTTTTCAAACACTTATACTCTTTAGAGTTCATTTTCCTCATGTTATAAAAATTGTGGAGGGAGATTTCTTCGGGTGTTGGTTCAGTGATGCAAAGGCAAACACTTCTACCATTCTCTAGGCCTTTTACTAATGGTTGTAATATAGTTGTCATGGTTCCATACATTGTGTACTTTCATTAGGGAAAACAAAAGTCTTCTCAGAGTCCCATAAGAATTGCCCTTGTGTCTCACTGGCCCAAACTGTCTAATATAAGAGAATATGGGAAAGTGACATTTAGCCTCTTCCATCTCTATCATGGAAATGGAAAGAAAAAATGGCGTGTCAGGTGTTTGTTAGATAATCCAGTGCATAGTGCCTAAAATGTTAGCACCTAGTAGTAGTCACGGTGGTAGCAGTCGCAGAAGGAAGAGGAATGGAACAGAGAAGAGAGCAAAGAAGAGGAAAGAAGTAAGAAGAAGTGGAGCACAAAGTAGGAGACTGGAAAAAAGTTTCAAATCAGAGTAGTCCCCCAAAATGGTTCATTTATTACCTACCTACTATGTTCTGCCACCTTACAGAACTTTTTGTATGTATAACTAGTCTAACATTTCTAATTGTCATAAAATACTGCAAGTTGAAGCAACAATCCTCCCATTTTTCAGATGGGAAATTTGAGGTCCTGCACGGTGAGAATACTTGCCTATTGTTTCATGACTAATGAGTAATGGAGCAGTTTTTAAATTAAGGTCTTAGCTGATGATTACTAGAGCTAAGCATATATGGACTGTTTTCTTTGGAAAATTAGTATATTCTTTGAAAAATTAAATAGCTCCATGAAAAAGAAATTATTTGGTCAAAAAGGTGAAAAAACTCTATTCTCTTATTGGAGATAAACACTGAGAAGTCTTGCACTGTAGAAACCTATCATCTATTTGTTAACTCTTTCTATCATTTTGCAAACATGTATACAAGACCATTTTTTTCCAAGTAAACCTCTTAACATTCTGAAGAACTGATGCTCCAAAGAACTTACTTTGGAAAACATCATCATAGACCCAAGAGAAGACATGTTTATGGGGCCTGAAGAGTAGTTCATATCTTTAGTGAGAAGGGGGCTAGACGAAGCAAATTTCCACCTCTCATCATGGAGAAAGAATCACTTTGAGCTCTCTGAGCACCTAAGGAGACAACAGAGGTAATTCTAACAGATCCAACAATTTTCTGTGAAGTTAAATTGGCTCAACCTAGAGCACAAATAGAAAAGGGCCCGGAATCAGCCATTCAATTCACTGAAATAGCAAAGGGAGATTTTTATTTAAATGGAAATGAGTCACTACAGATTTTTTTATATGGAAACATGCTATTTATGCCATCAATGTATAGAGGTCCCTGTGATTAACATTTTGGTTCTAGACACTAATTTCCAGCACAACATGGTGCAGCATCAAATCATTGTCAAGCAGATAATGCCAGGCTTCCGTTTAAGGCATTCACTTCAGCTGCAAATTGACAAATGAACACAAGGCCAGTTCTGACCTAAATAAAGCATTGAATCTGATGAATCTAAAGTTCTAGCTCTGCAAGATTCAGAATTTCCAGGCACATGGAACTGGGGTTCTAAAATGCAATGGGCCTTTCATGGCTAAATTGATGACAGAGACCTACAGCTGGAAGTTATAAATTTTCTCAGAAGTCAAAACCCTCCCCTGGGATTCTAGTCAGGGGGCAGAATCATTAGTGTTGCCTCCACCTTAACTGAAATTTAGAAACTGCCATTTGCCACTTCTGTTTTAATTAACTAATTAACTTTGCTTTAATTAGCATTGTCACGAGGGCCCACTTTGGCTGTCTGCTAAAGCAACTGCTGGTCTCCCCACATTCATTGGCCGAATTACAATATGCCTAGAAAACTGGTTCATTTGTGTGAATTCCAATATACTCCAATTGTTGTCAGAGCTTTCATAATTTCCAATGGCTTATATTTCCTTCAGGCATTATTAGTCTGCATGAAGTGATGTTCATGCTATTTCTCGTTCTTTAGAGTCCTCCACCTTTTCCTTCTATCTCTCCAGATCCTACTCATCTTCCAAGGCTAGGACACCTCAATGAGACCCTATCAGATTTACCCATCTCACAGATTTTCCCACATCTGGACTCTTGGAGCATTTATTATGTATTCCATATATTTCACACATATCACTCTCCCTTTCTTCACTTGTTATTTATTCACAGACATTGACTGAGGACTGAGCAATACCACCACTGTGCTAGGCCCTCGGGATATTGAGTTTGTTTTGTGTACATATGTAACATTTTCACAACTATCTAATGCTGTCTTCAGCGTATTTATATCTCCCTTGGTGCCTAGCACAGTGCTTGCCATGCAGTGATTAATAAAGAGCACACAGAAGGACAGGTGGATTAGAGATCTGTTGGGCAGCACCTCATGGAGCTCACACTGCCTTCAGAGTGAACAAGATTACTCACTTTGCTGACTTGATGGGCCAGATTTTATCTGATAATGCTTTGTCCTAAAAATATAAGAAAAAAAATGCTTTCTTTCTAAAATCAACTTTTCTTTTTAAAATCAAGCTTCCATTGAATGCCTACTCAGCAGCATCAGTAACTGTTCCAGATCCTAGGGATACAGAGATAGATAAAAAACAATCTTTGGGAAGCCCTCAGTCTCCCAGGAAAGGCAGGATTAGAAACAGTTAAGTTCAATAAAGCAATACAGTGCCATGATAGGAGCCTATAGAGAAACAGAAGGACCCAAAGGTAGAAGTAGTAAATTCTGCCCGAAATTAGAAATAATGTTTAAAAGATACTCATTCAAACAAGAAAAACTATCTAAGTGTTTTAAACCCTGTTTAGAAGCCTTCAGGGCTTCTCCGCCCAGTAGGACAGGATAGAGCCATAAAGTTCTTTTGCATAATAGGAAAGGCCCTTGCTAATCTGACTCCTTCACCCTTAGCTAGCCTTGCTTCTGGCCACCCCCTGCCTGACTTTCCACACTGATCCTTATACAATTTCCTTGCTCTATGGCCTCTAGAGAGGCAGCTACTTTGGTATGAAATACACCTACCCCATCTCACCCTCAACTCTCACTTGGCCAACTCATACTCATCTTAGATACCAATTCTGCTGGAAAGCCTCTCCTGGCCCTCTGAGACTGCATTAAGTTCCCCTCCTTATGATCCAAATGAGCCATGTGCTTCTCACTACAGAGCATTTATCATCCCACGTTAGAATTGTCTGTTTAATTGAAAGACTCTTTTGCACCATCATCTCTAGACTCGCCACAGACACACACTATACCATGAACTTATTAAAGAGAGGAGCTTACTCATTTTCTGTATCATTTGCACCGTGCACAGTGCCAATCACATACTCAATACTCAAAAATGTTTGTTAAATGAATACATGGATAAATAACTAATGTCTGAGCTGCACTGGCATTTGCCAGTGAACAAGAAAAGGCTGAAGCTAGGGAGTAATAGTTATTGAGCACTTGCTATGGGCCAGGCACTGCTCTAAACCCCTTAAATGTAATGAATCTTTTTATATCCACAACAATCTATGGGGTAGGCATTATTAGCTCATTTATTGTACACATGAGGAAACTGAGGCAAACAGAAGCTAATTGACTTCCCCATTCAGATAGTAAGTAGAAGAGGAAGGATTAGAATAAAAGGAAGCTAGCTTCATAGCCCACTCAGGTAACCTTTAAGCTGTGTTCCTTATTCCAGCCCTTATGACAAACATGGCAGCCCTAACTGAGGAAAAACTGAGATTAATGAGTGAGGAGTAGAACTCCCCGCCAAGGAATTTCCTTGAAAACTGCTCCCTGCATCTTTATTGCACTGCACACTTCTGATTCCATCATATCCTGAATGAACCAAATTTGATTGTGAATAGAGTACACAAAAGCTTCTGAGATAAAATTTAAACCTTAAGAACTGCCTGAAATTTGGTGGTGATTTTCAAATATTTGTATAGATTTTCTTTATGAGAATAAAATCTGACTGACTTATTTTTATTATGTATAATATTTTTACAGGAATTGAGAAGACTTACACTACTTTTTGGTATAATATTTTTAGTTACAAAGTTTTTATTATAAACTTTTATTATGAGCTCTTTATAAACCACATTTTTACTCTGCTTCTATTTACTAATTTTTCCCTCCAAGAAGTCCCACAAACTTAAAAAAATAGAACTTTATAAATATACTTTGAGAATTATGCTGTTTTGTGTTTGTGTTGTTTGTTGTATTTTTTTTTTTTTTTTTTTTTTTTTTGAGATGGAGTCTCACTCTGTTGCCAGGCTGTAGTGCAGAGGTATGATCTGGGCTCACTGCAACCTCCACCTCTCAGTTTCAAGCGATTCTCCTGCCTCAGCCTCCCAAGTTGTGGGACTATAAGCGCGCACCACCACACCCAGCTAATTTTTGGATTTTTAGAAGAGATGGGGTTTCACCATGTTGTCCAGGATGGTCTCGATCTCTTGACCTCATGATCCACCTGCCAGCAGGTCAATGTTTCAAGTCATCTAACCCTTTCCCACTCTCTCCCCTTAGAACAAAATTACAGGAGTGCAGCCTGTGAAATCTCAACAGCAGAAATTGCAACCCTTTTCCAAATCCCACCTATCCCTTAGCACAATGGCATTCAACAGGTGCTTACTTTGGATAATAACAATTAATGAGGAACTGCAGAAACACTGACTGGAATGACAGCTCCCAAAAGCAGTGAGAACAACAAGCTGGGATTGTTGTTTCGAATGTGGGGCTGTATTTACAAACTCACCTGGCCATAAATCGCCAAGAGCTGAGTCACAAACCCTGATATAGTTACTTTTCTTTGGAGAGAGTGCCTAATCTGAAGTGAAATGAAATAGGCAAAGGATCCTTATGCTTCCCACCTTGGTTCAGTCCAGTGTAATTCAACCAGAGTTTTTAGAATAATCATTATATACTGGGTACATTGCTGAGTTCTGGGAGAATAAAGATAAACAAGACACAAAGCCTGCCCTTTGGAAAAGCTCACAGAGTAGTGGGGGAGATCAATTCATACACAAAGCAATGTTTTAGAGTATGAAGTGATGAGAGAGAAAAATGCACAGAGAAATCAGAAGTCACTGAAGAATAAACTAAGTCCAATTTGAAGGTTTCAGGAAAGGTGACACTTGAGTTGAATCTCAAAGGGATAGCATTAGGAGAAATACCTAATGTAGGTGATGGGTTGAGGGGTGAAGCAAACCACCATGGCACGTGTATACCTATGTAACAAACCTACATGTTCTGCACATGTACCCCAGAACTTAAAGTATTAAAAAAAAAAAAAAAAGGATGATTAAGCCACGTGAAAACCGTGGAATACACCATACTGGGAAACAACAGGAGCAACAGCCCAGAAGTATGAAACAACATGGTGTGTGCAGGGAATCACAAGCATGTAAAATGTGTGTCAGCAGGTAACAGGAGATGAAGCTGACAGGGAAGGGGCAGAGGAGGATCCTCTATTGTTTCCTTATAAGCTTAGCCTCAAGGAGCCATCAGCCAACCACCTTCCAGCTTTCCCAATTTCCTTTCAGTTGCCTCTTTTCCCTTCTTAACACCCACTTTAGACATCCAATTCCATAATACTCATGGCTACCTCCCCAGCATCAGCCTGATGCCTCCACACACCATATGCAATCAAAACTTCCCCTCCTCTCTGCTAGAGAAGAGATAAATTAATCTGTGCTATGATGATAAGGATTAATAATGGCTTGCTTCATCCTTTATGCAGTAAACACTTAATGAGCAACTACTTTATGACAGATACTGTGCTAAGTACTTTTATCTGTTATCTCATTGGATCTTCACATAGTATTTTAAAATAGAAACTATCATCGCCTATCCACATATAAAGAAAAATTAGTAACGGAAGCACATAGAGGCCTAATAGCCTTTAGTTAGTGAACTAATAGGTGGTAGAACCAAAATTTAGGATTCAAACGCAGGTCTATGTATCTTCAAAGCTCTTTTTCATTCCAACATTGCTTTACTGGTGGATTTATTTTCTCAAGCATGTATCTCATTTTGTTCTTGTTACTGTTGATAAATAAGGTCATGATGAATGTATTTCTGCCACATATTTTGACACAGATTTTTAGTCCCAGAGAAATAACCCTAAATGCAACATTTTTTTTCTTTTTTTGGTATATAGGCAAATCAGTCCAAGTGACCCTGATGGAACAAGGTAGCCGTCGGTGTCTCTCATGTCATAATTTGACAGAAGTAGTGTGGTATAGGGAAGTGAGCCTTGTCAGCGAAGACATGCATTCTAATCCTGACTTTGACATTTATAAGCCAGGACCCTAGACTAAGCACTTAAATTCTCAGAGCCTCTAGAAAATAAGGACAAAAATATTCATTTCACTCTGTATTGTGCTCAAAGGTCCACTGTGAACATAATACAGGATGTATCCCACAGGGCCATGCATGGTGGCTCATGCCTGTAATCCCAGAACTTTGGGAGGCTAAGGCAGGCGGATCATGAGGTCAGGAGTTTAAGACCAGCCTGACCAACATGGTGAAACCCTGTCTCTACCAAAAATATAAAAATTAGCGGGGCATGATGGTGGGCACCTGTAATCCCAGCTACTTGGGAGACTGAGGCAGGAGAATTGCTTAAACCCAGAAGGTGGAGATTGCAGTGAGCCAAGATTGCGCCATTGCACTCCAGCCTAGGTGACAGAGCAAGACTCCATCTAAAAAAAAAAAAAAAAAGAAAAGAAAAGAATGTGTCCCACAGTTCATATCCATGAAATGTGAGTTTTCTTTTCACTAATCCTGGGGTCATCTCATGACCCCACCTAATAGACAGTCCTGGTGACAATCTGAGTAGGTTACATGACTTTACTCTTTAGAATGCTACTGACATGGAAATATTTGACTTCAGGAATCCTGCCTGAACTACTAGGAAATCATTGCTCTATCCTGGGGATCCATGGCCCTCCAAATTTTCATTACATCCTTCGGTGGCAAGTTAATAAGTTTCTGCTTAACTGCTTTTCTAGAAGTCAAACTTTCCTCAGGGTTTAAAGGCGGTTTGTGAGTTTTAGCCATTTCCCTCATTCCTGTTGTGGTTTGGCAGTGCATTTATGATTCTTCATAAAAAATATGAGTTTTAACTTGGCCCAGAACATGTGGATCCATCTTTACTTAATTACATAGAAACTAAATGATAAATCACTGCAATAAATTTTATGCATCATATAATATGAAGCTGTATTTGGTGAGGTATGTGTGCGCTTATGTTTTTCATGTATATTTAGTCAAAAAATTTAAAAAAGCAACTGAAGAAAATAGTCACAGCATCTCTCAGGTGCATAAGCTTTGTGCCTAGCCTTGCTCTGTGGCATCACGACAGCACATTCTGGATAAAGAAGTTGCCAGAGTGCGTGACTCCCCCTCTGCTGAGTTAAAACGGCACAGCCAGAAATACAAACTAATAATGCTGTTTCTTTCATTTATTTATGTGACTTTTTAGTTTGAGAAAAAAGAGAGACCACAACTTGGTAAACAAACATAAATCTGTCATTGGCCATGTTCTTCCAAAACAAACAGTAACTGAAAAGCAAAAAGCATGGTGAATATAATGAGGCTCCCAGTGAAAAGAATAATTACAATCAGCATTTGTTAAGTAAGTCCCAGTCCAGTCGCGTGAGACTCTTTTCCATGTGTTTTGCGTACTACTATTTTATGGGGTAAGACTTCCCAACCCAGAGTTTCTGATTCAGTTTGTCTGGAGTAGGGCCAGAGAGATTGCTTTGCTAAGGAACTTCCAAGTAATGATGACATTCCTGGGTTAGGAATCACAACATAGATTCACTTTGAGAACAATGGACTTACATATTCTAAGCTCACACCAGTGATATGAGTCAGATATTATTAACTCTGTTTTAAAAGTGAGAAACTTGAAGCTGAGGGAGGTTAAGTGATCTAAGATTACATAGCTGGTAAGGGACACAAATGGTCCTGACATCCAAGGTTGTCTGAGTCCAAACAGCATGTTCTTTCCACAGTACCATGACTGGTAAGCTTTCAAGAGGATATGTCAAGTGGGTAATTGTTCCCTCCTTCCTGTTTGCTCCATATTCAAACTTTTGTTTTGCAGATTCATTAAACTCTAGGACATTGCTGGCCCACCTGAGGGTAAGATAATAACACTGCCATTATAAGAGGCTTGCTATTGGTTATTAAGCATACTCTCCACTCTGCCCATCTGGTAAATTCCATAGCAGTCTCAGAGATTATGTGAAAAGTCTTCATCCACCTTCTCCACTTCTGGTTGAGGGGAACACTTTTTCACCTCACTAGGAGCCAATGTCCAATCCAAAAGATTATTTGCCCTTCCCCTACATTCAGGTCCAAACAAACAACTGCATCAGTGCCAGATGCAGGAACATAGTTAATTAACAGGGAATTAGAAAAGAACTTGGGATATAAGTTGGCTAGTATCTCAGCATCATCATGTAGAATTGCTGTAAAAACAAAAGCTAAATTAAACAAAAAAATCTTATTACATCTTCAATAGCATGAATAAAACAAGGGAAGTAATAGGATAGAATAATATCAACCTGGAAGTCCTCTTTAGTAGCCAGATGATGGCCCCCAAACATGGTCACATGCTATTCCCTGGAACCTGTGACTATGTTATCTTACATGGCAAAAGGGACTTGCAGGTGCAATTATGTTAAGGAAAGATGATCCTGGATTATCCAGTGGGCCCAATGTGATCACAAAGATATTACAAGAGGGAAGCGGGGTGCCAGAGTCGGAGAGACATTTGAAAGTGCTATTCTGCTGGCTTTGAATGTGGAGGAAGGGTATAGAAGCCAAGGAATGCAAGCAGCCTCTAGAAGCCGAAAAATACAAGGAAATGGATTGTCCCCTACAGCCTCCAGAAAGGAATGTAGCCCTACTGACACCATGATTTTAACTCAGTGGAAGCCATTTCAGCCTTCTGATCTCCAGAACTGTAAGATATTAAATTTCTTTTGCTTTAAAGCCACTAAATTTGTGGTCAACTTTTAAAGCAGCAATAGAAAACTAATACACCCTTCATAAGATCTGGATCCCAGATGAATGATCCTTTCCTAACCACAACACTCCTTAAAAGGTAGACTATCTTGGATTAGGCAAAAGGAGAGGAGATTTTGGTCTTCCCTACCCAAAACTCCTGTGAGGTTTTATGACATCTTACAAGGTTTTACTTTGGTCATACGTATCACACAGAAAGTCACTGTATTTTTCCCCCCAACATGCATGTTCTACCAGAGATCATTGAGGACAAGAATATATTCATCCCTAGGTTGGCTCTGAGTAGATACTCAGTAAATCACTGTCGTGGTAATACAAGGTGTGAAAATGAGAGCAAGTTCTACCAATTCCCCCTACTTATATTCCTCAGGGATAAACAAGCTCCTGCTGTGCTATACCATCCATCTTAATTTTCCCCTATGCTGTGGCCTGTTCACTTTTACTCTGGATCCCACTGGAGTCTTGATTAGAAGCTAAAGAGAGCAGGACCACACTTGGCCCATTAGTGAGAGTCAGGCACACCAGACATTGTGCTCTGACTCAGGCAGACACATTATGACAATGCAGAAAAGGCACAGAAGGAACATCAGAGGAAAATGAGGGGGAACAGGAACTCTGAGTGAACTGTGGACACATCTCTCAGGAACTATCTAGCCACTGGATACAGCTGAGTGTACGGCTTATTGCTGGAGAATGGACCAGGACAAAAGTAGACTTTTCTCATCCATGCACAGAGCTACGGCCTGCCAGCATAGCAAAATGAGAACCAAATGTTCTAGCCCAAATGGACTAGCAAGCACTTTTCCCTTTGATTGATTAACTAATAAAAACACAAGAAAAATTGATTTCATCATTCACTCACAACAGAAGTCCAACTTCAGGACTTGTCTTAATCTAAAGAATGTTTAAAATGTCCGATGGTACTTGAGAAAAACTGAGCAAATTGACTTTAGTGAAAAACTTTAAAAAACAACAAAAAAAGACATGTTAGCAGAATGCTAATGTGATGAACTGGAGCTAAGCAGTTGCAGACTTCTGATGTCTTGGCTGTCTTTTTCACCTTCAAACTCCAAATCCCTACATCAAAGCACATGTTATCTAATTTCCCCTTGGAAATTTTTAGAGGCTTTTGTTTAATTGCATTCACTGTACAGACACTGCTCTGTGACTGTATCTCCAGGGAGAATAGTGCCAGACAGACTACGAGTTATGGGCTGAGAGGAGCAGACAGCTTTTAAACTCTGGGGCATTTCTGACCATCCTCAGTAATGCTAGAGAAGAATCAGACCTTGTGTGTCAACAGTCTATGGACTGTTTTTCCTCCTCCTTTTCTTCTCCCCTCAACCCCTAACCTGGTCCCCAGCAGTCAGTCGACCAGGTCCCTTTCCTGGCCAGTAGGTGGCAGGCGAAGTTCTTTGGGCAACTCCAGTGAGAAAGCCTTTCTGCCCAAGATGCACTCAGCTTGTGTAGCAATAATCAAAGACTACCACTGTGGGTTTGCACAGAGAGCTCAATGTAAGCAGCAGAGACAAACTTTTGCAGAAGCAGTGGTAAGAGTAGAGGTGCTGATTCCCAGATGGACCAGCTGAAGAAGATTCCTAATACAAATTTCTAAATTTCATCTCTTGGTTTGCTGATTATCATTGATATCACATTTCCATAACCATAAAAATGATATAACAGTCCAGCCACGATGGCTTATGCTTATAATCCTAGAATGTTGGGAGGCCAGTGGGAAAGAATCACTTGAGGCCAGGAGTTCAAGACCAGCCTGGATGACATAGCAAGACCCCATCGCTACAAAAAAATTAAACAAAATAGCTAGATGTGGTGACAGACAGCTATCATACCAGTTACTCAGGAGGCTGAGGTGGGAGAATCACTTGAGCCCAGGAGTTTGAGGCAACAGTGAGCTATGGTCATGCCACTGCACTCCAGCCTGGGCAACAAAGATCCTGACTCAAAAAAAAAAAAAGATGTGACATTTAAAAGTTGGAAAAAATGAGCTGTAGCTGTTTCCTAGAATGTTGATGCTAGATTTTAAAAACATACACCTCACACACCATAGAAGAAGGCTTGCCTAAATATCTTCCTACCAGTCACTTTTGACAGTGAAAATACCTTTACAATTCAATGAGTTCTGCTTCCAGTGTTAATTCTTCAGAGTCAAACTACCATGATCTTCCATTGATTGGTGATGTACCATGTGCCCATGTGTACTCTCTGTTTAATCTAATTCACTTCTTACAATAACCCTGTAAGAAAAGTTTATTAGACCCCTATACTGATGAGGACACTGAAGTGTGGAGAGGGAAAGAAGCTTGCCCAAGGCAGTGAGCGGCTAAACTAAGGTTTGAATTCAACTGTTGAGGTTAAGAATTTTAGCTCTAAAATCTACTAAAATGTATCAATTTCTCTAAAGCTTGACCTTGTGAATAAGAATCGAATCTGCCTTGTCACATGCTTACTCATCCCATTTCTGGAGGGGGAAAAAAGAATTGTGAAGGGGCACGTAGCCTTTTACTATCAGGGAAAATTAATATGTCAGAGTCTGCAACATTTTATACCTAAGTAAGTGCTCAATGCAAGTATGAAGAGGTTGAGGTCTGCTGGTGGGAGGTAGATGAGAAAAGAGACCAAGAATGAAGTCAGACTGTTTTTGCAACTATCACAGGATTTAAAGTCAAGTTCTTGGACACTCCAGCTGAAGTCTAAATAGGCAGAACCCACAGAAGGGAAAGTGGAGTGTAGGATGTGGAAAGGGGATGATAGGGGCTAATGATAACTAACTTCAATGAGCATTTATGATGTAGCAGGTACTACTGTCAGTACCACATAGACATTCACTGAACCACTAAAACAACCCCATGAGACAGGTAACATTACTATTCCCATTTTATAAATAAGGAAATTGAGACATGTGAAATTGAGACTGACAGTAGCAGGTACTACTGTCAATACCACATAGATATTCACTGAACCATTAAAACAACCCCATGAGACAGGTAACATTAGTATCCCCATTTTATAAGTAAGGAAGTTGAGACATGTGAGGTTAAATAAATTGCCCAAGGACAAACAGCTGGAAAGGATTGGACTTTAAATTCAAATCTAAGCAGTTTGTCTCTAGAGTCCATTAGCTTAGCTACCAGAAATTATAAACACTAAGATTGTATTTGAAAGACTGGTAAAGAATTTGTAGGAATCAATGAAATGTCAGTATTGAGAAAGACATTTGGGAAATTATCATCATTACAACTTGATTTCAGTTAGGAATCTTCCTATTTAAGCCTCTTGATAAACTGAATAAATGACTGTCCATTTCCCTGTTTTCTTTTTTTATCCCCCCCACTCCCTTATCAGTTTCTCTTTCAGAAGATATAAAGCCACTGTCTGAAGTACTCATCTGTATTATAATCCAGTCAACGTCTGAAGACAATATGGTTTGGTCATGAAAGCAAATGTACACAAGAAGCACATTTAAGTTTCTTAGCTGAAATGTCTGCATAATGCAAGCAGGGCTGACTTGAACTAAATTGGTACACGGAGTTGGATGTGTGTCCTAAAGACAGATTCAGATGAAGTACACGGTTTCATTTTATCAGTTTTATTTTTATTTCCTTTCTTCAAATGAAAACTACTTCTAAAGTTGTTGTGGAACATGTATTTTAGAAAGTGGTCAGGTACAGTTCAATTTCATCAGCTATTTCTTAAGCACCTACCTAGTAGAAATACTTAAGTCAATTTTTAGAATTAAGTGTACTTGACAATCTGGATAATTTTAATATTTAAATCAGATCATTAGAAGAAAATACTATTTTGACCAAGAAATTAAGTGATGATTTTATCATCACTTCTCCAGACCTTGATTGAAGTTTCTTCTTCTTCTTCTATTTCTTCTCTGGATAAAAGCTGTAACTTCAACTAATTGCCCAAACCTGTGTCATCCTTAACATTTTACTTGCTCTGACCCTTCACATCCAACCAGTCATTTCTCCTACTAATTTTACCTTATCTTTTGCATTTTCACTGATATCTTCATGGATGAGGTCTTCATAACCTATTGTCTGAACTGCTGACATAATTTTCTAAATCTCTCTTGTTGATCCACCACCCTGTCCCAGCAGCTACCAGCGTAATCTTCCTAAAGTGAAAATGTAATCACATTATTCAATACTCAAATTGAGTTCAGCGGGTATACATGCCTTAGAATATAAAAATCTAAAACTCTTTCACATGGCTCACAGAGCCTTAGTGACCTGGCCCTTGATGACTTGGCCTTCCCAACCTTGGATCCAGCCACCAGTCTGCTACATCAAGCCCCTAGAGCCCCCACCACCAGTGCCATACTATACCTCCAAACACATACTATATAGCCATATAGTATGGCTATATAAAATGTATACCATACTATATAGCCTCCAAACACATACTATAACACGGTGCCAAACTGCATATAGTTCCCAATTTCAACAATCCTTGGACATTTCTTTTGTTGTTGTTGTTTGTTCTCTGGGGGGTTGGGGTTTGGTTTGTTTCGTTTTGTTTGGGTTTTTTTTTTTTTTCTTTGAGACAAGGTGTGGCTCTGTCACCCAGGCTGGAGTGCAGTGGCATAAGCAACGTCCATGGCCTGGGCTAAAGTGATCCTCCCAAGTAAATGGAACCACAGGTGCATGCCACCACACCTGGCTAATTTTTGTATTTTTTGTAGAGACCAGGTATTACCATGTTGCCCCCACTTGGTCTTGAACCCCTGAGCTCAAGAAATCCACCCTCCCTGGTCTCCCAAATTGCTGGGATTACAGGCATGAGCAACTGTGCCAGGCCTCCTGGCCATTTCTTTGGTATTCTTCCTGCCTCTACTAATGCCTGAATTTATCTCCCTTTCTATTACCTAGAAAATGCCTTCTTACTCTCCAATTCCTAACCCAAGTGTTTCACTTATTTTATCAACTGTTATTTCCATTAGATTCTCTAGATCTCCTATAAAACTCATCAGGTTATATTGTACCATTGATTTGCATGTTTTTCCCCTGTGCTTGACTGTAAATTTCTTGCAGGCATTGCTTTCTTTGCCTCCACCCTCAGCAACTAATTTGGTGCTTGTTTTTAGCAAGTTATCTGATAAATATGTGCTGGGTGACCAGCAAAGATTCACTTCTCTAGTCTCTGGTGAAGTCTTAGCTCCTCCCTTAATGTGAATCAACACTCAATAGTAGTTCATTTTCCAAGAGAATAAGTCAACTTTCCAAGTGCTCCACTAGTGCCTAGTAATATACTTTTTAAATATATTAATGTCTCTCACTGGAGATGTAGAAGGTAAATGCTAAGAAGATTTAGATCTGGCAGGTTGTAATGTTATGAATGATATATTTTAAAGTGTTTTATTTTGAGGGAAGAAATGCTTTGTAGTGATTAATTAAATGGTTTGGCTCCGTAATAATTGAAGTATATTTGTGGAGCTATTAAAGACTATGTCTGGATGATTTTGATGAATTGCATCTAAAACACTCCCTTCGCATAATGAATTGATATTTTTAAGTGCTGTGATTACAGTGGATTTTTTTAATTTGCATGTGATGTTAGTGGCCTCATTTGTTACTACTTAAATTTGATTGAAATGTTTTTGATTAATTGTTATAAATTCTCTGAATGGTAAGGTAAACTAAGCAGTTTTATTTTCAAAATTCTGTCTCAAGAAATGTTCCTTTTATTTACATTAGTCCTGCTTAGAAGTGGTCTTGCTGCACCGTATCTGGTGCATGCAAATCATATTTCCTTCAGAACATAACACTTAATATGAGAGAAAAGTATGCCTCAGGCATAATTCTGTGAGTTAACAACTCTCTTCTCCCAAGCAGCATTCCTTTGGTAACAAGGAAAGAAATTAAACAAGAAAAAGATAGGAATATCCTTTTCTCTAGCCCTTTGGCTAAAATAAGTTTTCTACCTTTTCTCAATCACCTGGACACACATTTTTGGTCTCACCTTCTATGTCCCAACTCCTTCCCTTCCCCACCTCCCACAAGGCATTTTGTAGATCAAATATTTCCATTAGTTGGTAGGCATAGAGATATATCTGGTGGCTGGTTAAAGAAGAAAACATATTTATCAAGTTCCTTCAAAGTACTGTGTGCTATTTCATATTATATCTTATTTCATTGTACAATAGCCTTGTAAAATAAAAATATGCTAATTTTTACACTTGTGAAAGCTGAGACTCAGACAGGTGAAATAATTTGAGCCTGTATGCCCAGCTTGTTATTGAGCTGATGTGAACCCATGACTGCCAGCCTACTCCTTGTGCTCTTCATACTATGCCTTATTATAGCCTCCATTATTCTTTAGCTGAAAAATATTTGCCTGTCAGTCTGAAAAGATGGAATCAGGTATAGAATTTCAACTCTCAAGTGATCTATTAAAGGAACTCATAGAGGAGATAGCCTTGAGTACAAGAATAATGGGAGTGTTTGAGTTGCTTATATAGGGAAGGCATTCCAGCAAGAGATAACGGCAGGCACAAAGATAAGGTTTGGGGCTACTTGAGGCAGTCTCCCATCTCCTAACTGAGGGTATTCCCTAAGGTCAATCTGTGGTCCTTGAGTTCTGTCTACTTTTGTTCTCTTCTTTGGAGAATTCAACCATCCCATCATTACACTTTCAATTCTGGAGTATTAGTCTTCCTTGAGTTCTGGTTGTGAGTCTACAAATGACAACTAGATAGCTCCACTTTCATACCTGGGATCACCTCAACCTTAACATATCCAAACTCACTTTCTTTTATATCAAATAAATCCATTTGTAATAGTTTCTTTCTTCCCAGTTTTCTATTAAATGCAACAAATTTTTCTACTTCCCACTCTGAAAATGCAATCATGTTTAATTTTTCCTGGTCCTCAATTTACCCATTTTTAATCAGATATAGGTAAAACTGTTTTTTAATGTTTTGATTTTGTATCCTCATTTTAATTTTCACAATTGCTATACAATTGAATATCATATATCTATACATCTTAATTAATAGAAGAATGAGAAACCAATACATCTGACCAACTAAAAAATATTCAATACCTCCCCATTTTTGTTGAAAAATACACTACTGGCAATTCCTCATAGTATCTTCAGCTTGCTCTTCTTACCTTTTCAATTTAACCTTATGCTTCTCCTCAGCATTAATCTTCTGCATAAACCAAGCTCCCTCACCACTCAAATTGTTCTTGTACATTGCTGTTTCTACAAAGTAAATTCATTGAATTTACAGAAATTCATTTACATGAATCTCATTAGCATGAAATTTATCCCCACGCATCAAGCTTACACCACGTACAAAGTCTTTCTTCACTATCTAGTCTACAGAAGTTTTGAACACATAGGGCCCATATTAAGACTTTACCATTCACTGAAATGGCTATGAACATATATATGTGTATACATCTTCCTAAAAGAAAACTCCATTTAGCCAAATTCCAAGCAAACTGCAACAAAAGTTTTAACATATATAATTATTAAACATAAAGCAAAGCAAAAGTCATTGTAATAGAGGACAATTCTGGGGAACTTTAGCTATAATTTAATATCTTGACTTTACTCATTAGCACATTCAGTAACTATTCATTGAGAATATGCTGTGTGCCAGAAACTGTTCTATGCTTTGAGGATAAAATGAAGAACAACCTAAAATCTCAGCTCTCAAAGAACTTCAACTATAGTCAGAGAGAATGCCAATAAAACATAAACAAATACATAGTATTAATTGTCATTAAAAAAAGAGAAGCAAGATGAGGTATTACAGTGAAATTGATTTGGGACTAATTTTAGATATGTTTAGATACAGTGTCATGAACAGCCTTCTGAATAAGTTAAAGAGAAGGAAGAATGAAGCGAGAAAATAAGACACACAGAGTTCTGGGAGGTGGAGGTATGTATCCCAAGCAAAGACAGCAACAACCAAAAAGATCTTAAGGCAGGAAACAGATTTTCATTTTAGGAGACTAGCAAAAACTCCATTGTGATTAAAGTAAAATGAGAAAAGGAGAGAATGACAACAGAAAAATGTGGACTGGTATTTGGGGATCAGACTAGGTGAGGATTGGGGATCAGACAATATACAAAATATATATTTTGTATATTGTCCTGAATGTGATAGGAAGCTTCGGAAGCTTTGAGAAGAGGAGTTACATCATAAGATTAATATGTTCAAGATATCTTTCTGGTTTCTGTAGATAGAATAAAATTTAGAGTGACAAGAAGAGAAGAGGGAAATCAGATGTCCATTGCAACAGGATAGGTGAGAAATCACGATGGTTTCAACTAGAATGTATAATGATGAAACTTAATAACTGATTGAATGTTGCGTATAAAGAAAAGAGAATACTTAAAGATGGGTGCTAGATTTTACCTTTGTGAATGGAGGATTTGGACCTGTGTAATTCAACCTCAAGGAGAAGAGGTTTGAAGGGTAAAATTGATAACTAAGTTTGGACATGTTTATATTATGTCCTATGAGCTCAAAGAAAGGTTCAGACTAGAGAATCAAAGGGTGGGGGAGGGGGGGCCAACTGCATTTGATAATAATAGGACTAAATTAGAAATAATTTGGATTGGGGTGGGTAAGGTAAAAGAGAATAGGTTTGAAGAAATATGTGTTTGTTTTTGGAACTATTAAATTTAAAATTTCTAAGAGACATCTAAGTGAACAAGTCCAGGAAACTGCAAGAAAATTGGACCAATAATTAGGAGAGTTTGGGGTTTGTTTGTAAGCACAATTTGGAAGAACCAAGAACAGAGCCCAGAGACTAGATAAATAAAGAAAGTCCAAGAACTGAGACCCAGATACAAGTGATAGCATGACAGGAAAAATGTGTTTCAAAGATGAAGAAGTAGTCAATAGTTCCAGTTGCAGATGAGTCAGGTTAGATAGAGTTAAGAGTCATCATTGGGTATGGAAACCAGATGTTGGTTGAGGGTTTAGCAAAAAGCAATTTCAGGTCCCATCTCTTTGAGGAAGTTTTTTGTCTCCCAAAGGCCCAGGCAAAGATGTAAATCAATGTTCATTCGTCAAATAGAACATTCTCATTAGTTGGCTACCGGATTCTATAGTGCAAACCTTAATATAATGTGCAAACTATCAAGATGCAGGTGTGATACTCATAGCCAAGGATTTCGTTGGTACCAAGAGCACTGAGACCCTGTGGTAGCCTCTTCCAGCCTCCTCTTGTAATGAGTTTCAGTTCTTGACAGACTTCTTGCTTGCTTATGCCCAAGTTTAATGTTCCTAAATCAACTGCATTATATAGCCACACATTTTATACTGGGGACTGTAGGAGCAGGAAAAGGAGCACTGAGGCTTTGCAGCACTGTCATGACACTCCTACACTAGGACTGTATTGCCAAGTGCAGATCCAACTGGGCCCTGAGAAGTGTGTGATGAACAAGGCCCCCTAGAGGGCAGCAGAGCCTCACAGGAGTGGGGAGAAAGCCCAAAACAGAGGTTAGTGGGGAGTTTCACTCAAGGAGACACAAGGAGGCAATGCACACATTTACGGAGAATGAAGTTAAGCTTTGTGAAATGAAGGAAGTCCGTAATACAAGGAGTAGAAAAGTCTAAAATGTGAACCAGACAGCAAACACAAGGCTGGGCTAGGAAAGAAAAGAGTGACCAGAAGTCAGTCACAGGAAAGCAAGGCTTGTCTGCTCAGTGAATGTTATGACCCAAGCAATCATAATAAACAGGTACCATTTCACCATTTTCCTAGTCTGTTTTGTGTTGCTATAAGAGAATACCACGGACTGGGTAACACTATTTAAATGAAATTTATTTCTCAGTTCTGAAGACTGGGAAATCCAAGACCATGGCACCAGCATCTGGGGAGGGTCATCCCATGGTGGAAGGGCAAGAGAGCATGTGTATGTGTATGTGTATGTGTGTGTGTGAGAGAGAGAGAGAGTGAGAGCAAATGGGAGACAAACTTATCTTTTTACCAGGAGCCAACTCTCCCAATAACTAACCCACTCCCATGATAACAACATTAATCCATTCGTGAGGGCAGAGCCCTCACAAAATCACCCCTAAATGTCCCACCTCTTAATACTGTTACACGGCAATTAAGTTTTCAACACGTGAACTTTTGGTGACATTTTCAAGCTATAGCAACCATGTTATCTGCTATGGGCTAGATGATAGGTTAGGCACTGGAGATATAAAAATGAATACAATACCATCCTTCCCCCAGATAACTTTTCTCTTCATAATAAATTCAGACTCATAAAAAATAATGTTAGTAAGGAAGTATAGATAACTCGATCCTTTGTGGGTATACAAAAAGGGAAATAATGATGAGAGAGGACAGGAAAGGCCTCAAAAAAAAAAAAAAAAGGATAACATGATGGTATGGGTCCTGGTTGTGGGTTTTTTTTTTCCTCTTCTCTGATTTCTCTATGTCTTCCCTGAAATAATATTTTTCTTTCTCATTTATTTATTCTCTCATTCAGCACTTTTTTTATTATTGAGTCTTGCCAGGCCCCACTCACTGTTGTGGGCACTGGGATACATACATGGTCCCTGCCTTCAGAAACCTTCTGCTATTTTATTTGTGGTGAACGTGACAGTCACAAGCAAGGCAGTCAGCTTGCACCCATTTGTTTCTTCCAATGACACATTCTGCACCCTGCCCTCTTCCTAGGCTTGAAGGAGAAAGCTTAAACGGTCAGCTCTACAAGGCCCCATGTGAGAAAGAAAGGTAACAGATAAAGAATATCATGTCTTTTCACTTAATCAGCTCTTATCGCTTATGCAGTTAACAAATAGTTGTTGTGCACAGTGTGCCAAGCTTGTGCCTCTCAGGCCAGGGTAAGTTCAAATTACACCACGGCATTTTCCATTTTAGTTCTAGGAGATTTATTTTTTCATTCTAGGACACCTAGGTGTTATTAACCTTTTTTGAAATGAAGTCTTGTTCTGTCGCCCAGGCTGGAGTGCAGTGGCCCAATCTCAGCTTACTGCAACCTCCACTTCCCGGGCTCAGGTGATTCTCCTGCCTCAGCCTCCTTTGTAGCTGGGATTACAGGTATGTGCCACCATACCTAGCTAATTTTGTATTTTTAGTAGAGACGGGGTTTCACCATGTTGGCCAGGCTGGTCTCGAACTCCTGACCTCAGGTGATCCACCAGCCTCTTCCTCCCAAAGTGCTGCGAGTACAGACATAAGCCACCAAGCCCGGCAGGTGTTATTATCTTTACCATGAGTTTAGTGTGCTCTATTTGTTTGTCTATGACAGCCAATGTTTATCATCCCCATTGGATTCTAAGCTCCTTGAGTTGAGAGGCTGTGAAATGTATTTTCTGGATGTCAAGTAGAAAACCAAGTACTATGCCAGGTATCTAGAAAATACACAATATATGTTTAAGTATATCATTTACAAACAGAAGAACCTAGCTTTGAATTCCAACATCAACATTTATAAACTTTGTGACCAATAGATCTCTTTTAAACAGGATCATCAATACCCCTCCCTAGGGTTGTAAAGAGACAATGTTTGAAACAATGTTTAAAAAGCTCTGAGTATAGTGCCTGTTACGTATGCTTGCTCTTCCTCTTTCTCTTCTTTATTCTTTGCCCTCTACTTGATTTTTGTTTGTTTGTTTTTTCCTTTTTAGCCATGCCTTTGGTAATTTTGGTTATTTTCTTTAATCTAGTGTTCTACAATACAAGCCTCAGTGTTCAACAGCCCAAATATGAGTCCTGGCTTTGCCTCATCTAACTGTGTGACTTTCAGCAAGCTACCCAGCCACTCTGTGCCTCAGTTATTTTTATCGGTGAAAGGGGGATAATAATAGTACATATCTCATAGTGTATTAGTCTGCTCTCACCCTTCTATAAAGGTACTACATGAGATTGGGTAATTTATAAAGGAAAGAGGTTTAATTGACTCCCAGTTCCACATGGCTGGGGAGGCTTCAGGAAACTTACAATCATGGCCAAATGTTAAGCAGGTACCTTCTTCACAAGGGAGCAGGAGAGAGAAGAGAAAGCTAAGGGGGAAGAGCCCCTGTAAAACCTTTAGATCTCACAAGAAGTCACTCACTATCATGAGAAGAGCATGGGGGAAACTCCCCCTCACGATCCAATCACCTCCCTTCCTCCACACATGGGGATTACAGATCCCTCCCTTGACATGTGAGAATTACAATTTGAGATGAGATTTGAGTGGGGACAGAGAGCCAAACCATATAAGTGTCTTAGTGAAATTAAATGCTAAAATCTACATAAAACATCAATCCTGTAAATTACATGGTATTTCTTCCATTATGCGAAAAGAAAATTTGAGAAAAAGTTATATAAGTTATTCATAACAATATAGCTAGTAAGTGGTATTGCTGAGAATAAAATCCATGTTAATTAACTCCAAATCCAGTACACTTAATTTCCATAATATATTGCCCATCTCAGGCAAACTAAAGCCCAGTCAAGTTAGACAAATCTGAAGAGCTATGGTATATCTATCTATATGTATGTTTATATATGTATAAGTGTGTGATTGTATGTGTGTATATACATGTATCTGTGTCTATATATTTATATATGCTTATATACTTGTATGTATACAGATGATACTACTTAACTTCATGCATTAGCTTATCACACTCTGACATGATAAATTCCTAATATCTATAACAGATCACAATGAAACTCCTAGCTTAGGACCTAGCAAATACTAAGTACTTAAGAAACATCAGTAAACGTTTCTTTGGATATTTTGCATTGTGAAATTAAAGTAATCTCACTTTCCTTTATTGTGATAGACACTCGGCAGTGTGGAAATCTGCTTGGAAATGACAGAATTAGGAAATCCATCTGTTGTAATCATGTGTGATTATAATTAAACATAAAACGTTATCCTAATACCAGGAGAAATATAATTACCTTTATTAAAATAATAATCTTAAGACAATGTGATGGGGCTGGGCGCGGTGACTCACGCCTGTAATTCCAGCACTTTGGGAAGCCGAGGCGGGCGGATCACAAGGTCAGGAGATTGAGACCATCCTGGCTAACATGGTGAAACCCCATCTCTACTAAAAATACAAAAAAAAAATTAACCAGGCGTGGTGGTGGGCACCTGTAATCCCAGCTACTCAGGAGGCTGAGGCAGGAGAATGGCGTGAACCCAGGAGGCAGAGCTTACAGTGAGCTGAGATCACGATCACGCCACTGCACTCCAGCCTGGATGACAGAGCGAGACTCTGTCTCAAAAAAATAAAAATAAAAAATAGAAATAAAAATAAAGACAATGTGATGAAGAATAGAGGCAGTGGAAAGGTAATCTCTAGTCATAGACTTGTGATTTGAGTTCCCTCCTCCCCGTGTCATGAAGTGGAGATGATTCTTTTGATGGCCATGTAAGTGCACAACTTACACTGGCTACCTGTAATTGCATGCCCAGGACTTTCCAGAACTGCTTCTCTCTCCCTGGGTGTCATTCCCACTCGTGGGCAGCTGCATCTATCAAAAGTAAGCATGATTCCCCTCCCTTCAGTCTTCACCCCTCGCATGTATATAGGCAAAAGAAACATCCCAATCTCCTTCCTCCACCCCATCTCATCTTGTTCTTGTGAAAATCCAGTTATTTTACATCCTGAAATAAATGGAAACTAAGCTTCTTGGCAAAAATGTAGAAAGCTTTTTTTGTTTCTAAGTTGTCCAAAGACAAAGGAATGAGGAAAACAAAGACAAGTTTTATGCATTGAGATAGGACAGGAGGGGTTAAAAGGGCAAGAAAGGTGAAGGAAGAAGGCTAGAGAAAGAAAGGAGGGTGGCAAACGGAATGAATTAGTTGAGACAAGAACTGGTGAATGAACTTCTGTGTATGATAGAAGGGGGAGGCTAGTTTTGATGTAGTTAGATTTAGATAAATAGTACTGCCTTGCATTTCATAAATGTCCCTGCTTTTACCATTTCACTTGTTGAGTTGCTGCTCTATACTAGGCCCTATCCTAGATGCTTGTTAAAAGAACAGACGTGCCCAGGTAGCCATAAACTTTACGGTGTAGTGAGAAAGACAGTTACTAAACTAGTAGTCAGGCAGATATTTAATTATAATTTGTTAATAATTGGTATGAAGGAAGAGAATAGGCCCTGATACAGATTAACAGGGGAGACAGGCTGAGACAAGTAAAGAGAAGAGCATCATTTGTCTCTACATCATTTTCAAATCCAGCCTAAATCGCAGCAGCGTAAATTAGGGTATGTGGGAGCAGACAGATCCAGATGGAAGTAGGTCCAGATGGAGGTAGGTCCAGATGGAGGTAAGAAAATCAAAGATGCATTAACTTAAAAGAATTAATAGAGATTATATTGGTTATGTCTCGTATGAGGAAGCACTATTTCATAAGTATTAGGGGGTGTGTGGAGGAAACAGGACAAATATTTTGTATCAGAGCTATCTGGGAGAAGCCTGCCTGGTTATAGAAGTTATTAGTACAGAAGAAAATGACAGATATGAAAGGAACATTATGAAACAACTATAAAATCAAGCATTTTACATGAATTGTCTTACCTGATCCTCAATATTTCCATTGTATATATGGAGAAATTGTAACTCAGAAAGCATAACTAACCCTATGAACATAAACACAGTTTATGATTCCCTTATGGGTCAAAGGCAAACTCTGGTAAACAAGTAGATCCAGGCTTTGTGAGACCTAAAGTTCCTTCCACTTGGGGAGCTTTATTTAAGAAAAAGATTACAAAATGTGAATACAAAAATAGAAACAGGGCCTTGCCAGGGGCATCTGTGAGTGAGGGACCCTGATACTCCATCAGCTTTAGAGCAAATCTGCTTCCATCGAGCACCACTGAGGTTTAAGCTCCATCAGTCCCCAGACTGAGAAAATTTAGTTGCTGGTGCAAATTTTAATCAAAGTTAGTATCACAGAGGAATCAGTCTTCCTATCCAAAAGGGTAGAAAGGGCTCAAGTAAAAGCATAGGCAGTGTCTCAAGCCAAGGAGATTATGGGGAAAAAAAATGATAAGGTTTGAAAAATAGTACAGTTACCTGTATCCCTTAGGCCATTTAAAGACAGAACTAGGTTTAACAAATGGCACAGCTACTATTTGTAGCCAGCATTTTAGTGAGAAGCAATTTACCTCACAGTTGACCATTCTAGTAACCTGGGCAAATCACTTGATCTCCTGTGTCCTAGTTCTTCATTTGTAAAGTAGGAATAATAATAGTACCTAACTCAAAAGACTGTTGTAATGATTAAATCAGTAAATTCAGGGACTTAGAATTGTGTCTGGAACATTCCAAGTGCTCAGTAAGTGATGGCTCTTATTACATTTATTATCTAGCTTCATCTGACTTCACTGCATTTCCAATTGTTCATGTATAAAAATGTGAGGAAAAATCTCTGTTGGAAAACTACCTATCTCTCTTTAGAAATAGTAAGGTTATCTGTCTGAAAATTCCTCAGTCCTATAAGATAGAAACTAGCAACTTTTAATTAATGCCATAATGAAATGTTTCCTATGGAGACCCTTCTTATAGTTAACATTTTGTTCCTCCCTGAAAAGTTTTCCCTATTGAGGATGTTGTATAAAGCTTGTAAAGCACCTTAGGATTGGTTTTGAAATCTGTATCTTCCTGAATTTCTATTGATTGTGTAACAAATAGTAATGTTGAAGGAAAGTACACAATAAAATGGCAATGACTTATGATGATTCATATCTGAAAACAAGCTCTCATCATAAGTAGGATTAAAATACATCCTTTGGGAATTCTTCAGAAGCTAAATGAAAGGCTTTACTCAATACAAAATTTAACACATTTCCATAATATTGCTATGCTGTAATTTATTAAACTATTCTCCCGTGGTTGGTTTGTTCTTTTTTGTTGAGGTTTTTTTTTTTTTCTGTTTTCTATAACATTGAAGGAAAAAATCTTTGTGCAGAAACCTTTGAGCTTATGTTGAATTGTTTCCTTAGAATAAATTCCTAGAATTACTAAGTCAATACAGCTGATTTTTTACTTTTTAATTCCTTATTTGCATTGCTTCCCCACTTTTCAGCTTTTACCTTTCCATTATTTTCACAGAACACAGTGAAATATGTTACCTGGCAATTTCTCAAATCATTTTGCAGCTTATCTTCACTTTGCCATTAGTTTCTGGAGCTATTAATCATGCTCAGTTTTTGTTTTTAATCTGATTTATCTGAAGGAATCAAGTTGACATTTCAAGTCTGTGCAAAAGATGTTTTTCTGCGCACGGAGACCACAAGATCTGATGGAATATCTAGTAAATCATTCCAATATATTTACATATATAGATAGATAGAAGGTTGAGAGATGATATTGAAGAAAGGAATTACCTTGCAATAGTACTGCATAATATTGATCTTTTTAAATTTGGCTTCACTGTTTCCCTCTAACCTAAAGATCCATAATGACTTCCCTTCTGCCTTCATCTAGAATTTTCCTCTGATCAATTAGACTTGGAAGGCTGACTTGGGCTTTCCTTCAGCTCTCTTTGTAACACTCTGAAGTTGTTAAAATATTCTACCATCTCGTCCCTGTCTGTCTTCTGCTATCACACTGTATCCCACACATCGAAACTGATTGTCAGCTCTTCTTAGTGATGCCTCTTTTACAGCCTTCAGATTTTTGGTGTATTTCTGTCTAGGAAAACTCCAGCCAGAGAAATGCCAATCTGTTTGCATGTTAACAAGGGGCCCAGAGGGTGATTTATTCCACTTGACCATTATGTAGTCAAATTTGACCTTTTAAAAAATAAGCGTATATTGTGCTCAAAGCCTAGCTCCACTAAGTATACACTATTAACTTCATGTACGACCTTTTCAGTCTCTCAAATGTGCCATCAGATTATTTAAATAAGGGGTTTTTAAGCATGAAATAAAGAAAAAGTAAGTTGTTAATGAAGAGCATGAGATTTGGAGGTAAAACATCTGGTTTCTAGTGGCACTTCTGAGACTTACAAGCTATGGGGTCTTGACCAAATTGTGAAGCTTTCTGAGCCAGTTTCCTTATCTGCTGAATGGGGATAATTATATTCCTGAGTTTGTTAAGAAAATTAAATGATATAGGGAAAGTTTTTCTATAATAATGTGAATGCTATTCAAAAGTATATTACACCATAGTTTCTCTCTTCACTTTATGACTGCCAAGATCCAAAATTAGGATGGTCCCAAAAGGAATGTGGCAATAAATCTGTAGAATAAGATGCAATGTGCAGCATTCTACCTCATATATTTTCCCTAAGATGTTTTAAAATTATAAACTGTGTTTCTGGGTGATCACTAAAGATATCATCTAGAGGTAGATGTTTGATCCAAATTTCACCTGAGGTCGAAAAGCTGAGGTCTTGGCTGGTGTTCAAGGAACCAACATGGGAACAGAATTGAATGTGCTCAAAGCTGTTATAAAGCTTTGTGTTGGTACAAAGGGGGAGTGGATACAATAACTACAGCAAAGTCAAGATTAAAAACTAAAGTCAGAAAAATTCTGTCTCAAGGCAGGGAGGCAAAGGGAAAGAGAGAGCTAACAAATAAAAACTGGCTCCAAAATTTGCTATAACTGGTCTCAAAGAAGATGGTGGCTGGAAAGAACTCCTAAATCATCACTGAGTTGAGCCAGGATTACTTGTATATGGATCTGTCACTGACTAATAAGGAATAAGCACATAAGCCCACTGAGGTTCATTTTCTTTTTTGTGTGTGTGACACCTTCTTATTCAAATTACACAAAAGATAATTGCAAACAATTTTTGTTAAATATGTATAAGCCCATGCCAATTCTTCAATATATGTGAACAAAAGCGTTTTCAGAGTAGTTATAAGGCTTCAGTACTATGAGCTGAATCATTTCCCATGACCTAATCAGTTTAAGAATGTAACACTAAACCCACAGTAACTGGTTATGACTGTAACTAGCATAGCTTTCAGGAAATGAACAAGGGTGTTTCTTCCATGATTATAAGGACCAATTGTTTAGGCTTTCTCTAAGTGTGGATTATTGAGAAAATAATACTTTGTTTTACCCAATCGATCTCTCTCTTTTTTGCTCCTTACAAATCTAACTTATTAACTCTCACACTTATTTTATATAAATGGTACATACAGAAAGGAGCATTATTTAAAAGAACACAAACATCTAAGTAACACTAAAGTATTTGTTAGTAGTAACTTCTTTAGATTCATCATATATATACACTCACACACATGTGTACACACACAGAGAGACACACACAGTATTTATAAACAGTCAAACCTAAGTAAATGCTATAACAATTTCAGAAATTCTTAGACTCAGTTTTGGAAGAAAAACTAATGAAACCAAGTATAGCAGATAGGAGGATTTCAGCCTCAGAAAGTCTATAACCTAACTCAAAGTGGCTTAAATGATAACAAATTAATCTCACATAAAAAGAATTTCTGACACTAAAAAGGCTAATTCAGTAGCTCAAAGGACACAATGGCTCAAGGACCTACTTATTTCGACCTTTCCAGTCTACCACTGAATCACTGGACCACAGTTTTTGAAATGTTGGCTTAGCTTCTCTCATGCCTGCCATATGGTTGGAGCATTGTCAGGTATCACATCCAGACCACTGTCCACAGAAAAAGAGACTATGTTTTCCAGTGTTTTATTAATACTAAAGAAATCGTTCTCAGAAGTCTCCAGAAGACTCTCTCCCATGATCATTGGCTAAAACTGATGAGTAAAGTGGCAAGTGAATCTGATAATTACTATTATCATCTTAGTCTAATCAGTGTCTACATCGTGAAGGTAAGGATGGGATGGCTTGTTAAGAAGAATGTGACAATGCAAAGGAAAGGCAAATATCTTAAAAAAATAAGTATCTTCCATGTAACTGTATTAGTTCGTTTTCATGCTGCTGATAAAGACATACCCGAGACTGTGCAATTTACAAAAGAAAGAGGTTTAATTGGATTTACAGTTCCACATGGCTGGGGAAGCCTCACAATCATGGCAGAAGGCAAGGAGAAGCAAGTCCCATCTTACAAGGATGGCAGCAGGCAAAGAGAGAATGACAGCCAAGCAAAACAAGTTTCCCCTTATCAAACCATCAGCTCTTGTGAGACTTACTCACTACCATGAGAACAGTATAGGGGAAACTGCCCCCATGATTCAATTATCTCCCACAAGGTCCCTCCCACAACACATGGGAATCATGGGAGTACAAGTGAAGATGAAATTTGTGTGGGGAAACAGAGCCAAACCATATTATTCTGCCCCAGCCCCTCCCAAATCTCATAACTTCACATTTCAAAACCAATCATGCCTTCCTGACAGTCCCCTAAAGTCTCAAATTATTTCAGCATTAACTCAAAAGTGCACAGTCCAAAGTCTCTTCCAAGACAAGGCAACTCCTTTCCACCTATGTGCTTGTAAAATCAAAAGCAAGTTAGTTACTTCCTAGATACAACGGGTGTACAGGAATTGGGTAAATACAGCCATTCCAGATGGGAGAAATTGGCCAAAACAAAGGGGTGACAGGTCCCATGTAAGTCCAAAATCCACCAGGGCAGTCAAATATTAAACTTCCTTTGACTTCATGTCTCACATCCAGGTCACGCTACTGCAAGAGGTGACCTCCCATGGTCTTAGGCAGCTCCACCTGTGTGGCTTTGAAGAGTACAGCCTCCCTCTCAGCTGCTTTCACAGGCTGGTGTTGAGTGTCTACCGCTTTTCCAGGCACACAGTGCAAGTCGTCAGTGGATCTACATTCTGGCGTCTGGAGGACAGCAGCCCTCTTCTTACAGCTCCACTAGGCAGTGCCCCAGTAAGGACTCTGTGTGAGGACTCCAACCCCACATTTCCCTTCTGCACTGCCCTAGCAGAGGTTCTCCATGAAAGCCCCACTCCTGCAACAAACTTCTGCCTGGACGTCAGACATTTTCATACATCTTCTGAAATCTAGGTGGTTCCTGAACCTCAATTCCTGACTTCTGAGTACCCACAGGCTCAACACCACATGGAAGCTGCCAAGACCTGGGGCTTGCATCCTCTGAAGCCACAGTCTGAGTTCTATGTTGACCCATTTCAGCCATAACTAGAGTGGCTGGGATGCAGGGCACCAAGTCCCTGGCTGCACACAGCTCAGGGACCCGAGGCCTGGCCCACGAAACCACTTTTTCCTCCTAAGCCTCCAGATCTGTGATGGAAGGGGCTGCCTGAAGACCTCTGACGTGCTCTGGAGACATTTTCCCCATTGTCTTGGGGATTAACATTTGGCTCCTCATTACTTATGCAAATTTCCTGGAAATTTATAATTTAATTTTCCTTTTTGTCAGTCATTCATGCATACCTCATTCAATAAATATTATTACCTATACTATCATAGGCACTGGGAAGATAGCAGTGAAGCATACGGTTCAGAACCCATGCCTTCATAGAGCTTGCATTCTATCACAGATTCCACTGGGGGAAAACAGAGAATAAATAAAATAAATAAGTAAAATATAAATTATTTTAGATAAGTTTTCCTGATAAAAGCAGGAAATGGTAACAGAAAGAGTAGAGTGGTAGTTGCCTTTTTAAATAGGGTGGTCTGGCAGGATGTATTGAGAAAGTGACATTTAGGCAAAAATTTGAAAGAAGTAAGCTTTGAGGATATTTTTAATGAAAGCATTAAAGGCAGAGGAAATGGCCAAAGCAAAGACACTATGCTGGGAGGATATCTGGTGTCTTCAAGCAACAAGAAGATCATTGTAGATGAAGCAATGTGAGCAAGGGAGAAAAAGTGACTTTTGGGATCAGAGAGATAGTCAGGGAGTGGGAGGTAAGTGTAGGGATTTGTAAACCATGATAAAAAATTTCATAATTTACTCAGAGAAATGGGTAACTAACAGCGTTTTGAGCAGATGAATGATATGAAAAGATTTCTATTTTGACAGGATATTCTGCTTGCTGGGTGGAGGTTGGAATGGGTTTGGTCTGGGTTGGGGAAATTTAGTAACAGACAAAGCAGAACCAGTTTGAGAAACTGTTAAAATTTTAACAGGTATTGGTGGCTTGGGCCAGGGTAATAAATACTGGTGAGAAATGGTCAGATTTTAGGTATGTTTTGCAGATGGAGCCTGCAGTATATGCTGACTGATTACAAAAAAGTCTGTTCTTTCCTCCTTTTTTCTACAATTACTTTATCTCAAAACTCTGTACATTAGTTACCACTTTCTGTAAACATCTTTAATATTTTCCATCTTCCTTGATCTCTTGACCAACATGTACAGAATGTCTTCAGTTTGTATTTATTATTAAAAACAAAACAAATAACAACAGCAAATCTCATTGGAGATTTGATCATCCCTAAAGTTACAATTCCATTTTATTCATTTATTCATGGAGGTATTCCCTCAGAAAATGTTGGTTGAGGGCTTACATAATGGAGGCACTATGTTTAGGGTTTATTCACATGGTCATTTTTCTTTAAGTCTCTGCACTTCCATGTTTATGCTCAAGCTTAGTCCTAAAACTCTGCCATCTTTACTGCAATTTTGGTATGAAAATCCCTTATAGGATTTTCTGTAACATTCACAGTGACTTGTCATATGACTATAGTTCAAATGTCCCTCATTCAATAACTTTTACTATTTTTGGCACTTTCTTGGCCAAAAAGACTCTTTTCCTCCCATATTGTTTTTCTCTGCTCATACCATACTTCTATTCTAAATAATAAAAAGTAATTGAGGAAAGAGAGAATTTAAATTTGCTTTGTAAATGGGATGCATCTATATTGGTTTAAATGAGAGGTTTCCTTGAAGAACACACTCCTACCCACTTACTCCCCAGACTTACCCTCCTGCCTCATTAGTGTCCATTCCATATTGAGTTACTAAAATTTACACATAAGACATATGTGAAATATGCAACATTTTCCAACTCGCTTTCACAGACTTCTTAGAGAAATCAGGCTGTTTTTTTCTATGAATAGTTTAAAGCATTATAGCATGAAGTAAAATAGGTATACTGTGGTTTCTACACATATAAGAAAATATCTCCCTGTGGTTTTCACTAAGCTGAATGACAGCTAGCTTAGGAATGGAAAACGAGTTTAAGTGCTCACAAGGCTTAGCACAATGCTCCTTCAAGGGGAAGACTACGGGCCATAGTAGATGTCAGTGTGAGAGAGAAAGTGGCGAAAGAAAATTATTTTTTAAGACAATTTTATCTATTGGAAAGAACAAAACCTGGAGCAGGATAAGCCTATGACAAAACTGGAGTAAGGGAAATGTGCCTCTGGTGCCTTTAGCTTTCTTATTTGCTGTGTTTGTGTTTTTTCCCCTCCATTCTTGAACTCTCTAGGAAACTTAGGCTCTTTCTCCACTCATTTTTAACCAAATATGTTCTCAGAGAGTCTGCAATTTCTATGAGAAAACATGTCTCTAAGTATGCCATGGGATACTCACAACAGCATTTGCATCTTGAGTGTCCTCACTCATACAGGATGGAGAACATTTGCTCCTTGGTATCAGAGAAAAATGAGGAAAGAATTCATCAATGGAATCTTCCTAGCATCTCATAAGTTGTAGCACATTTGTAAATTCTACTTCTATATATTGCTCTTTGCTTCATCCACTGACCTTTCCCTTCCAAACCATATAGAGTCCCTGTCTATAATTCCTATTTAATGATTAAACCCCCCTTCTTATTCAACCGCTTCACTAAACACTCCATTTACTGTTGTTTTCTTAAATTGAAACCCAATTCCCTCCTAAGGACATTTCTACGCCATATCTCTCTCAAGTAAAGTTTCTTATTCTTCCATATCACGTGTTTCACAGGACACAGAGATGGAGGTCAGCAACTCAACGCTGCTTCCAGGCATATATCACACCCTTACATACAAAAATGTGAAAATTAAAGCTCTGACTGAATTTAGACTCATGGAATCTAGTTATCCCTCTATCTTTTAGCTTCATTTATAACTACTGTTTACTGCCAACTTCTGGATAAAGAACTTCTGTCTATCCCAAGCCCGGCTATCATTCTGAGTGAATTTAGTGCTTGTATAAAGGACAGATGAGTACCAAGCTTCTTTCTTCCCCCCAGTTCTAATACATTTTAATGTTCCTATTCCTGGTCACTTACTCAAACTTGATCAGCCTCACATAAGGCATCATTATTTCCAATATCAAAATCTCTCCTTTTCTGCCAGCTTCAGGCACAATTCTCCATCTATCTGCTACTTCACCTAATATACACATTTATTATTTAAACTTGTTTATTTTCTTCTAGTCTTTCACTTCATTCTGCACTCATTTATGTATTCTGAATCACATAGCCAATATAGAAATTTCAGTAATCCAATATTCAGTAGATATTGGTAGGAAAGAGGAATTGAGGTGAAGAAATGAAATTTTTTATCCAAATAATAATGGAAAATTACATTTACTATCTGATCCTAAGTTATTCTTACCTGCACATCTTTTAGATTTACCAGATGAGTATAGGCTCTTGTAGAACTCAGTACAGAAGAGCTAGAACTTCCTGGACAAAGAAGGTACAAGAAGAAGAACAACAACAACAAAAATCTTTACAGAAGATAAGCAAAACTTATTTCAGAATAAGTCATTCTGAAATTTATTAAATCTATTGTGAGAGTTTTTCATGCCAAGCTTCTGGCCTATAAACTAAAGTGTCAAAGCTGTATTAGGCATAAATCTAGAAATCCATAGTTTATAAGAAAACTTACAGGTTTACAAGATTGAAGAGCCTTAAACTCCATGTCTAGCATATACAAGGCACTCAGCAGATTTTTTTTCCAGTAAATGTTTTAAGGGAATGCTTACACTAACAGTGTTATAAAAGTTTTTGGACAGGTAGAATGAGCATGGCTATTCACCTCTTCTTTCCACTGTCTACATAGTTTTCCTGTTCTGAATATTTTCAACCATTCTCATTGTATTTGCAACCATCGGTATGCTGAGAGCTCCCCTGTGTATAACAATCCTCTAACCTCCAAATGTTTATACTCATGTGTCTGCTGAATATGTCCACTTGGATGTCCCACCAGCATCTCAAATCAAATATTCCAAAATGAAGCTTTTTACTTCCTTGCCCAAATATACTCCTTCTCTTGAATTTTCTTAACTCAGTTAACTGCACCATCCAACACAGTAACTGGGGTATCATTCTATACTTCTTCCTATTATACTCATCATCCAATAAATCCTACTCATTTTTGCCTCCCAAATAGTCTTGAGACTGTGCTCTATTTTTCATCTGTATTATCGCTACCCTAAGCATTAGCTTATCATCTCTCACATGCATAACTGTAGTAGTATTTCTCTATCTCTCTAGTTTTGTTCCTTCAAGTCCATTGCATTTTATCTAAATGTCAACTCTGATCCTGTTTTATGTAGCATAAGGATTCCACAATGACATCTCATAATCAACAAGCAAATTCATCATTTTTATATACTTCTCCATCTGCTTTCCCCTTTGACCTCCTATTTTATACTTCTTACAATAAAAATTACTAAACAGTGTTTCCCAGTATACACCATGCTGCTAAACCTCTCTACATGTTTGCACCTGATTTTCTCTTCACGGTGCATGTCTGCTCAATTTTTCAGATTTGTCTTACGTATCATATCTCACTAAAGTGTTCTCTGCCAATCTAGTATGGGTTAAGTAACCCTTCTTGTATTTGTTTCTATAATAAAACTTCTTACATTGTTTGGAAATTATCTGTTTACATTTCATCTTCTCATTCAAGACTGTGACCTTATCAATGACATAATCACCCATATGCTCCTTATCACAGTGCCCAGCACATGGACTATTCAGTAAACGGTTTTGAATGATGTCAACTAAACCTGCCTGGTACAGGCATAGGGACCTAAAGGAAGTAACAAAATTTAAAGTCCTATCACTAGATTCTCTACTGCCTGTACTTGATAACTCTGCTACTTATTTGCAAAACGGGGTCAAGAAGAGAAAAGGTAAATAATAAGCTTTTGTAATTTTGTTTTTAAACGTAGTAATATTGTTACTTGGAGGAAAAATTAATGGAAATAGCATGAGCTTTAGAATCAGAGAAACCTGATTTTTAACCTTGGGCTCCCTGCTCATAAACCACATGAGGTTGGGCTTACTGACACTGATCTTCAGTGTCTGCCTCTTCAGAATGAGAATAATAGCAGCTGCTTTGTATGGCTGTTTTAATAATTTACAATAGTGTACAGCAAACAGCCTGGCATGCTCAATATTTTGTCATTATTACTTTTTATTATAACTTTGAATATAAATATAGTAAATTAAACATTTCATTTGAAAAGTGAGTTAATACTTGCAAAGCACTTGAAACAGTGCCTTACAAGTATGAGTGTATGGGTGTTTTAGTATCTGATATATAAATTTATTATGTAAAAGAAATGAAATTTTAAAATTGATATTCCATGATCTGTAAATTCTGAAAAGCTTAAACTATTTTTAATTGACAATTCCATATTTCTAAAATAAACTCAACTGGAAAAAAATGTTGAGTTTTTAAACTCAACAGTTGAGACTATTAAATCTATTAGTAATTTTGAACAGCACATTACTGGTAAATGGGATAATGAGTAAGTGAATGAATAAAAATATGATCTATTTAAATATCTGGTGAATATAATTACAGGTACAGACAGGCAAGTAGGGTCCTATCTGAAAGCAATGATGAGTTTCCCATTCTGTATTAATGCCATTTTCAGCTTGCATTGAATACAAAAACTGCTTGAAAGTTCCAAAAAGTCTAAGATATTGCTCACATTTTTAAAATGAGTTTTGTTATTATTGTTTTGAATTTTCATTATTTTGTTTTTTATATGTCAGTGAAAGCTTTTACCAAAAGCAGTTAGGTTTTGTTTTTGTTTTTTGTTTTGTTTCTATGGTTTTTCTAAACTTTTAGGTTCAGGGGTATATGTGCAGGTTTGTTTTATAGGTAAGTTGTGTTTTGCAGGGGTATAATATGCAGATTATTTCATCACCCAGGTAATAAGTATAGAATCTGGTAGGTAGTTTTTTGATCCTCACTCTCCTCCCACCCTCCACCCTCATGGAGGCCCCAGTGTCTATTTTTCCCTTTGTGTCCATGCGTACTCAGTGTTAAGCTCCCATTGATAAATGAAAACATGAAGTACTTGGTTTTCTGTTTCTCCATTAGTTTGGTTAGGATAATGCCCTCCTGTGCTATTCATGTGTAAAGGACATGATCTCATTCTTTTTATGACTGCATAGTATTCTATGATGTATATGTACCACATTTTCTTTATCCATTTTACCGTTGATGGGCATTTAGGTTGATTCCATGACTTTGTTATAGTGAATAGTGCTGCAGTGAACATATACATGGATGTGTTTTTATGATAGAGAGATTTATATTCCTTTAGGTATATGACCAGTAATGGGATTTCTGGGTCAAATGGTAGTTCTGCTTTAAGTTCTTTGAGAAATTGCCAAGCTGATTTCCACAGTGGCTGAACTAATTTCCATTCCCACTAGCAGTGTGTAAGCATTCCTTTTTCTTCACAGAGGTTAGAGTTTGATAGAATAAGATGCTTAGGATCTATTCCATATTTCATAAACAGAGGTCACCTGGCAGAGTGTGTGTGGTCATGAGAGAAAGAAAGAAAGAGAAGAGCTTATAAGCATGAAGACTGTAGGTTTCTTAACTCATCTATGAAATATTTAATGATTAATTCACAATTAGCCTAACAGAAGATATTCAAAAATATGTTAAGGATCCCTTTGTAAGGAAGTGAATGACCACCAATAATTTATTATTCTATCAATATTCTTTTAATTTGAGCTGTCGAGCAGTATTTTGCTTGAGCAATCCAATTCACAAAGAAGCACAAAATACTTTGCATTGAAACATTGAGCATCATTTGGCCATTGGTACTTCTAAGGTATTTTCTTGGTAAAATTAAGTCTACTCAATCTAGCTTGGTCTGATGATTTACCTCCTTTAACAAAGTCTCTAAGTTCTTTTCCTCTCTTCTTTATGCCTACATCTAAAATTACTTGTGTACGTATTTCTTATTTCCTTCCTTCTCCTACTGTTAGGTAAATTCTAACAGGTGGGGCCTGCAGATTACTTATCTTTACATCTGTAGTGCAAAGTCCATTACCTAGGATTTAATAAATGCTCAACTAATGTCCGTTAAATAGGTAATCCATTAAATTCATTTTGCTTGATGTAATAAGCCATTTTTCTTCAAATACTAGATACTTTAAACATTTTAGAAGGGAAAAAAAATTAAGAGGAAGGCCTCTGCCCCAGGATCAATAATGATGTTGACTTTGTTGCATTTTATTTTATTTTATACTACTTTTGAAACAGCAGGAAAATAAACTAAAAAGAGTGTGACTGTACTGAGATAAACAAGTCTTATTATAGTAACTCCCTTTATCATAGCCTACTGGATACCAGGAAGGTGGATGAAGTGGTGTTATACCAGGCTCCAGTTTAATTAGGGAAAAGGTAATAAAACCTTAAGAGCTCTGGGCCCCTGCAAGCTCTACAGGTGGTTATTCTCTACTGATGAGGCTTGTGACTTTCATGAAGTCAGTTAAGTAAATCTAGCTTCCTCATCTGGCAAATGGAAATAACAGTTCTTTTTTAAAAACCTTACAGAATCGAACCAATGAGTAAAAGAGGTTATTTCTGTGAAATCATGTTAGCTCAAAAAACTGTCATTGAGATACAAGAACTCATCTTGATGCACCACGTAGAAGAGTAATATTGGGAATCTCATCACTTATTTTAGATGAAATATCTGGTATCTTCAAAGCGCGGTGAACTGCCAATTATAATACAAAAATAATGGCGGCATCCCAATACTGACAGTAAAACTTCAGCTTAATGTTTACAGAAACTTTTAATATCCAAAGAACATGTCTTCTCTCCTCTGTTATTGCCAATGTCTAACAACATCCAGAATGGTATCACTCAATGAGGGCTTGCTCAAGATAATAATTAGCTTAAAAACTTGATAATGGAAGGCAACACATTATAATGGCTGAAGTGTGGGTTCTAAACTTAGATTCCCTGTATTCAAAATCCAGCCCAACCACTTATTTAATTAACTAATCTTTGATTAATTTGCTTAACCTCTATAATCTTAGGTTTCTTCATCAGTAAAATGGAAATGATAACAAAGCCTCTGGCCCAGGGCTGTTGCCTGGATACAATTTAGGTAAAGTTCTAGCATAGTGTCTGACACATGGTAAGCACTGAATAGATTCTAATGTGTTGATTGATATTCATCTTTTTCTAAGATGCTAGAAATTGCACACCTTTACCATTGACTATTAAATGTGACATATTCAGTTTAATAGGCAATGTGAAAGAATGGGTTACATGTGGTTTAACCAAAAAGTAACAACGTCATCCCTGATGTTGTCCATATGCCATCACATTCATCTAATAAGTATCACAGGTTGGTCATTGCATTGAGAAGCAGGAACCCCCATTTTGGCACAGAGTGACCATCTCCACAGTCACGGCCGTTCCTCAGCCTGGCAGTTAAGCACACAATCACGTCTTTCTGTTTGCTCCTGTCCTTGTTCATGCTCACCAGGTACAAAGACAGGAGACTGGCCCAGCACAAGTCGGAAATAGAGTGTTTCACCCCCAAAGGGAGTATGGGGAATGGTGGGAGAGCAACAATGAGCAGGTAAGCAAACTATGAGTGGCCTGAGGTGGTGTGAAATAAATGTATGCAAGCTAGAGGAACATGTGGCTCCCTGGTCTGGGTCCTCACTCAACTGTGCAACTCATACAGTGTGTCCAACCCAGGCTACTACTGGTTTTCTATGTGTGTTTGATTTGCAAAACCTATGACACCCTCATGTGTAGTAATGGGAGCCTCCTGTCCCAGATGCTGCTGTTTCCCAGGGTTGTGCGCTTTGCATGTCTGAAGCCTTAGCTCACAGTCAGTCCTCCTCTGGGTTTTAACTTATTGGTCAAACGGTTCTGGAGTTTGCAAAGTGGAAGAGATTGGAGGAAACTCATATTTCAGGGCTATCCAATCACTTAATAAAACAAATACAAAGCTTAGAACTGGTTTTAAGGAAAGGATTACTATTGAAGGAAGACTCCAGCCCCTGATCCTGGACAAGCCTGGAAATTAATATACCTTACTTTGAATGTAACATCATCTCACAGCCAAGGGCAAATGCCTTGCCAAACTAGTGGACTGTAGAGACAAGTGGCTTTTCTCAAACTGAAATCAGGAAAGCTAATCCTCCTCTAGCTACCATAGCTTTGCATCTCCTTTGCTTCCTTGTGTTTGGTGATGAACATTCTCTGTCGCTGTGCTGTGCATGTTCTTTTATACTAGGCACTCCTGATTGAGTTGTACCTAGTAAACCGGAGTATTTGGAAGTATAAGCATTAACTAAGCTGTGTTGCATGAAATAAACGTGCTTTATTGCATGGGATTTGGTTTTAAGAAAAGGGCCCTGGGGCCGGGCGCATTGGCTCACGCCTGTAATCCCAACACTTTGGGAGGCCAAGGCGGGTGGATCAGCTGAGGTCAGGAGTTCAAGAACAGCCTAGCCAATGTGGTGAAACCCCGTCTCTACTAAAAACACAAAAATTAGCCGGGCATGGTGGCACACGCTTGTAATTCCAGCTACTCAGGAGACTGAGGCCAGAGGACTGCTTGAACCCAGGAGGCAGAGGTTGCAGTGAGTTGATAACATGCCATTGCACTCCAACCTGGGCAACGAGAGTGAAAACTGTCTCAAAAAAAAAAAAAAAAAAAAAGAAAGAAAGAAAGAAAGAAAGAAAAAGAAAAAAGAAAAGAAAAGGGCCCTGGAGACAAAGTCAAGATTGACATTAAACAGTTCCAGAATGTTGAAGGAGCCTTGAGTTGAGGAGTCACTTGCCATGACTTAACTCTTCACTTCTAATTTGTTGTGACATTTCTCAATCCATCTGTGGTGTAGAGGTATGGAAGGAAAACTTTTGCAAATCATCCTGGATTAGAGAAAAGGAAAAATTCAATAAGTAGAGTATGTGCATATGCATGTCCATGTGCTGAGAGCAGAGCTTGAGACCTAATTGCATAACAAGAAGATAATCCTGTTGAAATTTCACCACAAACATTTTGTTTGCTTCCTCAGTGGTGGGCTCCTTCCTATTTTCAAAATAATAACTACATTTTTCCAAGGCCCACCATATTGCACAACTGCTGGTGGACTATTCATATTGCAGTCTATGAAAATGGTGCCCAGAACTGTTCAGCATACAGTTTGAGCAATCATTCACAACAGTCCTGGCCAAGGGCTTGGCCAACTTTGTCTATGGTTCTCAGAGACAAGGCAATGATAGTGTGTGTACATGTGTAGGCATATATGTGTGTACTTTGGTGTATCTGATGGCCTTATGCCTACAATCCCTTTATACAGCTATCTTTGGATCTCAGTGCATCTGCAAAATGAGTCTCAGAGGATCATTTTGTGGAAGTGACTCAACAGAATGCTATTGGGGCTCCTATTTTCCTTCCACTTAGATATAACAAAGTAGCATAATTCATATCCTTGAAAATTAGGCAAACAGCACCAGAGTAAGCTGGACAAGGTTAAAGTGACTTCACCAAATGAGTGCTCAAGGGCTCTTCCCAGAGTGACTTCTAATTTGAGGTCTAAAACTGGAGTTCCCAAACCTGGCAAACTTAGCTGACTATCAAACAGACTGAGGCAAAATATTGGGCAATACAACTTAGGAATCTGTCATGTAACAAGTTTCCTAGGTCATCTCAAAGAAGCCAGTGCATGAACTGATATTTTAGAGTAATCCATTCATGTAGGAGATGACATGGAGCTGTTTGTGGCAAGCATTTGGTCTCAATTATGCAATTCGATGCTCTTAGCAGTGTTTAGTCAATACTTAGAGCTTTAGATCTGATCATCACAGAAATTAAATTTGCTCAAGGCTGTCTTAATTGAGAATGAGGGGAAAGGGACAGAGAGGGTAGTACACAGAGAGTAGGAGATCCCAGATAAACATACCAGGCTTCCTTGGGTCAGGTCCAGATCTACAAAGGTATTCACTTGATGTATCTCCAGCAAGAATGGTCTGAGTTTCTCTACAACCGCAAGATATCATTTAATTTTTGTTTCCTCACTTGTTTGGATATAGCCAAGATAATAGAAAGGCTTATTACACTGATATATCCTGGTGGAGGAGAGGGGAATAATGCATACTACTATAAATACAATTGTGTTAGATCATCCACCTCAGCCACACAGATAAGCAGAGTTAATTGGGAACAAATGATCTTCCCTTCCTAGTATCTCTTCCTTCTCATTTCTTTAGCACTATATAAAAACTGACACACACACACACACACACACACACACACACACACACACAGAGAGAGAGAGAGAGCGAGAGAGAGAGAGAGAGAAGAGAGACCTGCCATGCTTAAGCTTTCCCTTAGGGAGTAGAAAAGGCCTAGAGACATATGAAAAGAGAGGTCAAAATTCACAAGGTCTTGGTATCTTTTTTTCCAACTTCACATTTGTTCACATAAATACAGACACACATGCCTGCACACACATATTTATCCAGGAGAAATAAGTTTAAAATGAACATTAAGAGAAAGCTGTCAGAGAGGAGATAACTGTGATGGAAGCCGTTTCTAAGTAAGGGGTTGAAGTAGTTAATCCAAATTTGCTTACTCAGGAATGGAATAGAAGGGCTGAAGAAAGGTTAACTCTATGTATGTGAGACTTTTATAGGTACTTTTAGCGTCAACCAATAAGGCCTTTCTTTGTAATTCATCCCTACTCCACCCCCTATTGCTTCCAGGAGTCAAAGCCAAGCATCACATTTACTCTGCAAACATCTGGGACTCCTCTGTGGCCATTATTGAATAGCTAGTTCCAGGGAGGGGTTAAGGGGAGCTCAAACAACCACAGAAAACCGAGAGTGTCACTCTGCATCTCATTTGCCTGTTTTGTATAATGAAGCTGTAGAATGGACAGTACTCTATGAATTCATGCCTAGGATGATTATCCCAGAGCCAAGTTGCCTGGTGGGGAAAGAAAGCATTTCACAGTGTTTACAGTTGAAGCAGAGCAGAGCACTATTTTCTGATCTGTAACATTAGCAGGGCCTTAGACAGATGCTCCTTTACTTCTGCCTTCCTCCCTCAACCCTCATGCTGGGAAAGGAATGAGAATATAACATGTCCCCATAGCACACTAGCTTCCTGAAATATGTTGCTGTTTTCCCTTTATGTGAAGAGGCTTTTTTTTTAACCTCATGTCTGAATATAGTATAACTTGTCATCTTTTCATATTTTCACAGTGGACAGTCTAAGTGTGATTCAGAGCAGAATCCTCCTGATTGCAGGAGAAGTAAAAGAGAGTCCTAAACAGGGAGGTGGCTCTAAGAACTGAAATTCTCTAAACACTGTTACCATGTGAGTTGCTAGCAAGATGGTCCAGCCTCAGGAATGACTGAATGACTGAAACCTCAACACTGAATGTTATTATCTTCTGTGTCAGCAGGGGCATGGCATTGGAGTACTTGGAATCTGCTTGCTTGCTTTTTTCTCAGTCAGAGTCTGCAATGTCACCCAGGCTGGAGTGCAATGGTGCGATCTTGGCTCACTGCAACTTCTGCCTCCCAGGTTCAAGCGATTCTCCTGCCTCAGACTCCTGAGTAGCTGGGATTACAGATGCCCGCCACCACGCCCGGCTAATTTTTTGTATTTTTAGTAGAGACGGGGTTTCACTATGTTGGCCAGGCTAGTCTCGAACTCTTGACCTTGTGATCCACCCACCTAGGCCTCCCAAAAAGCTGGGATTACAGGCGTGAGCCACCACTCCTGGCTGGAATCTGCTTTCTGATGTGCTCATGATGTAGGCCACGAAGGAGAAACAAAGACATTCTGAGCCTCCTAGTCTCTCTTTGAGGAAGGGCTCCGTCAGTCAAATGAAATAGACAGCTCTCTAGTCCCCCTCCAGTGCCAGAAGGAAGGAGGGTGGGATGGGGTTATTTTTGAACAAAAAGAGAATTATTATTATTACTCTTTTGTGATATAAGCTATGCAAACTATTAACTTTCAATTAGTTGAGTAACTGATTTTCTCCTGTGATATGCAGCATCTAATTTTAGTAGGTACATATGTTTAATAAAGGCTTGGAGAATTTGGTAAGAGTCATGTCATAATAGTCCTTGTTAAATGAGTAGGACCTCAGATAGCCCCAAATACAATGTCTTGTGTTAGGATTGCCTTTCATTCATTCAATTATTTCTTCCTTCAGGTAAAGCTCATTTATTAAGCACCTATTATGAACCAAGGACTCAAAAGACTCTAGAGATAAATGGATGACCAAGATATGACTAATGCCCTTGAAAATCTGCAGTGTATTGAGAAACAGGCAGAAAAACAGATAACTGCAATGCAATATAAAACTCCTCTAACACAGGGGAGTTTATGCCTCAGATTAAGTGCCCATTTCTTACCACATGCTATAGTTTGTACCAGTACAAACAGAATTAAAAGTAATAGAATAACACATAATAACAGATGTAAACTGAGTATTCAGAAAGTGTAAGGCATGTAGTTATATAATTTAAACTCCATAGATAAGAGAAAGATTCTGCCTTTCCAGTACAGACAATAGAAGCCAGCTGGTTTTTGAGAATAGATTAGAATTTCTACAATAACCTTCACTTTATTTATCTCCAAAATCAATTCCATATTAATATTCTAACATATTCTAAAAAATAAGAAGAAGAAGAATTAGTAACATTGCTATGATTACCATGTATCCCACACTATACTAAGTCCCTTCATGGAGGTTCTGCATTAAGTTCTCCCAAGAACATATAAAGAAGGTATAATTTTTTTTCTTCCCATGCTACACACAGGAAAATGAGGATCAGGGAAATAAAATAACATACACAGTAGAGCAATCTCATGAAAAATCTAAAATCAAAGGAACTTCAATATCTGGTTCTGGCACTAGCCAGTGTGTGACCACGGAGTGTCATTTCAACTCTTTAATATCAATTTTCTATAAACGTCAGATTATATTATAGCACTTATCTTACTGTGATGCTGTGAAAAATAAATGGAATTATATAAGTACAGCACTTAGCATATTGCCTGACACACAATAGGCATTCAATAAATTTTAGCATGTGCTCTTACTATCCAAGGCCACCCAGTTTAGAAAGGTTGTTTTTTACGTATTTACTGTTTTGTCTTGTCTTTCTCTACCCTGCCACCATGGTTGTTTGCTCAAAAATCAATTCTGGAAAAGTAAGTAAAACAAAATCTAATGATAACAAAAGAATAAATTCAATGATATAATTTCCCTGTTTTAAAATTCATGTTCTCCCATGTTTACCTATAAAAGCAGCCAACATTTATTGAGTACTTAGATACATGAGACACTGTGTCAAATGCTTTATCTGCATGATTGCTCACTTAATCTTCCTTAAAAAATTGGTAAAGCCCATATTAGAGCCCAACTCAGTCTGATTCTGCAATTCACATACTATAATCACTATGTTATCAGCCACCCAGGAAAAAAATACGAACTCATGCACTCAGAATACAAGGTTCTTCATAAACTAACCCTAACCTAACTATTTGACCATCATTCCTTCTGCTTCTGTACATATGTTCTCCTTTCCAGACATCCCAGATATACAAGTCTCCAAACATGCTAACTATTTTCTACAACAGCACATCTTAAGACTTAAGACATGCTGTGTTTCTATCTGGATTATCCTTCATTTCTCTTTCTATCCATCTTCTTCCAGGGAGAAGGAACTCCCATTGCTGCTCCACCTAGCAAACCTACTCAGGTTTCAAAACCCAACTCTAATGTCCATTCCTCCTTGATGTGTCTAAAAGTCTTAGTCTAGCTAAACTCTGCCCAACTTCATAATTCTAATGTATTTTACCTTTACATCCGATATTGCATATTATCTAGTTGCCTGTGTCTTCTCATTAAACTTGAGGTTTTTAAGGCCACAAAACAAAAATGTATGGTTCACTTTTACGTCTTCAGTACTCAACAGTGTGAGAAGTCTATTGAGTCAATCAACCACTCAATAAAAGTGCCTGGATAATTTTTGTGTATGTAGGTAGCATTGTTTTAGGGACCATGGGGTGTTTGGGGAAGTATAAAATAATCTCCACCCTAAAGGAAATTACAATCTTAATAAAGAAATAAAACTCGCTCTGATGGAACCTGCAAGAGCAATAGTCTACATTAAAATTTTAAATCTGTGATACCAATAATAAGGCCAAGATTTGGATGGTGGTCAGGATTGGAGGGAAGCAGGGATGACAGTATGGCTAACAATAATGGAGCCAACATATATGCTCATATGCCCTTCTTGGAAATTCTCAGTGAATAGTTACATAAAAAATTGATAAATTCATCAGAAATTAGTTTAATTTGTTTAACTTATTTGACCCTGAAACCATTTATTTGACCCTGAAACCATTTATTCATGAACCATCTATTGTCATTCTTACTTTCTATACCATTTACCAATTAATTTTATAAAAAATTAATCAAAAAACATAGCATCAAAATTATGTATGATGAGTAGCTTATAGTAATCCTTGAAATCTTATTATAAGCATTTTTCCAGATAAGTCCTTATAAGACCAGCAAAAACCAAAAAGATTAACTAATGTTTGGTGACTGGAATTGAAATTTACTAGCTTTATTAAATACCACAAATATTAACCAGATTTCTAATTATCTTTTCTTATTTTTCTGAAAGAATTACTAACTACTCAGAGTATATTCTATTTTTATATTATTAAATTGAACATATTCTATTTTTTATATTATTAAATTGAACAGTCTCTTTTCTTAGCCTGTAAAAAATGTAATACAGAAATGTAACAGGAATACTTGAATTCTATGACTCTCTCATCTCAGTTTCTGCTCAATTCTCATCTTATCTAATACTCTTTTTACTGAAAAAAAGGAGGAGCTGGTCAAAGCCTTGTGTGAGGCTGCTGTTCTTGCCTGTGAAAAACATTTTGTAAATAGACATATATATGTACACACACATCTATATGCACACATTTATGTACAAATGTATAGTTTTTGTAGATAATTCAGTAGTTATATACAATATATATGCATATATTTTATCTGAAACAATAGATTTGCTAGCTTGTAATTTTCTGTAAAAAAGGAAAAAGGAAATCAAAATCATTTCTAATGGAAAATGCCAAGCCAAAATGGGAACCGCCTGACATGTAGTCATCAAGTCCAAACTTGTATGCTCTTGAGAGGGAAGTGAATTTTAAGGAATACTTTCTACTTTTAGTCTCACCTAAAGATATGGATAAAATTTGGGAATTGTGTCCAACTAATCTTATTGGCATATTCCCATTATGTATAATGGTAATATTGAAATGTAGACGAAAGTTACTCAGCAAAGCTGAGTGCTCTGAAAATTTAAATCAATCATTTTATCTAATCCCATGTTTAATGAGTTAGTTTGAACTGATTCTTCAACACAAATGTTATTTATTATTAATCATTTTTTAAAACTTTTTTTGCCACTGTGTCTCACATGCCTTCAAAGCACACTAAGCTTTTACACACACTGTCTTCCATTCTCCAAGAATCAGTAGCTTATCAAAAATCTTGGCTTTACCAAGATGTTTATACCTTAAGTATTTTCTACTTTTATGCACACAAGTTCTTTGAACCTCTCTAATCCTCAGTTTTGTAGTCAATTTAATAGCATGCATATGACAACACATATGCACAGATATTTTTAAAGATTAAAAGAATGTAAATGAGGGGATCAGAAACGTGTGTGTGTGTGTGTGTGTGTGTGTGTGTGTGTACAGAAGCCAATATATTACAATTGTAAGAAAAAAGTAAACATTAATCAGGAATAGCTGTATGTTTGTGTAACCAATTAATTGGGTACACAATTAATCTAGAAATATTAAGGAAATATCTTAATCTGGAAATATTAACAAAATATCTTAATCTGGAAATATTAAGGAAATATCTTAATTAACCTACCCAATTAATTTTTAAGGGTCCAGAGAAAGGAAAGATTTCTATTGTCTTTGAGGAAGCAACAAGATTGACATTAAGCAAAATAATGGTGTCCATGGTAGATTTAAATTTGTTTTAATAGTACAAAGATACAGTGCTCAGCATCCCAAGAATTCCACAGGAAATGGGACTAGAACTGACAGATATAAGGCATATGCCCATTTTATCCAATTAAAAAAAAAAACCAGGATAATCAAGAAACTTCCTTCTTAAACCAAGAGACTTCACTGACAATAAACATATTGGTGGTGAATCTGCACCCAGGATTCAAGCCTCATAACTAACATCCCCTTCGTACATCAGATTTAAGTCACAAGCTTCAGCTGAGGTGCTGTAAGACAGAAAGGAGTCTTTTGCCTAAACAGGAATTATTTTCCCAGCAACCATTCTAAACATCCTGGGACAACTTTTATCTTACAGTCCCTCAGGATTTATCTCAGCAATGTTGATGCAGAGCTTTAGAATTTATCAGGTTATTTTATGGGCAAAACCTGGGGCACTGCCATCTTGGATGCTCCACAGGGGTATGTCTTGTTAGCCCCTTGGTTCCTGTGTGTATCTTGGCACTCAGTACACAGACAATGGGAATGACTCTGGATTTAGCATCAGATTTGGGGCACTGTCCTGCCATTTACTTTGACTTGGTCGACTTAGTTAAGTTCCATAAGCCTCATTTCTCATATCTATAGTGAAGGTTAATAATACCTGTCAATATCAAACATTCAAGATCATATAGTTCACTTTATTTCACTAACACTCCTCTGCACTACTCTGCACCAGACACCATATTAAGCACAGGAGATACATGTAGCATCTGCCCTTGCAATGCTCTAGGTTTAGTGCAGGAACAGACTTGTAAATAAGTAATTAAAAAACTATCTGATAAATCCTATCCTAGACAGCTGTTATGAAGGTAAAATATGATGCCATAGGTGAAAACACCTTGTGAGCTGAAAAGTTCTATTAAAATGGAAACTATTACCATTCCAGGATTCTCCTCTTCTTTGCCACCAATCCCAATTCCATGTTTTATTCAAGGTTTAAATCAAGCTGAATTCCTCCACAAAGTCTTCCTGACTGCAGCAGCTTCTAGACACAAAACAGCTATGTCTGGCTTTGTTCTCTATTTACTAAATTATAATTGAGCTTTATAGTAATTGCTGGTAAAAATCATTTCCTGTTTTGAAAAAGAAGTACAAAAATCTAAAATTCTTGCTAATCGCTGTTAAAACATCTCAGCTAAGACCTAGAACTTAAATGTCAGGATGAAGAGTAGTTTAGTGAGATTTTTTTAAATTTATTTTTAGTTGACACTTAATAATTGTACACATTTATAGGATACGGAATGCTTCCTTACATGTATACCAAGTGTAATGACAAAATCAGGGTAATTAGCATAGCGATGACCACAAACATTTATCATTTCTTTGTGTTGTGAACATTCAAAATCCTTTATTCTAGCTTCTTGAAACTATACAACAAATTATAGTTAACTATATTCACCCTACAATGCTGCAGAACACCAGAGCTCATTCCTTGTACCTAGCTGTAATTTTGTATCACTTTACCAACTAATACCAGTTAGAGTAGTTTAGTTTTGAAGCTGAGTCCAGGTAACAGAATTGTGGATCAAAATAAATAGTTTGATTTGAGAAGGAAATATCTGTGATGACTCAACACAATTCCAATGCTTGGCATATGCTCCCGTGTCATATTCTCCTTTGTTAAGGTGCTTGCTCCTTATGAGGACTCAGGGGAAGTAGCGACTGTACTAGTACCATTAAGCACTTTAATAACCCACCGTGAATGAACATGTAGCTTCTGAAAAGGCTTCCTGTTGCTGTTAAACCAAAGACTAGTTAAGAGAGGATCGAGTGATTCTCCTCCCACCAGGAATTTATTAGGGATTAAATGCCTGGTAAGAAAGATTCTCTGGGGGAATTATTGTGGAAACATGTAACCACTGCTACTTAAGAGAGAGGTGAAAATCCACGTCACTTAGGGCTGTTGGAGGAGTTGGGATTAGACATGTAGAATTAGTTTCCTTTCCATATATGCAATACATGTATTAATTGAGATTTGCTTATCCATGCTATTTTAACATCCCCAAGCTTTAAGGCCTCGTTAATATCCACTTTATTTGCAAATCCTTCCTTGAAACTTCTTTCCTCAGTGAACAACTTTTTCTCTGAATTTTTCTAATCCTGATAAGAAAAACCCAAAGTCTTTTTTTTTCCACAGTAGTTTTCATGTCAGTACATTCCTTTCCATCCTCATTTTTGTCACACTTGTGAATACCTTAACACTGTATTCCTGTATTGAATTATAAATTCCATTGACTTTTTTGATGGTCAAACTTTTTTTTCCTCTATTAATGTTTGCTTCCTAATGATGGTGTACCATGGCAGAATACTCTAATATCTGCAGGTTTGAGCAGAGGAATAGAGAAACTGGGTGAGGTCATTGACATGACATTCAGACCCTGCTTGAAAATGAATAAATTTGCTAAGTTTCTGATATGGAAGGGAAAAACAGGAAAAATAAACCTCTGAGAATAAAGATAGAAAGTGTCATTTTGGCAGACCCAAAATGTAAACAAAAACTAATGAAACAAATAAACAAAAAACTTAATCCTCAAATAACATTATTGATATGCTGCTTTTTGTTTTTCAGAAATAAAGAGCAAATAATTATAACAGAGAGAACATTAGATGGCATCATATTATATTTTGCAAAAGGGTTAAATGGTGCCTGGAAGAGAGCAAGACGTTACTTTTGGCCCCCTCCTCAGATGTGGCAGATCATTTCATCTTGTCCCTTTCTCCTTCATTCTTCTTTCCCTCTCCTTTTCTAATGTCCAAAATATTCAGTGAGGGAAGGTGACGTGCCATAGATGGGTAAAGAAAAGTTCCCTTTCATTTTTCTTACTTCAGCCCCCAAGGACAAACATATAACATGGATGCTGAAAAAAAAATCTCAGCCTAAATAATAAATACAACATCTTAGCTCAACTGAATAGAAGGTTTAATGTTAATGAATAACCCCTTGCATTTGCAGAAGGGCTATGCTCTATAAAGTACCCTCATATGTATTATCCTTTTGTTTTTTCCCAGACATCATGCAAGGTGGGCAAGGGAGGTTTATTTCTTTTCTTTTCTTTTCTTTTTTTCCAATAAAGAAAGAAGCTCAAAGGTGGCAAGTGATTTGCTCAACATCATTCTGAGTCAGATCCTGGACTGAGAATCTGGGTCCTTTCTTTCCACTATCACTACTGCCTCGATGAGATTTCACCACTGAGCAATTTTACTAAGACAGATATGAGTTATAAAGAAGGAATTATTTTGTGATTTTCATGGCAGATATCAAGCTTTGTATTTTCATATTTAATGAAATTTTTTAAATATGTAGACATTGAGTACTATTGATTAAAGGGAGGTATATAAGAAGTAAAAGTAGATCCATAAGGCAAAATAGAGTTTCATTAACACTGAATTATTTTAAAAACTTAATTCTAACAGGAAAACAATTCAGTATAAATTTTAAAAATAAACTGCATTTTATCTACTCAATCATTGGCCCAAAAATATTACTGAGCACTACCATGTTCTAAACAATGCATGGGTACTACTGGGCATATAGGAAAGAGCAAACCCTCCATCTGTGCCTTCATAATGTCCCATCAAGCAGGTGAGATAGACATATAGCAAAGAGTTATGATATGCCTGAATGCAGGTGCCATAGGAATCTAGCCTAGCAGGGTCAGGAAAGCTTTCTTTAAGACAAGACAATTAAGGTAAAATAAAATAAGAAAAAAAGAGGATACAGTTAAGCAAAAAGGAAGAGAGGATGTAGCACAATGAGAAAGCATTTGAGGAAAAAGGTTAATTTGGAATTTAATGGGGTAGAGGTGATCACCCAAGGAGATAGTTTAGGGTGTGAAGAGGCCACGGATCATGGAACTCCAGGTCAGGTAAAAGAGAAAGAACCTGAAAGGTTTTATGGCTTACCAAATATTTTACTTTGCACTGAATTCTCTGTTCCTTAAACCAGGGTTCAAAATGGCATTGAGTATACTTTTTATTTTCTGAAATGCTGTATTCACATAAAATATAAAAACTGAACATCCTTAGACACCTTCTCTTTACCAGCTCTTTTCACCTACATTGTCTCATGTAATCTCAAAACAACCTTAACCAAATGAGACACTGTCTGCTTCTTACCGAGGCTTAAAAAGATTATTCTTTTCCAAGTATCTGGGATGGCAGATCCAGAATAAGAACCGGATTTTAGGATCTCTATTCTATTGCACCTTCCATGACACCCCACAGTGGCCCTGTTAACTTAAAAATCCTATTCATCCATCAAATGCTTATTAAGATCATGCTGAGTGTCACTGAAAAAGATAGATAAGATCTGTGTCTTCATAGAATGTACTTTCTACTAATAAACAGAATAATGTCGTGAGTAGGGAGTTTCTTTTGTTTTTTTTCTTAAGAGTTCTCATTTACTTCAGGGAAAAAAAAGCTTTCATGTTCAAAAGAATGAAATGAAGTACTCACATTTGGACTCCATTTCTCTGGGTGTCTGGTGTTTCCTGTGTCCACTTTCACGTTATTCAGATGGTCTGGTGCTCTTTCTCCCTTATGGCCATGGGCACTGTAACCAAAGGCACAGCCAGGAAAAAGATGTCAATACTTTGTACAGAATTGGTTGATTAGGATGGTTTCCTCATCACACACTCACCTAGAGGTTTTGCAACATGCTATCATGTTTTGGGGCATGGCTACAGGTGATTCCAAAGACTGTTACTGCTAACATCCAAAGTTATGTTCCATCATGTTCAACTAAAGGCATTCGAGAGAGAGAGAGAGAAACTTTTTAAAAGCTAGTGTTTGCAAAACCTCTCTGTACTAGGAGCAAGAGTGTCCCTAAGGTAAAAGTTGGTGGAATAAATCCAATTAGTCTCCTGATTTCAAGTCCATGCTTTGTATTAAAAGGGGACTTAGTGACCTGAAATAATACTTGTACCTTTCGAAACACCTGTTTCTTATCCTTCTGATAGGAGAAAGGGTGTAGTTGGCAACCATCCTCCCAATCAAATCTCGTAAATAAACTGGCCCATTTCTTCTCTGCCATGTTCCAGAAGCTAGTGGACACCTGGGAAAAAGAATTGTAATACACGTAAGTCAGGCTAATGCAAAATTGAAAAATAAATCCTGAAACTACTAGAAAGGAACACCAACTGTTTGGCAGTGCCCCCTCTGCTACTATGGATGCACAGCAACCTCCAAACCTGAAAATGGTTCATTCATCCTTTCCAGGAAGGGCAGAGTGGGGTGGAAGAAGCTCATATTCCAGGATTCTGAAGGACATGAGACTACAATATATTGGGTAGATTACATGGAAAGAAATTTCACAGGAAAGAGCGGAGAAAGAAAGACCATGAAGTAGAAAGGAACAGATAAAGAAATGGGAAGCAGTGTGGAAAGAGGCAAAAAGCATGTCATTAAAGGGGATGCAGAAATGGCAGTCTGTTACCAAGGGAGTGGGTTTCTCAGACAGAGTGGATCCTGCAGGGCCAGTCAGGCAGCCTCAAGGCTGGTGGATTCCAAATGAGGTACACGCCCCAGCCCCTCAAAGGCAAGCCAGCCCTCCAGCAAGGGGGCCCAAGGGGAGTGATGGGGATTTAGAAGAAAAGGATGGCTTTCTGCCAGAGTTTCTCAGATTGTGAAAGAATCTGAGAAACAAAGTGCTTCAGATTTACTTTGGGAGCAGAAGAACAGAATGCTTGTCAAAAGCATAGATCCTTGGAAGCCAATCCAGACAATCAGACTCTCCTGGGGTCACATCTTATATCTTTGACAAATGCCCTAGATGAGTCTTACACAGAATTTAGTTTAATAACCATAGGCTGTGATGATAAAACTGTAGTCTTCAACTTCTTTTGTAGTCAGGCTGCTCAAGGCTATCTGTTGGTCACAGCCCCTAGAACAGAGCTGTCTTGACTGAAAATAACAGACCCCCTAGTAACAGAGATCTTGGATTACTTTGTGATGGGAAACTACACCAGAATCTCTTCATATAACATTCCTGGCCAGACGCAGTGGCTCACGCCTGTAATCCCAACACTTTAGGAGGCTGAGGCAGGTTGATCACTTGAGGTCAGCAGTTCTAGAACAGTCTTACCAACATGGTGAAACCCCGTATCTACTAAAAATACAAAATTAGCTGGGCGTGGTGGCGCATGCCTACAATCCCAGCTTCTCAGGAAGCTGAGGCAGGAGATTCGCTTGAATCCCAGAGGCCGAGGGTGCAGTGAGCTGAGATGGCGCCACTGCACTTCAGCCTGGGCAACAAGAGCAAAACTCCGTCTAAAAAACAAAAAATAAAAAAAAAATCTTGAGTGTCAGGCCACATTCTCTGACCTTTGTAAAGTTTCTGAAAGAACGTCTGCAGCTTCAGAAGCTATTGTGTCAGCTTTTAGTGGTAAGGAGAGGTACTAGGGCGCTGAGGCTGAGGCACCAATCACATCTTGAGAGTGGCTTTCAGACCCCATGGTGGAAGTGCAAAGGAGAAAGAGAGAGAAAGGCCTTCAAAAAACTTGTCAGTCCCTCAATATTCACCAGGATCCTAATTTGAGATCACTCTGCTAAGTGCCGAAGGCATTATACAGCACTCTCACTCATTGAACTGTTATTCAAGTACAGAACTCAAAATACATTTGTGAGGTGAATTTCTGTGAAGTAAAGAAGCTCTCATTAGAAATGTGTGTTCATTAAATTTTTATTTTCCAGCAGGTAAGGCAGCCTAAGTAACACTATGTTCAAAATCAGGGGTTCAGACAGAAAACCCTAGTTATATATATACCAACTTCCAGAATAAAGGCGGAACTGGAACCACTGACTACCTCCTGGTAATCCCTGACTCTCTTACCCCTTCCCTCCTCTCTGATGATTGTTGGTGAGTTTGGGTCCTAGTGGTAATGTTTTCCTTCAGAGGCCACTAACTCTAGGAAGCCCCTGTCCTGTACCAGGCACTTGTGCACACAGCCGGGACACTGCAAGCCCTTGCATCTGTGTGCTGCTGCACTCACAGGTGGGCTCAGAACTCCCGCAGAATCCTAATAAACACTCCTTCATCCTGACAAGCATCCCCTTTGACACATTTTCACGATTATGATAAACTGAAGCCCTGATATAGAAAGCAGTCTTTAACTCAAAACAAGCAAAGGAAAGCCACTTCCAAGGTCTCTTTCCATGATGTCCTTTTGATGCTGTGTTTCCTGAAAGAATGAGAAAAGTCCTCCCCAGTCCGGGGCCCATGAGCAACCACCATTGGGGAAGCGGCATCCAAGCCCCCTGGGCACCTCGCTGAGTCACCTTTCCTCTCCCTTCTCTCCTCAGTTCCAATGGAAAATCCGTCACGTGGGCCCAGAATGAGAAGAGCAGCCGGGGGCAGCACCTGTGGCAGCGCCTGTCCATCCACATCAACAAGAAAGAAAACCCCAACCAAACGGCCGTCATCAAGCCCTTCCCCAAGAGCACGGAGAGCCGTGGCCTGGGCGCTGGCGCTGGCGCAGGCGGGAGCGCTGGGGGCGTGGGGGCCACGGGCGGTGCGGGCTGCGCAGGCGCCGGCCCAGGCGGGCCCGAGTCCCCAGACGCCGGCCCCAAGGCGCTGTATGATGTGGCCGAGGCTGAGGAGCACTTCCCGGCGCCCGCGCGGCCGCGCTCACCGTCGCCCATCAGCACGCTGAGCCACCGCGCGGGCTCGGCCAGCCGCACGGACGACGATGTGCCGTCGCTGCACTCGGAGCCTGTGGCGCGCAGCAGCTCCTCGCAGGGCTCCCTCATGGAGCAGATCAGCAGTGTGGTCACCCGCTTCACGGCCAACATCAGCGAGCTCAACTCCATGATGCTGTCCACCGCGGCCCCCAGCCCCGGCGTCGGCGCCCCGCTCTGCTCGTCCTACCTGATCCCCAAAGAGATCCAGTTGCCCACGACCATGACGACCTTTGCCGAAATCCAGCCTCTGCCGGCCATCGAAGTCACGGGAGGCGCGCAGCCCGCGGCAGGGGCGCAGGCGGCTGGGGACGCGGCCCGGGAGAGCCCCGCGGCCGGTCCCGAGGCTGCGGCCGCCAAGCCAGACCTGGAGGAGCTGGTGGCTCTCACCCCGCCGTCCCCCTTCAGAGACTCGGTGGACTCGGGGAGCACAACCCCCAACTCGCCAGTGTCCGAGTCGGCCCTCTGTATCCCGTCGTCTCCCAAATATGACACTCTTATCATAAGAGATTACACTCAGAGCTCCTCGTCGTTGTGAATGTCCCTGGAAAGCACGCCGGCCTGCGCGTGCGGAGCGGAGCCCCCCGTGTTCACACACACACAATGGCAAGCATAGTCGCCTGGTTACGGCCCAGGGGGAAGATGCCAAGGGCACCCCTTAATGGAAACACGAGATCAGTAGTGCTATCTCATGACAACCGACGAAGAAACCGACGACAAATCTTTTGGCAGATTTTCTTCTAGTGGCCTTAGAAAACATGGGCTTTTAAGAAACACGGCTGATATCTTTGAGGGCTGACAAGGCGTCTCTTCAAACAGTTCCATACCAAGTGCTTTGCTCTAGGGAAGCAGTGCGTGTGAAACAGCGTAACGGAGGGTGAAGAGCATAGTTAATAAGCAACTGTAAAAAGTTTTATTTGTTTACTTTAATTCTTTTCCCAGAAGAGTCTTTGATTCACCAAACATGAATGTACATTTTCTAACAAACTCAAAATCTGGGACCAAAACATCAACTTTTTTCTTTCTTTTTTCTTTCTTTTTGTTTTTTCTTTCCTGTAAAGACCTTGAAAAGCAGTAACTTGGGTCCAGTATTTACGGAGGCGTTGTGAATGTGTCCCATGCATAACACACTACTGGATAGTGAGTGCTGCGCTAATGTACTACGTAGGGCTTCTACCAGAGATTTTCCTCTCCAATTGGGTTGTGAAATACTCTTCCAAAAGCCTGCATCGGGGATTCCACCTACTTATTTCAGATTCACCTCCATTAACCAAGAAAACCAGTGGAAGATTTCTTGACTATTTCACCATGTTGCCAATCAATACTGGAGTAGCAAAAAAAATATTTTCTGGAATACTGTTTTGTAATTCCCTCACTGGGGTGCATTGTAGCTGGAAATTCTCTTTATAAAAATCATTCTTGAGCTCCAGCCTGGCTATCTCTTTCAAGAAACATGGCCACTCTTTAGGAATGCTGTTGCGTTTGCATTGCCAACTAAAATATTAAAATATGCATTGGGGCTTCTTCATTCCTTTATTTTGAGAACCTGATGCACAAAGAGCTCCTTTGTTCTTTTCGAGTCCCACCACTGGAAGAGTGGTCCATAGACCCCATGAAGACATTGTCATGATTTGAGAGACTGTTGTTGAAAGGATTAACACAATCTTAATACACTGAAAATTTTAACTGTGTCAAGTCAGCTTAGTGGAGATTTAGCTATGCCAGTGAGCAGTGATTTTAACTATTCTTGGCTGCTTAAACAGGGCAGCTATGAACTATGACAAATGTAGATTTTTCAAAGCAATACAAAATACTAAAAAAGAGGAACCTTAATGAATATTAACCACACAGTCTTTCTTAGCCATTCCAAAAAGAGGCAAAGCAATTCTTATTTTCTTTTTTAAAATAATGATTAATATGATTTTGTGCACTTCATACTGTCACTTTTTAAAACTACAGAAAAGAGATTTAGAGTATAACAGAAACAAGTGTGCTTTGATAGTCTCAAATAGGTAGAATTCATAGTTCAAGACCTGAATCCACTGTCATCTCTTTCTTCCTCCCATTGCAGCTATCCTCAGGTACCAAATGTTTTGATTTTTAAATAAGGATAGTAATAAATGGAGGAGGTGTCCTATAAATTTAAAGTTCAGTTGACCCAGCCTTATACTTAAGATAGCCTTATGAAAAATATGTGCTGTGAGGCAGAAGTATATTTTGGCAGAGAGAATAATAAATAAAACTTTTTCTTTTAGCTCAATATCCTTACTTTGGTAAGTATTTTTTTTTATTTCACATCTACTTAACAGAAAATAAACTGAGAAATAGAAGTCAGTCCATTGGCATAATTTATCATTCTTCACTTTAAAAAATTCTAATAAATATTCTGCTTGAGTTTTCTTTTCTGCTATTTGTTCTTACTTGCAACTTTAAGTCAAACCTCCCAATACAAAACATTAAAAGCTAACATTAATGTACTAAAGTATTAATTTAAAAGAAATCGAACCTCCCATGCTAGATTTGAAAATAACATCATCACAGCACCCTGATCCCAAATATTACACCGAGGCTTTTAAAATGTAAGTGAAATCTAGCTAAGTTTCATGGTTTCATTAAAAGCAAATGTCTGCCTCTATCTGAAAAACAAATGGAAATCTTTTGAGGTGTTAATACCCTTTGGATCCTCATCAAAAGGATGGCATTCACCTGAGGATTCCTATCTTGACTTCTTAGGTATTAAAAACCTTTCTTGATATGCTCTACATTTTAAAATTTGTTTTATAAAATCCTTATGTTGATTTTCATTTTATTCTCAAGTACAATACGTTTCACTCTAGACCAGTTGAAGAACATGTTTAAACTTTGTTCATGGTCAAATTCATTTTCTATTTTTTTAGTAACATATCTCTTAAAAAGCACACTACCTTATAAAAAACTTCATCAGAAATTAAATTTAATGCAAGTAAATTGCCATCTGATACTTCCACATGCTATCATAATCAACTGTAATAATAAAAATGATTTATCCAATTAGAAAAGGACAAGATATATTTTTCTCTGTATTTCTATAACTTTTGCCACTCCATTGAATACATTGTATGTTGGACATAAGATTATTAGTAATGCATTCTTGAGATCTTTTATTTTGGAATGATGCTAACTCTGTCTCTTTGCCAATTCTAATACCAGGTTCCAAGTAATAACTCTACAGTACAAAGAGAACTGAATATTCATTCTAGGGCTATAGGATATGAACTTCACAATTCATTTGGGTACATTCTCATTGAATTTCCTTCAAAACAATCTGTTCCTGGTGCCCAGTGATAATTCAGTCGGGACCAGCATGACTAAAAGGAAGGGGATATGCTAAGGCTCAGCAAAGTGACCCTAAATGAGAGATATGTCCCAGGATGGAAAGAAGAAGACGTGGTTTAACCAAGTTATACTGACTAATCTAAGCAGTCCACTCATCCTTCCATTTTGGGAAAGGAGTGGGGGCAGCCTAAGAAGAACATATCTGGATTGGGAAGAACCGTCTTTCTGGGCTAGGGATGGGGAACAGAAAGGGAGTATGGAAAGAAAAATTATAAGAGATTTGACTGAAGCAAGGAAAAAAAGCAAATCCCCAAACGTGCTAATCCTTGAAAGTAACTATCTTTCCCAAACTACTGCTGTTACCAGCAAGTGATCAGGAAGACTAGGAGCTATTTCTGACTGTAAATGAATTGTATAATAGCTCTGCTGCAGTTCTGTGACTTCCAAGCCAGGAATTAAATGCTCTTTTTAAGAATAACAAAAAACAAAAGCATTTCCTATGCTAGTCTCCCAGTAAAATGTACATGTTTTGGAGACTTCAAAGGTATTATGTGAGTTCACATTTAGCAACAGCTTATTAATAACCCTCAAGCTGTCAGAATCTCTATAGTTACCATTTACAATTTTATACTGTGAAAAAATACAGATCAGTGAAAGCATAAAGACAAGTCAGAATTCACTTTGAAGAGGGTCTGAGGCCTGGGAGAGTCTCTACTGTCTATTGAAGAATGAGGCATGTATAAAATAGTTGGTTGAATTTCACTGATCTTCCCAATGTGAACAAATATACTATGTATATTGTGTGTATTTCTAGAAATCAATGGCAGCTGCTGATGGTGTTGTAATTAGAAATCTATATAGATTATAGATGTTTTAGAAAGATGGTGCCAATCCTAAAAGATTTGTGTGGGCTAAAAGTGCTTGTACTTACTTTTTTCTGCACTTATAACTGATTTGGTTTTAAAATTGTGTGCGTGTATCTGTTCTTTCTCTGTTGTGGCAGCTTGTACTATTAAAATAATAGAGAATGTTAAATTATTTTGATGTGAACTGCAAATGATTTTTTTTCATAAAGTTTAACATTTTTATCAGCATTGTTTTGCTTTGTACTTGTATAAATATGTTTTATTTTAGCACTTCAAAATATACTTGCCTGTTTCTCAGTTGTCTAAATCATGTTGTACTTGGTGTTTGTGAAGCCAGTTACTTTTCAAAAAAATTAAAAAACCTATAATATGATTTTAAGATTATTCCCCTCAAATGTTTAGAATGTTGTCTTAATAGTGTTTTCTGAGATGAAAAGAGCCATGATACTAATTAATCTTGAATACTGGATGATCTATACATTTGAATTATGGGGTTTACAAAGTAAGCAGTGGACTGTATAGATTTAAATGAAAATATAAACCAACCACAAACCAACCAGAGATGTTGTCCCCAAACACATCTACAAACAACTGTTACATAAAGAAGTACTTAAAAAAATATATAGGAAATATGCATTGTTTATGCATCTAGACATACAAATTATAGAAATAGTTTCATAATTATATGTGTTGATAGAGGTAACATCACACAGATAAAATAGATTATTTGTGTGTGTATAGATGTGTGTTTACAAACATACATATTTATATAGACATTTGACTTTTGAGTCCATCTGCATGTGTCTCTGTGTATATGTGTGTTTGTGTGTAGATGTATGTGCATATTACATAATTTTTCCAGAAAAAAAAAAAGTTTTACTTTGACTGATTCTTGAGCAAATATACATTCCCTGGACACAAATTAGTGAAAAACTAACAGCAGAATATAAGGTAGATGCTTGATGTATGGAAGAGAAAAACAAGGTATATTTAAAAATATATTTGATTTATGCTTCTGACATTGTATTAAATGCATAATGATATATATACATATGTAGATACATATATTATACAGAATGTGTTTGATCTTAACAAAGAAAGCCATTTTATCTGTTTTGTCAGACTCTTCCCTTCAGTATCTTTTATTCTAACGTGATATGAATGGTAATATGTTCACATAAAATTGAGGATGAAGTGACATATACAAACCAGGTACAGGAAATTACCTTCTAAAAATCCAAAGAGCCTTATCAGACTCCATCAAATTATGGAAGGCCATTTAAAACCAGCGGATGCAATAGAAATAGCATTGAATTAAAAGCCAGGATCTCTTACCTGTCACCAACTGACTTTGGATAAATCACTCTGATTTCTCTACAACTTGTTCCTCTTGCTTTAAATGCAGAAGTGAGTTACAATAATCTGTGAAGTTTCTATCATTTCAACATTCCTGATAAATGCTCAATAGTAGCTATTATTAGTGTCAATGTAGTATTTAGTATACAGTTAATATTCAGCAGGAAGCTTAAATTTGTTATATCAATGTTATTTGTGGAGCTTAACAAGTTCCTGTCCAACTTAAAGCATATATCCTGGAGGAAACCTATTGAGGTTTGAACTCATATGCAACCTTGGAACTGTCTATCAAGGACAACTTAGTAAATTGATATTGAACACCACAGAGAGAATGCTTTTCCTCTGTTATAATTGCTGCTGAATGCTGGCCAAGTTTTTGGTTATGCTGTACATGAATGATCAGTTTTAGAACATAAACAATTTGCAAATATTTACTTTGTATGATAGCTAGGCAGAAAGGTAGGTAAGCACATAGATAGGCAGAATTATATTAATGAAGTTATCTCCTTAAGCAAAAGCTTGGTATTTACATTTTCTCTCACAGTATTTTAAAACTCAGAATCAGTTATTACATCTCACTCTGTTTATTACTTTTAGGTTATTATGTTAGTAAATAAGTTCTATGAAGAGAATGTTTAAACTCATCTTCTCCAGCCACTCTTAGAATCCTGAACCAAAAGTTTCCAGGAACACTTAACCTCCACTAGAATAAATGTTTTAAATTACTGTTACACCAGGACAAAGACATTTATTTTTGCCAGGACATAAGTCTCTTTGAGGTATGATCTATATACAGGATACCTATGTGATATACATATCAGACACTTTGGCTTATTTATGTATAGCTTGTATTTTTATTCATTGACATTAAAAATAAAAATTTTCATACTATCAGATTTCTATGATGAGATAGATGTTATATTTTAAATTATACAAATTCTATGTCCGTGAAAACCACATAATAAATTGTGGCTTTTCTGAACTGCTGAATAGTAATAGGTGATTCATAAAAGTTCTTAGAGTCTTAAAAGTTTGAAAAATGTAGTAATTCCAAATTAAATGGCTATCTTCACTTCGGAAGTTACCAATTTATAGTATTCTTTTTTTTTTTTTTTGAGACGGAGTCTCGCTTTGTAGCCCAGGCTGGAGTGCAGTGGCGTGCAGTGGCGCGATCTCGGCTCACTGCAAGCTCCGCCTCCCGGGTTCACACCATTCTCCCTCCTCAGCCTCCCAAGAAGCTGGGACTATAGGCGCCCACCACATCGCCGGCTAATTTTTTGTATTTTTAGTAGAGACGGGGTTTCACCATTCGCAGGATGGTCTCGATCTACTGACCTTGTGATCCGCCCGCCTCGGCCTCCCAAAGTGCTGGGATTACAGGCGTGAGCCACCGTGCCCGGCCCAATTTATAGTATTCTAATATCCATTAACTTTGCTAATGAAGCTGTCTCCTCAGAGTAGAGTTTCATGAAAAGAATTTTGGAAATGCTATGATATAAAAGTTATAATTTATACACACTTTTTCTTTTAGTTTTCAAAATTCATTGCCATTTCCATGATGATCTCCTTAGGCCTTTAGAGAAGTAAACACAGATTGATAGAGTTATAACATTGTCTTCAGGAGCCATTTTACTGAACCATTGGAAGTCTTGCTCAATTTTATTATTTGTTCTCTTCCCATTTTTTGATTTCTTAGACCTCTGTCAGCACATTTACTTTACTTTCACGGGTCAAGCTGAGGGATTTCTTTTACAATTTATGTTCTTTCATTTTTGTTCAAAACGTTTTGAACCAAATGAAATTAAGTTTCCTTAACTTCAACAGCCTCAGATGAAGCAATATGTGAGATACAGCATTAATAGATGTTGCCTAACCAGTGAAATGTATTTCAAAAGCAGTAGAAGTCTATCAGCTTATTATCCAGAAGCTATTTTTAGAAACTCTTTCTAACTTAAAAACATAAGAGCAAAACTACATGAACACATCTATAACACATACCACATAAATGCATTTCTACTCTTGCATATTTAAGATAATGACTTTAGCCCTTTACTTCCCTATATGTGTGGTACTCTCTATCATATTTTCTGAAGAGCTTAAATCCCATCATTAGCCCTAATAATTCATCTTACTCTTCAAAGAGGAATGAAACAATCTAAATGTATACAGAGAAAAAAAGATCTTGTTTTGGGAAGACAAGTACCCACTCTAATAACCCGAGACAACTTAGCAACAAAATTAGGAGAACATCCTAGCTAGTTCTATCCAGTCAGTATGAAAGAAGCCAGTGGAAATGCTTTCTTATTCTTTGTATGGCTATAACAAAAAAGGACCAAAGTTGGTCGGGTGACCCATCCCAGCACTTTGGGAGGCCAAAGCAGGCGGATTACTTGAGCCCAGAAATTCAAGTTCAGCCTTGGCCACATGGTGAAACCCTGCCTCTACAAAAAATACAAAACTTAGCTGAGCCGAGATCATGAAACTCTGTCTCAAACAACAACAACAACAGCAACAAATAGAATGAAAGAAAAAGAAAGACAAGCACAAAAGTCAGATTCTAAAGAATAAGACGAAGATACAACCATTTCTGATTGACAAAGCACAGGTCAGGAGCGCAAGAAAAATGTGAGTGATGACCACAGGGCCAACAAACAGACTTAAATGCCCAAATAAATTAAAGAAAGTTAAGAAGCACTCAGAAAAAGAATAATGCAACCATGTCCTTAAGTGATGGTATTTGCTGAACCAGCACCATCAGTTAACCAGTTCCGATATATACAAAGCATTTAAAGGAGCAAATGATAAACAAAGGCAGGTGTAAGAATATTAATGTCCAATAAGAAATAATTAAAAATAAAAGCCATTAAAAGGATTAAAAGAAATATTTAAAATTGATAAAAAATCTACACAGAAGGTAGAACAGTGATGAACCTATATGTGCTTAAAAATAGGGCTTCAAAGCCTAATAAACAAAGATTATTGGAAACACACGAGGAAAAAAAATCCACAATCACAATGACTTGCTTTAATATATTTAACTGGCAAATACATCAAGAAGGCAAAAGAAAAAAAAAAATCTATGTAATTAAGTAACACAAATAGCAAGAATAATCAAACACATCTACTTAGAGGTTTGTTCCTATTAACAGAGGACAGACATTCTCTTTCTCATCATTAAAACATTCATAAATATTAACCTTGGATTAAACCAGGAAGAAAATTTTAACAAATTCCAGGAAACGAAAATTAAACAGGCTACATTCACTGACTAAAAGAAATCTTAAATTTAAAACAAAAGTTATCCAAAAGAAATACGTTCACTTACAATCTCTCTTTTAAGATAGCTTTCTGGAATGAAGAGAAAAACTTAACTAAAATCACATCCTGTTTATAAATGAACATTGGTGACAGTTCTGTATATTAAAATCTATAGAACAGCCAGAGTACTCAAAAAATGTTTTATCATAAATGTATATGTTTTTAAGAAGACTGAAAATAAACATTCAACTGAAGATGTTGTAAAATAAATAAAAATCAAATACAATACAAATAACTAATATTGAACAAATGAAAGTAATACAAGCAAACATTTTAAAAAATTAAAAGTAACCATTAAAACCAAAGTCATCGACTGGATAAAGAAAATGTGGCAATGTACAACATGGAATACAATGCAGCCATAAAAAAGGATGAGTTCATGTCCTTTGCAGGGACATGGATGACAGTGGAAACCATCATCTCAGCAAACTATCACAAGAACAGAAAACTAAACACCACATGTTCTCACTCATAATTGGAAGTTGAATAATGAGATCACATTGACAGAGGGAGGGAAACATCACACACCAGGGCCTGTCAGGAGGTGGGGGACTAGGAGAGGGATAGCATTAGGAGAAATACCTAATGTAGATGACAGGTTGATGGATACAGCAAACCACCATGACCCATGTATACCTACGTAACAAACCTGCACGTTCTGCACATGTACCCCAGAACTTAAAGTATAATAAAAAAGAAAAAAAAAAAGATTAGACCCAAGTAACCATGATGGCTCTCCTTCCCTTTTGATGGAAATAAAAATTAGGGCAAACAATTTCGGTCTCTGAAATAAACGTTATAAAAACTAAAACAAAATGAAATAATGTCCAAACACAATTAAGGCTCAGTAATAATAATTCAGTGTGAGAAAAATTATTGATGTATTTATCACATGAAAATACACAAGCACCTCAATAGATTTGGAAGGGAAAAAATAAATTTGATGCAATTTAAAAAAAAAAGTCATCTGTTTGAAAAGACCCACATGTTAACATTCATCAAATCTAATTGAGTAAAAGAAAACACAAATTATAAACATAAACAAAATTAGTAATAAAAAATATATACATAGAAATATAGACATATCAAATTTCTAAGTAGAAGTTTATGCTAATACATTTGAAAATATAGGTAAAATGAATATTATTCTAAAAAAAATAATTACCAAACTGAAATAAAAGTAAAAAAAACCCTAGACCATAATGATAGAATATTGTAAAAGAGAATTTTAAAATATCTTACTCTAAAAAGTACAAGCCTAAATGTTTTACAGGTAAATTACACCATAACATATAAATATAGAAGATGAAAAAATATGGAAATATTTATAGCTTATTCATGAGGCTTTCATAACTTTGGCACACAAATCAGACAAATATGGAAATAAAAGGAAATTATAGTCAAATCTCATTTAATCAAATTTCATTTGATCAAATATCAAATATATATCATTATTTTGTAAAATACTAAAGTATTTATATATAACACTATAAAACCTAATAAACTATTAAATACTTTATGAAGGAGTATATTTTGCCCTTAGATTGTAAGTTTTATTCAAAACTAGAAAAATCTATGAATATGGTTTACTCCATTAACATATTAAACAGAAAATGTAATATATAATATAAAAACATTTGATAAAATCCAACACTAATTTCTGACTAAAACAAAATAAATTAGCAACTAAAACTAAAAGAAAACTTTCTGAAGGTAGGAAAAAAAATCAGACACCTATAGCAAATATAATACTAATAACAAAATATTAGAAGAATTCCCATTAAATCAGGTGTAAAAGAAGTATGTCATATATGTACAATTTCTAAAGTGAATATGTAAGCTTTGTCCAAAACAGGTCATTTCTGAGAGTTAAATAAAGTGTTAGTGGTATTTGGAGAATGGCTTTACCTGGGAAAACTGCTTATATCTGGACTCTTTTGAACAAACTAGGACATAAGCCCACTTTATTACTATTCAATAAATATTTAACCTTTTAGATAAAACTCTGTGAAGTGCCTAGCATAGCATGGAACATACAGTATGTTTTTTCAATGCTAGCTGCTTTAGTAGTAATACTACTAGTGGTAGTAGTAGTAGTAGTGGTAATAGTAGCAGTGTTAGAAGTTTAGATCTAACTAATAAAATATTTAAAATGTAAAACATAAAACACGAGTGGCAATATTCCCATGCAAAATTAGTTATTGCTGCTTATATTCTTGTGTATATATGTATCTTTCCCTAACAATTGAAACACACAAAAAAATACTAATCACTCATATTGTTGCAACAAATATCAGAAGTAAATATAAGAAATGAGTTGATATAGCCATTTACAACCAGATTAGATTAAATAAAAAAGTGAATGAAATTGTTTCTGCTTAGTAAGTAATGAAAATACATAAAGAATACTTAATTACAAAAAAAAATGGGAAATGTGGCAAAGACCTGGTGTTCGAATCAAAATACTTAAAACTGGAGAGAGAGAAAGAAAGAAACTTTAGAAGAATATAACCTGCATTATATATGACTTTAGTGAAGAGACTTCTTCAGTTCTGGAGCCGCCTTCATTCAGGTAAGCCCCCTTCTGTCCATCTTTTTCTTTTATAAGTTAAAACAACTGTCATACTTAGATCAGTGTTACCAAAAATTTCAGTTATTCTAAAACTTTAACACCATTAAGGCAGTATAAACATACATTTTAACTTCTTTTTTTTTTTATTGTGGTAAGAACATTTAATATGAGATCTACCCTTGTGAACATTTTTAACTACACAATACATTATTGTTAACTACAGACACAATGTTTTACAGCAGATCTCTACAATTTACTCAACTGCATAACTGAAACTTTGTACCCTTTGATTAGCAGCTCCTCCTTTCCCCCTAACCCTTGCTCCTGGCAACCACCATTCTACTCTTTTAGCCTGTGAATTTGACTGTCTTAGATACCTCATATAAGCAGAATCATGCAGCATTCATCCTTCCATGACTGGCTTATTTCACTCAACATAATTTCTTCCAGGTTCATCCATGTTGTCACATATGAAAGATTTCTTTTTTTTCAATAGTATTATTGCTGTATATTACAATAATAATCCATTGTATGTATATACTTTATTCATACACTGATGGGCATTTAGGTTGTTTCCACATCCTAGCTATTGTGAATATATATATATATTTAGATAACTATATTTATATAACCAAACCAGTGGTTTGGTTATTTTATATATACTCCTTAATTTATATAATTAAATATAATATACTTCTGATTTGGTTGTATAACCAAACCAGCGGTCTGGTGGAACTGAAGTACAGAGATCTTATAAGATCTATATATCCACATGTAGATATATATATATCTATATAATATATATAGATATATATTATTTATATAGATATATATATCTATATTTATATAAATATATAATATATACACACATGCACATATCCACATATATCAATGAATAAAGATAATATAGGAGCAAATGTTATGTAATATGTAATTGTTATATATATAGATCAAAAATAAATTTTTAAGCTTAAAGTTACTTCTTAATCATTACTACCTAAAAATTATGACCTTTTTAATCCTAAGGGATGTTGTGAGATTACATATCTCTATGAAAGAGGTTCACTAATCAAAGACTGAATAATACTTTTTTATATTATCCTTATAGTTAATTTTAGCTTAAAAATCACTGAACTTTATAATAGAAATGGAAGCTTTAAATTATATCTACCTGAGCAATAATTTTTCACAAGTGAAAAACAGACATTCCATGTTGTAGTTGAGATAAGCTTGATCAATGAATACCTCAATCCTAGCTCTGGCTGGCTCAAAGGCAAAGTACAGAGCCAGTTTCACTAATACTCTTACCGCAAACTACCCCATTAAACTTGGGGACTCAACATCACTCTTAAGCAAGCTATTTGTTGGTATAACACTCTCCAAACTTTTCCTTCTTGAAAAGTATGCAGCTGGTCAGCAGAAGACCTGGGATTCAAAACTATCTCAGACTCCAAGATCCATCAATCATTCTAGCACATCTTACATCATGAGACATAAATAAGATGCTTCCCTCCAAAACAGCCCACATCTGAATCCTGCGCCTCATTCTATAGCCAGGAAAGAGATAGGACCTTAAGGAGAAGAGCAGGCATAAGTGTTCTGGTGTTCACGGGGCATAGAGAAGGACAAAGTGGTGGTATTTCATCCAGCAGAACACAGAGCACTTTGCCCTGGGGCATGCCATCACCTGAAGATAAGGAGCCATTGCAACAACTAAGAGGCACCCAGACTAGTTGTTGAGGGTTATCTAGGGAAGTTTTCTAGAGAAGGTGATGCTAGAGGTAGGATTGAGGGACTACTACCCACAGGATATTCTGGACAGTGGAAACAGCATGTACAAAGACATGAGTCTGAAATGCAACTATCTGTAATAAACAACCAGTGGTTTGGTGGAATTGAAGTACAGAGTTCTTATAAATATTAGGAAAACAGCAAAAACAGGTTAAAAAAATTTAAGGGCTTATATGCTTCACCAAGAAAGTTAGACTTTATCTTTAAAGTGATAAGGAGACTTCAAAGGGTTTTAAGAGTACATTTGCATGTGTAAATTTTTTTTTCTAAAATATGATTTTGATAGTCATGAAAACAAAGAAATAGTGGATGAGAAGTCAGGCCAATGTAGATGATAATCTACTGGACTTGGGAACTAATCAGAGCAAGAATTGTGCAGATGGTGAAGAAGCAGTGAATTTAGAAAATTTTCTGAATGAGGATTAATATAAATTGATATAAAAAGAGTGAGATGGAGTGGTCCAAGATGCCACCAGCTGTCTTTTGACTAGCAGAGAATAGCATCAATTGCTGAGCTGAGGAGCAGGTTTGTGATGAGTTCTATATTGGATTACAGAGTTGAGATGACTGTAAAACTACAGTCAATATGCCCAGTAAACAGTGGATAAAGGGAGTAGATCTCAGGAAAGAGAAAGCGAATGAGCAGGAAACAGCACACCCAAAATGATCATTGAAAATGTGTTAATGGATACACTAAAATTACAAAGACAGGAGCAGGGTTAGGAAATTAACTAGGGATTAGCAGAACTAGTAACAATGTGAAGTTACCATGATCCCCAGCCCTGAATGGGTAAGGGAAGAATTTACTTAATGGATAAGAGCTGCAGCTATAGGAGAGGGCCACCTAAAGGCGCTGTGGTCTTGGAACTGGGAAATGTCATATTCCCTGTCTTCAAAGTTGCCCTCACATCTCAGATGGGCTGCCTAGAAGTATGGCAGTTGAGTGCATGAGATATGCTTACCCAGGAGAGGGTAGTCATTAAACTCTCATAGCTTGTTCCTTGTATCAGCCTAGGAGACTGCCCATTACCAATACTTTAATCAGTCACTCTTGGATCGATGCAGTATTATATGTTTTAAGTAACACTGACAACTGTATGTCTATGTAATCCTAATTTCCTGATAACCAGGAAAATCAGTGTTTTAGTCCATTCTTACACTGTTATAAATAAATACCTAAGACTGGGTAATTTATAAAGAAAAAGGGTTGAATTGGCTGATGGTTCTGCAGGCTGTACAGGAAGCATAGTTGGGGAGGCCTCAGGAAACTTACAACCATGGCGGAAGGCAAGGGGGAAGCAGGCTCATTTTACATGGCCGGAACAGGAGAAAGAGAGAGAAGGGGGAGGTGCTACACACTTTTAAGTGACCAGATCTCACAGTAACTTACTCACTATCACAAGAACAGCACCAAAGGGGAAATCCACACCCATGATCCAATCACTTCCCACCAGGCCCCACCTCCAACACTGGGGATTACAATTTGGCCTGAGATTTGTGCGGGACACAGACCCAAACCGTATCTGTAAAACCTACAAATCATGAAAATTAGGAAAGACCATGGAGACCACCTACCACAGCTTATCATTTCCATATCTCTGAATATTCGTGTAACTAGGAACTAACACTGTGATGGGGACACATGAAACCAGAGAATAAACACAATCATAAATTAAGGCATTCATTGTATATTAAACTTACAAATTTAAAAAAACCCTATCATTGTGCTTAGCAATATTGTGTCTGAATATGTATTTGTTTAATTTTCATGTCTTTTTTAGTTAGAGATGAGTTTGCAGAGAGTACTAATTTGCCCAATGCCACCATTAATTCATAAAAGAGTGACGACCAGGAAGAAGGATTGAGCACCTGCTATGAGCCTGTAACTCGAAATGGAAGACATAAAATGTCATTTTTCTCATGCAAAAGCCATTGTGGATTAGACTGGTGCCCATTTCCTAGCTCTCATTCTAAAGGCTTTCTGCTCCAGCATGCTGTTTCTCTTTGGTTTGGCACCCTGCTTGTTCAATGTATAATTTCATTAGCAGGAAAGCCCACAGAGATATTTACATCTAATTTGCCCTCTTGCTGTAGCCTTTCTCCTGCTTGCCATGCTGACAGGTGGCTTGAAAACCGTAAATGGATAGGATTCTAGAGAGGCAGAACAGAGCAGCTGGCAAGCCAAGGTCAGGATGACATCCAGGTTCAAATGATTCTACAAAATTGGAATCAGAATTGGAACTCTTTCTTCCTTCCAAATTCTTTCCTGGAGAGAGTAATTCAGGATGGTCCCAAATAAGTTCTCACTTTTTTAAAATAAAGAATATCATGCGCTCATGCAATTGCCAGTTTGCAAACATTTGCAGCAAAGGAGTGAGACAGGGTATAGAGCAGCTTTTCTCTCAGCATTCTGCAGAGATGAGTCTGATACACTTCTGGCTCAGAAGCCCTGGCCAAGAGATTGTAGCCACTGCTAACATCATCTATCTGTGTGGACAATATGCTAAAAATCCATTCTTCCAACAGATAGGCAATGTTGCATGGGATAATGTCTAAGTGAAAATGGTTGCTTTTCAAGATTATACCTTTCTTTCCCTACTCAGTCCACTTTGATTAATTTATTTTAACTCAATCTCACCATCACATGCCCCTCTGCTGCTCAGGAAGGACATGCATAGCATCAGAGGCATTCAGAGTGCTAAGAGACATGCCGTTATCTGAACCAGGCAAATAACTCAATATAAATTCTCCTTGCCATGCATCTAGCCTTGACTGAAGTGACAAACTGTATCTGGACAGAGAATGCACAGAGAGGTAGAAGAGGGAAAGGAGGGGCTCAGCAAGCTTTTAGATAGCATTTTTATTTTATTATTATTTTATTATTATTATTATTATTTTTTTTTTTTTTTTGAGACAGAGTCTTGCCCTGTTGCCCAGGCTGGAGTGCAGTGGCGCGATCTTGGCTCACTGCAACCTCCGCCTCCCAGGTTCAAATGATTCTCCTGCCTCAGCCTCCCGAATAGCTGGGATTACATGTGCCCGCCAACACGCCCAGCTAATTTTTGTATTTTTAGTAGAGACGAGGTTTCACTATGTTGGCCTGGCTGATCTCAAACTCCTGACCTCATGATCTGCCCTCCTCAGCCTCCCAAAGTGCTGGGATTACAGGCGTGAGCCACCGTGCCCAGCTGATAGCATTTTTATTTTAAAGTTTTAAATAGGTTTGTGAATTCTAGTCAAAATTATTGGTAAATGAAATAAAGAGAAGGTTGACCTAGGTTTTCCAGAGGACTAAGAATGGGAAGGTTCATACAAAAAGCAATGGATTTGTAATCTCCCCAGGTCTGCTTCTTACTAACATTCTCAGAATCCTTACCTTACCAAAGGTAATCCTTACCAAATCCTTACAAAATCCTTACCAAAGAAGGAAGGCCTTCTTTGCAAGATAAATGGTGTCTGAAGCAAAATAATGCTTATGATCAATGTCATATGTTAGTTGTTAATTATTATTAATCTCCATTATAATGAGCTCCATTCTAACTAAGATTTGCATTAGCTTTTTGTTAGGAATGTGATCATATATCCAGTATGTTCGAATGCTAAAACTTGAACTAGATCTTCTAACTTCTGTCCTGATGTAAGGACTACCTGCACAATACCACATTTTCTCCTCCTTTTTATTAAACTCTGCTATAACACAGCATTTGTAAAGGAAGTTGCCACTTTCGGGTCACAAAGGAACATGGCTAAGTGTGTTTGTTTCTTAGAGAAGCACAGTCATGCAGTTTAACATTCCTCTTTCCCTTCACCTTGTGTCTGCATCTCTACAGAATGGTATTAGATGACAGCTGCTTTGGTTACATAGGTTGGAATATAAGAAAATAGTGTGAAAGTAGAAATACTTTTAGTTTGAATAAATATTGGAGCAATAGCAAATTAAGAGGCAAACAGACAGACAGTGACCTAGATTTGGTTTCAACAGACCTGGGTTAAAATTGGAGTCCATTACTAACCAGCTGTGGGATCTTAGCCCACATAATTGAATTTCCCTGAATCATAATTCTATTTTCTGTAAAATGAAGAAGATAATTGTGTCCAGCCTATTTCAGTGTTGCTTTGAAGTTAAAATAATTTTATAATGTGTACAAATGCCTTTGTAATTATAAAGGACTATGAAAAATACTAGCTGTTAGCTGTTATACTAAGCACTAAAATATTGAAATGTTTCTGTTCAATCTCCTATCAACTCGATTCTAGTTGCGTAGTCAAAATCTAACCTTGACTTCATTTTTCCTTTCTTCCTTTTTCATGTCTTCATAGCTCTCATTCAACATCAAAATATGTACAGAATCACGCGAATTTACTGAATTTATTTATTAGTTCTGAGAGTTTTTCAGTGGAGTCTTGAGGGTTTTCTGCATATAAGATCAGGTCATCTGTAAACAGGGACAATTTCACTTGCTCCTTTTCAGTTTGGATGCCCTTTATTTCTTTCTCTTGCCTAATTGTTATGGCTAGGACTTCTAGTACTATATTGAATAGAAGTGGTAAAAGTGGGCATCTTTGTCTTGTTTCTGACCTTAGAATAGAAGCTTTTATCTTTTGCTTGTTCAGTGTGATGTTAACTATGGGTTTATCATACATGCCCCTTATTATGTTGAGGTGCATACCTTCTATGCCAAATTTGTTCAGAATTTTTATCATGAAAGGATGGTGGATTTTGTCAAATGCTTTTTGTCTGTTGAAATGCTCGTATTGTTTTTGTCTTTCTTACTGTTAATGTGGCATATCGCATTTATTGATTTGCATATGTGGAATTACCCTTGCATCCCTGGGATGAATCCCACTTGATCATAGTAAATGATCTTTTCAATGTGCTGTTGGATTTGGTTTGATAGTATCTTGTTGAGAATTTTGCATCTAAGTTTCATCAGAGATATTGGTCTATACTTTTCTTCCTTTGTTGTGTCTTTGTCTGGTTCTGGAGTCAGGGTAATCCTGGCCTTGTAAAATGAGCTTGGAAATATTCCCTCCTCTTCAGTTTTATGGAATAGTTTGAGGAAAATTGGTATTAGTCCTTCTTTAAATGTTTGGTAGAATTTTGCGGTAAAGCCATCAGGTCCTGGACTTTTCTTTGATGGAAGACTTTCAATTACTGATTCAATTTTCTCACTCATCATTAGTCTGTTTAGAGTTTTTATTTCTTCATAATTTTATCTTGATAATTTGTATATATCCTGATATTTATCCATTTTTTTCTATATTATGAAATTTGTTTAGTTGTTCATATTAGTCTTTTATGTTTATTTATATTTCTATGTTAACAGTTGTAATGTCTCCTTTTTATCTTTAATTTTATTTGAGTGTTTTCTCTTTTTTTCTTAGTCTAGCTGAAGGCTGGTAGATTCTTCTTTTCAAAATATCAGCTCATCATTTCAATGATGTTTTGAAGGATTTTTAGTCTCCATTTTGTTTTCTCTGCTCCGAGTTTTATTATTTCCTTTCTTCTACCAATTTAGGGCTTAGTTTGTGCTTGTTTTGCTAGTTCCTTGTGGTATTTTAGAAGTCTTTCTTCTTTTTGAGGCAGGTGCTTGTCACTAGAAACTTCTATCTTAGAACTACTTTTGCGATGCCCCATGGTTTTTGGTATGATGTGTTTCTATTCTTCTTTTTCATGGGAATTTTTTTTAATTTCCCCTTGGTTTCCTCATTGAACCATTGGTTATGATCCAGCAATCCTAATACTGTATATCTCCAAAGGAAATGAAATCAGTATGTCAAAGATGAATCTACACTCCCATGTTTATTGCAGCCCTATTTATGATAGCCAAGATATGGAATAAACCTAAGTGGTTAAAAATGGATGAATGGATAAAGGAAATGTGGCATATATACATAATGGAATATTATTCTATCATATAAAATAATGAAATCCTGTCATTTGTAACAACATGGTTGAACCTAGAGGGCATCATGTTAAGTAAAATAAGTAAGCCAGACACAGAAAGACAAACACCACATGATCTCATTCGTATGTGAAACCTAGGGGGTAAAAGTTGATAATAGAAGTAGAAAGTAGAAAAGGGAGAGGTTGTTCAATGGGAATAAAGTTATAATTAGGTAAGAAGAATACATTCTGGTGTTCTACTACGCAGCAGGGTGACTATAGTTAACACTAAGGTGTTGTATATTACAAAACAGCTAGAAGAAAGGCTTTTGAATGTTCTTACCACAAGGAAATGATAAATGCATGAGGTAATGCATATGCTAAGTACCCTAATTTGATCATTATACAAGATATAAATCTATAGAAGCATCAAATTGTACCTCATAAATAGGCACAATTCCCATGTGTCAGTTAAATGTGTGTGTGTATACAGAACCAGAACACTTCACACCAATCCACTCCCAGCTGGTTCAAAATACTATTGTCTTTTGTCTGAATTTCAGCAATAGCTTTTTAAAGGGTCTCTTTGCTTCCACTTTGCCTCCCTGCTCCTTTCCCCAGTGTATTTTCAACATAATAGCCAGAATGATTTATTTAAAATATAAGTCAGATCAAGACACTCTTTTGCTCAAAATCTTCCTAGACTTTTACGACAGTGAAAGCCAAAACTTTTACAATAACCTCCAAGAGGCTTTTATTTCTTTAAAACTGTCTAGCTAATGAGTCAGAACATATGTGTCAACACAACTCCTGGTCTCTGAAGACTACCTAAGAAAAAATGAAACCGTTTACCTCCATCTCTGACAGGGCTTGACCTAATCTCAAGCCAGTTCCCTTTCTGCTGTTGTTTCCTTGCTTCTTTACAAAATTTGGCTTTAAACTAGGATCTCCAAGATTCAGAAACCAACTTTTCAACATAGGTGCCACCTGGCATTCACCTGAAATTCTCCAAAAGTTAGGGGAATCACCTGATAGTCACGTCAAGAGAGGAAACAATGTTGACTTTTATTCTAAAACCAAAAGAGACCATTCTACAATGTTAGGCCTTTATGTCTATGCACAGTGTTCACTTTGCCCTAACTGCTTTTTCTGGTCAAAATCCTACCCACTATTTAAGGCCGAGTTTAGATGTAACTGCCTTCCTGGATCCTCAACTAATCCATCCAGTCAATTGTGGTTGTTCCTTCCTCTACCCTCTACCCCCATAATTTGTCTTTCCAGTTTAGTCTGTAAGTCATTTTCCACACATCTTAACTCACTGGGTATGTCTGCTAAGTACTGATGGACTCCTTGAAGACAAAGTTAGTAAGTGTCGCTCATTATAACATTTTTTTCCAAGCAAATAGAAAGTAGGTCCTTCAGAACTTAAGGATGAAAGTTGAAGGAGATGGAAGAAGGCAATACTTTGCTGCAGAGTAAAGTACCCTTTCAGAGAGATCTGGCTATCCCTTTCACATCTCCTTCCTTCTCTCTCTCACATCAATGTATTGACTTCATTAGGATGTTGAAGTCATAAGCTGGCTGGGTGTGATGCCCATGCCTGTAATCCCAGCACTTTGGGAGGCGGAAGTAGGAGGGTCATCTGAAGCCAGGAGCTTGACCAGACTGGAAAATATGCTGAGACTCTATCTCTACAAAAAAATCAAAAATTAGCTGGGCATGATATCATGTGCCTCTAGTCCCAGCTACTCAGGAGGCTAATGCAGGAGGATCTCTTGAGCACAGAATTTTGAGGCTGCAGTAGCTATGATGGTGTTACTGCACTCCAGCTGGAATGACAGAGCAAGATCCTATCTCAAAAAAGAAAAAAGAAAATTGTAAACTAGCCTAATGATTCCCAAAAACAGATTTAAAAGAATTCTTCAGCAGAATCATCTGGGGGAACATTTAAAAACATGTTTCTAAGCTACTTCTCTGGAAGTTCCCAGAAGTTCAGATTAAGTGGATCTGACCAAACACCTAGGTATATGACACAGTATTAAATGATCAAAAATTTTAGAAATAATTTGCTTAAGACCAATTTTAATAATTTTAGGGGAAGACAGAGGCTTAGATGATGGGGGAAAAATAAAAACCGATATAGAAAGTATCACCTCAATATAGTACACAAAAGATGATGTAATCAGATGATGCAATTTCCAATGTAAGGTCATTTTATTTTATTTGTTTTGTCATTATATTCACTAATAATCCTCAAATAAAATTTTGAGTTATGCTTAGGTCACCATCATGGAATGGATATCTGGGCAAAAGATTACAGTATCCTTTCCTTTAGAAGTTATGCTTCTCAGTGTAAATTAATAATTGACATCCTAGTAACCATACATCAATCTCCATGTACTTGTTTACTGTGAGTTTGTTCTAGGAGACACATTCACAGCCATATATCAACAAAGTCAGCTTTCTGAACCTGTAAACCTCCAGGTCTTGAGAGGATCAAGTATATGTTTACCCTATTAAAGACTATATATTAGCCTCTGGTAAATACTCCACTACTTTTTTCTCATTCATCTTTAGTTAATACATGAGAAATGAAATGTAGAGGGGATCTGGAGTCCTAGACGTAAGTTTTGACTCTGTGACTGATTTGCTTTATAATATTTGTCAACAGTAATTATCATTTATGTGTTCTATTATTATGTTCCATACATTGTCCTTGACATCTTACACACATCATCCTGTTTAATTATCCTACCAACCCTGCAAAAAAAGACGTAATGTATGGCAACTATTTCTATATTCCTCCACATTAGCAATTCTCTCATTCATCCTTAGAAAAAGAATCCCAATTTCATTAAAGGGTATTGATGCATAGAATATATACAAAATAATTGGAGCTCTAACAGCTGCCTTGGACTGTAGTGTGATTTTAAGTATAGAAGTCACTTGCTAAGGATGCAGAATAGGAATAGCTTGGATTCCTGATGATAGCAGAAGCCACTATACCTTCCCTGGCTTTTCCGCCTTTGTAGGTTTTTTACATAAGAAGGAAATATGCAACTGTTATTTTGGGCTTTCTTTGTATATTCCAAACGTAACACAAACTGCTACAGAATTGGATTTATTTTAAATTGAGGAAACAAGGTACAGAAAGATTATTTAACTTAAGATCACACAACTAGCATGTACTGAGCAGCAATGCTTGGCCTGGCAATACTATTCTAAAACCGAAATTCTTTGTCATGTTTTATGACCTCAAAAAAGATATTAATACTTTTTATGCTTTATGTTTTGTACAGAAGAAAACTTGTATCTACTGACACTTTTTATGTGTCAGGCATTGTGTTGGCTATTGTCACAAGGATATACATTGCCTTGTGTATCATTTAATCTCAAGATTCCCTGTGTCTAAAATTTAAGTGATATCTAAAAATTTAGAGATAAAATATCTCTTTTCATCTCTGTGAAACTAAAACCAAAAACCTCTTTGTACAATCTAGCAGGGAACACTTGTCAATATGCAGCCAAACATTGACTAACGTATTTTCTCCAAGTTAGGCCAGCTCCACCAGAGAAAATGATCTCTTCAACTTTGATAAACCCTCATATACAAGATTCAGAACAAGTGAACATCACACTTGTTATTTTCTTCTGATTCCTTTTCAAATAACACTGTAAGTGTTATTATTAGAACCTTAAGACCCATTAGAAACAGGATAAAAGAAAATAGAAGTAACTAGCTCTCCTACTGGGATAAGAGATGAAACAAGAGAGAGAAAGTTTTGTTCTCCAAAGCAGCAATTCCACATTATGAGATTACATAAAGAAGAAACACACACACTCACATATACACCACTCACCACACACACACACACACACACACACAGAGAGAGAGAGAGTGAAAGGGGGGTGGTGGAGGAACACAGAAAAACAGAGCAAGGAAAAAAATTAGAACATTTTGGAGGGAAGGGTTCCAGATGGCAGCCAGGATGAGCCTCTGCCACAAAGATGAACCAAAATATCAGGTAAACATTCACACGTTGAAAAGATTTTTTGAAAGAGAACACTAAAATTCAATAAAGAGGCAACAGAAGACACCATGAGTGAAGAGAGAGAGAGCAGGGCTGCCTGCTCAGCATTGCTGGGTGCCAGGACCAGCCTCCAGACCTGGACCCAGATCCAAGGAAGGGATGAGTGAAGGAACCTCAGGGCATAACATTCCTGCCATAGACCTCTGAGATCCTAGCTACAGGAGAGTTCCATGACCCGTGTAGACCTTTAGACTGGCAGACAAAGCCTGCTCGTGGTGATCTTGAGTCAGGGAGGAACCCCCCCACTCAGAACAAAGAGAAAAGTGTAGCACAGGTTCATGTAGTGGCATGGGAGATGGGTACCCCTCCCTTCATAAGACTAGACTGGGAAGGGTGAGGCCTGATAGCCATGGTTTCTGTTCAAGGGAGTCTCACAGCCCAAAACACCTGGAATGACTAAGTGATCTGAATGCAGATAGCTTGAGTCTAGCCTAACCATTTTGGCCTGCTGTCAGCAGCAGAATGTTGGAGGGAGACCTGCTGCACCAGGGGTGTGGGAGCTGGGCCAGTCCCACTGCTGCCTGCTGGGCTGAAAACCCCAGGCCACCCAATTTGCCTTAAGCAGACTCTGTGGTACAGGAGAGGCAACTCAGCCCCTTGGCCCCAGCTGCCTGAGAGTCTGCCTATAGCCGTGCCAGGATTGGGGCTTGTGCTCGCCTCAGAGAGCATGGTCACAGGTTTGTCTGTCCCAGCCCCACCCAGATTTGCTTCCTCCAGCTGCCTGGGTGGCAGAGCACAGGACAGGAACCCCTGGAAACTCCAGGGTCCAGCCCATTGCCAAGGATACTCTCGTACTTCCCCTCATTAACAAAGGTCAAGTAAAATTTCCACGGCCACCACCACAACTACCTCCCGCCTGCAAGTGCCACCTATTAGCCTGAAGGTCAACCTATATGTGTCATCACAACTTCTCCTGACACCATTATAGAGCACTCAGGCAGCTCATACTTGAAAGTGCCACCTACAGGCCAGTAGGGTGAACTGCAAAAGCCAATATAATTCCTGCTGACACACGTGCACAGCACTGAGGAACAAAGTTCCAGAGACCTCCACCTCCCATCTCTGTAAGAGACAACAAGCCTGCTCACACATGTAGTACACTGTTGCTACAATCTACAAACAACCAGCATTTAAGAAAACCACTACATGAAGGCCATCTATAACCAAGGAATTTATACAGATCTTTGGCCCCCTAAAAGCACAAGAAGCAGAGAAAAAGAATGCTACTCAACATACACAACAGTCACACACTCAAAGTGGAAAAAATCTCATCCAAATGAATGTAAACTCACAGCTTCTCTGGAAAGAATTTTGGCAATGGCTATTTTCCCAGGAATTAACACCAAAATTTATATGCAAATATGTTCATTGTCTTCTTATTTACTGTGTGACCTTTGGCTTTCTCTTAAAATAAAAGCCACCTTTAATTTATAACGTTTCATTCCTGTGAAAAATATTAATTTAACAAAGTCTGTGACAGGTTTTCTTGCCTTCCATAAATGATTTAGTAATACTAAACTCATTAGGGGAAACATGAAGTTTCCCAAAGGTACTACCTGTAGGTGCTCTAAATTCTTTAGAATGTGAATATTCTCATATGATGACTAGGACAAGTGTCTCTCTCATTCATTCATTCATGCATTCATTCATTCAACAGATGGTTTATGACTGCCTACTATGTGTAAGGCACAGTGCTAGGCACTAACGATGCAATGGTGAAAAGAAACATGTAGTTGTCACTCTCTTGGGCCATCTAATCCAGGAGGAAAGATAAATCAAATAATTACACAAACAAATAAGAAAGCAGCAAATGTAAAGATATGTTTTGAATATCAGCTGTCAGTCAGGGAACAGGCAACATAAAAAATAAGGTAATAACAAATTTTTATTTTATTGTGAACTTAGCAGAAATTTTATTTTCACAAATTTTACAGTCTTGGCTTTAACTATTCCATGATATACTTGAAAACCTCTTATACTTAGCTAATGAATGAACCTTCACCTTGGCTTTGTTGTTCTCTCTTCAAACATTTGAAAATTTGTGAAAATCTCGGGACTTGTTCCTCATAAACCACAAGAGTTTATCCTACAGTCAGTGTTTCTCCCAGGATTGACCTATCTGGAAATTAAGGCTTTAACTGCCTTTAGTGCTATAAGATCAGGATTTGTTGTATTTAGGGCTATATCCTCTGCACCCAGTATCTACTATATAATGAGTGCCCAGTACATGATTGTTTATTGATTGAACTGCTGGGATAGTTTGTTTAGAATAAGTAAAAGGAGGCTCTTAGAAAGTGATGCATGACCTTGCCTACTTGTCAGAACCACCTGGTGAACTTAAAAAAAAATAAAATCCTTGTTGTTCTTTCTTGGCAATTGTGAAAAGGAATAACCAGCATAATTTTGATAGTACCTACTGTCACTCTCAAAGTGTACCAATTTGGTTGGTAAATTATGTGAGACAGATATATATATATGCGTGAATATTAAATATAAGAAGACAATAGAAGTCAAAGGTGGGTGTCATTGGATGTACCTCTACCATACACAGACTTTGGAGTCAGACAAACCTACATTCCAATCCCTGCTCTTCTACTTACTAGTGGTACCATGAGTGAAGAAAAAAATCTTACTTAAACTGGCATCTGTGGCAAGTTACTTTACCTCCCAAAGACTCAGTTTCATCAACTAAAAATGCAAATAATATTGGTTTCTTACTCATAAGGCTGTAGTGATTATTAATAATGTGCAAAGAATGTTGGTATGGCACAGAGTAAACAGCAGGTGAATAAAATGGTTTCTCCCCAGTACATACATGCAGTGGGTTCCCAACTGTCTTTTTCCCTTAAGAAATGAGACCCACACCCTTGAAGGAGACATAGATAATGGTTTGCACATGACACACTTAATGACTTGTGGGAAAATACTTTCATTTCACATCACTATTTTGTTCAACATATCTGGATTATAGTTTCTTTCCAAATAACTAGCTGTTGACTTGAAGGATGACACACGCACAAAGCCTTCTCGTTATTCAGGAGGAAACAAGATAATTTAAATAGTCCAATTTTTACCTCTTTGTAGCTTTCTTTTGTGATTTGTTTGGGGATGTTAAAAAGGCCAAGTTCCTCAGTTGTAGCCTTTCAATAACATGTCAGTTTACATTATCTGTGAGATGAACTCTACCTCTTATACAATGTCTGCAAGTTTTGCCGCCTACCAGTGAGAAAGCAAAAGACAGCAAGAAAAATAGGATGTGCTAGGAACATCTTTCTTCCCAAGCCCTGCCCTCCTCAATCTGCCTAAACATTCTGCAAGGATTATTTCTTGTGAGACAAAGTCCTTGATTCAGGCTCATGGAATAAGTAGGATTGCGATAGGCAGGAAAGATTCCAGAGGGAACAAAGATATCAAGATACAGAAGGACTAGATGGATTTAAGAAAAGTGAATAATCAGTCTAATGAAGATGGAGTATAAGTGATGTCAAGGATAAATTGGGAAATGAGAACTGAATGCTGTGTGGGGTCCAGATTATGAAGAGCTTTGAACTCTAGATTGAGATTAGGTGCTATTCTCTAATTAGAGTTTGTGGGGAATAGGAGACATATTTTCTACTTGAAATGGACAGCTCTTATTCAGATAGGGCAGATCAACTGCATTCTGCAATGCAGTTCAGAGCCTATAATCCTTTACTTTGGGAGGAGTGTAAAAGACAGCTAGACATGTGGGCCATCCAGTGGGCCACATATGATGAAATGAGGATATATAGGACAGAGCAGTAGCAGGGGCTCCCAGTGCAAGAATCAATAGGACTTAGTGACTGATTAGATTCAGGAAATTAAGGGAAAAACGAAGTCAGATGACTGACTGAGATTTTCAGGTTGGATTGCTTGGAAAATGATGATGTCCTGAAACACTTTAGGTGCAGACCATTTTGACCTAATGTAAGCCTTAAGTGGGAATTTATTATAAACAGAGTAACAGCTACTAGTTATTGAACATTTACATTGCCAGGAACTATTAAGAATGCATTATAGCTATTATCTTATTTACCTTCTCTTCATAGTACTGGTAGGTAGGTACTATTTTCATATGAGCAGAGTATTTTCATATCACCAGAGGTTTAACCAAAGTCGCATAGCTGATAAAGGAGAGGCGTAGCATTTGAATCCAAATAGCCCTGTCCAGAGGGCTCTTAATCAGTAGTCAACATTACCTCCCCATGGTTAACATTAGCCTCGCAAAATACCAAACCCTTAAAAGGAATGTAGCCAGCCTTTAGGAAGGGATGAAAAGAAAAATAGGAAAACGGGTGGCAAATAAAGCAGTATTCAGCTTTGATCTCTCAGTTCTGCCTCACCAGCCACCTGGTGGAGTATGGCAACCAGAGGAACATGGTAACCCAGAGTTCCTGAGTTTACACAGTTGAGTTGTAGCCCCCATGGGTCTCTCACTCTTTTTATCTCAGTTTTATCCTTATTTATACTCTTATTCTCTATCTAATGCCAAATCCCTAGAAAGGAATTGTGACTGAAGTGTGAGTAGATGCCCAACTCGGTCCAGTCATTAGGGTCTAAGGTCCCCACTAACAACAGCTACTGGAGGGATCATCTCTGATATAAGAGGCAGTTATTCCTTGGCAATGACTGTAAATTGCATAGTCTACCCGACTTTTTATCATCAAACATCCTTGGACTTGAAATTGAAAAGGCCTAAACTTAGATTTGTGTTATACAACTACCATTAACAAGTCACTTGTTCTCTCTGGGTCTTGATTTCCTCGAAAATAAGATACTCATAATTATGCTTGCACAGTCTACCTCACAGGGTGATTATGAGGGCCAAATGGAATAACTGCTTTCTAGTATAGCTAAAATTAATAAAGTGCTTATCATGCATGAGCACTATTTTAAGTGTTTGGTATATTACTGACATTAACTCTATGCTTGACCCTATGATATAGATGCCAATTTATTCCCATTTCACAAAAGAAGAAACTGAGAATCAGAGAAGATAAGAAAATGTGCCCAAGCTCACACAGCTGTAATCAATACACTATAAAACATAGCTTTTGAGTCTGTTTTTAACCACTCCTTACATGGGTATGAAGGGACCTAGTAACCTACCAAGCACTATCCAAACATGAGAAATTGTTACTACTGTCAACCACTGCATCTAACAGCAAAAAACAATGTTTAATCTAATCAAATGAAATATGATTGGGCGTTTGGATTTTTGTTCCTACAAGATTTTAGTGCTCTGGTTTTGCTCTATTTCAGTCTTTGTAGGGAAGATACATATTAATTTTGTCTTTAATTTATTTCATGGGAGTCTTTTGGAAAACATTTGGTTTGACTCTCATGACAAATACGTTGAAGGCTCCATGATAAATTAATTTGTTGTGTTCATTTGGTTTTATGGCTCATGAAATTTGTGTAATTTATTGCTGCCTTGGGATGTCAGTCTCACTCAGTTCTAGTTCCAAAGTAAGGTCCTACAGAAAAAGAAAAGGAAAGCATGAGAAAAATGGTGAGAATGGCTGAGTCAAAGCATAAAAAGCCAAAATATCTAGGCAGAGGGCCAGGGAAGGGAGGAAAATCTTGGTCACTTCCCAAAGGAGTATGTTCTCTAGGAAGAGATGTTAATAAGTAAGGCCTTATTTATAGCTTAGAAAAAAATGAAGGGAGGTGTGGTTAGAATATGTTGGGGCTCAAAAAATGTTAGTACAGGACATTTGGTGTAGCTGGGCATTCTAGGAGCAGGGGCTAGAAACCTTAGTAAAGGGCAAGAGTCTTCTCCAGGAGGCCCGCCATTTTCGTAACTCAGTAGTTGTGTGTGCAACAAATTCACCTCTTTTTTTCTACTTCCCCCTAATTCAGTTTATCAATATATGTAAACCAAATGCAAATTACAGGTTATCTTTTTGCAGCAGTTGAGATAGCCAAACTTTGATTCAGATGTTTGCTTGGGTCTGATAAACTACAAGGGAAGATTCAAGGTGCCTACAGTGTTTACTTAGCCAAAACTATGTGCAAGAGTATATTATAGGAGAAGAGAGTTTGACTTGGGTAGACACACCAAATTATCCAATATCATTCACTAGTCCTGACTAATTGTGGACTTACGAAAAAGATACAACATAGCCCAAAGTAGGTAGTTTTTCTTCACAAAGTTTGAGCTCACTTTTGAAATTTCAGACTATCCAAATAAACAATAAAACATATAAAACTAAAAGAGAAATTGGTGTCTAATGAAACACTTCATGGTGCAGTAAATACAGCCAGTGCTGTACAAACTCAGAGAAAAATGAGCAGCACAGAAGAAGGTTCCCTGGAGAGCTTGAATGTCACCTGGGCCTGGAAAGATTGCTGGGTTTGGATTGGGATCAGTAAAGGCCATTCCATATAGGAAAGATTGGAAAGGGGAGGTTTGATTCACAGATTTATTTTAACTGAAACTCTCTTATGTGCCAGATCTCATAGTTGAATGGGCTTGAGTGTTCCATAAGTTCCTGACTAATGAACAGTTGGAGAGTCTGCATAAATAAGAGAGAGGTATTAAGTAACAGTAAAAGGTAGAAAATTGAGATGGGACCATATTATAGAGGAGCTTGAAAGCCAGGTGATGGACTTTCAGAGACAAAACTATTAAAGGAGCTTAAATTAAGAAATGTTATAATAAAATTGACATTTAAAGAAGATGAATTGAGCTGAAATGTACAGCCAGGAGGCACTAAAGACAACCAAAAGAATATGGCCACAGACTAGGTGTGAATTATTGAGGACCTGGTCCGAGTTGTTGCTAGAGCACAGAGAGGAAAACTGACATAAATGATTGTCTTAGTCCACTTAGACTGCTGTAACAAAATGCCTTTGATGCAGTAATTTATAAATGACAGAAATGTGTGGCTCAAAGTTCTAGAGACTGAGGAGTCCAAGATCAAGATGCCAGCAGATCAGTGTCTGGTGAGTGCTTGCTTTCTGCTTCATAGACAGCCCCATTTTTATTTATCCTCATATAATACAAGGGGCAAACAAGCTGTTGGGCCTCTTTTATCAGGGCAATGATCTCGTTCATGAGGACTCCCTGGTGCTCTACTCTCAGAGCGTGACTTACTCTGTAGGTGAAAAACATACAAGCACTTGCTTCCCTTGGTGTGGGGTAAAATGAGACTGGCATTCGTCCTAGGTAACTGTGCATTGTCCCCATTTCTCTCACCTCCTCAGCCAGGGCCATTAACTCAGTGTGGCAGCTTCTGTTGAAAGAAGCCCCAGTTAGTAAAACACTGTGCCAATAAAATAATCATGTACTCTAGGGGAAACAGCCAGCTGTTACGTGCCATGCTGGAGTGCTTTTCAATTTGGAGACAACCATCCTTTTCTTAACAATGACTGCCAAGTACAGATTTGTCATTCACTGAAGACGTGAGGAAGCTTGATATTAAGACCTGTTTCTTTGTGTCCTTTCAAAATCAGGTGTAAGAAATGAGAAAGTCAGGGAAAAAATAGAAAAGGACAAGAAAATAAATGGCCTGACTATGTCATTCATAGAGTTATAATGAGGGCTTTACAAGTTTACTACTTGCTATCATCATCAGGATGATTCAGCGTTTCAGAAGATACTCAAGTATACTCTTTTCCCAATTTCCCTGTCTCTAACTTACACATCACCTCTAGCTCCAGCATGAAGATTTCAAAAATACCACTTATGTATTCTCTTCTGTCTTTTTCCTTTAGGACATTGTTTCTATGATCTGAATGTTTGTATGTTACCAAAATTCACATGTTGAAACCCCAGTAAATAATATTCAGAGGTGGGGTCTTTGAGAGATGACTAGCCCACCTTTTATTAGCCTGTGCCCAGGATCATTAGGATCAGCTCTCTCACCTGGCTCTGCTGGTGGTTGCTGACTGCATGCTGACTTTCCTCTGCACTGCTACACTCCTTCCTCAGCAAACTCTTTGAACACACAGCCTCTGCAGAAAAATGCTTTTTGCTTACACTCCCTATAGAAGTTTTAGAATCTTCTCTTCTTACCAGTATCCCCAGGCTTCCAAAAGAGGTCATTCTTACTACTTCCTGGGTTTGTGCTCTTTGAAAGGCCAACCCGAAGGAGGCCCCAAATTAAAACATATCTAACCATATTTTTAAAAGTTAATAGCCAATTAGTGTTAATTTCATGTAGCATCAAGCACATAGTTTTCTAACAACTTTCTATTAAATATAATAAATACAGAAAAGAGTACATACCAGAAGTGTAAGCTGAACACAGATGAAACCAACACACAGAAGGGCCCCTTCTGCTTCCTTTCTGCCTCTGCCTCCGCCTCTCCCAAAGACTAACCACTCTCCTTACTTCTAACATCCTATATGGGATGTGTCTTTTTCTATGCTCTCTATAAATGGAATACAATTTATACTATTTGTATCTGGCTTCTGTCACTCAACATTATGTTTGGGAAATTCATCCATATGGTTGGAGCACTTGTAGATTGATCACTCTTATTGCTGTTTAGTTTTGTGCTCTCTTGATTTGCTTAGTTGATCTCAGAAATTATGAAAATGACTCACTTCTAAAAGTTAGAATTCCACATAAGCAATGTCTTTGGGGAAAAGAAGCCTAAAAGTATATAACTCGTTAGGATTTATAGGCCATTTGATCCAATATTTTTCAAACATTTTTGCATCCAACCCTTAGTGGGGGTGCAACCACAGACAAGTCAACTGACCTTATCTGTAAAATAGAGATGATACCTACTCCAGAGAGTTGCTACCCAGATTACATGATGTGATATTTGTACAAATATCCAGCAGTATGCCTGACAAACAGTAAGAACTCAAGTTTTTTTATATTTTAAATTGAATAGGTAGTTGTGTTTCTATGACCAACCTGAAGCAAGACTTGCAGCCATCGCTGTAAACTAGCAGTCAAAAGCTGGGGGGCTACATGGATGTGTTATACAGACAATTGTTCCTCATTTCTGAACACCTGGATTCTATTACTAACCTCCCCTCTTCCTACCTAAAGTACTTTAAGGCTTAACCATTTTAGCCTCAATGGTCTCATTAGTTAAATGAGGATATTATATGTGTGTGTGTGTGCTCTTGTGTATATGTGTATATATATGTATGTATACCTATACATCTCATGGGATTGTTGTGGTAACATACTATATTCAGAGGTACTTTGTAAAATAAAATATTTTAAAGTCCAAATGACGCATATTGCTATAGAAAAGACCATGAACCACCTAACAGTTTTCACATCACAATTATCATAGAGAAAAAGCATCATGGTATCACTTAGGAGAGAAGTGAAGAGGTTTTAATTAGATTCTTAATAGCTACACATTGTAGAGAACCTACAATATGCCAATCACTGCTAAACACTCTACAAACACATACACTGATTTCCTAATTCCTCACAATGACCAGGATTTAGTATTACTCTCTTTCTCACATGAGGAAATTGGGGTTCAAATAAGTTAAGCATATTATCTAAGGTCACTTGGTAATGGGTAAGACCAAGGCACAAGCCCAAGTTTGTCTGGCTCCAAGGCCCATACTCTTGGCACCACATGGCACTGCCTCAGCAATGTGAAATAACAGATGCTGCCCAAATTAAAACTACATGGAGTTATGATTAGCACATTGGCATGGGCTCTTAAGTGGGCAGGACAGATGCTGAAACTAGGCAGAAGTAAGTGTACCAACTGATGGGAACCAGGACAAACAATCAAAGAACATGCCTATGAAAAAAAAATCTGTTGCTCCCAGAATGTTAAAACATTTTTGTTTAAACAGAATCCTCATGTCCTTGTTATGAGGAACAGTCAGAGATTTAGTGAAATATTCTCAGTGAGTCAATCAGGAATGCTGTTAAAAGTTACAGTGTGCCTGGTTCTGGGAAGACTGCATAGGTATAACGTGATCTTTAAATGGAATTTATTTAAAGTGTGATCCTTCAGTCCATCCATGTCCCTTTTGGCCATGCTTTTAAATTGCTTATAAACATGTCACACAGATTGTTAAAGGAAACACACAGGAAACTTTCAATCTTCTTGGGTAATATGATCATGAAATACCTCAGGGAAAAAAAGTACAGATGTTTTATTTGGAAATTGTGTTCTTTCTTTTTAATAGGAGTAGAACTACAGCAACTTTGTTAATTTACCTAAGGTTGAATTTGAAAGGAATAGAGAATGTAGTCAGTTCTGTCCTTACTACCTGGTTAAAAAGTCCTTTCTGAAAATACCATCAAAATGGACATTTTTAAAAAAATGACAGAGATCCTCTAATACAATCTGTGTTGCATCTCCCAAGTAAATATATGAAGGAAGTAATTTCCTATCCTTTTCCAAATATTAATTCAGCCATTTTGTGTTTTGTTCTAATCATAAACATAATGTATTCTTTCAATAAATATTTTAAATGATGCCAAAAATGATGTAGAAAAAAATGTCATTACGCATACGTGAACGTTGTTAGAACTTAGATGAACATTCTTTCACAGATATCTCTTCTCTGTCTCTATTTCTTTTTTTCCTCTCTCATGCACACCTCACACACATCTGTGCATATGCATACATAATCTTACATAAATAAAATCAAATACAATGAACATTTTATTAATCTTCTTCTTTGAACATTTCCATAGATATTTTTTCCAAGGTTTCCATCATCATGTTTAGTGGCTGCTTAGCATTTTATTTTATGGATGATAAGGCAGACGGATAGTATTGATTAAATATCCTGGAATCAGAGACAGCAGTTTCTGTCAATACATAACAAGTCCCTTTCTCTCATAAGATCTTAAGTTCCTTACTTGTAAAAAAGGTGACTGAAGTAGGTGGTTTACTTAACACCGGCATTCCATAGAGGAGTATTCTATATCCTAAATGGAATTGTTCTTTCCATTTTCATGGGCTCCATCTTCCCTATACCCTAGAATTATTTACATACAGTACTATAAATGAGGTGCTGTGATAGCACAAGAAGAGAGAGCAAGAGATTACTTAATTTAAAACTCAAAATATGTTTGTGGAGGAGAGCTTTAAAAGAGGAACTTGATTTTGAGGAACCAGTAGCACTGAATATGTGGTATGACATAGAAAAGGCATTCCAAAGCAGGGAACAGCACTGATACAAGGTACTGAGGCAGGACAGAGCACTTTATCAGATGAGACTGATCAAAGGAGCTACTTGAAGGAAAGTGACAATAGCTGGTCGGGATCATATTATAAAGGAAAGGCATATATTGGGAGAATTTTGAGCGGAGGAAGGAAAGGGGTAGGTAATGAGAGTGTCTGAAGGTTTTAAGCGGGAGGAAGATAAAATAATAAGAACAAGATAATTTTTTGTGTGTGTGCTTCCCTTCCCTCCCTTTACCCCCTTTTCCCTTTTTGATGGTTTGGAAAAGGAGAGTTACTAGATGCAGGAAAGACCATCTGGGCTATTAACAAAGCTGAATCATGTTGGTAGTACTACAATGGGCAGGCAGCAGAAGGCAACACAATGCAGTCACTAAGACCCTTTAGGACCAGAGTACCTGGTTTTGAATGCTTTCTCAGGGTTAAATAGCTTTGTGGCCCCAGAGAGTTACTTGATTAAATATGTTAATGTCTGCATATACTGAGCCCTATACGTGTTTGATTAAAGTATTATAAAGATGTGATGAATGCAAGAGACATTTCACAGATAAACTCAGTGGGACATTTAGGGGAAAAGCTTTGATGCTGTGAGACAAAGAAAGTAAAGATGATTCCAGGTTACTAAGAAGGAGCAGAAAGAGAGCTGGGGAACAAGGGGGCAGCAGGTTTGCACAGGGAGACTGACTGGTGTCAGGTTTATGCTAGGTAGATTTTGAAGTACAAAAAGGAAATTCACAAAAAAAAAATATGCAACTGAAGATTTGAAACAGAACATGGCACTCAGGAACCCAAGTAGAGGTATAGATTTTGGAGTCATGAGCTTCACATATCATTTGGAGTGATTGTTGGGTTGAGATGTGGTAAGATGATAATTCTAGGCTTACAAGATATATCACATGTATTTATCCTATAAATATATCTAATATGTGCATAGAAAATTATCATTTTAACATTGGTCCTGTATAACGGGAATCCATTTGTAACATAACTTAAAACTCTGTTATTACCTCCAAGTAAACATTGATGATACTGTGTTTCTCACACCCAACCAGTCTGTTAATATAAATTCCAAATGATTTTTTCAACAGCGCTGCATAAAACAGTGACAAATCCTCTACTTAATGAGCCTCAAAGCAATTAAGACACAAATACATTGGAGAATCCCATTGCATTTAATCATCAGAAAAAGAATAAACAAAAATGCACTCTGATGATGAAATAAATTTTACAAATCAATTATAATTTAATTTCCTGAACAGATTTTGAAAGCCACAGATCTCTGATATGACATAGTTATAGGTTAATTGTTAAGTACTGACAGAATTACAGGAAAATAATGGGAAAAGTACTTGGCCAGGATTTAGAAAAACTGGGTTTTTGTGCTCTTCAACTGTTTTTATGACTTTGGTCGAATCATTATGCTTCCCTGAACCTCAGTTTCCTTATTTATCAAATTCCACTAAAAATATCTTTTCTGATACTATGATGAAAATAAGAAAGATACTGCAAGTAGAAATTACAGTAGTCCTCCCTTACTGGTGATAATGATTTTTTTATGGTTTCAGTTACCCTTGGTCAACCTCAGTCCATACTAAATGGAAATACTGAACGGAATACTCCAGAATTCCATTCTAAATGGAACACTCCATTTACTAAATGGAATACTAAATGGAAAACTCCAGAAATAAACAATTCATACATGTTAAGTTACACGCTGTTCTGAGTAGAGTGATGAATGAAATTTTATGCCGCCCTGCTCCATATCACCTGAATCAAACCTGTCCAGGGCATCCATGCTCTATATACTACCTGACCATTAGTCCCTCCGTCAACTTGGTTTTCACATAGAAAAACATAGTGTATATAGGGTTCAGTGGCTTCAGGCATCCACTAGGGTTTTGAAATGTATTCCCTGAGGATAAGGGAGGACTACTGTATTTTAAAGTCTGCTGACCAGTTTTGCTAACACATGCAGGTACAAGTTTAGATTGGTCTTTGGCAGTTGCGGCAAAGAGAGTGGCCCTAAGTGCCAAGAAATCCCGTCACAGTTTCCTTATCACGTCGATGTGTTTAACTTATCGTTCATCACAGTCTGGACCTCAGCTTTGCAGGCTCAGCACAAGGAGGGCAGGTCCATTTCTCAGTGGTAGACTCTAATATATACAACTGAATAAAATGGGAAAAAAACAAACTTTCAATGTTCTAATCTGTAACAAGATACAATAATCCGAGAATTTAATACTTAAAATAGAAATTCCATCACTTTTTCTCTCTTCTGACAAACTTTCATGAGAAGAAAATGTAGACTGTGTTATTTAAAATATGGAATTAAAGATGTGAGGAATTACAGTTGGTCCTCTAAATCTAAGGGTTCCGTAGCCACAGATGCAACCAACTGCAGTTGTTTGGGGAAAAAAAAAACAACAAAAATAATAATACAACAATAAAAATAATACAACTTTTAAAAATACTGTATAACAACTATTTGCATAGCATTTACATTGTATTAGGTATTAGAAATCATCCAGAGATGATTTAAAGTACATAGGAAGATACGGATAGTTTATATGCAAACACTATACCATTGTTTATAAGGGACTTGAACATCTGTGGATTTTGGTATCCATGAGGGTTCCTGGAACCATTCCTCCATGATACTAAGGGATGACTGTACATAGAATCAGAAGTGTAACTGCATGATACTATATGCAAACCTGTTATAGGCGCCTCATAATAGAGGAGGTCCTGTCTTGGCGTAAGACTTCTACTCCCTTGGATGGCATTAGATGGCTGTGGCCCAAATTTCACATCTGTGATTTTACTTGTCTAAACTTTAGTGATAGAACAAACACCATTCTAAGAGCTCACCTTTGCAATCACGGTTTACTATAGCCTCAAATTCCGAACTCCTGGGTTCAAGCGATCCTCCAGCCTCAGCCTCCTGAGTAGATGGAACTACAGCCCAAATAATTTTTTATTTTTATTTTTAAGAGAATGAGGTCTTGCTATGTTGTCCAGGATGGTCTGAATCTCCTGACTTCAAGTGATCTTCCCACCTTAGCCTCCCAAGTAGCTGGGATTACAGACATGAGCCACTACGCCCAGCTAGACAATTTTTAATATGTATCTGAGTCGGGACTATCCAAAAAAACAAAACCAATAGGAAAATATACATATATATACACACACATTTTTACATATATATATAAAGAACTTCATATGCAAGATATTTTTATACATTTATATGTTTATATTTATATATTATAGATAGAAAACAGTAAATATATATTATATATGTAAAATATATAATATATATTTATGTATTTGTATAGTTTTTTAATATAAAGACATGTGTGTCTATATATGTAAGATATATAGATAAGAAACTATATATCTTACATATATAGATACATATGTCTTTATACATAAAAATGTTTATGTATATATGTAAATACAGATATATATATCTTTATATATATAAATATCTTTAAAAGTATATGAGTAATTATTGAGACTGAGAAGTCCGAGATCTGCTCTCTGCAAGCTGGGGCCCAGGAAAGTCTTTGTTGTAGCTCCAGTCCATACTGGAAGGCCTGGGGACTAGGGGAGCCAATATCGTAATGTTCCCGTCCAAATCCAATGGCTGGAAACCAGGATCACCAAAGTCCAAGAGCAGGAGAAGATACATGTCCCAACTTAAGTAAAGAGAGCAAATTCACCTTTCCTCCACCTTTTAGTTCTATTCAAGCCCTCAACAGATTAGATAATGCCCACCTGCACTGGTGAGTGCAGATCTTTACTCAGTCTATGCCTAGACTCAAATGCTAATGTCTTCTGGAAAGATCTTCACAGACAAACCCAAGAAGCATGCTTTATCAGCTATTTGTTTAAAAACTTAACTACTAATACCCTACTATTGACCAAAACCCTTACTGATAACATAAACACTGATTAACTCATATTTGTATGTTATATGTATTATATACTATATAATAACAATAAAGTATGCTAGAGAAAAAAGGTTATTAAGAAAATCATAAGGAAGAGAAAATACATTTTTAGTACTGTACTGTATTAATCAACACCATAAGTTCATGTCATCTGTTTACAAAATGAATTGTCTGAAGTGGCCGCCAAATGCAGCTGGCAACTCTGTCAAGTTAACATGTAAAATTAACCATCATAACAATTGTTATGATACTCTCTGCATCTTCTAGATTTTAAGGTTTTTGTCAAAGAGTTGCACATAATATTCTTATATGTGTTTGCTTCAATTTCATGAGGAAATATATCTCTGGATATACAGTTGACCCTTGAACAACATGGGTTTAAATTGTGATGTCCACTTAGAGGCAGACTTTTAAATAAATACATTGAAGGGGTTTTTAAAGATTTGTGACAATTTGAAAAAACTTACAGATGAAACATGTAGCCTAGAGATATTGAAAATATTAAGGACAAGTGACGCATGTCATGAATGTATATGATATATGTAGATAATAGTCTATTTTATCATTTAATACCATTACATACACACAAATCTATCATAAAAAGTTAAAATTTATCAAAACACACACAAGATCACTCACAGACCATACATGGCACCATTTGTAGTTCAGAGAAACATAAACAAATGTAAAGATGCAGTATTAAATCATAACTGCATAAAATTAACTGCAACACATACTGTAACACTGTAAAAATTTCATAGTTATCTCTTGTTGCTATTGCAGCGAGCCCGTGTCCTGAGTATTCACTTAAAATACCATGTGACACTAGTCATCACATAAGCATATTGCCTCTCCAGCAAATTATGTATCACAGTAAAGACTGATCTCCTACAGTTCTCAGAAATTTTTCATTGTGTTTATTGCAATATTGTAAACGTTGAATAACCACCCATGGGGCTCAACAACGTGCCACTAATGAAGTTAGAACTCCTGAGAAGCAGAGAAAAGTCATGACAAACAATGAAAGTTGAATTGCTTGTTATATACCGTAGAGTGAGGTCTGCAGCTACAGTTGGCGGCTAATTCAGACAGATGGTTCATCTTGTAAACAGATGACATAAACTTATGATTTTGACTGATACAGTACAGTACTAAAAATGTATTTTCTCTTCCTTATGATTTTCTCTAGCTTACTTTATTGTAAGTATACAGTATATAATACATATAACATACAGAATATGTGCTAATGAGTGTTTATCTTATCAGTAAGGCTTCCGGTCAATAGTAGGGTATTAGTAGTTAAGGTTTTTGGGGTGTCAAAATTTATACATAGATTTTCAAGTGTGCAAAATTTTGGTGCCCCTAACCCCCACATTGTTCAAGGTTCAACTGTATATATTTTTTTCATTCCTAATTTCAACTGTTTTTTTTTTCTCTCACTGTTTCGCTTAAGCATTATATATTTTACTGGCCTTTTCAAATGACAACTTCAGAATTCATTTTTCTAATATATTTATTTTTAATTCTGTTAATTTGAAAAGTTATTGATTATGCTAGTTATATTTTGGATGATTTTTAATTGCTTTATCTTCTAAATTAGCGTTATACATATTAGATTTCTTGATTTTAGTCTTTTTGTTCTTTAATAATGAAGATATTAAAAGTATGCATTTTTGGCCAGGTGTGGTGACTCATACCTCAACCCCAGTATTTTGAGAGGTCAAGCCAGGTGGACTGCTTCAGCCCAGGAGTTCAAGGCCAGTCTGGGCAACATGGCAAAACCCATCTCTATCAAAAGAAAAAATAAAAAATAAGTAGCTGGGTGTAGTGGCTTGCACGTGTATTCCCAGCTACTCAAGAGGCCTCAGCAGCAGATTGATTGAGCCCCTGAGGTCCAGGCTGCATTGAGCTGTGATCAAGCAGCTGCGCTCCAGCCTGGGTGACAGAGGCCCTGCCTTAAAAAATAATAATAATAACAAAATAAAATTATGCATTTTTTTCTGTTAATTGCTCTAGCTGTCTCCCATGGGTTTGGTTTGAAGTGTTCACATTTTGACTTTTTACAGGAATTAAGTAATTTGATTTTTATTTCTACCATGTTCTAAAGGTTACAAGTACTTATGTTATTTTATTATTTATTTCCAATATGTTAGCTTTCTATCAGAGAATGCTTTTTCTACTTTTAAAAAATTAAATATGTTTTATAGCTAAGTACGTGACTACATATGTTAGTTATATTAATATGTAAAAATGTATGTGTTCTCTTGAAAGGATGAAATGAAGCATCTGTAATGTGCTGGTTACTTCTATGAGTACTGCAGAAAAAGCAGAGAACACAACAGACGAAAGTGTCTGACTCTAAGGATCTTATATTCTAATTTACAGAAAACCACAATAATATACAACAAATAAAGACAACATGTATTAACTTAGAAGGTGATAAGTTGTGTAGTATTAGAAATATTTAATAACTGGTAGAGATATAGAAAATTCTAAGTCTAAAACATTAAAATTTATTCTCTAAGTGAAATACTAAATGATACAAGCTGTAGGAATAATTATCAATTAGATCGTTCTTGTAATTTCAAAATAATTAGTTTATTTTAGAAATTGGTGGTGGGTGTTTTTTGATTGATTCAGCTGTTAGATAAATGCCTTTTTCTGTGTCACATTTTGACAGATTTTAACAGAGAGCACCACATTTGTATTTTTAATGAATACTTCCATTAAAGATGTAACCTCAACAAGTTAAAAAAAAAGTGTCTTAACAAAGATAACATTGTTCATAGTGCTGAATCCTCTCTGAGTATCTGTTAAACAATAATTACATTCAAAATGTTTTTATACTCTTTTAGTATTACATGAGAGTTTAATATATTCAGTCTCAAACTATAGTAACCAAAACAATGTGACACAAGCAGGAAAAATAGACACACAGATGATTGGAGCAGAATAGAGAACCCAAAAATAAATCCACACATCCAAAGTCAACTCATTTTCAACAAAGGTACCAAGAACATACATTGGTGAAAGGACAGCCTTTTCAATAAATGGTGCTAGGAAAACTGGATATTCATATGCAGAAGAATGAAACTAGACTCCTATGTCTTGCAATATTAAAAAAATGAATTAATGACTTACATCTAATTCTTGAAACTGAAACTTCTAGAAGACAACAACATTGGGGAAACACTCCAGGACATTGGTCTGGGAAAAGATTTCTCGAGTAAAACTTCAAAAGCAAAAATGGATAGAAGGGATTCACATCAAGCTAAAACACTTCTGCACAGCAAAGGAAACAATCAATGAAGTGAAGAGACAACTCACAGAATGGGAGAAAATATTTGCAAACTACCCATCTCACAAGGGATTAATAACCAGGACATATAAGAAGCTCAAACAACTTAATAGGAAAAAGTAATCTAATCAAAGGGCAAAATCTGAATAGTGATTTCTCAAAATAAGACATACCAATTGCCAACAGATATGTGAAAAATGCTTGACATTACTAATCATCAGGGAAATGCAAATTGAGACTACAATGAGATATCATCTCACTCCAGTTAAAATGGCTTTTATCCGAAAGACAGGCAATAACAGATGCTGATGAGGATATGGAGAAAGAGGAACCCTCATACACTGTTGGTAGGAATGTAATTTAATACAGTAAGTATGAAGAACAGTATGGGGGCTCCTCAAAAAACTAAAAATAGAACTACCATATCACTTAGCAATCCCATACCTTGATATATATTCAAGAGAAAGGAAGATGATATATCAAAGAGGTATCTGCACTTTCATGTTTATTCCAGCACTATTCACAATAGCTAAGATATGGAAGCAACCTGTGTCCATCAGTAGATAAATGGATAAAGAAAATGTGGCATAGTTAGACAATGGAATATTATTCAGCCATTAAAAATGAAATACTGTCATTCGCAACATGGATAAAACTGGAGGACATAATGTTAAGTGAAATAAGCCAGGTAGAGAAAGACAAATATTGCACGTTCTTGCTAATAAATGGAAGCTAAAAAAAAATTGAACTCAGAGAGAGAGTAAAATGATGTTTACCAGAGGCTGGAAAGGGTTGTAGGGAGAAAGCGAGAAAATAGGGATGGTTAAAGAGTACAAAAAATGCAGTTAGATAGAAGAAATAAGATCTAGTATTTGGTAGCATAATAGGGAGATTACAGTTAACATTAACTCATTGTTATACTTTCAAATAACGAATGAGTGGAATTGGAAAGTTCCTAACATAAAGAACTGATAAATCCTTGAGGTGATGGATATCCCAATTATCCTGATTTGGTCAAAACACATTGTATGCTTTTATCAAAATATCACACGTACCCCAAAAATAGGGTACAATTTGATAAAAGCATACCTTATTTGGGGGTACATGTGATATTTTGATACAAGCATACAACGTGTTATGTGTCCATAATAATTTAAAATAACAAATTAAAAACATATATTCCATCTCTCTACTTTTTACTAAATGAGGAAAATCATTTATTAGATTTTGTTAAGTATTTACTAGAATGTGATTTTGTTATCTTGATTTTATTACTATTTTTGTACTGCTATTTCATAATGTTTTGCACTTATCATTGCGCCAAATTTCAGGACTCAACAAGTTGAAAAGAATGGAAAATTTTATTTTGACTTTCATCTTTATCATCTTACAACAAGCGCATTATCATATAACTTGTAGACAATCTCAATCTAAGCCTTTAGAACTGTTACTTTGTTTTGCTTCAAGGAGTATATTATGTTTCTTCATTTCTAGTTTCACTTCTCTTTTATGAATCCTTTGTTTTGTTTTATACATTCAATTACTTGAACTGTTTATCTAATTAATCTATCAGCTTTATTAGTGATACGTCTTTTATGAAAGGAAAGGGAATACTGGCATCTCTGTCAAATATATCATTTAGAAAAACCAAACCTAGCTAAAAAATTAATTTTCAAATATTTAATGATTTCCATTTTATAACTTCCATTAAGGTAAATATCTAAGACCTGATACAATTTACAAACCATTTCTGCAGCTAGAACACAAGAGATACCAATTTGGCTGTCATAAATATTCTTCCAATTTACAATTTCTAATTCCTCAGACATACTATTTAATTCACCCTGATATTTATGAGTTGACTAGAAGTAAATATAAAATGTACTGAGAAAATATAATTTTAAATTGATTAAAATGACTTACCTAATTATTGCATTGTCCAGAGGAACTTTTATTTGGAGACAGTACCAATGAAAACATCAAAAAATGTTCAAAATTTTGGCGAAACTCTAGTCTCTTTCTTTAGTATTATATTATACCATCTGCATGAAGATTTAATAGTTTTCAAAGTTCTCAGTAATCCCTCTTTTCTCAGTCATAAATAATAAAACTACATATATTACTTTATATAATGTCTATAACAGTCCACAAGATAAGCATAAACCACAAAAATAATTCAAAGTCATGAATTTTACATTTTAATTTTTTAAATGAGTAAAACTGTTGAATAGTTGAAACACTGTTGATGATTGAATTTTTAAAACATTTTTGAAACAGTACACAGAAAAGTACACAAATTATAAATTTGTAGCTCAGTAAATTATCATAACAGAATGATGTTACTGACATTTCTGAAAGTCTTCCCTGACTCTCCAACATGAAACAGAAAATCCACCCTCAACGTCTCCCAACAACCCTGCTTCATTTTTCTGTATGACACTCACTGCCATCTGACGCAGAATATATTTCCTTCTTTATTTGCTTAGATTCTTAAATTTGCCATCTAAGTCTACCTGCTTCCAGTCATACTGTCTTGGTTCTTATGTTCTCAGAACTTCATTTTAACAGTTCAGTACTGAAATAGCCACACTGCTTTTTGTTGTTGTTGTTGTCTTTATAAATTAAGACAATTTCATATCATTTGGTAACTAATAGAATTGTAATTGTGCTAAACAGCAAGATTAATAACAAAGTATTATATTCATTTCATTGGTTTACACTGATTCTTTTAGGATGCCACAGAATACCACTGGGGCATTAGATTGCTATCATGGCAGCATCTGCCAAACAGTCATGGTTCTGTCGTACAGTGGGCCTGAGTTATGGTCAGTCACAAGGCTAATCTGAGGATTGTTTATGAAACACTTTGTGCTTTAGAGGAAGGACTGGTTTATCATTTTCCTCCAATTATGTTTTGACTAATACTTCCGCATTTCAATAATCTTCTAAATCTACGGGAGAAAAAAGTACATCGACAATGAACCACAGTCTAGAATTTTTTTTGATAGTGTGCAAAAGTCAGAAAAGCCTGGAATATCGGTGATGTGGAAGAGTCAGAAGAAAGCCAAATTGACTATTTCAACCAAAAAATATCAATGAGTGACATATTATTGCTTGAAACATAAAGGTTTGATGAAAATGACACTAGAAAATTGTAACACAAAGCCTAAATGTTTGAGGAGATAGATACCTCATTTCCCCTGATGTGATTATTACATATTGTATGCATGTATCAAAATATTCCACATACCTCATAAATATACATGCTTACTATATAACCAAAAAAATTAAAACATAAAGTTAAAAAGAAATATTTGTCATTAATAATTGAAAGTGCTAGGTATTTACATATTTCTATCAGAATGGTACTCATATTCTGCCTAAAGTTCATGGTTCAAATAAAGAACATATACAATTATCAATGAGGAAAATCTCTTAAAAGACTGTGAAACGATTTCATATTAAAGCAATTAAAAATAGAAATTTGGGAATTATTTTTAATCAGAGTGTTTATAAAGAAACAAAACAGGTATATGATTTTTGGGACACTAGCCAAGATGGCTGAATAGGAACAGCTCCAGTCTACAGTTCCCAGCATGAGCAATGCAGAAGACGTATGATTTCTGCATTTGCAACTGAGGTGCTGGGTTCATCTCACTGGGGGTTGTCGGACAGTGGGTACAGGACAGTGAGTGCAGCACACCAAGCATGAGCCAAAGCAGGACGAGGCATTGCCTTACCCAGGAAGCACAAGGGGTCAGGGAATTTGCTTTCCTAGCCAAGGAAAGGGGTGACAGATGGCACCTGGAATACTGGGTCACTCCCACCCTAATACTGCGCATTTCCAATGGTCTTAGCAAACGGCACACCAGGAGATTATATCCTACGCCTGGCTCAGAGGGTCCTACACCCATGGAGCCTCACTCTTTGCTAGCAAAGCAGTCTGAGATCAAACTGCAAGGCAGCAGTGAGGCTGGGGGAGGGGCTCCCGCCATTGCTGAGGCTTGAGCAGTTAAACAAAGCAGACAGGAAGCCAGAACGGGATGGAGACCACCACAGCTCAAGGAGGCCTGCCTGCCTTTGTAGACTCCACCTCTGGGGGCAGGGCATAGCCAAACTAAAGGCAGCAGAAACCTCTGGAGACTTAAATGTTCCTGTCTGACAGCTTTTAAGAAAGTAGTGGTTCTCCCAGCACGCAGCCTGAGATCTGAGAATGGACAGACTGCCTCCTCACTAGGTTGCTGAACCTCGAGTAGCCTAACTGGGAGGCACCCCCCAGTAGGGATAGACTGACACCTCACACGGCCGGGTACCCCTCTGACAAAAAACTTCCAGAGGAACGATCAGACAGCTACATTTGCTGTTCACCAAAATTCGCTGTTCTGCAGCCTCCGCTGCTGATACCCAGGCAAACAGGGTCTGGAGTGGACTTCCAGCAAACTCCAACAGACTTGCAGCTGAGGGTACTGACTGTTAGAAGGAAAACGAACAAACAGAAAGGACAACCACACCAAAACCCCATCTGTACATGACCATCATCAAAGACCAAAGGTAGATAAAACCACAAAGATGGGGAAAAAACAGAGCAGAAAAACTGAAAATTCTAAAAATCAGAGTGCCTCTTCTCCTGCAAAGGAATGCAGCTCCTCACCAGCAACAGAACAAAGCTGGATGGAGAATGACTTTGATGAGTTGAGAGAAGAAAGCTTCAGACGATCAAACTTCTCTGAACTAAAGGAGGAAGTTTGAACCCATGGCAAAGAAGTTAAAAACCTTGAAAAAAGATTACAGGAAAGTCTAACTAGAATAACCAATGCAGAGAAATCCTGAAAGGACCTGACGGAGTTGAAAACCACGGCATGAGAACTACATGATGAATGCACAAGCCTCAGTAGCCAATTCGATCAACTGGAAGAAAGGGTATCAGTGATGGAAGATGAAATGAATGAAATGAAGTGAGAAGAGAAGTTTAGAGAAAAAAGAGTAAAAAGAAATGAACAAAGCCTCCAAGAAATATGGGACTATGTGAAAAGACCAAATCTATGTCTGATTGGTGTACCTGAAAGTGATGGGGAGAATGGGACCATGCTGGAAAACACTCTGCAGTATATTATCCAGGAGAACTTCCCCAATCTAGCAAGGCAGGCCAACATTCAAATTCAGGAAACACAGAGAATGCCACAAAGATACTCCTCAAGGAGAACAACTCCAAGACACATAATTGTCAGATTTGCCAAAGTCGAAATGAAGGAAAAAATGTTAAGGGCAGCCAGAGAGAAAGGTCAGGTTACCCACAAAGGGAAGCCCATCAGACTAACAGCTGATCTCTCGGCAGAAACTCTACAAGCCAGAAGAGAGTGGGGGCCAATATTCAATATTCTTAAATAAAAGAATTTTCAACCCAGAATTTCATATCCAGCCAAACTAAGCTTCAAAAGTGAAAGAGAAAAAAAATCCTTTACAGACAAGCAAATGCTGAGAGATTTTGTCACCATCAGGCCTGCCCTACAAGAGCTCCTGAAGGAACCACTAAACATGGAAAGGAACAACTGGTACCAACCACTGCAAAAACATGCCAAATTGTAAAGACCATCGAGGCTAGGAAGAAACTGCATCAACTAATGAGGAAAATAACCAGCTAACATCATAATGACAGGATCAAATTAACACATAACAATATTAACCTTAAATGTAAATGAGCCAAATGCTCTAATTAAAAGACACAGACTGGCAAATTGGATAAAGAGTCAAGACCCATCAGTGTGCTGTATTCAGGAAACCCATCTCACATGCAGAGACACACATATCAAAATAAAGGGATGGAGGAAGATCTACCAAGCAAATGGAAAACAAAAAAAGACAGGGGTTGCAATCCTAGTCTCGGATAAAAGAGACTTTAAACCAACAAAGATCAGAAGAGACCAAGAAGGCCATTACATAATGGTAAAGGGATCAATTCAACAAGAAGAGCTAATTATCCTAAATATATATGCACCCAATACAGGAGCACCCAGATTCATAAAGCAAGTCCTTAGAGACCTACAAAGAGACTTAGACTCCCACACAATCATCATGGGAGACTTCAACACCCCACTTCAACATTGGACAGATCCACAAGACAGAAAGGTAACAAGGATATCCAGGAATTGAACTCAGCTCTGCACCAAGCGGACCTAATAGACATCCACAGAACTCTCCACCCCAAATCAACAGAATATACATTCTTTTCAGCACCACATCACACCTATTCCAAAATTGACCACATTGTTGGAAGTAAAGCACTCCTCAGCAAATGTAAAAGAACAGAAATTATAACAAACTATCTATCCGACCACAGTGCAATCAAACTAGAACTCAGGATTCAGAAACTCACTCAAAACCACTCAACTACATGGAAACTGAACAACCTGCTCCTGAATGACTACTGGGTAAATAATGAAATGAAGGCAGAAATAAGGATGTGCTTTGAAACCAACGAGAACAAAGACACAACATACCAGAATCTCTGGGACACATTTAAAGCAGTGTGTAGAGGGAAATTTATAGCACTAAATGTCCACAAGAGAAAGCAGGAAAGATCTAAAATTGACACCCTAAAAACACAATTAAAAGAACTAGAGAAGCAAGAGCAAACACATTCAAAAGCTGGCAGGAGGCAAGAAATAACTAAGATCAGAGCAGAACTGAAGGAGATAGAGACACAAAAAACCCTTCAAAAAAATCAATGAATCCAGGAGCTGGTTTTCTGAGATCAACAAAATTGATAGACCACTAGCAAGACTAATAAAGAAGAAAAGAGAGAAGAATCAAATAGACACAATAAAAAATGATAAAGGGGATATCACCACTGATCCTACAGAAATACAAACTACCATCAGAGAATACTATAAACACCTCTACACAAATAAACTAGAAAATCTAGAAGAAATGTATAAATTCCTCGACACATACACCCTCCCAAGACTAAACCAGGAAGAAGTTGAATCTCTGAATAGACCAATGACAGGCTCTGAAATTGAGGCAATAATTAATAGCTTACCAACCAAAAAAAGTCCAGGACCAGATGGATTCACAGCCTAATTCTACCAGAGGTACAAGGAGGAACTGGTACCATTCCTTCTGAAACTATTCCAATCAATAGAAAAAGAGGGAATCCTCCCTAACTCATTTTATGAGGCCAGCATCATCCTGATACCAAAGCCGGGCAGAGACTCAACAAAAAAAAGAGAATTTTAGACCAATATCCCTGATGAACATCAATGCAAAAATCCTCAATAAAATACTGGCAAACTGAATCCAGCAGCACATCAAAAAGCTTATACACCATGATCAAGTGGGATTCATTCCTGGGATGCAAGGCTGGTTCAACATATGCAAATCAATAAACGTAATCCAGCATATAAACAGAACCAAAGACAAAAACCACATGATTATCTCAATAGATGCAGAAAAGGCCTTTGACAAAATTCAACAACTCTTCATGTTAAAAACTCTCAATAAATTAGGTATTGATGGGACGTATCTCAAAATAATAAGAGCTATCTATGAAAAACCCACAGCCAATATCATACTGAATGGGCAAAAACTGGAAGCATTCCCTTTGAAAACTGCCACAAGACAGGGATGTACTCTCTCACCACTCCTATTCAACATAGTGTTGGAAGTTCTGGCCAGGGCAATCAGGCAGGAGAAGGAAATAAAGGGTATTCAATTAGGAAAAGAGGAAGTCAAATTGTCCCTGTTTGCAGATGACATGATTATATATCTAGAAAACCCCATTGTCTCAGCCCAAAATCTCCTTAAGCTGATAAGCAACTTCAGCAAAGTCTCAGGATACAAAATCAATGTACAAAAATCACAAGCATTCTTATACACCAATAACAGACAGAGAGCCAAATCATGAGTGAACTCCCATTCACAATTGCTTCAAAGAGAATAAAATACCTAGGAATCCAACTTACAAGGGATGTGAAGGACCTCTTCAAGAGAACTACAAACCACTGCTCAATGAAATAAAAGAGGATACAAACAAATGGAAGAACATTCCATGCTCATGGGTAGGAAGAATCAATATCATGAAAATGGCCATACTGCCCAAGGTAATTTATAGATTCAATGCCATCCCCATCAAGCTACCAATGACTTTCTTCACAGAATTGGAAAAAACTACTCTACAGTTCATATAGAACCAAAAAAGAGCCTGCATTGCCAAGTCAGTCCTAAGCCAAAGAACAAAGCTGGAAGCATCACGCTACCTGACTTCAAACTATATTACAAGGCTACAGTACCCAAAACAGCATGGTACTGTTACCAAAACAGAGATATAGACCAATGGAACAGAACAGAGCCCTCAGAAATAATGCCACATATCTACAACTATCTGATCTTTGACAAATCTGAGAAAAACAGGAAATGGAGAAAAGATTCCGTATTTAATAAATGGTGCTGGGAAACCTGGCTAGCCATATGTAGAAAGCTGAAACTGGATCCCTTCCTTACACCTTATATAAAAATTAATTCAAGATGGATTGAAGAATTAAATGTTAGAACTAATACCATAAAAACCCTAGAAGAAAACCTAGGCAATACCATTCAGGAAATAGGCATGGGCAAGGACTTCATGTCTAAAACACTAAAAGCAATGGCAACAAAAGCCAAAATTGACAAATGGGATCTAATTAAACTAAAGAGCTTCTGCACAGCAAAAGAAACTACCATCAAAGTGAACAGGCAACCTACAGAATGGAGAAAATTTTTGCAATCTACTCATCTGACAAAGGGCTAATATCCAGAATCTACAATGAACTCAAACAAATTTACAAGAAAAAAACAAACAACCCCCTCAAAAAGTGGGTAAAGGATATGAACAGACACTTCCCAAAAGAAGACATTTATGCAGCCAAAAGACACACGAAAAAATGCTCACCATCACTGGCCATCAGAGAAATGCAAATCAAAACCACAATGAGATACCATCTCACACCAGTTAGAATGGTCATCATTAAAAAGTCAGGAAACAACAGGTGCTGGAGAAGATGTGGAGAAATAGGAACACTTTTACACTGTTGGTGGGAAGGTAAACTAGTTCAACCATTGTGGTAGTTGGTGTGGCAATTCCTCATGGATCTAGAACTAGAAATACCATTTGACCCAGCCATCCCATTACTGGGTATATAGCCAAAGGATTATAAATCATGCTGCTATAAAGACACTTGCACATGTATGTTCATTGCAGCACTATTCACAGTAGCAAAGACTTGGAACCAAGCCAAATGTCTAACAATGATAGACTGGATTAAGAAAACGTGGCACATATATACACCACGGAATACTATGCAGCCACAAAAAATGATGAGTTCACGTCCTTTGTAGGGACGTGGATGAAGCTGGAAACCATCATTCTCAGCAAACTATCACAAGGACAAAAAACCAAACACTGTGTGTTCTCACTCATAGATGGGAATTGAACAATGACAACACATGGACACAGGAAGGGGAACATCACACACTGGGGCCTGTTGTGGGGTGGGGGGAAGGGGGAGGGATAGCATTAGGAGATATACCTAATGTTAAATGACAAGTTATTAGGTGCAGCACACCAACATGGCACATGTATACATATGTAACTAACCTGCACGTTGTGCACATGTACCCTAAAACCTAAAGTATAATTTAAAAAAAAAGAAATAAAATATACTCATATGTAAAGAGCCAATATATACTAGCATTTTCAGACACAATATTTAACATTTCAAAGATACTAACATAGATATGAACATATTGCAATCCAAGTTAATAGTTTTGGTATTATATTCTGAAGTTTGTTTATTTAAATTTAAATCAGCTTTTTTATTTAGTATTTTTAAGTGGAAAAATACAAAAATAGAGAACAGCGCATAAAACATATATTTAGAGCAAAATAAACAATTATAAATTAAGGATCATATCTAGGTCAAGATATATAAAATAGTCAGCATACCAGAGTCCTCAACTATATTTTCTGATCATATTAATTTTCCTTAGCCCTAGCGTTAACTGAAATCCTGGCTTTTACCAAAAACTTTAGATGTTCTAGTTGTTTTTATTTGCTCCAGTTTTTATTTTTGCAATGATAGCAAACCACCCTACACTTAGTGGCATAGAACAACAGTCATTTTGTTATGTTAATGGATCCTGTGGGTCAGGAATTAAGCAAGGACAAAAAAAGAACAGGGTAATCCCCACTTCATAATATATGGGGGTCTCAATTGGAAAGACTCAGAGTGTGGGGTGACTTGAAAATTGGAATCTGAAATATCTAAGACCCATTCATTCACATTTCTGATTATTTACGCTGGCTATCTGCTGGGACATTCACTGGCCCGTTTTGCCAGAACACTTATATATAATATCTTCATATGATTACTTAGGATCTCTCAAAGCATGTCAGCTGGGTTCTGAAAGTAAATGTCCCAAGAGAAGTAGGTAGAAGCTATATTGCTTTTTATAACCTTACCTTGAGAGATTCATTTCAGCCATAATGACAAGCTAACCTAGAATCAAGGAGAAGCAACATCTCTCAATGGAAGGAGCATCAGAGTTATGCTGTAAGAATATCACATCTGATTTAATGCAGTCATCATTTGAAAAGACAATCTGCCATAATCCCTTCACTGATCACAATTAATATATTTCCCACATGCAAAACATACACAGCCTCTCTCGCCAAGACCCTCGAGTCATCCCATTACTGCATTAGCTCAAAGCCCAGGATTTTATCATCTTAATAAGGTCCACATACGGATTAGATTCTTCAGGTGTTGTTCCTCAGTTATAATTCCTCGAGTATTGTTGTTTTTTATTTGAAAACCAGTGATCTAAAAAGACATGTTGTCTGCCATTCTTGTATCAACATGCAATGGAGAAACAGGCATAGAATAACTGTTAAACTGTTACAAAAACTCCTGTTCAAAAAAGGGGAAAACAGGAAGCACACAAGAGTTACCACTCCATAGAAGTTCTGAAATCACACGTTGCTTGTTCCTATTAGGCTTCAGTACCACTACTTGGAAGATGTTTTCTGGGGCTCTTGGTTTTACCTCTCAATCATACACCTTTTACATAATACATCACCTGTGTTTGTAACTGAGAAGTTTCCTCAGCCTGACTGCTGGAAATTGGAATATGAAGTTCCAAAGGCCTTTTTCTTTCATTTTGTGTGCTCTCTTTCTCTGTCTAAAATGATGAAGAGGGAAGAGGAGGGGAAGGGAAGGGAAGGGAAGGGAAGGGAAGGGAAGGGAAGGGAAGGGAAGGGGAGTTGTGGATTTCTTGTGTGTGAATTTAGTGAATATGTAAGTCATGTCATCAGACAAAAGCTGTACCTAAAAAAAACTTTTTGAGATAAGCTCTTCTCCACCTTATCATACCATAAGACCTCTATCAGACAATGCCTTCATAATTTTTAGAAACCCTACTGGAGAGGATCTTCAAGGCATCCCATTCAGAGGGTCTGTCGGTCTCAAAGGTTCTATAGGATATCACCTTGCATCATTTTGCAGTCTTAACAAATGATCCCGCAGCTCTACGCTAATTCTGATCTTTAACTAGAACCCATTTCTTAAACTCAGAATTGCTTGATTTTTGGAGAAGTTGGAAATGATATACAGTTACATTTTTGAACTATGCAAACCCTGGCTCATTAAGACTTGTTTTTTTTTTTTTTTAGGCTCATTTCTCTTCCCTCATATTTCTCAAGGCAGTGAGAGAAAGCCCAACGGCACTTTCAACAGTCTTCCTAGAAACCTCCTCAGCTAGATCATCAAATTCATTCGGTGTGTATCTCATTTTCCCTATTGCCACAGGTGATAGTGTTGTTAAACTTTCCACTCCTAAATAACAAGGGTCCCCCTTCCTCCAGCTACCAATAAAAGGTTACTTACTTGCCTTCAGGCCTTCATTGATAGCCTCCTCAAAACTCTATTGTCTTCATGAACCCTCTTTTTAAAGCTCTTTTGGCTTTTGCCTGGTATCTAGTCTCAAAGTCAATGATAACCACTTAGGTTTTTGTTATGGAAGCACCCACATTCTGGTACCCAAATCTCTCTCAGTTACTCTTTTTCTGTATAAAAAATGACCTCAAACTTAGTGACAAAAAACAACCATTATTTTATTATACCTATGGATTTATATACTGAACAGAGAGTAAAACGAAAGGAATAAAACCAAGTATTATCAGTTGGTACAGCAAATGTGAGATGGGTCTCATTAGAATACACAGCAGTGGGGAAAAGACATATTTTTTGATAAATTGGGAAATTCAGAAAGGGTAGAGTAGGGACAGATTGTTTCTAGTCTATGACGCCTGGGGCTTCTGATGGAAGACTCAATGACTATGGATGACTCAGTAGCTGAGATCTGGAATCTGAATGTTTACTCACTCACATCTGGATTTTGCTGGCCATGTGGTGGGACCTCATACCTATATATAAACACCTAGAAACGATCACTGAATACTGCTGATTAGGCTTTCTCATACACAGTGACTGAGTTCCAAGAGTGAAAGTCCCAAGAGAAGAAAGATGAAGCTGTGTCACCTTTTCTGATCTACCTTCAGAGGTCAAATAGCACCGCACAGTTGTCACAGACCAACCAGTTTCAAGGAGAAAACATAAATGTCGCCCATCTATAGGATATATGTAGCATTGTAGGAAGAGCATGAGTGATGAAAAATATTTTTGTGGCTATCTTTGGAAAATATAATCATCGACAATAGTATTTCCAAACTAAATGTACCATAATTTTGTCAATCAAATCTTTAGGAAGCCAGCAGAAAGAGGTGATACATATAAACTATAGAATTTGAGAAGAGTTTACTACAGATTGTTTACAATCATTTGATAGGAGTACGGGAATATTATGAGAGATAATGTATTATCCAGGCTATAGTACTGTTTCCATCCTTAAGTCTGAAAAGCACACCTGGTTTTGAATCATACCATATGCATTATTTCTTTTCCCTCTTTTCAAAAATATGTTGGCAAAATTTGTTCATGTTCTTGCATGTAACTCAAGTTTAGTCTTTCTTATTATTATGTAGAATTCTCTTTTATGAAAACACCACAATTTATTTATCTACTTTCCTGTTGATGAAAATTTTCTTTCTTTCCTTCATTCTTTTTTTTTTAAAGTTGTGATCATTGTGAACAATGCCATTCTAAACAATCTTGATGTATCCTAGTGCTTTAGGATATATACCAGGAGCAGGATGACTGAATCATAGATCATGAGCATCTTCAGCTTTACTAGATAATGTCAAACCATCATCTAGAGTAACTGAAATCATTTACACTACTACAAATGGAAATAAGAATATATTTTTATCCACATCATTGATAATATGTAGTATTGTCAGACTTTTCTATTTTTATTATTCAGGCATAGTTTGGCTTAAGTTTTTCTGATTCTGTATTTTTTTAATGTTTATTGGCCATTTGAATTTCCTATTTATAGATGTTAACAGTACAAAACTTCTACTTAATATTCTATTTAGTCTCCTGTATTATTATCATTTTTTCAGATGTCTTCATATATTCTGGGTACAAGTTTCTTGCCAGTTATACATGTTGCAAATATCTCTTTATGTCTTTTTTCACTTTCCTTAAGGTGTTAATATTTCACCCTATGGTTAATTTTTCCCTTCTCTCCTTATGCAAAATGACAATAATATTTAATTTTTTAAATCTTGAGCTACCGCTAGGTCATAATGATATTTTCTTATGTAATCTTCTGAAAGCATTATAATCTTCTCTTTCACATGTAAGTCTACAAACTATCTAAAGTTAGTATATTGTTCCATAAGTGGTAAGCATCTAATTTTACTTATTTATTGATGAATACTCAATTGTCTGAAAGTATCTATCAAAAATATATGTATTTTCCCCATTGCTCTGTATTTTAATGAGACCCGTCTCACATTTGTTGTAACAACTGATATACTTGGTTTCATTCTTTCTATTTTACTGTATGTTCACTATGTAAGTTTTCCTTATTTACTTTTCCAATTCAATTCAATTATAGTAGGTTTTTTTTCATAATTTTTCTTTTTATATTATGTGAGATTTGCATTCTTTGAAACAACTATTACTCTCTATTTCCTGAAACTTAAATACCCATCTCTATAAATCTATGATTTCACTATTATAAAAAAGAAGATACCAACAATCATCTTCACTTGCATTCCATATTCCATATTACCCTTGACATATTTCCAATTGTATTAGGATAAGCATTTTGTATTAGGATAAACATTTTAATGTATTTTACTATCCTAAGCTTTATCTTACTCCCTGGATAAAAAGCTTAGAAACCTTTAACATTTCTACCTTGTCTACTACTTTCTGAATACCTATATTTCTTAAGATAATTTGGAAATTTTAATGACAAGTGATTATCAACTTTCCCTTAGAGTATGCCTATATTAGTTTAAGAGTCATTCTTCAAATTTTTTCTCATTCATTACCAGGCTACAATTATCCATTTACACACATCCTTACATGGAAGTAAAGAATGAGAGAGAGATTGATTCGTTGCTCACCACCTCATTTTCTTCTATAACTCATTGGTCTGTTCTATTTCTTGCCTCATTAGAACCCTTTAAACAATATTTTTTACTAAATAGATATATTCTGCAAATCTTTCAATATCTCCAAATTATTTCCTTTTATTCTGACACATAATGTTTTAATTGTGTATGAGTCTAGTGTAGCAGTCCCTTTGTCATCTAAAAATGTTATTCTTCATATTCTAGATTCTACTACTTCAGACGAAGTGTCTAACACACTCCAATGCTATTTTTTTAATTTTGTGACTTTGTTTTCTATATCATAAAACTTTTAAATTTTTATCATTACTCTTAGAGTTCACATATTTTACCAGAATATGTGTATGTGCATATCTTTATTTCATCATTCTTGCCAGAAACTTGATGAGGATTTTAAATTTGAAGATTTAAATGTTGAGAGATTTTCTTCTATCATTTATTTAATCATTACCTCTCTTACATCAGCTGCTTTTTCTCTTATAAGTACTATTGACAGCAAGTTAAATCCTTTGGTTTTTTTTTCTTCCAAGTCCTTTATCTTTTTTTTCACTCCTGCCATCTCCTTATATTTTATGTTTGGACGTATTTTCCCCTTGATCTTCCAAAATAATAATCACTGTCTCAAAGTGTCCGCTTCTTCTCTTCATCTAATTTTTAAATTTGAAAAATTAATTTTTGGAACCAGAAATATGTGTATGTACTATAGGTGAATTTCCATACAGGCTCTTTGTTTAACTTCGAGTTATCAGTGGTGGCCTACCTCAATTGTATTTTGCTACAAATTTCCCAGTCTGAGCATTTTACTTTTCATCTTCTATTTGGCTTTTGGCTCCCTTGAGTGTGCGATTTATAGTTATTTAGTTACTCATGGTTAAATCTTGAGCTCAAATACAGCAGAAGCAAAATAAGCATGGTCACATTATATTAGTCTTTATCTCTGGACCAATATTACCTAAACTACCAATTTGTCAGTTGTCTACTAAGGCACTAGGGAGAAGGCCCTCTGCTTCACAGTATACTAAGAAGAAAATTCCAAGACTCCCTCACCCTTCTGAGTAGGGAAATCTTAGGTACCTGTTCAAATTCCCATGTGTTCAGCTGGTGAGAAAGGGAAGCAAATATGTATTCACCTTAATATTTGTAAAGCTCAGCACCATCTTTTCTTTAATAGATCATAAATCTCTACACAATAAGTTTTTTAAAAAAACCTATAACACTCTGACCTTTAATTCTGAACTGTTCACTGTTGATCACTAGGCTGATTTATGGCACTACATCAACATTGTCTGTTCTCAGTGGTAGATATGAAGATCTTTACCAAATATTCTAGGCTCTGCTTGAAAGCTCCAGCATTTGTTGCCCAGGAAATGTGACAGATGGTTCATTAGGGTACAAATTTATTAGCTTAGTTTCACAAATGCCTTCAACAACATTTACTTTTCGGCTAACCCAGTGAGCTCTGTCTAAAAGGAGAGAAAGAGGAAGAAGCTCTGGACACAGAGGTATGCAACAAAACAGACCAACATTCAGTAAAACAAAAAGTAAGACAAAAAATCCATGTGATCTAGGGGTTAAGGATTTGCATAAGCTCAGAGTAGAAATTCTTATTAGAGAATACAGCAGCCAAGCAAGAGAATGAGTTCAACCTAATGCATCACCATAAAAATAAAAATTAGTGTTGTAAGTATAATAATAAAAGCAAGATTAAAATGCTAAAGCATTCCAGAAGGAATAAATTACTTTCATAGAGAATATAGGTGGAAAAGACTTGGGAAGTCTTCCTAGAAAGATGGTTGTATTAGTTTCCTGTTGCTGTTGTAATAAATTATCAGAAACTTAATAGTTTTAAAACAACACAAATGTATTTTCTTATAGCTCTGGAGATGAGAAATCTGAAATGGCTTTACTGGGATAAAATCATGATGTTGGCAGAGCTGTCTTCCTTCTGGAGACAGTAGGGAAGATTCTATTTATTTATCTTTTACAGCATATAGAGGCCATCTGTATTCCTTAGCTTGTGGTGCCTTCCTTCACCTTCAAAGTCAGCAGGGCAACATCTTCAGATATCTCCCTGATTCTTACAGTCTTGCCTCCCTCATATAAGAACACTGTTATTACACTGGGCCTAACTGGATAATATGGGAATTTTTTCCCTTGTCAATATGTTTAGCTTAATCAAATCGGCAAAGTCCCTTTTCTCATGTAAGGGAACATATTCACAGGTTTTGGGAATTAAGAGATAGATATATTTGGGGACCATTATTCTGCCTATGACAGTCCACACTTTGGCCCCCAAAGCTTCACATTCATCCCACGTACAAGTTAAAACACACCCATGTCAACATCACCATAGGTCTCAACCCACTACAGCATCAACTCAAAGTCTAAAATTTCATCTAAATGTCAGTTAAAATGTCCCAAATCTTATCAACTAAATCATCTAAATCAGGTATGGGTGAGATCCTGGGTATAATCACCTACAAGCATATTTCTCTCTTTTTAAAAAATTTTTAATTTTTAATTATTGTTGATTACATAGTAGGTGTATATATTTATAGGATACATGAGATAGTTTGATACAGGCATACAATGTGTAGTACTCACATCAGGGTAAACAAGGTATCTATCACCTCAAGCATTTATCCTTTGTGTCATAAACAATCCAATTACACTTTTTCAGTTTCAAAAATGTACCATAGGCCGGGCGCGGTGGCTCACGCCTGTAATCCCAGCACTTTGGGAGGCCAAGGCGGGCGGATCACGAGGTCAGGAGATCGAGACCATCCTGGCTAACACGGTAAAACCCCGTCTCTACTAAAAATTCAAAAAATTAACCGAGCGTGGTAGCAGGTGCCTGTAGTCCCAGCTACTCGGGAGGCTGAGGCAGGAGAATGGCGTGAACCCGGGAGGCAAAACTAGCAGTGAGCCGAGATTGCGCCACTGCACTCCAGCCTGGGGAGAGAGTGAGACTCCACCAAAAAAAAAAAAAAAGTATGATAAATTTTTGTTGACTATAGTCAGTCTCTTGTGCTATCAACTACTAGACCTTATTCATTCTTTCTAACCATATTTTTCTACCCATTAAACACCCACCCATCTCCCATTACCCTTCTCAGCGTCTGGTAAACATTGTTCTACTCTCTAGCTCCGTTAGCTCAATTGTTTTAATTTTTAGCTCTCACAGATAAGTGCGAACATGCAAAGTGTGTCTTTCTGTGCCTGGCTTATTTCACTTAACATAGTGACCTCCTGTTTTATCCATGATATTAAAAATGACAGGACCTCACTCTTTTTTATGCCTGAATAGTACTCCATTGTGTATATATGCCACATCTTCTTTATCCATTTGTCTACTGATGGACACTCAGGTTGCTTCTAAATCTTGGCTATTGTTAATAATGCTGCAATAAAGATGGAGTGCAGATAGCTCTTTGATATACTGATTTCCTTTATTTGGGGTATATACTTAGCAGTGGGGTTGCTGGATCACATGGTAACTCTATTTTTGGTTTTTTGAGGAACACTCAAACTGTTCCATAGGGGCTGTACTAATTTACATCTCCACCAACAGTGCATAAGGGTTCTCTTTTCTCCATACCTTTGCCACTGTTTGTTATTGCCTGTCTTTTGGATAAAAACTTTTTTAGGCCGGGCGCGGTGGCTCACGCTTATAATCCCAGCACTTTGGGAGGCCGAGGCGGGTGGATCACGAGGTCAGGAGATCGAGACCATCCTGGCTAACACGGTGAAACCCCGTCTCTACTAAAAATACAAAAAAAATAGCCGGGCATGATGGTGGGCGCCTGTAGTCCCAGCTACTCGGGAGGCTGAGGCAGGGGAATGGCGTGAACCCGGGAGGCGGAGCTTGCAGTGAGCCGAGATTGCGCCACTGCACTCCCGCCTGGGCCACAGAGCGAGACTCCGTCTCAAAAAAAAAAAAAAAACTTTTTTAACTGGAGTGAGATGATATTTCATTGTAGTTTTTATTTAAATTTCTCTTAATCTATTAACCTGTGAAGCCCAAAAAAACAAGTTTTCTTTCCCCAAAATAGAACAGAAAATGGTAGTAGGAAAAAAAAAGTCACTGGCCCCAAGCTACTTTGAAATACTACTGAACAAATTTCCTTAGGATTTAAAGTGTGGGAATTATCCTCTGTGGTTTGTGTTAGGTTTTCAAGGGAAAGCAAGGGTTAAAGAAAGACACACACACACACACACACACACACACACACACACACACACACAGAAAGAGGGCAGCTCAACAGTAAATGCAGGCTTTATGCCCAGCATAAAACCTATAGAAGTGGGGAACCAGCCCAATGTCAGATCCCACCGCGGCTTACAGGCTGGGGCAATTTATAGGTATGGGTGGGAGGGGTCTGGTCAGTATAGCTTGCTGCCCGGCAAGATATTGATAAGATGTTCCCATAATGAGGCAGTTCTGGCTCTTGTTCCAGCGGAATGTCATCGTGGTGTTCCTTGGACCTTTGTCCAGCAAGATGTGATAGGGATGTTTCTTTAGTTGGGACTCTGACTACCTTGTGGTCAGGTGGTTAGGCAGGATGTTTCTCAAGGCCCGAACTCCCATGAAACGTTTCCCTCTGACCAAGGTCTGCAAAAGAGCAGGCAGCTTACAACATGGTGCAGTTTGGTCTAACAGTTTTCAGCTCTGCCATCTGAGCTCCCAGCTCTGCCCCAATGTCATCGTTTCCTTTTTCATGAAGGGTAGCATGTGTTTGCAGCAGAAGCATTTTCTCAGCCTGTTTCTTCTTGCAGAATTTGGGGAATATAACAGCCTTCTTGTATTTTGTCTTCCTTCGTTCTTTTTCAGTTCAAGCTAGCAGTGTTTCTGATGATAGAACATTTTTAAAATCCTTGGGGGACTCTCATGTATGTCTCAGAAATTCACTCCATTAGACAAGAGGCTCATCCCACAGCTCTTTCCTATATAATTCCATCTCTATTCCTGACTTCCACTTATATGGCTGAGGGGCTCCATGAGTCACATTCCCAGTCTCTTCTAAGAGCCTACCATGTGACTGAATACTCTGACTTTTTTATCCTTCCAAACAACTGGCAAAACGTTGATCATCGATCTGCACACCCTTGGTATTCTGTCCAGAGCATGCTTCCCCGCCTCCCTTTTTTTTTCTTTCCTTTTTTTTTAGCATGCTTTCCTGACAGAGAATCTCCTAATTTCAGCATCTTTTACAATTTGGATAAGCTGAGAACTTTCCAAATAATAAAGTTCTGATTCCTTTTTCCTAACAGTTCTTCTCTCAAGCTATTTCTTTTCTCTTTTATTTTACTAAGCAACAAAAAGAAACTGGTTCATATCATCACCACTTTACCTGGAAATCTATCTCGGTAAATAACCAGTTTCATTACTTACAAGTTATGCTTTCCATGTAACTATAGGACACAATTCAGCCCAGCTTTCTGCCACTATAGAATAAGGTTCTCTTTTCCTCTAGTTTTGAGTAACAAGTTCCTCATTTTCTTCTGGCACCTCACCAGCAGCACTTTTAATGTCATTTTTCTACCAACAATCTGTTTATGATGTTCTCTTAAGACAATATAGGTTTTCACTACTGTGCTTCTTACTTCCTTCTGAGTCCATAATAGCAGAGTAGTCAATATCCATATTTATACCTACAGTCTATTTAAGGCAGTCTAGGTTTTTGCTATCATGCCCCTCAAAATTCTTCCTTCTTCTGCCCAATGCCCAATTCCAAAATCACTTCCACATCTTTGGTATTTATATAGCAACATCCCACTTCTAGATACTGAAATCTATATTAGTTTCTTATCGCTGCTGTAGCAAATTATTTTTAAAAACAACACAAATTTGTTATCTTACAGTTCTGAATATTTTGAAATCAAGTTTCCAAATATCTGGGTACTGTGGTTTGGCCTAGTTGGCATATAAAATTGATCATCACACATAATAAGAGATTTCAGGGATTAGGAAATGAATATCTTTGTAGAGCCATTATTTTGTGTACCACAGTGATGGTCTAAAAATGTGAAGAAAAAAAGGAGTAAAATAAGCAGACAAAGTGACATGAAGGGGAATGTGAGGTATAAACAGAGTTGTAGAAAGGCATTTCAAATAGATATAATTTGCAACAGTGTGGAGGGGATAGATGGGAATGCAGATCTCAGAAAAGTGGCAAGAAACATAGCTGTAGAGATGGCAAAATTATACACATAAGGGGTTCATCTTCATAAAGGACTTTGATTTTTACCCTAAAGTGAATCCTTAGGTATGGATGATGAGAATACCAATACTGAGTCATTGATGAGTTTAAGTAGGGAAAGATGAGCTCATCATTGTGTTTGAGAAAGACCATTCTGGTGCCAGTGAAAAGTCCTGACTTCTATGGAGAAATATTGAGGATAAGGAAAAGACAAACAGGGACTGAACCAACACTGTAGCAATGGGACTGAGGGGAGGAGCTCAAGGCATAATCTATAAGACTTGGTGACTGATTAGTTAAAGATGATAAATCATTAAAAATATGCCTACAAGCATTTGAAAGATTATGTTCATGTCTAAGACAGAAATGTTATTATAAGGACAATTGATTGCATTATTAAAGACAATGTAGGCATCTGGCAATGTTTTGTTAGAGTGATGATATTTGATTATATTCTAGGAAAATGTCATGGTTGATTGGTAGGACATGATGGTGGTTTCTCACTACTAAAACGTCTCAAGGGAATTTTAAAGAGTCTGTAGTTAAAAGACCTCTCTTTGGAGTCCCAAGGCAAGAGTAGAAAGCAGCATTTAATGAGGACCCTAAGAATAAAGTGGAAGCTAGAGAAGTCTCCCACCTTATAAGAGAGATGAAATGAGGGGGAAACTCATGGTTAAGATTAAAAATCTTAATAATAACGACAACTTATATTAAGCATATTGCCAGGCTCCAGCAAAAAAAAAAAATGTATACATTTATGGTTTGATCTTCATATATACCTGGTATAGTATATATTTGCCATCAGTATTGCCATACTAATGATGAAGTGATTGAAGTTTAGAAACCTGACATCTTACCCAAAGTCACACAGTGGAGAAAGACGAGTTCAAACTCAGACATCTCAGACTCCAAAAGCTGTTCTCTTAAGGAAAGAGAGGCAGGTTCCATCTCTCTTTATTGACAGTCTTACTTGGCATAAGCGTGGACCCAATAGCAGCTATGGTGTCATATACAAGATGCACATTACAAAGAATGGAACAACAGACACCGGGACATACTTGAGAGTGAAGGGTGGGAAGAGGGTGAGGATAGAAAAACTACCTATTGGGTACTATGCTTATTAACTGGGTGACAAAATAATCTGTACACCAAACCACCATGGTGCACAATTTACATATATAACAAACCTATACCTGTACCTCTGAAGCTAAAAGTTAAAACAAAAACAACTGTAGAGCCAAGAGACTCAGAGTTGCTACTCCAAATGCCCAGTGGCTAGCTGTGTGACACTGAGCAACCCTTGACTCTCTCTGTCCAATTTTCCTCATCTGGAAATTAGATCCATGTTTTCTACCCACCAACCAAGGAACCAGTACAGCAAATTCTTTAGCCTTTTGTGATTATTCTTTTCACCATTCTCCTCTGTAGGAGTGTGGGGCTCAGATTCCCCTTCTTCTTTTCCCACATTCCGTATCCCACCTGGTAGATGGTGACACTGATGCTGACGTATGATTTGATTTGCAAACTATCAGACGCAGGACCTCTGAAGTCCCTTCTTGATCATAAAGTCTACTAATGAGCTGCAGCTGATAATACTTCCTTTTTTTTTTTGAAACTGTAAGTATATTCATCTGTGAAAAATAAATTCTATACTGAGATACTTCTGAAGCTGCATTTCGTTCTGTACTAAGGAGAAATTTCACTGAAAGAAAAAAATAAGGCTGGGGAGAAATTTTCTCTGTGGGAGAGGTTAAAGAAATACTAAAGAGTCTTAGCAATGGCATGTAAACAACATAGAATCATTCCTGAACTCTGGGACACCTTCAAACTCTGAAATTAGCTATAGACAGTGGATTAAAAAAAAAGAAATATTCCTGGAGTGAACCCCGACAAAGCAATTTGATATTCACAAAGCTCTTTAGTCCTGAATCCCCCCCAAAAACATATTGTTTATTTGACTTAGAAATTTAATTTAACAACAGTTGCCAGTTACATGGAAGTAGTGGGTGGACTTTTAAAGGTAAACAGTTCAGTACAGAAACTATTATGTGTGGGAATCGTACTCTGTGCCTACTAAAAAGCAGTATCTTCCCTTAGTAGAAGTGTATGACAGGGTTTGGTACTGTTAAAACAACTGAAGTTCCTCATAATTGGGAAATTGCCTCTTTTGCACAGTCCATCAGACACTCACTTGGCTGCACTTAATGGAAGATGCTGATGGAAAGCCACAAAAGTGTCACTGGGGTGACATTCCATTTAAAGTCACCCCAACCAGACATTGTGAGCTTTCCAGGGGGAGGCATAAGCGCCAGGCTGGAAGCAGGCGGGATGATAACACAAAACAACTCAGGAGAGAGCTCTACAGCCCAGTGACTGAGGGATGAGGCTCTGTGGGTGAGTAGAATCTTTGCTACTTGTAGATGGATTTTGTTTCTCTCTCACAAGACCTTTCTAAGTCCTGCCTGCTCCCTGGAGAAAGAGCTCAGAATGTGAAAACAATGCATAGTTTTATTTGACTGAGAATTTATGTAAGCAAAAATAAGGAGTAGAAAGAAAAACAAAAGCCCTGTATAATGGCATGAAAACTACATTAGAAAACAGGAAAACAACTGTATTTGTGACCTCTGACAATTTTAGCCTCTATTTTGTCATCAGCGAATGAAGGGCCTTAGATGATGTCAAAGTTAGCTTTTAAGGTTTATTTCTGTGAATTAATAATTGTTTATTTTAGTTGAAGAGAAGAATTTAAGAAAAAAAAAAGAAAAAATGTAAATAAATTAGTAGGTCTTTCTAAGAAGTAAAAGGGAAGATTGGCCTAAGTTGATTATGATGATTGTTGATAACAGGACATTCTACCTACTGACTGACCCCTTTAAAAATAAATAAATTTAAGGGGTACAAGTGCAGTTTTGTTTCACAGATATATTGTGTAGTGGTGAAGTCTAGACTTCGAGTGTAGCCATCACCTGAATAATGTACATTATACCCATTAAGTAATTTCTCATCCTTTAGCCTCCTCCTACCTTCCCACCCTTCCCAGTCCAAAGTCTATTATTTCACACACTATGCCCTTGTATACACATTATTTAGCTCCCACTTGAATTTGTTTCCCTATCTCCATTCTGTTATCTGTTCATCACCTATACATTGTCTCAACCATTAAAAAACTTCCCCGTGGATTGCCCTGCCTCTATTCTTATCACTTGCCAGTTTGTTTCCATTCTGCAGCCAGAGACATATTTTCCAAAATACCATTCTGTTCATGTTACTCCCTTGCTTACAAATCATAAATAGTTCACTGTTGGCCTCAAAACAAAATTCAAACTCCCTAGCATGCTGCATAATGCATTTTGTGATATGGCCCTAACGTAGTGCCACTCACAGCTGCAGGACTAGAGAACAAGCCTCCAAGGACTGAGGTGGTCTCAGAAAGTCTTCTTGGGACAGAGAACAGGAGTCATGTATTAAAAGAGGTGCACAGAAACTAGCAGGAATGCATAATATCAAATTTTAAGGGTTGAGAACAAAAGCCTGAGGCCCAGAAGTAAATTCAAAAAGTCTGAAGCAGAACAAACAGAAATGGTGCAAAGACTGGGTAAAGGAGACACTTTGGAGAAAGATAAAGGTGGAGCTCTTCATAAACTTGCTGCCCTAGTGTCTTCTAGGGGACAGGAGTGATGACGTAAAGGAGCCAGGAGGACTGGAGACTGCACCCCTTTCCAGCATCAACTCTTGCCACTTGCCTTCACCTATGCTGTCCTCTAGCCATGCTCAACTCCTCTGTGGTCACTGAAAAATACGCCAGGCTCTTTCATATGACTTTACCCATGCCTTCCCACTCTGGAATATACCTTTTTCTTCTGCCTAATAAACTCTTATTCAATCTTTAAGACTTGCCATAGATTTCAAACACTGACTAGGCCCTTCCAGAGGCCCTGAAATAGTTCATTGTTCCTTCCCTGTCTCCACAGAAACTTGTACATACCTAAAGGGTATCAAATAGTATATACAATTATTGTTTGTTAATGTGGCCATATCCACACCAGATTGTGAGTTTCTGGAGGATAAAGACATGCCTTATTCAATACATTAAGCGTAGGAGAAAGAGATTGACAGACTAAGATCCGTTAAAGACATACATCTTTCTCATAAATGAACTTGAGGAATTAAAATAGAGCTCTATATTAAGTAGTATTATTTTTCTGACTTCAAGTGACCTCGGGGGATATTTTATTCTGATTAAAAATAGCTGTACCAAAAATATTCTTTCTGCCTACCCATAAGAGGGACACCTGTAAGGGCAAATATCCAAAATCTACAAAGAAACAGATTTACAAGAAAAAAACAACCCCATCAAAAAGTGAGCAAAGGATATGAACAGATACTTCTCAAAATAAGACATTTATGCAGCAAACAAACATATGAAAAAAGGCTCATCATCACTGGTCATTAGAGAAACGCAAATCAAAACCACAATGAGATGCCATCTCACATCAGTTAGAATGGCAATCATTAAAAAGTCAGGAAACAACAGATGCTGGAGAGGATGTGGAGAAATAGGAACACTTTTACGCTGTTGGTGGGAGTGTAAATTAGTTCAACCATTGTGGAAGACAGTGTGGTGATTCCTCAAGGATCTAGAACTAGAAATACCATTTGACCCAGCAATCCCATTACTGGGTATATACCCAAAGGATTATAAGTCATTCTGCTATAAAGATGCATGCACAAGTGTGTTTATCGCGGCACTGTTCACAACAGCAAAGACTTGGAACCAACCCAAATGCCCACCAATGATAGACTGGATAAAGAAAATGTGGCACATATACACCATGGAATACTATGCGCCATACAAAAGAATGAGTTCATGTCCTTTGCAGGGACACGGATGAAGCTGGAAACCATCATTCTCAGCAAACTAACACAAGAATAGAAAACCAATCACCACATGTTCTCGCTCATAAGTGAGAGTTGAACGATGAGAACACATGGACACAAGGAGGGGAAAACTGGGGCCTGTCGGGGGCTGGGGGAATAGGGGAGGGACATTAGGAGAAATACTTAATGTAGATGATGAGTTGATGGGTGCAGCAAACCACCATGGCATGTATATACCTATGTAACAAACCTGCATGTTCTGCACATGTATCCCAGAACTTATATATATATATATATATATATATATATATATATATATATATATATATAAAAGAACCGAGGATCAAAATACTAGACATGTGGGCTAAACAGTAACTTGCTTTAGGCATCACATAGAGTTTAAAAGTTGGTTTTCGGCTGCTTCCCAGAGCAAGATGACATAAGCTGCCTAGTCTGTCTTCCTGTGAATTTTCCATTGGTGGGGTAGGGGGGTATAAACAGTAAAGAGAGCTGGAGTTGGATCTGGCACTGCTTACATCACACCAACACTTTCCTTTGGATGAGAAGCTGCATATCTAGAAAGCTGGATTTGGGGAGAGAAAGCATTTGGAAAGACATGAATATCAAAATTCCTAAAGTTGATAGGTTTTTCATTGCTCTATTGTCTTTCTGGGATGAGAAAAACATTTTGCTGTAAAAAAAAGAATTCAATTTAAGTAAATTCAATTCTGCAAATGTATATTAGGTTTCTGCTGGGATAAAAGGTCCTATGCTAAGTTGAGGAAAATCTCAACTTGAACACAAAAAGACAATCAAAAGACATAGAGATGAATCTGATGTTGAAATTATTTAACACAGATATTAAAGCACATATAACAAAAATAAGAACATTACAAATAGTCCTATAACAATTAAAAATAGAAATATTACCAAAGAAATGATATTAAAAAAACATTTTAAAACTGGAAGAAACAAAAACCAAAAAAAAGTGTTCACCACTCTTATTTAACATATTAATAGTATTAGAAATTCTACCCAGCATAATATGTTAAGAGAAATGAATAAATAGCATATAAATTGAAAAAGAACAAGTAGTACTATCCTTATTCACAGAAGACATGATTGTCTACATAGCAAATCCCAAGCAATCTACCAAAAAAATATTAAAAATAATGAGCGAGTTCACCAAGGTTGCAGGATACAAAATCAACACACAAAAGTTAATTGCATTTCTACATACTAGCAAAATTAAAAACAAAATGGCATTTACAAATGTTCCAAAGAAAACAAAGTACTTGGGTATAAATATAAAAACCTTGTACAATATCTATATGATAAAAATTATAAAATACTAATAAAATAAATAAAAGATGACCTAAACTAATGAAGAGACATACTACATTTATGCATCGAAAGACCGAAAACAGTAAAGATATGAATTCTCCCCAAATTGATCTATAGGTTTAACAAACTTTCTATTAAAATCCCACTAAGAACTTTTGTGAATATAGACAAAATTATTATAAAACATATACAGAAGTTAAAGGACCTAGAATAGCTAAAACAATTTTGAAAAAGAAGAATAAAGTGATAGCAATCCCCCTACCTAATGTTAAAACTTATTACACAACTACAGCCATGAAGACAATGTAGTTTTGGCAGAGGGATAGGCACGTAATTCAATAGAACACAACAAAGAGCTCAGAAAGAGCCCCACACAAATATCATCAACTGATTTTTGACAAAGGTCCAAGAGCTAATTTGATGGAGCAATTATAGTCTTCAAAATAATCGTGCCAGATTAATTAGACATACAGATTGGGGGGAAAAATACACGTCAATTTAAATAAGAAAGAAAAGAAGAAAACATATGCAAAAATCTTCAGGACCTAAAACGATATAAAGAGTTCCTATTCTTAACACAAAACCATGCTCCATAAAATGTAAAACTGATCTCTTTTTTTTTTTAAGTAAAAACTTTTTCTCCGCAGAAGACCCTGTGAAGGAGATAAAAAGACAGTAAGATCCAGGCTGAGAGAAGACACTTAGAAACCATATATCCAACAAAGGAATAGTATCTAGAATACGTAAAGAACTCTCAAAACACAACAGTAAAAAATTACAGAATTCAACTAGAAAATGAGCAATAGACATGAATAGATGGTAATAAGCATATAAAAAGATGTTCAGTATCTTTAGCCATTAAAAGAAGACAAATTAAAACTGCAGTGAGAAACCACCAGACATCTATCAGAATGACTAAAATGAAAACTTGTGATAACAAGAAATCCTGATGATGCAGAAAAACTGGATCATTCGTACAATGCTGGTGGGAATATAAACTGGTACGACCAGTCTGGAAGAATAAGGCAGTTTCTTATAAAACTAGGTGAAAGGTACATGAGATTTCTTCGACATTTTTTTTTTCAATCTCCTATACATTACTACAAAGCAAAAAAATTTAAAATACATATTTACTGTTATCTTCTGTGTGATCATATTTAAACATTCTTAATTGACTTCCTATTATAGAAAATGAGGATTTTAACTTTTTTTTATTCTCCCTTTCCCTTCATCCCTCTCTTCCCCCATTATAGTTATTATGACAAGTATTGGTTAAATCTGTGTTTAGTATTTGTATAATTATGGTATTATAAATATTATTCACTGATGAAACAGGTAGCCTATTATCACTACATTTATTTTCTTGAATAAATTCCTACTTACACTGGTGTTAAAACCTCCTCTTTGTCCCATTCGTTTAGAGTAAATATATAGCTACGCCTTGGCCCTACTTTTTTGACAACTATACACAATTTTATACACAGAACACCTGCCAATTCCATTTCCCCCTCAGAGACTTTGCTGAGATTTCCTGTCCTGTACTTTGCTCTGGATGCTGGTCTACATAAGTTGTGCTGCATGGTGGAAGACCTGGAAGTTCTGTCATCATTCTGGGAATTCTCCTCACTTGGTTCCTGTGTTTGGTTCCCTGCTTCCTCAATTTGATGTTGTCCTGTCTTGGTTTACTCCCTTTTTTTTTTTTTTTTTTTGGTGGTGCACATATCTAGCAGCTTCCTGAGAAGACCTACATGCAGACAAATATTTTATATGGCTGAAACTATTTTAAATTTACCTTATACCTGATTGATTAGTGAGCTGGGCTATGATTCTACACTGAAAAAAAAATTTCGTCTCAAAATTTAGATTAGTACATAATAAAAAATTAATGCATTTATCTACAATTTTTTATTCTTAACATAAAGAATCTTAAATTTTATACATCTTAATCTTTATATATACTGTTTTTTACTACCTAGATCAATTTAAAATGAACCTTTATCATTGTAAATTTATGATTATTTCTTTGGGTGAATTCTCAGTGGGCCTTTTCCACCAGGAAACTCCTAAGAATTTTTCTTTTATCATTTCTTTGACAATTTCCTTCCTTCCATTTCCTGCTCCTTTTGTTCCCAAAATCCTTTGGCTAAACAACACCTTCTAAAGTAATGCCCTAAATTTTATTTTATTTTATTTGTTTGTTTGTTTTGAGACATTGTCTCGCTCTGTCACCCAAGCTGGAGTGCAGGGGTGCTATCTCAGCTCAATGCAAGCTCCGCCTCCCCGGTTCACGCCATTCTCCTGCCTCAGCCTCCCAAGTAGCTGGGACTACAGGCACCTGCCACCATGCCTGGCTAATTTTTTGTATTTTTTAGTAGAGGCCAGGTTTCACCGTGTCAGCCAGGATGGTCTTGATCTCCTCACCTCATGATCTGCCCTCCTCGGCCTCCCAAAGTGCTGGGATTACAGGCGTGAGCCAACGCACCTGGCCTATTTCTTCCATTTTTATCTCTGCCTTTTTTGCTGTACTTTGTGGATGATTTCATTGACTTTATATTCTAAACATTTTACATTTTTAAAAATTTTGAATACCATATTTTATTTTCTGATAATTTTCTTGCTTTCTGATTGTTTTTTAAAGCACTTGGATTACATCTCACCAATACAATATCTTCCCTTATCTCTGTGGCTATTAATTATAATTTCTTTCATATTTTCTTCTACTTATTGGGTTGTCCGTAATTTTTCTAAGTTCCTCTTTCGTTTCTGTTTGCTTTATTTCTGTCTTTCATTTTAGGTATGTCCCACAATATTCAGTGATTGTTTCTTATTCATATTTAAAAGTGAGACCCTAAAGAGCTTATTGAAAGTTCTGTGCATATATTCAGGGCTTCTTAATTGGTATATATCACTCTAAACTGACCAGGAAGTATTTTAGACTTTTTTTACACTTCTCCAAATTTCAGTATATGTAGGCCCCTTCTCTGAATCAGTTGTGTTTCTTTCACTTTTCCTCCAGAGGAGAATCCTTTAAACTTCTATCAGGGGATATAAGCCCAGCTACTGACATTTTGAAGCTAGTTGAACAAATGGATCTGAGATGGGAAATCTTACCTTCAATATAGACTTTAATCTAATCCCCCTGACATGCTTTGGATGTTTGTCCCCTCCAAATCTCACATTGAAATATTACCTTCAATGTTGGGGGTGAGACCTAGTGGTAAATATTGTATAATGGGGGTGGATCCCTCATGAACAGCTTAGCACCATCCCCTTGGTGATGAGTTCTTGCCCAGCTCACACTCAACCTGTTTAATAGAGTGTGGCACATCCTCCCTCTCTTTCTTGCTCCTACTCTCACCATGTGATATACCTGCCTCCTGCTTCACCTTCCACCATGATTGTAAGCTTCCTGAGGCCCTCACCAAAAGCTGAACAGATACTGGCACCATGCTTCCTGTACAATCTGAAGAACCATGAGCCAAATAAACCTCTTTTCTTTATAAATTACTCAGCCACAAGTATTTCTTTATAGGAATGCAAAACGTGACCAATACATACTGTTTTAAGTACGGAGCTTTACTGTTCTGTTGAGTCTCCCCAAATCCATAGCCTCTCTCAGTCTCTCAAGAAAATATATCTCCAGTTTTTTTCACTCATGAAGGAGTGGACTAAGTCCTCCTATGAAGACTTTAAAATAGTCCTTCAATTGTCAGCCCAGCCAGAAATCTCAAGAACTTTTTTTTAACTTGGAAAAGAAAAAGAAGAATGCAATTATTAACTCAGTTCCCATTATGTCTCTGACACTATGTTGCCACCATATTTACATTATCTTATTTAATCTTCCATACCTTATAAGATATATCATTCCTATTTTACAGAAGATGAAGCTGAAGCTCAAGTGGCTAATTAAGTTTCTCAACATCACACAACTAGTAAGAGTTCAACATAATTTATTAATAATAAATTTGATATAATGTATTGTTGGAGTTCTTTACTATTTTATCGAAGTTTGTGTGAAAGTTCCAAGGTAGGCACCAGAGTATTAGGAACGTCCTTGTATATCAGCCGATACGGATGGCTTCTTAGATGTTCATGGACCTAACGTACATGATCCTGCCTTGCTGATTCCCTAGGGCACAGGCATCTTTTCTAAGTTGGGTAATGGCAATGGCTACCATATGGATAGCATACAGCTATCCTTAGCTGCTCCACACAGGCATATGCTCTATGGTGCTGAAAACACTCTGGAGGGTGAATCATAATGGGACATGAGAACTTGCTGTTTTCAGAACCCATCAACCTTTATCTGTTTCCCAGGCTAAGGAAATCTCTCAAAAGTATTTATATCACTGTCATCTCTACCTTTCAGGGACATGAATAGCATAATCTCCATAAGTTTTAAGTCTTTTACAGAAAAATAAAGAAGAGTGATAGATCTAAGAAGCTTCTGTTTCTCACTCTAGAGAAAATAATGAGGCAATGAATTAGCCTGATGAAATATTTTTTGGAATGGGAGATGGAAAAATAAAGGTAAACAAAACAATTTAATATCTGATCAATTATTCTGACATATACATACTACTTTTAAAAATCTGGCCATTTCAGCAAACTCTCTGTATGACACCACTGGTTTTTAAAATCATGTCTTTCTGTTGTTGGTTGAGGCCACTTGCAATATACAATGTGAATTGCTTTTTTTTTTTTTTTTTTTTTTAGAACTTTCCTATTTCTCTAGTAGACTTCCCTTCCAGATGTCTTATGATGGTGTGTCATTATCGTTTTTTCTCCGAATTTCTTGAAATCTGATTCTTAAAGCAAACTTCAGGCTATGCTTACTGTTTCCTGCTCTCACTATTACAAACTAGCAACATATGGCAGCTTTCTACTCACAGGCAAGTCTCTTTCACTTCACTATATGTTTAGGCCTCAAGTGTCAGTTCCCCCTAGGTACTTTCTCTTTCTCAGGAACAAAATCATCAAAAAGTCAAGAATCTGTTACTCTTTTAGCTGAAGGAGTGTTTTTTGCAGATGCTGTGGGATTGGCTTTGTGTGCTTCTTTGGTTGGTGTATGGCAGATGCACCTGATGGCAGTAACAGCATACCCTGAGAATGCCCCTATGGTCTAAGAAGAATGTGTGTTCAGAGTTTTGAGCTAAGGAATCTGGGAGTGGCCAACCTGGAGATTTATGCCTTATGTATGAGGAACATATGAACCCTCAGTCCATCCCATGGAATACAGGTCATACAGAGGATCGAGGCCCTTTGTATGGGCTTAAATGAAGATTGCCAGGTGGAGGTTGTGCTAAGGGGAGGGTGCTAAGTGAAAATACTATATAAACTTCATATTTTTTACAAGTGGTTGCAGTTCTCCTGTCTAGCCTGCTACTATTGGACCACCTTGCATGTGAGTCCCCTCAGTAAATCCTATGTCTTATTCACTGGCTCTAGTTCTCTTCTTTGGCCTCTTATACATGATGCTATCCCTACTGAAGGAAATATGGGTCGAGCATGACAGTTGGGACATGTTGCTCATTTCTGTTATGGGTATCTGCTGCTTGTATGTACAGCTACTATGATGTCACCTCTGTTCCTCTCCTGCTATCACCATGAAAATGGACTCTAAAATCTAATGTAAAGATTTCCACAGTATACACACTTTGATATACAGTAGAACCCTGCCCCCCTGTAAGGTACATGGATGTGCTTTGGTCAAGGATAGGCCGGGGTGCATATCCAGGCCTACATGACTCAGCAAGTTTGAGGCACAGGCGCACACCTCCATCTGTTACATCACCTGTTTTTGTAAGTTCATACTTGGCTCTGAGCCACTATTACCTATAAAAGGTATAATTGCTCTGCTAAAGCTGTACAGGGGCTCTTGGGGCTCGGCTTGGTTCAACATGGATCTTGTGCTGGTGCCCAGAGAGAGGGCCAAAGCTGTCCCGTCTTGCAGATGCACAGAGGGGAGCCACAGCACTGCTCACGCTGGTGCCCAGATATAGAGTTAAGCTACTCACCGTGAAGGCAAGGGGGAGCCAGTGGTGCAGCTGCAGGCTTGAGGGCAGAAGGAGCCATAGAGCCAGAGCAGACAGCCAAGATAAAGGTGCATACTGTAACGTAGTGTAAGTAAGTTGTCAATGACAGCTGCTGCTGAATAAAACCGTATTCACCTGCCTACAGCCCCCTAAGTGCTCTTTCTACCCATCCACCCACTCCCCTCAGACTGCAGCATGGGCTGGACCTGGACCCCACGATCTGACAATTGACAAATATGGATGGGAAGAGGTGGGCAGATCTTCAGTCCCTGAGGGCTCCCTGGTTGGCTATGAGGCTGCAGCATGAGCTGTGGTACCTGGTGGCAGCGGTGCTGCATGGATGGGAAACATAAATGATAGTGGATGGGTCTCCTGGGAGTGTGGAGAAGGCGCTGCATCACCTGGAAGTGCAAGCATTGACAAGAGGCATGCCTTTACAAGCAGAGTCAGATGGCCATTTGTGACTGTGCTGTAGGGCGTGCATGCCCAGTCCTTGCAGGACGCAGCACAGGGAGAAGGAAGAACCTCCATTGCAGGCTCACCCAGTGATCCACCTGAAAATAGAGCATGAGCAGCTGTCAGGCCCCAAGGGTGGGCCAGAGACCCCACTACTGTGGTGAAACACATTACCTTTGTTGCCTGTGTCCCCGCTAAGTTGTGGGAGTTAAGCAAGTAATGTCGGCAGTCACGTACAGACTTAGTGCAGGTCATTTGGGAGAAGGATATTGCTTCACGACCCAGTCCTGCCCTAGCATTCCACTTCAAAGAGTACCTGCTGCCATTAGCGGGAGTGTAAAGCCTTTTCTGTTTGATAAGAGAACTGGTCGAGATGCGCGGCTTGTAGGGGGGCACCGGACAACCAGAGCTACCTTTGGACTTGGCAATCTACTGGTCCCTGAACCTGGATAAATTTCCAGGCAGAGCTGCATTTATTAATGGCTGTGAAGACCAGTCAGTGAAAATGAAAACCTGTGTCTTTGCATCTTGGCATGGGCCGCTTTGCTCTCTGTGTATGCACTGTGTCTCTCCCATACCTGATGCATTCTGGGGCTGAATGTTTTGCATGGTTTGGTAACTGTGATGTCTGTTATGGGCTTGATGGACCATTTGACAACAGAATAGGGACAGTCCACTGAGAGCCAGGAACAGTTTGCCTTCATGGGAAGGCAACAATGAACTTTCACAGTGTTGCTGCAGGGCTATTGTATGGCCCCAACATATGTTGTGATTTTGTTAATAATGTAATGTTAACCTCTGATTCTCTTGCAGGTTGAAAAGTGGCAGTGCCCTTTCTTGTCTGGAATTAGGATGATGAGGCTAAGACAGCCTTTCTGTGTAGTAAATCAAGGGTGCCCATTTACACTAGATGTACATCTAACCACAGATAGTTTTGGCTGGGGCCTATAGCAGTGCATGGAGTGATTGGAAGTGCCAGTGGGCTGTTAGTCTCAGCTGTGGAAGGGAGTTGAGCTCTGGTGTTAATAGAGAAGCAGTTAGTAATAGCAGGATGGGTGTGTTCCTGGGTAACCAGCCCCCAGACTGGGAAAGCAGCTAGTGACTGCATATGCTGCCCTTCAGGCCCATAAGAGCATGGCAGGATGGGTTACAGTCATCATGCAGGCAACTTGCCCTGTAGCTGGATGGGTGCATTCGTGGATAATGAGCCCCTGGACAAGGATGGTGCAGACATCCATTTTAATGAAGTAGGGTGCCTACTTAGAGCAGCGGAGTATGCTGAGTACGACTCCCTTAGCAGCAGAGTTACAAGAGGTTTTAGGGCTTGTAGTCCTAATACAAGATAAGGCCATGGGGCGTGAGGCACCCCTAGACCCTGAGCCTTCACCATTAGGAAGGGCATCCCCCCATTCCTAATAGGGCATGGTACACAGCTGGGTCTAGCTGGGGTGCTACTGCTGCCTGGAGTGCTGGTGCAGCCCAGCCTAGTACTGACACCACGTGGTTTAAAACCAGGTGTAGGCAAAGTTGCCAATAAGCTAAACTCAGGGCAATGTGGATGGTAATCACCAAGGAAGTGACACCTACTGTAATCTGCGCCAATAGCTGGGCAGTTTATCAAAGCTTGTATATGTAATGGGCCTGCATGCCCAGAAGCTTATGTATGTATCAGGCCTGTGTGCCCAAAGCTTATGTGTCAGGCTTATGTGTCAAGCCTATACGTATGTACTGGGCCTGTGTGTGCAAAGCTTATATGCATAACCTGTGTGTCCAAAACCAATGTCTCTCTCGGCCTAGGGGGTGGAGTGTAAGGTACATAGATGTGCTTTGGTCAAGGATAGGCCAAGGCAGATATCCAGGCCTTCATGACTCAGATAGTTTGGCGCACAGGTGCACACCTCTCTTTGTTATATAACCTGTTTGTATAAGTTCATACTTGGCTCTGAACCACTATTGTCTGTAAAAGGTATAATTGCACTGCTAACACTGTACAGGGGCTCTTGGGGCTCAGATTGGCTCAGCATGGCTCTTGTGCAAGCTCTGGTGTCCAGAGAAAGAGAGAGAGCCAAAGCTGTCCATCTTGCAGACAAAGGAGAGCCACAGCATGGCCCGCACTGGTGCCCAGGGAGGGAAAGAGTTAAGCGGCTGACCCTGAAGGCAAGGGACAGCCAGCCACACAGCTGCAGGCATGGGGACAGCAGGAGCCACAGAGCCGGAGTAGATGGCCAAGATAAAGGTGCACAGTGTAAAGAGCTAGTGTAAGTAAGTTGTTGATGAGAGCGGCTGCTGAATAAAACCATATTCACCTGCCTACACCCTCCCGCTGCCACCCCACCCCCAGCCCCCCACGTGTTCTTTCTGCCCATCCACTCACTCCCCTCGGACCACAGCATGGGCTGGACCTGGACCCTGGGATCTGACACTCCCACACTACAAAAATGTACTGTTTTTGGAAAGAGCTTACCCTTAAGCCACGATTTTCCAAGTTTGAGCTTCAACCCAGAAAGTCTCAGTAATTTTAATATATTTGTATTGATTGCCTGATGTGCTAATCTCAACTTCACATATGAATATGAACATATACCCCTTCTGGTCTTATTATTTTCTTTTTTTAGAGTTATAAAATACTTGGTGTTTTTCTGTCTTTACTCTGTATCTTAAAGCATTTTCTCTCACCTTCTCCATAGTTCAGTGCTGTTAATTGACAAAAAAGCTATCTAGTAGGCCATATATTCTCAAAACTCAATGCATAAGGAGCACCTGTAAAGCTAATTTACAGAAGCTAACTCAGTGTCTTCCAACCCCTTTTTCCTGCTGAGCTCAGTAAGTTGGTGATAAGGCCCAAGAATTGGTATTCTGCAGACCACATATTGAGAAGAGCTATTCCAGACAAGCAAGTGTCCCCCACTTCAGTGAGATGAGCTACATTATCCAAGTTTCATCATTCCAATATCTTAGGCCATTGTCCAGAAATTCAGATGATTGCCAATACCATCTGTGGAGCCAAATGTTCAACTCCACGATCATTTTTCTCTTTTAAAGTCTTCTGGATAGGAGGAAATGTTGAACATACCACCTGGGATCTGTAGTGTCCTTACTTCCTTCAACTTTCTACCCAAACCTCAGAAAGCATTATATTTTCAAATGCCACCAAGTCAGAAAGAGCAAGAAATGGTTAGCTCTTTTGCCAAAACTTATCCTTCCCCTATACAATACATGCTTTGGAAAAATAGGACATCTCCTGAAGGATAAAGATGTTTACATTCATTTGCATCTAAATGAATCAGTAGAAAGTTACTAATCACTGATAACGGGTACCTGCCTCCTACCTTCAAAGGCAAGACTTACTTTACCTAAAATTATTTGAAAATTATTCTTACTGGAGCATGTGTTTCCCAAGATCTAATTTATCTCAATCAGTGGTTCTAAACCAAGTGCAATTTTGACACCAGGGGACATTTGGCAAAGTTTGGAGACATTTATGTTTGTCATGAGTGAAGAATGGGGGAGCTACTGACATCTCGTGAGTAGAGACCAAGGACGTTGCAGTACATAGTACAATGTACAAGACACCACCCCACCCCACTAAAAAACAGGAAATAAATGTAAATAGTGCCCGGATTGAGAAACCCTGCTGTATATGAAACAAGCATCATACCTACCATGAATACACAGTAACTACCATATGCTAACTATTTGTATTCTTATTAAATATATGCATCATGTTAGATCAGTGTCATAACTTTTCAAAATTCATTCTGATCCCTCAGCTTTTGGCTTTCTTATGTAACTTTCTATTCCATATATTACTTTCTTTTTCTTATTTTTTCTGTATTAGAGGCATTATCGTGAACATCTGTGTTTTTGTATCTCCAGCAACTCTTTATCGGAACAGCATCTCAGCTGCTGCATGTGATTACTATAAGCCAGGCAATCATGAACTCCCAAAAACCCTAAACACATGGGTGATAGCAGGGCCCAATGCTAAGCGGATCTTTTCCTGCTGGGAATGACACACTTAAGTGAAGACACACAAGAGTACAAGATCTTTGTAACTAAGTCATCCAGTGGTACTACTCTAAAGAGAACGGTTACACATTTCTGCTGCTGCAAGCTGTACTGAGTTATCTTTTAATTACTCAGAATATTTTCACTTTTTGTTTGTTCATCATCATTAAAGACTGATACATGTTGCTAGTAGCCAAAGAACAAGAGATAATAAACGTTTCTTTTTTTTTTTTTTTTTTCTCGCACTGTCGCCCAGGCAGGAGTGCAGTGGTGCAATCTCAGCTCACTGCAACCTCAGCCTCCTCAGTTCAAGCACTTCTCCTGCCTCAGCCTCCCGAGTAGCTGGGATTACAGGCGACCACCACCATGCCCAGCTAATTTTTGTATTTTGGTAGAGATGGGGTTTCACCATGTTGTCCAGGCTGGCCTTGAACTCCTTACCTCAAGCAATCCACCCACCTCGGTTTCCCAAAGTGCTGGTATTACAGGCGTGAGCCACCGCGCTCCGCGGGATAAATATTTCTTTATTGTTGATCTGCTGACACAGCGAAGAGAGATTCTCCCAGCTGCTTCACTTCTTCCTTTTGAAAGAAACTAGCCTGAATGTGTTCACAGTTATTTGGGACTTACCTCTGGTGAGGAAAGCAGTATACATCCCTTGAAGTTCTGAAGCCCTCGCCTGAGCCCACTCAATAAACAGAATATTTTACAACAGTGTTACTTAAAAGGTGGCCTGCCTTCCAGGAGTACCTGCAGCTTATTAGAAATGCAGATTATGGAACTCACATGACTGCAGGTCTCAAATTTCAGCCTGCATAAAAATCACCTGGAAGGCTTGTTAAATGAAGAGGCCTAGCTTGCCCCCGCAGAGATTCAGCAGGTCTCAGATGGGGCCCAAGAATTTTCTTTTCTATCCAGTTCCAAGGCAGTACTGCTATTGCTGTTGTTCTTCAGACCACATTTAGAACAGCTCTGTGAGAACATGTCACTTTTTCTCCTTTTTAATCTTTATCTTATCTGACATAAAGCACAGTTGCTTCAGTTGCAAATAAAAGAAACCCACCTCAAACTGACTTAAATAGCAAAGGGAACTTATGTCCTGATACAAATTGCAATTTAGAGGTTTGAGGGTTTCAGCTGTAGCCCAATTACATCGCCAACTGCCTGGCTCCTTCCAAGTAATATTCTTTTTGAATATTGCTGAAAACTGTGAAGCTGTCAGATCTGATGGGGATGTGTTTACTAATGTGGCCACTACTCAAATTTATCTTTAACCATATCCATATAGCATTTTTAGCATATTGTAGGCCTTCAATGAATAATAAATACAGATCTCTGTCATTCCTTCTTCTTTGAACAAGCTGTTGTCTACCTGGAAAATAATTTTTTATCTACTCATATATCCGTTCCTTATATCACAATAACTCCCAAATGTCAAGAACCCTTATGTGCTAGGTAGAGAATGGAGAACAAAACAGCCATAGTACTACTTTAAAAAGCTTTAATAACTTTCTAAGAAGCTTTCCTGACTTCCTACCCTTATTCCCATTCCCTAAACCAACTTAGGAATACTTGCTAGTGCCATCCTTCCTCTTACACTATGTACCCCATGATATTGTATATATAAAGTAAATAGAAAAACATAAATAAGTGTAAAGTGTAATAGATACAATAAAGTAGAAAGAGATGACTGGGGGAATGTGACAATGTGGATATAAAGGCCATGGGGATTTTGTAACTTAGATCAGGATCCTCTCAAGTGATCTTATTACGATACTCTCATTTTGAAGTGTGAAACACACAGGGTAATAAACATTGGGAAAGCATAAAAAATCCCACAAAAGAAATTACATTATGTTTTATTAAATCAGAGTTTAAAAATATCTGATTATGTCTTGAAAAATCAATAACGTTGTATTCTTTTTTAATAATACTCTTCTGTCTTGGGATAGTTAACTGTATTTACTGTTATTTTTCCACATAAGCAGAAAAAATAAAGCCATGAGGGAGTGTATTGGAGATGTCTGCAGTTGAGTCAATCCTGTAGAGTACAGAGTTGATTTATAACTCCATTTGATCCATTTGCTTTAGTGATGGTCTTTTCTCTTCCAATCCAGCATGGTAAAGATCTGTCAGAGAAAACAAATGACTCAGACTCCATGTGCTGTGTCTGTGTACAGTTTATCCGTCGTCCTTCATGTTCTTCCCTTATGCACATCTGACAATGTCTCTCAAGGTTAGTGAAAGAGTGAGCATACCTGCTAAGCAAATTGGAAATAAAATCAGAAATGTTTTTTGGAGAAAATGCAGCAAAGAAGCCATCTCCTCCCTCCTGCCCCAATTTATCATGTCTTTAAGATTTTCTTTTTGGTCTTCTTCATCTCTCAACTCATGAACTTTGGCATTGACATAGCCAAGATGATTTTTTTCTTTCTTTCTTTCTTTTTTATTTTTATTCTTTTTTTTTTTTTTTTTTTTTTTTTTTTGGTTGGAGAAGGGGTTATGCTTTGCTGCCCAGGCTAGAGTGCAGTGGTGTGATCAGAGCTCACACCACTCACACTACTGGGGAGTAGTCCTAGCTGGTCCAGAGGCTGAGGCTCAAATGATCCTCCCACCTCAGTTGCTGGAGTAGCCAGGACTACAGGGATGTACACCAGGTCCAGCTAACTGGTTTTTTATGTTTTGTAGAGATGAGATCTGGCTATGTTACCCAGGCTGAACTTCAATGCCTGGCCTGAAGTGATCTTCTCACCTTAGGCTCCCAAAGTGCTGGGATTACATGTTAGAGCCACCATGCTCAGCCCAAGATGACTTTTTATGGTTGAATTTTCATGTTTCTATAAACAATAATGATGGTGATGGTGATCTGATGGCTTTGTCAAAGGTCAAGAAAGTTCCAGGACTGTTGAGTTAGAAATAGCGTGTCACGTTGTTTGGGTCATTCACAGCTGACAGATGGGCAAACCACAAGCAAAGGAAATGAAAAAGACATCTGCTGGGCAATTCTGTAAAAGACAGGATCAATTTTTTGTGGGATAAAGGATTCTTACAATTTTGGACACCGCACTAAGAAAAAAGGAATGCAAAGTAACAAATAAATTGTATGAAAAGTGTTTAGAAAATGAAGAAAAGAAATGGGAAAAATTTACAAATATAAAAGTGCTGATGGATACCACAAACATCACAAAATTCAGAAAAATAACAATATTCGTATTAATAGCTACTATCTTCTTTTCCATTACGTACTCCCAATTGTAGATGCTATAGGGCACTTTTATATATAGCAGAATAACTCTGGCCCTGCAGGTTCACATTATGATACTAAGTAAACTTCATGGCGAGCAGTTAGGAATAGAACTGACATTGCCATACTTAACAATTACTTAGCTATTTACAAAAAGACTGCAAAGCACATAAACTCTCACTAAACCCAAATAAAATGTACTCCCATTTCAATTTCCCCTTTTCTATATCCTAAAGTTGCCACAGGCTACTCTAATGCCCCTTTATAGGAGGCAGAGTATGCCAAGGGGTTGCAGTGGAAAGGGGCAACAGACGGAAATGATGTGGTTTAAATGTATTACAATTGTATATTTTACAAAGGCATAGAAGCAAGTTGATGATGATTCTGGAAGAGGACCTGGAAGGAGCCCCAGAAGGTGATGAGCCCTGAGGCTTAAGATTCATCAGCTTTATAGTAAATCCAACCAATGTACTAGGTGTACGTATTGAGGAACTTGACTATAAAAATTCAGTAAATGTTTTGAGAACCTGTACTAGACAAATTGGGGGGATTTATGATGCACATGGTATGGAGGAAGGGAACCTATTTATTTATATTTTCATCTTAGGATTTTTATCTATGTGAATATATTACCTGTTCAAAAAAATAAGTAAATATTTTTAAATAGAAATTTTAAAAGAAACCAGTGAGACATGGTTCCTATTCCCAGCTTTGATAAGCTTTCTCAAATTATGCAGGGGTGAAAGAAGAAAAAATAACTGAGAGGTTCAAGAACCCTCAGGAATGAACCAAGATATATAAGAATACCTATGAGAATATCTATATCTATGAGAATATCTATGAGACTATTGGAGCTTCAATTCAGACTTAATTCTGAGCAGGAAGGGAAGAAGAATGAAACCACATAGAGTAGAAGGGTATGCAGGCGGAGCCATTGTGACATTAGAAGTCTGGTGCAGTCACAAAAGTTCATTTATAAACTCTCGTGCAGAATGAGGGTCAAGCCATCTCAGATGTTAAGTAGGAATTCAGAAACTGGAAGGCCAGGCAAGGCACAATTGAATGGGCTGGACCAAACTGACCAGAGGAGGAAGTCTGCCTTTAAGCAAACTCTCACATGCCCCTGTTTACCACACAGTCACTAAACAAGCCAAGTGGTCCATTACTTGTCTTGTCTAGGAGGTAGCCTCACACCATAGATGTGTGCAAAGCTTCCTCCCTTAGCCCTTTATGAGCCCCTGACCTACACTTATGTGAACATAATAAAATAATTGTCATTTTAAGCCACTACAGTTGGGCAATTTGTTACACGGAACTGTAGCCAGAATACTATTCTTCGTCCATTTATTTTTGAAGCAAGATACTAAGAATGTTGAGTATAAATTATTTTGAATCAAGTTAGAACATTTTTGTTCAAAGGTCTGGAGGAATTCCCTCAGTGTGTTATGACATGTTGTTAGATGAGTAGATAGATAAGTAACACAACCCTCAGAGAGTAGCAGTTGCTGTAACCTCCAAGAAGCAGAGTGTGTGCCAGTCCTCCTGTACAACTGCATTCGAATCATGCTGAGCTCCCAAGGCCTCTGCAGCCTTGCTGTGCCCTTTTACCTCTAACCTATGTGTGTGCTATCCCTTTTGCCAGGAAGTGCGCTTTCTCCTTTCTCCTACAGCTTCTCGCGTGCTATTTCCTTTCTACTACCTTTCATTCCTTCGATCACTTCCGTCCTCTCATCACCACCTTCTTCTTTATCTAAATCTACTTGGCACCACTTCCTCTAGCAAACATTCTGTATCCAACTCCATACAGGGTAAGTGAGCTTAGCTTCTCTAATTTTACAGCCCCCTGCTTTTCTCTTTGTGAGCAATCACCACCTGCAGGTTAACTGCCTATCTGCATAACTCTTTCACAAAATTGTAAAATCCCTGAGGATAGGGAAAAAGGCTATTTTATTGTGGTACCACCAATGCTCTAACATGCACCTAGAATTTAGCTCATAGTGTGTGCTCAATATTTATGGACCAAAAGGATAAATGAAGTATAACGTGTCCTTTAATACTGCAAGGATTCACTTCAGTGACCTTTTACCCCAGTTTTTGTTAGTATGCATTATGGACTAAATATTTGTGTGTCCCTCTCCCCGTCACCCCACTACAAATTCACATGTTGAAATCCTAACCTTCAATGCAATGGTGTTGAAAGGTATGGCTTTTGAGAGATAATTAGATTATGAGGGGAAACCTCCTTAAATGGGGTTAGCACCCTTATAAAAAAAAGACTCCAGAGAGTTCTCTTGCTCTCTTTCTACCATTGGAATATACAATAAGAAGTCAGCAGTCTGCAAACAGGAAGAGGGTCCTCTCCAGAACCTGATCATGCTGGCACTCTGTTGTTGGATTTCCAGCCTCCAGAGCTGTGAAAAATAAATTTTTATTGTTTAAACAATATAGTTGGTAGCATCTTATTATAACACCCCAAGCTAAGACAGTGTATATTGGCCAAATGGGACTGAACCTTTTTTCCATTCTCAGAGAAGAGGAGGAACCATTCTGTGAACCAATACCAAGACGTGGGCCAGTGAAAGCCATTGGATAATCTCTATATTGACCTGGTTCCTAATATTCTATGACCAACTATGATGGGCCAGTAATAAAGTGATACCCCCAATTCTGTTGGAAGTAGTATAACTTCAGAAGGAACTGCCCACACTCTCTTTCAGGCTTTTCAATTAAGCCTGGGCCAGTGTGGGCCATGCCCTGCCCATCTCCACAATTTAGACCTTCAGGTGGCTGTGGTAAAGGAGAAGGTCTGGCCTACAAAAGCATGGTCATGCTGACCCTGACTGAGGCTAGGCAAGGCTGCTCAGAAGCATGGGAAGGATGCAATCCTTAGTCAAATTACCTGGCCCAATTTTTGCTCTGCAACATATTTCCCATGAACGGGTAAAGCTGTACTCATTGATTGCTATGGTCTGAATATTTGTGTCCTCTCCAAATTCACAGGTTGAAACTTAGTCGCCAATGTAATGGTGTTGGGAGGTGGGACATTTTGGAGGTGATTAAGTCATAAGGGTAGAGCCCTAGGGAATGGGATTTTTTCCCTTATAAAAGAGGCCCAATTGAGCTCTTTCACTTCTTCCATCATCTGAGGTCACCACTAAAAGGCATCATCTATGAACCAGGAAATGGGTCCTTACCAGGCACCAACTCTGCTGCTACCTTGATCGTGAACTTCCTAGCTTCTAGAACGATGAGAAATCAATTTCCGTTGCTTCTAAGGTACCCAGTTTATTATATTTTGTTATAGCCTGAAAACAGAGGAAAAAATTGATAAAATGAAGAAAATGGTAATAGCCACATCACTAGAATGTTCTTGAGATAAATTAGCTGATAAATGGGTAAAATGTAAAGACTTAACGAGGTATGGATAAGACATGGTAAAAACATCAGTAAAGGATGAAGGACATCATCTCTATTAATACAGCAAATAAGTGGCTCAGCCATTTACCCATGTCCTTGAGCAAGTCACTTTATCATCTTTGCACCTTTCTGCTCAAATGCAAAATTGAAGTAAAAGTTGTATCTACCTACATATGTTAATAAATGTAAAATGCTTAACCCAGAACCTAGCATGCACTAAATTCTCCTTAAAGATTAATGAAACACTAGTATGTATTCTTAAACGCCCTTTGAAAGTTTAGGAAGGTTTTGTTTGTTTGTAAGAATTAAAGGAGGCTTCATGATGAAGGAGGTATGTTGTCTGTGTTTTGTTTTGTTTTAATTTATTTTATTTATTTATTTATTTATTTATTGTTTGAGACAGCCTCACTCTGTTGTCCAGGCTGCAGTCCAGTGGTGCGATATCGGCTCACTGCAACTTCCGCCTCCCGGGTTCAAGTGATTCTCCTGCCTCAGCCTCCCAAGTAGTTGGGATTACAGGAGTGCACCACCACGCGCAGCTAATTTTTGTATTTTTAGTAGAGACGGGTTTCACCATGTTGGCCATGCTGGTCTTAAACTCATGGCTTCAAGTTATCCATCCGACTTGGCCTCCCAAAGTGTTAGGATTACAGGCGTGAGCCACCATGCCTGGCCTGTTGTCTTTGTTTTAAAAAGTAGGTAGCATTTGGACATAGAAAGACAAGGAGAAAAATCTAGGGAATTTTTTCTAACCTAGAGAATTAAACAGGTACATTTTGCCGGCCGGCACTATGGCATATGGTAGGCAAGAAGCAGTAGGGGTGGAAAGAAGAGAGAGGTAATCTGGAGACTTCTAGTCAGTCCAACCCTTGGCATTTCACAGACTGGAACCCATAGAGTCAATATAGAAACTGAACCAGACCCTTTATTCTGGAGGAATTTCCAGTAGATAATTAAAATTCAGTTTTTACTGCTTGGTCTAGTCTGTTAAAAAAAAAAAAAAAGGAAAAAGTCAATTTTAAAATTGTTCATCAAATTATCTGCTCTGTTTTTTACAATTAGAAAGATACTTACCTTTCCTAAGTCAAGGTCTTACACACAGACACACACACACACACACACACACACACACAATTTTACCTAGTAATTAATACAGAAATCCTATCCCACCTTTTTGACTTTTCTACTCCACCCACATCCCCTAACCCAGGACAATTTCAGCCACTACAAACAAAAAAACTAGCTGATAGAAGTGTAACCCAAACAAATTATTAACAACAACAGCAACAACAATAACATAAATGTTTATTGCATATCCCAATAGGCTTAACCAGCATTAAAATGATAAAGAAAACCTCATTCTGTCTCATCGTCAACTGTTCTACTCTAAAAAAATCTGTTAAAGGTAAGAAATATTTTTTAGAAAGTCAATAAACAAAAAGAAAAAAAAAAAAGTCCCCTGGAGAGTATTAGAGTGTTTACCACTGGGAGAGAGCTGCCCTCTGAAGAATAAAGCCAAATTACTGGCTTTTCTGAGCCTCACTGATGGGGGGAGAGAGGAAGAATTAAGACAGCTGTTCTTGTCTTAGTTGGAGAAGCTGCGAAGAGGAAACTGTGGGTGGTATGTCTGCTGAGTAAGACTTCTCAGAAAAGTGGTTCCTCCAGTTTTCAGGTTCCTGGAGGCCCATGACAGGCTACTTCCTAGCACTCATTCTGAAGACTTTGGGGTCAAGAGCAGCCCTGGCCCCCTATCCCTACTACCTACTGCTATCTCATATTTCCTGTGCTTTGGGGCTTTTCACCTAATAAATAACTGTCCTTTGAGTAAAAACACACCCTCCCAAATGCCAAATATATTTTAGTAATGAACTAGTGCAGGAATGGCCCTTTGAAACTTAGAACAGGCCTCACTGAAAAATAGTACATTCTTGTGACTTTAACCTAGGGTCTTCTATGCTAGTTCAGCTTAAATCCTCTGTTATCTCATTATGGAAAACTCACTTTTGTAGGGTTCCTCTAATTTTCTGCAAAAGCTTCAAATATTTGTTGTTTTAAGTCCTCCTTGTCCATAGAGTCTGACTATGAAAATGGAAAGAATCTTATTTTTAAGGTAGTCTAGCCCCTTAGACTAGTCCAGATTTGACTTCTCCAAGCAACATAATTCAGAGAGCTCTTCAAATAAATGATGCTATGATCCTATCTGGGCATCACCCCAGGAGGCAAGTGTCAGAGGTGCCTCAGACTTCTGGACGCAGGCTCTTTGCACTTACTGCAAAGCCTTACTGTCTCCAGAACACTTCCTTTCTGTTTTCCCTCTCCATCTTGTATTAGGATTCTCTTACCCGTACCGACATCCCATCTCCTTCATGTCTATCAAATCTTGCTAGCAGGAAGGCTGAGATCAATCACATATGGCTCAGTTTGAATTTGAATCCCTACACTCACTGTAACGAAGGAGAAGATTTGCTCTTGACTTGGAGAATTTTAGATTCTTCTTATTTATATGACCAAGAAGAGAAGTTTAAGGGAAGCCTCAAAATTATACCACAAAAACATTTGCTCACTTAGCCCAAACATAAGGCAGATATTGAATATGGTGAAACATGGGCTGGAAAGAGTTGCAAAATTCACTCCCCCCTATGCCCTGGGTCCCTCCTCAGCAGGGACAGCCAAGTTGTTTCCGGCTGACAGCAAACCAGTCCTGATATCCTGTTCTCATGACACACTCAGGCCCTTCACTGTTTCTGTTCATTCCTGACTATCTTTATACCAGTTGGAAATCCTGCTGCCGCAGAAACTAAAAATGACTCAAAAGCACTCCCTCTCTTTCTTCCAAAATTGTGTTTCTGCACAGCCTGTTCTGTGACCATCACATGACTCCACATTTGCTCATCTGTTCTTATCTGCCATCAAGTCCTGCAGGTCTTTCTCTGGAATCCTGTCCCCAACTCATTGCTCTTTCTCGTCTCTCCACAGCCTGGTTCTGAGACAGAGGGCAGCAATTTCTCATCCCAAATGCCTCGTCTGGGCTTGCAGAAGTTAGTCCAAAGACAGATTGTGAAATCTTCATTGTCAGTTCTTGGCCTTCCCATCCCCTTTGAGACTCTTCTTCCAGTGGGAAAATTACGCAGGCACGATATGTACGCATACAAGTATTCTTTTATGTGAGTTTTGGTGTTACTAATTTAGCCACACAGTATGACCTAAGCAGCATAGGAATTAAGCCTTAAATATTTCCTAATCATCTGTAAAATATTTTTCTCCATTCCCAATATATTGTCTTAGTTCAGGCCTTCATCATCTATTTTTTTTTTTTTACCTGAAACTGGTTTCCTGAGGAGTCTCCGTGCTTCTCACCTGCCTCTAACCTCTTCTTTCCCCATATGTCACACTACTACCACTGTAATCTACCAAAAATGCAAGTATGACTGTTAGTGAATCCCCTGATTAAATGTCTTAGCATCTGTAGGACAGAATTTAAGATGCCTAGCATGATATTCCCGATTTCCTCGGGAGTTGTCTCCTGCTCTACCCCAAGCTGCGCTTCAGGTGACAGGAACTATATACACATGATAGTGTTTCTTGTCCACTCCATGCTGAGCCTCTACTTCTCCTGGGTCCTCCTCCTAGAATGGCATTCTGTAGGTTCTTTCCTGCAAAATTTCTGTTCATCTCTACTCTGGCATCATTTAATTCTGAAAAAAAAATTTTTTTACATAGACCCATAATGTCCTACATGTAATTCCTTTATAGTATTTGCTATTTCATATTTTTATTAAAATGTTTTCAGTTATTTTTCTATTCATAAAGTGTATTTATAGCAGGCAATTTGAAAAATACAGAAAAATATGAAAAAAGACAAAGGAAATTATTCAGAGAGAAATGTACTAACATTTTGAGGTATATTTTCCAATGTTTGTTTCTATGTATATAGTCACACTTTTCTCTATCTTCTCTTTCACACAACACACCTATATAAACACAAATGTAGGTATGCAAAATCTTATATATTTTGTAACTACTTTTATATTTTACTTAAAAATATGAGTGTTGTTATAGCCTTAAGTGTTCAGAGTAAGCTCTTTGAAGAACAAGAAGTGTGTGTGCGTGTATGTGTGTGTGTAGATATGTGCGTGAGAGAATGTGTAAACAAATACATAAAAACATCCAGCTGAGTGAATAGTATATAATAGACTCTAAATAATTATTCATTGAACTAATTTATTAACAACAATGAAAGAGACATGGGAGAAAGAAAGAACATGAGATAAGCTGGAACACATGCAAGGTAAAGAGATGAAGAGAAGACAGCCCACCATTTGGAAAGCATTTATGACTTTTAAAGTTTTTATGTACTCTGTAGTTGATGCTCACAATAGCCTTCTATTTTCTTTTATTTTATTTTTAATAGAGACAGGGTATTACTGTGTTGCCGAGGCTGGTCTTGAGCTTCTGGGTTTAAGTAATTCTCCTGCCTTAGCATCCCAAACTGCTGGGATTACAGGCATAAGCCACCACGCCTAGCCACAATAGCTTTCTGAAGTAGCTATAGCAATTATTTGCAAATCAGGAAAGTGAAACTCAGAGAGGTTAAGTGACCTGCCCTAGGTTGTTCACTTTATAAGTGGCAGAACTAGTTTTTTGAATTCATAAACTATGTATTTACATTACTTTACACAGCTTCTGGGGGAAAAAGGGCAGCAACATGATCCCTACCAAGGTCTGGGAGCCTGAAGGGGTATTCACACTGCCTGGCATGGTGCCTGGCACAGAGTGCTAAAACAGTGATTGTTGAGCACAACTAAAAAGCAAACGAGAGAAAGAACAAACAGTAGACAATAGTGAGTATACAGGGTAAGGCACCGCAATCCACTTTTCTCCATCCTCACCATGCTTGTTTGATCTGAAAAAGCCTCCTAAATGATCTGCCTCCTGCCATTCAACACCCTTTTCATCTATCTTCCATAAACACAAATTGATCATGACAAATGATGTATTGGTTCCCTTTGCTCTTGGGAAAACATTCAGAATATTCTCCTAGCTTAAAAGGTTCTTCAGGAAGGAACACTTTTTTTCCATCTTGATTTCTCATTTTTCTTTCTCTTGTACATGCCACTCAGGCATATTCAACACCACTAAATCCCTGAAAGTGCTGAAACATTCTTTTCCCTGCTATTCCTGGATTACTGTTATTTTGATAATTTTTTTTTTTACTAGTTGTTATTAGTTTTCTATTGCTGTGTAACAAATTACTGTGCTGTAAAAATGTAGCACTTTTAAAAAGCACAAATTTATCTCACTATTTCTATAGGTTAGAAATCTGGCACAGTGTGGTTGGTTTATCTTTTCAGGGTCTCATTAGGCTAAAATCCAGGTAGTATCCAGGGCTGCAGCTCTCATCTGGGACGTATGGTCTTCTTCCACACTCACTGGGTATTGGCAGAATTCAGTGCCTCATGGTTGTGGGACTGTGGTCCCTATTTCCTTGCTGCATGGTCCTCTTTCTCTTCAAGCCAACAATGGTGCCTTGGTAATCCTTGTGCTTTGACTCTGATTTCTGCTTCTGCCTTCTGTTTTAAGGATTCATGTGATTACATTAGGCCCATCTGGATAATCAAAGATACTCTCACCATTTTAAGGTCAATTGCTTTGTAACATTACATCTACAAAATCTTTTTGCCATTTAATATAACCTATTCATGGATATAAACACCAGAGAGTGAAGTCCATGGGGAGCCAACATTCTGCCTATCACAATTATAGCATCAAATTTGGCTGAGGGGCCCTTCTTATAAGATTCATGCTCATTTATTTCTCTGCCTCCATTTCTAGAGTATAAGCTTCATGATGTCAGTGACTATGTCTACTGCACAAACCTGATGTGTTGCAGCTGGCTTGTCCTTGCTAAGAAGTGCTTATTATTAAATTTTCAGGAATTTTTCCATCTGTTTGTTAAACATAGCTATTATTTTAAAAAACAAATTATATTCTCAAAACATAATAAATGCTCTAATTCATTTCCTGTTTATTGTCATAGTGTTTACTACGATTTATTCTCTTGAAGTTATTTTCCCCGATTCAATCCTTATGGTGGAAATACTATCTATTGAGGGACTACCGCACATCTTTTCAACTTCCTGTTCAGTGCCATTATTCGGTTGGTGCAAAAGTAATTGCAGTTTTTGCCATTACAATACATTATGCTGGTAGCTTGAAATTGACAATAGTGGATGTATTGATACCAAATAAATCAGCAACACTAGTTGACATCTTTTTTTTTTTTCCAGGTGGAGTCTGGCTCTGTCTCCCAGGCTGGAGTGCAGTGGCGCGATCTGGGCTCACTGCAAACTCCGCGTCCCTGGTTCACGCCATTCTCCTGCCTCAGCCTCCCGAGTAGCTGGGACTACAGGCGCCCGCCACCACGCCCGGATAATTTTTTGTACTTTTAGTAGAAACGGAGTTTCACCATGTTAGCCAGGATGGTCTTGATCTCCTGACCTTGTGATCCGCCCACCTCGGCCTCCCAAAGTGCTGGGATTACAGGCGTGAGCCATCGCGCCCGGCCTAGTTGACATCTTGATGTATTGTTTATTTGATTGTTTAGACTTGAGAAAATGATAGTAAAAATGTTAACAGCACAGATTAAGCTTAAAGCAGGTCATGTCTATAGCCATTACACAAAAATTTAAAGAAATATTATTCTTCCGGTATCTAAAACCTATGATTCAGCAAAGAAGCAGCTCATGATATTGACAAACAAAGGAAGTTACAACTTACCACCTAATTTTACTTTAATCTTATTAATACAAAAGAATCAAGTAATATTCTTATATGAACTATATTCATTCATCAGATACAACCATAGCTTGGCTAAAAATACAATAGTTTAGCAAAAAATAAAATAAAAAATTTCTGTGGAAACAAAATGGCTATATTACATTTAAAATAAAGAGTAAATTGTACACTATACATTCTTTACATTAATGTTTTATATTAAAAAGTATACATTTATGTATGTGTGCATAAACATACATTTTTACACCATCATGAAACATTTACCAGCCCACCACTGAATGCATTGAATATACTCCTAGAGCTCATCACAATGCCTAGCACATATGGCGTGCTCAGTAAATGTTTGTTTAATGAATGAACGGATAGAAGCCATGGTCTACATGATTGACCAGAGAACACAGGCTGAGTGGAAAGGGAATAGAGGCCAGAAAAGAAGCAACAGTTTGGGGAAGTTGGGAGGATTCCAAGAACTAGAGGTCAGTTGAGAATTTCTATAAGATTCTACAGAAGTTATAAAGTAGGAGACCAAAAAATAATTAAAGGAGCTGTGACAAGACAAAGCATCTCAGGGGTTAGAGAAAGCTAGGGACTAACCATGTGCAAGGCCCTGCACTGTTAGTCCACTTTAAGTTAATCTTTTATATACTCACAAAACCTTCATTTATCCTCATTTTATAGGCAAAGAAACTAGGTAATTAAAGTTAATCAACTGGCCCAGACTCATTCAGCTAGTAGAGGGTAGAGGCCAGAGTGTTCTAAACCCAAAGCCTGCACTCTTGAGGGCTACACCAAATGGAAGTGGGAACAAGGCTGTGAGGAGTTGTAATTCAAGAGCTTACTACTCACAGTGTGTTCTGAGGAACAGAAGAGGGGATTTTTGTTAGAACGTTGATTCTCAAGCCCTACCCCAGATCTACTGAATCAAATCTGTGTTTTTTTTTTCTGTCTTTTACAAGATATACTGGAAATGCCTATGCACCTTGACACTTGAAAACCACTAGTTTAGGAGGCAATTGTATCAGCAGGTAACCACATTGCAGATGGTCATTAAAGTCAAAGAAATCAAGAAGTACTATCAGGTATATTGTAAGATTGAACTTGCCCAAGTAAAGTGAGGGTGCTCCTTCTAGCATGTGGCATATTAAAATCACCTAGAGACCTTCGTAAAATGCCAAGGCATTAGTAATTTTAAAGTGATTCCAATATATAACCAAGGTTGAGAACTTATCAGGAGCATCACATTAGTCATGCCGTTCCTCTCAGATGTGAACAGTAGCCCCTACTTATCAAAACAAACAACGAAGCAAATGTCCGTGGATCTGACTTGAGAGGCTGAAGCATCTCCTCCCCAGGATATAATTACTCTTCAGCCTCACAGTGGTTTTTCTAGCCTTGCTCTTTACACAATAGCCCTGCCTTCCAACCCCAGAAACAGACTGGCTTATAGGATTTCACATTTCATGTGCCTCTCACCTGGCACACCCTTTTTTCTCCTTGCCACCAGACCACATCCTTTCCTTCCTCCAGCCCACATTTATTTCTAGACCTAAAATGATTTCTTAATGTCAACCTTTTATTCTGCTTACATGGCATCATACCCCTCACCAGGATTAAACTGTACCAAAGATACCTGGAAACAAATTGTACAAAATAAACAGAATTTTATGGAGGCTACACAGTTCTATTTGTTCAAATCAAGTATTATCCTTTTTAAAAAAATGCCACTAAAGCTAGTTTCCTCTATCTGGATCCTCTGCTGTGCAGTAACAATACAAGGCCCACAAAAGAGGGCTGAGTTCCTTCCCACATGCACTGCTTTTTCTCCAGTAATAGACTGCATTTTGGATGACTGCCAGGCAACAATAGTTGACTCGTGCTGGCCAGCTCTCAACATAGGTCTCCGAAGAAGCTGGGGAACAGGGCAAATTGACGCTTCTAGTTTTCTCTCAATAATCCCTCCCCAGGGTTCAGGTTCACATGTGGACTTCTGTTACCAACCTTGTTTGATCTCTTTAAAGAGGTCCCTTGCCTCCATTTGGGTGACATGAAGTCTCCATAAGAACAGCAATAGGAATACTTAAGATCTTCTTGTCACATGATAAACAGACTGATTAGATCTTCTGGTTTAGTGACTTCCTCTTCACTCTCACCAGCTACTGAAAGTGTGGCCGGTCGCTTTGATTGGGGATATAACTGATTCTTTGAACTTTGCTCCATTCTTAACAGTATTCCAATACTGTAATTAGATAGTGGGCTGTATAGACTGAAAAATGGTTTTGCTAAGTGTAATGGGAATTGTTTCCAGGTTACCCTTTCATCATAAGAATTCACTAAGGCATGCAAACCAATTTCATTTATTTCTTCTTCTGTTTCTCAGAAAAGGGCCTTTTTTAGCAGGGTGGTGGTGGGGAGGATGGTGATAGCTTATAGAAATTCCAGAAAACAAGGGATGGAGATGAAAGATGTTTAAAACAAGCAAACCAAAACCGTCTCTAAGAAGGAAGTCAAACAAAATTCTTTTTGATATTTGAAAATCTTTAGTTTTGATTTACGCCCAGACTTGTACTCTGTTACTTAAAATTCCCTGTATTTAGGTTATAACTTCTAGGAGCATAGATACTCATCTTCATTCATTGATTCATGCATACATACATTTAATCATTAATTCATTCATTTATTCAGTAACATTTACTGGATATTTGATAGAAACAAAGGGTTCAGGATAAACAAAAATAAGACATGTTCCCCAACCTCAAGTAGCTCAGAATCTAAAGGAGCAGAAAATTTCTAAATTGTCCAAAACTTATACAGGTGCTAAAATGTAAATCTCTAGAAAATACAGTGGGAACCCAGCAAATACCATGATCGACTCTGTAGGGGCAGCAGTAGCAGGGTGGAACTTTTTTCTTAGTAAAGAAAGAAGAAAATTCCAGAAAAGAAAAAAAAAAGCTTCAGAACCAATTTTCTATAATCAAAATAGAGGTGCTCAGATTTTGTCTAGTGCTATATTTTATATGAAACTCATGTGTCAATTGGGGTAAGGCTTCCAATTAAGCTAAGGCTACTCAGAACCCCCAGGCCATAGTCGAAGCTTTTTCTAAGAGTTCTATGAATCTCTGGAGGATCTGGGTTTCTATTGTTACTTCTAGTTCTGAGCTCCTGCTCCCATAAATCAGTTCTATTTATGAATTATTTTATCTTCCTTGAATGTTGCCCCTGACTTACACCACTTTCACTCATATATGGACTTTCAGGTTTTTTCCTTGATCTTAAAAAATATCAACAATATCATGCAGGTATGGTGCTTGTAACTGTAACATCAGTGTAGAGAGCAAAGAACCGAATCCCTGTGTGAACCAATCCTCTATTTGAAACAATCCACAGCTTGTCTTTTGTCCACCCAGGCACACTGGTGTCATGGGCTCTTTCTTCATCTCAGTGGCTTCTCTCTTTCTCTTCCCTATGATCTTTTTTAAAGTGGACTTCCAGGATTGCTCCTAGCAATTCCAAGTGCTTTTCATGCCATGCTGAGTAATGCAGTTCTCACCAGCTCCAATCCCAAAAGTCAGCTCAAAGGACATTTTTGCTTATTCAAAATCCTCTGGTGTTTAAATAATCCTTGGATGGTACTTTTGTTCCCAGAAGAAATGCTTCTGCTATGAACAGACACTTCTCAAAAGAAGACAACCATGCGGCCAACAAACATATGAAAAAAAGCTCATCATCACTAGTCATTAGAAAAATGCAAATGAAAACCACAATGAGATGCCATCTCATGTCAATTAGAATGATGATTATTAAAAAGTCAGGAAACAACAGATGCTGGCAAGGATGTGGAGAAATAGGAACGCTTTTATACTGGTGATGGGAGTGTAAATTAGTTTAACCATTGTGGAAGACATTGTGATGATTCCTCAAAGATCTAGATACCATTTGACCCAGCAATCCCATTACTGGGTATATAACCAAAGGATTATAAATCATTCTATTATAAAGACACATGCACAGGTATGTTTATTGCAGTACTATTTACAATAGGAAAGACTTGGAACCAACCCAAATGCCCATCAATAATAGATTGGATAAAAAAAATTGGCACATATACACCATAGAATACTATGCAGCCATAAAAAAGAATGAGTTCATGTCCTTTGCAGGGACATAGAGGAAGCTGGAAGCCATCATTCTCAGCAAACTAACACAGGAACAGAAAATCAAACTCCACATGTTCTCACTCATAAATGCGAGTTGAACAATGAGAACACATGGGCACAGGGAGGGGAGCATCACACACTGGGGCCTGTTGGAGGGTGAGGGACAAGGGGAGGGAGAGCATTAGGACAAATACCTAATGCATGCGGGGCTGAAAACCTAGATGACTGGTTGATAGGTGGAGCAAACCACCATGGCATATGTACACCTACGTAAAAAACCTGCACATTCTACACATGTATCCCAGAACTTAAAGTAAAAAAAAAAAAAAAAAAAAAGAAAGAAAGGATGCTTCTAATACAATCTACTTTTCTTAAAAAGTGCTTATCAATTTCCTCCAAGCAACATTACAACCAATACTCTTCATATTTGAGGATGACGTTACTATTCATCAAAACCCACTTTTGGCCGGGTGCAGTGGCTCATGCCTGTAATCCCAGTACTTTGGGAGTCCGAGGCGGGTGGATCACAAGGTCAAGAGATCGAGACCATCCTGGCCAACATGGTGAAATCCCGTCTCTGCTAAAAATACAAAAATTAGCCGGGTGTGGTGGCGGGTGCCTGTAATCTCAGCTGCTTGGGAGGCTGAGGCAGGAGAATGGCATGAGCCCAGGAGGCGGAGGTTGCAGTGAGCCGAGATCATGCCACTGCACTCCAGCCTGGTGACAGAGCAAGACTCCGTCTAAAAAAAAGAAAAAGAAAGGAAAAGAAAAGAAAAAAAACACACTTTCTTTTCTTCCTGCTTTTGTTCTGGTATTCTTTGGAGATGGTTTGCAAGAAATCCACTTCCATTACTGTAGAGCTATGCCTCACTTTGAACTCTAAACACTGTTAGTCTGACCACAGTTTTGTTAAATCTGGATGTCTTAAGCCTCTAAAAACCCCAAACACCCCAGGAACAAGTATTACTCACCAATTATGGTATTAAAAATGAGCCACTGTCTCTGAGTTCACTTACTTGTTCTATAAACATTAATCATGCACCATGCATTAAGTTAAGCTTTGTTCTGCTCTAGAAGAGCTCAGAGTCTAACCAAATACAAGTTCCAAAAAAGCTTTAAGGAAAGGCAACATCTTTGGAATTCATTAATAGCCTCTCAAGGGGATGGCTTTAATGGGCAATCTTCTTTTGGAGCCTATTTCCCATTCATTAGTTAAAACATAGATCCTATGCTTTGCCATTGTGCCTCGTATATGTTCTATCTCCTGCGATATAATGGCTGTAATTTAGGAGCATCCCCTGAAAAGAAAAAACATTTGTGGAGATGTAAGTTATAAGACTCTTTTCCCCGTATTGTGACTTATAAATTCCTCTTTCATATACTCATACAGCCTAGAGCATTATATAGTATGTTATAATTATATTATAATTGTGCAATTACTTATCTGTCCCCTCTCCTAGAAGTGAGCCCCTGGGGCAGGTTATGATTTATCCAAATTCAGTTCCTAGTATAGTGTTTGAAATTGTCGGTGTACTCACAGAAGACCTGGGAAAGAAAAGGAAAAGGAAGGGAGGGAGAAAAGGAGAAGGTAAGGATGATGACTATCGTTAGTGTGAGTCAGAGTATTCTGCACAATTTCTTCTATTTGGCACCTGGGAGGCTCCCCGTTCAAAGGTGTGGTCAGTCTTCCACAGAATTAGCAGATGGCTCAGCACAAGGACCTCAACTATCAGCTAAATCAGGATGAATATTTTGTAAAAACTGGGATTAAATGCCTTTTGTTAGACGGGCAAATGACACTGAAGTCTCGTTAATATTTTATGTTAAATTCTATGACCTGATACTCCATAAATATCATAGCTGCTAGAAATAATACTGAGATTCTAACCTTAGGTTTTGCTTTGTTTTTAATTTAAAATGTTATCAATTTGTCATATCATAGTGCTGAATTTTGTGCCCGCAAAATTCAGATGTTGAAACCCTAACCCCAGTACCTCAGAATGTAACTGTATTTGGAGATAGGAAGTTTGAAGAGGTGATTAAAGTAAAATGCTGTCAGGGTGGGCCATAATCCAATCTGACTGGCATTCTTACAAGAATTGGAAATTTAGACAAATGAAGAGAAGCCAGGTGTGTGTGCATACAGAGGAAACACCAAGGGAGTGGTCAATGAGAAGGCAGCTATCTGCATGCCAAGAAAACAAGCCTCAGAAGAAATTAAACCTGCTGACACGTTAGTCTTGGGCTTCTCGTCCTTAGAACTATGAAAACAAGGCCAGGCATGGTGGCTCGTGCCTGTAATCCCAGCATTTTGAGAAGCTGAGGCAGGTGGATCACCTGAGCTCAGGAGTTCGAGACCAGCCTGGACAACATGGTGAAACCTTATCTTTACTAAAAACACAAATTTTAGCCCAGCGTGGTGGCAGGCACCTGTAATCACAGCTACTTGGGAGGCTGAGGCAGGAGAATTGCTTGAACCCAGCAAGTGGAGGTTGCAGTGAGCTGAGATCACGCTACTACACTCCAGCCTGGGCAACAAGAGCGAAACTTTGTCTCAAAAAAACAAAAAAACAAACAAAAACATGAAAACAATTCATTTCTGTTGTCTTAGCCACCAGCCTGTGCTATTTGGTTATGACAGCCCTAAAAAAACTAATACACTTAGCATTGTTCTCAAGCTATAGTCATTGAGACTAATCCTGGCTCTTCCACTAGCCAGCACTTACTTTTTAAAAATTTAACTTAAAAACTTGAATGAATATCCATCATGGATGACACTACTAAAAAACAAACAAACAAACAAAAAACCACAAAAATGAATAAATAAATGAATGGCATGAGTTATGAAGTACAAAGATCTAAAAAAAGTTGCAAGTTAAAATTGAGAAGAAGTCTACCGTATGGTCCTGGATAAATCTCTTATCTTAGGAGGATCTGAGTTGTCTCATTTCTAAAATAAGGCTGTTGGAAAAATAACTTATTTTATCCCTTAAAATTTAGGAGCTTGGAATTTACTGTTAAGCACAACACTGATAATGTTGGTGATGATGATGATGATGATGATGGTAAAAGGTAAAGAAATTAAAGCCAGAATTTTATCAGAAAGTATAGAAAGAAAGTAGAAAGTATAGGTTTTCTGCTCCTCCCATTTGACAGAAAGCCTCATCTTCTCGTGCATCACCAGCCTCATCCCTGAGACACCATGGTGAAGGTGAAGGTGGAAGTCAACGGATTTGGCCATACTGGGCGCCTGGTCACCAGGGCTGCTTTTAACTCTGGTAAAGTAGATATTGTCACCATCAATGACCCCTTCATTGACCTCAACTACCCCTTCATTGACCTCAACTACATGATCTACATGTTCCAGTATGATTCCATGGCAAATTCCATGGCACCATCAAGGCTGAGAATGGGAAGCTTGTCATCAAGGGAAATCCCATCACCATCTTCCAGGAGTGAGATCCCTCCAAAATCAAATGGGGTGACACTGGGGCTGAGTACATGGTGAAGTCCACCAGCATCTTCACCACCATGGAAAAGGCTGGGGCTTACTTGCAGGGAGAAGCCAAAAGGATCATAATCTCTGCTCCCTCTGCTGACGCCCCCATGTTCATGATGGGCATAAACCGTGAGAAGTATGACAACAGCCTCGAGATCATCAGCAATGCCTCCTGCACCACCAACTGCTTAGCACCTCTGGCCAAGGTCATCCATGACAATTTTGGTATCATGGAAGGACTCATGACCACAGTCCATGCCATCGCTGCAACCCAGAAGACTGTGGATAGCCCCTCTGGGAAACTGTGGTGTGATGGATGCAGGGCTCTCCAGAACATCATCCCTGCCTCTACTGGTGCTGCCAAGGCTGTGGACAAGCCAAGGTGCTGCCAAGGCTGTGTCATCCCTGAGCTGAACAGGAAGCTCACTGGCAAAGCCTTCTGTCGTCCCCACCACCAACGTGTCGGTAGTGGACCTGACCTGCCATCTGGAAAAACCTGCCAAATATGATGACATCAAGAAGTGGTGTAGCAGGCATCAGAAGGCCCCTTCAAGGGCATCCTGGGCTACACTGAGCACTTGGTAGTCTCCTCCAACTTCAACAGTGACACCCACTCTTCCGCCTTTGATGCTGGGGCTGGCATTGCCCTCAACAACCACTTTATCAAGCTCATTTCCTGGCATGACAATGAATTGGCTACAGCAATAGGGTGGTAGACCTCATGGCACACATGGCCTCCAAGGAGTAAGACCCCTGGACTGCCAACCCGAGCGAGAGCATGAGAGGAAGAGAGAGGCCTTCACTGCTGGGGAGTCCTTGCTGCACTCAGTTCCCCACCACACTGAGAATCTCCCCTCCTCACAGTTTCCATGCAGACCCCCTGAAGAGGGAGATGCCTAGGGAGCCCCTCCTTGTCACGAACCATCAATAAAGTCCCCTGTGCTCAGCCAAAATAAAAAAAAAGAAAGTAAAAAGTATAAGAAGACCTTAGAATCAACAGATGGCACATGTTTGCCTTGACTTAAAGATATGATTAGAAACCAATATTGTTAGTCTGAGGAGAGAAAAGTTGCAAATCTATAATGCAATTGTATTTTATCACAATAGGCTAGGTTGTACTACATTTAAAAACAACGTCCAAATCTCAGCATCCAAAAAATAATTGATTTATTTCTCTTTTTCATTGTAAATTTCAGGTCAGCACAGCTCATACTAGTAACGCAGGCACCCACTCTGATAAGGGTTTAATCTTCAACAATTACTTTGGCAGAGAAAGAGATGGGAGCAAATTAATCATGGCTCTTAAAATTTCTGCTCAGTAGCAGCCATATGCCAATTTCATTCAGATTTCATGAAGAAAAGTGAAGCACATGAGTATGCCTAACATCAAAGTGAGTGGGAGTCCAATTTTTTCTGTGTGATGGAAAGGACAGGAATGAAATATTTGGCAATAGACTGGTGATGATTGACAGCCAAACTGGTGAAGGATGCTCACAAAATTGGATTGTGTTTATGGGTGAACATAATTTGGAAATTTTAATCTATTACACCTAGGAAACTCTGCTTGAAGCTTAAAAGAGTTAATTTAACCACAAGAACGAGGAGACGGAGAAGGAGGAGGAGACTTATCTCTTATATTAAGAAATAAATTCATGAAGTTCTTTACCTCAAGAGTTGCTACAGACTAAAAAAAGCTTCAGAAAAAGTCTAAATTAGTACATGAAATTGTCTCCAAGTCAACTGAGAATTAAAAATTTTAAGATATCTCAACATTCCTAGTTGCTGAATCACTCAGTTGGTTTTTTATTTGTTGCTTTGGTTGGTTGGTTAGTTGGTTGGTTGGTTAGTTTTGTAAACAAGTAAGCTTGGTATTAACACAATGTGCTAATTTAGTGGTGACAACATTACTGGGTATCCATAAAACAAATATAGTGTGTCTTGAAATTTGAATTTTCTGTCAGCCCATGTTTTACCTATTCTATCTGTGAAAGAAGACAGTCCACTTTGTAGCCTAAAATACATTGGGGGTAAAAAATCCAGGGAAGCCACCCTCATCATTGTTTAGTATATAAATTGCTCTGAATGCCTATTAAGTGCAGTCTCTCTGCTAGACACTTTTCATACACTATCAAGTGTGCTCTTCTCCTCAACCTAGAGATGTAAAGTGCAGTGATCCTGAACTGTTCTCAAAGGCTTGTAGGGTCACGATTCACAGACATGTGACATGAAACCATCCTCTCTCTCCTGGAAAAAATTAAGTTTGATCAAGTCACTTGTGGCTCTAATCTCGAATATAGTATCAAAGCCTTTCCCAGTGATTACTTAGGTAACAAAGAAAGTTAAAAAAGCATAAGGTCATATTGCCCTTTTGAATTACTGATCAAATCATGTCCATGAACTATGAACTTGGGCAGACTTCTTTTAGTTTCCAGTCTTCATCCTTAAAGAGGGAGGTGATCTTTTTAATAAGTCTTTCAAAAAAATTTTAAAATCTCAAGCAAAAGAAGGCCCAAAAAACATAAATAGGAAATATATATATGTATACACACACACACAGACACACACACACGCACACACACATTTATCTTGAAATCCCAAACTTAAACCATTTTTCTTACAAAAAGAAAAAAAAATAATTAATTTGTGTGACAAAGGAAAAAGAGTCTCTTCTGATCATTGTTGAAGAATCCTGGAAGAAGTGTTATTGGTTCAATGTTACAGATGAAGAAAGGGAGGTCAAGTCATCAACACAAAATCCAAAACTGATCTCTATTCACTTTCACTTTCTGAATCCTCATCTCCCTTTTTACTTCTTTCTATCCAGCTCAAACGCCTGCCTTTTCCTGCTCGCTGCCAGAATTTCTGAATCCAGGATCAGGGAAGTCCCCAGTGAGCTGCATTCTCAAGAAATACTTATACACACCTCCCCACCTGCAGGCTTTTCCCAGACCTTTCATTTGTTTCCTAAGGGGTTCTGAGAGACATTTACTTATTAATGTTTGTATCAGGATTTATACTTTAAAAGAAAATTTGACATGGTGATTGCATTTGGTGAAACAAGGAATTCTTCGCGTTCGGACCAAGGAACTTCAATTGGAAAGAAATGTGAGTAAAGGCTTTTCTGGTGTCCTTGAAATCATACTACCACACTACCAGCCCTCATTGAGTGATGGCTTTACCCTGATTCTTCTAATTCAGATATCAGAAATCTACTATTCAAAGATGATTACCCTTGAGAAAGACTCATAAATTAGGAAATTTAAACCAAAAGAAAAGGATTCAATAATATAGGGCATGCAGGGAATGAGTTCAGACACTTAATCCAACCACAGTGTTTAAAAGCAGAGAAAATCCATGAGTACTCCTGTTGTCATTGGCTCAGAGATGGGTCATCTACTTTCTTTGTTTTTTTCTGTCAGTCATTTAGCCTGTGGCTCTCCTCTAATTAAAACTCCCACAGATGTTTCCAGACTGGCTATTGCACTCTTTTGTCACAGCACACTGAATCTCTACATTGTATAGAGTATGATCTCTTTTAGTTGGTGCTCAGAAGCATTTGAACACAAGACTGGCATAAGGATAATCAGAAATGATCAGAGGCAAATCTGTAGCTAAAGAGATGATATCCAAAGGAAATCTATGCCTACCAAAATTTCCCCTATACTTCAGTTAAAGAAAGACAGGAAAACAAATAGAGAAGCTAGTTTCCAGCAAGTTTTGATCCTGCCCTCATTTTCCCATGGCTATGTGGCACACCAACAACACTTCAGTTGAATTTCCTTGTTGGTACTTGTCTGGTCTCTTTTTTTCCCCAGTGTTGCAACTTGATTACCTAAGCCTCATCAACCCACTTAAACAAGCATAAATGGGAATTTCCACTAAACACATTTCCAAAGAATATTCAATATTGTTCATTGAAGTGAATTATCTAATGTATGAAAAATGAAGCAGCGTGAATTATCTAATGTATGAAAAACACTAGTTAACCCCTTTCACTATCATCACCCTTCTATTCTAGCCTTTTAATGTTCAGAGAGATATTTAGAATATCCCTCTTTGCTGAGAGCTCTACACACATTTAAAAAGCTAAATCAAATAGATGAGTCTAGAAACGAAATGTGATGTGGCAATGGGACTTTTTTCTGCGGCTTCTCATTAGATATCTGGGCTCTAGAGACTACAAGTTGACCCACAGCTTAATAAATTTACATAGAAATTTGTTGAAGAATCCTGGAACAATTGTTATTGGTTCAATGTTACAGATGAAGAAAGCAAGGTCAAGTCATCAACACAAAATCCAAAACTGATCTCTATTCACTTTCACTTTCTGAATCCTCATCTCCCTTTTTACTTCTTTCTATCCAGCTCAAACACTTGCCTTTTCCTGCTTGCTGCCAGCATTTCTGAATCCAGGATCAGGGAAGTCCCCAATGAGCTGCACTCTCAAGAAATACTGATACACCCCTCGCCACCCTCAGGCTTTTCCCAGACCCTTCATTTGTTTCCTTAGGGGTTCTGAGAGACATTTACTTATTAATGTTTGTCTCAGGGTTTATATTTTAAAACAAAACTTGAGATGGTGATTGCTTTTGTATGAGCCATTGCAATCGATGTATCATGGATACATGGATACAAAGGAGAAAAAATCTTAGTTCCTGCCCTTATGTTTTCCACCGTCTCTCATCACAGGAAGAGAGAAGTAATAAGTAAATTAACCTGTAACTCTACTGGTGACTGTAGAAGGCAGACACTTTACCAAGTGATATTAAAAATAATCCTTAGAGAGGAGCATGAAGTGGACTGGTGCTTCCATGATGTTGATGATGTTGTGATTTTTTTTAATGTAGGCATGTTCAGTTTGTGCTTTTATGTGCTCTTTTCTGTATGCATTTCTATATGGATTTTGCCTGTATTCTGTATTTCTATATTCTTTATGCATTATCTTAATTTTAAAAATGCTTTAAAATCCCTTACATGAATTACATATATTTAGCTCTAAATCCAGCATTGTTTCCCAATAACATCTTAGTGATATATTTACTACTTACCTAAGCATGTTTTTAGACAAGGGGGGATAAAAACAAATGAACAGCAACCAAAACAATGTTTCCTTACTTAACTGCTACAGTATGCCATGCAATGATCAGGCATTATACCTCGAAAGCCATAGTGAAGGAAAGAATTGTCTTGGCCACGATAACTCTCAAACTGAGACTTAGGGCTGGCTGTTCTGTGCTTTCAGGCACAGGGTTCACGGCATGAAGGAGTGAGGAAAGAAACAAGAATCTGAAGACATCTAGGTGAAATATGCTCTTTCCATTTAATTAATAGCCCACACCATTTACTATTATTTTCTGCCCATCTGTTTCACATATTCTGCCCACCTGGACGGCCCAAGAGAGCATTCAAATTTCCCAAGCAGTTCTAGGCTCTTCTATTCTCACTGCTCTCTGTGCATTTTAATCTTTCAGGTCAGCATCAAGCTGTATGAGGAATCACCAAGCAGCCTCCCAGATCGCCAAGCAGCTACCGCATGGTAAACACAAATCTATAGGCCAGGCTAGGTAGTGCCCCACATCAATAAAACTAAGAGTTAGCTATCTTCTATTATAGAAACTATGGAAAGGCTAGTGAACTCCTCATTAACCTTTTAAGTAATCCCAGTCAGCACTACCATCCTTAGTGCAGCAAGTTGATCCAGAGCTCAACACATTTATAACCAAAGGAGTAAAAACAAAAATCATAACCAGTTTTTATTCTCTAAGATAAAATGGTAACCTTCATGTATTTCAGGAGATGATAAAATATTTTCCTTCGGTCTTATCCTTTTCATTCCATCTCCATCCCTGCATCCTTACCTCCCTGTCCCAGCCATCTCCTCTGCTCCTGATTGCTAAGTCACTGTTAATAATGCGGTGGTCCCTCGGACTATGAGGCATTCGATGACAGTGCTTTTGTCTTACTCATCTTGCCTGCACACTGCGTAACACAGTGCTCAAACCAGAGTCACTCAATAAATATGGGTTAAATAATGAAGAAAAACATATAAAGACCAAACTATATGAGATTAACTATATTCCCTAAAACATAAGAATTTAGTCTGCTAAAAACTTAGAGCCCAATGTAAAAGATTAGAAATGGAAATAATATTATATCTACTTTAATATAACCCCCTTGTTTAACAAGTGAGAATGCAGATACCCAGAAAAGTCAGAGAGACAGCTGGGAAAAAGCCTCCCTCCAGGAGTCACACTAGGTTCACCACCCTAGGAGCAGTCTTTTCTGATTAACTTCCCATTCTCATCACTTGAAGTTTTGGTATTGCCTCAGCCAGCCACCCAAAATGTTCTCATGATTGTTTTTTTCTCTGATTTGCTTTTTGTCAGTTAAGTAACTTTTGTTTTGCTTTGTTTTGTTTTGTTTCATGAGTCAGACTCCTCTCAATAACTGTAGTGACCTTTTCTCAACCTTCCAGCTACTTCTCATTTGTTTAAACATTCTCTAAGTTGCCTACATTCCAACTGTTTATTCATGTTTAAGATAGAATGCTGTTAAAAACTGTGTCTATTAAAAGAGGGGTTAGAAGCCCTATCCCGAAATGTGATGTGAGTTAGTGGAGAAGGAAAAACGGAAGTGTCCCAGGCTGGTGAGGAAACTCACCAGAGCCTGGAGGATACCAAGTCAGACAGGACACACACAGGAAATCTTGATAAGCAGCCCCCAAAGACATTCTTTGCAAAAGAATAAAAATAAATGAATGAGACGGCTCATCTGCAACATCTTTCCAAAATGTAAGCAATGTAAAATTGAAACAAGGTCTAAAGCTGGTAAATTCATTCAAATATTTATTTCTTCAACTAACATTTAGAAATCATGTTTATTTTTACCAAATCTCATACCAGATAACTGGGTTATAGTACAAATAAGTCAATCCCCTCTTCAAGGAGTTTAGGTTAAAGGAACAAAGGAATGTTAGACAAAATTTCCCAGATGTATTGATGTTGAGCAAGGGTCTAGGTTTATTTCAAACTGTCAATAAGAGTACTCACTTCAAAGAAAGCCAATTCAAATGTTGCTTCTGCAAAGAGTGTCTTTCTAGTAAAAGCCAAAATAAATGAAAATGACAAAAAATTCTTATCTTGATAAGAGTGTTAGTCTAGGTACTAGAAAGGAATGTCTGCTAAAGTTTTTGATCTATTCACAAGATTTTAAGTTTGTAATACTATCACACATGTATCAGCTTTGTAGGCTAAACTCTAACTTCACTGATTGGGATGTTAATCAGAAGTATTACTAATTGATAAAGAACGATTCTTAAAGTATCAAAAAGTATTAATGTTTTGCTCAGGTTTGAGACATTTGTTTCTTTCTCACTACCTAAAATTTCTCCTATTAAACGGTGAGACGTACATACTGAAATTAGAACACATATTTTCTATCATGAATACAGATAGTCACCAGAGCTTTTTGTGACTGATAAGAATTATTAGTAAAAGTGAAAAACAATGGTATAAAGTGTTCAATGTTTGTTTCATTGAGTTATAAAGATACATGATCAGTGTCCTCACTGGGAGAATGTCAATGGTTTTCTGTTCTTTGCCACAACCTAGATGAAATATTCTCTCAACTAATATATTCTCTTCACTCTGACTCTCCTACTCAGGTATTATTTTCATCAGATATTCTTTTACTCTGCTAGTGGTGAATAGTTCTGTGTGGTCAGAGAGACGTGGTTTTAATATCTGCCCCACCACCTAACCAGGTTTGGATATTGGAAAGCTATTTAAACTTTCTGAACATCTCTTTCCCCATTTCTAAAATGGAAATAATTTCCCATCAAATAGAATTGTTTGAAGGTTACAAAAGATAAGGTATATAATGTATTACTCTCACAAAGTAAGCATTCAATAAATTATAATTACTTTAATTATATCATCATTATCATTATCATCACCACCACCATCATCACCACCACCACCACCACCACCATCATCATCATCATCATCATCATTTTTTTCAGCCACTGTGAGTATTCTCTGCCCATTGCATGAAGTAGACATCAAAGAATCTTAGGTTTGATTCTTTGCTTCAAAACTTGGTAGCTTTGAAATGAGGTGAGATTATTTAATGTTCTCATTTGAATTTCTCATCTATAAAATTGGGATAAAGAAAGAACTACATCACTGTGTTGTAGTGACAACTAATTTAAATAATATGAGTGAAGTGTCTACTATTGTATGGAGTAGGTTCTCACTAAATGACATTTCCTTTACCCAATATTGGCATTAAATTTGTTGATTTGTAAGCTTCATTAGTCTGATGCAGTCCCCTAGGGCCTGCTCATCCTTGGAGAAGGTAATCAAATCACATTACGGATCCTGCAAAACTGCAGACAGGATCAGGGTCTCTCATTAAGATATATTCACTTAAGAAGCTCCATCCCATGAAATAATTAGTTCCTGGTTTAAACCAAGTGTAAATATATTAAAAATAAATGAAAATGACATATGTATATATGGTAACTGAGTTCCATGTGTGTGCATAAGAGGGGTAAAAGATAATGGTTAGAAAATTCCTGTGAATAGAGTCAAGGGGAGAGTTTCATTTGAGGTCCATTTGGCTGCTAATCACAAGACTCATTTCTCATGGGTACACATCCTCCCTCACCAATTCCCTGGCTCACTCACACGTCCTGTGCATTGGGATCTCTGTTCCAGGCTCCAGCCATTATGAACTACCTGCTATTTTCTGATGATTTTGTGATCCTGCATTTCAATGTCTCTGTAACCTCTAGTCCCTCTGTCAGAAGTGGCTCTATACCCCTTTCACTTACCTTTCTTCTCTACCTACATACCTTTTACAACTCAGGTGAAATATCAACTTCCTCTAAAAATACTTTCTTCTCTCATTCCATTAACCTCCTTCCTCTGTGTTTCTTTGTCCTCTATCTTGACCTTTACTATTGACATCCCATGCAACATATTTTATTCTGCAACTCTTCTAAGCATTAGAATTCTTTTGGTGTAGGCACTTGGTCTTATTTGTCCATTTATAATTTTTTTGGTTCTTCAAGGTGCAGCTCAGCTCAAATAACACAGCTCCACTGACACTTGCCTATGAAGCTTTTCTAAAATAACCAGATATCTAGGCTTTAGACTTGATTGTATATCCCAGGTCTTCCATTATTAATTTTCATCTTTGATTGGTCACTCACAGACTTCAAGGTTCTTTTTTAAAAATTTCATCTGTAAAATAAAGATATGTCATTTATCTTATCGAATAATTGTAAATGGCCAAAACAACGTATAGTGCAAAGTATCTAGTGTCTAATAGAAGCTCAATAATCCTAATAATTATTTCTATTCTTCTCAGAATGTTTTTGGCATTTTTATTGTATCATTTATTTAACATATTATACCACATTTTGCCTTGTATTATTAGTGTCTATGCATTTGTCCTCTCCCTGTCACTGGATTTTAGATTTTGCTCAGATGTTCTTCCTTAAGCATGTGTCTCTGCGTGCATGTATGTGTTTTTGTTAGTAGAATTTATCCATGGCATAAAGCCAATAAATGAGCACTGAGGTTCTCATCAGAAAAGAGGGTGGTGTCAAGATTTAAACTAAGGTAGATAAACATGAGAAACACACAAACATTCAAGAATCCTATATAAACAAGCACAAAATATATCTCAGTAAACATTAACATACTATATGAACTATAGAATGTTAGACAAACACTAAGAATTATTATTAGAAGTAGGATAAAATTTGAGTTAAAATCGTGCCTGTTCTACAGTTACCATTAAGAGTTCATTTCATAACTTCTTCCATTTCTTTCTTTCTGTAAGAAATGAGAAAGGATGACTTCCAGATGAGGGAAATTAAACTCCTGGGTCAATTTTTATCAAGAAATTATGTGATAGAACCACACACAATTCTGTAACTATTATTTCCCAAACACTGTGGGGAAGCTCTAGGCATATCTGGTGTAAGCAAACAGAGACAGACTGCAGCACATGACGAATTATTCATGTATACTAGAGAGAAACTTGATTTTTGTCAAGTTCTAAATTTGAGGTACACAGCAAAAAAAAAGTGGTCTTAAAATATTTTTTGTATTTCAGATACACAGATTTTTTCCATCCCACAGGAAATCGACAAAAATAAATACACCAAACTGTTTCCCTGTATGGTAGTTTCCTTTTATCTATGGTTTCTCTTTCTGTGGTTTTAGTTGCCTATGGCCAACTGCTGTCCAAAAATATTAAATGAAAATTCCAGAAATAAACAACTCATAAGTTTAAAGTGTGCACTGTCCTGAGTAGAGTGATGAATCAGGGGCTGTTTCACTCTGCCCTACCCAGGGCATGAATCATCCCTTTGTCGAATGTTATCCACACTGTATTTGCTTCCTACCCATTATCAGATCCACTGTCACAGTATCAGGTTATCAGATCCACTGTCACAGTATCACAGTGTTTGTGTTCAAGTAACCCTTATTTTACTTAACAATGCTTAACTAATAATAAATTTATTAGTTACTGTTGTCAATCTCTTATGGCACCTAATTTATAAATTAAACTTTACCATAAGTATGTATGTATAGGTAAAAACATAGTATATGTAAGGTTCAGTAATATCTATGGCTTTAGGCATTTAATGAGGATCTTGGAACATATCCCCCAGGGATGAAAGGGAACCATTGTATGTAAGGTTCACCTTTGTGTTAGTATTAAGATATTGTTCCCAAATTCGTTTCTCAGGAAGTTGAATTTTAGCTTTGAAGTTGTTGATCCTTGTGTGTTTCTAAGAAATCAAATGTTACCAAGTGGTTACTAAGTAGAATTAAGAATTGGGACTAAAATAACGAATAAAGACAACTAAATATATTTCATGACCTCATTTTTTTTGAAGCCTTGAAGCTAAAAGTTGCTTTTTTAAATAAAAGAGTTCATGTTATGACCCTAGTTGAAAATACTTCTATCATTGCCATTTTACTCTGCAGAGCATTAAACTAACATGGAAACTAGGTTGCTTCTAATTATATAAAGATGGGAATAGACAGAGCCTTTTCATGTTTGGAGCTCTCCTGCCTGCTCTAGGGATTTATATTTAAACAAAATTCAAGAATATTTGTGTTAGTCCACTTGTGTTGCTATAAAGGAACACCTGAGGCTGGATAATATATAAAGAAAAGAGATTAAATTGGCTGAGGTTTTGCAGGCTTTACGAGCACGCCTCCAGCATTTGCTTCCAGTAAGGGCCTCTGGAAGCTTACAATTATGGCAGAAGGCAAAGGAGAGCAGGCATGTCACATGGTGAAAGACGGAGCAAAAGAGAGGGAGTGGGGAGGGGCCAAATGCTCATAAGTAACCAGTTCTCCTGTGAACGCACAGTGAGAACTCACTCATTACTGCAAAAAGGGCACCAAGACATTCTTGAGGGATCTGTCCCATGACTCAAACACCTCCCACCAGGCCCCACCTCCAACACTGGGAATTACATTTCAACGTGAGATTTGGAGGGGGTGCCCATCCAAACAATATCAGTATTCAAAAATGTTTATTTCTTAAATTAAATTTAAAAACATTCTAACAATCAACCCTAACACATCTAGGGCAAAATGTGTCTGAAGAGTACTCACTCTTTACATATATAAACTCTCATTTCTTCAATAATAATGACATATGAAACATCTATTATATGTGAGGTACAGTACTAGTTACTTTATAGATTATACCTGTTGGTCTGAGTGCAATTCCCAATCTCTCTCTCTCACTGGATACACACACACACACACACACACACACACACATACCCATAAAAATTCTGGAACCAACAATCTTAGAAAAGATGTGGCCAGCTAAATCTACCACCCTGTTTTTCCTAATAATGTCCTGATGAAAGCCATCTCATGGGCAGAGACACACATAGGCTCAAAATAAAGGGATGGAGGAAGATTTATCAAGCAAATGGAAAACAAAAAAAGGCAGGGGTTGCAATCCTCGTCTCCGATAAAACAGACTTTAAACCAACAAAGATCAAAAGAGACAAAGAAGGCCATTACTTAATGGTAAAGGGATCAATTCAACAAGAAGAGCTAACTATCCTAAATATATATGCACCCAATACAGGAGCACCCAGATTCATAAAGCAAGTCCTGAGTGACCTACAAAGAGACTTAGACTCCCACACAATAATAACGGGAGACTTTAACACCCCACTGTCAACATTAGACAGATCAACGAGACAGAAAGTCAACAAGGATACCCAGGAATTGAACTCAGCTCTGCACCAAGCAGACCTAATAGACATCTACAGAACTCTCCACCCCAAATCAACAGAATATACATTTTTTTCAGCACCACACCACACCTATTCCAAAATTGACCACATTCTTGGAAGTAAAACTCTCCTCAGCAAATGTAAAAGAACAGAAATTATAACAACCTATCTCTCAGACCACAGTGCAATCAAACTAGAACTCAGGATTAAGAATCTCACTCAAAACTGCTCAACTACATGGAAACTGAACAACCTGCTCCTGAATGACTACTGGGTACATAACGAAATGAAGGCAGAAATAAAGATGTTCTTTGAAACCAAGGAGAACAAAGACACAACATACCAGAATCTCTGAGACACATTCAAAGCAGTATGTAGAGGGAAATTTATAGCACTAAATGCCCACAAGAGAAAGCAGGAAAGATCCAAAATTGACACCCTAACATCACAATTAAAAGAACTAGAAAAGCAAGAGCAAACACATTCAAAAGCTAGCAGAAGGCAAGAAATAACTAAAATCAGAGCAGAACTGAAGGAAATAGAGACACAAAAAAACCCTTCAAAAAATTGATGAATCCAGGAGCTGGTTTTTTGAAAGGATGAACAAAATTGATAGACCGCTAGCAAGACTAATAAAGAAAAAAAGAGAGACGAATCAAATAGACGCAATAAAAAATGATAAAGGGGATATCACCATCGTTCCCACAGAAATACAAACTACCATCAGAGAATACTACAAACACCTCTATGCAAATAAACTAGAAAATCTAGAAGAAATGGATAAATTCCTCGACACATACACCCTCCCAAGACTAAACCAGGAAGAAGTTGAATCTCTGAATAGACCAATAACAGGAGCTGAAATTGTGGCAATAATCAATAGGTTACCAACCAAAAAGAGTCCAGGACCAGATGGATTCACAGCCGAATTCTACCAGAGATACAAGGAGGAACTGGCACCATTCCTTCTGAAACTATTCCAATCAATAGAAAAAGAGGGAATCCTCCCTAACTCATTTTATGAGGCCAGCATCATCCTGATACCAAAGCCGGGCAGAGACACAACCAAAAAAGAGAATTTTAGACCAATATCCTTGATGAACATTGATGCAAAAATCCTCAATAAAATACTGGCAAACTGAATCCAGCAGCACATCAAAAAGCTTATCCACCATGATCAAGTGGGCTTCATCCCCGGCCGGGATGCAAGGCTGGTTCAATATACACAAATCAATAAATGTAATCCAGCATATAAACAGAGCCAAAGACAAAAACCACATGATTATCTCAATAGATGCAGAAAAGGCCTTTGACAAAATTCAACAACACTTCATGCTAAAAACTCTCAATAAATTAGGTATTGATGGGACGTATTTCAAAATAATAAGAGCTATCTATGACAAACCCACAGCCAACATCATACTGAATAGGCAAAAATTGGAAGCATTCCCTTTGAAAATTGGCACAAGACAGGGATGCCCTCTCTCACCACTCCTATTCAACATAGTGTTGGAAGTTCTGGCCAGGGCAATTAGGCAGGAGAAGGAAATAAAGGGTATTCAATTAGGAAAAGAGGAAGTCAAATTGTCCCTGTTTGCAGATGACATGATTGTGTATCTAGAAAACCCCATTGTCTCAGCTCAAAATCTCCTTAAGCTGATAAGCAACTTCAGCAAAGTCTCAGGATACAAAATCAATGTACAAAAATCACAAGCATTCTTATACACCAACAACAGACAAACAGAGAGACAAATCATGAGTGAACTCCCATTCACAATTGCTTCAAAGAGAATAAAATACCTAGGAATCCAACTTACAAGGGATGTGAAGGACCTCTTCGAGGAGAACTACAAACCACTGCTCAAGGAAATAAAAGAGGATACAAACAAATGGAAGAACATTCCATGCTCATGGGTAGGAAGAATCAATATCGTGAAAATGGCCATACTGCCCAAGGTAATTTAAAGATTCAATGCCATCCTCATCAAGCTACCAATGACTTTCTTCACAGAATTGGAAAAAACTACTTTAAAGTTCATATGGAACCAAAAAAGAGCCCACATTGCCAAGTCAATCCTGAGCCAAAAGAACAAAGCTGGAGGCATCACACTACCTGACTTCAAACTATACTGCAAGGCTACAGTAACCAAAACAGCATGGTACTGTTACCAAAACAGAGATATAGACCAATGGAACAGAACAGAGCCCTCAGAAATAACGCCGCATATCTACAACTATCTGATCTTTGACAAACCTGAGAAAAACAAGAAATGGGGAAAGGATTCCCTATTTAATAAATGGTGCTGGGAAAACTGGCTAGCCATATGTAGAAAGCTGAAACTGGATCCCTTCCTTACACCTTATACATAAATTAATTCAAGATGGATTAAAGACTTAAATGTTAGACCTAAAACCACAAAAACCCTAGAAGAAAACCTAGGCAATACCATTCAGGATATAGGCATGGGCAAGGACTTCATGTCTAAAACACCAAAAGCAATGGCAACCAAAGCCAAAATTGACAAATGGGATCTAGTTAAACTAAAGAGCTTCTGCACAGCAAAAGAAACTACCATCAGAGTGAACAGGCAACCTACAAAATGGGAGAAAATTTTCGCAACCTACTCCTCTGACAAAGGGCTAATATCCAGAATCTACAATGAACTTAAACAAATTTACAAGAAAAAAACAACCCCATCAAAAAGTGGACAAAGGACATGAACAGACACTTCTCAAAAGAAGACATTTATGCAGCCAAAAAACACATGAAAAAATGCTCACCATCACTGGCCATCAGAGAAATGCAAATCAAAACCACAATGAGATGCCATTTCACACCAGTTAGAATGGCAATCATTAAAAAGTCAGGAAACAACAGGTGCTGGAAAGGATGTGGAGAAATAGGAACACTATTACACTGTTGGTGGGACTGTAAACTAGTTCAACCATTGTGGAAGTCAGTGTGGCGATTCCTCAGGGATCTAGAACTGGAAATACCATTTGACCCAGCCATCCCATTTCTGGGTATATACCCAAAGGACTATAAATCATGCTGCTATAAAGACACATGCACACATATGTTTATTGCAGCATTATTCACAATAGCAAAGACTTGGAAACAACCCAAATGTCCAACAATGATAGACTGGATTAAGAAAATGTGGCACATATACACCATGGAATACTATGAAGCCATAAAAAATGATGAGTTCATGTCCTTTGTAGGGACATGGATGAAATTGGAAATCATCATTCTCAGTAAACTATCGCAAGAACAAAAAACCAAACACCGCATATTCTCACTCATAGATGGGAATTGAACAATGAGAACACATGGACACAGGAAGGGAAACATCACACTCTGGAGACTGTTGTGGGGTGGGGGGAGGGAGGAGGGATAGCACTGGGAGATATACCTAATGCTAGATGACGAGTTAGTGGGTGCAGCGCACCATCATGGCATATGTATACTTATGTAGCTAACCTGCACATTGTGCACATGTACCCTAAAACTTAAAGTATAATAATAATAAAAATAAATAAATAAAAGAATAATGTCCTGATATGGTTTGGCTGTGTCCCCACCCAAATCTCATCCTGAATTTTAGCTCCCACAATTCCCATGTGTCATGGAAGGGACCCAGTGGGAGGTTATTGAATCATAGGGGAGGGTCTTTCTCGGGCTATTCTTATGATAGTGAATTAGTCTCATGATATCTGATGGTTTTACAAAGAGGGGTTCCCCTGCACAAGCTCTCTCTCTCTTTGCCTGCCACCATCCATGTAGACGTGACTTGCTCCTCCTTGCCTTCCACCCTGATTGCGAGGCCTCCCCAGCCATGTGGAACTCTAAATCCATTAAACCTCTTTTTCTTCCCAGTTTCAGTTATCAGCAATGTGAAAATGTACTAATAGAGCAAATTGGTACCAGTAGAGTCGGATGTTGCTGAAAAGATACCCAAAAATGTAGAAGCAACTTCAGAACTGCAGAGGCAGAGGCAGAGGTTGGAGGTTTGGAAGGCTCAGAGTAAAAGAGAAAAATGTGAGAAAGTTTGGAACTCCCTAGAGACTTGTTGAATGGCTTTGACAAAAATGCTGACAGTGATATGAACAATAAGTTTCAGGCTGAGATGGTCTCAGATGGAGATGAGGAACTTGTTGAAAACTAGAGCAAAGGTGACTCTTGTTATGTTCTAGCAAAGAGACTGCAGCATTTTGCCCCTGCCCTAGAGATTTGTGGAACTTTGAACTTGAGATAGATGATTTAGGGTATCTGGCAGAAGAAATTTATAAGCAGCAAAGCATTGAAGACATGGCTTGGGTGCCGTTGAAGGCATTCCATTTTATAAGGGAATTAGAGCATAAAAGTTTGAGAAATTTGCAGCCTGACAATGCGATAGAAAAGAAAATCCCTTTTTCTGAGGAGAAATTCAAGCTTACTGCAGAAATTTGCATAAGTAATGAGGAGCAAATGTTAATCCCCAAGGCAATGGGGGAAATGTCTCAAGGGCATGTCAGAGGTCTTCACGGCAATCCCTCCCAATACAGGATCAGGCCTAGGAGGCAAAAGTGGTTTCCTGGGCCAGGCCCAGGGTCCCTGTGCTGTCTGCAGTCTAGGGACTTTGTGCCCTGTGTCTCAGCTGCTCCAGCTGTGGTTGAAAGGGGCCAATGTAGAGCTCGGACCATGGCTTCAGAGGGTGCAAGCCCCAAGCCTTGGCAGCTTCAACATAGTGTTGAGCCCGTGAGTGCACAGAAGTCAAGAAGTGAGGTTTGGGAACCTCTACCTAGATTTTAGAGGACATATGGGAATGCCTGGCTGTCCAGGCAAAAGTTTGCTGCAGGGGTGGGGCCCTCATGGAGAACCTCTGCTAGGGTAGTGCAGAAGAGAAATGTGGGGTCAGAGCCCCCAGACAGAGTCCCTACTGGGTCACCACCTAGGGGAGCTATGAGAAGAAGGCCATTGTTCTCCAGACCCAAGAATGATAGATCCACCTACAGCTTGCACCGTGTACCTGGAGAAGCCACAGACACTCAACGCCAGCCTGTGAAAGCAGCCAGGAGGGAGGCTGTACCCTGCAAAGCCACAGAGGTAGAGCTGCCCAAGACCAGGGGAACCCACCTCTTGCATCAGTGTAACTGGGAGGTAAGACATGGAGTCAAAGGAGATCATTTTAGAGCTCTAAGATTTGACTGCCCCACTGGATTTCAGACTTCCATGGGGCCTGTAGCCCCTTTGTTTTGGCCAATTACTCCCATTGGAATGGCTGTGTTTAAAAATACCTGTTCCCTCATTGTATCTAGGAAGTACCTAGCTTGCTTTTGATTTTACAGGCTCATAGGTGGAAAGGACTTGCCTTATCTCAGATGAAACTTTGAACTGTGGACTTTTGAGTTAATGCAGAAATGAGTTAAGACTTTTGGGGACTGTTAGGAAGGCTTGATTGATTTTAAAATGTGAGGACATGAGGTTTTGGAGCGGCTGTGGTGGAATGATATGGTTTGGCTGTGTCCCCATGCAAATCTCATTTTGAATTGTAACTCCCACACTTCCCACATGTAGTGGAAGGGATACAGAGGGAGGTAATTGAAACATGGGGGTGGTCTTTCTCATGCTGGTCTCATGATAATAAATAAGTCTTACAATATCTGATGGTTTTATAAAGAGCAGTTCCCCTGCACAAGCTCTTTCTCTTTGCCTGCCACCATTCATGTAAGATGTGACTTGCTTCTCCTTGCCTTCCACCATGATTGTGAGGCCTCCCCAGCCATGTGGAATTGTAAGTCCATTAAACCTCTTTCTCTTCCCAATCTCTGGTGTGTCTTTATCAGCAGTATGAAAACGGACTAATACATGTCCCAAGATGTAAAACTCTTTGTTCAAATGTGCTTTTACGTACTCAGTTACTCTCATCCATCTCCTCATCCATCTTTCCATACAAACATCCATCTAATAATTGAAGCTTTTAAAAAGTATGCATACAGTACTTGCTGTAAGTTAGGCACTTCCCTGTGGGATGCAAAACATACATGGCTCCTTTTCTTAGAGAACTTGCAGTTGGATAGGGGAGATAGACATAAATCAATTAGTTACCTAAATACTTATATAATTATACATTAAAACATGAGCTATTGTAGAAAGGAATCCTGTGCTATGAGAAAGAATAACAATAAAGTCTAATTTAATTTGGCAGCTTGGAAAATCTTTTCAAAGAAATGGCTTTTAAGTGTATTTCTAAGAATGGTTAGGAGTTTGTTAAATGGGAAATGGCAGGAAGAGAATTCCAGGAAGGAGCTCTCGAATTGCATAAAGTTGAACAACATTGAACAAGGTGTGAGCCTTGGTGAAACTGAAGGAGGGCTAGTGGGGTAGGAATATAGTAAGTTGAGGTAAAGGTAGAAGGAAGCAGTAGCCAGGTCATGGAGGAAACACAATGCCTTTGAGAAGATTTTAGGCCTTTTGGAGGAACCAAAATATCCATTAGTAGTTTTAGACATACTTCATTAACCTGCCCTCTGCCTCCAATGTGGATACACTCCTCACTCCACTCAAGCTACAGTACCTTCTACTGCTCTGGCCCTACCATAAGGACATCCTCCTCATCCATTTCCTACTCCAGCACCCTGTGCTAGGCCACCTCCCTCACTCTTGGGCTGTGAGGCCATCACTGTAGCATCGTCCTATAAAAATGCCTTCCCATTCCCTTTGGGCTTTGTCTCCCAATCTGTGCCACCATGGGTGTCCTCCCAGGACAGACACTTACAACGTGCGCCATGTAATGTTTTTGGACTGAATGATTTATGAAAGAAAAAAATAAAAGAAATAAAATGAAGAGAAAAGAAATGAAGTAAAGTATGGAGGAAAAGAAGAAAAATAAGAACATTTTAAAAAGATGAGAAAAATTTAGGCTTTGGGAAAACAATACTAAAGTCATATGTTTTAAAGAGACCCTAAAGAGTACCCAGTTTAGTTATCCCTGAAGCTGGCAAAATATTGGAATTACCTGGAGGACTTTTAAAAATTAAGAATCATGAATGACCTGATGGAGTGGGTGTTATTCAACCTCTGATAACCTGTTAATGATGCATTCTGGTGCAAATGTTTTCAGTCTCCCCTATGCAGGACCCTGCAGTTGCCTGGAACTTTAAGAGACTCGTGTGTGTGTGCGTGTGTGTGTGTGTTTGTAAGTGGGAAAAGTGTGGGAAGGAATACATCTAATAAAATCTCTCCACTTCCACTGCAATCAGGACAAAATAGAACTCCGAATATATTTTCTGTACTTATCATTCATGCAGTATTTTACTAGAAGGTTTTTCTGTTTTAAAACAGTGTGAAAGCATTGCACTAGAGTATCTGGGTTCCCTTAATCACACATAGAAGATAAAAAGGAAACTAGAGAGTCTCACTGCATTTGGTCTTCACTATAATGAAGGCAAATTCTGAAAATACTCAAGGATCTTTTTTGAAATACAAGTATTCTTCAGTGCAACAGAAATTACTCCAATTTGCCAATCTCCTTTAATATTGTATCTAATAATATTTATCATTTAATAATAGTTTAAACCTACCTAGAAATAACTTTAATTCTTTTATAGACAGGGACAATTCAAAAAACTCATTTATGCTTCTGAAAAAAACACCCAACACTTTGGAAACACAAATATTTACAAAAGATTTGCTAGATAAATTATGACAAATATTGTAGCTATAGTTACTTTTTGATCACTGGGCAGATTAAATACAAATACATATGAAGATTTTTCAGGTCACAAGGACATTCATTTGTTACCTATTTATCATGAGCTCTCAGTGGGTTCAGCACCACGCAAAATAATTTAAAAATGGTCAAATCTCTAAAGAAGGAGTTCATATTCTATCTGGAAAGACACAAAGAAGAGAAAAAATAATGCAATGATATTTGTACAAGTATAAAGATAAAGAGAGAGGGTTCTGTGGAGCCCATAAAAGGGCACATAAGCCAGTGTGGGAGTTTTAGATAAAGCTTTCTATAGGAGGTGAGGTTAGAGCTACAAAGCTTATTCCCATTGATTATTTTAAAACTGCCTTTTGATGTAGCCTAGATGAACTTCAGCCTATAAAGTTCCCTTTGTTGCATTAACCTCAATGCAAGATCATCTAACAAGCTCTATGCCTTATTTAGATAAGCATTAGTGGTCAGATTTTTGAATCATGTCATCATTTATTCCTTCCACACCTCATTTAATAAGCATTAATGGTTTTGTTTTTGTTTTTGTATTTTTTCATGTCTGTTTATTATAAATATTTGGGAGCTTTCCTGTTATAGGAGAAGGTAGAAAAGATCTGAAGTTAGTCTAGATTTTAGAATTGGATCCTCCACTTATTAGTAACTTGACCTTGGCAATCCATGTAAATATTTACAGTTGCTTCATTTGTAAAATTGACATAAACATATCTTTCTAGCTAGTTGTGTATCATAGAATTAAGCAATATATGATCATATCTTTGTCATGTTTAATATGTTTCCTAGATGTTGAAACTCTTTGATAATGAAGTGCATCTTTCTGTTATGTTTAATATGTTTTCTAGATGTTAAAACTGATAATGAAGTGCATACTTTCTCTCTTTTTTTTTTTTTTTGAGATGGAGTCTCTCACTGTCACCCAATCTGCCTCCCAGGTTCAAGCAATTCTCTGCCTCAGCCTCCTGAGTAGCTGGCATTACAGGTGCCCGCCACACCACGCCCGGCTAATTTTTGTATTTTTGGTAGAGACAGGGTTTCCCCATCTTGGCCAGGCTGGTCTTGAACTCCTGACCTCATGATCCATCCGCCTTGGCCTCCCAAAGTGCTGAGATTATTAGGCAGGAGCCACTGCACCTGGCCAGGTGCATACTTTCATCATTTTAAAATAATGAACTTTTTTCTCAAAGTGATGACAAGCTGGTTCTAATAGTATTATAATGCATCTGTACTGGCAAAGTGGTAAGTGGTCAATCTATCCAAATGTTATTTGCAAAGGTAATACAAATCTAGTATGCTTCTTATATGAGAAGTGTGAGAGATGAGCCAATATAAATAAACTAATAGACCATCATTTTATGAGTTTGAAAATGTGTAAATCATTCCAAGCTAGAGGAAATCAGAGAAAGCTTCATGGATGAGTAACATTTGTTCTGTAAGGTAGATATATTTTCAACCAATGGAACAATATAAGAAAGATATAGGGATAGAGTAAGACGTCTTTTGTTGTTAGCAAATTCTCATTGGAACACACAGTTAATGGAAGCGTAGATATTTACATATGAATTAGGGTCTGAGCTGTAACGTTAAGTCAAGAAGCTTAGATTTTGTGCAAATGATAATATAAGAGCATATTTAAATAACTGAGTGACAGACTTAAATCTGAAACTTAGGGGAATTAAAATTATTCTTGCAAGAGATTTGGGGAGAGGAGAAAAACTGCGGGATTGGATAAAATTGTCAAATGCAGACTACCTACTAAAATCTACTTTTTAAATACTGTTCACTCATTCAATAAACTTATATTGAGGATCTCTTATGTTCCAGGCAAGTTGTAGGTTAATTCCTTATTATCAATTTGTTTCATGTCTTTTCCTAGTTTATGGGTATTATTTTAAAAATAAAAATGACTGCCCATATCTTGACTTCTAAATACCATTCTCCATGAAATGAAATGAGCACTCATTGGAGAAATGACTGGCTCATGGGCTGGAGCAGAGAAACTACAAGATGAATCTAGAACATCTTTTAGTAACAGAAAGTACGAAGAGTCTAAATAATGATAGGGCTTGTCAAAGGACACAGGGGCCAGCTCTAAGCAGTTCCCTTGGGCAAACCTAGAAAAACTAGAACACTGCCAGGCCCAGTGGCTCACGCTTGTAATTCCAGCACTTTGGGAGGCTGAGGCGGGTGGACCACCTGAGGTCAAGTGCAAGACCAGCCTGACCAACATGCGTCATGGTGGGCACCTGTAATCCCAGCTACTTGGGAGGCTGAGGCAGGAGAATCGCTTCAACCGGGAAGGCGGAGGTTGCGGTGAGCCGAGATCGCACCGTTGCACTCCAACCTGGGCAACAAGAACGAAACTCCGTCTTAATTAAAAAAAAAAAAAAAAAAAAAAAGAACATTAAAATAATGATAGCAAAGGATTATAGCCCATGAATAAAGAATTCTTAAGTTCACACTGATATAAATAAAATATGTAAATATATAAATTTAAAAAATGGAAAGTTTGTCCTCCCAGTGGATAACGAAATGGATAAGGAAATATAAAATTACAAAATTACAAGTTGTCAACCAGCATAATAATTGATCCAGGCAAAATGTGTCAATACTTGCTAAAGCTAGTGGATAAAATTTGAGAGAATATAGGATATTTACAAATATACAAAGTATTTCCCCATAGCAACATTATGTAAAAAGTGGAAAAAATGTAATTTTCAGTTCGGAAATGTAGCAATCAAGGAATCAAAGTTAACGTCACAAGTAATGTGATTAATAGATGCCATATACCATGCTGATACACACAAACATATGAAACACCCAAATTGAGAGATATCTACAATTAAATGATCTATATTCTTCAAGAAAATTTCAAGATAAGCCAGTTAGGATATAGAAGCCTGAAAAATCACATCACTTTCACCCAAGCAATGAGAAAAAGTAGAAAAAAGTCTACAAATTGTAATTGTATTTGAGCCAATCAGAGAACTGAGATCACAAAGCAATCAAGGAAATGGAATCCTAAGGAGTGATGGGTTCCTGATGAGAGATGGGACACATGAAATATGTTACATTTGGGAGCACACAGAAGGAAGAGATGATCATCATAAAAGCAGTTAGAAGAATACAACTGATATTTTAATGAATTTCTAAAAGCTAGATGTAGATCAGTGTGAATTTAATACCCTGGGAGTCCTAGATACATGGGAAGCCCATTCTTTCTCACTGGTTTGTTTGTTTCACTGCCCCTTGCAGAGCAGGGATACCCCACAGGCAGTGTGCCCAGAGTAGCCCTCACTAGTTTGTTTTTTTTGTTTTTGTTTTTGTTTTTTGTTTTTTGTTTTTTGAGACAGAATTTTGCTCTTGTTGCCCAGACTGGAGTGCAATGGCACAATCTGGGCCCACTGTAACCTCCACCTCCTCGGTTCAAGCAATTCTTCCACCTCAGCCTCCCAAGCAGCTGGGATTAGAGGCATGTGCCACCATGCCAGGCTAATTTTGTATTTTCAGTAGAGACCGACTTTCTCCATGTTGGTCAGGCTGGTCTGGAACTTCTGACCTCAGGTGATCCACCTGCCTCAGCCTCCCAAAGTGCTGGAATTACAGGCATGAGCCACTGCACCTGGCCTCACTAGTTGTTTTCCATGTGCATCCATCACGTGTTCATGAGAAAGGTGGGGACGGGGACAGAGACCTGAAAGAGCTGCATTAGTGACATGGGATGCTGCGCCTGGCTAGGTGTGTGGGTGGAGGAGGAGCACTTGGAGAAGCCCATTTTGTACTCTAGGCCCTGCATGAGTATAAGGTGGGGATTGGCTGCCACTTGGGAATAGAAAGGAATGCTGAGGCTTCTGTGGACAGGGACTAGGACAGGGACTATGTAAGTTTGAGGCTGCAGCAGGAGAGCCAAGAAAATTCTGCTCCCGCCTTACTCTCAGTAACAAACATCACCAGCCTATCACTAAGGGAAGGGCAAGGGCACAGAGAGAAACCACCAATGTGGTTTAGGAGTGCAGGCCTACAGAAAGCCAACGGTGGAACAGGAATTCTAGGAGAAAGCCTCTAGCACTCTGGGCCATGCATTAAGCACAAGATAGTGGTGGTTTGCACTAAAGGAATTTGAAGTCTGTGGTACACAGAAGGAACCTAGCAACCGAAAAGCCCAAAACCAGCTCAGCAACAGACTAGATTTACTCAACCCTTCCCTTCAAATTGCCTGATAGAAGAAAAAACTGAAAACTTCCAGGCATAAATTTTAGTCACCTCGTCTCAGTTTTATTCATCTAGTTTCAATTTCTTCCTTTTACTAACAATGTCTGACATTTATCTAAACATTATGGAACACATAAAGCAAGTAAAAGGACATATGCTCAAGAAAGAAAAGAAATGAAGAGAAGCAGACATGGAGACACCTCAGAGGTTGACAGTCAGACAGGGAGCTTAAAATAACAATGACTAATACGCTGAAGGAATCGGGTAGTGGAAAAGGTGAATCCATGCATGAAAAGATGGGAGATATTCAGAAGGAAGGAGGAAAGTTTAAAAAGAATCAAATGGAAATGCTGAAAATAAAAACACAATATCAGAAATGAAGAATTACTTCAACAGGCTTTTCAGCAGAATAGTCAGAGAAATGGAAAGCAGCAATAACTTGAAGATAATTAAAACACAAAGAGGAAAAAAAGAGCTAAAAGGCAAACAGAAGCATGGAAGAGTTGCGAAACCAGACAAAATCATTTAATATACACATACTTGGAATCTCAGGAGGAGAAGAAAGAATGAAGCAGAAGAAATATTTGAAGAGATAAAGGCCAAGACTTTTTCAAATATAATGAAAGATAATAAACCAGAGTTCCTGAAGCTTCAGAGAAACCTAAGCAGCAGGACAAATTTATTTTAAAGAGATTTCAATTATATATTAAAGATATTTACAAATATTAAATCTGTTCTATACACCCACATTGTAAATTATATTTTAAAGGCAATTATATTTTAAAGACATATAAAAAACTAAAGTCTGTTATATTTACCCACATTATTACTGTGTCCAAATGCCTTTGTGTGTCTATGCATGTGCATGAGTGTGTCTATGCATGTACATGAGTGTGTCTGTGTGTTTTCCTTCAGAAGTTCATCTGATATCATGCTCAGTTTGCCAGATCTTGCTGTAACATCTCTTTTCATGCAAATTGGCTGGCAATAATTTATCTCAGTTTTTGTCGTCTGAGAAGCACATTGCTTTCTTATTTGCAAGATGTTTTCACAGGGCATCATTGTAGGTGGTGAGTTGCTGTTTCTGTGTTTGCTTTCCATATGTCAAATAAGCAACTTTATTGTCTTCTGTCTGGCCTCGTTTCAGAAGCCAAGTCTGCTATTTCATATCTGCTTCCTGGTAGAAATTGTTTCTTTTCTCTTTGATTGACTTCAAGATTTTCCCTTTACCTTTGTTTTCTTAATCATTTGACCGTGAAGAGCTAGAGTTTTTCTTCATATTTATCCTGAAACTCTGAAATTAGTATATCAGATAACACATCTCATTTATTTTTTGAGGCCAGCATTGTTCTAGCAGCAAAACAAGATACTCTTAAAAAAAGATTAATATTAATAATTTAAAAAAATGAGCAAGTCAAATCAGAAATGTATTTTAAGAAAGGAAAATATATCATGAACAAATAAGGGATTACTATAGAATTCAAGGTTTGGGGCCTGGCGTAGTGGCTCACACCTGTAATCCCAGCACTTTGGGAGGCTGAGGCCAGTGGATCACCTGAGGTCACGAGTTGGAGATCAGCCTGGCCAACATGGTGAAACCCTATCTCTACTAAAAATACAAAAATTAGCCAGGCATGGTGGTGCATCCCTGTAATCCCAGCTACTCAGGAGGCTAAGGCAGGAGAACCAGGAAGCAGAGGTTGCAGTGAGCCCAGATGGCAATACTGCACTCAAGCCAGAATGACAGAGTGAGACTCCAACTCAAAAAAGAAAAAAAAAAAAAATTCAAGTTTTGTTTACTATTTGAAATCAATCAACCAGTAAATTTCTATACTATTACTGGACTGAATAAGAAAAGCCATAAGATTATTTCATTAAATGCAGAAATAACAATTGACAAAATTCAACATACCTTTAAGATAAAAATAAACTAAGTAAAGTAGATACAAGGATATATGGGTTATTTATTTATTCCTGGTGAAATTTGTTACTTCGTTCTTTTAAAGAATTTGTTCACTTAATCTATGTGGTGAAGTTTTTGACATAAAGCTGTTCAAAATATTTTCTTATATTCTGTTAAATTTAGAACAATATATATTTATGCTTCCTCCTGTCCTTTCATTTCTGATATTAGTAAAATGTGCTAACTCCTGCTGTTAGAGATTTACCAAATGTATTGAATTTTGACAAGAAGCAGTTGTTGGTTTCACTAGTTTTTTCTATTGGTTTTCCAATTTAATTTTATTCATTTATTTTCTTGTCTTTATTATTTGTTTCCATTTCTTACTTTGGGTTTAATTTGTTCTTCTTTTGTTAGTTTATTTTAGATAGCATTATTGAGGTATAACTGATATACAATAAAATGTATATATTTAATGTATACAGTTTATGAGTTTTGACATAGCATATGCTCATGAAACCATCATCACAATCAATGTAATGCACATATCCACCATTTCCAAAAGTTTCCTATGTCCCATTGTTTTATTGTTTGGTTGTGGGTTTCCTTTTTGTGATAAAAACACTTAACATAAAATTTGCCCTCAACAATTTTTCAGTGCATAATATAGTATTGTTAACTATAACTATTATTCTATAGTGCAGATCTCTAGAACTAATTCATCTTGCATAACAAAAGCCTTATATCAATTGAACAACAAGTCCACAACTCCCTGTCCCCCTGCTCCTTGGTAACCACTATTCTACTACCTGTTTTTGAGTTTGACTATTTTAGATACCTCATATAAGTGAAATCATGTAGTATTTATCTTTCTGTGACTAGCTTATTTCACTTAGCATAATGTCCTTCAAGGTCATCCATGTTGTGGCAAATGGCAGAATTTCCTTTTTTTTTAAGGCTTAATAATATTCTACTGTATGCAAAAAAAATCACAATTGTTTTCTATCCATTCATCTTTCAATAGGTATTTCAGTTGCTTCCATAATTTAGCCATTGTGAGTGATGTAATAAATACAGGAGTACAAATATCCCTTAGAGATCCTTATTTCAATTCTTTAGAGTATATTCCCAGAAGTAGGATTGCTAAATTATGTGATAGTTTTATTTTCAATTTTTTGAAGAACCTCCCTACTGTGTCCCATAGCAGCTGCATTATTTTACTTTCTCACCAACAGTGTAAAAAGGTTCCAAGTATTATACCTTCTCACCAAAATTCAACTTTTGTTTGTTTGGTGGTATGAGGTGATATCTCACTTCAGTTTGATTTGTATTTCCTTGGTTGTCAGTGATGCTGAGCATCTATTCAGATAACTGCTGACCTTTTATTTGTATGCCTCTATCAGAAAAAGTATCTATTCAGGTTTTTGACCATATTTTAATTAAGTCATACTTTTTTGCTATTGAGTTATAGTAGTTCCTTGTATATTTTATATACTAACTCCTTATACATGGCTTGCAAATATTTTCTCTCATTCTGTAGGTCACCTCTTTACTCTGTTGATTGTTTCCTTTCTTGTGCAGACAACCTTTTGTTTCATATAGTCTCACTTGTCTATTTTTGCTTTTATTTCTTGTGCTTTTGGTGTCATAGCCAGGAATCATTGTCAGGACCAATGTCATGGAGATTTCTCCCTGTGTTTTCTTTCAGGAGTTACACAGTTTCAGATCTTACATTTAAGTCTTTACTCCATTTTTAGTTTATTTCTGTGTACAGTGTAAGATAGAAAGCCTATTTCATTATTTTGCTTGTTGACACCCAGTTTTCCCAACACAATTTGTTAAGAAGACTATTTTTTCTCCATTGTGTATTATTGGTACTCTTTCAAATATCTGTTAACCACATACGTGTCGGTTTAATTCTTGGCTCTATATTCTGTTCAATTGGTCTTATATAACTGTCTGTATGTCAGTACCATAGAGTTTTAATTACTGTAGTTGTGTAATATATTTTGAAATCAGGAAGTATGATAACTCTAGCTTTATTCTTTCTACTCCAGGGTGCTTTGGCTATTCTGGGTCTTTTGTGGTTCCATATGAATTTTAAAATTGTTTTCTCTATTTCTCTAACAAATGCCATTGGGATTTTGATGGCAATAGCATGAAATCTACAGATTGCTTTGGGTAGAATGGGCATTTTAACAATATTAAGTCTTCCAATCCATAAACATGGGATATGTTCCCATTTGTTTGTGCCTTTAATCTCTTTCATTAATACTTTGTTGTTTTCTGTGTGTAAGTCTTTCACTTCCTTGGTTAAGTTTATTCCTAATTGTTTTAGTCTTTTTGATGCTATCATAAATGAGATAGTTTTCCTAATTTTCTTTGTGGATAGTTCATTGTTACTGCCTAAAAATGTTACTGAGTTTTTTAGGTTAATTCTGTATTCTGCAACTTTACTGAATTCATTTATCGGCTTTAACAGTTTTTGGTGGTCTTTATGATTTTCTACATATAAGGTAGTATGATATTCATATTATCTCCATTATTAGTTCATTAGCTATAACTTTAAGTTTCTTAGCAGCTGTTCTGAAGATTATAATAAACATTTATAACAGTACCACAAAGTATTAGAGAAACTATATGAAAATATTCTGCTGTAAATTTCTTTCATTATATGTGAAGTACAAAAACAACATTTAAAGATTAATCATGATAAAGATACATACTATAAACCTTATTGCTACTGTGAAGCAATAGCAACACAGGTACTGTTTAGTCCTACGAATGTTATCTAGTTTCCTCTATGCACACAAAGAAGTCATGAGGGCACACAGCCAGATGGTCATCACCTACAAGCCAAAAGAAGAGGCCACAGAATGAAACCTACCTTGCCAGCACCTTAATCTTGGACTTCCCACCCTACAGAACTGTAAGAAATAAATTTTTGTTGTTTAAACCACCCATCTATGATATTTTATTATGGGAGACTAATACAGGTATTAACAGAAATCTTCTTAAACAGATGGAATTACAATTTACAGAAAATCTCTCCATGTTACATAAGGCTAAATATAGATGAATGTAAGAACCTTCCTTATGTCATTTGCCAATAACTACAGAGAATAATGTTAAGGAAGAAAATACTAGTAAATGTAAAATTAGCAAAAGATTTTTAAACATTAAAATAATAAAGAAAGCTATTTAACAGAAGCATAAAGCAGTGGGCTTCAAGTTTAGGAGCATGTAAATAAAATTGGCTACAGGAATTACATGTGTAGTGTTGCTCTAACATTCTGTATGGTAGTATAGAGAAAGAAAGTCCATTATTAGAATTTAATGTTGTTGATGATTTAGAAGGATAAGAATTTATATTGTATTTATGTTTCCTACAATACTTAGCATAGCATTCTGCATATTTTAACTGCTCGTTAGTATGTTAATTCTATTTAATTTTATTCCTTTCGATTACACAATTACGCATTGCTTTCACCTTGTAATCTTTTTTAAAAGGCAAAACACTGTATTACAATATGAGAATATGGAACAATAAAATGAGAACACACTTAAGATAACAGACCTTGGATGGATTCCACTGTGGAGAATGTAAGCAGGTCATTTCACCTCTTTAGAGTTCTGTTTCATCTTCAGGAAAACAACAGGGTTGGCAGGGTGATCCTATAATCTCATGCATTTATTCATTAAATGACACTGTTTTTTGAGTACCCATTTTATTACAAACATTAAATTAGGCTCATATAATAAATCTCTGGCTTCATGAAACTTTATGAAACTAGCTTTATTTAGATTTTTTTCCTTTTTTTTTTTTTTTTTTTTTTTGAGAAAGGGTCTTGCTCTGTCACCAAGGCTGGACAGGCTACAATGCAGTGGTGTGATCACAGCTCACTTCAGTCTCAATCTCCCAGGATCAGGCCATCCTATCGCCTCAGCCCTCCAGTAGCTGGGACTACAGATGGATGCTACTACACTCAGCTATTCTTTTCTGTATTTTTTTAGACGGGGTTTCACCTTTTGCTCAGGCTGGTCTTGAACTCCTCAGCTCAAGTGATCCATCTGCCTTGGCCTCTCAAAGTACTGGGATTACAGGCGTGAGCCATCATTCCTGGCCAGAATTTTTAGAATTATTATTTCATCCCATTGCATCATCAGAAACCTTAGCATCTTGCAATACAGTATATGTTGGGACAAAACGATTATGGTGTATAGGATACTGTGAAGCAGAGGCTGGAAAGCTGAAAATCACATTATCCAGATTCCCTTGAAGCTGAGATTCTGGATATGTTTATGTTTCACCAATCAGATGCACAAGAGTGAAATCTGAATTTAAATTGTTTTAAGTACATAGAAAGGCCAGGTGTGAGACCTCTATTTTGCTGGTGTGGGTCACAACAAAACAGAGAGGGTATGGAACTTTCTGTAGCAGCAGCTTCTCAATTCAATAATCAGATTCCTGATTATGATGGAAAGAGAAAAACCCTTAGAGACACAGTTCTGTTATGTGGTTTTCCAAGTGATTTTTGGAAGTTCTGCCTAAAAGTCTGTTATTTCATTTATTCCCCAAATTCTGTTAGCCATTTAGCACACATTTATAATTTATTTCTCCTAGAATTATCTACAGTAGAGTCAGTACTCTGCAACCAAACACTGACTGACAGAATCAACTAATACAAGAGAACATATACTTGGGAATAACTGTATAATAGTCCAAGTCAAAAGTTTCCTGGCTGATCTGAAATTATTAGTGAACTGAGAGATGTTTGCATAAGTGTTTAAGAATAATGGATTTCTTTTCAGTAGGACTTCTGAACATTTTTAAATGGTTAATTTATCTTTTAAATCACACTATACAGCATTTCCTCCAATGTATTTGACCAGGAAATTAACTGTTCATTTCAGGGGAAATCTATTAACAGCTGGAGAAACACAGAGTTTGTGAAACATTGGTCTCATGTATTGCCCAGCAATCTGAGCCAACAACCTTTGCTTTTGTTCCAAGTCTATTTGTTCCAAGCAATTTATTTAGACTTTTATTTTCCATACATCTTATTGTCATGCTATAGTAAGTGTTTTTCTAAATAGGAATATCAATCTCCAGCCAGTTGAAAACAGTATACATTCTTTCATTATAAGTTGATGACATTATTTGCTTGAACAAATAAATTCCTTTTCAGCCTGCATAAAATTAAAAAAATTAGATGTAAAGGCAAAACCAGTTTATTTCCAGAGCTGACAGAAATGAAAGGGAAAATAATGAGAAGATAAATAGATTTTGTCTTTATTTTCCAGTTTTTTTGTAGATTTAAATGAGTTTAATGGGGGTAAGACTTGTAAAAGTCAGAAGGAACTCTGAATGTGTTTGAGATGAGAAAATATTTAACTACTAGAAAATCTTGGGCACTGAGATCATCCTTAGCTATACAAAATTAATGACATCATTGTGTAATGTGCTAAGTACTATCATTTTCTAGAGTAAAGAGAGGAGTAATTTTAGCTTACAATGGTAAGGAAAGCAATCGCAGAAGATGCGATGTTAAAGTTCCAGTAGGCTTATTACAGCTAGAGTTGACTAGGGTAGAATAGAATGTAAACAAGATGATTGAGGGTGGGTCAGTGTGATTGCAGACCTGGATATAATTTCTACAGATCTAATGAATTCTGAAAAGCATAATCAAGTCTCACTACTTGACTATGTATCATAATGTAAATCAAATGCTTAGAAAAGTGAAATAAAATCTGTGTCAGTATTATGATTAATTACCATGAATAAACTTAGATGATATTGTTACAATTACAAAATTATAAAATTTTAGAATTAAAAAGAATTTTTGAAACTATGTTATTCAAATCCTATACCCATCTTTCCACCTAAAATTTAATTCAGTTCAAAAGAAGAGGGGAAAAAATGGTAGCTATATTAGACTAAGTTGGCCACAATAAAAAAGTTAAAAAAAGATAGGCTAAAAAATACTCAAAGAAATAATGGCTAAAAATGTCCCAAATGTGGCAAAAGACACAAACCTACATATTTAAAAAGCTGAACAAACCCCAAAGATGAACATTGTATAATAGAGGCTGTTGATGTCCTGCCAATATTCTCTTTGCTACCCACTGCCCTGACCCCTCCAGTTGCTGGAAGTAGCAGTGTTGTCTACCACCCACAGTTTCTCCCTTCTGTAAAGAACTGTCCTTGGTCAATGGCAGCCTCGTTGCTCAGGAGGTCAGCTAACCTCACTGTCCATCCCTTGGACCTTGGCAAAAAAAAAAAAAAACCCAAAAAAAAAAATGACTGATGGAGGAGTACCAAAGGCCACTGCCTTACTCCAAGGGGATATTTACACTGTAGCAGACTTTTCTCCAGAGATTCTGTGAAATTAGAATGAAGCTAGTCTCAATCTGAGACAATATTTTGTTAGCTTTTTTCCCATGCCCATCTTGCTGTCTCTACTCACCTCCTCATAAGAATATGGAGAATAGCTAGAACTGTATTAATGAAGCAGTAGGATGCTAACTACAATAGTCAGGGAAGCCCTCCTGGGGATAAAATGCTTAGGCTTCCATATGAATGAAAAGGAACTAGCAGGAGCAAGTTCTCTTTCTGTTCAAGAAAAAAACACAGTGTTGTTGAAAAACAGTGAGTAAGAGGAAAAGTGAAAGAAGTTATGATCAGAGAGGTGGTCAGAAGCCATATAGACCACGGTAGGAAATATATATATATATGTAAAATATATGTATGTGTATATATATATGTGTATGTGTATTATATGTGTATATATATACATATACACACACACATATATATAATACATATATACCTATACACGCACACATATATATAACACACACACATATATATATATTTAAAAGTACATTGGCTGCTCTGTGAGGATGGAGTTTAGAAAAGCAGGAGTTGAAGCACAAAGACCAGTTAGGATGCTAATATGATAATCCAAATGGCTTGGATGCACATAGACATGCTGCAAAAGGAAAGATTCAGAATATACTTGAGAGGTACAAATGATGTCACTTGCTGCTGCATTGGGCATGGGAAGTGAGCAGAAGAAAGCAATCAAAAACAACTCCTAAGTTTTTGGCTTGAGCAACTGAGCAGATAATGGTATCTTCTACTGAGATGAGGGAGTTTATGGGAGAAATAGATTTGCTGAAGGTGGATGAGAGTTAACAGTTCTTTTTTGGAAATGATAAATTTGAAATGCCTATTGATATTCAAAGTGAAAATGTCATGAATTTAGTTGTGTATGCAAGGCTGGAGCTCACAAAAGATGTCCAGATGGAAATTTGGAAGACATCAGCATACAAGTAGTACTTAAAACCCTATTACTGGAGGATCTTTTCTATAGGAAAAAATGTAAGAAGGCAACAGAAAGAATCTGAGACTCAACCCTAAAGTACATCAACAGTTAGACATTGAATACGATAATTTAAGCCAGAAAAGGAGACAGAATGAGGTCTCAGTGAGGCAGAAAAAGAAATGTGCGGTGTTAAGGAAGGCAGAATAAATAAATGTTTCAAGAAAGCAGGAGTGACTGCTGGTCAAGAGTTCTTAATAGGCTAAGTCAATGGTAGAGAAGTAACCACTATACTTGTTCTCTTGACTAGAGCTGATTGAGGGTAGTAATGGGAACAAAGACCAGGGTAGGTGTATGTTGAGGAGGGAGTGAGGTGGGTGGCAGGTGGCGGAGAGACAGGGAGTCAAAGAGGTTTATTTGTGCTTCTTTTTATATAACTACTAGAGAGTCTAAATGATAAAGCAAATAATTTAATAAAGAGTAAAATAGCTGATGAGAGAGACAGAAACACACGAAGATTAGAGGATTCGTGAAAATATAAAAGAGTGGAATCAAGAGCTAAAGAAGAGAAGGGGCCTTCAAAGAAATAGCATCTCATCTCCCATAACAAAAGGAAAATAATAATAATTTCTAAATTATCCTTGCTAGTATGTAAAATTACCATGCATTTTTGTATACTGGCCTTATCAATCTTTTTTATTTTTATGTTTCAGTTTGAATAATTTCTATGGACATCTTCCAGTTTACTTTTTTTCTCAGCTGCATGCAGTCTGATTATAAATATTCAATGTTATTTCCCTTATCTTTTTTTAATTTCTAGCAATTCCACTTGATTATATTTATTGTTTCTATCTCTATGCTGAAATTCATCTCTTTGTGCATGTCATTCTCCTTTTTCTTTAGGTCCTTTATTATATTAATCATAGTTATTTAAATGTTCCAGTCGGAGAGTTTCAACTATAGTTTCAGCTATCAGACTCAACTCTGAATCTGATTTTTCTTGCTTCTTTTTTTTTTTTTTGTTTGTTTGTTTGTTTGTTTTTTGAGATGGAGTCTCACTCTGTCACCCAGGCTGGAGTACAGTGGTGCTATATTGGCTCACTGCAAGCTCCGCCTCCCAGGTTCACACCATTCTCTTGCCTCAGCCTCCCGAGTAGCTGGGACTACAGGCACCTGCCACCACGCCCGGCTAATTTTTTGTATTTTTTAGTAGAGACGGGGTTTCACCATGTTAGCCAAGATGGTCTTGATCTCCGGACCTCATGATCCGCCCGCCTTGGCCTCCCAGAGTGCTGGGATTCTTGCTTCTTATTCTTGACAATGGGGTCATTCTTTCTTGCTTTTGTGGGTACAGAACATAATTGTTACTAAATACTGGTAATTGTATGTGGAAAAACAGCAGATACAAAAGTAAATAGTATTTACTCTTGGAAATGTGTGTACCTCTACTTCTGAGTTGAGTCAATCTAGTTAGTAGTTAGACTAGATTTGGTAATTGTTTTTGCTATTGTTACCTGAAGTGTACCACACACTTCCAATTCCTCCAGTGATAGAATATGTACATTGTGCTTAGAGTGGTTCCTTGGGTACCAGAACGTTTTTTTCAGTATTGCTGATCCATCCCCTGCTTTCAGCCATTCTCTACCACAGAGAGAATCTCTTACCATCCTTTGTCCTGGTCCCAGTTGGTAGACTATTATTGCTGGTTACTCAGTTTGAAGCTCTTGGAGAGAAGATGAGATTCTTGGCTCTAATGACCCAGTCTCAGTCTTAGGCAGATCCTATACACCCGGGCCTTGAAGCTTTGGCTTTTCAGCATTCCTGCTCCCCTTTTCCCCCTGGATCCTGCCCATACTCCAGTTGTAGCAGACCTCTGCTTTGTATCAGTCCAGGAACCTGGGCCCAAAAGTTTTCTTTCAAATTTCCAAGAGGTAGAGATATTTTAATTCTACCCTTCTCCCAGAAGGAATGGGTCTTTTTCTGGGTCCTGGAGAAAGAAGGTTTTCCTACCTTTTATGTTATCACTTTCATATAAGCAGAGGACCTTTTTCTGGCCCTTAATGTTGGAGGGGTTGTTGCCTCTTTCTCAGTGGCTTAGTAATTTGTTTTATTTGAGACATGAATCCAGAGAAGTGAGTGGTAATTTCCAACTTACCCCAGTGGCAATCAGTCACTATCTGCTCATCTGCACACTGGTGCCACCAAGGGTCCTGCATCCAGTCTTCTGCATGAACACCTCTGGAAGCCTGTGGAAAAGAACATGTGAGTTAGGATCAACTCCTTTTGTGTTTAGGTTCTCATGGTCATGAATAAGCTATCCTACACATTGCTTTAAAGAATTTGGTAACATTGTAACTGATTTTTAACATTGTACCTGCTTTTAGGACAGCAATATTTTTTCCTCTTATGTTCTGTCAGAAATGAAATAGTTCTTTTGTCCCATCCCTTTTCAGAGTAGTATGCCATTCATTGGAATTCAGTTGGTTTGCCTTGCAATGTCAGCTCTCTTATGATTTCAAAAAATTTTTTATGATTTTGTAGATTTTCTAACTTTTTCTCATTGTTAAGAAGGGAAAGACATTCTCTTGTCACATTCTACATCTTAAGCAGAAATGGACATCCTCATCTACCAATTTTAGCATCAGTTGGTAATTCTTGCCTGAAAATCATTGTGATTAAGGTCACACATTTTTCTAATTTCATTATCATTTCCACATTTATTAACTGACATTCAAAAGCTTGCGCTTTGAAAAAATACAGGTGAAAAACGACTGTGGGAGTATCCACGAGTAATAAGGGTACCCCACACTACATTTCCTGAATTGTATGAACTATGAAATATTTTCCAGAAAACTCTAGTACGTTTTCTTAATTCTGCCTCTTCATCAACATATAGTTAAAATCCGCAATCATTATTTCAAGCTTTACTAACTGCCTAACATCGAATTATGGACCATGCTAAGTTCTATCGATACAAAAGAAAATGATCTATTATCTGTTCTCAAAAATAGTTAACCTTTACTCAACACTTACCATGTCTCAGGAACCCTTCTAAATGATTAATAAGTATTGCTTTACTTAATCCTCACAACAATCCTATGTGTTGTGTACTTATTACTTTTTTCATTTATAGTACATTTAACCACAGTAGAGATTCATAAAAATTAGGTAGTCTGTGAGAGACAAAGTTGAGATACAAACCCAGGCAATCTGATTCTAGAACCAATGCTACTATGCTCCTCTGCCTTTAAGTGTGGTGGAGTTAAATGGGCTTGAGATCTCTTCTCAGTCAGATCTGGGTTCTAATCTTGGGAACAGCGCTTACTATACGTGTGGCATATGGTCAGTTTCTGTTCATCTCTCTTTAGTTTGTTTTTTTTAATCTGAAAAATGGGGAAAATAATACCAATGTCCTCAAGCTAGTCTAACAATAAAGAAAAGTACAGAATGCTAAAGAAAATCCAGTACTGTGTCTGACATAGTAACTCAATCCTTAGTTTTTGTTTATTTCCTTTTTCATGAAGGCTGTCAATCTGGTGCAAATAAAATATGTTTCAGTGTGGCAGTGCTATGCCAAGAGATGTACAAAGTACTCTCCTAATGCAGAATAATTAGTTATTCTCAACTGGAGAGGAGGTTAGAGAGAGGTTCACAGGGCAAATGAGCCTGCGGTGTCATAAAATGCATGGCATAACCTGTGTACTTGAAAAGGAATGATAGTAATCACAATTTAATGCCAACTTCCTTTTAATCTTCTGAAAATACTCAACTCACATTAGCAGATGTAGCTACTACACGAGTCTTCAAGATAATTTTTAAAAGCACTAGACCTTTGGAGGAGAAATATTTTTTTCCACAAACTTGTGGGTTCTGACTCTGGACTTTGCTCTCTGCTGTCTATAACACTGAGAAGTCTTTTTTTCACGTCCAATTGTGTAGTCTTAAGAAACTAATGGATGGCATTCATGTCCCCTTGAGGTCTTTTTTTTTTTTTTTAATCTTGCAAAACTTCTCCAGGTTTCTAAACTAATCTTCCTATTCTGCAAAGTTTTTTTTTTTATTCCAGAGACATTCACTGTCATTCTAGACTATAAGAGAGGTGTTGGAGATGTAGTAGTGAGAGTTACTAAATTCCCTGCTCTGAAGGCACGTGTAGCTAGAGAGAAGACAGACAAGAGAAGAGATGTTTTCTCAGGGTGCTATGGATTACAGACTCTTCTTCCTCCAAGCCTCCATCTCTAGAAAAACACCAGTAAAATATGAGCAACCCTCACATTTCAGTCACATTTGACAATGTGCATAACATTCTTGGAAAATAAAAAAGAACAGAGCGACATTACACTGAAATTATATCTCCTTTATCTGGCACTGAGATTATTCTTGCCTCTGGTTTAGAAAAAGCTGCAGAATCAGAAAAGCAAATGTGCCTAATCCTGCAAAGAAAAAGAACTTGGAGGCAGGAGAGAGCAAAGCTAGCTGGTTCAGAGTCAGTTTCGATGAGAATATAAACCATTTGGTGCAATCTGAACCTGAGACTAACATATTTCCTGTTCTCATGATCAAGTGAAGTTTCCTCTGTTGAGAAAATTTCTTTTTTATGTACTCCTATGATTCAGCTGACTGAATCCTTAAGGAATCAATATTAATCAATTGGGTTCTTTAACCAGTAGCTGTCAGTGTAATTTGAAGAGTTCAATAGAATTACTTCAATCATTTTTGCTCCATCCACATTATGTTCGTTCATTCTCTTTCTCTCTCTCTCTCTTTCTTTCTTTTTTTTTTTTTTTTTTTTTTTTTTTACAGAGTCTTGCTCTGTTACCCAGGCTGGAGGGCAGTGGCACAATCTTGGCTCACTGCAACCTCTGCCTCCCAGGTTCAAGCAATTCTCCTGCCTCAGCCTCCCGAGTAGCTGGGATGACAGGTTTGTGCCACCACACGTGGCTAATTTTTTGTATTTTTAGTAGAGATGGGTTTTCACCATGTTGACCAGGCGGGTCTTGAACTCCTGACCTCAAGTGATCTATCAGCCTCAGCCTTTCCAAGTCCTGAGATTACAGGCATGAGCCACCATGCCTGGCCCATTCGCATTATTTTCATTTTAAATTTTTTTATTTTACTGTACTTAAAGAGAGATGAAAACACCTTGGCATAGAATTTCCTACGACAGGTTGTGGTGGAGTTGGGGAAGAAATTCTTCCCCATTTTAAAAATTCTACACACTGTATATCCTTTCCAGGTAAAAAAGGGGCCACTGATACATGATCAATAGTTTTCCTGTTTTGCACACTTATGACCAAAGGCCCACATTTATAAGATGCCCAGCCAAGGTTAGCAGTTCATTCTGTGACCATAGATTAGGGTTTTTTCTCAATGTACAGCAAAGGAACCTCTGCAGACACCAAATTTTGAAAACACTAAGTCCTTACTCTCCAAGATCATTATTGACCAACCCAGAGCTCTGGACAACATAGCTATCTTATCCCAAAGGTTTGAAATTAAGAGAGATGTGAGTCCCTCAATTTGCCCAAAGAAAAATAAAGTTTCATGTCAGAAGGAAGATGTACTGATGCTTCAAGGGGAAGATAATGATAGAGTGAGATCTTTCAATATTTCTTTTTAAGTAGACTCAGGAGAAAGAGGTTGGTCCCATAACCCAGAGACATACATGCCTCTCTCAGCCTCAGAGCTAAAGGAGGAGACTGTACTTGTCCTTCTGAATTATGCTAACCTTGCACAAGAAAATAGTGTCATGGCTTCCACAAACCATAGATTTCTGAAGGTACTCAGAGGGAGAGAGCTAGGTTAATTTTAGAATTTTTATTTAAAAACTAATAGAAGTAAATGTCTTTGTCATAATATGTGTGTGGAGGAAGGGGTAGTAGTAGGGAAACACTGAAGTACTAGGCTACACGTCTGTGCTCTTGATTTCCAACTGTGGTTGCAAGAATTGTGTCGATTTTCTCATGCTTCCTTGTTTGCAAAGTTTGCAACCTTACATGCTACACATGGTATTAGCACCACACTCTAACCAACTGAGCTAACTGGCCTCCAACAATACATGTGATAAATGCACATTCAACTTCTAACTAAACAAACGTTTGACTGAATAGTTTCGCTTTTTAAACTCTGTAGACATTTGATGCCCCCTCTTAGTTACTTCATCAGTGTCACACATGACTCATTAAAAGCCATTTTTATTCAATAAAAATATATTAAATATGTACTTGGTACAGGGATTCTGCCAGACCTCTTTTCAAGAAGGGGGTGTAGAGACAAATCAAATATGAATTGCATATATAGATATAGATAGTGAGATAGATGGAAATAAAGTGACATGGAAATGATAGAGAGGAAAGTGTCATTGTTGCCAGGTGAGCTGGATAAGATAGAACCTCAGGATTAGAATTGGCTCTGGAAGGATGGGTAAAATTTGAAACTGAGAGATGGAACATTGCAACCAGAAAGAAGAGTCTGAGTAGGAACATGGTCCATGGGGATCAGGCATAGGTTTGAAGGGAAATATTGAAAATAGGTTTCAGGTCCGGGAATACTGAGCAAAAGGCCAGGATTTACGTACCACTGAGAATTACAGTTATACTCATTATTGAACAACTTGGCTCTATAAAACATGCTGACTACTTTTCTGGGTTTAGTTCTCTTTGTCTGAAATTCTTTCCCATCTTCCCACCTCCATCACCATCCCTGGTCATTTTTTTCTACTTAATTTTTGCCCATTATTTGGATATCAGCCTAAATATTACTTCCTCAAGGAGATTTCTTTAACCCATATGATGAAGTCAGAGCTTTTTAAAATAATTATTCACAATGCCCTATGATTTTCCTGCAGAACAGATATGAAATTTTAATTACATAGTCTTGTGTTTAATTATTATTTTCCCTGCTAGATGATAAGCTTCAGGAAGGCAGAAATAATTTTCATCTTATTTAATTCTATATCCTCAGTGTCTAGCAAACTATCTGGTTTATAATGGGTGTTAAATAAGTATTTCTGGAACAAATGACAAACTAAATGAAGATATAAAGATAATTAGCAGCATGATATGCTAAAAGTAGGGAAGATAAAGACTTTAGGGTTCCCAAAAGCACAGGGGTGAGCAACGTCACAGTACTGTTTTCAACCAGGGTTTAGCTGACAGAGAAGTCTTTAAAGTATGTGCTATGCCAAGTCTTGTAATATACATTTGAGGTGGCACCACTAATATAAACAACAAAATAATAGCTCCATATATCAAGGGCTTATTGGACGCCAGGTTGCCGGGTTATACATGCATTACTTCATGCAGAGATGAATAAGACATGATACCAGCAATTCATCATTAATTGGGAAAAATGATAATGAGTAATGCAAATAATTAACTTTAATTTGATTAACTTTAATTTGACGTGTAAACATTGTTTCTAAGATAGAAGTAATTACTGAGACTTTCAGAAAACAGAGGGCATGGGAGAAATTAATTTTGCCTATGGGAATCAAGGAGGGATTCAAAGAGGTGACATTAAGCTAGGCCTTGAGTACAGCAGGTAGATAAGGACAGAGGGGTGTAATTAAAGGCATTAGTGAGAAAACTGTGTGAAAAAAGACATGAAAGTTTAAAAGTGCTTGTCAAAGTTCAGGAAAAAATGAGTAACGTGTTGTGAGAGGAAAGTGAATGGGAAGTAGTGCAAAATAAAGGTGGAAAAATTAAACTGGGGACAGATTGTGAAGGTCTTGGCACAAGAAGCTAAGGAGTTTGGACTTGACAGTATTCTGAAAACAGTGTGGAGACTTCTAAAGCTTTTTTTTTTTTTTTTTTAAGTAAGAGAAAGACAAAGTGAGATCAAATTTATAGTTTAGAAAGATTGCTTCCTTTGATCCAAGACCTGAGAAAAGCTTAAAAGAGATCCCTATCAGCAAAAGGCTGCACTTGGTTAGCAACTCCTGTGGGTCTCCGTACAGAATGAATACCACGTGATCTTGGCATTGAAAGGCAGCTGATTCTGCACCTATCATTCACCCACACTTCCGCACAAACATTGCAACTACCCTTAGCAACACCATTCCAAATTGAGATTAAATGTAGAGTCATGTATCCTCTCCCTTTCTTATGTTGGTGTAGTCAACATTCTAATGTTCACAATTGTTTATGAAATATTTTGTCTATTTTTCTATAAAATTGTAAAATCTTAAAAGATAGAATACAAGTTTTGCATAATTTGAATCCTGGCTAAGGTCTAGTGAGTGTAAAATAAGAAATTAACATATTTATATAGATTTTTTAATTTCAAGAAGAAAATATGCTTTCAGAATATACAAGCAACACTTCAGTATATAAACCCACCCTTTGGTGGGTTTGTCTTTATGAATAGACAAATACACATGCACAAACTTTTTATTTTTCCCTTTGGAAAATTGATTTACCATACTATGTATACTTTGACTATATAATTATTTTTTCACTCAGACTGTCATGGATAGCTTTTCAAGTCAGTATTGGAAGATCTAACATATACTTTTAAAAATATCTGTACAAAATGGCATAGTATGAAGATATGACAATTTATTTAACTTCTTTTTTATTAATGATTATTTAAGGTATTTAATTGGTTTCGAATTATTAATTCTCACAAATTATGCTGACATTATTATTTGAGTTCTTGAACACTTTCAAGTATTATTGTACTACAGGTTGCCAATGTCAGTACTGCTAAGTCAAAATACGCACGCTTTTTCAATACATTTTTTCAAATTATTTTCTAAAAGGGGTATATAAGTTTATACCACTATAAAAGGTTTATTGAACTGCCTATTTTCTCAAACCAGTGCTGTTCAACACAGAAGCCACTAGCCATATGTAGCTATTTAAATTTAAATTTTAAAAAATTAAAAATTCAATTTTTAGTAACATTGGCAATATTTATTTATTTATTTCCATATAGGATCTTGCCCTGTCACCCAGACTCTGTAGTGATGTGGCGTGATCATGGCTCACTGCAGCCTCAAACTCCTAGGCTCAAGAGATCCTCCCACCTCAGCTTTCAGAGTAGCTGGAGCTACAGGTGCCTGCTGCCACACCTAGCTAATTTTTTTTCTTTTTCTTTTTTTTAGAGATAAGGTCACTGTGTTGCCCAGGCTGGTCTCACACTCCTGACCTTAAGCAGTCCTCCCACCTGGGCCTCCCAAAATGCTAGGATTACAGTTGTGAGCCACCACACTTAGCTGGCAATATTTTAACTGACCAATAGCTAGCTACATGTAGTTTTTGGTCACCATAATTAACAACACAGATACAGAAAGTTCCATCATCACAGAAAGTTCTATTGAACAGTGCTACCTCAAATTATGGTTAACATTGGGTGTCATGAATCTTTATGAATCTTTTACATTTTGGGCAATATAATTTTTTTCTTTTTTTTCTTTTTTTTTTTTTTTTTTTAGAGACAGAGTCTTGCTGTGTTGCTTAGGCTGGCTTCAAACTCCTGAGCTCAAGTGATCCTCCCACCTCAGCCTCTCAAATAACGGGGACTACAGGATCCAACACTGCAGCAGCAATATGATACATTTATCAAGGCCTCATTTTAATTTTCCTTCTTATTCAAACTGTAAGCATTCTTAAAGTGTTTATTGATTATTTCTATTACTTCTCATGTTAAGTGGCTGTTCATATTCTTTCTTCATGTTTCATAGGATTGCTTGACATTTATTATTAATATGCAAGACAAATATTTATCAACTGACTCAATGTATCTATGAGGTAGCAGAGCAAAACACAATTTAAATAACATTACTGTGACATTATTTGACCCATAAAAAGGGTTTGAACATATAATAAGCAATTGCTTGCAAAGAAATGCCTCATAATAAATTATAAATTATGTATCTTTTTATCAAAACAATTTTCCAAATATTGTAGATTGTCAACACTTGATTAATAAATTTGAGATTATTAATTGAAACCAATAAAACTGCTTTTCTTGATAAAGAATTAAATACATCTAATTCATCTTAAATAAGCCCAACTTTATTCCTGGTTTTCCTTATGTAGGAAGGCTTTACTGAATTGAGAGACAGACTGCATTAGGTCCTACCATGTTTGAAAAAGTGCTTTACAATAAAGATGAGATTGTAAAGCCCTCTCCCCCAAAACATAAAAAAGGGTACCTCTGTATGCTGTAGATGTAAAAATGTAGAATAAATCAAAATGTAAATGAGGTTTTTCATGCTTTTAGTTTTGATGATTATAATTTAATGCTAAGAATTTACTAGCAGCTGGCTGGAAGACAGAAATAATAGCAATTTCAATGTTTCTATAGCACGTTATAATTCCCCCAAAATTTTCATGCAAATCACTCTTTGCGCAAAAATAAATGAATGACAATGAAGTTGGGAGAAAGCTTGAAAACGCAGAGTTGGAAGGTTAAAGGTTTAGGTTACAGGAGTCAGAAAAGCTTTTTTTGGAATCTTAGAAGCTTTCTTGGTACTGGCCAAAGCTTTTCTTGGTACTGGCCAAAGTCAATGTACCACGAAAGGGAGGTTTGCTCAGATTGGCCCTGATGGTGCACAACAGAAGCATTGTCACCCAGGATGTCACTTGGCAGCTTGGAAAGTAATGGGGTCTGAAGGCTAGAAATAGACCCTGAGAACTGGGGCACACCCCAAGGAAATCGGGGGAAATGAGAAATGAGTTAATGTCTGAGAGTAATTCCAAATATGGGGATTAGAAAGAATGGACCACATAACCCAAGATGGAAGATATACAGTTTTTTTGACTTGTAAAATAATGATGATGATGATGATGATGATGAATGATGATAGCCACCTATGCTAAATAACTGTATTTAATCTTCACAATGATTTTTTTTTTTGAAAAACCTAATGTTCGCTTTGACAAAACTGGTTCAGAGCTGTAATAAGTTGCCAAAGCCTAATCACAAGCAGATCCATGATTCTAACTCAAATCTTTTAACTTAAAATTTTATGCCCACAACCTCTCCTATCTCTGGGGAAGTGAAATAGCCTGAGGATCTGTCTCTATCTTTAGGCACAACTGAAATGAGTGACAAGACTGTTCTTTAATAAATGAATGTGTATAGGTTGAACGCCAAAATTCCAGACATTGCAGGGAAGCAGTTTTGAACTCTCTTTGGTGGATTGTGTTTGTGTAAGGAACAGAAGCTTCTCTTCAGGGGTGATCTTATCACTACACAATGTCAAAGATAAATGTATTTTCAGCCTCTGCATTAAACTCACCTTGCCACCTCTTTGTCTTTGTGCTCCTCACATCAAGTGCCTCAGCAGCCTGTGATTCTGTGTTTTTATAATCTCTCTGGTTTCAACCAAAATGGAAAAAGTAGTCTTAGGTATATATGAAGGAAGAAGAACAGCATGATCTCACCTAAGAAGGACTGAGGCTATCCAGTAACGAAAATCAAGAAAAACCTGCAACAGAGGCCTCAACCCTGTATTGCGGGTGGGGTGGGAGTCTCACAGTGAGATGGCATCACCACTTCATGTTGCCCAATACCCTTGCTAAGAGTGTCTCATAGGAAGAGTCTCTGATATGAACCTAATATTTTATTTTCTTTGAATTCCCTCAGATATAAATTTGAGATAAGGATAGGTATCTGACTGGAGTTGTAGGAAGATTAAATGTGATGATTATGTAAGCATTAATCAAGTTCCTGAGTTGAAGGAGGCACTAATAAGAGGAGACTTTTTGAAGTGATGGTGAGTCATTTCCTCCTTACAAAATCTTTCTGAATTCTCTTTTCTCACTGGTAAAATAAGGATACTAGTACTGTACTGTTACTGTGACAATTAAAAGAGATGCAAATGCAAAGTGTTTGGCTTATAGGAGGTACACAAGAAGCAGAAGGTATTAACATAGCTGTTTCTTCACTAGGGTCTGTCTGTGTGGTAAGAGGATTTGTAGGAAACATCTCTGGGATCCCATCCCTAATTTTCTTCTTAGCATCCTCAACGATTTATGTGTAGACACTAACAACTCACTAGATTACAGATCCATTAAAGGGGAAAGGTGTACATACCCCAAATGCCCAACTATAGGGGAATAATTATATATATTTTGAGACTTCTCTTTGATGGCATATTCAGTGTAATCATTACTAAATTCAGATAATAAAATACTATGTTACACAAAATAATAGTAGGCATAAGTTCTATGTAACAGCAATGTAAACAAATATATGTACACAGATAAAGTCTGTTAACTCTGTAAGAGCAGAGGCATTAGTGTGGGAGTGTGGCTGGGGTTGGGGAGGGTGTTTGCTCTGTGAGACCAGGGACGTGTGTGTGTATAAGAGTGTGCTTGCCTATGCATTGCAGCATTGCAGTTGTCCAGTAGGATGCATGGCACAGATGTATTAGTCAAATAATATATGAAGTGGGGGAAAAGGAACATAGAAAAACAAAACAGTTCTCTTAAACAGAGTTTAAATTTTGCTTTAAAATTTTTCTGTGCTGAATTTACAATATGAAAAGCAGGCAATAAAAATTGTAGCCTCCTAGAATATCAGAGAAAGTTACATTTGGAACACAGAGTTACAAACATGGTACCTTCCCTCCTACCCCACCTCAAAGCAACCATTGTTAAGAGTTTTCTGGTTATCTAAGACTTTTTAAAAATACATATACAAACATAAAATTACACACATTCTCTTACCAGGTAACTTTTGTTGCACATCATGTATTTTGGCCATCCTTCTATGTTTGTATTTAAAGCTCTTATTCTTTTCTTGACAACTCCATAAATATTCCATAGTATGTGTTTTTGTTTTTGTTTTTGCTTTTGTTTTTGTTTTTTGAGATGGAGTCTTGCTCTGTTGCCCAGGCTGTAGTGCAATGGCGCGATCTTGGCTCACTGCAACCTCTGCCTCCTGGGTTCAAGCGATTCTCCTGCCTCAGCTTCCCAAGTAGCTGGGATTACAGGTGTGCGCCACCACGCCTGGCTAATTTTTGTATTCTTAGTAGAGATGGGTTTTTGCCATGCTGGCCAGACTGGTCTTGAACTCCCAACCTCAGGCGATCCACCTGCCTCAGCCTCCTAAAGTGCTGGGATTACAGGCGTGAGCCACCATGTCTGGCCAATAGTATGTGTTTTCCTTAATTTTCTTAACCACTTGCATATTACTCACTATTTATGATTATAAGAATGCTATAATTACTTTCCTTTTTTTTTTTTAATAGAGTTCCGCTCTTCTGGCCCAGACTGGAGTATAATGGCAGGATCTCGGCTCACTGCAACCTCCGCCTCCTGGGTTCAAGCTATTCTCCTGCCTCAGCCTCCTGAGTAGCTGGGATTACAGGTCTGCGCCACCACACCTGGCTAATTTTTGTATTCTTAGTAGAGATGGGTTTTTGCCATGCTGGCCAGACTGGTCTTGAACTCCCAACCTCAGGTGATCCACCCGCCTCAGCCTCCCAAAGTGCTGGGATTACAGGCGTGAGCCACCGTGTCCGGCCAATAGTATGTGTTTTCCTTAATTTTCTTAACCACTTGCATATTACTCACTATTTATGATTATAAGAATGCTATAATTACTTTACTATTTTTTTTTTAATAGAGTTCCGCTCTTGTGGTCCAGGCTGCAGTATAATGGCAGGATCTCGGCTCACTGCAACCTCCGCCTCCTAGGTTCAAGCTATTCTCCTGCCTCAGCCTCCCGAGTAGCTGGGATTACAGTCATGCGTCACCATGCCTGACTAATTTTTGTATTTTTAGTAGAGACGGGGTTTCACCATGTTGGCCAGGCTGGTCTTGAACTCCTGATCTCAGGTGATACACCCGCCTCGGCCTCCCAAAGTGCTGGGATTACAGGCGTGAGCCACTGCGCCCGAACTGTAATTAACCTTTTATCCATGGAATTGTAGAGTCAAAGCATCACATGAACTTAAAATTTTGATCAACATTGACAAATTCCTCTTCAGGAAATGCTATTTCTATTATTGTACCCATCAATAGTACAGCAAAGTGCCTGTTTTCACACGTCTTCATTTAAACTGGATATGGTTAATCTATTACATTTTTATCAATCTTATAGGTAAAATTAATATATATTTTAATATGCATCTTGAAGTATTGATCAGAATTATTTTATTTCATTTAAACGACTAATTTGTATCTCTGGTTCATTTTTCTATTGGGTTTTTTTCTTTTCTTTTTTTTTCGAGAGGGAGTCTCCCTCTGTCCCCCAGGCTGGAGTGCAGTGCCGCGATCTCGGCTCACTGCAAGCTCCGCCTCCCGGGTTCACACCATTCTCCTGCCTCAGCCTCCCGAGTGGCTGGGACTACAGGCGCCCGCCACCACGCCTGGCTAATTTTTTGTATTTTTAGTAGAGACGGGGTTTCACCGTGTTAGCCAGGATGGTCTCGATCTCCTGACCTCGTGATCCGTCCGCCTCCGCCTCCCAAAGTGCTAGGATTACAGGCGTGAGCCACCGCGCCCGGCCGGGTTTTTTCTTTATTAGTAAAGAATACGTACTTGTTCAAAAGGAAGTCTGAAATGCAATCACTAAAGACCCACGTTAAATTTAATTTTTTTTTTTTCCCTGGGAGAAGCAAATCATTTACCGCTAGGGAGAGTAGAAAAACCCTGACTAGGAGCAGAAAGAGTGAGAATTCAAAGTTGACAATTATTGCTCGAGCTGGCTTTGCCCTTCTTCCTTGCTCAAATGCAGAGAAGGCCTTCTGTTCATGAAAACAGGTATCTTAGCCAAAAACCAGAGCTGAACATTAGGGCTCTCAATTTTCCACTGGGGAGGGCGGGTTCTGCCTGTGCTTGAGACACTTCACCTTATAAAACAAAATTAGTTGATCCACTCAACAGGTAATTGCTAGTTAATGAGGTTACAGCAGGATAAAACAGATGTGCTCAGTACCGCTTAATGGTGAGGAGAAAAACAATTCTCCTCCTGGTCTTCAGTAGAGGTTGAAGGATAGGGGCAGGTGGATGAATAGGGGTGAAGGTAAATAGGGATGAATATACAGACTGATGCATTTTGAGAAACTTGTCAGAATGGGGTGAGAAAGAAGATACAGGACTGGTGAACATGCTTTTGGGTTATTGTTTAACAAACATAATGGTAAAACATTAAATTATTCTTTTACTGGGTAATTTTTTGTTACTAATTATTTAGCAAAGTTAATAACTGAAAACCATTCCTACATTGTTTTTTTCTTATTTGGTTAAGTTTTTTTTCAGTAAAACCTCCTTTGATCTCCTCACCCCATTCGAGAGATACTGAATTTGCATTCAATGAGTATATACTTCTGATAGCAGTATTACTCTATTTAGCTATGTTCACTTGTTAGAAAAAAAAAAAAGCAATAGATGCTTTGTGCTTTCCATGTTTGAATAAGCCCATTTCTGTCTATTTCTAAAAATGTCAAATGTTTTTAAATGTTTTATGGCTACCCATTTAAAATACATTTTTAAATGTAAAACTGTGATATCAGGATATCAAAACTAAAAGAATAAACATAGTCAAATTCTCTACTTTTAGGAAAAAGAAAGCATGACTCAAAAGTTTTAAAATACTTCCCCCTGTGAAAACATTCTGTTCCTCCCTTTCACACCCTTCATTTGTACAAGAAAAGATGAAGCAAAGGAGAAAAAGAAATGAAAATTAACATTGAGTTTAGGTGGCATATGTATTCCAACAGGGCATATGAGGGTTTTATCAGTAGCTACAGAAACCACTTCCTCTTTTCAGTGTTAGTTTACTAATCCCTTGAAGCTTGCGTGCACCTTCCACTCCTCACCTTCTGTAGCCACTCACCTCCTCTCACATCCCACATTACACTTCTATGTGCTATGGGATCCATCTAGGCAGTAGTTACTCTTATTTCAAAACAAGGATGTTAAAAATTACTCTACTCATCAACAAGTGAAAGATCATGCCTTGCAGCTTTGTGAGCTGTGCAAGGTGGCTTAGCTTCTTGACTCCGAAGCTTTCCTAAAGTAACAGATATTTGCTTACTATAAATGCTTCTTGAGTTGCTACAGGGGTAATTTGCAAAGAGAAAGCAGAGGCTCAGGATAATGCTAGATTTTTCATGTCTGGGTGGATAAGAATCTTTCCTTTTATGTTTATAAAATTAAAAATTGGGTGCATTCGGTATATGGCATACTGACAGAGCATGGGAACTGGACACTGACCAAGGTTTGAATAGTGACACTGCTATTTACAAGCTGTGGACTCTCTACAAGATAAGTAACTTGCAGATTATTATACTATCTCAGGGTTTATGGGAAATATATATATATATTTGTATTTTTATATATATATTTGTATATTATATATATTTGTATATTATATATATTTGTATATTTATATATATATTTGTATATTATATATAAATTTGTATATTATATATATTTGTATATTATATATATATTTGTATATTATATATATATATTTGTATATTATATATATATATATTTGCATTTTTAGTACAGATGGGGTTTCACCGTGTTAGCCAGGATGGTCTCCATCTCCTGACCTCAGGTGATCCACCCACCTCAGCCTCCCAAAGTGCTGGGATTACAGGCATGACCCGCTGCGCCCAGCCTATGAGGATTATATTTTTAAGGTAATTCAAAATATCTGAAATAGCAGGTGTTTGATAAAAGCAGTTTTCTCTCCTTTCTTCTGAAATTCAAATAACCAAATTTCACATCGCTGGAATTTTGGTGAATCTTTATACGGGGGAATTATCATGCCTGAATCTCATTCAAATACTTTTCACAATTATAAAATATTCTTTCTTGATTATTCTAATCCACATTTTACTAGCACAGAAAAATTAAGTCAAAGACTTGGTGAGAAAAAGTGGTTTTCCCCAAATGACCAGCTAGTTAATGGTAGAGTGTGGCCTGACATCAGTTTTCACGACTCAGAGGTAGGAAATGCCAAAAGCAGTCTTTCAAAGCTGGTGTGCAGTAGTCCTTCCCACATTTTCATTTTAAATTATTCAAACAAAAATTGTTTATCAATGACAACTTCCATTTTCCCCAACTTGGTAGTACTACCTTTATAGTTAGTTGCTAAATAACATATATTTTGATTAAATAGCTCTGAATTATCTTATATAACTTGTATTTTATTAATCGCAACAGGGTCTATTAATATGCACATATGAGAAAGTCATGCATGAATAGAAGACATACTACTGATTAATATGTGTCTTTGATGCATTTTGCTTCCTCCACTCCATAAATCAACTTCACATGGTCTGAATTTGGAAAACCCGGATATAAAGTTCTTCCTTGTTTATTGTTTTCTGCTTGCTACTCTTTTCTTCTCAAAAGAACTATGAATTTCTTGAAGGTTGGGAGAGCAGATTCTTAGAAAAAATATGAAGAGGATGAAGGTTTTTTATTTTTCTATGTTTCTCCTTTCCTTTTTTCTTAATCTCTGGAAACCTCCCACACTTCAGGGCCCAGGGCCCTCCTACTGTGATGTTCTCTCTGGGCTTTGTATAAATTCAAATCTTTTACCACTTTTTCTAGTATCCCTAAGGGATTTTTGTGGGAAAAATAATCTTAGCTAACTTTGATGACGCGTATTTTGTTACAGTTCTCAGAAGTGTTTGTATTTTAACCACAGGCAATTACATTCAATAAATATTTATTGAAGCCTATTCTAAACCTGAATAGTGTCAATTACAGGACCTTCCTGCCATGCCCACCACCTATAAAGATGCTAAGGAAGGCAGACAAATAAATAAATTAAATGAAGCATGCAGTCAATATGGTGATGAAAGCAGGTACGCTGTGTAGCTGTTGTACAGAAGAAGGAATGACTAAGCATTCTTGGTATAACAGGGAGGGCTTTCTCAATGACCCAAAGGAATTCATCATAAAAGTGAAATTTCAGACATCAGTGATAAACTAGTAGAAAAATTGCTACCCCTAAGCTAAATTTCACTGTTTTGTCACATTGAAACTTTATGCAAACAAAATAGAAACTTTCATCTCTTTGCCAAATTTTTCCCTCTGCTAAGTCACCCTACCTAAGTCAGTTTCTCTTTTTCTGTCTCTCTCTGTCTCTCTTTCATCTTCTCCTTCTCTCTCTTGCTCACTAGCTCTAGTTCTCACTCTTGCTCTTACTCTAAAAGCAAAACATCTGCACCATCACAGACTAGCTATAACCTCTCCTCCTCAGATTCAAATCTCTTCCTTGCCTTTAGAAGAATTAATGGTTCCCTTCTTCATGCTCTCCTCACACTGTATTTAAAACTCACAGCCTTTATCATATTCTGCGTATTAAAGTCACTACCACTCAGTTTAGTAGTAATAAACCTTTACATTTCTATTATAAATCTTACAGTTTACAAAATAGTTTCACATATATCATCACATGTGATCCTGACAACAGCTCTTTAAGGTGAGAATTATCTTTGGGTTTTTTTTTTTGTTTTTTTTTTGTTTTTTTTTTGAGACGGAGTCTCACTCTGTCCCCCAGGCTGGAGTGCAGTGGCGCCATCTCGGCTCATTGCAAGCTCCGCCTCTCAGGTTCAAGCCATTCTCTTGCCTCAGCCTCCCGAATAGCTGGGACTACAAGGGCCCGCCACCACGCCCGGCTAAATTTTTTGTATTTTTAGTAGAGACGGGGTTTCACCGTGTTAGCCAGGATGGTCTGGATCTCCTGACCTCGTGATCTGCCCATCTCGGCCTCCCAAAGTGCTGGGATTACAGGCGTGAGCCACCGCTCCCAGCCAAGAATTATCTTTGTTTTATTATGAGAATATCTAAACCTCAGAGAATTTACGCAAGATAATACATTTAGTAAGCAGCTGCCAAAGTTAGGTCTTCTAACGCTAAAGTTATTTCTCTAATGTAATTTTGAGACAATATTCTTTGCATAACATCTTACAAATTGAGGACATCATACTGGATTTGAATGGAGAAAATAAGCTACATATTCTTGAACTTTATAGTTTCCTTGCCTCTTATGTTTAACTATCCAGTAATTTTTATCACACTTTTTTAACATTTATCTTCAAAACTGCAAGTTCTGTTTTTGTTCCAGAAATATTCTGTGGAATTAACATGTGCATAGAGTCAAACTACTTGAACTTTATTTTAAAATATATTTATAAAGGTCTTTCTGCGCATAATGTATTGGATCACTTGACTCAAGTAATTAAACTATATACTGTTAATATTATGACTGGGAAATTTCCTTTAAATTAAGTAATTTCAATTATTCATTCAATTGTAGGTTTGGGTTTTTGCCCCTGCTACATGGAATAACTAAATCATATAATTTAAAGTAGATTCAAGTTTAGACAGAGTATGTCTTGAGCTGTCATTTAATGGAAACGGCTCAGAGAAGTTGCTACATCTAACTAGTGTCAGAAACTTTCCTAGGTTAGCTGACATTTATGAGGCAGGAAGAAACTCAAGTCACTACGTAGCCAACTTTCTGTTTTTCCCACCATAATGAATGTCATGTGCTCATAATAGTAACCCTTTCTAAAACATTAAAAAATATTTACAGTAAAAAAAAAATTTAAAAGTTAAAAAAAATAGGACTTTGGAGAGGCATTTCTCCATGGCATTTCTATAGATCTTGTGTTAGGCTGTTTTTTCAAGGTTGTTCCCATAGCAAAGAGCTTCTTGGAAGCTAGAAATGGTCTCTCCTTACAGGTCAGAGGACAGATTTATTTGCTGACCAGGATATCAAAGATGAGATGTTTCCATCTCCTTCCTGGAGACAATCCGGCATAATCAAGATATTGTCTTTTCCAGAGGAGAGGTGGAGAGGTTTGCCAGAAATCCCTGTATAAAATTAGGATATCCTCATCTGAGAGTTCCTCAATTGTGACAGAGATTCATGGAGTGATTATTATTTACCTGGGCCCATGTCTGCCTTGTCCTCTCCTTCTTTCTTTTAATATTATTAAATAAATATTTTCTATTATTATGAACTCCATGTACAGATTTTTATTAGCTATAAATATTTCCTCATTTACACAAACTGTAATTTTTTGCCCACACCTATATAATTTTCTGTTTTTCTCTACTACAAATATACATTAATAAACATCATTGTTCTTAATTTTGTCTGTGTATTATATTATTTTTAATAGGATAGCTGTGCAGATGTGAAATTATCTAATAAAATGCTAAAAAGATTATTTGAGATTCTTATTTCATTTTACCAAAATGCTTTCCAAAATGTTCAAACCATGTTGTATTCTCACTAGCCATGTCACAATGTGTTTTCATAACTATAATCTTTCACCTCTTCTCCACCACTCATGGTTTTAGCTATTCTGGATTATTCACACTTCCTCAAATTTCTATAGACCTTTTCAACATGTTCTTTCCTTGACTTTAAATGCTGTTGGCATACACAACGCTTACCCAGCAGAGCTCAGCCTATCACTTTCTCAGAGAGTTCTCTGACTTCGTAAACTACCATACATTATCATTATGATACTGACACTTACCTTTGTGATACTCAACCCACATGTACCTGAAGTTTTATTTCTGGCTTAAATTTAAGCTCCATGACAGCAAGGGTCTCATTTGCCATGTTCATTGCTGACTCCTTGCTGCTAACACAGCTTAGCATGGAGTAAGTAAATATGCACTTGTATGAATGAATGAATCTTTATTGAAAAAGTGAATTTTTTTCAATGTTCATAAAAATCTAGTGAGATAGGCATGGCAATTATCCCTAATTTGACCTGTAATGAATCACAGAAATAGTTTGATCTTCTCAACATCCAAATGAGTTGGTGAGAGAGATATAATTATAAGCCAGGTTTCTTGGCTCCTAGCAGATACTTTTTCCAATATATGTTTCAGATATTTTGAGTATTTCTGTGATTTAAAATGACAGTTTTGTGCAAATTGAGTTCTAGGGAGAATCATAGAGATTCTCTAAATATTTATTGTCTCTATGTCTATAGAGATACCTAATAATACCCCTGAATCAATAGTTTTTCTATTAATGGATTCAATTTAACAAAATCAGAAATTATAATCACAGAGGGAACAGTTTGTTTTTTCAGCCTTCTAGGGAACCATGTTAAACTTAGTTCAGCAAATTAGATGATAGTTTCATTTTGACTTTCAGACATGTCATGTGAATCACACGCAGATGGGTTTTTCTTAATTAACTCTTGCAATTATGCAACAGATTTTTTGCCTACAGCTTTTCAATTTTCTAAAGAAAAACCAAGAAAGACAGTCCAGCACGGGACACTAATCTTTATTTATTCCTCCTCATTCCAGGTTCTAAGCAACTAGAAAGTTCAACTTGTGGTAATGTTTCTGTACCCTTTTATGAGAGAAAAATGATAAGCTGACATTTAAAATGTTTAAAAAGCATCTCAGTATATGACACATTGTGGTATAACGGTATAATGAAAACTATCAGGTTTAACATGCTGCTCAGTCTGTAGCACAGAACCACATGCTCATAGTAATGTGCATCAGGAGTGGCCACACTGCAGTTTCAGGGGGCCCTAAGTTCTCTAGAAAGTTGGGGGCTGTTGACTCTAGATTTCTGATCAGTGTCCCAATAAGCTGGGAATATTTGCCAGGAGCCCAACAAATGGGACACCAATTTGACATATGGTCCTGAAGATAGAAGCCAAAGTTCGCTATGACTTAGGGATGGCTGAAGTAAAAATTCATTCATCAAATATTAGACTCAAAACTTCCTTGCTTTCATCATATCATTCTTTCTTACTTGGTCCTTTTTCTGCATATCTTAATTTCTCTTTTATGAACCCCTTTTCTTAAACATTTTTGTTAAATTTTATTTTAAACTATCTTCAGCCCTTTCTTTCCCCTTTTTCCCCTGCATGACATAGCCTTTCTTTGGGTGATCTCTATGCTTGTAACGTCAGCTCTCCTTTATTTAGTGATGACTAATAAAAACTGTGTTAGCCAGCGCCTGAGGTAACCTGAACACCTTGTAAGTATTCTCATTGTCTGCCTATTCCTTGAAGAGAGTAGATGCTCAATAAATATTTATTGCAAGATTGAATGACCATTCCCGAGTCCTACATCAATATTCCCAGCCTTTTACTAGACAACTCCATTATTATATCCCACAGGTGCTTCAAAGACATATCCCCATTTGAATGAACTTTTTTCCAAAAATATCTACTCTCCTGTCATTTCCTCTTGCTTAGTAGCTGCAACACTTACCAGTAGGTACTCCATGTTGAATAGATATTTATTGAATAAATACAGTTTTTAAGATTTAAAAAGTATTATATTTATTATATTATATATGGATGACCATTTATTCAGTATAACCAGAATATCTTTTTAGTCTGTATACAAGTAAGGCAGTGTGGTACACTGGGAAGAAATAAGTATCTAACTTTTCATAAACTGAAAATCAACCAAGCTTTCTAGTTTAGCTACTTATTAACTGCATGTTTATTGAGATGCTTAATGTCTTTGTTTGTAACACTTTTTCATTTCCAAAATGAAGTAAATAATGCCTGCCTTATAGTGCACCTGTAAGGATTAGACAGTGTGAATATGTACAAATTGTCTATAGATAATAGACACTTAATAAACAGTAACTGTTATTATAAAAATGAGGTTGGGCATGGTGGCTCACACCTGTAATCACAGCACTTTGGGAGGCTGAGGCAGGGGGATCACAAGGTCAGGAGTTCAAGACCAGCCTGACCAACGTGGTGAAACATCTCTACTAAAAATACAAAAATTAGCTGGGCATTGTGGCGTGTGCCTGTAATCCCAGCTACTCAGGAGGCTGAGGCAGAAGAATCACTTGAATCTGGGAGGTGGAAGTTGCAGTGAGCCGAGATCGTGCCACCGCACTCCAGCCTGGGTGATAGAGCGAGACTCCATCTCAAAAAAACAAACAAACAAAAAAATGAATTATACCCATACCTGCAGCCTCTCTCCAAGCACTTACCTTTAACTTAATTTCTTTGTTCCTTCTAGTTTATTAATAATACTGTTGTCAGTAATTTGTACCCTACATCAGTGAGAAGGCCTATTAACATTATAGAAGTCAAAAAAGGAAAAAAAATTACAAATTAAAAACATAAGGCACCTAATAACAGTATGAATTTGCATTCCTAGAATTCTCTCCTTGTAAATTCAATCTTAACTAGATGCTAGAATGAGATAAAACCCAGCACTGGCAAGCTGACAAGTGTTTGAGAGAACATTTGTGGCTGAAGGCTTAGGCAGAATTTCCAGAGGAGAGGGCTATAGTGCAACACTTATGAATAGGCAAAAAGCATAAGTTACAAACAAGATATAATGTACATACATGGATGTGTACCAAATAGCATAGCAACTAAATCTATTAAGAACAAATAATTAAAATAACTGAAAAATTAGAGTGAATTTACATTGAAAGATTTCAATTACTCTTTCAGAATTGAAAGTTGTAATAGACAAAAGAAAAAAAAGCAAGTTCATAAAGAGATTTAATACAATCACAGTGAGTGTATATCACAGGCCTGTTGAGCAGTAAAATATAATTTTTTATATGTTCATTTCATAAAATTCGCCACAAAGAAAGCATTAATAAAATCTTAAATATTGGCATTTTATAGGCCACATTCTCCAAACTAACTACTAAAATAAGAAAATAAATTATAATAAAAATTGAACTTGTTATAATAAGAAACTGACTCCTTAATAACCTATAGAACAAGCTAGAAATCAAACCTAAATTATAAACTTTTTAATACAAAGGAAAAGAAGCACTTTATAACTTGCGGGATGCAAGTTTGTCTTAGAAGAAAACTTAGAGCCTAATATGTCTTTATTATTTAAGGAAAAGATTGAAAATGAGGTACTAAGTACTATGTTAATAAATTAGAATAGAAAAAACAAACTGAGACAAAGTAGGAAGAAAAAATTAGAACTAATAAAAGATGAAATTAATAAATTAAAAATAAACAAAATATCAGGGTAGATGAGATGTTTTTTTAAAAAAATTATATCCAAATTTAGATCCATCAAATGCTTCATTAAACAAAAATATACAATTTTGTAAGTAATAAAAAATCTTGAAACAAAAACTGTGATTCTAAAATTTACAGGGAGGGGAAAAAATGCCAGAGAAAAGCTGAGAAATATATAAAAAAGAATAGTGACAGAACTTGCTTTAAAGCTAATTACTGAAACAAAACAGCAAAATACTCCAGAATTTGTTATTGAAATTTAGAGGGAAAATAATATTTGTTTATTTATTTTTTGTTATTTATTTATTTATTTAGAGACGGAGTCTTGCCCTGTCCCCCACCCAGGCTGGAGTACAGTGGTGCAATCTCGGCCCACTGCAAGCTCCGCTTCCTGGGTTCACGCCATCCTCCTGCCTCAGCCTCCTGAGTAGCTGGGACTACAGGCGCCCGCCACCACGCCTGGCTAATTTTTTGTATTTTTAGTAGAGACGGGGTTTCACCATGTTAGCCAGGATGGTCTCGATCTGCTGACCTCGTGATCCTCACACCTCAGCCTCCCAAAGTGCTGGGATTACAGGCATGAGCCACCGTGCTCAGCTGGAAAATAATATTTATTTATTAAATGGTTCTGGTACCACTGACTAGATGAAAAGACAACTTAACTTATATATCACACCATATAGAAAACTAGGTTTTAGGTGTTTCAGAGAGACAATATTAAAATTAAAAAACAATTATTTGAAATATTTCAACAATTCGAAATATTTAAATTAAAAAAATGTTTAAAGCAACTCAGAAGAGAATGGAAGTGTTTGAGGAAAGGGCCAGGTGGGACGTGAAAGGACTGACATTCCTGGTGGAAATGTGATTAGCTAAGTCTGTTCTGGACATTTAATCTAGCAATGTCCATTGATCTAGCAATTAGTTCCCATCACATTCCTATAGAAACAAAAGTATCTGTAGGAAGGATATATGTTCAAAAATTTTAATTGCAACATTGTTTGCATTGGCAAAAAAATGATAATGCTGAAATACCTGGAAATAATCCAAATGTCCATTGATAAGAAAACCGTTAAATAGATGTGTTACAGACCTTAAATCCCATTCAGCTATTTTCTATAAATGAATTCAATTTCTTGATGTCAAGAGATATCTCTAATGTATTTTTAAGAATGGAAGAATTTTAAGAATGAAATCAGGTTAAGGAGAATTAATGAAAGAAAGAAAATTTGGTTGAGGAGAAATGTATATAGTATGTTCCCTTTTCATGAAAATAAAAAGCCACAAAAATCCATACATAGATGCATCAAAATAATAATAATAGCGCCTTTACAGTGCTTATTCTATGACACTATTGTTCTAAGCACTTCACATAATAATTTATTTAAAACTTCATTATAACCCTATGAGATAAGTACTCTTATTATCTTGGTTTTACAGATGGGGAAACCAAGTCACAGAAGATAAGTAAGTTTCCTAAAGTCACACAGGTAGGGTCAGTGCCAAGATTCAAACCATGCATTCTGGTTCCAGAATCTGTGCCCTTAAGTAATATGTCCCCTACTTCTCACGCATATTTGTAAATGGCTAGGTGAGTTTAATAAAAGAGGGAAGGATACACACCAGGGAGTGAACATACGTTACCTTGCTTGTCAGGGTGTGTATGGCAAGAAAAAGGGGGGAAAGGAAAGTTAAGGAAAAGAACAATGACAATTACAGCACAATGGCAAAATGCACTTGGTGTAATGTTAAGTAAAATTTAGAGAATTTTATGTCTCCATCATACAATATAAATATAAATAAAATTAAGTAGAAGAAACAAAGACAAGAAAGGAGTAGGCACCAATGAAAATGAGGTCTTTTATTCTTCAGAGTTCTGTTACCTTAGTCTTTAGTATCTGCAGCAAAGTTATTTATTCACATTCTTCCTATTTTTATATCTAGCTAGCTAGCTAGCTATCCATCTGAAGGGCGTTGTGTTTAAAGTGAAAGGAGAAGCCAGTTGCAATAGTTTACACTTATAATCCCTGTGTTTTGAGAGGCTGAGGTGGGAGGGTTGCTTGAGGCCAAGAGCTGGAGGCTGCAGTGGACTATGCCACTGCACTCCAACCTAGGCAACAGAATGAGACTGTCTCTAATAAAAATAAAAAATAAAGTGGAAAAGTCATGTATTAATGAGCCTGATTTCTGCAACTGATTATGCAAATACAATATTTTAAATATCCGCCTGTCATTACTTGGGTAAGTTATCTGATTCTTGGAAAAGAAATGAAATCTCTCAACTGGGAGAAACTGATAGTTTTGACCTTTAAACCTGCCATCCTTAGACCAGCTGCTGGCCTGGCTTTGCTCTCTTCATGCCAAGACTCTCTACAGTTTTGCTTGTTTAAAATTTGCTTTGTTTGACTTCATGTTTCCCTCTAAGCAATAGCCTATAAGGAGAAGAGGAGTCAAGTCACACTGCAAAACTGTGAAGATAAACCCTTTGACGTAGGGTTTAACATCCTATTGCCCAACACATGTTTATAACTTGAATTGAAGTTAGCAAGCTAAATATATGTAAAGTCATCCAGGGTCAACTTTCACAGCTTCCAAACTAATCCACACTAGCATGTTGATGTAACATCCCTGATGCTACTAGGGCTCACCAGATCCCTTGTGCTGGATAAATATCTCTGAAAATGAAGTCCTTGTGCTAGATGAATATCTCCAAAGGTGAACAGTATGAGGTAAGAAATATAACTTGGCTCGGCACAGTGCCTCACGCCTGTAATCCCAGCACTTTGGGTGGCCGAGGTGGGTGGATCACTTGAGGTCAGGAGTTTGAGACCAGCCTGGTCAACACGGCAAAACCCCATCTCTACTAAAAATACAAAAATTAGCCAGGCATGGTGGTGGGCGCCTGTAGTTCCAGCTACCCAGGAGGCTGAGGCAGGAGAATGGCTTGAATCCGGGAGGCAGACGCTACAACTGAGATCACACTACTGCACTCCAGCCTGGGTGATAGAGCGAGACTGTTTCAAAAAAAAAAAAAAGAAGAAATATAAAATTTATAATCATCTATTGACACAAACGCTTGGCAAAGAAAAATTTGCTCCCAATAAACCTGACTCTTTTGTTGTTGTTGTTGTTAAAGTTAAACCTGGAGAGTAAGTAGTTTCCATCAACATTAAATAAATATTATTGAGCACCTATTATGTGCTAGGGATATAACAGTGAATAAGACAGACAAGGCTCAAGCTGCGTAGAGTTTATATTCCAGTGAAGCAGATACATAATACACAAGAAATTCCAACAATTACAGGCAATTTTAAGTGTTACCTGGAAATAAATAGCGTGATGAAAAATAAAAATGAACTTAAGCTCCTCAACAGACTGAATGGACCCTTTCTTGGCCAAGGGTATCCCAGAGAAACCTTGAAAACTGAGTTACCAGCCACAGTGGGATGGGAAGTTGGACATGCCTCGTTAAGCCCCCTTGCTTCCTAACCACCATTAAACTTTCTTTCCTAAGGGTTAAAGCAAGCTTGTCCAACTCACAGCCCATGGGCCACATGCAGCACAGGACGGCTTTGAATACGGCCCAACACAAATTTGTAAACTTTCTTAAAACATTATGAGATTTAAGTTTTGTGTGTGTCTTTCTCTCTCTTTCTTTTTCTTTCTTTCCTTCCCTTTCTCTTTCTTTCTTTCTTTCTTTCTTTCTTTCTTTCTTTCTTTCTTTCTTTCTTTCTCATCAGCCGTTGTTAGTGTTAGTGTATTTCTTTTTTTTTTTTTTTTTGAGGCAGAGTCTTGCTCTGTCGCCCAGACTGGAATGCATCCAAGTAGCTGGGACTACAGGCACCCACCAATACACCCAGCTAATTTTTTGTATTTTTTAGTAGAGACAGGGTTTCACCATCTTAGGCAGGATGGTCTCGATCTCCTGACCTCGTGATCCGCCCGCCTCGGCCTCCCAAAGTGCTGGGATTACAGGCATGAGCCACCGCACCCGGCCAGTGTTAGTGTATTTCATGCATAGCCAAAGACAATTCTTCTCCCAATGTGGCCCAGTGAAGCCAAAAGATTGGATAACCCTGAGTTAAACAGAAACCAGCCCTTTGGAAATACTTGCTCCATCAGTAGTATCAACCAATGCCTGATGCTGCCCCTTTGTTTTGCTGTTTCAACAAGACAGCCAACCAGCATTCCTTCCTGATGAGAGACCACCGACCATGGAGTGGTTCTGGAAGTCTACAGGAAGATGAGTAGTGAGGGTTTTTGTGTCCTCTGCTTCACCTTTTGATATGAGAAGGCCAAAAACTCCACCCTCAGATGGTGATAATGCCCCATTTTTTGCACATGGGTCCCACAGAGAGGCATGGAGCAAAATTGCACATGCACGTATTTCTCCTTTCATGAATATTCATGACTCCTCCTATAGCTTATTGAATATGTATATTTGTCCACCTCATTCAGTATAAATCCCTGTCTTATACTTTTCACTCTCAAAATATCTGTTTCTGGCTTCTGGCCAGAGGCTACACTTCGTGGCCTGTCAGAATGGCCACCCTGCAGGCTGCAACCCTTTATAAGAAACAAAGCTCTCTTTTCTGTATTAACTTTCTCATTTTTCAGTTGACAGTGATAAAAGTGAATAGCTGGAAAAGGCCACCATAGATATTATGGTTAGTGGAGGCCTTTCTGAGAAGGTAAAATATTTATCAGTGAGAATTTCACAAACAGTGAGAATGAGCAGTTTTTTGAAAAATGATGTGAATTATTTCAGGCAGAGAAAAATAGCAAAGTGAAAAGGTAATGAAGAGGGAAGTCTAGAGGGTTTGAGGATCAAAGAGAAAGCAGGTTCCTGGGAGAGTGAACAACTAGAGGATCAAAGGGATAGATGGGGCCAATGATGCAGGGTCTTGTGGGATTTTATTCAAACATGATAAAAAGGTAGCCTACTGAGGAGTATTAAGCAAGGGAATTAATGATTCACATTTAAATTAAAAAAAGCAAAGTGGTGATGGTAGACTCAGTCGGACTCACTGATCAGATACGGGGTGGGAGACAGGAGAGGGAAGAGCCAAGGAAGGCGCTTAGGTTCCTGGCTTGTGCATTGAATTCAATGAAAAGAAAATGAAATTAGAAAGTAATTGCTATAGTCCAGCAAGAAATTATGGCATATTGGACCAGAGTGGTATTGGTGGAAACAGATCAAAGTGGACACATTCATGAAGTTTGTCCTTGTCTCTTCAGCGTTGCTCTTACTGGTGTGGTCTATGGGATACTCCTCATCTATTAGCAAACAATAAGGCTTCTGAAAATTTTCATTTCAAAAACTTGGTTTATTTAACAGAAATAGTGAAGTGAGAATGGGATCACACAGTAGAGACTATCTCAGTAATTCACAGTTCCACAGGTGACTCAACATGCATCATGTGGATAGTTCATTTGTAAAATCTTTGTTTTTCTTGATTTCATATTTGTCTGCATCAATGATTAGACAAAATCTCATTCTCTTAACTCCACTCTAACAATTGGACTTAAAGCCAGAAGTCTTGTTGATTATCAGCTTTGTATTCACCAGTTGTATTTTTATTAAAAAGTCATTTATCGCTTCTGAGCCTCAGTTTCCTTATTTGTAAAATGGGAGTAATAATATCTGGAAGATGACTCTCAGGTTGACATAAAATGTGAATGTACTATGCAGCTGATAATAAGCTATTCAAATACAAAGCATAATGATTATTTTTCTAATGTTATAAACTCTTATTCCATCACATTAAAAAATGTTCCCCTATTATTTTTTACATATCTTAACTGAATAAACCTAGAATATTCAGATGCCTGATATACAAAAGTAACACTAGTGAGCCACAATTTGTAAGGGCTATGCTTTCTGTGGTTTCTCCATTCTTGCAGTTGTGTCGTAGTCATCCAACCACATTCTCTGCCCATCCCTCTTTGCCTTATGACAAAGGGCACATATTTTTGAGATAGCTGTCAGTGAGAGATCTCACAGTGGAAAATTATTACAGTGAAGAGGTTTTCAGAGTGTGCTCCAAGGACCTATGGGGATCCTTGCAGGAGTTCTCTACGTTCCTCATTTTCAATTATATATCTGTATAATGCTGGTTTTTTCATATTCTTCAACTAAAGCAATATATTTCAATAGGTGGAATGCAGAAGTAGATAAGATAGCACTCTTTCATTAAGCCAGATATTAAAGATTTTGCAAATCTATAAGATAATGTTGCTTTTCCCATTAATTTTTGTTTGTTTGTTTTGGAACTACAGCTATATCTTCAAGAGTGTTACTTTCATTTTTTATTGTTAAATGAATAAGTCAATATTCTATTTTTTTACATTTCATTTCGAATAGGGTAAATGTTATCAGATATTGACCATATAAGCAAAAGCTCTTTGGGTTCTGTATATCGTTTAAGAATGCAAAGGAGTCCTGAGAGCAAAACTTTGAGAAACATTGGTATTGTGCAATCAACCAAGCTGGGCAGCATTACCAAAGCAAACCTGTTATTTCTTTTCATCCACCATAATAGTAAGGCCTAATTAGCTGAGTTTTCTTGCACAGAAATTTCATTATTCTCTCCTTCTGCCTTCCTTCCTGCTTAGCTTCATATCTTTTTTCCTTTCTTTTACACATTTTATTGAGTGAATAAATGAATAAACATTGACCAGGTTCTGTGATGAACCTTGATGTATGAAAATAATATATTCCTGCTGTCAAGGAGCATGGAGCCTTATGGAAAAGACAGTCATTCACTCAGATAATTATAATGAATTATGAATGCAGGAGCATGGGGTCATAGGAAAGAGAGTTTTGACATCTGCCTAGAAGATCAGGAGGACAGAAACAGAGTACAGTACCCAGGACATCATAAGGCCTGAACAAACGGTCCAGCCTCCTTTTTATGGTTTAAATCAACCCATAATTTCAAACAGAAGTTTCCCCACTGTGGCTGCCATGATGGCGCTCTGCTCCCATTTCTCTTCCAGAGAGCACCTGTCATAGGGGTGTCCTTTGCTGACAGCTTCCAGCCATCACGGCTTCAGGATTCACCTCAGCTTTTCAATCAAGGCCAACTGCTAAGTGCAGCACAGGTATCAAGCCTGACCATTTGGGCTTAAGCCAAGCTCCCTTATGGGCAGTCTTTGCACCAGAGTTCCCTGCTAGGCTGGCCGAGGCTATCTCAGAGGTGTATCTCTAAGTCTTTTTTGCCCCAGTCCCCTTTCCTTCCTTCTTTAGCAGGTGTCAGAGAACTACCTTGTCATCTGAGAGTTTCTCTTCTTATTCCTGTTCCTTCCCTCTTTTTTCTTTCACAGGCATTGCTCTCTAATAGATTATTTGAGCCTCAGTTTGATCAGAGATAAAATAGAAATCAGGTAATACTTTCTTCATACAATTGTGAGATGATTAAATGGGATAACATTAATATATGTTTGTTATTTTGGTAAAATGTAAAGTGGTAAATAAAATTATTATGATCATTATCATTACTACTAATTACAGAGGTATATACAATAGCAAACAACATAGTATAATATTAATATATCAAATTCTTCCTCTAAGATCTTTCTTAGTTTTGATATGTATTCTAGCATAGTTTTTCCAATTTATTCATGAGGCAGAGAACATAGAAATCATACTGCTCTTTGCCAAATATTATGAATTATAGACAAATTTACATCAATCATAATGTTCATTTACTCAACAAATATTTGAACATTTATTTTGTGCTAGGAGTTATTCAGATTGCTAGGATTACATTGAACTGGATTTGGAATCTACTGTCTAATTAATAAGGAAAATTTTCCAATAGAAATACACACAGTAATACATGTATGTAGTCAGATCTCCACAGAGATCTGTATTATCTTATTTAGTCTTCTCGAAGCCAGGTGAGGTAGTAGTCATTGGGAATATAATTCCAAACATTTTACAGGTGAGAAAACCAAGGCACAAAAAGAAGTAAAATAACTTTCTCAAAATTAAACAGCTGCTGAGTGTCAGAACCAGACTTCAAATAGAGATAGTCTGGCTGGAGTCCTTGCCATTAATATGTAAGCCAGTGATTCTCAAATTTTAGTTTATATCAGGAACCTCTCAAAGGTAATTGTTAAAACACAAATTGCTGGGATTTACCCAGACATTTTCTTATTTGGTAGATATGGGACTCAGGAATTTGAATTTCTAACAAATTCCAAGGGCATGCTACTGTGGTTTGAATATAGCTGTCCACTAAAATTTATGTGTCAAATTCATGTGTTAGAAATTTGGTTACTAATGCAACAGTGTTGAGAGGTGGGGCCTTTCAGAGGTGATTGGGTCATAAGAGCTCTGCCTTCATTAATGGATTAATCCAATCATAGATTAATGGATTATGGGCTATGAAGGAAGTGAGTTAGTTATCATGAAAGTGAATGTGTTATAAAAGCCAGTTTCTCCATTTCTCGTGAGCTTCCTCACCGTGTGATGGCTTGCACCACCTCTAGACTCTGGAGAGTCGCCACCAGCAAGGAGACCCTCAACAGTTGTGGCCCCCTGACCATGAACTTCCTAGCCTCCAGAACTGTAAGAAGTAAAAGTCTTTTCTTTATAATTACCCAGTCTTAGTTATTCAGTTATAACAACAGAAAATCAACTAACACAGAAAATTGGTACAAAGGAGTAGGGCTGTTGCTAATAGTGAATACCTGAAAATATAAACATGGCTTTGAAACTGGGTAATGAACAGTCTGGAAGAATTTGGATGAGCACGCTAGAAAAAGCTTGTATCACTGTGAATGGAGCATTAAGGCTGATTCTGGTGAGGGTTTAGTAAAACAAAAAGCTAGAGAAAGTCTGAAACTCCTTAGAGATCATTTAAGTGGTCATGATCAGAATGCTGATAGAAATATGAATAGAAAAGACCATTCCGATGAGGTCCCAGATGGAAATGAGGAACAAGGTATTGGAAACTGGAGTAAAGGCCATCGCTGCTATAAACTGGCTAAGACCTTGGCTAAATTCTGTCCATGTCCTAGGACTTTATGAAATGCAGAACTTAACAGTGATAAACTAGGATATCTGGTGGAAGGAATATCTAAGCAGCAAAGTATTTAGGCTACTAAATGGCTTCTTTTAACTACTTATAGTAAGATATAAGAAAAAACAGAATAGAAAAACATTAGAAAATTTGAAGCCTGGCCACCTTAACAGTGAAAGGGGTGTTTGGGTATGGTCAAGAGATTGCTAAAGAGGTCACCATGGATAGAATGAAGCCAAAGGCTATCCATGACAATGAAATTAAAAACCCCAGAGGCATTTCTGGGATCTTTGAGGCTGCCCCTTCCTCATAGGCCCTGAGCTCTAAGAGGGCAGAATAATTCCGGGGATGGACTGCTGCCCAGGGCTGCTTTGGGTCTCTACTCCCTGCGTTCCAGCACACTGCTCCTCAGCGCCCCCAGCTGTGGTTCAAGCAGCCACAGGTGCAGATTAACCTGCAGCTCTAGGATGTACAAGTGGTAAACCATGGCAGTATCCATGTGGTACTAATTCTGCAGGTGCATAGAATGCAAGAGCTGTGGAGGCCTGGCAGCCTCCACCTAGATTTTGAAGAATGTGTTGGACTGTCTGAGGGTAGAGCTACTGCAGAGAGCTTCCACTAGGGCAATACGAAGTGGAACAGTGGAACTGGGGTTGTTGCATAGAGCCCCCCTAAGGGCAATGCCTAATGCAGCTGTAAGAGCCAGACTGCCACCAGGACCCCAGAACAGTAGAGCCACCAGCAGCATGCAATACCTGCCTGGGAAAGCTGAGGGCACCAGGGTGCCTTGAGGCCTCCTGAAATACCCCATCCCCCAATGTGCACAAGATGCTGTACATGGAATCAAGAAAGATTATTCTCCAGCCTTAAAATTTAAGTCTTCTCTGCTGAGTTTTTGACTTGCTTGGGCCTGTTACTTCTTTCTTCTGGCCTGTTTGTCTCTTTTGGAAAGGGAGTGTATACCTTATACCTGTCCCACCATTGTATCTAGGAAGTAGATAACTTGTTTTGATTTCACAAACTCCCAGATGACACTTTAGACTTTTGAGTTGGTGCTGGAACAAATTCAGTCTTTTGGGACTACTAGGATGGAATGACTGTATTTTGAATTGTGAGAAGGCCATGAATTCTGGGGGTCAGGGACAGAATGCTGTGGTTTGAACATAGGTTGTCCCCCAAAAGTCATGTGTCGAGAGGTGGGACCTTTGAGAAGTGATTGGCAGTGCCCTCATGAATGGATGAATCTATCATGGGTTAATAGATTAATGGATTATGGAATTATCAAGGATTAGTTATCATGAGGGTGGGTCTGTAATAAGCACTAGTTTGGCCATCTCTCATGACCCCCTTTGCCACGTGATACCCTGTACTACCTTGGGATTCTGCAAAGAGTCTCAACCAGCAAGAAGGGCCCCCTTCGATGGGGCCTCTTGACCTTGGACTTACCTGTCTCTAGAACTATAAAAAATAATTTTCTTTGTTTTAAATTACCGAGTCTCAGGTACAGTTCTAGCAACAGAAAACAGACTAAGACAGATGCTGATGTCCCTGGTCCTAGGCTACACTTTGAGAACCACTGCCAAGTAATGCTGCCTCTCTGTAAACCTGCTTTTAATGATGGGAGCCTACTGACAGACCATGTTTTGCACATAAGCTCACTTTTGTTTTATATAATTTTAACATATACTGAATTTTTGGGAATGCAACCTCTTGATAAACCTTCAACAGAAAATTCTACTTTGTTCTCCTGGGAATTTGACCAAGAATTGTCCAACATCAACAACTTTGGTATGGTGTTTGAGTGATTAATTGATAAGGTATTTGAGTTATAACTCATCAGAAATCATTTGTGCTCTCAGAAAAAAGTTCCTATCACATTTACCACGATTCTACAATTTTACATAGAAGTGAAACCACCTTTGCAAAAATTACAACTGTGAAAGAAATCAGACCTAATCGACTCCATCTTGCTTCTAATCTTTAAGCTGTCCTTTTTCATTCCTGGGCATAGGTGGAACAAACTTTGGGAAGTAATTCAGTTCATGGTTTGACTCTGAAACAAAATTGATAATAGCCCTTTCCCAAAAAGACTCCCTTCTTGCCTGGGGACCAGTCTGCCTTCGCAGGACTAACAAATTAGCTACAAGATTAGAAATTACAGTTTAGGGGTCATGTGGCCTCTGGCTCCAAGAGTCTGCACCCTCCCACCCTCCAAGTTGCTTCTGGGGATAACATCTCTATTGTAAAATCTAAGATCAGTGCTTGAGATATTTTACAGACCCTGCACTCCATAGATCAGCTGACACCACTGAGACCAGCAATCTGGCTCAACCATATCTGCCATCCCACCCAGGAACAGAAGATAGCAAGAAAAACTCACTTAGACCCCCTATGATTCCATCTCCAACCTAACCAATCAGCACTCCCCACTTCCCAAGCCCCTACCCACCAAATTATCTTTGAAAACTCTGATCCCTGAATGCTCGGGGAGACTGATTTGAGTGATAATAAAACTCCCGTCTCCCCCACAGCCGGCTCTGTATGAATTACTCTTCCTCCATTGCAATTCCCCTGTCTTGATAAATTGGCTCTGTCTAGGCAGCAGGCCAGGTGAATCCATTGGGTGGTTACAGAAGTGTGAAGAGCAAGTATCTGAGTGCCTCATTATGTTTTCCAACACAGTCATACTTGAACATTTTACATGATGGGATATAACTTATTATACTAGAAATATATTTAAAATATCTGATTTCTTCTTTATATTACATTTGGCATTACATTTCTTTTTATTAAGTGTGTAAGCAGTTTATATATTAATTTCATTTCAGAAAGTAAAGGATTTGGGGTCTGATCAGTTTGAGAATCAATTTTTTGTGTGTGCGTGGAATGGAGAGTTAGTAGTTATTTTTGAGAGAGAACAGTATGGGAATTATTAGATTAGTAGAAATAAACTAAACTGAAAATCAATGTGCCTGAGGTTCATTCTTAAATCTTACTAAGTGGCAATATGACATTCAGCAAGTGATTTAACTCTCTGAATCTCCATTTCCCAATTTTAAAATGAATCCATTAGACTAAGAGGTCCACAAGATCTTTTTCTATTATTCAATCATTGAATAAAGACTGTTTTAAACTTTCTTTACAATTAAGTGTGTTGCTTTGATTACATTCATCAAAGAAATTTCCACCTAAACTGGCTCTTCAATATTGATGACCTAATACAAATTTAATGTTTTAACAATCAGTAACACACCTTCCTAGAGATTCAGGAAGGGAAGCTTAATCTGTCAGGGTATCTTTAAATAAATAGTGTGTTAGCTTAATTATACAATGTCAGCTTTCAATTCTAAGAAGGTATATAAAACCTAAAAGCAAGGTGTTCCCCAACCCCCCGCCACCAACCCCGCCCCAGGCTTTGGAAATTTGTGCCCCCATTGAAGAGTATTTTCACCTCTGAACTTTCAAGGACAACTCCTTTTGCCTCATTGAAACTGGCTTTCAAGCTTGGCAACCAAGATAAGAATATTAAGTACACTTATTTTAACACTCAAGGACACTTTCTGAATAAACCAGAATCTAGGGAGATATAAGTGAATAATTTGGACCTGCTCTCTTTGAATGTTTATAATCTGGTGGAAAAAAAATGGACATATGAATATTGATTTGTGACCAGTGCAAAGGGGGCAAAAATTCATATCCCAAAGAAAACGGGGACACATCAGGTCTGTCTTGTTCATCACTGTGTCCACAGGGCCTGACACCTAGTAGGCTCAGTGGGAGAAAGGAGCCCCAATTACCAACAAAAGCCAGGAAAGAACGGGAGGCTCTTACGGAAAAGGGTGATACTTAAACTGAGCAAGGAGGCACCTGGAAATAGTGCCACCTAATAATTTTTGGCGATCAGACTGACACACTAGAACGGTTCATAAGACCAGCCTTCTCCCATTGGCTAGCTTCCTTCCTCACCCTTCTCACCCTGGGCAAGCCGCTTCCTCTCTCTGGGCCTCTTGCTTTTCCTCTGTAACATAAAAGGGGTTGAGCAATATCATCTCTGAGAGCGCCATGTGTGTGCGTGCCAGAGGGAAAACCCCCACAACGCTAATACATCAAAACTGCAGGTTTGCACAAAAACTGAATTCTGCTGAATGCAAACAGGCAAACAGCATTTACCAGGAAACAAAACAAAATCAAGCACATAAAAAAGTAGGAAGAGTTGGAAAACGGAAGGAAGATAAGTTCTCAAACAGCTGGAATAGTTGATGTTAGCTAGCGAAGTTTTTCAGAGGAAAAAACAAGAAGTTGGTTATGAGGCAAGTGGACCTGAGAAAAAAGACTAAAGGGGAAGAATAGCAAGTAAAACAGAACTCCACTTGCTAGATCTCTCCCTCTGTCGCGCTCTTTCACCTGACCCACTCCCTTATTCCCCCCACACCCTTTCCTTCTCTCCCTACGTTACCGCACAGGAACGAAGTCTGGGTCATGTGCGGACCGCTTGTGGCTCTTAAATCCTCTTTTTGTCACCCTGGCCGTGCAAAATTTTGAAACGTCCCTCGGCAAAAAAAATAAAAATAAAAAAAAAAAATCTGTCCCTGGCCTCTTCCCTAGTTCTGGGTCCAGTTGCAGCCAAGTGAGGGGCAGCGCGCGCTCCCAAGTCCCCGTTTCAGAGACGCGCACGCGCCTGGCGCCCAACCCCCAATCCCCTGCTGCTCAGTGACCCCGCCCACGGGTTTCCGGGCCGGCGTAGCTATTTCAAGGCGCGCGCCTCGTGGTGGACTCACCGCTAGCCCGCAGCGCTCGGCTTCCTGGTAATTCTTCACCTCTTTTCTCAGCTCCCTGCAGCATGGGTGCTGGGCCCTCCTTGCTGCTCGCCGCCCTCCTGCTGCTTCTCTCCGGCGACGGCGCCGTGCGCTGCGACACACCTGCCAACTGCACCTATCTTGACCTGCTGGGCACCTGGGTCTTCCAGGTGGGCTCCAGCGGTTCCCAGCGCGATGTCAACTGCTCGGTTATGGGTAAGCCGCCGGCTCGGCAGTCCTCCGGGTCGTCCTTTCTGCCCTTGAGCCCCTAACGCAGCGCCACGCCAACTACCGCTTCCCCCCAGGCAGACGCTTGTGGGTGGCCAGAGCATCTTGACTGGATTCGGGGACCCTTGGGGACCTTCTTCCCCGCCAGGCTCGCGAAGTTAAAGTTCATCTGCTGAGAACTTCTAACTCCACACTTTCTTGGTTATCTTGGGGACTCAACACTTTGATCAAGAACTTTTTTATTCCTCCCGCTTAATTTTGTTTGCTTTGAGAGAGACTTGGGAACTGCAATCGTTTGGTTCTCCAGTCCGATCTGGTAGCGTTATTTTTAAAATTTATTTTTATTTTTTATTACTATTTTACTAGTGAAGATAGATGAGCTCAGAGACTCTCGAGGATATAGCATGAAGTTTTCTCTTTTTGTTAGATGGTGGGAAAGGGACTTTCTGCCCAGCGATTTTGGTTTGAGCGGGTGTTGATGAGTACTAGAAAACGGCTAGTACCACTCTGCATTGTTTCATGCATTGCAAGGAGGTAAAAATTTTTTAAAAAATTAATAACAAAGAAAACTTAACTCTGAACCTAGTAATTAGAAATGCCCAGAGTCTGCACAATGTTTGGCTCATGGAAGGCTCTCAATAAATACCTAGTGTTTGAACATACTGGAGATATTCCATATGCCTTCAGATAACATGGTTACCCCTAGAACAAAGAACCTAGTGAAGGGGGTGGGGTGGAAAAAAGACAATCACTAGTTAGAAGAGTCACACTGTGGTCTACCCAAACCCTCTTACAGCCTGTGACTTCTGCAGAGTCAGTAAAAAATCAGCTATAATTTTCTTGTCAACAGAACAAAGATTAAGTCATTTGTTACTAAAGAAATACCTTTTTAACTGACTGTATAGCATTTCATAATCCTGAACATTGTAACTTTTTTTTTTTTTTTTTTGAGAATGGAGTCTTGCTCTGTCACCCAGGCTGTAGTTCAGTGGCGGGATCTCGGCTCACTGCAACCTCCGCCTCCCGGGTTTAAGCGATTCTCCTGCCTCAGTCTCCCGAGTAGCTAGGATTACGGGCACATGCCACCACGCCCGGCTAATATTTTGTATTTTTAGTAGAGACGGGTTTCACTGTGTTAGCCAGGATGGTCTCCATCTCCTGACCTCGTGATCCGCCCGCCTCGGCCTCCCAAAGTACTGGGATTACAGGCGGGAGTCACCACGCCTGGCCTTTTTTTTTTTTTTTTTTTTAAATTTGAGTTTGAAGGTTGGGGCAGAAAGAGATCAGGATTTGCACTGCCCTGTCACATGCAATCTCCCATGTCAGAGCATTACTCTCAAACATGGAAAAACTTTAAAATACACAACTCTCCAGATGGACACAGCTGAATCATTTTCAGGAAGGCTCTGCCTATAAAATTACCTTTGGCCTTAATTCAGTAATTAAAGGCACCCACAGGTCTGAGCCCTCATCTATGAAGGTTAAACGTATCATTCCTATCAGCACTAATTGGTTTTATAGGATACAGACCTCTAGTTTGCTGAATAAACTTTGGAAGGATTCAGATTATGAGGTTCTAAACTGTAGAGCCTTTGAGGAGAAAGGTACCCCATTTCTTCTCCGAATAGATCATTTTGTGTCTTCTCCTGGGCTTAGCACATTGTCTTCCTTAGGATCTGATAGTCTGTTTATTTATCTTTTTGTTGTCATACCTTTTATTCTTGCATTTCCCACTTTTGACTAGCATTTTGCCTTTTCTCCGTTTCTGGAAGCCTGTAATTTTCAACATTCCCCATTTCTCCTTTTGTTCAGTGGAAAAATTTCTTCAGTGTTGGGATGCTCTGGAAAGGTACTGTAGTTTTGGGGGTCTCCCTGCCTGCTGGGCTGCATAGCATATCTCTCTTTTTTGAGACAAGGTCTCACTGTGTTGCCCAGGTTGGAATGCAGTTGTGCAATCATAGCTCACTGCAGCCTCCAACTCCTGGGCTCAAGCAATCCTTCCACCTCAGCTTCAGCCGCTCAAATAGCTGGGACTACAGGCAATGCACCACCATAACCAGCGAATTTTTAAAAATTATTTTTGTAGAGACAGGGTCTCACTATGTTGCCCAAACTAGTCTTGAAGTTCTGACCTCAGCCCCGCAAAGTGCTAGGATTACAGGCGTGAGCCACTGCTTCTGCTTGCATTATCTCAAATTTTTAGAGCCTAACTTCACAGTCTTGCCTCGGAGCAGGAACTGTTTGAGGCAACAAGATGGAGCCTCTGGTTTCTTCACTAGGCAGACTGTGCTCAAACTGGGTAGCATGAAAGGAAAGCAGCACAATTAAAATTGAAATTGGGGGATTCTTTCCCCTATTGAAATCCAAATAATTTTCCTTTATTGTGCTTTTTTTTTTTTTCTTTAGGACCACAAGAAAAAAAAGTAGTGGTGTACCTTCAGAAGCTGGATACAGCATATGATGACCTTGGCAATTCTGGCCATTTCACCATCATTTACAACCAAGGCTTTGAGATTGTGTTGAATGACTACAAGTGGTTTGCCTTTTTTAAGGTTAGTTTTGTTGGAAGTTGGATTTACATTTTCAATGATTTGATATCTGAAACCTCTTCTGATTAGTAGACCCTCAGAATTTTAATTTTAGATTAAGAAGATGACCGGAATTGACACCACTCTTCCCAAGAGTAGTAGTAGTTGGTATAATTTTGCCACTTTATTTAAAATTATGATTTTAGTAGGTTTACAAAATACCAGTGCTACATTTGAATATGTATAAATTATGTTTAAAATTTACATTTTGGTAAGTATGACTAAATTCTTAATTTATTTTCCTTATTACTACCACTTTATTTCTAAATGTTGCCATAGTCATTTGGCTTTGTTCTAAATCTGTAGGAAAGATAGAGAGATTACACATTTTGTTTTCTTGCAGTTACTATGCTGTCCTTCCTATCACTACCTGTTGGCTGAGGTAGTGATAGGCCTAAATGATTCATTATCTTAAATGTACTAAATATGTTGAGTAATTTTTTCTTCTAAACTAACAGAAAGAGAGAACCTAGGAGTTACTCCCTTAGGCTGGTTAAAGTGAAAGGTAGCCAAGTCAACCCAGCTTGTTTCCTTCTCTCATTAGGAAAGAACTATTGTTCATTCTCATAACACACTTTTTCCAATTGCAAACATACTCAGGGTTAAAATAGTTTAGCACAAATTGCAGCCCATTTCATTTGTTCTTCACAAGCTGGAACTTTTCTTGTAAGCTAAATATTAAATGGTTCAAGTAAATTGGATACATAAGCCTGAAACTAGGCGTTTCTCATTATACATAGAGTATAAATTAAGACAGACTTTTTCATGGTGAAAGGTTTACAGCCTTTAAAACATCTGGGAAGAAGTGGGAAAGTAGGGAATAACTCTGTTAAATATGATAAAAGACAAAGCACCAACAAAGGCCTAGTTCTAAACTTGTTATAATTTCTCATGGGAGTTGTGGTTTGTCACAAGGTTATGGCGGTCCAAGCAAGTTTACAATATTTTTTAGAATAATAACTCCCAGAAATATTTTTAAAATAAGGACCTTTCTTTAATATGGAAAAAAAAAAGATGAAATAGAGAGGAAGAGGTTGCCTTTCCTCAACTGGATTTGCTGGTGTGATATGCAGCTGGTGGAAACCAGTTTGTCCATGCTAGCTGTTGATGGCCACCAGTCCACTGAATTAGTGGAAACCCATGCTTAACCAGTTGTTAACTATTTTTAGTATCATTTCCAGATGCTACGCATTTTTTTTGTAAAAAACATACTTACAATAGTATCTATATAAATTTTTAAAATTGTAATGTATATGTGGTATATTTAACCTGAAAATAATCTTTGGTGTATACGTTGATGAGCCTAGGCCTTTGCAGACCTCTTACAGTTACTCTGTCACAGCCCTTCAAAGGTTCTTTGACTTCAGATTAAGAATCAATTGCATGTGGAATGCATGTGCAAAGGAAGAGATATTCAAGGCAATTGTTACCATGTACCATAAACCTTGTACATAATTTTTTGTCATTTTCTTTTCCTCTGTCTCTATCCCTTCTTCTTTGACACACAATAGACACCTAGTCAATTTATTACAAAAAAAATGAATGAATGAAGTGGAATTCAGTTGGGAAATAGGTTAAATAAATTATTTAGGAGATGAGGAATAGGTAAAAAGAGACAAGTACATAGTTTATTCTTTTGACTTAGAAAACTTTTGATTCTTAAATTCTGCAGAATTGGAGAAACTGGTGGGGAAACTTCTAAAATCATTATTTAATTACCAGAGATGTAATAGATATAGACAAAAGCAGTTTTCTTCTTTTATTATTTTTTCATCAGTTAGTTCTTAGCTTAAATAGTAGTCCAAAGCTGGTAGGGACAGAGGGAATTAGCTGGTGGCTGAATGAGGAATTGTATCACTTTTTGTGAATCACGGTGTAAGCACATTTGGTGTTTTGCCATTGCCTAAGAACATTAGTCACATTAGGTCAATAGAAAATCACTTTTTAAAGCCAAATAAAGTTATATGTGTTCCCAACCATGAGTTGGAAAGAATTAATATATATGCTGTTGGAGGGTAGAACCCTGCCTAATCATATGGTTCTGGATGGCATTGATCGAATCCTTATTCTTTCATTAGGAATAACAATAGAAAAAATACTCCTGCCCTACTGATTTCAGGATATGTCTATTTTAAAGTGCCCATTTGACAAAACCATTATCAGGGCCATGTTTTCTTTTTCTGCAGAAAAATCAACCACTCTGGTCAGTAGTTAGGTCTTATGACAAGCACCATAATTTCCTTAGGCAGAGTAGAATATAATAGGATACTTCTTTTTGAAACTTAATATAATCAGGTAGTTCCAGATAAACATAGCTTGCAAAGTGATAAAATACCATGTTATTTTAGTAAATCCAATTGCAAGAGTGATGGGAAACAGAGTTTAAAAACTTAAGAAAGATATTAAGATGGAGTTGACTTTGAATAATAAAGTCATCCACTGTTGATGGGTGACATTTATTAATACAGAAAGTTTACAGATTTTACCATAAGCATCAGGGTATTTCCTGCAGCTGGGGAAACCGTGCTTGAAAGGATGCGTAACTCAAGGAAAACACAAGCCCATGTAATAAGTATTGCATGTGAGAATTGTTCCTATAGAATTAGAAAGCATCTTTTACATTAAAATTTATTTTTGTAAAAAGAGAAAACATCAAAACTTGAGTAGTATTTGCTATTCAAAGAGTCTTACATAAACGAAAACATACTCAACCTACTGCCATTACAGAAATATTTGACAAATTCTTGCCATGCTTACCTGCCATCGTTGTTGTTATCCTACAAATCAATTGGATTTTCACGCCTCTCCACTGACTGGAACCCTACAACTTGCTTCCTTTTATCCTCTTTATATATGCTTCAGATATGCTTGAAGTAGATTGTTTCTTATTGTTCTTGCTGCTCGAGTTTGTTGAGTAGTTGGTACATGCAGAGTATTTGTATGTTATGACATATATAGGTTTTGTCCATGGTTCCTGGCTCATAACTCACTCCCAAGACCCTTGTTACAGAAACCAGAATCTCTCTCTCTGATCTTCTCCTACCCTCCTTTCATCTGCCCACTGCAGAACTCTAATCTGATTATGGTTTCTAAGACCCTCATACCAGAGAGTATTCTGCCCCATACCATAGCAGAAGGAACACTGCACAGAGACACCAAGAAGAATCTGAACAGACAGGCCTTGTTAGGTTTAGATCATGTCCTTATAACCTAATTATATTTTAACATGGTTATCCATGCTTTAATCATGTGTATTCAATGAACGCTCCATAAAAGCCCAAGAAGAACAGATTTGAGGGAATTCTGAAGCGCTAAACATGTAGGGTCTGACAGGAAGGTGAAGAAGAACTCATCATGCTGGAAGGGTGGTCCACCCTAACTCCGCAGGGACAGAAGCTCCTGTGTCTGGGACCCTTCCAGAACTTGCTCTATGTATCTCTTCAAGTGCCTGTGTATTTATATCCTTTCAAATATCCTTTGTAATAAATCATAAACATGTTTCCCTGAGTTTTTATGCCACTCTGTCAAATTAATTGAACCCAAAGAGGGGGTTATGGGAACCCCAATTTGAAGCCAGTCCATCAGAAGTTCTGGAGGCCTGGACTTGAGACTGGTGTCTAAAGTGGGCAGGCAGTCTTGGGGACTAAGCCCTCAACCTACGGGATCTGAAACTGTCTCCTGGTAGGTAGCATTGGAGTTGTACTGGAGGGCACTGAGCTGGTGTCTGCTGCAGAATTGATTGCTTGCTTGCTGGTGGGGAGAACTTCCTACATATTTTGGGGTCACCGAAGTCTTTTGTATTGATTGTTGTTGCTGACTGAGAATAGGAAAAAGCACGTTGAGTAGTTTTTCCACACCACAGCATTCTTTTAGGCTCCTGCTTTTACCTTCTGCTTCCCTCAGCATCCTGCATCTCACCAGGAGAGACACAGCTTCTTTGCCATTCTCGGCATTCCACTTCGGAATCAATCAGAATAGCTCCTATTGCTAGAAACTTGCTTTATTAAGTTCTGTTTATTCAGGGCTTATCTGAAAGAGAAACATTTTTTATGATTTGAGATTTCTAAGCCATTTTAAAACTTGGTTTTAACAGCTTGAGAAATTGGGGGTATAGTAGGGATGGAGATACATATATTTGGATGTGACTTCAAGCTAGATAAAAGTTTGGAAGGAATAAAAGTTTGACATCTAAAGTTTTTGCATAGTTTGAGTTGAGCAGGAGGTACTAGGTATGTTTTTAAAATATTTTTTTCAGCCAGGCACGGTGACTCATACCTGTAATCCCAGCACTTTGGGAGGCCGAGACAGGCGATCACCTGAGGTCAGGCGTTCGAGACCAGTCTGGCCAACATGAAGAAACCCCGTCTCTACTAAAAATACAAAAATTAGCTGGGTGCGGTGACACATGCCTGTAATCCCAGCTATTCAGGAGGCTGAGGCAGGAGAATTGCTTGAACCCAGGAGGCAGAGGTTGCAGTGAGCCGAGATCACACCATTGCACTCCAGCCTGGGTGTCTCAAAATAATAATAATAATAAAAAAATGAAAGATTTTTTCTTACTCAGCATCCTCCAGGCATTTTATTATCTGAGCACTTTATGGGAGTTGCATATTACATTTAGGGCCCACTCAGGTGGGTGGGTATCTAAGCATTTGAAATAACCTTATGTAAACTAATAAGGAGTAATCAGGCCTGTGGCAAGATGGAAACAGTCTTAGAGGCATTCAAATTCAAATTTCCTTTAAAACACTGGGCTGGCCAAAACAAAAGACAATACTATCTACAGGCCAGTTTCTAAGATTATCAGATTTTAGTAGCATTTACCATTTCATTGTACTTGGCACACTTTAGCAAATTTGCACTTCTTAAAAGTACCTGCAGGCAATCTCCTATATAAAAACACAATGCAGGCTAGCTTGGCTCCTGCCTTTAATTCCAGCACTTTGAGAAGTTGGAGACTAGCGTGGCCAACGTGGTGAAACCTCATCTCCACTAAAAATACAAAAATTAGCCAGGCATAGCAGCGCACGCCTGTAGTCCCAGTTACTTGGGAGGCCGAGGCAGTAGAATCACTTGAACGCTGGAGACAGAGCATGGAGTGAGCTGAGATTGCACCACTGCACTCCATCCTGGGTGACAGCGTGAGACTCTGTCTCCAAACAAAACAAAACACACACACACACAATGTAACAACACGAAACAGAATACTGTGAAAATGCTTAATTATGTCTGACTTTACATGATGGCTGGATATGTGATTATTTTTTCTTCTTTATGCTCTTATGTACTTTGTTCATTTTTAATGATGATCATGTATAAAGCTCCTCTGTGTAGCATTCTCTCCACCAAATTGCCCAGAGACAGGAAGTCCTGTAAAACAAACTAAGCTCCAAAAAATGACCTCCTGTTGAATAGGCTTTTTTTTTTTTTTTTTTTTTTTTTTTTGAAATGGAGTCTAGCTCTGTCTCCCAGGCCCTCGCTCCTTCCACCTCCTGGGTTTAAGAGATTGTCCTTCCTCAGCCTCCAGAGTAGATTGGATTACAGGTGCCCGCCATCACGCCCAGCTAATTTTTGTATTTTTAGTAGAGATGGGGTTTCACCATGTTGACCAGACTGGTCTTGAACTCCTGACCCCAAGTGATCCGCCCGCCTGGACCTCCCCAAGTGCTGGGATTACAGGTGTGAGCCACCACGCCCAGCCTGAATAGGCTTTCTAACCTACTGTTTCTCATTTTACTTTCTCTGAGGCAGTAAAAGAAACTGACTCTAAAAGGGAGCAGTAGAGAAGGAACTCAGATTTTATTTTGAAGATTAAGCTACTCAAGGGCTGAGGAAATATGTAGAGGGGAAGTAGACTCATTATGGCTGGAAATTTTATTTGGTGATAGTGAAGCAAATCTTAGGGCTTTCTAATTGAGCTCTTGTTTGAAAGGCTCCAATCTTAATAGAACTATAAGCTAAAAAAAATGACCATCAGTGTTTCTAAAGCAAGTTGCTACTCAAAACAAGAACACTTTGGGAGGCTGGGGCTGGTGGATCACCTGAGGTCAGAAGATGGAGTCCAGCCTCAACATGGTGAAACCCCTCTATACTAAAAATACAAAAAGTAGCCGGGTGTGGTGGTGCACGCCTATAGTCTCAGCCACCTGGGAGGCTGGGGCAGAAGAATCGCTTGAACCCGGGAGGTGGAGGTTGCAGTGAGCTGACATTGTGCCACTGCATTTCAGCCTGGGTGACAGAGTGAGACTCTGTCTCAAAAACAAAACAAACAGAAACAAGAACTCTATGTTGAGAAATCCATACTAGAGGGTTTAATTTCTCACTTTGTGTGCTAGTGATTAATAAATTTCAAGCTTATCACACAGCCAGAAATGTCGCCTGTGTTTCTACAATAAAAGATTTGGGAATATTGTGACATTTTTTCACTGAGCCTTCTGGGTTCATTATTAAGATATAACAATTTTAGAAGACTTATTGAGATAGGTATACTTTTTAAAATTTGGATTCAATATATCAAGCTCAGCATTTTGTCTTTTTTTTGTTTTGTTTTAAACAACTTTGGGTTTACTTGTAAGAGTATTTCAGTGGAGGAAAAGTATCAGAAGTTTAGCACTGAGTGCCTGCCTAACTATTTTATGTCTTCTTTCATGATGATGCTTAATCTCAACATAATGACTCAGTTTACCATTGTAAACTCTTTGTAGGATGTCACTGATTTTATCAGTCATTTGTTCATGCAGCTGGGAACTGTGGGGATATATGATTTGCCACATCTGAGGAACAAACTGGGTGAGCTCCATTGAAAAATTTCTAACTTTCTTATTAAAAGCAAGCTTCCTCACTTCCTGATGGCTTATGCAAATTAATGCCTATTTATTCATCAGAGGGTGACTGGAGAGATTATGGTTTTCTTATGAATTTCTTGCTTGAGCCTGCTTGTCTGCTGTTTCTAAGTTGTCTGCACTATTTTATGTGAGTAATTTTCTACTTTATTATGTTCTGTTTTCACATGTCAAATCAGCTCTCCCAAGAATGCTACTTGTAACCTAAGTAGACGTGAACCGAAAAGGGTAAAGACCCAGCTAAAAAAAAGGTTGACTCAAGTTCAGTTCACATTCGTAAAGTAGTTAGGCTGCCTTAGGTTGCTTATTCTTTTCTTGAAAAGAATCCCTCAAGAGAGAAACATGTGAGGCCACAGCAGCTTAGATCTGTCTTCCACAGAGAAGGTGGCTTTTACAGAGAAATTGACATACTCATCACTTATCTGACATGACCCAGCTTTGTAAAACTGGCTTCTATTAAAATAGTCTTAATAGACTATTCACTGAGGAGGAGAGAATCTTATTCACTCTTTACATTCTCTTCACATTTTCAGAATAGATGTTTAAATCATTGCTCACACTGGATCCATAAATGTCTAAAATGTTGATGAAGAAATAGGTGATTAGAGAGTAAAATTAATAGAGACTTACCCTTCCTTGCATTTTAACATAATATTCTTTCCCCTTTTCCTTCCTCTGTTACTTGGCTCTTAAATACCAGAAGTGAGATATGAAAAAGGGAACTGGGAACAAGTATTGAAAGCACCATAGGTTTATCTTATATTAGCATTTTCCAAACTTTATAATGAACCAGCAGTGACCCACACATCTGCCAGGTAGGAATTGCTCATCAGTTGTGTCGCGTTATCTTGTTAAGCTTCAGCAATGTTCCATACAGCCACTAATAACAGATCAAAGTGAGCATTAGGGTTGAAATTAGTAAGCTGTTTCTTCTCAGTTCTTTCTGGTAGTTGAATAAATATAGAATGTATTAAATAGTTTTCTTTATTTCAGAACTTCTCAGAGTCTGTAATATATTGTATGGTGGTAGCTTAGGAGGAAGATGCAATAGGAAACTTTTCCCAGATAGGTTCACTATTTTTTTTTTCCACGAAAAATAAGCTGTTCTCAAAATACAGTTTACAAAATTTTATCCTTAACTCTTCACTCTTTCTCCTAGTTAGGGAGACCGCTCCACCAGTAGAAAAGATAAACCCTGGTAATTTGTTGTGTAAATGGGATAAATAGCCTAGTACCTAGTCATGTGGATTCAGGCAGCACTGAGCCTAAATTAAAGTTTGCAAGGTATACATGTTAATGTATCTAAGTTACTATATTTAGCCTGTTTCTTAAGTATGTTTCAGAAACATATTCGTTTTTTTCAGTGGCAGTTACCTTCAGATGCATGTGCTTCTAAAGCATGTTGGTTGCATGTGCAGTACATGTTGCTTAAGCATTTAGCTTCAGAATGGCATCTTTCCTGTGAATGTCTTAACATTTACAAAAATATACCAGGATCTCAAATATCAGTGCTGGTATTTTTTTTTTTTTTTACTTAAAGAAACTGATATGATTAAATATTAAGAGACAATATGATCCTTGTTGGCTTGTAACCCTAGTTTTTATTGTCTTGTAGTTATTAAATAGAGCATCTGTTGAGGGACTCTTTTAAAACCACAGCCATGAACAGACGTTGGGGCTAAGAGACAGAGCAGCCTGCGACAGTGTGGACCTACCTGTAGCAGCTAGCAAAGGCCTCTAGCAGCTACAGTCCCTTCTGGAGTCTTTATTTGCATGCAAAATGCAAAGGAGTCCTGGTGACCTACCTCCAAGGCAGCTGCCCTCCTGAACACTCCCTTGGAAAACAGTAAACATCATTTTGGAATGTGAACAACCAGAGACTACACAGGAGAAAGGAAAAAAAAATTCTGAAGATGCAAAATCTTGGGTGGCTTCACCGTTCAGTTTTTTAATAAAAGGAACAATATACAACACGTTGTTCTTTTTCTCTTTTGAAATCCCTTCTATTACAGTGATTTTTTTCTAAGATTGTCAGGATTTGAAGTGTATGTTTTGTTTTATTCACAGCGTAAATTTTATTCACAGTTTAACTGTCTGCCTGAGTGTCTTTCCTTTCTCTAATTACCTTGAGGAACCCAAGAGCCTGTTGTAAGGAGAAAATAAGGCCCTTGGATCTCTTGAGATTCACAGATATAAGTTATTGAAGGGAAGATGGTCCTATGGAGGACATATTTAAAGAAGGGAAAAAAGAGGCTTTCTCAGATATGTCAGACTGCTATAGTATACTTCTACAGATTATAGACCTCCAGTACCTCTGGCCAGAAAGATGGTATCGTAAACACCCTATTTTTTTTCTTTTCTTTTTTCATTAGGTACAAGCTTTGTGCTAAGAAGTTGACATACTATAAGCTACAAAAGTTCTGTAAAGTAGATATAACTAGTTTCATTTTATAGATAGAGAAAATTAATCTCTTACAGTGCTAAGCTCACAGAGTTTCTAACTGTAAAATGCTAGAACTTGTCTTTCAAGCCTAAAGACTTCCTTGGGGCTAAATAGTGAAAAAAGCCATTTCACAAATAAGTAAATGGTATTTAGAGGCATATTTGGATTTCCTGGTAAATTCCAGTCTGTGAGCATCATGAATATTAGTTTAATGTTGCATGGGCTCATGTTGAAGTTTTAAGAGAAGAACTGCCTTGAAGCTTAGGTTTCCTTAGCTATTAGGCTACTGACTTTCTTGCCTAAACCAGGGTTTTTTCATTGAAGACCAAAACTTACCTTCTCCTTCAGTTTGTAGTTTGGAAATTGGTAGAAGAGCTTTGTAAACTTCAAATTAAGTACAAACTAAGTGTCATAGTCAAATTTACTAATCTTAATTACAGTATTGTTCAACTGATTGCTATCTTCTAGCTCTTTCCTGCCGAATAATGGTCTTGTTTCCTGCTCTGTTGGTTTAGAGCTGACTTCTTTCAGCTTTGGTAAGCCTGAAATTATGGGGTTATGTTTAATTCATATTGTCTGGGTGGACTTTCCTCTCTTGCATTTCTGCTTGAATAGAAGAATTTTTCTCTAGAGAGTAGTTTGTCATCCTTACTCTGTTGATTCAGATGACTCTTTGTATGATCTGAGAGGTATACTGTTCTGCTATTCTGAGAAGAAGTATTTCAGAAAGATGAATTAAGAGTACAGTGGACTGCTCCCACCTGGAAACTTTTATCTATCTCACCTCTGGACCTGATAAATTCTTTATCACTCAGGACCTTGATGACGCTGCTCTCTGAAACCCTCCCCAGCTCTCTCTATTACCGTGAGAAACATCAGAACTTTGGTTCCCATTGCATATCGCAGGTACCTCTGCTTTCATGCCATGCTGTAATGGAGTGATTGGGTAGCATGTTTTCATCTCTTTCCAGATTGAAAATCTGTATTTCTCCCTGTATATCTTCAACACCTAATGCACATAGAACTTTGTAGGTACCTGGAAAATGCACCACAGTTTTCTTTTCTTTTTGCAGACTTTTCACAAGTATTACCAACTTACAAAGAATTAATTTTGTAGGATTCTAGAAAGACAAATCAGGAATGGTGCCATATACATCTTTTTTGATTCCCTGCTCTAAAGAATATTATCAGGTTACCTTCCTGCAGAGTTTTAAAAGAATTGCATATTTCAAGCTGACTTTCAGGATGTAAATATAACCAAAGCAACTGATATGTAAAAAATATATTCAATGGCATTCCTAGATTTTCTTCTAGGGTGTTTTATTGTTTTGGGTTTTACATTTAAGTCTTTAATCCATCTTGAGTTAATTTTTGTATAGGTATAAGAAAGGGGTCCAGTTTTAATTTTCTGCGTATGGCTAGCCAGTTCTCCCAGCACCATTTATTAAATAGGGAATCCTTTCCCTATTGTTTGTTTTTGTACGGTTTGTCAAAGATTAGATGGTTGTAGATGTGTGGTCTTATTTCTGAGATCTTCATTCTCTTCCACTGGTCTATGTGTCTGTTTTTGTACCATGCTTTTTTGGTTACTGTAGCCTTGTAGTATAGTATGAAAGATAGCATGATGCCTCCAGGTTTGTTCTTTTTGCTTAGGATTGTCTTGGCTATACGAGCTTTTTTTTGGTTCTATATGAATTTTAAAATAGTTTCTTCTAATTGTGTGAAGAATGTTAATGGTAGTTTAATGGGAATAGCATTGAATCTGTGAATTGCTTTGGGCAGTATGGCCATTTTCATGATATTGATTCTTCCTATCCATGAGCATGTAACGTTTTTCCCTTCGTTTGTGTCCTCTCTCATTTCCTTGAGTAGTGGTTTGTAGTTCTCCTTGAAGAGATCCTTCACTTCTTCTGTATTCCTAGATATTTTATTCTCTCTGTAGCTATTGGGAATGGGAGTTCATTCATGATTTTGCTCTCTGCTTGCCTTTTGTTGGTGTATAGGGATCCTGGTGACTTCTGCACATTGATTTTGTATCCTGAGACTTTACCGAAGTTGCTTATCAGCTTAAGAAGCTTTTGGGCTGAGATGATGGGGTTTTCTAGATATAGGATCATGTTATCTTCAAACAAAGACAATTTGACTTCCTCTCTTCCTATTTGAGTACGCTTTATTTCTTTCTCTTGCCTGATTGCCCTGGCCAGAACTCCCAATACTATATTGAATAAGAATGGTGAGAGAGGGCATCCTTGTCTTGTGCCAGTTTTCACGGGGAATGCTTCCAGCTTTTGCCCATTCAGTATGATATTATCTGTGGGTTTCTCATAAAAAGCTCTTATTATTTGAGATACGTTCCTTCAATACCTAGTTTATTGAGAGTTTTTAACATGAAGCGATGTTGAATTGTATCGAAGGCCTTTTCTGTGTCTATTGAGATAATCATGTGGTTTTTGTCTTTAGTTCTGTTTATGTGATGAATGACGTTTATTGATTTGCATATGTTGAACCGGCCTTGCATCCTGGGGATGAAGCCAACTTGACTGTGGTAGATAAGCTTTTGGATGTGCTGCTGGATTTGGTTTATCAGTATTTCATTGAGATTTTTTGCGTCGAAGTTCATCAGGGATATTGGACTGAAGTTTTCTTTTTGTTGTCGTATCTCTGCCAGGTTTTGGTATCAGGATGATGCTGGCCTCATAAAATGAGTTAGGGAGGAGTCCCTCCTTTTCAATTGTTTGGAATAGTTTCAGAAGAAAGGGTATCAGCTCCTCTTTGTACCTCTGGTAGAATTCAACTGTAAATCCATCTGGTCCTGGACTTTTTTTCATTAGTAGGCTATTTATTACTGCCTCACTTTCATAACTTGTTATTGATCTATTCAGGGATCCAACTTCTTCCTGATTCAGTCTTGGGAGTGTGTATGCATCCAGGAATTTATCCATTTCTTCTAGATTTTCTAGTTTCTTTGCATAGAGGTGTTTGTAGTATTTGCTGTTGGTTGTTTGTACTTCTGTGAGATCAGTGGTGGTATCCTGTTTATCATTTTTTATTGTGTCTGTTTGATTCTTCTCTTATTTTTGACAAAGCTGACAAAAAGAAGCAATAGGGAAAGGACTCTCTATTCAATTAATCCTACTGTATATCTGGCTAGCCATATGCAGAAAATTGAAACTGTTCCTGTTTCTTAATCCATATACGAAAATCAACTTACGATGGATTAAAGACTTAAATGTAAAACCCAAAATTATAAAACCCTGGAATAGAATATAGGCAATATCATTCTGGACATAGGAATGGGCAAAGATTTTATGAGAAAGACACCAAAAGCAATTACAACAAAAGCAAAAATTGGCAAATGAGATCTAATTAAACTAAAGAGCTCTGCACAGCAAAAGAAACTACTGTCAGAGTGAACAGGCAACCAACAGAATGGGAGAAAATTTTTTCAATCTATCCATATGACAAAGGTCTAACATCCAGAATCTACAAGGAACTTAACAAATTTACAAGAAAAAAGGAGCCCCATTAAAAAGTTGGCAAAGAACATGAACAGACACTTCCCAGAAGATATTCATGTGGCCAATAAACATGAAGAAAAGCTCAACATCACTGACCATTAGAGACGTGCATATCAAAATCACAATGAGATACCATCTCATGTCACAATGGTGATTATTAAAAAGTCAAACAACATGCTAGTGAGGTTGTAGAGAAATAAGAACGCTTTTACACTGTTGGTGGGAATGTCAACTAATTCAACCACTGTGGAAGACAGTGTGGTGATTCCTCAAGGATTTAGAACCAGAAATATCATTACTGCATATAGACCCAAAGGAATAGAAATCATTCTATTACAAAGATACATGCACATGTATGTTTATTACAGCACTATTCACAATAGCAAAGACATGGAATCAACCCAAATGCTCATCAGTGATAGACTGGAAAAAGAGAATGTGGAACATAAACACCATGGAATACTATGCAGCAATAAAAAGGAATGAGATCCTGTCCTTTTCAGGGACATGGATGGAGTTGGAAGCTGTTATCCTCAGCAAACTAATGCAGGAACAGAAAACCAACCACCACATGTTCTCACTTATAAGTGGGAGCTGAACAATAGAACACATGGGCACAGGGAGGGGAATAACACACACTGGGGCCAGTCAGGGGGTGGGGGGTCAAGCTGAGGGAGAGCATTAGAAAAAATAGCTAATGCATTCTGGGCTTAACCCATTTATGCCTAGTGTTCCATTTCTGGAATGCTAAGCATGTGGAAGTTCTTTATATCCTGCTCAAGGTCATTGCCAAGGTCTGATTTTTCACATTCAACAAATTGCAACCTCTGGCATAAATGGGTTAATACCTAGGTGATGAGTTGATAGGTGCAGGAAACCACCATGGCACATGTTTATCTATGTAAGAAACCTGCACATCCTACACATGTACCCTGGAACTTAAAAAATTTAAAATATATATGTATATATATTTAATATGGAATTTTAAAAATTACTAATGAGTTCTTTTATCTGAGTAATTTTGCATCAACATGCTTTTATTATGGAAGAGAAGATTCAGTGAGTACAAAATTGCAGATACATGTGTCAGAAGATCCCTGAATATAATAAGGCTTAGTATTCTGTGTCATAATTGCCTGTTTGTATTCCTCTCTGGTCTTTAAACTTCATTAGGGCAAGGATCAACTCCATCTTACTAACCATTTGATTCCCTATGTATTACACGATATATGACCAATAATAAGCCTTCAATAAATACTTGTAAAATAAAGAATGTTATGTAATATATCATGTGGTATTGTTTTATTGATGTGTTCTTTGAAGTGTTACCTTTGTGTCCTTAGAGGCTATGGTGGGCCCTCAGGCCATATATGTTGGATGATTTAGTGGAAAAGAGATTAGACTTTTATATTTTATTCTATTTATTTATTTATGTTTTAATCTTGTGTAAGCCTATAGAGGCCAAGATAGGGCTCAGAGTTAAAAACAGTGATGTTCTAACTTTCAAAACTACTAAAAACAAAATTAGCTATCAAGGGAAATCCTGAGTGTTCTGACTGCAGGGGTTCCCCAAAGCCTGGAGGACCGAAGCTTTGAAATGCTGCATGGTGTGCCTCACCTCTGTTGAGTATAGTGAGGAACATGAGCTGAGGAGTGGATTAGATGAACTCTTAAGATTTTTTTCCAACTTTACGGTTTGAGTTTATGAGTAAGTAAGTGAGGAATGAGCCCAGGGACTTTGACTACTTTGCTGTGCAGTAAATTGCTGTTTTCTTAGCTAATTCTGGAGTGTGTATTTTGGTTTTAATGTAATGTCCTTTCAGCACTGGAAATAAACAGATTTATGACCCTCCATTTTCACATGTAAACTTCCAGTTCCTTCAGTAAAATGCTGGAAGTTGCTTGGCTGTAACCACTGTAACTATTTCCTGGCAGTTTTGCATTTTATTACAATTCGACTTTTTAAATGCATGGTTCAGTCCAGTTAATAGGCAGAAAACTATAGCTATTCCTTGGAACTGACATAGGGAAGTTGGTTTCTTTCTGAGGAAAGATGTGACACTCTGATGGATTTGGCAAAATACCAATTCAGTAAAATTTGCCTGGTTCCTTTCTGACAGCAAATGGAGGTAATTGTACGTATATAGATTTCTACAGTAAACAAAGGGCAAAAATGGAAACATTTTTTGTTTTTTAATGTTGCTGGAATATAATATTTCCATATTTGGTTAATCATCAAATCATTCAACTCCATGCAAAGTACTCTTTTCAAAATTACAAATCATCTTGATGGATTAGACTTGGATGTCTAAATTTTTTATTATGTATTCTAAATTATCTATAGGTACATTTTGAAAATTATATATACATGTATCACTGTACTACATTTGTTATAAAATGTGAAATATTAAGCGATTAAATACTTTATTAATGTCATAAAATTGTGCCCTACCCAAAATATATTTTAAGAAGATATCATTTGAAAATAATGTAAAATATTCTTCATTATTATGATTTTGTTGCCAAAAGTAATGTTAGAGTCCCTGTTACTGATAATTTTCATGACTGTAAATTTTCAACATTTGGAAACAAAATTTTCTGATGTGTTTTAAAATCTTAAAGAATTTCAGTAGATTTTGACACATTTTTGTTAAAAGTATGAAAGTGTCACAGCTTTAGAAGGATTTAGAATAATTATCAATTGGTATTAGGGATGACAATTTTAATAGACAAATTTTAACTGAAACATTTGCTTTATTGATGTCTAGGACTAAAAAAAATATTATAGTGATGGAACCATTTCAAAACATCTGTTTTTAAAAACTTCTGTCAACATGTTTGACAGAAGTCAGAATAGGGTAATTATAAAAAAACTGCCATTTTCTTATGTTTGCATCATTAGTATTTGCAAATCCTTGTTTCTTTGCAAGTATATTTTAAACTACTTGTTCATTTTATGAGTGTTAGCCTGATTAATTCAGATAAGATGCTCAAGTCAGTTTAAGCAGGCAGATGTGAAAAAGGGAATATGCTGTGCCTTAACTATCTTATAGGGACTTACTAGCACACTGTACATAACAGATGAACATCTGATATTAGATCTGATGGGCACACCAATGTTGTTTCATATATTAAATAATAGTGGAAGTTTTCAATTTAATTAGTTTATTTATTTATTTATTTATTTTTGAGCCGGTGTTTCCCTCTTTTTGCCAAGGCTGGGGTGCAATGGCACATGGTTGCAGCTCACTGCAATCTCCACCTCCCAGGTTCAAAGGATTCTTCTGCCTCATCCTCCCAAGTAGCTGGGATTACAGGCGTGTGCCACTATGCCAGGCTAATTTTTGTATTATTAGTAGAGACAAGGTTTCACCATGTTGGTGAGGCTGCTCTCAAAATCCCGACTTCAGGTGATCCACCCGCCTCAGCCTCCTAAAGTGTTGGGATTACAGGCATGAGCCACTGCGCCTGGCCAATTGTATTTTTATGTTAGAAATATATATGGGAGTTACAATACTTTGTTTCCAATGTTCCGCTGGAAACCACTGGTTGAAAGGATAGGTCCCAGTGTCAGCTGCCCAGTTGGCAGTTTTGGATAGAATATAAGTTCTATGAAGGCATGGATGAAGTATCCTTCATGGTAATGATGGTAATGTTAGTATAGTCACTTGTTTAATGTTGTATAACTTTTTAACTCTTCCAACTTCAATTTCATCTATATCTTTCATAGCAGTCCAGTAAAGTAGTATCAATTATAGATATCATTCCTACTTTCAGATAAAGTAACTGAGGCTCACTAGTTTTGACTTGCTCAAGGTTACGTAAATGATAAGTGACAGACTGGATTTAAAGGGCGGAGTCCACTTTACTAAACTGCCTCTGTCTTCTAGCCAAGTTTGTTATGTAAAGTAAGTATTCAGACATTGGCTAAGTATATTATTAATCAAGAAAACAGTAGAACAGGTTTAAGGAATTTTTTTTTCCCTCTCCTCAGTGTCAAAAAGCAGTCAAGTAAAAGATCCAAGATAAATAACTTCAGTTCCCAAAAATAACTTCAATTCCAAAATTTCCCTATGACTAGGTATATCTAATTGGATAGCTGATAAAATGAGTGGGAAATTGAAGAAGGGATATTTTGAGAATGTGTGGCAACTTAATGGTAATATTGAAGAAGCAAATGGATAGTTATTGAATCATAATAGTTTTTTAAACTTAAATACTAGGGCTTGATCTTCATATTTTAGGAAATTATCTATTTGTTGCAGTAGAAATTAGCATAAATGAATGGAAACTTAAATTATCTCATCTGTGCAAGGCAGTCTTCAGAGACTGATGTTTATATAAGTGAAAACTCAGAAAAATTTTTTGGCTGCATTTCAAGCTGGATAGCGGGGTCAAAACTTCAACTTCTTAATTGGTGATACAACGTCAGAAATCACAAAAGAAGTATTTCACAGGAAAAAATGACATACCCCGAAAACATTCAAATCAAGAAAATCACAGGGGTACAGTGGATGGTCCCCCTTAAGGTACTGCGTACTTGGCTTCCCCGCTGGTAAATGCCTCTCTTTTACTAAGTTGTTGTCGTGCAGAGTGGCATTGCAGCTCTGTACTTTTACAGAATAATTTCAGGTTCTAAAATTGATACATTATTTCAGATTGTAAGAATAGTATAAAATAAAATTTTAAAAGGGAAAATAATTCCATCAATTTAATGGAATGTGTAGGGTTTAAGTTATAACAACAAAAACAAAGTTGTAGTTTTTTAGGATTACTCATATAAATAGTGTGTCTATTAAGAATTACTGGCTTTATGAATATTAAATAAGAAGGCTGGCCGTGGTGGATCATGCCTGTAATCCCAGCACTTTGGGAGGCCGAGGCAGACGGATCACCTGAGGTCAGGAGTTCAAGACCAGCCTGGCCAACATGGCGAAACCCTGTCTCTACTAAAAATACAAAAATTAGCCGGGCGTGGTGACGCATGCCTGTAATCCCAGCTACTCAGGCGGCTGAGGCAGGAGAATTGCTTGAACCCGGAAGACGGAGGTTGCAGTGAGCTGAGATCGCGCCACTGCACTCCAGCCTGGGTGACAGAACAAGACTCCATCTTGAAAAAAAAAAAAAATTAAGACAACCACAGATATAAGGATTTGCAATTAGAAAGCTTGAAGGGAAATTTTTGGAACTTCTAGGTCAACCTAAAATTACAAATAGGGAAGCAGCTTTGGAGAGGAACATTTGCACTTCTGAAGTAATACTGTGATTTGGACTGTCAGACATTGTGATATATTGGCATCACCACACCTCTGTTAATTATAAACTTACCTATTCTCAGTGCCTTGTTAACTGTTGAAATAGGACTTGACATTTGTTGTTCTTCCTCTTCTGTTATTCATTTATTCACTCATTTAGTAGTTAATTACTTCCTAGTGCCAGATAGTTTTCTAGGTACTGAATAAACAAAAATCCTATTGTCATAGTTATGTTTTTGTGGAAAGAACAACCTGATAGACTATCGTGAAAAATAAATGAGTTAGTATACATAAAACACAGCCCATGAGATATAGTCTGTAATTATCATCCCTGCTTCATTTATTTATTTATTTATTTATTTATTTAGAGAATGGATCTGATTCTGTCATCCAGGCCGGAGTTCAGTGGCTGGATCATTGCTCACTGTAACCTCAAAACACCTGGCCTCAAGTGATTCCCCCAACCTCGGCGTTCCAAAGTGCTGGGATTAAAGGCATGAGCCACTGTACCTGGCCATTGCTCCTGTTTTAAAGATGAGGAAACTGAAAGTACAGAGAGGAACGTGACTTGCTCAGGATCACACAGCCAATCAGTGGCAGAGCAGTCTAGGCAGTCTAGGCCTGAAGGCATTATTCTTTCTTTCTGTTCTGCGTCAAAAACCCTAGGCAGGCATGGTAAAAAGACTGAAAGAGCCAAGGCAACATAGGTACCTGAAGAATGGGAGAACACCTATGAGGACTGCTAGAAATTTTAGGCAGCCCTTTAAAGGCCTTGGGCAACAATTTGAACGTGACTCATGAGTCAGTTAATTCTCTGCACCTTTTTTTTTTTAGAGAATACAATGGATAAAGCAATGACCTTTGTAACATGTAAACCTGTATTTGAATCCTTTCCTCTCCATTTAATTTTGCAGAGTCACCTTTTCTTCATTAGAAAGAAATTTTATCCCAAAGAGATTATCGTGAGGCTCAAATAATATAGGTGGAAGCCCTTTGGGTTTAAAAAAAAGCCTTTTCTGTCATTTCTGGGTATCTCCCGTCAGTGATTTTAGTAATTGTTTACCTCTCTGGCTCTTCGTGAGAAGACAAATTGTAGGAAGAAGTGGAGGATGGCATTGGGTAGGATGCTTAGTTCTAGTTCCACCACTTCCTTAGGTCTTTTTTTTGTCCCCCAAGACTATATCATTTCTGTGTTCTCTTGAACCTGTAAGATTTATGAGTAATCTGTACAATATTTATAAAGTATGAAATCTCTGCCATTGTGGCACAAAAGTAGCCATAGACAATGTATAAATGAATGGGCATGCTGTTCTCCAGTAAAACTATATTTATAGAAATAGGCAGTCTTCTCCAATTTTAGTTTGCTCACCCCTTTCCTATAGAACTCAGGTTTATCATATACAATGTTACACATTATTCCTTTGAATAAATTGTTTACCTAATACTTTTTAAATTTGGGCATTTTCTAGGACATTCTATTGTTTTTATTTTTAACTTGTGTTATACTGCAGTGAATGTCTTCCTGTGTGTAGCATTTTGTTTGTGTATGTGTGTCAATATCTATAAAGTAGCTCTTAAGAACTCTGGAAACATTGTCAGACTGCTTCCTCAAACAGCAGAGGTGGGAGGGAGCATCGGCCTAACCCTACCTGGCCTGCCTTACCAGCATGCAACCAAGGAGAAGAGAATAGGATCAAGAGCCAGTGCCAGAGAGAAGTACATAATACAACTTTATGGAGTTTAGGTTGCATCCTATAAAGTTACCATGTTACACTGTTTCGATCTACCAAAGTAGAAGTTTTACATAGTTTAGTATGAAGTTAATTTTATTAACCTTTTCACACAACACACCCTCTCATATTGCTGCCCAACAATGTCCTGGGTCTTTGTTTCCATGGTCATCATATTGAGTAGGGTTTTAGCAGGGACTTGAGTAGTTGGGAACTGAACTCATGCTAGTGAAGCCATTCTTCACTAGAAGCAGACATATGGGATCCAGAATATCATGAACAACCAGCTGGGTACAGTGGCTCACACCTGTAATCCCAGCACTTTGGGAGGCTGAAGGAAGCAGATCACCTCAGGTCAGGAGTTTGAGACCAGCCTGGCCAACATGGTGAAACCCTATCTCTACTAAAAATACAAAAATTAGCCAGGCCTGGTAGCACATGCCTGTAGTCGCAGCTACTTGGGAGGCTGAGGCAGGAGAATCGCTTGAACCTGGGAGGCGGAGGTTGCAGTGAGCCGACATCTCGCCAGTGTACTCCAGCCTGGGCAACAGAGTGAGACTCTGTCTGAAAAAAAGAGAATATCATGAATATCACCAAAGATAAAAGCAAGATGCGGATATGAGTAGCCCAGAGTAACTTTTCCTGTGCTATATAACACAGTGAGTGGTGATTCCCACAATTCAAGTCCAGTTTTTCTGGATTCTAAAGCCATACATTTTTAACTCTCCCCCTAAATATGATTTGAATTCAGAGAGTCAGATGCAATAAGGTAATTTTAACTTTAAGTGTAGTTTAGCCCACACATTTCTCTAAACTGGGGGTTGGCAAACTACAAACCTCTTTTTGTAAGTAAAGTTTTATTGGAACACAGCCTAGCTCATTCATTTATGTATTCCCTTTGCACCTTTTAGGTTGAGTAGTTGTGACTGAGGTCTTCCAGCCTTCAAGCCTAAAATATTTACTATCTAGTCCTTCAAAAAGAAGTTTGCCAACCTCTGCAAACAAGTGAAATAATGTGTATTAGAGTAGAGCAGGAGTCCACAAACTACAACCTCTGGAGCCAAAACCACCCTACTGTCTGTTTTTGTAAACAGAAATTTTATAGAAACATAGTTGACCCCTGTGCCAATTTGTTTGAGTCTTGCTTTTGATGGCTTTTGTGCTACAAGGGCAGAGTTGAACAGTTGCAAGAGAACTAAGTGGCCTGCAAAGCCTAGTGGTCTTTGCTGTCTGGCCATTATAGGAAGTGTTTACCAAACCCTGCATTTGATCATGGAATCCCAGAATGTTTATACCTTTGAGGATTTTTTTTTCTACTTTCCATATTTTACAGGCAACAGAACTAAAGCCTCGTAAAATCTTGCCCAAGGTTCTACAAATAGTCTTTTCTATTAAATTAAGTCAGAGCCTGAAATTGTCTGTGCCCAAGTCTCTCCTCAGAAATTTAGCACAGCATTTTCCCTTTCTGTCTCCCACATGCTACACAGTCATCCTGGATCATGTGCCCCGCCTCCATGAGGAGATGTTCTAACATGAGGGTGACTAGGCTCTGGAGCCAGAGCATCTTAGTTCAAATCCTGGATCTGTTAAAAATAATAGTTATTTTTCAGTTCTAACACTGAAATAAGACAAAAGGCCATATTACTGAAATAAAGTGTAAAGAATATATTTAATACTCAGGTTACTTTAGCCCCCTCATGATCAGAATATGCTAATAAATTGAGAGATTGACAGAAAAAAAGGATTCTGTTTCACTGTGGCTCACACCTGTAATCCCATCACTTTGGGAGGCCGAGGTGGGTGGATCACTTGTCTGGAGTTCAAGACCAGCCTGGCCAACATGGCAAAACCCCGTCTCTACTAAACAATACAAAAATTAGCCAGGCGTGGTGGTAAGCACCTTTAATCCCAGCTACTCGGGAGGTTGAGGCAAGAGAATCGCTTGAACCTGGGAGGTGCAAGTTGCAGTGAGCCAAGATCACACCACTGCACTCCAGCCTGGGCAACACAGCAAGACTCCATCCCTGGAAAAAAAAAGTTCATCATTTGTTCTTGTAGTTTCCTAGTGTGGCCCTTGTCTCAGTGGAAAATTGTAGTGTGATAGACTGAGGAGAATTCTGTTTCTGCCACTTCGCCTGTTGCCTTGGTAGGAGCTCCTTATCTCTGAGCTGAGCTCCTTTTGTCCTTGGTAAAATGTGGTTATTATCATCTGCATCCTCATAGTCTTCTTGTAAGGACTGTGAAGTCACTTTTGAAAAATGCCTTGAATATGCCAGATGGTCTGTTTTCTTTCTTTTTTGTTTTGTTTTGTTTTGTTTTCCCTTGGCCTTCATTCCTGGAAGTGTTTTGTTATATACATTTTGTTTGGTGGCCAACAGTGCTAACCACAGAAAAGTTTGTATGTCTTCTTTTTCTAGAATAATTCTTACAGTGTAACCTCTCAGGGTGAAGTTTTTGTTTTGAAAGGGGCACATTTACTGTGAATGAGAGCCATGGAAATGGACCTGAAATTTGAAGACAGATTTTACTTGGTTTTCTTTTCTCTTATTTGTTTGCAGTATAAAGAAGAGGGCAGCAAGGTGACCACTTACTGCAACGAGACAATGACTGGGTGGGTGCATGATGTGTTGGGCCGGAACTGGGCTTGTTTCACCGGAAAGAAGGTGGGAACTGCCTCTGAGAATGTGTATGTCAACATAGCACACCTTAAGAATTCTCAGGAAAAGTGAGTTGCTACAAATGAGACATACGTTTAGTTTTGTTTTATAGTATATATGAATATGTGTGTACATTTTTGGAATTTTAGTTTGATTATACAAAATATCTTTGGCTTAGAAATATTAGGCATGCTATGTAAAACCTTACTGGAAAAATAAATTGACCAACATTATTGAGAGTATTTTTTCAAAGTGTTCCAAAAGTAATGGACCAATGATTACTTTAAATGAAATCATGTAATGGACCACAGAATTGCAAATTACTAATAAAGAAAAGCCATTTTGCTTATTGCCATGTAATAACATGTTGCATGATACAAGTAGATACGTATGTTTATGCTGCAACAAGTATAGGTGATACTAATTGGGCAACTTTTAAACAAGACCATAAATAACTGAAATCAAAGTTCTTAGTATTTATGCAGCCTGTTGGTTTGCGAGGGCTGCCATAACAAAGTACCACAGACTGGGTGGCTTAAGGAAGGTTGTTTTTTCACAGTTTTGGAGGCTAGAAGTCCAAGATTGAGGTGTTGTCAGGTTTGGTTTCTTCCAAGGCCACACTCCTTGGCTTGCAGATGTCTGCTTGCTTACTGGGCTCCTAAACAGTCTTTTCTGATTGTCCTAATGTCCTCTTCTTATAAGGGCATCAGTCATATTGGATTGGGGCCCACCCATATGACCTAATTTTACCTTAATGACCTCTTTAAAGCTCTGTCTCCAAATACAGTCATATGGCTGTGATACAGGGGGTTAGAATTTCAACGTATGAATTTTGAGGGGGACACAATTCAGACTATAAACTGCAGTTAATGTTTACTGTTAAATTAAATCTATAACTGACTAAACCACACAAACAGGAGATTTCAAATTAGACTTTATTAGTTTTGGAAGGAAGAGATGAAATGTTGTTACTTTTTCTGTTTTATGTAGTTGTAAAAGCCACTAAAAATGTACATGTACAAATCATCCCAAGCCAGGCAACATTAGTAATGAATGACTGCAGCACAGAGGTAAGAGAGATGATTTAAAGGAGGATGAATTGTCTGCAAAGGTGCTGGGCAAGATCTAGACTAATTCATCCCCTTCATTTTAAGTTTAGGTTTTAAATAGCTTTGTTTGGCTTGATCCTAGAGCTACACATTTACTTTTAACTTGTTTACTTTGTACCCTATCATTTAGGATATGCTATGTACTATTGTACTCTATTTGATATTTCAAACATTCTCTCATTTAGTGAAGAAGCTCCCAACCGGAGTGCTCAGAACCTACATTGCCTCACCTGTGAAGTGAGCATGTGGGACTGAATTGCCTTTGAGGTCTCTTTCAGCTCTTAATGATCTGTTATCCCATAGTAAGATACATTATTTTTAATCTCGTTGGATCTTAAACACCAAAAATAATAGTATTTAAGACGTAGGATGCTATCTTGTCATTATTTTAATGCACATGTCAACACACGAGGTTTTGCTAGATGTTATGATAAAGCAAGCGAAACAGCAGGCTACTGCTCCTCAAATATCTACAGTCAATGAAATATTGACTGGCGTTGTGGGAAAATATCTCAAAAGTATTTTATTTACAATTTAAAATATATTCTTTTGCCTAAAGAAACAATGAAACAACTATAACTTGTTTTTGTTATTGTGTTAGTGTAGTCATACATATGATACAGTTTTATAATCTGCTTGATAAGGGTACGTCTCTGGGTTTTTCACACTTTGCAACAAGTGGGAAAGAACTTCGACAAAAACATTAAAACATTATCAACCTGGTTGCACGTTTTTCTGATTATTTTCAGTGCTCTTAGGTTTTTAGACCATATCAAAATTCTCTCTCTACACACATGATTTATAAGGGAAAGAAAAGTTTGCAGTATGCCTAAAATGTTCCTCAGGTTAATTATATCTTGTTTTGCATAGTTGAATGTTTATGGAAGTCTTAGATAGTGAGTCACTCTGAAACCACAGACTCTTTTTTAATAGTAATAATATGGTGAGTTCTATAATTCCTAGCATCTAGCACACAGGTATGATAAATGTTTTAATTAAGTGAATAATCAGCTTCCTGAATTTTTCTACTTTGTAAATATGCTCTTTGTGTGTTGAATCTATTTACATATATATCCAAGCATTTGGCACAAGGTAAACCAATGTGGCTCAGATTTTAATGTTATTGTGAATCACTTGGGGATCTTGTTTAAAAAAAAAAAAAAAAAGGAGATTCTGATTCAGGTGATCTGGGCTGAGTACTTACAGTATGCATTTCTAATAAACTTCTGGGTGTTGCTACTGATATTGGTTCAAGAACTAAATTCTGAGTAACAAGTATAAACCGAATGTCCATAAAGTATAATTTCTTTTAGTATCATATGGTTATAATGCTTGCATTTTGTATATATGTTGCATACAGGTTTTGCTTTTCTCTTTTTTCTTATTAAAAAGGTTATAAAGGTACACTGTAGAAACTGTAGGGAGTAGGGGAAAGCTTGGCATCTCATGCCACCATTCAGAGGTAACCATGTTTGGCATTTTAAAAATGCATTTATAGTGTGTGTGTGTGTGTGTGTGTGTGTGTGTGTGTGCGCGCATACATATATATGTATGTATTATACATATACGTTAATATACATATAATATACATATATTACTGTGCAAAAGTTGATAAATTGATTATGATTATGTATAAACTTTGATATCTTCTCATATTTAATATAATATAGTTGTGAGCACTCTTCCATATCATTAAATAACTTTCTAGACATTTTAAATGAATATATAGAAAATGAAACATCATTAATCAGTCCCTTATCTTAGAATATTTATTTCGGTTATTTACAATCTATTAGTAGTTTAAAAGTACTTCATGGAAAATCCTTATACATGCATCTTAGTTAACTTGAACTTTTATTTTTAGAGAAGACATGCCAGGCTGTTCTAGGCTATTGATACATATTGCCAATTACCTTCCTGAAAGATTGTACCACTTTCCACTTAGGCACAGAGTGTGAATGCCTGTTTTAATTACTCTATTTACATCAGTAAAGACTATATCTGAAATTATCTCATTTTTGGGGACAGGTATTCTAATAGGCTCTACAAGTATGATCACAACTTTGTGAAAGCTATCAATGCCATTCAGAAGTCTTGGACTGCAACTACATACATGGAATATGAGACTCTTACCCTGGGAGATATGATTAGGAGAAGTGGTGGCCACAGTCGAAAAATCCCAAGGTAATCAAGCACACATTTTATCATTAATAAAAATATGAATGCTGAATACCATCCTCCCTCCTAAGCAGTCCTACCAGTGTTGCTCGCCATTTTATTGGTCATCCCAGTTGTAACTTTTTATGTGATCTGTTAACGATCTTTATCTCCTATTGATACATATTCTGTCACTCTCCAAGTCCTATTTATGAGTTTTTCTTTCACATGTCTGTTGTTTCCATTGCCCCCTTTCCATTTTCTACACTCTGGCATGCAGCTTTGTCCTGTTTCCCCCATGCTATGGATTAGCCTCCTGCCGGTAACCACCTGAGGGGTTCTTCCTGCCTGCTGCATAAAGAAAAACCATGGCAATATAGTAGAGAAAGAGCTTAAGAGACACTAGGCTGGCCATGCCACGTGGGGGATGGAGTTCATATTCAAATTATCTTGTCCAAAGCTCATAGGTAGGGGTTTTTCAAAGGCAGCTTGGGGGAAGGGGTGGGGGTGGCCAGGTAACAGATGCTTGCTGCTGATTGGTTGGGGTGGGTGAAATCACAGGGAGTTGAAGCTGTCCTCCTGTGGGCTGAATTGCTTCTAGGTGGGGCCATAGGAGTGGGGTTGCTGGGTCCAGGTAGAACCACGGGTGTCAGACATGCAAAAATAAAATAAAATAAAATAAGATAAGGTAAGATAAAATAAAATAAAATAAAATAATAAATAAAATAAATATAAAATTTCCCTGAAAAGATATTTCAAAAAGCCAGTCTTAGATTCTACAATAATGATGTTATTTGCTGGAGTAATTGATGGAGTTGCATGTCTTATAACCTCTGGAATAACGGCTGACAATCTCTCAAGTCTGCGCCTTAGCTGGACTCAGGTTCCTCTTCTCCCCACAGCCTGACTGCCTCCATTAGCTTCACAAAAGTGGTTGGGTTTCAGGGCAAGGCCCATTGTCATTTAAACTGTAGCCGAAATGACTTCCAAAGTTAGCTTGGCCCAATAGCCCAGGAATATTTAAGTGGAAGGCAAGATGGGGGATGGGTTAGCTTAGCTCTCTTTCACTCTCATAGTTTTCTCACTGGTATAATTTTTGCAAAGGCGGTTTCATGCCTGCCATCTCTTTCGTCGCTACCTCTCCCAGTTCCCATTCTTAGCTGTTTTATGAAATGCTTCTAGTTTCATCCTCTTATACCAAGTTCTGGGAGACTGATTTGAGTAATAATAAAACTCCAGTTTCCCATACAGCCGGCTCTGCGTGAATTAAACTCATTTTCTATTGCAATTTCCCTGTCTTGATAATCAGTTCTGTGTAGGCCGTGAGGAAGGAGAACCCGTTGGGTGATTACGAGACTGTGTTACTGCCCACTACCTAATGGATACATTTAGCCTGGTATCCAAACCCATCTAATTATGACCATAACTATATTTATCACCTTGCTCTGCTTTCAAACGATATGACACACAATGAATGAAAACTTTCATTTTTCATCTTCATTTGTGCTGTTCCCTTTGCCTCAAATAGCCCTCAACTTGCCTACAGTAACTGTAAAATTTGCCACCTAAAAAAAAATCTCAAAATCCTCTCTATGCTTTGATGTCCAGCAAAAAAAAAAAAAAAAAAAAAAAAGTTATCAGTATAGCTCTATTACTCTCAACCAGAGGTGGCATTTTTCATCTTTACCCATAAGCCCCATGGTATATTTCTTAGTTTGGGAAATTATATCATAATACTTTGAATCTGTCTAGTCAGAAATTTAGATAATTTAAAAAAAAATTATTTTTCTGAAAGTATAGCTGGATCTAGCTTAGGATCTACATCTATCTAATATAGTTCCTTAACATTTGTTAAATGGCCACGGATAAGTCCTGTAATGCCATACTTTGCTTTAGGATCATGTGACTAAGGGGTAAGGAATTGGAAAGCAATGGGGAGCTAGCAGAATTTGAAAAATTATATAGGTAGGTTATTTTTCCTTAATACATTGAAATAGCCTCAAATTCTCAGAGAATACAATGTTTAATCCTCTAATATCTGTAGAGTTCATGGCTCAAATTTGTATTATTTGAATAAACTACTAATAGATTAATAATTACTCAACTAAAACACTTTGAAATGTGAGAGTTCCCTTATCTCCCTCGCAGGCATATGACAGAGGTGTGGCTTCTCACACCTTTGGTTGCCCTTGCCCTACCACCCAAACCCCTAGGGGGAGCATGCAGAGGGGCAGGTGCAGAGGCCATGGGGGGTGCTTTTGGGCTCTGGCCCCACAGCAGTGTCTAGGAGTGGATGTTGGAGACTCCTGAAGCCCAAGTGGGCATGTGTTACAGTGTGCTCTTTCAGCTTAGCCGTCTGCAGATGGCTTGTGTTAATCAGGTCATTAGACCCCATGCCTTATTGCAAGGGCAGGGGTCCAATGTGACAGCCTAAGTTCTTGCTCAGTGTACCAGAAGAATTGGATCACACGTGGGCTGGAAGGATGAGCACAAGGTTTTATTGAGTGGTGGAGGTGGCTCTCCGCGAGACGACTCTCAGCCAGAGAAGGAGGATGGAGGGGAAAGGTGTTCTTCCCCTGGAGTCCACTTGTTCCTGTTCTCCTCTGGGTTCAAATACCTCTTCCCTCCTTTTCTGCTGTGCTGTCCCACCACTCTCCACAGCTCTGTGCCGCTCTGTTCCTCTGCTCCTCTGGATGTTCAGCTCCTTGTATCTGTGCCTGCTAAGATTTTGGGTTTATATGGGGGAAGGATGGGGGGCATGGCGGGCCAAAAGGCACCTTTTTTGGTGTGAAAACAGAAATGCCTGTCTTCTCTTAGGGCCTTAGGTCTTCAGGCTTGAGGGTGGGGCCTTTGCTGAGGGACCACCCTCTTCTACCCAGTATTTCCCTGTCTCCTGTCCATATCAACATTACTAACTTTTTCATCTGCAGACTAATAATGCTAAGGTGTGGCATTTTTCAACTGTGAGACTATGTGAAGGTTTTTCCTGTCCAACTGATGGCATCCTCCCATAATTCTACCCCTTTCTTAAAAGAATCTTTTGCAGTATTTCTCCAAGTTTATTCTAGAGAATTTCTTGTCTGTGAAATGCTCTAGTTAATCAAAATTGGAAAACGGAGCATATCATATCCCCTTCTCAAATTCACCAAAGTGAAGTCCTAATGTGTCTTAATGTATCTGCATGAGACAGGAAGCTGAGATCTATTCAACAACAAAAATCCAAACAAGCATCAAGAGGAGGAGTGTTAGCACTTGAGCCTAGGGAGACTGTGGCTCCTGCCTGAAAGATGGGAGCCTCAGTCACAGCTGCTTTACCAAGTGTCATATGCTATGTTTCTGAGGACTCCTGCTAAAGCTCCCTTCTCCCTCCAGCCAACCACTTTTGTTTTAGACAAGGGCTGGGTTTATGAAGGACTGTTTTCATGACTAAAGCTTTATAGAAGGTTTAAGATAAGGAGATGGAATTGAGTGAAGTAGGAAATATGAAAGCAGATATTATAATCTGGCTTCCTGATTTTTCACTAGCATTTTTGTTTATAAATTAGTTCTGTTCTAAGAATCCAATGACGTAATAGAAACTCTCAAAGATTCTTAACTTGAGATATAGGGAGTCTTTGAAACTGCTGAAATTACAGACAGCATTTATTGTTTATGAGCATTTCTGAATCTAGAGCTTTCACTAGATTTGTAAAGAATGTGGGCCAAAAGATTAAGAGCCAATCCTGTATCTTGTACTCAAAATGTTTGTAATTCTCACCTTTTTATCCCCCAGACTCCTCTTGCTCTCTCTTCATTTTCACAGTGTTACTGGAAAGGGGTCCTGATCCAGACCCCAAGAGAGGGCTCTTGGATCTTGTGCAAGAAAGAATTTAGGGCGAGTCCTCAATGCAAAGTGAAAGCAAGTTTATTAAGAAAGTAAAGGAATAAAAGAATGGCTACTCCATAGACAGAGCAGCCCTGAGGGCAGCTGGTTGTCCATTTTTATGGTTATTTCTTGATTGTATGCTAAACAAGGGATGGATTATTCATGCCTCCCCTTTTTAGACCATAGAGGGTAACTTCCTGACATTGTCATGGCATTCTTTTTTTTTTTTGACAGAGTCTCACTGTGTTGTCCAGGCTGGAGTGCGGTAAAGCAATCTTGGCTCACTGCAACCTCTGCCTCCTGGGTTTAAATGATTCTCCTGCCTCAGCCTCCCAAGTAGCTGGGATTACAGGCATGACCCACCATGCCCAGCCAATTTTTGTATTTTTAGTTGAAACAGGGTTTTGCCATGTTGGCCAGGCTGGTCTTGAACTCCTGACTTCAGGTGATCTGCCTACCTTGGCCTCCCAAAGTGCTGCAATTACAGATGTGAGCCACCAAACCTGGCCTGTCATGGCATTCTTAAACTGTCATGGTGCTGGTGGGAGTGTAGCAGTGAGGAAGACCAGAGGTCACTCTCATCGCCATCTTGGTTTTGGTGGGTTTTAGCTGGCTTCTTTACTGCAGCCTGTCTGTTCTATCAGCAAGGTCTTTATGACCTGAATCTTGTGCTGACCTCCTATCTCATTCTATGACTTAGAATGCCTTAACTGTCTGGGAATGCAGCCCAGTAGGTCTCAGCCTCATCTTACCCAGCTCCTATTCAAGATGGAGTTGCTCTGGGTCAAACACCTTTGACAACATCATTAAGCCTCAGTTCTCACACTGTTTTTGTTTTGTTTGTGTGTGCAATGATGGGCAAATCTCTGCCTTATAGGATGGTAGAAAAAAGGAACTTAATATTGTAATGACTGTTTTGTGCCAGATAATTGCTTTAAACTGTATCAGCATCTTATTTAGTCCTGTTAATGATATGAATGTTATCTTCATAACAGCTGCCATTTTATTAAGGACTTATCAGAGAAAAACACTGTTCTAAGCACTTGTTACCCATTATTACATTGAATTTTCATAACAACCCTTTGAGGTAAGCATGATTATACCCACTTTAATAGAAGTGAACTGTAGTTTTGTAATGTTAGGTTCCTTGCCAAATGTTACACAGATAGTAAGTGATAAAATCATATGCCCTGAAATTACATTATGCTGCCAAACTTAAATTTCTTTTTTATCCTTTATATTAGTATATTCTTAGGTTTAAACAAGACAACTAGTTAACACATACTAGATTTTGTCCACAGTTCCTGGCTCATAACTCCCATAGCCCTTGTCACTATCTTTTAACGTTGGGGCACATTAGGCCTCAGAAGTAGGCCTCAGAAAACAGAGTCTCTCTCTCTCTCTCTCTCTGATCTTCTTCCGCCCTCCTCTCACCTGCCCAGGGCAGCACTCTAATCTTCTCCTGCCTTTCTGATCTTGGGTCATAAGACCTTCATTTCCAAAGATGTCCTGTGTCATACCCTAAAGGAAGGAACACTGAACAGAGAGAGGCTCAGAAGAATCTGGACAGGCCTTGCTGTGTTTACATCATTCCCTTTATGTCCAGTCACATCTCTACATGGTTGTCAGTTGTGCCTATTTGATGAAGTCCCCATATAAGGCTCACAAGGACAGGGTGCAGAGAGCTTCCAGATAGCTGAACAAGTGGAAGTTCCTGGAGGGTGGCGTGTTCAGGGAGGGCATGGAAGCTGTGTGCCCCTTCCCCCATACCTTGCCCTACTCATTTCTTCATCTGTTTCATTTGTAGTATCTTTTATAATAAACCACTAAACATTAGTTAGTATTTCTCTGAGTTCTGTGAGTCACTCTAGCAAATTAATTGAACCCAAGGAGGGTGTCATAGGATCCCCACATTATAGCTGGTTGGCCAGAAGCACAGGTAAACAACCTAGGGCTTTCAATTGGCATGAGAAGTAGGGGGCAGTTTTGTGGGACGGAGCCCTCAGCCTGTGAGATCTGATGCCATCTCTAAGTACACAGTGTCAAAACTGGATTGGAGGACACCCAGCTAGTATTCACTGTGAAATTGGTTGCTTGCTTGATTTGTGGGGAAAAACCCACATGCATTTGATCACAGAAGTCTTTTGTGTTGACAGTTGATAGTGTTCAGTGAGAGAATTAAAAAAAAATTGAGTTTCTTCTTCAACATACTCTCTCAATGTGAAACCACAGAAACTATTTCCATTCAAAGATGGAAATGGTTTGTTTGCATCTTAGTTTTTATTTATACATCTTAGAAGAAATGTCCAAGCTTTGTTTTTTCTCTCACCCTATATATAAAATTACCTATGAGGCACAGATTTTTATGATCCTTGATTATATAGACTTTGTCCAAATTGTGTGTTTTATAGCATTACTGTAACTTGTTATAGTAATCTTTGTGTATATTATGTCTCTTAACATTGTCTTCCATATTGTTAATGACCATCTCATATTTATCTCTGTATCATGTATATCTTCAACCAATGTGACTGGCTTAGGAGAAAAAATTAGTGAACAATTAACTAGTGTTTGTGTAATCTATACAATTGTCAAGGTTACAATTGCTATTTTTGAAGAAATCGTTGTTGTTTTTCTCTTTGTTTCATCTCAGTTCCATTTTGTCATGTATTCTTTTTTTTTTTTTTTTTTTTTTTTTTGAGGCGGAGTCTTGCTCTGTCACCCGGGCTGGAGTGCAGTGGTGCAATCTCGGCTCACTGCAAGCTCCACCTCCTGGGTTCATGCCATTCTCCTGCCTCAGCCTCCCGAGTAGCTGGGACTACAGGCACCCGCCACCACGCCCAGCTAATTTTTTTTTGTATTTTTAGTAGGGACGGGGTTTCACTGTGTTAGCCAGGATGGTCTCAATCTCCTGACCTCGTGATCCGCCCGCCTCGGCCTCCCAATGCTGGGATTACAGGCGTGAGCCACCGCGCCTGGCCCCTTGTCATGTATTCTTAACCTGTGTTATATCTAAGAGAAGCTGTGAGAGACGGGACCATTTGTGGATAGGTGCAGAGGGCATGAAGTAGCCCAGAAAGAATCTTTGCCATTGACTAAATTTTAGCCTAGTAAAAAACATCTGGTAACCACTGAAAAACTAGAACAGTGTGATATGACAATGCCCAGTTGAATAAGAAATTCAAATAGTTTATAGTAACAAAAAATAATTTTTACCACATTGTGACTAGTGCCCTAAAAACAAATTTGAAGGAGCAGAGAGAGAGAGGAAGTGAGTTTTCGCTGGGGGCTGGTGAGTGGAGGCTACTTTATGAGCAGTTTTGAAAATTACAAGTTAGGGAAAAACTCTTAGGGGAGTTTTAAGTGGTGAGCAACAGGCACTTGAGGTTACAGGAGCAGCAGCATAAAGATATAGAACAGAGAGGCCATTTGGCAGTCTTGGGGAAACTCCAAGAAGTCGAATGTGTCTAAAGCTGTGGTTCTCTCTCTGTGTGTGTGTGTGTGTGTGTGTGTGCGCGCGTGTGTTTGTGTGTGTGTGCATGTGTATGTATGTGTGAAATCGCTAATACAGAGAAGCTGTTAGAACAATTTTCTCACTTCCCAAAAATGTCCGTTCATTCATGGGCCTAGGCAACTCTCCTTTGTGTGTCTTACAGCCCAACACTGTCATATAAGGTGTGGTTCTATAATGAAACAGTTTTATCTGTTGTTTACGGAGCTAGTCAGCCTGTGTTATGCTTGTTACTGGTTGAGGGTGTCCAGGTTCTTGGCTTCTTGAACAAAGAATTGGACAAAACTCACAAATGAGGCAAGGAAAGAATGAAGCAACAAAAGCGGAGATTTATTGAAAATGAAAGCACACTCCACAGGATGGGAGTGGGCCTAAGTAAATGATTCAAGGCCCTGGTTACAGAATTTTCTGGGGTTTCAATACCGTCTAGAGGTTTCCCATTGGTTACCTGGTGTATGCCTTATGTAAATGAAGAGGGTGGAGTTAAGTTACAAAGTCATTTACTCAGTATAGGCCTTGTGTTAATGGAGAGGGTGTTACTCCTGGGGGTTGTGGCCCATGTAAACGGAGAGGATGAAGTGAAGTGACAAAGCCCTTCGCATTCCTGCCATTGCTGAAGTGTTTCCACTTTATTTAGTTCTAGGAAGTCAGTGTGAATTGGCCTTATGTTCCCTGCCTCCAGAACCTGTTCTCCTGCCTCACATAGACCCTTTTTTCCCTTTGCCAACTTCACTTCTTTTACAGCCACCTCACTACCAATGTGTCTGTCTCCTAAGTCAAACATCAGTGATTCCTCTGTTTTCTCTAAACCCTTCTTATGTCTTCTACTTCTCATCTCTTTCTTGGTCAAAAATCTTTCAAAAATGAGTAAGAATGCAGCTATTCAGGCAAACTAAAAATAACATCACAGTGATATACAAAACCAGTGTCATTTCACAAAGGAAAATTATCAATACTAGATCCTGAAAAAGAAACAGCGAATGAAAGCCATTTACACAACTCCATTGTGTAATTGACACATTGAATCACTCATAAAACAGGTGCTCTGGGTCTGAATCTAGATCCTAGCTAGTCTGGTAGCTGAAATCATAGAATTATAGTAGAGTTTAGGAAATCATCCTCAAAGGAAAGATTATATGTTGATATCAAATGTATATTTCCTTTCTAGGCCCAAACCTGCACCACTGACTGCTGAAATACAGCAAAAGATTTTGCATTTGCCAACATCTTGGGACTGGAGAAATGTTCATGGTATCAATTTTGTCAGTCCTGTTCGAAACCAAGGTAAAAAAATAAGCCTAAGTTTTTTGTTAATTTGTTTGGAACTATTTATTGAACAGTTGCTCTGTGTGATGGATTTCGGGGATACCTAGATGGAATGGGCATGATCCCCTTTTTACAGAAATAGAAAATAGGTGGCCTATGAATTATTCTTTCCTTTTATATCCATGACAAACTTTAGTAAAAAATTTTCTTTTCTACTGAGCTTAGCATTTATTCAGTACTCTTCTCAATATATTTTCCAGGTAGCTAGTGACAATCAGAGTGATATGTAAGACAAACTCATTTGTCCTCCTAGTAGGAAAGATTCTAGTAGAAGCAAAGAATTGTGTACCATTCTGCAAGTGGTTTGTTGGAATCTTTCTTTGATACCTGTTCCTGTATTCCCCCACCCCCATTAATTTAGTCATTAATTACTACATGAACCCGTAAAATAAATCCTTAAATTATTTTCCTGGTAGATTTTTTGAGCTGTGTAAGGACCTTTCAATTCACTTTACATTAGAATACGATATGTGATGGTAAGTATTAACCCAGCTTCCTGAGTGATGGCGTGAGGGCGGAACCCAGGTTCATGAAAAGTATTCCTATTATTGAATTTTACCAGTTATTTTCAGAAGTTTGATACAATGTGAGTTGATTTCATAACATGTCCTCTAACTGCACTTGATAGCAAATTATCTTGTTATCCTGAGTTGTAGCCAACAATGACTTGGAGAATCTATGCAATACTCAGTTTTATTACTTCTAAGCTCATTTTGAAGATAATACTACCCATGGCTGATTTGTTACTATAAAATAGGTTTAGTATTTGCTGTCTGGAAACATTCTGATTAGTGTCTCCTGGGAGGATTATAAATTTATAGTACCCAAAGATAAACTGTTGTTTCCCTTTCCTAAACTTTTAGTGATAATCAGTCTCTGCCGTGTCTCATTTTCATCACTTGCCCTCCAAGCTCCCATCTCACTGAATTCTTGCAGTGTTCTGAATGTTGAGAGCCCCAAGTGGGTCTTATAACAGCCAGTCAGCAACATTTCTGTTTTTCATCTGACACCAAGGGTCTCGTCTCTTTGCTTTTCTACCAGTTATTCTGGGCTCTTCAGCTCTAAAGAAAGTATAGGTCCTGAAATCTTTCCCTACCTTCTCAATTTCCTGGGGAGGGCTTCTTTGGAAAGTGGGATTGGAAATAAGATAAATTTGAAGATAATTGAGAAATGAATGGAAAGTGAAATTGAAGGGTCCATGTTAAGAGATTGCAAGTTATGCTATCACCAAATAGATTTTTTGTGCCTGAGAGGATTAATTCATAGTGCATATTATGTGTTGACTTTATCATTGAGGTCCTGGCACATGATAGCATTGGCATGATATAATTTGAGCTACTGATACTATAGTGTTGCTTCTGGTGTTGTTACCAGAACATCTAAAATATATTAGGATTTTTTTAATGGCAGAGGAAATGAAGACTAATATGACATAGTCCTTGTCCTAGTGATTTACAGTTTAGCAAGACATACAAGCAAAACATTAAAGTAAAGCATGATAACTACTTTAATAAAGCATTTTTTAAATTCATTGGTAACATAAGAGAAGGTAGAAGAGTTTAGCAAACCCTTCCCAAAAGAAATGATTGACAAGTTATATGAGATAATAATTCAGGGAAAGGAAATTCGACTTTCTAAAGCCAAATTATTTGACATTGGTTTTCATATAGCTTGGTAAAAGCTGTTATTTTCTCCCATGTTCTTTATTCTTTGACTGTTATAAGTATGATTTGTACAGAGAAATGGCAATTTCAAAACAGAGGGCTTTGATGGATTAATTGCTTTGAATTGATCCCTCATCTACAGTATCTTGTCAGGTACTTGAGAAAATAATGTACTTAAAGTTTCCTCTTTTGACTTTCTTTTGGTATTCTATACTGTAAGTTGGGGAAAAAAGTATTTTCTCTTCCTGCTAATTGGGCTACTTGAAAATTCCCACCAACTTTGCCAATACCAGTGTTCTGTATAACCCAGAATTCAGAATTAGCTGCAATTAAGGGAATTCACAGCTTTTCTGTAGTCAGAGAGCAAATTGAAATTAAAGAAAAAAGAAATAGTGGGAGGACAAATGAGGTTTTACCTTTACACTTGAAAACAGATTTAAGAACAAGCCTTATACCTAGATTTATTAATACTTTGAGGTATGAGAGGGAAGAGAAGCTTAGAAATACGGCAGAATGGGCTTTCTTTGTTCTTCTCCCAGCTATGCTGTTTTTATTTATTATTGTATTTTTAAGAGAGAAGGGAAGTGTCTCTCCTGGGTCACATTAATTAGGAAATACAGAGTGTTTTCATAATGCGTAAAGTCTAGTCCATTTAAGTCTTGTTTCAAAATGCTATTTATATTATTTGAGCAGGAAGGCAGAGACCTTAAACTGCTCCACCCAATTCATTTTACACAAAAGATTAAAAAGAAAAAAACAGTGTCAAAAGGTCAAGTGCCCAGTGTTGCACAACTAATGATAGGCAAAACAAGAGAGGAGGGGAAAAAAAAGAATCCTGACTCCCGACTCCTAGTTCAGTGTGTTCTTCACTGTTAGAAGGTGCTGCTGAACATAGTTATACCATATGAAGATCACACTATCTATTTGAGATTGTAGAAATTTGATTACTGCAGAGCTCTGGCTGGGCTAGATTCACTTCTTATTCTTTATTGCATTGCAGTATTCTTAAGAGATAAATGGCTCTTTTAGAATCAGATTGGCCTTGGCTGTTGAAATGAGGCATTAATTACCTTGGTAGCTGACACATTCTTACAGGTCAGGGGCTTGATGAAGTTTATCTTCTTCCCTTGTTCCTGTGATTGCTCTGTAAATAGAACACATTCAGAGCCCTTGAATGCACTTGCAGCCTGTGCCTCCCACAGTGATCGATGGTCAGATAATGGGAGTTTAATGACCAGTACTGAGAGAGATTATTTCCATGGCTGCTATGGGCCAAGAAAGCTGGGTGGTCAGAAAGGGACCTTTTCCAGACTCTCCTGGGTTGTGTTATTTCTTTGACATTGGTTTCCTTTCATGAGGCGCCAAGGTGTATTTGTAAGTTGTCCAGTGTTGCACAGCTAATGAGGGGCAAAACAAGAAAGGAGGAAAAAAAAAGTATCCTCACTCCTAGTTCAGTGTGTTCTTCACTGTTGGAAGGTACTGCTGAACACAGTTATATGTTCAGTGTACAATGTACAATGTTCTTTGACATTCCGTCATTTGAAGGATGGGTCCTATGGATAGTATCATCTGCATGGTTTTGAAAACAAAAGATATAAGCTAATTTTGCCCTGTCTAGTGACTACGAGACAGGGAGAGAAAATCTGAATATTTGTTAAAGTAGACACAGACCCATAAATTGAAAAGGACACTAATCCTGCCTTAGGAGACAGTAAGGCACTTGTCCCTGCTATCTATTAGCTGTGTGTCCTTGGACAGCTCATTGCTTCTTTCTGAGCCACCGTTACACGTTATCTATCAAGTGAGCAGGTTGTACACTAGATGAATTCACAGGTCCTTCTTCCAAGTGCTTTTCTAATCTTCATAATTTAGATAATCTCTCAGTAGCAAAACAGTGTACAATATGGTCAATCTGAGATTTTTAGGGGGAGAATTTTAGGGAACATCAGAAATGGCAGTAGTTAAAAGGAAATAGGACTCACAGGCTGACTTCTCTCTATAACTTCACATGGTAGAAGGGATGAGAGTTCTCTCTGGAGCCTTTTGTATTAGGTCACTAATCCCAAAGGCCCCACCTCCTAAGACCATCACTTTTGGGATTGGGGTTTTAACATGATTTTAGAGGGACATAAACCTTCATCTCATTGCATTAGAGATATTTGAAAGCTCAGCTCACGTGTATTCCTCCACAGCTCACATGTATTCCTCCATCACCCAACCTGATGGCTTTGAACGTTGTAGACATAAATCCTTTCATCATTATCAAGAATATTGCCAAAAGCTTCTCAGAAATTATGAGGGGTTTTTTTAGTTTCTAAAATATTCTCAAAGAAAGTCCCATGTACTAATGTTTGCCTTTTGATGAAAAAGGATGAAATCTTAATGATTGCCTTAATAAGCTCAACAATGCTTGTTAGTTGAGTCTTCTTATTGTGCTGATTCTTATAAACAACAACATTCAGTATAAACATTAATGTATGTGATTCACTAAGGTTTTTGCATGATTCTCTGTGAGGCTTCAGATGTCTCTTGGATTATGTGTCTTTTTTTCATCGCCAGCATCCTGTGGCAGCTGCTACTCATTTGCTTCTATGGGTATGCTAGAAGCGAGAATCCGTATACTAACCAACAATTCTCAGACCCCAATCCTAAGCCCTCAGGAGGTTGTGTCTTGTAGCCAGTATGCTCAAGGTAAGTGTTGCATTTCAGACACCATTTATGAGCTATTTACCTGTGTGCAGCTGGCTGTTGTTGGCAAAGGCAAAAGGATGATGCAGTAGAGAGAGCGCAGTGTCTATAGTCAGAAAATCTGAGTGCAAGTCTGGCCCTATCACTTATTAATGGATGATTGCTCATGGAATTTACTGTACCATCCAGCAAAATGTCAATAGTTACTATATATTGAGTGAGCTCTGCTTGTTACATATATTGCCTAACAATGCTCAAAACTCTGAGAAGTAGTAAGTATAATCCCTATTTATGGGCGGGGAACAGGAACTAAGAAATTTTTCTAATAATTTGAAGGTCTCACAGCTTTTAGCATTGGAGTTTCACTTCTAATCATCGTCTCCAAAACCCAACTTTTATTAAAACTATACTAACACTGGTTTCTCTCTGGGAGAATTTTAAAATTCTGTACTTAGGGCTGGGCACAGTGGCTTATGCCTATAACCCTATCACTTTGGGAGGCTGAGATGGGTGAATCTCTTGAGTCCTAGAGTTTGAGACCAGCCTGGGCAACACGGCGAAACCCCTTCTCTATTAAAAATACAAAAAATTAGCTGGGCGTGGTGGTGTGTGCTTGTAGTCCCAGCTATTCAGGAGGCGGAGGTGTAAGAATCACCTGAGCCCAGGAGGTCAAGGCTGCAGTGAGCCGATATCATGCCACTGCACTCCAGCCTGGGCAAACGGAGTGAGGCCCTGTTATGAAAAAAAAAAAATCTGTACTTAGGCTTTCAGATCAGGCTGTATGTGATGTATGTCGAAAACACAGCTATAATTGATTGAGGGAGAAACGTTACCATTTTAAAGTTTATGCTTTCAAGCCCAGATTTGGCCACTAGGAATTTCCCAGCTCACTAGTGAAACTGCTGATGAGTGATTATTTGCCAGTGAGCCTTTCATTCTTTCTAAAATATGTACTACTAGTTGTGACTTGTAGGCTATAGGGGCTATAATATATCAAGACAATCTTTATCCTCATGAAGCTTACAGTTAAGTAAGAGATAGAGATTAAATAATTATAACAACAGAGTGAAGAACAGTGAAGAAAAAGTACAGAGTTATAATATATATAATAGGGCCAGGACTGCATGAGGAAGGTAGGAAAGACATTTCGGCAAGAGGTTGTCAGGGAAAAGACTTGCTTGAGAAAGAGCCAAGTTGTGGGGTCTGGCTGCTTAGCAATGACCATAATACCTAACTTTTGCTATTTTTACATGAAGTAACTAATTTAACCCTATGAGGAAAGTACTACTACCATCTAGATTTTACAGGTAAGTAAGCAGAGATACAGAGAAGTTAAACTCTTCACACGGCTTTGGCTTTAAACCTATATAGGCTTCAGAGCCTCCCCACTTAACCACTTTGCCATAGCTACATCCATATTAGGTGCTAAGTAGATATCTGTTAAGTAGAAGGAGGATGAAAGGATAGTTAGCTAGTTGGAAAATGGATGGATGAATGAAGTGATGCTTAAGCTAAGAACAACTTTCAGGGGTAACATGCAAAGAATAATGGAGCAAAGAAGAAAAAATAGAAAATGGGATAATCCTTTTTCTACTAAGGGGTAACCATGTGTGTTATTCATCTTCAGGCTGTGAAGGCGGCTTCCCATACCTTATTGCAGGAAAGTACGCCCAAGATTTTGGGCTGGTGGAAGAAGCTTGCTTCCCCTACACAGGCACTGATTCTCCATGCAAAATGAAGGAAGACTGCTTTCGTTATTACTCCTCTGAGTACCACTATGTAGGAGGTTTCTATGGAGGCTGCAATGAAGCCCTGATGAAGCTTGAGTTGGTCCATCATGGGCCCATGGCAGTTGCTTTTGAAGTATATGATGACTTCCTCCACTACAAAAAGGGGATCTACCACCACACTGGTCTAAGAGACCCTTTCAACCCCTTTGAGCTGACTAATCATGCTGTTCTGCTTGTGGGCTATGGCACTGACTCAGCCTCTGGGATGGATTACTGGATTGTTAAAAACAGCTGGGGCACCGGCTGGGGTGAGAATGGCTACTTCCGGATCCGCAGAGGAACTGATGAGTGTGCAATTGAGAGCATAGCAGTGGCAGCCACACCAATTCCTAAATTGTAGGGTATGCCTTCCAGTATTTCATAATGATCTGCATCAGTTGTAAAGGGGAATTGGTATATTCACAGACTGTAGACTTTCAGCAGCAATCTCAGAAGCTTACAAATAGATTTCCATGAAGATATTTGTCTTCAGAATTAAAACTGCCCTTAATTTTAATATACCTTTCAATCGGCCACTGGCCATTTTTTTCTAAGTATTCAATTAAGTGGGAATTTTCTGGAAGATGGTCAGCTATGAAGTAATAGAGTTTGCTTAATCATTTGTAATTCAAACATGCTATATTTTTTAAAATCAATGTGAAAACATAGACTTATTTTTAAATTGTACCAATCACAAGAAAATAATGGCAATAATTATCAAAACTTTTAAAATAGATGCTCATATTTTTAAAATAAAGTTTTAAAAATAACTGCATTATGGAGTTTATGTTTACTTCAGGGAATTTTTATCACTGACTCAGTAAGATTCACTTATGTTACCTATGTAAGCATTTATTTAAGAAGGAAAAGCATTTGAAGATATTTCAATTAAAAACAAAACTATGAACCTTTATGACAGGGAGATATACTCAGATAATGCCTAGTGAATCCTAAAATTATCCTTGGATGTTTGATGAGTCTGAGACCTCAGAGAAAAGAAATAAGAGTTTTGACAAAATCTGGATATTGGTGAATTTATTTTCTATGGTGTGTATCTTGTATTTGGGAGTATTGCTTAGTCTTCAGTAGGTGAGCAATAATAGCTTAATGAGTGAAATACTAGCAGCTTAGATTTAAATAGATTTTTGGAATCTCCCAGAGATATTTCACAGTGGATATGAAACCTCTATGCTAAGTAACATATGCCTTCTCTTAGAAATTATGTAACAGGAGAATAAGGCAGTCAGAGCTCTGAAACATAAACACGGACCACAGCCTTTTCAAGCTGGAAAGGACCATAAAGATCATGTAATTTAAACTCTTTGCACAGATAGAGACTCAACTTAGAGGGCAAGAGATGTGTCCAAGGTCACACAGCTGGCAAGTGATGGAGTCATGCTTAAAACTTAGATCTTCGAAACCGAGTTCTCTTTGAGCACCTTCGAGCACTGAATCTCAGCATTTCCCACCAGAGTATCTGCAATCACCAGGGATACTAGCTGCATGCTTGGAAATTTCACCTTAACATTCTGAGTTTCAGAGTTTTGTGCAAAACCCACGTATTTTCTGCATTAAAATTCACTATAATGATGTTTTTACCCTCCTTGAACTGCAGTAGGGCTCCAGGAGTATGCACCATTTAAAGTTTGGCTTCCTGGACCTCCTGGCATGCTGCCACATACCTTTGATCTTTTCACCACATGGTGGCACAGAAACAGCACTGGAAGGCATAGCCAGGGTCGGAATCATTGGAAGGCCTCCAAGGAGATGAGATACATTTTCTTTTTATTGTTACTGATTGAATGTAATTTCCATCCTATTTTGTGCCCAGCCTCACTGCTATGTGAACATATAAACAGACCTTTGAAATCAAGCATAAGTTTTTTTTCACTAAAATTCATGAAGATACTATCTGTCAGTTTAACAAACACAATTCTATTTAACATGTAAGCATGAATTTATTCTCTAGTTTTCCAGTTGGACAGCAGTCGGCTGACACATGAGAACAACTCATCATGATGTAGAGTGCCTGTGATTTTGCACTATTTCATGAGGGCCCTGACTGGCTCTTAAGTAAATTCATTGCTGGTGTCATTCATTAAATACTTTAGGAAATATTAAATGGCTAAATACTGGTGTGAACCTAACTGGCATGGAAGTCAGATTATACAACATGTTTGCTTGAGGACAAGCAATGATTTGAAGAGGCCCTAAGTTTTCAGAGATTATGAGGGATTGCCCAGAATAAGAACTTAAGATAGACTACATTTCAACTTGGATTTATCTACTGTCGAAGTCTGCTTTTCCTGTTTCTGTATGACAGAAAGATCATTTATATCATCCATGTTGCAGATTTCATCAAATACAGTGACTAAATGGAACATTAGGGTTCCACAAACCATGCGATTAGACTGTTAAGCTGTACAAAAAGCAGTTGGTGTCAGTATCTAGAACTTTTTATATTGATGCTAATAGAACACATACTCGGAGTCTTTTAACAAATGGAGCTCTAGAAAAAAAAATCAGATGGGAACTCTGGCTAACCTCCCCAAAGACATTCCCAGAAAATCTACAAGGATTATCTACATAAATGATGCCACAGGTCACAAAGAAGAAAAATAATATTTAGCTGGGCAGTCTAACACAAGCATAATATTGACTCTGGAGCTGTAGTGCCTGGATAAGAGTTTTGACTCTGTATCTTATTAGCCATGAAACCTTAGGCAGTTTCCTTATCTACCTATGCACTGTGCATCCTTTCTTTCTTTCTTTCTTTCTTTCTTTCTTTCTTTCTTTCATCTCTCTCTCTCCTTCCTTCCTTCCTCCTTCCTCCTTCCCTCCCTCCCTCCCTCTTCTTTTCTTGTCTTTCTTTACTTTTTCTTTTTTCTTTTCCTTCCTTTTCCTTCCTTCTTCCTTCTTCCTTCCTTCTTCCTCCTTCCTTCCTTCCTTCTCCTTCCTTCCTTCTTCCTTCTCCTTCCTTCCTTTTTCCTTCTCCTTCCTTCTTCCTTCTCCTTCCTTCTTCCTTCTCCTTCCTTCCTTCCTTTTCTTTTCTTTCTTTTCTGTAAAAGTAGAGAAAATGGCATAGATATCTCTCTCACTGTCCGAATTTCTGACTTTTTTTTTGAGTCATGCTCACTGCAGCCTCAACCTCTTGGGACCAAGCCATCCTCCCACCTCAGCCTCCTGTGTACCTGGGACCACAGGTGCATGCCACCATACCCGGCTAATGAATTTGTCCTCTCTGAACCATTACCATTGCAACAAAGGAACTAAATGTATTTGTATTTGCATTTTTAACAGCATTACTTGCTATCTAAACTCAGGCCCTTCATCATTCCAAATGGAGGTGCTAAAGATAATTAAAGACAATGCAGTTTCCCTGATCATAAAAACTTGCTCACAGAACTCAGGAACTGAATAGATTTGGATAGTAAGGAATATGTATACATATTTCATAGAGTTCTCTGAGGGTTAAATGCCATATATATATATATATATATATATATATATATATATATATATGAAGTATATAGAACAGTGCTTAGCATATGGTAAGGAGTAAATAAATATTATCTTTTTCTGAACTCAAATTGTAAAATAATATTTTGCTATGAGGAATCAGATAAGATGTATTCTATAAATAAGCTCTATGACAAGAGGATAGAGAAGGGCTTATGAGGGGTTTTTTGTTTGTTTTTTTAAGGGCGAAAAGAACCTACAGAGGAACACTAGCACAAGGAAACGCACAGAGAAAAGCAAAAAGCTTTATGAGTTAGGCATATGGTTTTAATTTTATTTTTTACTATAAAATTTTTTTATCCCTCACTACCACCATTCTTGTGTTGCTGCCTGTGGGAAGAGAACAAGTCTGAGAGGTGATGGAGTTTGAGAGACTACCACAGGGATGAGTAACAGGACCCAGCCAGGGAAAAGACATTGCAACTTTGAAGTGAAAAAGACTGAAGGTAATGTAAAGTCATAATAATTTGATTTTCCTATTCAGGTTCTAAAAGCATGAAGATAAAGTAAGCATAACAGATTCACATCACATTAATGCTGGAAGGTTATCTAGTCCACCTCTTGCTAAAAATGGGCCTTGAGAGGTGAAGTAACATGCCTGAGCTTCCAGCTAATAAAGATAAATCTATGCTTCAATATGTCCAGAACTTTCTATTGTACCTGCTGCCTTCCAATTAAGAAAAATGGCAAAATAATGTTTCCATTCTTAAATGTTGTGAGACCAGTAACCTCACCTTGTTCTTTAAAATCATTTCCAAGATTTGTGCCACCTCCCAGAAATCCTGTTCTCATTTCTTTGGGGCAGGTACTCTGAGTGCCAATCCATGTGTGGTGGTTTGGAAAGATTAATATAACAGTTTTCTTCTAAATATAGTGATGTTAATATAGTTATATCTCTTAACTCTAATGAAGGTTTATTTTTGGTTTAAAGCTAAGTAGAATCTTCCTGACCAAGTTTGGGGAGCTTTAGATATATCAGAATCTTCTTTGATGGGCAGCACATGGACTTAGAATTGTGTATTGGTAGTGGGTCAGTTAGTCACTGGGCCTAATGAAATATTAACTGTAAAGTATTGACCTCATTGAATTTTAGTTCCGATTAAAAGTGCAAATTTGCGTGAAATTGCCTGGGACATAAAATAATTGGAACTTCAGCAGACTTTCTGGTCATGCCATACTATGTCCTCCTAGTGATAGGAAACTGGAAATTCAGGAGATAAACTAACTCAGGCAGAAAATGCAGCACATGCCTTTTGTGTGTGTGTTTTTCCTTTTTCCTTTGAGAAGTCCATTTTTCAATATCCCTTTTCTTTAAATCTCTTTTAAGAGTTAGTAGAAGAAATTTAACCTCTTCTTTTCCAACTTTGAGGATGTGATGCTGATGTAATACTTTGGTTTTTAACTTTATGTTCTTAAAGACAATTTGTCTTCTTGAAATTCAAGTCTGTAGGTGGTTAAATGGGGAAAGAATGTGATAAACTTCAGACTCCCCAAGTTGAGAAAAAAATAGCAGACTTCTTTCTTCCTCTAATGCAAAAGGTCTTAAAGAGATTGAAATCCTAGCAATCAATTGAAAGAAATAAGTTAGAGAAATAGCTTTCTCCTGAGGAAATGAGGGAAACGCCATAAAACTAAGCGTTGTGCATTAAAGTAATCATTGAGATGATTTTTTTTTTCTGTAATGTATTTTCTGGACCTTCAAAAGTATTGAATAGTTTCACTGTAGTTTAAGATAAATGACAGAAAATAAGTGCTTTTAGTATCAGATTTTTATACCTTCATTCTCTCTTTTTGGGGGTTTCTGAAGAACTAAAAGTCTGCTTTTCTTTTAGATTGACTATTTCTATGCCACTATAAGAAATGGGCACTATTCCCAAGAGATAGCAGGTGCAATCCTAGTTCAGCAGGCTAAAATTCAGTTGGGTGAGAAGGATAAGCCTATGGAAAGAAAGTAAACAAAACAGCATTGTGCCACTAGAGAACCCAGAAATAAATTCATAGATTTTCAGCCAACTGACAAAGTTGCCAAGAACATACACTAGGAAAAGAACACCCTCTTCAATAAATGGTGCTGGGGAAACTGGATATCCATGATGTGGAGGAGAATGAAACTAGATCCTTATGACTCACCATATACCAAAGTCAACTCAACATGAATTAAAGACTTAAATGTAAGACCTGAAACTATACAAATACTAGAAGAAAACATAGGAAATGCCCAAGAACTTTAGCTTAGGCGAAGATTTTATGGTTAATATTTCAAAAGCATAGGCACACAAAACAAAAAGTATACAAATGGAGCTATAGTAAACTAAAAAGCTTCTGCACGGCAAAGGTAACAACCGACAAAGGGAAGAGACAACCTGTAGAATGGGAGAAAATATTTGCAAATGATTCATTCGACAAGGGACTAATATCTGGAATATAAAAGGAGCTCAGACAACTCACCATCAAAAAACAAAAACAAACGTACAAAAAACCCAAACAATCTCCTTAAAATGTGAGCAAAGTATCTAAACAGACGTTTCTCAAAAGAAGACATACAAATGGCTAGTAGGTATATGAAGAAATGCTCAACATCGCTAATGATTAGGGAAATGAAAATCACAATGAGACATCATTCCAGTTAGAATGGCTATTATAAAAAAGACGAAAAGTAAAAAGACACTTGTGAAAATGTGGAGAAGAGGGAACTCTTATGCACTCTTGGTGGTAATGTAAATTAGCACAGCTATTATGGAAAACAATATGGAAGTTTCTCAAAAAACTAAGAATAGAACTACCACATGATCCAGAAATTCTACCAATGGGTATTTATCCAAAGAAAAATCAGTATATCAAAAGGATATCTGCATTCCCATGTTTATTGCAGCACTCTTCACAATAGTCAAGATATGGAATTAAGTCAGCTGTCCATCAATGGATGAATAAAGAAAACATGGTATATATACACACTATGGAATGCTATTGGGCCATAAAATAGAATGAAATCCTGCAATTTGCAGCAACATTGATGGAACCTGTGGTTATTATATTAAGTGAAATAAGCCAAGCACAGAAAAACAAATATTGCATGTTCTCACTCATATGTGGGAGGTAAAACAGTGGATCCCATGGAGGTAGAGAGTAGGATAATGGTTAACAGAGGCTGGAAGGGTATTGGGGGAGAGGATAAAGAGATGTTGGTTAATGGGTACAAGCATTCAGTTGAAAGGAATAAGTTCTAGTGTTTGATAGCACAGTAGGGTAACTATATTTAATAATAATATATTGTATGTTTCAAAACAACTAGGAGAGAAGATATGAAATGTTCCCAACACAGAAATGATAAATGTTATAGGTTATGTATATGCTAAATACCTAGATTTGATTGTGACACATTTTATGCATGTATCAAAATACCGTATGTACCCCCATAAATATGCACAAATGTGTACCAATTTTTAAAAATAGCATTGTGGCACAAAAATGTCATGGTCTTTGGAACCAGAAAATCCTGATATTGAGTCTTTGCTCCACCAATGTTTGTTATTTGGACTTTGTTCAGTTATTGAACAGAGATTTCTAGTAGTCAGTGTCTTTGCCTGTTAAACAGCGTTGCTAATATCTTTTTTCAAGGGCTGTGCCAAGGTTTAAAAGAAGCAACGAGTGTTTACATATAACTTGCCTTGTTTTAAAAAAAGATTTAAAGTGTTTTGCAAAGGTTAAGACGCAATGTAAAATAAATTAAAAATAAGTGAGTGAACTGAATTAAAGGGAAGATAAACGTAGGAAAGTAGGATATACCCATGAAATAAAAGCTATATAATCTAGTACATTACCTGATACATGGGGATCATTCTTCAACGCTGGTTCTCAACTAGAGGTAATTTTGCCCCTAATGTTGGTAGACATTTGGGGTTGTCATAACTGGGGCGAGGATGGGAGTGTGCTACTGCATCTAGTTGATAGAGGCCAGATATACAGCTAAATATTCTATAGTGCACAGGACAAGCCTCCACATGAAGAATTAACCAGCCCAAAATGTCAATAGTCCTGAGGTTGAAAAAGTCCTGTCTACAACATGCTAATTCCTTTATATACTTTCCCAGCACCAAATGAATGTTATATACTTTGGAAGAGGGAAAGAATTCTGAGGGTTGAAGTAATCCCAGAAGCTTCCAAAGAGAATCTGGAACTTGAGCTGAGCTTTGAAAAAGCAAGAGGCGTAGTAAAAGGCATGGGAGGCCAAGAGACTGTGGGAAGATAGAAGCAATGAGAGAAGATTAAGACACTTCCCTTCAATTTCAAGGTGACAGATTGACCCCATTCTGCAGTAATCCCCACCCAACAGAACCTACTGACATGACTATAAAAGGTATAAAATGTATTAAATACATGGCCACAATTTATAAGAATAGAATGTCTTAATGAACCAGAAGTTGTGATAAACCCTTATAAGAAAAAGTGAGGGGAGCAAATGGGAAGTTATTGTGATAATTGAAGGCCCAAGCATGTGGGAAAATTCTGCCATAGAAGATGAAACCATTCAACTCACCCAACATTTCATCAAAATAAAGATGAGAAGGAAAGAGGTAGATTGTAACATCTTTACTTAAAGCATTGATCCTTCATGCCTGCTGGGTCATGAGCTGCTTTGAGACTGCTGAAAACTATGGATACTTTCTCCAGAAAAGTTCACTTACTTATCCCATATTTGCATAAAATTCCATTAGGCTTATGAAGATGTGTAAGCCCCAGTACTGGCAGTAAACTTTTATGTGTATGGGTGCCTCTTCCCCTAGGCAGTAGCCATTCCAAAATGCCAATATTGTTACTATTTAAAATTTTCTTTCAGTTATAGGCTGGGAGGAACCATTGAAAAGGCTTGGCAGGTGAGATTCAGGTGGCTAGACCGGTTAGGTAACTCAGCTTTGAGCCATAATCTCATCCGGGGTCAGACCTGTTGGGAAACTGAGCTCTCCATTTGTTCCCTGACCCTTAGTGGCTCTCTCAGTCCTCAGCCCTTTGTCTGTTTCTCTGGGGTGGAGATGTAGTCTTACTCATGCTATCATTGTCTCTAGAGCCAAGACTCTGACCAGTAAAATCCCACCTGGGAACTAGATTCCTTCTGCCAATGGAGAGACTTTTTAAAATGCTCACTACATGCTGTCAAGAATTGGGCATTTTGTGCAGCACCTGGATTCCCCATCATTGTGCTCCTGCTACACCCAGGAGCAAACATTATCTTCCCCCTGCCCCTCCCCTTGAACCTGACTGCTGCCTCTTTATACCTTGACTGTCCCCTGCAGCAGCTTCACCAAGTGGATACTTTATTTTTGACCCAGTTAGTTTTGCCTTTATTGGTAATAATAATGATAGCTGCCATTTATCAAGGTCTTACTTTGTGCTAGGTGGTATGGTAAGCTCTTTGCATACAACGTCTCATTGAATTCCTGGTATAGATTTTGTTTTACACATAAGGAATAAGACAAGCGAAGGAAGTCATCCATTTTCTTGGGATTTGAATCCAGGTCTCTGTTCTAGCACCATAGCTCTTAACCATACTTCCCTCAAGATGTTCTTCCTGTGCTTTTCCCAGGAGTTTGTTGATATTTCAGGTCCTGATCTCTTTTGTTCTTCCTTATCTTTTGTAAGAAACTATCGTAATTGCACAAGTCCTGAGAAATAAGAAGACACCTTCAGCATCTTAAACTAGAATAAATAAAAGAAGGGTGGCCTCCTAGAATTTAAGTCAGGAGGGAGGTGGTGGGCAATGGATGACAAGCTCTACTTTGAAGAGGTTGAATTTCAGCTGACCACTACTAAAGCAGTACAAGCTTTTCCTTTCAGCAAGTGTCTTCCCAGAAATGTGATAGCAATTTTTAGGAAGAATTTGGCAAACATAATGTTTAGCAGATTTGCAACAAATGCTATAAGCTCAAATTTTTTTTTTTTTTTTTTTTGGCAGCACACTCAGCCCTCCAAGGGGAAGTGGATTATTTTTCTTGCAAGTGCATTAGCAAGGGAGGTATTAAGGACAGCAACATTCCTTCCTGTATAAAAAAATAAATAAATAAAAGAAGAAAGATTATTGAGGCCCTCTCTGCTGTATGTAATGTACTTCAGGATGTTGGTAGAAAGATATCAACCTAGAATAAGTTCACAGAATACATTTGGTTTCACAGAAAGTTTAAAGTCAATCTGGACATTCAGTGATCTCTTTCTGTATATTTGATCTACCCATCTGCTGGGCTTTTGAAGTTTTCAATAATAAAAAATAAAAAAAGGAATAGTCCCAGCAGTATTTGCATGAACTTTTATTGAATTCAGTTCAGAGCCCTTTGGCATGAAGAGTACTGACTTTGGCAAACATCCAGGAAACACTCTTATGGGAAGCTTCTCTGTTTTTGTTTTGGAGCAACTTTGCACAATTAATCACAGCATCATTTACAGTTATAAAAAGTTGGAAACAACCTAGAGGCCCAATAAGTAGAAAATAGATCATTTATAGTACACAAACTTGACAATATATTATACAATATTAAAAACAACAATGGCACTAACATAACAACATTAAGAAGTACTTATGTTATATGTGGGAAAAATGATGCTGTATTTTGTTATGAAAAATGCAAATGGATATGTTAGTGCCTTCAAAAGGGCAAGAGGATTATGAATGATTAAGCGTACTTATTTCCTTTATTGTTTTTCTTATGAAAAATAGCTATGGTATAAATAACAGAAAATGTAATAAAAATTTGCATGACCAAAGAGGCCTTATCACATAAATAAGCTCAAGTCTCTCTCTCCTCCAAAAAGCCACTATAAGAGCCTGTTCTCACACTGGTGTGAAGATGGAGTAATTTTTAAAGAAAAGAGGTGTAATTGACAACAGTTCCACGTGGCTGGGGAGGCCTGGGGAAACTTAGAATCATGGCATAAGGTACCTCTTCACAGGACGGCAGAAGAGAGAATGAGTGCAGAGCAAAGGGGGAAGCACCTTATAAAGCCATCAGATGTCAGGAGAAGTCACTCACTATCATGAGAACAATATGGGGGAAACTGCCCCCATGATTTACTTATCGCCACTTCGTCCCACCCTTGACACATGGGGATTATTACAATTCAAGGTGAGATTTGGGTGGGGACGCAGAGGCAAACCATATCAGCTACCAACTTTTCACCTACTGCAAATATCACATTATACTTTTCTTAACATTTAAGTGTCTTCAACGAAATTTCTTTTACCTTCTCACTTTGTGTTTTCTCCTCAGTCTGTTGAAATCTGCCTTCTGCCAGGTCACTTAATGTGAAATTGTTCACATCAAGATAAAATCCACCTTGTTGCTGAAAATAGTTTTCAGTCTTTCAGCAGTTGGTATTTATTTGGTCACACCTTCTTTAACCTTGCAATTCCCAGATTTCAGATCTGTATTTCTTTGCAATATTCTTTTCAGTCTCCCGGTCCTCCTTAAACTTTACTTTCCCTCTAGGCATGTGAGCTCCCTTAAATAATCAGGCCCAGAAAAGCATTTAACATGTGGCAACAGTCACATCTCACTCCCTCTTGAGCTAAATCACTATCTCTCCAAGCCACTTGCTTTGCAGGCTCTAGACTAACTGATCCCAAGTAGCCATAAAATGCCATATACCCTATAGTTCCACAATGTATAGCCAATTGCTAACTAATGTTATTTCTGTGAACCAATGAGAATTCTTGACAAAAAAATTTTGTAATTGTTGCTTCCCCTGATTCATCTTTTTTTTCTTTAAACACTTGAGCATCTGTTTTGTTCTCCAGAGCACTCCCAAGGCAATTTGGAAGTGTTTCCTGGGCTGCAGTCCTTAACCTTTGTGCTTGAATAAACTCTCTTAAAATAGACTTTGAATTTGTTTATTTTATGTTGACAGTTTCTTGGTGTCTGTTGACCAGATGCCACTCTCAGGACCTTGCCATGTGGGCCTCTATAACACAACAGTTTGCTTCATTAAAATGTGCAAGCTATGAAAGCAACAGAGAGAGTGTACTTGCAAGACAGGATTCATAATCTCTTGTAACCTAATCATGAAAGAGACATCTCCTCAATGTTTCCATATTCTGTTGGTCAGAAGCACATTACTGAAGGAGATAGTGTTACATGAAGCCTGAATATACCAGGAGGTAACTTCACTGGGGGTCCTCATAAAGGCTGCCTATTATAATTCTAAACCCTGTATCTCATTCTCCACTGATACAAGGCACAAGTCCTATTACTAAATGCAACATGCACAAGTCTGAATACATCATCTTTCTATTCCCAAAGGCAGCTCATTTCCATCTTTTTAGTTAATGGCATCTCCATTCACCAACTTTTCAAAAATCAGAAAACTATCGTATTTATTCATCTTCCTTACCCCAACATTCAATTAATCATGAGCTGCTATTAATTCTGATTTCTAAATACCTATTACATCTGTCTCTCCACATGTCTGTCTTAACCTATCATGATCTGTAACCTATGTCATCGCTATGGCTTCCTAACATACCTTCCTACTCCCAGTCTTGCTCTCTTCCAGTCCTTACCACACCAGTGGTGACAATGCCACATTCCTGCTTAAAATGCTCACCTGGTTTCCCATAGCTCAAAAATATTTCAAGATGGATATGGATAGTGATTCTGAAAATGCACATTCAATAAATCTGTGATTTCCACAATACAGGCTACAAAAATTTAAACTCAGGAAAATCTTAGCTGGTAAGAATATGTGAAGTTGAGTGACAGTTGTGAACAATCTAGCTTTCTATTTGAATAATATGCAAAATCCCTATATAAGTTGTTTAGTGTGGAATCTCAGATATGGGGGATGTAAACTCAAAACAGTTGTATTAGTTTTCAGTAACCACTATCAATTGTTCTTTGAACATTATCTATTTGGAAGGCTGTATCCCTTGAAGATATTTCAGTTCCACTCTATAACTTTCCAGACATTTTCACATATTAGAAGTTTCATGGCAGTTCTGAGAAACTCAGACCTATTTATTGTAATATTTCAATCTCCAAGGGCTTCTGCTAGCTCACAGAGTGCCAATATGGGAATGGGAAAATGATGCCCCTTCCTCCTGGTGGAGACAGGGACCTGCACAATCAGTTCAGACCACTAATTCCTCCCCAGACCGTGTGAAATTCTAGCCGCCTGGAATTTAGAGATTGTGTGGCCTGCTTTAACAAACTTCCTCTTCGTTTTTCTAATCTGGCCATGGAATAGGTGTAAATAAGAGTGAAAATGGTATTTTCTAGTCAGTTGTAACATGACTGGTTATCAAATATTTCAAATATTGCCCCAAATACTACCCCCAGAAGGTGGTGCTGTGAGTTCTGAAATGTTTGTTTGGGAGCTGTCTCTCCAGAAGCAGACCTGGATGGACCAAGTACAAACTAGAGGTCAGTTATTTGTGTTTATTTCAATCTGTGCTGTCCATGACTTCAAAGCACAAGTCACTGGATTCTCTAAAAATACTTCCCATCCTCAAATTCTTTTTAACTGGATCAATTTTTGAGGCTTGGGAGACAGTTGAAAGTTGTTATTCTGACAGCTCCATTCAAAAATGAGATGTAAAAAATGACCTTTTTATAGGAACATACGGGAAAGAACTATAAAAACGCTTAAGATTTGGTTTGGCAGAGATATTTTTCTCATTCAAAAATGAGTAGCGTTTTTGGCACTTGCTGTGGTACTTTGTAGCTGGCAGCTGAATTATTTTGGCCTCTGCCCAAATCTCTGGACTCAAAAGCTGATCTTCAAATCTCCTGTTTAGTTAAAGAAGGATTTAAAACACTTAATGGCCATTTACATGTCAAAAATAAGACATTATATTAACCTGATATTGAGACACTGTGCCTGTCTAAATAGCGATGACAATAGATAAAATAACTACCTTTTGAATGGCAGTGCATTACTTGTATTATTCTTCAAAACAATCTGTCAATAGAACAGGTTTTAAAAGCCCATTTTACAGATAGGAAAACTGAGGTTCAGTAGACCAAGATCCTTGCTCAGGGTATTTGGAAGAATCAGTATTCGAGCCCATGGCTACAGACATTTACCTATTCTCTATTATGTCACGTTATTTTCAATGTATATTTTCTGAAATGCAATGCAGTAGGCCTTGAGTTAGTAATTCTTCCTTTAAATGTACCTGCAAATTATACAACACTCTTAGCCAATAATGACTTAGAGAATTATTTCTGCTTTCTTTAGCATTAGTACTTTTATATTCTTCTTAAAGGTAATTATTCTACCTATGACTGGGCTATTATGAAACAGGGTGGTCTTGGTAGTTTACAAATATGTCCATAAGTAGATGTATCATGGTGCCCTAAATTAGCTTTACTCATGTTCTTTTCTTTCTAGAAAATTTTTGTTAACCAGGATCCCATGCCTCTGTAAATTGACCATCCCCTAACCCATAGCTTCATATCATTTAGTGTTCTGGGACCTCCAAATGAAGTCTTTATTATTAGACAAGGAGGCATGGTCTGTCTGATATATGTTGAAAGCCAATAACATAACTCACTGTCTTTCAATTTGATAATAATTCTGTCTTAATTCAGTCTTATACATATTGCTTCCTATTATCTTCCATTCTTTTTCTTGGAGAAAGTAAAATGGAAGAGCCAAATGAAACACAGTGTTCTAAATCTACCCATATGAAGTAATCTACCACTTCAGATGTAAGTTGGTATAGAATAAAAGGAAGTCACAGTTCAATTTATGGATTCCAGGGAAATACAGTAGTATGATCCAGGAAGTATAGATATTTAAAGGAGGCATCTTCTAAGTTGATGGAACATAGCTGCTGAAGTTTCTGGGGCACAAATAGGGACAGTAACATGATTCTAAATTTTGGCTAAAGATTCCCAGTGAGTTAGTGCCTGGGTGAGGTAGGTGGGCATAGTGTATCATGATCCAGCAAAGTAATAGCTGAGCATGGTATCTAGACCCAGGAAAATGAGGCAGGGGTCGATGGGGGAACTAGAATACAAACTAGGAGGATATTCAAGGTTCTGGGAAGGAAGAAAGTCTGCAACTTTGCATCTGGGTTTATTTCCATATACAATGAATTTTAATAATAAATGCTGGTGAGGATGTAATCAGTGGGGAGAAGGAATTTGTACAGAGAAATATTATGATCAGATCTTTGCTTTTGTAATGTTGTTATCTGTTGGTAAGGAAATCATAAGAGGAAGAGCAAGATTGGCAACAGTGAGATCAGTTAGGAAGCTATTGGTATCTTCAAAGCACTGTCCAAGTCTCACCTTCATCCTCGTCAGACTTTCTCACCCAAATTTCTGTAGGATAAACTACCCTTGCCAAATCATTTAACATTTATTTTCTGTTTCTGTATCATACCTTTCTAATGACATTATAAACTATGATGAATTTAATTTTATTTTAGTTGTTTCATTGCATTAGGTTCATAATAAACACACAGAAAAATACATGAGTGCTTTTCAATGAAAAGTAGAAAGTAGGAGCAAATAAAGCATCGCATAAGTAGAGAAAGGAAGGCATAACATATTATGTACAGGGATATAGATATGTCAAAAAGGGGAAAGCTAACTGATTCCTACAGCAAAGTATTAGATGGGTGACTTTTTTTTTTAATGTGTATATATATTTTTTTTTTTACTATTTTTTTTCTAACTTTTAAGTGCAGGGGTACATGTGCAGGTTTGTTACGTGGGTAAACTTGTATCATGGGGTTTGTTGTACAGATTATTTCATCACCCAGGTATTAAGCCTAGTACCTATTAGTTATTTTTTCCCGATCCTCTTCCCTCCGCCTTCCATTAGACCCCAGAAAGTGTTGTTCCCCTCTATGTGTCCATGTGTTCTCATCATTTATCTTCCACTTATAAGCAAGACCATGCAATATTTGGTTTTCTGTTCCTGCATTGGTTTGCTAAGGATAATGGCCTCCAGCTTCATCCATCCCCCTCAAAGGACATGATCTCATTCTTTTTTATAGCTGCATAGTATTCCATGGTGCATATGGACCACATTTACTTTATCTATTTTATCACTGATGGGAATTGAGGTTGATTCCATGTCTTTGATGTTGTGAATAGTGCTGCAGTGAACATATGTATGCATGTGTCTTTATAATAGAACAATTTGTATTCCTTTGGGTATATACCCATTAATGAGATTATTTATATAAATTTAAAGGGTACAACTGCAATTTCGTTACATGGATATATTGCACAGTGGTGAAGTCTGGGATTTTACTGTATCCGTGACCCAAATTATGTACATTGTACCCATTACCCATTAAGTAAATTCTCTCTCTTTCTCTCTCTCTCTCTCTTTCTCTCTGTCTTTCTCTGAGCCAGGGTCTCAGTGTCACACAGGCTAGAATGCAATGGCATGAACATCTCTGCAGCCTCGAGCTCCTGGGCTCAAATGATCCTCCCATCTCAGCCTCCTGAGTAGATGGGACTACAGGCCCATGCTATCACACCTGGCTAATTTTTGTATTTTTTGTTGAGGCAATGTCTCACTATGTTGCCCAGGCTGGTTTTGAACTCCTGGCCTTAAGCAATCCTCCACCTTGGCCTCCCAAAGTGCTGGGACTACAGGGGTGGGCTGCCGTACCCAGCCTGGATTTGTTTTCCTTTGGGTAGATAGCTAGTAGTGGAATTGCTGGATTAAATGATACTTCTATTAGAAAATAACAGGCTCGCTCTTATTGTTTCGAATGTATTACTTATAGATGCAGGCTCTGAGGCTTTGAAGAAATCCAGAACATAAAATTAAATTACTAAATAATACAAGGAATCAAAGAGAACATGAGTTATTTAAAAGTGTTCAAAAGAATATCCATGTTGTCAGGAGCTGAATTTATTTAAACACAATATATCAGAATAAAATTTTTTGGTCACTAAAGAATGCATGAATATGTATGTGTATATATATATATTTGTGTCTACATATTTATGTGTATATGTACATGTGTATGTATATATGTGTGTGTGTTTAGAAGAGTGAGAGAGAGAGAGAAGAGAAATTGAGAAGTGAAGGCCAATCGCCACAAAAAAATTTAAGTTTTTGTCATCAACTTGCAAATGGAAACTGGCACTGTGCTGGAATAAAGATGAGACTTTTTTTTTCTTTGTTTTTGATTAGGCTTTCTTCCAGTTGCAATTGTTAGAATGTAGAATTTGCAGCACATGGTTACTTTTTTTGAATGCCCGTGCTTTGGAGATATTTAAACTCAGACCTCATGTATCACTTGCAATCTGATCGTGCAAATACTGAATACCTGACTGATCTCTTTATGAGCCCAAGGCTGTTTTATCCCAAGGCTTGGCATGCTGTCAGTAACTGAAAAGTCCTTAGTCCTGCCATTAAGCTAGATTTTGTTTCATAAAAGAAAAGAGGGAGAATTATGCTTTCTGAAAAAAAATAGCATGTAGGTTAACTTTGGTCTGAACCCTTTAAAATCATCAAATGGTTTCAGGGTTGTTATATATTTATCTGAGTTATTTTGAACCACATATATCTCTAATTGCTTGGCACATGATTGTTTTTGCTCCTAATTTCACTAGCAATACTGAGAGATGGTAATCTTCATACCACAAAGTATTCCCTATTTTATCATCTGAGTGATCTTTATGAAAACCAAGTCTGTCTAAAATTATTTCTAAAACTGCATTAGTTTAAACCTTTAAGAGATTACTATTGTGTTTAAGTTAAAATTCAACCTGAGAAGTTGGTGTAACATAGAAGTTAAGAGCACTAGCCCTTGAGTCAGACTGGCTCGCTTCAAGGTTCTACTTTATACTAACCCATCTGTATTTCAGGTTCTGGGTTCTGAAAACTGAGGAAAATGATAGCACATACCACATACAGTTGTTAAGAGTATCAAATGAGATAATTTACCTAAGGCCATTCAAAAAGTGCCTGGCACACAGTAAGTGTTTAATGAATGCTAAATCATATCATCATTGACACAGGAGGCAAGCCCTTTATAGTTGGGTCTTTAATTGATTTGTAATTTCCTATGTGTCAATAACTCTGTTGGATTTCTCCATATATGATTTTGTCCAATTTATACAACAATCCTATTGGATAGGTATTATTATCCCTGTTTTCAGGCATCCAAAGTAGGTACTTAATGTTCCCACCACCATCGTAATCATATTCTTATTCAATAGGTGTTATCAGTTCAATTCAATAGAGAGAGTAGTCCCTTCATATGAGCCTGAGTAATTTAAATATAGGATGTCAATCTGTGGAGAGGGGTAGCGGGGGGAGAGAGAGAGAAGGGATGGGATGGGAAGGGAAAGGAAGGGGAGGGAAGGGGAGGCAGACACACACAGAGAGAGAGAGAGAGAAGAGGAGTGGGCAAGATCTGTTAACAGAAGCAGACATAAGAAATGGGGCATTGAGTTCTCTATACCTGGCTCTGTTATCTTTTTGAGACACAGCAGCACTGAATTTTTTCTAAATTTTCCATGTATTCTTATAATGCAATTACCATTTTGGCTAAAGGTATATTTCCTTGAAAATTGAAAATCCTCACTGCTGCTTTACTGCTGGTAGCTATATAGGAGAATACAGAGGATTAAACTCTATAATTCTCTCTCAGAGATTATATGATGCATGGGCTTTGAGCAAAGGAATAAGGTGTGTTGTGGGTAGGACAAGAGACAGAGCTGCCAGTTCTGTGTACCAAAGAGTAAAGGGACAGCCTATTCTGAACCTCAAGAGATCCTATTCATCTTTTCCTCAATTCAATAGATGTCTGGTCACTTTAAATTTTCACATCTAGAGGTTGCTACTGAGAGGACTCTACCTATAATAGCAAAAATTTATGTGAAGTGGACCTGTAGCCTCCACTCATAACATGAATTTTTAATTCTATTTACCTGGATATTTTGCTGCATGACTAATTCATATGCCTGGTAGGTGGGCAGCATGTTGCCTATGAGCTAAATTGCTGAGATGAATACACAGAATTGATAAGTTCTCAGACAGAATCATAATAATGCTAGAACATGCCCAGGCTACCCAGCACCCTGAGGCTGTTCTTGAGGTCAGCAGGGATCATGAACATAATAACTATAATTCCGGTTATTATTGCCATTCTCACATTCTTATCCACCAATTTCCATTACAAACTCTTTGTTCTGCTTGGTCCCACACAAAGTGTTCTCAAATTTTATGTCAGGAAAAGAGTTAAGGTCTAGACTTCTTTATGGAAAGTCATATTCAAAACTGGACATTGGCTTCTTAAATACTTGTTGGTGGCTCAAAATGAAGTGATGCTCTTTTGTTTTTTTTTCTTTCCTCTCATTTAATTTTTTCTCTTTCATTATTCTATTCCTCTTTCTGTGTGTACGTGTGTGTGTGTGTGTGTATGTTTTCAATAAAAAATTAAGACACAGTAAATGTTTTCTCAACTGATTGTTAGCCTATTTGTATCTCTGTAATTAAATACCTCATTCTTTTCAGTATCACAGTGTTTAAGTCTAAGATTTTTCACATTCAAAATTGAAAAGTTTAATTAATTTTATTCATTTAAAGTGTTTGGCCCATCCTCATGGGGATGTTCTGATTTTCTTACTTTAAAAATTGATATGGAGAGATAATGTTTAACTAATTGCATGTTTATGAAATACACAATTGGATAAGTTCTGTCAGATGTGTACACTCATGAAACCATCACCATAGTAAAGACAATGCACATATAGATTGTCCACAAAAGTTTACTTATGCTCCTTTGTAACCTTTCTCTCCGGCTGCTCTCTGCCTGCACCCCTCTCCCATTAGGAAACAGCTGATTTACTTTTTGTTGCTATAAATTAATTTGCATTTTCTAGACTTTTATGTCCATGGAATACATACATTTATGTCCTCTCTATTGTCTGAGTTCTTTCATTTGGTATAATTATTTAGAGATTTATCAATGTTATAATGTGTTAATAATTTACATCTTTTTTTTTTTTTTTTTTTTTTTTTTTTTTTTTTTGTGAGACGGAGTCTCACTCTTTCCCCCAGACTGGAGTACAGTGGCACAATCTTGGCTCACTGAAAGCTCCGCCTTCCGGGTTCATGCCATTCTCCTGCCTCAGCCTCCCGAGTAGCTGGGACTACAGGTGCCCGCCAGCTAACTTTTTGTATTTTTAGTAGAGACAGGGTTTCACCATGTTAGCCAGGATGGTCTTGATCTCTTGATCCACCCACCTCAGCCTCCCAAAGTGCTGGGATTACAGACTTGAGCCACTGCACCCAGCCAATAATTTATACCTTTTATTGCTGCGTAATATTCCATTTATGGATATATCACAGATTCTCATTCACTGTTGATGGATATTTGGGTTGTTTCAAGTTTTGCGCAGTATAAATAAAGCTTCTAGGACATTCATATATGAGTCTTTGAGTGACATATGCTTCATTTCTCTTGAATAGAACCCGAAGAGTGAATGATTAGACCACATAGTAGGTATATGTTTAACTTGTAACTGCCAAATTATCTTTCAAAGTGGTTGTACCATTTTATACTTCCAGCCTCGATGCATAAAAGTTCCATTTCCTTGACATGCTTGCCAATTGGTTGGTCTTTTTTTATTTTAACCCATGTAATAGCTATATTGCAATATCTCATTTTTTGTTTTAATTTGCATTTTTAACATGACTAATGATGTTTAGTACTTTGTTGTGTATATATTTGTCACCACTATGTCTTATTTGGTGAAGTGTCTGTTCAAATATTTTGCTGATTACATTTTTTATTATTAAATTTTTAGGTTTTATTATTGAGTTTTATATATTCTGGATACAAGTCCTTTACAGATACATGATTTGATATATTTTCTCCCAGACCGTTGCTATGTATTGTAATTCTTTTAACAATGTCTTTTAAAGAGCAGAAGGTATTAATTTTGATGAAATACAAATTATCAGTTTGTTCTCTTGTGGATCGTGCTTCATATGTCATAACTAAGAAATTAATTGTTAACCAATATAATAAAGGTTTTCTTATTTTTTTCTAAATTATCTATGCTCTTAGGTTTTACTTTTAGATTCAAATATATTTTGAGTTACTTTTTAAAAAATACACTGTGAAGTATGGACCAAAGTCATTGTTTGTATATGGATATTCAATTATTCCACCACCATTTGTTGAAAAGACAATCCTTTTCCCACTGAATTACCATTGCACTTATGTTGAAAATCAATTGTCCATCAAAATCAGTTATGCAGACCAGTTTCTGAAGGTTCTATTCTTTTCCATTTATCTATTTGTCTATCTTGTTGCCAGTGCCATAATTGTATAGATTAAAAACATAATTGTAAACTGTAGCCATATAATATTTCTTGAAGGTTAGTCCCCCAACTTTGTTCTTTTTTTCTTTTTAAAAAAATTTTTTATGGATACATAGTAGGTATATATATTTATGGGGTGCATGAAATATGTTGATGCAGACATACAATGCATAACAATCACATCAGGGTAAATGGGGTATTCATCATCTCAAGTAATTATCTTTTCTTTATGTTATAAACATTCCAGTTATACTCTGAGTTATTTTTAAAGGTACAATAAATTATCATTGACAATAGTCACCCTGTTGTGCTATCAAGTACTAGAACTTACTCATTCTAACTATATTTTTGTACCTATTAACCATCCCCACTTTCCTACCCCCACACACTACTCTTCTCAGCCTCTGGTAACCATCATTATACTCTCTGTCTCCATGGCTTCACTTGTTTTAATTTTTAGCTCCCACAAATAAGTGAGACTATGCAAAGTTTATCTTTCTGTGCCTGGCTTATTTTACTTAACATAATGTTCTTGAGTTACAGCCATGTTGTTACAAATGACAGGATCTCATTCTTCTTTATGGCTGAATGGTACTCCATTGTGTATCCATTCTTCTGTTGATCAACCCTTAGGCTGCTTCCAAATCTGGGCTATTGTGAATCGTGCTGCAATAAACATAGGAGTGCAGATATTTCTTCAACATACTAATTTCATTTCCGTAGGATAAATACACAGTAGTGGGATTGCAGGATCATATCAGAGTTTTTAGTTATTTGTGGAACCTCCATATTATTCTTTATAGTGGATGTACTGATTTACATCCCCACCAACACTGTATAAGGGTCCCCTTCTTTCCACATTTTTGCAAAACATTCATTATTACCTGTCTTGGATAAAAGCCACTTGTACTGGGGTGAAATGATATCTCATTGTAGTTTTGATTTGCATTTCTCGGATGATCAGTGGTGTTGATTACCTTTTTATATGCTTGTTTGCCATTTGTATGTCTTTTGAGAAATGTCTATTCAAATATTTTGCCCGTTTTTTAATTGGATTATTAGATTTTTTTTTTTTTTTTTTTTTTTGCTATTGAGTTGTTTGAGCACCTTTTATATTCTGGTTATTAATCCTTTGTCTGATAGATAGTTTTAAAACATATTCTCACATTCTGCGGGTTGTCTCTTCACCTTGTTGATTGTTTCCTTTGCTATGTAGAAGACATTTAACTTGATGTAATCCCATTTCTCCATTTTTGCATTGGTTGCCTGGGTTTGCAGGACATTATTCAAGAAATCTTTGTTCAGAAAAATGTCCTGAAGAGTTTTCTCAATGTTTAATTTTAGTAGTTTTATAGTTGGAGGTCTTAAACTTAAGTCTTTAATCCATTTTGATTTGATTTTTAAATATGGTGAGAGATAGGTGTCTAGTTTCATTCTTCTGCATATGGATGTCCAGTTTTCCCAGTAAAATGTATTGAAGAGACTGTCCTTTCCTCAACGTATATCCTTAAAATCTTTGCCAAAAATTAGCTCACTGATACATGGATTTCTCAGTTCTTTATTCTGTTCCATTGGTCTCTGTGTCTATTTTTATGCCAGTAACATGCTGATTTGGTTACTATAGCTCTGTAGTGTAATTTAAAGTCAGGTAATATGATTCTTCCAGTTTTGTTCTTTTTGCTTTGGATGTCTTTCGCTACTCTAGGTTTTTTGTAGTTCCATATAAATTTTAGGATTTTTTTTTCTATTTCTATGAATAACGTCACTGGTGTTTTGATAGGAATTGCATTGAATCTATAGATTGTTAGGGTAGTATAGACATTTTAACAATATTGATTCTTCCAACCCATGAACATAAATATCTTTCTATTTTTGGTGTCATTTTCAATTTCTTGCATCAATGTTTTCTGGTTTTCCTTGTAGAGGTCTTTCATATCTGGTTAAATTTATTCCTAGGTATCTTATTTTTTTGTAGCTACTGTAAATGGGATTGCTTTCTTGATTTCTTTTTCAGATTATTCATTGTTGATATGTAAAAACGTGACTGGTTTTTGTATGTTGATTTTGTATACTGCAGTTTTCCTGAATTTGTTTATCAGTTCTAATAGTTTTTTTGGTGGAGTCTTTTTTCCATTTTATTATCTGCAAACAAGGATAATTTGACTCCTTCCTTTCCAATTTGGATGCCCTTTATTTCTTTCTCTTGTATGATTTTTCTAGCTAGGACTTCCAGTACGATATTGAATAAAGTGGTGAAAGTGAACATTCTGTCTTATTCCAAATTTTAGAGGAAAGGCTTTCAGTTTTTCCTTGTTCTGGATGATACTATCTGTGGATCTGTCATATATGGCTTTTATTGTGTTGAGGTATGTTTCTTCTATAGTCAGTTTTTTTTTTATTTTTATGATGCAGAGCTGTTGAATTTTATCAAATGTTTTTTGAGCATCAATTGAAAGGATCATATGATTTTTGCCCTTCATTTTGTTGATATGATATATCACATGGATTTATTTGTGTATGTTAAACCATCCTTGCATCACTGGGATAAATCCCACTTGGTCACGATGAATAATCTTTTTAATGTGTGACTGAATTTGGTTTGCAAGTATTTTGTTGAAGATTTTTACATCAATATTTATCGGTGATATTGGCCTGTATTTTTTAGATATATCTTTGTTTTTATTATCACGGTAATAGTGACCTTGTAGAATGGGTTTGGAAGTATTCCCTTCTCCTCTATTTTTCAGAATAGTTTGAGTAGAAATGGTACTATTTCATTAAATATTTGGTAAAATTCATCAGTGAAGCCATCAGGTCCCAGGATTTTCTTTGCTGGGAGATTTTCATTACAGCTTCAATCTGATTACTTTTTATTGGTCTGTTCAGGTTTTGGATTTCTTCACAGTTCAATCTTGGCAGGGGGTATGTATCTACATTTCATCCAGATTTTCTAATTTATTGCATATAGCCACTTATAGTAGTCTATTAATCCTGTGAATTTCTGCTGTAGCGATTGTAATGTCTCCTTATTCAAGATTTTATTTATTTTGGTCTTCTTTCCTTTTTTCTTAGTCTGGCTAAAGATTTGTTTATTTTTTTAATCTTTTCAAAAACTCAAGTTTATGTTTCATTAATCTTTTGTATTTTTTCATTCCAATTTCATTTATTTCTGCTCTGATCTTAATTATTTCTTTTATTCTACTAATTTTTGGGTTTGGTTTGTTATTACTTTTCTAGTTCTTTAAGATGCATTATTAGGTGGTTTATTTGAAGTTGTTCTTTTTTTTTTTGACATGATGCTTATTATGATAAAGTTTCCTCTTAGTATTGCTTTTGCTGTGTCCTATAGGTTTTGGTATGTTGTGTTTCTATTTTCATTTGTTTCAAGACATTTTTAAATTTTCTTCTTACTTTCTTCATTGACTTACTGGTCATTCAGGAGCATTAATTTTGGTGGAAGTTTAATTTCCAGTTTGTATAGTTTCCAAAGTTCCTCTTGTTATTGATTTCCAGTTTCATTCCATTGTGGTCAGAGAAGATACTTCTTAGAACTTCAAGTTTTTTCAGTTTTTTGAGACTTGCTTTTAGGCTTAACATGATTTATGCTTGAGAGTGACCCATTGACCCATGTGCTGAAGAGAAGAATGTGTATTCTGCAGCCACTGGATGAAATGTTTTATAAATATCTATTAGGTCCATTTGTTCTATAGTGTAGGTTAAGTCTGATATTTCTTTGTTGATTTCCTGTCCAGAAAGTGGAGTTTCTCCAGCTATTATTGTATTGAGGTTTATCTCCCTCTTTAGTTCTAATAATATTTGCTTTATATATCATCATGCAGCAGTGTTTGGCATATATCTATTTACAATAGTTATATATCCTCTTACCGAATAAACTTCTTTATCACTATATAAAGACTATTGTTTTCTCTTTTTATAGTTTTTGTCTTGAAATCTATTTTGTCTTATAAGTATAGCTACTTCTGCTATTTTATGGTTTTCATTGGTATGGAATATCTTTTTCCATCCCTTTAGTTTCAGTCTATATGTACCTTTATAGGTGAGTTGTCTTTCTTGTAGGCAAAAATTCAATGGGTCTTCTCTTTTTCATCCATTCAGCCACTCTATGTCTTTGATTGGAGGGTTTAGTCCATTTATATTCAATGTGATTTCTGATAAGTAAGTAATTCTGTCATTTTGTTATTAGTTTTCTGGTCTTCTCTTCCTTCTTTCCTTCCTGTCCTACTTTTGGTGAAGGTGATTTTCCCTGGTGCTGTGTTTAATTGCCTTTTATTTTTTGTGTATCTGTATTTTTTTTATTTGAAGTTACTATGAGACTTGCATATAACATCTTGTAACTCATTATTTTAAACTGATGACAACTTAATACTGATTACAAAAACAAGCAAAGAGAAAACTAATAACAGTTCTGCACTTTAACTTCATTCCCTCCCTCACTTTTTAACTTTTTATTGTTTTCATTTAAACTTACTATACTATCTTTCTCTTGAAAAGTTATTTTAGTTATTATTTTTGATAGTTTCATCTAGTCTTTCTACTGAAGGTATGAGTGGTGTGTAGTAATCTCTCAAGGTGTGAGAAGTGTGCTATTATAATATTATAATAGTATTATAATATTCTGTGTTTATCTACGTACTTACTGTTACCAGTGAGTTCTATGCCTTAAAATGATTTGTTATTGCTCATTAACATGCTTTTCTTTCATATTGAGGAATTCCCTTTACAGGTGTTGATAAAATTCCTCAGCATTTGTCTGGGAACATCTTTATTTCTCCTTCATGTTTTAAGGATATTTTTTCTGAATATACTATTCTAGAATTAAAAAGTCTTTTTTTTCTTCTTCAGCACTTCAAATATGTCAAGTCACTCTCTTCTGGCCTGTAAGGTTTTCACTGAGAAGTCTGCTGCCAGACGTATTTGAGTGCCTTTATATGTGATTTATTTCTTTTCTCTTGCTGCTTTTAGAATCCTTTCTTTATCCTTTACCTTTGGGAGCTTGATTATTAAATGCCTTGAGGAAGTCTTCTTTGGGTTGAATCTGTTTGGTGTCCTGTAAACCTGTTGTACTTGAATACTGATAATCTTTCTCTAGGCTTGGGAATTTCTCTGTTATTCCTTGGAATAAACTTTCTACCCTGATCTCTCCTTCTCCCTCCTCTTTAAGGCTAATAACTCATAGGTTTGCCCTTTTCAGTCTACTTTCTAGAACTTATAGTGTGCTTCATTCTTTTTTATTATTTTTCTTTTTTCTCCTCTGTGTATTTTCAAATAGCCTGTCTTCAAGCTCACTGAATCTTTCTTCTGCTTGATTAATTCTGTTCTTAAAAGACTGATGCATTCTTTAGTATGTCAGTTGCATTTTTTAGCTCCAGAATTTCTCCTTGATTTTTAAAAATTATTTCAATCTCTTTGCTAAATTTATCTGATAGGATTCTGAATTCCTTCTCTGTGTTATCTTGAACTTTGTTGATCTTCCTCAAAACAGCCATTTTGAATTCTCTGTCTGAAACGTCACATGTCTCTGTTACTCTGGGAATAGTCACTGGTGTCTTATTTAGTTCATTTAGTGAGGCCATATTTTACTGGATTTTTTTTTTCTTTATTTTTTTGAGATGGAGTCTCGCTCTGTTGCCCAGGCTGGAGCGCAGTGGTGCAATCTTGGCTCACTGCAGCCTCTGCCTCCCGGGTTCAAGCAATTCTCTTGCCCTAGCCTCCTGAGTAGCTGGGATTACAGGCATGAGCCACCGCACGTGGCCAGAGATAGGTACTTATTGTAGTCTTTTCAGTCTGGGCTTCTTTGTACCCAACCTTATTGGGAAGGCTTTACAAGTACTCAAAGATAGTTGAATGTTATGATCTACATCTTTGGTCATTGCAGCTGTATCTGTACCTGAAGATAAGGCTGTAGTATTAGGGAGTACCTGAAGCCCAATAATACTGTGACTCCTGTGTGTTCATAGACATATTAACTTGGATCTTGGGTAAAATCCAGAGGAATTCCCTAGACTACCAGGCAGAGACTCTTGTTCTTTTCCCTTAGTTTCCCCCAAACAAAGAGTCTCTGTACTGAGCTACCTGGAGCTTGAGGAGGGGTGACACAAGCACCCCTGTGTCCACCACCACTGGAATTGCACTAGGTAAGACCCAAAGCCAGCACAGCGCTGGGTGTCTTAACTTCCTGGCCACTGCCAATGTTCACTCAAGGCCCAAGCGCTCTTCAATCAACTGGTGGCAAATCCAGCGAGACTTGTGGCATTTCCCTTAGCATAGTGAGATCCCCCTGTCCACCAGGGCCTGGATTCAAGAATCTTAGGAATATAGTTGGTGCTCTATTGTGCTGTGGCTAAGCTGACAGCCAAGCCACAAGACAAAGTCCTTCCACTCTTTTCTTTCACTTCCTCATGCAGAAAGAGTTTCTCCCCATGGCCACCACTGCCCCAGGCCTGCAGCAGGTGCTGCCTGGGTACTGCCAGTGTTGACTCAAGACCCAAGGCCTCTTCCATCAGATTGTGAATGCTTCCAGGCCTAAGTCCCTCTCTACAGAACAGTTGTCTTTCTTTTGGCCCAGAATGGGTCCAGAAACACTGTCCAGGAGCCAAGTCCTGGAATTGGTGACCCCAGGAAGCCACTTGATACTCTACCCGACTGTAGCTGAGGTGGTATCCAAGCTTAAGAACAAAGTCCCCTTTACTCTTTCCTCTCCTTTCCTCAAGCAGAAGGAAAGGATTCTCTCCTCATGGCCACCACAGCTGGGAATGTACTGGGTCACACCTAAAGTCAGCACAGCCCCAGGTCTCATCCAAGGCCTGCAGTGAGTATATCTGGCTAATATTGATGTTTATTCAAGGACAAAAGGCTCTTTTCATTAGCAGTTAATGAATTCTGCCTGGGTCCTTCTCTTCATGGAAGGTCCCAGAAGGACTGGGTCCTTCTCTTCATGGAAGCAGGTGCCCTTTTGACCAAGGGTATGTCTAGAAATACTGTCTGGGAGCTAGGGTCTGAAATGGGAGCCTCATAACTCTACCTCATGCCTTATTCTACTCTGGCTGAGTTGGTATCCAATTTACAAGACAAAGTCCTCTTCACTCTCTCCTCTCCTCTCCTCTCAAGGGTAAGGAAGGAGTCTCCCAGAGCTGTGAGCTGTTCTGTCTGTGGTTGGGGTAGAGGAAATGCAAGTACTCCCTTGGCTGCTCTAACTGGTGTCTTGCTAGGTTACATACACACCAAGTTCACTCACTCTGAGTACAGCATAGCAAAAAGATTTGTCCAGGATTTGAAGCCCTTGTGGTCTAGCTTGCCTTTCAAGTTTACTTAGAACCCCAGAGCACTTTGGCTTTTGGTGTAGGTCTTGCTGAAACTCAGGTTTCCACTGCTGTGTTGGATAATTCCACTCTGGCTAATGCTGGTCTAAATGCTCTCTCTATGGATGCTGGCTGAATGTTTCTTTCTGCTGCAACAGGGCAACACTGAGTTCCAGTGCTAAGTCCCACAATCATTCTGCTCTCCCTACTCTGAGCACACAGATTCTCTCTTCATGCCACACAGCTGCTGCCAGTGTATGAAGGAGGAGTGGTGTCAGCAATTCAAGATTGCCTTTCCCACCTTCTTCAGTGCCTCTTTCCTTGATATGATGTTAAAACTAGGTACTGTGATTGCTTATCTGATTTTTGGTTCTTATGATGGTGATTTCTTTTATGGATAGTTGTTCAATGTGGTGTTCCTGCAGGGAGGATGAACGCTAGAGGGTTCTATTTGGCCATCTTCCTTCACCTCATCACCCTGATTATCCAACTTTGTTCTTTTAAAAAATTGTTTTGGTTCTTGTAACATGAATTTACACTTTAGAAACAATGAGATAATATATACAGAAAATTCTTCTGGGATTTGGATTGGAAAGGCATTAAATTTATCTATTTGTTTGAAAAAATTACAATTTTGCACATAGACACATTTTAGTCATTAACATGGTTTATCTCTTCACTTATCTAGATGTTCTTTAATTTCTCTCTGCAATATTTTGTAACTTTTATTGTACATATTTTGCCCAGTTTTGTCAGATTTATTATGAAGTATTTAATGTTATTTTATACAATTGTATGTGATCTTTTAAATTTCAGTTTCCAATCATTTATAGCTAGTAGATGAGAATATAATTTATATACTTACCTTGAATCCTGCAACCTTGGTAAAATCACTTTTTCTAGTAGCTTTTTTTGTAGATTTCATAGGTTTTGTACATGTTGCACAGAAGACAGTTTTACTTCTTGTTTTCCAGTTTTGATGCCTCTTATTTCTTTTTCTTGCACAGTGCCCTGCCTAGAAGCTCCTGTACAACATTGTGTAGAACTGATAAGACCCAAGATTCTTGCTCTTCTTCCTTATTTTGGTGAAAAGCATCCAGTCTTTCATTATTAACTATTAAGTTAGTTGTAACTTTTTGATAGATAAACTGTCATGTTAGAGTAAAAATGTTAGCACTGAAATTATTTAAATACAGAACTAAAGTTAAACACAGAAGCAGTACTGTTACAGCACATTTTTAAATTTTATTGATATAATTTGGAAATTTGTCCCCACCCAAATCTCATGTTGAAATGTAATCTCAGGGGTGGCCAACATGGCTGACTAGAAGCAGCTAGTGTGTGTGGTGCTCATGGAGAGGAATGGAAGGGGTGAGTAAACATAGCATGTTCACCTGAAACATACAGGTACATACCTTGAGACCAAATGAGGAAACAGTTTGGTCCATGGAGAGTGAAGAAAAGCAAGGCAGGATAATGGCCCATCCAGGAACGACACAGAGCCAAGGGAACCTCCTGCACCCAGGGAAGTGGTGAGTGAATGTGCGATCCTGGGAATTTATGCTTCCCTTATGGATCATTACAACCCTTGGGTCAGGAAATCCACTTGTGAACTCACTCAGCCAGGATCTTCTGTCTGTCACATAGAGCTACGTGGAATGTCAGCAGAGAAGCTGCTCAGGAACACACAAATATCCGGGAGCCTTAGATACCTGGGCTTTCCAGGCTTTCCAGCAAAAGTAGCTGCAACTCTGGCAAAACAGGAGGTTATACCCCCTTACCTATCCCTTGGAGAGGCGCTGAATTCAAGGGGCTGAGCCAAAATAGTCTGCAGGCTCCACTCCATGGCACCTCACAGGGTAAGACTCACTGGCTTAGAATTTCTGTCAGCCACCAGTAGTAGCGTCGAACCTCCCTGATATGGAGCTCCCAGGGAGAGGGGCTAGCTGCTATCTTTGCCGTTTTGTCAATTTAGCCATTCCAGCCTTTGGGCTTTGGAGAATCCAAGCCAACTGTGGGTGGAAGCAATCCCCCAGCACAGCACAGCTGCTCTACAAAAAGGGGCTAGAATGCTTTTATTTATGTATTTATTTATTTTTTTGAGACGGACTCTGGCTCTGTCACCCAGACTGGAGTGCAGTGGCACCATCTTGGCTCACTGCAAGCTCTGCCTCACGGGTTCACGCCATTCTCCTGCCTCAGCCTCCGGAGTAGCTGGGACTTAAGGCACCTGCCACCACGCCTGGCTAATTTTTTTCTATTTTTAGCAGAGACGGGGTTTCACTGTGTTAGCCAGGATGGTCTCCATCTCCTGACCTCGTGATCCACCCACTTCGGCCTCCCAAAGTGCTGGGATTAAAGGCTTGAGTAGAATGCTTTTTTAAGTGGTTCACCTATCCCATTGTTTCTCATGTGTCAGGACCTTCCAGTTGGAATCTCCAGCCACCCCCAGTAGCTGACAGAGATTTAAAATCTCCCTGAAATGGATCTCCCAGAGGTAGAGCCAGGCCGCCATCTTTGCTGTTTGGGCAACTTAGTTATTTCCAGTCTTTGGGCTTTGGAAAGTACAAGCCAACTGGAGGTGGAAGCAGTCACCCAGCAGAGCGTAGCTGCTCTACAAAAACCTGGTCAGAGTGCTTTTAAAAGCAGGTCCCCAATCCCGTTCCTCCTCACTGGGCGGGACCTCCAAACTGGGGTCTCCAGCCAGTCTGTCTGGTGCTGTCTGGCTGATGGAGATTTGAAACCTCACTAGGACAGAGCTCCCAGAGGGAGGGACAGGCCACCAACTTCACTATTTGGGTGACTTAGCCATTCTGAGCTTTGGGTTTTGGAGAATTTGAGGTGACAGGGACTGAAGCAGACCCCCAGCACAGAATAGCTGCTCTATGAAAACGTGGCCACATTACTTTTTTAAGTGGGTCCTGTTCCTCCTCACTGGGTGGGACCTCCCAACTGGGGTCTCTAGCCACCTCCTGCAGGTACATTTGGGCCAGCAACAGGTTTATACCTCCTTGACATGGAGCTCCTAAAGGGAGGTGCAGACCAGCTTCTTTGCTGTTTGACAGCTTTCTCTGCTGATACTTCCAGGTACTAGAAAATCTGAGGTGACTAGGTACTGAATACCCAGCATATCACAGCAGCCCTTCGGAAAAGTGGCCAGACTGTTACATGGGTGCCTGTTCCCATATCTCCTCACCAGGCAGGTCCTCCAGGCCTGGGCCTCCAGGAATCCCCTGCCAGAGCAATTGAGTCTGTAGCTCTGCTACTCCCTGGTCAGATCCCCCAGGGGCAAATGAAAGCCTCTCTGCCACTGTCTCTACAGTGGAACTGCCCTTGCTACCCTTGGACTAACAAAGGAGCAAAGACCCTAAGTGCCTTATCTACACCTTCAAAAAGCTACAGTCAACACAAAAAAAGAAGTCCAGTCTGTCTGCCATGTGCCCCCTTCCACACACACTGTTTGTCACTAGACAGGAAACCCCCTGCTTAGGCCCATAGCATGGACCCTCCATCCTGGGCTGAGTGTACTGAGAAACTGCTGACCTGCATCTCTCCGGGTTGGAACCCCCAGGAGACAAGTAAAAGACCTTTGGCCATGACTACTGCTAAGGTCTGTTCATCTGCTGCCTCCACCTTGGGGAAGGAACATAAACACTGAGATCTCCCCAGAGATGCAGTGGGCAGCCCAGGAGTGCCAAGCCACGATCTATAGCCAGCACTCAAGGGGGAGAGGAACCCACACTTTCAGAGTGTTGACAGGGAATGTGGCTGCAACTGTGAGAAAACATAGGGGAGCCACACAACTGAGCAAGAATCTACCAATTGACCAGTCTGCCTAAGTTCCACCTACTGGATAACACCCCAAAGCTTCAACACCAAAAATACCTTGCTAACATACCCCACACTAAAACCAAAGACCAGAAGTCAGCTTCAAATAAGGACACTGCACAAAGCCTCAGCCCTGTGAAAACATCTGGAAAATAAGTCTCTTGACTGTATTCAATCTACACTGCAGTTAAAAAGAACACAAACTCACAAACTCTCAGAGATGAGAAAGAACCAATGCCAGAGCTCTGGTAATTCAAGTGGTCAGAGTGTTGTATGTCCCCCAAATGACTTCATCAGTTGTCCAACAGGAGTTCTTAACCAGGCTGAGGCGGTGAAAGTGACAGAAATAGAATTCAGAATATGGATAGGAACAAAGATTATAGAAATTCAGGAGAACAGAAAAACCCAATTAAAGGAAACTAAGAAGCACAATAAAATAATACAGAAGCTGACGGTTGAAAAAAGAACCTAATGAATCTGACAAAGCTGAATAACAAATACAAGAATTTCACAATGCAATCACAAGTATTAACAGCAGAATAAGCCAAGCTGAGGAAAGAATCTCAGAACCAGAAGACTGGCTCTCTGAAATAAGACAGTCAGACAAAAATAAAGAAAAAAGAATAATAAGGAATGGACAAAATCTCTGAGAAATATGGGAAAATGTTAAGAGGCCAGATCTGTAAATCATTGGCATCCCTGAAAGACAGAAGGAGAAAGCAAACAATTTGGAAAACATATTTCTGGGCATCATCCATGAAAAGCTCCCCAATCTTGCTAGAGAGGCCAACAGTCAAATTCAAAAAATACAGAGAAGTCCTGCAAGATTTGACCCAAGAAGATCATTCCCAAGACTCATAATCATCACATTTTCCAAGGTCAAAATGAAAGAAAGAATATCAAAGGCAGCTAGAGAGAAAGGGCAGGTCACCTACAAAGGGAACCCCATGAGGCTAACAGTGGACCTCTCAGCTGAAACCCTACAAGCCAGAAGAGATTAGGGGCCTATATTCAACATTCTTAAAGAAAAAAAAATATCTTCAATCAAGAATTTCACATCCAGCCAAACTAAAATTCCTAAGCAAAGGAGACATAAGATCCTTTTCAGAGAAGCAAATGTTGAGGGAGTTCATTACCACAAGACCTGCCTTTCAAGAGATCTTAAAAGGAACACTAAATATAGAAAAGAAAGATTGCTATGAGCTCGTACAAAAACACATTTAAATACCCAGACTGGTGACATTATAAAGCAATCACACAAACATAATAACCAGCTAACAACACAATGGTAGGATCAAATCCACACATATCAGTACTAACCTTGAATGTAAAGGGGTTGAATGCACTAAATGCACTTAAAAGACACAGAGTGACAAGCTGGATAAAAAATCAAGACCCAAGTGGTATGCTATCTTCAAGAGACCCATCTCACATGTAATGACACCTATAGGCTCAAAATAAAGGCATAGGGGAAAATCTACCAAGTAAATGGAAAACAGAAAAAAGCAGGGGATGAAATCCTAATTTCATATGAAAGAGACTTCAAACCAACAAAGATCAAAAAGACAAAGATGAACAAGGGCATTACATAATGCTAAAGTGTTCAATTGAACAAGAAGACCTAACTGTCCTAAATATTACATGCACCCAACATAGGAGCACTCAGATTCATAAAGCAAGTTCTTAGAGACCTACAAAAAGACATAGACTTCCACACAATAATAGCAGGAGACTTCAACATTCCATTGACAGTATTAGATGGATCACCAAGGCAGAAAATTAACAAAGACATTCAGAACCTGAACTCAACATTGTACCAAATGGATCTAATAGACCTTTACAGAACTTTCTACCCAAAAACAACAAAATACACATTCTTTTCATTGCCACATGGCACATACTCTAAAATTAAACACATAATTAGACATAAAAGAATACTCAGCAAGTGCAAAATAGCCAACATCCTACCAAACACACTGTCAGACTATATCACAATAAAAATAGAGGTCAAAACTAAGAAAAGAGCTCAAAACCATACAATTACCTGGAAATTAAACAACATGCTCCTAAATTAGTTTTGGGTAATTAATAACATCAAGGCAGAGATGAATAACTTCTTTGAAACTAATGAGAACAAAGATACAACATGCCAGAATCTCTGGGGCACAGCTAAGGCAGTGTTAAGAGGGAAATTCATAGCACTAAAATGTCCATATCAAAAAGTTAGATCTCAAATTAATACAATAGCATTACAACTGAAAGAGTTAGAGAAACATGAATACATCAACCCCAAAGGTAGCAGAAGACAGGAAATAACCAAAATCAGAGCTGAACTGAAGGAAATTGAGACACACAAAAAAATTCAAAAGATCAATGATTCCAGGAGTTGGTTTTTTGAAAAAAAAATAAAATAAAATAGCCCATTAGCTAGACTAAGAAGAAAAGAGAGAAGATCCAAATAAACACAATCAGATATGACAAAAGGAATGTTACCACTGACCTCACAGAACTAAAAATAACCATCAGAAACGACAAACACCTCTATGTACACAAACTAGAAAATTTAGAAGAAATTGATAAATTCCTGGACACACACACCCTTCCCTAGACTGAACCAGGTAGAAATTGAATCCCTTAACAGATCAATAATGAGCTCCAAAATTGAATCAGTAACAAATAGCCTACCAACCCAAAAAAGCTCAGGACCTTTTGAATTCACAGCCAAATTCTACCAGATGTACAATGAAGAGCTGGGACCATTCCAAAGGAAACTATTCCAAAAAACTGAGGAGGGACTCCTCCCTGACTCATTCTAAGAGGTCAGCATCATCCTCATATGAAAACCTGGCAGAGACACAACAAAAGAAGAAAACTTCAGGCCAATATCCTTGATGAACATTGATTCAAAAATCCTCAACAAAATACTGGCAAACCAAACAGCAGCCCATCAAAAAGCTAATCCACCATGATCAAGTAGGCCACATCCCTGGGATGCGATGTAGGTTCAACATACACAAACCAATAAATGCGATTCATCACATAAACAGAACTAAAGGCAAAAACCATGATTATCTCAATAGATGCAGAAAAGGCTTTTGATAAAATTCAACACCCTTCATGTTAAAAAGCTCTCAATAAACTAAATATTGAAGGAACATACCTCAAAATACTGAGCCATCTATGACAAACACACAACCAACATTATACTGAATGGGCACAAGCTGGAAGCATTCCCCTTGACAACCCACACAAGAGAAGGATGCCCTCTCTCACCACTCCTATTCAACACAGCATTGGAAGTTCTAGCCAGTGCAATCAGGCAAGAGAAAGAAATAAAAGGCATCTAAGTAGGGAGAGAGGAAGTCAAACTGTTCCTCTTTGCAGATGACATGATTCTGTATCGAGAAAATTCTGTAGTCTCATCTCAAAAGCTCCTTCAGCTAATAAAAAACTTCAGTAAAGTTTCAGGATACAAAATTAATGCACAAAAATCACTAATATTTCTACACACTAATAACAGCCAAACTGAGAGCCAAATCAGGAAGGCTTCCCATTCACAACTGCCACAAAAATAATATAATACCTAGAAGCACAGATAACCAAATCAGAGAAGACACACACACAAATGGAAAACATCCCATGCTCATCAATAAAAAGAATGATATTATTAAAATGGCCATATTGCCTAAAGCGATTTGTAGATTCAATGTTAGTCCTATCAAACTACCAATGACATTCTTCACAGAACTAGAAAAAACTATTTTGGAACTTATTTGGAGCCAGAAAAGAGCCCAGATAGCCAAGGCAATCCTAAGCAAAAAGAGAAAAGCTAGCTTTACTTAACTTCAGGGTACACTACAAGGCTACAGTAACCAAAACAGCATGGTACTGGTACAAAAACAAGCACATTGACTAATGGTACAGAACAGCCCAGAATTAAGGCCACACACCTACAACCATCTGATCTTTAAGAAAGCTGAAAAAAACAAGTAATGGAGAAGCCATATGCAGAAGATTGAAGTTTGACCCCTTCCTTACATCATATACAAAAATCAACTCAAGATTAAAGATTTAAATGTAAAACCCCAAACTATAAAAACCCTGGAAGACAACCTAGGCAGTACCATTCTGGACATAGGAGCAGGCAAACATTACATGACAAAGACACCAAAAGCAATCACAACAAAAGCAACAATTGACAAGTGGGATATAATTAAACTTCAGAGCATTTCCATGTGAAATTAAACTATCACCAGAGTAAACAGACAACCTAAAGAATGGAAGAAAATATTTGCCAACTATGCATATCCAGCATCTATAAGGAACCTAAACAAATTTGCCAGATAAAATTAAATAATCTCATTAAAAAGTAGGCAAAGGACATGAGCAGAGACTTTCCAAAATAAGACATAGATTTGGCCAATAAGCATATGAATGAAAGCTCAATATCACTGATCATTAGAACAATGTAAACCAAAACCACAATGAGATACAATCTCACACCAGTCAGAATGGTTATTATTAAAAAGTAAAATGAAAACAGATACTAACAAAGTTGCAGAGAAAAAGGAACACTTATACACTACTGGTGGGAGTGAAAATTAGTTCAACCATTGTGGAAAGCAGTATGGCAATTCCTCAAAGAGCTAAAAGTGGAACTACCATTTGACCCATCAATCCCATTACTGGGTATATAACCAGAGGCATATAAATCAGTCTGCCATGAAGACACGTGCATGTGAATGTTCATTGTGGCACTATTCACAATAACAAAGACATGGAATCAACCTAAATGCCCATCAGTGACACACAGGTAAAAGAAAATGTGGTACATATACACCATGAAATACTATGCAGCCATAAAAAAGGACAAGATCATGTTTTTGTGTGTGTGTGTGGGAACATAGATGGAACTAGAGGCTATTAGCCTTAGTAACCTAATGCAGAAACAGAAAACCACATATCGCATGTTCTCAGTTATGAGTAGGAGATAAATCATGAGAACTCATGAATACAAAGAAGGTAACATCAGACACTGGGGTCTACTTGAGGGCGGAGAGTAGGAGGATGGAGAGGAGCAGAAAAGATAACTGTTAGATACTGTACTTAATACCTGGATGATGAAATAATCTATACAACAAACCCCTGTGACATGAATTTGCTTATGTAACAAATCTTCACATGTACCCCTGAACCTAAAATAAGTTTTTAAAATAAAAATTTTTTAAAATAAAGTATATATACTTTATATATATATAAATAAAATTTATATATTTTATTTATATATATATATAAAGTATATATATATGAAATGTTATACCCAATTTTGGAAGTGAAGCCTGGTTAAAGGTGTTTGCGTCATGGGGGAGGATACCTCATGGCTGTCTTTGTGATAGTGAGTGAGTTCTGGTTTTGTAAAGTGTGGCACCTCCACTCCGTTGTTCCAGCTTCCACAGTGTGATATGCCTGCCCCCATTCACCTTCTGCTTCCTGAACCATCCCTAGAAACAGTGGCTGGTGCCATGCTTCCTGTGTAGCCTGTAGCACTGTGAGCCAATAAAATATTCTTAAAAAACAAAAATTACCCAGTTTCAGGTATTTCTTTATAGCAATGCGAGAATGGCCTAAAAACAGTTGTAAATGTAAAATGTTGTAAACATAATGATATGTGTCAAAAGCATGTATCTTTTTGGTAGAACAATTTATTTTCTTTTGGATATATACCCAGTAATGGGATTGCTGTGTTGAATGATATCTCTAAGCTCTTTGACAAATCTCCAAAGTGTTTTCTACAGTGCCTGAACTAGTTTACATTCCCACCAACAATATATAAGCGTTTCCTTTTCTCTGCAGCCTCACCAGCATGTGTTGTTTTTTGGCTTTTTAGTAGTAGCCATTCTGACTGGTGTGAGATGGTATCTCACTGTGGTTTTGATTTGTATTTCTCCTGTAAAGAATAGTGATATGGAGCATTTTTTTTCAAGTTTCTTGGCCACTTGTGTGTATTTTGAAAAGTGTCTTTTGCCCATTTTTAAATGGGGTTATTTGCTTTTTTCTTGTTCAATTGTTTAACTTTCTTTTGGATTCTGAATATTAGTCCTTTGTTGGATGCACAGTTTGCAAATATTTTCTTGCATTCTGTAGATTGTCAGTTTTCTCTGTCAATAGTTTCAAATCCTGTGCAGGAGCCCTTTACTTTAATTAGGTACCACTTGTCAATTTTTGCTTTTGTTGCAATTGCATTTGAGGACTTAGTCATAAATTCTTTCCAAATGCTGATGTCCAGAATGGTGTTTTCTAGATCTTCTGCTATGATTCTTACAGTTTACAGTCATACATTTAGATCTTTAATTCATATTGAGTTAATTTTTGTAAATCGTGAAAGGCAGGGGGTCAGTTTTGTTCTTCTGCCTATGGCTAGCCAGCTATCCCAGCACCATTTATTGGATGGGAGTTTATTTTGTTGAATCTCTCACAGATCAGGTGGTTATAGGTATGCAGCTTTATTTCTAGGTTCTCTTCTCTGTACCGTTGGTCTATGTGTCTGTTTTTGTAGAGTACCATACTGTTTTGGTTACTGTAGCCTTATAGTATAGTTTGAAGTCAGATAATGCAATGCTTCCAACTTTGTCCCAGTTGTCAAAGGGAATGCTTTCAGTTTTTGCCCATTCAATCTGATGTTGGCTGTGGGTTTGTCATAGATGGATCTTTTTTGGTTTGAGGTATTTTCTTTGATACCTAGTGTGTTGAGAGTTTTTATCATGAAGGGATGTTGGCTTTTATCAAAAGCTCTTTCTGCGTCTATTGAGATGATCACATAGCTTTTGTTTTTAATTCTCTTTATGTGGTGAATCACATTTATTGACTCACATGTGTTTAACCAACCACCTTGCTTCCTAGAAATGAAGTTTACTTATTCATGGTGAACTAACCTTTTCATGTGCTGTTGGATTCATTTAGCTAGAATTTTTTGAGGATTTTTGTATGTATGTTAATCAGGGATGTTGGTCGGTAGTTTCTTCATTGTGTTTTTGCCACGTTTTCATATCTGCATGATGCTGGCTTTGTAGAATTAGTTAGGGAAAAGTAGCTCCTTCTCAATTTTTTTGAATAGCTTCAGTAGAATTGGTACCAGCTCTTCTTTGTATGTCTGGCAGAATTCAGCTGTGAATCCACCTGGTCCAGAGCTCTTTTTGGTTGGAAGATTTTTTTAAAAATTACTGATTCAATTTTGGAACTTGATATTGGTCTGCTCAAGGTTTCTGTTTTTTCCTGATTTGATCTTGGGAGATTGTGTGCTTATAGGTATTTATTAATTCCTCTAGATTTTCTAGTTTGTGCCAAAAGAAGTGTGATAATAGTCTCTGAGAATCTTTTATATTTCTGTGGGATCAGTTGTAATGTCATCTTTGTCATTTCTGATTGAGCTTACTTGGAACTTCTACTCTTTTTGTTGTTGTTGTTAACTTAGCTAGCGGTTTATTGGTCTTGTTCATCCTTTCAAAGAACTGACTTTTGGTTTCATTGATTCTGTATATAGATTTTTGGGTCTCAATTTCATTCAGTTCTGCTCTGATTGTAATTATTTCTTTTTCTTCTGCTAGCTTTGAGGTTAGTTTGTTCTTGTTTTTTTAGTTCCTCAAGATGTGATGTTAGATTGTCAATTTGAAATCTTTCTTCTTTTTTTTTTTTCTCTTGAGACAGACTCTCATTCTAACCCCCAGGCTGGTGTGTGCATGGCACGATTTCAGCTCACTGCAACCTCCGCCTCCTAGGTTCAAGCGGAAATCTTTCTAACTTTTTAAAGTAGCCATTTAGCACCATAATTTTCCTCTTAACAATGCTTTTGCTGCATACCAGGGATTTTGGTATGTTGTTTTTCTGTTTTTATTTATTTCAAATAATTTTTTGATTTCTGCTTTAATTTTTCTGTTTACCCAAAAGTAATTCAGGAATAAGTTGTTTGATTTCCGTGTTGTTGTGTGGTTTTGAGAGATCTTCTGGTATTGATTTCTATTCTTATTCCACTGTAGTCCAAGGATATGGTTCATATGATTTCAGTTTTTTTGAATTTGTTGAGATTTACTTTATGACTGAGCATGTGTTCGATCTTTGACTATGTTGCATATGCAGATAAGAAGAGTATATATTCTGTAATTGATAAATGGAGCATTCTGTAGATGTCTAGTAGGCCCAGTTGGTCAAGTGTCAAATTTAAGTCTAGTAGGCCCAGTTGGTCAAGTGTCAAATTTAAGTCAAGTGTCAAATTTAAGTCTAGCCCCAGTGATCTAACACTGTCAGTAGTGTGTTGAAGTTCCCCACTATAATTATGTGGCTGTCTAAATTTTTCTGTAGTTCTAGAAGTACTTGTTTTATGAATCTGGGTGCTCCAATGTTGGGTGCATATATATTTAGGATAGTTAAGTCTTCTTGTTGCATCCAACCATTTATCCACATGTAATGCCCTTCTTTGTACTTTTGTGCCATTGTTGTTTTAAAGTCTGTTTTATCTGACATTAGGATAGTGACCCCTGTTCTTTTCTGTTTCCTTTTGCATGATAACTCTTTCTCCAACCCTTTACTTTGAGCCTATGGGTGTCATTATGTGTGACATGGGTCTCTTGAAGATAACAGATTAATGGGCCTTATTTTTAAATCCAACTTGCCACTCCGCCCATTTTAAGTGGGGCATTTAGACCATTTAAATGACCTTGAGCTTTTTGATGAGCACATGTCACATGTTTCATAAGCCGTTTCTAAATTTAAATTTGTTTAATATAGTTTTCAGGGTTAGAATGGGCTTATGAGGTTTTGTGAAGCTCACCCCCCAAAAGTGCCATTTTTATCACATCGTACCAAGGGTCTGTAGTATCTACATAATTTAAGACTACTATCTTTAATCACTTGGCTGGGGTAGTGTCTGTCAAGTTTCTCTATTCTAAAGTTATTCTTCTTCTCACTTCTTATGGTTTACTCTTTAGCAAGAAGTCACTATGCACAGGCTTCATTTAAGGAATTGTGAATTATATTTAACCTCCTTGAGGGTGAAGTATCTCCATAAATTGTTTGGAATTCTTCGGCAGGGGAGATTTGTTTATGTTATTTCATTCTAATTAAATTAATGACCAAACTAATAAACTAATTCTAGTTAGTTGAATTTTTTTTATAATTTGGATTATAATATAATAATTTTTTACTTATTTTGCTGCTCAGATAATTTCAGTTTTGGTCATTGAAGTTCTTTCCAGTTGCCCCATATCCGTCTGACATACTCAATAGTTGTGAGTTGTTGTTTTTTTTTTTTTTTTTTTTCAGCATTCCCTTATTTTCTGGCACTATAAAATCCTCTGGAATCATCTTTTATATTTTCTGTCTTAGCCCTAGCTTCAGCCATTTCTCTAAGTAGCCCTGTTTTCTTTTGTTGGAGAATGGTATTAGAAACCATGATACGGTGCTAGGTGTGTTTGCTATAACTGAAATATCCTTGATTCTAGGACTTCTCAGCTGACAGAGCAAGAAATATTTTTATATATGCTATCTCATTTACTACATTTCATTTTTATTTAACTAAATTTAATACGTTTAATTTTAAAATATGCATAACTCAACCCAAGTATCTTAACATTTTAAATCTAGTAGTGTATCTATCATTTGATCTGTATATAGGTATACAGGTAATTCTGCAATGATATACTCTTAATAGTACTGATTATTAATTTCGGGTGCTGAGATGTTGATTGTAATTTTATATATACGCTGAATTTTTCGTAATGTGAAGATGCTAAAAATCAAGTCACTTATTTAAAAAGAGGAAGGAAGAAAGGAAGGAAAGGAAGGAAAAGAAGGAAAGGAAGGAAAGGAAGAAGGAAGGGAGAGAGGGAAAGGAAAGAAAAAAATAGAGGAAATGAGGAAAGGAAAAGGAAAAAAGTTTGAGAAGATAATTCCATGATTAAAGTCACAGCCCTTCACACATGTAACCTGTAACCTGATTAGATCAATCTCTCCTAGCTTTAACTATTTCATAACATACCTTGAGAGAGTTGATAAATCTACTTTTTATTTATTGACTTGTGTGTAACAGGAAAGTGTCAAAACTTTTAACAACTTTTTTGTTCACTGCTGCTTCCTAGTGTAACATTTTTCAAAGCATATTAAGTAACAATTAGGGATCCAAATTTAAAAGTTGAAATGTAACCCCTAGCATAGTGCCAGTAACTAAACTGAGGTGACAGATAAACAGTTATCCTCTCTCTCTCTCTGTCTCTCTCACACACACACACACTCACAGAGCTACATTTGCCTACCTATAAGCAGTGACAGCTATGTTAAAACTTAGGCCAGTAACTTTTTGGCTTTGAGAAGTATCTTGATTTCAGAAACAAGTGGAGATAGAATAAAGTACAGCTTAGAATCAAGCCAATGTGATCTTTCCTGTTTTTGGGAAAACATAGGGCTAAACTGTGAACCCAGGTCAGCCATATAGATCAGAGCCTTCTATCTGTGTGGTATAAAAACCCTTTTATATTTTAATTACTTACGAATTGGTAATTCATGTGAGCCACATTTGGAAAAATCCCCCAAATCAAAGATAATATAATCAAAGACATTAAAGCAGGAAAGTATCTTTTAAATTAAGCCAGTTAAAGTCCTCCCTAAATATACATACTTCCATTTCTCTTAATAAAGTAATGAAGACTCAAACAATAATTTTCTAAATTCATAGCAAAGTCAGGACTAACATCCACTTTCTGTCTCTCTGCCCAAGGCACTTTCCACTTCACCATCCTACCACAGTGCATCTTATCTCATGACCTATAATAGATAATTAGAGATCTGGAGTAAATAACTCAGCCTGTAATTGAGAGAAAACATTACGTAGTTGGTCAAGGTGAGCTCATTACTCATAGGATAATATTTGAGAGACCCAGTCTGCTTCATATTCCCTGCTCTAATCCTCCTGGCTCACATTTGAACCATATATATATATATATATACACACATACACACACATATATATATATATACACACACACACATATATATACACACATATATATATATGAATTACATATATATGAAATTGGAAATAGAATAATTTACCTAGTTTAATTAAAATAATAACAACACTGTATGTACCTTCAAGAAAAAAATATTATTTTGCCCTAAAATTTTCCTTCTGGGAGTCCAGAAGGGACTATTATCGAATGTTCTGCCTTCTAACAGCTATGTTTGCTTTCAGTGCATTTTAAGTGGAATATTTTTCACCCTTCTGAGGAGGGCAGACAAAGACTTTAATTAAACAAACATCATATGGGAACTCTTGCCCCAAAAGCCATTAGTGGCCCTAATTAGCAGATGCAGCTGTAGACTCTATCAATATTAGATGGTCTGTTTATTGTGTCCATTTATATCACCCTCATCAGGGAGCATGTGGAAGGCACCCAAGAATTATCAACTTCAATTAAAACTAGCTCAAATAGTGAAGAAAATATCCCAGGCGAAAATGGGTCATGTAGAAGAGGAAGATTTTTTTTTAAAGCATTCTGGGAATATTACCAAGCCTTCTTTGGGAAAACTAGAGGATGTTTGATGATCTTATTGTCAACAACTGCCTGAGAGAAGCACAGACAATTGAGAGATAGGCTGGATTACACAGATGAGTAGCCAAGTAAGTCAGAGCATATCCCTCCTCTTCCTGGGGTTTCCAAGTACCTACCAGGACTCCAGGAGGCTTCATGCTAAGTAGGCTTGGAGGTGGCACATTTATTTAGGCATACTCATTAAATTCATCGTTCCAGGAATTATATAAAGTTAGATCTGGAAGTTCCTGGAAGGTTATTTTATGGATCTCATATGTAATATGTTATAAAATTATCATTATTTATTCAATTTCTGCTGTGCTTTTAGGTATTATTCTTATATTCACAACCCAAATCTGGTATTTTGCATTTTTCAGATAAAGTATTTAAGGCTCGAAAGTTTTAAGTGCTTTCCAAATGTCGTAGAATTAGTACGTACTAGAACCAGAATCTGAACTTCTATCTGATTCTGAATCCCAGACAGCTTTCTATACCATAGGGCTTCTCTGTATTAGTCAAAATAATTTAATATTTTGGCAAATAGTTTGTTAACATAAATAATTGAAGACCCACAACTTGAGTTTAAGCCCTTTCCCATTTTTCTAAATTCTCCTAGTCCCAGTTTATTTATTTATAGAATCAGAATAGTGCTTCTCAAAAATTGGTTTATATGAGATAAACTATGTAAAAAGATTTTGGTTGTGGGATATGCATAATAATTCCATTTCAGATCCTATTCTCACTTACATTTTACCATGACCTTATTTTAGACAGTTTGAGTGACGAATTCTTGATATCTCTTTGGAGGCTTATTGGGCTTGGTAACATAAAGCCTCACTGAAGGATAAGACATGATGTAATTGATCTTTGTGCTCTACAGAAATATAAGCTTCCTTTATTTATTCTAATTCCCAAGGAAACAACTGCTGGAGATATGTTTCTGCAGTATGAAAATTGTGAAATTTCAAAGAGATCATGATAAGCCAGAAGTAAGAAAGCTGCAATAGTTTAGAGTATGCTTCCCAAAAGTTTCTAGAAAGTGTCCTTAAAGGCACAGCAAAATGAATTTGTGTCTCCATGTGGTTTGAATGCCCTACATCTACCATGACATTTATTGAAAGATATAATTTATCGGTCGGGCGCAGTGGCTCATGCCTATAATCCCAGCACCTTGGGAGGCTGAGGCAGGCAGATCACCTGAGGTCAGGAGTTCGAGACCAGCCTGGCCAACATGGTGAAACCCTGTCTCTACTAAAAATACAAAAATTAGCCGGGCATGGTAATCCCAGTTACTCGGGAGGCTGAGGCAGGAGAATCGCTTGAACCCAGGAGGCAGAGGTTGCAATGAGCTGAGATCACACTATTGTACTCCAGCCTGTGAGACCGAGGAAGACTCCGGCTCAAAAAAAAAAATAGTGCAGTTCTGTACTCTGCAGTATATATGCTTTTTAGATTTAAAATCACTAAATCATGTGTTGACCCCCTTCACAATCTTTCATGTCATCCAATCATGCCATGTTCCAAAAATGTGCCGTCTTTATCCTGTGGCTCCTGGTGCCTCACTGGAACATCCCTAAGAAGTCCTAGAGAGGTACAATATTCTAGTGTAAGATGTATCTGTTTAGAAAGTATTTCATCCAAGCTAAAAATAAGCCAAAAATGATTTTTGCCTCTAGTAATTATTTCTGAGGCGATTGTCATGAAAATAGTTGCTTTTTGGCACTAGATCTAACATTCTGATAGTAATCCTTGGAGGTCAATTATTCCTGGATGAGAATGACAGGCAAGAGGAAACAGTTTGGGGTCACTATTTATATACTAGAATATTAAACCTTAAGTACCTCAGTTAACTTATTGTTCAAATGGAAGCAAGATTTAATGAAAAATAATAAGACGTCATAGTCCATAGTCTTTCAGTTTTATAGCTGATTTTATCTCTAGGTTTACTTTCAAAGCAGGTGTCATGGTCCATTTCTCAGACCCCTCCATTCAGGCCTGAGACCCTCAGTCCCCTAGTTTCCCCAGCTGTAGCAAATGTTGACTGCCTCACAGCTGAATCCCTCTCCAGGAATTGGTTATGGCTGTCAGCTGAATCCCTCTCCAGGCATTTCCTTCTAAGGGCACCACCTGGTCCAAGGTTAGCCCAGGATCTTATGCCACAATCCAGACCATCCCCGAAGTGCCACCCCAGTTCCAGAGCTCCCAAGCAGATTGGTTCTGTTGTTACTGTGTTACAAGTCAGTTTTTCCTTTTATTCAGTCCTACTTCCTTCATCCCTTTTCAGGTACTGTTCCTGCAAACAAATATCTACCCTAGAGTCTATTTACTGAGAAAGCTAGTTTACGAGAGCTTCCCATACTAGCAAGCTAGCTGCCTTTAATTCTCCCTACCCAGTGGTTTCTTTAGACACCATCTTTAAATTGAAATGTGAGAATAAAATAGAAACTATGTGAATCTGAAACATCATTGGCATGTGATAGGTAAGGATAGTCAGCAAAGTGATTATTTCCAATTCCACTAGTTTTAGTGAGAGCACTTATGCTTCAGGCACTAAACTGAATTTACTCGGTCTTGCTGATTTTCACAACAAACATATGGCATAAGTATTAGTATACTTGTTTAGGAAATAAACTGAGATTTATTTACTTGCTTAAAGTCATAGGGTTAGTACATTGTGAAATTAGAATTTGAACCCACGTCCTCCTTCTCCAAGTCTAGCAGTTTCTAATCTATCTGTGAACCATTGTGCAGTTTACAGTATTTTCAACTCTCTGCCTTCTGAGCACATGGTAGAATTGTACTTCACTACCGTTGTAATGTTAAATATGGCCATACAGCTTGCTTTGGTTAATGAAATGTGAACAAAAAAGCTGGTGCCTTTTTGCTTTATTTCCCTCCCCTGCCACAGGGAGTGGTGATGTTCTAAATGATAGTGGCTCAAAACTTTGTGTCCCTGAATGGAGACAGCATGGTACAGGATTCCCAGCACAACTCAAGGTAGTCACGGAGCATCAGGGAAAAATAATCTTAGTTGTGTTAAGTGACTACTGCCCATGAATTGTTTGTTATCACAATATAGCATAAATTGATGGATACATAAATTTCAACTAAAGAACAGATTAATTTTTTAACCCAAGATGTACTCATGGAGAATTGCCATTTTTTTTTTTGCTAGAATTGTAATGTCCTTAACATCAGAATTTGTTTTATAATGTAATGTAATTGAAAGAGTTTGGATTTTGCAACTACATAGACTTAATTTAATTTGAATTTCTGATCTAACATAATTGATTAATGACCTTGGGTTTTCATTTCCCTTTCTCAGCCCTCTTTAGTCATCTATAAAATGAGGCTAATAATATTTTCATTATAGCATTGATGTGATAGTTTCATAAAATAAAGTCTGTAAAGCTTTTAGCAAATTGCCTGACACTATTAATATCTATTAATAGTAACAAATAAGTGTTTTATAGAATGCAGTCTTCTCACCTTTGCATCTGAAAGTTATTGTTAAAAATATAGATTCCCAAGGCCCATTCCAGACCTATTGAATTAGAATCTCCAGGTATGAACTACATTTTGAACAAACTCCTTCGGTAATTCTTCACTGAGATAGAAAAATTATTGCACTAAACAAATGTTAAATACTTCTATATACACATATATAAATGGTTTCGACTGCCAAAAAGCCTTCCACAAAGTTCTTGAAATGATCTTAGAACTAAATAGGAAAGTATCACCCAGTGCACTATAGATGCATCAAAGTAAACTCAGCAGAGGATTTGGGGGACTACAAGGCATACTTCAAAGGGATAGCATCTTAAAAAAAAAAAAAAACTTGGTGAATTCTTTGTCTCTAAGTATCATGAGAAACACAGTCTGATGAGGGTAATCTTAGCTGATGACGAAGGAGGGTGTGGGACTTGAAGGCTGGCTGAAGTGAATCAGATGCCTATGAAATGAGGATGACTGCCAGTGAAAATCAGCCAAGGACACTTTGATCAGCGACTCATGCAAGTGAGCAATTATAACTCCGGAAATTCTGGAAATTTTCTGGTGGAATTCTAGCCCAGAAATTTTAGTTCCATTGTTTTAGGAAAAGAGGTGGTTTTGATTCCTGCTAGAGTTTTTGGTAGCAGTGAGTGACTTTGGAACTGAATATTATTATCCAAACCCCCTTCTCTCTAGGTCACTTTTCTTTTTTCTTTTTATTATTATTATTATAGTTTAAGTTCTAGGGTACATGTGCACAACGTGCGGGTTTGTTACATAGGTATACATGTGCCATGTTGGTGTGCTGCACCCATTAACTTGTCATTTACATTAGGTATATCTCCTAATGCTATCCTTCCCCCCTCCCCCATCCCACAAAAGGCCACGGTGTGTGATGTTCCCCTTCCTGTGTCCAAGTGTTCTCATTGTTCAATTCCCACCTATGAGTGAGAACATGCATTGTTTGGTTTTTTGTCCTTGCAATAGTTTGCTGAGAATGATGGTTTCCAGCTTCATCCATGTCCCTACAAAGGATATGAACTCATCATTTTTTATGGCTGCATAGTATTCCATGGTGAATATGTGCCACATTTTCTTAATCCAGTCTATCATTGTTGGACATTTGGGTTGGTTCCAAGTCTTTGCTATTGTGAATAGTGCCGCAATAAACATATGTGTGCATGTGTCTTTATAGCAGCATGATTTATAATCCTTTGGGTATACACCCAGTAATGGGATGGCTGGGTCAAATGGTATTTCTAGTTCTAGATCCCTGAGGAAACGCCACACAGTCTTCCACAATGGTTGAACTAGTTTACAATCCCACCAACAGTGTAAGTGTTCCTATTTCTCCACATCCTCTCCAGCACGTTGTTTCCTGACTTTTTAATGATGACCATTCTAACTGGTGTGAGATGGTATCTCATTGTGGTTTTGATTTGCATTTCTCTGATGGCCAGTGATGATGAGCATTTTTCATGTGTCTTTTGGCTGCATAAATGTCTTCTTTTGAGAAGTGTCTGTTCATATCCTTTGCCAACTTGATGATGGGGTTGTCTGTTTTTTTCTTGTAAGTTTGTTTGAGTTCATCGTAGATTCTGGATATTAGCCCTTTGTCAGATGAGTAGATTGCAAAAATTTTCTCCCATTCTGTAGGTTGCCTGTTCACTCTGATGGTAGTTTCTTTTGCTGTGCAGAAGCTCTTTAGTTTAACTAGATCCCATTTGTCAATTTTGGCTTTGGTTGCCATTGCTTTTGGTGTTTTAGACATGAAGTCCTTGCCCATGCCTATATCCTGAATGGTATTGCCTAGGTTTTCTTCTAGGGTTTTTGTGGTTTTAGGTCTAACATTTAAGTCTTTAATCCATCTTGAATTGATTTATGTATAAGGTGTAAGGAAGGGATCCAATTTCAGCTTTCTACATATGGCTAGCCAGTTTTCCCAGCACCATTCATTAAACAGGGAATGCTTCCCCCATTTCTTGTTTTTGTCAGGTTTGTTAAAGATCAGATGGTTGTAGATGTGTGGTATTATTTCTGAGGGCTCTGTTCTGTTCCATTGGTCTATATCTCTGTTTTGGTACCAGTACGATGCTGTTTTGGTTACTATAGCCTTGTAGTATAGTTTGAAGTCAGGTAGCGTGATGCCTCCAGCTTTGTTCTTTTGGCTTAGGATTGTCTTGGCAGTGTGGGCTCTTTTTTGGTTCCATATGAACTGTAAAGTAGGTTTTTCCAATTCTATGAAGAAAGTCATTGGTAGCTTGATAGGGATGGCATTAAATCTATAAATTACCTTGGGCAGTATGGCCATTTTCATGATATTGATTCTTCCTACCCATGAGCATGGAATGTTCTTCCATTTGTTTGTGTCCTCTTTTATTTCGTTGAGCAGTGTTTTGTAGTTCTCCTTGAAGAGGTCCTTGTCATCCCTTGTAAGTTGGATTCCTGGGTATTTTATTCCCTTTGAAGCAGTTATGAAAGAGAGTTCACTCATGACTTGGCTGTCTGTTTGTCTGTTATTGGCGTATAAGAATGCTTGTGATTTTTGCTCATTGATTTTGTATCCTGAGACTTTGCTGAAGTCGCTTATCAGCTTAAGGAGATTTTGAGCTGAGACAATGGGGTTTTCTAAATATACAATCTTGTCATCTGCAAACAGGGACAATTTGACTTCCTCTTTTCCTAATTGAATAACCTCTATTTCTTTCTCCTCCCTGACTGCCCTGGCCAGAACTTCCAACACTATGTTGAATAGGAGTGGTGAGGGAGGGCATCCCTGTCTTGTGGCAGTTTTCAAAGGGAATGCTTCCAGTTTTTGCCCATTCAGTATGATATTGGCTATGGGTTTGTCATAGATAGCTCTTATTATTTTGAGACACGTCCCATCAATACCTAATTTATTGAGAGTTTTTAGCATGAAGGGCTGTTGAATTTTGTCAAAGGCCATTTCGGCATCTATTGAGATAATCATGTGGTTTTTGTCATTGGTTCTGTTTATATGCTGGATTATGTTTATTGATTTGCGTATGTTGAACCAGCCTTGCACCCCAGGGATGAAGCCCACTTGATCATGGTGGATAAGCTTTTTGATGTGCTGCTGGATTCGGTTTGCCAGTATTTTACTGAGGATTTTTGCATCAATGTTCATCAGGGATATTGGTCTAAAATTCTCTTTTTTTGTTGTGTCTCTGCCAGGCTTTGGTATCAGGATGATGCTGACCTCATGAAATGAGTTAGGGAGGATTCCCTCTATTTCTATTGATTGGCATAGTTTCAGAAGGAATGGTACCAGCTCCTGCTTGTGCCTCTGGTAGAATTCGGCTGTGAATCCATCTGGTCCTGGACTTTTTTTGGTTGGTAGGCTATTAATTATTGCCTCAATTTCAGAGCCTGTTATTGGACTATTCAGGGATTCAACTTCTTCCTGGTTTAGTCTTGGGAGCGTGTATGTGTCGAGGAATTTATCCATTTCTTCTAGATTTTCTAGTTTATTTGTGTGGAGGTGTTTATAGTATTCCCTGATGGTAGTTTGTATTTCTGTGGAATCAGTGGTGATATCCCCTTTATCATTTTTTATTGTGTCTATTTGATTCTGCTCTCTTTTCTCCCTTATTAGTCTTGCTAGCAATCTATCAATTTTGTTGATCTTTCAAAAAACCAGCTCCTGGATTCATTGATGTTTTTGAAGGGTTTTTTGTGTCTCCATCTCCTTCAGTTCTGCTCTGATCTTAGTTATTTCTTGCCTTCTGCAAGCTTTTGAATGTGTTTGCTCTTTCTTCCCTAGGTCTTTTAATTGTGATGTTAGGGTGTCAATTTTAGATATTTCCTGCTTTCTCTTGTGGGCATTTACTGCTATAAGTTTCCCTCTACACACTGCTTTAAATGTGTCCCAGAGATTCTGGTGTGTTGTGTCTTTGTTCTCACTAGTTTCAAAGAACATCTTTATTTCTGCCTTCATTTCATTATGTACCCAGTAGTCATTCAGGAGCAGTTTGTTCAGTTTCCATGTAGTTGAGCAGTTTTGAGTGAGTTTCTTAATCCTGAGCTCTAATTTCATTGCACTCTGGTCTGAGAGACAGTTATAATTTCTTTTCTTTTACATTTGCTGAGGAATGCTTTACTTCCAACTATGTTATCAACTTTGGAATAAGTGCGATGTAGTGCTGAGAAGAATGTATATTCTGTTGATATCGGGGGAGAGTTCTGTAGATGTCTATTAGGTCTGCTTGGTGCAGAGCTGAGTTCAATTCCTGGATACCCTTGTTAACTTTCTGTCTTGTTGATCTGTCTAATGTGGACAGTGGGGTGTTAAAGTCTCCCATTATTATTGTGTGGGAGTCTAAGTCTCTTTGTAGGTCTCTAAGGACTTGCTTTATGAATCTGGGTGCTCCTGTATTGGGTGAATATGTATTTAGGATAGTTAGCTCTTCCTGTTGAATTGATCCCTTTACCATTATGTAATGGCCTTCTTTGTCTCTTTTGATCTTTGTTGGTTTAAAGTCTGTTTTATCAGAGACTAGGATTGCAATCCCTGTCTTTTTTTGTTTTCCATTTTCTTGGTAGATCTTCCTCCATGCCTCTATTTTAAGCCTATGTGTGTCTCTGCACGTGAGATGGGTCTCCTGAATGCAGCACACTGATGGGTCTTGACTCTTTATCCAATTTGCCAGTCTGTGTCTTTTAATTGGAGCATTTAGCCCATTTACATTTAAGGTTAATATTGTTATGTGTGAATTCGATCCTGTCATTATGATGTTAGCTGGTTATTTTGCTTGTTAGTTGTTGCAATTTCATCCTAGCATCAATGATCTTTATAATTTGGCATGTTTTTGCAGTGGCTGGTACTGGTTCTTCCTTTCCATGTTTAGTGCTTCCTTCAGGAGCTCTTGTAGAGCAGGCCTGATGGTGACAAAAATCTCTCAGCATTTGCTTGTCTGTAAAGGATTTTATTTCTCCTTCACTTATGAAGCTTAGTTTGGCTGGATATGAAATTCTGGGTTGAAAATTCTTTTCTTTAAGAATGTTGAATATTGACCCCCACTCTCTTCTGGCTTGTAGAGCTTCTGCCAAGAGATCAGCTGTTAGTCTGATGGGCTATCCTTTGTGGATAACCCGACCTTTCTGTCTGGCTGCCCTCAACATTTTTTCCTTCATTTCAACTTTGGTGACTCTGACAATTATGTGTCTTGGAGTTGCTCTTCTCAATGAGTATCTTTGTGGCATTGTCTGTATTTCCTGAATTTGAATGTTGGCCTGCCCTGCTAGATTGGGGAAGTTCTCCTGGATAATATTCTGCAGAGTGTTTTCCAACTTGCTTCCATTCTCCCTGTCACTTTCAGGTACACCAGTCAGACATAGATTTGGTCTTTTCACATAGTCCCATATTTCTTGGAGGCTTTGTTCATTTCTTTTTACTCTCTTTTCTCTAAACTTCTCTTCTTGCTTCATTTCATTCATTTGATCTTCAATCACTGATACCCTTTCTTCCAGTTGATTGAATTGGCTACTGAAGCTTGTGCATTCATCATGTAGTTCTCGTGCCATGGTTTTCAGCTCCATCAGGTCATTTAAGGACTGCTGTACACTGGTTTTTCTAGTTAGACGGACGTCTAATCTTTCTTCAAGGTTTTTAGCTTCTTTGCAATGGGTTTGAACTTCCTCCTTTAGCTTGGAGAAGTTTGATCATCTGAAGCCTTCTTCTCTCAACCTGTCAAAGTCATTCTCCATCCAGCTTTGTTCCATTGCTGGCAAGGAGCTGCGTTCCTTAGGAGAGGGAGAGGCACTCTGATTTTTAGAATTTTCAGCTTTTCTGCTCTGTTTTTTCCCTATCTTTGTGGTTTTATCTACCTTTGGTCTTTGATGATGGTGACGTATAGATGGGGTTTTGTTGTGTATGTGCTTTCTGTTTGTTAATTTTCCTTGTAACAGTCAGGACCCTCAGCTGCAGGTCTGTTGGAGTTTGCTGGAGCTCCACTCTAGACCCTGTTTGCCTGGGTATCAGCAGCGGAGGCTGCAGAATAGCGAATATTGCTGAACAGCAAATGTTGCTGCCTGATCATTCGTCTCAGAGGGGTACCCGGCCGTGTGGGGTGTCAGTCTGCCTCTACTGGGGGGTGCCTCCCAGTTAGGCTACTCGGGGGTCAGGGACCCACTTGAGGAGGCAGTCTGTCCGTTCTCAGATCTGAAATTCCACGCTGGGAGAACCACTACTCTCTTCAAAGCTGTCAGACAGGGACATTTAAGTCTGTAGAGGTTCCTCCTGCCTTTTGCTCGGCTATGCCCTGCCCCCAGCGGTGGAGTCTACAGAGGTAGGCCTCCTTGAGCTGCAGTGGGCTCCACCCAGTTCAAGCTTCCCAGCTGCTTTCTTTACCTACTCAAGCCTCAGCAATGGCGGGCACCACTGCCGCAGCCTTGCTGCCACCTGGAAGTTTGATCTCAGACTGCTGTGCTAGCAATGATTGAGGCTCCGTGGGTGTGGGTCCCTCCTAGCCAGATGCCAGATATTATCTCTTGGTGTGCCATTTGCTAAGACCATTGGAAAAGCTCGGTATTAGGGTGGGACTGACCCAATTTTCCAGGTGCTGTCTGTCATGGCTTTCCTTGGCTAGGAAAGGGAATTCCCTGACCCCTTGAACTTCCTGGGTGAGGTGATGCCTTGCCCTGCTTCGGCTCTCACTCGGTGGGCTGCACCAACTGTCCTGCACCCACTGTCCAACAAGCCCCAGTGAGATGAACCTGGTACTTCAGTTGGAAATGCAGAAATCACCCATCTTCTGCATTGCTCATGCTGGGAGCTGTAGACTGGAGCTGTTCCTATTCGGCCATCTTGGAACCGCCCCCCAGGTCACTTTTCTTGATTGCTCTCTTCAGGAGTTTGTGTTTCCATACATCTGTGAACAGCTGAGGCTGATGAGGCTGACTCTAGTCCCAATGAAGCAATTAAGCTTTCTTGATCAAGAGCAGGAGAGTAAAAAACACTAGACTTTTAGTCTTGTGGATTAGAGAAGGGGAATCCATACCCAGTGGGATCCTGAAGAAAAGGGCAGGAAGAATGCAGGTCAGAGCTAGTTGTTGTGGCTTAAGAAAATGTAAAGAAGCACTGGGGCTGACACTAGCTTTCAGGGCCTGGGTCTTCAAAGACCTGCCTTTCCAGGCAGAAAGCTGGACAAGGAGACTGTATAGCAACTTGGAGCAGCAGAAGTTGGAGGACCATGGCTCCTTCAAGGAAACACACAGCTGCAAGGAACAGGAACATTACACACACACACACACACACACACACACACACACACACACACACATCTTGCTTCTTCTCTGCTAAAGATTTTGATGACTGATATACACCATTTCAGAGCTATATACCTTCTACAACCCTCCTTTCCTGTTCTTGTATCATACAAGGGAAGAGAGAGAGGAACCCACACCAATAGTCCTTCAAATAATTAATAGTGAATTTTCCACACATTTTGGTGGGTAGAGGAGTCTTATGTGAATCTTTAATAAAATTGAGAAGTTTAAAGAAATGTGATATTACTTGCACTTTGAGTATTGAGAAGTTTGGACTTGTATTCTAATTCATCACACTTGCTTGAGTTAAATTGGGGTCAGCTGACAGACTCACGTTTTGATTTCTTGCAGATATTGAAACAGAATATAAATATAAGTCAATACTGTAGTATTCTGACTTAACATTGACCTGAAGGAAATAACACTACAGTCCTTATTACTCCAATCAAATAAGACTGCATAGATATGGGAATAAGTCTCAAATTTGACTTCGCTTTCTGTGATGCCCTTTTGGAGCCTAATTTTGAAACCACAGAGAAAGTCTTACAGTGCTTTACCACTCTGACCAGTGTGATTCTCCCCTGAGCACATTCTCTAGGCCTCCAGGCCCAGAAGGCCAGAAATATCAGGAGTTGATGCATTAGGGAGCAACCATCAGCCAAAGAGAGACCATAATTAGAGGTTAATATACATCTTCCTTGCCCCTGGGGACTAGGAGTCTAACCCTGTGACATGTTCTACATTATCTCCCTAAGTTCCTTGCCCATTAGGATTGAGCCCTTGTTGTCTACAGTATTAACTTGCTTGATATTGTAAACTTTGCTGGCTTTTTTCCACTTCCTGTCTCCTGTCCTCATTTTCTTATTGGTACTTCCTGGGACCACTTCCCAAATATTCTATTTGCACACAAGTATTTGTCTCAGGGACTGCTCTAGAGAAAATCCAATCAAAGAACCTCCTTGGGTTAGAAAAGAGATGTAATGAATACTTAATAGGTGCCTAGAATGGAAATTTAAAAATGATGTTAAATAGCCATCAGGTGATATTGTATTATCCTATCAAAGAAGGAAGCTGGCTATACTCCAAGGGCCTCTTTAATGAGGGGACATTTATTGCCATGGTAAATTTTCCCCAATCTGAGGCCTTGCTGATCTTGTCAGCAGAAAGAGAACTTATCCCTTGGGCATAGTTATGTATGTCAAGCTCAATGAACTAAGGTATAATACTCAAATACCAGTTTATGGGTTTACCAGAATAAATAATGGCCACAGGGACTAGAATACTCAACCTCCAAGTGACCATTACATATTGTTGCTAGAGGCTGATCCACATGGGATTCCAAATAAGTATCAAAGGTTGTGAGAATAACATGGAATCAGGACAAGGGAAGCCAGAGGCACTCAAGGTCTAATGGCATTAGCCTCAGATTCCCTGATCACCTCATCTGTGGGTAAGGGTAGTAGTGCCTATGAAAATAGAAATAGAAAAGTCCTAGGTATAAAATCTCTCCAACCTTTCCACATTGGGGATTCCCTTCTGAATAAGACTTTTAGATTATTGGCTACATTTGAATATCCTTTGGAAAATGCTTAGATGTTGAATGCCTTTGAGATTCTCAACTCCTCCTTCTAAGTCTCATATTCCTTCTTAAAATGCTAATAAATTCCATCAAATACAAATCAGTTCTACTGGACTGTAAATTATTCAGACTTGTTCAGTGATTTTGCATATGTTAGCTCTAATTTTAATTTCCAAGGAGCAAACTCATTTTCCTAGTATTTAATTTGGGGAGGGCTAAAAAACTGCAGCCCCTACATAGTAATAGCACCAGGCTGGTAATACTAAATCCAGGCTGCATTTCATTTGTTATCACAACCAGTCTTTGAGGTAGAATTTATTATCCGTGTTTTAGTCACAAGAAAACAGAGAGCTTCAGTTAGGACAAGTTACTTGCTTAAGGATGAAATTGGAATTCAAGCCTGGATTTATCTAAGTCAGTGAGTCCTGTTCTTTCTAAAATTAACCCTTGAACAAGTTGAGATAGAAGCACCAACTCCCCGCACAGTTGAAAATTCATGTATAATTTTGACTCTTCAATAGCCTATTGTTGACTGGAAGCCTTACTAATAACATAAACAGCCAACTAACACTTTTTGTGTTATATGTATTGTATACTATATTCTGACAATAAAGTGCATTAGAGAAAAAAAATATTAGGAAAATCATAAGGAAGAGAAAAAATATTTAGTTTTCTTACGTGAAAGTGGATCATCATATAGGTCTTCATGACGAGTGGGCTGAGGAGAAGAAGAAAGAGGAGGAGTTAGTCTTGCCATCTCAGGGGTAGCAGAGGCAGAAGAAAATATGCATATAAGTGGACCCTAACAGTTTAAACTTGTGTTGTTCAAGGGTCAACTGTACTTTGTCATGCTACCCAAAAGTTACTGTACCAAGCTTCTATTTTTAAATTGATCTGAACAAAAGCTTTCACTACTAGGACAAAATTTGACAACTTCTAAGGGTTTATCCACCTCCAAGAGAGTATGATTCTCTAATGCTCCTGGCTTTGCTAAACCTCAGAATTGAGATCTTTTTCTAAATAAGTCTGACAAAAATGATTGCTCTTGGTTATTCAGGGGCAAGAAACTCTGCCTGAGTTATCTTTCTAATTGCCTCTGTTTTTCACTTCACCAACCTTAGGATCATATTATTACTCACTGGATCTCCTTACTAATGCACACTGCACCAGATATTGATATTTCACAGGGAATGAAAGTAACTTTCTAAAGACTGTAAAGGATCTAGTTACCTGTATTGACTCTGCCCAGAAGCAACCACAAACAATGCTGTAATTAACTGAGTTTAGCTATAAATGGGAAACATGAGGGTGATTTTTATTATAGACGAATAAAGGCAAGCTCACTAAGCTGATGGGTAGCTTATTTAACATTGTGAAATTTGTTCAATGCTTCTATACTGTCTTTTTAAAAAATCCTTTTCCCTTCTTTGCTGCTTCTCTTTTTCCCTTCTCCCCTTCCCTATTAAAAATGTTTATTTTTTCCCAGTATAAAATTAGATGGTAATCAAAGAACATTTTAGAAAATACAGATTAAAAATATCTATTTTCTACTAATTAGAAATGACCACTTTAACCTTGTAAAATATATTTTCCTTTTTTGTTATTGTTTTGGCGTAGATACATAACATAAACCACTATTTAGGTTTTTTTCTTAAAGAATATCAGTAGATATCCTTGAGGATTCCAGCTATTTCACAGTCTCCTTTTCCTAGAAGAGATGACTTTAGAACAGGCTGGGAGGAGAGAGCCAGGTAAAGAAAGATATGCATCTATGCAAAGGCTGCAAGGGCCACAAATACAGGGCATCGGAGAAGCAAGCAGTGCAGGGGCTGGAATAGGAAGTGCTGGAAAAGGAGTGGTCAGGAGATGAGCAGGGCCAGATGAACATGGGCCCTGAATGCCAAGAAAAGAAATGTGGACTCCAGCCAGAGGCCACAGGGAGGGGATGGAGTGGGTGGTAGCTTGATCAGAGTTCCAGCACAGTGCCTGGCACATAGTAAGGGCTCAGTCAATATTTATCCAATGAATAAATGAAGAATAAATAGCAGCCATGTAGGAAGCCAGTTAGGAAACTCCAGTTTCCTAAGTTTGTTAAGGTCTGAAGTAAAGTTCTCAAAAATATAGATAATCAAGGTACAATGGGTTACAAGAAAGTTAAATAAGATTCCTGTCTCTTACCAAGTTTCCCCCTTGCTGGGTAGGTAAGATACTTTTACTTGGTGCCCCTTGTTACTCTTCATAAGCCTCTGTTAGTTCACTTCTCAGATGGAATTGAATCTTCTAGTTTAATTGGCTATTTGATGAATTAGTGATTAAATTAACATGCAGAGAGTCTTTGTGGCTTTAAATGCAAATAAGCATAAGATGAATTTCTATCCTCCATGCATCCCATCTACCAATATCCTATAGATGCCAATGATTTGCCAGGTACTTGCTTGAGGTAGAAGCCCTATACAATAGAAATTTGATATTCTGAGCAAGCAAAAACTTACTCTTTGTGTAATACAAATTTAAAAACTGATTTTAAACACTTCAAGCCATAGTGTTATTTCATTCCTTGTAGCTATTTTAAATCCAGTTAATGACAAAATTGTGAGCAAGATTTAAGGGCATAAACATTTGTAGAAAGAAGCTTGCAATGAAGAATTCTCTAAACCATTTAGGTAGCATACAACTTTTTTTCTATTTTCTTACTTTTGGTGGTGGTTCTGTATTATTATGTGTTTTAGGCAAAATATTTATTCTCATATATATCAGAATAAATTTAACCAGCATATCAGACCTGTGATTTTATGGAGGATATTGCTAAACAACATCTAACTTTAATCATTTAAAAAAGTAATAGTCTGGATAATACTTAATATTAACAAAGATTATGGCTGTGATACATGAATATTTGGAAGCAATGGCTGATCTCAAATTTCAAGAATAGGACTGACTCTTCCTGGATTTCTTAAGTTAATTCTAGTTAATTTTCTGGGAAGAGTTAAAGTTTGTCATTTTATATTATTTTTAACCTCAGTCAACTGGAAACAGTCTTTACCATCAGAATTTGAGTTTGTGCAGTCCTTAGACATCTCCTCTCTATTCAGTACTCCACTCTACAAAGTACCTACTATGTATGTACAAGGAGCTTATATATACTGTAACATTAGATTATCATATTTAGTTTTTATGTTGAACCAGTAAGAAATGCATTAATATTCCTGTTTTGGAGATGAGGAAATTAAGGAGCAAAAATGTTGTATAAACTTTCAAAATCGTGTAGCTAATAAATAATGAAGCTAAGATTTATATGAAAATCTAAATCAAATGTCCACGTTCTTAGCACAGTATACTCTGCCTCCTCACCAGCAAATCCTATGGAATTACCAGGAGTTAGAAATCAGTATGTTATAGCTGACATGAAAAAAAAAAATTCACCTGAGAGTAAATTCAGGACCGTATACATAAGAAGAGAAACGACATTTAGTAATAGCCCTTAAATTTGCATCACACTTTATTGTTTGCAAGCCTGTCATGTATCACACCTTCATAATACCTCACATGGGGTGGAAATGTGGGCATGGGTTACTATTCCCATTTTAGATGAAGAAACAGAATTTTCTTAGGAAAATTACAGCAACTTGGCCAAGGTTACAGCCTAATTTAAGGCAGATTGAGAAGCAGAATCCAGGATCCGACATTGTGAGGTCTTTCTATGCATGGAGCAACTTCTAACAGGCTTGTACTTTAGTAGAAAGCAGGGCTGGAGACACTGTTGGAGTAGCCACCCCAGACAGATTTCACAGCCAAGAAGACAAGACAGAGGATTTGCACACAAACTATACCAGGCCTCATAGTCGGTTTTTTGTTGGTGGAATTTCAAACATCTCACCTACTGCTTATGTATATCGTTTCATTTATTGATCTGTTTCATTGTTGATCCATTAATCTATCCATCCATCCATCCATCCATTCTTCATCGTCGTTGTCATCATCATCATTGACATTATTATTACTACTATTGAATAGCTACTTTATGAAGGTACTATGCTAGGATATGAAGTTATAAAGTCAAACAAGACCAGATCTCTGCTTTTAAGGATCTCATAGACCAAAGGAATAGATAAATATGAACAAATATTTGTATTATAAAATGGCAAATCTAAAGGAGGGGCAGGAAAAGAGTACACAGACTTAAGGATGGAACAAGCAACCACTGGGGAGTGAGAGTGTAATGTAGGGAAGGCCCCAGGATGGAGGACATACCTAAAAGGTAAGTAGTTTGAGGTAACTAAGTGGAAAGGATTTTTCTGAGGGGAAGCTTGTACTAAGGCACAGAGCTACAGCATATTTTGGTTTGTTTAGAAAAATGCATGTGTTCCTTAATTATTGGTGAGAAAAGTGTAAGAAAAGGAGGGTAGGTAGTAAGCAGGCAGGGATAGTCCAGAGTCAGAGCAAATCTCACAGCAGGAGGGACTCCAGGAACCAGGAGAACCAATTCTAGAGGTGCAAAGCTCAGTTTGAATGGGTATTATCAAAGAGAAAGTAGGAAATGTGGCAATATTGTGTGTGTGTGTGTGTGTGTGTGTGTGTGTGTGTGTGTGTGTGATGTCAGGGCTCTAGATACTGAGAATGGATAGGGAGGAGGAAAACGGTGTCAAAGGGTGTCATCTCAGACTTATCACAAGGTAGAAAGAAAAGTTGCCGGCTTTTTCAGAATTCTTAAGTATTTTTATATTAACTTCTGTCCCGTCTCCTTAATACTCTTCTTTAAGTTTTAAAATAATGTAACTACATATGGAAAAGAAGAGAAAGAAGGATATATACACACACATATCACCTATCATTTTGTTCTACAGCATTCACTGTTTTAGCAACAATATTGTGTATTTTTCTCCTGTTTTGTTTTTATGTCTGTTGTTAGAAAATTAAAGGTAAAAGAAAACAATTCTATATAATACGCCACTATGAGAAATTTTTGCCAGTTATTTCTTTAAAAATGAAAAAGAGGTAGAATACAGGGCCTAATAGTGACCCTAAGTGTGTAGTGGTTCGAATGACAGGCTTTGGAGCCAAAAAAGATCAAATACAGAATTCCAGCTCTGACATTTACCCGTTGTACAATTTATTTTTTGTTGTTCTTAACTTTTTTTTCTGAAACATTGGAATAATATTACCCAACTCACAGATTTGGTTGCAATAAATAGTAAGTTAATTCTTATATCCTTTTCTGTAAAGGTTGTAAGACATTTCTTTCCCTTTTTTTTATAAAAGTGATTTATGTTTTTATTTTGAATTTACAAATTTAGCAATGAAAATTCTAGAAGTTTAATTAATCTTTATATATGGAGCACCTCTATTTCTAGCTACTCTACCTTTTGTATAAATATATTAACTGACACAAAAGCTTTCTATCAGAAGACCAGATTTTTTCAGCTGTGAGGATAAAGTCTCATTTAGTGTTCTTTTAAAGGTAAATCTAGCTGGGAGGAATGAGATAGCATAGAAAAAGCTAACTGTTTTAAACAATTTTTGAACAGCGTTATTTTCAACAATATAACCATCCTTATTTGTTGTATCATTTCTATTTTTGAGATTGCTGCATGCAATTGTGAGATTCCCTTCTAGGACAGTGGCATGGTAGCAGGTTGTCATTGTGTAAAAGGGGTTATGATAGAACTGAAGGGACAGCAAAGCTATCAATGATCGTCTGTCATAATCAGTTTTTTTCTTACAATCATCTCATCTCAAGACCCCATAACTCCGCACTCTGATTGTGCCCATTAGGCACAGCAGATGGTACCATTTTACTCCGTGGAAGCAGTGAGCAGAAAACTTGCCTCCGACCACAACATTTGTGAGCAGAAAAACTAGACAGCCTTTTCCCCTCAGTATGCCCAAGCCCTGGCATTTAGTTGCAGTAGGCAAGTGATGTAAAAACCCTTTGATGATCTAGAAGAGGAAACATAGATACTTTTATTCTAATGCACACTGTTGTGAGCCTTGACTATGAAGCACACTTCCTCTGGCTGAGAGTGTGTGTTCACAAGCTAATTAACGTTTTCCAACCCTGCTTTGTCTTGCCATAGAAAAGATGGATCAGATATTTCTCCTGATTTTATGTAAGCTGTACATCTTTTCTGTTTATAACCATGGAAGAAAAACAATAACTGTGGCAAATGCAAAGACCTACGGCAATACACACTCTGGGTGCTGATTTGGGGCATGTTACTAAATCAATGTGTGACCTAGGCAATTCTCTTCCTTAGCTAGTTCTCAGATTTCTCCTCTGTGAGAATGAAGGGGTAGGATCACTGATTTGCTTCATCCTTTCCAGCATCAGCATCCGATGGACTAAAGTGATTAATGTTGGGCCTGTGGCAAGCGCAGATTTTATGGGGTTCCACCTAGTGGCTTTGCTCCATATTACGGTTCTAAGTGAGTATGGCATGGTTGTATAGAATAGAGGCTTTTGAGGCTACAGACCTTGCTCTGAGTCCTGACTTTGTGCTCAATATCCAAGTAAACTTGGGCAGCTTCTTAGCTCTTTGTGATTTGTTTGCTTTTCTATAAAAATGGAAAATAATACCTATTATATAAGGTGGTTATGAAGATTAAATGTTAGCACAAAACACAGGAATAAAAGTGAGGGCAGCATTATTAGATTCTAGGGAAATTAAAGTGACAGTTAAAAATAGTGACAACTGGCTGGTAGATGGGGACCTGCTCTGGGTGCATATCCATGAAACTCACTGTGCATCATATAAAGATGGCCAGCTAGACATAGGTAATATGTGCCTCCTCCTAGGAGAGGAACCAGGATAGTAAGTAGATATCAGAATAGTTGGCAGATACTCACATTTTAAACAGATCATATAGGGCACAATGCTAGGATTCCCCAGAGCAGTGACAAGAAGCACCCGAAATAGGTAAAGAGAGAGCAAGACAGCTTGCCCAGCCAGGAACCAGCTAAAAGTTAGGAGAGCCTCCTGGACATGGGGAAATAGTAAAAGAGAAACCCCCGGGGTTCCAAAATCAGCTTTTACTATCATGGCCACCAAAGAAACCCTTAACTCGTTAGGGCCTTGGGCTTGACATACAGAGCTGGCTAAAGATTGCAAAGAGATGTTTCTCCAGAAAGAGAACCCATGCAAAATTTCACAGGCACCTGAGCTTGGAGCAGCCTCAGCTGGGAGCTATCTTGAGAGCCTAGATACTGGAGATCTACAAACATGGCTGGGGCTACTGCACTGCTCCAACAAGAGAAAGAAGAGGCTGGGCACTCCCATGCACCCCTAGGAGGGTGCTTGCTGCCCTGCTGTGGGCTGCTGTGAGACTGAGATGTAAGTGGACCATATTCCCCATAGCTTCTTGCCCATACTGCTAGACTGGAAGGTACTCTGCCCACCCTGGGTCCCAGGCCCAGGGTGAGTGCCATTTTGAGAGTTTAAGGCTGAGCCATATGTCACCTTAGGCCTGAGTTCAGGCTGATGTGGTTGTAGCTGCCATCTGGCCAAGGAGGAACAAGAAGACAAAGGTATCCTATGTATATCTAAGACAATATTTACTTCCCTGCAACAGGCTGCTGTGAGATTGAGACACAAGTGGACTGTATTCTCCACAGCTTCATGCCCACACTGCCTGCATGGGAGGAGACCCACCCTCCCTGACTATAGACTCAAGGTGCCATTTTGAGAGTTTAATGCTTGGTTGTCCCCTGCCCTTGAGATGAGTTTGACTTGACATGGCTTCAGCTAATGCCCAGTTAAAGAGGTATAGGAAAGCCAGGCTTCCCAATGCACATCTAGGTCAATACCCAGTACCCTACTACGGGCTGCTGTAAGACCAAGACTCAAGTAAACTGCTTTTCCCATAGCTTCTTGCCCATGCTTCTTGCCTGAAGGGACCTTACACTCCCTGGTCACAGGCCCAGAGTGCCATTCTGAGAACTTAATACTGGGCTGTGCCCCAACCTTGGGCCAAGTTTGAGGTGACATAGTTGCAGCTGCCACCCAGCTGGGAAAGGGATAAGTGAGACAAAGCTCTCCTAAGCACAGTTAGGACAATGCTTACTGCCCTGCTACAGGTGGCTGTGGGACTGGAGACTAGCCCACCCAACCCATCACAGCTTCCAGCAACAACAACATGCGTTGCTTGGGTCCCAGTGGGTTGCACCACCATTGCTACTACCATCACCCATACCACATTAGCTACCAAGGGTCCTAAGAACCCACCCACACACTGGGACCACTGCTCTTACTATTAATTTCTAAGCAAGCCACGTGAAGGCTCAAGAATCAGTCCTCCCAGACTCACAAACACTAGAGCCAGTGTAAGTTGCTCTGGGGCCTGAAAGGACCCCACTGCTACTACCACCAGAGCCTGAAGACTGATTTAGTTGGTGTCCAGGTCACTAGCTTAATTCCACCACAAACTCAACTATTAGCTGTACCCTTAGTCACTGAGGAAATCACAGAGACCACTGCCCTGTGTACTGCCAAAATATTCATACAAAGATCACACTACCATGAGCACCCAAAATCAAAGCCACAGTATCTTAACTGAATCAACAACATATACACATCCTCAGGAAAAAATTCTCCCCTATGAAAGCAATTTCAAAAACTTGGAAAAAGTGACTGCTATACAAGATGCACCAAAATCAATGGAGGGACACAGGAAACATGAAAAATCAGGGAAATATGATACCATCAAAGGACCAAAATTATCCAATAACAGATCCCAATCAAAAATAATTCCTCTTTAAAAGTTCAGATAAAGAATTCAAAATACTGATCTTAAAGAATCTCAATGAGATGCAAGATAAACCTGAAAATCAATACAAAGAAATCAGAAAATCAATCCAGGATATTAATGAGAAATTTACCAAGGAGATGAACATCATAAAAACAAATAGAATAGAAATTCTGGAATTAAAAAATTCATTGAAAGAAATAAAAAATATATCCAAAAGTTTCAATAATAGACTAGACCAAGAAGAAGCATCTCAGAACTTGAAGACAAGACTTTCAAAATAATCCTGTCAGACAAAAATAAGAGAAACAGAATAAAAAATGAATGAACAAAGCTTTCAGACATCTGGGACCAGATAAAGTGACCAAATTTACTAATTATTGGTATTGCCAAAAGTGAAGAGGGATCAAAAAGTTTAGAAAACATATTTAAGAAAATAATGAAAATTTCTCATCTATCAAGAAAGTTAGGCATCTAGATACAGGGGACACAGCAACCCCAAGGAAAATACATTGCACAAAGGACCTCACCATGGCATATTATACTCAGAATGTCTAAAGTCCAAGTGAAATAAAGAGTTTTAAAATTAGCAAGAGAAAAATATCAAGTCAACTATAAAGGAAATCCCATCAAACTAACTGTGGACTCTTCAGCAAAAGTATTACAGGCCAGAAGAGAATGAGATGGCACTTTCAAAATACTGAAAGAAAAACTTCCAGCCAATGATTTTGTATCCTGCCAGAATAAGCTTTATAAATGAAGGATAATTTAAGTCATTCTCAGACAAGAAAGAACTGAGAAAACTTGCCACTACTAGACTCTAGACTAGACCTATAGTAAATGCTCAAAGAGTCCTTAAGCAAGAAATGAAAGGTTAATATTCACCACCATGAAAACACATGGCAATATACAACTTACAGTTTGTATAAAACAATCACACAAAAGAGGAATAGAAAGATGTCAAAGATACCACAGAATTTCATTAAACCACAAAGACAAAAAGAAAAAAAAAGAATTGTTTAAAACAACTTGAAATCAATCAATAATAAGCCAGAAACAAAGCCTCACATATCAATATTAACCTTGAATGTAAATGAATAAAATGCTGCACTTAAAAGATAAAGATTGGCAGAATAGACAAAAAGCCCACAATCCAACTATATGGTACAAGAAATTCACCTTGCTGAATTAGACTGAAAGTAAAGGGATGAAAACTATATGGTACAAGAAATTCACCTTACTGAATTAGACGGAAAGTAAAGGGGTGAAAAAAGATATTCTACACAAACCAACCAAAAGTGAGTAGGAGTAGCTATGCTTATATCAGATAAAGCAGACTTTAAATCAAAAACAGTAAAGAAAGAAGATGAAGGAGGCCATTATGTAATGATAAAGGGATCAATTCAGCAAGAGGATATAACGATCCTAAGTATATATGCATACAACATTGGAGCACCTATATTTACCAAACAAATATTACTAGACCAAAAGAAAGAGACAGACAGCAATGCAATAACAGTAGAGAGTTTTAATATCCCACTAACAGCACTAGACAGATCATTGAGGTAGAAACTTAACAAAGAAACATTGGCCTTAAATTGGACTTCAGAACAAATTGACTTAATAGACATTTATAAAACATTCTACCTAATAAATAGAGAATATGCATTATTTTCACAATCGCATGGAATATTCTCTAAGATAGACCAAATATTAGGCCAAAAATAAGTATTAACAGATTGTAAAAAATCAAAATCATATCAAGTACTTACTCAGATTACACTGGAATAAAGTCAGAAATCAATGCCAACGCAGTCTGGTAAATATACACGTACATGGAAATTAAACGGCATGCCTGAATGATCACTGTGTCAATGAAGAGGTATAGTTGGAAATTTAAAAATTTTTTGAAGTAAATGAAAATGGAAACACAACATACCAAAACCTGTGGGATACAGCAAAAGCAGTGCTAAGAGGAAAGTTTATAGCATTAAAAGCCTACATCAAAAAAGTAGAAAGATCACAAGTTAATAACTTAAATTGCACCTCAAGAAACTAAAAAAAGAACAAACCAAACCCAAAGTTAGCAGAAAAAAGGAAATAACAAAGATCAGAGCAGAATGAAATGAAATTCAGATTTAAAGAATACAAAGAATCAATGAAATGAGCAGTTGAGTCTTTGAAAAGATAAAAAAGTTAATAAACTACTAGCTAAACTAACCAAGGAAAGAAGAGCCAAATAAATACAACCAGAAATGAAGAAGTAGACATTACAACTGATACCACAAAAATACAAAAGATCATCAGATACAATATGAACAACTATAGTCTCACAAACAACAAAACTTAGAGGAAATGGATAAATTCCTGGAAACACATAACTGCCTGATATTGAACTAGGAAGAAATAGAACTCCTGAATAGACCAGTAATGAGTGATGAGTTGAACATTTCCCAACCAAAATAAAGCCCAATACCAGATGGATTCACAGCCAAATTCTACCAGACATACAATGAATATCAGTCCTCCTGAAACTATTCCAAAAAATCAAGGAAAGTGAAATTCTCCCTCACCATTGTACAAGTCCAGTACCACAATGATACCCAAACCAGACAAGGACACAACAAGGAAACAATACTACAGACCAATATCCCTAGTGAACATAGATACAAAAACCCTCAATAAAATACTAGCAAGTAAAATCCAACAGCACATCAAACAGATAATACATCATGATCAGGTGAGATTTGTCCCAAGGATGCAAGGATGGTTCAACCATCCTTCAATGAATAAACAAACCATCCATTCAATCAATAAATGTGATGCATCACATAGAATTAAGGACAAAATACTTAGGATCATTTCAATGGAAATAGAAAAAAGTTTCAATATAATTCAGCATCCTTTCATGATAAAAATTCTCAGCAACTTAGGCATAAATGGAACATATCTCAACATAATAAAGGCTGTTTAGGACAGACCCATGGCCACATCATACTTGCAGGGAAAAGTTGAAAGCATTCCAAAAAGTGGAACAAGACAAGGTTGTCCACTTTCACCACTGTTATACAGTACAGTACTGGAAGTCCTTACTAGAGCAATAAAGAAAAGGAAAAAGATAAAAAGCATCCGGTTTGGAACAAAGTTAGTCAAATTATCTATTCTCATTGATTATATGATCTTACATGTAGAAAACCCTAAAGACTCAACCAAAAAACTCAAAAATTTGAGAAATAAATTTAGTAAAGTTTCAGGATATAAAATTAATGTACAGAAATTAGTAGCATTTCAATATAACAATAATGATCTAGCCAGGAGCCAAATCAAGAAGGTAACCTGTTCACAATAGCTACAAAAAAATACCTAAGAATATATTTAACCAAGGCAGTGAAAGGTTTGTATAAGGTGAACTACGAAACACTGATGAAAGTAATCTTGCATGACGCAAACAAATGGAAAAACATTCCATGCTCATGGACGGGAAGAGTGAATAGTGTTATAATGACCATACTGCCTGAAGCAACCTACAGATTCAATGCAGTTCCTATCAAATTACCAAGGTCATTTTTCACAGAATCAGTAAGAACAATACTAAAATTCATATGGAATTTTAAAAAAGCCTGAATAACCAAAGCAATCTTAAGCAAAAAGAACAAAACTTGAGGCAACACACTATCTGACTTCAAATTATACTACAAGGATATCGTAAGCAAAAAATCATGGTACTGGTATAAAAATAGACACAGAGACCAATGGAACCATATAGAGAATGCAGAAATAAAGCCACATGCCTACAGCAAATTGATCTTCAACAAACTCAACAAAAATATACACTGGGGAAAGGATACCCTATTCAATAAGTGATGCTGGGAAAATTAGAAGCCATGTGGAGAAAAATGAAACTGGACCCATATCTCTCACCATATACAAGAGTTAAGCCAAGATGGATTAAAGAGCTAAATGTATAACTTGAAGATATAAAATTCTAGAAGAAAACCTAGGAAAAACGCTTTTTGACATTTGCCTAGGAAAAGAATTTATGAGTAAGTCCTCAAAAGCAAACACAACAAAACAAAAATAAACAAATGGGATTTAATTAAACAAAAACCTTCTCCAAAGCAAAAAGAATCAACAGAGTAAACAGACAAATGGGAAGAAACTTCCAAACTATGCATCTGACAAAGGGCTAATATCTAGAATTTACGAGGATCTCAAACAAATCAACAAGAGATAAACAAAAAACTCTATTAAAAAGTAAGCAAAAGATGTGAACATTTTTTCAAAAGAAGACATATAAGCTGCCAAAAAACATATTGACAAATCCTTAGCATCACTAATCATCAGAGACCACAATGAGATACCATCTTATACTAGTCAGAATTGCTATCATTAAAAAGTCTAAAAACAAAAGATGTTGGCAACGATGTGGAGAAAAGGGAACACTTATACACTACTGGTGGGAATGCAAATTAGTGAAACATTTATGGAAAACAGAATGGAGATTTTTCAAATAACAGAAAATATAACTACCATTTGATCCGGCAATTTAACCTCTGGGTATATACCCAAAGAGAAATAAATCATTATATAAAAAAGATACCTGCACCTTGTTTATCACAGCACTATTTACAGTAGCAAAGATAAGGAATCAACTTAAGTAGCTATCAACAGAGGACTGGATAAAGAAAATGTGGTGTGTATATGTATATGTATATATATGAAATATAGTGATATATACATGTGACATAAATACATATGATATACACACACCATGGAATACTACTCAGCCATAAAAAAGAATGAAATCATGTTTTTAGCAACAACATGGGTGGAACTGGAGGTCATTATCCTTAGTGAAATAATTCAGAAAGTCAAATACCACATGTTCTCCCTTACAAGTGGGAGCCAAGCACTGGGTACACATGGCCATACAGAGTGGATAATAGACATTGGAGACTACCAAAGGTGGGAGAGTGGGATGGGGATGAGGATTTGAAAACTATCTGTTGGGGTGATGGGTACAGTAAAAGCAAACTTCACCACTATGCAATGTATTCATGTAAGATTCCTGCATTTCTGTCCCTTAAACCCTGTGACAGTTACATCTTCCGTATGAAATGTTAAATATACCATCCCTCAAAAAAAATGATCTCTTCTACTAATCAGATCATTGTAACTAAGCATTAATCTTTACTTAGAAACATGTTGAAATTCTGGTAAGATTTTCTAAACATTCTCTATATAAGTAACCCCACACCTCTACACTTTGGAACACTGATTTTCATTCTTAGGAATCTGTGCTTCCCATGTGGGACCATCTCAACCTTTCTGCTTGGAATAAACTCTCTTTAGAAACTAGAAAATAAGGGTAGAGCCAAGATGGCCAAATAGGAACAGCTCTAGTCTACAGCTCCCAGTGTGAGCAATGCAGAAGACGAATGATTTCTGCATTTACAACTGAGCTACCAGGTGCATCTCACTGGGGATTGTCAGACAGTGGGTGCAGGACAGTGGGTGCAGTGCACTGAGCCTGAGCTGAAGCAGGGTGAGGCATCACCTCACCCGGGAAGTAAAAGGGGTGAGGGAATTCCCTTTCCTAGCCAAGGAAAGGGGTGACAGACGGCACCTGGAATATCGGGTCACTCCCACCCTAATACTGCACTTTTCCGATGGTCTTAGCAAACGGAGATTATATCCTTAGCATCAGGAGATTATATCCTGTGCCTGGCTCAGAGGCTCTGACACCCACGGAGCCTCACTCATTGCTAGCACAGCAGTCTGAGATCAAACTGCAAGGCGGCAGCGAGGCTGGGAGAGGGGTGCCTGCCATTGCCCAGGCTTGAGTAGATAAACAAAGCGGCCAGGGCACTCCAACTGGGTGGAGCCCACCACAGCTCAAGGAGGCCTGCCTGCCTCTGTAGACTCCACCTCTGGGGGCAGGGCATAGCCAAACAAAAGGCAGCAGAAACTTCTGCAGACTTAAATGACCCTGTCTGACAGCTTTGAAGAGAGTAGTGGTTCTCCCAGCATGCACCTTGAGATCAGAGAACGGACAGACTCCTCAAGTGTGTCCCTGACCCCTGAGTAGCCTAACTGGGAGGCACTCCCCAGTAGGGGCAGACTGACACCTCACACGGCCGGGTACTCCTCTGAGACAAAACTTCCAGAGGAATGATCAGGCAGCAACATTTGTTGTTCACCAATATCTGCTGTTCTGCAGCCTCTGCTGCTGATACCCAGGCAAACAGGGTCTGGAGTGGACCTCCAGCAAACTCCAACAGACCTGCAGCTGAGGGTCCTGACTGTTAGAAGGAAAACTAACAAACAGAAAGGACATCCACACCAAAACCCCATCTGTACATCACCATCATCAAAGACCAAAGGTAGATAAAACCACAAAGATGGGGAAAAAACAAAGCGAAAAAACAGAGCAAAGAAACTGAAAATTCTAAAACTCAGAGTGCCTCTCCTCCTCCAAAGGAATGCAGCTCCTCACCAGCAACGGAACAAAGCTGGATGGAGAATAACTTTGACAAGTTGAGAGAAGAAGGCTTCAGACAATCAAACTACTTCATGCTAAAGGAGGAAGTTTGAACCCATGGCAAAGAAGTTAAAAACCTTGGAAAAAGATTAAATGAATGGCTAACTAGAATAACCAATACAGAGAAGTCCTTTAACTACCTGACAGAGCTGAAAACCGAGGCACAAGAACTACATGACAAATGCACAAGCCTCATTAGCCGATTCAATCAACTGGAAGAAAGGGTATCAGTGATGGAAGATCAAATGAATGAAATGAAGCAAGAAGAGAAGTTTAGAGAAAAAAGAATAAAAAGAAATGAACAAAGCCTCCAAGAAATATGGGACTGTGAAAAGACCAAAGCTACGTCTGATTGGTGTACCTGAAAGTGACAGGGAGAATGGAACCAAGTTGGAAAACACTCTGCAGGATATTATCCAGGAGAACTTCCCCAATCTAGAAAGGCAGGCCAACATTCAAATTCAGGAAATACAGACAATGCCACAAAGATACTCACTGAGAACAGCAACTCCAAGACACATAATTGTCAGATTCACCAAAGTTGAAATGAAGGAAAAAATGTTAAGGGCAGCCAGAGAGAAAGGTCAGGTTACCCACAAAGGGAAGCCCATCAGACTAACAGCTGATCTCTCAGCAGAAACTCTACAAGCCAGAAGAGAGTGGGGGCCAATATTCAACATTCTTAAAGAAAAGAATTTTCAACCCAGAATTTCATATCCAGCCAAACTAAGCTTCATAAGTGAAGGAGAAATAAAATCCTTTACAGACAAGCAAATGCTGAGAGATTTTGTCACTACCAGGCCTGCCCTAAAAGAGCTCTTGAAGGAGGCACTAAACATGGAAAGGAAAAACTTCTACCAGCCACTGCAAAAACATGCCAAATTATAAAGATCATTGATGCTAGGATGAAATTGCAACAATTAACAAGCAAAATAATCAGCTAACATCATAATGACAGGATCAAATTCACACATAACAATATTAACCTTAAATGTAAATGGGCTAAATGCTCCAATTAAAAGACACAGACTGGCAAATTGGATAAAGAGTCAAGACCCATCAGTGTGCTGTATTCAGGAAACCCATCTCATGTGCACAGACACACGTAGGCTCAAAATAAAGGGATGAAGGAAGATCTACCAAGCAAATGGAAAACAAAAAAAGGCAGGGATTGCAATCCTAGTCTCTGATAAAACAGACTTTAAACCAACAAAGATCAAAAGAGACAAAGAAGGCCATTACTTAATGGTAAAGGGATCAATTCAACAAGAGGAGCTAACTTTCCTAAATATATATGCACCCAATACAGGAGCACCCAGATTCATAAAGCAAGTCCTTAGAGACCTACAAAGAGAGTTAGACTCCCACACAATAATAATGGGAGACTTTAACAACCCACTGTCAACATTAGACACATCAGTGAGACAGAAAGTTAACAAGGATATCCAGGAATAGAACTCAGCTCTGCACCAAGCAGCCTTAATAGACATCTACAGAACTCTTCACCCCAAATCAACAGAATATATATTCTTTTCAGCACCACACCACACCTGTTCCAAAATTGACCACATAGTTGGAAGTAAAGCACTCCTCAGCAAATGTTCAAGAACAGAAATTATAACAAACTGTCTCTCAGACCAGAGTGCAATCAAACTAGAACTCGGGATTAAGAAACTCACTCAAAACTGCTCAACTACATGGAAACTGAACAACCTGCTCCTGAATGACTACTGGGTACATAATGAAATGAAGGCAGAAATAAAGAAGTTCTTTGAAACTAGTGAGAACAAAGACACAACATACCAGAATCTCTGGGACACATTCAAAGCAGTGTGTAGAGGGAAACTTATAGTACTAAATGCCCACAAGAGAAAGCAGGAAAGATCTAAAATTGACACACTAACATCACAATTAAAAGAACCAGAGAAGCAAGAGCAAACACATTCAAAAGTTAGCAGAAGGCAAGAAATAACTAAGATCACAGCAGAACTGAAGGAAATAGAGACACAAAAAACCCTTAAAAAATCAATGAATCCAGGAGCTGGTTTTTTGAAAAGATCAACAAAATTGACAGACTGCTTGCAAGACTAATAAAGAAAAAAAGAGAGAAGAATCAAATAGCCGCAATAAAAAATGATAAAGGGGATATCACCACCGATCCCACAGAAATACAAACTACCATCAGAGAATACTACAAACACCTCTATGCAAATAAACAAGAAAATCTGGAAGAAATGGATAAATTCCTCAACACATACACTCTCCGAAGACTAAACCAGGAAGAAGTTGAATATCTGAATAGACCAATGACAGGCTCTGAAATTGAGGCAATAATTAATAGCTTACCAACCAAAAAAAAGTCCAGGACCAGACGGATTCACAGCCAAATTCTACCAGAGGTATAAGGAAGAGCTGGTACCATTCCTTCTGAAACTATTCCAATCAATAGAAAAAGAGGAAAACCTCCCTAACTCATTTCATGAGGCCAGCATCATCCTGATACCAAAGCCTGGCAGAGACACAACAAAAAAAGAGAATTTTAGACCAATATCCCAATGAACGTCGATGCAAAAATCCTCAATAAAATACCGGCAAACCGAATCCAGCAGCACATCAAGAAGCTTATCCACCATGATCAAGAGGACTTCATTCCTGCATTGCAAGGCTGGTTCAACATATGAAAATCAATAAATGTAATCCAGCATATAAACAGAACCAATGACAAAAACCACATGATTATCTCAATAGATGCAGAAAAGGCCTTTGACAAAATTCAACAGCCCTTCATGCCAAAAACTCTCAATAAATTAGGTATTGATGGGATGTATCTCAAAATAATAAGAGCTATCTATGACAAACCCACAGCCAATATCATACTGAATGGGCAAAAACTGGAAGCATTCCCTTTGAAAACTGCCACAAGACAGGGATGCCCCCTCACCACTCCTATTCAACATAGTGTTGGAAGTTCTGGCCAGGGCAGTCAGGCAGGAGAAAGAAATAAAGGGTATTCCATTAGGAAAAGAGGAAGTCAAATTGTCCCTGTTTGCAGATGACAAGATTGTATATCTAGAAAACCCCATTGTCTCAGCCCAAAATCTCCTTAAGCTGATAAGTAACTTCAGCAAAGTTTCTGGATATGAAATCAATGTGCAAAAATTACAAGCATTCTTATGCATCAATAACAGACAAATGGAGAGTCAAATCATGAGTGAACTCCCATTCACAACTGCTTCAAAGAGAATAAAATACCTAGGTATCCAACTTACAAGGGATGTGAAGGACCTCTTCAGGGAGCACTACAAACCACTGCTCAATGAAATAAAAGAGGACACAAACAAATGGAAGAACATTCCATGTTCATGGGTAGGAAGAATCAATATCATGAAAATGGCCATACTGCCCAAGGTAATTTATAGATTCAATGCCATCCCCATCAAGTTACCAATGACTTTCTTCACAGAATTGGAAAAAAACTACTTTAAAGTTCATATGGAACCACCAAAGAGCCAGCATTGCCAAGTCAATCCTAAGTCAAAAGAACAAAGCTGGAGGCATCATGTTACCTGACTTCAAACTATACTACAAGGCTACAGTAACCAGAACAGCATGGTACTGGTACCAAAACAGAGATATAGACCAATGGAACAGAACGGAGCCCTCAGAAATAATGCCACATATCTACAACTCTCTGATCTTTGACAAACCTGACAAAAACAAGAAATGGGGAAAGGATTCCCTATTTAATAAATGGTGCTGGGAAAACTGGCTAGCCTTATGTCGAAAACTGAAACTGGATCCCTTCCTTACACCTTATACAAAAATTAATTCAAGATGGATTAAAGACTTAAATGTTAGAACTAAAACCATAAAAACCCTAGAAGGAAACCTAGGCAATACCATTCAGGACATAGGCATGGGCAAGGACTTCATGTCTAAAACACCAAAAGCAATGGCAACAAAAGACAAAATTGACAAATGGGATCTAGTTAAACTAAAGAGCTTCTGCACAGCAAAAGAAACTACCATCAGAGTGAACAGGCAACCTACAGAATGGGAGAAAATTTTTGCAATCTACTCATCTGACAAAGGGCTAATATCCAGAATCTACGATGAACTCAAACAAATTTACAAGAAAAAAACAAACAACCTCATCAACAAGTGGGCAAAGGATATGAACAGACACTTCTCAAAAGAAGACATTTATGCAGCCAACAGACACATGAAAGAATGCTCATCATCACTGGCCATCAGAGAAATGCAAATCAAAACCACAATGAGATACCATCTCACACCATTTAGAATGGCGATCATTAAAAAGTCAGGAAACAATAGGTGCTGGAGAGGATGTGGAGAAATAGAAACACTTTTACACTGTTGGTGGGACTGTAAACTAGTCCAACCATTGTGGAAGTCAGTGTGGCGATTCCTCAAGGATCTAGAACTAGAAATACCATTTGACCCAGCCATCCCATTACTGGGTATATACCCAAAGGATTATAAATCATGCTGCTATAAAGACACGTGCACACGTATATTTATTGTGGCACTATTCACAATAGCAAAGACTTGGAACCAACCCAAATGTCCAACAATGATAGACTGGTTTAAGAAAATGTGGCACATATACACCATGGAATACTATGCAGCCATAAAAAATGATGAGTTCATGTCCTTTGCAGGGACATGGATGAAGCTGGAAACCATCACTCTCAGCAAACTATCGCAAGGACAAAAAACCAAACACCACATGTTCTCACTCATAGGTGGGAATTGAACAATGAGAACACATGGACACAGGAAGGGGAACATCACACACCGGGGCCTGTCATGGGTTGGGGGCAGGGGGGAAGGATAGCATTAGGAGATATACCTAATGTTAAATATCAAGTTAATGGGTGCAGCAAACCAACATGGCACATGTTTATATATGTAACAAACCTGCACGTTGTGCACATGTACCCTAAAACTTAAAGTATAATAAAAACAGAAAAAAAAGAAACTAGTAAATAATAAAAATGAAAGAAAAAAACAAAACAAAACAAAATGATGTCATTAAATTATAAAAGTTTGGCCTGGCATAGTGAGTTATATGTGTAATCCCAAAGCTTTGGAAGTCCCAGATAGGAGGGTCAGTTAAGGCCAGGAATTCTAGACCAGCGTGAGCATCACAGTGACACCCTATATCTGGAAAAAATTAAAAATAAGTAAGTAGATAAATTGTAAAATTTTGATATACCAGTAAAGTTACTTCAAAATTAAATTTATAAACACATACACAAGCAGCATTATACAAATTGAATAGTCCTATGTCTAGTGAAGAAATATGCCTGAAAATAAAAACTTTTCCACATAGGAAATTCCAGGGGCAGATGAGTTTAGTAATAAATTATTCCAAACATTTAAGATAAAAATAACACCAACCTCACCTAAGATCTGTTGGAGAATGGAAAAAAAGACATATTTTAAAATTTCCTGGGTAGTACAATCTTGACAACAAAATCTGACAAGGATGTTAGAAGAAAGGAATGTTACAGGTTAATAGCTCTCACAACCATAGATGCAAAAAATCCTAAATAATATTAGCTGATTACTGAATCAAGTTAGATAATGGTGATTTTATTTCAGGTTGTTTCAACATTCAGAAATCAATATAATCCAGTATATTAAGGAAAGAAAGGAGAAATTATATGATTATCTCAACAGCTGCAGGAAAAAAGCATTTGGCACCACTCATCATCCGTTCACATTAAAGTGTTAGCATAGTAAACATAGAAATAAATATATTTAATTTATTAAAGAACATCTACAAAACTCTTATTATACACTTTCTGATTAATGGTAAAATATTTGATATTTACACCATAAGATCAGGTGAAATACAGGGTGCTCACTGTCATAACTCTTCTATTTAACATTGTACTGAAGATTCTAGCCAGCAAGAAATGGCCCAAGTTTTGGAAAGGAAGAAATAACTCATTATTTGTCCTGGATAACATGATTATAGATGTGAAAAATCCAAAAGAATCTATTGATAAACTGTAAGAATTAGCAAATGAATTCAGAAATTTTAGCATTCAAATAACAATTTGCATTAAATTTAGCATATACATATCAATTTGCATTTTGCACACCAGCAAAAAGCAACTGGAAAAAAGGTAAAACTCTATCTAAGGACTGATATACAACATTTTTGAACATAGAGCACTACACAACATTTTTGAGAGACTGTAAACATATTCAGAAAGAATCCAGATCAAAAGCAAACATATTCAGGCATACTGATAATTGTTAGCAGTAATTGTACAGAAGCCACAACCCATTAACTGCTCATCATAGGATAACTGTCAGGAAATGTCTATAAAAACTTTTATTGACTTCAAAGCTTTGATCATGTTTGGCAGAAAAGGTTGCGGTGTGCCTTGTGAATGTTTAGGACATCAGAGTAGCTGAAGACAATACCAGTGGTCTTCAAACTACAGATGAGGGAGGTCAGGAAAATAGGGAGGAATAAATTAACTTATATATATAAAGCTACCATGGGAATCCAAACAGAAGGTCAACTGACTTAGTCACCTATAACCAAGGCCGTGTATTAATAATTTCTGTCTGTTGATTCAATGCCAATATGTCCCCAATGCTAGATTTGTGTATATGAAAAGTCATCTGTAGTCAGTTTTCTGACTAATTGAATTTATTGGGGAAACTAGGGCTAGGTAGTGATAAACATCAGGGCAATATTATTCCAAGCGTGGATAAAATTTCTTTGCTACTTTTAGGTTTTGAATTTATTGAGGACCCTATTAAGTGTTATGTGCTATACAAGAGGTTTTAGATTCATAGTATTTGTTAGATATTATTGTCCCTCATTCAAAGATAAGAGGAGACTGAAAGAGGATATGCAACTTATTCAAGATACCCAGATATTTAAGAGTCAAGTTTTGAGTTCAAACTTTCATTACTATAAACGTCAGATCTTTTTATTATATGAGGATGCCTTCAAGTTTGAAGTATGAGATAAGCTGTTTAGCTCAATATCTGATACATCATTACTACTCAGTAAATTTTATTAGTATTATTTAAGTATAACGGAATTAGGCCATTCTTGCACTGCTATAAAGAAATGCCTGATGCTGGGTGATTTACCAAGAAATGAGGTTTAATTGGCTCACAGTTCTTTAGGCTTTGCAGAAAGCATAGTGCCCGCATCTGCTTCTGGTGAGAACTCAGGGAGCTTTTACTCATAGTGGAAGGTGAAGCTGGAACAGACATGTCACATAATGTGGTGAGAGCAGGAGCCAGAGGGGAGGGAGGTGCCACACACTTTCCAACAGCCAGATCTTGTGAGAATTCAAGCAATGAGAGATCTACGCTCCATGATTTAAACACCCAAACACTTCCCATGAGGCCTCACCTCCAACAATGGGGAGTACAGTTCTTTTTTATTTTTTTCTGTTTTATTTATTTATTGTTTTGAGACGGGGGTCTCACTCTGTCACCCAGGTTGGTGTGCAGTGGTGTTGACTGCAATCTCTCCCTCCCAGGCTCAAGTCTCAAGTGCTCTTCCCACCTCAGCCTCTTGAATAGCTGGAACCACAGGTGTGTGCCACCACACCCAGCTAATTTGTTCTGTTTTTGGTAGAGATGGGGTTTTGCCATGTTGCCCAGGTTGGTCTCAAACTCCTGAGCTCAAGCAGTACACCTACCTTAGCCTCACAAAATATTGGGATTACAGGCATAAGCCACCATGCTTGGCCTGGGATTACATTTCAACATGAAATTTGGAAAGGACAAATATCCAAATCATGTTAATAATTGTCTCATGGGGAGTTTTTTTTTTCTCTCTCTCTCTCTCTTTCTCTTTCTCTGTCTCATGAAGTAGAGCCTTAGTCTCTTATCCAGTAAGAATTCTTCCTCTTGGCAGCACATGTTATAAAAAATTATAAGAATAATGTAAGGCATGGATGAAAATTATTGCTAATCTTTCCTCTCAAGTAACAGTTATAATAATAAGTTGATATTCCATACAGAAGCTTTGGCTAGAATATAGCAAATTATGCACAGTGAGCTATATTTCCTCTCTATAGTCCCTTTGTAACAAATCCTAAAAAATGTCTGTGATGCTTTTGGAAGTTTTGCTCTAAAACTCTTTCATTGACTTCAAAGCTTTGATCATGTTTGGCAGAAGAGGTTGTGGTATGCTTTTTGAATATCTAGGACATCAGAGAGCTGAAGACAGTATGTTAATAGTGACCTTCAGAATGCAGATGAGGGAGGTCAGAAAAATGGGGATTGTTGAACTGCTTTATTCCTACAGGGTATTAGTCATCCAATAAAACCTTAAATTATTTAATTTATTTAACAGATAATTTTTGTAACAAATCCTGAAAACATCATAAGTAAACTGCTACTATATAAATTAGTTCTTTCATCTTATTTAGATTAGATTCATGTGTCAATGGATTTACCATAAAGGAATCTGTTCCGACCTTTTGAGAATGTGACAGATTAGGTTGATCAGAAATAATTTATTCCTCATACTTGCATGAATTTTGGAATTTCACCTGAATAGGTATATTTGAAACAGTAGGATGATTATGGAAAATTACAACTAGTTTTAAAAGATTTGCATAAGCTAGAGTGCTCAGTATGGCTAAGTCAAAAATGTTTCAAATCAAAATAAGGAGAAAAGATGCAAGTTCTACAATATTTGTTAAAGCAATACATCAAAATTATACATTAGCCTCGTGCAAACAAGGAAAATTAAATCTTAAAATTTAGTTCATTATAATTAGTCAGTTTTTCAGGCAAACATTTTTGCTTTCTCACTTCTCATTTCTACCTGTCCAGATTCTACATATTTTCACTGCTCAGCTAAGCATCTTCAGCTCCTTTGAAGATGTTTTTTTTCACCTGCTATAAATATTAAATCTTGTTTTGTGGTTATTTGTATCCCCACAAAAACATGGTTTCTGTATAAATACCTTTGTCATCACTGGAATATATAGGCCTTAAAGACAGTGATAATTTTAAAATTTATTTTTGTAATCCTCAAGCACTAACACAGTGCCTTCCATCTAGTAGGTGCTAAACAAATGTTGGGTTGTTGAAAAATCAGTAAGACTACTTTGAGAAAAATGGAATAGAAATTAGAAATCGAAAAGACAAGGTAGTCTTTTTTGATATTTTTATTTATGTTTATTTTTCATTTATTTCCAAAGCTTATTGGGGAACAGGTGGTGTTTTGTTACATGAGTTAAGTGTTTAGTGGTGATTTGTGATCTTAAGCTCTCTGTGGGAAAGCATATTTTTCTTGTTTCTTGTCTGAAAAAGAGACACCAATGGATATGGAAAAGGCCATTTGAGATATATATACAATAGTATGTATGGAATAACAGGAATGATATCATGATATTTCTAATTTACCAATAATTTTCAGAAGAGGAAGGCAATGTTTTTATTTAAAAATACAATTAAAAATAGTATCCACATGTGAATACACACATTGTGGATTGTCTGTGACAAATATATCATCTCTAGCTATCTTTTTTCCATGACACTTCATATTTAGGTAAGCCATAAGTCTATTAGTCAGCATATTTATTGATATGGCTTAGATCTGTGTCCTCACTCACATTTCATGTTGAATTATAATCCCCAATGTTGGCAGCAGGGCCTGGTAGGATATGATTGGGTCATGGGGGTGGATCTCCCTCTTGGTGCTGTTTTCATGATAGTGAGTTCTTGTGAGATATGGTTGTTTAAAAGTTTGTGGCACCTACCCAACTCTCTTCCTTCTGCTCCAGCCATGTAAGACATGCCTGCTTCCCCATTGCCTTCCACCACGATTGTAAATTTCCTGAGGCCTCCACCAAAGCAGAAGTTGGTATACTTCATGTACAGTCTTCAGAACAATGAGCCAATTAAACCTCTTTTCTTTATAAATTACCCAGTCTCAGGTGGTTCTTTATAGAAATGTGAGAAAAAACTAATAAGGAAAATTGGTACAGAGGAGTGAGACATTACTATAAAGATACCTGAAAATGTGAAAGCTGCTTTGGAACTGGTTAATGGTCAGAAGTTGGAAGAGTTTGAAGGGCTCAGAAGACAGGAATATGAGGGAAAATTTGGAACTTCCTAGAGACTGGTTAAATAGTTGTGACTGAAATGCTTAAAGTGATATGGACAATAAAGTCCAAGCTGTTGAGGTCTCAGAGGGAGATCAGGAGCCTATTGGGACCTGGAGCAAAGGTAACTTTTGTTATGCATTAGCAAAGAATCTGGTGGTATTGTGCCCCTGCCCTAAGGATCTGTGGAATTTTGAACTTGAGAGTGATGATTTAGAGTATCTGGAAGAAAAAATTTCTGAACAGCAAAGCTTTCAAGATGTTGCTTGGCTGCTTCTAACAACCTAAGTTCACATGTGTGAGCAAAGAAGTTATGTAAAACTGGAACTTATATTTAAAAGGAAAGTAGACCATAAAAGTTTGAAAAATTTGCAACCTGTCCATAAATAGTAGGCCATATCATAGAAAAGGAAAGCCCATTTTCTGGGGAGGAATTCAAGCCAGCTGCAGAAATTCACATAAGTAAAGAGGAGCCAGATGGTCATAGCCAAAACAATGGGGAAAAGGACATGAAGGCATTTCAAAGAACTTCCTGGCAGCCCCTCCTATCACAGGCCAAGAAGCCTGGGAGGGAAGAATGGCTTTGTGGGCCACACCCAGGGCCCTGCTGCACTGCAGAGCGTGGAGACACTGTATCCCAGCTGCATCTCTCCATCCCTGCTGCTCCAGTTCCAGCTGTGGCTCAAAGAGGTCCAGGTACATCTCAGGAAGCTGCTTCAGAGGGTGCAAGCCATAAGCCCTGGGGGTTTCTGTATGGTCTTAAGCCTGCGGGTTTGCAGAGTGCAAGAGTTGAGGCTTGGAAGCCTCCACCTAGATTTCAAAGGATTTATGGAAAAACCTGGATGTCCAGGCAGAAGCCTGCTACAGGAATGGAACCATCATGGAGAACTTCTACTAGGGCAGTGCAGAGGATAAATGTGGGGTTGGTGACCCCACACAGAGTCCCCACTTAGGCACTGCCTAATGGAGCTCTGAGAAGAGGCCCATCATCCTCCAGACCCTAGAATGGTAGCTTTACTGACAGCTTGCACCCTCAGCCTGGAAAAGACACAGGCACTCAATGTCTGCCCATGAGAACAGCTGCAGAGGCTGAACCCTGCAAAGCCACAGTGGTGGAGCTGCCCAAGGCCTTGGAAGCTCACCCATTGCATCAGTGAATGTGGGATATGGAGTCAAAAGAGATTATTTTGGAGCTTTAAAACTTAATGACTGCCCTGCCGGGTTTTGGACTTGCAAGGGGCCTGTAACCCCTTTCTTTTGTTCAATTTCTCCTTTTTGGAATGGGAGTATTTACCCAATGCCTGTACCCCCATTGTATCTTTGGAGTAATTAACTTGGTTGAGATTTTACAGGCTCATTAGTGAAAAGGACTATCCTTGTCTCAGATGAGACCCTGGAATTTGGACTTTTGAGTTAATGCTGGAATGAGTTAAGACTTTGGGGGACTATTGAGAAGGGATGATTCCATTTTTCAATGTGAAAAGGGCATGAGATTTGGAAGGGGCTGGGGCAGAATGATATAGTTTGGATCTGTGTCCCTGCCCACATTTTATTTCACATTGTAATCCCCAATATTAGTGATGGGGCCTGGTGGAGGTGATTGGATCATGTGGGTGGATTTCCCCTTTGGTGCTGTTTTCATGATAGTGAGTGAGTTTTCCTGATATCTGGTCATTTAAAAGTATGCAACACCAGCCCCTCACCCTCGTCCTGCACCGCCCATGTAAGATGTGTGTTATAAGAACAGACTAATACATTTTTCCTTGTGAAATGCAATCTCTTTTTTAATTTAAGGCTAACAAAACAATTATTATTTCTATGATTATTCTTTTCTGGACCCATTTTATTTCCCACAATCTAACAGGCACTAGTGCTGTGTTCCCACTTTGTACCTCTTTCTCACAAATCTCATCTACTTTTGAGAACTCAATCAGCACAATATATAGGTGGCTGCAGTTTCAACATTTATGTTTACCCTAAGCTCGCCCTATATCTGTAACTGTCATCAACAGTGCCACTTGAATGCTCCACTATCATCACAAAATCAGAATCTGATTAAATAGACATTAAGCACCAAGCATGTACTAGGCACTTTCTAGCCATACCCAGTGCTGTAATCTAATTACACAAACAAAACAAAACTTAAACTTTAAACTTATGATCTCTCCACCCTATAAACCATGTTTTAATGCTATCAGAGCTACGATATATTGGGCCATCTACTGGGATCTATGTACTGTACCCAGGATCTCTTAAATATATAATTACATACATACAGATATAAATTTTTAAAATGTAAGTATCATTATCTTCACTAAAAAATGATATTTAGACTCAGAAAATTTCATTTGCCTAAGACTTCATATGATAGAGAAAGGATTCAAACCAAGATCCTTATGATTCCAAAGTTTAAGCTCTTTACACGATTCCTCACTTCCTCTAACCTCTATTCTTATTCTTAAATATAGGGTAGTAGTGAAGACCATTTACTGGAGTCAGACTACTTGAGTCTGAATTTTAGACATCATACTTACTATGCTAGTAACCTGAGGTCATTTTACTTTATTTCCCTCTCCTTGTTTTTAAAATCAATTTTAATTAATTAATCAATATTATTTTTAATATAATGGGGCTAATACATATGCATACTTCACTAGATTATAAGAATTAAATGAAATATGAAGCATGTGAAATAGCAACTAATACATGATAAGCTCTCAATATATTATTCCTGGGAATCATGTAGTAGTCAGAATGTCTCATCAATTCTTTACTAAAATTCTTCTCTATCCATTTCCATCTTTTCAGGTTTGATGTTGATGGTCCAAATGGAGGAGTCCATCATGTCAAATGACTGGTCCATTTTCTATCCTAGCAACCACTTTCAACCCTGGATCTGCAACCTGTTTTGTGCTATACTTCACTCCATGAATAGCCTGCCAGTTCTTCTCTGTCTAATTTGACCTTCAGGCTAAGCTCAAGATTGCCTTAATCAAATTCTTCTCTAATTAATCCAATCAGAAGTTATAATTTCCTCTTCCTACTGAGCAACCAGAAGTTGACCCTTGTTTTATGATTAGATAGGGTTTACATTCTTGGGTAGTCTTAACCATGACTGTGACCTCAAATATACACTACTACTGTCTGCACAAAACAGCCTTATAACATAGCTCTGTCCCCATGTTCACTAAAGCACAGATTTCTGTGATCTTTGATTCTCAACAGGCCTTAAGGAAAGATCCTTCGATACTTGGAAATCATTCTCTACTTAGTGTTACCAGTCAATGCTTCATAACAATCAGTTGTGAGTATGATGCATATAATTGCTCATATTTTCAGAATTTTATGAAAAGAGAGGCTGTGTATTCATGAGGAAAATTAACTCTAGCTTCTGTAGGAAACAAACTCAAATTGCAGTGGATTAAAATAATAAATTTTTATTTTTTGCTAATGTTATAATCTGCAGAGGTTCAGGTGATTTGCTATGGATTTTGGGTGTGCTAACTTCTAGATGATTCAAGCATATTGATTTACATTATGCAGATCTAGAATCTCAGAATCATTCACTTCTAGCAATAAGGTCAGAACAAAATTAGATAAGGAATAATTGAGGCAGTTAATAGCCAGGCCTACATAGTGGTATACCACCCTCCACATTTTATTGGCCAGATATCAGTCACATGACCCCAAACCAACTGCAAAAGAAGCTGAGAAATCATTTTTGCTCTCTTCCCTGGAGGAAGAAATGGGATTGATCTGCATCTTGCTAGTCTCTGACAGGGTACCAATGAAACAACCCTCTTTCCCACTTCCATCCATTCGTACAATTATGCAGCTGTTTCATCCCTGTTCCACCTAAAAATTATATCAGATCTTATGACTATCCCATTCCAGGGACTATCCCATTCCCATTCCAGATAATAAAACATTAGTTCCAAGAATAGTTTCAGTGTAGTAATCAAAATGTCCATTTTGAAAAATAAAACTGTGAAAATCATTTGAAACTAAAGTTTTCCTCTTCTCCAACTTTCACCTAAGGGAAGCTTTCATTTTCCCTTGTGCAATCTGTTGCATAACTTCCAGCCTTTGTGAAGCCCCAGAATTAAAGAACTATCCCACAATGGCTCTTGAGGTCTCTCAAGTTCCCGATTTGTTTTAAACCAGTCTTGTTTGACTGCCACAAGCTTACTGGTTTCTATTTCCCCACTGGAGGTTCTGGGCCAGAACCAACTTCAGTCCTTACCTTGGTCTCAGACTGGGCAAATGCCCTTCGAGGAAAAATAACATAAGATTATCAGCTCCCTTTCCAAAGGCACTCCTTTCTCTAAAATTTTAATTTAGTCTTTGTTGTTTTCACAGTCTCTTGATGTCTTTAAAATTAGGACTGGTATAATTTATTTAACTTTTTCAAGGCTTGTTTTTTAAAAGTGGAAATCCTGCTTTATTGATTTTTAAAAGTTAAACTGATTAAATGTTAAAATTGATTTTTAAAAGTTAAACTACATTTATTAAATTAAATTTCCCCTAGTTTCATAAATCATTTATTGAGTTTGGGAATTTCTTGTATTCAGAGATATAATCACGAAAAGCATTTTATCTAAAGACATTATTCTCATTGTGAAATTAAAGTGATACCTTAGAGTAAAGAGTAGAATAGTGGCTACTGGAGGCTGGGAAAAGTAAGAGGGAGAGATAGTCAAAGATTGGTTAATAAATACAAAATTTACAGTTAGATAAGTTGAATAAGTTCTAGCATTCTTTAGCATTTGTAGCATGACTATAATTAACAACAATGAATTATATATTTTCAAATAGCTAGCAGAGCAGATGTTGAATGTTCCCAACACGCACAAAAAAGAAAAATGCTTGAGGTAATGAATATTCCATGTACCCTGATTTGATCATTACATATTGTACCTATGCATTAAAATATCACACTGTACCCCAAAATATGTACAATTATGAGTCAAAAATAATAATAAAAGCAAAAAAATGGTTTCTTTAAAATTAGGTCTGTTCATCTGTAAACATGAATTAATATTTGCAGAGTTATGAAAAATAATATACATGAAAGGGCTTTGGATAGTAAAAAATAGTATACAAATGTGAAGTTTTTTAAAAAATTACAACATGGAATTACCTGAACAATCTGAAAAGTGGGATGACTTCCCCTTATACTAATTACTTTTGTAAGATATATAGAAATATGGTGTTTAAAGTATGGTCATGAACACCTTTCCCCTAAACAAAGTCTTCTTAGACATGTATTCATTCAGTCCCTAAAATAGAGAAAGCAATGTCATTTATTAAACATACATTTTTTAATCAATCATCTTCAGGTAAATTATCTAACTGAATTTTCACAGTTTCAAAGATATCCTATACATTATAAAACTAAGACAATTCGGGCTGTAATGGGTTGGTAATTTTACATTATAGTCACACAAGTAGAAGGTTGAAGGGCCAGCCTTTAAACCTCTGAAAGTAAGTACAAACCTAGGCTCTTTGAACCATACCAAAGATTCTTTTTGAAATCATGGTCTTACTGGAAAGAAAAAGGAGATTATAACTCGAAGTTTCTCTGTAGTCTCTTCTGTTCCACTTGCAGCATAAAATGCATTTTAAAAGTTGAATAGCATCTCCTTTAGTAATTACATGGCCAACGAAGCTCATTTGCCTGCAGGTTGAAGGAAATCATTCTGGAAGTTTCCTTCTGGAGTATTACTTTCTCTCAACTACCAACTACATATTGAACTCACAATTGTACTGGTATGTTAGAGATCCATAGGGGAAGAAGGGTCTTAGCAAAAGTCAGTTTCCAGAAGATGTAGAGACTGTTCAGAGGCAATATTAAGAAAGTAGAGGACTAGACATAGGTTATTGAGGACAAAGTGGAAGGGTTTCAAAAGTTGAGGCCTAGGTGAGAAATGGGATCAGATGAGAGAATACAGCCCTATTAGAAGTTGAGAGTCCAGGAGACAGCAAATGACCTGGAGGTCCTGAGCTTTGAGAGGTGACTAATAGGAACAGGAATGAAGGCACAGTGGAATTCATTCCGAAAAGCTTCAAGGCAGATGATGCTAGGGTGGCTATGAATGTTGAATGGAGGGAGGAGTGGGTAGTAGATGAGGACTGAAACTAACTAAAAACAGAATGAGTCCCCTGTGGGAAAGCAACCAGTGTTTGATGATACAACAAATCACAGAAGGAGGGGAGGACACTCCCAATGAGAGAGCAAGAAACTCCTGTTGACTCATCTAAGAAATCTGAATTCAATACCCCAATTCTTCTGCCACAAACATTTGACTATCACTTATAAGTCCTTAAATTTAGCATAATGTTGCCATTTTCAGCTTCATTGTTCCAGCTATTAGATCTAAAGGAATATCACTGTCACCTGATTAATAAAATATAGTACTTCCCAGGTATGACATTTTAGTATGGCTCTCTTTTTCTTTACTAGAGGTCTATCAAAACATATTCATCTCAGTTTCAATGTAGACAATTTAAAACCTTGCTGAGTAATTTCAAGGACATGGTAAAAGATAAAATTATCTGAGAGTTAGCTTAACTGTATTCACTACTCGCATGCTTTAAGACCCATGTCTGCCTTATTGCAGTGAGCCTATTTAACCACCACAATTTTATTGCAGGATATAAGGCAAACTGTGATCAAACTACCAATCAAGGTAACCAGATGAAGTGTAAAAACTTAATGTTAACTCCATAGTTCATATAAGAACACTTTGTGATATAATTTTTCCTTCTTTGGTTTTAGGAAGAAGATGATTCTAGTTAAATAAGTTTCATACATTAAACTAGGTACATTCAAATACAAATTTGGTCCCAGTAAACATATTTTACTTTTCTAGGTAGCTTATTCTGTTACAAAATTTACAACCTGTACAGTTAGATTTTCTTTTTAATCTGGCTCTTATTTTCCGAAAGCATGTGCCATCCCTTCTGCCTAGAATAATCTCCCTACCTATTCTGTTAGAAAATTTTTTTCAGCATTTAAAACTGAATCCAATCATTTCCTTTGTAAAGGCTTCCTTGACCCTCCTATCTCCACTGCTACATCTCTGAAGTTAATCATTTCATCCTCTGAACAATTTATAGATATATTAAAAAATTACATATATAAATAAATATATATTTTTGTCGTATTATTTTACAATTCATATACATGTCTGTCTCAGTGATTATTCATGGGAATACATTATATTATTTTCATTAGTATATCCACAGAATAGTAACTGTTCTAAGTACATGCTCAATAAATTTTGTTACATTGAACTATGTTTGGGCTTGTGGACTAATTTGTCACTTCCTTAATTTTGGCCAATTTTGCAATGGTGTTTACCGAAATTAATATATATGGTTAAATACAGTGAAGATAGTCACTAATCAGATATGAATACTTCCTTAGGGCCATTAGAGTCTAGGGCAGAGAAAAAAAAGCATTGCCACCTCTGAAGTGTCTCCATTACTGGAGTTTTTTTATTGACTGAGAAATTTTTAGATGGTATATCTCCATCCTCCTTACCCCATTCTTCTTTCTCCTGGATCCTACATCTTCTGGTACTTTTCCCTTCAAAAGTTGGGCATTTCAAAAATGTAAAGGAACCCCTCTTGCCACACACTTAATTAAGAAAAAGCTTCTATGTAAGATTGTTTCTCAAACTTGAGTAAAATATAGACCTTTCTTAAAATGAAAAAAAATTTATCTATTACTAGTGTTAACTGATATTTGTTATGTTACTAAGATATGTATAAGAATAAGAAAGAGTAGGTATAAACTCATGTATTATTTTAGAACTAAACAAACCGAAACACATTTCTAAATTAAATACATAAATCTAGGACTTACTTAATTAAAATCAATATATTAATTAAATGTTATATAAATGTCACTGTTTGACATTTAAATGTCAATATTGAATTCAATAGTACAAACATGCATTTTCTTGTCTTATGCTTTACTTTTTGTGGACTTAATTTTGTTCTCTTGTACTGCCTAGGCTATTCTGTGTATATTTTCCATTATTACTATCATTTTAATTTCTTTTTTAACAGAAACATTTTTTGTAACTATGAAAATATTATTTTAGTGGACCAATTAAATTAACGATGCATAATAAAATATAATAATGGAAAAATTAAAGGGCCATTTAACAAATATTTCTTCATTTTATATTTACTACTGTACATTTTGCCAGTGAGCTTGTACAAGTTGGTAGAAACAAACAAATGGTTCGCCCAACATATTTGCTTGCAATCTGAACTGACTGTTTTGGCACAAGTCCATTTGAGTTTAGCATGCCTCTGTTAACATGGTGCTCTGATAACTTTTAACCATCACATAGCACCAAACTGATCATAAACCCAAAAGCAAACCAGAGCACAGAAATCTGTTGGAAAATTAATTTTTAATTTGGTTCTGCAGATGACTCATTTACTCCTGTGTTTTGTCTCCCAGATTTAATGGGACTTTACTGCTGCGTCTTGGAAGTGTCTAGGAAACCTCACTGGGTAGTGTCTCCATCAAGACATCTTCCCACTGTTGGTCATTGCTATATATAATACACTGTATGATCAAGAAGTCACTTTATTTCTTGACTTGAGAAAAGCACAGGTAGCATAGTAGCATTCGCCACCTAAGTACTTTCCTCTCGAAACATAAAGATTACTGGAACCCTTTCTTATTATGCCAGCTTTTTCTGTGTTGGCCAAAAGAATTCCCTGTCTCTATTTGGTCCTCCAAAACATTTTTGTTTCACATAGTCATCCAATTCTTGCCTCTCTTTATGTTGTATTCCTAATTTGTTACACACATGCAATTAATTATAATTAAAGGTCGGGAGTTATAAACACTGTGAGAGTTTTATAACATAAAGTTGTAGAAGACTTCAGATAAGTGAGAGATTCCTTTCATCCAGGGTATCTGAAAGGACAACTTGAAATACAGTAAATGAACAATATCCATATCCACAATCATATGTTGTTGTTGTAGTAATTTTCTGGTTCCACTCATCCCTAGCTAGCACTCAGTTTCCTTCTCTTTTCCAACAAATGTCTATCTGCTTAACCACCAGGATTGGAGCCTAAACAAAGATATATGGCAGCTGGCAGCTCCATGCAAATTACAGAAAGTTTCCCATTCTTTCCAGGTAACTGTAGCTCAGCACCAGATTGCATAGTTCGGTAAGCAGGGCGCATGCTGATTTTAAGCCCTCATTTTTTCCCCCATGGTTGAGTGCTCCATTTCAAAGCATGACCTACACAATTGCCTATGATGGCATTGACCATGATTCACTCAGACACTGTCACATAAACCAATTTAGATTAATAAAATACAAAAAGAACATTAATGGGGGCTTTGGAAAATTAAATAAAAATTATCTTTGTTCTATGGAATCTATGAAAAAGGCACTTTGTCTTACTGGACATGAATAAGAAAGCAGATACTGTTAGTTCCTGCAGGTTGATATCATAGGGCCATAAAGTCTTGGGATTAGCTTTAATAGGAAGCTATATTAGTTAGGCTATAACAAACAAAAATGACTCAAAAACAATATGGTTTATTTCTAATTTAAATAAATTCCAAGTTTTTGATTGCTTTTTTTATTTTCAGGGATACAAGAGCCTTACATTTTTAAAAACAACTTTATGGAATTATAATTGATGTGCAACAAACTGCATATATTTGAAATAGACAAATTAGAAAACTTTTGAAGTATATATTTACATGTGAACATTCTAGATCATTATAGATTATTCTTTTTTTCCAGCCCCAGATAGTCTTCTCACACACATTTGCTGATCAGTACTTTGCTGAACACTTAAGGTGTACCCTCTGCATATCTCCTTAGTTCTCTTTCTGTGCAGCACTTTCCTTTCTATTATGCTGTTTTGTGAACTCCATCTGCCTGGGTCCCTCCCAGACTTATATCTGATGCCTCATTTTAGAAAATATGCTGGAATCTGCTTGGGTTCCTACTCCCTGAGCTGCATCTTGCAAATTCTCTCAAGGCAGTAACCTGGAAAAGTTGTAGGACCCACTTGTGTGTTGTTTTTTAAGGATTACTAACTATCCTTCAATATCTGACTTATATGTCTAATACATAGAAAACTATTGCTTCAAATATTTTGTAAAATTTATTCATTGTTTCAGAAAGGAAGATATATCTATGCCCTTTCTCCCACTCTAGTTAGAAGCAGAAGTGCCCAGTCTCCTTATATCTTGTGGCTCCTCCATTCTCAACATACAGCTTGCATGATCTCTATGCTCATTTCTGTCAAGCCATAGAAAAAGAAAGAGCCACATGATCCACATGAAGAATCACATGTGAGTACTTTCTGTGAGTCAAGTCTAAAAGTGGTTGCTAACTTCTGCCACATTTTGCTGGCCAGATCTTAATCACATGGCTGCACCTGACTGAAAGGTCAACGGGAAAAAATACTCAAACTGTAATTACAGGAAAAAATAGGAAATGCTTTTTGGTAAATGGCTAGCCAGTCTCTAACACATTGTGCCTTTATAGGCATCAAACATATATTTTACCTCTCCTCCCACAAAGTACAAGATACTCATTTCATCTCATGGGAGACAACCTGTAGTCACATACAGTTATTTATGATCTTCCAGTACTATCCTCTTCTCTTCATCAAGCCTGATTATTATCTCTAATAATCCCACAGCATTTGAAGCAAAAATTACTTATTTTCTCCTCTATATCCACTCAATAAATAGTATTGGAGCAGGGATAGGATAATTAAAAAGAAAAAGTAAACAGTAGGATTTCTACTACAGTCAGTAGTGCACAACAATGATGAAAATCCTGCCAGGCAAGAATTGTGAAGTCCCACTCTCCTAATAAATGGAGAAAATTCCTTGATTTGACTTTTATTTTGCCTTCTGAAAAGAACTTTTTCACTCCGTTTTCTTCAGGCTGACTTCTCTGTCTGAGTATTTCCTATTAATTTCTCCAGCACCTTTCATGGTGATATATTTATAACAGCCTATTTTAAGCTAATAACAACTTAATCGTTGTATATATTAAATATGTATAGCTTTTTGTGTATCAATTATACTTCAATAAAGTGAGCTTATTTTTTTAAAAAAATTTTTTTAGTATGTTTATAGGCAGATGAAACTATCTGGAAGCAAATAAGTTTACTATATTTTGAGGAAATTGAATTGCTAAAGAAGCCATGAACGAATACAAAAAAAAAAAAATGCCTTGACCAGTCAAGGCTTAAAAATCTGGAAGACTGTAAGATAAGAAAAGGGGAGCAAAAGAACTACAAAAACAGACAGAAAACAAGGAACAGAATGGCACTGGCAAGTCCTTATCTATCAATAATTACTTTAAATGGAAATGGATTAAACTCCCCAATCAAAAGCCATAGAATGGCTTAATGGATAAAACCAGATCCAGTGCTCTCTACAAGAGATTCGCCTTAGATTTAAGGACACACAGACTGACAGTGAAGGGATGGAAAAAGATATTTCATGTAAATAGTAACCAAAAGAGGGCAGGAATGGCTTTTGCCCTCTTAGAGGGCAAAAAATAGATTTAAAGTTAAAAACAGTCATAAAAGACAGAGAGGGCTATTATATAATAAAAAAGGGTCAATTAAGAAGATATAACAATTATAAATACATATGGACCTAATATCATAGCACTTAAATATATAAAGCAAATATTTATTTATAGATCTAAAGGGAAAAATAGACAGCAATACAATAAAAATAGGAGATTTCACCCCATTTTCAATAATACATAGAACATCCAGACAGAAAACCAGTAAGAAAACAGGAAACTCGAAGAGCACTATAGACCAAATGGTCATGACAGATGTATACAGAACATTCCACCAAACATCAGCAGAGTATACATTGTTCTCAAGGGTACATGGAGCATTCTCCAGAATAAAGTTTATTTCTAGATATAGTTCTAAAGCCTGATTCATTTTTATTTTTGATTTATCATCCGCATATCTGCCATTCACAATAATGATAGTTAACTGGAAACCATTTGAAATAGTTTGTAGCAATAATACACACTATTTGGCCATTGTTGCTCAAAGCCTATTTATAATCTTATCTTTTACTGTTTCAAGTCTAGAATTAATCATCTTTCCCCTTCCCTTTAGGTCCTAAATTCTGGAATCTATATATTGTCTTTCAATTCTGACTGAAAACTGACTTTTAAATAGGCTAATCTCTTTCTTCCAATGATTTGTCAGCAAAGCAACAAATAGTAGCAACACATATTCACATTGTGTATCTTTTCAATCACTTTTCCTAATGTTACAGGCTCATAGTCTACCTTCTACATTACTGAAGCATTTGCTTTATTAAATTATTTTTCTATTGTATAACATAGATCACTATTTTTTTCAGCATATTCTATTATTAATCCAACTATAACTAAACCAGTCCTATAAAGTTTAGGTTGTTCTTGAGGCATCATTCCACTTCTGGTATCAATATTTTAATGTAAGTCAGTAAAGTAATGTAATGGCTCAAACAGCATAACAATTTATTTCCCTTTTACATAAAGTTTAAATAGGTATTCATCATTGGCAGTGGCTTTCCTGCAACTGGCTTGAACCTGGGCTTGCCACGTACAGTTTCTAGGATTGTGGTGCCTTTCTTCATCAGTTTGCGGAAGGAGATAGCATCAAGAAACACACATAGGCTAGACGTGGAAGTAAACAAAATTTTGCCCACTGTCTCCTGGCCAGACTTTAGAGACATGCACAAATTTACCTATAAGGAAGGCTAGGAAATACATACAATCCAGTGGTGTCATCAGGAGAAAGAGCTAAAAATTTTAGTGTATAGCTATGCATTTTATACACAGAAGCCAATACTATGGAAGATAGAATAGGAAGACAGAAAAAACTGGATCTTTCTTGACTTCTTTGAGCTACTGGATCATGTTTCACCATATTGCTAGACTGAATATTTGCTAACATTCCTTTTATTGTTGAAGGTGATTTTAGTTGGAACTCTGCTACTTGCTATGCCAAATCTTATGATTAATGCAATTGCCAAATAAATTTCCCATTAATATCAACTAACAAACCAAACACCACCTGCTGCCTCCCTGTTATCTATTTGTATGATGCACAGTATGAATGTTTGATGGTTCAGTTGCCAATGAGTACCTGATAAAATATCAGGTCTGCATCCTGAGAGATTCAGCTTGGTCCAAGAGATGAGGCTTCAAAATACATGAGACAAATGTTTGGGAAGTCTAACTCCAAGTCTGAAAGAGACCTTGGAATCCATGTTTATTTGAGAGTAAATCTTGTAGTAGGAATGTGGTCTGTGATAATCCACTAAGGCCTCAGTATGTACTGCCACACTTTGAACTTTCCTAGAGCAGAAGAATTTCCACAAATTAGTCCCTGGTTTAAACTTGACTCTTGTTTTGTTTGTTCTTTCCATGTTAGAGATCATCTGAGCCTAAATCACACTTCTTGATGATAACAAGTCTGAACTCAGACCTTCAACTAAATTCAAAATGTTCTAAGCACTAACCATTGAACTAAATTCAAACCAGTCCTGGGTCAAAATAGAGCAAAATATAGTTCCCACCTTCTGATGTCTTCCTTATTTTATTTCCTTTCTAAGAACAAAAGGAAGCACATTTTACCATTTCTTTCTTCTGTTTTTGGGAATCATTCATTCATTCATTCCTTTAGTTAACAAATGTTTATTAGAAGTCTACCATGTAGCAGGCAATCTGAAATGAACTAGGAAAAAGCTAGATTAAGTTACTTCAATAAATCACAGGGAAAAGCTCATAGAACCTTTAGGCAATGTGTAGAATTATTGTATGATATCATGGGAAAAGCACAGGCTTTGAAGCCAGATACTACTGAGTTTAAACCTCAGTTCAATTTCTTACAGGTGATGTTAATTATGAAATTAAGCAATCCTTTTCTGATCTTCAATTTCATTTGTAAAATGGAGCTAATACTTATATTTCAGGATCAGGCTGATAGTTAAATGCTAGTAAAAATGCTTGACACAAAGTAGGAGTATAATGAATATTCCTTCCTTTCCTGTTTCCTTTCTTTCTTCCTTCTGTCTCACCTTCCCTCTCCTTTCTTGTGCCTTCTCTTCTTCCTTTCCTCTTTTCTGTTTTTCTTCTTTCTTTTCCAACATCCTAATTTTCTTTTTTCAGGTAAACATGCTAATTGACTAAATTCCCATCCTCCAAAATTGCATTAAAATCTCAACAGTACTCCTTAGCACAAATGCCCTAGATTATATGCCTTTTGAATACACTATTGATTGAACAATTTAATCACTTTGAATAATATAATCAGGAATATAAATAAAAATACATTTTATGAGATACGTACTTTCTTCTCTTCCTAAACTACTACACGGATAGTATCTTCTGATTCTAAAAGTAGCACATCAATGCACAATTTTGAATATGTCCATTGCCACTTTCCAGATATATCTTACAGGTATAACTCATGAAGAATATTTAGACATTCAAACTAATAAGCACAAAGGGTTGAACACTAAAAAGATGGTAGGAGAAAATATTTTAAACAAGATGCAGAAGAACATGAGAATTCAGTAAAGTCAGTAAACTTGTTTATTTATCTAATTGACCATTCTTGATTTGAAATACTACTGGTTTGATTTATTTCATTTTAGTAAGAACTATAGCAGATAAACTGGAAATAAATGGGTTTTTCTTGACTCAATTTGCTTTTATTCATCTTGAAATGCAGTATTCATTTTAGTGCCTTAAAAATTTAGTCTAGCCAGCAAAACCCTCCCCACAAACACCCTACCCCCACTGCCATCACCAACAGCGTGAGGATATGCAGGAACATTGCTACCCTGCTCCTGACAGTGCCCTGTATGTGTACCCTGCTGCATTGCCATGGCTATTGGCACACAAGATAAAGCATAGATCATGCTGCCACCACGCTGATGAAGTGCTTTGGCCAGCACCATACATCAGCGTGTTATGGCCAGCAGGCCAAAATACCTCAGTTTCTGTAGCGCAGCAGTTTCCTAACATCAAGGGGCCAGAGAACAAAACTATCATCCCAGTACTACCACCCAGAGTTAGAGCACATAGCTCAGGAATGCCAAGCCGAGACTTGGCTCCCTAAAATCTTCCAGAAATGAAGCTAGTCAACTGAACCAATCTTATACTGCAATTCAATCTCCAAGGTCATCTAAGAAGACAAAAGCAAACAACCTCATCCAAGGGTCAGCAACTTCAATAACTGAAGGAACATTAGCCCACACAGATGAGAAGGAACCAGTTCAAGAACTTTGGCAACTCAAAAAGCCATCATGTCTTTTTACCTCCAAATGACTGTACTAGTCCCCAGCAATGTTTCTTAAACAGGCTGAAATGTCTGAAATGACAGACAAGGAATTCAAAATATGGGTAGGAACAAAGATCATTGAGATTCAGGGGGAAGTCAAAACCTAATCCAAGGAATCTAAGGAATGTAATAAAATGATATAGAAGCTGGATCATGAAATGGCCATTTTAACAAAGAATCAAATTGATCCAGCAGATTTGAAAAACTGACTTCAAGAATTTCATAATTCAAGTATAAACAGCAGAATAGACCAAGCTGAGGAAAGACTCTCAGATCTCAAAGACCAGTCCTCCAAATTAACTCATACTGACAAATACAAAGAAAAAAGAATAAAAAATAATGATCAAAACCTCTGAGAGATATGGGATTATGTAAAGGGGACACATCTATGACTCACTGATGTCCCTGGAAGAGAAAGAGAGAGAGAGCAAGCAACAGAAAAATCATATTAGAGGATATCGACCATAAAAATTTCCCCAATCCTCACTAGAGAGGCCATCATTCAAATTCAGGAAATGCAGAGAACCCCTACAAGGTACTATACCAGATGAACATCCCCAAGACAAATAGTGGTCAGATTCTCCAAAATCAAAATGCAAAAAAAAATTAAAGGCAGCTAGTGAGAAGAGGTAGGTCACCTACAAAGGGAATCCCCTCAGGCTAACAATGGACCCCTCAGCAAACACCCTACAGTCTAGAAGAGATTGGAAGCCTATACTAAGAATTTTTAAGGAAAAAAATTTTCAAACAAAAAACATAAGCAAAGCAGAAATAAGAACCTTTACAGATAAGCAAATGCTAAGAAAATTTGTTGCCACCTGACCTGCCTTACAAGAGATCCTTAAGGGCCTGCTAAACATGGAAAGGAAAGACCATTACTAGTCACCACAAAAGTATACTTAAGTACATAGATCTTTGATGCTATAAAGCAACTACATAATCAAGTCTGCATAATAATCAACTAACAACACAACAACAGGATCAAATCTGTACATATCAATACTAACTTTGAATGTAAATGGGCTAAATGCCCCAATTGTAAGACACATAGTGGAAAGCTGGATAAATATGTAAAACCCAACTGTTTGCTGTCTTCAAGAGACCCATCTCACATGCAATGATACCCATAGCCTCAAATTAATGGGATGGAGGAAAAATCTACCAAGCAAATGGAAAGCAGAAAAAAGCAGGTGTTGCTCTTCCATTTCAGACAAAACAGAACACAAACCAACAATCATTAAAAAAGACAAAGAAAGGCATTACCTAATGGTATAAGGTTCAATTCAACAAGAAAACCTAATTTTTCTAAATGCATGCACCCAATACAGGAGCACCCAGATTCATAAAACAAGTTGTTAGATACCTATGAAGAGACATAACCACAAAATAATAGTGGTAGACTTCAACAGCCCACTGACAGTATTAGACAGTTCATTGAGGCAGAAAACAAAGATGTTCAGGACCTGACCTCAATATTTGACTAAATGGACCTAACAAACCTCTCCACCCAAAAGCAATAGAATATATATTCTTCTCATCAGCACATGGCACATACTGTAATATTGACCACACAATCAGCCATAAAGCAATTCTCAGCAAATAGAAAAAATACCTCAAAATCATATTAATCACACTCTCAGACCACAGTGCAATAAAAATAGAAATCAGTACTAAGAAGATGGCTCAAAACCATACAATTACATAGAAATTAACCTGCTCTTGAATGACTTTTGGGTAAACAATAATATTAAGGCAGAAACCAAGAAATTCTTTGAAACTAATGAGGACAAAGATACAACATACCAGGATCTCTGGGACACAGCCAAAGCAGCATTAAGGGGAAAGTTTATATCACAACCACCAGGATCAAAAAGTTAAAAAGATCTCACATTGACAACCTAACATCAGAGGAACTAAAAAAAAAGAAGCAAACCAACCCCAAAGCTAGTGGAAGACAAAAAATAACCAAAATCAGAGCTTAACTAAATGACATGGAGATGTGAAAAACCACACAAGATCTCTGAATCCAGGAGTTTATTCTTTAAAAGAATAAATAAGATTGATAGATCATCAGTTAGACAAATAAAAAAGAGAGAAGATTGAAATAAACACAATTAGATATGATAAAGGAGGCATTAGCACTGACCCCCCAGAAATACAAAACAAAACACCCAGAGACTGCCAGGAACACTTCAACACACACAAACTAGAAAACTTAGAAGAAATTGATAAATTCCTGAATACATACAAACTCCTAAATTGAACCAGAAGAAACTGAATCCCTGAATAGATCAATAACAGTTCCAAAATTGAATCAGTAATAAAAAGTCTACCAACCAGAAAAAGCCAAGGACCAGTTGAAACCACAGACAATTCTTCCAGATATATAAATAAGAGCTTGTATCATTCTGCTGAAACTATTCTAAAAAAAAATTGAGGATCAGGGACTTCTCCCCACCTCATTCTGAGGCCAGCATCATTCTGATACCAAAACCTGACTGAGACACTGCAGAAAGAAAACCGCAGGCTGCAGGCTGCAGGCTTCAGGCTGATATCCTTGATGAACACAGATGCAAAAATCCACAACAAAATAGTAGCAAACCAAATCCAGCAGCACATCAAAAAGGTAATCCATCATTATCAAGAAGGGTCTACCCCTGGTTTGCAAATTTGATAAACATCTGTAAACAAATAAATGTGATTCATTACAGAAACAGAACTAAAAATCAATCCACATGATTATCTCAATAGATGCAGAAAAGGCTTTCAATAAAACTCAACATCCTTTCATGTTAAAAACCCTCAATATCTAGGCATTGAAGGTACATCTATGACAAATCCACAGCCAATATCATACTGAATGGAAAAAAGCTGGAAACATTCTCCTTGAGAAAGAATCCACTCTCACTACTGCTATTCAATATGATATGGGAAGTTGAATAGCCAGCTTGATCAGATAAGAGACAGAAATAAAAGGCTTCCAAGTAGGAAGAGAGGAAGTCAAACCATCTCTGTTTGCAGATGATATGATTCCTCATATAGAAAACCCCATAGTATCTGCCCAAAAGCTCCTAGATCTGATAAACAACTTCAGCAAAATTTCAGGATACAAAATCAATTTCATTTCTATATGCCAACAATGTCTAAGGTGAGAACCAAGTCAAGAACACAATTCCATTCTCAATAGCCACAAAAGAATAAGATACCTAGGAATACAGCTAACCAGGGAGGCCAACGATCTCTGCAAGAATTACAAAACACTGCCGAAAGAAATCAGAGATGACACAAACAAATAGAAGAACATTCCATGCTCATGGATAGGAAGAATCAATATGGTTAAAATGACCATACTACCCAAAGCAATGTACAGATTTAATGCTATTCTTATCAAACTAACTATTGACATTCTTCACAGAATTAGAAAAAAACTATTTTAAAATTTGTACAAAGCCTAAAAAGAGTCTGAATAGCTAAAGTCATCCTAAGCAAAAAGAACAAAGCTGGAGGCATCACATTAGCTGACTTCAAACTATACTACAAGGCTTCAGTAACCAAAAAAGCATGACACTGGCACAAACACAGACACATAGATCTGACAGAATAGAGAGCCCAGAAATAAAGCCACATACCTACATCATCTAATCGTCTACAAAGTTGACCAAAATGAGCAATGGGGGAAATGAATCTCTATTCGATAAATGATGCTGGAATAACTGGCTAGCCATATGCAGAAGATTAAAACTGGACCTCTTCCTTACAATATATAAAAAAATCAACTCAAGATGGATTAAAGATATAAATATAAAACCTAAGCATGTAAAAACCCTGAAAGATAACCTAGAAAATAGTATTCTGGACATAGGTCTTGGCAAAGATTTCATGCTGAAGATGCCAAAAGCAATTGTAACAAAAACAAAAATTGACAAATGGGACCTAATTAAACTAAAGAGCTTCTGCACAGCAAAAGAAATTATCAACAGAGTAAACAGACAACCTACAGAATGGAAAGAAAAATTGTCAAATTATGCAACCCACAAAGGTCTAATAACCAGAATCTATAAGGAACAAAAACAAATTAACAAGCAAAACACAAACAATCTCATTAAAACATTGGTAAAGGACATGAACAGACACATTTCAAAAGACAACATACACATGGCCAACAAGCATATGAGAAGATGTTCCACATCACTAATCATTAGAGAAAGGAAAATCAAAACCACAGTGAGCTACAAAGTCACACCTGTCAGAATAGCTATTAATCAAAAGTCAAAAAATAACAGATGCTTTTGAGGCTGTGGAGAAAAGGACACACATACACTGCTGGTGGGAATGTAAATTAGTTTAGCCATTGTGGAAAACAGTTTGGCAATTTCTTGAAGAACTTAAAATAGAACTCTCATTTGACCCAGCAATCCCATTATTTGGTACATACACAAAGGAGTATAAATTGTCCTACCATAAACACACATGCAGGTGTATGCTCCTAACAGCACTATTGACAAAAACAAAGACACAGAATAAATCTAAATGCTCACTAACAGAAGAGTGGATAAAGAAGATGTGGTACATATACACCATGGAATACTATGCAGCTATAGAAAAGAATAAAATCATGTCTTTTACAGCAACAGGAATGTAGCTAGAGGCCATGATCCTCAGTGATTTAATGCAGGAACAGAAAACCAAATAGCATGTGTTCTCACTTTTAAGTGGGGTAATAAACATTGAGTACACAGGGACACAAATAAGGGAACAATAGACACTGAGGCTTACCTGAGGGTGGAGGGTTGGGGGGAGGATGAAGATCAGAAAACTACCTATCAGGTACTATGCTTATTATCTGGGTGACAAAATAATCTGCACATCAAACCTTCATGACACGCAATTTACCTACATTACAAACCTACAAGTGTACTCCTAAACCTAGAATTAAGTTAGAAATATAAATAAATAAATAAATAAATAAATAAATAAATAAATAAATGTCAATGGAACACACAGAGAATTAAAATAAAAATTGAGTCTATAATTATACATTATCATATGTATTAAGTTGGTGCAACAGTAATTGCAGTTTTTTGCCATTACTTTCAATGGCAAAAACCACAACTACTGTTGCACCAACCTAATAGTATCTTATAAAGAATTTGGCCAGGCACAGTGGCCCATGCCTGTAATCCCAGCACTTTGGGAGGTTGAGGCTGGAGGATTGCTTGAGCTCAGGATTTGGAGGGCAACATAGTGAGACTCTGTACCTACAAAAAGTTAAAAAATTAGCCGGGTTTCGGCATCCCTATAGTTCCAAGCATGAGATTTTGTTCTTATTTTTTAACACGTTACATATGAAATGCATGAGTGGCTGAGGTGGGAGGATTGCTTGATCCCAGATGGTCGAGGCTGCAATGAGCAGTGATTGCACCACTGCACTCCAGCCTGGATGACAGAATGAGATCCTGTCTCACAGAAAATTGTGGGGATAGAAATTTTTTTTTTTTTGGTGAAGTCTCACTCTGTCTTCCAGGCTGGAGTGCAGTGGTGCAATCTTGGCTCACTGCAAGCTCCGCCTCCCGGGTTCATGCCATTCTCCTGCCTCAGCCTCCCGAGTAGCTGGGACTGCAGGCGCCTGCCACCACACCCAGCTAATTTTTTGTATTTTTAGTAGAGACGTGGGTTTCATCGTGTTAGCCAGGATGGTCTCGATCTCCTGACCTCGTGATCCGCCCACCTTGGCCTCCCAAAGTGCTGGGATTACAGGCATGAGCCACTGCACCCGGCCCCTTGTGGGGGTAGAATTTTTTGTTGTTGCTGAATATCACCTCAAATTAAATCTTTAATTTAAAAAACCTAAGTTTTTATTAAGTTGTGTGAATTGCTTTGACACACTCCAGATGAAAAGTGCTAAGTATAATTAGATGTGGATAATTTGCTTATGCTAAAAATTATGTTCAAAGACCACAATGATTTTTTTCTAAAATTTGCACTTTGGAGAAAGTCTCAAGATACATAAAACATAATGTATATAGCTTAAGAAGATTATTTTTATTACTTTCTATTTCATTTTGGAAAAAAAGTGGATGTTTTTATTATCGTTTGAGAAAGGAAATGATATTTTCTTAAAATGCTGTTTCCTGTGATATATCACTTCATATGTAATGTGTTAAAAATAAGAACAAACTCCCATTAAGATTCTAGTGCTGTTATATTTAAAAAGCTCTATTTGGGATCAAAAACGATAATTTGCTGAGCTTTATCTTAAACATACTTTAAAGGGACAATGGACCATGACTGAATGAACTGCATTTCATAATGTTTGAAGCCAAAGAAATCTTCGTTATATAAACAAGTAAAACTAAGAAATATACCTACATATGTAATATTGTCTTAACTGTACTTACATATCTACATATACATTACAAGAGAAATAAATAACAGAATAAAATGCAAAAAAATTGGCTATGATTGTGCTGGATGACGAAACTATGAGATCTATTTTTTCTACTTTTTATATTTGCCAAACTTCTTGAAAATGCATCTGCATGAATGTATGCTAAAAAAGATAAAAAATATCCCCTCTTTTGTCGGAGTGGTAAATGAAAACTCAGAATTTTATGTATGCATTGGCAAAAGCACTTATGATTTACTAATAACTCTAAAAATAAATCATTTTCTTTTTTGCAGCTATATCTTGCTTCTTCATAAAGTGGACAGTAACATACTTACAGACTGGTGAAGAGAAGTTCAGAAAATTGTTGCTGTTCAGCAATAATAGTTCATATTTCTTAAGCACTTACTCTAGTAGACTATATACAATAACTCAGTACTCAGAACAACCCTATAAGGTAGTACCACTTTTATGTCCATTTTATAGGGGCAGAAGCTGAGGCACAGAGAGGTTAAGAATCATGCTCATGGTCACACAACTAACAAATGGCAAAGCAAGAATGAATCCAGGCACTTTGACTTCAGGGCCAACAGGCTTATTATGCCTGCACTTACCAAATGTCTACTATGTGCTTTGCACTTTTGATTATGCACCATTGCTTAATGGAAAGGATGATGACCTCAGATCTAGATGGTTCTGGGTTTAAATTCCAATTTAAATAAGTTCAAGAGATCTATTGTACAATATGGTAACTACGGTGAATAACAATGTATTATATTCTTGATAATTGCTAAAAGAGTAGGTTTTTAAGTGTTCTTACCATAGAAAATGATAAGCATGTGAAGTAATGTGTATATTAATTAGCTCAATTTAGCCATTCCACAGTGTAGACATATTTCAAAACAATGTGTTGTACATAATAATATAATATTTGTGAATTAAAAATAGTACATGCATCATAAAATACAAATTTCAACTTAAGTATTTACATGTTATATGTCTTTAGAAAAGAAACCTAGCCTCTCAGCCTGTTTCTTCATAAATAAATGCAATAATGGTACTATTTGATAATAAAAAAGAATAGATTTGAATTACATATTAGGTACGTACACAAAAAAACTCTGAGGCACATTAAGTAACTTCCCCAAAGATCATACCAGTAGTGAGTAGTACAGCCACAGTTCAAACTCAGGTCTGCTTGATGCAAGACAGCATGTGCTACAGAGTTTCAGAGAGGCTGGGGAATCACTTCTAGTTGACAATGTTCACTGATACTTTCACAGAGAAGATTGAATTATTTTAATCTTTATTTTTATAGCATGGGTAATAGAGTTCTTTTAGTCTTACAGTGTAAATCTTATGTTTAGTCTTAGAATATTAGTGTCTACTCTTACTGAAGAGTTTTTAAAATCTTATAGCATGGGAAAAGAGGCATAGTGACAAATTGTGACTTAACTTTTCTATAGTGATGTCTTCAATGTCCTAACAATTGCTCAGTTACTTATCTGATGTAATTTTCACCACTACGGAGGGTGGATAATATTCATCAAATTTTACTGCTAAAGAGCCTGCAGCTCAGAGAGAATCAATGACTGCTCAAGATCACGCTTCAAATAAGTTGTAGAACTTGTACTAGACCCAATAATTTGTATTTTTCAGTAAGATTTGAAAAGCCATGAATGCAAAGTTAAGAGTTCGCCTCCCAGCATACAGTGTCCCAGGGATCTGCTACAAGTGTTTCCTACTTTCTGCATATATGACCATCATTTTCCTTGCTGAGACCCATAATTATAGCCTTTTCTGATGTAATTTTCACCACTACGGAGGGTGGATAATATTCATCAAATTTTACTGCTAAAGAGCCTGCAGCTCAGAGAGAATCAATGACTGCTCAAGATCACGCTTCAAATAAGTTGTAGAACTTGTACTAGACCCAATAATTTGTATTTTTCAGTAAGATTTGAAAAGCCATGAATGCAAAGTTAAGAGTTCGCCTCCCAGCATACAGTGTCCCAGGGATCTGCTACAAGTGTTTCCTACTTTCTGCATATATGACCATCATTTTCCTTGCTGAGACCCATAATTATAGCCTTTTCAGTCATGCTTGTCAGCCCAGTGTTCCAAATCTTCTTTTTTTCTAGTTCTGCTAACTTTTCTGTATAATAAATGCCAGGCAGCACTAGCTAATTAACAAACAGCAGACAATGCATGTTGATACATAACTCTTACTCTTCCAAGCCGATATTTACTTCCAGTGACTTGTGACCTCACTGTGAACCCAAGTGGCAATAAAGCTACCACCGTGATTAGGGGTAGAATAAATGTAATCTGCTTAGCCTTAGTTGAAACTGTGAAAATCTCTTTCATCTTCAATTATTATTTATTTGGCCCATTTCTCCGGGGGGCAAGGGGCTGTCTAATCTCTCAGGCTGAGCCTCAGGAGTCTGTAGCAACAGCAAAGAATGCCAGATCTGCATACCAAGAACTGGGAGTCTGGGCCATAAATCTAAGAGGCCACGGCCCCAATGGGGGTGGAGATAAGGAAGTTTCAGGAGCATGCTTGTTTGACAGTTATTCTCCAAAGGAACTGCTTTCAAAATGGATCAAGAAAAGTTCCTAGCATTGTACAATTTTTCTAAGTGGAAGAGAATAAATAAACTGTACTACCTTTAGAAACAATACATAATGTATAGTAAACTGAGACACTGCAGAGTGACTGAGGAGTGACCCCGCTAATTGAACTATTGCATTCCCAAGGGTTCTAATGTCAGCAAGGCAAATATGTGCCTTGGAGACTCACAGGCATTATTCCAGAACTGCCAAGAATATTGAAAATGTGTTTAAGAAGACCATATGCCCAGATTAGATTACCTTGGAGGAACTCAACTTTAATCAGTAAATAGTAAAGTTTTGGCCAAAGTATCCTTGCCTTAAATGGAGAAAGCATTTGGGCATGGAGACTCATGCTTATAATCCCAGCTATTTGGGAAGCCAAGGCAGAAAGATCAGTTGAGGCCAGGAGTTCAAGACCAGCCTGGGCAATACAGAAAGACCCTGTCTCTACAAAAAAGAAAAAAAAAATTGCTGGGCAAGTTGGCACACAGCTATAGTCCCACATATTCAGGAGGCTGAGGTGGGAGGACCACTTGTATCCAGGAGTTCAGGGCTACAGTGAGCTATGATTATACCACTGCATTTCAGCCTGGCTGACAGATTGAAACACTTTCAAAAAAATAAAAGGTGAAATCAGCAGCAAACACTTGTTCCATGGGTCTTGGAGTTTGCGACGCCTACAACCCTGATATTCCTGAGACTAATAGTACCAAGCAAGTTGGAAGAATTGGTGCCTCTTTTTGGATTTATCATGGGATTATCAACCTCAAGCAGCCCAATAGCCATGTCTAGGGGTCCTCAGGTTTTTCTTATGTCTCTGTTCCCTCTAACATAGACCAATTTGTGCAACAATATACCTTGCTTGGGAAAGATGATTGATTCCAGCAGTCTTTATAAGTATCTCTTTTCCAAGGTGAACTGGTGGAATGAGGAGGCACCAATCATCTGTATGGTTTTGCAAAGATCTGGGAAACAAACTCTGATCAATATAAAAATATCGCCAAACACCTTTAACTGGTAGACGTGAGTCTAATAGATCAGAACTAAGAGTTTATTTTTCTTTCACAAGAAAAAAAAATCAAACAACAGCAACAACTAAATCTCTCATCTTTTCTCTTTGCCTGCATTTTCTATCTTTGTTTTGAGTTCTTCTTAAAGTTCTAAATATAGGGTAGTCATTAGGTGACTTGGGGGAAAATGGTAGAAACAGCCAGTTTTCCCTTCCTCCAAGGTTGCCCCTAGTTGAGCTCAGCTCACTGAAAGGATCTTCCAAAATTAATACAATTTAAGAATTCCTGCTTCCCATAGGTCATCTATTATTTATTTCACTAAACACCTAGGTTATTGTTGAGGTTAAGATATGTCAGAGCTTGCAAATCTACAGGCAACATAAAATTTCAGTGCTATTTAAATACTTCTTATATGGTGGGTGAAGGTGGGGGGCCTGTATTAGTGTTTTTACACTGCTGATACAGACAAATCTGACAATGGGCAATTTATAAAAGAAAGAGGTTTATTGAACTCACAGTTCCACATGGCTGGGGAGGCCTCACAATCATGATGGAAAGTGAAAGGCACGTCACCCATGGTGGCAGACAAGAGAAGGCCTCTGGGCCTGTGATAGAGGGATAGAGGGGGCTGCCATGAAGACCTCTGAAATGCCCTGGAGACATTTTCCCCACTGTCTTGGGGATTAATACTCATCTCCTCATTACTTATGCAAATTTATGCAGCCGGCTTCTATTGATAACCAGTTTCTATTGATAAATATTTAGGTTGCTACTAAAAATAATGCTGCATTAAATATTTTGTGCATTTCTCCTCAGAAAATGGGTTTTTCTTTTCTATCGCATTGTTAGGCTGCAAATTTTCCAAACTTTTATGCTCTGCTTCTCTTATAAAACCTAATGCCTTTAACAGCATCTAAGTCACCTCTTCAATGCTTTGCTGCTTAGAAATTTCTTTTGCCAGATACCCTAAATCATCTCTCTCAAGTTCAAAGTTCCAAAAATCTCTAGGGAAGGGGCAAGATGCTGCCAGTCTCTTTGCTAAAACATAACAAGAGTCACCTTTGCTCGAGTTCCTAACAAGTTCCTCATCTCCATCTGAGACCACCTGAGCTTGAACCTTATTGTCCATATTGATATCAGGCTTTTGGTAAAAGCCATTCAACCATCTCTAGGAAGCTCTAAAGTTTCCCAAATTTTCCTGTCTTCTTCTGAGCCCTCCAAACTGTTCCAACCTTTGCCCCTTGCTCAGTTCCAAAGTCACTTCCACATTTTCAGGTATCTTTTCAGCAGCACCCCACTCTACTCATACCAATTTAGTGTGTTAGTCTGTTTTCACACTGCTGATAAAGACATACCTGAGACTGGGCCATTTACAAAAGAAAGAGGTTTATTGGACTCACAGTTGCATATGGCTGGGGAGGCCTCACAATCATGTTGGAAGGTGAAAGGCACATCTCACATGGCAGCAGACAAGACAAGAGAGCTTGTATAAGGAAACTCTCCTTTTAATACCATCAGATCTTGTGAGACTAATTCACTATCACAAGAATAGTACAAGAAAGATCTACCCCCATTATTCAATTACCTCTGACTAGCTCCCTACAACAACATGTGGGAATTTAAGATGAGATTTGTGTGGGGACACAGCTAAATCACATCAGGGCCCTGGGGGTATACATTTTCCAATAGTTTTTCTAGGAAGCTGCTGTGACATTATTATCAAAAATTGATAAAGAAAGTTTAATTGATTAAGCTGTATATTTATGTTTTGGGAACCTAGCACTTTTTAAAAAGTAGATAAATAGATCTAAGTATCTCTTCAAAATCAAGTTGCTAATTAAAAGTTTTCAATGAAAGACTTTGTAAACCAAGTTGAGCAAGTCTTCCAGAAAGTAGAATACAGAGACAAAAAGAATGAAACATTGTTTAAAAAGTCTTAATGGTGTCCTCGCGTTAGACTTTAAAATTTTGAGAGATTGGCCGGGCGCGGTGGCTCACGCCTGTAATCCCAGCACTTTGGGAGGCCGAGGCGGGCGGATCACGAGGTCAGGAGATCGAGACCACGGTGAAACCCCGTCTCTACTAAAAAAATACAAAAAATTAGCCGGGCGCAGTGGCGGGCGCCTGTAGTCCCAGCTACTCGGGAGGCTGAGGCAGGAGAATGGCGTGAACCCGGAAGGCGGAGCTTGCAGTGAGCGGAGATCGCGCCACAGCACTCCCGCCTGGGCGACAGAACGAGACTCCGTCTCAAAAAAAAAAAAAAAAAAAAAAAAAAAAAAAAAATTTTGAGAGATTGAGAACAAATAAAAAGAGAGAGAAAATTATCAAAGAAATAATGCAAGAATGCTTCTGATAAATGAAAAGCATCTGTGTCCAGATGAAAGAGACCGCTTGGTGACTTAAACCAAGATGTGTTAACTGTAAAATTTCAAAATTTCAAGAATAAATAAAAAATAAATAGTAAATCCTTAAAGATTTTCAAGATAATTACATATTAATTTCATTGATTTTAAAACCAATCCATATATATCCTAGATAATTTAGAAAAGTATAAAGAAGAAAAATGTTTGTTCTAGTTATATGTATAATCATGTACATATATTTATAAAATCTGGATAATTGATATATGTATGACATATATATGTAATTTTATATTTAGCTTTTTTCCAAATAATACAATAGCATGAATATTCATTCCATTAATATTCTTCATAAACATGATGTTTAATGGCTATAAAATATTAAATTTTATGGATATGACATTGTCTATTTAGCCAGTTTCTATTGAAAAATATTTAGGTTGCTACTAAAAATAATGCTGCATTAAATATCTTGTGCATAAATCTTGGAAAGACTGCCTGATTATTTATTTGGGACAGATTTTTAGAAGAGGAACAACTGTTTAAAGGGTACTTACTAGTTGTTGGATAATTATGCCTATCTTTAAGACCCTTCATGCATATGACCTGGTTGTTTTTGAGAAGGTGCTATCAATTTAGAGAAGATACTCAAAGGAGGTTAAAAGGGTGTATGAAGTAAAGGGATCAGGCTGACTCTGAAATTAGTGGCAGAGTCAGTAAGGGAATGCAGCCCAATAACTTCCACACTAGCAGTCTTTGTGCACTCATCTTCCCATTGCTTTTTATGGATGCCAGTAGCAAAGTTCAAGCCTCTTATAAAAAAATAAAATAAAATAAATAAAACAAAATGCCAGGTAGCTTACTGCATTTCAGGCTCAAAATTGTTGCCAATAACATAAGACATGGTCTTGCATGATTCATATTTTTCATTGTCATTAAAAGACTTACTGAGTGCCTGTAGTAGTCAAGACATTAAATACAGCCTGGCATAAACAAGTATGGACCATTTCTTGAGCATGCCAGTATCATGGAGCAGGCTGCACCTTGTGCTGGTAGGGTATATGCTTCTGATTTCATGGGCAGAGTCAAAGAGGAGGGCAACAAAATCTACAAAAAGAATGTTGGGGAGAGGTAGAATGGTGAAATGGCATACATATAAACTGCTATTATATATGCATGCTAAGCAGAGACATGACTTCTTTCAGACTCAAGGAGATTTATCATTTAAGGTTTGGTTTGGCTGCATAAACAGAAAACCCAACTCATCCAAAGGTTAAACCAAACAATGTATTCCTCTCACACATAAGTTCAGAGGTTGGGATAAGAGGAGTGAGTGTCCTATTGCAGTAGTAACTTTATTTTATTTTACTTTTTAGAGGCAGGGTCTTGCTATGTTGCCCAGTCTGGACTTGAACTCCTGGGCTAAAGTGAACCTCCCACTTCAGCCTCCCAGTAGTTGGGACTACAGGCAGATGCCAACATGCCCAGCTTGTAGTAATTTATTTTTGAAGATTGATCTGAGAGTGGTAAGGGATAGGAAAAAGCAGGGGAAACTGAATCAGGAAGATGTCCTTAGGGAACAACTACTTGATGAGATATTAAGAGGGACTGAAATGACAGCATGAATGAAAGAGACACCGGAGAGAAGAATTTGCAAGTTGGTGTTGAAATGGAAAAGTAGGGCACAAGCAGAAAAGAAGTGAAGATGATATCAAGGTTTGGATATTGGTGACCCTGGTGGGAATTTCAATCCAAATTGGGAAGAGACAGTCAATTCCCTTTCAGGCACATGGAGCTTGTCTTCATGAGCTAAGCCAGGGCTACTATGGCAGAGACACTCCAGGACAGCGTGAGTACCTTGTCTAACTGGTTTTGGAGTATCAGCCTGATCATGCCACCCATGAAATAGTGCGTTGGTTCCCTTAGGAGGGCACACCTCTCAGCGCTGATAAGATTAGTGTGATCAGAATGAGAAAGGTTGGCTAGAAAAATACTGAAACCTAAAACACCCAGCACTTGGTGGCCAGACAGGAAACTTCATTGTCTCTACACACTGAATGCTGAAACCTGGAACAGGAGCCACTGGAAATCCTCATCCAAGACCTATTCAGTACACATTTGACTTTAACTTTGTTTTCTTCTTTTGATATCAATAACATTTCCATAAAAATGAAATGAATATAGAAAAGCAGGAAAATATATAAAAAAGAAGCAATAATCTCACTATCCAGAGATAAACTCTAATATGTGGGTACATAATTTTCTGTACCTTTTTTCCATCGACAATGTGTGCATGTTTGTGTAAAATGGAAATTATGTATTTTATGCTAAATTGGGGACTCTAACTTTTTGTGATTTGTTGACCTCCCATTTAAAAATGTTATGAAAAAAATTGTGAACATTTTTCCAGCTGCAATATTTTCTTCAACATTGTTTATAAAGGCTGTATAATGTGCCAGCACATACGTATACCATTACAATATTTAACCTCATGTGTATTTAGGGAGTTGTGAATTTTTGTTTTTATAAGCAACACTGCAATCGGAATTCTTAAAGCTAAATCGTCACATACATCTTTAGTGATTTCCTTACCATAAATTCCTAAAAATGGAATTAACAAAGGGCACATGCATTTTAAGGTTTTTGATACATATAACCACATTTCCCTTTAACAACTTTTTCTTATGTTAGTCCCACCACAGGATCATATGATAGTATCCATTTTTTACATTCTCATCAAAATTGGATATTTTTAGTACTAAAATATATTTGTCAATTTAAAAAGTAAAAAATGGTATTACATTATTGCTTAATTTTCATACTTTTATTACTATCCTAGTGAAAAATACACTTTTCACATTATTGGCTTTTTGTTTGTCTTGTGTGGTCAATTGCTTATTTATATCTTTATCTAATTTAGTGTTTAAAAAATTATTAGAACAATTTAATATAAGGTATATTTCCTTTTGCCTGTCTTAAATGTTGTAAAATTTTTCTCATTCTGAAAGTATCATTTTTCTTGCTTCTGGTAATTGTTAATGTCTACACGTTTAGTTTTTTTTTTTTCCTTTTATTATTTCTGCCTTTCACATAATATTCAAAGGTCCTTTCTCCACAATAATAATGCATAAATATTCACCTTTTTGTTATAATAGTAATTTTGTGAAGTAGTGGAAATGCTGTCAGGAATTTGTCTGAGATGGGTAACAAAGAGAGAGGAATCAAGAGTGACTGAGTTTTTGAGCTTGGTAGACTTTGGTGAGGGTGGAACCACTGACCAAAAACCAGGAATACAGGAAAGGGAACAAGTCTGTTAGGGTAGATAATGAGTTCAGTTTTGCACATGTTGCATTTAAACTGTCTGCCAGAAAGCCTGGTAGAAATGCCCAACGGGCAGTTGGAACAAGTTTATGGAATGCAGGAGTAAGGTTGTGTTTTAAATACAGATATAGAAATCATCAGCAGACATTTGATAGTTTAACAACATGTTCTTTTCAGTGCATATCCTGGGCCAAGCACTATGCTAAGCACTTCACAGAATTTTATTTGGTCTTCTCAAAAAAAAAATAGGAGGTTAAAATTATTATCCTCATTTTATACATGAAGGGACAAGCTTGCAAAAGTTAAACTACTTTACAAAGTTCTTATGACTGGGTAGTGGTAGAACTTGAATGTGAAATCAGGTAAGCTCACCTGATTCCAGAGTTCCTAACCCCATTTGCTCTATTGTCACAGGAGTAGATGAGCTCAAGCAGGGAAAGTCAGAGTCCCAAGGATGAAGAATAGCAAACTTTAGTGGATGGGCAGAAAAGAAGGGAAGTTGTGAAGGAGTCTAAGAAGGTCAGAGTGGAAGGCAGAAGGTCATGTGTATACATGCTGATGCTTTAACCAGAATGGAAGCATTTTTGATGGCAGGGACTTATATCTTATACACTCTTTGAGATAAACGTGAGACCTTTCTTCTGACCCTGATCCTCAAAAAACTCTGTTACAATGCTTTGTACATAAATATTTCTTCGTTTATGCTGTGATGGTCTGTCAGTAATTTTCTTGCGTTAACCTTCTGAGCTAGACCCTACCAGTCTCTCTGTCATCACCCATTATGGAATAGGGGTTCATTCACTGTACAGCCTCAGTACTATCCTATCGCCTTCTCTGAGAGCAACAGAAGTAGATTCCTTGTATATGCTCTCTATGTGCACTGGGTCAGACCTCTCCCCACAAATGCACAGCATGCCACTTTTACTTGTGTTGACTTTCTGCCCGAGTTGGTGAGAGATTATGGGATATATCCTTTTATCTTTGAATCATAGATTTTTCTTTTCTTCCTTTATTGGCTGTTTCCCTGCATAGTTAAGACTTTATCAAATGGAAATAGAATCAATCTCTTTTCTTTATAGCCTGAATATTTAGTAGCATAGCAGAAACAAAGCTACAGTAGAAGCCTGGACCTGGAATTTATCACATGCTAAAGGAGTGTGGTATAGTAGAAAAAGCACAGATTTAGGAATTACTGGTTACGATTCTCATGCTGTCACTCCATATCTGTGACTTTGGAAAAATTATTTAAATTCTTTGAGCCCTATTTCCCTCATTATAAAGTGAAGATACTTGCTACAGAGTGGTCGTGAAGATCAAATAAACTTACCAAGATAAAGGGCTTAGCTCATTGTAGGTTCCCAGGATAAGGAAGTTGAAATTCTAGTACATACAGAATCATTTTTCTCCATGTTCTCAGATGCTTGCCTTTCGGCCATTCCATAGCTTATTTCCACTCATCCATGTTAGATGTGTTAGTAGAAAAATACACCCCGATTCAGCCATGCCTGTCTGGCACAGCTAAGGCACATAATTTTAGTTGGTGATAAATACACTGCTGAAAATGGTTTAGGTCATACTCTGGTTTTCTTGATTCATACTACTGGTGGGTTAAAAAATGCACTTACAATCAGTTTCTCATGATAACCCGTAAATATCCTATTGTAGTCTTTTTTTTTCTGGAAAAAAATCTAGCCAGAAATTTCTCATAGACTGAAGAGTATTTATTTCAAGAACATCCCATACAGAATCCATCTTGGCCTCTCTCCAAATAACCCAAAAGTTGCTTCCTACTTCTAGACATCTGCTGCAATCCTGAATCAATACTAGATGACTCAAATTGCAAGTTAGCACAGGTTTCAGACAAGCCTAGTGGGTAAAGAGAGAACTTTTTGAAGACAAGAAAGAAATAAGCTGCAACTTTAACTTGGCAGACCTATTTATTAAAATTGTGGTTTAGGAGAATTTTCCAAAGCCCCTATAGCTGTAGATCTCATTTGAGAGCCTCAACTTCTCCCTCTTCTTTAGGAATGAATATTCTTTAGGAAAGTCCTGGCTTGTTCCTGTTGTTTGGTGTAATTATTCATAGTGCCCCCTTTCACTCTCAAGAGTCATAGTTTGAATGATAAAATATATGGTCATTTCTTCCAGGCCTTTTGCAGAGTAAAATTCATCTGTTGTAAGATATATTTCTTGTATTAATCTAAGAAAAATTAGATTACCTTTTCTATAACAGAGCCCTTGGGACCCCATCTTGCAGTCATTTACATATTTCTTCAGAGCAATAATTAAAAGCTCACATAAGCTAATGAATAACTCCCCATGGCTCTCTTAATGGCAAAAGCAAATAATGTGACTTCACAGGGGCTCACCAAACACAGCAGCTCTAGGAGGAAAACATGAGGGTTTGTCCCTTCAAGTTTACATTTGCAAAGCAATTTGCAATCATTGTAGTTTTTCCATTTCATAAGACTAAGTACCCACATTGGACAGAAAGGGAATGGAGACTAAGAGAAACCTAATGCTGTGCCTTCTGGGATATCATTCTTGGCTTGAATTCTGAGCACTTTGTGGTCTCACACACCTTTTACAAACTTGAGTCATCAGCCTTCCCGACCTTGGTGAGAAGATGTGCTGTGGTTTAGCAATTTGAGGGTAGTAAGCTTGTCAAAACATCACCAGAGATGTTTTGAGAATTACTGTGGAGAACAGGTTTCCATGGTGCAGTGTGGCTGCTGGGAGGGGGACGAATGGCACAGCTGTTCTCTCCATGGGGAGGAAGCACTGGATCTTTTGTGTCAGAAAAAGCTGAGATCCTCCTGATAATCCTAAGCCATCTTGACAGGTATATGTTCAGGTTGGGGAAGATAGGTTCTGAAGAAGCATCATAATTGCAGGGGACAGGGTTGAATGAAAGAGGAGGCAAGAATGGTCTAGCTGCTTGATAATATCCTTTCCATCTATTCACTGTCTGGCTTGATCCAGTTTATAGTTTGTCCCTGGCTACCTGGCTCCCTGTCTGCAGCCTAGTTCTGAGTGTAGAAAATAAGTTCAAAGCAAGGAAGGGGAGTACATGAAGGTTTGTCCTCCAAAAAGAATGTTCTTGGATTGCCTTTGTCTTGTGGGAAAATGTACAGCAGCAGAGGAAAGAATAGCACCATGAAACCAGAGGAGAACTATGGCATCATGTTTGCTTTGAGATGGCCTTTCTTCCAAACCTAAAAGAGGAGAGAAAACATCACCTCTTTGGCAGTGGTGCTCTTGTGGGGTGACTAGAATCAGCTAGGGTGTCACTCCTACTAGACAATGTCTAGAAGACCCAGAATTCTGATATTTTAGAGTCCAAAGGACTTTCCAGAGATCTTGCAACCTAACTCCCTCATTTTACCCAAGGGACTTTCAGGTTCAGAGACCTAGGCGCCTTTTACGAAGATTTTACTGAACTGCTAGGCTGGGGTGCTTACCAAGCTACTGTAATCTAAAAGTCTTAAAAATATAAACCGAGAGTAATTTCTTCCCACTGTGAAGAATGATCATGAGACCTAAATGAGTACGGCTGGAAACAAAACTGCACATACTTCCTGCCTGGCCAAGGAACTTGCTCACCATGGTTGGCTGCTGTCCCTGAGAGAGGAATCTCCTACCCCCAGAGAGGCAATAAAACTGAAGCTTCAGGACCCCTTCCAAGGCCCTAGACCTAATTATATATTTTTGATTTTGCATTCTTTTGCTCAAAAAGCTACTTCCTCCAATTTTATCAGCTTCAGGACCAGAAATCCTGAACTTTGCCCTGCCTGTCCTACCTCATAAATCCAAATGTCTGATGTTCCAATATGCTCTTGCTCAAAAGAGAACAGATAAGGGTGAGGATGACTCTGCCGGGACCAGGCTTGGGAAAACAGTACGGGGCTGGTAAGAAAGTTGGGTTGGGTATAATTTTGAAGGCTGGCCCACAAGATGTCTCAAACTCCTACCTTGTTTCTACCCCAGGAGCTTGTTGGCCAGACAAAGCCTGTCTCTCAGATTTACAGACCCAGGATTTTAGAGCTGGCAAAGGTCTCATTTTGTCATCCTCCCTAATTTTGCAGGCATTTAGAATGGCTTAAGCATCTTGGGCTACTGAATTCCCCTCCCTGGGAAGTGAGGTGACATTGTTGGCTAATTCTTTAAGCAGGTAGAGTATTTGTCTCACTTGTTAGATGTGATCTTCTTGGTGTGTCCTCGCATGGGTGGAAACCAGTAAATGAGGCCTACCCAGCTAAGCACTTCAATAAAACACAAACGACTGCAATTCTACACACTGTCACTTAGTGTCCATTCTGAGCAAAACTTCTGAGTTACTCTCTGAGGAAAGATGAAACTGCACAGGACAGTGCCTGTGGACAGTATTTTAAGCTTGTCCCTCATTTCATAGTAATAGCTACAATTTATTTACCACCTACTATGGACCCAGCATTTTATCAACAATTTCATTTGTATTTATTTATTTATTTATTTATTTATTTATTTAGAGATAGAGTCTTGCTCAGGTTACCCAGGCTGGAGAGCAATGGTGTGATCTTGGCTCACTGCAACCTCTGCATCCCTGGTTCAAGATAGTCTCCTGTCTCAGCCTCTCAAGTAGCTGGGATTATAGTCACCTGCCACCACGCCCGGCTAATTTTTGTATTTTTAGTAGAGACGGGTTTCACCATGTTGGCCAGGCTGGTCTTGAACTCCTGACCTCAAGTGATTCACCCACCTCAGCCTCCCAAAGTGCTTGGATTACAATCATGAGCAACCATGCCCTGCCATAGGTATTATCATTCTCCTTTCGTTGATGTGGAAACCAAGGCTCAGAGGTTATGTGACTTGTCCCGGGTACACATCTTCAGCATCCCTCTGCTTGTTTGGGGCATGTGGAGGCTAAAGTTTAGGGAGTGTCAGGCCAGAAGAGGAAGGCAGAAAGACAATGGCCTTGCCAAACCTCCTTTCTCCCTTTCACACAGGCCTGTGTTTAAGTCCTAGTTCTAACACATACTAGTTATGTGTGCCCTTGAGAAAGCTGCTGTTAATCTTGGTTTCCTTATTTATAAATTGAAGAAAATAACCCACTTCATAAAGCAATTGAGAAGATGAAATGATAGAATGTGAGCAGAGCTCCTTCACAGCACATTCAGGTACAAAATAGCTCATTTTGGTATAAACTGCTCACCCCCTAGCCCTGAATGCCCAATTTCTCATTTTCTTTATGTCTTTACTAAATTGTCTCCATCTTACTGAAACCTTCCCTGGCCACCCTATCTAAAAGGCAAACCCCATATAATCTCTTCACATCCCCTTTCTGCCTTATTTTATTACCAATTAATATATGACAAATTGTATTTATTTTGTCTTGTCCTGTCTCCACCCACAAGAAGGTAAATTTTTCTTAGGCCAGTAGGCATTGTCTGCGTTAGGAGGATGATACAGAAATCCTAACGCAGACAATGCCTACTGGCCTCAAAAAAATTTACCTTCTTGTAGGTGGAGACAGACAAGACAAAATAAGTACAATTTGTCATATATTAATTGGTAATAAAATGTATATTGGTCAAATGAATGAAAACAAACAACAAAAACAACAAAAAGAAGTTGGGAACCTAAAGACCTATGTTTGAATTTGGTTTTTTTCCTTACTATTTGACTCTGGGTCCATTACTTAAAATGTCTGGTCCTTAGCTTCCTCATTTGTAAAATAGGAAGAAAAATGGTATCTATTATTAAGACAGCTGGGATGACTAAATGACATAATTTATAAACCCTCTGGCATATAGCGAGTGCTCAATAAATGTTTGCCATTATTATTATTTGTAATAATCTGACCGATTGTTAAAACTGTCTTTCTGTGCAGCTCTGAGTTTTTAGGATATGGGAAGAGGCTAAAAGTCACCAGTGCCCTTGGCATTTTCGGCCCAGTTGTCCTCCTTGTTAACTGATTACCAGTTGAATGGGTGTGAAAGTGCTCAGTGTTCCCACCTCCAAGCTGCTCAGAGGTCAGCATTGCCATTCATTGAGAAATAACAGGCTGTGAGAGCTCAAATGACTTACTTATGGTCCCTCAACTTAAAAACCAGGGCACGCAGGAACCAAGCCCAGCCAGTCTTGGGCTTCCTAATACTGTAATTTCTCTCTACAGTGTGGGGTAGTTAAGAGCCTGTGACTTCAGACCTGTGGTCAACGGGGCCTTTCACCGGCCATCTCCCGCAGAGTACTTTTTCACAATCAGTTTTCTCGCAAGCAAAACGTGGAAAATAAGATCCACACCTCACAAGTTTGTGGCCAGGGTCACAGGTGAAAACAGCTCTTCGGAAACTCTAAAGCGCCGGATAAATAAGCGCTGCAACAGGCAACCACACGCGAACCCCTTTCAGCTGCCAGTCCCGGGACTCGCTCCTGTCTCCTCCCCTCTCCAAGACCGCGGAGTAGGAAGGAGGATTAACCCCTAGGGGAGGAGTTCCGCCCCCCAGCCCCCGCCCCGCCGCCCACGCCTCTCTCTGCACCTACACTTGCGCTCCCCAAGTCTCTCTCGTGCGCAGAGCCCAGGCTGCGCTTCCCTGGTCAGGCACGGCACGTCTGGCCGGCCGCCAGGATGCAGGCCCCGCACAAGGAGCACCTGTACAAGTTGCTGGTGATTGGCGACCTGGGCGTGGGGAAGACCAGTATCATCAAGCGCTACGTGCACCAGAACTTCTCTTCGCACTACCGGGCCACAATCGGCGTGGACTTCGCGCTCAAGGTGCTCCACTGGGACCCGGAGACTGTGGTGCGCCTGCAGCTCTGGGATATCGCAGGTGAGCGCGGGGGGAGGGGGTCAGGGGGATAGAGCGCCTCGCGGCCGGTTTCCAGTCTCGAGGCAGCGGCTTGCGGCCAAGCGTGAGATTAAAATCACTAGGTCGCGAGGCAGTTTTTCCTGGTGGGCTGGAAACTTAGTTTCAAAGAAAAGAAAAACGTCTGAAACTTCAAGTGCATTCCCTGGCGCTTTTGGGCTATTGCTTTAGCTCCTTCCCGCACAGTCCCCTGGGATCTCTCTGCCCAGAGCAGGCCTCCCCAGGGAACCAGAGGAAGATTGTCTGCAATTGCATTCTGTTCTCCACTCCAGCTCGTTTTCTGGGCGCGGGCAGTTCTGCCAATGACGCAGCCCAGTGTCACGCACGTCCTTCCGTGCAGGGGCGGACCGAGGGGAAGCCCCTAGGCTGGTTCACAGAGGAAACCGGGATAGTTCCAGGCTAGCTGGAGTTTGCCCATTCCTGTCTTCAGTGGCTCACTTTATTTCAAATTTTGTCACCTTTCTCTCTGCCCTTAAGACAAAGGAGTTTGAGGGTTTTTGTTTTGTTTTTTTTTTTTTTTTTTTTTGCTTTTTGCTTACAGTAAGCCAAGTACTTTTGTGTGTATATGTCAGGGGCAAAGTATTCTTTCTCCCTCTCTTTCTGTATTTCTATCTCTCTGGCTCTCTGTCTTCTATGAAAAGGAGGTTGTGTGTATATTTTAAGGCCATTTTTATGTAAGGGCCTATGATAGCCTTATGATTTCTTGATTTGGCCCTAAAGTTTTCATTGAGAGATCTGAAAAATGAGAGGTTGTTTGTTTTTGTTTTTTACAATATTTAAAATCAGATTTTGACTCCACAGGTTTGTACCAGAAGTTAGGCCTAGTCAAAAGTGAGGGTGCAATGTATCTACTCCAAGTGTGAATCCTTGGACAAGGCTGTTTGCAACCTGCGCATGACCAACCCCTCATTACAGATTTTAGCCCTGCCACTAACTAACCTGCTCAGTGGCTTTGGACAAGTCTCTTCAGCTCAGTTGCATCGCTGTTAAGTGGAAAGGAGTTGGGCAAGGGTCAAGGATCTTCCTGCTCAGAAGTTTTAAAGTCCTCTGGGATTCTCCATGGGAACAACTTCAAACAGTCTTATTTCATGGTCTGTGACACCAGGAACCTTTCGTTATAAGTGCTGGACCCAAACTAGCCACTTCTGTTTCAGAAAATGGATTCATTTTAGCTGATGCATTTGATTGGAAACTCTTTATCATGGCTTGAAACTAGAACAAATGTGGAAAATTTTTGAAAGGGCATTTGTGATCTGGGGACTTTCGTGCCTCTTTAATCATGAACTGCCAGGCCTTTTTCTTTTAGCATGTGAACAGATGAACAGATTCATGCATTTGGAGTCATCTTCAGCTGCTCTAGTAGCAAGGGGGTTATCAGAGAACAGAAAATGTTATCAGCCACTGTTGGATGGGGCTTTTCATCTAAAAAAATTCTCTCTGTGTACTTTCTTGCTGCATGTCATAATGTCTGAAAACCCTTCTGGCTGCTCGAAAGTCCTCAGGATTCAGATTTAGAAACGGCTTACTGTTTAAACGGGGATGTAGCTGTAATTTGGACTTCTGTGTACAATCCAGGTAACAGCATGACAGCAGAGAAGTTCTATGTCTGTAGATTTCAGTCTCCTCACATAAACAGAAGAGATGGAAGGGTACAGTGATTAATAGCCCAAATTCCAGAGTTGAACTGCCTCCATCTGGATCCTTACTTTACTCTGCATGTAGTAGGCAATCTTAGGTAAGTTCTCTAACCTCCTTGTTTTGGTTTCCTTACTTGTAAACAGGGAGAATGCTTTCTCCCAATAGATGACAGGTGAGCAACCAACAGTGCTAGCTGAAGGTGATCATGCCTGTTCTCTAGGAGATCTGCAAGGATTATTATCACACTAGCTACCATTTTTTTAAGCCTATATAAATGCTAGGCAAGAAGGATATGATATACAAGTGCTTATTAATTCCTAATAAATTGTGATCCCAATATTACATATATATTTTGTCCCCAAGTTATCACCATTTTCAGCTTTGCTCCTGACATACTCTCAGGAGCAATTTAACTCCCAAGCTCGAAAGCACTTCGTTAGCCATGTTTTGTAGACTGAAGTTGCAGTGGAGGCTGTAGTCACAGAAGTCTGTATAAATAAGAAATCTGAAGTCTTGGGAAGTTCATTCTACAGATACTGCGGTGGTGTTACATTCAACATCTCAGTAGAGGAGCTTGTTTTTCCCAGAGCTCTAATGCTCAGTGGTAACCTGTCTTTAGCAGCCTTAAGCCCAAAGGCCCTGTTAGCTGAATTATAGATTGGACAGCAGGCACAGTGAATTGGGTGAAAGCTAGGCCACTGTAGGAAATGGTTGGAACATGCACGTGCTCCATGTTTCATGGTTTAAGCTGCATAGGGAGCCATGTGGGTTATGAGTTCATGTGAAATACAACCTCAACTGCCCACCCAGACTCCAGTCAGCCAGGTGTACCTTATAGTACTTTCAAATCACAGCCTGTCTGTCCACAGATAAGAATGCATCTCTCCGTCCTTAGTGTTCAACTCTGGTGTGTCCCCGGAGAGAGCAGGTAGTGGAGGTTAGTGGGCCTAGCTTTGAGAAGGTTGTGGGTGTTCAATGAGATAGAGAAGACCTGCACTGTTCTGATAGGATATCATATACATTTGTTATTAAGGGAATCTTGGCTCAGCTAGACTCTTGATACTCATTTGGTTCAATGCCAAATAGGGCCCTTTTTAATCTACTAAATTCCCATGATGTGTCTCTTATAGCCATGTAGATTGGCCAGTCTGATCTTGAAAGACTCCAAAAAGTATCTCTGGGGTCTTGTGAAGTAGGCCTTGAAACAAGATGATAAATCCCACCAAACCCCATAGGGGACAGCAGTTGGCCTGGATTCCAGTGATTCCATGCTAGAAGGTCAGCTGTGTGTTCAGAGGCTCCTGATAGAGTCAAAGAAATGAAGTAACTTTGCCTGAGGCCACCCAGCTAGTAGAGGAAGAGCCAGATTTGACCCGGTTCCGTTTCACTCAGAGTCAAGCCTTGCTGTTTGCACTTGCTGGCCTGTGAGTGCCTGGCACACAGCTGGCCCACAGGGATTATGCCTTCTTTTTAAAGGTGTTGTTTCATTAGTAGGTGGGTTAAACTTACCTTCTCCTTTCTAACTGGATTTTTGGTATTATTAAGTACCACTGTGCATTCAGTGAAAAGGAATGAATTAAAATCTATTTCTGAAAATTTTATCTTGATTAGGATGTGAATTTATAGAGTTTTTAAAAAAATAGGTCATTTAGGGAAAATGAAAACAAAAAGTTCACACTTGAGACTCCACTTTTTTATTACTCTCCAAATCCAGAGACTATAATTGCTCATTCACCCTTTCAAAAAGAACTGTACTATCTTGTCTAGAACTCTTGATGTGCTTTGGGACTCTGATCTAGGCATTGGGACATTTATAGGGATAGTAGCTAATATTTCTTAAGCCCTTATTCTTATGAATGTCCAGGCATATTTAATCTATAATTTCCCAGTATAATAGCTGGTTAGGCCACTAGAATTTAAAATTGACCATTGAATCTGTTTTCAAAAGATTTGCTCTACTGTCCTTAATTTGAAAACAGAGCACTTCAGACATAGTTTAAATATATTCTAAATTTAGATACTCTGAAAATATAATTAGGCAAACTGTGAAACCTTGCTGAACCTCAATTGCCTCATCTATAAAATGATGATTATTTAATTTTCCTGTGATACTTATTTTATCTTTTGTAGTCTCTGTAAGCAAAAGGTTTATTATCACTGTCCTCAGGGTATAGGTAGCACATGGTCATTTATTCCAGCTTCTTTACTTACTAGCTTTGTGACTTGTGTGAGTTACTTAGCCTCTGTGCCTTCGTTTTCTGTCTGTAAAATGGGAATAATAACAATACCTGCATCTTAGTATTTTTGTAAGAATTAAATGAGTTAATTTATGCAAAGCTGTGCCTGACACATAATAAATGCTGAATGAGTGTTAGCTATTATTCCTGTTGTCATAATTGTTATTATTACAGACTGTTTTCACATACATTTTCCCACTTGATCTCCCCAGCATTGCTGAGGGTGTAGACAAGCAGATAGTCCTAAACCCAATTTTATTTAAAAAGATAAAAAATGAGAGAGGTAAGAGAGTTGCCTGAGATCATAAGTGGCAGAGGAGAATAGGAACAGTCGGTCTGTTTAGCTTCAGCTTACTTGTATGAGTGAGATAACCAAGTCTGTTGGTAATAAAAAAACCCAATCCAGTTTTATATTGCTATAGTGGAAAATAAATTAAGTTGGCAGACAATTTAGAGAGTGTTTCGAGTGTTTCTTTGCTATGTAAAAGTTTGACTGCAGAGCTCTGCTAAATAACAAATGCCTCTAAATACTTAAAATAAGATCTACCCTATAAGAAAAATATTTCCACTCAAGGCACATCTATACCAGCTTCCCCCACCTAAGCCATGTGACATGACAGCAGAAGAATACATTAACTGTCCCATAGACAAAGTAACAGGATGAAGGCAGCCCAGGCCCAGTGTCAGGAGTCCTTAAACTGACTCTTCACACCAGCAACTCTGACACTTATTTGGGTCACATTGTTATGTTGTTTTAGAGTTTGTGAAGTTCTTTCAGGTTGTGAAATTCAACCAAAGATAGGATTCGGACTTAACTATCTCTTTAGTACCGATTTCTGAAAGACTATTTCTTCAAGCAGTTGTAGAAGATGGGTCTTAAATGTCAAAGTAGTAGGTCTAGGAATGTAGAAAGAGCTAAATTTGGCGATGAGTGTGTCAAATAAAACCCCCCAAAATGCATATCGAGTCTGAGCCATGCTCCACTGGGCAGTTTATTGCCTTGTTTCTAGCTTAGCTAATTACAGATTTTCTAAATGCCACGTAAAATAACATGCTATGTTCTTACGGGTAAATAATGTGTACAGTGAGCAAAAATGGTGAACTTTCAAAGTAGGAATGAGGGATATATGGAGAAAACGCCTCAAGGCAGGACATGTCGTGTCATCTGGGTTTTAGAGGACTGATTCTGATAGAAAAGCAAGTAGCAGCTTGACCAAGGAAAGCTAAGGCATTTGAGAGTGGGAGGGGATTGGAAAAAGTAGCTCTATATGTGTGATTGGTTTCTTCAGCAAATATATGTATGTATATATAAAGTGCCTGGTATGTGAAAGTACTTAGGTGAGGGAAAAACAAAGAAGGATAATAATTGAATAAGATTTACTTCTTCATCCCAGCTTCATCAGCATGATGACACAAAAACAAATCACTGTAACAATAAGTAAAGAGCATTGATAGACATAACTTCAGAACACTCTCATGGTGCAGAGATGTTGTCCACACCTCGTTCTCCTACTCTCTGAGACTAAATCTGAGGAAGTTGACAAAACCTCAAGGCTAGTGTGATGTTTCTTGTGCTCTTACCTAGCACCAGTCATTCCCTGTGAGTGCGTCAGGGCTGCACAACTTGAGACAGAATTTCATCATCTGGCCCTCTAATTCAGTCTCCTTTGCTTGAGGATCTCATGCATTCCCAGGGCTTTAACTCTATGCAGATGACTTTAAAACTATGCCTATATCCTTGACTACTCATGAGCTCAGGCTTACAATTCCATCTTCCTGCTGAACATCTCCTCTACAATATCTCACCTATACTGCCTGTGAACATGTGCATAACAAAGTTTGTGTGAAAACAGGATTGTTTTTTCTATTAATAAAGTAATATGTGCTCAGTGTAGCAAAGCTGGAAAACAGAAAAGAAAAACAAGAAAGAAATACAAACAATGTATGCATATTTGCCCCCACTTAATGATAAGTAGTAAATGATGCTATTTGTAAGTCTAAACTAGACATTTGTCCACATTCAGTGGACTTTCTAGTTTGTGTTAACCAAAATACCTTACCCCCAGTTACTTAGGCTTGAAACCTCTGCCATCTTTTCTCTTTTGACCCTCATATGTCACCAGTCTCCAAGTCAGATAGTACATATGCCTCTCTTTTCCCACTGCCATAGACCAGAGACAGCACTTTTTTACATACCTGTTCTGGATCATAGCCTCTTAGCTAGCTCTAATCTCTGCCTCCTCCAGTTCTCAGGTGTATCAAAGCCAAATTTATCTTCCCAGAACATCTTTCTTTTCTATTGGCTATAGATTACACATGCTGTGATGAGAACAATGGAGGGGATGAGAATAAGGTATTAGGGGGGCTGATAATTAGAAAATTAGAAATAAGATAGATCCAAGTCATAGAGAAATTGAGGAATGGGTTTGTGAAGTCCTTGAATTTAAGAAGTGACTGGAGTCCTTGAGGCCTGGTGAAGTCAAAAGGAAACCCAGGATGTCTCTCCTATTGTGGTCTTCTTGTGAGGAACAAAGAAACTGTCATTAAGGGCTCAAGTGCTACTTAATTTTTTTTGTTTTATTTTACTGCATTTTATATAAAAATGCAGTTTTAAAACTTGAAGATTTGAGAAGTATAAGATCTTGCCTGAGAAACTTTATTAATTCACTTGATAAGCAGAGAAATTTAGGGGTGATCGGAATAGGTTGATCTTTGCTCTTACGGACTTTTAGAGTCTGGTGTGGCATAAAGATATTTATTTCAAAATAATTATTTAGTCATTGAAAAGTGATCTGATGGGAAAGTATCACATGCTAAAAGAAAGTCAACCAGGGGACTTACCATAGCCATAACATGGAGATGAGAAGACATCATGCGGGCTTCAGTAATCTGACCTAGCTGAAGATTACAATGTGTGAGGAAGGAGGTGTTAAGAGGGATGCGGCAGACAAATTAGGAAAGGTCATATATGCCAAATTAAATGTTAAGAACGGTGAAAGTGAAAATTCCTTACATTTATCAATTTATCAAAGCAATATTTGCAATTTAAATACCACAGTAATTCTAACAAATAGGTCTTCTTACTTCCAGTTTCATAGATGAGGAAGCTGGGCCAAGCATAAGTAGAACATGACACCTGGTACATAATTGTTGCTTAGTAAAAGTGGTTTGGTGTTAAGCAGTCACTGAGGTTCATACTAAAGCCATCACTCATCTGGTGAATTTTTGAGAATAGATGTTTTGAGTTACACTTACAATCCTTTCTCTCCCTCTTCTGATGATTCACTTTGGAGATTCCTTGAAAGCTTTCAAACCATTGAGAAGCTTTATTTATGTTACTTTCTTAGATTCTGGGATGCATATTCCCAGAAGAATACAGTGGACCTATTGCTCCTGGGGTAGGAATCAGGTTTATTCCAGCAAGGGATGATCCTTATCTTCTAGGATGGTGAATTAGACTGATGTCCTTCAACTTGGCAAGGTCAAGTCTGAGACTCTAGCCTGGGGTTCTTAATAATTGAGTTTTACTCATTTTTTCAGCTGTTCAGGAATTTAAGAAGTTACGTGATCTTAAATTACTCTTTGAAAATAATTCGGATTTTAACTTCTACTGTTCTCTCCTTCCTTTCATTGCCCACTCTCAAGTACTAATTAAATTTTGTCTTTTCTACCTTATAAAATAAATATCTCATCCATCTTTTCAATAGCCACATCTTCTTCACAACTCACCGGAACTGTTGCAGCAGTTGCCTCCTGCCCATCCCCTCCTCCAGCTTCCCTGCCAATCAGTTTGTAATCGACAGTGGTGATACCCCTCATCATGGTGTTGTTCTCCAGTTGATATTCTCATCTGGGACCCATCACTGGAGCCACAGCATTTTTAGAATTAAAGGCTGAACTTTTTAGCATGACAGTCACGACCATCATAACTGTCACTCATTTGTCATTCAGTCTTATCTCTCACATCTATGATTTTTACATTCCAGATATCTTACAGTGGCCCCAGTATACCTACCTTCCCCTTTATGCTGTGGCTCACACAGTTGTCTCTAGCTAAAAAAAAACACCTTCCTCTTGTTAACATAGATAACTCCTATGGGTCCTTTTCACTCTATCAATATCACCTCCTCCAGAATGTCTGTTGAAACCATGAGACTCAGGGAAACACTTTTTCTGCTCCCATAAAGTTCCATGATTACTCCAGATAGAAATAGTTTACTATTGCATTGGAATGTCTTTTTCCTCCAAAGTGTATCCCTGGGTCCTAACATAGTATTTGGACATGTGGTAGGAACTCAAGTAGTATTTGTTCAATAAAGTTTTTCAGTCAACTATTGTATCAATGCCTTAATTCTAAGACATATCATTGATCTAAACATTTCTTCAATAAAAAATAGACTTCTGTTCATGATTGAAAAACTTCACAACTTTATAAACATTAATATATAAAAGTATAATTTAGAATTGAGAAATATGGCAACCACTTTTCTTAAGGAGACATTCTATTTTTTTTCCAACCATGAAAACTGGGAAATGTCCTTAAATACCATTCTTAAAAGCTGTGTTTTTGCATTTAACAGTCTCCATAATTTGAAGTGAAATGTCATTCATTTGGATGTCAAATGGCAAAACTATATCTTTTTTAAAATTTAAGCGTATATTATATAAAATAATAACTTCGTGAAAGGTAATTTTACAGAATTAAAACCCTGAGTACTCATCAAAACCATATCAGTCATTTTATGGATGAGCAAGCTTGATCTGGAAGGGAGGTGACATTAGTTTCTCAGGCCCACAGAGCTTGTTAGTGGTAGAATTAGAACCAGAACACAAGATTACCTGGCTTATTACCAAGGAAGCTTGAATAATTAAAAACGTATTTTTTAATACTAGGTGTTTGGGTGCTGTCTTCAGCATTGAGTTATAATGATGATCAAATTGGGAAGGCACCCAGCCCTGTGGAAGTTCGTGCAGTGGAGAAGAGGAGATAATGGCATAGCAGTGGAGACACCCAAAGTCATCCACAGTTTGGCTTTAAATAGCATTTCTAATATCATTTTCTCCCTCCCTCCATGATGAGGTCTAAATTTCAACCATTTGAACTCCTTGCTATTCCTGGTTCATTTCCATGCTTATTGCCTCTGAGCCTTTGCTCCTGCTTGCCCTGCTGGTTCATGTCTGCTGGTTCATGTGTCCTTCCCTTTGGAAGCACATCCAAATCCTACCTGATGTCTAAGACCTATCTGAAAAGGCAGCTCCTCTACAGAGACTTTCCTAGTTCTCTCTGTCAGTAGTAACTTCTTCCTCCCTTGAGTCCCATACAACTTTTCTTTCCCTTGTTTGTAGCACTTCTCTAGTTAAGCTTTGTGTTACAGTTATTTTCTATCTATCCAAATTTCCTTCATGATTTTTAGTAAATCCTGCTGTGAGTTATTTGCTGCATAATTTAATGAAATTACTGTAGAGTCAGCAAAGAAGTAGAGAAGAAGAAACACCAAGAATGAGGAGAACCTAGCAAGGGCAGGCTTTTGGAAGCAAGAGGTAGATAATTTAATAAAAGGATAGTTAATAGTTTCAAATGTGTTATGACTTTTTGCTCTGAGTCTCTACTTTTTGTAGTTTGTGTTATTCTGATGTATTATTTAACCTTTGTTCCTTATCACTTTTATTTAAATATAACTTTCAATTTGTTTATCAGCCTTGCATAAAACTGCTCTTTTAAGAAGAGTAATGAAAACTTATTGATTTAAATTATTTTTGGTTAGACTGTTTTCCCTATAACATGCTATAAATGGCCACCAATTATTAAGTGTCAGGCATAGTTTTATGCATTCATATGCATTATTTTATTTACAGCTCATAATGAGCTTATCTGATGGACACTGTTATTAACCCTACTATAGAGATGGGAGAACTATAAACAGGCCAGAAAAAAGATAAACAAGCTAACAAGCACAGAAAGCTTTTCAGAAGTCTTACCAATAGTAGCAGGTCATGCTGGGATATGCACTGAGATTTGTCTAACTACAAATCCTATTTTCTAGCCATGCTATTCTACTGTTTCCTGATGCATTATAAACAGCATAATGGTTTTTACATCTCGTGGGTTGTTATACATTGCTTTTAGAAGGTGCTCATTATATATTTTAAAATAGTAATTTATTAATTTTTAACCTGTATACTTTTGGATAGACCTAATTATTGAATGAGTTGAATTTTTTGCATGCATCATTGCTGACACCATATGGTTGGTTTGACTTATTAACAGTCATCTTCATATACTACTTTTAGGCAGGAAAACCACTGTGCCTGAGGGACAGAAGTCTCTAGTTTACAAATTAAAGCTAAGAATAGCTGTAGTGCTTGTTGGTATCAGAATAAAAAGATTTATATGGTGGTAGAAGGATCTGTATGCATGTATTGTGTGGTGTGTGTATCTTAAATTAAAAAAAAAATACACTAGACTCTAGAGGCTACAGCGCAAGTTCTCAAACTTTCTCAGTTCACCGCATCCAAATCCTTAGTGTTTTGGATTTTTTCATTGTGCCTCTAGGCCAAAAGCACTACCTAACAATCCTGTTCATTAAATAGCACCAAACAACTTAATAAGTGTTATAATAGCCATAAGAAAAAAAAAGAGAACGCATAAATTAAAAGAAAATTATTTTTGTTTCATTGTTAATCACCACAGTTTACTATAGGCATGTGTATGGCTTTGGTCATGAAACACCCTCTCAAACCTTTGAGCCGGAGTGGATGCCACTACCATACCACCGTCATTTCCTGTTTCACATTGATTTTCACATGATTTTTGCTTTTCATCACAGAAACTTCCAAACCCCAGTTTCAAACAGATATAATGACATCAAAAGGAATATAGTGTTAACACTGTGAACTACCTCAAGCTAATAGTTCCTGGGGTGTCTAATGGATCTTGAGTACTACCGTATTTGCCTTGAAAATTTAAAATATCCTGTTTCACCCATGTGAGTTCACCATGGCACCCCCCCCCACCGAGAGCACCTTGGCATATATTTTGGGAGTTATAACTGTAGCAGAATCTGGATATTCCTTAAGAGTGCAACTTTTAGAGTCCAGGATCTCTTGGGGGTTATTTATAAAAATTTATTTAATGGATACTGACTGGTATTGTCTCAAATGCCAAATAATTCAAAAATAGGTTTTTTATGTAATACATTTGAGCTTACAGTTCAGAGGTATTTTAGGTTGTTTATTTGATTATAAACATGAGATGCTGGTCCTTCTGTCTTGATTCACTCCAACCTGTCATCCATGACTTGGTTTCCTTCCTTCCCCCTGCTTTATCCACTGTTGCACCTTACATTGCTAGATGATCTTTTTATCTCCATCCACATGAGTTATTTGCTTAAGCTGGTAGCATTGGGCTCCAGTCTAAAATTATTCTGACAAAAAATCTGTTGGGCTACTGTATTAGTACTCATTTTCACATACACACATATATATCACATGCACTGCTTTAAATTTAAATATACATTCAGAATTTAATGAGAATACTTTCGAAAATGTATTTCAAAAGTAGGTCACTATAATCCATCCATCTTTTGTTCTATAAGGTAATTATGAACAACAATAAAGTCAATATTTACCTTTTATGCCATTTTATTCTCTTGTCCACTTTAGCTTACTTAATTCAATATACTTCATCTAGCTTTATCTTCTTGTTGAATAGAGACAAAATTTGCCTTTAAGAGATGATAACTAACAGTAGGGTAAAATGAGAGCCATTGTTTATGGGGGAACTAAGGAAATTGCTAAAAGAGTTTGGGTGGTTCTGAATTATGAACAGATATTTTTCAGATGGGATCTTAAAAATGGCAAGTTCAGTAGGCATAAAAGTAAATGAGTTAGATCAAAGATCTTCTTTTATTCAGCCTACACCTTTTCCTGCTGGGGTTCCCTCTTGCAAATAAGAAATAAGTATTAATTGTTATTTCATTATGCAAAGAGTACTTGTATTGCTAGTTCCATTCTATTCTGGAAGTGCATTGTGAGCATAAAGTAACAGCCTCTTAGGGTACCTGTGTTATGGAGACACCGAATATAGTAATTGAGTAATTCTACACTGGACTCAAGGAATCTACAGTGTAATTGAGGACACAGGCTGCACAGGTTTGCAGCACATAAAAAGCAGTACAAGGCAGGGCCTGATCAAATGGTTGAGCGAATGATCCAGTTAGTCAGTGCTGTGGGAATATAGAAGAGTGAAGAGATGAGTGTGAGTCCAGGCAGTCATAAAAGTCTCCAAGAAGGTGGAGCTTGGGTACAACCTTAAAGAATGGGTAGAATCTGGTTAGGTGAAGGATGATGGAGAGGACGTCTTTCAGTGGGAGTGGATTTGCCATGGTATGGGAGTAAATGGAAGCAAGAAGCAGAACTTAGCAGAGCCTAGCAAGGCATAGGTTGGGTCAAAACCTTGACCTCAGTCTGAAAATTAGCCTTTAACTTGTAGATCTAAGAGTGCGACCTCAGAAATCCCACAGGAGGTCAGAGGGTGGAATGGAATCATCGTGAAGGCAAGGATTTTTTTCTAGTTATAGAACAAAACTAGTAACCAGCTGTATGTTCTAGTTATATGTTCCTAGTGATAATTCTGGAAAATTATAGGGATTAAATTTTTTTTTGTTAAATGAATGAATGAGATTAGACGAGATGAAATTAGACAGTCTTAGCTAAAGTGATTTTAGTGGGAGTGGAAAGAAAGTGATGAATGCAACAGACCAGACATGACAGAAAACTCTTAAATAACTAATAAGCCTGCAAATCCACTGGGAGAGGAGTAAAGAATTAAGAATTATTCCTTCACTCAGCATGGGGACCATATTGAATGCTTACTATATAGAGTGCAGTGCTTGTCACAGGGGCTGCAGAAATTTGGTTCTGGCTATGGGGTGGCTTGTTATTTTGTAGGGGAAGATTGTACCAGGTAAGTTCTAGGATATACACCTAGGTGACTTGGAAAAATGGTAATTAATTTATATGTTTCTGTCATTGGTTTGATGGGACAAAGTCATGAAAACAGATGAAAGTGTTTCTGAACCACCGCCAGACTGTCAAATAGGCTTTTATTAAAAACTGGAAATAACCACCATCACTAGGATGTCAGCCTGACTCTGATTTCAGTATGTGGGTTTCCACTGAGCTTTCAAAACCAGCACAAGCCATTATGATGTCAGTGTCCTTTTGACCATTGCAGCAATTATAGTTTGATTTTTTTCTTCTAGATTATTGTGCAAGGTCCATATTTACTGTTGATTATATATTTACTTTATGTTTTCCACACTGTTACTCCCTAGAAATATAGAGAACATCTTGGTGTCACTCTTAGGTCTACTGATGGTTCTGTGACCCCAACACATGTATCATTTAGATAGAGTAAATTGATTCCAAGGTAGTATTTCTTAAGAAAATGAGAATGATTATGAAAGCATAATAATCCAGGCTGAAACTTGTTACAACAGATATGCACAATAATGTTAATTTTCTCCTCCAATAACAATCTATTGATTATTTACTGGAAGTTGGAGTTGAGTATAGAGTAAGTTCATCAGTATGCAGCACTAATTCACAAATACATGATAAGGCATTTTAGAGGAAGAAGGAGCCTTAATTTGAATTTATTTCCACCATAAAATCTTGAGCTCTTATTGTATCCTAAAGGTGGAGAAATAAGCCTCGGGTTTTGCAATATCGAAAGATGGTCAATCTGCTCTCCAGGATTTTCAGTGCCATGGTTAGAGATCCAAGCATGAATGCACAGCATAATAAGTGTCAGTGGTGTAGAAATTTTAAAATTCTATGGGTTCATAAAGAAGAGATTCAGTGATTCCAGCTGTCAGGACAGGGAAGTATGCACAAATGTGGTGAGATTTAAGGGCACATTTGAAGGATGTATAGGATTTTATTGAACAGAGTGGGAGTAGAGATGAGGAGGGAATTCAGGCTTTGGGCACAAAGATTTAAAAAGGCAAGAAAATCTGGAAAGTAATTTAGGATGCGTTTTAAAAAGAACAAGTAGTCCAATGGGACTTGGCCATGGAGCACTTTGAAGGAAGCGACAAGAGTTTGAAAAAGTGGTCGGAACCAAAAATGTGCTACATTACATGACATATCAATGAAGGTGTATTTTTCTTGGGCATATAAGAGTCACTGAATAGCTAAAACAGCAGAGAGTAATGGTAAGATTTACCTTTTGATAGTGGATTCTAATGGAGATAGAGGTTTTCTTTTCTTTTCTCTAAACTTTTATTATAGATTCAGGGGGATACATATGCAGGTTTATGACATAGACGTAGGTATATTGCATGATGTTGAGCTTTGGGGTACAAATGATCCCCTTACTCAGGGAGTGAGTATAGTACCCAATAGTTTTTCAACCTTTGCCCCTTCTTTTCTTCTCACTCCAGTAGTGCCTGGTTTCTGTTGTCATTATCTTCATGTCCATGGTTACCTGATGTATAGCTCCCACTTATAGGTGAGGACATGCAGTATTTAGTTTTCTGTTCCTGCATTAATTCACTTAGGGTAATGGCCTCCAGCTACATCTATGTTGCTGCAAAGGATATGATTTTATTCTCTTTTTTGGCTGTGTAATATTCCATGATGAATATGTACTATGTTGTCTTTAACAAGTGCACCATTGATGGGCACCTAGGTTGATTCCATGTCTTTGCTATTGTCAGTAGTATTGCAATGAACATGTGAGTGCACGTGTTTTTGGTAGAATGATTTGCTTTCTTTTGGATATATACAAAAGAATGGGATTGCTGGATTGACTAGTAAGTAGTTCTGTTTTAAGTTCTTTGAGAAATCTCCAAACTGCTTTCCATGATGGCTGAACTTATTTTCATTCCCACTAAAAGTGTATATGCATTCCATTTTCTCTGCAGCCTTGCCAATATTTGTTGTTTTTTGACTTTTTAGTAAATGGTAAACCATTCTGACTGGTGTGAGATGGTATCAAATAGTAGTTTTGATTTGCATTTCTCTGGTGTTCAGTGATATGGGATATTTTTTCACATTTATTGGCTGCTCATATATCTTCTTTTGAGAACTGTCTGTTCATGTTTTTGCCCATTTTTTTAGTGGGGTTGTTTTCTGCTTGTTCAGTTATTTAAATTCCTTATATAGTCTGGATAGTAGACATTTGTTGGATGTGTATTTGGTGAATATTTTCTCCCATTCTGTAGATTGTCTGTTTACTCTGTTGATAATTTCTTTTGCTGTGCAGAAGCTCTCTAGTTTAATTGGTTCCACTTGTCAGTTTTTGTTTTTGTTGCAATTGCTTTTGAGGAATTAGTCATAAATTATTTCCCAAGGCTGATGTCCAGAATGGCGTTTCCTAGGTTTTCTTCTAGGTTTCTTCTAGCTTCAGATCTTACATTTAAATCTTCATTCCATCTTGAATTAATGTTTCTATATGGTGAAAGGTAGGAGTCCAGTATCATTCTTCTGCATATGGCTAGGCAGCTATCCCAGCACCACTTATTGAATAGGGTGTCCTTTCCCTACTGTTCAGTTTTGTCATCTTTGTTAAAGATGAGATGGCTGTACTTGTGAAGCTTTATTTCTGGTTTCTCTGTTCTGTTTCATTGGTCTATGTGTCTGTTTTTGTAATATTACCATGCTGTTTTGGTTACAGTAGCCTTATAGTTTGAAGTTGAGTAATGTGATGCCTTTGGTTTTGTTCTTTTTGCTTAGTATTACTTTGGCTATTGGTCTTTTTTTTAATTCCATAAGAATTTTAGGATAGTTTTTTCTAGTTCTGTGAAAAATGATGTTGGTAGATTGATAGGAATGGCATTGGATGTGTAGATTTTTGGGGGGCAGTGTGGCCATTTTAACAATATTGACTCTTCCAACCTATGAGCTTGGAATGTTTTTTTCTTTGTTTATATCATCTATGATTGTTTTTAGTAGTGTTTCATAGTTCTCCTTGTAGAGATCTTTTACCTTCTTCCTTGGTTAGATGTATTCCTAGGTATTTTATTTTATTTTTATTTATTTATTTATTTATTTATTTATTTATTTATTGCTGCTATTGTAAATGGGATTGTGTTCTTGATTTGGCTCTTGGCTTGAACATTATTGGTGGATAGAAATGCTATTGATTTTTATACATTGATTTTTGCATCCCAAAATTTTACTGAAGTCATTTATCAGTTCTAGAAGCCTGAAATTTTACTGAAGTCATTTATAGTTCTCGTAGTCATTAGGGCTTTCTAGGTATAGAATCATATTGGCCATAAAGAGAGATAGTTTGACTTTTTGTTTTCCTATTTGGATTTTTTTATTTCTTTCTCTTGCCTGATTGCTCTGGCTAGCACTTCCAGTAATGTGTTCAATAGGCACAATGAGAATGGACATCCTTGTCTTGTTCCAGTTCTCAAGGAGATTGCTTCTACTTTTTGCCTCTTTAGTGTCATGTTGACTGTGGGTTTGTCATCGATCACTCTTATTATGTTGAGGCATGTTCCTTTGATACCTATTTTCTTGAGGGTTTTTATTATGAAGGGATGTTGGATTTTATCAAAAGCTTTTTCTGAGTCTATTGAGGTGATCATATGGTTTTTGTTTTTAATTCTGTTTATGTAGTGAATCACATTTATTGATTTATATATGTTGAAGCAACCTTGCATCCTTGCACTATTTGATCATAGTGAATTCACTTTTTCATGTGCTGTTGGATTTGGTTTGCTAGTGTTTTGTTGAGGAATTTTGTGTCTATGTTTATCACGAATATTGGCCTGTAGTTTTCTTTTTTCATTGTGTCTGTCAGATTTTGGTATCAGGGTGATGCTGGCTTTCTAGAATGAGTTAGGGAGGAGACGCTTCCTGATTTTTTGAAATAGTTTTAGTAGGATTGATACCAAGTCTTTTTTGTATGTCTGGTAGAATTTGGCTGTGAATCCATCTGGCCTGCAACTTTTTGGTTGGTAGGTTTCTTTATTACTCATTCAATTTTGGAAGTCATTATTGGTCTATTCAGGGTTTTAATTCCTTTCTGATTCAATCTTGGCAGATTGTGTGTTTCCAGGAATTTATTCATTTCCTCTAAATTTTCTAGTGTGTTTGCAAAGAAGTGTTAATAACAGTCTCTGATAATCTTTTGTATTTCTGTGGGATCAGTTGTAATGTCACCTTTGTCATTTCTGATTGGGCTTTTTTGGATCTTCTCCCTTTTTTTCTTTGTTAATTTAGCTTGTTGTCTATTGATCTTGTTCATTCTTTCAAAGAACCGACATTTGCTTTCATTGATACTTTGTATGTATTTTTTGAGTCTCAATTTCATTCTGTTCTGCTCTGATTTTAGTGTTTTTTTGTTCTGATGTTAGATTGTCAATTTAAGATCTTTCTAACTTTTTTAAATTAGCCATTTAACACCATAAACTTTCCTGTTAACAGCATACCAGAGATTTTGGTATGCTGTGTCCCTGTTTTTGTTTATTTAAAAGATTTTTTAAAAATTATCCTTTATTTTATTGTTTATCCGAAAGTCATTCAAAAGCAAGTTGTTTTCATTTCCATGTAATTGTGTGGTTTTGAGAGATTTCGGTAATGCTTTCTATTTTTATTCCACTGTGGTTCAAGAGTATGATTGTATATTTTCAATTTTTTTCGAATTGATTGAGACTTGCTTCATGTCTGGGCATGTGTTCAATCTTTCTATGTTCTGTGCAAATGAGAAGAATGTTTATTCTGTGGTTGATGGGTAGAGTATTCCGTAGATGTCTGTTAGGTCCAATCAGTAAGTGTCAAATTCAAGTTCAGAATTTCTTTGTTAGTTTTCTGCCTTGCTCATTTGTCTGATACTGACAGTGGGATATTGAAGTCCCCCACTATTATTATGTGGTTGTCTCTGTCTTTTCAGAGGTCTAGAAGTACTTGTTTTATGAATCTGACTACTCCAATGTTGTGTGCATAATATATTCAGGACAGTTAAGTCTTATTGTCGAATTGAGCCGTTTATTATTATGTAATGGCCTTTTTGGTCCTATTTGACTGTTGCCAGTTTAAAGTGTGATTTATCTGACGTAGGAATGACAACCTGGGCTCTTTTTTGTTTTCTGTTTGTGTGCTGGATCTTTCTCTAATCCTTTACTTTGAGCCTATGGGTGTCATTACATGTGAGATGGATTTCTTGAAGATAGCATACGGATGGGTTTTGTTTTTGTTTCTGACTTGCCATTCTGTGCCTTTTAAGTGGGGAGCTTAGACCATTTACATTCAAGGTTAATATTTATATGTGAGGTTATGATCTTATCACGAAGTTATTAGCTAGTTTGCTTTGAAATATAAGTTTCTATTGTGTGGTTGCTTTATAGGGCCTGTGGGCTACGTACTTAAGTGTATTTTTGTGGCAGCCAGTAGAGTTTTTTCATTGCCATATTTAGAACTCCCATAAAGATTTCTTGTAAGGCTTGTCTAGTGGTAACAGATTCCCTTAGGACTTACTTGTTTTGAAAGATTTTTAAAATCTCCTTCACTTACGAACTTAGTTTGGTGGGATATGAATTTTCTTTTTTTTTCTTGAGACAAAGTCTTGCTCTGTCGCCCAGGCTGGAGTGCAGTGGCATGATCTTGGCTCACTGCAACCTCCACCTCCCAGGTTCAAGTGTTTCTCCTGCCTCAGCCTCCCAAGTAGCTGGGACTACAGGTGTGTGTCACCACACTCAGCTAATTTTTGTATTTTTATTAGAGATGGGATTTCATTACGTTGGCCAGGCTAGTCTCGAACTCCTGACCTCATGATCCGCCTGCCTCGGCCTCCCAAAGTGCTGGGGTTACAGGCATGAGCCACTGCACCCAGCTGGGATATGACATTCTTGATTGGAATTTCTTTTCTTTAAGAATGCTGAAAATAGGCCCCCAGTCTCTTCTGGCTTGTAAAGTTTCTGCTGAGATGTCCACTGTTAGCCAAATGGGGTTTCCTTTTTATGCAATTTGACATTTTTCTTTAGCTGCCTTTAAGATTCTTTTCTTTAGCATTGATCTTGGACAATGTGGTGACTATATGCCTTAGTGATGTTCATTTTGTATAGTATCTGGCAGGTGTTTTCTGGATTTTTTTTGTATCTAAATGTCTACCTCTCTAGCAAGGTTAGGGAAATTTTCTTGAATTATCCCCCCAAATATGTATTCCAGGTTTTTAAATTTTTCTTCTCTCTCAGGAATGCCAATAATTTGTAGGTTTGATATTTTTACATAATCCCACATTTCTCAAAGACTTTCTTCATTTAAAAAATATTCTCTTTTTTTATGTATGTCTGACTGGGTTAGTTCACAAGACCAGTTCTTAAGCTCTGAAATGGTTTCGTCTGATTGGTTCAGTTTTGTTGAGAAAGCTTTCAATTGTATTTTGAAACTCCTTAAGTGAATTGTCCAATTCTAGAAGCTGTGATTAATTACTTTTTAAGATTTATCTCCTCCTTCATTTTCTGGACTGCTTTAGACGTTTCTTTTCAATCTTATATTGGATCTCATTGAGCTGCCTTGCAATCCATGATTTGAATTCTTTATCTGTCACTTCTGAGTTTCTATTTTCATTAGGGACCTTTGCTGGAAAGCTAGTGCAATCCTTTGATGGTGTCACTGCATTCATATTTTTCATAGTATCAGGATTTTTGTGCTTTTTCCTTTTCATTTGGAAATTTTGGCACTTCTAATTTTTGTAATTATTTTCATGTTTGTAGGACTTTTTTCTTTTTCTTTATTTCTCTATCATACTATTGCTATTTTTTTCTTTCCTTTTTCCTTTTCCTTTGCCCTGCTCCATGGGGTCTTTTGGTTTTGCTTCTGTAGCCTTATGTACTTCTTTCTGCAGGTTTTTTATTGGGCTGTGCAGTTTGACCTGTAAGTCAGTAGATAGTGCTTATGCATGATAGCAGGCTGTGGTCAATGTGGCTAGGTGTATACTTGATCCTTGTTTACTGGCGGAAGCTCTCTGTTGCCTCAGGCAATGGGCTGATTCTTGGAACGCACAGTGGTCTGAGCTCCCTGCTTAGCCAAGGGGATTGGGGTCCACAATGGGTGGGGCCAGACCAGGTAGGTTCATCTACAGGTGCCCTAATGGCAGGTGCAAGCAGCTGTGCTGAGGGAGAATCTGGGGGGCAGCTACCAAGTGTGAGTTGTGTACCTCAGCATCAGGTTGGGAAATCTCTTCAGCCGCAACTGCATGGGAAGAGTAGCCGCCTATAAACCCCTAATCCAAGAGAGTAAGTGCTTCAGATGCCTAGAGAGCTGCCTGGATGTAGAGCAGAGAGGCTATCCTTGCACCGCAATCTCTGCACAGGAGGGGTGGGATGGCTCAGGCTGCCAATTCAGGTGAGGTGGTGCTTCTAATGGCTGGATATTTGCCTGGGCATGGAGCAGAGAGTACCTTTTTGCCTCATGGTCTATGTTCAGGACAGGTGTGGTGGCCAGATGAGCAGGTGCTTTGAATGCCCAGAGATCTGCCCTGGTGTGAAACAGAGTTAGCCTCCCAGCACCAGGCTGACTGCACAGGAAGACTGGTGCAGGTCAGACTACTGCTCCAGCTGAACAGGTCGTCTGAATGCCTGGATATCTGCGTAGCCATGGAGTGGAGAGGGACTTGCTGTACCACGATCTATGTCTGTCACAGGTGGGGCAGCTCAGGCTGCTGGTCCAGGCAAGTGGGTGCTCCAAATGCCTGGATTTCTGCCTGGGAGTAGAGCAAAGAGGGCCCTGCTACACCACAATCTCAGGGGAGCAGGCTGGACACCTGCAGTTTGGTTCCAGATCGCCAAGCTGGCCCTAGCTACAAGTATTACTGCCCAGTAGAAACTGCAGCTTTATCAGCCCTCCTCCTGTCCCAAGGTTGTGACAGAGGAGAACACACTTCTAGCACCTACTGCTGAGGGGCTTTCCACAGTTCTGGTTGTGGAGGCTCCTATGCAGCTCTAGAGTGAGTGCTCTGGTCTCTGGCTAGAGATTAAAATGAATAGTTGCCTTTCTATGCACTCGGATTAAAAATGGCATCCTGATCTTGGTCCTGGGTCTGGGAAAATGTCTGCAGCTGTTCCTCACGTCTTTTCCTCACAATGTCTCCAAGAAACTCCACAAGTTAGCTCTAGGGCTTGGGAGAAACAAAGTGCTTTCCCTTGGCATGCTTTGCTGGGATCCCCAATGGAAAGGCAAGTCACAGAGGGAGGCTCTCTGCCTCTCTCACATACCTGAGCTTCTCTCACTTTTATTAGCTGAATGCCATCAAAGCGGCTGTTTGCCCATGTTCCCTCCCTGGAATTTGGGGTATTCTTCAATTTGAGTTGTCCTGGTGGATTCCCATTTTCCTTCTTGATATAAAGCCCACACAATTGGTCTTTATGCACTATCTTGCTATTTCCATGTGGCTGAGGCATGCTAAAAGGCTCTAATGTACTATCTTGGGGGGAAAAAAAGAAATAGCAGTTTTAAGACTAATCATACACTAACATCACTTAGAGATGGCTTAAAAATACAAATTCCTGATCTCTGCACAAAAACAACACAATAAAGAATCTCTGAGAAGTGCAACCCAACTAGGGATGGGTATTTCTTAGGTGTCAGAGGTGATTTCTTATGCTGCCAGAATGGCAACTACCTGAAGACTTGTGCTTACATTTATGTTTATATTTGGGGAGAGAGACATTGATGAGAGCCTAGATACTGAGATCCCCATTTAGGGAGCTGCCAGGGGTCCAGGTGAGGAGCAATGAGGGGCTGAGGTGGAGCAGGAGCAGTGCTGGGGGAGAGGAGGGGCAGAGCCAAGGGCTACCTCTGAAGTAGAAGTGTTAGTTGGATACTGGAGCCTCTTTGGTTGAAGGAGTGAGGAGGGAGTTAGAAGATGACTGGAAGTAAAAATACTGCTAGATATACATTTTAGCTGTGATGTTTGTGTGTATTTTTAGCTGAGTCTATGACACCAAGTGGACCATTTCAGGCTGTTGGGACAGAGGGCCAAAGTTTGATTTAATCTAAGGCATGAGCAAGGGGCCTTTGAGATCAGCCACACCAAGTTCATTTTATAGATAAGAAAACTGAGTCTCAGGGAGAGAAATACATGTGTCTGAGCCTGTTCTGGTAACCAGTAAGTAAAATTAAGACCATGCCTTCTGACTTTTCAAGTTGGTGTCTTCTGCTGTGAGATTATCTAAATAGTTCCCGCAGCCATTATATTAACTTTTGTGATTTGGTTTATTGCTTTCCTATTTAACACCCTTCATAGCTGAAAGCTGAATCATGAGCCACATCTACACTGCTATGAGTTTAAGAGCATTGGGGACCTATGTGGAAGTGGATTATTTTCAGTGCAGTAATCCAGTGTGACAAAACTTAGTTTAGAAATTCCTCCTGGGCAAAAACTGTATATTTCCAGCACAAAGTATAGAGCTTTAGCCACATTAGCTATTCCATAAATGTGTGTTGAATAAGTGATCTAAAATCAAGGGAAGTTTTTGAATTATAGTCATTTTTTTAAAAAGTAAATTTAACTATGATGAATTCATCAGGTCTCTACTTTGCCCAAAAGTAGGCACTCACTCTGAGTCACATGGTTCTCATTCTTTGAATAAGAAAGAGCAAAGAGGACTGTCAGCTGACAAAGGAAGGAGAAAATGTGAGTGCTAGAAATGCTCTGATCTAAGTGTGACCTCTTGCTGGAATGCCAAAAATATAAACTTTCCAAGTGGCCTGGCTCAGTGACCTGAACATATAAACATCTTTTCTTTCTAGAAACAAGCTGTCTTCTTATTTCTGATCTGACACACATACATTCACAAACTCAAACACACACACATATATATATACACACACACACATATTTTCCTTTTTGATTCTCTATGAAGTTATAGCCTATGTATTGCTTTTTGTATGGTCTTAAAATAACTCTTTATCATATATTTAAAGTGCAAAATCTTTATTCTTGAGGACTGCCTTGTTCTACTATGAAAACCTCTGGACAAGCAGATTATTGAATAACCCATGACTTTGCTCTTCATCTGATTAGATCCTTGAAAGAGATCATAAGACATCCTTTAAAAGCCTAAAGGCCTTGGAAGTTCTGAGTTATCACAGAAGGCTTTTTTCCCCTGTTTTTCTGAAATGTCATGGCCACTCTGGGCAGTATCAAAGGAGATCACTGTTTGCACCAGGTATTTAAAAAGAAAAAAAGAAATTTAAAACTTATTTGGGAAAACTAAAAGTTCATCTGGGGCTTACGTGTCATGTGGACAGTATTTTGCCCCTTTCTTTCGTTGACTAGGCAACTGTGGGATAAAAAAATGCGTCTCTGGTATAACCCACGTAAGAAATACTGTAAGATTGTCATGTGCTGGCTGTGACAAAATACTCTTTTTTTCCAGTGATACTTGCTTGTGCACACAGGCTCACACACTGGGACCAGAGCCCTCGACCTTCATTCATTTTCACTAAGTGTTTAGAGAGGCTTCTCTTACAGTTTCAATGCTACTACCAATGTAAATATAACCATCTACAAAACAGCTTGCTAACTTGAATTAAAACTTACCATTATAAAGTTTTTAGCTCAAAATTAAGGGTAAAGTGTTCTTCTTAGAGATATGTTAACCTATATTTTCCTAGATACATCCCAGTTTTAGCATTTTACTCTTTCCAAGAAAAGTCGACTTGTTAAATGCACACTAACTTTATTTTAATTTATATAACTTTATAAGACTCTTAACATAAATAAATTCCCAAATCAGAATAAAAAGGCTTTGTCTGGTCACATACTTCTGGGGTTTTGAGTTCAGAAAATACAAGTCTTCATTAGCTCCTGTCTTCAGCAACCATTAATAGACAGAGTTAGAAGTAGTAGGATTTTGTTCATTTTTGTTATTCAGCTGAAATACTTGTAATTTTTTTGTCACAAACTCTGATCTGAAACTCTGATTTCAGAACTTGTGCCATATTGTCTTTCACACTATTTAACATGCTGCCAAAAGAGAAGGAAAACTCAAGTATAAGGTACTATGCTGGGTGCTTTGCATATATTAATTCACTTCATCCACATGGCAAAACTCTGCAGTACATATTATTATTGCCAATTTGCAGATAAGGAAGAATAAACTTAGAGTGCTTAAGAAACTTGACAATATTCAATCAGAACGTTAAGCATCAGAGCAAAATTGATTCCAGCTGATTCTAATTCTGAAACCAATCCTTATCCTAAACAACAACAACAACAACAAAACTTATTTAGTGTTTTGCTGTAGGAGAGCTTTTCTTATCCAATAGGTTGTAGAGTATTTAAGGGTAGAGACTATCTAGTTTACTGTTACATTCTGAGCAAGAGTCCAGAAACTGGCATCGATATAATAGATGTCCAATAAATATCTGTTCAGTCAAATTCAAAGGGATGGTCCTCTGGTCCTGGTATCTAAGCCTGCGGAAGAGAGAGTACAAGCCTATAATTTAGTGGTTGAGAGTATTTAATGTTGGTAAAAGACTGTGAGCCCTAGATTCAAACAGCTCAGGTTTGAATTATGATTTCTTAAGCTTACTATCTGTATGATTTGAGAATGTTACTTAGACTAAGTTTCAATTTTCTCACTTTAAAATGGGGGTAATAATTGCACCTTAATGATCACTTATGTAAATCACATTTCTCATGGTTAGTAAACATGAATGAATGGTAGCTAGTATTATAACCTTTAATTGGACTAGATTGTGGATCCCTTTTAAACATACTCCATAATTTTGTTATTTATTATGTTTATTGTTTAGAGTCTGTCTTCCCATTAAAATATAATCTTCATGGTGGCAGGGATGGTTATGTTTTAATCAGAGTATCCCAAATATTTAGAACAGTGTTGCCCAATCGAATGTTCTATACTGATGGATATGTTTCATTATTGGCATAGTCTAATACAGTAGGCACTAGCGACATGCAGTTACTGAACACTTGAAATGTAGCTAGCTAGGGTGACAGAATACTTGAATTAAAAATTTTGTTTAGTTTTTGTTCATTTAATTTAAATAGCCATATGTGGCTACTGGAATACTGTATTTGCATAGGTCTAGAATATTACATGGTACACAGAAATTTCTCAGTACATATTTGTTAAATGGATGAATTCCCTTCTGAATTCAAAAATCAAGAACAAGCTACATGATTGCATATTTAGTTCGCTCTTTAAAGATTATCAGTAAAGACGAAGCACTTTACTGATTGACTTGCTCATCTTGGAGGCTTCATGAAGTTATAATATGATTCAGTTTGCAATTTTAATACATTTTTATTTTTATTTCTTTTTGGTGTCAGGTCAAGAAAGATTTGGAAACATGACGAGGGTCTATTACCGAGAAGCTATGGGTGCATTTATTGTCTTCGATGTCACCAGGCCAGCCACATTTGAAGCAGTGGCAAAGTGGAAAAATGATTTGGACTCCAAGTTAAGTCTCCCTAATGGCAAACCGGTTTCAGTGGTTTTGTTGGCCAACAAATGTGACCAGGGGAAGGATGTGCTCATGAACAATGGCCTCAAGATGGACCAGTTCTGCAAGGAGCACGGTTTCGTAGGATGGTTTGAAACATCAGCAAAGGTAATGTGACTTTAAATAATAAGCTTAATATAAGCAAGGTTCACAAAGAAAATGGCACATAATCATCACCATCATCATAATGATAATAATATGTTTGTTTAGTGATGTATGGTTTTCACATTGCTCTAAGCTCTTTCTCATCTCAGTGCAATGAGTAGGTAAGGCAGGAATTATTATCTACAATTTAAGATCATTGTGGCAAGAGGAGGAAAGCAACTTGTACAAGGTTTCAATAGTAATAGTTGATAACTATGTTTGCCTTTTGAGGTCTTACTATGAGCCAGGCATATTTTGCATGCATTTTCCTATTTAGTCCTCACCACAACTTTATTAGGTGAGTATGGTTTTATAGTAAAGGCCTTATTCATGTGTTAGTTAATTTACACAATCAATATTTAATATGTTCACCTGTACATCAGGAATTGTGCTTCCTCCTAGGAAAGAAAAGATGGCAAACACTACATTGGGCATACCGGAATAGTGGGGTAACAGAGAATAGACAGCAAGCACAAATGTGAAGAACACAGCATAGCTTGGCCATGCTGTTTCCCCTGGATGGCAGAAAAGTGGCAGGAGGTGGAGCTGAGGCAGGGCTGGAAGATGAAGGATCCTGTATGGTGTGATGAGGATAATATACTTCTCATTGTTCCCTCATGTTGCCATCTGATATGTCAGGTTCCTGGCTTTTGTTCTACTCTCTTTTTGTTTTTGCCTGTATTTAAAAAATCTCAGTATCACAGGAGAAAAAAAAAATACTTTCATGGCAAAATTTGAAAATCCATAAAAAACCATAACTAAAATTTTAAAAGAATAACCATTTTTGCTTTTGATTTTTGTGTGTGTGCATATAATTACACTGTTAGGATTGCATTTCACATGGTTTTATATCATGATTTTTCCACTTTTATTCAAATATTAGATGTTTGTAGAGCACAGGTACTACGCTAGTTTTTGGGATTCAGCTGTGAATAAGATAGCCATGGGCTCCGTACTTATGGAGTTCACACTTTGGCCTTATAGTGAGCATTTGTGCACCTCATTAGCAAATGGTTTGAAAATATTGCTGGAATGGTCATCATTCTAATAGGCTGAGGAGGAACCTCTAATGGGTTTTCTGCTGGAAAGAGAATGGTCCAGTTTGCCTTGGAGAAACTATAGAAGACGGATTGGAGGGCAGTGAACCAGGAGACACAGTGGCATGGTAGTTACCATGCTCTGTGGGAACATAATGAGACCTTAAACTGGAGTAGTGGCTATAGATAGGAAAGAAAACCTGGATTTGAGAATACCACCAAATTACAAAGACCAGCACAATTAAGCAAGCACTTGGATTGGAGTTGATGGAGAGGAAGAAAAGGGCAGTGGTGCCACTTTTTCTGTCACAGTGGGATGTTCTTTTGTTTGAACCATTCCTGGAGAGCCTTGATGCCTGTCTCCTTGCTCTTCTGTCACTAGCTTTTATGTTTGGAAAGTTGTTATTGCTCAGTTGCGAGAGTTCTTGTCTTCCTTTTGAGACCCCAGTATGCCAGTGTGCTTTTCCCTTTCATTCTATTTAAAATTTTGATTTCCCCTGTTTCTTGGGATTCTTCCTTTGGTTCAGGATACATTTCCCATCATTTTATATTTCTTGACTCTCTTTGAACGTTTTTAGTTTATGTGGTTGAAGGATTTCTTGCTGTAAGGGGAGACAGCACAACTGAAAGGTATGATTAAGTTACAGAAATTTAACAAGCATGGTATCTTTTTGTAGTCTATTTTCTTTTTTTGTTTGTTTGTTTTTTTGAGACAGAGTCTCGCTCTGTCACCCAGGCTGGAGTGCAATGGCATGGTCTCGGCTCACTGCAAGCTCCACCCCCCGGATTCAAGTGATTCTCCTGCCTCAGCCTCCTGAGTAGCTGGGACTACAGGCGCCCGCCACCACACCCAGCTAATTTTTTTGTATTTTTAGTAGAGATGTGGTTTCACTATGTTAGCCAGGATGGTCTCAATCTCCTGACCTCGTGATCCGCCTTCCTCAGCCTCCCAAAGTGCTGGGATTACAGGCGTGAGCCACCGCACCCGGCTGTTTTCTTTTTTGAATGTTAGCTGTTTTTTTTTTTTTTTTAATTCCAAAATGTGGGTAAATTCACTTATTTTCATTTCCTTTTAGCGCCACACTCAATTTCACTCCAAAGTTGCTGCGTGTTCCTTCAAATTGCTTTCTTTCAAAAAATGTCACTCTCAGCTCAGAAGCCTCCAGGCACAAGGGAGACAGAGTAGGACTTTGAGAACTCCTTTTCTCTGTTGATTACATTACATTGTAAGTGCAAACTAGGCTGAATGACCTGTATTTACATGGGGAGAGGAGTCTTCTGTTATTCATTCATTCATTCATTCAGTCAATAAATATTATCAAATACCTGTTACATGCCAGACAAATGTTCTGGGCACTGAGAATGTAGAAACTTATGAAACAGATAAAACCTTGCCTTCATGGATAAAAACAACAACAAAACATAAATATATGATGTGTGATACTTATTAAGTGCTAATAAGAAGAAAGGGAAAAAAGAAAGGAAGAGGCCTATGAATCTGTGGGGAAGCTTGAAATTACCCGTGGGTCAAAAGACCTTCTGAAGACATTTTTCACCTCACTCTGACGTTCCTTGCTCAACCACTATAGTGTTAAACTGCCTGATTAAGGACACAATGTTTAGTACCTTTAGGACTGGCTGACCCACCTTACTTAGGTACTGGATTTCTAATCCTCCAAATCCCTCTAAGTGTGAACTTTGAAGAGAAGCTTTGTACGGTGTTGGGGAAGGGGGACATGAGATTTCACAAGCTAATATAATCAAGAGAGTACAAGGCCTTATTGTAAAATACAGAAGGCACGTTCAACATCTCTTTTCCATACCTAATGCTATTGAGGTTGTCCTTCTGAATGTCTTAACGAAAACGGCTTGCCTGTGCCAGGTTAGTATTCAAAGTCAACACTGAGAAGCTCAGAAACAATCCTGCAGCACTGACAAACTGGAGTGTCAAACTTCTTTAAAATTCTTTTTAAAGATCTCTGATAAAGCTCTGCTAACTTTCTGACTATAGTATTACAACATTTACAAAACTGAGGCCTAGATTAAACTGTCTGCCTGAAGCAGAGATGGTAGATTTTGGGGATAGCTATGAATTCCTTCCTTCATTTTGAGATCAGAGAACATTTCCCATAGGTATCCTTCTTTTAGACAGTCAATCTTCTAAAAATTAGAGTCCTTTTGAGTGACGACATAATGTCTGGTGATAAATACCTGATTTCCTTTCTTCACATTGCTGAAACTTCTGAGTCAAACTTCTGGCTTTGTCCCCATGGGCACATCCAGCAGAAATCCTTCAGGTATCATCATCAGCTTTGACATCTCTGCAGTTGAAACTTGCAGGATTTTAGATGAGTTAGTCATTGAAACCAGCCTCCATCTTACCACTGACCCCACTGCTGAGGGAAATTTACCCTCTTGCTCTTCAATCCTATGGAGTAACTTTCCATGAGAGTTTTCATGACTACTGCTGTTGCTGGAGCAATCATGGTAGCCCCTGGCTGGCAAGTGAATTAAGAGAGAAAAAATAAAAATTAAATACATGTTGGTGTCTCTGGTTTTTCACATTATCTCTTCCAATATTAAAACCAAAGGAAAGAAAATAGTCTTTTCTGCGTCATATTCTTTGGTTTTTAACCTTTGCATTCTTTTGCTTTCTTGGCTGTATTTCCTTGAATTCTGTCTGTGGATTCTCTAGGTGATGTATAATTGGGGTAATCATGTGTCCCATTTTGCCCCCCAAATTCCTGGTTTATACCTGCTGTTCCAGCATAATTATTAATAATACCTTCATTTTTAATTTGTAATTTAAATTTACATGGTCACCCTGTAGATCATGAGCTCAACTTATTTTACTCTCTACATCATACCTTAGCTCTAATAATGGATATTTTAGTATTCCTGTGCCCATATCCCATTTTTATAATCTGCTTTGGCAGATCTGTTTCTTTAGGATAAAGACCCTGCCCTTCTCTTGTTAGTATATCTTCAGGGCCCATTTGAGAGGCTGACTGGGTTCTGCTACCTGCTGAACAAATTACCTGGTACATTCTTGGTGCCCATTGCCTGAATCTCCATCAGTTGCTGTTTTTGAATTCACTCTGTAAAATCACACCCACTCACCTTCTAGAGCTACTGTGAACATTAAGAGATAATGTGGCTGGGCGCGGTGGCTCACGGCTGTAATCTCAGCACTTTGGGAGGCCGAGGCAAGTGGATCACGAAGTCAGGAGTTCGAGACCAGCCTGGCCAACATGGTGAAACCCCGTCTCTACTAAAAATACAAACATTAGCAGGCTGGCAGCAGGCACCTGTTAATCCCAGCTACTTGGGAGGCTGAGGTAGGAGAATCGCTTGAACCTGGGAGGCGGAGGTTGCAGTGACCTGAGATCGCGCCATTGCTCACCAGCCTGGGCGACTTGAGCAAAACTCCATCCCTACCCACAAAAAAAAAAAGAGAGATAAATAATGTATGTGGGGCCAGATGCATAATATCTGATCCCACCACATGTAGACACACACTTTGCACACTCTACACCATTCCTACTGTCTCTACCCACAGCCCATACGCCGATCTAGCCGTGATGCACACAACAGCCATACTCTGGTGAAAAGGTCTGTTTCTGTACCTTAGCTCTTTCCAGCCTGCTCCATTCTGCTCACATAATGGAGTGGATCAGGTGTGGCTATGCTCAGAAATACACCACCACAAACACTAGTGTAGGTGGGAAAGAATGGAGCAAGTTGTACCTATGCAATAGTGGGGACAAAAGTCAAACTCACAGAAAGAACCTCCAGTGCTTCCAGCTCTTGCTCCCCTATCCCAGTCCTACTCCTGACAGATACCCTTGGTTCTTTCTATGCTATTTATAGTGACTTTTTGGACCCACCCTCTCTCCCAGAATGTTCTAAGAGCAACAGGTGCCCTGGGAAGAAGCTTTCTTACGTTAAATTATACTCAATTTTTGCCTCTTCTTTGAAGCTAAAAATAAAAATGTTAATGTGTATCCTTCTGCTGAGAAAAGGAATATATCTAATACTGTTCTCTATAAGATGGTATTAGTTTCTTTTAGGGAGAGGAACGGATGTTTCACAGTGTAGTGGATATTTCTCATGTTGTTTGGCTTTCTAACAACTGTTAAATACATTTGCTATCTTCGGGGAATTTCCAGCCGTAGGAAGCTCACCTCTCCAGGAAGAACTCAGGAAACTTTCTTCTTTTGCTTCCTTTGCAGCTAGGCACAGGCAGATGACCTAGATTCCACCAATTGTAGGTTGTAGGCATCCATCTCCAAATAATTTAGATGAAGTTATAAGATATACCTCCACTGACTTAATTTGTCACAGCACATTTAACCCTGTATTTTTAGCTGATCTGATTTGAGCTCGTTATACTTAGGGACATAAAAGGAGGGGTCTGATTTGAAATCTAAAACCAGAGCAAACTGAGAATCATAATATACAGGAAATGATGGCTGTGTTTAATAGTGATTTCACATAATGTCCACCAGTCTGTAGTACAACTATTTGAATCATCACTTCTGACAGATTATTGATGCCCTACATGAAGAATGAAAATTGTTTTCTGAAGTTGGGAATAGGTGAAGTGTATGAGTCTCAAATTCAAGCTAGTTATCTATTTAAGGATCAATATAAATTAATAACAATATTTTATCTTTAGCTAATCAATTCTCTAGAGGTTCCCTACGTCAATGCTTATAATTTACTAGACAATCTGAGATCCACCCGTGACTAAGATACTGTATAATAGGAGAATAGAAATGAACGATCAGAGGCTATAACCATAGTTCAGTTTGTAGAAGGCAGGGTGTTGCATATGTCATTCTATTCTGCATGGTTCATATTTTCACTACTTAGAGCTCAGATCTTTCCTGTTTCATGTTTGGACAATCATAATAACCTGACTCCAGACTTTGCTCAAAGTCGTGTTTTGCATGCTATTAAAAACTTAACCTGCTCAAAGGATGACTTTGATTTTGCCACTGCCTAGTTCAAGAATCTTCTGTAGGTTCTACTTCTTAATGATTTAAATTTAGACACCTTAGAACATGCATTAGCAAACTATGATCTGTGGGCCAAATATGGCCTGCCCTGTATTGTAAATAAAGTTTTGTTGGAACTCAGCTGTGCTCATTGGTTTACATGTTATCAATGGCTGTTTTTATGTTACAACTACAAAGTTAAACAGTTGTAACAGAGACCTTATAGCCTGCAGAGCTTCAATTATTTACCATCTGACCCTTTATGCTTCAAAGTTTACCACTGATGTCTCAAAATAAGAATAACTTCTCTTTAGCCAACCACTCTGCTAGTGGCTTTACATACATTTTAGCTTATCCTTGAAATAATCTTATACAGTAAGTACTGTTACTTTTTCTGTTCACAGATGAAGCAATTAAAGTTTAAATTAGAGAGTGACTAGCTAAAGATCTCATTGCGGTATGTCAAAGAGTCAGGATTTCAAGCTAGATGTGCTGACAGAACAGCTTAGCCACCCAACCACCACATTGCACTACCGTATAACCTTTTCTAGTCTGACCTTATATAATAAGTATTTATTGAGCAATTGATACATGGTAGACCAGGGACTGGGATAGATAAATGAGTAAAATGTGGTCCTGATCTCTAGGAGTTTAAAGTCTAATGACAGGTATACAGATGTGTAAATACGTCTTCCAAGAAATGTGACAAAATGGAGCAATTCACATGGAATTGTTGGGTGAGTTGGATAAGGGAAAGGCCTTTTCTCACATATACTTTTCGTCTAGCCGTTGTCAGAACTACCTATCTTTTTCTCATCTTTCTGCTTTTGTCCATGTTGGTCACGCTGTATGGGATTATAATGCAATGGACATTCTTTGTCTGTATTTCATTTTGCCCAACAAAGTCCAGCTCTGGATGTGAGAGAAGAAACATAGAAAAATATCCTGGCTTCAGGAGTCTTCAGAACTCAAATTAGAATCCCTGATTCTGATACTCTGCCCCCAACAAATAATTCTTGCTCTGGCTAAGTATTAACCCTTTCTTCAGGAATTGCCTGACTCCAATACATTTTTCTACAGATACCTATGGAAAGGGACTTAAGCAATTCATGACACCATGGGCTGGCTGTAAAAGAGGATCCATGCTTCAGTGCATAGGATGCTCTAAGAATCTCTTGAAATTATGTGTGCAACTTTAATTATTTGTAGAGAGGGCAATCATTTATTGCATACTAAGAACCTTCCAGGCATTTCACAGCTATTATCACTAATTCCTACAATAATGAAGCATTATCCCCGTTTTCCATGTGGAGGAGTTGTGGTATGATTAAGGGACTTGCTCAAAGCCATGCATGCAGCCTTGTGTCATGATTCTGACCCCTAGCTATCTGGTAAAAGCCCACATTTTCCATGATCTGCAAAAGTGTTTCCATGCTTCTCAGCAGTCTTTCTCAGATTCAGAATTCCTTGTGACCCTAGAGCTGAGTCTAGTTGAGGACAGGCCTGTTTTTCTGAGGTCAGAAGGATGCAGTCACTCAGAGAGCTATCTACACCATGGCCTCATCTCTCTAGGCAAGGACCATCCATCAGAAGAGAGGGCTGAACTGTACTATATGAGCTGGCCTGGCATATATCTATCTCCTAGGTAGTACCAGGCATGTTGGTTGGAGAGAGGACAGCTCTTGAGGAAACCTGTAGAGGCCATATGATGTATGAGGGTAGGAAGGTAGGAGGGGAACACAGACTTGTAAAATCTGTAGAATTTCCAAAGGCAGAGATGGAAGGAGAAAGGTATTCTAGGCAGAGGAAACAGCACGTGAAAGGCATGGAGTTGAGAAATAACAGAAAGTGCTGACAATGCTGAGGTTCAATGAGGCTGAAGGATAAGGTGGAGGGGAAACAGAGAGCAAAGCTTTGCGGTATGTCAAACCATGTCCATTAGCATAAACCCTTCCAGCTGAGAATCCTAATGGACTGTAGAAGTCTGAACTCAAAGATTCAACAGTTTCTTAGTAATGTCCAAAAATCAAAGGATGACCATATTTGATTTTTATTAAAAGACAAATGCCAACTAAATAACAACTCTTATGAAATTAGTGCCTTTTCCTTAGAAAATTTGGCAAATCCTAATATAAGGCGTAGGGTTTTTCAACCTCAGCACTATTGCATTTGGGGCCAAATAATTCTTAGCTGGGATTGGGAGGGAAGAGTGTGTGTACTGTGCAAGGCAGGATATTTAGAATCATTCCTTGTTTCTACCCACTTAAGATCAGTAGCACCCAACACCCCAATCAGTTGTGATAATCAAACATATCTCCAGACATTGCCAAATGTCCTCTGGTTGCAGGGGCAAAATCACTCCCCACTGAGACCACAATTAAACAGTGATCAAAAAATATGTCTTGTGCCCAGTTGGTTCTGCTGTTTTCTAGGGGGTGGGGACAGAGTCAGGTCTGCCTTGATTCTATCTGAGAAAAAAGAATACTTGTAGGCCTGTTTCCATGAGTCTGTGGGAGGAAGAAAACATCTAGAAAGTAAGGCATGTTGTCTTTGAGCCTGGATCTTTCCTCCTTGATCTCTATCTCTAGCCATGGACTTGTTTCTAAAACTTCAGACTTCCATATCCTTCTGGATCTCTACTTGGATATCACTCAGAGAACTCCTCAAACCCAACATATCTGAAATGGAATTCATCAGCTTTTCTGGAAATATAATTATCCAATTTGGAGACCCTACATCCATACAGACACTCAAGCTGGACACCATATAACCAGGTCACACATTCTTTAGAAACCCCTCATTCTTGAGCATAGAAGACTCCAATAGTGAGATTTTTTTTCTGCTTCTCCAAGCTTATCTCTACTCCTTCCATTTATTCCATGGTTGTGTTAAACTGCATCAAGTCTCCCATCACACCTTGGTATTTCCCCTGCCTGGAACGTGCCTCCTAGCTTTATGCACCTGTCTCTCACTCTTCCTTCAGGACTTGGCTCTAACATTACCTGTTACAGTCTCTCCTATACCTTACCATGCTATGTTAAGATGATTTCCTTATGGGGCTGGTCCCTGCACTGCATTGTGAATCCTCCTGGTCATTACCCAGCACAATGGCTTGTGTGCAGAGAGTAATCACTTGCTCAGTGTTTATTGGATGGAAAAGAATATTTTGATGCACTGCCTTTTAAGGAATCTTTCAAAAGATTATTTTATTCTATTATTCTTGGCCCTGCCCGTGCGGAGTATTTATGTCCTTAGATAACTGTGTAGAAGCAGAAAAATTAATTTATTGCTGTAGTTCCCAGGAGGACCCCACATTATGTAACTCCTTTCATCCAGAAAGCTCTTTAGAAACTGCACAGGAGGGAGATTGTTGTGCCCTGCAGTGTGGATGGAGAAGTAAAGAAGAAAAATGAAGGTGAGGGAAGCTGCACCCCCTACCTTAATGCCTTGCCTTGGGCCCTCAACTGAGATTTGCAAATTCTTTGCTTGGCAATGCCACATAACATTCCATAAGAATCTGACATTAGCTTGTGCACCGAATTATGCAAGTCATTCCTCCTTCACACTCCAGGACCAGAATATAGCAATTTTCTTCACTGAAATTCTTATAATCCTGTTTTACATGTATCTCTCATTTGAGTTTTAGCTACTGTCATTTGAGCCACCTGCAATGGCTGTCAAATTTGTCTTTTTTACTAAGAAAGAAACAGAATTCTGGGGAGGATTTTCAATTATTTTCATTGGTGAGACCAGGCCTAGACTTCAGATCCAGTCTAGCACTCTATCTATTCCATGACAATGATTCTTGTAAAAGTTGTGCATCAGGGACATGTAAAGAGCTTGGTAAGATTGCAGATGCCTTGGCCCTATTCTCAGAGAAGTCTAGAGGGGCTTAGAATATATGTTTTTGGAAAACACTCCTTTGGTGATTTTTACTTGCACCCTGGTTAAGATGCATTGTGTTGGAATTTGTTAACTCATTTATTCGTTCATTTATTCATTCTCCAAGTATTCTCTGAATACCTACTATATATTCAAGTAGGCACTTTGCTAAGCACTGGGGCACTGATAATAGAGGGCACAGTTTCTTACTAGGTTCAACTCCTGGAAGACACCAAAATAAACAAATATTTACAATATAGTATGAAGTTCCAGATAATTTGATGGCTTTTACAAGAGCAGTGAGAGCAGCTGAAGAAAAAGCTGTTACCCCCACCTGTGAGTGATGCAGCTTCTTTGGTGTTTAATCTGGGTTGCCAAGAATAAGAGAGGCCTCAAAGGAAGACTGAAGGGAAGCACTGAGAACTCCTTTTTAGTGGATATTGTGCAGTGTGGCATTAGGAACCCACTCTTAGGAACTCCTGGGTATTTCATTTTTAGAAAGCAAAAACAAGCTTCTCATCATTTTTCTAAGATATCTAATCAAGAACATGTTGTTACTGCAGAGTTACCTATCATTATCAGTCATCATAAAATTGTCAAAACAAGACCATGCGAATCTTAATATTAAGAATAATAGGCCAGGCATGGTGGCTCACACCTGTTATCCCAGCACTTTGGGAGGCGGAGGCGGGTGGATCATGAGGTCAGGAGATCGAGACCATCCTGGCTAACACAGTGAAACACCGTCGCTACTAAAAATACAAAAAAAATTAGCCAGGCGTGGTGGCGGGCGCCTGTAGTCCCAGCTACTCGGGAGGCTGAGGCAGGAGAATGGCGTTAACCCAGGAGGCGGAGCTTGCAGGGAGCCGAGATCGCGCCATTGCACTCCAGCCTGGGCGACAGAGCAAGACTCCGCCTCAAAAAAAATAATAAAAAAAAAAGAATAATAATAAAAATTGTATGTATAAAATGCATGTTTAACAGGTCTTGTAGTAAGTGCTTTATTTATTTCATTTACTTCTCACAAACCCTTATGAAATAGGTGCTATTACTATGCCCATATTATATATTAAGGAACTGAGACTTAAAGAAGTTAAACAATTTACCCATTATCCTATGGTTAGCAGGTGGCAGAGTCAAAATTAGAACCCAACTCTCTCTATTCAGATCTCTTCTTCCCTATTTTTCTTTTTACTTCTCTGTGTCTAAATGATAGTCTTATATTGCTATTTCTTGATTTATTAGATTTCTACATACTCATTAATAATTTGCTTTTCTAGATGAGAATTTAATTTTCTTACCTACTTACCCCACTTCCCCATCTTTTCAGTAAAATTCTATCACTGCTTTTGGTTGAATCATGACAAAAATCGTGGTTTATATCATTAGGTATGAAAATATTAGTCACTCACATAATTTGCTGTCTGTGCTTATTTTCAATGAATATTCCTTAATGTTTTAAAAAATTTCCATTATAGTGTTTATTCTGTTGAGACTAGTTTTGTCTTGGAGATCTCCATCCCAGAATCCTCTCCTTTCCTTATGCAATTTTTTTTTGAATGCCCTGTAGAGCCAGCACACGGCTGTAATCCTGGGACTGTGCTTTGACATTCTTGTGTGTGGGATTGCCTGCTTCCTGGATTCCATTTATTTGTCCTGTTTTGCTGGAACATAGCCTCCTGCTGCTGCTTAGGAAAAGATGCATGACATTTCTGGGTACTTGATATCTTCAAATACATATTTTCTAACCCTCACACAATTTTAACTCTCTAGATGGGTATAGATTCCTCGGTTTAAAATAATTTCCCCTTTTAACTTTAAGGCATTGCTTCATTGTAATACAGCATTTAGCATTACTCTTCAGAAGTCTCATACCATTCTCATTCTTAAAGCTTTGTGCATAAGCTGTTTTCTTTTGTCTGGTAGTTTTTAGAATCATCTCTTTACCCCTGGTAATCTGAAAGTCCACAATCCTGTGCTTTATATAAACCTTTGTTCATTTATTGTTCTGGGCCCTTTGTAAGCTCTTTCAACTTACAAACTCATGTTCTGAAAAATGTTATTTCTTTGATAATTTTCTTCCTATTGTTTTCTGTGTTCTTTCTTTATGAAACTCCTAGTTTGGTGTAACCTGAACTAAGTCTATGAGCTTATGATTTTTTCACATATTTTCAGCACTTTAGCAATTTTTGTTTTATTCTGTTTATTAGTTTGCTGCAATTTTCCAGTCTTTTATTATAATTTTTAATTTCAGCAATCATAGTTTTAATTTTGAATAACTCAATTTTATCCTGATTATTCTTTTTCAAAAATCCTAAGAATGTGATAGTTGATTATATTTGTGAAGATGCTGAATTATTTTTCTGAAGTTTTTTCTGATTTTTGCATTATCTATTTCATTAGAATTATTTTTTCAGTCTACTTTTGTTCTTCTATTTTATGTTGATGGTCCCTTTAAAAATTTTGAGAGCAAGATAATCAAAAGCAGATACTGAGCTCTGTGTGTCTAGAAAGGCTTGTTGAATAGTGGCTATGGTGATTGTTGATTTGTGGGTTTTGCTTTAGGTTGGTTTTCACTGGGGACTACATGTCAGTTGTTGAAGGTCTTTTCTCTATAGAAAAACTCTTCTTTCCCACTAAGGGTGAAGATGTCAGAGTTCTTAGTAGAGGGAAGGAGTAGCCCAGCTGCCATATTTGCAGACTTTAGTTGATTATTTTTTCCATCTCCATATCACCTACAGGGGTATGCTAGTTGGTGTCTCTTGAGTCTCAAGTCTCCTTTCTTTAGTTTATTCAGAAGATAAACCAGAATTTGACTTGGGGTGTAAATGTCTGACTGCTGGTATCCTAAGAATGGAGAAGGGACAGGGTTGATGTCCCCATTTGGACTTTCAACCAGTCTCCCTGATTTCAACTACAATTACTGTGTAAGTGTTGAGCTTCTTGGATTTTGAGGGAATTAATTAGCCCTACTATTTTCCATATCTCCCTCTATACACTCTTTAGACCATACTATCTATACTCTGCTAAACCTATTACTACTTCTCTATTACTTTTAGATTTCTAAAAATGTGTGCAAATCTTTTGAATGCTGTTGCACATGTTCTCATTCTTTCCAGCTTTCTACTTTTAAAAAAGCCAGTAGACAAAGGCCCTGTCTCTTCTGTCAGAACCAATGTTAACTTTCTTGATCTTCAACCCTGGGCAGAGTGGCTTCCTTGTTTTCGAAAGGGTTATGTTACTAAGACACGTTTGCCCTCTCCTTCTCTGTTACTTTACTTTTTTAGTATTGATTTTGTCTGACCTCTGTTTTGTGGTCCTTTGCCTTCTCTGATGTGTCTTGTTGGCCACATTTGAAGCGCCCTTAGATTTGTGGATGACAGTCCTACCCTCCCAAGGCCTTCTGTTTCATCTCCATCTACTTCACTGCTACCGAGGTATTGATTTCTTGAGAAAGCCTGCTGAGACTGGGGGGAAAATCAATATCCCATTAGGCAAAAGTGAGGAGCAGCAGCAGCTCCTCTGTAGCCTGTCTGTGGACCTAACATGCTACGGGAGTGCTCAAAGGCTGGGTTAGCCTGTGGTGTCCAGAGATATCCTAAAGTGATGGAATAGCCCTAGGGATAATGTAGAAAAGCCAATGACAGAATGCTCAAGATTTGTAAATCCATTTCCTTGAACTAAATGAAGTGGAGTCACTTTTTGAGAATAATTTTACTTGTCAAAGCTTGCTCCGGAGGAAAGAAGTTCTCTCTTGAGAACTTTCATAATTCCCAGTCACTTTGAATTTTCTAGTGTAAGTAAAATTGTTGGTTAGCTGTAAGACAAATTATTTAGCTTTCATTTCCCCTGGGGTTCTCAAAATGAAAGAGGAATGACAGCATTGAGATGCCAGGATACTATATGTTTCTGAAACATTATGTTGTAAATCCCATTTTTAAATACCATCGCAAAAGGCTCGTTATGGTAGCTCTTCCTGGATGAGTCTCTTTAAAAAGGAAGAGTTTCTTTGGAAGACTATTGTCACATTCTATTTCATCTGGTAATAAGTTTAGATTTTGTGTTTCAGATTTTTGTAAAGAAGGACAGTCACAAGCAGTAAATGCAAACTATCAGAGTTGAAAGAGATCTAGCATTACCACAGTAGTTGAAACCCATATTTAACCCCCAAAGTGGCATGCCATTATATATCTTCTCTACCATTTGCATGGAAACACAAGAATATTAGATGTGGCGAGCAGTTTAACTTAACCTGTGGTCTAAGTACTTTATTTTACGGTTTTATCTATTCATTTATTCTTCAAATAATCATTGAGAACCTCTATGTTACAGGTACTATTTTAGGCATTAGGGCTATACCAGTGGACAAAATAGATAAAATCCCTCTCACCTTGGAACTTGCATTAAAGTGAGTAAAGACAGGTTATAAAATGGTAAATAAACGTAATATATAGTTTGTCAGGTGGAGATAAGTGCTAAGCAGAACATGAAAGCAGGGGAGCTTGCGTGGCATATGTAACATGTGGGATATAGGGAGGAGTAAAAAGAGAAGTAAGCAGTTTTAGACAGGGTGACCGGGGAAGGTTTCATCAAGAGGGTGTTTTTGTTGTTGTTGTTGTTTTTAAGGTAAATATTTGAAAGATGAGCACTATTGAGCCATATAAAATCACGGAAAGAAAATGGTCGAGGAAGTGGGTATAGCATGAGCAGAGGCACTCTGGCAGGAATTGACAGCTGTATTTTTGGAACAGCAAGGCAGCCAGTGAAGATGGAGCAGAGTGAGCAATAGCAGAGTGATAGAGGTGAGGTCAGAGAGGTGATGTCCTGTTGAGTTTTTAGATAATTGTAAGAATTTTGGATTTTTGTGAGACAGAATTTTCTGTTCAAGAAGCCATTGGGTTTGATCAGAGATGTGATATAATTTGATCTAAAGGATCGTTGCAGTGGTTTTGTTGAACCTGAATTATAGTGAGAAAGGTTGGAAGCAGATCAGCTGGGATGCTATTGCAATATTTAAGAATGAGATTGTGAGAAGTACTCAAATTCTACCTTGTATTTATGAATGTTCTTCAGACACAGGATTTCCTAGCAATTTAAGTAAAGGTAATGACAGAAAGTGAGGATTTAAGGATGTCTCAACAGTTTTTGGCCTAAGCAACTGTAAGAATAGAATTGGCGGCCAGGTGATGTGGCTCACGCCTGTAATCCCAGCACTTTGGGAGGCCGAGGTGAGGGGAATCACTTAAGGTCAAGAGTTTGCGACCAGCCTGGCCAACATGGAGAAACCCCATTTCTACTAAAAACACAAAAAATTAACCAGGCATGGTGGCAGACACCGGTAGTCCCCGCTACTCAGGAGGCTGAGTCAGGAGAATCGCTTGAACCCAGGAGGTGGAGGTTGCAGTGAGCCTAGATTGCGCCACTGTACTTCAGCCTAGGTGACAGAGCAAGACTCCATCTCAAAAAAATAAAATAAAATAAATAGAGTTGGCAGTTTTTGAATGGGGTCCTGAGATACAGAGGGATCAATGGGTAAGAGATACAAGATTCTTTTTTTTGTATGTTAAAGTCTAAAAGGTTACTATACATCTAAGAGCAGATGTAAAGTAAGTAGTTATGTATGATTCTGCAGTTCAGGAGAAAAGTCCAGGCTGCAGATATGTTTGGTTGTTATGTATGTATAGGTAATATTTAAAGATCCCTTTGGAATGAGATTACCTTGGGAATGAGTATAGATAGAAAAGAGAAAAGGACTCAGGACTAATCTCTTGGCATTCCCACATTTAGATGAAAAAATGAGGCCCCAGAGAGGGGAAGTAGTAGAGGTAGCATAGGTGTATTTCAAAATAGCTAAGACTAGAACTCAGTGGACTCTCCTCAGTAGACAGCCCTAATAAGATTACTTTTGAGTAGCCTGACTTTTCACTCTTTTTTTTCTATGCTATTCTTCTGAGTAGTAAACTGGGAAGATTTTGGACAAGAAAAAAAGTCAGATTATACATCATTGGTTCTCTCTTTAAATAATCAAAACTTGCATTCACTTACTGTGTTTCTGCTAGTTGGTGGGTCTAAAAATTAAAGTAGGAAAATAAGGTTATTAAATAATTATCCCCCTCTATTCTGTCAACAGTGTATTTTCTTTTAAGTCACTGGGAGGTCTAGCATGGGTCAGAGGTGTCTAGGGTGTAACAGGAGTAAGCTTTGACCAGACTTTATAGTAGTTAGAGATTTTTAAATCTAACTTAAAGAGCATAGTAGCAAGCCTAAATTTCAGGTCTACAAAAGGGCCAAAATATTCAGAAACTTTGTAAATGAGTTCATCATCTAGATTGAAAGTCAGCTTTTGTTATTTGCCATGAATGTTCAAAATGTTAATATATAACATTTGTTTAAAACTTTCAAATTTTGGAAGTTTCCAACATTTATTTTCTTATTTGGCTTTCACAAATTCCCAGCACAGAATGACTTTTCACTCTTTGTAAGACTTGTTTATTAAGAACTCCTGCTGTTGTTCAAGTGAATTGGCTTTGGGAACCCTTACCATTCTGGTTGTCTTACCTGGACACTGTAATCTGTCCGTATGCCAGTTTAAATGGAGTGGCCAGATCTGTTTACAATATACTAGATGTAGACTGAACAGAGCATGGGATAATGGGACTCTAACCTATCTTTCCTAGACCACAATATTTCTATTGTATGCAGTAGTTCACTACATTAATTTATTTTCAACAGCTGTATCAAACTGTTAGAGACATGTTGTACTTACGGTCAACTAAAAATCCCTTATTTTTCTAAATAATATGCTATCAAATGAAATCTTGTGCATTTAAACTATTGATAACTTGAACTCACATGTATAATTTTATTATTAATATCTATTAAATATTATTCTGTGGTTTCAAGCTATAATTCCAATTTCATTTTTAATCTATTATTTTTACCCTTAAAAGTAAAACATCTAGGCTGGGCATGGTGGTGCATGCCTGTAATCCCAGCACTTTGGGAGGCCAAGGCAGGTGGATCACCTGAGGTCAGGAGTTGAAGACCAGTCTGACCAATATGGAGAAACCCCATCTCTACTAAAAATACAAAAAATTAGCTGGGCATGGTGGCGCATGCTTGTAATCCCAGCTACTCGTGAGGCTGAGGCAGGAGAATCACTTGAACCTGGGATGCAGAGATTGTAGTGAGCCAAGATCGTGCCATTGTACTCCAGCCTGGCCAACAAGAGTGAAACACTGTCTCAAGAAAAAAGAAAAGTAAAACATCTATTTCAGTTAGAATTGTGTTCGTCTATATTTGAAAGAGACCCTAAAAATAGTGACTTAACCAAAGAAGAGCTCATTTATAGCATGAAACAAGTCTTGAGGTATGTACCCAGGGCTGGAACTGCAGTTCAAGGACGTCATAAATGGCTCAACTTCCTGGATCACCAGCCTCAGCACGTGACTTTCTCCCTTATGGTTATAAGATGAGGGCATTAGTTTCTGTTTTCTTTTCCTGTGTAATGCATTGCCATAAACTTGACAGCTTAGAATAACACACATTTATGATTTCACAGTTTCCATGGGTCAGTAGTCCTAGCACAGGTTGGTTGGGTCCTTTACTCAGATTCTTATCATGCTAAAACCAAGATGCTGGTCATAGCTGTGTTCTCATCTAAACCTTGGGATCCTCTTCTATGCTCATTCAGGTTGTTGGCAGAACTCAGTTCCTTGTGGTTGTAGGACTGAGGTTTCTGTTTTCTTGCTGGCTGTTGCCTGGGGGTTGCTGTCAGCTCCTAGAGGCTGATCTGAGTTCTTAACCATGTGGCCTTTTTACAGCATGGCAGCTTACCTCTTCAAGGTTAGAAAGAGAATTTCTCTCTAGTTTGCTACAGTGAAGTCTTATGAAAGGGAGCCTAATCAAGGGACTGACTATGCTGTCCTATTCATAGGTCCCACCTGCACTCAATGGGCATGACCCTAGGGGGTGGACATCTTGGGAACATTAGAATTAGAATTCTGTCTGTCATATTAGTTTCTGGGCAGGATTAAGTATCCTGGAAAGGTTAAGAGTAAAAGGTGTGTAACAACTAACTCTGCCTGCCCCTCTTTTTAAGTTTAGAAATCAGATGAGATCAAGCACATTCAAAGTGGTATGGCCATAGATTAAAGTTCAGAAATTGATAGTTTTATAGGAAACCCTACTTAGTAGACTTCTGTTTATATTTCATTAGTCATAACTGCAGTTAGCACAAGGAAGCCAGGGAAATAAAGTTTTAGCTACCTATGCAAAAATCAGCATTCTGTTAAAAAGGAAGAGGAGATATTGCATATTGATAGCCAGGGTAAAATTTGAAATGCCAAATTAGAGAAAATAAATCTGTCTTGTTTAGGAAAAATGGAAATTAATAATGGAAAAAAATCACACAGAAATTCCTACACAGGATTAATCACTGCTAACATTGTCATACTTCTTAATTATATCATATTGTGTGCAACTTAAAAAATGTACTATAAGGATTTCTATGGTGAACTATTTGTAAATATAATTTTTAATAACTGAACAATACCATATTATAAGGATGTTCATAATATCCCCTATCATTAACCCTCTTTTTCTTACATTTTTAGTTTTTACTATTTTAAATAATGTAATGATGGGTATTTTTGTACATAAATTATTTTATATGTTTAAGATTATTTTATTAAGGCTTACTCTTAGATTTACTAGATCAAAGGGAATGGACATTTTTATGTTCTTATCACATATTTTCAAAAATGATGAACTAATTTATACTTACCAACAATGAACTGAAGTAGTCATCATTCTGAGAACATTCTAAAATTCTAATTTCATCCCTCATGTCAGTTTCGCTTCTGCCTTTGGGTCTAACAAAAATTTGATAAGTATGCCTTTTATGACTTCATCCAATCTTCTGATAAAAATGAGGCTACTTCTGGACAGGGGTTTGAGTCCTATACTACCACCTGAGAAACTATTCTTATTTAGTGTAATTAAATAATTAATAGTCTTCAGGCACAGTTTGAGCCCATACAAATCTAGCCATTTTACTTTGGAACCAACCCATAGTCACCTTGTCAGCAGGGACATTAAGAGGGGCATTATACTAAAGATCAGATGTTCAAAGCAGTCTCCTGATTGCTCAGTCTGAAATCCTTATTATGGCAGAAAATGAAGTTAGTTTATTGTGTTTATATCTCCATTCTCTGTGTCCACAGTCTGCTAAACTTGTAGTGCTAGTCCGTCTCTTCAGTGATAATACTTTTGCTCTGAATAAATTCCAAAACAGTCTTTTTCTGCCTTTAGTATTTTCTTCAAGTTTGTCCTTAGACTTCATTTTAGCTTCCTGAGCCCATGTGGATGAGTTCAGACACCGCTCGAATCTGTTCTGCGTTCACTTCCCTTCTCCTTCTGTCTTTTGTACATGTTATTTTTAAACTTGATTTTACCTGAGATGTTCCTGTAGTCAAACTAGCTTCTTTTAGATGGGTTTCCTTTTTCTTCTTCCTTGGATTACTCATGATTGTATAGTTAGAATTTCTGTTTCTGAGCTTCCTGTCCTTATTTTTTTTCCACACTCAATTTTATGGACTGTTTCCCATCTGTGAGAATAACTTACACAGTTTTCCATTCATTCTTAGATATTTCTATTTTCCAGTTTGTGGAATACTTCCAAATGTGCTGCTCCCTTCCTATTTTCTGGGCTTCAAAGGCAAATTAAAGATATTAGAACTTCCTACACTATCCTTGGTTCAAAATTTATGGCTGTTTTTTTTTGTTCCACACCTTTGAATATGAATATTAGAATTGCATATGCATTTTATAGAGAACTTAGAAAATGATCACAATTATAAAATATAAGATTAAAATTATTTGTAATCAAACCACTAATTCATTTAACTGTTAACATTTTTGTTCTGTTTCATTCAATAAGAAATATGTGTGTATCTGTATATTAAAAATAACTCCATCTTATTCATTTTAAGCCATATTTGTCCTTAAAATGTCAGTCTATAGAATTGGCTCATTATCAGAACTGAAGTTTGTTTGTTTGTTTGTTTGTTTGTTTTGAGATGGAGTCTCACTTTGTCGCCCAGACTGCAGTTGAGTGGCACGATCTCGGCTCACTGCAACCTCCTCCACCTCCTGGGTTCAAGCAATTCTTGTGCCTCAGCCTCCCGAATAGCTGAGTTTACACGCACATGCCACCATGCCCAGCTAATTTTTGTATTTTTAGTAGAGACAGGGTTTCACCATGTTGGCCAGGCTGATCTTGAATTCCTGACCTCAAGTGATCCGCCCACTTCAGCCTCCCAAAGTGTTGGGATTATAGGTGTGAGCCGCCACGCCCAGCCATTTCTTAAACTGTAAGAAATTTCTTTTATTCCTTTTTATTTTCTCTCAAATTTATTGAGCAACTACTTTATACCTTTCTGGTGAGAGGTGCCTTTCTTCAAGTCATTTATGTTTCAACTCTACTTTCCTTATCTTGCTTTTTTGCATGTCCAGTATTATAGCCTCAGTTTTCTACTTATTCTGTATATGTTAAGGTACTCAGGTGCCACTAGATTTGATCTGTTGGGTAATGTGTAAGTTTACGGAAAAATATTTTCTATTTATTTTTAAAATTATGCATTGCTTATGTCTATCTAAAATGTGAATGCATACATCTACATTGGTATAGATATACAACTGTCCATATAGTGATATAGTAAATACAACTGAGGGTTTCCAGATTCAAAATCATTGAGCCATGCCAGGTTTGAGCTCCTCCTCCCAACCATTCCTCTTCCTCTCCTGCTGCAAGTTGTCCCAGTAGAAGTTGCCACTCCTACATACTGTGTCTCTCAAGTCACTGTAACTGGCCAATAGTGTCCACATGATCCAAGTGAGTCCACTTGTGGTACCACTGTCTCTGGGACTTGGAATTGTTCTAGTCTTGAGTATGAACATGTGCCTGAAACTAAAGTCATCAGAGTCCTTCCTCAAGATTTCTCTAACTGAGGTTGAGGGTAGGAAGCCTTTTCTCTTTAGTGGCAAAACTATGAGCATATGAATCCAGAAGCTCTGAACTTCTTTATTTGCAAAAACCTGAGGGCAGGTAGGAAAAATTAAGGTGATCTGATGGTATTTGAGAGATTAATTTTATTTTCTAAAGTTCCTGGAGTAACCTGAGTCTTTCAGCAATTCTGTTACTCCTGGGAGCTACCCTCCAGATGGCCTAGGTGATTCAATGGGTTTCTGATTTTTGCAACCAGTAACTTACGGCTAATCAAGTTGACAGAGTTCACTTGCTGTAGATGATGATTGCTTAACAAATGCCTTATATTTAAATTCTCAATTTGAGAAATCTTTCCCATTAAGGGAGCATTATTCTCAGCTCTCCCACAAGTTTAACTACATTAGACAAGAGCTTGAGATAGTCTCAGGAGTCACCTTCAATTCTATCTGGAAAAAAGGGAGAGTATAAATTATCTCCCTTCACAGCTGGTGAAACGGATGCCAGAAAGAGGACTTAATCTGCTCATAGTGACCAAGATAGTTTGTAGCAACATCAGGGCTAAGACTCAAGTCTCCTAATTCCCTGTCCTAAGCTGTCCTGAGTATAAAGAGATTCGGTGTAATGGATATCAGCACAGAGAAGTCACAATTTCTTTTGTGCTTTTTAAATTTGAATCAGCTCATTTTTCTTTCCCTTTTACAGAACAGTTCATTCATAAATTACATTGTAAGCACTACATGCCAACAGGCTCTATGATAACTGCTGTCAAGATAGACACTCCAAATGTGTGTCACTTCTGCTCTCAAGAAGTTTGTTATCTAGAGAGAAGGTAAATTTTAAAAAGTAATTGTACATGTGTGTGACCATAGATACTATAGGGAACTGTTAGGAGCCACCTAGGAGGTTGGTTAGCAGCCAACCCTACCTTGCTGGGGTTCTGGATTAGGGAGCATTGGTCTATCAGAGAGGATAATACCTTATCATAACCATTCAGATCTATTGTTTCCAACTTTGCATTATATCATCTACTCTGTTAAAATCATATTTTAGAAAACACATGTATTTCATTTTGGGCTAGTCTCAGGAAAATTAGAGAAAGATAAAAATGGGGGTAGCACTACTTAGGTGAGGGTATAAAAAACACACAGGGTAATATAAAATTGGTTAATGAATGTCTCTTTCCACAAACCCCTCTACTCTTAACCACTCCCACTTATACCACCACTATTTCCAGATCAGTAGTTGTCAAACTGTGTGAAGAGGAACATTAGCTCTCTGAGATACAGCATTAGATAAGAGTTCTGTAGTCAGGTAACTTTATGACCACTGCACAATCATTCCCTTCTTTGAGATGGGAGGGAGAAAGAGAAAGCCTGTTCTCCCATCCCAACTTGAATCTGCCTTATTTCCATTCACACATAATTGATACACATCTTTCCCCTCTGCTCCCAGTTCATTATGGTGCTTTAGTTCCCCTCATGCATTCCAGCCCAGAATGAGAAACTGCTTTTCTGTTTAATGTAAAGAATTTGAACACAAGGCACACTCCACGATCTTCTAAAAGACTCTGAGAAATCCTATGATTAAGAAACACTTTTGTATTATTTTTAATTTAACATCTAAAATCATTTAGCCATAAGATGGCTTTTCTCCCATATCATCCTATGAAACTTCAGAACCCACTTGGAAATATCTTACTCTAATGAAGAAGTTTGTTTGCCCCTCCAGTCTCATATATGACTTAACAATAATAGTTGGGCAGTGTTGTATTGTTTTCCAAGTGCTTTATTTTCAGTGCCTATTGCATGCCAGCACTATTGCTAAGTTCTTTCATATATCTCCTCTCACTTTATACACATCCTCAATAACCTTGTGAAGTTGGCATTATTTTCATCACAGATTATACGTAAAGAAACAGGCTGAGAGAGAGGTTATGGTGACTTCCTGGAGGTTACACGAGTGGCAATACACAGAGCTGGGATACTTCTGAGTCTTTCTTTTTTTTTTTATTATTATACTTTAAGTTTTAGGGTACATGTGCACAATGTGCAGGTTTGTTGCATATGTATACATGTGCCATGTTGGTGTGCTGCACCCATTAACTCATCATTTACATTAGGTATATCTCCTAATGCTATCCCTTCCCCCTCCCTCCACCCCACAGCAAGCCCCAGTGTGTGATGTTCCCCTTCCTGGGTCCAAGTGTTTTCACTGATCAACTCCGACCTATGAGTGAGAACATGCAGTGTTTGGTTTTTTTGTCCTTGTGATAGTTTGCTGAGAAGGATGGTTTCCAGCTTCATCCACGTCCCTACAAAGGACATGAACTCATCATTTTTTATGGCTGCATAGTATTCCATGGTATATATGTGCCACATTTTCTTAATCCAGTCTATCATTGGACATTTGGGTTGGTTCCAAGTCTTTGCTATTGTGAACAATGCTGCAATAAACATACGTGTGCATGTGTCTTAAAAAACCACTTTAAAGTTCATATGGAACCAAAAAAGAGCCCGCATTGCCAAGTCAATCCTAAGCCAAAAGAACAAAGCTGGAGGCATCACGCTACCTGACTTCAAACTATGCTACAAGGCTACAGTAACCAAAACAGCATGGTATGAGTACCAAAACAGAGATATAGACCAATGGAACAGAACAGAGTCCTCAGAAGTAATGCCACATATCTACAACTATCTGGTCTTTGACAAACCTGACAAAAACAAGAAATGGGGAAAGGATTCCCTGTTTAATAAATGGTGCTGGGAAAACTGGCTAGCCATATGTAGAAAGATGAAACTGGATCCCTTCCTTACACCTTATACAAAAATTAATTCAAGATGGATTAAAGACTTAAATGTTAGATCTAAAGCCATAAAAACCCTAGAAGAAAACCTAGGCAATACCATTCAGGACATAGGCATGGGCAAGGACTTCATGTCTAAAACACCAAAGGCAATGGCAACAAAAGCCAAAATTGACAAATAGGATCTAATTAAACTAAAGAGCTTCTGCACAGCAAAAGAAACTACCATCAGAGTGAACAGGCAACGTACAGAATGGGAGACAATTTTTGCAATCTACTTATCTGACAAAGGGCTAATATCCAGAATCTACACAGAACTCAAACAAATTCACAAGTTCTGAGTCTTTCTATGGCACCTTTTCCCTTCACATTAAATAAATAGAGACAAATAATAAAAATTCAAGATACCAGACAATTCTGAAGCTAGAGGATATACTGAACTTCATCCAAAAATTCAAAGGAGAATGTCAATCAGTTAGATGTTAGCAGCTAAATACTTCCAAAAAAGTTATGTTTGTTCTGGAGGGGCAGGGGATCTACAGATAGAGATGGGAATAAGACTAACTCAAGCAAAGAACACATTGAGGGAAGGGTTTATGGTCTAGTTCGGTTGGAATCTAGTACAGATGAAACAGGAGAGTTCAGTTGTAGCCATATTGGTTGGGCACCAGTTTTGTGGTCTGAACTTATTCTGAGTACGCAATGTGAGCCCACAAGATATTTTTTCGATGAAGTATGAATGTAGTTACATCTTAATTGGAGTAGTTAAGAGACAGTCTGGAAGGAATATAGAGGATGATTGCAGTGAGACAGAAGAAACTAGAGGCATGTGATCAGAGAGAAGACTACACAGGACATGAACTGGGGTAAAATGTTACAGTCACTATGAGAAGAGAGCACGTCATGTCCATCATCATCTCTAAGCATAAGTTGAAGAGCCCTGGACTAACAAGACAGTCACATAACTTATTGCGTAGCAAATTAAAGCATGGATTGTAAAGCCTTTGATGAATAGTGCCTGGTCCATGAAAAGTGCTCAATGATTATTTGCTGAATAATAAATCATTTCATCTAGTTACATGATATTTCAAGTATTATATAAGAACTTCAAATTGATGTATCTCCTCTTTTTAATTTTCAATTACAAGTTTGTGGAATGAAGAAAAATAATGTTTTATTCCATATCTGAAAGTAGAAAATTATATAACATATTCTAAGTGCTGCCTCCGGGAGGTTGCGCAGGCTAAGAATGAGTTGTTATCTGACTGTGGAATTTAGGAGTTAGACGTCAGGAATTTGTGAGGGTTGGGTCGACAGGTTCTATGGTTGAGGCCAGAATTTTGGTAGTTAGCTAGTATCTCTCTGATGTCCAGTGATGATGAGCATTTTTTCATGTGTCTTTTGGCTGCATAAATGTCTTCTTTTGAGAAGTGTCTGTTCATATCCTTCGCCCACTTATTGATGGGGTTGTTTGTTTTTTTCTTGTAAATTTGTTTGAGTTCTTTGTAGATTCTGGATATTAGCCTTTTGTCAGAAGAGTAGATTGCAAAAATTTTCTCCCATTCGTAGGTTGCCTGTTCACTCTGATGGTAGTTTCTTTTGCTGTGCAGAAGCTCTTTAGTTTAACTAGATCCCATTTGTCAATTTTGGCTTTTGTTGCCATTGCTTTTGGTGTTTTGGACATGAAGTCCCTGCCCATGCCTACGTCCTGAATGGTATTGCCTAGTATCATTGACAATCCAAATACAAAAAGTGACTAAAATATTAATTTATTTAGCTTTATCAACACATCCATTTTTACACATGGTTCTTCTTCCTATTTGTTTTCACCCAAGGTAACATTATTCTAACAATGCTGGCAGAAATAGTTTCATTTATGCTATCTGGAGAAGCAAGAGCTTCAAACTCTCTACTAAAGAGTTAAGGGCTAGGGCATAAGAATCATATATAAGAAAAAAATTAACTCTCTAGTTTGGGAGAGAAATGAATTTGTTAAGCTAGAAGTGGGTCTTATCCATAAAAGTTCTTAAGAGAGGAAGATGTTGTTAAAATCATTATATGTACTATATAGTCGTAAAAATACATAATATTACTTAACTTCTACATTTGCCCCAGTAAAATATTCCTAATTCTCATAATTCTGCCAGATGGGTATTATCTCTGCCTTATAGGTAAGGCCAAAGAAAATTAAATATTTTGCCTAAGTACATTTAGTTATTAAATGCACTGAAATCACCTGTGGAGCAACAGAATATAAAGAATATTTTTAAAAGAACAAAATTAGGACTTCAACCTATGTCTGCTTTACTGCAAAGCCTACAGTAGTTCAGCTCAACTTTTATATACTGGTTTCTTCAGTCTTCCTTCCATTTCACCTAAAAGAATGGTATCAAATAATAACTGGAAAGCAAAATAAGGACAGGCAGTTGGACCTGTAAAGTAAATTTTCTTGTGAACATGTTTTCTTTTTTACTTTCTGCAGAAATCACCCATGTCTAAAATTATTTTCAGTGAAAGCTGAACTGGTCACTCTTCCAAAGTCCTTGTTCATTCATTTATTCAGTCAGTCATTCGCTTAGTCTGTATGTCTTCTGAGTGCCTACTGTTTGTAGGCACTGTGCTAGACACCAGGATGGGGCAATGAAACTCCTGGAAGCTCCCAGTCCAGTAGAGGATACACAAACAAAGCATTACATACTGACCAGTGGGTAAGTGCCAGAATAGAGGGATTCCTGCTCAGCCTCGGGGAGTCAGGGGGGATTTCCCATGGGAGGTGATCACTGAAGAATGACCTGAAGGAAGAAGAAGGAGACAGGAGATTGTATTCATTGGAGGACTAATTATGTAATGTTTAGGTATTTCATCTGTGTATATCGTTTAACAAGAATCTCATGAAATATAGTGACGATTGGCCTCATTTTTAAGTTAAGGAGTAGAGGCTCAGGCTTTTCACTTGTCCTTTGTTTAACAGTAAGTGGCAAAACCAAGTTTTAAAGCTTGACTCCAACATGCTTTCTCTTTCCATTTTATCCTACTGTATTTGGGACAATGATGTACCAGTCTCAGTCCTCAGTCTTGGCACATAGAGGTGCCAGAATAAAAGCATTTAATTATCATAAAAATAAATTGTGAAACTCATAATTTATGTAATTTCTACCATAGATAGCACTCAATAAATAACACTTTGAGTTGAATAAGTCTAGCAAATACTGTGGCAAAGTAGTTTATCCTATATGTGTCTCAGTCTCCTCATCTGTAAGACAGAGTTAATAGTTTATCCACCTCTCAGGGTGTAGTAAGGGTTAAATGAGATTATGTATGTAACATACATGGCATGGTGCCTAAGTGTTCAATAATAAAGTGTTCAATAATTGTTAGCAATTATTACAATTAATATTTTGTGTCTGGTTGACCATTTATCTTTTCAAGCTGATTAATGAGAAAGTAGTTGAACTAAAGGCTGCTGTTTTTCATGAATGGGGTTTGTTAAGTCTGGCTAAACATAATCTTTATGCTTATCTTTATTCTTTCTTTTCAAGACTGATTATTGGGTATCCCAGCACTGTTTCAGTAAAAGACTCACAGTGAGAACAATTAAAAACTTACTGAATTAAAAACAAAATATTAATAGAGGCAATATCTATGAATATTCTGGTTCTTAATGGCAATTACTGGTAAGTCATACATTATATATTGGATTTGGAAAATGTATCTCGGGAATAGTAAACTGTCAAAAAGACTCAAGAGCTGTGTCTGCCTCGTATTAAGGTTATGGGGTCTGGTGCAAAAAAGGCGAGGATGTTGAACTCAGATTATTTTCAGGGGCCAGGAACTTAACAGAAATGCACATTTACAGACATCTACACATAAAAATAAATAAATAAATTGATCAATTAATAACTCTGGGCTACATGTAACACATTGTGGACTGTTTGTTCGTAACTTTTGCGATTTAGAAAGAAGCAGTAGCCAAAAACTTAGAAAACATGGGTCCTCATTCCTTCAATAGACATTTATAGGGAGCAGTGGGTTAAGAGCAGGGGCTCTGGGCCGGCGCGGCAGCTCACGCCTGTAATCCCAGCACTTTGGGAGGCCGAGGTGAGCAGATCCCGAGGTCAGGAGATCGAGAGCATCCTGGCCAACATGGTGAAACCCCGTCTCTACTAAAAATACAAAAAATTAGCTGGGCGTGGCGGCGGGCGCCTGTAGTCCCAGCTACTCAGGAGGCTGAGTCAGGAGAATGGTGTGAACCTGGGAGGTGGAGCTTGCAGTGAGCCAAGATTGTGCCACTGCACTCCAGCCTGGGCGACAGAGCGAGGCTCCGTCTCACAAAAAACAAAAAAAGAGCAGCAGGGGCTCTGTTCTTGAGTCGGGCTTTGCTATTTGACATTTGTGAAACTTTCAGGGATTGTATTATGAGTGTCTGAACATGGGCTGCAAAACCAGGTGCCAAAAGTTTGACTTGCTGGCTGTGTGACTCTGGGAAAGTTATTTAATTTCTCTATACCCCTGTTTCCCCACCTGATTTTGTGAGTACAAACTTAGTACCAGTAAAATACATGCCATCAGGCTTACAATAAGTTATCCATAGGCATCAGCTATTTTTGGTAATATTACTGTTTAGATACCTCATATGCATTAGGCACTGTGCTTGGATCTAGGAATACAAATATAATAAAAGATAATCCTTGTTTTCAAGGACACAGGCAACAGGCAGTTAGGATGTAGTGGTGTCAATGGAGGTGGGTACGAAGTACCAGGGAACACTAAAGATAATGTTTCATGGTGCTAAGAGAAGGCTACTCAGTAGAGATATTTCCAGAAACATGGAGGTATGCAGGTAGCCAGAGCTAAGAGGTGAGGCGCATTCTATAATAGCATATTCCCTGTGAGGCTCAGTAGCCTGTGTGATGCTAGGCAGATCACTTTCTGTCTCTTTGCCTTAATTTCCTGATGTGTCAAAGAAAGCAGGGCGAATTAGTGATACCTAAGTTCCCCTCCTCTCTAATATTTGGTGATTCTCTGTGAGCTTGGAGATGTTTCATGGCTGAAACAGAGCACTAGAGGTGGCTAGGGTGATGGGAGGGAGAACTTTTGGTACGTAAGCGGGGAGACCTAGGAGGTATAAGGCTCTAGAGCTACAGAAAGGAGGTAAGAAAAATTTGAAATACACTTTGACATCTAAAGAATAAAGGACAGAGGCTGAGGTAAGGCCATGGTGGGGATGAGGGAGGCATTGTCAGAGGGACACAATCTTAGGAGCTCCCTTTGTGAACCTTTCTCTTCACTATATCCCATTTCTCCATGCTGACAATGTGACTTTGTCCTATGTTAAAATAAGTGACAATGTGGCTCAGTCTGTCCTTCCCAATGACTGTTACACCAAACTCTGGTAACTTTCATACAATAGGGCATCACTGAGACCTGGCTTCTCTGCGTCACATTCACCATGTACGCCTTCTCTTCATGGAGATACCATGGTAAAGTACAAAACTGTGGGCTTTGGATTCAAATAGACGTTGGCTTGGACACTAAGAAAATGTAGGCCATAGACTCTAAGAAGAGAGCAAGGAGAAGAGAAAGAGAAAATATAGGCAGAAGCCAGGTTCTGACCCTTACTATCCCTGAGACCTTGCACACATCATTTAGTTTCTCTGGACTTCACTTTTGTCATCTGTTAAAGGAGGGCAGTAGCTCCCATCTCAGAGTTATTGTGGTGATTAAGTGAAATGCCATATTCTGAGAATAATGTCTGAAACATAAGGTCAGTTTAGGGGAGCCCCAGTAGAAGCTAATGATTGCAGTGGAGGAAAGCAGGTATCCAAAGGAAATGGGAGGTTGATATGAGGGACAAGGGAGGACAGAAGTGCTTAACAGACAGGTGTCCACTACACTAGCACCCATGTTAGGTGTTAATGATGATTAATAGAAAGCTAGCAAAATCTTTGCCACTTATGTGCTCAATAAACAAGTGCTAAATCTTCTCAGAGAAAGGATTTTTAAACCCCTGTTTTGTGTAATACTTTTTGTACAGTGGTGTTATTATCCAGTAGGCCATCTGCTCTAATTAAAATTTCACAGGGCTGGGGAATTTAGTGCCCTAACCTTGGAGTCTCGGGTACAGTTGGTGTTTTGTTTGAGGTTGATGTATTTGGAAAGATTATGGGAGGATGAATTCTTTGCCAGCTTCTAACTAGGCAGATGTGAAAATTTTCTGCTAGGATTTTTTTTTTTTTTTTGGCTCTCTGGTGCTGGGGGTCAAAGATTAAATACTTTGCCGCAAGACAGATGTTCTGAAGAGCTAATTAAAAAACTGACAAGTAACCAGGACCTCTGATGGTTAGTTGTATGTGCCTTCCTCCACCGAAAGATGAGAATCACTGTGGCTTAGAGTGATTATATTAAATTGTATTTCCAGAAAGTTCACAATTGGAATAAAAAGGACAGTCTCTTTAAAGACATTCTTAATTATATGAGTGTGTCTCAAAATTGGCTGTACATTTTAAGTGTAGAATCTTTTTAAAAAATTATGAACAACTTTATTTTTAAAATTAAATTTGTTTAAATTTCAACTTTTAGATACAGGGGTACATGTGCAGGTTTGTTATATGGGAATATTGTGTGAGGCAGAGGTTAGGAGTATGAATCCCATCACCATGCCTAACTGGGAATTTTTTTTTAATGCTCATGCTAGGTAGGGCCCCATGTCAGACCAATTAGATCAATGTCTGGAAGGAGGGCCCTGGTAACATATTTGTTTTAACTTTACAAGGGATATGAATATACAGCCAGGATTGAGAAGTTATAATTTCTAAATAATATCCTAGGATCTATTTTATTCCTAGGATTCATTGTAATGTAATGTATGGGGAGTAGGATGGGAACTGGAATTGGGATAGTCTTGGTTGAAATGACAGATTGGCTAAGATAATGTTCTGCTCTGGATAAGTTACTTAAGCTTTTTTCTAGCTCCCTTACCTTTAAAATATGACCATTACCTCTCCAATAGATGTTTGTGAATATTCAATGTGAGTATTATTTAATAAACAAAGCACCTGCTTAATTAACTCCATTTGTTTTTAGTAAAATTCTTTGTTAGGAATTTTAGCCTGTTTCTGAGACTTGCTGATCAGTACCAATGAAAGATTCTGAGCAGTGGTGCAAAGAAGAACACGCATTACCTTAAAACAGTAGACCATCTTGTCATACTGCAGATATAGAAATAAATCACAGTGATATCCAGTCCAATTTTACCTGTCCTGGAAGTCAGAGTATATACATTTCCTTTCTAGCAAAAGATGCCCCTGGAGATGTTGTGACTACTCCCTATAATAAATGCAAATGAAAATTTCCAGGTAGTGTTTTTCACTTATTCTGGCAACTCTGTTTCTATACAATCACCCAGAAAATGTGGGCTTCACTGTGTCTATTTGGATGCCAACTAGCTCAATCAATTATATTGCAATCTAATTGCCCAAAGGGTCTGAACCTGCAATTCTATCAGGCAGGGTCTGATTATCCATGCTGACCTTGGGTTAATGGGGAGAGGGAGGTTTGTTCTATATTGCTATTTCTTCTCCTAGCCTAGGCCCTTTGGCCATGACCTGATTGGTATATAGAAAGTCAGAAAGACCAGATATGGTTCGAAGTGCCAGTAATACAAATCAGCCTTGCCTGATTCCTGGTTGCATGCTCCTACCTTGCATGCTGGAACCAGGTGCTCTGCCCATTGTGTTCCTTTATTTATTTTGGGATATATTTGGGGGGGAGCTGAGATAAGGATTTGGCTTCAAGCTTGTGCTTTAAACAGTATACGTCTTGCCTTTTGTAGTAAACATGTGGTAAATATTAGTATTTATTCTTCTCCCTGAGCTCACAGCTGGCCATCCCAATTACTAGTGTGTGACTTGGGGCCAGTCACTTTCCCTGTCTGAAGCTCAGTATCTTCAACTGCAAAATGAAGGAATGGAAGGCACACACACATTGTGTTCTTCTGATGGTTAACTTGTATGAGGAGAATATACAGATAACATTTATTGAATGTGTACTGTATGCCTTTCACTGTTCTAAGTATTTCATGTTTCAAGTATTAATATATATTAACTTACAATCATTTGTGAGGTAAATTTTGAATTCTCTCTTTTACAGATGAGGAAACTGAAGCATGAAGTGGTTAAAGTAATTTTTCTGAGGTCATGCAACCAGAAAGTAGGGGAACTAAGATAAGGGTTTGTCTCCAGGCCTGTACTCTAAAGACTATACCCCTTGCCTTTTTGTAGCGTGCCTGTGGTAAATATAGTCAAAAGCATTTTCAGTTCTTCCTGGCTTTCTCTTAAAATTTCTAATCTGAAATATGTATACCATGACAATCAGCACCTTGGTACACATGTATTAGGTATTCACTAAATAGTTACTGATAGGTCAGCTGTTAAAGTGCTAAGGATCTGTACAGGCTTGTCTAGTAATGGACTTTTATAGTACTGTGGTTACTGACATTTTACCTGAAAAAAACCCTCAATGGCTCTACTTGACAAATTTAGTATTCAAGGCTCTACAGAGATCTGGCACCCTGATGCCCTTTCCAACCTTTTTATGCTTTTGCTATTTACACAAACCCTGCTAGTAGGTAAGCTCAGTCAGGAATGAGATGTATCATCTGTATATTGGTATGCCTAGTACTTAGTGGAAATCTAAATACTATTAATTGGGTGAATGAACCTGACTCAGTCACCATGAACTGCTACTCTTTGTACATGTAGTCTATAAGCAGTCATTCCTTGGCTCTGCCTGTTTCCTTTCTCTAGAGCCCATCCTTCATGGTCCGCTCTCCTAGGCCTAATACCATCTAGACTTTACTTGGTGTGTTAAAACTCGCAAACAATTTAAACAGTGTTATCTTATATTTTCACTAAAATGACCCTGCTAGGTTGCCACTAATTTGAGCTTAGGTTTCAGTTCTTTTTCTCATAATGATAATGGATTTTCATTGATTTTCCCACACGCATTGAATTCTCCTCATTAGTAGATTTTGTCAATTTGCACGTTATGATGAAGGAAAACCTGTTTAACTGGCAGTTAATATATGAGTGGAGGTTTAAAAAATACTAACTTTTATCTAATTTTTATCATATACGAAGAAAGGCCCTTTCTAATGTTTAAAATTGTTTTCCTGTCATATAAACATGTTTTTATTATAATATATGGAAGATAAATAAACTAGCATTATTTAACACTAACTGGGTCTAACACTGAAGAACTAACTTTTATTTGTGATTGTTCCTGGTTTTCTGAACAATCTGGAAAAGGAATGCAGCTTAGCAAAAGCCAGGCTTTGATGTCAGAAAGACCCAGTGTAAGCTCTGGCCTCCCAGCCCACTTGCTGTGTGATTCTGGGGAAGCCTTTTAACCCCTTACAGATAAGCTTTCTTGTCTGTAAACATATGTAGTAATATCTCATGTTTGGTATTTGGGGTATAATTTTGTTGCCTCCTTCTCCAACACACAAACAATAGCCAAATGGGAATCAAAGTATTGGCTTATTAATGGCCAGGCAAGTACGTTAAAACCATTCAAATAGGGCTTCTTTAATGAGATGTGATGGCTCTTAAGTGGAAGTCTGGGCGAGGAGACCCCTTTTTACCTTCCTGAATGGGACACAGTAGGGGACCATCGGACAGGCTTCCACTCAGTCACATAGCAAGTGGCAGGGCTCCGGAACAAAGTGTTGAGCTGGGTCCGTTCCAAAAAGCAAGGCCCTGCCTAGGTCAGTTGGTTGCCTGGGAGCAGGGAGTTCAGGTGTGACCCTTAGACGTGACACTAAGAAGAGGAAGAGTGGCAGAAGACATGCTAAGCACAGGCAATGACTTTAAGGCACAGGAAGTTGCCCAACAGGGGATGGGGCAGAAGCATTGCTGTTCTCTCAGGACTGGATTCCATAGAGTGAGGAAGATACTTGAGCTGAAGGAAGAAATGCCATCCCCACCCTTACCCCAACAATAATAACAAAATCCATATGGACAAAAAACATAATCTTTATCTTAAAGGGTGTTAAATGGGATTAAATAAGATTACTTACTTACTATTGAAGTCCCTAGCAAGTTCACATTGTGAAAGCAATAATGTCTGCTGCACTCTGTCAAGGGAAGCAAATTTTTATTAGGTAAGTGTTATCATCAAGACCATTTTATAGCTGGGGAAAGGGAGGCTTAGAGAAAGGAAGACTGGTCTGGTAAAAAGCAACAACAATAATATAATAAGCAAAAAAGCAATCACACTTTTACCTTGTGTTTTGGATTTAGAAAGCCTGGGAAACATTTTCTTTAAGGCTCTCTAGAGAGGAGATAAATAATTAGGCTATACTTGTCTGGAACTCCAAAGTTACCTTAAGCTTTCATAGCTGGTGAACTCAGTTTCAGGCTTGAAGGATGGAGAACCTGCTAATAAACATTTACAACTAAGGTCATTAGTCATGGATGCCATTTGGAAGCCAACAGTACTTCTTATATTTTCCAAGTAATATGACTCCATTCAATGATCTCAAAATATATCAACAACTTTGACATACATGCAAAAATCAGGGATAAGTATTTCCACTTCAGATTGGACAACAAGGTTCTGTAGTAAAACATTTTAACAACGAGAAAGCCTTGTCTCTTTAAGTATGAAGAAATACATCAAAGAAGTTCTACAAATTGTGATTAAAAACAATCAAATTTAACTTTATTGCAGATCTTTAACTACTTTTTACCTAATCAAAGATATTTATTTTAGTACACTGGTAGTATATTTTCTATATGTCTTAGGTTTCTGACCAGCAGGAACAAAAAAAGCAGTTTAACTTATACTACTGACATATTTTAGATTCAAATGTTTGCTCCATATTTTTTCCAAATTCAAGTTTATTTCATTTTTGAACCTAAACTTATATTTCCAGTTTTACTTTTTTCCTTGAGGAGTTATATCCATCTGGAATGTCTAGATAATGCCAGGGTTTATTTGGGGTAATAACCTCAAATCTCAGTGGGTTAAAATAGCAAAGATCATCATTCTCATGCACACTACATAGCATGGGCTGATTGGGATACTTGCCTCTACTTGATTCTCACTCACAGACCTTATCCAAAAGAGTTTCCATTGCTGTGCTTCCACAGGGAGAAACAGAAAAAACAGGAAACTGAGCACTGGCTCTTATTGCTCCTATATGAAAGTGACACACATTACTTCTCACATTTTGACGCCCAACAAGTCACATGTCCATGGCTAAGTTCAAAGAGGTCAGAACAGTGTACTCTTCCCCATTTCACTAGAATATAGAGACCCAGAAATATCTGTGAAACCATTAATGCATACTATAAAAGATGTCTTATCATTCTTATTTTATATCAAGGTCACAAAAATAGTATGTGGCAGAGGGCAATTATAAATCTAAGTCAGATTAAAGGTTTATGTTTCTTCTACAATATTTTTATAGTTTGAGTATGTGAAAATGTGAAAATAAGAAAATTGCCCTCTAACTGAAATTTAACCTACTAAGTACATTTACCAGACACCATTCCTCCTATATGACATAGCAAAATAAATACTTCTTTTTTGAGGAACCAAACAGTAAAGTTCTTTGAAGGAACAAATAAGAGTGAGGGAAACAGGAGGGGGATGCATATGTAGCATATAGGAAGGAATATTTAAATGAATTGTCACATATAAGTCTCTGCTCTAGCATTATTTCAGAGTATTGAATAAGAAAAGCTGTTTTATTTTTTCCCTCATAGGAAAATATAAACATTGATGAAGCCTCCAGATGCCTGGTGAAACACATACTTGCAAATGAGTGTGACCTAATGGAGTCTATTGAGCCGGACGTCGTGAAGCCCCATCTCACATCAACCAAGGTTGCCAGCTGCTCTGGCTGTGCCAAATCCTAGTAGGCACCTTTGCTGGTGTCTGGTAGGAATGACCTCATTGTTCCACAAATTGTGCCTCTATTTTTACCATTTTGGGTAAACGTCAGGATAGAGATACCACATGTGGCAAGCCAAAGATCTATGCCTCTGTTTTTTCAGTGAGAGAGAAATAGCAAATGTTCTTTCTATGCTTTCCTCACCATCATCACAGTGTTTACAAACTTTTGAAAATATTTAGTCTGTTACAAACTTCTGTCATGTAGCTGACCAAAATCCTGCAGGGCCACAGTCGGCACTGTTATTTGCTTCTTTTAATCAGCAAAGGCCTCAAGTCTTAAAATAAAAGGGGAGAAGAACAAACTAGCTGTCAAGTCAAGGACTGGCTTTCACCTTGCCCTGGTGTCTTTTTCCAGATTTCAGTATATTCTCTGATGGCCTGACAGGCCTATTAAGTAGATGTGATATTTTCTCCCAAGATGACCTCCATTCTCGGCAGACCTAAGAGTTGCCTCTGAGTTAGCTCTTTGGAATCGTGAACACAGGTGTGCTATATTGTCCTTGTCCTAACTGTCACTTGCCATGGCCTGAATGTTGGCTTAACTGAATATTGTATGAAAAGACATGCCTCCATATGTGCCTTTCTGTTAGCTTTCTCTGACTCAAGCTGTGGGGCTCCTCTATACATGCTATACATGTAATATATATTATATATATTTTTGCAAGTGAACAATAAAACATTAAAAGATGCTGTTTCCCTATTTATGAAAGTGCTTTAAGTTTCTTAGTGTTGTGAAGGGATTTTTTTTTTTTTCGGACAAAGTAAACAGGGTTCTCAAGATCCATTTCTAAAATTTTATTTCAAGGAGGAGATGAGAAATGTATGCTTAAAGAAACTGCTGGACACTATTAAAACTGGGATGAGTCTATGCCATCTGCATTTACTGTTCATATTGACATTTAGGCTACAGAGTGTACAGTGCATATACATATTTTTAGTTAATCAGAGGAATATGTCCTCATAGATTCTGATTAAGAAAGGTGCCAGATCAATCAACATAAAAAGAAACAATAAAATATGCATTGTGACACCTTGGTTTACACAGTGGTTGTGGTGCTGACACGTGCAGGTAGCTATTATTTTTTAATGTCATTATTTCATATTAATATTTGTAATACACTCACAGGAGTCGTATATACATATATATATATATATATTTTGTTGTTGTTGTTGTTGTTGAGACGGAGTCTTGCTATGTCACCAGGCTGGAGTGCAGTGGCGCGATCTCAGCTCACTGCAACTTCCACCTCCTGGGTTCAAGCGATTCTCCTGCCTCAGCCTCCTGAGTAGCTGGGACTACAGGCATGTGCCACCACGCCCAGCTAATTTTTGTATTTTTAATAGAGACGAGGTTTATCAGGATCCTGCTATTTTCCTGTAAGGGTCTTGACTTTAGTGGAGGAAACGTGGTAGCTCTGTCAGCTTGGCCTCTTACAACTCTGCAGGATCCTGAGATAGAGGATGAGATATGTGGGTACATATCCTTAAGAGTCTTGAATCCCCAAATTCTTTGGAAACTCTGACCTAGAAAAAGAGGCCTTCTACTCTTTCCAGTGGGAGAACAGTTAATTGCTACATAAAAGCCCTGCCTCAGTAGGAAGTTTTAAGGTGAGGCTTGCCCATATCAAGTTCTGCCCCCATTTCTCCTCATTGCTTCTAGACAAATAACTAGGGCCAAGTCTCAGCATGATCTGAGTGGAAAAGGATGATCTGTGTTGCAGGATGAAATGGATTATTTATCAAATGAACTACAGAATCTGGCTAGTAAATATTAGTAGTAATGTAGAGAACAATCCATGAATTGGTCTTGATATACTGAAATATTGGATCATGGCGATAAGGCCGGATAATAGATACTCTACTTATATGAGGAAATACTTTCATGAGTTAATTTTTAACATTCTGACAAGTCTACCTGGCATTGATTCTAATATGCTATTGGAATGGCTTGGCTCCTTGAAGCTTATAAATGATTCTGGCCTGAAATAAATGATGTGGACATGCCAGAACTACATTGGCAAAATACTGGAGAAGAGATCCAGGGTCTCATAGAAGTGGGAATGTTAGAGTGTACTTATTTTGAAAGGCCGGAGAATCTGCCAGCTCATTGTGTTCTCCAGGAGAGCCTAGAAGACAATCACTTTACTAAAGCAAGAAGTGTTCCCAAAAGAGGGATACCTGCATCAATGAGAAACTCAGTAGTGATTGTTCTCTATTGACCAGGCTTGAGATTATAGAGATGTTGCTCTGTTTTTATGGGACTGGCTTCCTTCATATTTAAGGGTCATTAAGTGGTAGACTATTAAATGGTGCTGGCATATTTGGTTCTGTGTCTTAGACATCTAGGACCAAAAGATGGAAATAAGAGTATAGCCTCTCCCTGTTACTTTTAATAATCTACTTAAGAAAATGAGTTTCTCCTTGCCAGAACTTCAGGTTTTCCATAATTGGAGGTCTTAATACTTCTACCAGAAGACATAGTAAGGGTTCCAATAAATCTACAGCTTCAGCTGCTGTCTGATTAATTTTGGCTCCTCAGGCCTATAAACCAGCAGTTAGAGAAGGTAGTTACTATACAGACAAGGGTCATTCACCATAATGATCAAAAGGAAATGGGGTTGCTACTAGATAGTGGAGCAGAAAGTAGTGTGTCTGGAACTCATGGGATTCACTGGGGTGCCTCTTGATGCCTCCATCACTGGTGATATCTGAAAGGGCAGTTGCAGCAGCAACATCTTGATAAGGACGAGAAGTCAGGGACTCATACTCTCAGGGATAAATGTCTGAGTTATTGCACTATGCAATGAACCTTGATTAGAAGCAGTTTGGTCAAGGGAAGGGAAATGATGAATATTAATTATGGCATCACGTATGGTGTCAGGATTAACCATAACACTGGAGAATGTAGCTTATCTCACCAACCTTCCTGTTAGTATTCTTACTGTCTCTGTCTTTTTTTCTTTTTCATTTTTAGTAGAGACAGGGTTTCACCTCATCAACCATCCTGGTCTCGAACTTCTGGCCTCAAGTGATCCACCTGCCTTGGACTCCCAAAGTGCTGGATTTACAGGTGCGAGCCACCAGACACCTGGCCTAAACACCTTTCTTTTCTTTTCTTTTTTCTTTTTTTTTTTTTTGAGATGGAGTCTCACTGTATTGCCCAGGCTGAAGTGCAGTGGTGCGATAGCTCACTGAAACCTCCACCTCCCAGGTTCAAGTGATTCTTCTGTCTCAGCCTCCCGAGTAGCTATGACTACAGGCATGCGCCAGCACACCCGGCTAATTTTTGTATTTTTAGTAGAGGTGGGGTTTCAACAAATTGGCCAGGCTGGTCTCGAACTCCTGACCTCATAATCTGCCCACCTCGGCCTCCCAACGTGCTGGGATTACAGAAGTGAGCCACCACGCCTGGCCTTTATTATTATTATTTTTATACTTTAGGTTCTGGGATACATATGCAGAATGTGCAGGTTTGTTATATAGGTATACATGTGCCATGGTGGTTTGCTGCACCCATCAACCCATCATCTGCATTAGGTATTTCTCCTAATGCTATCCCTTCCCTGGCCCCCCACCCTCTGACAGGCCCCAATGTGTGATGTTCCCCTCTCTGTGTCCATGTGTTCTCATTGTTCAACTCCCACTTATGAGTGAGAACATGCAGTGTTTGGTTTGGTTTTCTGTTCCTGTGTTAGTTTGCTGAGAATGATGGTTTCCAGCTTCATCCATATCCCCGAAAAGGACATGAACTATCCTTTTTTATGGCTTCATTGTATTCCGTGGTATATATGTGCCACATTTTCTTTATCCAGTCTATCATTGATGGGCATTTGGGTTGGTTCCAAGTCTTTGCTATTGGGAATAGTGCTGCAATAAACATACGTGTGGATATGTCTTTATAGTAGAATGATTTATAATCTTTTGGGTATATGCCCAGTAATGGGATTGCTGGGTCAAATGGTATTTCTGGTTCTAGATCTTTGAAGAATCACCACACTGTCGTCCACAATGGTTGAACTAATTTACACTCCCACCAACAGTGTAAAAGTGTTCCTATTTCTCCACATCCTCTCCAGCATCCGTTGTTTCCTGAATTTTTAATGATCACCATTCTAACTGGCATTAGATGGTATCTCATTGTGGTTTTGATTTGCATTTCTCTAATGACCTGTGATGATGAGCTTTTATTCATATGTTTGTTGGTCTCATAAATGTCTTCTTTTGAGAAGTGTCTGTTCATATCCTTTGCCCACTTTTTGTTGGGGTTGTTTTTTTCTTGTAAATATGTTTAAGTTGTTTGTAGATTCTGAATATTAACCCTTTGTCAGATGGATAAATTGCAAAAATTTACTCCCATTCTGTAGGTTGCCTGTTCACTCTGATGATAGTTTCTTTTGCTGTGCAGAAGCTCTTTAGTTTGATTAGATCCCATTTGTCAATTTTGGCTTTTGTTGCCATTGCTTTTGGTGTTTTAGACATGAAGTCTTTGCCCATGCCTATGTCCTGAATGGAGTTGCCTAGGTTTTCTTCTAGGGTTTTTATGGTTTTAGGTCTTACATTTAAGTCACTAATCCATCTTGAGTTAATTTTTGTGTAAGGTGTAAGGAAGGGGTCCAATTTCAGTTTTCTGCATGTGGCTAGCCAGTTTTCCTAACACCATTTATTAAATAGGGAATCCTTTCCGCATGGCTTGTTTTTGTCAGATTTGTCAAAGAGCCAGGTTTTAGATGTGTAATGTTTTTCCTGAGGCCTCTGTTCTATATATCTGTTTTGGTACCAGTACCATGCTGTTTTGGTCATTGTAGCCTTGTAGTATAGTTTGAGGAGCAACACTAAGACACATAATCATCAGATTGACCAAGGTTGAAATTAAGGAAAAAATGTTAAGGGCAGCCAGAGAGAAAGGTCAGGTTACCCACAGAGGGAAACCCATCAGACTAACAGCGCATCTCCCTGCAGAAACCCTACAAGCCAGAAGAGAGTAGGGGCCAATACTCAACATTCTTAAAGAAAAGAATTTTCAAACCAGAATTTCATTTCCAGCCAAACTAAGATTCATAAGCAAAGGAGAAATAAAATCCTTTAGAGACAAGGCAAATGCTGAGAGATTTTGTCACCACCACGCCTGCTTTACAAGAGCTCCTGAAGAAAGCCTAAATATGGAAAGGAAAAGCTGGTACCAGCAAAAACATACCAAATTGTAAAGACCATCGACACTATGAAGAAACTGCATCAACTACCAGGCAAAATAACCAGCTAGCATCATAATGACAGGATCAAATTCACACATAACAATATTTACCTTAAATGTAAATGGGCTACATGCCCCAATTAAAAGTCACAAACTGGCAAATTGGATAAAGAGTCAAGACCCATCAGTGTGCTGTATTCAGGAGACCCATCTCATGTGCAGAGACACACATAGGCTCAAAATAAAGGGATGGAGGAATATTTACCAAGCAAATGGAAAGCAAAAACAAAACAAAAAAACAAACAAAAACAAAAACCGGGTTGCAATCCTAGTGTCTGATAAAACAGATTTTAAACCAACAAATATCAAAAAAGACAAAGAAGGGCATTACATAATGGTAAAGGGATCAATGCAAAAGAAGAGCTAACTATCCTAAATATATATGCATCCAATACAGGAACACCCAGATTTATAAAGCAAGCTCTTAGAGACCTACAAAGAGACTTAGGCTCCCACACAATAAGAGTGGGAGACTTTAACACCCACTATCAATATTAGACAGATCAATGAGACAGAAAATTAACAAGGATATTCAGGACTTGAACTCAGCTTTGGACCAAGTGAACCTAATAGACATCTAGAGAACTCTCCACCCCAAATCAATAGTATATACATTCTTCTTAGCACCACGTTGCACTTATTCTAAAATTGATCATATAATTGGAAGTAAAACACTCCTCAGCAAATGCAAAAGAATGGAAATCTTAACAAACAAGTCTCTCAGACCACAGTGCAATCAAATTAGAACTCAGGATTGAGAAACTCACTCAAAATTGCACAACTACATGAAAACTGAACAACCTGCTCCTGAATAACTACTGGGTAAAAAACGAAATTAAGGTAGAAATAAATAAGTTATTTGAAACCAATGAGAACAAAGACACAATAGACCAGAATCTCTGGGACATGGCTAAAGCAGTGTTTAGAGGGAAATTTATAGCACTAAATGCCCACAGGAGAAAGTGGGAAACATCTAAAACTGACACCCTAAAATCACAATTAAAAGAACTAGAGAAGCAGCAACAAACAAATTCAAAAGCTAGCAGAAGACAAAAAATAACTAAGATCAGAGCAGAACCGAAGGAGATAGAGACACAAAACCCCTTCAAACGAATGAATCCAGGAGGTATTTTTTTTTTTGAAAAGATTAACAATTTTCTTAACAACAGTGAGAGGTAGTTTGTCATGAAATAATACATGTAAAACACTTAGTATAGTGCTAAAACATAACAAGTAATCAATACATGTAGATATTATGATACTACTATGCTTATTTTTAAAATTGAAGAAGTAGTATAAGCAAAGCTATTAGGTAAAAAATGGTAGATATTTTTGGATGTGTCAAATATGGGACCCTAGGGTAAATCAATAGAAATGCAAAGTTGATTAGCAGTCACCTAGGCTTCGGAGGGTTTCATGGATGACAGATAAAGCCTATGGGTTTTCTTTGGGGGATGAGAAAAATGTTCTCAAATTCATTCTGGTTATAGTTACACAACATGAATATACTAAAATCCACTGAATGCTATACTTTAAATGGGCAAAATCTGTGGTATGCAAATAAAAAATAAAGCTGTGATAAGAAAAAAAAGTGGAACCACAGGAAAAAGCAGTATAAAACTATTGTTTCCCTTGATGCATCACTTTAGCTTAACGATGGTGTGTAGTCCTGGTGTTTGTTATTCCACGGGAGGGAATTTTAGAGTGTGCCTCTTTATCGCTGCTCTTCTCTGTCTAGTACTTCATCACTTCTGAATTCATGACTTGCTCTCAGATGTTCCAACTAGCATTTTGTATGAATTTAAACTTGGCTGCATCTGAGCTGTTTCTGTCTTAAAACATTGGCTTCTTGGAATTCCCAAGCAACCGGAAAATTTCCCAATATTGGAAAAGAAAAGATCATGAAAAATCCTAATAAAAACGGTCAGAAATGCTGATAAACTAAACAAAGTAAGTCTTGAAGACAAGGGTAAAATGCCTTTAGGAAGTGTGTCCAAAACTGTTCACTGCATTGATGAGTCTGAAATTTTCCATATCATCAAGCTAATTTATTTTCTTCAATTTGACTGACTTTTAGAATATCAACCTCCAGGCACAGGCAGTATATACCTAAATGCAGTGTACTCACTGAAACTGTAATGGTAGACATAAGACTCTGGAATTTAAAATTCCAGATGACCCAGGTCATGCTTTATATTAGAACAAAATTGTCTTTCAAAGAGCTCAAAGAAACTTTATGAAAGTGTGTTTTTTTTGTAAATATCAAATATGAGAAAGTTGCTATTACTTGTAATAAAATACAATGTTTTCTATTTTGTCTTGAACTGAACTTTGAAGAAGTTACCTTATGCCAGATGTGTAACATAAATTTGTATTCATTGGACTCCTTAATCAAATAGCTATCAATTCGCTGCTCTGAGCAAGTTGTTGTGTTTGGTGCATTAAGTAAGTCACTTGTCAAGATCTCTAGCAAAATGCATAGTGCTTAATATATGTTAGTTTCTTTTTTTTCTCTCTGTGATAGCTGTTGCCATGGAAACCAGAAATAAAAAAGTCACGGGTCTCTGCTCTTTAAGTCTACAGTTTCATTGGGGGAAGGGAGAGTGGGTTAATAAGAGGCAAAAGATACAGTTGAGGATCAAGAAAAGAAGACTGTTTCTGTTTCCACTGCATGACATTCTGCATTTTATTTTATCATTATAATAAATGTTAGAAGCTATAATTCATTGTTCAGATCAGGTATTATATCTTTTCAAAACATAATGTCATTTAATCATCATTACTACCTCTATTGGGAGGTATGATTACACATTTTATAGATAAGAAAACATTGTTAGAAATAAAAGATCTACATGTATCATGTGATTCTGGCAGGATTTCTTGTCAGTGCATCTGCTCTTCTGGCCACAATGGGCTAATCAGAGTACTTCATTCTTCGTGGCTCAAGTGACAGGTCTAGAGGTGTGCTTGTGATCCAAGCTGAACTATGCAGGGTCTTTGGCTGTGCCTTTTTTCCAATTCTTTAGAAAAGGGGCTTGTAGGAAATGGCCATGATTTTCTCACCCCATGTGACAGCTGGGTGAACACATAACCTATACATAGAATCAAGCAGTTAAGAAAAAGAAAGGCAGGGAGAAATGAAGATCCCATCTGAATCTCTTAGTTTAACTGTGTATAAGTCCTGATTTAACCTTTAACTTCCTAGTTACAAGAGGCAATAAATTCCTCTTTGGTTTTGTTGTTGTTCATTTGTTCAGAACAGATTGCATTGATTTTTCTATAACTCAAACATTCCTGACTAATATAGCCATAGATTTGTATAGGTATTGGCAGCTTTACTTCAAGTATTCTGCTAGTAAAAAGTATATAAAGACATGGCCGATGGAGGAAAAGATGCTAATCCAAGTGAAACAGTCAGCAGCCCAGAAATAAAAAGATAATGACAAGTGGCTTATAGAATAAAAATAAAGCACATGAATACTTTTTTGGAATAAATAATGTTGTTAAATTACTATAGAGGAAGGTGTAATAGAGGAAGGTGTATATTAATTTATATACATGTGATGTTATTTACATTATAAATTAATATGAAAATGCTTTAATCAGAGTGTGTTTCCATACAAGAATCAGGAGGTAAATATTATTAAAAATCTGTAAAGTAAGGTCTGGAAATTTCTAGAGAAGAGAGAATATTGAGAGTAATCAAAGAAGGATGGAAAATAAAAATTTTGTGAAAGTGCAAAATAATATGGGGCCATGGAGTCTCCCAGAAGCAGCATGAGAAGGGATTTGATAAATGATTTAAATACTGATTAATTTTGAGAAGAGTGATATTGAGCTATTCTCTTTGGCAAAGGAAACAAATATTGAGAGGACAAAGGATAAGCAAGGTTCATAAATGCTTTGTTTGGCCCTAACCACAAAAAGAATTACAGTGAGTTTATGGAGAGACACAATCATTTGAATATGACAAGTAAATGAAATAGTGCTCAATCACAGGCACTGAAAAATCATCATGAATTGGTATTTAAAATACTGTTTATTTAGTGCCCACTTTGTGCCAACTACTGTACACATGCTGCTTAGTCACAGCAACACCACAAGATAATCATTAACCTGATTTGAGAGATGAAGAAATTATAAAGCTCAGAGATCTTTAGCAACTATTTCAAGGTTCACATAGCTAGAAAGTGACTGAGCCAGTAGTCAAACTCAAGACTGGCTGGCTCAAAAGATTTTGTTTTACCATGACTCAAATGACACATTTCAATCTGCCTCTATCTGACCATATTTTCATATGACCATAGTTTAGATGGCACCAATTTTCAAGATTATGTATTTATTTTGTGTAAACATCAGTTAAGTTTCAGTAAGGGACAGACATGCAGTAAATTGAATAAGGGACATTTAACGTAAGAAAATAACTAGTAAAAGGAGATCAATTAAGAAGGATTGGTTAAAGAGAACGCTAAAGAATCCAGGAATAGCAAATGCCGGGAAAAGCCGCCACTTCTATGGCTGAGGGAGCGCATCCAAAGAGGGAAAAAACTTGGCAGATCCTCCCCAACTTCCCACCCCTTGCTTCAAGTTGAGATTCAGACTTTGTTGGAGAAAGTGTTGCCAAAGCCCACCAGATAGGGGAAAAGTTCAGTTAGGTGCCTCATGCCAGGGCAGATGATCAGGAAACCACTCTCTGGGAAATCACTGAAACTCACTGGGGGTTGTGGACCGCTAGGTCTTCCACCCTCACTGACGACACCTTCTGGCAAGAAAGCTGGCTGCTGGTAAGGAAGGACACTTGTCTTCTGGCAGCACACCATAGAAGCCAGAAAAAAAGCACTGACTCTGGTAAGAGAATCCCCTCCCTCCTGCAGGATCTCACTAGCACCCTCTACTGACAAGGCTTTACATTGTGCCTACTGGCAAAGGAGAAATGTTTGCAAGGTTTCCCTTTGGAATTTAAAACTAAGGAAAAGAGGGTGGCTTTGGAGCAGAGAAGCAATGAATTGAAAACTGGCACAGTGTATTAATTAGAGTAAGCCATGATAACTGCAGGAACAACTCCAAAGTTTCAATGGCTTAGTATAATAAAGGATTCCTTCTCACTTAAAGCGTGATCTGGTGCTAGTCAGGTGACTCTATAAAGCTACTGTTCTATAAATAGAAACTCAACTATTTAGACGCCTTGTCTTGTGTGGCTCCACTACCTTGGAGCCCTTTGTTTCTGTAAACAAACGGGAGAGAGACAGAATATATAAGATTAGAGGCATGGTTTAAAGCCAATCCGATAAGGTGTATATGTAATTTGCCCACATTGTGCTGACCAGAACATAGTCAGAAGACTCTACTTTTATGAGAAACTGGGAAATGTACTAGAGAAAAATGAAATAGACAGTAAACATGTAGCCTTATCTCTGACACACTAGATTTCAAATGCTTGTCAATAAGTTTAAGTTATCATATGTCTCAGAGTCTTAATTCATCTATAATATAAAAAATAAGATGTCTACTTCAAAATAACACTATGGTATTTAGAGCAATATTATGTAAAGAATTAAACAACAGAGCCACTACATACTTAGACATTCAGTAAATATTAAATTTCCTAAATCAGTAATTATCAAGGGTGAAAAAAGAAATAGGATATATGTCAAAATCTCAAGGTTAAATTACAGCACGCATTTACAAAGGGAAGGGCATGGCAGATGGGATTATATATAGGAGGAAATGGAAAGGGCACTCTGTGGAATGACATATCAGAATCTAGTGTTTGTGAAACTAATGAGGGAAGGGAGGAGACGGGAGTAACAATGTAATATTTATTAGAAGAGAGTGGGTTAAGAAAGATTGAGAAACTGCTGTAAATGCTTGTTAGGTACTTGCCTGAGATGCGTGCAAGCCTGTATCATCATGCCTATTTGACTTAACTCATAGGCTGGAGAGGAAGTTTCAGAGCAAGGGAGTTTGTCTGAAATGACACTGCCTACATTCAAATCCTAGCATTATTACTTAATATTCATGCTTTCTTGAGCAATCTCCTTAACATCTCTGTGGCAGAGACTGCTGGTTGCCACCTAATAACTTTTTCTCCTTCTTACGTGAATATATACTTTTTAGCTGGGTATTTGAACTCTCAGCTAAATAGTACACTTCAGTGTCCCTTGCAGATGAGTATAGCCATGTGATTAAATTGTGGTCAATGTGAAATCAACAGAAATTGTGTGCAATTCCTGAGCTTTTTCCTTCAATGAAAAGAAAGTATTGCCCATATTCCTTTGGAATGTCGACATGAAGCTGAGAGCTAGAGCAGTCATCTGGAACTGCAAAGTGGAAGCCTCACTGAGAATGAAAGAGTAAAAAGATAGAAGGGTTCAGGTCCCAGATAATGGTGAGTTGCCCTACCAACAGTGGACTACCTGCTTGAATATTTTAGGATAGAGGAAAAAACATTATATCCTATTGAAGCTATGGTATTGGAGGTGTCTGATACAACCTGGCATGTATCCTGAGTAAAACCTAATCCTCTGGTTTTATAATCTGCAAAATTGGTATGTTAATAGTAGAGTCATACATCCTGGTTCTTGTTAAGATTGACAACAATGATAACAATAGCAATATCAGATGCTTATGTAGCCCTCACTCTGTGCCTGGCACAGTCCTAAGAGCTTTACTTGTGCGTACCATACAGATATTTGCTGTCATCGTTTTTCTACTTTCTCCAGGATCTCCAAGGTAACCATTCCAATTCCTCTTTCACTCTTTCTTCACTAAATGCCACTAGAATTACAATTAATATTCAGTGTATATTTCTATATGGAAAGCAGTATAAATATGTTAATAGTATATAAATATAATAGTGTAATTATAAATAGAGATTATATAATTTGAATAACATAATTATGTATATTATTACTTTTATGTGTTGGTTACTTAAAACCAGCTGTTGATAATATTATTATCAACTTTGTGGTCATGAAAATCAAAAACATTTTTTATAGTGTGAAACAGAAACCGTGTCTTTATAACATATTTCCTCTTACAACAAATATAAAATATGCATATTAAATAAAATACATAAAATGAATGCAAAATTCATGAGTGATACACTATTCACATTAACCTGCCTTTTTGTCTGCCTAAATGGAATTGTATTTAACATGATGTCTTGGGACCTAATTTTTTTCTCTTTGTAATGAACATCTTTCTAATTCATCAAATATTTTTATACAGCGTAAATTTTGAAGGTGAATATAAATCATATTATATTAATATATACTGTGGTTTATTTAACCAAACCATGAATGCTGGATATCTATGTTGTTATAAATAATTTGCCTTTAAATGATGTTTCAAAGATAAATGTTTGTTTACTCAATTAATTCTTTGTAATAGATTCTTAGAAGTTAAATTGCTGAATCAAAGATTATGAAAAAATGTTAAGCCATGTGAATATTATTTTCAGAAAGCTTGTATTAATTTCCACTTCCGTCATTGATGTTTAAAAATATCCAAAGAGCACAGCAATTTATGACCATCTCTCCTACACCTACTTGTAACCATTGTGGATACCCAGCAGAAGGCCTTTCCAGGTGTGTGTTGGGGAGGGAGTGATAAATACATGAAGAGAAGGAAAACATTTGCAGACACCAAAAACCTGATGTCAGATTACAGCAATGTCATTTTCAATAGGAGAACAGATTAAACTTATATTTTAGTCTCCTCTTTCCTCCTTTTATTCAGTATCCTTGAGAAAGATCATCCTATTCCCTAGCAGTTGGGGAGAAGTACTATGACAGTAAAGATAAATGGTAAAGTAAAAAGTAAGTAAATGATAGGGTTTCCTAAGAACTATTTTGTCTACTTGAAATTATAACCTACAGGCTCCTACAAAACCTGCCTGTCCATAATATTTCTAAAATTAATGTCAAGTCTTTGTGTCTTGCAGTTTTAAAAATACATTTATTCTACCAAAGTGTTATTACAATTTTCAACAACTAATATGATCACCTTAGTTTGTTTTAAATCCGTGGCAATAAAATGTACTTTCCAAAATGCTATTGAGGTTTACACCTTAACTTTGCATAAACTATAATTCTAATAACAGAATGAATATAGCCATGAAAATTTTCCCCAGAAATGTTTAATAATCTATTTTAATCACAGCAGGGAGCCAGATTCTTTGATGGATTGGATTAGTGGAATATAAAATATGAAATACCAAGTACAATTGGACGATGAATTATAATATTAACATGCCATCGGAAAGACTTTCTTACATGATTTTCTTACAGTTTTACAGTTCCACACAATCTCACCACTCCCTCTTTTCTGGCACCCTTCAGGAATGCTAGCTAGGCTCCCTTAAAACGGCCATTCCACAAATGTTTTCGATTTATGTTGGCTGACCTTGAATCAGAATTTATGGCATCTGTCAGTATTGTACTATTCTTTTTCGTTGGATTTGGGTTAACAGGCGGGGGTGACTTTTCAACTTTTTAGGTGTTTTTAAAAATCTTTGTTGTTTTGTCTTTGTGTGTGTGTTTTATTGCTATTAAGGAAAACTATCAAAAATCACTCATGATTAAACACTTTTTCTAAGATGAGTCAAGTGCACTAGTGAGAAGGGAGGAGAGTAAAACAAGGGGTTTGATCTGTAACTGACTGTGAACAATCAGTTAAGATAACTCATTACCTTCAGACCAGCCTAAACACTTTCTGATAAAACTGGGAGAATGAAGTTCTTAATCATGGAATTCCTAAACAGGTTAAATGAGATAACCTATTTGAAGTATTTAGAAGAATCCTTGACATCTTGAACTGTGAAAATATTATTATATTAATAAATTATTATTTTAATATAAATTGAAATTTAAATATCACCAAGCGAAAGACATGCCTTGACCCTATGTACTAAGAGTGTGCTCTGTAACAATCATATATTTAGATTTAGAAAGATTTGACCCAACACTCTTGTCCTAGGAGGATATCAAATATCACTGGTGTTGGAGGTGGCTTAGCTAGGACATCTTAACATATTCTCCTACACACTAGACTCCCATGAGTAGGGCTATGTGTTTGGGTGAGGAGGTGTGCACATGACCACAAGTGCCCCCATGTTGTGCTTTAATTCAACTATGCTTATATTTCGGATTGATTTACTCCCCTTAGGAGATTCTAATTGATAACAATGGAATGTTAATGTGACTTAAAAATAATTTCCACTTGTATCTATTTGAAGTTCTCTTTCTCTCCCCTCGTTTTGATTTTCGGAGTGTCACATCAAGAAAACCTGTGAGACTTAAGAAGAGGTGATGAATTCTGTGAAAATTAAAAAAACAAAATAACATAACAAGGAAAGGGATTTCCTTGAGCTCTAGGGCATAAAAGTCATTAAATATTTAATGATAAGCCAGGCTTGATTTAAATCCCAAGAGTTCATTTTCACCATTTTATTGCATTTTTTACATATTATACATAATCAGTTTGCATAAGATAAAACTGCATAAATAAATTCCTCATTCTATTTCAATTACGTTTGATTTTTAAGGATCAAATATAGTTCTATTGGTTTTTAATAATTTTTAAAACAAACAGAAATGATTAAAGAGCTTTATTAGAAATAAAACAAACATATAAGAACACATTTTTATTTCCTTTGGTCCACTCTATGTCCAGTTAAAAATATACAAGATTTAGGATTTAATTAGCTTTTATAAAAAGAATCTGCTTTTCTTACTAAAAAATAATAGCAACAAAAAGAAAACAAAAAAATATTTTTCAGTATCATGCCTGGTATGAAGACCCAAAATGAAAATGGGCTATTTTTAAACAATGTAGGGTTTGTTTGGTTTTTCTGTACCTGGAGGAGATACCACAAGTATAAGCAACATATAGGATGCCTTCGCTATTATCTAATAAATCAAGGTTCTAATAAGAATAGCAAGTTCAAGTAAGCTGTAAAGCACACTTACAGCGTGGCCTTGGGTTTGTTTCACTGATTGAGTCTCAGAGGTGCTTCTGTAAGGCTTTAGTAAAATAGAAAATCCAACCTATTTTACACATTCTTTCAAAAAGTTATGTTGCATTAAAAACAGAGAATGGAAAGATCTTCAGGTTATTATCCCAGCACTCATTGTAGGAATGAAACTGAAGTTCAAGAATGTTCACTGGTGTTTATGAGGTCATGCAACTAGCTAAGATACAGAATATTGGCTAAAAGCCATATCTCCACTGTTCCACTAATATGTCCTGCTACTGAGAGAATGTTGGGTACTGGGCATTCTACTTACATTACTTTATTTAGTTGGCATAGCAAACCTGCAATATAGACTTAAGTTTTCTCTTAACAAATAAACACAGACTTAGAGAGGTTGAGTTACTTGCACAAGGTCACACAGAGTAAGGATGAATTCAAATCCTGTTCTGACCTTAGCATTTGTCTTTCTGGTACGCTGTCCCACCTCGTTCATAGCAGGCTCTCTATTCCATCGTCCTTTCTATTGTTGAAATATGTGTCCCTTTCCTGTTTGCTGTGTACCAAATTTCTGACAAGAAACCAGGAAGCCACCACCAAATAAGACTCTATTTATTTATTTATGTATTACTGCATCTCTACCTCAGCTGTTCTACAGTGGCTCAGAAGAGGCTCTGAAGCAATTCCGATGTTTAACCATTCCCCTTGATAAATCAAATCACAAGGACAGGTAATGGCTTCCTAGAGAGGCTGACTTTGGAAAGAAGAGAAGCATGAGCAGTAAAGTATTGATAAAGTGATACTCTTGTAAATTGGTAAATATGTATTTGTATTCAATTCTGAAATCCATCCATTTTACTGATAAGAAAACTAAGGTTCTGCAATAGTAATGAATTAAGACCTCTGTTTTCCAGAGACACAATCAGAACATATTGTCCTTTTTCAGAAGCCCTATCCTGTCCTTTTCTAGATTTTTAGGACTTCTACTTGTGTAGGAATTTCATAATACTTGGAGGAGGTACAGGTTGAGTATGAAAATGTAAAGCTAACAGGAAATTAAGGGATGAAGGAACTCGAATTCTTTCTGTAGTAGCGAATGAGTTTGGTCCTGGTGTCCTCAACATGTCCCTACTACAGCTCCTTTGTGAGTCACAAAGCTGAGGGCACCGCATGGCACACAATACTGTGAGGGGGTCAAAGCATCCTTGAAGCATCCTGGCTGTGTTTTGGGAGGGTTCCACTCTCTATTCTTGGTTACTCTTTCCTCTGTGTTTCTGCAGAACTACGCACAGGTATTACTCACAATCAAAGATTGTTCTAGGATCCAAACGCAGACTCAGGAATTTCTTCCTGACAGTTTATAAACTCTTTGGTGCACAGATGGAGTGCTTTGTTTCCTCTGTACTTAGCTCACAATCAGGTAGATGCTAAATGCTTGCTGGTTGTCTGATTGAATTTGCCCAAGCTTTGCATCTGGAGTTGGACTTGAAACATTCCATTTGCTATAAAGTAACAGGCACTTCATGGGGTATTTTGGGATATCCTAGAAAGCCCTGGGAAATAGGAATGGAAAGGAAAGTCTCTTGTCTATGTGCAAAACAAGGCCTGTTTTAATTTAGAGAGTCCAGTATTTGAGCTGTGTAGAAAATAAAAACATATGGGGATATAGATCTCTTTTTTTTCTTGTATAATTTCTCTTAAGAATTGTTTTTCTATTTAAAAATGTTCACAGGTAGAAGTGTCCATCAGCAGATGAATGGATAAAGAAATGTGTTTTTTTATTTTACAAAATAAAACAGATATGAAAAAAGAGTCCCCCCTCGCCCCTTCCATGACCACACCACTGAAATATTTACTCTGTTGACATTTTGACATAAGTTTCTAGAATATTTTCTGTTTATATTTTTTCTTTTATTTTTAAAATTTAAAAATATAGTGTGAAATTATATATGCATTCTTACCACAAATAGAATATTTTCTACATACAGAACATTTTAATAAAAACACACTGGCCCCTTTCTTGCTTGCTTTATTTCCTTCCATCATTCCTGCTTCCTTTCTTTTTTTCTTTGTTTTTGTTGTTAAAGAATTATTTCTTCAAATATAACTCATTTATCAACAACTTAGCACTGTTGAGATTGCTGCAGATAAAGCAGTGTATAAAGCAAAGGCCCTGCTCTCATGTAAGTTTCACTGGTCTACGTGACCATCTACAAATATATATATAATATGTTAGGTGTTAATGAGTTTTGCAGAGAAAGGTAGACACGTAAGAGGGAGAGACAGTGATTGTTGGGGTGCTATTTTATGCAGGATAGCCAAAGGAATCTTCTATGTGGAGATGACAATTGAGCAGAGAACCGGGGGAATTGAGTAACCAAGCTATGAAAATATCTGAGAGAAAAAAACAATTATAGACAGAACAGGAAATGTGAAGGCCCTGAGGGAGGAACATGCTTGGGGTTTCCAAGGAACTGTAAAGAGGTCAATGTGACCTGAAGACACTGAGCTAGGGAGAATAAAGTGAATGAAATAAGAAAGGTATTGGGGAGGGTAAAGATGATGTAGGATTTCTTATTTTGATCTTTAATTGGAATAAAATGGGGAAGCATTAGAAGATACTGAGAAGAGGAGTGGAATTATATAACCGAAATTTTAAGAGGGCCACTGTTGGATGTTGTGTAAAGAAGAGTTTACAGGGGTCAGAGGTAGAAGCAGAAATGCCAGATAGGAGACTATTGCAATAATCCAAGCACACGATGATGCTGCCTTGAACCAGGGTAGCAGTGGATGAGGTGCTGAAAGTCACTGAGTGTTGACTCAAAAGCAGAACCAAAGCGATTTCCTGATAGATTGGATGTGAGGTGTGAGAGGAATTAAGGGCAATCCAAAGTTTTTGTCTTGAGTAACTGCAAAAGCTGTGAACAGAGTAGGAGGTATAACTGTGATGTTAGGGAGATCAAGAGTCAAATTTGGGGCTTGTTAAATTTGAGATACCAATTGGAGATAGGTAGTTGGACATATGATATATAATACTAGAGTTGAGAAGAAACATCAGGTTTAGTTAAAACTTTGGAATTCATCAGCTTATAGACAGTATTTAAAGTTATGGATAATGCAGAAAGTAAATATAAAGAGAAGAAAGAATTCAAGGATTGACTTCTGGGGTACTCAAACTTTAAATTTTGAAAAATAAGAAGGAATAGCATAGAAGAATGAAAGGAGTAGCCAGTCAGTAGGAGGAAAACAGAGTGACTTCCTAGAAGCCAAATGAGAATGTTTCAAGAAGACAGGAGCAACTACATCAAAGGCTGCTGATAGACTGAGAGGATGAGGACTGAGAAGATATCAGTGGGTCTATCAGTAGGTAATTACTGTAACTATGACAGAAGAGTTTCAGTAGAGAATAAGAGAATGAAGAGAGGAGGTACAAATGTGTAAATATAAACAATTCCCTTGCTTGGAAATGAAGCAGAGAAATGGGATTATGTCAGGAATGGTGTTGAGATAAATACAGAGCTTTCATTTTGTTCTGTATTTTTGCTTATATCTTGTGTGTTTTAGGATGGGAAATGTGTAGCATGTTTGCACAGTGAAAGATATAATCCAATAGACTGGGGAAGGGAGGTGAAAAATTAATGGTGCAAGAAAAAAGAAAGGTGATTATTGGAGTGATGTCTTTGAGTGAGAAAAGAGGATCTAGGGCATGAATGGAAGAATTGGCCATAGGCGAAATAATGTTTCTCCATAGTAACTGGTGGGAAGGCAGTGTATTGCTTTTGCTTTCTCAGTGGAATAAGAAGAGAGTGAGAGGAGAAAAGCAGATATTGAAGGTTCAAGAATAAATGAAAAGGTGTGAAATAATCTTCTAAGAAAGTAGGAAGATGAGTTGAAATATACATAAAGAAATATATAATTGCCTGCCAGCACAAAGAACACACTCGAAGTTGGCAGTTACAAATTTAAAGTGAGATCAAAAAGTATAGTTCTGCCTTTTGTTGCCAGTCATATTCTGCTATGCAGGCTCAGGTTAAAGTAGGTGGAAATTTAGATTCAACTTGAGTTGGTGATTTAATAAGAAAGTCTGATAGAGGGAAAGAGGGGTAAGGGATATGAGGACACATGTAAAAGAGTTCACATAATGTTTGACAAGAGAGTTAAGTGGATTAGGAGGAAAGTGGAGACATGAGGAGTTGAAGGACAGTAAAGTGGTGGTAAGATCAATCTATTGTAGGCACAGGTGGGATCAAAGGATTGTTTACAGAAAGCAAAACTTGTTCTTAATAATAGTCTAGGGTAGGCCTCAGAAATGAGTGGCAGAGGTAGTTGGCAGAACAAGATCATTAAAGAAGATGAGGCTTATGATATTAGAAAATTGATCCATGTGCCTATTGAAACTAGCAAAGAAAACACAGATGGACTTGGAGAGTGATGGCAAGCCATGTAATGGAATTTTTGAATAATTAGGGGGAAAGTAGCTGTGTATCTATCTAGGAATTGGAGAGAATAGTGGTATATTGGGAAAAGCACCAAATCTGGCTTCATTCACTGATTACTACTGATGTTGTGCGTATGTTCATGTATGTATTACCTATTGTACTCAGTATTTATTGAGTCTTCCAATGCTTTGGGGAGTGGAGCTGTCAACATGTGTAAAATGAAGATTCTGCCCAGGGAAAGACAGAAAACACATCATTAAAGCTGTGTCCTCTGTGACCCACTAGCCATGGAAGCAATGATGCAGGAGTGGCTCATTTTATTCAGGAGTTGGAGTACCCTTCTCAGATAAGTTAGCAAGGAGCCCTTTCGAAGATAAGTATATCTTTTAGAAAAAGTGGGTAGGACATCTGGCAGAGACAGGGAGCATGTGAAAATGAAGTAAGAGGTGAGGGAAGAGTTAATTGGCAAGTGTGGCAAGGTGCTTCATATGTAGGTAGAATAGAATCTGTCAGTGATGCTGGGGCTGAAAGATGGATTGAAGCCATCATAAGGGTGTGCTTTTTACTGTAAGTAGTTGGAGTCACTTTTGATTTTAAACAGGAGAGTGAACATCAGATCTAGATTTTAGAAAGCCCTTTCTGGCTGTAGTGTGGAAGATGGATTGAAAGCAGCAGTGGAGGTAGAATAACAAGTTAGGATACTGTTATAAACAATCCTGGTAAGAATTGGTAAAGATTTCAATGAACAAAAGGACTGGTTATGAGAGTATAAAATTGGAGAAGATATTAATTTTTTTTTTCAAACTATACAATTCGATGTATGTTAGTATGTTTATAAAATTGTCTCACAATCAGTTTTAGGTTGTTTTTATTACCCCTGAAATAAACTCTATAACCATTAGTAGTCACTTCCAATTGCCACCCTCCCAATGTCTGGCAAGCATTAATCTACATTTTTCTCTATGGATTTGCCTGTTCTGAACATTTCACATAAATCAAAATATAATGTTTATTGCAGATTGGATCAGAGGTAAACATTTTACCCAAAGTCATTCAGTCAGTATAGGCTATCCAAAAGTCTGTGAAGTTGCCTAGTGTGAAAACTCTGGCCATATGGACACACGGGGACTCACCAATCTGTATGCTTTCTCAATAAGCCAATCAGATTTTCTCTGAAGGAGTATAATAATCTTGAGAAATATACAGAGAAAGATGGTTAATTAGTTGTGCTTGGAACAAGGGAAACAAAATTATGTGGTCAACCATCGTGACAATGAAGCCCTAGAGCAGGCATCACCAGATATGATCATCTTGATACAGAATTTTTCCACACTTTATGAAGCCTGGCTGTGGGAAAGAAAGCCTTGCCTTCTTGTGTGATCTTATGTATCTTAGAATGAACTCTCATGTCTCTAGGCATCTTTTCCCAAACTTTATTCATTTTTATACTACCTCTGAAGTAGGCTTCTGAATAGAGTCTTTCAAATGTTAACTATTTTCTTTTGAAGGGTGTATCATGATTAGGGTACTTATATTAATTTACCATATCTAAAGTGAATATATATTTATATATTAGAAAATATATGTTTTATATATATACACTAGTTAAACCCATATACATAACATATTCTTTGACATGGTTCAGATATTTTGCACCCTTTAAATCTCATATTGAAATGTGACCTCAAATGCTGGAGATGGGTCTAGTGGGAGGTGTTTGGGTCATAGAAATGGATCTCTCATGAATGACTTGGTGCTGTACTCATAGTGGGAATGAGTGAGTTCTCACTCTATGAATTCATATGAGATCCAGTTGTTTAAAAGAGCCTGGCATCTATATCCTCTCTCTCTCTCTCTCTCTCTCTCTCTCTCTCTCTCTCTCTCTCTCTCTCTCTCTCTCTCTCTCTCTCTCTCTCTCTCTCTCTCTCTCTCTCTCCCTCCCTCTCTCTCTCTCTCTCTCTGCCTCCCTCTTGCCATGTGATACACCGGCCGTCTCCTTCACCTTCTTCCATGATTGTAAGCTCCCTGAGACTTACCACAAGTTGAGCACATTCTGGTGCTGAGGTAAGAGACTAGCAGGACTTGTTTTTTACTCACAACTCTGCTGACCAAAACAGGATCTAGTCCAGACAAAATAAAGTAAAGAAACTCAGTAGAAACCAGAATATGGCAACAAAAGTAATCCCTACCTCCCCTCATTGATCACTGCCATACGATGTTCCCAACAGCACCATGACAGTTTACAAATGTCATGACAATGACTTGGAAGCTACCACTGCTTTCCATGGCAATGACCCAAAAATTATTGCCTTTTTCTTCACAGTTCTAAATAACCTACCCCTCAATTTCCATTGACGTGCCTCTTCATTTGCATGTAATTGAAAGTGGGTTTACCAAGAGCCTCTACAGTTGCCAAGAGCTCATAAATTGGCTCTGGGCACACTACCTGTGAGTTAGCTGACCATAAAGAGCAGTACTGTTCAATAAAAGATTACTGTCTAACACTACCAGCTCTCACTTGAAATTTTTCCCAGCTAAAGCCAAGAACCCTCCCAGGCTAGCCCCAATGCTGGGGCTTGCCTGTCCTGCAACATTTGGTGACTACAAAGGAATGAAGATAGCATATGAAAGGCCATAACTGATGTGGTAGTGAGACAGCAAAATGGTCTTGATCCGCAAAGAGGCAAGACAATGAGAGACAGTGAGAAACAGTCAGATGGCAATCAGCGGTCTGTGGGATGGCAAGACAGCAAGAGGTGGTGATTGGTGAGATGGCGAGATGGAGAGATGGCAAGAGGTGGCAATTGGTGAGAGATGGTGAGAAGGTGATTAGTGCTACCAAGCTGTAACATTAGTCAAAGTCTCTTTCAAGAGCCGTCATCTGTTCTGGCAGAGTTGAGGGGAAGGGCATGTGGCCATAGTACCATCACCTCATGTGAGATCTGTCAATCCAGCCAGTAGGCTATCAGGTCACTGGTCCCTACATTGTAGTGAAGCCCACCTGGGCTGAGGGAACCTAGAGAGACCTTCACCCAGGTCCCACACAAAGATTCATTGGCATCATTTTGGCTCCTGTGGATGGGTGAATGTCCCTCCATCCCCTGCTCCCAATATTGGGTGAGCTAGGGAATAAAACTTCTGGCTAGGTGGTCAGTTTAAATTCTTACATCATTTGGGTAACCTGAAGCCTGTCCTTGTCACCCCTTCTCCTGGTCCTTTTTCTTGGACTTCATTTTATTGCTCCAGCACCCATTTTATTTTCAGTTCTAAAATGTATGTTTTGTTTGCAGTTCTGTTTTTCTTATTTGACTTTCTGTTAACTGTATTTGGGCAATTGTTTAAGGCAGGACACATGTTTGTGAAAGGCCCTTGTTATGTTGACTCTGAGATGCCAGAGTCATGTTGTTATATGGACCTAACCAGGCCTTTGGAGTTCACTATTGGCTGCCCCTCAGATGCTCCAGCATTTTGGCATTTGGTGTGGGGATCCTCCTTGGCTGATAGTTGAGCACTGTAGGTTTTTTGGCATTTGTTATTTTTGGCTGCCACTTGGGTGCTACCAGGTTTTTGGCACTGACATTTCCTCCAGAGCTGTGGGTTCTGGAGAACTGTGGGCCCACCCTAGGGTAATCTTAGTCTTGCCTTTTCTTGTTTTCTGCCCTAAAGTTATTCTCTGTAACAGATTTTTTTTTCTCATTGTTACTTTATTTACACTTTTCCTTCTATGCTTTAATAAAAATACTTCTTTTGTCCTATTTCATTCACTGGCAAACACTTATAATCCACTTTTGTAATGACTTGCTACCTATACTTACACCTTCTCTGTAGGAAATGAGAATCTAAAAGGGAAAAATTGCAAAGGCCCATTTGCTGTCTCTCTTGCTATACTTAGAAAAACTTCTGTGTCCAGTAAAAATCCTTGTCAGACATGGGGACAATGACTGGCATACCACAGGACTCACCATTAGGATATCCATCAGGCTACTGAAGCACATTCGAATTTGACTAAAGAAAAAGAAACTTATTTTCTATTGCAACACTGTTTGGATTCAATACAAATTAGAAAACTAAGAGATTTGGCCTAAAGACGCTTCTATTAATTATAACGCTATTTTACAATTATACTTATTCTGTGAAAAGGAAGGGAAATGAGAAGAGGACCCTTGTGTTCAGGCTTTTATGACCCTTTACTGGTTCATGGTACCTCTAGGAAACCATTCCTAAGGAATCTTCTCCTAGCTGCTCCCCCTAGAAGGCTAACACCCTCTCCAGAGTCTCTTTATAGTCCCCCAGTTCTGAGGTGGGTCCCACCCACAACCTAATGAAGGATTCCACCTCAAGATCATCAGGCACCAATCCCACTTATCCAACAAGCCACAGCCTATACCTTCTACTGACCAAGAAAGTAAGCCAAACCAGTACCACGAAGAATGGGGTTTCATATCAACCCTTAAAATCAAATCTGTGTCCATTGCGGGCGGTAGCTGATGAAAATGAGGTAAATCTTAGAGTTCATGTGCCGTTTTTTATGTGTGATTTGACTTTGTACGGGGAAAAATATGGCCAGTTTTCAGAGAAACCAGAAAAGTTCATAGAGAGGTTTTTTAAGTTGATCATGTTCTTTAACTTTTCATGACTTGCAAGTATTGTCAACTGCTTGCTGTGCCATGGCATAAAAAAACAGGAAAAAGTATGTGGCGAAGCCAGTCAATTGTAGCAAGGTTAGAGAAATACCTTAGGAAGAAGACAAGAATCCCACTCAGTTTCAGGGTCATTTGGTTGAGGCACTCAGGAAATATATTAATGCAGACCCAGACTCCCTAGAAGGGCACTCTCTTCTGGAAATTATTTTATTACTCAATCTGCCCCTGACATGAGGAGGAAGCTACAAAAAGCAGCATTGAAACCTCAGACTCCTATGAGCCAGCTCTTAAATGTAGCCTATAAAGTTTACACTAGGGACACTGCAAAGACGTGAAAAACAAAGCCAAAAGAAACAGCCAGAAAGTACAATTACTAATGGCTGCTTTAAGCCCCCTGCCACCTCAGGGTTGCCCAACAAGAGAGAGTGTCACAAGATCAGCATCTGGGATGTCAAGATGAGAGCCCCTGACATGCCAGCCTCTGCCCCTTATTCAATCTGCCCCTGACATGAGAAGGAAGGTATTTATTTGTTAAATTATCAGAAATGTTTCTTGTAATGTCATAAATAGTTTCTTTTGAAACTTCTTGGATTTGTATCTCAGAGATTTAACTGTTGTTGTGTCTTGCTGCTTTCATCTATTTTTCTCTATAAGAAGGATTATGATGATGTGTCTATCCTTTAGCTCTTTTTTTTTTGTCAGCTCCTGTGAGTTTTTCTCCTCCAACTCTATTATTGTAGCCTGATGCTAAAGCATTTTGTCTTAGACGTCTATGAGAGACATATTTTCCCCGATATATCTTGAGTCTATGGTTTTGGTTTTTCTTGATGTGTAACCTTATTTTTGGCTTTTACATTTTGACTCTCACATTGCTTTAAATAATTTAAAGGACTAATGATACCTGCCCACCTTCATTCTCATCTGGCCTAGAATGTTTAATTGGCCAAAGGGAATGTCAAAGACACCTAAAAAAAAAACTAACTCTGGTCGTGACAGGAAACCAGGGGTCAGACACACCTCACCATGCTCCCCCTTGAAATCTAAGCCAGATTTAAATGCCTTTCAAAAAATCATGAAATCAAAGTATTGCCCTTACCCACAAATGAAAATATAGCTCCCCTCTTCAGTTAGAAGACTTAGTCTTCATAAAATCTTTAAAAAAAGATCACCTGATGATTAATTACAACCAAAATAAAATGGCCCTTATCAGGTATTGTTAAGTACCCCTACTGCTGTTAAACTTCAGGTCATCACTAATTGGGTACAACTGTCCAGAGTTAAACTGTTTCTTATGAGTCCCTACAGGGATAAAAGAAGGACACCACAACCTGCATTTGAAAACCCTAGAAAACTTAAGTTTGTTGTTTTACAAATACATAGTTAAATAATTGATGCTGTGGGTGGACATAGTAGCATCAATTCTTCTCTTCTGCCTAATTGCAATTTACTTGTTTAACTTCCTAGTAAATTTTATATCTTCTAGATTCCACATAAAGATGATGCTAGCACAAAGCTTCCAATCCATCCTGTCTGCTGACATGGAAAATGAAAACATCCTACTGTTGGTCCCTTAGATCAGATATCTAGAGATTCACACACCTCCAATGCTAGGCAGGGCCTACACCCATAAAATTGACAAGAAGCTGTTACGGAAGATGGACCACCACCCTTTTTCAGCTCCTGTAATATTAAGGAGAAATATCTTACCTCCAAGTGGGAGATGAGGTAGGAGACCATAAGGACTTTTTTCTAGTCACAACCCTGCTGACCAAAACGGGATCTGGTCCAGACAGGATAAAGTGAAGAAACCATCAGGAACCAGCAAATGGTGATGAAAGCAATCCCTAGGTACTCTCATTGTTCACTGACATAAGACGCTCCCATTAGCACCATGACAGTTTGCAGTTGCTATGGTAAGAGCCAGAACTTACTGCCCCTTTTCTAGAAAAAATTTCGAAATGACCCACCTCTCAATTTGCATTGACATACCCCTTAATGTGCATGCAATTTAAATTGGGTTTACCAAGAGCCAATACAGTTGCCAAGAGCCCATATGTTCCTGACTCTGGGCGTATTGCCTATGAATTAGCCCTGCTTCTCAAGGAGCAGTGCCATTCAATAAAAGATTGTTGTCTGACACTATTGGCTTGCCCTTGAATTCTTTCCTAGGCAAAACCAAGAACCCTCCTTGGCTAAGCTGCAAAGTTGGGGCTCATCTGTTCTGCATCAGTGCCATGCCTGTAAAGCCTGCAGAACAGTGAGTCAAACGAATCTGTTTTATTTATAAATTACCCAGTCTAAGGTATTCCTTTACAGCAATGCAAATGGACTAATACATTCTCTATGATAAAGTATTTCAAATAAATGAAACAATGGCCAAGTGTGGTCTCTTCCCTGAGTAGCCCTTGTTCTGGGACTAAGTAGCAGGTGAGGTCTCTGCTCAGGGATCACTGCTTGGACAGATGATCTGAGATACAAGGATTAAGCATTAGGTGTTCTATTCAAGGCACATTCTGCTCAGCAAGTTGTATAATGCCTTTCAGTGGCAAAACAGAACCAACAAATATCCTTCCTTTCTTTCTGCATCTCCTTTACCTGTTAATTCTTAGTTGTATTGAAAGTTGCATTACAAGACTCCTCCTTATAGGACATTTTTGCCGTCCTCCAATTTGTCCCCATAGCATTGTCCAGCCTGCTTTTTAAAATCTTTAGTTTTCTCTGTAAAGATAATTGATACAGTGTATTGAATGTTTATTATTTTGTAGATACTGGCACTGTGATAAGCATTTTACATCTGCTCCAGAATAGTCCGCTAGAAATAAGAAAGTACTCTGCATAATTCAAAGAGCATAGGACTTAACACCAGAGACACTCCTAGAGGGGATAATCAAAGGGCCAAAAGAAATCCTCTATCTATCTATCCATTTATATTTTTCTGCTCACCTATTACTTGACACCAAATTCATATGCTATTCATTTACTGGTGTGTTGAGGGAGTTCAAACACAGAATTGGTCATTTGATTGATCAATCTAAACTCTGTGACTTGCCCAAGCTTACCTCCTACTCTAATATCCAGCTCTTTGAAAAGGTTCAATGCCCAGTAATTGGAATAGCGTATGTCAGGTCTTATCAATCCATCACCAGCGTAATTAGGAAACAATTGTCAAACTTTAACACATAAGCTCTTAGGCAGGAGACCAATTACCTTGTCTAGGGACAGAGGAGAAAGTGGTTATATCAATACCCTTGTCCAAGGAGAATATGTGGTTACAACATATTCTTCCACAAGAATGGGGTTTATTTCTTAAGAACTCATCTACTACTCCTTGGCATAACAAAATATAACATTGTAATTTAATATGTTTACGCAATTTTACTGGCATAGAAATCAAAACTGTCTTTCTTAAAACAATATGTATAATACTTTATGATTCCTAACTATTATTATTTCTTCATCCCACAAAGCAACAGAGTCACAATAATAAGATTTGGGATTTCTGGAATGCCTACATTGTCACTTAATCTTCACAATAGCCTTACAAGATATTATTATTAAACTATATTTTATAATTGAAGAAATTGAAGCTTAGAGAGATTAAATCACTTACTCAAAGTCATACAGTTAGTAAACTGCGGAGGTAAAGTTCAAACCAGTCTACCAACTCTGATGGTCATAATGCTACACTAAGCTGCCTTTCTCTTCTGTAGATTTTGTCCCTGAATTTACCAAGAATCCTAATTTCAGGTGTAAGAACAGCCTCAACTCTTCTCCTTCTGTAAAGCATGGGGCAGTAATTTTTTGTTTGTTTGTTTGTAAAGAGTTATATAGAAAATACTTCAGGCTTTGTACGCCTTATGATGTCTGTCTTAATTAACTCAACTTTGCAGTTATAGTGCAAAGGCAACCATGGACAACACATCAACAAATGTGTGTCTGTGTTCCAATAAAACTTGGTTTACAAAGACAAGTGATCAGGGAATTTAGCCTGTGGGCTTCTTTTTTTAAACAAGTAATCCCCATTTATTTCATAAAATCATTTGAATTGATGTAACTATTTTCTTAAAAATATAACTCATAGTTAGTGAAATTTTCTCAGGCCATATCATAATATTTAGTCTCTATATACCATTTAGACAAGGTAGTTACATACTATAATGAAAATATAATTAGGTTTGGAGCCAAAAGATCTGAATTTGATTTCTGATTTTATCAGTTATGAGCTAAAGTTACTTTGTAAAAGTTACTTGGCTTCCCTTGTGAGCATTTTCCCTTTTTCCCTTCAGTGACACCTCTGCTTTTTACCCAATTTTGCCTTGGGAAACCTACTTCTATGAACTTCTTGAGCTTCCTTGCCTTATGGCTGTCAGTTGGATTTGACCAGAAGGGTTAACCCACAAGAGATATATAGTGAAAGAAGTGAATGAGGTTGGTTCTCACCCTGCAGGATCACCAAGTGCTGACTAATTCCCTTACCAGAGCATCATTGCTCCTGTAAAGACAGTCTTCTTTTTATCTAAGTTTGTTTCTCCAGGTTCTAGTAACCATTAATCCCTAGGGGTGTGCTCTAACCTTTGTGGTTTCTCTACACCTGTCCATTCCTTTTAAGCAGTCCTGTTACTAAACTCTTATCGAATTACCCATTTTGGGCATCATCTATTTCTATCAGGCCCAGAATAATTAATTTCTTCACACCTTAATTCTGCCTTTATAAAATGGGATCAAAATATGCAATCTGCCTACTGTGAAGAGTTGCTTATTCATCTAATACTTTATTCAGCAAACATTCAGTGCTATTATGTTCCAGGCAGTGTATTAGGTAATGGTATTACAAAGATGACCAAGATGTGGTCTCACCCCCAAGAAACTTCCAAAGAACTGGAAAGACAAACCCAAAATAACTGACTATTATGTATTATGATAATGCTACTATCAAAGAAGGAAAGAAGCAACACAAGAGAGAGAGCTGTTATATGAGGAGAGAAGAAAAAGAGTCAGAGAAGGATCCAAAAAGGGCATAATTATGAAGTCTGGCTTTGAAGGGTAAACAGTCACTTATTAATCAAAACAGAATTAGTAATGCAGAGATCTTTTCGACAAAGTGAAATTTTACCTTATCTCACTTCATCCTACTCCTTATTTTCTGATCGATCTCTGAATCCTTCACCAGGTCATTTTCCTTCTTTTCTTGTAGTAGCAGTGGCTGTTCAGGATGATTTTATCTCCCTCCTTTTTTTATTTTGTTACACACCTCTTGGAGCTCCATTCACTTTTATATTTCATCCCTTTCAAAGCAGATGACATCAATCCTCATAACTTTACTTTTTTTTTAATTCTAGCCCCAGATTTCCAATGCAACACTATCCACACAAAATTCTTTTCTCCTCGTTCAACCACAGGGTAGCTTTGTCTCCCAATTTCCCTATTACTGGTAACTGTTTGACCCTATATTCCAATGTCTAGGCTTCAGGACTTGCATTAAGCCTTATTGTCACACACATTATTACTCCCCCCATCCAATTCATTGCCGTATACTTCCTCTGCACCTTCCTCTTCGATAGTCACTATTCATTTATTTATTCATTTAATATTCTTATTCAATATCTATTGGGTGAACATTTATTGAATACTTACTATTATCCAGGCACAATTCTAGGATATGGGGATATAGCAGTAAATGAGAGAGAAAAAGATCCTTCTGTCTTAGTTCATTTGTGATGCCATAACAGAATATCAAAACTGGGTAATTCATAAATAATAGAAGTTCATTTCTCACAGTTTTGGAGGCAGGGAAGTTCAAAATCTAAGCATCGGTGTGTTCAGTGTTTGGCGAGGGCCCTGTTCTCTGCTTCCAAGATAGTGCCTCTTTGCTCATTCTGTGACCTTTTCCTTGTATGGCAGAAGGCAGAAGAGCAAAAAAGCTTGAGCTAGTTCCCTCTGGCCCTTTTAGAAGGCATTAGTCCATTCATGACGGCAGAGCCCTCATGACTTAATCACTTCTCAAAAGAACCATCTCTTAATGCTACCAAAATGAAGATTAAGTTTCAACATGAATTTTGAAAGGGACACATTCAAACCATGGCACCAAGCTTAGAATTTATATTATCATCGGGAGAAATAAACAATAAATGTTTTGCCACATTTAATTGAATATTTAATTAAATCTAAAATGCCAGTGATTTTTAAATACATAATTATTTCAAGTATCACCATAAAGCATGCTACCAGTTAAAATAAGACTCCATCCATTGTGAGTCATTTTCATTTCAGAGATGTTAAAATGTTCTATAAATATAAATTTCTGTGTCTTTGAATCAAGGAAATTCAAAAATATATAATGCACATATTATTATGTATGTAATATATGTTATCTCAGATTCGGGGAAATATTAAGAAAAGTAAGTTGGGAAAAAGTATAAAGAGAGCTTAGGATGAGGGGTGCAATTTTAAATAGGGTATTCAAGAAAGGCTTTATTGTAACGATAATATTTTAATAAACACTGAAGGAAGTGAGGGAGCGAGCCTTGCATCTATCTAGAAGAATAGCTAGACCAACCCAGAGAATAGTAATTACAAAAGCTTTGAAGTAGGAGCGTATCTATTCGTGCTTAAGGAACAGTGAAGTGACCAATATTACTAAAGGAGATTAAACTAGAGGAAGAGTAGAAAGAGATGTCAGGAGAACTAGAAGACCAAATTATCTAGGGTCCTTTAGGCTATTGTAGGACCCTAGATTTTATGAGAAAGAAAGCCATTGGAGGCTTTTGCACAGAAAAGTTAAATAATCTGATTTATGTCTTAAAAGGATGACTGTGTTTATAAATGGAGGGAAAACTGGAGAGGATAAGGAAAGAAGCAGAAGATCAGTTAGAGAGCAATTGCAAAAATTAGGAGAGTGATGCTGGAATCTTAGATCTGGATGCCTTCAATGAAGTTATTGAGAAGTGAGACTGAATAAATGTTAAAGATGGAGCTTGCAGGATTTTCTGATGAATGGAGATGTGGGATTGAGAGATAAAGGTCAAAGATGACTCCTATGTTTTGGATCAGAGCAACTGGAATAGTCGTGTTGCTCTTTCTTGAGATGGGATAGATTGCGGGAGATGCATATTTGAGAGAGAAGATTAGGCGTTTGTTTTAGCTATGTTAAATTTGAGGTTCCTATTAGATATCTGGGTGGTTTTGTCTCCTGACAGTGTTTACTTCCCAATGCCTCTGCCACAGGAGGCATCCAGGCTGACATTTTCTGCTCAGACTCCTAAAATTGATCTCCTTCCTTTTTGGCTTTGCATGTCCTGAATCATCCTACAAATATTTTTTTTTCTTTCTAATATATTAAGATGATTAACATTTTTGCTCAAAATTTCAGTATCTTCTCATTGCTTATTTAATTTAGTAGACTCTCCTTAGCTTGAGCATTGATTGGTCTAAACTATTATGAACATTGGCAAATATATAGATATGTAACTACCAAAACAATTCTATTATTGATCATTTTCATCACCCCAGAAAGCTTGCTCTTGTGTCAATTTCCATCTCTCATCCCAATCCCTGGCAACTACCGATCTGATTTTTGTCTTAGAAATTAATTTTGAGCCTTTTTCGGATGCAACGTAAATGAAATCATAGCATATCTAGGTTTCTGTGTTTGGAATTTTTCACTTAGCATAAGGCCTTTCTGATATATCCTTTTTGTTACATGTATTAGTAGTTCATTCTGCTCTATTGCCAAGTAGTAAGGTATACTGCAACTTTTTTTATCCCTTCACCAGTTGAAGGATATTGGGCTTTTCCAGATTTTGGTTTTTATGAACAAAGCTGCTACAGAGGGTTGAATGTGGCGTTCCAAAAGGTATGTCCACCTGGAACTTCAGAATGTGACCTTAATTGGAAAAAGGGTCTTTGCAGATATAATTAAGGTAAGACTCTTGAAACAAGACCATCTTGAATTAGGGCGGGTTGTGAGTCAATGATGGATGTCCTTCTATGAAATACAGAAGGAGCAAACACACAGCGACACAGAGGGGAGAAGGCTATGTAAAGATGGATGCAGAGATTCAATAATGTGTCACAAGCCAAGGAATGCTAACTAAGGATTACCAATAGCCACCAGAAGCTAGCAGATAGGAATAGAATGGATTCTTCCTTAGAGCTTCCAGGAGGAGCCAACCCTGTCAGCACCTTAACATCCATAACTTCTGGCATCTATAACTATGAGACAAAAAATTTCTGTTGTTTTAAGTTGTCAGGTTTGGAGTATGTGTTATGTCAGCTGTAGAAAACTAACACAGCTTCTATAAACATTAATATACAGGTCTTTGTGTGGACATACATTTTTATTTCTCTTGTGTAAATACTTAGAGTGGGATTGCTGGGTAGTATAACAAAGCTATGTTTCAATTTCTAAGAAACTTCCAAACTTTTTCCATAGTGATTATACTACTTTTCATTTCAACCAACAATATATGACTGTTTCAATTGTTTTGCACATTTGTCATCATTTGATATTGTAAATTTTGTGTCTTTTATTTTGTTTTAGCCATTGTAGTTAATGTGTAGTGGTGTTATTTTCTGTTTTTCTAATGATTAATTATGAGAATCTTTAAATGAGTATTTTTTATATAGTGTCTTAAAATATTTTGTCCAACTTTTATTTGTTTGTTTGTTTCCTATTGAGTTGTAAGTATGTTGGCAGGTAGGGTTTAAGATGGCTTTGTTATCTTTCTTTCATTATTATTTTATTTTCTTCTTTCTTTTCTTTCTCTTCCTCCCTCCCTCCCTCCCTCCCTCCTTCCTTCCTTCCTTCCTTCCATGCTAAATTGCTCATCAAACCACCAAATGCTGCCTTGATGGAAAAATGATTCTCCATTAAGTTATTTTATTAATTAACCACACTTGGGTATCAGGGGCGAGGTGCTAAGTTTTTGGACTTCGTCTTGTGTTCACTTGATGTAAAAATCTATCTGTACACAAACATACTACTGTGATGTTTATTGCAACTTCAAATTGAGTCTTAAAATCAGTTTACGTGGGTTTTCCAACTTTTTTTTTAATTGTTTGGAGTATTCTGGATCCTTCTTTTTTCTATTTAAATGTTAGAATCTGTTTGTCACTTTCTCAAAGAATGTGCTACAATTTTGATTCGGCTTGCATCAGATCCATAGATCAGTTGGAGAAGAACTCATACCCTAACAATGTTGAGTAGTCCAATTAATACATACAGTATATATATCACCTTTTATTTGGATCTTTTAAACACTTTTTTCATCAATATTTTTCTTCATGTAGTAGTTTAGAGCCTTATGAATGTTGCATATTTATTATTGGATTTATCTTTACTTTTTACATCGTTGTAATATTTTAAAAGTTAAATTTCTAATTGTGTGTAGCTAGCGAATGAATAATTTTTTTGTTTTGTTTTGTTTTTATATATTGACCTTGTATCCTGAAACACTGAGAAGCTCACTCTTTACTTGTAGAAGCTTTTGATAGATTCCTTGGGATTTTTTCTATGTATGGAAATGCCATCAGCTGATACAGACAGTTTTATTTCTCCATTTCCTATCTATATATCTTTATTTTTGTTTTTTTATTTATTGAACTGTCTAGTATCTCATGTAAAATGTTAATTAGAAATAATGATAGTATATATTCCTATCTTGTTCTCAGTCTTAGGGAAAAAGTATTTGCTTTGTTTCCATTAAATATAATATTAGGTAAAGGTTTTTGTTAGATGCCTGCCATCAGATTTAGGAATAACCCATTATTCCTAGTGTATTAAGAGTTTTTATCTTAAATGAGAATTCAATTCTTTCAAATGATTTTTGTGCATCTACCGAGATTACTATATTTTTTTTCTTTTTTATGATGTTTATGTGGTGAATTACTTAGATTGATTTGCACATGTTGAACTAGCTTTGCATTCCTGGGATAAACTCCATTTGCTAATGATGTATTACATTTTTTATATTACTAGGTTTGGTTTGTACATATTTTCTTAATATTATTGCATCTATTTCCATGAGCAATGTCAGTAGATAGTTTTCTTTTCTTGTAATAGTTTTGATATCAGGGAAATGATGGTTTCATAATATCAGGTGACCAGTATTCCATCTTCTTCAAATTCTTAGAAGAGTTTGTGTACAATTGGTACTAAAATTTTGGTGTAATTTGCTAGTAAGTTTGTTTGGGCTAGAAGAGTTCCTTATGGGTAGATTTTTACTTAAAATTGGAGTTCTTAAATAATATAGAACTATTGAGAATATCATTTTCCTTACACGAGCTATGATACTTTGTGTGATTCAAGCAATCTGTCCATTTCATCTAGCTATCATCTTTTTGACATTTTTGAATAATAATTGCTTATTATTCTGATAATGTCTGTTGGACTTATAATGCTGTTTCCTCCTTTGGTTCAGATATTACTGTTTTGTTTCTTCTCTCTTCCAGTTTAACCAGAGATTTATCTATTTTATTGATATTTTCAAAGAAGTTTTGGTCTCATTTGTTTTCTCTATTGTTTTTTAGTTGACTATTTCATTGAATTTTTATCTTGATTAATTCTTCCCATTGGCCCACTTTAGGTTTCGTTTGCTCTATTTTTTTCCTACTTTCTAAGTTTTTTAATTGATACATAATAGATGTACATATTTTCAGGGTACATGTGATAATTTAACATGTTCATATAAAATGGAAAGATAAAATCAATGTAACTATGAAATTCATTACCTTAAATATTTATCTTTTCTTTATGCTAGAAGTATTTTATTTATTTCCTTCTGGCTATTTTAAAATATACAATAGATCCTTGTAAATTATAGTTGCCCTACTGCTATATCAAACACGAAGTCTTATTTCTTCTATCAAATTTGTATATTTGTACTGATTGCAATCTCTCTTCATAACTGTCTTCCCCCTACTTTTCCCCACCTCTGATGATCACCAGTCTACTCTCTATCTTAATGGGATCCACTTTTTAAGCTCCCAAATATGAGTGAGAACATACAGCATCTGTCTTTCTGTACTTGGCTTTATTTCACTTAACATAATGACCTCCAGTTCCACCCAGGTTGCTGCAAATGATAAGATTTTCTTCTGTTTTATGGCCTAATAATATTCCACTGTACACACACACACACACACATATATACACACATATATACATATACATGATATTTTCTTTATCCTTTTATCCCTTGATGGGCAATTAGGTTGATTTCATATTTTGGCTATTCTGAATGGTGATTCATATTGTAAAATAAGATATTGTGATAAATATGGGAGTACAGCTATATCTTCAATAGATTGAATTTCTTTCTTTTGGATATATAACCAGTAGTGGAACTGATGGATCATATGGTAATTTTATTTTTAGTTTTCTGAGGAACCTCCACACAGTTTTCCGTTAGTTGCTGTACTAATTTACATCCCCACCAACGATGTATGAGGGTTCCTTTTTCTCTACATCCTTGCAAGCATCTTTATCTCATCTTTTTGATAAAAGCCATTTTAACTGGAGTGAATTGTCTCATTGTGGTTTTGTTTTACATTTTTCTGATTAGTGATGTTGAGGATTTTTTAATATACCTGTTGACTATTTGCAGGTCTTCTTTTGAGTAATGTATATTCATATCTTTTGCCAATTTTAAAAATTGGATGATGATGATGATGATGAATTTGCTATTGAGTTGTTTGAGCTCAACAACTCAATATTCTCTATATTCTGGTTATTAACTCCTTGGCAGATGGATAGTTGCAAATATCTTCCCCCATTCAGTGGGTTATCACCTCTCTTTGTTGATAGTTTCCTGTCAACAATGGATACAAAGCTATGCAAAAGCTTTTTCAGTTTGATGTAATCCCATTTTTCTATTTTTGCCTTGGTTGCCTATGCTTTTGAGACCTTACACAAAATATATTTGCCAATATCTATGTCCTGAAGTATTTTCCCAATATTTTCTTCTGGTAGTTTCATAATTTTTGGTCTTTAATCTATTTTTATTTGACTTTTGTATATAGGGAACAATACAAGTCTAGTTTCATTCTTCTGCATATCCAGTTTTCCTAGCACTGTTCATTGAAGATTCTGTCTTTTCCCTATTGCATGTTCTTGGCTCCCTTGTTGAAATGAGTTAGGTGTAAATGCATTGACTTATATCTGGGTTCTGCATTCTGTTCTATTTATCTAGGTGTCTGCATTTATGGCAGTACCATGCTGATTTGGTTATTTTAGCTTTGTAGTATATTCTGAAATCAGGTAGTGTGATTCCTCCAGCTTTGTTGTTTTTTTTAATCAGGATTGCTTTGGCTATTTGGGCTCTTTAGTAATTCCATATAAATTTTAGGATTTTTAGTATGTTTGTTCCTGTGAAGAATGTCATTGGTAATTTGAAAGGACCAGGATTGAATCTTTAAAGTGCATTTGGTCATATTGTCATTTTAATTATTAAATATTTGTTCTTCTAATCCATGAATATGTAATAACTTTCCATTTTTGTGTCCTCTTCAATTTCTCTCATTGTGTTTTATAGTTTTCTTTGTATAGATCTTTTGTTTCTTAGGTTAAATTGATTCCTAGATATTTTATATTCTTTTTCTTTTCTTGCTTGCTTTCTTTCTTTTCTTTTCTTTTCTTTTCTTTTCTTTTCTTTTCTTTTCTTTCTTTCTTTCTTTTTTTTTTTTTTTTTTTGATGGAGTCTCTCTCTGTTGCCCAGGCTGGAGTGCAGTGGTACAATCCTGGCTCACTGCAACCTCCGCTTTCCAGGTTCAAGTGATTTTCCTGCCTCAGCCTCCTGAGTAGCTGGGATTATAGGCTTGCACAACCACTCCCGGCTAAATTTTTTTTTTTTTTTGTATTTTAAGTAGAGATGGGGTTTCACCATGTTGGCCAGTCTTGAACTACTGATCTCAGGTGATCCACCCACCTCAGCCTCCCAAAATGCTGGGATTGCAGGCGTGAGCCACTGCACCCAGCCTATATTCTTTATAGCTATTATAAATAGAATTTATTTCTTGCTTTTAAAAATATTGTTTGCTGTTGGCATGCATGTATGTTGATTTTATATCCTGCAATGTTACAGAATTCATTTATCAGTTCTATCGGTTTTCTGATGGAGTCTTTAAGTTTTTCTAAGTTTAAGATCATGTCATCTGTGAACATAGCTAATTTGACTTCTTTTCCAATTTGGATGCCCTTTATTTATTTCTCTTGACTAGTTGCTCTGGCCAGGACTCCTAGTATTACACTGAATAACAATGGTGAAAGTAGGTATCTTTGTCTTGTTTCAGGTCTTAGAGGAAATGCCATTAAATTTTTTCCATTCGGTACAATATTAGCTGTAGGTTTGTTATGTATGGTCTTTATTATTTGAGGTATGTTTTTTTCTATGCCTGTTTGTTGTATGAATCCAGGAATTTATTCATTTCTTATAGGTTTTCTAATTTATTGGTATATAGTTGTTTGTAGTAGTCTTTAATGATGCTTTCTATTTTTGTGGTCAGATTCTTCTATCTCTTTTCTCATTTCTGATTTTATTTATTTGTATCTTTTCTCTCTTTTTTAGTCAGTCTGGAACAAAACTTTTCAGTTTTTTTGATCTTTTTATTTTATTTTATTATTTTCAATTTTAATATTTTTTCTCTGATATTTACTATTTCATTCCTTCTACTGTTTTTGAGTTTGGTTTATTCCCTTCTAGTTCCTTGAGGTACATCATTAGGTTGTTTGAAGTTTTTCTGCTTTTTTTTTTTTGTTTTCTTTTTTTTGAGACAAAATCTTGCTCTATCACTCAGGCTGGAGTACAACAGTGAAATCTTGGCTCACTGCAACCTCCGACTCCTGCGCTCAAGCCATCCTCCAACCTCAGCCTCCCGAGTAGCTGGTATTACAGGCATGCACCACCATGCCTGGCTAATTTTTGTATTCTTTGTAGAGCTGGGGTTTAACCATGTTGCCCAGGCTAGCCTTGAACCCCTCAGCTCAAGTGATCTGCCCAGCTTGACTTTCCAAAGTGTTATGATAACAGGCTTGAGCCACTGTGCCTGGCTGGAAGTTTTTCTATCTTTTTGATATAGGTGTTTATTGCTATAAATGTCCCTCTTAGTACTACGTTTGCTATATCCCAAAGACCTTGGTACGTTGTATTTCCATTTTCATTTGTTTCAGAAACTCTTACATTTTCTTCTTAATTTCTTCATTGATCATTCAGGAGCATGTTGTTTAATTTCCATGTTTTTGTATATCTTCTGAGGCTCCTCTTTTTTATTGATTTCTGATTTTATTCCATTGTTGTCAGAAAAGATACTTGATATGATTTCTACCTTTTAAAATTTGTTGAGACTTGTGTTGTGGCCTAAGATATTGTATTTTGTAGAATGTTCCATGTGCTTATGAAAAGAATGTGTATTTTGCAGGAGTGGAGTGAAATGTTCTATAAATGTCAGTTAGGTCTATTTGGTCTGGTGTGTAGTTTAACTCCAATGTTTCTTCGTTGATGTCCTGTCTGAATGAGCTGTCCATTGCTGAGAATGGTGTTGAAGTCTCCAGTTATTATTGTATTGGTGTCTAACTTTCTCTTTAATAATAATTAATTTGTATATTTGGGTGCTCCAGGGTTTAGTACATAGATATTTACAATTGGTATATCCTTTTTCTGAATTGACTCCTTTATCATTATATAGTGTCATTCTTTGTCTCTTCTTATAGTTTATGATTTGCAGTCTATTTTATTTGATATAAGTCTAGCTATTCCTGCTTATATTTGTTTTCTGGTTGCATGGAATACCTTTTCCACCTCTTTACTTTCAGTCTATATGAGTCTTTATAAGTGAAATGAGTTTCTTGTAGGCAGCTTATAATTGAGTCTTCTTAAAAATTCATTCAGCTATCCTGTGCCTTTTAATTGGAGAATTGAATCAATTTAGATTCACTGGTATTATTGATAAGTAAAACTTGTTACTGCCATTTCGTTGTTTGTTTTCTCATTGTTTTTAACTCTTCTCTCCCTTCCTTCCTTTCTTACTGTCATCCTTTGTGGTCAAGTGATTTTCTCTGGTAGTATGTTTTAATTTGTTGCTTTTTATTTTTAATAAATCTATTATAGGTATTTGCATTATGGTTACTATGAGGCTTACAAAAAGGATCTTACAGTTATAGCAAGTTATTTAAAGAGATGACAGCTTATTTTAGATCAGAAAGAAAAGAATATCAACAAAGAAATAATTTTAAAACTCTGTAACTCCATTTCCCCATATTTAGTCTTTATGTTGTCTTCATTTACATATTTTTATATTGCCTATACTTAACAAGCTGCTGTAGCTATTGTTGTTTCTGATACATTAGTCTTTTGGGTTTCACAGTAGAGTTATGGGTGTATTTCACATCACAGGTACAGTATTACAGTATTCTGGGTTTGTCCACTTATTTTAACATTGAGCTTTATAACTTCAGAATTTTATCTCCTTTTAGCACTTCCTTTTACCAATGGATTTTCATTATTTAAGCTTTGGAAACATTTCTGTTACTTTTTTAAAATAAGCTTTATATCTCTTGCTCAACTCTCTCTTAAACACCAGTAATTCTTAGATTTTTTTTTTTTTTAGGGAATTTTCTATATATTGTAGGCGATCTTCATTTCTTTTAAGTATGTTTTTTTTTCTCCTTTGACTGTGTATTGTCAAATAGTCTATTCAAGCTCACTGATTTTTCTCTCTGCTGTGTCCATTCTGCTGTCAAGACTCTCTAGTGAATTTTCCAGTTCAACAAATATATTCCTCAGTTCTAAAATTTCTGCTTGATTTTTTTAAAAATTATTCAATCTCTTCAATAAATTCTCTGATAAACTACTGAATTCCTTTTCTGTGTTATCTTGGAGATCACTGAGTTGTTTTTTTTTTTAACTACTATTTTGAATTTTTTGTCAGAAAGCTCACATATCACTGTCTTGTTAGGGTCAGTCATTGGTTCCTTTGTGCATTTGAGAAAATCACAATTTCTTGCTTGCTGTTGTTTCTTGTGGATGTATGTCTATGTCTTTTCATTGAAGGATTATTTATTCCAGTAATCTATGTCTGGCTTGTTTTGTTTTTTATTAGATACATTTGCTTAGAGGTTCTTCGTAATTTACCTGTTGATTTTCTCTCTCTTTCTTTTCTTTTTCCCTGCTAGGTCACTGTCTTCTTTTTGGTATTAGATGGCAACCTAAGCCAAGGTTTGCCTCAGTTCTAGTAAACAATCATAGTGCCTCCAGTTCCAAAAGAGGGGGGTTCCAAAGGGGATAACCCAGTAGTGTGGGAAGACTAGCTAGGAGTTTGTGCCCAGGGGAACTGTGGAACAAACTTCCTGTAGCATGGTTCTGTTGAACATCCACTTCGATGTCTCCTTTGGCTGAGTTACAGAGCAGAGTTTCCAGGGCTGCAGATGGATGTCCCCACTTTGTCTCTGGCCATGTTCAGGGATATATCTCTCTCCAGGCACTTTCAACACTTCTTATGGTGTGTTGAAAGGTATCTTGCCAAGAAACACAAGATGGTGGGGAAGTTGATTGTCCACCCTGACCTCACTTTTTGTAGTGTATAAACCAGGAGTCAAAGGGAGATTTTCTGTGTTTGGTGCCAAGCAGATTGGAGGTAGTGGTATCACAGATATACAAGCCCAATTCTCTTATTGTTCGCTCTGAGTTTTTTCAGTTTTTTATGGTCCCAGGAATTGTCTTTTCCTCAGACTTAAGTTCTGGGATGTTCCTGACTATAACCTTAGTGCTGTATTTTGAAGAGTGGGGAGGCAGTGAAGCCAGCTAGATTCTACACCAGCATTTTGGAACCAGAAGTCTTTTTTTTTTCTACTTTTTGAAAGTAGAAGCATACGTTACTGATTTAAATATTTTTTTCTTTGGTAATGTAAGTGTATACTGCTATAATTTTTCCTTTTAAGCCCTGCTTTCGCTCAGTCATAAATATTCAGTTTAAAATGTTTGTATTTTTCCTTGTGATTTATTTTTTATCCATAGTTTATTCAGTGGATTCTTATTGTTTAAATTCATGCAATCTGCTTGGGGCTCTCAGAGATTCTTGAAACTTTGGCTTGTCTTCCATTAATTTTGGAAATTCTCAGCCACTAAATTTTAAATATTTATTTTTTCTGTGCCATTTTCTCTCTCTTCTCCTTCTGTCATTTCAATTGCATGTGCATAAAACCATTGATAGTATCTCACAGTTCTGTGATGCTTTATTCTCCTTTCGTTTGTTTAGGTTTTTTTGTTCCTTTATTGTAGATCATTTTTCTCTTTGTTGTTTCAGATTAGAAAACTATCAACCTATCCTTAGGTGTGCTGATTGTTTCCTCGGCTGTGTCCAGTCTGCTGATGAACACAGTGAGGATCTGTTTCTCTTGGTATTGCGTTTATTATTTCTAGCAAATTCCACTTGACTCTTTCTACAAGCTTCCTCTTTCTTCAAAATTCCCCCATAGATTTTTTAACATATTATTTTGAAGTCACTGTCTGGTATTTCCAGCATATGAATCATTGCTGATTTCTGATTTTGGTAAGGTAGACTGTTTATCTCATGACAATGAGATTTGTTTCTTGCATTTTGGTGGGTTCTGCAATTTTTTACTGAATATTGGACATTGTGTATGTATGAAAGGTAGACTTGTAGGTAAATTGTACTTATGACTTACAATGGGCATGCCTCTCCTGTGAGGCTGTAATGTCAGAGGTTGAATGATTCTAGCCAGGAATTGAGCTGTTTTGTTGGTACCATTAGTCTCAATACACCAGAGCTTTCAAATCCTCCAGTGTGTGTTTAGTATGGGGCCTGGAGTATCAGAGGCTTGTTTCTGGTGTTCCTGAATTCATCCTCAGCTTTCATCAGTTGCTGCATTTGTGTATCATAAAGGGATTCTTTCTCCATGCCCTTGCCCCTATTACCAATCAATTGCTATTGTTTATTACTTGCCGCTTGGCTTGTCATGGATTTGATTGGTCATTATCAAGTCTCCTTATCCAGTGTCAGATTTAGGTAATTCTTGAGCCTCTGGGTGTGGGTGGGGTCTTTCTCTGAATTTATGCCCTCTTTATATGGCAGTAAAACATTGCCTTTAATTTGTGGTGTGTCTTAGGTGGCAGAGGGTTTCCTGATGCTCCTCTACTGAGAGCAGAACTCTGTTTTGCATTGGTGCAGCATTTGAAGCCCCAGAGAATTTCCTCCTTTTATTCCAGAGTTAGATAGCTATTGCTTCTGTCACTCTCCCAGAAACAGTAGATCTTGCTGGGCCTTGTGCATATGAGAGTTTTCCATTCCTCCACCGTACATCATAGGCAGGTGGATTTTGTTTCTGTTCCTTCCCAGAAGTGGTATATCTCTGCTTGCACACGTGTGTGTGTGTGTGTGTGTGTGTGTGTCCTCCCCCAGTGGATTAAAAGCTTTTATTTTCTATGAGAGAAGTGTCCTGGAAAGCAGGTAAGGTATCCTGCTCGTCCCACAGTGGCACTGATCAGAACCTGCATGCTTGCACCACCTAGTAGTGCTGTTGCTACTGTTTCCCTGACTCTGGTCTTTCTTTTGAGCATCTAGTTGAAGCTCATGATAAAGGGTTTTTGAGTATATATTTGTGAACTCCTTTTAAGTCTTAGGCTCCCAGTCATTTTAAACGTTCATATTAGCCCATGCTTGGCTTTTAAAAATTTAACATTTTAGCTGATGTTCTATTACCAAATATTATGGCAGCCATTTCCTTCTTTCATTTTCTATAAACAGTTCATGTGTCCTCTTTCTCCTTGAAGGAGCTTATCGCTCTTTGTAATTCAGTGTAGTTCTTGCTGTCTTGCAACCTCAGTTATCTGATGGGATCCAAATAAGTTACATTTTGTGGACTGCTTGTTGTTGCCTTGTAGTTTGGGTGGGAACAACATTGTCTTTCAGCATTCTTCATCCTTTGTGTAAGTGGAATTTTTTTTCACTATGCTTATTTTAATATTCTGATGTCTGGCAACCAGAGATATTAGAATAGCATTCTTGACCTAAGTTCTCTGAGCATTTTCTCTTTCTCACATGTGCATGAAATTAAAACGTAGGAAACATTTCCTGCCATGTTGAAGGCATTTATGTTTTTAATTCCTGGGGAAATTCTGAAAATGGTTTAGACTCATTCTGCTTCCTGATACTGTGTCTGGAACTGGTGGGTTCTTGGTCTCACTGACTTCAAGAATGAAGCCGCGGACCCTCGCGGTGAGTGTTAGAGTTCTTGAAGGTGGCGTGTCCGGAGTTTGTTCCTTCTGATGTTCAAACGTGTTCAGAGTTTCTTCCTTCTGGTGGGTTCGTGGTCTCGCTGACTTCAGGAGTGAAGCTGCAGACCTTCGCGGTGAGTATTACAGCTCTTAAGGCGGCCCGTCTGGAGTTGTTCACTCCTCCCGTCCAGAGTTGTTCATTCCTCCTAGTGGGTTTGTGGTCTCACTGGCCTCAGGAGTGAAGCTGCAGACCTTCGTGGTGAGTGTTACAGCTCATAAAGCAGTGTGGACCCAAAGAGTGAGCAGCAGCAAGATTTATTGCAAAGAGCAAAAGAACAAAGCTTCCACAGTGTGGAAGGGGACCCAGAGCAGGTTGCCTCTGCTGACTCGGACAGCCTGCTTTTATTCCCTTATCTGACCCCACCCACATCCTGCTAATTGGCCCATTTTACAGAGCACTGATTGGTCCGTTTTGACAGGGTGCTGATTGGTGCGTTTACAATCCCTGAGCTAGACACAGAGTGCTGATTGGTGTATTTACAATCCTCTAGCTAGAGGTATAAGTTCTCCAAGTAACCCACTAGATTAACTAGACACAGAGCACTGATGGGTGCGTTTACAAACCTTGAGCTAGACACAGGGTGCTGATTGGTGCATTTACAAACCTTGAGCTAGACACAGAGTGCTGATTGGTGTGTTTACAAACCTTGAGCTAGACACAGAGTGCTGATTGGTGTATTTACAATCTTTTAGCTAGACATAAAAGTTCTCCAAGTCCCCACCAGATTAGCTAGATACAGAGTGCTGATTGGTGCATCCATGAACCCTGAGCTAGACACAGAGTGCTGATTGGTGCATATACGATCCTCCGGCTAGACATAAAAGTTCTCCAAATCCCCACCCCACTCAGGAGCCCAGCTGGCTTCACCTAGTGGATCCCGCACCAGGGCCGTGGTTGGAGCTGCCCGCCAGTCATGTGCCATGTGCCTGCACTCCTCAGCCCTTGGGTGGTGATGCAATTGGGCACCACTGAGCAGGGGTTGGTGCCCGTCGGGGAGGCTTGGGCCACGTGGGAGCCCACCCTGGGGGGCCCTCCGGCATGGCGGGCTGCAGGTCCTGAGCCCTGCCCCCGTGGGGAGGTGGCTGAGGCCCAGCAAGAATTCGAGCACAGCACGGGTGGGCTGGCAGTGCTGGGGGACCCGGCACCCCCTCCGCACCTCCTGGCCCGGGTGCTAAGCCCCTCACTTCCCCAGAGCCAGCGGTGCTGGCAGGCCATTCCAAGTGTGGGCCCACTGAGCTCATGCCCACCGGGAGCTCGCCCTGGCCCGCAATCGCAGTGCACAGCCCCGGTTCCTGCCTGCATCTCTCCCTCCACACCTCCCTGCAAGCAGAGGGAGCCAGCTCCAGCCTTGGCCCACCCAGAGAGGGGCTCCCACACTGCAGCGGCCGGCTGAAGGGCTCCTCAAGCGTGTCCACTCTGGCCACCGAGGCCGAGGAGGTGCTGAGAGCAAGCAAGGGCCGCCAGCATGTTGTCACCTCTCAGTACCATACCCAGGAGAGCTTGATGTGAACTTAGCAAATTGCCTTAAAATATTTATTTTCATCAAATGAAGATACATTGGTGCTGGAATCAAAGATCCTTTCATGTTAACTGGTTGAAAAAACTTTGATTTCACAATTCTCTTGCACAAACAGCAATAGTTTATTTAGAACAGCCTGACTGAGAAAGTTGACTTGTCATGTTAGGGCAAGTGTGAGCTCTTAATAATATAAAATGCTTATTTGTGTCATTTAATTTTTATAATAGCTTCATAAAGTATTGATTTTTATTGTAAAAAGTGCCATGGTATTTGGTTTTAATCAAATATTAGTTGAATAAAAAGAAATGTATAGTGTAAATGCAATGACTTCTCATAGGGGTCAGAAATCCTAAATTTTCTCAATTTCAATTCTCAGCTTGCACAATTGCCAGGAAATTTACTGTGTTTTAATGAGTTTATTTTTAAAGATAGCATAAGTTCATATTTATTGTTTTATTTCTATTACCTAAGATTAGGCTATGTCTTCTTATATGAAAGAAAAAGGAATTTTGAAAGTGGTTAACAAAAAACTCAGATTATAGCTGATATATTAGCTAAAGTAAATATAACTCAATTACCAACGAGATATTTTACATAAATCCACACATTATTTAAAATGTGTATGCAAGGAGTAGGGGTCCACTGGTCTAGTCCTGATTCACACCATGCATGTTTTTCAACTTTAGTCCTTCATCACATCTTTTAACCTCAAGTCTAAATACTGAGATTTCAGTAGGTCTTTTCGAGGAGTGTTTTGTAGAATTTGAGTTTTTGTAAACTGAATTATGGGTTAAGCTAAATGTTCTTTTTGTTATATATATATAAAATATATGTATAGATATGTGTATATATATAAGTATATATATGTGTATATATATAAGTATATATATGTATATATATGTGTGTGTGTATATATATATATAATTTTACCTTAAGTTCTGGGATACATGTGTAGAACGTGCAGGTTTGTTACATAGGTATACATGTGCCACGGTGGTTTGCTGTACCTATCAACCCATCATCTAGATTTTAAGCTCCACATACATTAGGTATTTGTCCTAATGCTTTCCCTCCCCTTGCCACCCACACCCTGTGTTGTTCCCCTCACTGTGTCCATGTGTTCTCATTTTTTTTGATAGACAGTGGGAAGTATTGCCATTTGAAGTTAGACTAACATGTGAACTCTGATGCTCAACTTCTCTATATTGCATATTCCACAAGAGTAAAATGGGGAAAAAATAACATCACTGATAATTGAATGAAATAATGTGCAAAAAGCACCAAGCTTAATGTCTTTCCATTTTAAGACCCAATCAATGTTATTTTCCTTTCCCTTATGTGCTTTTTAATATAGAGCTCATGATGGTCTATTAGAATGGATGGAGCTTCAGAGTTGGAAAGATACTTGAATCTCAGCTTTATTACTTAATGGTGCTATGTGACATTGGAAAGCTACCTAACTTCTCTGGTCTTTTTTTTTTTTTTTTCATTTGCTAAATGGGTGCAGAGGGGATAAAAATATCTTAGAGTATTATGAAGATAAAATAACGTAAACTTGTTGTGTAATGCTAACATCTAGAAGGCATTCAATGAGCTTTAAAAAATATCTTGCTTTAACTTAAATATTCTAATCTTCCTCTTTACCTTCTTAATGTTTTATATGCAACTCATTTCCTGTCAGTTTGAATTTTCCCTCATATTCTTCTCTAGTGGCTGCAGTGCATCTGTCATCTGAGCCTGTAACTCTGTGCACAAATACTAATAATAACCAAAGTCATTTTTAGTACTTATTAAATACCAAGAAATATTCTAAACACTTTAGGCACCTTATTTCATTTGAAAACTCGGTCTTTTTTAAAAGGAAAACTAATTTATAATGAAAGACATCACTAGAGTGGAACCAACAGGGATTAGCTGGAAGAGGGCCTCAGGGAACTTTCTGAAGTAATGAAAATGTGCTAAATCATGACAGGGGTTTGTAAGCATTTGAAAAACTTATCAAACTTTATACATAAAATATGGGTATTTCGCTGTTGGTAAACTATACCTCGATGAGAAATTGAGAGGAAAAACCTAATGTTAAAAATATCCTTGGAGTGGAATGTTTTATGTCTAGTTTTTAGAGAGGAAAATTAAGGACCAGAATGTTCAGATGATATATTCAAGCCCACACTTACTGGTGGCCATGCCAGTCAAATCCAGATATATTTTAGTGCATGGCCCCTACACCTAACCACTAGGCTCCACTGCCTCTAATGAGATCTGTGCATCCTGACCCATGTTTTCATATTTATACTTTGTTATTTTATCCTTAGTAACTATATCACATAGATTGAGGCAGAGCAGCATATTTACATTTATATTATTGTTTATATTATCTTTACATTATTGAAATATTCTTATTTCATTGGAGATAGAGTTGTGTATTTTGGACAAAACTCTACGCAGAAAACGTATCTATCCCAAAATGTTTAGCTAGGGTGATGAGACCCAGGATATATTCTATCCTTGGAACCACTGTGCATTTCCAAGAACACTGGAAATATTTGGAGATCATGTTTCAGCTGCAATAACCTCAGGCAGCATATACAAACAGTACCTCAATAAGTCCTCTGGTAGCAAAATCCCTACCAATGTCTGCCATGCAATGAACCACCAAGGAGTTAGGAGTATTTTTAAGACAAAGTTTTGACAACCAAGTAAACTTGTTATCTAACCTTCTGTTACAAAGCATACATTTAAATTTCAAGTCAAATACGTCAGCAAAGATCCCTTGAAACTTTGGTGATTATAAAACAAAGCAGTCTGCAGTGCCTTTGCAGAGTTGGGTTCACTTTAAGGTTATTTCTGCCTTAAATGAGGCAGGAGTTTCTAAACTTATCAAAGCCTTGCCTGACATGTCCTCTCCCAACTTCCCATCGAAAAGCCCGTACAAATTCAGAAAACTGAATCTGAAATCTAAATTTGAAAAGGACAATTGACCAAATCGAAGGGAGATTTTCCTCTGTGCCATGATGAACATAAACTGAGAAATGCCTTCTTGTGCAATAAACTATGAGTTCACCTTCTGAAACTCAATATTAATGTGAAGCATTTCATATACTCATTTAATCCTTACAGCAACCCTATGAGGACTTCAATATTAATATGTGCATTTGTAGAGTAATAAAACATGTTAGCTGGGTTAATTGATTTGTCCGAGGACATACGTCCCATAATTTTGAGTGGGAGAGCCAATATTCAGGCCTCTTTAGCTACTTCTGTTCCCTACTATGAAATGCTCTAACTCTTCCCGAAAGAAGATATTAAAACATGTTGATCTGCTTTACTGCCTATATCTAGGGGATGCACTAACCTAGGTCAACTAATTTTGGAATTACAGCTAGACATTTTCTCTGTTGCTTTCAGCACTTCTTCACCTTTAAAAACCTTTTCAAAGCTCAGCATCTTGGGGCATTGCAAATGGAAGCGACTATATTAAAATTGGGGTTTAAGGGAGGAAGAATGTTAGGAATATTAGATGCCAGGATGTATGGTTTCTCCTGTACTGAATGATCAAAGAATTATAAATAAAATATTAGTTTCTATTGAAATTACAAAGCTCGTTATTGTGGCATTGGTTAGAAGAGAGTGAATATTTGTAAAGCAAACCTGCACCTGAGTGTCACACATGGAGCTAGAAGATGAACACCAAGCTTTCCCTTCATATTTGGATCTGTGAGGGAAATGCTGCAAGCCTGTTAAATGCTGGCCCTGACAGAGGTCTGCCCATATAAAGACCACTAAAGAGACGATAAAATGAAAAGTCAAGAATCATGGGGCTCTGAAAAAGACATAGCATAAGGCCAAAGATCTTTTTCCAGATACAGATCTCTGAAAATGATTATTTAGAAGAACCAGAAGATTTTTTTCACAAGATTGTAAGCACCATGTGACCAGAAACACTGTTTATTTCCTAAGGAATTCCTAGCAAGAAGAATAATATTTGACAAACAGTAGGCATTCACAAAACATTCATTAAATATCTAAGGAATAAAAAGTGGAGAAAAAAGGCAAAGGAATATAATTAATGAATTCCCCAAACTGTCAATACAAAGAAAATTTCATGTACATAATAGCTCATATTATATGACATTGTTGTGTTATTACTTGGAAAGCTGTTTGGAGATGTATGCTTTTATCCAAAACATAAATCTAAGGTAATTAATGCTAGTTGCTTCAACAACCTTTAAATCTCAGTGGCTTAAGAGAATAAGGCCTATTTATCACATGTTATACTCTGACGTGGGGAGAGTGTTCATTTGTGCAGCTGTCTCCCATGAGGCAACTCAAGGATCCAGGCTCCTTTCATCTCAGAGTATCATACTTCACTTGCGATTGTGTGGGTGAGAGAGACAGACCCTATACAAGATCACATGGGTAACAGCAGGCCAGGCTTGGGAATGGCATTCATCACTTCCATCCACATGCCATTAACCAGAAGCCAGAAATATGGTTTCAACTTAACTAGAAGAGGAGTTGGAAATGTTATCTTCCTGTTTGTCCAGTAAGAGGAAGTGGAACTTGTGAACATTTAGCTACTCTCTACTCCATTCCATCTTTTTGAGCATCACATTTTTATTATACTCTCTCTCATACCTTGAACACATTCACCATCTCCATAAGATGATAACCCAAGCTCCCATATAGTGACTCATTGCACTCCACCCATCTCAAAATTTGGAATCTCCATTGATGACAGTTTCCTCTCTGAGTCCCTGTTGTTGTTCCTTCTAGTTATCTGGTTGTCAATATAGACATTTACAATGGTCGAACACGCCCAGAATAACTGGAATAGAAAATCTCATTTCAAACGGGACACTGTTTCGTAGCAAATGTGAAATCCCACTAAGCATATGCTTGGGAAGACCCTGGTATTAATCTGTTCTCATGCTGCTGATAAAGACATACTTGAGACTGGGTAATTTATAAAGGAAAGAGGTTTAATTGACTCACAGTTCCACGTGGCTGGGGAGGCCTCACACTCATGGCAGAAGGCAAATGAGAAGCAAAGGCACATCTTACATGATGGCAGGCAAGAGAGCATGTGCTGGGGAACTCTCCTTTTTAAAACCAATAAACCTCATGGGACTTATTCACTACCATGAGAACAGTATGGGTGAAACCGCCCCCATGATTCAATTATCTCCACCTGGCCCTGCCCTTGACACTTGGGGATTACTACAGTTCAAGATGAGATTTGGGTGGGGACAGAGCCAAACCATATCGACACCCTATCTTAGGTGTAGCGAAAGGTTCTTGCTTAAGCCCTGGCTTTACTGTCTGACAGGGGCTCTTTTGCTCCTTTGCCCACTATTCTCCATGTCCCTACTGAAAAAGAAGTTTCTCTTCATGCATTTTTCTCCTTGGCCATTCTAAAGTGAGTGTAGGAATGGTACCTTCCTTGAAGGCTGTAGAAACTTCAGAAACAACTTTCTATTTGTGGAAAATTGGAAACCTAAAGGGTAATTTCAAAGCTTAAACAATGTTTTGTGTGTGGGGATGTGCATAGGGGAAGTAAAAGAGGTAGTTTTTGTGGCAATACAATTACCTCAAAAACTTAGTGATCCTGATATATTAGGTTCCAAATTATTCTATTTTCTTTTAATCATAAAGTTATATTATAGATATAGTTGTAAATTCTGTTTTATTGTTTTGTTTTCTTGCTACCCCCACCATGACTCTCTCTTGATATAAGTGGTGTCACCTTTAGGCAGGGCATGAATAGATCTATCCCTTGAGACAGTTTATTCGATTGAAACATTTTACAGAATATTTTTCACTCAAAGTCTTAAAAATTACTTTGGAGAATTTCCAACATATAAAAAGGTAGAGCGCATAGTAAACCACCCTAATCCCATCATCCAGGTTCAACAATTTTCAGTGCATGAAGTTAAATAAATTTAAATAAAGTTTAACAGCTGGGGTTTGACAAATCTCTGTGACTATATAGTTCTTACATTACTGTAGACAGGAGAAATAGATTATGCATGGGGTTGTAAAATTGAGGCAAATGCTACCCAAAGAAACTCCAAGACTTGCTGAAGGTTGCAAAATTAGTTTGTGGGAAACCTGGACTAGAAACTAAGTCTCTTGACTCTTAATTTAATTCTTCTTCCATGTTGCTCTTTTGTCTTCTTCAGATTAATTAAAGACAGTCAGAATACTTTAAGCAGCTACTGTGCTTATCACTTTTTAGGAAAAAACAAGTGCTACCTTTCATGAGGAGCTTAGAGATACTTCTTAAGTGATAAAATTTACAAAACAGAAATAATTAGAAAGTGGAAAAGTAGAGCATTGTTAAGACAGTATTTGTATTAGTCCGTTCTCACACTGCTATAAAGAAATACCCAAGACTGGGTAATTTATAAAGAAAAGAGGTTTAATTGACTAACATTTCTGCATGGCTGGGGAGGCCTCAGGAAACTTAGAATCATGGTGGAAGGGGAAGCAGGCATGTCTTACATGGTGCCAGGTGAGAGAGAGGAGTGTATGTGAAGGAGGAACTGTCAAACACTTATAAAAACCATCGGATCTCGGTGAGAACTCGCTATCATGAGAATAGCATGGGGGAAACCACCCCCGTGATCGAATCACTTCCCACTATGTCCCTCCCTTAACATGTGGGGATTACAGGGATTAGAATTTAAGATGAGATTTCGGTGGGGACACAGAGCCAAACCATATCAGTATTTAACTGCCAAATCTATTTCTTCAAATATTCATACTTTCCTTTTCTTCATTTATTAAACTGTTTTCATTTCTCTACTATAGCTAGTAAAAAAAAAAGATGATATATGTATCTGCAAAATCCAAGGAAGTTGCAATTTGAAATAAAAAATTCTTGAACAGCAAAATTGAAGACAAAAGAACCAAAGACCCTATTTCAGGGTAGACTGAATCAAGTCTTCTTGCACTCACTAAAGAAAAGACTTGCAGCCATATGAAGACAACAGCAAAGTGACCCTGACCATTTTCTTGTAGTGACACCTCCGCATAGTGACAGATGGGCTCCCAGAGGAGTGGATTGGCAGGTCTTGCCAGCACACTGTGAGTTGATCACAAGAGGAAATCAGGCCTCACACCTGTGCTGAACCGAGTTCCAGGCACTTCTCTAGGTCCTGTGGAAAAAAAAAAGTCATTTGAATTTCTCTTCCTATAGACAATAAAGGTTATTAAAAAAAATTTCTTTCCATTGCCTCAATGTTTCTTATTTCCTCTATTATAATCTATCACCAGTTAGAATCAGTTGTCTATTTTTGAGGCAAATACATATTGCAATTTGATTCTTAAATGATCATTGAACAAAGTGACGTCTTCATCTATGTTACGTAAACAGTCTAATGGCTCTAGACATCTGGGATGTCTTTTCCAAATTTGTTTGATTAATATTCTCATTTTGCTCAGCACTGAAACTCATGACTAATTTGCTATTTTTCTCTTTACTTCTGAGGTTTCTGCCAATTGCTTGCACTTGGGTCTTTTGCAGCATCTGTGACTGTTCACCATTTGTGATCCCCTTGAACACTGTTGGAACCAGACAGAAATGATGCTCATCCTGGCCTTTCCTCTTCACAGCTGTATGGCTCAAAGTAGAATACATTATTTCTCTCAGTCTCAATTTCCTCACTGGCAAAATCAGTAAGAGTCTGTCAATATCGCATGATTGTTGTTATATCTGTGATGATTACTGTTCACATTTTCATCATATCATTGTAGGGCACGGATAATGTTGTTCAGATTAGCAAAGGGACAGCAGTTCATTAATAATTTCCTCACCTAAAAAAACAAATTGTTGTCCTCACAGGCAATCTAGACATCTTTCCCCCGATTCCAAAGTCTTTTTATTAAACTCCTTAAAGGTACAATGTTTTATATATGTTTGCATCCCCACAGTTCCTAACATATCACCTTACATAATTCAGCATTTTTGGAACTTTTTGGAACAGATAGCTTAGATAACCTGCTAGATTTTTCCCTAGCCTAGCATTAGTTAGTAGTTTTTAATGGAACAATATTTGGAGAAAATTTTGGCTGTTACAACTGGGGGTGGTGCTACTGGCAGCTAGTTGGTATAAGTCAGGGATGCTGCTAAATATCCTTAAATATATAGGGTATACAAACAACAAAAAATTATCTGGCCCCAAATGTGCCAAGATTGAGAAACTCTAGTAGAGTTGAAAATGTAGCTTTGGAGTTAGACCTAGGTTCCAGTCCCAACTCAGTTGTTCACTTGCTTTATGATCTTGGGCAAGTTGCTTGACCTCTCTACATCTCCTGGAGCTCCCTGACACCTATCTACCAGCGCTTCCTCCTATATAAAATAAACCTCTCTATATAAAATAAAGCTATCACTTCCTTTTACTTTGGGAATTAAGTAAAATAATAATTGTATTCAGTGCTTGATACATAGAAGTTACTCAAACACATATACATTTTCCTTGCACTCTTTAAAGTCTGTCTGACGTAAAATGTTACAAGAATCTAGACACAGAGAGATAGATGCAAGCAAGAATTCTTACCTTAATAAGACCCAGGGATGTCAGGATTTTAATAAGGGATCTGAGTAAGACACAGGCTGTTCTCTGGAGACACAAAGAGGAGCAGTTCTGATCAAAAACGTGCTTACAGAAAGAGAATGAAAATAAATCTCATGTCTCCTGTTGGTGGCCACTCTGAGTTACTTTTGTCTTTGCTTCTCAAGCACAGACCACTTTAAGAGGAGCTGAACATGCCAAGGCCCTAACAGACATGTGGATTCCACTTGCTTCCTGAGCTCAGTCAGTGTTCATAAAATTGAATGTTCATAAAAATGAATCACAAAGACTTACTTTTATCAAGATTGTTTTAAAGAGTCTAGAGCCTCCAAAGGAGACTATGAGCATCCAGAGAATTGGGCACCAGGACAGTGGGCAGGAAAATGCATCTGCACCTGCTGCAACCAGCTGGCCTTCCTCCTGGCCTGGGCCCAAGGCTGACAGTGAGCCGGACCAGGGTCTTAGAAGGCTCCAATGTTGACCATCTTTGTGTTGAAGTGCTGGTACATAGGTGTCAGGGAGCTCCAGGAGAGCCTGCCCTGAGGCCATGCAAGGAGGGATCTCATCTTGTTCAGTGTAACAGACTCAGGACCAAACACTGTGCCTGGAACACAGTAGGTGTTTAATAATGATTATTGAATAGTCTCACAGAAATACTGAAACAATAGCATTTGACTCTGAAACCTGAGGGAAACACTCTGGGCAGAAGCCAAAGTAGTTTCCTCTAACAAGGAGCATGTGGCCTGTGTGGAGGTCTTTGAGCTGCATGATTCATGATCATTTAGAAACATTCCTGAAGAATAATACCTTCTCTAAAGAGGGAGGCATAAAACCTTACATAAAAGGCATAACTGCAGAATCCAGTGGATCCCATCCCTCACATTAGCAAGAGGTATTGAATTATACCCCTATTAAGAATGAATAGAGATTATAAGCCAGAGGGAAGTATAATATAATTCAATTGAAAGAAATCACTACTTAGGAGAGTTAATGAGTTTGCCATTCAAAACGTGTGTTAATAATTAGCATTTTATTGAATGCTTGCCGCTTCCCATCCACTGAACTAAGCACTTTTCACACGTTCTTATTTTATGCCCACAACACTTTATGATATAGTTTCTGTTGTTATCCACATTCTACAGACAAGAACGCTGAGGCTTAGAGAGGTTAAGTGATTTTCCCAAGGTCACAGAATTAATAGTAGTTAAGGTCAGTATGAGTCCAGATCCTGAGTTCTTAAACATTAAGCAATACTCTTAGGGAATCCCTTGGAGCATCCTCACAAATGGAAAAAATTGCTTGGAAAATCTCTGTCTCAGCTAGAGGTACTTACCTGCAGTGCCAAGTCCTATAAATCTGCAGGTGAGTGGCCACATATTTTTGGAAGCCCAAAGAAAGGAGGAAATGTGAATATTTAATGTCTTGATGTGCAAAAGAAAAAGGCAAACCAGACACATTAGAGAAGCACAATTATCTCTTGGTATTAAAACCAGAGAATCATTTCTCTGGGGCCTAACAGAGGATAAGGTTTAATATAATTAACAATGCCTACAAGAGCATCTTTACTGTAAATATCATGCACAACAAAAAGGCCAGGACCATGAAATTACTGAAATTATTTGAATACCTTGAAATTATTTCAATACCTCTTGCTAATGTGAGGGATGGGATCCACTTGGTTCTGCAGTCATCCCTTTTATGTAATGTCTTAAACCTCACTTCTTAGAGAAGGTATTATTCTTCAGGAATGTTTCTAAATAGTCATCAATTATGCAGATCAAAAACCTCCACGCAGGCCACATGTTTGTTGTAGGAAGAGACTACCACTAAGCTCTACTCTTCAGGAAGTAGATTCTCAAAGTTGCAGATGCTCCCTCTATACATGTTGAACTGGCTCTGAGAAAACAATGTTTAAGGAGGACTGTCTGAAGATTATACTGTTCATTTGTTCCTCTAGGTATTATAAAATCTATCTCTACATTGCAAATAACCAGCAGGAATGTCCCTAGATTTCATGGTTATGGTCTTTTTGTTGTGGGTCATATGTATTGTAAAGATGCTCTTGGAGGTATTGTTAATTAAATTAAAGTATCCTCTGTGTGAGGCCCCAGAGAAATGATTCTCTGGTTTTAATACCAAAGATAATTATGCTTCCCTAATGCCTCTGGTTTATCTTTTCCTTTTGCACATCAGGTCATGTAAATATTCACATTTCCTTCTTGTTTTGGCTGTCAAAAATACATGGCCACTCACCTGCAGATTTATAGGAACTTGCGCTGCGGGTAAGTACCTCTAGCTGATGCAGGGATTTTCCAAGCAATTTTTTTTCATTTGTGAGGATGCTCCAAGGAATTCCCTAACCCCCTGTTATTTTTACCTCCTGTTAATGGGGAAAGTCAGGGTAATTTTGCAGGGGGTAGAGATGAAGAAGAACAGATAAAAGATCCTAAGCAATGAACTAGGGCTGGGGCTGCACAGGTACAGATAACAAATTCCCCACCCTCAAAGAGTTTGTAGCTTAATGGAGGAAACACACAGGCTAAAAACTTTTGTAACATAGTTTTTAAAAATTGTATTCATGTGAAGATGAGAACACTAGACAAGACCTCCGAGCTCCCTACTCTGCCGAGGGAAATTAAGAATGCTTTAATACAGGAGTTAACATTTGGACAGGACCTTGCAGCATAAGGAAACAACATTTATTGAACACTACATGCTGTGTGCTTCTTTATTTCGATTAGCTAATTGAATCACGGCAACTTCACAAGATAGGTGCATTTTCCCTCATTTTTTTTTTTTGATAGACTAATGAAAGTAAGGCCCAGGAAAATCAAGCATTTATTCAGGATGGCACAGGTATGGAGCTTCAGGGCTGGGATTTCAACCTAGATCTGCTTGTCTTCAACCATGCTCTTGCCTTCATGTATTAGGACTATTCAGGTCTAATGAGGCCTTCAAATGAGGATGCATGGTTCTGGGAATTGGGAGGGCAAATTCCACCCACGAATATCTGGTTGAATGCCTGTGTCCTTTGTGCAGGCAGAGGAAAGAGCAAAATGATTTCTCAGGATGTTTTTAGCTCACTTTCTGTGCATGCTTGTCTCAGGGAAGAAAACGTCTCCACTTCTAACTTTTGATCAGTGTTCCTCTTAGTGTAAGTGTCTCTCCAGTGGTACAGTGAAGTTTTTAGATCAGCTGCATTTAAACTGGATGAAGGAAGGGATCAGGTCAGTCTTGTTTAGGACTCATACCTAGTACCTGGCCATAGAAGCCATTGATACTCATTATATATTCACCGAGTGAACACAGGAATCACTGAAGAAACTGGGAGATAAGCATTAATATATTAGGTTTGGTGATTTGGTAGTTTCTATATCCCCTAAGTCCTCATGACAATTTTATGTATGTATGTATGTATGTATGTATGTATTTATTTATTTATTTATTTATTTATTTATTGAGACGGAGTCTCGCTCTGTTGTCTAGGCTGGAGTGCAGTGGTGCGATCTTGGCTCACTGCAAGCTCCGCCTTCCATGTTCACGCCATTCTCCTGCCTCAGCCTTCCGAGTAGCTGGGACTACAGGCGCCCACCACCTCGCTCGTCTAATTTTTTGTGTATTTAGTAGAGACGCGGTTTCACCGTATTAGCCAGGATGGTCTCAAACTCCTGACCTCGTGATCTGCCCGCCTCAGCCTCCCAAAGTGCTGGGATTACAGGCGTGAGCCACTGCGCCGGGCCCCTCATGACAATTTAAGTCCTCAATAAACGTTTTGAATGAAAAAACTCCCCACCATTTAGAACTGCATTTAGTTCCCGAAGACTTCCCTGACAATCCTCATTTTGACCTACTCCTACTCCACACCACACAAGAAATACCAGCACATGATTTCTATAACACTCTACATCTCCTGCCAGAGCAGCTATTAACATTCCTGGTATTGTCTTCTCAGTTAGACATCTTCTTCCATTCCCATATAGGCATCCTGAAGACAAACAGTGTGGCTCCCTTAGTCACCTTTGTATCTGTAATATCCAGCCTGGCATAAAGTAGGCTTGATTGGTTAATAGAATGAAAGAACAAATAAATCAATGAATACAATAATTTGCTGTTCTTCATTACCATACTAATCAGATGATGAACAAGCTTTTACAGGGAGTCATAATCCAGAGGAGAGCTAAAAATAATTACACAAAAGCAAAATTATTATGTATAAACTGCCCCCACCACACACACACACACACGAAAGAAAAAAATACATGCATTCTAAAATGGCACCTAAGTAGCAGTATGAGGGCCCTCAAAAGCAAAGCAAAACAAAGCTCAACTAAACTAAACTAAACAAGTTGTATTCATCATTAGATCACCAGGGCCTCCTTTTAATTGTCTCATTGCAGTAGTTCTTTCTTTCAAAGTTTCCGGTGCCTCCTACTCTGAGTTGCTGCAGTTTAAGTGTTAAATTTCTCATGCTGAAGATTTGCTGCCTTGTTCATCTTTCGTTTTCCTTCATTCTTCCTGGGTAGCTGCATGGTTTTTACTTCTTATTCCACACAATCCTTTGGCCAAGTTTTCCCAGCTTGAAAACTGCTTTATATTTTCATGTTTTTTAAATAGTCCATGTATTCAAGCACCATACTCTTTGTTGACTTGTTTTAGTTTTTCTATCACAGTACCTCTTTCATGATAAAGCTTTTCCTCTACACTTTGCAGATAGAATGTAATAATATGTGATTGATTTTCTCTTCCTAGTCACTAAACATTTTGAAAGTGATTCAAAAGTCCCCAGATCTCTTCATACCTATCTCAACTCTAAGAACATTTTAGTGGCAGCCATGCATTACATACTCATATTATTCATGTTACTGTGTATCTGTTGCTTTATGAATATTGCTATTTAAGGTTAATCTAATGTTGATGATTTACAAATTATAATATCAAAAGAAATATCTGTAATAATAATTGACATCTGTATGTTTTACAGTTTAAATACTATTTATTTAATTATCTTTTTAAAGAGATGGGCATCTCACTATGTTGCCTGTGCTGGTGTGCAGTAGCTGTTCACAGGCATGATGATAGTGCACTAGAGCCTTGAACTCCTGGGCTCAAGCCAGCCTCTTACTTCAGCCTCTTGAATAGCTGGTACTGCAGTCACATGCCACCGTATCATGCTAACAGGTATCTTAATATCAGTAAATTCTCAATAGCCAGTGTTAAGTGGTTACTTACAGATGAGGAAACTAATGTTCTGGGTGGTTTGCCCAAGATCAAATAGTCTACCTAGATTTTTTTTGTCTACATATTATTCCCTACATTATATCCACTTGTGTGAAATTTAGAACCAGACAACTCTGACTCTAGGGAAATGAATTCTCATGCCCAAGGCTTTGTCTTAGGACCATGGTAGACTTAAGGAGATCTCCTGATAACGCTGTGCAATTACTGGGTTCTGTATCTTTGTGCAAGCTGTCCTTTCTTGGGAAACCTGTTCCCACCTCAAATGTGAAAACCGTATATATCTTTGTGCTCAGATGTTACTTTCCCTGTGAAGCACATCTATCACCCTGAACAAAGTTAGTGGCCTCCTTAATGTCCCTTGTATATCTTTCCATTACTGGATTTATCACACTGGAATATCTAGTGAGATTTCTGACTCCTTGGATTTGGTTTAGGCAGTTGGAAGACAGAGATTATGTCACATCCAGTAGAAGCTTACTAAATCCCAGATGAGCTGAATCAGCTATACAGTTCTCAGCATTAAAACCATGTTGGGCGCATTCCCAGGTTAATATTTGCTTCCCTTTGGGTTTTTTGCTAAAATTCAAACTAATACTCCAAGTTACTTAATTGCTTCACTGAGGTGTGTCAAAGTTAATTGAAGTATTACATGTTTTATTTTTCCATCTTATACATAAAACTTGAGGCTGTTAGAATGCAGAAAACTACCCAGAAATGTTGTCAAGTCAAGGAGACCTGGTTCATCCTAGCCTGGTTCTTCAAGCCTCAAAAAAACAAGATGAAGATGGAAGGCCAGTTAGAGGGACTGTTACTCTACATGCAAGAAAAATGTTATCTGTCATTCAGACTTGAGTTTCTATCTCTTATTCTTCATAATAGCTAAGTTCTTAGAGATGTGGCTGGGTGTGTGCTTTATATGCATTAATCCTTACAACAGTCAGGTGATGCGGGCATAACATCTTCATTCTTCGCAGTTCGTGAACATGAGATCAAGGCAGGTTTAATGACTTGGCAAGTTCACATACAAGTTAAAAGGAAAATGTGAGATGTGCAAAAAATTCTATCTGGTTTCAAAATTTGTACTCTTTACACTACATGCTGCATGATCTTTTCTTGCTGTATGAGCAGCAATGACATAAGTAAGAATGCCTTTCTCATCTTATTCATTCAAACATTTTCTTTTCCACCTGGCCAGTGACTTTGCTATGAGGAAAAAATAAAAAAAAAAAAAAAGCTTAAGTCCTTTCTCCTAACAGTGCACCTGGTTAAGAACTAAAGTAGCTATTTGTCCTTGGCAAGTCACTGCGTATCAAGGCTTTTGATAAAATTCATTTAAATTTTCTGCTTTTTGTCTCATGGCCCCAACCTCCTGATTTTATTTGGTTTTAACTTTTATTTCCCATTATGAGAGAAGCTCCTATTGGTTTTTATAAATGCATCTTTCTCACTGGACGCACAGCTGTCTGATGACTTTCATGTTCATCTGATAATTTTCCAGGACATGAACAGAAGGCATGGAATATATATATATATTCCATATATATGTGTGTATATATATATATTCCATATATATGTGTGTATATATATATATTCCATATATATGTGTGTGTATATATATATATTCCATATATATGTGTGTGTATATATATATATTCCATATATATGTGTGTGTATATATATATTCCATATATATGTGTGTGTATATATATATTCCATATATATGTGTGTATATATATATTCCATATATATGTGTGTGTATATATATATTCCATATATATGTGTGTATATATATATTCCATATATATGTGTGTATATATATATTCCATATATATGTGTGTATATATATATTCCATATATATGTGTGTATATATATATTCCATATATATTGTATATATAATATATATATTCCATATATATGTGTATATATATAATATATATTCCATATATATGTGTATATATATAATATATATATTCCATATATGTATATATTATATATATTCCATATATATGTGTATATATATTATATATACACACACAACATATATATAACATATATATCATATATATCATATATATAATTTATATATATATATATATATATATATATATATATATATATATATGAAATTTTTTCCTTCTGCCCTGGGAGGCAGTAATGAGAGGTATAAAAATTTGTATTAACCTCCACCCCACTTTTTATTTTTGGTCAGCCAAATGCCCAGCAAGTAAAGAGACTCCACAAACTGAAAGATTCCTTGCTGTCAAAGGTGGCCTCAATTTCTTCTAGGTCACTGAAGATTTTCATCTATTAGAAAACAGCTTTGAGGGAAACTGCCAGGAGCATAGTCATTAATGTAGCATTGATAGTTCAATGTCAGGAACTTTTGAGAATGGAGGAAATTATGAGATACTTTTTTCTTCACATTTTAAAAAAGAGAGTATCTATTTGATAAAATTCAAATACAGACCTAAGGAAGCATATGAACAAGACCTAAGTAAGCTTTTGAGTGAAAAAGACCTAGGGTTGAAATCCAGTTCTATTGTTACCTTTTTGTAGTGGTTTTTATATGATTCAATGCATACATTAAATTTCATAGGGCCGTATACCAAAATATTTGGAAGGTTTTCAGGCATTATTAATTCAACTATATTTTCAGCACCAAACTCTTCCTCTTCACTTTTTGGGACGGACAGCATAAATATTAGACATCTTGCTTTTGACCTATAGATCTCTGAGACTGTTACATATTTTAATCTCTTTTTTTTCTGTTATTCAGGCTGGAGAAGTTCTACTGATCTATCTAAAAGTTTTCTGACTCTTTCTTCTATTCTCTATTCATCTCTATTTCACTGTCAACCCCAACAGGTGAGTTGTTTATTCTTTTATTATTTATTTATTTTGAGGCGGAGTTTCGCTCTTGCTGCCCAGGCTGGGGTGCAATGGTGCAATCTTAGCTCACTGCAACCTCCACCTCCCTGGTTCAAGCAATTCTCCTGCTTTAGCCTCCCAAGTAGCTGGGATTACAGGCATGAGTCACCATGCCCAGCTAATTTTTTGTATTTAGTAGAGAAGGTGTTTCGCCATGTGGGTCAGGCTGGTCTCAAACTCCTGACCTCAGGTGATCTACCAGCCTCGGCCTCCGAAAGTGCTAGGATTACAGGCATGAGCCACTGCGCCCAGCCCTTTATTTAGTTATTATATTTTTTAGCTCTAAACTGTCATTTAGTTATTCCTATGGTTCTAATACTTTGCTGAAACTTTCTATTTTTTGTTTCAAAAGGTTTCAAAATTCCATATTGGGACAATTTTATAATGCCTGCTTTATAGACTTTGTCAGATAATTTCAACATCTGTGCTATCTCAGTCTTGGCATCTGTTGATTGCTTTTTCCCATGTAAGTTGAGATTCTCCTTGTTTTTCACATGATGACTAATTTTTGACTGTATCCTGTTTAAACAGCATACAAAATGTTGACTTTTTTTTTTTTGTTAGGTTCCGGCTGCAAGTTCAGTTTCACCTTCTGTGGGGGTTGTCTATTGTTCCAATGTCAGTTGAGTTTTCAAAGCCTTTGCTTCTATCCGTCCTGCTTGTGCTCCACCTAGTATGGTGGACCTAGGTGGTGATGTATGTCACCACTCAGTTGTCAAGGATTTGGAGGTGCTGATTAGAATCAGATCTATGCATGTACTGCCTAGCATTTCATGTACAATTTGCATGGGCTCACATTTCTCAGCTACTTTTTATCCTTAATCTCTTTGTCAGTTTCCAGTACCCTGGGGATCACTTTTTAGGCCCTCCAGCAGGAAAGATGGGGCTTTAGTTATCCTACTCCATTGCAGGGCCAAGACCAGGGTGAAAAAAGTGAGGCACATTTCTTGGGTACAGAAATTAAGAGGGTACCAAAACATTCAATAGATAAGTAAAATTTTAATGCGATATTTTAAAAAATCAAAATTAATGTGAAAATTTATAATGAACAAAATGTTGCAATTTAAGTAAAGACAGGATCCAGCTCTGCACTTTACTACCCAGCCTCACTTCCTCAACCTAATTCCAGCCCTCCTTTGCTGTATATTTCTACAACTGCACCTCCATCTGGAGCCAGGCAGCAGGAAGACAGGCAGAAAAAAAATGTAACCAGTTTGGTGGAACTTTGAATTCTGGTCTTCTTCCTCAACCTTCCTGTTACTAATTATATTTCAGAGCCTTCAACTAGTTGATCTATGCATTCTATCCAGGTTTTGCAGCTATACTCTGTGAGAAAAACAGAGTAGAGGGTGGTTATTTCATCTTAACTGGAACAAGAATCAGAGAAGAATATTCTTAGATTGCTACAAGGAGCTAGATGAAAGACTGACAAAAAAGTAAATTCTAGGGGAAAAAGCAATACATATTTCAAAAAGCAATTCTGTCACCTTATTCTTTCTAGTAAAACTTTTTATCCTTAAAAATAAAATTAGCTTTCTAGGAATTATACAATACACTCTTTTCCTTTCCTTCACCTTCCAGTGGAAAGTGCATGTGTACGTAGGTGCATGAGTGCATGAGTAGGCATACGTACAATCATGCCCCAGAGAAAGACAGAAACAGAAATAGAAACAAAGTGGGAGGGACTTAGATAAGGATCTTGTAGCTTTAGGTTGAGTTTCTCCAGTGTTCCTTTTACCATTAGGGAAAGATTAAAATGTTAGAATAAATAACTTATAAGGTCCTATATGGATTTCCTCTTCCTTCCTATTTTGAGGAAATCATCAGAGGGACAAACCTCTCTCATGGGTACAGTATTTGCTACCATTGACAATGTCACAGTTTTTTCTATTTATAAAAAGAAGGATACTTACATAAAGGGTAATTCATTGTTATAAGCAAGGTAGGTCAAGTTCGGTGCTGGCATTCCTTTAGCTGTCTGCACCAGTACCTTAAACATATGAAAAACATATTCACATGTACTATTTGAAGAATGTAGCTCAGGATTTTTGCTTATTTGCTGCTGGACCCAGAACTGTTTTGTTCATTGAACAAAGTGTTAGATGGAAGGTTGTAAAACGCAGGGCAGAATGTATTTAAATATTATTTGAATTTGACTGTAGAAAGAGAACTGTGTGAAAAAGCTGTTGACTGCTTTTTACCTTTGTGGTCTCTGGACCTTTGAATTCACTGTAGTAAAAACCAAATTTTAACCTACATTTGGCCCAGACGGTGAATTTTTCTATAAATATGGAAAACTCTAAAATATCCCTTTCACTTGCATCCATGTGAAGAGACCACCAAACAGGCTTTATGTGAGCAACAAGGTCGTAGGTGGATCTTTCTCACGGAGCAAAGAGCAGGAGGAGAGGGGATTGATCTCCCAAGGGAGGTCCCCTCGATCCAAGTCACAGCACCAAATTTCACGCGCGTCCATGTGAAGAGACCACCAAACAGGCTTTGTGTGAGCAACAAGGCTGTTTATTTCACCTGGGTGCAGGCGGGCTGAGTCCGAAAAGAGAGTCAGCGAAGGGAGACAGGGGTGGGGCCGTTTTATAAGATTTGGGTAGGTAAAGGAAAATTACAGTCAAATCGGGGGGGTTATTCTCTGGCTGGCAGGGGTGGGGGTCACAAGGTGCTCAGTGGGGGAGCTTTTGAGCCAGGATGAGCCAGGAAAAGGAATTTCACAAGGTAATGTCATCAGTTTAGGCAGGAACAGGCCATTTTCACTTCTTTTGTGGTGGAATGTCATCAGTTAAGGCAGGAACTGGCCATCTGGATGTTTATGTGCAGGTCACAGGGGATGTGATGGCTTAGCTTTGGCTCAGACACCTGACATTCCTGTCTTCTATTAATAAGAAAAATAAAATAGCGAAGTGTTGGGGCGGTGAAAATTTTTTTGGGGTGGTATGGAGAGATAATGGGCGATGTTTCTCAGGGCTGCTTCAAGCGGGATTAGGGGCGGCGTGGGAACCTAGAGTGGGAGAGATTAAGCTGAAGGAAGATTTTGTGGTAAGGGGTGATATTGTGGGGTTGTTAGAAGAAATATTTGTCGTATAGAATTATTGGTGATGGCCTGGATGCGGTTTTGTATGAATTGAAAAACTAAACGGAATAAGACAAGGAGAAAAACAGGTATTAAAGGACTAAGAATTGGGAGGACCTAGGACATCTAACCAGAGTGCCTAAGGAGGTTCAGCATAGCCCTGCCAGCAAAGATTATTTACTTTAAGAGGGACTTTAGAGTGGCGGTTTGGGGATAGGACCAGGAGATGTCAGCTGTGAAGGCTTGGAGAAACAGTGTAAATGGGCAGTGTAAACAAGAGCAGGGCATTTATGAGTAGTTGAGAGCAGTGAATAGAAGTATGGCTAGACAGAAGACAGTAGGGATGACAAGTTTTTTGGGGCACAGTCCAAGTTGGTCTGGTGTCTGGAATGAGGTTGGGGCCTAATAAAAAGGAGGGTCTATACAGGAGCTTAAATGGGCTGTACTTTGTAGCATTCCGAGGACAGGCCTGAATTATGAGAAGGGAAAGAGGTAAAAGTACTGTCCAGTCCTTTTTAAGTTGGAGGCTGGGCTTGGTGAGGTGTGTCTTTAAAAGACCATTAGTCTGTTCTGCCTTTCCTGAAGATTGAGGATGGTAAGGGGTAGGAAGTTTCCACTGAATACCAAGAGCCTGAGAAACTGCTTGGGTGATTTGACTAGTAAAGGCCAGTCTGTTATAGGACTGTATAGAAGTGAGAAGGCCAAACCGAGGAATTATGTCAGACAGAAGGGCAGAAATGACCGTGGTGGCCTTTTCAGACCCTGTGGGAAAGGCCTCTACCTATCCAGTGAAAGTGTCTACCCAGACCAAGAGGTATTTTAGTTTCCTGACTCAGGGTATGTTGCATAAAGTCAATTTGCCAGTCCTGGGTGGGGGCAAATCCCAGAGCTTGATGTGTAGGGAAGGGAGGGGGCCTGAATAATCCCTGAGGAGTAGTAGAATTGCAGATGGAGCACTGAGAAGTGATTTCCTTGAGGACAGATTTTCATGATGGAAAGGAAATGAGAGATTCTAAGAGACGGACTAGTGGCTTGTAACCTACATGGAAGAGGTTATGAAATGACGACAGAATAGAATGGGCCTGTGAGGCTGGAAGGAGATATTTTCCTTGGTCTAAGAACCATTTGCCTTGTGTGGGAAGAGATTGATAGGTGGAAGTTTCAGTGGGGGAGTATGTGGGAGTGGCCAGATGAGAAGGAAAAAAACTGAAAGTGAGGGATATAAGTTGGAACACTAGCTGCTTTTTTAGCTATCTTACCGGCATAAGCATTGTCCTGAGCAATGGGATCTGGTGCCTTTTGATGTCCTTTGCAGTGAATGACTCTAGCTTCCTTTGGAAGTAAAGCGGCTTTGAGAAGCGTTTTTATTAAAGAGGCATTAATGATAGAGGACCCTTCTGTAGTGAGGAAACCTCTTGCATGGTGGTGCAGGATATGGAAAGCATATTTAGAGTCAGTATAAATATTGATGTGTAGTCCTTTTGCAAGAGTGAGGGCTTGACTTAAGGCAATGAGTTCAGCTTGCTGAGAGGTAGTGGAGTGGGGCAGAGTGGTAGCTTCAATGATAGATGTGGAAGATACTATAGCATAGCCTGCCTTTGCTGGTGAGTGGCGATTAGGCCTGGTGGAACTGCCATCAATAAACCAAGTGTGTTCAGGGTGAGGAACATGAAAGAATATGGGGATATGGAGGGAATGTCAGGTGGATCAGAGAGATACAGTCATGGGAGTCAGGTGTGGTATCAGGAATAATGTGGGAGGCCGGATTGAAGTCCAGGCCAGGAACAATGGTAATTGTGGGAGACTCAACAAAGAGTGAGTACAGCTGAAGGAGCCGGGGGAGCAGAAAGTATATGTGTCAGGTGTGAGGAAGAAAATAGATTTTGGAAGTTACGAGAACTGTAGAGAGTAAGTTGAGCACAGTTTGTGATTTTAAGGGCCTCTAAAAGTATTAGGGCGGCAGCGGCTGCACGCAGAATTGAGGGCTAGGCAAAAGAGTAAGGTCAAGTTTTGCCTAGGATAAAAAGGCTACAGGGCATGGTCCCAGTCCTTGTGTAAGAATTCTGCCTGCACAGCCCTGCACTTCAGCTGTGGGTAATGAAGTGTTGGGATAAGTCAGGGAGAGCTAGGGTGAGGGCAGTCTCTAAAGCTGTTTTCAAGCAACAGAAAGAGGAGTGGGGAAAGGATTTAGGATCTATGGGGTCAGCTAGGTTTCCTTTTGTGAGTTTATGTAATGGTTTTATTACGATGGCAAAACCAGGTATCTAAAGTTGAAAGTATCCAACCATGCCTAGGAAGGAAAGGAGTTGTGTTTTGTAGAAGGTGTTGGGGTTTGAGAGATCAGTCAGACACGATCTGCAGGGAGAGCACATGTGTTTTTATGAGAATTATGCCGAGATAGGTAACAGATGAGGAAGAAATTTGGGCTTGACTGAAGTAATGGGAGCTGTCTGTGTAGCCTTGCAGCAGTACAGCCTAGGTAATTTGCTAAGCCTGATGGGTGTCAGGGTCAGTACAAGTGAAAGCAAAGAGAGGCTGGGATGAAGGGTGCAAAAGAATAGTAAAGAAAGCATGTTTGAGATCCAGAACAGAATAACGGGTTGTGGAGAGAGGTATTGAGGATAGGAGAGTATATGGGTTTGGCACCATGGGGTGGATAGGGAAAACAATTTGGTTGATAAGGGGCAGATCCTGAACTAACCTGTAAGGCTTGTCTGGTTTTAGGACAGGTAAAATGGGGGAATTGTAAGGAGAGTTTTAGGCTGTAAAAGACCATGCTGTAGCAGGCCAGTGATAACAAAGCTTTAATCCTTTTAAAGCGTGCTGCGGGATGGGATATTGGCCTTGAGTGGGGTAAAGGTGATTAGGTTTTAATGAGATGGTAAAGGGTGCATGATCAGTCACCAAGGAGGGAGTAGAGGTGTCCTATACTTGTGGGTTAAGGTGGGGAGATACAAGGGGAAAATGTAAAGGAGGCTTTGAACTGGGGGAAAAGGTGGCAGTGAGGTGTGGCTGTAGCCCAGGAATAATCAGGGAAGCAGATAATTTAGTTAAAGTGTCTCGGCCTAATAAGGGAACTGGGCAGGTGGAGATAACTAAAAGGAGTGCTTAAAAGAGTATTGTCTAAGCTGACACCAGAGTTGGGGAGTTTTAAGAGGTTTAGAAGCCTGGCCGTCAATACCCGCAACAGTTATGGAGGCAAAGGAAACAGGCCCTTGAAAAGAAGGTAATGTGGAGTGGGTAGCCTTCGTATTGATTAAGAAGGGGACGGACTTGACCTCCACTGTGAGAGTCACCTAAAGCATCTGTGATGGTCCAGGAAGCTTCCGAGGCAATCAGGCAGCGTCGATCGTCAGCCGCTAAGCCAAGAAGATCTGGGAAGGAGTCAGAGAGCCTTGGGCCAGAGTTCCAGGGGCTCTGGGAGTGGCTGCCAGGTGAGTTGAACAGTCCAATTTCCAGTGGGGTCCTGCACAGATGGGACATGGCTTAGGAGGAATCCCGGGCTGCGGGCATTCCTTGGCCCAGTGGCCAGATTTCCGGCACTTGTAGCAAGCTCCTGGGGGACGCAGGCCTGGAGGAATGCCTGGCCGCCGCAGTTCAGGCATTTGGAAGTTCTTCTGTGCTGGAGATATGGCTGGGGTTTGTCTCACAGTGGAGGCAAGGAATTGCAACTCAGAAATATGTTGCTACTTGGCTGCCTCTACCCTAACATTGTACACCTTTAAGGTGAGTTTAATTAAGTCCTGTTGTGGGGTTTGGGGGCCGGAATTTAATTTTTGGAGCTTTATTTAATGTCGGGAGCAGATTGGGTAATAAAATAAAATGCATGTTGAGAATAAGACGGCCTTCTGACCTTTCAGGGTCTAGGGCTGTAAAGCATCTCAGGGTTGCTGCCAAACGAGCCACAAACTGGGCTGGGTTTTTATATTCGATGAAAAAGAGCCTAAATGCTAACTGATTTTGGGAGAGGTCAGATAAAGAAACAGAAGCATTAGCCTTGACTATGCCTTTAGCTCCAGCCATCTTTTTAAGAGGAAATTGCTGGGCAGGTGGGGGAGGGCTAGTCGCAGAATGAAACTGTAAGCCAGACCGGGTGTGAGGAGGGGAGGTGATTAAAGGATTATAGGGTGGTGGAGCAGAGGCTGAGGAAGAATTGGGACCTGGCTCGGCCTGGCGGGGAGCAGCCTGGGGAGGAGGGGAGAGGTCAGATGGGTCTGTAGAAAAGGAAGATTAGAAAGACTCAGCCACACTTGGGGTTGGGACTGAGAGGACAGGTGGGAGGGAAAGAAGGAGGATTTGGGATGAGTCGCATTGGGAACAGAGACTACAGAGGGAACAATGTATAAAAGAATGCCTGGACGTCAGGCACCTCAGACCGTTTGCCCATTTTACGGCAATAATTATCTAGATCTTGTAGGATGGAAAAATTGAAAGTGGCATTTTCTGGCTATTTGGAACCACTGTCGAGTTTGTATTGGGGTCAAGCAGCATTGTAGAAGAAAATAAGGTGTTCAGGTTTTAGGTCAGATGTGAGTTGAAGAGGTTTTAAGTTCTTGAGAACACAGGCTAAGGGAGAAGGAGGAATGGAGGGTGGAAGGCTGCCCATAGTGAAGGAGGCAAGCCCAGAGAAAAGAGAGTAGAGACACGGAGAGAAGGGGTTGGGGGGTGCTTGCCCCCCAGGAAAGTGGAGAAGGGGTAGAGACACGGAGAGAAGGGGTCGGGGGTTCCTCCCCACCAGAGAAGCAGTACTTTCTGCTAAGGGTGAAGGACCAAGGCAGGTGTCTCCACGTGGTCAGACACCTCTGAAACGTGGGTGAATAATCAGGCAGGTGTCCCTGCAATGATTAAACACCAAGGGAAGGCTGCCTTCTGGAGTCCGTGACCGGCACCAGAGTTTTGAGTCCATGGATAAAATGCCTCTCCTTTGTCTCTACCCGAAAAGGAAAGGAACTGAAATTAAGAGAAGGGAGAGACTGAAGTGTGGCACTAAGATTAAAAGGAGAAAGAGGTTGAGGGATAGTGAGAGAGGTTGGAGAAGAGAGTAAAAAAAAGGTTGCTTACTAGATTTAAAATTGGTGAGATGTTCCTTGGGCTGGTTAGTCTGAGGACCAGAGGTCATAGGTGGATCTTTCTCTCAGAGCAAAGAGTAGGAGGAGAGGGGATTGATCTCCCAAGGGAGGTCCCCTGATCCCAGCCATGGCGCCAAAATTTCACTTGTGTCCATGTGAAGAGACCACCAAACAGGCTTTGTGTGAGCAGCAAGGCTGTTTATTTCACCTGGGTGCAGGCGGGCTGAGTCTGAAAAGAGTCAGCAAAGGGAGATGGGGTGGGGACATTTTATAAGATTTGGGTAGGTAAAGGAAAATTACAGTCAAAGGGGGTTGTTCTCGGTGGGCAGGGTGGGGGGGTCACAAGGTGCTCAGTGGGGGAGCTTTTGAGCCAGGATGAGCCAGGCAAAGGAATTTCACAAGGTAATGTCCTCAGTTAAGGCAGGAACAAGCTATTTTCACTTCTTTTGTCATTCTTCTGTTACTTCAGGCCATCTGGATGTATACGTGCAGGTCACAGGGGATGGCTTAGCTTGGGCTCAGAGGTCTGACAATCACCTTCTAATTTTCCTCCCTATCTCCTTCCCTGCCTCCATCCTGCCTTTGTTTTCTTCACCCCCTTATTTCTTTTCTCTCCAGGAACGCTGACTTAGCACCTTATTTTGCCTGTCACTTTACTAGACCCTGTGGACTTTGCAAAAGTAGATGAGACAAATAACGATCTAGCTGAGAGTGTTGCCATTTATTTGAGGAAACAGGCATGATCACATGGAAGAGTTAAAACAGTCTTGGAACAATGTGCATTCCAGTGTAGAAATGTCTCGCAGAGATGGTCCTTCTAGATGATTTCTGATCTCTTTAGAGAGTCAGTGTGTCTCATACTTGTTACGTTTGCATAGGCTCTTTTCCAGTAAAAAAAAAGGAAATTAGTTTATTGCTCTGTGTGTGTGTGGTGAGAGAGCTTTTATTTAAAAATGCATATATTAGGGGTGTTTCAGGTACTTGTTGCTACCCTTAACTTAGCTATTGCTTTAGCAAGTCAAATTTTCTTATATTACCCTCTGTAAAGACATTTCTGTTCTCAGCCTATGAGCCAAGTCATGTGACACTGAATGATTGCTGAATAAGCCTTGAGCCCTGGGTCAGGCATTCTGAGGTTCACAAAAGAAAACCTACCCAGTGGCCTATTTTATGAACCCTTGGTTCATTCCAGGCAAAGCTTCCCATGAGGTCTCTGCACTCTCCTCTGGCTTGATCTCTAGTGAAAACTTCCTAGGCAGCCTGCGTCCTACTGGGTCTACTCACCTAGAGGGCTTCTGTCTGCTTTCAGTAATTAGGGCAAGACAGCTGACACAGATCTACCTGGGAATTACCAGTCTCCCTTGCACACTCTCTGGCTTCCCCAGGCACTGTGCCTGGGAATTAACCTCCCATTATATCATTCAGAAGGCAGGTGGCTCATGATGCCATCTTCTAGCATGACTGACCTGAGGTGCTCTGAAGAAACCTGGAGGCTGACAGTGTCAGACAGGAATAATGAGTACAGGAAAAGAGCCCTCAGGAATTACCTCAGGATGCTGCCCAGCTCCTCCCACTCCAGCTTCTCAACACATCCTAGAGAAGCAATTAGCACTGGGAGGTGATGGAGAAGCAAGGCTGTGTGCAGGAACCGGCTGCCCGATTTAGCAAATGAGAGGTGGGGGCTATCTCCCATGCAGAGATAGCCGTATTTGGGAGAATCGTTACCTGGAGAGAAACAGACTTCTACCTTTTCCTAGGAAGTCTATGACCTATGATTTCTTAGAAATGGTATTTTTTTTTTCTTCAGAGGAAGGAGTTGAGTTTACAGTAGATTTTGAATGTGGCTGTAATAAAACGGCCTTTAAATTTTAGAATTTGTGTGAAGAAATCTATTATATGCCTCCCTAAACCCCAATTTCCTTTTCTGAGTTGTGGGTTTTGGGAGCTTTAATTTTTGGGGTCTAGTTCTCCATTTTAATAAGGCAGGAATAAAACCCACTGGCACCTCATAGCTTGTAACAGCTCCCAGCAGGATGAGGGGAGGCTGAGCTGCCAGGTTTCAAATGTGGGCTGCGCTTAGGTATCCTGAAGCCTGTCAGTCATACATACCACAGTCGCAGAGGGAAGTCAGCAGTGGTATGCAAGTCTCAGTGGGAGAAACAACTTTTAGAAAATGTATTTATATTTTCCCCTTATCTAGGTGCTTTTTCTGTTGTTGAAGCAGAGACTCTGAGACACATGATTTTCAGATTTAGTAAGTAATTAAAATTTTTCTCAATTTCACGGGCTAGGCATGTGCTGCCAAGCAGCATCAACAACCAACTGATCTATGCATTAATCATTTTTTAAACTAGCTTTAGTTGAGCTAATAACATTCTATATGCCAAACTCTAGACATTGACCTATAAAAAGTTTACTCGTTACATTCAAGGTACTCTGAATCATTTGGGTAAAACTCTGAATCGTTTGGGTAAAACGTGTAACAAAACTTATTGTAATTGATATAATGTGTATTGTGACAGAAGTGTTATCTAATTATTATTTAACAAAACAGATGCAAGGAGGCAAGGTCTTTCCGGGCAAAGAGAGGAGCACGTGGAAAGGAATGGAGATACATATGTGCAAATGGCATGTTCCGCTCACTATTACAGAGGGGAAGGGCAGTGAGTGGGACTGAAAACGCAGGTGAGGACAGATATTTAAGGAACATGCCATGCTACAGAGTATGGATTTATTCTGAAGTTAACATTTATATAAGAATAGTAAGCAGATGTAACTGGTTTGATATATTTCACTATCTTGGAGTACAGATAAGATTGCAACAAAAGAATAAAAATATCCTAGCAATGTTTTAGGATACATACTGGAAACTTCTCTGGAGGGACAGACATGAATGGGAATGGAGAGGAACACACAGGGAATCCAGCAGTGTCTTCTATATTTATTTGGTTGTTTAACACAAAGTTCTGAAGCAAGTTAGTACAGCATTAGATTTGATTAAACTGGTGATGAGTAAAGATTTGACAATAAAATAATTTTAAGGGGCTGTATCTTTTTAACATTCAAATTCACTCAAGTCTCCATTCGTGCAACATGGCAAGTGTTATAGGCTGAGTTTTATCATCTCACCAAAATTCATGTATTGAAGCCCTAATGCCTGGCACCTAAGAATGTGACTGTATTTGGAGATAGGCTCGTTGTTGTTGTTGTTGTTGTTGTTGTTGTTGTTGTTGTTGTTTGAGACAGGGTCTCCCTCTGTTGTCCAGGCTGGAGTACCGTGGTGCAGTCACGGCTCACTGAAGCCTCAGCATCCCAGAGTTCAGGTGATCCTCCTAAGTAGCTTGGACTATGCGGGACTACAGGCATGAGCCACCATACCCAGCTAATTTTTTATTTTCTGTAGAGATGGGTTTTCACCATGTTACCCAGGCTGATCTCAAATTCCTGGGCTGCCTTCCTGGCCCTCCCAAAGTGCTGGGTTTACAGGTGTTAGCCACCTCACCTGGCCTGAAAATAAGCTGTTTAAAGGGGGTAATTAAGGTAGAATGAGGTCAGTAGAGTGAACCATAATCCAATATGACTGGTGACTTTAGAAGAGGAGGATATGAGGACACAGATATCTGCAGAGGCCATGTGAGGACACAGGGAGAGGACGGCCATCTACAAGTGAAGGAGAGAGGATGCAGAATGAACTAGTCCTGTTGATACTCTGATCTCTAACTTCTAACCCCCAGAACTGTGAGAACATAAATTTCTATTGTTTAAGCCACCTAGTCTGTTGCACTTTGTTATGGCAGCCCAAGAAAATTAACACAGCAAAGGTTGTAGAGTGTCTCTCTTGGGGCTTTCTCAATACCTAGCAATTGTCTAAGAACCCCTGGGAATTATTCAGTTCAAAACAGCTGCAACTGCTTCTAGGCTAAACAAGAACTTAAGAATCAGATCTGGCCATGAGCAAATGCCAGTTTTTTGTTTACCTTGTTTCTTTTACAATCAATGGTGCAATTGAGGACTAGTGCTGCACTAGTGAACATTTCCTGATCAGATGCAGCAAAGACATCTTTACTGGTCTGAATCCCACTCCCACGAGCATTCCCTTCATTTAAAGATGCTCTAGATTGGACTTAAAAGGTCATAGTTCTTTACTCTACATTTAAGGCCCAGTCACTGTGCCTGAAGTTCTCCTCTAGGCTAAGGAGTAGTTGATAATGTCAGCCACATGCCCATTCTCATGCCTATTTAGGTCCTATTGTTGAGCCTACCTCGCCAGTCAGGCTCTCCTTCCCCTCTTGGTAGACTCCCCTTCAGTCCTTTCTGGGTCAGTGGATCTTTTGTGAAAATTAATCAATTCATGAGTAAAACTTGAACCTCAAGAAGAAAGGAGACAGCTCTTAATCCCTCCCTCTCCAGAGGCTCCTAAGTCCCTGTGCACACTTTTCTGCATTTTTCCTCATACCACAGTTCTGCTTATCCAGGGTATTAGGTGCCTAGCTGCTTTACATTGGCCTAAGGAACCTGTTAAGCAAATCTCTGCCTCATAAATAGGTCTGGTTTATGGTGCTTTGCTGTTCTATCATAAAAAAAAAGTAGCTGAAGTTTTTTTTTAAATGGCAAGTTTTCTTGATTAAATTCCAAATACTCAATATAGTCATACAAAAAAGACTCACATGATCAAAACTTCCTAATTCCAAGCAGTCTCTAAATTGCCACTAACATTATCTTTTAAAAATAAAAATAATGGCAATTTCCTTTTTCATTGCTTACAGGACACAATCTAAATTATTTCTCAACTCGGCTCCAACTAAAAACAAAGGAACACGACAAACAAATTTCTACTCCTCTTTAAAGGTTCAGCTCAAGTATTCACTGCCATTTATATGCTCCCAAATAAATTGACTCATACTTGCTTCTTTGATTCCTCATTATTTTTCTGAAGTTTGTCTACTCTACTTATAAAAGGAAAGCCAGGAGCTCTTCTTTTTTCATCTTAACAACCACAAAGCATAGCATAGTGTTGGCACATAGCAAATAAATAAATAAATGGAATAGATATTTGTAAAGTATTGCTGATTGCAATGTGGATTATATCTTAGATGTGTCTTTAAAGTTTCATCCCCCAAAAAGCAGAGAATCAAAGTAAAAATAATAAGCCATTTAAGCAAGAAATGATGTGTCTGGACTAAGGAAATAATAGTGAAGATGAAGAACTACAGATTTTGCAGATATATAATTCGTAAGACTTGGTATTTGATTGGGTGAAAGGTAGTATGAAGAAGAAAAAATGATTACCAAATGAGTTTACAGAAAATTGAGGTAAAGTTGTGTGTTCTATTTCTGATAGAACATAAGAAAACCAGTAAGTTTAGTGTGCTCAGATTATTTTTAGTACCTACTAAGTGTGAGGAAATATGTTTTGCCATTAAAGAACTCAGTCTAGTTGGAAGTGAAGACATGCATCTAAATTGATAAATAAAACTGTTAAATGGCTTAGAAAAAATATCGAATTGATAAATGATGATAAGCAAACATTATGGAGAAAAATATACCATCTACCTCCCAGAGGAAAATAAAAATCAACATTGCAATTGCGATGTGGTCTGGAACCAACTGCTCCATTGCTCTGAGCTTGGGTTCTGAAATGGTAATTAATATTTTTATTGATTTAACATCTGGACACTAGGAAAGCTGCTGATAAATTGCCTTGAGCTCACTAGGCATTGCTCAGGATTCTTTCTGCTGGGGAAAACCCCAGCTCATGCTGGTTTTTGCAGGGAAATATCTTGGGTCATGTAACTGAAAAAGCTAGAGACAATGGGATACAGAGGTAGAGTATCAGGCAAGACTCTTCAAAAAATGCCATTAATATAATAAAAAGGCAACTCACAGATGAGCAAAAAGTATTTTGTATTTTCTCTATATACATAGACAATACACACACAATACTATATTACATAACTATAAGACAATTTATACTCTCACCATATATTTTATATATCTTTATGATTGTTTATACCTTTTGGAATGAGTATTCTTACATTAATAAGAAGGCAAACAACTCAATAACAATAACAGAAGATTGAAACAGATACTTCCCAAAGAAGATATATAAGATACACAGTAAAAGTATATGCAAGTTATTATATCTTTACAATGGAATACTGAGCTATTAATAATAAGATATGAACTGATAGAGCAACCTGATGAATGTCAAAAGCATTATATTAAGTGAAAGAAGGCAGACACAAAAGACCCATACTGTATCATTTTATTTATATGATATTCTAGAATAGCAAAACAAACCTGTTGTGATAGAAAGCAGATTAGTAGTTTTCTTTAGATTAATGACAGAAATGGTAGTGGCGATTTATTACAAATGTGCCTAAAAGAGTTTTTGTGGAGGTGAGAATGTTCTATGTCTTGATTATGATGTGTTTATAAAAGTGCACTTCCAAGAGTGCTCAAACTGTACACTTAGAATGGGTACACTTTATTGTACTCAAATTATAAATTAATAAAATATATTAAAAAGTCAAAGTAATACAATTAGGGCTCTTTGGGTAAAACTACCAAATGAACAAACCACTATTATGTAATTATGCAAAGAATAAAAGGTGAAAGTATTTAATTATCTACAAAATGAAATGCTGCAGAGGGGAAATAACTTAAAAATGAAATGAACAAACTTATGAGATTATTACAGGTAAACCTATGGAAATGTATTTGAAATCCTATGCAAAAATACTATTTATCATAATTGACCCTGGTTGTAATAGAATGTTTCAACAAACTGATTGACGTATAAAATGATAAAGAATTCAAACAACTACCTGCTCAAAAATCACTCAAACTAGATGATTATGTAGGAAATTTGACCAATTCTTCAAAGACCATTCTTTTTTAAATTGTTCCAAAGCATAGAAATAAAATAAGAAAAAGTTTGAAATAAATGTAATATTGATAACTAAGCTTGACAAAGACACACACACAAAACTAGGAAATCATGTTTCCTTATGAATATTGATTCAAGAATCCTAAGTATTTGCAAATGAAACCTGCCAACAAGGTGTCAAGGAAATAATACATCATCACCAAACCATATTTGCTCTGGAGATTAAAGACTCATATTAAGAAATCTATTAATGTAAATCCTTATATTAGTATTAGGAAATATATTAATATAAATCCTTATATTAATAGTTCTCAAGTAAATAATCATTTGATTCCATTGATATGTTCCACAAAGTTCAACACAAAAGAGAAACAAGTGACCCTACCTCTATGTTGATTGATAACATATTTATATAGAAAAACTTAATCTGAGAAAATAATATTTTGAAGGTACACTCAATAAAATGTTCTAAGAAAAAAGGAAATGCACAGAAATTGTGAGCTTTATTAAGTTTTATTGGTGATGGCATTGGTATAGACATTTTAACACTGGTTTTTGTACTGTAGGATGAAAGAAAGGGTAAATATGGAATAGGAAAAGGCAAGGACAAATGCTATGGTATTGTATTTGAATTTTTGTTAGCATTAATGATTAAATACATGCAATTAAGCCATGGAAAGATTCAGAAGCAATGTTACTCTGGTAGCGATAAGTATACTTTTTCCCCAGATCTTGGCTTCTAAACATCATTTTTCACTACAAATAACTGGAATCCTTAGAGATATAACTGAATCTATGTCTTTGGCAGAGTAAGTACAAAGTGACCTTGAAACATTTTGTTGTGGCAGAGAGTAAAGGAGTATCATGAATTGAGGGTACATATCAAAATGATCCAGAATCCAGCTTAACTGGACTCCCATTATCAAAATTTGAGATGATTTGATTATTAACAATAATCATAATCTTGCTTCTAGCTATGAAGGAGTAGTTTGCATCTGACTAGTATTACAACTAAGAACAACTATAAAACCTGGATTTTAATTTTAATTTAATTTAATTTTATTATTTTTTGCTCATATGGGGACTGACAACTATAAAACCTGGATTTTTAAAAGCAGTGGTTTGAAATCATTAGAGAGAAATCAAGGCAAACAGGATTTAAGGAGCCATGATCCCAAAAGAAAAAAAAAAGGGCATTGAGGTTAGTTGTAGATCAGCACCACTATTTTTCCTCCTGAAATTTGTCAATTTGCTTCAGTGCATAAAGCAGGAGGAGAAATTTAAGTAGTCTTGCTAGAATGGGATGTCCCCAAAAATTGGAGTTCAAGACGCTTAGTCAACCAAATTTGAGGTATTCAGATCCTTACGTAAAGAAAATTGCAGAAAGAAAACTCAAGAAAATGTCTAATGTCACTTAGACTGGTTTAGATTTCTGGTCTATGTCTTTCTCCCATGCTGGACTCTTCTTGCCCTTGAATATTGGACTCCAAGTTTGTCAGCCTTGAGACTCGGACTGGCTTCCTTGCTCTTCAGCTGGCAGATGGCCTATTGTGGGACCTCGCCTTGTGATTGTGTGAGTCAGTACTCCTTAATAAACTCCCCTTTATGTATACATCTATCCTATTAGTTATGTCCCTCTAGAGAACTCTGACTAATACAGATTTTGGTATTAGTCAATGTTTCTGAGAAAAAAAATCTTAAAAGTTGTTAGAGAATAAAAACACATTACTTTCAAAGAAGCAGGTACAAGACTGGCTGTGAAGAAAAAGCATTAACTATATAAAAAGATTAATAAAATTTACTTCATTAAAATTTAAAAACTTTATTCATCAAAAGACATCATTAAAAGGATGAAGAAATTACTCATACAGTAGAGAAGATACCACTTTTTTAAAAATAAATAAGCAAAAGTCTTTGAGAGAGTTTACAAGATGACGATCCATCTGATCAAAAAAAGAGAAATGTCCTCAACATTGTTAATCAGCAGAGAAGTAAAAATTAAAACCTAGTGAGGTCCACTACACATCCAGAGAAAGTGTTATACTTAAAAAACGACATTAACAAATGTTGTCAAGGAGCTCTCATATGCAGCTGATGAAAGTATAAAGTTGGTGCAACCACTTTGAAACTATTTGTCAATATTTACCAATAATAAACACATGCAGATCTATGACTCACAATTCTACTCTCATGTGTATACTAACATAAATGTAAATTTAAACTCAACAAAGACATGAATAAGAATGTTCATAGAAGAATAAGGCAATATTGCCTCACACCAGAAATATCGTAGGTATCCAATCACAGTAAAGGTGTAAGGTCAAAGAACTCTTGAAACTCAACAGTAAAAGAAAAAAATCCAATTAGGAAACGAACAGAAGGCATGAATAGAGACATTCCACCAAAGAGGATATACAGATGGCAAATAAGCACATGATAATATGTTCAACATCAGTAGCCACTAGTGACATGCAAATTTAAACTACAATAAGATGTCATAACATATCTGTCATAATGGATAAAATTTGTTTATGATATCATCAAATACTGACAAGAATTCAGAAAAACTGGAATCAAACATTGCTGTTGGGAATGTAAACTGTTACAGCCACTCTTGAAAATAGTAGGCAATTTCTTATAAAATAAAACATACAACCACTGTAAACCCAGCATTTGTGTTCTTGGGCATTTATGCCATAGAATAAAAGCTTATGCTCACACAAAAACCAATACATAAATATTCATAACACTTACGTGTAATAACCCAAAACTGTAAACAAACTGCAAATTGTCAATGGGCAAATGGCTAACAGACAGTGATACATTCTTACCATGGAATATTACTCAGCAATTAAAAGGGAAATATACTGAGTGAAAAAAAGCGAATCCCAAATGGTTACATACAGTATAACTCCATTTATGTAACATTATTGAATTGACAAAATTAAAGATAAGGAAAACAGATTAGTGGTTGCCAGGTGTTGCGGATGTGGAAGGTAGATGTGGTTATAAAAGTGCAACACAACTGCAGGGCGCGGTGGCTCATGCTAGTAATCCCAGCACTTTGGGAGGCCGAGGTGGGCAGATCACGAGGTCAGGAGATCGAGACCATCCTGGCTAACACGTTGAAACTCTGTCTCTACTAAAAATACAAAAAATTAACCGGGCATAGTGGCGGCTGCCTGTAGTCCCAGCTACTTGGGAGGCTGAGGCAAGAGAATGGCATGAACCCGGGAGGCGGAGCTTGCAGTCAGCTGAGATTGCGCCACTGTACTCCAGCCTGGGCGACAGAGCGAGACTCCATCTCAAAAAAAAAAAAAAAAAAAAGGCAACACAACAGATCCTTGAGGTGAGAGAAATGTTCTTTACTATAATGATGGATACACAAACTTAACATAATAAAATTGCAAGAACTAAAGACACACACAGAAACACAACTGGAAACGTTGACTAAGATTGGTGGATTACTTCAATATCAATTTTTCATGGAGAAACCTGGTAAAAGGTACACAGGATCTCTCTATTACTTTTTACAAGTGCAAATCAAAGCCAATGATATATAAAATAGATAATGAATCATGAAAATTTGGGTTTTATACCAGGAATCAAAGGTTCATCAATGTGTTTCACCATGTTAATCAAATACTTTCTTTTTTTTTTCTTTTTTTTATTATTATTGTACTTTAAGTTTTAGGGTACATGTACACAACATGCAGGTTAGTTACATATGTATACATGTGCCATGCTGGTGTGCTGCACCCACTAACTCGTCATCTAGCATTAGGTATATCTCCCAATGCTATCCCTCCCCCCTCCTCCCACGCCACAACAGTCCCCAGAGTGTCACGTTCCCCTTCCTGTGTCCATGTGTTCTCATTGTTCAGTTCCCACCTATGAGTGAGAATATGCGGTGTTTGGTTTTTTGTTCTTGCAATAGTTTGCTGAGAATGATGATTTCCAATTTCATCGATGTCCCTACAAAGGACATGAACTCATCATTTTTTATGGCTGCATAGTATTCCATGGTGTATATGTGCCACATTTTCTTAATCCAGTCTATCATTGTTGGACATTTGGATTGGTTCCAAGTCTTTGCTATTGTGAATAATGCCACAATAAACATATGTGTGCATGTGTCTTTACAGCAGCATGATTTATAATCCTTTGGGTATATACCCAGTAATGGGATGGCTGGGTCAAATGGTATTTCTAGTTCTAGATCCCTGAGGAATCGCCACACTGTCTTCCACAATCATTGAACTAGTTTACAGTCCCACCAACAGTGTAAAAGTGTTCCTATTTCTTCACATCCTCTCCAGCACCTGTTGTTTCCTGACTTTTTAATGATTGCCATTCTAACTGGTGTGAGATGGTATCTCATTGTGGTTTTGATTTGCATTTCTCTGATGGCCAGTGATGGCGAGCGTTTTTTCATGTGTTTTTTGGCTGCATAAATGTCTTCTTCTGAGAAATGTCTGTCCATTTCCTTCGCCCACTTTTTGATGGGGTTGTTTGTTTTTTTCTTGTAAATTTGAGTTCATTGTAGATTCTGGATAGTAGCCCTTTGTCAGATGAGTAGGTTGCAAAAATTTTCTCCCATTTTGTAGGTTGCCTGTTCACTCTGATGGTACTTTATTTTGCTGTGCAGAAGCTCTTAAGTTTAATTAGATCCCATTTGTCAATTTTGGCTTTGGTTGCCATTGCTTTTGGTGTTTTAGACATGAAGTCCTTGCCCATGCCTATGTCCTGAATAGTAATGCCTAGGTTTTCTTCTAGGGTTGTTATGGTTTTAGGTCTAACATTTAAGTCTTTCATCCATCTTGAATTGATTTTTGTATAAGGTGTAAGGAAGGGATCCAGTTTCAGCTTTCTACATATGGCTAGCCAGTTTTCCCAGCACCATTTATTAAATAGGGAATCATTTCCCCATTGCTTGTTTTTCTCAGGTTTGTCAAAGATCAGATAGTTGTAGATATGCGGCATTATTTCTGAGGGCTCTGTTCTGTTCCATTGATCTATATCTCTGTTTTGGTACCAGTACCATGCTGTTTTGGTTACTGTAGCCTTGTAGTATAGTTTGAAGTCAGGTAGTGTGATGCCTCCAGCTTTGTTCTTTTGGCTTAGGATTGACTTGGCGATGCGGGCTCTTTTTTGCTTCCATATGAACTTCAAAGTAGTTTTTTCCAATTCTGTGAAGAAAGTCATTGGTAGCTTCATGGGAATGGTATTGAATCTGTAAATTACCTTGGGCAGTATGGCCATTTTCACGATATTGATTCTTCCTACCCTTGAGCATGGAATGTTCTTCCATTTGTTTGTATCCTCTTTTATTTCCTTGAGCAGTGGTTTGTAGTTCTCCTTGAAGAGGTCCTTCACATCCCTTGTAAGTTGGATTCCTAGGTATTTTATTCTCTTTGAAGCAATTGTGAATAGGAGTTCACTCATGATTTGGCTCTCTGTTTGTCTGTTATTGGTGTATAAGAATGCTTGTGATTTTTGTACATTGATTTTGTATCCTGAGACATTGCTGAAGTTGCTTATCAGCTTAAGGAGATTTTGGGCTGAGACAATGGGGTTTTCTCGATATACAGTCATGTCATCTGCAAACAGGGACAATTTGACTTCCTCTTTTCCTAATTGAATACCCTTTATTTCCTTCTCCTGCCTAATTGCCCTGGCCAGAACTTCCAACACTATGTTGAATAGGAGTGGTGAGAGAGGACATCCCTGTCTTGTGCCAGTTTTCAAAGGGAATGCTTCCAGTTTTTGCCCATTCAGTATGATGTTGGCTGTGGGTTTGTCATAGATAGCTCTTATTATTTTGAGATACGTCCCATCAATATCTAATTTGCTGAGAGTTTTTAGCATGAAGCGTTTTTGAATTTTGTCAAAGGCCTTTTCTGCATCTATTGAGATAATCATGTGGTTTTTGTCTTTGGTTCTGTTTATATGCTGGATTACATTTATTGATTTGTGTATATTGAACCAGCCTTGCATCCCAGGGATGAAGCCCACTTGATCATGGTGGATAAGCTTTTTGATGTGCTGCTGGATTCGGTTTGCCAGTATTTTATTGAGGATTTTTGCATCAATGTTCATCAAGGATATTGGTCTAAAATTCTCTTTTTTGGTTGTGTCTCTGCCCCGCTTTGGTATCAGGATGATGCTGGCCTCATAAAATGAGTTAGGGAGGATTCCCTCTTTTTCTATTGATTGGAATAGTTTCAGAAGGAATGGTACCAGTTCCTCCTTGTACCTCTGGTGGAATTGGGCTGTGAATCCATCTTGTCCTGGACTCTTTTTGGTTGGTAAGCTATAGATTATTGCCACAATTTCAGCTCCTGTTATTGGTCTATTCAGAGATTCAACTTCTTCCTGGTTTAGACTTGGGAGAGTGTATGTGTTGAGGAATTTATCCATTTCATCTAGATTTTCTAGTTTATTTGCGTAGAGGTGTTTTTGTATTCTCTGATGGTAGTTTGTATTTCTGTGGAATCGGTGGTTATATCCTCTTTATCATTTTTTATTGCGTCTATTTGATTCTTCTCTCTTTTTTTCTTTATTAGTCTTGCTAGCAGTCTATCAATTTTGTTGATCCTTTCAAAAAACCAGCTTCTGGATTCAATAATTTTTTGAAGAGTTTTTTGTGTCTCTATTTCCTTCAGTTCTGCTCTGATTTTAGTTATTTCTTGCCTTCTGCTAGTTTTTGAATGTGTTTGCTCTTGCTTTTCTAGTTCTTTTAATTGTGATGTTAGGTTGACAATTTTAGATCTCTCCTGCTTTCTCTTGTGGGCATTTAGTGCTGTAAATTTCTCTCTACACACTGCCTTAAATGTGTCCCAGAGATTTTGGTACATTGTGTCTTTTTCTCATTGGTTTCAAAGAACATCTTTATTTCTGCCTTCATTTCGTTATGTACCCAGTAGTCATTCAGGAGCAGGTTGTTCAGTTTCCATGTAGTTGAGTGGTTTTGAGTGAGATTCTTAATCCTGAGTTCTAGTTTGATTGCACTGTGGTCTGAGAGATAGTTTGTTATAACTTCTGTTCTTTTACATTTGCTGAGGAGAGCTTTACCTCCATGTATGTGGTCAATTTTGGAATAGGTGTGGTGTGGTGCTGAAAAAAATGTATATTCTGTTGATTTGGGGTGGAGAGTTCTGTAGATGTCTATTAGGTCTGCTTGGTGCAGAGCTGAGTTCAATTCCTGGTATCCTTGTTGACTTTCTGTCTCGTTGATCTGTCTAATGTTGACAGTGGGGTGTTAAAGTCTCCCATTATTAATGTGTGGGAGTCTAAGTCTCTTTGTAGGTCACTCAGGACTTGCTTTATGAATCTGGGTGCTCCTGTATTGGGTGCATATATATTTAGGATAGTTACCTCTTCTTGTTGAATTGATGCCTTTACCATTATGTAATGGCCTTCTTTGTCTCTTTTGATCTTTGTTGGTTTAAAGTCTGTTTTATCAGAGACTAGGACTGCAAACCCTGCCTTTTTTTGTTTTCCATTTGCTTGGTAGATCTTCCTCCATCCTTTTATTTTAAGCCTATGTGTGTCTCTGCATGTGAGATGGGTTTCCTGAATACCGCACACTGATGGGTCTTGACTCTTTATCCAATTTGCCAGTCTGTGTCTTTTAATTGGAGCATTTAGCCCATTTACATTTAAAGTTAATATTGTTATGTGTGAATTTGATCCTGTCATTTTGATGTTAGCTGGTTATTTTGCTCGTTAGTTGATGCAGTTTCTTCCTAGTCTCGATGGTCTTTACATTTTGGCATGATTTTGTAGCAGCTGGTACCGGTTGTTCCTTTCAATGTTTAGCACTTCCTTCAGGAGCTCTTTTAGGGCAGGCCTGGTGGTGACAAAATCTCTCAGCATTTGCTTGTCTGTAAAGTATTTTATTTCTCCTTCGCTTATGAAGCTTAGTTTGGCTGGATATGAAATTCTGGGTTGAAAATTCTTTTCTTTAAGAATGTTGAATATTGGCCCCCACTCTCTTCTGGCTTGTAGAGTTTCTGCCGAGAGATCCGCTGTTAGTCTGATGGGTTTCCCTTTGAGGGTAACCCGACCTTTCTCTCTGGCTGCCCTTAACATTTTTTCCTTCATTTCAACTTTGGCGAATCTGACAATTATGTATCTTGGAGTTGCTCTTCTCGAGGAGTATCTTTGTGGCATTCTCTATATTTCCTGAATCTGAATGTTGGCCTGCCTTGCTAGATTGGGGAAGTTCTCCTGGATAATATCCTGCAGAGTGTTTTCCAACTTGGTTCCATTCTCCCTGTCACTTTCATGTACACCAATCAGACGTAGATTTGGTCTTTTCACATAGTCCCATATTTCTTGGAGGCTTTGTTCATTTCTTTTTATTCTTTTTTCTCTAAACTTCTCCTCTCGCTTCATTTCATTCATTTCATCTTCCATCGGTGATACCCTTTCTTCCAGTTGATCGCATCGGCTCCTGAGGCTTCTGCATTCTTCATGTAGTTTTCGAGCCTTGGCTTTCAGCTCCATTATCCCCTTTAAGCACTTCTCTGTATTGGTTATGCTAGTTATACATTCTTCTAAATTTTTTTCAAAGTTTTCAACTTATTTGCCTTTGGTTTGAATTTCCTCCTGTAGCTCGGAGTAGTTTGATCGTCTGAAGCCTTCTTCTCTCAGCTTGTCAAAGTCATTCTCTTTCCAGCTTTGTTCCGTTTCTGGTGAGGAACTGCATTCCTTTGGAGGAGGAGAGGCGCTCTGCTTTTTAGAGTTTCCAGTTTTTCTGTTCTGTTTTTTCCCCATCTTTGTGGTTTTATCTACTTTTGGTCTTTGATTATGGTGATGAACAGATGGGTTTTTGGTGTGGATGTCCTTTCTTTTTGTTAGTTTTCCTTCTAACAGACAGGACCCTCAGCTGCAGGTCTGTTGGAGTTTGCTAGAGGTCCACTCCAGACCCTGTTTGCGTGGGTATCAGCAGCGGTGTCTGCAGAACAGTGGTTTTTCTTGAACCGTGCATGCTGCTGTCTGATCGTTCTTCTGGAAGTTTTGTCTCAGAGGAGTACCAGGCCGAGTGAGGTGTCAGTCTGCCCCTGCTGGGGGGTGCCTCCCAGTTAGGCTGCTCAGGGGTCATGGGTCAGGGACCCACTTGAGGAGGCAGTCTGCCCATTCTCAGATCTCCAGCTGCATGCTGGGAGAACCACTGCTCTCTTCAAAGCTGTCAGACAGGGACATTTAAGTCTGCAGAGGTTACTGCTGTCTTTTTGTTTGTCTGTTCCCTGCCCCCAGAGGTGGAGCCTACAGAGGCAGGCAGGCAGGCCTCCTTGAGCTGTGGTGGGCTCCACCCAGTTGGAGCTTCCCAGCTGCTTTGTTTACCTAAGCAAGCCTGGGCAATGGCGGGCGCCCCTCCCCCAGCCTCGCTGCCGCCTTGCAGTTTGATCTCAGACTGCTGTGCTAGCAATCAGCGAGACTCCATGGGCGTAGGACCCTCCCAGCCAGTTGCGGGATATAATCTCCTGGTGCGCCGTTTTTTAAGGCCGTCAGAAAAGCGCAGTATTCAGGTGGGAGTGACCCAATTTTGCAGGTGCCGTCTGTCACCCCTTTCTTTGACTAGGAAAGGGAACTCCCTGACCCCTTGTGCTTCCCAGGTGAGGCAATGCCTCACCCTGCTTAGGCTCGCACACGGTGCACGCACCCACTGACCTGCGCCCACTGTCTGGCACTCCTTAGTGAGATGAACCCAGTACCTCAGATGGAAATGCAGAAATCACCCGTCTTCTGCGTCGCTCACACTGGGAGCTGTAGACTGGAGCTGTTCCTATTCAGCCATTTTGAGATCGTTATCTCAAATACTTTCTTAATGGATGCAAAAAAAAACTTTGACAAAAGTTAATATGCACCACAATTTAAAAAAAACTCAGAAAACTAGAAATAGAAAGGAAACTTTCTCAAGCTAGTAAAGAATATCTATAAAATCTTCGTTTATTTTATTTTAATGGTCTGATTGTTATCAAAAATATTTTTGAATTAATGCATGAATTTAGCAAACTCAGTGTCAATTTAAAAAATGTGAGGTCATTGCGCAAAAATCAATTGTATTTTTATATATAAACATTGAACTGAAAAATGAGTATCCAGGCCAATTATGTAAAATGTCTCACAATTTAGATTTGCCAGCTTTGTTATCTCGAGATTTGATTCAGATTATATATTTTTGACAACCACCTGAATATCCTATTCTCCAATTAACTTTCACCTGTTGATTTTAGTACCAATTAATGATTTCTCTGAATCAATTATTACTGTGGTGGTTGTAAAATGGCTTTTGAAAACTTCTGCATTTACTAGTTGTCATTCTTCTATAAACAACACTTTTCCTATAAGAATTTTAGAAGAAAACGGCCGGGTGCAGTGGCTCATGTCTGTAATCCCAGCACTTTGGGAGGCTGAGGCGGGCGGATCATGAGGTCAGGAGTTTCATTTCTTTTCCTTTTTTTTTTTTTTTTTTTTTTTTTGTGACAGAGTCTCGCTCTGTAGCCCAGGCTGGAGTGCAGTGGAGCGATCTTGGCTCACTGCAACCTCCGCCTCCCGGGTTCACACCATTCTCCTGCCTCAGCCTCCTGAGTAGGTGGGATTACAGGTGCCCTCCACCACGCCCAGCTAATTTTTTGTTTTTTTAGTGGAGACGGGATTTCACTGTGTTAGCCAGGATGGTCTCGATCTCCTGACCTCGTGATCCGCCAGCTTCGGCCTCTCAAAGTGCTGGGATTACAGGTGTGAGCCAGCGCACCTGGCTGTTGTGTTGCATTTTTATAACCACATCTACCTTCCACATCCCCAACACCTGGCAACCACTAATCTATTTTCCATATCTTTAATTTTGTCAGGAGTTTAAGACCAGTCTGACCAACATGGTGAAACCCTGTCTCTACTAAAAATACAAAAATTAGCCAGACGTGGTGGTGCGTGCCTGTAATCCCAGCTACTCAGGAGGCTGAGGCAGGAGAATAGCTTGAACCCAGGAGGCAGAGGTTGCAGTGAGCCAAAATCGCGCCATTGCACTCCAGCCTGGCGACACAGCGAGACTCCATCTTTAGAAGAAAACATAGGAAACACCATTCTGTAGATTGGCCTTTGGAAATGATTTATGAGTAAGTCCTCAAAATCACCTGCAACAAAAAAATTGACAAATGGGACCTAATTAAATGAAAGAGCTTCCACACAGCAAAATAAACTGTCAATAGAGTAAACAGACAGCCTACAGAATGGGAAAAAATATTAGTAAACTATGCATCTGACAAATGTCTAATATCCAGACTCTATAAGGAATTTAAATAATTGAACAAGCAAAAAACACACAGCCCCATTAAAAAGTGGGCAGAAGACTGAACACTTTTCAAAAGAAGACATATAAGTAGCCAACATACATATGAAAAAAATGCTCCATATCACTTATTATCAGAAAAATCCAAATCAATACCACAATGAGGCATCTCACACCAGTCAGAATGGCTATTATTAAAAAGTCAAAAAACAACAGATTTGGCAAGGCTGCAGAGAAAAGGGAACACATACACTGTTGGTGAAAATATAAATGAGTTCAGCCACTGTGGAAAGTAGGTTAGAGATTTCTCAAAGAGCGTAAAGCAGAGCTACCATTTGACCTAGCAATCCCGTTACTCGGTATATACCCAAAGGAAACTACATCATTCTACCAAAAAGACACATGCACTCATGTGTTCATCGCTGTACTATTCACAGTAGCAAAGACATGTAATCAAGCTAGGTGCCCATCAATGATGGATTGGATTAAAAAATGTGACTATATATAATATATATAGTTATATACATAAGTTATATACACAATATAATTATAATATATATCTCATATGTATATCACATATATGATGGAATACTACACAGCCACCTACATAGTAGGTGTAAATATGAGATATATGCGATATTTTGGTTGAGGCATACAATATGTAATAATCGCATCATGGAAAATTGGATATTCATCCCCTGAAGCATTTATACTTTGTGTTATAAACAATCCATTTATACTCTTCTGGTTATTTCTAAATGTATGATTAAGTCATTATTGACTCTAGTCTCTCCGTTGTGCTGTCAAATACTAGGATCTATTCATTCTTTCTAACTATTTTTTTTGTGCCCATTAATCATCTCCATCTCCACCCCACCCCACACTACCTTTCCCATTCTCTGCCAACCATCCTTCTATTCTGTATCTCCATGAGTTCAATCGTTTTGATTTTTAGATCCCATAAGTAAGTGAGAACATGAGATGTTTGTCTTTCTGTGCCTGGTTTATTTCATCCAGTTCTTTCCATGTTGTTGCAAATGACAGAATTTCATTCTTTTTTATAGCTGAATAGTACTACATTACACATTTTCTTTATTCATTCATCTGCTAATGGACTCTTAGGGTGCTTCCAAATCTTGGCCATTATGAACAGAGCTACCACAAACATGGAAATGTAGATATCTCTTTGATAAAATGATTTCCTTCCTTTTGGGTATATACCCAGCAACGGAATTGCTGGATCACGTGGTAGCCCTGTTTTCAGTTTTATGAGGAACCTCTAAAGTGTTCTTCATAGTGGTTGTACTAATATACATTCTTATCAGAAGTATATGAGTTTCTTTTTCTCCATATCTTCCCCAGCATTTGCTATAGCCTGACTTTTGAATAAAAGCCATTTTAACTGGGGTGAGGTGATAGTTCATTATAGTTTTGATTTCCATTTCTCTGATGATTAATGATGTTGAGCACCTTTTCATATCCCTGTTTACCATTTGTATATCTTCTTTTGAGAAATGTCTATTCAAATCTTTTGCCCATTTATTTTATCAAATTATTAGAGTGGTTTGAGCTCCTTTATATTCTGGTTATTACTAATCCCTTGTCAGATGGGTAATAGGTAAATATTTTCTCCCATTCTACTGGTTATCTCTTCACTTTTTTGAGTGTTTCCTTCACTATGTAAAAGCTTTTTAGGTTGATGTGATCCCATTTGTTCATGTTTGCTTTAGTAGCCTGTGCTTGTGGGGTATTGCTCAAGAAATTTTTGCCCAGATCAATGTCCTGGAGAGTTTCCTCAATGTTTTCTCACAGAAGTTTCATAGTTTGAGGTCTTAGATTTCAGTATTTAATTCATTTTGATTTGATTTTTGTATAAGGTGAGAGATATGGATCAAGTTTCATTCTTTTATATAGGGATATCCAGTTTTCCCAGCATCATTTATTGAAGAGATTGTATTTTTTCTGATGTATGTTCTTGGCACCTTTGTCAAAAATGAGTTTACTGTAGGTGTTTAGATTTGTTTCTGGGTTCTCTATTCTGTTCCTTTGGTCTATGGGTCTGTTTTTAAGCCAGGACCATGCTGTTTTGGTATAGCTCTGTAGCACAATTTGAAGTCAGGTAATGTAATTCCTCCAGTTTTGTTCTTTGTGCTTAGGATAGTTTTGGCTATTCTGGTCCTTTTGTGATTCTATAGAAATTTTAGTATTTTTTTTTCTATTTCTGTGATGAATGTCATTAGTATCTTGATAGGGAATTAATTGAATCTGTATATTGCTATGGGTAATATGGACAGTTTAACAACATTGATTCTTCCAGTCCATTAACATGGAATATATTTACTTTTTTAGTATTCTTTTAGATTTTTATCAGTGTTTTGTAGGTTTTTTTTTTGTAGAGAGCTTTCACTTCTTTCATTAATTCCTAGATATTTAATTTTATTTGTTACTATTATAAATGGAAAAACATTTTTTATTACTTTTCAGATTTTTGCCTTTGGGATATAGAAATATTACTGATTTTGTATGATGTTTTTGTATCCTTACAACTTTACTTAATTTTTTAAAATATTAACTAACATTTTTCTCTCATTTTTTTTAACTTTTATGTTTAGGGGTACAAGCTCAAGTTTATTACATAGGTAGGCTTATGTCATCAGGGTTTGTTGTACAGAGTATTTTGTCACACTCAGTTATTAAGCCTAACACCCATTAGTTCTTTTTCCTGATCCTCTCCTTCCTCTCACTCTATACCCTCCAAAAGGCCCAGTGTGTGTTGTGCCCCTCTGTGCGTCCCTGTGTTCTCATCACTTAACTCCCACTTATAAGTGAGGACATGAAGTATTTGTTTTTCTGTTCCCCCCAAAATATAAATCATTGTATTATAAAGACACATGCATGCATATGTTCATTGCAGCACTGTTCACAATAGTAAAGACATGGAATCAACCTAAATGCCCATCAACTATAGACTGGGTAAAGAAAATGTGGTACACATACACCATGGAATACTGTATGGCTATAAAAAAGAATGATATCATGTTCTTTGCAGGGAGATGAGTGGAGCTGGAGGCCATTATCCTTAGCAAACTTTACTGAATTTGGTTATCAGTTCTAATAGTTGTTTTTTTTTTTTTTTTTTTTTGTGGGGTCTTTAGGTTTTTCCAAATACAGAATCATGTCATCTGCAAATAAGAATAGTTTGGCTTCTTCCTTTCCAATTTGGATGCCGTTTATTTCTTCTTCTTGTGTGATTGCTCTAGCTAGAATTTCCAGTACTATATTGAATAACAGTGGTGAAAGTGGGCATCTTATTGTGTCCAGATCTAAGAGGAAAGATTTTCAGTTTTTCCCCATTCAGTACAATACTAGCTGTGGGTCTGTCATATACAGCTTTTATTACATTCAGATATGTTCCTTCTGTACTCTTTTTTTTTTGAGGGTTTTTTTTTAATCATAAAGTGATGTTAAATTAGTTCAAATGCTTTTTCAGCATCAGTTGAAATAATCTTGTGATTTTTATCCTTCATTCTGTTGATATGATCTATCACATTGATTGATTTGCATGTCGAGCCATCCTTACATCCCTGGGATACCACTTTGTCATGGAGAATGATCTTTCCAATGTGTTGTTGAATTCTGTTTGCTAGTATTTGTTAAGGATTTTTGCACCATCATTCATCAGAGATATTGGCCTGTAGTTTTCTTTTTTTGATGTGTCTTTATCTGGTTTTGATATCCATTTAATACTGGCTTTATAGAATGAGTTTGAAAGTATTCTCTTTCTTGGCCAGGTGCAGTGGCTCATGCCTGTAATCCCAGTACTTTGGGAGCCCAAGGTGGGTGGATCACTTTAGGTCAGGAATTTGAAAATAAAAAAAGAATACTTTTTTTTTTTTTTTTGAGATGGAGTTTTGCTCTGTCACCCAGGCTGGAGTGCAGTGGCATGATCTCAGCTCGCTGCAACCTCAGCAGTGTGAAACCCTGCCTCTACTAAAAATACAAAAATTAGTTGAGCGTAGGTCTGTAGTCTCAGCTCTTGAAAGGCTGAGGCATGAGGATCGCTTGAACCCGAGAGGCAGAGGTTGCAGTGAGCCAAGATCGTGCCACTGCACCTCAGCCTGAGTGACGGAGCAAAACTCTGTCTCAAAATAAATAAATAAATAAATAAATAAATAAATAAATAAATAAATTATCTTTCTCTATTTTTAGGAACAGTTTGAGTAGGATTAGTATTAGTTCTTCTTTAAATGTTTTGTAAAATTCAGCAGTGAAGCCAATGGGTCCTGGGCTTTCCTTTACTGGAAGACTTTTTATCATGGCCTAGATTTTATTACTTATTATTGGTCTGTTTGGTTTTTAATTTCTTCATGGTTCAATCTTGGTAGGCTGTATGTGTCTAGGAATTTATCTATTTCATCTAGACTTTTCAATTTATTGGCATATAGTTGCTGACAGCAGCCACTAATGATCCTTTGAGTTTCTGTGGTACCAGTTGTAATGTCTCCATTTTCATCTGATTTTACTTATTTGGGTCTTCTCTCTTTCTTAGTGTGGCTAAAGTTTTGTCAATTTTATCTTTTCAATAAACCAACTTTTTGTTTTGTTGATCTTTTGTATTACTTTCTTCTTTTCAAATTCATTTATTTCTGCTCTGATCTTTATTATTTATTTCCTTCTACTAATTTTGGGTTTGGTTTGCTCTTGGTTTTCTAGTTCTTTAAGACGCATCATTAGGTTATTTCTTTGAAATTTTTCCTCTTTTTTGATGTAGGCACTTTTCACTATAAATTTCCCTCTTAATACTGCTTTTGTTGTATCTCTTAGGTTTTCATATGTTCTGTTTTCATTATCATTTGTTTCAAGAAATTTTTATCAATTTCCTTCTTAATTTCTTCATTGGCCCACTGGTTGTTTGGGAGCATATTGTTTAATTTCCTTATGTTTTTATCATTTCCAAAAGTCCTCTTGTTATTGATTTCTAGTTTCATTCGATTGTGTTCAGAGAAGATGCTTTATATTATTTCAATTTTTTAATGTTTTAACACATTTGTGACCTAATATATGGTCTGTTCAAGGGAATAATCCATGTGCTGAGGAGAAAAATGTGTGTTCTGCAGCCATTGGATGAAATGTTCTGTAAATATCTATTAAGTCCATCTGTTCTGTAGTGCAGATTAAGTCCGATGTTTCTTTGTTGAGTTTCTGTCTGGGATACCTGTCTGGTGATGAAAGTGGGGTGCTGAAGTCTTCAGGTATTATTGTATTGGAGTCTATTTCTCTTTAGCTCTAATAATAAATGGTTTATATATCTGGGTGCTCCAGTGTTGGGAGCGTATAAATGTATAATTATCATATCATCTTGCTGAATTGACTCCTTTATCATTATATAATGACCTTCTTTGTCTCTTCTTACAGTTTTTGTCTGGAAATCTATTTTGTCTGATATATGTAGAGCTACTTCTGCTCTTTTTTGGTTTTCATTGGCTCTTTTTCCATGTCTTTATTTTCAGTCTATGTGTGTCTCTATTGGTGAAGTGTGTTTCTTGTAGACAAGAGATCATTGGGTCTTGATTTTATCTATTCAGCTCCTCTATGTCTTTTCATTTTATATACCCTGATACAAATGGCCAAAGTTACTTGTCAATATCTTCAGTTAGAGAACCTTTGAGGGTAAGGCCTACATTCAAGTTGTCTCAAAGACTCATTTACCTCTGCTCTCTCTAACCCATTTCATATATACTCATTAAATGAGAACCATACACCAGGCACTGGTCTATGTGTATGTCTACAGTGCTGAATTAGAGAGAAGTTCATGATTCAAAGACCTGTGTGTTTGGAGGAGATAGACCACAAACATTTATATTAAGTACTATCATATGGATAATTCTAGGACCGAAAAAAGAGAAAATTGAGGTGATATTTTAGATAGGTCATACAAGACTCATAGGGAAGGTTATATTTGGGCAGAGACTGAATGAAGTGAAAATGAGTGTCATAAATTTTCTGTTAAATATCATCTTAGTAGAGAAGGCTGTAACATAAAGAGACTGAAGTAGGAGTGCATCTGGGAGGTATTCAAAGAGTAGGAGAAACAGGGAGGCTGATAGAATATGAGTTCAGAGAAGTACATAGGGGCTGTATTTTTCCTTGTGAGCCATTTTAAGAACTTTAGATGGGAGGCATTTTGAGTGTTGATAGCAGGGAATGATATTATATGATTTACATTTTAAAGGATTCCATTTATTGCTTGGGATTAAGGAGAAAAGGTGGAAACAGAATAGCTAGAAGGCTATTGCAAGTTGCAGGGGTCCTGGCAACCATTATGCCTTAGAGCAGTGTGGTGGTAGCAGAAATGGTGAGAATGAATTGGACTCTGGGTGTATTTCACAGAGAAAGCTGAGAGGATGTGCTGGCAGATTGGATGTGCATTTCTATGAAAGAAAAAAAGTCATAGATGACTCTAAGATATTTGATCTGTGGAACTTGGTCAATTATGGTACCATTTACAAAGATAGAGAAACTAGGGATGGAGCAGGTTTGTGGTATAGGTGGAAAAATTTTAAAAACTGAGTTACCTGTTAATCATCCAAGTGAAGGTGTATTTCCAGTTTATGGAAATCAGTTAGGAAAAGAGTATAGTGTGGTTAGAGAAGAGAAGAGGAAAAAAAATATGAATTGCAGAGTACTTCATTTTTTAGAAGATAAAAATAATTCATCAAAGAAAATAGAAAAGAAGTGGTCAGTGAGGTAGGAGGGAAATGGAAAAAAATGAAATGTCCTTCCAAAAATAAAAAAAATTGTTTTAAAAATGGGAATAATTGAGTATATCAATGTTGCTGTTGAGTGAAATGCAGTCAGTTCTTCATCTGTGGGGGTTCCTCATCTTCAGATTCAACCAATCAATCTCTGATTGAAATATTTAAATAAACAATAACAATTTAAAAATACAAATTCTAAAGATGTAACAACTATTTAGCATTTACATTGTATTAGATATTATAAGTAAGCTAGAGATGATTTAAAGTATGTATATGGAGGTTATATGCAAATATTACACAATTTTATATAAGAAACTTGAACATGATAGATTTTGGTAGCTGCAGGGGTCCTGGAACCAATCCCCCATGGATACCAAGGGATGGCTCTAATATGAGAACTGAGAATTTGCTATTGTCGCTGCTTTCTGCTAGGGACAGAGACATGTCAGGAGTAGGTTCAAAATGAGAAATGGAGACAATGGATACAGAAAACTCTTTTGAGGTGTTTTGCCATAAAGGAAAATAGATAAATGGGGTTATTGTAGAAGAGAGATGGAAGGATAAAGGGAGGATTTTCTTTTAAAATCAGAGCTATTTCACTATGTTTGAATGGTAGTGGGGGGAATTCAGTAGAGAGAAAAGATGATGTGGGAAAAGGGTGGACAATGCTAGAGAAATATCCTTAAATGAGAAGCACGTGCTGCAGTACTAAATTTAAGAGTTGACTTTTGATAATAACAGGTCTAGCAGTAAGTGTATACGGGTACAGACTGGCTCAGTGAAATAAGAAGCAGGGTTATTAGCTGGCAGAAAAAAGTTGATAGGGGAAGGTGAAGGTCTGTGCATTACTCCGTTTTTACGCTGCTGGTAAAGATATACCGAAGACTAGGCAATTTACAAAAGAAAGAGGTGTAATGGACTCACAGTTCTTTGTGGCTGGGGAGGCCACACAATCGTGGAGGAAGGTGAAAGGCATGTCTCATACGGCGGCAGACAAGAGAAGAGAGCTTGTGCAGGGAAACTCCCCTTTACAAAACCATCAGATCTCATGAGACTTATTCACTGTGACAAGAATAGCATGGGAAAGACATGTCCCCATGTTTCAATTACCTCCTACCAGGTCCCTCCCACAAGTGGGAATTACCAGGGCTATGATTCAAGATGAGATTTGGATGGGGACATAGCCAAACCATATCAGTCTGAAAAAGAGGAAATCACAGGGAATTGCGGTGACCTTCCTCTTTATAAAATATATATTATATATATATATAATATATATTATATATATATATAAAATACAATTTAACAAAAGATCTGGGTAACATATAGAGACAGAGCTGAAATTGTCCAAGGCTGTTGAAAGCAGGGGTCTTAAAACAAATGCAGATTTCAAGGGAGTTATAAAGAAGCCAGTGTAAGACTAGGGTACGTAATAGTTAATCAGCAAAATATGAATCATAGCATAATAAGAAAAGAACTAGAGACAGATGTCCTTGAGACCCATGAATAGTAGCTTTATATGCACATTTTTAAAATTGTGAATAAATATAATGAAGAAGTGGATTATACGACCTTAGAAATTATATAACTCCTCTCTCTCTCTCTCTTTGCGTTTGTGTGTGTGTGTGTGTATGTGTCTATATATTATATATCCTTTATTACCAACTAATTTGAGAATATGATGAGATCACTAAATGGATTTTCTCCACTGAAAAGTACATTTATGCACATAGGTACAATATCATACATGAAGTATTCACAGACCAATGGATAAGAATTCTGATCCTACCCCTAAATGTATTCTGAGTAAACTGACCTTTCCTCTCTCATGTCCATGGTTGTGTATTTCATCCTCTCTGCTTGCAGTGCTTATCTTCATTTTCTCACCTACCAAGCTGCTGCTCCTCCTTCAAATTCGAAGTTAAGCTTTGCCTTGTCTGTGAAGCTTTTTATGACTCTTAAGAAACCCTAGGGGCACCTTCTTCCAAGTGTCTGATCTTTCCCTATTAACATTTATCATTTTGCTTTGTAACTGTTGGTTTGCAAGTCTGCTTAATCCATCCTGCTGTGGGTTCTTTGAAGGCAGGATTAAATCTCTTCATTTCTGAATCATTATTACCCAGATTCGTGCCCAGCAAGTTTTGAATAAATTTTGCAAATAAAGAAAAGTGAGTCCTCAAAGGGGTTAGGGGACTTAAGCAAGTCAGTGTCAGAACTAGGCCAAAACTATGGTGTTTTCTTTGCTGAGTTTAAGTTTCTCTTTATTCTGCTTGAATCTACCTGCTTTTAAGGAAGAAAACATTTTTACACCAGGAAATAGCTGATGGGGCAAAAATGGACTAAAGTGCACATTGATAGGTCATCTATAAGTATTAGTGCTCCCCCTTGTGGCATCTCAGGAAGGTGGAGGTGAAAGTGACCATGGACTTATCAAGGTCTGTTAGGAAGCAAGATGGATCTTTAGCTGGGAGAGAACATCTGTGCCCCGGCCTGTGTTCCCCCAGGAAGAAGTTAATCAGAAGATGTTTCCTTTCACCACAAGCAAAAATTATCTTTATTTCAAGTCTTCAATCATTTTCATTAGATTCCACAGGCATCTGAGTAGATTCTTTAGGCAGATATTCTGACTTACATTATTGAGAATATAAGTCCTCATTATAACCTGTTGAAATAGGTTGTCTCATTCTACTGTTACCAGGTGAGACAACTGAGGTTCAGGATGTTAAAGTAATCATTGCAAGGGTGGACAGCCTGGAGCGCTTGTCTTTGAAGTCCTCTATGTAGCATACTTTCTACCATACTCTGCCTGTTTAGACAATAAAAGTTTGGATTGCTGCAAAACAAGCTAGCTATTGTTGTTGCCAGAATTCTGTTAGCTACCAAGTAGGCAAAGGAAGCTGGCATTCAGTGGACAGCTCAGGTGCAGAAATCAAAGCTGCTTTTTTTCCCTGCTGCTTTTTTCTATATGGAGATTGCACATTGCCGAAATATTAGCTGAAGACAAGGGCTACCCCATTGGGAGGTGGTGGATATGGTGGAAGGATGGCTGAAAGTACAAGGATCTCTATCTCTGATGCACAAGCCCAGACCTCCCAAGTGGCCAGTGTTAAAGTCTTAACATTTTACTTGGAACAGAGGCTGGAGGAGAAAGGAAAAGCCTTCAGACTGTCCTCATGCAAAGGCTCCAAAGCCCAACTGGAAACATTTTTCTTCTCTAAGACTCAAGACATTTTTTTAACCGAGCCAGGAGCTTAGGAACACGCAACAGCTGATAGGGAGCTTTTAGGATGACTGGGTGCTGTCTTTACTGGCAGAGTCAAATATTAGCTTTGATTTGTAATGTTTTCGTAACTCACTTTCCTCTCCTGGAGTCTTATCCCCCTTAGTAGATCTAACAAGCATCTAAATCACCACAAGAGTATGATTAACACATTTCCATATCCTGAACCCCTGCAAGGCAATGATCAAAATAGTAGCTGATACCTATCGATCACTTATTATGTGATAGGTGCTTTACCTTCATGATGATCTCATTCAATCCTTATAGCAAACCATATTGTAGTGACCAAGACAGATTCAGAAAACTTGCCCAAGGTTACAATGAGTAGTCAGTGGATCTGAGACTAAAAGTAAACAATCTGACTCCACACTACATTACCTAATGAACTAAAAATAAAAAGAGTATCTGAGGAACTAAGTCTCCACCTGTAAGACTGCTCACTTAGTTTACTCAGCACGTTTGAGAACCATAGAAGAGAAAAGCTAAAGCTTCTCATTTCTCTCACTGTATAGCTGGTTAGATAGATGAGTAGATAGATGAGTACTAGCCCATGATCTAGCCAGCCACATACTTCTTAAGAAAAATAATGGCAATTAAATTATCACCAAGACTCAACATTGTAGAGAGATTTTATAACTGAAAAAATTTGTAAAAAAAAAAAAATACAGGCAACTGGGTGTGTTTGGTACTTTGATTTTAAGGTCGATCTATTATTGGTTACTAATTTGCTTTGATTGTCAATTTCACTTTCAGAAATTCCTGGATGTTGTGTCTCCACAACTTTCCAGAGGTTGCCACATCCATATCTGTCTTGTTTCCCACAGAAGCCCTGCCGTCCTTCACTGCTCAGTACTATTTCTAATAACATTTCCAGTAGTGCCCTGAGGGTTGTACCTCTTGTTGCCCTGGTCTCTGCCACCTGGCCTTATTGCACATCAAGAGAGGCTCAAATTTGTCCCCACCCATTCTTAAGCCAATCAGTATGCAGGTAATAAGGCCCATCAGTAAAAAGGATTGAGGAAGGATCCTCCCCAAAACACATGGTTGTCAGGGTACAAACCAGGCCTTGCCAGCAGGGTAGGTATGGGTGATGGGAGAAATTAGCAATGACCACCACCATTAATATGACTTGTTACATCCAGATTGTGGCTGTTGTAACAATCATGGAGGATAGATCTGTCTTCTAATCTCAACTCTGCCACTTCTGAACTGTGTGACTTTGAGAAAGTCATTTTGCCAGTCAGAACTTCATTTTTCTGGTCTCTTAAATTAGGATAATAATACCTACCAAATAGCCTTGTTGTATTGTAAAACAAGTAACAGACCGGGGTCATTCTGTCCTTGAAATTTTAGGATATACAGATAAGGGACACTATGATGGGTTGAGACCAGGCATATCAGGCTTTGCATCCTAATTTGCTCCACTTAGCAACTGTGTGAATTTGCAGAAATTTTTTCAACTCCCTGACCCTGTTTCCTCATCCGTAACATGCAGTTGAAACTACCTACCATATGGAGTATAGAAATAAGACAGTATATATAAGTAACTGCATTAAGACCTGGCATACAGATTATAAATCCGTTTATTTCTCCTACTAAAGTTCCCATTATTCTTGACTATTTGATACTGGAGAGCAAGAGGGGAAGAGGAGATTGTCCCTAGTAGTGCACTTGTCTTCTATCTCCCACTTAATACCATAACAATAATAGCTACTGCTACGGTCACCACTTCTAATATGACTGCTTTTACCACTAGTGCTGCTGCTGCTGCTGCTATTCTGGTATTATTTATTGAGCAGGAACTATGTAGCAATATGTAAAGGGTACTGCGATGTGCTCTTTACTGTGCTATTGATTTTAATGTCAGTATGTCTGCTTTCAATCAATTATATTGCATGGCCTTGAAAAATAGCCATTTCATTCCAGTCCTGGGTTTTTGCAGGCCAGGGTTAATGCAAGAAGCTTTCATTAGTAAACCATAAACTCTAGAAGGTGTGAATAATAGGACTTGGCCTATGCATCTTTCTTTTTATCCATCTCGGTCCTAGCACCTGCTGATGAGTCCTTCTTTGAGTGATTTCACAGTTTGTCATCCTAAGTGTTCTGGGCTCTTAGTGTTTCACTGCAGCATTTTTCAGGCAAGCATAAATCTCCAAATCTTCAGATTTTGAATCAGCTAGAACAAAATCTCAGCATTGCTTTTTATGCTATTAGTCATTCTCAATTGGTTATTTTCCTTTTGTTCCAGTCATTCTAAATGGCAAAAAAAAACAAAAACAAAAAAGCAATCATGAAGTCACATCCTTGGATGTTATTAGTAGAAAATAAAACGGCATTCACTTCTATTCTGTTGAACATATACTTACTCTGAACAAAAGAAATTGATGAACTAAAACAAACAAAATATGTTCCTCAGCCCTGCTTTAGACAGATAAGCAAGACAATTAATATCAAGGCTGTTATTTCTTTGTTCCAATTTTCTATGCCTGTTCCTAATTTATATTCTCCAAGGTATCTGAGATTAGATAACTATTAAAGTTTCATTCTGTATTATTTTTGGTATTTAGTGAAAGTTTATTACCTACAGGCCTTTTGAGATAAATAAACTTTAATGTATTACTATCCCTACAGAATGTCAGACCTGGAAAGAACCATAAGGATGAGATTTTTCTGGGACAACCATCTCATTTTGCACATGAGAAAACAGGCCCAGAGCACCCTGAGATGTGTGTGCTTTGGGAGTTCAGAGTGGACCCTCTTTGTAACACAATACTTTCTGTACACGTAGTCCTTTGTTTGAAATTCTTTTTAAATTGTGTATGCTGAGTAAGAAGTTACATTTGAGCTTTTTTAAAAATCAATTTTTTCCACTAGTGTAGTAAAGGAACACTACTATTATCAGATTCGGCTTATTTGTTCAAGCACCCACTGGGACATTGAGGAAGGACAGGAAGTATAGTGGAGGAGTTTGACTAAATATAATTGAGGAATAATCCTCTTTCCCCAGTACAAAGGAGCTTTTCAGAGGCTTATTGCTGTCCTACCTGGTTGGTTGTAATTTGCTGAGCATGTAATTTCTGTGTTAAGAGCTGTTCACAAGACAAAGGGCACAGATGGCTTTTGGGAGCCTTGTTAATTGTTGATAATTCTTCTTCACTCTAGTCCCCACCCAGAAGCCAGAAAAATATGCTACCAGGTATGCTAGCTGTTCAAGCTTAAAACTATTTTTTAATAGAAACTTTATTAGGAAAAATAATCCAGTAAGTTCCATATACTCCTTCCGTGCTTGGTTCCCACCGTCTTCCTCCCCGTTACTTACCAACAATCCTGGTCCCAGTGTCTTCCCTTCCAGTGTGGTGTCTTTTCCTGCTGCTGGCCTTATGTCCTGACACAAATGCTGAAAGTTACTTCCTCCAGTGTCCTTCCAAGTATCTGAACAGTACAGTGACTCTGTCTTTACCTGCTTCAATTGAAGAGTGAGAAGCTTCTGGTGGCTGTGTGATCGTCAGCTTCATTAATCAGTAGGTCACAGTCTAAACATTTCTCCTCACCGGTGCCATGACTCTTGGTGACCAGATTGAAAATCTGATGAGGCCCAGAGAGCAAAAGTGACTCTACCAGTGACTGGACCCCACTCATGGCAGGCCAGGATTAAGGTGGGAATCTCCTGTCCCATCTCTCAGGTGAATGTCACACTGTTTGAGACAACTTAAGGAAGGGATATAGAGAGAGTGAGTGTGCCCCATGGTAGCTTTAATCTGGCAAAGCAGAACAACACGAATGGAGCAAAAGTCTCAAAGCAAAATCTCTCACTCAAAAGACAGTGTGCCTTACTAATTAAGAACAAAGGATTTGGAGTTATGGAGGCCTATACCTGAGTCCCAGATGTGCTGCTTACCTACTGTCTGACTTGGAAACATTGTTTAACCCCACTGAACCTTAATTTTCTACCCTGTGGATGAAATCTATGATACCTACACCATGAGGTTGTCTTGAAGAACTAGAGGACATAATTTATAAAAAAGACTTAGATGAATATCTAATATGTGCAGGCCAAGATGGTAACTATTACTATCAAGATGAGCCCTGCTGCATTCTCACCCTTATTTACTCTTTTTAATTTTCTGGAAATCTTGCTATTTCAGTCATCTTTCTGAGATGCTTATCAAGGATTGGCTCTTAAGAGCACATGGCTTTGTATCAGATACAGCTATGTTTGAGTTTGGACTACAACATTTATTTACTATTTATGTTACTCTATGCAGGTCAGTCTACCTTTACAAAGCTCAGTTTTTGGACTTGTAAAATAGGAATAATACGCATACATCTTGATAGAGATGGGCCTAGTTAAAAGATTAAGTTAGATTAAATGAGACTATAAATTTTAATAAAAACAAGAACCCTATCTTATACAACGTGGTGTTCCTTGCATCTGGCAATGTGCCTTGCATATAATTAGTGCTCAATAAATAGTTGTTAAAGGAAACAATTAATAATGCATGAATACAGCTTTTAATACAGTGTCTTACACATATTAAGTGGGAACTATATCTGTCATACACCAGTTAAAATATATGCGGAGAAACAGAATTGCAGGGCCATTTAATATTTCTCTCAGTAGATACCCATCTGGAATAGCCTCTCAGACTACCAAGATGTCTCTGTAAATGACTCTGACTACTTTTTTCTTAATAAATAAATGCCAGGGAGACAAATTTCAGAGAAGGTGGAGGCAGAAGGGGTTAACAGCTGATTCTGGGCTCTCTTGTAGAGACCTCCAGACTGGCAGAATAAGTTCTGACATTTGGGAATGCTAGGTGGGTAGGTGGGAAGGGATGATACTGAAGGTTGGGAGCTTGCATGAAACAGGTGACTACGAGGAAGGTAAAAGGGTTGAGATTATGAATACCTGGCCTTAAATCCTGCCTTGAAACCTGGAAAAATCACATAGTTTTGCTCTCAACTGCCCCATTTATAAAACAGGAATAACAGTATTTGCAGGATTATCGTGAGAATTAAATGAGAGAGTGGATATAAAAGTGATTTGTAAAATACTGAACCAAAATAAGGAGTCATCCCTCCAGGATGGAACTTTGCTTACTCCATGATTCTATTCAACTCGAAATCCTGACTGAGTCCAAGTTGACCAAACCTAATTAGGTTTCCATCTTATATCATGAATGTTCTCTGGATTTTATGGGAAAAAATAGAATTCATATCAATACAGTAAATATTGATTTTATATGTTTTGAACAAAGTACTTTTTAAATTATCTGAAACCCTCCCTGACCACCCTGGCAGTCAGTTATTCATACATCTGGCAACCACATCACCTTGAACTTCTCTTTCCTCTTGATTACATTTGTTATTTGTCCTCTCTTATAGAACTTGAGCTGGAATTCTAGTGCTTTAAGAAACTCATTAAATGACTGTTGAAAGAACAAATAAATATTTTGAACTGAGAATGAAATATGTTGCCAATTATTTGGTAGACAACATACAGCATAAGTCAAGTGTGTATTACATATAAAGCATCCCTAGTCTAAAAATTTGAAATCCATACTGCACCAAAATTCAAAACTCTTTGATGGCAACATGATGTCACAAGTGGATAATTTCACACCTAACCTTATGTGATGAGTTACAGTCAAAACACAGTCAGAACCTTGTTTCATACACAAAATTATTAAAAATATTATATAAAATTACCTTCAGGCTGTCTGTATAAGGTGTATTTGAAACATTAATGAATCCTATGTTTAGATTTGGGTCTCATTTCAAAGATATCTCACTTATGTATAGGTAAATATTTCAAAGTCCAAAAAGATCTGAAATCCAAGATACTTATGGTTCTATGCATTTCTAATAAGGGATACTCAACCTGAATATATATAAAGAGCACAGACAAAATGCTCTATTATAGTCCAAAATGTGTCAGCCACAATGAAACCCCAAAGAGCTAATCTCACTGGCACTGTGGCACCCACAAAGCTATAAATTTTGATTATTTTCCTAGAGTTGACAATTGCCTAATTGTTTTACTCCTTTGGTATTTTGATCTCCTTTATTAATTTTTCCCAAGCACTTCAACAGAATCATCGAAATCTCTCAGTACTATTTATCATATTGGTAAACTCACCGCATAACTCCTTCTGGAATCCTCTATCATCATGTTACAATCTTAAGTGGTTTCTGTCTATGCCTTTCACACAGCTTCTATGCAGGATAAGTGGAAGATTTACCCTGAAACTTCTCCCCAGAATCCTCCTGAGGATTATCTGTCCCTTTCTTTTTATATCTCTTGTTTATAGATGGGATATTTTCCTTTGTGCCAGCTTATGTTTTCCTTCATGAGAAGCATATCTTCTAATAACATATTGAGAAAGAGAGATGAAGGAATGACACTTCTGAGACTGCTTGAATAGCAGTGCCTCTATTATATGCTTATGCTTGATTTTTTAGGAGGTGAGGTATAGAACCATAGATAAGAAATTATTTTCCCTTAGAATCTTATAGTATTGTTCCATTTCTGTCAAGCTTTGGCATTAATATTGAGCATTTAAAATTACCTAATTTCAGTTTCAGTGCTGATTTTTCTCTCTGGAAGGTTGTACATATTTCCTTAATATTTGATGTTCAAAATTTTCATGATGATATGTCTTGGCCTGGGTTTTTGTTTTTGTATTTTTATTGTTTTGCATTTTTGTTAGAGACCACGTTTGTTTACTCAGCAACTGTTATTTCCGCCGGGCACAGTGGTTCACGCCTGTAATCCCAGCACTTTGGGAGGCCGAGGCGGGCGGATCACGAGGTCAAGAGTTTCAGACCATCCTGGCCAACATGGTGAAACCCCGTCTCTACTAAAAATACAAAAATTAGCCGGGCGTGGTGGCAGGTGCCTGTAGTCCCAGCTACTTGGGAGGCTGAGGCTGGAGAATGGCGTGAATCCGCGAGGCGGAGCTTGCAGTGAGCCGAGATGGCGCCACTGCACTCCAGCCTGGGCGACAGAGCGAGACTCCATCTCAAAAGAAAAAAGAAAAGAAACTGTTATATCATTCCTTGACAATTTCCTTCCCAATAATCTCTCTGTTTTCTTTCTGGAGAGTATATTAGTCAGATTTCATAGATTGAACCTCAAATTCAGTATTTTTCAAACTTTATCATGCATTAGAATCACCTGGAGGCTTCTTCATACAGATTGCTGGCTTCACTTCCAGTAACTGATTAAGTTGGGATGATGGTTGAGAATTTCCTTTTCTAACAAGTGTATGGCTTACTGCTGCTAGATATCCTTTGAGAACCACTGTTCTAATGCTCTTCTTCTGGTAACTTTTGTTTTTCACATCATTTTCTTTTTTGTTCCCCTCTCGGAATTAATACCGACTCATTATTGTCTCGATTTTTGGTCAGATTTTAATTTTAGCTATAATATATTTAATTTTCTAAAGCTCTTTTGTGTTTTATGGTTAAGGGTATAATATTTTAAAAAATAGAAGTATAATTTACATACAGTAAATATAGATATCAAATGTATAATTTCAGGAGATCTGACGATTATGTACATATCTAACCAACATCCTGATCACAACATAGAATTTTTTCTTTCTTCTGAAAGTTTCCATGCCCACTGCCAGTCATTCTTCCTGCCCACATGTCACAACTCTCCTGATTTACATAACCATAGATTTGTTTGTATGTGAATTTTATATACATGGAAACATACGTTATGATCTCTTGTGTCTGACTTCTTTACTCAACGTATTTTTGAGGTTCATCCATATTGTTTCATTTACAGTGGTTCATTCCTTTGTATTGCTGAGTAGTATTCCATTATTTAAATAATATACAACTTATCTATTTTTCCAGTTGATACATTTGAGATCTTACCCCTACCCCTAGTTTTTGGCTATTGTAAATAGGGCTTTTATAAGCAATATTGTACATATATGTTGTGGACATATGTTTTTATTTCTCCTTAGAGTAGAATTTCAGGCTTGTTGGGTTAGGAGTATATTCAAACTTAAAAGAAACTGCCAAAGAGTTTCCTAAAATAGTTGTATCACCTTATGCTTTCACCAGCAATCTATAGGAATTCTTGTTGTTATGTATCTGACACTTGATGTTTTCGTTATTTTTATTTTTAGCATTTCTAGTTATTGTGAAGTGGTATTGCATTGTTATTCTAATTTGCATTTGGCTAATAATTTATAATTTAAGATTTTCTCATGTAATTTTTGATCATTTAAATATCTTGTTTGATGAAGTATCTGTCAAAACTTGTGGCAACTTATTATTGATTTGCAGAAATTATTTAGCTATTTAGGATACAAATTATCTTTCAAATATAAGTATATGTACTTTTTCTCAGACTATGAATTATTTTGTTAACAGTGTTTTTCATGAAAGTTTTAAATTATGACAGAATGAGAAAAATTAATTCTTAAGTGTATTGCTTTTTGTGTACTAAGAAATCTTTGCACCCAAATTGTAGACATTCTCCCAAATTTTTATCTGGATGGTTTATAATTTTAGTCCTCATATTTAGTTCTATAGTGTAATTTTATCTTTTTATTTATAATTTTTATATAATTGTACATATTTATGAGGAACAACAGGATGTTTTGATACATGTATAAATTGTGTAATCATCACATCAGGGTAATTAGCATATCCATCACATTAAACATTATTTCTTTGTGAGAAATTTATTATTTCTTTGTGAGATTCAAAAACCTCTCCTTTAGGTATTTTGAAATATACAATACATCAGACTATGCAATAGACTGACAGAACTTATTTTTCGTATCTAATTGTAGCTTTGTACCCATTGACCAATCTCTAACCATCACCCACCCTCACCCTAACCCTCCCCATCCTCTGATAACCACTATTCTACTCTCTACTTCTGTGAGGACAACTTCTTAGATTCCACATATTATTGAGATCATGTGATATTTGTCTTTCTGTGACTGGGTTGTTTAACTTAACATAATGTTATTCAGGTTTATCCATGTTGCTACAAATGACAGGATTTCATTTTTTATGGCTGAATAGTATTCCACTGTGTGTCTATATGTGTATATATATATTATATATACATATATATAATGTGTATATATATTATATACATATATATAATGTGTATATATATAATGTATTCTTTATCCATTAATCTGTTGATGGATATTTAGGTTGATTACATATCTTGGCTATTGTGAATACTGCAGCAATAAACATGGATGTGCAAATATCTCTTCAACATACTGATTTCATTTTCTTTGAATATATACCCAAATGTAATGAGATTTCTGGATCATATGGTGGTTCCATTTTTAATTTTTTGAAGAAACTCCATACTGTTTTTCATAATGGCTATGCTAATTTACATTTTCACCATCAGCGTGTAAGGATTCCCTTTTCACCACATTGTTGCTAACACTTGTCATCTTTCGATTTTTTAAAAATTGTCATTCTGACTGGAGTCAGGTGATATTGTAGTTTTGATTTGCATTTCCCTGGAGATTAATAAAGTCAAGCATTTTTTTTTTTATTTCTGTTGGTCATCTGTATGTCTTCTCTGGAAAAATGTCTATTCAGGTCCTTTGCACATTTTTTGTTGAATGTTTTGTTGTTGAGCTGTTTGAGTTTTTTATATATTTTAGATGTTAGCCTCTTATCAGATGTATAGTTTGCAAATATATTCTTCTATTCTGTCAGTTGTCTCTAAAACAGCATGGCTCTGTCATAGAAACAGAAACATAGACCAATGGAACAGAATATAAAACTGGAATTAAACCCAAGCATCTATAGACAACTGATATACAACAAAGATGTCAAGTACATGCAATGGGGAAAGGACAGTTTCCTCAATAAACAATGCTGGGAAAACTGGATATTCACATACAGAAGAACAAAACTAGACCCTTATCTCTCACCATATACAGAAATTAACTACTAAAAATGTATTAAAGAATTAAACGTAAGACCCCAAACTACAAAACTACTTGTAAAAAACAGGGAAAAGCTCCAAGACATTGCTCTAGGCAAGGATTTTAAAAATAAAACCACAAAAGCATGGGCAAGAAAAGCAAATACAGACAAATGGTATCATATGAAATTAAAAAAAAAAACTTCTGCACAGCAAAGACAGCAATGAACAGAGCAAAGAGACAACCAACAAAATAGGTGAATATATTCACAAATTATGATGTAATTTTAATTAATAAAAAACAATTTCTATATGTAGTTTGACGTAGGAGTGAAGCTCATTGCTCATTTATTTTTAAAATGGGTTTCCAGTTGTAGGATATTTTTTTTAATGGTTTTTATTTCCTTCATTGAATTGCCTTGTCACTTCTGTTGAAAAGCTATTGACCACATATATGTGACTTTATTTCTGGAGTCTATTCTGTTTCTTACAACTAATCTGTATGTCTACCTTGTACCAAATTCCCGCTGTCTTCATTGGCTTTATAGTAATCTACGTAATCTGGTAGTGTGAATTCTCTGAGTTTATTCCTATTTTCCAAGAACGTTTTGTTATTCTGAGTTTTTATTTTCTTGATTTTCCATAGAAGTGTTATGAGTAAGTTGTTGATTTCTACCAAAAAGAAGCTTATTGGATCTTGTTTAGGATTACATTAGATTCATCAATTGCTTTGGGGAAAATTTACATTTTATGAAATTATCCCTTCCAATTCATGAAAATTGTACAAATCCCTCTTTATTTAGGTATACTTTAATTTCTCTGGAATATTTTGTTTTGTCTGCAAAGCTCTTGAACATTTTTGTTCAATCTAACCCTGTAGGTTTAGTATTTTTGATCATATTCAAAATAAAACTTTATAAAATTTATTTTTCCAATTGTTTGGTGCAGGAATATAGAAATGAAATAGATTTTTATATATTAACCCTTATCCTGAGACCTGACTAAATGCACTTCCTGGTTTTAGTAGTTTTATTTCCTTTGAGTTTACTTGAAAATTTTTATGTGAATAATCATGTCATATGTAAATAAAGATAATTTTGTTTCTTTGTGTTCAAGCTCTGTACTTTTTACATATTTTTCTTCTTCTTTTATGCAATGACTAACTAGGAACTTCAACCATGTTTTCTGGAAGGAGTGAGTACCGACAATGCTTGCCCTGCTCATAGATGGATAGCGTTTGATCCTTCACCATTAAGAGTGATATAAGTGTAATGTTTCTTGTAGGTTTTTCATAGTTGTCCTTTATGATATTGAGGAACTTTCCTTATATTTCAGGTTTTCTGATAGTTTTTGATAGAATTGGTACTGAATTTCTAAAATGCTTTTTTTGTGTGTGGTGATCCTGTTGCTCTTGATTTTGTTATTGTGGTAAATTACACTGATTGATTTCCAAAAGTTATATCAAACTTGCATTCGTAGGACAAATCTAACTTGCTCAAATGTATCATACCTTTTACAAATTGCTGTAATCAATTTGCTGTTTTAATAAAGACTTTTTAAATCTGTATTCACGAAGAATGTATGTCCTTTCATCTGTATTCATGAAGGATGTGTGTCTATGAGGCAATTGTTCTATAAGTAATATTTTATCAGTATTTTAATAACTGCTAAAACGAGGTTTCATAAAATTAGTAAAGGACCTGATTTTCTTTCTTTTCTGAGAAGGTATATATATACCTTCTCCCATATATATATAAAATAGAAGAGAAGGTACATATACCTTTTTTATATATATATATACCTATATGCATATACCTTTATATATAGGTATATATATATCTCTCTATATAAGTATATATATTTTATATCTTTATATAAATATATAATTATATTTATATAATTATATATATAAATATATAATTATATTTATATAATTATATATATAAATATATATTATACAATCTATTATATATTATATATAATATATACAATATATTATATATATTATATATAATATATACAATATATTATATATATTATATATAATATATACAATATATTATATATTATATATAATATATACAATATATTATATATAATATATATAATATATATAATATATTATATATATTATACAATCTATTATATATATTATATATAATATATACAATCTATTATATAATATATAATATATACAATATTATATAATATATAATATATACAATCTATTATATAATATATAATATATACAATCTATTATACAATATATAATATATACAATCTATTATACAATATATAATATATACAATCTATTATACAATATATAATATATACAATCTATTATACAATGTATAATATACACAATCTATTATACAATGTATAATATACACAATCTATTATACAATGTATAATATACACAATCTATTATACAATGTATAATATACACAATCTATTATACAATGTATAATATACACAATCTATTATACAATGTATAATATACACAATCTATTATACAATGTATATTATACACAATCTATTATACAATGTATATTATACACAATCTATTATACAATGTATATTATACACAATCTATTATACAATGTATAATATACACAATCTATTATACAATGTATAATATACACAATCTATTATACAATGTATAATATACACAATCTATTATACAATGTATAATATACACAATCTATTATACAATGTATAATATACACAATCTATTATACAATGTATAATATACACAATCTATTATACAATGTATAATATACACAATCTATTATACAATGTATAATATACACAATCTATTATACAATGTATAATATACACAATCTATTATACAATGTATAATATACACAATCTATTATACAATGTATAATATA